>NC_000023.11:135929381-138429381 GCF_000001405.40 Homo sapiens | reverse complement strand
AGTAACTCCTATTTTCCTACAGCTTCATCAGGAAATACTGAGTGTGTATTTTTTTCCTTGCTCTTCTTACCCAAAGGACAATCTGGGCCATATAGCTTGGAGGCTGAGTTTTCCTAAGACCAAGGTTAGATATTGTTGTTTTCCATAGTGTGGCTCCCTGTATTCCTCTAATGGTAAAAGCTTTCCTCTCCTAGCTTCTCATTCTATTATTGAAGGCAAATTTTCCTATTCCTTAAGGCCTACCTCAAACACAAGCTTATTTATGAAATTCTCCCTCTTCCCCAGAGTTTGCTTTTTTTATTGCTGAAGGCTGAACTAGTTCATTTGTTTACAGTCTAACTCTAGCAATTTTTGCAAATACTGTATTCTTTGTCATGTATGGTAACTGAAGTTTCTGTTCCTTAGCTTGTATTCAGCTAGTGTTTTGATAGAGATTACCTTGCACTCCAGGAGCACAAACAGACAAACAAAGGACACCTCTCCCAGTATTTGCAGATTAGCTCTGTGCCAGGGCACTCCTTTAACACTTAGGCTTGCACTGAGCCTAGGATTCAGCCTAAAGTGAAAGCTTAGGTCTTAGCATGTGTCTCTGGTTGTGTGCATGACTTCCTAAATTACCAGGTCTAAACTGCTACTTTTGAAATCCTAGGTTCACAAAGAAATTCTCCCAAGGTTTTTTCTCATTCCTTAGTTGTTGGTTTTTTTAATGTTTTGTCCATAATTTTTTGTCCCCAGCATCTAAGGATTGTTAGTTTAGCTTGCAGTGTTTTCCAGTAAAGTCTACCATTTTTCTAGCTTGAGCCCCAAGTTAGGCAAAATAGATATGAGTGTCTTGCCTTAGTTTTCCATGTAGCCCCTAGACAGGTTAGAACATATATTCACAATAGTTTCTGAATAAGGTATGCTCTGTTCCCTTCTAGAACCAGGGGCCATGGTCTCACACTAGGAAAACAGACTGCCACTGTTCAGTGACCAAGACTACTGCCGTATAGGAAAGGGGATGGAGTAAGGGCAGGTAAAAACATCACAAAACAGTTCCATATTGCCTTTTTCTTGATTCAATGTTAGCTTGTTTACTGCAAACTTTTGATTGTTTTCTGGAGTTCTGACAAAGTTGATTTTGACAGTTTTTGCTTGTTTTTTGGTGTTTCTTTGGAGTGGGGGCTGAGAGTAGGATGAAGGTGGGGAGGTACCTACTCTACCATTTATGCTGATATGACTCATTTATCTTTTATAATTACATAATTACCTAAACCAGTGCTTTTTATTTTTTTTGTGTGTAGACTTGAATTTCTGTCTAGGGTCATTTGCTTTTAGTCTGAAGAACTTTCTGTAATATTTCTTGCAAGGAAATTCTACTAGCAATGAATTCTCTCTGTTTTCACTTATTTGAGAATGCTTTTATTTTCTCTTCGTTTTTTTAAAATATAGCTTTGCTGAATATTGGATTTTTGGTCGTTCATTTTTTTCTTTGAGCACTTCGAATATGTTATCACACTGCTTTCTGATGTACAAAGTTTCTTATGAGAAGTCAGCTATTAACCTTATTGGTGCTCTCTTGTAAGTAATGAACCATTTTTCTCTTGCTGTTTTTAATATTTTCTCTTTTTTTGTCCTTAAGCACTCTTACTATTATGTGACTATTTTCAGATCTCTATTTTTATCATACTTGGAGTTTGCTGAGATATTTGAATGTGTAGATTAATGTTTTTCAAGAGTTTTGGGAAGTTTTGAGCCATTGTTTCTTCAAATATTTTTCTTATCCCTTTTCTCTCTCTTCTCCTTCTGTCACCATCATTATGCATATATTGGTGCACGTAATGGTGTTCCACATTTCTCTAAGGCTCTGTTCTTCTTTCTTGCTCTTCAGATTGCATAATCTCTATTAATCTATCTTCAAGCACACTAATTCTTTCTCCTGCCAGTTTAAATCTGTTGAGCTCCTCTAACAAATTTTTCATTTTCGTTATTGTACTTTTCATTTCCAGAATTTCTATATGGTTCTTTTAAAATTATTATTTTTAATTGTCAAATAATAATTTTATATATTTATAGAGTACTGTGTGATGTTTTCATATAAGTATACAATGTGGAATGACTAAATCAAGCTAAACCATATCCATCACCTCACTTACTTATCATTTTTGTGGTGAGACATTTGAAATGTACTATCTTAGCAATTTTGAAATGTACAACACATTATTATTAACTATAGTCACCACACTGTGCAATTGATTTCAAAAAGTTATTCTATATGGCTAAATGAAACTTTGTACCTTTTGACCAACATCTCCCCATTCCCTTCCTCCACCCAAGCAGCCTCTGGTTATCCTCATTCTACTCTCTACTTCTGTGAGTTTAACTTTTTTATATTCCTCATATAAGTGAGATCACGCGGTATTTTTCTTTCTCTGCCTAGTTTATTTCACTTAGTGTAATGTCCTCCAGGTTCATCCATGTTGTTGCAAGTGTCAAGATTTCTTTCTTTTCAAGGCAGAAGAGTATTCAATTGTGTATATATACCATGATTTCTTTATCCATTCTTTTATTGATAAACATTTAGGTTGATTCCATATCTTGACTATTGTGAATAATGCTTCAGTGAAAATGAGAGTGTGTAGTTGCTGGCTGTATTACTTTAAGGCAGTCTGTTTTCCCCTGCAGTGTGAGGCCTGTGATGTTGCTCTTCATAGGATACAGTTTGGGCATGCACACAGTTACCTTGGGATGACAATGTTTTTACCAATCCTTTGTTTGACTCTTTCCCTGACAACACCCAGCAGAATATAAGCTCCACTAATTGCAGGCCCATTACTCTATTGCTTTAAGTTTTAAAGTTCATTTTTAGTACCATTTACTTCTTTCAAGAATACTCTAACTCCTAGAGAAAAAAATGTAAGAGGTTGCAGAAACCATAGTGATATTTAACCTCAGACGAGTCAAGATACAATACTAAAAACCTTGAGAGTAAGCAGGTGTGGCTTTAGCAGAGTGACCTTAGAATACTGATAATTGTTGTGTTCATGGTGATGGCAATAAAGGAGCAGTTAGATTAGAATTTAAGAAAGTTCTATTTTAAAGAGATAAAAATTGTTAATAAATGAATGTTTCCAATGTTTCCTTCTTCCTGCTTGCTAAAGGGAATTCAAGCCTGGTATACCTTGCTTTCTTCTTTTCCTGCACAATGGAAAGAGGGTTCTGCCTTATCAGACTCACTCTTGAGTTTCTGTGGTATAGAATGAATCAAGAGTAAAAAAGGAGGGTGGGAGAATAAGATATTAATAATAGGTACATAAAGGGAAGAACTAGAGGAGATTATAAGGGGTTATGAGGAGAACTGTGATTTGTGAAGGAAATTGATGAAAGAGAAATGGGACATCTTAAGGAAGTATTGCTGTGGTTTATGAATCCATGTTCATAGTGGTACTGAAGCAGGATATTTCCCCAACCCCTTCACAGGTGTAAACTGGAGTGCACAGGTGCCAGCTGGGGTGAACTTCACTCACTTGCTGCTCCACCTCTTGTGGGAGGGGGAGCTCATGTGAGCAAGTACAGGAGCCAGGGTGAGTGCTTTTGGACACTAGCAAGAGAAAATTTTGTACCCACCCCATGGCAGCATCTAGGGGAGCATGCTTGTGACCCCTGAAGCCCCAGAGGAAGTGTTACAGTGCCCTTTTAGCTTTGCCATCCACAGATGGCTTGTTAACAGCTCAGTGGAGGGATAGTGTGACAGCCTTTTGCACCCACACTTGTGGCACCTGAGCTCTTGTCCAGTGTCCAGGAAGAATGAGGTCACATGAATGAATCAAAGATGGTAAATGTGGGGGATTTTACTGCTGGTGAAAATAGCTCTCGGTGGGAAGGGGAGCTGAAGGGGATGGATGGGAAGGTAATCTTCCCATGGAGTCTGGTCCTCCCCTCTTGGGATCCTCTCTGAAGCTATGCCATCAAGCTTTCCCTCTGAAGTCAAGCTACTTCTCTGTGACGTCCAACTGTAGTCCCCAACGTCCAGCTGCTTCTCTCTCTCACTGGCTGAGCCTGAGGTTTTTATGGGCACAGGATGGGGGAGTGGGGTGGGCTATGAGTGGTTTTGGAAAAGGCAGCATTCAAGCTAGAAAACAGGAATGTATGTTCTCACTTTGGGCCTCCATATCACCTTTTCAGTTTGAGGGTTGGGCTCTTGCCGAGAACCTGCCCTCTTCTGCCCCTATCAGTACTAGTTATTTTCCATTTTTTTTCCTACAGATTTATTCTCTACCATTCTCTTGTCTGATTTGCACCCCTGCAGGCTCTAGGTACTGTATCTCCCAGGTCTCTAGCTGGGGCTTCTTCAGATTCAGTCAATGGAAGGCACTAGCATGAGATCAAATAATGAGAAAAGAGAGATGTTGGTTAGGGTATTGATTCCCTACCCAACAACTAACCTGGTTATGCTTTTGGCAGTGGCTTCATTCCTTTATTAAGTGTTAAAACTTCTGTTGAGAAGCCCTACTTTTATGGCTACAGTGTCCACTGAGTTTTAGTAACACCACTCCTTCTCTTGTTTCCTTCACTTCTGGACATGGTAGCAGCTTCCCCCTGTTATTAGTCCCCAGATATGCCACTGTCTTTGTTGGTTTTCCCTACCCTGACTACATCTTCATAAAAACGGCCCCTATATTAAACCTTCCTCAATTACACCATTTGAGCATTCTATCTATGTCCTGGTGAGACTCTGACTGATACAGCAATGTTTAAGCAATACAAATGATGGCCAAGCATGGTGGCTCATGCCTGTAATCCCAGCCCTTTAGGAGGTTGAGGCAGGAGGATTGCTTGAGGCCAGGTGTTCGACATTACAGTGAGCTATGATTGCTGTGCTGAGTGACAAAGCGACACCCTGCCTGTAAAAACAATAAAAATAAATAAAAATGAAAACCAGGCTTATTTTGAAATTTCTCTTGATTGCACAGACTGTTTTGGCCAGGATGCAACTCTAGGACTAAACACATGAATAGCAACCTTGTAAGTGTCTTACAATATGGGGTAATTTTAGCCTCTTATGTAAAGTTCTATAACTCTAACTATGAAAGAGGCATGAGAGAATGAATTATGTTTCTGGCAGGGCTTTGAGGTAACATTGGATAAATTTAGAAGAGAAATAGATAGATTCCATAGTTATTGCTCTATCTGAAGGCTTCATGATTTTAGATATGTAATTTCATTTCCTAATGGCTCTGACTTGCCTTAATGAAGTCAGCTAATGCTTTCTTTTAATTTTAATAGAAACTAATTTTATTTCCTCCTTGCCTTTCTAAATTATAATTTCTCCTCCATCACCAAAAGAACTATGGTGACATATGTCGACTGCCTGGATGCCTAGAATCAGTACTTAATAGATTTTAACCATAATATATATCCACAGAATATAATACTTACTAAGAGATGCTGATGCATGTAGCAACCTTGTGGCAATGTTTGATTCCAAACAGACAATTCAGGAGCCACATTTATAATTGTAGCCCTTTGTAACATTTTTGGCTGTTCCTGATGATTGGTTGTTAGCACAGTATGACCAATGAGAAGGCAGTTGCTTTCCTTGGCTCTTTATAAATCGTAACCTCTTTCCTTCTTTTTACAGGACTTTCTGTTTTGCCCAGTAGGCACATTCATGAAGAGCTGCATATGGAGAAAATTTATTCTAAAATTCACTATTGAAAGAAAATCCTGGTGTGAATCTTTTTATAAGGAAATGGCTTCTAATTTATCTTCAAGCAAATTCAACATAGGAAATACCAATTTTACCTAATAAATTGTGGTACATTTGTAACATGTTTGCTTTATCTCATCAGTTCTTAGAGCACTTGGAGAGTCAGGCTAGGAAAACAACTTGACTCTCATAAGCATTTGTATCTTTCAGCTATTTTTTTGAATTAAATTATTTGTAATATCTGGGCTTTTGGCCACCACTTTGGTTTGTCTGGGAAGAATCTTTATGGCTTATCCTAGGCAAGGCAAGTAGGGCAGCCTATTTGGCAACACTGCTGTTTGCATCCTTTCTAGCAGAGATATTTATCTCTTGATCTTCCTTTCCTACATACTCAGAAAAGGCTGCCCACAATGATTTTTAGCTCCGCTTTTCAATTCCTAGACTTCTCCGATGAGTCAGTATGAGATCTTCATGAATGGAGATCATCATGCATTTGGGGCAAAGCTGGAAGACCACTGAGCCTCCCATCAGAGCATAACTTACCCTGACAAGCCCATATTCTGTCAAGCCGATCTGGCTGAAGTCTTCAGAGCACAGATACACAGAGGAGACCAAGGAGTCTTTAGAAGTTATTAATTTTCCCTCCTGCCTCTTGTAATAGCATATTAAATGTTCTGGTTTAATGAGTTGTTTATTTTAACCTCCCGCCTATACTCCCCAGATTGTTATACAAGAACCTTTCCAAACCTAGAAGGCAGAAATGCTTTGTCTCTAGTTACAGTCTCAAAAAAAGAAGTGTTATGCCTAGTCATCCTCCACTTTCTGGCCTTCCTAGGCCCATGTTTTTGTCTGTGTCTTAAGTTCTTATACTCTAAGAGGCCAAGAAAAAATGAGAGCAAAGTGGAATGTGAATAACCACTTACTGAGCACTTATTATGTGACAGACTCTTGTGCTGGGGCTTTATATATAGCATTTTCGTTAATCCTCATTAAACCTTCGTTTATAGGTGCTATTACTAGTTCAATTTGACAAATGAGAAGATGAAAGCCAACTTGATTGAAGTCAGAAAATATACATTCAATGGCAGGTCTGGGATCGGAACTCAGGTTTACCTGAATCCAAAATCTGTACACTTCTCATCATACCATGCTACCTCCCACTTTTTAAAGCACGCATCTGAGTTTCCTTTCCATTTTGAACTAGCTTCTTATGGCTGAACAATGTCCCTGACAACATTATCTTAAAGTGTAAAAGATGTTTGGCTACCACAGCCCATCTCCCTGCCGCTTGTTAAGACTTCACTTACAGTATGAGATGATGTGCAGGAATCATGAACTTTAATACACTGCCAAGATCCTCCTGTACTTGCTTATAGAAATGGATTTAATATTCTATTTTAGAATCAGAATGTTTGCATTTTTCATGCTACTTTTCTCACACTCACAGCCTCTCCCACACTCACACCTCAGACTGAACTGGTGTTGGCATTGTTCTGTGGTGCTTCTCCTCCTCACCGAATAACCATGAGCTGGAGTGAAAAGGCAGCAGGAAACTAGTTATGGCCATGTAACCAAAGATACTAAATGCTTCCAAATCTCAAGGAACCAGCTAAGGTCTGGGTTTTACCCTAAAGTTTGTCAACCTTTCTAAGGTTGCCACTGCTCACCTCTAGGTACTACTGTTGCTTTAGCCACATCGCTTATTATAGGTGCTGTTCAGAAACACCCGCTCAGAATGTCCCTGCTGCCACTTGAAGTTTCCTGGACTTCTTTTGGCTGTACGGCTTTCTGCATAGCTAGAGCTCCCAGGGTCTCCTGGTTTTGGTGGAGGTTGAGCAGCCATGAGAACTCCCTGCAACTGGTCATAAGAGAAGACAGAGCTGATGAGCGGTGAATTAATAGGCTCCTCCTGGACCTCCTAACCCATCTGGTAGCAGTTAGCTCTTTTCACTTATATGTACCCTTTAACCAAGTGTTCTCTGGTTTATTAACTTAGCCAGACCTTAAATAGCTGGCAACATTGGGCTATCAAATGTAAGATAGGGGAAATTTTCATATTGTGACCCTTTCAGACCTCCAAAGTGACTCTATGGAAGAGGCCTTCACAGCCATGAAGTATATCAGGGAAAATCAAGACAGATCAGGAAATTTTGTTTCAAAAATCCCCTTAAAGAAATATGATAGCCTAATTGGACACTGGCCAATTAGAATGGATGCAAACAATAGGTAGGGAAGTACAGGAGTGTATTAGCCAAATGTCAGCCATGTTGGGAGTTATTATTATTTTACTGATAAGGAGGATATGTGATCAAGAAAGATTGGAAACACGCTTTAGCAGTCACCTAGCTAACCCTTTGCTTTTAAGAATTAGGTGTAAACTTAAGTTTTTAGTCTTCCCAAGGCTCTGCCAAGACCGGTCTTGGTGAAACTTTGTTGGCGGTGAGCAGAACATTTAACAAAAGGCGGTGGAGCTTTTGGCTGTTTCTCTAGATGCCTTTCTTCCTTATCACTCTTTCATTCTCTTGAGATGCTATAAACTGGCCACTGATTCTATGTGAATTCCTGGAATCAACCTAAGTGTCTGTTTTTTTTTTTTTCTGTAAACTCCTCAGTAGGTGATTATGGCTGTGCTGCTGCAAACTAGTGGCATATTGATTCAAGTGTCAATAAGGAAGGTTTATATGTCATTTGGTCTCTTGCTGACAGGTAGTACTGCGTTCAAACATATGGCAATGCTTTTTTTGCAGCAATAGCTGCTTATATAGATATTTGAAAAAAATTGTGGGCACATAGTAGGTGTATATATTTATGAGCTACATGAGATATTTTGATACAGGCATGCAGCACATAATAATCACATCAGGGTAAATGGGGTAGCCATCATCTCAAACATTTATCCTTTGTGTTACAAATAATCCAATTATACTCTTTCAGTTATTTCTAAATGTAAAATTAAATTATTTTTTATTACAGTCACCCTGTTTTGCTAGCAAATGCTAGGTCTTATTCACTCTTTCTAACTTCTATTGTACCCCTTAACCATCCCCACTTATTACCCACTCATGCCCACTACCCTTCCTAGCCTCTGATAACCTTTCTTTTATTCTATATCTCCATGAGTTAAATTCTTTTAATTTCTAGCTGCCACAAATAAGTAAGAACATGTGAAGATTGTCTTTGTGTGCCTGGCTTACTTCACTTAACATAATGACCTCTAGTTTCATCCATGTTGTTGCAAGTGACAAGATCTTATTGTTTTATGGCTGAATAGTAAGTACTCCACTGTGTATTTGTCCTACATTTTCTTTATCCATTCATCTGTTGATGAACACTTAGGTTGAATCCAAATCTTGGCTATAGTGAATTTTGCTATAATTAAACGTAGAAGTATATCTCTTTGATCTACTGATCTCCTTTCTTTTGGATATTTATCTAGGAGTGGGATATGTGGGCTGTATTACTAGTTTTTTGAGAAACCTCCAAACTGTTCTCCATAGTGGTTGTACTAATTTACATTCCCACCAACAGTGTATGAAGGTTTCCTTTTCTCCACATCCTCACCAGCATTTCTTATTGCTGACTTTTGGATATAAGCCATTTTAACTGGGGTGAGATGATATTGCATTGTAGTTTTGACTTGCATTTCTCTGGTGATCAATGATGTTGAGCACTTTTTTATATACTTTTTGCCATTTGTATGTCTATTGAGAAATGTCTATTCAGTTCTTTTGCCCATTTTTAATTGGATTATTAGCTTTTTTTCCTATGGAGTTGTTTGAGCTCCTTATATATTCTGGTTATGAATTATTAATCCCTTGAGAGATGGATAGTTTGCAAATATTTAATCCCATTCTGTGTGTTGTCTCTTCACTTTGTTGATTGTTTCCTTTTTTTTTTTTTTTTTTTTGCAAAGGCTTTTTAACTTGATGTGATCCCATTTGCCTATTTTTGCCTTGGTTACCTGTGCCTGTGGGGTATTACTGAAGAAATCTATGCTTAGTCCAATGTCCTGTAGAGTTTCTTGAATGTTTTCTTGTAGTAGTTTCATGGTTTGGGGTCTTAGATTTAAGCCTGTAATCCATTTTGATTTGATATTTGTATATGGTGAGAGATAGGAGTTGAGTGTGATTCTTCTGCATATGGATGCCCAGTGTTGACAGCACTATTTATTGAAGAGGCTGTCCTTTTCCCAATATATGTTCTTGGCACTTTTGTCAAAACTAGCTCACCATAGATGTATGGATTTATCTCTGGCTTATCTATTCTGTTCCACTGATTTATATGTCTGTTTTTATGCTAGTACCATGCCGTTTTGTTTATTATAGCTCTGTAGTTTAATTTAAAGTTAGGTATTATTTCTGGGCTTTCTATTATGTTCCATTGGTCTCTGTGTCTGTTTTTGTACCAGTGCCATGCATCTAATCTTCGACAAAATTAAGAAAAAGAAGCAACTTGGAAACGACTCCCTCTTCAGTAAATGGTGCTGGGATAACTGGCTTGCCATATGCAGAAGATTGAAACTGCACCCATTCTTTACACCATACACAAAAATCAACTCAAAATGGCTTAAAGACTTAAATGTAAAACCTAAAACTGTAAAAAAACCCTGGAAGATAACCTAGGAAATACCATTCCTGACATAGGACCTGGCAAAGATTTTGCATTAGTGTGTTCTCACGCTGCTAATAAAGACATACCCGAGGCTGAATAATTTACAAAGGAAAGAGGCTTAATGGACTCACAGTACCACATGGCTGGAGGGCCTTCACAATCATGGCAGAAGGCAAAGGAGAAGCAAAGGCATATCTCACATGGTGGCAGGCAAGAGATCATGTGCAGGAGAACACCCTTTTATAAAACCATCAGATCTCATGAGACTTATTCACTGTCATGAGAACAGCATGAGAAAACTCTACCCCCATGATTCAATTACCTCACAGCAAGTCCCTCCCATGATATGTAGGGCTATGGGAGCTACAATTCAAGATGAGATTTTGGTGGGGACACAGCCAAACCAAACCATGTTATTCCACCCCAACCCTTCCCAAATCTCATGTACTTACATTTCAAAACCAATTTTGCCTTCCTGACAGTCCCCCAAAGTCTAAACTCATTTCAGCATTAACCCAAAAGTCCACAGTCCAAAGTCTCACCTGAGACAAGGCAAGTCCCTTCTGCCTAGGAGCCTGTAAAATCAAAAGCAATTTAGTTACTTCTTAGATACAATGGGGGTACAGGCATTTGGTAAATACACCCATTCCAAGTGGGAGAAATTGGCCAAAACAAAGGGGCAACAGGCCCAATGCAAGTCCTAAATCCAACAGAGCAGTCATTAAACCTTAAAGTTCCAAAATGATCTCCTTTGATTCCATGTCTCACATCCAGGGCATGCTGATGCAAGAGATGGGCTCCCACAGCCTTGGGCAGCTCCACCTCTATGGCTTTGCAGGGTACACGCCTGCTCCTGGCTGCTTTCACAGGCTGACATTGATTGTCTTTGACTTTTCTGGATGCACAGTACAAGCTGTCGGTAGATCTGCCATTCCAGGGTGTGGAGGACGGTGGCTTTCTTCTCACCACTCCACTAGGCAGTGTCACAGTAGGGACTCCAGCAAATTCCTGGAGCCAGCTTGAATTTCTCCCCAGAAAATGGGTTTTTCTTTTCTATTGCATTGTTAGGCTGCACATTTTCCAACCTTTTATGCTCTGCTTCCTCTTGAATGCTTTGCTGCTTAGAAGTTTCTTCCCCCAAATACCCTAAATTATCTCTCTCAAGTTCAAAGTTCCCCAAATCTCTAGGGCAGGGGCAAAATGCCACCAGTCTCTTTGCATAGCAAGAGTGAACTTTACTCCAATTACCAACAAGTTCCTCTTCTTCATCTGAGACCACCTCAGTCCAGGTTCTACTGTCCATATCACTATCAGCATTTTGATCAAAGCCATCCAACAAGTCTCTAGGAAGCTACAAACTTTCCCCCATTTTCTTATCTTCTACTGCACCCTTTAAACTGTTCCAACCTCTCCCTATTACCCAGTTCCAAAGTTACTTCCACATTTTCAGCTATCTTTACAGTAGTGCCCTACTACCTGGTACCAACTTACTGTATTAGTCTGTTCTCATGCTGCTAATAAAGACATACCCGAGACTGGGTAATTTATAAAGGAAAGAGGTTTAATGAACTCACAGTTCCATATGGCTCAGTAGGCCTCACAATAATGGCAGAAGGCAAAGGAAAAGCAAAGTCACGTCTTACATGGTGGCAGGCAAGAGAGCATGTGCAGGGGAACTCCCATTTATAAAATGATCAGATGTCATGAGACTTATTCACTATCATGAGAACAGCATGGGAAAACCCTGGACCAATGATTCAATGACCTCCCACTGGGTCCCTCCCACGACACGTGGGGATTATGGAAGCTGTAATTCATGATGAGATTTGGGTGCAGACACAGCCAAACCAAACCACATCTGATTTGATGATGAAAACATGAAAAGCAATTGCAATGCAAACAAAAAAATAACAAATGGGATCTAACTAAACTAAAGAGCTTCTGCACAGCAAAAGAAAATATCAACAGATTAAAAACATAACCTACAGAAAGGGAGAAAATTTTTGCAAACTCTGCATCCAAAGAACGTCTAGTAGCCAGAATCTTATAAGGAATGTAGATGAATTTGCAAGCAAAAAACAACCCCATTTTTAAAAAGTGGGCAAAGGACATAAACAGATACTTTTCAAAAGAACACATGCACGTGGCCAGTGTGCGTATGCAAAAATGCCCAACATCATTAGTCATTAGATAAAAGCAAATCAAAACCACCATGAGATACAATCTCATGCCAGTCAGAATGGCTATTATTAAAAAGTCAAGGGCTGGGTGCAGTGGCTTACGCCTGTAATCTCAGCACTTTGGGAGGCCGAGGCAGGCAGATCACAAGGTCAGGAGATTGAGACCATACTGGCTAACACGAAGAAACCCCATCTCTACTAAAAATACAAAAAATTAGCCAGGCATGGTGGTGCACACCTGTAGTCCCACTTACTCAGGAGGCTGAGCCAGGAGAATCGCTTGAACCTGGGAGGTGGAGGTTGCAGTGAGCCGAGATCGCACCACTGCACTCCAGCCTAGTGACAGAGTGAGGCTCTGTCAAACAAAAAAAAAAAAAAAAAAAAAAAAAGGAAAAAAATAACAGATGCTCGTGAGGTTGTGGAGAAAAGGGAAGGCTTTTACACTGCTGATGGTAGTGTAAATTAGTTCAGCCATTGTGGAAAGTAGTATGGTGATTCCTCAAAGAACTTAGAATACCATTTGACCCAGAAATCCCACTATTTGGTGTATGTACCCAAGGAATTATAAATTATTTCATCATAAAGACACTTGCATGCATATTTTCATCACAGCACTATTCACAATAGCAAAGATATGGAATCACCCTAAATGCCCATCAATGGTAGAGTGAATAAAGCAAATGTGGAACATACACTCCATAGTATACTATGCAGCCATAAAAAGAATGAAGTCATGTCCCTTGCAGCAACATGAATGGAGCTGGAAGCCATTGTCCTAAGCAAACTAATGCAAGAACAGAAAAACAAATAGCACATTTTCTCATAAGTAGGAGCTATAATATGAGAACATATAGACACAAAGAGGGGAAGAGCAGACACTGAGGCCTACTTGAGCTTGGAGGGTGGGAGGGAGGAGAGGAGCAAAAAACTACCTATTGGATACTATGCATTTTACCAGGGTGACAAAATAATCTGTACACCAAACCCCTTAGACACTCAACCTACCTATATAATAAACTTGCACATGTACCCCTGAAGCTAAAATAAAACTTAAAAAATTACTGATAAGACTTTCAAAAATAAAGTCTGAAAAAAAAATAAAAAAAATAAAGTCTCTTTATGACGAATCATCTTTTTAATGTATTGTTGAATTTGGTTTGCTAGTATACTGTTGAGGCTTTTTGTATCAATATTCATCAGAGATAGTGCCCTATAGTTTTCTTCCTTTGACGTGTCTTTGGTTTTGGTATCACAATAATATTGTCCTCATTGAATGAGTTTGGAAATAGTCCCTCTCCCTCTATTTTTCAGAATAGTTTGAGTAGGATTGGTATTAGTTCTTTAAATGCTTGGTAGAATTCAGCAATGAAGCCATAGGGTCCTGGGCTTTTCTTTACTGGGAGACTTTTTTTATTATGGCTTTGATCTTATTACTTGTTATTGGTCTGTTCAGGTTTTTTTATTTCTTCATGGTCCAAACTTTGTAGGTTTATGTGTGTAGGAATTGATCCATTTCCTCTGGATTTTCCAATTTGTTGGCATACACTTGCTAATAGTTGCCTCTAATGATCCTTTGAATTTCTGAAGTATCAGTTGTAATGTCTCCGTTTTCATCCATCATTTTATTTATTTGAGTCTTCTCTCTTTTTTCATATTTAGCCTGGCTAAAGTTTGTCAATTTTATTTATCTTTTCAAAAAACCAACTTACAGTTTCATTGCTTTTTTCTATTGTTTTCTTCATTTCAAATTTGTTTATTTCTGCTCTGTTCTTTATTATTTATTTTCTTCTGCTAATATTGGGTTTGGTTTGCTCTTGCTTTTCCAGTTCTTTAAGATGCATCTTACGTTATTTATTTAAAGTTTTTATTTTTTTCTTGATGTAGGCACAGCTATAAATTTCCCTCTTAGTATTGCTTTCACTGTATTCCATTAGTTTTAGTATGTTTTGTTTCCATTATCATTTGTTCCAAGAAACTTTTCATTTTCTTTCATAATGTTTTCATCGACCCACTGGTCCTTCCGGAACATATTGTTTAATTTCCGCTTGTTTGTATAGTTTCCAAAATTCCTCTTGTTATTGAATTCTACTTTTATTCAATTGTGGTCGGAGAAGATGCTTGATATTATTTCAACTTTTTGAATGTTTTAAGACTTGTTTTATGACCTAACATATGGTCTGTCCTTGAGAATGGTCCAAGTGCTGAGGAGAAAAATGTGTATTCTGCAGCCATTGGATGAAATGTGCTGTAAATGTCTATTAGGTCCATTTGTTCTATAGTGCAGATTAAGTCCAATATCTCCTTGCTGATTTTCTGTCTGAAAGATATGTCCAATGCTGAAAGTGGAGTGTTGGATTGTCCAGCTATTATTGTATTGGGGTCTGTCTCTTTAGCTCTAATAATATTTTCTTTATATATCTGGGTGCTCCAGTGTTGGGTGCATATATATCTAAAATTGTTATATTCTCTTGTTGAATTGACCCCTTTATTATTATATAATGACCTTCTTTTCCTCTTCTTACAGTTTTTACCTTGAAATCAATTTTGTCTGATATAAGTATAGCTGCTTCTGTTCTTTTTTGGTTTCCATTTACATGGAATATCTTTTCCATCCCTTTATTTTCAGTCTATGTGTATCTTTATAACTGAAGTATGTTTCTTATGGCAACAGATCACTGGGTCTCACTTTTTTAAATCCATTCAGCCACTCTGTCTTTTCATTGGAGAGTTTAGTCCATTTACATTCTACGTTATTACTGGTAAGTAAGCACTTACTCCTGCCATTTTGTTATTTGTTTTCTGGTTGTTTTGTTGTCTTCTTTTCCTTTTTTCTTTTCTACCTGTATTCCTTTTAGTGAAGGTGATTTTCTCTTTAATTGTGATTTAATTCCTTATTCTTTATTCTGTATATCCATTATATAATTTTGATTTTGTGTTACCATGAGCCTTGGAAAATACTACCTTATAACCCATTATTTTAAGCCGATAACAATATAACAATGCTTGCATAAACAAACAAGCAGGCAAAAAGAAAACTAATAAGAACCATATGCCTTAGCTTTATCCCACAATTAACTCATTTTGTTTTTATTTATATCTTACTATACTGTCTATGTCTTGAAAAGTTGTCATAGTTATTATTTTAGATTGGTTTATCTTTTAGTCTTTATACTTAAGATAAGGGTAGTTTACACACCACAATTACAGTGTTATAATATTCTGTGTTTTTCTGTGTACTTACTAATACAAGTTTCTTTTGTGCCTTTAGATGATTGCTTATTGCTCATTAACATATTTTTCTTTCTGATTGAAATACTCCCTTTAGCATTTCTTGTAGGCGTTCTGGTGTTGATGAAATCTCTCAGCTTTTGTTTGTCTGGAAAAGTATTTATTTTTCTTTTATGTTTGAATGATATTTTCATTGGATATACTATTCTAGGGTAAAAGTTCGTTTTTTTCCTTCAGCACTTTAAATATGTCATGCCATTCTCTCCTGGCCTGTAAGGTTTCCACTGAAATGTCTGCTGCCAGACATATTGGAGCCTGATTGTATGTTATTTGTTTCTTTTCTCTTGCTGCTTTTAGGATCCTTTCTTTACCCTTGACTTTTGGGAGTTTGATTATTAAATGCATTGAGGTAGTCTTCTTTGGGTTAAACCTACTTGGTGTTCTATAACCTTCTTGTACTTGGATACATTTTTCTAGTTTTGGTATGTTCTCTGTTATAATGCTTTTGAATAAACCTTATACCCTTTTTTTTTCTCTATCTGCTATTTAAGGCCAGTAACTCTTAGATTTGTCCTTTTGAGGCTGTTTTCTAGATCATGTAGGCATGCTTCTTTGTGTTTTTATTTTTTTCTCTTTTGTCTCCTCTGACCATGTATTTCCAAATAGTCTGTCTTCAAGCTTCCTAATTCTTTCATCTGCTTGATCTATTCTGGTATTAAAAGACTGATCCATTTTTCAGTATATCCATTGCATTTTTCAACTCTAGAATTACTGCTTGCTGCTCTTAAATTAGTTCAATCTTTTTGTTAAATTTATCTGATAGAAATCTGAATTCCTTCTCTGCTTATCTTGAATTTATTTGCATTTCCTCAAAACAGTTAGTTTGAATTCTGTCTGAAATTCACATATCTCTGTTTCTCCAGGATTCGTCCCTGGTGACTTATTGTGTCTGGGCATTGAAGAGTTAAGTATTTATTGTAGTTTTCACAGTCTGGGCTGGTTTGTACTCTTTCTTCTTCAGAAGGCTTCCCAAATATTTGAAATAACATGGATGTTGTGATCTAAGCTGTATCTGCTTTAGGATCTCAAGACCAGTAATGCTGTCATTCTTGCATACTGATAGAGGTACTGCCTTGATGGTCTTGGACAAGATTTGGAAGAATTCTCTGGATTACCAGGCAGAGACTCATGTTCTCTTCCCTTACTTTCTCCCAAGCAAATAGAGTCTCTCTCTTTTCTGAGCCACCTGGAGCTGAGTATGGAGTGAACAAGCATCCCAGTTGCCTCTACCACTAGAACTGCATTGGATCAGACCTGAAGCCAGCATAGCACTGGGTCTCACCCAAGGCTCACTGTAACCACTACCTGGCTACTGCCTATGTTCACTTAAGGCCCTTGGGGCTCTACAATCATGAGATGGTGAAGGCATCCAGGTTTGTTTCCTTCCCTTCAAGGCAGTGACTTCTCCCAGGCCCCAAGCAGGTTCAGAGGTGCTGTACAGGAGCCAGGGACTGGAGAAAAATACTTTAGAGGTCTACCTGGTGTTCTGTCGTATTGCAGCTGAGGTGGCACTGAAACAAGATGCTGTTCTTCCCAGTCTTCCTTTCCACAGGCAGAGGAGTCTCTCACTGTGGCCACCACTACCACAGGCCCATGGGGATTACTCCCAGGCTACCCACCAATGTTCCCTTAAAGCCCAGGGGCTCTTCAGTCAGCTTATGGTGAATGCTGCCTGGCCTGAGACTCACTATTCAGTGCAGTGAGCTTCCCTCTCTCCCAGAGGTCCAGAGGGGAGGTCTAGAAATGCCATCCAAGCGCCAAAGCCTGGAATTGAGGATCCAGAGAGCCAGCCTGGTGCTGCACTCCCCTGTGGCTGAGCTGGTACCTAAGGTGCAAGAAGTCCCCTTTACTTTTCCCTCCACTTTTCTCAATCAGAAGGAGTCTCTCCCCTTAGCCACCACAGCTAGGCAGGGAATATGCTGAGTCTCACCTGAAGCCAGCAAGTCTGAGCGTCTCACCTGAGGCCCATGGCATACTACCTAGGTGTCACTGCTAGTTATTCAGGGCCCAAGGGCTCTTTAGTCAGCAGGTGATGGATCCTCCCAGGACTGGGTCCTTCCCTTCAAGACATTGGGTTCTCTTTCAGCCAGGGTGTGTCTAGAAATGTCATCTGGGAGTCAGGGCCTGGAAAGTGTGCCTGATAACTCTGACTGGTGCCCTATCCTACTGTGGCTGAGCTGGAATCCTTTGCAAGACAAAGTACTCTTTAATATTTCCTCTCCTCTCCTCAAATGGAAGGAAATGATCTCTTTTGAAGCCACAAGCTTTGTGGCCTGGAGTTGGGGGAGGGCTGTTGCAAGCACTCCCTTAGCTGCTCTGACTGTATCTCAGTAGGTCATGTGTCCCTCAAGTCCACTGGCTCTGAGCCAAGTTCAGCACTAGGACTGTCCTTGGAGTTACGGTTTTTGTGTCTTAGATTGCCTTTCAACTTTATGTAGGACCCCAAAATACTTTAACCCATGGTGGCGTGGTTTGCCAGAACTCCAGTTATAACCACTGTGATAGGTGATTCCTTGTGGCTAGGGCTGGTTTAAATGTTCCCTCCATGGGTGGGTGTCAGCTGAGTTCCGCCAGGTTTTGCTTTCTGCTGTGACAGAGTGGCACTGAGTTCAATGCAAAGTTTCATAATCGCTGCACTCTCCTTCTCCTAAATGCACAGATTCTCTCTCTACACCACGTGGCCACTGCCAGAGGGGTGGGGAGGGATGGTGTCGTGATTCAAGACTGTCTTTTCTACCCTTTTTAGTGCATCTGTCAGTGATATAAAGTTAAAACCAGGTACTGTGAGTGCTCATCTGATTTTTGGTTCTTATGAAGGTGCTTTTTTTGGTGTAGAGAGTTGTTATATTTTGTGTTCCTGTAGTGGTGATGATTGGTGGAGCCTGCTACTCTGCCATCCTGCTCCATCCCTCCTGTGACAATGTTTTGTCACTTCTCTTCATATTTCCCCCATGGCTTTCAGTGAGTGCCCCCCATCCACCTATCCCTGAGAAGAGAAAAGATACTTGATGTTTCCTTTCTTTCACTCTTCCCTTTATCTGACAATCTCTTTTTTTCAGTTTCCTGTTGTTAGTAACAAGGAACAACAGGCCAGTACTTCACAAGCAAAATCTCCAATTCCTTCACAGTTCTCCTATCTTCTCAGACTCTCAAAAATTTTTTGCTGATTTTGCCCTCTAAGTGGTCAAAGCCAACCAGGGAACAATACGAATAGAGGGAAGAGATACCACGTCAATAAAGGCAAACGCAAGAACAGTGCAGAGGAAAGAAACCAGTGACTGGGAAAGTGGAGCTTCTTTATCTTATTTTTAAAGTGTGGCTATGATTAGTGTTGAAAACTTAGAGAGTTCCATGGCAGAAATTTGAGATTCATAGGTTTTTGCGTGTCTCTGCCCCCAGTACTTTATCACTGTGAGGCCTTGTCAGAGCTCTACTCTTTTGTATCATTCATAATCTGCTCTGTGAGCTGTAGGTCTTGAAGAGCCACATAGCTAAGTGATTCTCCAACCTTGAATCACTAAAATTGAGCCAAAAAATGAAAACAGACCATCTCATTAGTAAACCTTACTAATACACATATACAATTGTTCCCCCAGTCCATTTTAAAAGAAATTAATAGTCCATGCATTCAGGAAAGATTAACCCTAACTACTTTAATAAGAATATAAGTACGGCACATAATAATATATTTCAAGACGTTAGTATAATGAACCTGGCTTGAGACTTCCTTTGGTATTTACCATGGACCTATGTCACTCCACTGCTTCATGATTAGAATAAATAATAAATGGGCAAAGAAAACTGAATATTATGATAGGAAGGAGCCAACAGTGAGTCAAGACTCCAAACTCAACAAATCAATGACAGTATTATTTAATGACTATTTTCAAATATTTATACTTGTCAAGGAGACTTCCTTATTGTGCTTTTTTCTTTTTTTTTCTGAAAAGCATTTTAGGAGAGTTGACACAATTTGTTTTTCCTCTACCTTTTCCCACATTTCCAATTAATTTAATGCTATATCTATAACTGCTTAACCTTTCTGAGATGAAGATGCTGTTCAGTCATTTAACATCCAATATATAATACATTGATTACCTATGTCTTCTGTCTAAATCAGAATAGATCCACAGTAAATTTTCAGATAATTTAAAATATGTTCACTTTCCTGCCACCCCCATTCCATATATCAGAAAATAAGATTAGTGGCAATTCAGTGGCAGAGTCAGAATTAGAGCTCTGATGTCCTGATTACCAGGCAAGCAGTATTCACAGTGTTCAATATTCCTTACCAGAGAGGTTCCCAAGAAGTAAGATACTCAGCCTTCCCTGCAAGGGACCTATTTGACACTTGTTGACAGTTACCAAATTGCTTTACATTTTACTGGAGGTTATTATGCCTTCAGTGAGGTCTTTTAGAAAGGATCTTCAGAATAGCTAGCACAACTTCTAAAACAAGCATCAGTTAGTTATCTTAACAATACATACATTCTTGATTTTCCCTGTTAGAGCATGGATAAAAATCAACAAAAAGATTAAAGTTGGTAAGAATTAACATATGGATGTTCATTTGAAAGCATCAATGACAAGAAAATGAAGAACTATTTTATTTTAGTAGAAAACATTTCTTTTGACAATATGCACATTAAGATACCTATATATAAAAATATATTAAAATTCTATATAGTTTTCCAAATGGTAATAGGAGTAAAATCTGAGTGGCAGGATTCCAGGTAATGGTATTTTTTCTTTTGTACTTCTGCATCTTCCAAATGCTCTATAATGACAATGAATTATTCTAGTGACTAGAAAAACTTTTTAACTGCTTTAAGAGTTGAGATAAATGTGTATCATATATAGGATTGGGAACCACTGAGCTATGCCCCCATTAGTAAGTGGTTCTCCCATAGACTGACTATTCTTTTTTGTGTCATACAAATGAAGCATATTTATGTACTAATACCTTAACTTTAATGCTAGGTAATTTATTTTCAATACTCTAGCACATATATAGTGTGCTCTTAGGCATCTCTCTCTTATCACCCATGTAGGTCAACTGCCATTGACCTAATACATATACACATATTGACTGATTTCAGGACTTGGCTAGTTAGATGTATGTTCTTACAAGAAACTACTTAATTCTTTTATTTTTCACACATCTATTAAGTTGGCACTATGGTCCAAATAGAAACCATTTTGCTATGTTTCAACGTTATCTGGTTTTAATGAGTCTCTGAGGTCTCTGAATAGATTTTACTGCCAAATGTGATTCAGCCAAACACTGCAAGTGAAACACTTGGGGCATTTTATCTGCCAATAGATTTCTGCCTGCAGTAGCAGCCAATACATTTGGAAGATTGTCAAATGACAAATTCTTAAAGCTTTACCACAAGACCACCCAAATGAATTCAATGTGGTATCGCTGCTCTTGGTTCAAAACAGTTGCATATATTCATCTTCACATAAGTGCTACAAAAATATTCCGTACCTACATTTAATAAGTGAATTGATTCAATGGGTTCAAGCTCTAGTTAACTGCTGTTAAATAATATTTCTGTGAACAATAATTGTGGGAGCTGATACCATAATATTTGCTTTTAAGTTGCTTACAAACAGGTTGAAAGAAACTGCCCTCAAGAATCTCTAATAAATGTGTACAGAGGAGATGGGTGATTGCATTTTAAATGGGGATCACAAGAACAAAAGGAAGTTATTCTTCACGATGTCACCAAATAAAACAATGAGGGAAATCAGCTAAATTTTCGCAGCAGCCCATGTCTGAAATGATACAGGCCCAGATTAAGGTGGTGAAAGTACAAAATGGAGACACCAGAGCATTATAATGGAAGAAAAACAACCAGCTTAGTGATTAATTAATCATGGTGAGAGGAAATTAAAGGTCTCAAAGACGGTTTAACATTCCTGAGTGACCTAAAGGAGAAACGACCTTTTGTCAGACATATGAGAATCAGGAGTCAGATCTATTATGTGGGTAGGATGATGAGATGAATTATGTTGAAATTCATCAGTCTGGTAGATAAAGGGTATTCTGTGAAAATGATGTAACTGGATTTTTATGTGGCATTTTACAAAGTGATATGGTTTGGATGTTCTGTCCCATCCAAATATCATATTGAAATGTGACCTCCAATGTTGGAGGTAGGCCTAGTGGGAGGTGTTTGGGTCATGGTGGGCAGATTCCTCATGAATGGCTTGGTGCTACCCTTGTGATAATGAGTGAGTTCTTGCTCTGAGTCCATGTGAGATCTGGTTGTTTAAGAATGTGCCACCTTCCTGCTCTCTCTTGCTCCCTTTCTTGCCATGTGATTTGTTGGATCCTCCTTTGCCTTCTGCCATGATTGAAAGCTTCCTGGGCCTCACCATAAGCCAAGCAGACACTGGTGCCATGCTTAGTGACAACTTGCAGAACTGTGAGCCAGTTAAACCTCTTTTCTTTATAAATTACCCAGCCTCAGGTGTTTCTTTATAGCACCACAAAAAAACTAGCACTCAAAGTCTTTCCTAGTATACTATGTATAAGATGAATAAATTGGGACCAGACAACAATTGTGTGTGTGTGTGTGTGTGTGTGTGTGTGTGTGTGTGTACAGTTAAACAGAATTTATTCTAATTAATATATCAGTGTTAACTCATCTCTGATAGGTCTCTGTCTTCTACCTTGTCATATTAATCATATTAATTAATTGAGTGAGAATATAGTTTGAAATGCTTATCAAGCCATTAGTAGATACAAACCAGGAGAGATAATGATTTATATTGGAAAATATATTTTGTCCATATTTTTAGCCTCTTGATACCAGGTTTTGAATTCTGATTTTTAACAACATGAAATTTAATAGTGATACATTTCAACATTCTACCTTTGTGTATAAAACTAGCCCTACAAGTATAGTAGCACAGTTTTGGGATGACTTATCTTAAAAACAGTGAGATGGCCAGGCGCGGTGGCTCACGCCTGTAATCCTAGCACTTTGGCTAGGCTGAGGCGGGTGGATCATGAGGTCAGGAGTTTGAGACCAGTCTGACCAACGTGGTGAAACCCCGTCTCTACTAAAAATACAAAAATTAGCTGGGCGTGGTGGCCTGGGCCTGTAATCCCAGCTACTCAGGAAGCTGAGGCAGGAGAATCACTTGAACCTGGGAGGCGGAGGTTGCGGTGAGGCAAGATCACGCCATTGCACTCCAGCCTGGGCAACAAGAGAGAAACTCCTTCTCAAAACAAAAAAACAAAAAGCACAAAAAACAGTAAGACATGTGAAAAGGACTTGCTGTCCTACACAATAAGCTCCATAAATCAACAGCATTTGGAGGCTATATCAATAGATGTTCAGTGTCTTGAAGAGGTAGTAGGACTGCTCCATTTTTCACAGGTCAAAATATACCTGAAAAATTTATCATGTTCTTGGTATGACATTTTGAAGGAGATATTCAAATAGTGGTGTTCTCAGAGAAGAAGTACCAGGATGGCAAACCGACTTAAATCTCAACAGCCTCCAACATTTGAAGGAACTGAAGCTGTTTAATTTCAAGAAATCTCAGAGAGGAAATATGACAAATATTACAGATTGGCTCATTCCATATCCTTCCCAATCCTCTTCTACCATATTTTTCACTAGTAAGAGTCTTGCAATCACAAAACTGCATTGACCAGATTCCCTTATGTCTAAGCTTCTGTATGTGATCTAGGCTTCACCAAACAGATATACTTGCCCATTAAATTTGAGAGAGAAGTGGTGACTGTGAATAAAGAGTTAGAATCTTCAAGGGAAAATGTGGCAGAGATTCTACTTTTTACTGTCTGAAATCACAGATGCTGAATAGTGGGCATTCGTGTTAGTGGAATTTCTGCTAGAGTAGCCCTACAGTTTGGTTGAGAATTTCTTGTTACTGGCTGTGTATTACCCAATCTTTGATCTCCCACACTGTCAAACATTCTGTAAGCTATCTAACAAGCTGTAATAAATCCCTTTATATTTAAGCTACCTAGGGTGGATTTTATTATCTGTGACTAAGAATCCTGACATAGAGGTATAGGTATTAGACCAATGGATAGGTGCTACAAAAAGAATGATTTATCTAAGCTGACCAATGATGGGATGGGACGTCTCAGAGAGAACATTAGTTGTGTTCGGTAACATAGGCAATCACTTGGTGGGGACAAAAGCATCAGGAGGTGCTTGGCTGAGGTGACTTTTAAGTCTCCTTCTGATTACCTGAGGTTATGTGAGTATACAAAGAAATTATTCAACTACCTGATCAAAATTATTCTCACTTTAGTGTGAATGACAGATAGAAATAACCTTCTATTGAGGCGTGCAAAAGCTATTTATGTGGATCTCATTGTGAAATTAGAGAACAAAACTCTTTGAGGAAAGAGCTCTTTCCATTAGATTGCACATACTCTGGATAGTAGACCTGTCCACCTCAGTCTTTTACTTTCAGAAGGATGAGACCAACACTCATATTTATTTCATAATGTCTTGAATTATTCATTGCACAAAACAGAGGAGAAATAAAAGCACTTAGGAAATAAAATATTACAATTAATATTATAGGGTCATATAAATACATATAACCAATACTCTTCATAGAAGATTTTATATTTCTAAATAAACACCACTTTCTCACTCCCATTTTTACTTGCAAAAAATCTCACCTCTTCTTTAAGCTTCTTTGTAAATCCCACCCCTCATGAAGATTTTCCTGGACACTCCAAACCCATTTTTTTTTTCCTGAGAGGCTTTACATTTGTGATTCCCATTTATTGGGATGCTTTTCCCTTAGACAAAAGCATGGATAACTTCCTTTCTTTATTCAGGTGTCCATTCAAATGCCATTCTTTAGAAAGGAGCTGGATGCTCTGACTCATTCCTGTAATCCTAGCACTTTGAGCAGGCCAAAGCGTGGGGATTGCTTGAGGCCAGGAGTTTGAGGCTACAGTGAGCCATGATCCTGCCACTGCACTCTAGCCTGGGTGACAGAGCGAGAACCTGACTCAAAAAACAAAAACAATAACAAAACCCTGGCCTTCCTAACTTAAATAGTAACCCATCACCTTCTCTTTGGTTATTTTAATTTTAAAGTTTTATTTATCACTCTCTGAAATATTATCAGGACCTAAAACCACTCTACTGATTTGTTTTCATGTTGGGTGCCTGTCTGTCTTCCCTCCTAGGAGGGGAATTCCATGAGGGCAGGGATTTTTTTTTTTTTTTTTACTGCTGTATCACCATCACCTAAAATAGTGCTTTAGCTATAGTAGAACTTCATGCATATTTATTTTATGAAGGAAGAAAGAAATGGATACATTCTCTCAATGGGATATCATGTCTCTTTTCTTTAAATCCTCAAAAATCATGCATATACTAATTTTATGATAGTATTGTTATTCTACCTTACATATAATAATTTATATACTTATATTACTCCTCACCCCAAGAGTGTGTGAGAGTAAGTCTATGGTTTACCTATTTGTGTTTTCACCTGCAATCCTTATCCTATAATAAGGGCTTAATACATACGTTTGTGAATTTGAACATGGTCAGTTATCCCCGGTATGTTCTTTACTATATCTACATATTGACAGCAGGAAACATAACATATCAAATATGTATGTTTTTTGTTTTGAACATAACATTTCATATATGTATCATGTTGGTTTTGAACAGAATTCCAAACAAAAGACAATCAAATATAATGAGGAACACAACCCATGGGAGAAGTAAGCAGATAGAACCATATTTTCAACAGTTCTTATCAAAGGTAGATGTGATGGTTAATTTTATGTGTCAACTTGGAGGATGTTTGTGGATGAGATTAACATTAAAACCAGTGAACTTCGGGGAAAGCAGATTGCCCTGTCTAATGCAGGTGGGCACCATCTAATAAAATGGAGGCCTGACTAGAACAGAAAGAATGGCCTCCCCAAGCAAGAGTGAATTCTCAAGCAGACTACCTTTACACTGGAACTTCATTACCACCACCTCTCCTGGATCTCTAGTCTGCAAGACCACATTGTAGATTTAGACTTTTCAGCCTCCATAATTGCGTGAGCCAAGTGTTTATAATAAATGAGCAAGTAAATAATAAATCAATATTCTATTGGTTCTGTTTTTCTGCAGAATCTTGATTAATACAGTAAACATTCGATTTATTTGTTCTGCCCCTTTCATTGATGGGCAAATTTTGTAACTGGAGTGTCATTCTTTTCCTTCGAGACTTCTTATTTCCTGTTGAAATGAAAATGTATTTGAAGGAGTAAATAAGTATCTGAAGGCTTATTAGACATTTATACTTTTGCAAATTACTTTCAAGTCTTTTCTTTAGAGCAGGTTTTAACAGGAGACAGGATGTGAAGGAGAAAGAAAGTTGAGAGAGAGTGATCCTAAGATTCTTGGCACACTTTGTTAAATGGAGCTTGATGAAATGTTGGCTATAACTTGATTTAATCTACAAAGAGGTTTTAGATATATTGTGCCTTACATTCAGAATGCTTAAAAACACAGTTTTATCATTTGGATCTAGTCACAGCTAATACTTACACTAATTGACCAAACCATTACTGTGACTACTTCCCAGAACAATGTAGGCTTTACACCCAAGAGACAAGCCTCAGGACATTCAGGAAGAAGTCTTAGGTCGTTAGAGTGATTGAACATTTATCAGGCTTTCACAGCACGCTAGACTGGCTAAGATGCACAAGAGACATATGCTTCGCTTAAACACATCCCCATTTAAAGGAAAGGGGCAAGACTCTGCTAAATAACTCTCTATTGAAGAAGCAAAAGAATAAAAATACATTCAGTTGACTAAATTCTGTAATGCTTATCAATTTAGGGGAGCATGTCAGTTGTAAGGATAAAAGGGAGGCCACTTTTATAAACATCAACAATGATATTCTGTCTCTCACTTTAGAAGCCACCTAGAGTCTATCTGGTCCTTAGTCTATCTTGAGAAGAATTTCTCGGCTAACTTGGTCTCCTAGTATTCTGAAACACGGAATATTTGCTTCCCCAATTCCAGAGACTTTCTACTGCTTAAAGTTCTCAACTGTGGCAATTCACTTGAAAGACATTCCTCAGAGATTTATATTCTAAATGTTTTCTCTTTCCTTTCTTCCCTTCCCTTCTCCTCCTTTCCCTCACCTTCCCTTTCTTTACTCTTCCTTCTTTTCTCTCTGGCCCCGCCTCTCTCTCTCTGTCTCTCCTATCTGTCTCCTGCACATTTCTTTCCTTCCTTACCCACACTCAGCAATTAAAATATTAATTTTCTTCGTGTTAAAATTGAAACTAGTTTTTGAGGAGTAGACAACCTGATTTATCATCCAGGTTCTCTCCTTACTGTCTGTGAGTCCAAAGTATGCCCCAAATCCATTCACTTCTTACTAGTGGGTCTTTCTGCTTCCACTTTTAACTGGGCGAAGTTCTCTCTTTACAAAACAGCCAGAAATTGCCATTTTAAATTTAAATCCGACTCTAATGCTTTCTTGCTCAAAAGTCTTCCATGAGTTTTCATTTTGCTTGGAGCAAAATCCAAAATCCTTCTATGGAACCAAACCCCTTTGGGACCTCTGAACTCATGTTCTGCACTCTCCCCCTCATTCTCTACATTCTAGCCACACTCTCTTCTTCTCTTTTCTGCTATGATTTTAGTCATTATCACCTTTGAACTAATGCTATTCTTACTTTATGATGAACTCTGTCTACATGGCTGTTTCATTCCTCTTGTAAATGTTTCAGCCTCCTCCAATTATCTTCTCTTCAGAAAGGACTTCCCAGATTATAGCCAAAAGCAGCTCCACCCTTTATAAGTGAGATCATGTGGTATTTGTTGTTCTGTGGTTGGCTTATTTCACTTAGCATAATGGCCTACAAGTTCATGTTCATATTGTTGAAAATGACAAAATTTCATTCTTTTATAAGGCTAAATAGTATGCCTGTGTGTGTATGTGTGTGTGTGCGCGCACGTGTGTGTCTCAGTGTTGGGGGAGGGATGTGGTGGGAGGTGGTTGGATCATGGGGGCAGATTTCCCCCTTGCTGTTTGCATGATAGTGAGTGAGATCTCATTACATCTGGCTGTCTGAAAGTGTGTGGCACTTCTCCCTTTCTCTCTCTCTCTCCTGTTCCTCCATGGTAAAACATGCTTGCCTCCCCTTCACCTTCTGCCATGACTGTAAGTTTCTTGAGGCCTCCCAGTCATGTTTCCTGTTAAGCCTGCACAACTGTGGGTCAATTAAACATCTTTTCTCCATAAATTACCAAGTCTCAGGTAGTTCTTTATAGTAGTGTGAAAACACACTAATACAATGGACATTTAGGTTGTTTCCACATCTTGGCTATTGTGAATAGTGTTGGAGCCAGTGAGAAAGGGAAATAGGGTATGTTGGTCAAGGGGTACAAAGTTTCAGTTACACAGGATGAATAAGTGAATAAGTTCTGGAGATCGAATGTACAACAATATAATAGTTAATGCTGTATTGTATAATTGACATTTGATAAAAGGTTAGGTCAATAAGTGTTGTCACCATACACACACAAGCAAATGGCAACTATGTGAGGTGATAGATATATTAATTAGCTTATTTTTGGTGATTATTTCACAATGTAAGTGTATATCAAATAATGAGTTTGCACACCTTAAATATATGCAATTTTAAATTGTGAGTTATACCTCAATAAAAACATAAGTAAGTAGCTCCACCCCCATCACTCTTTCACACAACCTTCTTTTTTTTTGTTTTTATGTTGAGACAGGGGCTCGTTCTGTTGCCCAGGCTGGAGTACAGTGGCGTGATCATTTTCCACAGCATACTCAAACCCCTGGGCTTTGAAGTTATCCTCCCGCCTCAGCCTCCTGAGTAGCTGAGACTACAGGCACATGCTGCCACGCCCAGTTTTGTTTCGTTTGTTTTGTTTTGTTTTGTTTTGTTGTAGCCACAAAGTCTTGCTGTGTTGCCCAAGTGGCTCTCAAACACCTAAGCCCAAGCAATCCTCCCATCTCGGCCTCCCAAAGTGTTGGGATTATAGGTACGAACCACCATGCCTGGCCTATTTTTCTTATATAATGTATTACTAACTGAAATTTCCCTTTTTGCTTATTGTATCTCTCCCTTCAAGAAGGAAAGCACCTTGTAAGAGGAGAACAACATGGTTTGTTCATTGCTATATCTCCAAAGCCTTGAGGAATGTCTGGCATACAGTATGTACTTGGCAAATAATTCCTGAGTAAATGAACAAATAAATAATTTTGGCCAAGTGATTAACTGGTTAAGAATCAAACTTCCTAGATTTGAATTCTGACTCTCCAATCACCAGTCCTATGCCCTTGGGCATGATGCTTGACCATTCCATCACTTGGCTTTATGATCTTTAAAAGTAGTAATATAAATAGAACCTAACCCTTAAGGTTGATATGATGTTTGACTTAGTATATGTAAAGTGCTTAAAACAGTGTTTGGCATATAGAATGTGCTTTATAAGGATTATATCATTACTGCTGCTATTAGTGCTGCTGCTACTACTACTACTACAACGACTACTATAACTATCTAAATCATATGGTTCTGATGAAGATCAAGTAAGTTAAGAAAGATGAAAATAATTTCCCAACTATAATTCCCAAAGTCCAATTTTAATTTCTAAAACATAAAATGCTATGCAGGTGCTTACAAGGAGCAAGGTAAACCAGAAGTGGGCAAGAATAATAACCACAAAGTGAACAAGAATAAGGACATCACCTTCCATGCAGTTTCCCTTCTTTAACTTAATTCTTCTCCATATGATGAGAAAGGAGACAGAAGTAAGGCACATGCCAAGCATGGGAAGTCCAAGTTTTCAATTGTTCACAATCTGATGCTGCATTTCTTCTGGACTGTTTGCATTCATGTTTACCTCCTATTATGGTTTATATAGTGTTGTTCATTTTTAAGTGGCACTGGTATATCTTTTCAATCAAACTGGATTTCATAAAACTTATTAAATATGATGTAATCAGTTATACAATTTAATCCCTAATTAACAGTCTCTTCACAGCCTGTGCTTTTCACAGATAATCCGTCTGTAATTCACCAAAAATGTACTCAGAGTCCACAGCATTAGGCTGGATCTTGTGGGTCCATAATCAAGGTTAATGAGAGTTCCCTCTTTAAAAAATTCACAGCTTAACTCAAGAGGTGGCTCTTTTACTACAGACATTTGGAAGGAAATTCCACTAGCTACCCAGCACATAAAACAAATACAATTTTGCACACAAACTGGGGAAAACTTATTACAAACATCAGCACTGGCATTTGAAAATCCCTTTTGTGTGCGTATGGCTATTTGTAGAGCACTCAGGTTTACAGTTGCATAGCAAGGTGGAATGTTAGGGAAATGGCTTAAAATGTTGACTAAAACATATCCATTTGAAATATCTATGCAGATGAATGGATAACATATGGATTTATTTTAATGATCTTGATAAATACCTTCAGTTGATTGTGAGGACCATATCAGTTTAAACACATTTTAGGAAAATAATTCACATGCCATATGACTAGAAATAGCGACACAAACTGATGTTAACAAAGATCCTCCAAGGAATTCTGAGAAGGAAAAGCCATTTAGTCCAGTTTATGGAGTAAAATGATATGTGCATTTCTAACTTCTTAAAATCTAAGGTAAATCAAAGCAGAAAGCTAGCTCCTAGCTACATCAAGGGAAAGACTGAGGAAAAAATGTGAACAAGGCAGAACCATCTGTGGCAATTTAACGATGATTTCAAGTTTGTACCAAAGACACGCTTAATTAGAAACTAAGTGCTAAAGGGAAGACAATTTCAAAGGGATTTGAATATGGAAGAAAATAACTTTGTATATAGATACAATTACCTGATGGTTTGATTTTAATTCTCTTGGAACAGAATGTCATCTGTAGAAATGGAGGACTTAAGAGTAGAGAACAAACTGCTGTAAACTGCTGTAAGGTCTTTGTTTTGTCTTATTTGAGGCAATTTTTAAGAACTGATATTAATTTATCTAACTATTATTTGACAACACAATTGCATAAGGTAAAAACAAATAGAAGCCCAGGGTGTTCTGTACATTTAGGCTCAGTTATAACAAATCATTTGCTGAAAGACTTTTTAGCAAATTGCTCTATCGACGAAAATGGTGGTGTTCTATCAGTTTGTGGCTTGGCAACATTCAGTGTGGTGGAACTTTCCCTGAGTCAGGCAGATACAATAAGCAATGACCTGAGGAGATGCGTAGCTACAGATCCCAGAAACTCTGTCACCAAGATTATGCTCCTGTTCTACTTTTTGAAGTAGACAAACTCAAATATGCTACAAAAGAGAACATGAGTGGTCAACAATTTAATCACCTTTTCTACTGCCAACTGAAGTAAATGAAGTAGCAACTCTGGAAGTGGGAAATGAGAATCTTTTCTTAGTCAACAAAGAAATTAATCAAAATAATTTCCCTGAATGAAAATCTTACCCTGTAAGTAATATCAATAATAATACTGAGGTCAGGAGCCTAACATTGAGCTCTGTTTATTTAATATGCTCAATAAGTCATAAATACAATAAAAATTAATATTCTGATTTGGCTAGCTGCTATTCATTGGGGAACCTTTCAAACTTTATAGGTGCTCAGTCGCCTTCCATTAATAATTTTACTAACTGTCCCTGGAGCATACTTATGATATTTTAAGTCAATGACTGCAGTTTAGAGAAAGTAGACTACAATTCCTCTTCTGAGCCAAAATTTTATGATAATGCATTGTAGACCAGCTTGTAAAGAATGCGACTGAACAGTGGCCCATTTTGGAAGATGACTTCTTTTTTGATTTTATTAAGGATAAACTGAACATATGTTTACATTATGAATTATATTTTTAGTGTTCTAACTATAGTACAAGTGACAGTGAAGTGTTGGAGCTTCAGGTTGAGAATCCACAAAGACAACTCTAGGCTACTTACAATATCTCAGTGGTGAAAATTACATATGCTGTAATTGTAGGGCATTTAAGATGCCCTTTATGTTCTCTAGAAGCTTGTTTAAAAATTCCAGCACAAGAGGACAGCAACTTGCATTTCCATAACCAAATAGCAATCTTTACCATATGGAAAGGTCAGCCCCTTAGTCAATTGTATATTGAATAGTGAGGGAGAAAGGGAATACCCACGCAGCCAGTCAGACCAAACTGCCATCCGGTCATGCTGTGGAGTGAAAATGTTGCAACATTGCTCTCACATTCCCTTAGTAATAGTTTCTGCATTTTTATGTTAGAGGAATGAGGAGACAGTTCTTAGCTGTAGAAAGTTTTATGCTAAATCTATGCTGCCTCAATAATATTTGAGTAGCCATAAAAATAGCTTCTGATTATCAAAGGAGGTTGGGGAAAAGCAATCATTAAAATAAAAGGCAGACAGCATAAATGCATGGGATCAGTAAGTAGATCCACCTTTATTCAAATATAAGCTGGCTTGATGCTTAAAATGCCTGCTCTGATGCACAACGGGCAGTTTGACCACACCAGACAAATTCTTCAGTTGAAATTATTTCAGCGTGGGAATCCCTCAGTGAATAAAATATAGTAGGGATTCATGAGCACAAGCACGCTGAAGTCCACAACATTTGTAGAGTCCAAATAAAAACTGGGAGATGTGAGCCCTCTCACTCTTTACTTCCAAGTCTCACTCACTTAATAAAATTCTCGAGTTAATGAAACTTCTCACTAGCATCAGCATTGTTCAATGATTTAAATCCCAAATATGAAGTCAGCCAATTGATTGATTGCTCTGTACATCACAGAACCACATCACCCATCTTCACATTAGGAAAGGCGGGGGTATTTCATAGATTTCATGTGGTACATTTAGCTTATTTGAGGGAAATATATGATGAAACTTCACTGTTTCTTCATCTGTAAAAAGGATAACTACAGTATTTACCATATAAGGCTGTAATAATAAATAAGTCATTATAAATATAGTGCTTAGAATCATGCCTGGCAGAAAATAACCTTCGAAAAAGCATCATCATCAGCAGTATTAAGATTAATTAAGGCCAGGTGTGGTAATTCACACCTGTAATCCCATCACTTTGAGAGGCCAAGGCAAAAGGATCGCTTGAGCCCAGGGGTTTGAGACCAACCTGGGCAACATAGAGAGACAATGTGTATTAGGCCCTTCTTGCATTGCTATAAATAAATACCTGAGTCTAGGCAATTTCTAAAGAAAACAGGTTTAGTTGGCTCATGGTTCTGTAGGCTTTACAGGAAGCATAGTGCTGGCATCTACTCAACTCCTGGGGAGGCCTCAGGGAGCTTTTACTCATGGCAGAAGGCAAAGCAGGAGCAGGGACTTCACATAGTGAAAGCAGGAGTCAGTGAGAGAAAGAGTGGGGCTGGAGGTGCCACACACTTTTAAATGACCAGATCTTGTGAGAAGTCCCTATCACAAAGATGGAACCAAGCCATGAGTGATCTGCTGCCATGATCCAAACGTCTCCCACCAGGCCCCACCTTCAGTGTTGGGGATTACAATTCAACATGAGACTTGGGTGGGAACAAGTATCCAAACAATATCACCCTATGGCTACCAAAAATTAAAAAAAAATTAGTCATAATGGCACGCACCTGTGGTCTCAGCTACTCAGGAGGCTGAGGCAGTAGGATTTCTCGAGCCCAGGTGGTTGAGGCTGTAGTGAGCCATGATCATGCCATTGCACTCCAGCTTGGGCAACAGAGCAAGACCCTGTTTTGAAAAAATTTTTTAAAGATTATATAGAGCCAAGAGTGGTGGCTCGTGCCTGTAATCCCAACACTCTGGGAGGCTGAGATGGGAGGATCTCTTGAGCCCAGGAGTTTGAGACTAGCCTGAGCAATATGCAAAGTTCCCACCTCTATAATTTTTTTAAATGATTACTTAACCCTTTCAAATTTATTTTAACAACTGGTAAGACTGACCGAAATAATGTGACAGAAGAGAAATTGGGCAGGTTCTGATCCCAGTCTTCAAAAGACATGGCTTCTTTAAGCACTTGGGAACCCTGTAACAACCCTGAGATGAATGAGACTGAAAGTCTGCTAGAGGATGAGAAACCACATAAAGATGTCTTAGGTGACGTTCCCTAGAAAATAGATTCTGGGATGGAGATTTCCAAGCAGGAAGCTTTTGAAAGCACTGTTGGCAACAACTGTGAGGCAATAACAAATATAGGACTGGCCACAAGATAAAGTTGGGCTGCAACACAGTTGAGATGAAGGTCTCAGCTGATTCCTTGGGAAGCTCTAGAACTGAGATGGTTATTCAAAGTTGTACCAAGTTGGGCAAAGGGTCTAGGCGTTTTCTCTTTGCAAGAACCAGTAATAGAATGAGGGTGTCTCTCAGTGAGGTAATATGATCTTGGGCTATGCAGCAACTTTTGGCAATAATTGGGGTAAGGGCACAGTAGTAAATTGTCAGCTCGCAACACTTCTAGACACTGTGGGAAAATTGTCTTGGCCCTGTAGAGGAGGATCTAGGTTGCATGCCATAGCATCCACTACAGAAGATAACCAATGTGCCCCATTTAATAAGTCTGACAAGTGCTAGACATGTGAAATGAGGCCATCCTAGAACATCCAGGTGTCGGCTAACCCACTGCCTGAAGAGAGACACATCAGTGAGCAGAGCAGACTTTAATTAAACCAACCCAGTCCAGAAAATTATCTTAGGAAACTCATAGAATCTTGAGACATAAGACATATTTGCGTATTTAAACCAATAAGTTTTGAGGCAGGTTGTTATGCAGTGATAAATAACTGATAAAAATATTACATTATAACAGTCCTTATCAAAGGTCATGAGTGTAAAATTAAGGTGATTCTAGTGGTAGTCTACTGACAAGTTTTTTTTTCCCCTAAGCACTCATTGCCAAAGACATTAAGATCAACATATCTTAATGTTTGACAGTCAATCATTAGCGCAAATGATACTTATGGAACGTGAGTTTTGACTATGCAATACAGCTCCTATGCCAAGTAGCTACCAATTTTCAGCATCAGGTAGGCACACAGGCCTCTTGGGGAAGAAACCAGTATATACTTCTGGGAATCAGTGTTCAACACATTTGTGTCATCCAGACGGCATAACTACACAGAGTTGCCAAAAGAGTTCCCTAAGGTATTCTTTGAGAAACTGAGATCCTACAAAAAGAAATCAATGTCATTCTGTTTAGATATTGATATTACACCAATTTACTTGAAAGCTATAAATATGTTTCTTGTCCAAGGAAAATAAAGTTGAATCAGTTGAAACAAAAACTTTTAAAAGATTTATTTATTCTACAAATATAACTAGAAAAAAGAATCAGCTACAATCCTTCTATTCTAACAAATCAACTATTTTTATTTTCCCACATTCCTTTCCAGTCCTTGTTTATATTTATATCATAAATAAACAGTTTTAAACCTAGTATAGATACAATTTTCTATTAGAGTATGACCTTTTGAATAAAAGAATCAGAACTTATAATTTTTTTTATTATACCTTAAGTTCTGGGATACATTTGCAGAATGTGCAGGTTGGTTACATAGGTATTACGTGTGCCATGGTGTTTTGCTGCACCCATCAACCCATCATCTGCATTAGGTATTTCTCCTAATGCTATCCCTCCTCTAGCCCCCCCAACCCCCAACAGGCCCCAATGTGTGATGTTCCCCTCCCTGTGTCCATGTGCTTTCATTGTTCAACTCCCACTTATGAGTGAGAACACATGGTGTTTGGTTTTCTGTTCCCTGTTAGTTTGCTGAGAATGATGGTTTCCAGCTTCATCTATGTCCCTGCAAAGGACATGAACTCATCCTTTCTTATGGCTGTATAGTATTCCATGGTGTATACATGCCACATTTTCTTTATCCAGTCTGTCATTTTGGGTTGGTTCCAAGTCTTTGCTATTGTGAATAGTGCCGCAATAAACATACGTGTACGTGTGTCTTTTAGTAGAATGATTTATAATCCTTTGGGTATATACCCAGTAATGGGATTGCTGGGTCAAATGGTATTTTTGGTTCTAGATCTAGATCCTTGAGGAATCGCCACACTGTCTTCCACAATGGTTGAACTAATTTACACTCCCACCAACAGTGTGAAAGTGTTCCTATTTCTCCACATCTTCTCTAGCATCTGTTGTTTCCTGGCTTTTTAATGATTGCCATTCTAACTGGAGTGAGATGGTATCTCATTGTAGTTTTGGTTTGCATTTCTCTAATGACAGTGATGATGAGGTTTTTTTCATATGTTTGCTGGCTGCATAAATGTCTTCTTTTGAGAAGTGTCTGTTCATATCCTTCACCCACTTTTTGATGGGGTTGTTTTTTTTCTTGTAAATTTGTTTAAGTTCCTTGTAGATTCTGGATATTAGACCTTTGTCAGATGGATAGATTGCAAAAATTTTCTCCCATTCTGTAGGTTGTCTGTTCACTCTGATGATAGTTTCTTTTGCTGTGCAGAAGCTCTTTCATTTAATTAGATCCCATTTTGGCTTTTGTTGCCGTTGCTTTTGGTATTTTAGTCATGAAGTCTTTGCCTATGCCTACGTCCTGAGTGGTATTGCCTAGGTTTTCTTCTAGAGTTTTCATAGTTTTAGATCTTACATTTAAGTCTTTAATCCATCTTGAGTTAATTTTGTATAAGGTGTAAGTAAGTGGTCCGGTTTTCTGCATGTGGCTAGCCAGTTTTCCCAACACCACTTATTAAATAGGGAATCCTTTCCCTATTGCTTGTTTTTGTTAGGTTTGTCAAAGACCAGATGGTGGTAAATGTGTGGCATTATTTCTGATGCCTCTGTTGTGTTCCATTGGTCTATATATCTGTTTTGGTAATAGTACCATGCTGTTTTGCTTACTGTAGCCTTTATAGTTTGAAGTCAGGTAGTATGATGCCTCCAGCTTTGTTCTTGTTGCTTAGGATTGTCTTGGATATATGGGCTCTTTTTTGGTTCCACATGAAATCTCCATCAAGCTACTTTCTTCACAGAATTAGAAAGAATTTGTAATTTTTATATAAAATTTAAAACACCAATCAAATTAGATTAGAATATCTAAACTGAAGAGCTTCAGGAAATCCTAGCTGTCAAAGATGATTATGCTTTAGAGACCCTCTCTGAAATACGAACGGGAGCTCCCCTTCAGGAAGAAGAAAATTGAATGTATAAGAAGTGGAATGCAAACGTTTTTAAAAAGCAGGGTGATTGTGGTAAAGCTGAACAAATCTCTGATATATAAACCAGGGTTTGGTAAACTATGGCCTACACAGGTCAAATGCAGCTTACAGCCTGTTTTTGCAAGTACAATTGTATTGGAACACAGCCACTCTCATTAATTTACCTATTGTCTATGGTCACTTCTGCATTATATTAGCAGAGTTACACAGTTGTGACAGAGATTGTAGAGCCTGCACAGCCAAATGTATTTACTATTCGAGCTTTATAGAACAGGTTTGCTAACCCCTGACATAAACAATCATATTGATGAATAATTTTCTCGGTTGATATGACCAAAAAGAAGATGAGACTATAATACTAGACAAATAACATGGAAGATGGGAGGGCTGATTGGTGTTACTTCTGTTTTTTGTTGTTGTTGTTGTTGTTTGTTTGTTTGTTTTTGTTTTGTTTTGAGATGGAGTCTTGCTCTGTCATGCAGGCTAGAGTGCAATGGCGCAATCTCAGCTCACTGCAACCTCCACCTTCCAGGTTCAAGCGATTCTCCTGCCTCAGCCTCCTGAGTAGCTGGGATTACAGGTGCACATCACCACACCCGGCTAATTTTTGTATTTTTAGTAGAGACAGGGTTTCACCATGTCGGCCAGGCTGGTCTCAAACTCCTGACCTCAGGTGATCTGCCTACCTAGGCCTCACAAAGGATTGGTATTACTTCTAAGTTCCTTGTATTGCTTGGCATGGGATTAGAGACATAGTCAGGTATGTATTTTAAAAATAAAAGGGTAAGATTATTTATATAGTACAAAACAACATTCTTAGATTTCATATTCAAAGCTTAAAATACTTTCAAGTGACCCTTGGATTTGATGATATCATGATTTGTCTCCCTTCCACACCCCTGGCAACATTTAGTATTCACTTGGATGGTAAATGAAGCAGTGGACTGGAAAGCATTTTTCTCTGCAAGTGGCATGATTATTCTCTAGTCAACCTGACAAAATTCTAAGTAATAAAATCTTATGTGAGGAAGAATAGTCCCCACAAGAAAGTCAACTGCTGGCAATGCATATAAAAAATTCCAAAAAAGTAACAATTTCTAGTCATAGATGTTTTAGTGAGGAAATCATATGCAATCTTAATATTTATGAATCTTGGAACTTGAAAAGAATATGTCTGTAAAGGCAAAGCAACTACTCTATGTAACTTTAAGAAGTTCTGTACTCAACCAATTCAACAACTCACAATTGTACAGAAATACACTGGGACAACAATTTTATCATCATTGAACAGTGTTATTTTTAGAAAATTATTATTGTTAAATTTAAATCATTTAGCATAAAGTAGAGAAAAACTAGTTGACCAAATCTTACAATTTTCCACCAGTGATTTTGATATTGTGTAAACAGTCTAATATCATAGATTATAATTCAATCCAAGAAAAACATTTGAGGCAATTTATCATGATTTAATCGATAGAACTCATAATTGCATCATGAGTCATTTTTTAACTTCAGCTTGTAAGTTGTTTTAAACACAATATAGTTCAGTAAAAAAACTGTTAACCTTCATCCAACTGATAGTTCTGTGTCTTACATCCTTCATTATTTCTGCCTCAGGATTTTCTATATTTTTACATTAAGCCAGTGCTATATCTTTCAGAAGCCTGAGAATTTCAAACACTTTTTATTTTTTGTTAAAATAATCCACCAGATGCAAACATTTGTAGCACTTTGCAATACACAGCTCCATTGAATCATGAGCTCCTCTAGGGAAGGATCTATGACTTATTCATCCCTTTACCCCTATGACCTGATACATAGTGAGCGCACTTATTAAACATTTATTGAATGCATCAATTGGCAATATCTCGTTATCTCTAACTCCTCCAGAGCAAGTTGTGTTTCTATTCACTGTGCTCATATATCTATTTCCACTCTATTGTAAACATTTGTTTCTTTTGTCTCCTTCATCTCAATGACAGAAGCAAAGGCTTCATTTATGTATTCTCAGTCCCTAACACTAGTACCAGTTTCCAACACATAATCATAGGTCTTCAGTAAAAGCTTTTTGAACTGAATATATCTTTGGAAGTTAAGTCCTCTTCACATACTTACAGAAGAAAGGAGGATGCATCCCTTGTGATAATTATTTCTTCCTTTCCATCCTTCTTAGTAGACTGTGGGCTCCATGAAAGTATGGTGTGAGGCCTAGTCATCTCCCTATCCTCAGTATCTAGCATCTATATGGCACACAGTACTCAAATGTCTAACTGAATTGAACTCCCCCCTCTACTCTTAGACTGGATTTCATTACAGATTAACCTAGCCCAACCGTTAGAATAAAATGGCTTCCTGGCTTTATTCAATAAATGCAGTCAATTTCAAATCTTGAATGCCCGCAATAAATCTTAAAGTTTAAAGTGCCAGATTAGGCTATTCTGCCTAATTAGTTTAGCTTTCTTTGATTTAAACATGGCCCATTAATTTAAATTAAATAAGCAATTCAAAGCCTGTGGACAATAAATTAGATAAATGTAAACATCAAAGACTGCAATCCCCTGGCTATCTGTTAAAGATAGTAAATATATAAGACATCAGAAGCAAGTATTCCTTTTGATGATGATAATGAGATGTTCTAGATCAGGAGGAAAACTGGGACTTATTTTAAAACCCACAGACACCAGAAACATTCTGGCAACAAATTATTCTATTTGTTTCTGTGTGTGCAAGTTGCCCTAGTTCTAGTACAATTTTAGAAGTTACCACCAAATCGTTTGCCTTGTTGTGTAAGTTTTAAAAAGTCAAATTGTGATGATGGTTTAGGATCTTTTTGATATCCTATATACATGTGTTGTTTTTGGTGATCATTTGTGGATGTTATTAGAAAGCTAACTACATTGCTTTCATCCATCTACTAGAGTTCATCGGAACTTACCCTCTGCTGCAGAAAACCAGAGCAACTAGCAATTTGGACAAATACATCAATTTTGTGGGCGATAACAGCAAAATGCATGAGTTGTTTGAATTAGCTGAGAATTTGTTTCAATGAACCAACTAGCAAATCCATCAAAAAGAGCTGAATGCAGTTTTCTAACACCAAAAAAGAATGTTTTTTTTAATATATTTGCTCATGTTTTCTCTGTATTATAGTATTTTGAGGTAGAACTTCAGAAGTACTGCACAGTGCTAACATGGCTCTGCAAAATCCTACTCTTCAAGTAGTCATGCTCATTTGAGCTAATTGATAGGCATGTACAGGTATATGCTTTGTTCTAACATACAGAGAGTTGTTCCCTGATTATTTTTTAAACGTCAGCTTTTGTTTTAGATACACAGCATATCCTACACATAGCATGTGTAGGATTGCTACATGGGTATATTAGACCTAGGTAGTGATCATAGTACCCAATGGGTAGTTTTTCAGCTCATGCTTTCCTCCCTCTTCCTCCACCAGTAGTCCGCAGTGTGTCTATTGTTCTCATGTTTATGTCCATGTGTGCTCAATGTTTAGGAGAGAACAAGTGGTATTTGGTTTTCTGTTCCTGTGTTAATTCACTTAGGATTATGGCCTTCAGCTCCATCCATATCGGTACAAAGGAAATGATTTCATTCTCTTTAATGGCTGTGTAGTATTCCATCGTGTATATATGCTACATTTTCTTTGTCCAATCCACCATTGATGACCATTTAGGTTGATTCCATGTCTTTGTTATTGTGAACAGTGCAGTGATGAACATATGAGGTTATATGTCTTTTTGGTATAATGATCTATATTTTGGGGGTATATAATGGGATTGCTGGGTTGAGTGGTATCTCTAAGTTCTTTAAGAAATCTCCAAATTGCTTTCCCCAGAGGCTGAACTAATTTACATTCCCACCAACAGTATATAAGCATTCCCTTTTCTCCATAACCTCACTAGAATCTGTTATTTTTTTGACTTTTTATAATAGCCATTCTGACTGGTATCAGATGGTTTGATTTGCATTTCTCTGATGATTAGTGATGATGAGCATTTTTTCATATGTTTGCTGGCCCCTTGTATGTCTTCTTTTTAGGAGTGTATATTTATGTCTTTTGCCCACACTTTAATGGGATTGTTTTTTGCTTGTTGATTTATTTAAGTTCCTCATAGGTTCTAGATATGCCCTTGTTGGACGCATAGCTTGTGAATAATTTTTTCTCTTCTGTAGATTGTCTGTTTACTTTATCGATGGTTTCCTTTGCTGTATAGAAGCTCTCTAGGTTAATTAGTTCCTAGTTGTTAATTTTTGTTTTTCTTGCAGTTGCTCTTGGGGAATTGGTATAAATTTGTTGCCAAGGTGTATGTAGAGAAGGGTATTTCTTAGATTTTCTTCTAGGACTTTTACAGTTTGAGGTCCTACATTTAAATATTTAATCCACCTTCAGTGAATTTGTGTATATGGTGAAAGTTAAGTGGCTAATATCACTCTTCTGCCTATGGCTAACCAATTATGCCAGCGTCATTTATTGAATAGAAAGCCCTTTCCCCATTGCTTGTTTTTGTCAGCCTTGTTGAAGATCAGATGGTTGTAGGTGTGTGGCTTTATTTCTGAGTTTTCTATTCTGTTCTATTAGTCTATGTGTCTGTTTTTGTAGCAGTACCATGCTGTTTTGGTCATTGTAGCCTTATAATATAATCTGAAGTCATTTAGTGTGATGCCTCTGGCTTTGTTCTTTTGGCTTAGGATTGCTTTGGCTATTTAGGCTCTTTTTTTGATCCCATATTAATTTTAAAATAAGTTTTTCTAATTCTGTGAAGAATGATGTTGACAGTTTCACAGGAAAAGCATTAAACCTCTAAATATCTTTGGGGCATATGGCCATCATAATGATATTGTTTCTTCTAATCCATGAGCATGGGATGTTTCTCTATTTATTTGTGTTGTTTCTGATTTGTTTCAGCAGTGTTTTATAGTTCTCCTTGTACAGCTCTTTCATATCCTTGGTTTGCTGTATTCCTAGGCATTTCATTTTCTTTGTGGCTATTGTACATGGGATTGTGTTCTTGATTTGACTCTCCACCTGGATGTTATTGGTGTATAGAAATGCTACTACTGATTTTTATACATTGATTTTGTGTCTTAAAATCTTACAAAATCATTTGTCAGTTCTAGTAGCCTTTTGGCATAGTCTTTAGGGTTTTCTAAGAATAGAATTACATCATTGGTGAAGAGAGATAATTCGACTTCTTCTTTTCCTATTTGGATGCCTTTTATTTCTTTTTTCTCCTTTAATTGCTCTGGCTAGGACTCATAGTGCTATGTTCAATAGGAGTGGTAAGAGTTGGCATCCTTGTCTTGTTCCATTCTCAAGGGGAATACTTCCAACTTTTGTCCATTCAGCATGATGTTGGCTGTGGGTCTGGCATAGATGGCTCTTATTATTTTGAGGTATTGCTATATTTCTTCAATGACCTGTCTGTTGAGGGTTTTATCATGAAGGGATGTTGGATTTCAGGGAAAGCTTTTTCTGCATCTAATGAGATAATCATATAATTTTTGCTTTAATTCTATTTATGTGGTGAATCACATTTATTGATTTGCCTATGTTGAACCTACCTTGCTTCCCAGGAATGAAGCCTACTTGATTGGGGCCAGTTAACTTTTCGATGTGCTGCTGGGTTCCGTTTGCTAGAATTTTGTTGAGAACTTTTGCATCTGTGTTTATCAGATGCGCTGAAGTTTTCTTTCTTCACTGTGTCTCTGCCAGATTTTGGTATTAGGCTGATGTTGGCTTCATAGAATGTGTTAGAAAGGAGTCCCTCCTCTTCAATTTTTTGTAATAGTTTCAGTAGTACTGGTACTAGTTCTTCATATGTGTGGTAGAATTCAGCTGTGAATCCATCTGGTCCAAGGCTTTTTTTGGTTGATAGGTTTTTGTTTGTTTCTTTGTTTCTGATACAATTTCAGTACCTGATATTTGTCTATTCAAGGTTTCAATCTCTTCCTGATAATGGAGTCTTACAAGGTTGTGCATTTCCAGTAATGCATTCATTTCTTCTAGATTTTTAATTTATGTGCATAAAGTCATTCATAGTAGTTTCTGAGGATCTTTTGAATTTCTTTGGATCAGCTGTAATGTTATATTTGCCATTTATGATTTTACTTACTTGGATCTTCTCTCTTTTTTTTTTTTTGTTAGTCCAGCTAGCATTCCATCAATGTTATTTATTATTTTGAATAACCAATTCTTGGTTTCACTGATCTTTTAAATGGATTTTTGCATGTCAGTTTCATGAAGTTCTCTAAATTTAATTATTTTTATTCTTCTGCTAGCTTTCAGGTTGGTTTGTTCTGTTTTTCCTGGTTCCTTTAAGTGCAAAGTTATTTGACTAGTTTGGGATTATTCTAATTTCTTGATGAAGGTGTTTAGGGTTATAAACTTTCCTCTTAACGCCCCTTTAGCTGCATTCCAGGGATTTTGATAAATTGTGTCCATATTTTCATTAATTTCAAAGTGTTTTTTATTTATTCCTTAATTTCAATGTTCAGCCAGGAATTATTCAAGAGCAAGTTGTTTAATTTAATGTGATTGTGTAGTCTTGAGAGATCTTCTTGACATTGGTTTCTATTTTATTGCACTTTGGACTGAGAGTACAATTTCAATTTTTTTTAATTTGTTGAGATTTGCTTTATGACCAAGCATGTGGTCTTAGAATATGTTCCACGTGTAGATAAGAAAAATGTATATTCTGTGGTTGTTGGGTGGAGTGTTCTGTAAACGCCTATTAGGTCCAATTGGTCAAGTGTCAAGTTTAAGTCCAGAATTTCTTTGTTAGTTTCTAGCTTGATGATCTAATGCTGTCAGTAAGGTGTTGAAGTCTCCCACTATTATTGTGTGGTTGTCTAAGCCTTTTTGTAGGTCAAGAACAGCTTGTTTTATGAATCTGAGTGCACCAGTATTGAGTGCATATATATTTAAGATAGTTAAGGCTTCTTGTTGGATTGTACCCTTTATCATTATGTAATGCACTTCATTGTCTTCTTAATTTTTGTTGGTTTAAATTCTGTTTCATATGATATAAGAACAGTGACTCCTGCTTCTTTTTGTTTTCCATTTGCATGGTAGATCTTTCTCCACCCTTTTACTTTGAGTTTTTGGGTGCCATTACATGTAAAATGGGCCTCTTGAAGACAACAGATCATTGGATCTTGTCATTTTATTCAGTCTGCCACTTTGTGTCTTTTAAGTGGGATGTTTAGTCCATTTATATTCAATGATATGTGTGATTTTGATACTGTCATTGTGTTGTTAGCTTATTATGTAGACTTGATTGTGTAGTTCCTTTATAATGCCTGTGGGCTATGTGCTTAAGTGTGTTTTTTTGGTAAAAGGTGTCATTCTTTCAATTCCATATCTCAGCACTCCCTTAAGGGAGTCTTAAAGCTAGTGTAGTTGAAACATATTCCCTCAGAATTTGCTTCTCTGAGAAGCAATTTCTTCTTCACTTATGAAGCTTAGTTTGGCAGGATATGAAATTCTTGGTTGGAATTTCTTTTCTTGAAGGATGTTGAAAATAGGCCCTCAATCTCTTCTGGCTTGTAGGTTTTCTACTGAGAGGTCTGCTGCTAGCCTGATGGGGTTCCTTCTTTATGTGACCTACCCCTACTCCCTAGCTGCCTTTAAGATTTTTTTCTTTTTCTTTGACCTTAGTAAATCTTATGACTATGTGCCTTGGGGATGGTCATCTTATATAGTATCTAGCTGGGGTTTTCTGTATTTGTTGGATCTGCATATCATCCTCTATAGTGAGATTAGGAAATTTTCATAAACTATATCCTCATATATATTTTCCAAGTTGCTTTTTCTCTTTTCTTCTCTCTTAGGAATGCCAATGAGTCATAGATTAATCTCTTTACATATTCCCATATATTTCAGAGGTTTTGTTTATTTTTCTGAATTTGTTTTTCTTAAATTTTGTCTGACCAAGTTGACTCAAAGAACCAGTCTCTGAGCTCTAAGACTCCCTCCTAGGCTTGGTCTATTCTACTGTTAATACTTTTGATTGTATTATGAAATTATTGTAGTGAGTTTTTTCAGCTGTAGAAGTTCAGTTTAGTTCTTTCTTAAAATGAATATTTTGTCTTCCCACTCTTGGCTTATTTTACTGGATTCTTTAGATTCCTTGGATTGGGTTTCAACTTTCTGCTGAATCTCACTGAGTTTTCCTGCCATCCAGATTCTGAATTCTATGTCTGATATTTCTGTCATTTCAGACTGGTTAAGAACCATTGCTGGGGAGCACATGGGTTCATTTGGAGGTAAGAGGACACTGTGGCTTTCTGAATAGTCAAAGTTCTTATGCTGATTCTTTCTCATCTGGAAGGGTTGGTGTTCCTTTACCTGTGATATAAGTTGAGTACAGTCAGGTGGCTTTGTTTCCAGATGGTTTCAGAGGGCCAGGGGTCTGCATAGCATCTTCATGTGCAGCTGAATTATTGCACTTGGTTTCACATGTATATATATTAGCTGGATAAATTTTTGGTTTTGTAGTTTGGACTGCAATCCAGAAGATGGCACTTGAGAATGATGGCAGGTAGTTAGGTTAATACCCAGCCACATGACCCTTCTGTACTTTCTTATGTTCACAGGTGTGCTCTACAGGGAGGCAAAAAGAGAGATGACCCCCTCACCAGATCCACTCCTGGGCCTTGGAGGAGCTGCCTCCAATTGCTAGTCCTGTGCCTGCATTTCTTTTGTTAAGTGCAGAGGCTGCAACAGGGAGATATGTTATACTTTCTCTGGACTGACCTTGTAGGAGGAGGCATGCACCATAGGTGTCTTCTACAGGGAGGCAGAAAGAGAGATGACCCCCTCATATCAGAGATGTTCCTCTGGGCCTTGGGGGAGCCGCCTCCAATTGCTAGTCCTGTGCCTGCATTTCTTTTGTTAAGTGCAAAGGCTGCAACAGAGAGATATGTCACACTTTCTCTGGACTGACCTTGTAGGAGGAGGCATGCATTGTTCCCACCCCAGCACAGGAGCCCACAAGTCTCATCCCTCTCACTGCTGTGATGGTGGAGTCTTCTCTTCCACTTGAGTCCTGGCTGCACTGTAGGGTCCAATGTGCTCCTGACCAACAGGAAAGTATTCAGGTGCAGCAATGCACTCAGGCTGTGCTACAAGGGTTGTGCTATGCATCCCCTCCTGCAAGGTAGCTAGGCATTGACCCTGGGAAGGGCCAGAGGGCAGAAGGATTTGCAGAGCAGATGCATTGAACTTCCACAAGAAGGCTAGCCCTACTCTCTGCTGGCTCAGAACTCAGCTGGGGCCCGTATCACCTGGTGGGGCATGTGGAGCCCTGGGGAATGGGTGTCTATGACTGCTGTCCACTGGAGCTGCTCAGAACAAAAAAGCTCCTAGGCTCCATGCTGTCTGAAGACCTGTTTCTGCCTGCTCCCCAGGGAGAGTCCCCTGACAGCTAACATGTCCATGGGGGATGTGGGGTTCCTTGTAGCTAGGCTCTCAGAGGACCATAGTGAGAGTGAGCTATTCCTCAGCTCCTTCCTTTACCAGGAACCTTTTGAGGCCAAGGATAAGCCCTGTAATTTGGCCACACTGTGCAGGGTTCACAGCTTTGTCCCTGCTGTGAAACTGAGACTAAAGAGTCTCAGCTTCAGCGTTGCCTCAACCTCCACTCTGAGCATAATTTCTCCAAATTATGGTGATTTGCTGGATAATTTGGACTCCCTTGATGGCAGCAGTGCTTTGTGACTGCATCTAGTCAAACATCTTGTCCCTCTTCTCCATGATTTTTAGAGACTTTTTTATTACCTGAGTTGTAGGAGCTAACCTGCAACACAGTAACTCATTCTCAAAGGTTTCCCATTTTAACTATAGGAAAAATGTAGCCACTGAGAAGTCAATTTATGTTGAGGCTACATGGCAATATTAATACGTAATATGAAACCCTGGAAGACAACCAAGTCATTACTTCAGAACATGGGCACAGGCAAAGATTTCATGACGAAGATGCCAAAAGCAATTGAAACAAAAATGAAAATTGACAAATGGGATCTAGTTAAACCAAAGAGCTTCTGCACAGCAATAGAAACTATTAACAAGGTAAACAGACAACCTACAGAATGGGAGACATGTTTTGCAAACTATGCATCCAACAGAGGTCTAATATCCAGTATCTATAGGAACATAAACAAATTTACGGGAAAAAAACAAACAGCTCTATAAAAATGGGGGTAAAGCACATGAACAGACACTTTGCAAAAGAATATATATATGTGGTCAACAAGCATATGAAAAAAAGCTTGGTATCACTGATCATTAGAGAAATGCAAGTCAAAACCACAATAAGATACCATCTCACACCCGTCAAAATGACTATTATGAAAAAGTCAAAAAATAACAGATGCTGGCAAGATTATGGAGAAAAAGGAATGCTTATACACAATTGGTGGGAGTGTAAGTTAGTTCAACCATGGTGGAAGACAGTGTGAAGATTCCTCAAAGACCCAGAGAGAGAAATACCATTCAACCCAACAATCCCATTACTGGGTGTATACTATACCAAAAGGAATATAAATCATTCTATTATGAAGACATATGCACAGGTATGTTCACTGCAACACTATTCACAATAGCAAAGACCTGGAATCAACCCAAATGCCCATTAATGATAGACTGCATAAAGAAAATGTGGTACATATACATCATGGGATACTATGTAGCCATAAAAAAGAATGAGATAATGTCCTTTGCAGGGACATGGGTGGAGCTGGAGGTCATTATTCTTAGCAAACTAACACAGGAACACACAACCAAATACTACATGTTATCACTTACAAGTGGGAGCTAAATGATGAGAACACAAAAACACATAGAGGAGAACAACACACACTGGGGTCAGTCAGAGGGTGGATGATACGAGGAGTAAGGATCAAAAAAAAATAGTTAATGGGTACTAGGCTTAATACTTTGGTGATGAAATAACCTATACAATAAACCACATGACACAAGTTTACCTGTGTAACAAACTTACACATGTATCCCTGAACTTAAAATAAAAGTTTTTAAAAAAGAATTATAATTATTTGTTGGTTTTCTGACATATTTTGCTTTCAGCAAAATAGATATTATTGAGAAAGGCACTATACTGAAATGACAAAAATAGTTCCTAAGACTTGTGGGCATTATAATTTAAGTGTATAGCTTGGACTTTCTAGGGCACTACCAACTGCATAGAAGTCAAAATTTTCAACAAGCCCAGATCCATCTGATAAAGTTATGCTATGTGTGTGTGTGTGCATGTGTGTGTGTGTGTGTGTTGAGTATCTTCCATATTTGTAAAATGTGTGATGAATCTTGCCGTTGAATCAATACAATTACATTTTAAGCATCAGTGACTCCATAGATCTTTAGTGTCTACAGGATTACATCCTTAACCACTAAATACATCTGACAGAGGCCCTCATGAATGATTTAATGACCAAGAGCTAGTACTGGAATATGAGGATTTGGGGAATAATGAGAATGAGAATGCCCCAGTGAATCTATGATGCACTAATAGCAGCAGTAATGATATAATCCTTATAAAGCACATTCTATATGCCAAACACTGTTTTAAGCACTTTACATATACTAAGTCAAACATCATGTCAACCTTAAGGGTTAGGTTCTATTTATATTACTACTTTTAAAGATCATAAAGCCAAGTGATGGAATGGTCAAGCATCATGCCCAAGGGCATAGGACTGGTGATTGGAGAGTCAGAATTCAAATCTAGGAAGTTTGATTCTTAATCACTTAATCACTTGGCCAAAATTATTTATTTGTTCATTTACTCAGGAATTATTTGCCAAGTACATACTGTATGCCAGACATTCCTCAAGGCTTTGGAGATACAGCAATGAACAAACCATTTTGCTCTCCTCTTACAAGGTGCTTTCCTTCTTGAAGGGAGAGACACAATAAACAAAAAGGGAAATTTCAGTTAGTAATACATTATATAAGAAAAATAGGCCAGGCATGGGGGTTCGTACCTATAATCCCAACACTTTGGGAGGCCGAGATGGGAGGATTGCTTGGGCTTAGGTGTTTGAGAGCCACTTGGGCAACACAGCAAGACCTTGTGGCTACAACAAAACAAAACAAAACAAACAAAACAAAACTGGGCGTGGCAGCATGTGCCTGTAGTCTCAGCTACTCAGGAGGCTGAGGCGGGAGGATAACTTCAAAGCCCAGGAGTTTGAGTATGCTGTGGAAAATGATCACGCCACTGTACTCCAGCCTGGGCAACAGAATGAGACCCTGTCTCAACATAAAAACAAAAAAAAGAAGGTTGTGTGAAAGAGTGATGGGGGTGGAGCTACTTACTTATGTTTTTATTGAGGTATAACTCACAATTTAAAATTGCATATATTTAAGGTGTGCAAACTCATTATTTGATATACACTTACATTGTGAAATAATCACCAAAAATAAGCTAATTAATATATCTATCACCTCACATAGTTGCCATTTTCTTGTGTGTGTATGGTGACAACACTTATTGACCTAACCTTTTATCAAATGTCAATTATACAATACAGCATTAACTATTATCATATTGTTGTACATTCGATCTCCAGAACTTATTCACTTATTCATCCTATGTAACTGAAACTTTGTACCCCTTGACCAACATACACTATTTCCCTTTCTCACTGGCTCCAACACTATTCACAATAACCAAGATGTGGAAACAACCTAAATGTCCATTGTATTAGTGTGTTTTCACACTGCTATAAAGAACTACCTGAGACTTGATAATTTATGGAGAAAAGATGTTTAATTGACCCACAGTTGTGCAGGCTTAACAGGAAACATGACTGGGAGGCCTCAAGAAACAATCATGGCAGAAGGTGAAGGGGAGGCAAGCATGTTTTACCATGGTGGAACAGGAGAGAGAGAGAGAAAGGGAGAAGTGCCACACACTTTCAGACAGCCAGATGTAATGAGAACTCACTCACTATCATGCAAACAGCAAGAGGGAAATCTGCCCCCATGATCCAACCACCTCCCACCACATCCCTCCCCCAACACTGAGACACACACACACACACACACACACACACACACACACACACACACGCGTGCACACACACACACACACACACAGAGGCATACTATTTAGCCTTGTAAAAGAATGAAACAAGGAGTTTGCATGGGGAGACTATCAGAAATGGGTGCAAGGAAGCAAAAAGGAAGATTAGGGGCTTTATCAGTCAAGTCCAAGCAGGAAACATGACACACTTATGATGAATAATTTGAGAAGAATTTAACACATGGACTATTTACAAAAGTGTGGCTAGGATTTAGGAATAGCAGTAAGTAATGGTGAAGTACCCCAGGACTAACAACAGTAGCGTACTGTTAGCACCGCTGGGCTTGAAGGAACAAAGGAGGAAATGATTATCAGAACCCAGACAGGATAGTTATGTGTGAAGGGCCACATGATTGGAGCTGTGGCCTTCAGTAGCAGGACATAGCCATCCTACTGTAGAACAGCAGGGAAGGAGTCAAAGGAATATAATACATATTCCAACCTCATCTTCTGCCTTTTCTCTCACCTGAAGGTGCCTCCTCCCACTGGCCAAAGCCAACAGGAAGCTAAAGGTAAGAGGCCTGTTGGTGTATGTTTACACAAGTCAATGTCACAGGGCAATGAGCAAGGTGAAGAATGTAGGATTTTCTACTGTAAGGATTTTTGGAAAAAAGTTGCCTCATGCCTACATGTCTCAAGGTAGATATAAGTAGATTTATTTTGAAGAAATGAATTAATTAAATTCAATTTAAGATTATCATAGAACAATTTAAGTATAATTATAATTTCATGGCATAATTTGTTTTAAAAGTGTGTTGTAAATTTTGGTAAATATAGTGTGTGGTGTAGTAGGGAATGAAATATTTAGTATCAGAAAATATGGATTTTGGTCTTGGCTATACAAACTGACATGCTTTGTGACTCTGAAAAGTTACTTGACTTCTCTGACCTTAGTTCATATATGGATGAAAGGGATAATAATAAAGGTCCTATTTGTCAATACCTCAAAGAATAGCTGTAAGGATAAAATGAAAATGTATTTGGAAAACACTTATAAACTTAAGTGTCTCTTTTAAGGTAAGAATCTACTCTTCCAACATTGCAAAGTTGAGTTTACAGATAAGTTCTGGGCTTGTGGAGAAATAAGCTGACTTTTTGATATTTTTTTACAGTGATAGATCTATCTCCTTCCAACCAGATAGGATTCTGCCAGCTTCCCGCCAGATCTAATTAAGTTTTAAATGAGATTCAGGAAGACATAATCGCTTATTCTGATTGTTCTTTTTATATCATATAGTCTCTAAATATTCATTGTGCTCATATGATTAAGCTGTAAATCAATAAAAAAAAAATCCAATGGGCTTTTCTGGATTTTTTACTTTGCCCCATATATTCGGATATACCAGTCATCTTAACTTCATATCAGTTTTTATTCCTTTCACATTGCCCTTACCCATCTTTCTTTGTCTGAGGAGTTCCTAATCATATTTTAAGACTCAAAGCAAATATCTCCACCTCAGGAAAATCTCTCCTTAACACCACTTGAGGAAATTTGCAGCTCCTCAAATTACATATAGTACTTTAAACATATATATATGACAGCCGGTATCACACCACATTGCATTAGAATTATTTGCTTCTTTTTCTGTATCTCCCTATGAGATGCTGAGGGTCTTGAGTATACAGATACTTTCCTATCTAGGTTTTCAATCCCATCAACTAGCAAGGTACCTGGCACTTTTTGTGGGCTTAATTGGAATTCAAATTCCGAGTATATATATATTATAAAAACAAATGCTAATCCTATTTTTACCTTTCTACTCGTCATATTGGTTTTTCAGATTTGAACTGCTAATATTTAAAACAACATATCTACTGTTTACTTTCAGGGTAGATACACAGCAGAAGATATACACTGACTTTGGTGAAAAGGGCCTGAAGAGTTCCAAGCAGAAAATGATTATAAATGCATATATTGAGGAAAACCTTGCCTGAACAATGAACTTGAAAAAGTTTTCCAAATACAGTAAAGCCACACTCATTTGATAGGTAGTGAATAAGATTTTCACTAGCTTTTTTCTGATAGAACCTGTTTTCCATTTGCTAATTCTTTTGTGTTATCTATGAGTACTCACTAGAAGACATGTTGTAGCAAGTACCAGAAGTTTGAGAAAAGTATTTATGGAAGAAGCTAATTAAAATTTTTTAAAAATTATATTTACTGACTTTACTTCTACCACATAAAGAAAAACAATATAAAATTGAATGGTAAACACATGTAAAATCAGTATTCCAAGAAAATTAGTTTGTTGTGGTGGCCTTTTTCTTAGCTGGAATTGTGAGGTTTCGAGATAAAAGCAGTGGCTCAAAATGATGATTGCTACTCCTCTGCCTCAATGTGATAGATGGACTGATGGACAGTAGAGTATATTTCTGAAATTTTTATTTGTGATTGTTTGATCTTAGAGGTTGGGTTAAAGGATGGTGAAGCAGACTTTAGACTCTGTATGTGATTTTTCCTTTTTGTAACAAATAAAGTCCAAGACCATAGTAATGTTCAGACATTAACTAGCTTGTTCTTTTAAACATTTCCTTTCAAAATACATGAAGAATCAAAATTAATTTTGTTCTGGTTAGCATGACCAAGTCAGAGGAATATTTTGAGTTTTAAAATTTTTCCCCTTGAAGAAGATAAGGTACCTGAGCCAATATTTTTAGATCTCTCTCTCCTTTCTCTTCATTTTAAAAAGCAATAAATTAATGAGTAATAAGTTTCTTTCCCCACTTTTAAGTGTTCCAGGCTTGGAGAAGAACTTTTAGTGTTCCAGGCTTGGAGAAGGACCAGTGGGAAGCTGGTTCTACTCTTATGGGTGGGAATTATAAAAGACATTCCAAACATCCATGCTTTTCAGGATGATGCCCTGAGATCCAACCCTACTATCTTTAACTCTTCCTGGGATGGGAAAAAATAGTTTTGGGGTGGTATCAGGGTACTCATGCAGCAGAATTCAGTGATCTTGGGGGAGGCATTAATGTTGTCTATCATAAGCAACATCCATGCCCAACCAATAAATGTATTTCATACTACAGCCAAGGGAAAGGAAATAGAGGTGGAAATACTGTGTTACTGGTCCCATTTCTATATTTTCAATTTTTGTTAATCATTTCAACAAATAAGCTTATTTTTAAAACCCAATTTTGAACCATGTGGTTGCGTTAGGGAGAAGTAAAATAAAAGGGAAGTTATTGAAACTGGCCCAAAGACACCATTCTGCAACGCACACATATCTACTTTTTCTGTTTAGTTTATATTCTAGATTTTGGAAATAAATGTAGCATATATGATTTTTGAGGACTCAAATGCTTCTAATATAGTCATCTACCATAGCACGTTTTCACCTAAGTTATTCATATGAAATCTAAATTCATTCAGAGGCTATAACTGCTTTATATAGTTTAGTATAATATAACAGTCCTAGACTAGGAATCAGAACAACTGAATCCTAGTTTTAGCTTCATCTTTTATCTATGCGTCCTTGGGAAATTCACTTCATCTTGTTATGCCCCAGTTTCCTCAATGAAATAAATATATTATTGCACTGCCTACCTCACAGGGTGAAATGCAGAGTAGATTCAGAAGAGTACTCTAAGTGTAAAGGGTTATTTAAATATAAAGAAATGTGTATTTATTCCTGTAGGATGGTAAGGAAAAGCATTAACCTTTTCTTGACCAAAAAAGATCTAGGGGCACTGATATGGTTTGGCTATGTCCCCACCCAAATCTCATCTTGAATCATAGCTCCCATAATTCTCACATGTCATGGGAGATACCTGGTGGGAGGTAATTGAATCATGGGGGCATGTTTTTCCCATTCTGTTCACATGATAGTGAATAAGTCTCACAAAATCTGATAGTTTTATGAAGGGGAGTTACCCTGCATATGCTCAGGGTATATGTCACCATGTAAGACGTGCCTTTTCTCCTCATTCACCTTCCACAATGATTGTGAGGCCTCCTGAGCCATGTGGAACAGTGAGTCAATTAAATCTCTTTCCTTTGTAAATTACCCAGTCTTGGGTATGTCTTTATTAGCAGAGTGAGAATGGCCTAATAGTGGCACAAAGCAAAATGAGTGGGTTAATAACAGTTCCAGCACTAGACCCAAAGAATGGGCATATATGTTTAAACAATGCATGCCACAGGCCTAGCATACTTCTAGATCAAATCAAACAAAACTCATAAGTCTAAAGTGAGTTTCTTGTAGACAGCACACAGTTGGATCTTATTTTTTGAACTATTCAGCCACTCTATGTATTTTGATTGAGGGAGTTAATCCATATATGTTTAAAATAATTATTGATAGAAAATGACTTACTATTGCCATTTTATTAATTTCCTTCTGCTCATTTTTTAGTTATTTTATTGCTCTTTTCCTCTCTTCTGTCTTTTTTGGTGAGTGTTTCACTGATTTTTTGTCATGGTATATTTTGATTCCTTTCTCTTCCTTTCTCTTTTCCTTTTGTGTATCTGCTAAGGTATTTTCTTTGTGATTACTGTGAGGCTTACATAAAACATCCTGTAACAGTCTATTTTAAGCTGATAACAACTTAACTTCAACCACGTACAAAAACTCCACAATTTTACACCTCTCCAACACACACTTTATATTATTGATTTCACAGTTTTCATCATTTGTCCAGCATATCAATTAACAAATTTTTTATAAAGTTATTATTAATACTTTTTAAATACTTTTATACTAAAATACAGTGATTTACACACCATCAATACAGTATTACAGTCTATGTTTGTCTATTTATTTACCTTTATCAGTGAGTTTTATACTTCATATGCTTTCATGTTGCTGTTCAGCATCCTTTCATTTCAACTTGAAGAGGTAGGTCCCTTTAGCATTTCTTGTAAGGAAGGCCTAGTGGTGACGAATTCCCTAAGCTCTATCTCTTCCTCATTTTTGAAGCACAGTTTTACTGTGTATAATGTTATGGTTGGCAAATTGTTCTTTCAGCACTTTGAATATATCATTCCACTTCCTTCTGGCCAGCAAAGGCTGTGCTAAGAAATCTGCCAACAGTCTTATGGAGGCTCCATTTACGTGATGAGTCACTTTTCTCTTGCTTCTTTTCAAGATTCTCTTTGACAATGTGATTATAATGTGTTTTGAGGTAGACTACTTTGGATTCATTCTCTTTGGGATTCTTAGGGCTTCATTAATCTGGATCTCCATTCCCATCCTTCCCTCCTCCAAGATTTGGAAAGTTTTCAGTCATTGGTTTTTAAAATAAGCTTTCTTCCCCTTTCTTTCTCTTCTCCTTCTGGAACTTCCATATTGGTTCACTTGAAGGTGTCCCCTAGTCCCTTAGGCATTCCTCACTCTTTTTCATTCTGTTTTTCTTTTTGTTCCTCTGACCTCTGTGGGGGACACAGGTCAAACTATATCATTCTGCCCCTGGCCCCTCCCAAATCTCATATCATCACATTTGAAAACCAATCATGCCTTCCTGACAGTCTCCCAAAGTCTTAACTCATTTCAGAATTAAAAGTTCACAGTCCAAAGTTTCACCTGAGACAAGGCAAGTCCATTCCACCTATAAGCCTGTAAAATCAAAAGCAAGTTAGTTACTTTCTAGATATAATGGGGATACAGGCAAAGGATAAATACAGCCATTCCAAATAGGAGACACTGGCCAAAACAAAGGGCTACAGGCCCCATGTAAGTCTGAAATCCAGCAGGGCAGTCAAATCTTAAAGCTCCAAAATGATCTCCTTTGACTCCATGTCTCACATCCAGGTCACGCTGATGCAAGAGGTGGCTTCCCATGGTCTTGGGCAGCTTTGCCCCTCTGGCCTTGCAGGATACAGCACCCTTCCTGGCTGCTTTCATGGGCTGATGTTGAGTGGCTGCAGCTTTTCCAGGTGCACAATACAAGCTGTTGGTGGATCTACCATTCTGGGCTCTGGAAGACAATGGCCTTCTTCTCACAGCTCCACTAGGCAGTGCCACAGTAGGGATTCTGTGTGGGGGCTTCAATCCCACATTCCCCTTCTTCACTGCCCTAGCAGAGGTTCTCTATGAGGGCCCAACCCCTGCAGCAAAATTTTGCCTGGACATTCAGGCATTCCCATACATCTGAAATCTAGGCAGAGGTTCCTAAACCTCAATTCTTGACTTCTGTGCACCTGCAGGCTAAACACCATGTGGAATGTGCCAAGGCTTGGGGTTTCCACCCTCTGAAGCAACAGCCCAAGTTTATCTTGGCCCCTTTTAGTCATGGCTGGAGTGGCTTGGATGCAGGACAAATCCCTAGACTGCACACACCACGGGGACCCTGGGCCTGACTCGAGAAACCGTTTTTTCTCTCCTACGCCTCTGGGCATGTGATGGGAGGGGCTGCTATGAGGACCTCTGATATGCTCTGGAGACATTTTCCCCATTGTCTTGGGGATTAACATTTGGCTTCTCATTACTTATGCAAATTTCTGCAGCTAGCTTGAATTTCTCCTCAGAAAATGGGTTTTTCTTTTCTATCACATTGTCAGGCTGCAAATTTTCCAAACTTTTATGCTCTGCTTCACATATAAAATGAAATGTCTTTAACAGCATCCAAGTCACCTCTTGAATGCTTTGCTGCTAAAAACTTCTTTTGCCAGATACCCTAAATCATCTCTCTCAAGTTCAATGTTCCACAAATCTCTAGGGCAGGGGAAAATGCCACCAGTCTTTTTGCTAAAACATAACAACAGTCACATTTGCTCCAGTTCCCAATAACTTCCTCATCTCTATCTGAGACCACCTAAACCTGAGTTTCATTGTCCATATCACTATCAGCATTTTGGGCAAAGCCATTCAACAAATCTCTAGGAGGTTGTACACTTTCCACATTTTTCTTGTCTTCTTTGAACCCTCCAAACTGTTCCACTCTCTGCATGTTAACCAGTTCCAAAGTCGCTTCCCATTTTCAGGTATTTTTCCAGCAACACCCCACTCTACTGTACCAATTTACTGTATTAGTCCATTTTCACACTGCTGATAAAGACAACCCAATACTGGACAATTTATGAAAGAAAGAGGTTTAATTGGACTTACAGTTCCACATGGCTAGGGAAGCCTCATAATCATGGCAGAAGGCAAAGAGGAGCAAGTCACATATTACATGGATATCAGCAGTCAAAGAGAGAAAATAAAAGCCAAGCGAAACAAGTTTCCCCTTATCAAACCAACAGATCTTGTGAGACTTACTCACTACCACAAGAACAGTATGTGGGAAATGATCCCATGATTCAATTATCTCCCACTGGGTCCTTTCCACAACATGTAGGAATTATGGGAGTATAATTCAAGATGAGATTTGGATGGGGACACAGAGCCAAACCATATCATTCACTGATCTTCTTTAAGACTACTATTGTGAATTCTTTATCAAGAAATTCACAGATGTCTATTTCTTTATGGTCACATTTTATAGATTTACTTTTTGCTTTGGTTGTGTTATATTTTCTTGATTCTTTGTGTTTCTTGCAGTTTAGTGTTGGTGTTCATGCATATGAAAAAACAGGGGCCTCTCCCAATTTTACAGACTGGCTTTGACAGGGAAAGACCTTCACTGATCAGCCTGACTACATATTTTGGAAGCCTTTAAAACCTTTTTAACGAATGTGCACTTTCCAGTCTTCTCCCTCCATCATGGGGGAGAAGTCTCAGTATTGTGCACCTTTTCCCAATCTCACAGAGCTATGCTTGCTGCAGTAAGCCATCCATTCCTTTTCCTTATAACAGTGCACTGAAAGGCCAAAATGGTGAATACATGCTTTACTCTTCTCTCTCTCTCTCCTGGGGGAGAAGTTTTAGCATTATGTGCCTTCTCTAAACTTCTTTTTTTTTTGAGATGGAGTTTTGCTCTTATTGCCCAGGCTAGAGTGCAGTGGTGCAATCTCGGCTCATTGCAACCTCCACCTTCTGATTTCAAGTGATTCTCCTGCCTCAGTCTCCCAAGTCGCTGGGATTACAGGCACCCACCACCACGCCCAGCTAATTTTTTTTGTATTTTTAGTAGAGACGGGGTTTCACCATGTTGGTCAGTTTGGTCTCAAACTGCTGACCTCGTGATCCACCTGCCTTGGCCTCCCAAAGTGCTGGGATTACAGGCATAAGCCACCACACCTGGCGCCTTCTCTAAATTTCACAGAGCTATGCCAGCAGCATTAAACCAGATTTCTTGGATATGACATCAAAAGCACAGGCACAGGAAAACAAAGAAAAAATAGGTATATGGGACTGTATCAAAATAAATACCTTCAGCACAGCAAATAGTCAACAGAATGAAAAAGCAACCTTTAGAAGGAGATATTTGCAAACCAATATCTTATAAGGGATCAATATCTAAAATATATAAGGTACAACTATAAGGTATAACATACAATTTAATAGCAAAAACAAAAACCAAACAAATAACCCAATTTAAAAAAAAAATGGGCAAAGGACTTGAATAGACATTTCTTCAAAGAAGACACAAATGGCCAACAGGTATATCAAAAGGTGCCGAACATTACTCATTATCAGTGAAGTCCAAATAAAAATCACAATGAGATCATCCTATACAAATTAAGATGGCTACTATGAAAACAACAAAAAGAAGTGTTCACAAGGATGTGAAGAAATTGAAACCCATGTACATTGTTGGTAGGGATGTAAAATGATGCAACCACTATGGAAAATAGTATGGAGTTTTCTCAAAAAAAATTCAAATGTAATTTATGATCCAGAAACTCAACTTCTAGGCATATATCCAAAAAAATGAAATTAGAATTGCGAAGAAGTATCTGCACTCTCATATTCACATAGCATCACTCACAAAAGCCAAGATATGAAAACAACTTAAATGTCAATCGACAGATGAATGTATATAAAACAGTAGTGTATATTTACAATGGAGTATGATCTAATCTTTAAAAAGAAGAAAATCTTGCCATATGTGACAACATGGATTAACCTTGAGGGCATTATGCTAACTGAAATAAGCCAGTAACAAAAGGACAAATCCTATGTGATTCCACATATATGCAGTATCTAAAATAGTCAAACTGATAGAAACAGATAATAGTAGTTGCCAGGGGCTGGGAAGAGAGGGAAATGGGGAGTTGTTGTTCAATGGGTATAAAGTTTCAGTTATGTAATATGAAGAAGTTCTATAGATCTTCTGTACAACATAGTGCGTGTAGTTAACAATACTGTATTGTACATTTTAAAAAGTTATTGAGGGTTTTAGCTCAATTGAGGGTTTTAGTAAGTGTTCTTCCTGCAAAAAATAAAATAAAAACAGAGGAGCATCAGGAGCATGAGAAAATTTTTGGAGGTGATGGATATGTTTATTATCATGATTGTGGTGGTTTCAGGGTGTATGCATATGTCAAAATTCGTTAAGTTGTATCAATTAAGTATGTGCCATTTTTGCATCTCAATTATTCCTCAATAAAGTTGTTTAAAACTCATACAATCATAAAAATTGAAACCTAGAAGTCACCTTAGAAATCTAGTCTTACCTCTTTATTGTACAGATGGAGAAACTGAAGCCCTTTTCTCTCTTAAGGTATTCCTCTTCACTACCCAATCTGTCTGTTGGTCAGTCTTCATCTTTGACTTCCCTACCCCTCATTCAACCAGTCAATTATGAAAATCTACCTTTACGATGTCTGGCAATTTCTTTCCACTTATCCTCCTTCTGGAAGCTAATATCTCATGCTTACACTCTTACGGTAACCTCTTGCCTTGTTCGCTCTTCCTTTCAGTTTCATCCTTATGTTACCAAGGCAATCTTCCTACATTATTATTTTTATCATGTTGTTCTCATGACAAAATGTTTTTGATTTAAGGCTCCCAGTGGCTATACGATAAATAACAAAATTCTTAGTCTGACTTTTATGATGTCCCACAGTAAGTCCCTGATATTTATGTTCTATCCCCTTCTACTCCTCTACATGAACCCCACAGTCCCGAGAAACAGAAATCTATACCGTCCTTCAAACACAACTTGTGCTTCCCTATAATACACTTGCCTTTTTTGTCTACCAGTATCCAATTATCTTCGTCTGGTAGCAAATTTTTCTCTGCGGAAATACCTAACCCACATTGGATACAATCTTTGTGGATTATCAAATAAGGAGCCCAAAGTAGAAATGTGGTCCTAATTAAGCCAAGCTCCCTTTGTCTGGAATTTCCCTCAGAATGGAGCTACACACGTACTAAACACAAGAATTAGACTTAATTAATTTAGAAAGTGATTCCTGGAATATTGTTAGTTAGATCCTATTGCCTTAGCGTTCTTTGCCTCCTATCTTTTCTAAAGCTTGGTTCTTTGGATTTTCCTTCAATTATCTACTCTATCTCATACCCTTCCAATAAATTTTCTCTTTTGCATATTTAGACAGAGCAAGTTGCCCTTACCTACTGTTAGGAGTTAAACTGAGCTTTGGGAGATTGCTGAGCTGCCAGGTGTTAGAGTAGTTGATTAAAACAACAATTCAAAAATAAGAGTTAAGCTTGTAATCATTTACTGCAAAATTATAAGAGGTCAAAACCTAAGAAAACGAAGTGCTAACTCACCCTAATTTATTTGTCTCCATGAAAAGATGCACCAGTGGAGCATCAGGTTGACCAGCACAGACATGGGGGTCATCTCAGTCTAAACAAAAGACTCCTAGAGTTTTATGGACTCTGAGGTAGTTGGGCGTGGTTTGGGTCGGGTGGGCTTGGAGTAGAAAAGTACTGGTTACTGAGTCATAGTGAAATAAAAGTTATCTTTAAGGTTTCCCCCTCCTCCCTCTATAATGAAGCCTTGGCAGAGGCAGCTAAAGAAGACCTCTGCCCAAGTCTCAGGTAAACACATTTAAGAATGAAGGTTATCAAATACTAGAACTTATTCATTCTATTTAACTGTATTTTTGTACCCATTAACTATCCTAACTTCCCCTCCCCACCCCACTATCCTTCCCAGCCTTTGGCAACCAACATTTTACTCTTTTTCTCCATTAGTTCAATTGTTTTAATTTTTAGCTCCCACAAATGAGTGAGAAAATGCAAAGTCTGACTTTCTGTGCCTGGTTTGTTTCACTTAACATGATGTCCTCCAGTTCCATCCATGTTGTGGCACTGGTGCTATGAATGCAAATACGTGAAGAACATGACTGGCCAGGGGATGCCTTCACTGCAGCTCCCCTCAAAAACTTTAGTTAATTGGCTGTGAACTATGTGTGGTGTGGGAAGGGCAGCTTTTCTCCACGAGGCCTGCCAGGTGAAACCTGTAATTGTGTATGTGTAGGCCTATATAATCACACAAAAGTTTTTAACCAGGAGTCAATCTCCTAACTTACAATCATATAACCTTCATTGACATACTGCCTTTATTCATGCCATTCTCTCTTCTCCCATTTCTCTTCTTATCTAAGGCTATTCAACCCCAAGGCTAAATTTACCTTATTTACAAAAAGCCTTGTGGACCAGTCCAGTCTACATTTGACCTTTTCTTTCTCTAAAGCCTCATATCACTTATTTTGGACAATCTTTTTGAGAAAATTCTGTTAACTATTGCCTTTATGACAGCTATCAATTATTTGCTTTTTTTTTTTGTCCTACCAACTCCAATATCAGTATCTTTAGGCAGAGCTATTTATACCTTAGACATATCTATAATTCCTCACAGAATAATTTATGTGGTAAATGCTAAATACTATTATGAGGGAGTGGCCTGTAGTGTGTGATTTAAAAGGCACATGTCCTAAAATCTCCCCAAAATATTTATTGAAATGTCTATTATTTTTTAAGAAAGTTAATACATCTACTACCTAAGAAGGTAGCACAGTACCAGTGATTGATTGGTTTCCCCATTATCCATTGGCACTCATCTTAAGATTTATTTTGATGTGAGCAAGGATTAAGAAGGAGAGTAGCAATTATTGAATGACCACCCTGTGCCAGAAACCATGAAGACACTTTCCAATACTTATTGATTCCTTACAGTAATCCTGAAGCAGATATTTTCTCTATTTTAAATAAGAGAGCAACAAAGCACAGAAAAATTAATTGATTTTTAAATGGTCCCACAGACCATAAACGACAGAGTTGGTTTTAAATCCAGATCTGTTTGAACACCAAGCCTATAATTACCCATGAAAAGGTCTAAAGCATGAGACAATATGGATGCCACTGAGAGGTGTCATGGTGTAATAGGAGATGGATGACAGCCAAAGAACATCCCATAAAAATTTTCATCCTACAAAATTAAGTTACATTTTGTTCAAAGAAATTAAAGGAGAGCTAAATAAATGGAAAGCATCTTGTATTCATAGGTTGGAAGCCTAATACTATTAAGGTGGCAGTACTTCCCGGGTTGATCTACAGATTCAATGCAATCCCAGCTTTTTTTGCAGAGATTAGTAAGTTGATCCTAAAATTCATATGGAAATTCAAAGGATGCAGAATAAGCAAAACAATCTTGAAAAACTTACCACAAATCTACAGTGGTACTGGTCTAAGTGTAAACATGTAGATCGATAAAATAGAATTAAGAGTCTAGAAATAAACCCATATTTCTTTCCTTTGTTTTAACTTTTATTTTAGGTTCAGGAGTACATGCACATGTTTGTTATTAGAGGCAAACTCGTGTCATGTGGGTTTGATGCACAGACCATTTCGTCACCCAGGTACTAAGCACAGTACCTGATAGTTATTTTTACCGATCCTCTCCCTCCTCCCATCCTACACCCTCAAGTAGGCACCAGTGTCTGTTGTTCCCATCCTTGTGCCCATTGGTTCTCATTATTTAGCTCCCACTTATAAGTGAGAACATGCGGTATTTGGTTTTCTCTTCCTGCGTTAGTTTGCTAAGGATAATGGCCTCCACTTCCATCCCCATGTTCCTGCAAAGGACATGATCTCATTCTTTTTAAAAGCCTATATTTCTATGATCAATTGATTTTTGATAATCGTGTCAAGACCATTCAATGAAAGAAAAATTATGTTTTCAACAAATGGTGCCAAATGGTTCTGAGATAACTGGATACTCACATGCAGACGAATGAAGTTGGACAACTACCTTACACCATATACAAAAATTAATTCAAAATCTATCAATTACCTAGATGCAACAGCTAAAACTCTACAATTCTTAGAAGAAAATATAGGAGTAAGTCATATAACCTTGGCTTAGGCAATAGTCTTGGATATGACACCAAAGCACAGGGAACAAATAAAAAAAAAAGATAAGTAGGACTTCATCAAAATTATAAGTTATGTACCAAAAGATATCATCAAGAAAGTGAGAAAATAACCCACCCAGAATGGGATAAAGTATTAACAAATATACAACTGATAAGAGATTTATTCTCAGAATATGTGAAGAATTCTTACAACTCAACAGTTATCAACTGACCCAGGAATTCCAGTGCTAAGTTTATATGCAAGAGAAATGAAAACATATGGCCACATAAAAATGTATAAATGAATGTTCATGGCAGCGTTATTCATAACAGCCTAAAAGTGGAAACAACCCAGATGTCCATCAGAACACAAATGGACAAACAAAACTTGACGTATCTGTACAAATGAATAAAATGGAATAATGTACTGATACATGCTATAACCTAGATAAAACTTGAAATCATTATGCTAAATGAAAGAAGTCAGATACAAGACGTTATATATTATATAATTGTATTTCTATGAAATGTCCATAATAGGCAACTTCAAAGAGACAAAAAGAAGATTAGTGATTTCTAGGGGCTGGGGGAGGGGAGAATGGAGTTTGATTCTTTAATGAGCACAGGGTTTTTCTTTAGGATAACAAAAAATTTCAAATTATGGATAATGCTGTGGTTATACCACACTGTGGATATACTAAAACCCATTGTAGTGTCCACTTTTTATTAGTGAATTTTATGGTATGTGAATTATGTCTCAATAAAACCATTAAAAATGAACTTATTTGCATTAATAAGAGGTACCAATTTTCTAGTTATTTTTTGCCTTTTTGATTTTTGCCTTTTTCCCCCAATTCTAAACTCATTTATACATTTAATAGTTCCATATTTGCCTCTGGTTCTTAATGCAGCCTGAAGTGAAAAAGGTGTTTCTCCAATCGTATTGGTTCTGCAGAAAAGCTTGGGTCACTGATTGGCAGGCATCTTTGTGCCTATCTAAATGAGATTAGTCATTCCACTGCCCTTAAACACAGACTGCATAGCTTTGAAAGATAGGAGACAGTCCTAGCCACCAGACTTCTAATCTAAAATAATATAGCTACAATTCTTTAAATCGAGTGACACAGCTAGATTTTCTGCTCCCTGAAAGCTACTTGAGTATATTACTTATATTGTACTCTAAAAGAACATTTCATCATTTTGGCAAATGTTTTAGGTAAATGTATTGTTCTTTTTGTAAAATGCAGTGAAAATGCTCAGGATTTTTTTTACTATTCTATAGTGAAATGTGATTAATTATATTTACTGGTAATTTATAAAATAAATATACCTAATGCTAAATGACGAGTTAATGGATGCAGCACACCAACATGGCACAAGTATACATATGTAACAAACCTGCACGTTGTGCACATGTACCCTAAAACTTAAAGTATAATAATAATAAAAAAAATAGCAATGGAAAAAAAAAGAAATTTTAAACTATGGTAATGTCTTGAAATTAGTATTCCAAAAAATATATTCACTCAAATAGCAAAACATAAAAAATAAAAATAAATAAATAAAGTCTATATACCTAAAGATCAAAAATATCTGAAACTTTCCCCTCTCTCTGTTTCTTATTTTGTATAATAGATTGAAAATGGAAAAGAAAGAGAATTTAACACTTAAGAAAACAATTTAGAGTTGTATTATCTGGGTGTTATTTTTTCCTATTTTATGGATGAAGAAATTGAGTGACAGAAAGACAAAGGGATTTGTTGAAGGTCATATGTAACTGATACAGATTCTGATTTGAGGTCTAATCAAACCTGTTTCCTGACTCTAACACCTGTCTTTTTATCCACTGCAATACTTAGTCTCTCAATTAAAAGAGGTTAATTTCATAATAAGAAAGATAACCACACATTTTTGTTAATAAGTTACAGATATGCAAATATAGCAGAAATACTATTTATTTTATTACAGGGTTTGAAAGCATACTCAAAAAGAAAACCCTTTCATAACTTTCACAAGAATGCCATGAATTTTGGACAAAATGCATACGTTATCACCAAAGTAATCTTCAAAGGCTCAAAACTGGCAGGTTCTCATTGCATAGCCAGAGTACACTTGCTCACACAACGTGCATGTACTGAAGGATTGCTGATTATCTCTGCTCCCATTCAGAATAGCTCTTTGCTATAGCTCAGTGCAATTAGAATTTATTACCATCTTACAGTTATCCTTTTCCCCTTCATTTTGATATTTATTTTACTATTGGTAAGTTATGAATTTTTCATTTACATTTGTATACTTCCAGAGGATTCATTTCAACAAAGAAAAGGATCAAAAAGTGCAAGGAATTAGATCAGTATAAATGTATTTATGGGTACTTTTAAAATCATATCAATGAGGATCAAGGGGACATGTTAACACTTTAACAAAAGAAAAAGGATAAATTAGATGAAAATCAATGAATATTTCTGCTGTATCCAGTAGTATTGAACCAACATAGATTAAATCATGGTATCAAGGAAGAATGTTTTTAGAGACCCACTGCCTATTGGGGAAATTATCATGTGTCACTGATATGATGGAATAATTTAAAGAAACAGCAAAATGTTAAAACCAAAACCATATGCCTTTCATTTCTTGAAACTGGTATGTTGTAAGAGAGCCAGATTGCTAGCTCTCTACCTTCTAGTGGTTAGGCCTTATAATTCAAGCATCTACACTACATAGGAGCAGAGCTAGAGGTAACCTACTTGGGACTGTTTTGTTGACTACATTGGTTGCTTTCTATAAGAATTCATCAACAAAAGCCAAAACCATCCTTGATATGACTAATTTCTATATATGTTTAAAGAGTGTGGAACTGGAATTTATTCATTTAACATTTATTTGTTTATTGTGTGTTTACCATGTGCCTGGCACTTAAAAAGATATTGGGTATGAAATTATGAATAACACACAGTTTATGCCCTCGTGGAGTTTCCATTTTGGTGAATAACATAACTGCCATGTACTCATCACCTACTTTTATGCTGTAAGCTGTCTTAGACATATTACATACACAATTTCATTAAATTATTACAACATTGAAAGGAGGATATAATTCCCTGCCCACTTAAAAAGTGAATAAACTGAGGCACAGAGAGATTAAGTCAACAAATTGGAGAGATGTGATTTGAAACCAAGAATTTTGGCTCCACGTCACAAGTTTTCACACAGAATCAATCTCAGAACAAAAGGCCATACAGTGATTTATATCTAAAAAGTCTTTGAAATTTTGGTTAAGCAGTCACTCATACTATTTCTGAAAATATTTGCAGCTCTGCCTAAAAACTAATATACTAATTTTGTTTACATTGAAATTTAGCCATCAAAATGGAAAAGACCTTTCCATCTTCTGTTACCCCATCCCACATGGACCAAGAAACTATCAGTAATTTTTTTTCACTGAGGCTAAATTTTTGCTACTGAGCTAATGCAATTTTTCTGTTCAATGCATTGAGAACTTGACTGCTCTGAGCTAAAAATTCAGAAAAACAAGTGAAACAAATACACTGTCACTAAGATTTTAGTCCTACCATCTTTAGGTATATTGCATATATTTCCTCTTCATTTTTGAAAGTCCACTTTTTACTAATCAAAAGCTCAATTTTCCCATCTCCTCTAAAATGAAGTTTTTATGGATGAATTTCAATCATACTAAATATAGCACCATGAAAGGTCCATCATTTGCACTGCTGTTTAATACTTCATCAATTAGCAGTTATTTCTAAGATTGGTTACTTATTCGTTATTCAGTATACTTCCCATTTCCCTTCACATTAATGAGCTGAGATAGTACCATGTAGGTTTTTCATGTATTGGTTGATTTTGAACTGTGTGCAAGAAAGAAGAAAAAGGAGAAAAGCCAAAGCAGGATTTTTAACAAGCTCCTCTCTCTCTTCATAAACCTGATTAAACTACCAATGTTGGAATAAAAGAACAGAAAAAGTCTGGGAAATCCAGTTCGCAGTTAAGTAGAAATCATTGCTTATTTTTCATGAGGATGTTCTGAAACATCCTTTCGAGCACATGAAAGAACCCCTTTGGCCTCCCTCTCTTTGATCAGGTTTAGGAGTTTTATAACTCCAAAGCAACCATACTTTAACTTCTTTCCACCAGGCTTATCCTTTCTTCCCTGGCCTATTTTCTCCTTTTATAGGTCAACACTTAGCCTATCAAATAAAATTATTTTCCAACCCTTAGCCTTTCAATAAAGAGGGGTCTAGGTGTTTTATGTGCTTTTCCTCAATCCCTTCAGTCTCACCATACGTTTGGTAGCAGCCGACTATAGTATATTAAATTGTGGGTTAATCATAAAAAGTACTGTCTATTGAACATTTAAATGACTTATTTTTTCTACATAGGAAAAGAAGCAATAAAATTGTATTTCAGTTTTTTACTAAGGTAATTGAATATTTATAAGGTCTGATCAAAACACCTACTTAAACTCAGTTAATTTATATTTGAGTCTAAAGCACTATATCTGAAAAAGTTTACATTGTATTACCCCAAGTACCAACAGTTAAAGGGACTAATTTTGTAGATGGTCCAGTAATACCAAGGAGGATTTTTGAATGAGGCAAAAGTTTTAGCATGAGCTGATGGAAAAACAAGATGTCGAATAATAATCTAATTAATAGATAATTTATAACAGATCAGTAATAAAGATATCAACACATCCCTATTTGTCAGTTTCCCAGGTGTACTATATATCTCAACAACTTGGGCATTGTATTAATTATTTGTTTATTTGTCTGCCTCTCTCACTAGACGATAAATTTCATGAGGGACTGCATTTGATTTCTGTATTCACAGTACACAGTAAAATCTGTGTGTATGTGTGTGTGTGTGTGTGTATCACAGTAAAAGTTCAATAAGCATTAACTTTATGAAAAAATAGAAAGCTCATTGATGTAAAGGGAAATGGGAGGCACACTGAATAACAAGTAACCAATCTTAAAAATAACTCTTGAAATGGCAATGCAAATGATAAACCTTTCATGGTGCTATATTTAGTATAACTAACACTGTTTCCTTACTAACAATTCACTAATTCTGATCTTATAAATGTAATTTTCTTAAGTGATAATAAGTATATTAAAAATGAATGACTTAAAAGGCCAGGATTACACCCCATGATTCTAGCCAGGGGCATGGTGATTACAAGCAATCAACAGTGAGAGTGGAGTTGAAAAAAATAATTAGGTTTTTAACCATGATAGAGTAAGTGGTATTAGATTTGCCTCCCCATCATAAGCAACCATAAAACTGTACAAAATATATAAAGAAACAGTTCACAGAGTTTAAAAAACAGATAGCTCTTCGCTTGAGGACAATATCTCAAGCATGGTGCAAAGGACTGGAATCAAGCAGGGCATAGAAATGTCATTGAACTGAGGAAGCAGAAGTGAGAGTTCAGGGAAGCTGAAATGGCTGGAATCTGCAGGACAGAATACTGAAGAGAAAGGAGCTGCACGTAGAGAAGGCACCCAAAACTCTGAGGAAATGTACTGCGTGATTTCTTGGCTGGCCTCTGCAAGTGTTGGGTGAGAGTGCTTGATGCTTACTAGAGAGAAGCTACTATGAATTTGAGAAAGGAAGAGAGTCTAGAGTTCAATGAGCACTGGGAAATATTAAGTCTGACCTAGCTAGAGTATAAAGCTTTCATTAACATATCTATACCACCCAACGGAGACACCAGAAAGGATGCGCCTTAAGATTAAGAACCACAATATGGCTGACTCTAGATCTACTTTAATGAAGACTAAAACCAAACCCTGACAAAATTTTCGAGGGATACAAAGGTTGGAAGTTGAGTTTCATTAAGTAGGAGGATCTGGGAAAACACTGGAATTTCCATAGATCTTACCTTCCAAAATGTAAACCTAATCTAACCCAAGTTGAAGATGATTGGCTAGTAATTAAGAAGAAATAAACACTTTCCAGGTAAAGATTACACAATCTAAAGTGTTTAAAATATATCATCAACAATGTCAAGTACAATTTTAAAAAAATAGTACACATGAAAAAAAATAGGAAAATGTGACACATAGTCAAATGAAATAAAAGTTTATAGAAACTGACCCATTGGTGATCCAGACTTTGGATTTGGCAGACAAAGACTTTAAAGCAGCTATTATAAAAATGTTCAAAGAACTAAATGAAAATGTGTTAAAATAATTAAAGGAATACATGATCTTAATGAGTCAAGAGACAAGGAATATTAACAGTAAAAGCAAAAATGTAAAAAATGGAATTTCTAAGAGTGAAAAGTACAATAACTGAAATAAATAATTCAATACATGGGTTTAACATCAGATTTCAGATTGAAGATTGCAGACTAACGAGTCGGTAATCTCAAAGATGGAACAACAGATATTCTATCTGAAAAGATGAAGGCTAAAGATAGGTAAAAATGAGCAGAGCCTCAGAGACTTGTGGAATGACATTGAAAGATACACGATATTTGTAATCAGAATCTCAGAAATAGAAGAGGCTAATAATAGAGCAGAAAAAATTGGAGAAGTGATGGTCAAAAATTTCCCCAATATGATGGAAAATATTGACTTATTAATCCAATTTGCTCAAAAAAAAAAAAAGTAAACAACCAAAAATAAGCCAAAATTCATCGCATCATAATCAAATTGCTGAGCCAAAAATAAAGAGAAAATCTTGAAGGCAGTCATAATATAAAACACCATTACATACCAGAAACAATTGTAATAATAGATGCTGGCTTCCTATCATAAACAGTGTAGGCCAGAAGACTACTCTTTAAGATGCATATACCATCTGTAAAGTACTTAAAGGGAAAAAATAAAACCTGTTAGTATGTCCATATCCAACAAAAATATTTTTCAAGTATGATGGTAAAATATATGTTCAGATAAATAAAACTGATAATTTTTTTATCAGCAGACTTGCAATAAAATGAACGCTAACAGAGTCTCATCAGGTTAAAGAGAAATGATACCAGATAGAAAATAGGATCTACATAAAGGAAATAAGAATATCAGAAATTATAAATAAGTGGGTAAATATAAAATACTAGGTTTTATTTTTCTTCTCATAATGTCTTCAATTAAAGACAACTGACTGATTCAAGTAAAAATAATACCACTGCAAGATGAGCTTTGCAATGTGTGTGGAAGTAATAAATATGCCAACAATAAAACAAATGTTAAGAGGTGAGTAAGTGTAATTAAACTGTTGTAAGAATATTGTATTTGTGAAGTGGAGAGGGAAGTGGGATGTGTCAGGTGTTAAATGAGAATTGGAAAGTGAGAATATGAAGGGTCAGATATGAAGAGGTACGATATTGACTGTAAATAAACTTTAATAAGTTAAGGATGCACTTTGTTACCCTTAGAGAAATCATACAAAAGTAAAAATGCTAAGTTGGCCTTCATCAAAATGTAAAAGGTCTGCTTCTCAAAAGACACAGTTAAGGAAATGAACAGTCAAGCTACCTATTAGAAGAAAATATTTACTATACATATATCTGATAATAGACTTTTGTCCAGAACACATAAAAACTCTAGTAATTAAATAGTAAGATAATCCAATTAAAATGGATGAAATATTTGAGCAGATACTTTATGAAAGGACAAAAAGCACATGAAAATATTTTTAACATTATCAGTCATCCAGAAGGAGGAAATAAAAAAAACTCTCTGGTATAACACTTCTTACTAATTTAATTGGCTAAAGTGGAAAACATTGACAACCCAAATGTCAAAGACGTGAAGCAACTGGATCAATCATATGTGCTGGTTAGAGTGTAAAATGGTACAATCACCTTGGAAAACAGTTTAGCAGTTTCATATAAATTTAAATATACATTTACCTAATTACATAGCTACTCTACTCCTAGGCATTTATCCAAAAGAAACAAAAACACATGTCCATGCAAATATTTTTAAATGAATGTTCATTGCAGCTTTATTCATAATAGCCAATAACTTGGAAACAATGTCAACCAATGAGTGAATGAATAAATTAGTTGCATACTCTTTCTTTTTGTATTTTTTGTAGACATGGGATCTTGCTTTGTTGCCCAGGCTGGTTTTGAACTTCAGGGCTCAAGCCATCCTCCCACCTCAGCCTCCCAAAGTGCTGGGACTATAGGTATGAGCCACCACACCTGGCCATGTACCCTTATAATGGAATATTACTCAGTGATAAAAAAGTAAATATCAAAATCTCTATCTTAAGCAAAAGAAGCCAGACACAATAGTACATACTGTGTGATTCTATTTTTATGAAATTTAGAACTGGCAGATCTAATCTTTAGTTAATAGAAATCAGTGGTTATGTAAGATGGAAGGGTGGGGGATACAGGCAAATACATAAGGGAACCTTCTGGGTAGTGGAAATGTTCTATATTTATAATTGTGTAATGTTACATGGTGTATACATTTGTCTAAATTTATAAAACTATATACTTATAATCATGTATAAATTATACATCAACAACTTTAACAGAAAAGTTTCTGAGCAGCTGAAATGTGACTCTAGAGGAGGAAACGGGATAGAGAAAAAGAAAAAGAACTTTGGTAAATACTGCTGTGGTTTATCTTCTCCTTAGCTTTGGAGTCACACACAAAAAAGGAATAAAAACCAGGAACTTTGGAGGTATAGGTAAAGGAGGGAAAGACAAAGAGAGTCTTTTCTAAAATGAGTCCTTAAAAAGTTTCATTATATAGATAGAAGTGGCTGTATCAACATACATGTGCAAATAGCCCAAGGATGATACCAAAGTATAAACAGGTAGCTGGACTATCTTCCATAGCTCAGCACAAAATGACTGAGCAAACCATAGAACTACATATACATTCCCAGTAGTATGGTATATGGAGACTGTAGCTATACTGAAAGAGGGAAAAGGGAAGACCTATAAGAGAGAGTAGAGGTGAGAGAGTGAATGCCTTTGAGAAGTACTCCTCTTGTTCTAAAGCGTTCTAACCTCATTTTCACTTCATTTTGCCTTTCATCTTACAGTACTGGACTCTGCTAGTGTGGTATCCTGAAGAAGCTACTGGGTCACATTTATTGACCCAAGAAAACACTGCCTTTGACTTTCCTGAGCCATTCAACTTTCTCATTGCCCCACCTACTTACTGGCATATTCTCATCTTTGTGTCTCCAAATATTTCTATCCACAGCCCACCAATGGCGTTCTTCCTTTCATGCACATTGGCACTGCTCACGTCCCAGTTCTGTCCCTCAAACTATTACAGTAGCCCACAACTGGGTCCATTCTTCAACCCTACTCACCCTGTTACATGTACCTTCCATAGTCCTGCTGCAAGAACCAGCTTCATAGCCATGTGATCAGTGCAGTTGTAGAGGATCTTACATTCAGAAAGCCCTGCACCTGGGGCTTAATATTCTGTAGTTGCTGTCTTAAATATTATAAATGAGTTTATCTTTACAATTCTGCTTTTTGAGTTAAGCCAAATGGGACATGCACTGGAGGCTCGGAGTGTTGGCTCACATGCAGTCTTACCTCCTGCCACCTTCCCCAGACAGGTTCAGTTCTTGGCCACCCTCTCACTCTCTGAAACTCTGTGCCCTGCCTATTATTCCTTCTTCCCTGGGCTCTGCTACCCCCAGGCCCCTGCAGAAGCCTGGGTGAAAGGGCAGGGAGAGTTGAAGTTGGGCATGCATGCCCCATGACATCTTAGCATGAGGCATGGTGGCAGCAGCCATCCCCAGGCTAGGCTGGCAGCACAAATGACTGTCTAGTGGATGGCCAGCCTTAATCTGCCTCTTGGTTGAGGTGAGTCTTTTGCCCACCCACCTACAATTCAAGTATCGAGCGCACTTCAGTGGAAAGGTTTAAGTATCTTTGGAAGTCACTTGTTTGCTGTGGATTGGTAAAATACCTAAGTTAACTTCCTCAGACCTCTCCTTCTTCTGGGGTGCAATGTACAGGTCTAGTAGCTGGTGGGCAGGGCAGTCCAATGACAGTAAGGTCTGAGCATGCCTCATATCATGAAGTAAGGCCTCTGCATACTTTCAAGGGTGATATGGTTTGGATATGTGTCCCCACCTGAATATCATGTTGAATTATAATCCCAATATTGGAGGTGGGGCCTGATGGGAGGTGATTGGATCATGGGGGTGGAGTTCTTACCAATGGATTAGCACCATCCCCTCAGTGCTATTCTTGTGATAGTGAGTGAGTTAGTTATCTTCAGATCTAGTTGTTTTAAAAGTATGCAGCACCTCTCCCCTCACTCTCTTGCTCCTGCTCTGCCATATAAGACGTGCCTGCTTCCCCTTCACCTTCTGCCATGGGTCAGAGTTTCCTGAGGCCTTCCCAGAAGCTGAGCAGATGCCAGCATCATGCTTCTTGTGCAGCCTGCGGAACCATGAACCACTTAAACCTCTTTATAAATTACACAGTCTCATGTATTACTTTATAGCAGTGTTAAGAACAGACTAATACAAAAGGGTATGCATTCATCTTGCTAGTTTCCTAGTGCTCAGGAGCACTCCCTTGGCTAGCTTCGGGCCTAGGTCTATTCTCTCTTTCTCCTTCTAACATTTAAGTCTGGCTCATGTTGTTTTCTTTTGGCCAACCCTAGGTGCCCTCCGGGGAAAAGCCACAAAGTACTAATTGTGTAATTTTAGTGATTTTTGCATACAAGTTAAATGCTTTGCATTTAAAATTGACATTACACAATTTAAAAATGAAAGGAAAAATTCATGCTAATACTTTAAAATTTTAGTCATCAAACTCTGGTGATCCTAAGATTGTGTAGTTTAATCAAGTAATAAAAATAGAGGAAGGCACAATTTTGGTGCATGTTCTAGTGGTTGATTTGGGCAACGTATTGCCACTGTCCAAAGCTATCACTGGCTTTTTTCTAAGCTTTCAATCTATGTGTCTTTTTTAAGGTTAAAATGTTATATTCAATTTCCTTCCCTGGAGGAATGGAGATAAGGTTATTGCCATTTTCATTTCCCTTATCATATGGAAATTATCTCCACATACACTGAGTGATTTTTAGTTGATTCTACAATGAATATGTGTATTGTAGTTTTTAAAACATGAAATCGTGTAAACTAAGCATGAAGTGATTTTGTTGGTGTATTAATGAATCAGGAAAGAATTTTGGTTAGCCAAGGAATATAACTCCATCTAAGATATATAGGAAGAAATCCCAAGTGTCAACTGCTCATTATAAGCTTTGAAAAATATGTGAATATTTGCAGACATGGAAGTCTTCAATGTATTTTTGATTTTTAAGCTTTGGTTTTTCCAATATTTTTCTCTCTCCTAGGATTAACTGTCTAGGATTATAAATTTAACAGTGCTGGTTCATGGACAATTTGGTGCCCTGTGACTGTAACATAACTTAACACCAACAACTCAACAAAGTTGAGAATGAGAAAAAACTCAGAATCAGTTAATCACCTCACTACCTCTAAAGGAAAGCTCTCAGTGTTTGGTGGAAAAATAGGAAATGACATATTTTTTTTTCTGAGCCTGATCCCCAAAGACCAATTCCTATACTACTGAAACACCTAATTATCTCCATCATCTGTATGCACTATTTTTTGGTGAAATTTCTATTAAGTCTATCTTTTCCCACTCACCCACCAGGCATATATTGTTTCCCCTAATTCTTACCTCTGATAACTTAGGCAAAATAGAGCTGAAGATAAGATTGATACATAAAATATGCTCTAAAATATGCATGGGATTAAGAAATGTCATTGCATCTATCACTTCATTTAGGAACCCTTCCTGATCTCCAAAGCCAGATAAAACTTTCTCCATACTTCTATTAAATACACTTTATGTGTAATTTTGTTATGGCTTTTTACTAAAAGTCCAAATCTTGGACTTATGTGCATGTTTTACATCGACAACTAAATGACAAGCAGTTTTCTTGTCAACATCAATTGAGAATTTCTCCTGACTTGTCCTTAATCATCTTAATAAATAACCTTTCAACAACTGTGTTAACATAAATGTTTTCTGAAGTTTATTGCATGTTAGTAGTCAAGATACTGCAAATTACAGTAACAGCGAGATAGCATTTTGCACACATTTGATTGTGAAAAGAAAATAATAGTGCTAACATTCTTTCCTGGTGATAATGCAGAGGAAAGAACACTGATAAATTGCTGTTCAAATATAAAGTACTATTATCTTTCTGGAAACAATTTTGTAATACCTATTAAAATTAAAAATTTGCATATCCTTTAACATGACAATTCCATTTCAGGAAATCTCTCTTACAGAAATAAAACCCACCATACTTGTACAGGAATACCTTGGAGATATTGCAAGTTCAGTTCCAGACTACCACCATAAAGCAAATAGTGCAATAAGGTTAGTGACAAACTGTTTGTTTCCCTGTGCATGTGAAAGTTATGTTTATACTATACTGTAGTCTATTAGGTATACAATAGCATTAGGCCTAAAAAAACAATGTACGTACCTTAATTAAAAAATTATTTCTTACTAAACAATGCTAACAATCATCTGAGCCTTCAGCAATCATAATCTTTTTGCTGGTGGAGGGTCTTGTTTTCATGCTGCTGGCTGCCGACTGATCATGGTGGTGGTTGCTGAAGGATGAGGTGGCTGTGGTAATTTCTTAAAATACAACACCAGTGAAGTTTGCTGCACAATGGACTTTTATTTTCACAAAAGAGTTCTCTGTAGCATTCATTGCTGTTTGATAGGATTTTACCCACAGTATTTTTTTTTTCAAAATTGTAGGCAATTCTCTCAAGTCATGCTGCTGCTTTATCAACTATTTTTATGTAATATTCTAAATACTTTATGGTTATTTCAACAATGTTCACAGCGTCTTCACCAGGAGTAGTTTCCATCTCAAGAAACTATTTTCTTTGCTCATCCATAAGAGGCAATTCCTCATCCTTTCAAGTTTTATCATGAGATTTCAGCAATAGAGTCACATCTTCAGTCTCCACTTCTTATTCTAGTTATCTTCTTACTTCCACCACATCTGCAGTTACTTCTTCCACTGAAGTCTTGAACCTCTCAAAGTCACCCATGAGGTTTGGAATCAACTACTTCCAAACTCCTGTTAATGCCATAAATGTTCTTAATGGCATGTAAATGGTGAATCTTTTCCAGAAGCTTTTCAATTTACTTTCCTCAGATACAGCTATCAGAGGAATCACTATTTATGGCAGGTATGGACTTACAAAAGGTATTTCTTAAATAAGAAGACTTGAAAGTCAAAATCATTCCTTGATCTGTGGGCTGCAGAATGTACGTTGTGTTAGCAGGCATGAAAATAACATGAACCTTCTTGTACATCTCCACCAGAGCTCTTGGGTGACTAGATGCATTGTCAAGACACAGTGATATTTTGAAAAGAATCTTTTTTTTCTGCACAGTAGGTCTCAACAGTAGACTTAAAATATGTAGTAAATCCTACTGTAAACAGATGTGTTGTCAACAAGACTTCATTAGTTCATCTATAAGGCACAGGGAAAGTCAATTTAGCATAATTCTTAAGAGCCCTAGAATTTTCAGAACGGTAAATGAGCATTGGTTTCAACTTAAAGGTACCAGCTACATTAGCCCCAATAAGAGAATTAGCCTGAGACCTTGAAGCTTTGAAGCCAAACATTGGCTTCTCCTCTCTGGCTATCAAAGCCCTAGATGTATCTTCTTCCAATAGATGATTATTTTATTTACATTGAAAATCTGTTGCTTAGTGTAGCCAACTTCATCAATGATCGTAGTTAGATCTACTGGATAACTTGTTTCAGCTTCTCCATCAGTACTTCCTGCTTCACCTTGCACTTTTATGTTATAAGACAGCTTATTTCCTTCAGCCTCATGAACCAACTTCTGCTGGCTTCAGGCTTTTTTTTTTTTCAGATCTTCCTCATCTCTCCCAGCCTTCAAATAATTGAAGAGAGTTAGGGCCTTGCTTTGGATTAGGCTTTGGTTGAAGAGAATGTTGTGTCTGATTTTATCTTCTATCTAGACCATTAAAACTTTCTCCATATCAGCAATAAGGCTGTTTCTCTTTTTTATCATTCATGTGTTCACTAGAGTAGTACTTTTATTTTCTTTCAATAACTTCTCCTTTGCATTCAGAATTTGGCTGTTTGTTGCAAAAGGCTTAGTTTCAGCTTATCTCAGCTTTTGTCATGTCTAACTAAGCTCAATCATTTCTAGGTTTTGATTTAAATTGAGAGATGTGTCACTCTTTCAGCTGAACACTTGGAAACCATTGTAGGATTATTAATTGGCCTAATTTCAATATTCTTGTGCCTCAGGGAATAGGGAGGCTTAAGGAAAGGGAGAGAGATGGAAAAATGGCTGGTTGGTGAAGCAATCAGAACACATACAATGTTTGTCAATTGTTTGACATCTTAAATGGGCATATTTTTTTGGTGCCCCAAATAATTACAATGGTAAGAACATAAATCACTGATCACACAGGTCACTATAATAGATATAATAAGAGTGAAGAAGTTTGAAAAATTACAAGAACTACCAAAATGTGACACAGAGACACAAAATGAGCACAGGCTATTGGAAAAAATGATGGCATTAATACTCTTGCTCAATGCAGGGTTGACACAAACCTTCAATTTGTAAAAGATGCAGTATCTGGAAAGTACAATAAAGGGAAGCAAAATAAAGTGAAGCACAATAAAACAAGGTATGCTTGCATAAATATCTTTATTATATAGTATCAGAAAAACTAGTGCAAAATATTGTAAAAGTGATCACTTTTTTTCATTAGGAGGTGAATTTTGTTTCTCTGTCCCTTAAATTTGAGTTGGCCATGTGATTTATTTGGCCAATAGGACATTAACAAATATGATCAAGAGGCTTCAAAAGTGCTTGTGCATTGAAGCTTGATCTTTTTCTTGGAAGCGTTAGATTACCACGTGAATGAAACTAGCTAGAATGACGGATGACAAGAGACATGTGTACCTGTCAGTCCTGTCACTCTGGTCAACAGCTTTCCAACTGTCAGAGATAAGAATGAGACTATCCTGGATATCCAGCCTTCTGTCAATTTGCTTGCATATCATAAACACAAGAGTGAGCCCAGGATATATCAGCTGAGTTGACCTAGATGAGAAAAACTTCCCAACCAACCCACGGAATCATGGAAATTAATAAATGATTAATTTCAACCGTTAAATTTAGGGGCGGTTAGTTACACAGCAAAAGCTAACTGATATGACTGACTGACAATAATATGACTGCCCAACATTAGGGAAATATTTGAGTAAATAGTGGCACATTATGTTACATTATGAAGCTTTTAAGAAAAATAAGTTAGATATACATCCATTGACCGTATCTTATTTCTCCCTCTCCAATTAGATTTGTGAGCTCTTGGGGAAGAGGAAGTTTGTCTTTACTTTTGTTGATTTACCCCAAACACAGTGGACGCACAAGTATTTATTGATTTAAGTGCTCCAGAACTCCATTTTTAAAAGTTAAACAAGTGATCTTCAGTTGGAAGAGCTATTCTATTGGTACATGTACCATTTGATGGAATTAGCTCAGTATGGTTGCCTATTAAAGCTACAAGAGCTTAAATGGCAAAAGCCCCTACGTAAGGAACAATCACTTGATCAACCAGGGCTGCTTTCATGGGCATGTTGCCAGTATAGTCACACAGGACCCTGTGCTCAGAAGTGCCTCACACTGGGTTTAAGGCTCTGTAGTTGCAATCTTGAAGTTCTTAATTTCTTTTTTTCTGTGAGAAATTGTGTCTGGTAAATGAAGTCAGATGGGACAATAGAGCAAGTGTCAGGGGATTGAAGCCTCAGCTCATGTATTGGTCCCACCGCTGCATCTGACTGGGATGGTTCTCAGCCACAGGTCAGGATCCAAAGTAATTATGTAACCAGTACTAAATAAATTTTCTTAGGAAACTACAGATGAAAGAAGATATATATTGTTTCAATGCAAACAAAAGCCATGACATTTTGCTAAATAAGAGTGCTGCTCCCTTTTTTTTGTGGTGGCAGAAATGAAATTAGCCAAAGATGGCACATTTGGCAATAAAGAATATAAGGAAATGTTTCCTGGACTTGACACCATCTCTTGCTAGCTATTCTCTTTCTGCAAAGAATCAGCTTTTCCTGTATTAATATTCTCTTTGTCTTTGTATGAGTTTGTTAATTTTTGTTCTTATCCTTCTACTAATGTGTTATTTGTCTTAGTTGATTTTATTCTGTTGTTCTCACTTACTTGGATCAAAAATATGCAACTGGATGCTTCATTAATAAGAGCAGCTCTAAAAGTTGCTTAGCCTGTTACTGCACTTAACCAAATTTCTGGAAAAGGTGAAGAGAGTTCCACAACTGTAGTTGAACTTCAATGTTTAACAAGATTTATGTAAATAAATACATGGTTTAACCCAAAATATGATGCGATTATTTCATACCAATCAAATGCTGCTATATGTACTGCTGTGAATTTATGACCACAACCTTGTGGTTCGGTCTTGTTATCTCTTTGTTTCTTGGTATCACACTCTGACCTCTGCTGACTATCAGAAGCTAAAGCAGTGCTGATTGTTAGGTGGCATGGATAGTGCTGTTGCTCAGAACCGAAATAAACCCAAACAAGCAGTTCAGGGAAACTCACAGACACCTGTTCCTCAACCTTATGGTTAAGGTCAGTAGTTAAGAGCATAAAATACAATAGCAGGCATAAAATACAGTATCAGGCAGGCCTGATTTGATCCCAGTTCCTTATCAGTACTAGCTGAGTTAACTGCTGGCACTTAGTCACTTTAAATCTCCCTTTTCTCGTGTGTAAAATAGGGATAATTGAGTTTTAAATGAAATGAGTCACGTTCTTTGAGAAGCCTTCCTTAACATGCAATCAACTAGTAAGTATCCCTGCTATTTTCCTTTATTGCACGTTATTGTTTTCCTTTAGAGGACTGTTCTTGATTTGTATGTATATATTCTTGTATATATGTATAGATTAATTTGCTTGTTTGCCTATCCCACTAGACCATTAAATTAATGAGTACAGTGATCATACCTATTTTGCTCATCACTTTATGCCTGCACTGAGAAAAGTATCTGTCACATTATAGTTGCTTAATAAATATTTGTAGAATGAACAAATAAAATGCTCTATACAGTGCTGTGTGTTGAAAATAACAAAGTAGTCAATTCAAGACCCAAAGTAAAAGCAAACAAAGGAATGGTAATTTCTTTCCTAACTTGACCTAAAGTGGCCTTGATCCTCTCCCTCAGCCAATTCTTGGTCAATTTAAGCACTCTAAGTCTCAGCAGGTTTCAATGTGAGCCTTGCTTCATTTCATTATTAATTTACTAACAGCCTCCTTTTGATGAATTCCCTCTGCCTGATACTTTTCTATCACTGGGAGAACCTTGGCTTCAGGTCTTGGGGGCAGTCTCCCTTGTGGAGGAAGATCAGCCCTCGGATAGCCCCAACATCAGTCCATTTTTCCTGACTCATGATACTGTTGTACACTGAAGTGTTGCGTGCCCAAAAGTGCTTCTGACTGATTAATTTCTAAGTGAGTTATTTTTTTAAGTCAGTCTATTTTGAAATAAATTCAACCTAATTCATTTATACCACAAGTTAAACATATAACACTCAGTTTTTATTTTTTTATCATTCCATACATATCTAATATAAACCTCCGTGTAACAAAGATTGCGAAGTCTGGAGTTTGGTTCATGTATTCTAACCAATACTAAGTGCAATTAAATTCTTGTGCAAGAAATTCTTGTGATCAATGTCCTACAGGGTATTGTAATAGCATTGACCAGCACCAGCTTGATTTTAGCCAATGGCACAGAGACAAAAGTTTCTTTATGTCAGTAGCAATTCCTGTGACATTCATAGATGTCTCATTTGTATTTGTTTTGCCCTACCATCTCAGTGTCAAATTAATATCGGTAAAATTCCCATGCTTCCCAGGTTTAGTATCTGATTTTAGGTACAAGGAAAATAAATCAATAAAAATGACTCTTTAAATTTCCCTCCACATATCTGACATTTCCCATGTGTCATTTCCATACCTCTTATCATTTATCTGAATCATACTAGACTTTGAAAATGCTAATTTACTGTATTATTTATGCCCAGTAATAGAGTTTGTAAAAGCTTCTAAAGGAAAATAAATGAGGTTGACTTGTATAGCTATTATGCATAGCAAACTATATACTTGTAAATATGATTATATTTTGTGAACTAATACTTCTAACATTTTTATTTTTTGCAAACTTCTCACATGTAAAATTTCACATGTTCATATCTTCTACAATAGAAGTTAACAAGTACTTCTGCATATAAATCTCAGTGTCTGCTTGTGGACTCACTTTTGTTAATAGACTTGTGAAAGTGATCAGACACAATGAAATAAGAAGCAGACAACTATATCATTACTTTTGCACTTACTTTTCAAACTTCTCCCCAAGATCATCTTTGTTTGGTGTATACATTTCAGGTAATTCTTTTTTTAGCTTCTCAGCTATAGAAATAATTGCCAGGCGCTGAGTAATGAACAGGTGTGTGGTTTGTCCAATAAGATCACATTGGAAACTATGATCTCTACATGACTATATATGTAGCTCTACATGTAGCTCCTACATAGATTCCTGACAGTCATTTCTTTCCGACATTATTTCAAGATGAAAGAAAAGCTTTGCGGGAAAGGGGGACTGCAAAACTGGACGTGTACATGAAGATAGGCTCAAACAGCAAATGCCCTGAAGCCTCACTGTAGTACTTATCAGAGGGTTCAGGGCACAGCACTGCCTCACAGGTGGACTATTCTAATAGCTGCCAACCTGATGTTCTTGACTATAACCCCCACACCAATATGTCTTCTTTCTTAAGTATTTTGTTGTTTCTCTTATGTTATCATTTTGCTCAAAAACATCCAAAAGTAATGTAGTTACCATTATTTTAGGGTTTCGGCCTTGGTGTACTTAATACCTTATTTCTTATCTTCAGAGTAACATTTTAGAACACTTATGATACCCATTTTATTTTTTATTCTAGTGATAGGGCATTAATTAGCAGTGAGGCTGTTAAAAAGTACATCAGATTAAATCTACCCCTGTGCTTGACACTTTCGAATGGCTTCCCATCTCACTTAGATCTGGTCCTAATTTCTCCTCACACCTCATCTTCTACTCCCTTACTTTTTGTGAAGGGCTTCCTTGACACCCATATTCCACATTCCATAACTCCTTTGCTGATTTATGTTTCATCCTTAGCATTTATCACTTTCTAAAATAGAAGTTCTTTTACTGATTAGTCTTATTTATTGTCTGTCTTCCCCTCACTAGAATGCAAGCACCATGAGAACAGGGATTTTTATCTTTTTGTCCCTAGCAGGCATTTACTAAATATTTGCTAAATAAAATAATAAATTCATTCCTTTACATTTTAAAGTTATAAACTATATCATTACATAAAAAAGCCTATATAATAATGGGGACAGTTTAGGGATTATTAATGAAATGAACAGAGCACATTAGCAATACGTTAGGTATACCCAGTGTGTCACCCCTTTATGGCATCCACCTTCATCTTCCCAGAAGATTCACTTTCCTAAATTTTGTCTAAATCACTCTCTTGTATTTCTTACAGTTTACCATATAAATAAATAAAATATATAAATATGTGTCTCTAAACAGTGTATAATTTTGTGGTTTTGACTTTAATATAAATGGACAAATACATATATATATAGTCTTCTGCAACTTGTGTTTTTACTCAACATGTTTCAGAGATCCATTCATAGAGTAGTGTGTAGCTATAAGACATTCATTTCCTCACATACATAGTATTCTTACACTGTATGAATAAACGACAATTTCTTTATCTATTGTACTATTGAAAAGCATTTGGGTTGTTTCTATTTTTTTCCTATTTTAAGAAGTGCAGTTATGAACATTCTTTTCTGTGTCTCCAAGTGCACACTCAAAAGCTTTCTCTAAACTTATATTTTTCAAACTGAGAGTTGTGACCAGTTAGTGGGTTGAGTCACATCTAGGATAAAAGGAAATTGTGCAGAAAAGAATAGAACATGAAAAAATCAGAATGCATCAAAAGTAACAGCAGTGAGTATTATTTTGAAACACACATGTTTCAACATTAGTCAAAATATATGCAAGTATACACTGACTCATGATGTAAATTTTACTTTTACTGTGAGTCATGAGAATTTGAAAGCCAGTGTTCTATGGCTGTACCTGAAGTGAAATTGCTAGCTTGTAGGACATGCACATGGTCAACTTTACCAGGCCATGGCAAATTATTTTCCAAAGTGATTGTACCATTTTACATTCCATCACTGGTATATGAGTTTCTCTTCTTCCACTAACTTCCCAACATTTAGTATTTTCAGACTTTTAAATGTTTACCAATGTGATGTAATAGTGTCTCATTATGGTTTTGTTCCTAAATATTAATGAATCTGTGTATCTTTTAATAACTTATTGGCCATTCTTGTTGTTTCAATTACAAAATACCTATGGATTTCTTTTGCCTATTTCATAGCTATCTGCTTTGTTCATTAATAGACATTTTATATATCAATAAAATAACATTTTATGGCTATATGTGTCACCAATACGTTTTCAGTTTGTGGTTTGTCTTTTCAGTATTTAAATATCTTTTAAAGAATTGAAATTTGTAGGCCGGGTGCCGTGGCTCACGCCTGTAATCCCGGTACTTCGGGAGGCCTACGTGGGCGGATCACTGGAGGTTGGGAGTTCGAGACCACCCTGACCAACATGGAGAAACCTCATCTCTACTAAAAATACAAAGTGGTGGCACATGCCTGTAATCCCAGCTACTCGGGAGGCTGAGGCAGGAGAATCGCTTGAACCCAGGAGGCAGAGGTTGTGGTGAGCCAGAGATCACACCATTTCACTCCAGCCTGGGCAACAAGAGCAAAACTCTGTCTCAAAAAAAAAAAAAAGAAAAAAAATTTGTAATTTGAAATACAATTTATCTGCATTTTTCTCTGGTTTGAGATTTTTGTGTCTTTTTCCGTTTTGTTTTGTTTTTTTTGAGACAGAGTCTTGCTCTGTTACCCAGGCTGCAGTGCAGTGGCACGACCTTGGTTTACTGCAACCTCTGCCTCTCAGGTTCAAGCGATCCTCCTGCCTCAGCCTCTGAAGTAGCTGGGATTACAGGCGCATGCCACCATGCCAGGCTAATTTTTGTATTTTTAGTAGAGACAGGGTTTCAGCATGTTGGCCAGTCTGATTGGATTTTTGTGCCTTGATTATAAAATTTTTATCTAACATCAGGTATAGAAGATTTCCTCTATATTGTCATGTGAATTTTTTTTTTACGTTTTGCCTTTCAGATTTGCCACCTTAATCCAATCGGAATTGATTTTGTTTCTGGTGTGAGGTTGGGAAACAATTTTATTTCTTCACACAGAAGATCAATTGTACCATATTGTTTATTTATTTATTTTTAATTATACTTTAAGATCTAGGGTACATGTGCACAACGTGCAGGTTTGTTACATATGTATACAACCACATTGTTTATTAAATATTATGCTCTTTACATACTAATCTGCAATGCATCTCTGTTATATATCGTTTCCATATATATGTGTGTGCATATATATAGATAGATATAGATAGATATATAGACATAGATTTATTTTTAGCCTCTCCATTCTGTTCCATTGGCTCATCTGTGTATCTATGAATGTCACACTATCTGTATAACTATGGTTTTATAATAAATATCTATATCAGATAAGGAACATCTCTCTCTCCAGTCACAAACTTCTTTTTCAGGATTATCTTTGCTAATGTTGGCCTTTTGTTCATTCATTCGTGTGTGTGTGTGTGTGTGTGTGTGTGTGTGTGTGTGTGTTTATTAGAATCAGCTGTCAAGTTCCACAGTGAATTTTGGGGAAATTTTAATTGACCTGTCATTGAAGCTATAAATGAGTTTGGAAAGAATCCGCATTTTTTCGTATTGAGTCCTCTATCCATAAGCAAAGTACATCTTTTCATTTCGTTAGGCATTCTTTCATACTCTCCAATAACGTTATGTAATTTTCTACTTAAAGGTCATGCACATCCTTTATTAGATGTATTCCTAGGTACATCCTTTGTTGTTGTGTAACAACTAATATATATAAAGCAACTTTTTTGCTGCTTTATAATAGTAGAACTGATTTTTAAATTTATCTGGTATCTATCAATACATAACATATACAAACAACTGCTACAAATGAATAAAAAGTTTATATCCGCAATAAAATGATCAAAGTACATAAAAAGCAAACTCTACCAGAGAAAAATCCCATCTGAGATCCAAAGTTACTCAGCTTCTTTTTTAATCAAAAAAACTGCAAAGCAAAACAATAAAGATATGCCATTTTTAACCTATTAGAATGGTCAATATTCAAAAGAGCAATAATATTCATTGTTGTGAAGGACACAGGGCAACAAGTATTCTCATATATCACTGGTGGCAGCGTTATTCATAACAATCATTTGAGAAACGAACCTAGCAATGTTGAAATTTGAAGGACTCACAAAGGCTTCCAGTTCAGAATGACAGAACACACCACTTTTAACCCCTCTTTTTCTTGAGGCCCCCTTTAATCCTAAATCATAATAATAACTAAAGGAGGCCATTAGTGGAAAAAGATTTCAACAAATTTCTAGAAAATGTTCTAGCAATTGATGAATGGGACAGTGGGAGCTATCATCTGCAACTGGGGAGAAGGTTAATTTGACTTGCAGAATTATTGAATCTCCTGAATGGTAATGCCTAGGTTTTCTTCTAGGGTTTTTATGGTTTTAGGTCTAACATTTAAGTCTTTAATCCATCTTGAATTGATTTTTGTATAAGGTGTAAGGAAGGGATCCAGTTTCAGCTTTCTACATATGGCTAGCCAATTTTCCCAGCACCATTTATTAAATAGGGAATCCTTTCCCCATTGCTTGTTTTTCTCAGGTTTGTCAAAGATCAGATAGTTGTAGATATGCGGCATCATTTCTGAGGGCTCTGTTCTGTTCCATTGATCTATATCTCTGTTTTGGTACCAGTACCATGCTGTTTTGGTTACTGTAGCCTTGTAGTATAGTTTGAAGTCAGGTAGTGTGATGCCTCCAGCTTTGTTCTTTCGGCTTAGGATTGACTTGGCGATGCGGGCTCTTTTTTGGTTCCATATGAACTTTAAAGTAGTTTTTTCCAATTCTGTGAAGAAAGGCATTGGTAGCTTGATGGGGATGGCATTGCATCTGTAAATCACCTTGGCCAGCAGGACATAGGCATGGGCAAGGACTTCATGTCTAAAACACCAAAAGCAATGGCAACAAAAGACAAAATTGACAAATGGGATCTAATTAAACTAAAGAGCTTCTGCACAGCAAAAGAAACTACCATCAGAGTGAACAGGCAACCTACAACATGGGAGAAAATTTTCGCAACCTACTCATCTGACAAAGGGCTAATATCCAGAATCTACAATGAAGTCAAACAAATATACAAGAAAAAACAAACAACCCCATCAAAAAGTAGGCAAAGGACATGAACAGACACTTCTCAAAAGAAGACATTTATGCAGCCAAAAAACACATGAAAAAATGCTCATCATCACTGGCCATCAGAGAAATGCAAATCAAAACCACAATGAGATACCATCTCACACCAGTTAGAATGGCAATCATTAAAAAGTCAGGAAAGAACAGGTGCTGGAGAGGATGTGGAGAAATAGGAACACTTTTACACTGTTGGTGGGACTGTAAACTAGTTCAACCATTGTGGAAGTCAGTGTGGTGATTCCTCAGGGATCTAGAACTAGAAATACCATTTGATCCAGCCATCCCATTACTGGGTATATACCCAAAGGACTATAAATCATGCTGCTATAAAGACACATGCACACGTATGTTTATTGCAGCATTATTCACAATAGCAAAGACTTGGAACCAACCCAAATGTCCAACAACGATAGACTGGATTAAGAAAATGTGGCACATATACACCATGGAATACTATGCAGCCATAAAAAATGATGAGTTCATGTCCTTTGTAGGGACATGGATGAAATTGGAAATCATCATTCTCAGTAAACTATCGCAAGAACAAAAAACCAAACACCGCATATTCTCACTCATAGGTGGGAATTGAACAATGAGAACACATGGACACAGGAAGGGGAACATCACACTCTGGGGACTGTTGTGGGGTGGGGGGAGGGGGGAGGGATAGCTTTAGGAGATATACCTAATGCTAGATGACAAGTTAGTGGGTGCAGCGCACCAGCATGGCACATGTATACATATGTAACTAACCTGCACAATGTGCACATGTACCCTAAAACTTAAAGTATAATAATAAAAGAAAAAAAAACTTAAAAAAAAAAAAGAATTATTGAATCTCTTTTAATGCAAAGAGGTCAGAAAAGAGAAACGGAACCTCAAAACACTGAGGCTTATTAGGTTTGCAACACCCACTGCCAAAATTTATCTCCCAGGTAAACAAATAAGCAAATAAAATTATAAGACACTTTCCTAAAGAAGTTAAAATTATATGTTATTGGGGAAATTAAGGCAACTAGTGTAGTAATTAGAACCTCCAGAATGACATTGGCTTCTGTGGGTCACTTTGTGAAACAGCCTTCTCTCCCTTAAAGTAAACTCTGTGAGTGAACAAACTTCTTGAATATGAAAAGCTTTTCTGTTGCTAAATCTTAAAATACAAAGAAAAAAACATAACTACACGTTTGAAGATAGCAACATAAAAGAGAGTTCTCAGGAAAAGCAATAACAATCAGAGCACTAAAAAGAGCTCTTAGAAACTGATAGAAGAAAAATTTGTGGAGATGTCATATGATTTAAAACAAATAAAAAAGAAACAAATATATGAGGAAAATAAACAGAGGGAATTAATCCAAGAGATCCATTATTTAACTATTTGAGTTTCAAAAACAGAGTGGAAGATTATTAGAGGAAAAAAAATTGGATGGTAGGAGTAATAATGATGTGACACTTCAAGGTTCTAATGAAACATCATTTTAATCCTAGAGTTCTACACACAATATACCAATCTTGTTTGAACACAAAATACCTTTTCAAATATGTAAGTGCCCAAATATTCCCTTCCCCTCCCTCCCTCTCTCCCTTCCTCCCTTCCTCCCTCCCTCCCTCCCTCCCTTCCTTCCTCTCTTTCTTTCTTTCTTTCTTTCTTTCTTTCTTTCTTTCTTTTTCTTTCTTTCTTTTCTTTCTTTCTTTCTTTTTCAGAGTTTTGCTCTTGTTGCTCAGGCTGGAGTGCAATGGTGCCATCCTGGCTCACTGCAAGCTCCGTCTCCCGAGTTCTCCTCACTTTCTTAAGAAGTTATTGTTTGTGTGATTCGATTACTTGTTTATTGTATAACAGGACTTTCAAGGATGACAGATGTTCAGTAGATGCACAGAGGTACAAATTGCTGCTGAACAGTCTGATGCCAATTTGATTCTCTCCCCTTTGTAGTAAAACTTTTGTTTTCTTCCTTGTGGAAGTTCTGAGACCTTCTCTTTGTTATCATATTTTATGTGTCTGAATGAGTTTGTTGTTGTTGCTACTGTGGTTGTTCATTACAAGAAATCTGACAACTCACGTTCTTTAGCTCCTGGGCTCTTTTTTCAGGAAATAGTTTGCCTTCAGGACGCATGAATTATCTGCTCCTCCATGCTGTAAAGTTGACAAAGGCTGATGTGCTATAGAAGACTATTAGGGTATTTCAGTAGTATCTGGGATTGGGTAGATAAATTCAAATTAAGGAAGCAGTATTAACAAGTCTACTTGACATTATAATATATACAAAGTTATACTCTCCAACATAAAGTTGATATTTTTATCTACATTTGTCTGACTTTTTTTTTCTCCCTCTGTTGGTTCTAACCTCAGATATGGTAGAAGAATATTCTTTACTGACCTCATCTAACTCCAAAATCTTCCAGAGTTATCATCACACATAATTGGAAAGCCACTGTAATACGTTAATAAAATATATAAGGCTCACAGCCACAGCCTTTTCTCTTGCTACCCTTCCCACCTTTTCACCTCACTCTATCTTCTAGCCACAATAGAGTTTCTGCACTTCTTCAAATATGTTATGCCTTATCTCAATGCTAAACTTTGCACATTCTATTTCCTCTGTCTGGTGCAGTTTTCCAACTTCCTCTTATCTTGTCTGAAAACCTGCCCTGCACAAAGTCTTTTCTGATCTTTCATAAAACGCTGTTTGTTTTCCTAATACAGTATTTATTTATTGTTTTGAAATCTGATGCCTGTGTCTTCTTCCCAGTGAACAGTAAGCTTCTTTAGAATGTGCATAATGGCTTATTCATCTCATATTATACCATAAGCTGCCACAGTGTCTGGTACAAGGAAGGTGCTCAAGAAATATTTGCTGAATATATTAAACTTTTGTATATCATTCAAGATAAGGAATTGAATTTGCCCACAAAATCAACATGGAATCTTATATGGAAAAGCAGAGTCATTTTCTTCAGTTGCCTCATATACATGTAACCCTTGGTGAGACCCAATATTTTCCTTCCCCTCCACTTCCATCCTTCCCATATACACGTCAGGGGATGATAATAGAGAAGCATATTGATCTAAGAGGCTCCAGATTGATTGATCTAAGGGTATTGATATAAAAGGTAGCATGGAAAGTAAACTATGGTCAGAAATGTAACTCTAGATCTAATGTCTCTGCCTGATTTCTGGATACTGAGGGCTGTATTCCTGAAATGTAGGGTTGAGGTAAGGAAGCTCCTAGATATTAGAAACCATGTAATAGTTGTATCCCTAATACAGGGCTCATGTGTTGAAAGCAGAAGACAGAGGAGAAGGAAGTGAAAGGAGAGTATTTCTTCTATTGTAAGTTACAGGGCTATCATTAGTTACTTTTTCATTAAAAATAGATGAAGATTATCTTTATTACCCTCCTACTACTTTTCTCCTATTCCTTGGGCTTGGAGCCCAATACCTGCATGCTTCCTTAATCCCCTACCAGAGAAAATCGCTCAGGTCTACATTCCCACAAAGTATTACTGGCCACAAAAATACCTACCTCTGCACCTCAACCAAAATCTGCATCCTTATAAAGCAGAGATTAACATGCATTTTCGTGCATTTTCAAAGAAGATGCATATTAATGCAATGGAGTCTATAATTGGTAGGATTTCTAGCAGTGAAAAAAATCTAAGGGTCATGTGAATTTTAGGATTTGGGCATCTGCTAAAGGACATGACTATTAAATCTATCATTGGGTCTTGAAGTGATTTATTTTATTAAACAGCATCTTGCCTTCTTCTATTTGTAAACTTTAGGTTGTCTGAAATTTCCAGTTGTTTTTACATTGACAGAAACAGTTGGAAGAACTGTGGCAAACAACATATATGAAACATTTATGACACAGATGTTGTTAAATAAGGGATTGCTTGTCTTCTATTTAAGATTATTCTTAAATTTTCTCTTCTAATGTCAATTTCGGAGAGACTGTAAGAGATAGAGATTCTTATAGAAAATATTGTTAATGGTGTATTACATTAGTATATTTTTTCTCAGTTCTAAACAAATTGTCACATACATCTCCTTTGAGCCTTCAGTGTGCCTGAGAGGTGAGTAGAACAGTATTTATAATATATCTTTTCCAGATGAGGAAATGGAAGCTCAGAGTGTATATGACTTGCAGAAAGTTTGCCATTCTTAAAGAACAAAGCTAGGACTAGAATCTAGCTTTCTCAAGTCTGGTTTGAGCTTTTTCTACTACAGCATGCTGCACCCTAAGCAAGCTTTACATTAAGCAGTTTTCTGGATAACTTTAAGCTCTGGATTTCAGAAACATGGCCCAAGTATTAGTGGCAAGGGAGAACACCATAATCAGGTACAGAAATGTGTGTGATAGGTGAGGCAGGGAAGAGTGAAGAGAGAAGATAAATATTTTACTTCTTTGTAGAGGATAGAAGAATTATCATCTTTCTTATGGAGGAACTAACCCTAAGGGAAGCCTAGCATTTCAATTCACAGAACCGTAACCAAGCTGTCACTGCTCTTTTGTTTGTTTGCTTGAGACGGAGTCTTGCTCTGTCATCCAGGCTGGAGTGTAGTGGCATCTCAGCTTACTGCAACCTCCGCCTTCTGAGTTCAAGCAATTCTCCTGCCTCAGCTTCCGTAGTAGCTGGGATTACAGGCGTGGCACCCCCATGCCCAGCTAATTATTTGTATTTTTAGTAGAGATGGGGTTTCACCATGTTGCCCAGGCTGGTTTCAAACTCCTGACCTCAGGTGATCCACCCGCCTCAGCCTTCCAAAGTGCTGGGATAACAGGTGTGAGCCACCACTCCTGGCCTGTCACTGCTCTTTTAATGCATGGTAGCTTGCTCAAATTGTGCAAATATTCTTCAGAGGCTATTGAGTATTAAATGTTGAATTTATGTACACCATGCATATAGTGAGAGTAACATCACAGATGACATAAAAATAACATATTTATTAATTTGGGAGAAATACAAGTTACTCAAGTTATAAGTTGATTTTCATGCTGTTACAAGGTTTTTTAAGGAACACTAATAGTTAAAAAGTTAATGTTAAATTAGGGAAAATAAAAATTGAGCCCAAAAAATCTGGATAAAGAATACATCTAACTCTGAAACTTTGAGAAGAAAATCAAAGACTTTTTTGTATTTTTTTAGATAGATTTAGGACAAAGATCATTCAATACAGAAACATTGAAAGAAGACAACAAACTAAGGCACAATAAATATAGAATTATAAATTCAAGGAGGTTTTGACTTATTATCCAATGAAAGCTGGATATCTTCTATGAGATACCAGTCTATTTTTGCATCACTATATATATTTTTTAAATGAAAATAACAGTAGTGCCCTGTTATAAAAAGTGTTATCATTACATGGGTTCAGATAGAGTTTAGGTCCAATCATTTCTTCCAAATACAAAAGTGTGAAGCTTCAGCAAACGGTGTGGTAGATAAAAAGCCCTGAACTACAAGTCGGAACACCTGAGTTCTATTTCTGGCTCTGAAGCCAACTAATTTTGACTGGTGGACTAAAAATGTCTATCATTTCACTCTGTCTATTCTCTCTTCTTACGGAATATGCCTTGGCTATTGCAGAAAGTGAGCAGCTTGCTTGCCACATGACCTTGTGCTTTGGTCACAGCTGAATGATACAGGGAAGGACACTTAATCCAAGCTTAGGCAATCAGCTTCTCTTTTCTAGAAATTCGATCATGTGCACTTGGGGTTTAAGGTGTTTGTGTGTGTGTGAAAGAGAAAGTAAGAGTGAGAAAGAGACAGGCAGACAAGAGAGAGACAGAGAGAGAGAGAGAGAGAGAGAGAGAGAAAGAGAGAGAGAGAGACAGAATAGAGGAGAAGAAAGAGATCATCAAATATGTGGTTGGTTCCACAAGGCTTGGTCATGTTTCCTACACTTGGGTTTAATGTGATACCTTTGTAGCCCACTTTTCTCAAGCTAGTTTGAATGGGTTTCCATTCTTTGCAAACAAACAATATATTGTTAAGATTAAAGCCACTTCAATCTTGCAAGTTAAGCAAGCTTATGCTGCTGTAATGAATAACTCCAAAGTCTTAATGACTTAAAACAACAAAAAGGTTTATTTTTCATTCACACTATATGTTCATTGTGGGTAGTCTGGGGACTTTGCTCTGAATTTTCATTCTCACTCTGGGACACAGACTTAGCATTGCCGGTTGCCCTGACAGAGGGAATAAAAAAATGTGGAAAAGCATGGACTGCCTCTCAATGCTTTTCCTTGGAAATGACACATCTGCTCACCTTTCAAAGCAAGTCATATGATTACACCTAACTTGAAGTAGGCAGAGAGAAGGGCAATCTTCCTATGTGCCAAAGGGGAGAGACAGCTTAAATATGTGTGATCAGTACTAATGACTATCTTGCTCAGTTACCTTCATAAGAGATTAAAGAAAATCAAATGGAGTAATGGATAAAAACAGGTCTTTACTAACTTTAAAGTGGCATTTAGATGTAAGAGATGATTTTAACTACATGGTACAAGTCTGCTATAATTTTACTATTGTACACCTAGAGTTCACTATACTCACCAAATTTCAAAAATCAATTTGAGACAGGGAGTGATATAAGTGTAATGGGATACATATTTTTTCTTTTTTCTTGCATTTCTTCTGGAGATACAAAGCATATCTAGGCCAGAATAACTAAAGTTGTTCTCTGGTCCTGTACCTCCATGCTAAAAAAGAACTAGAGATTATTTTAGCTTTATAATGCATAGTGAAAGTGCTAAGAGCAGTTTGATCTTTGCAGTGTACAATATCTGATTTTTTTTTAGATATTATACCCTGAAGGCAGAGAAAGGTAATAGCTTCTTTTAAAGTTCTCCAATTTATCCTTCAGAATCTAAACCTCCCCCTTTTCTAATATACTAAGCAATCTATCAGGTGTCTAAGGATCAAAATACTCAATGCTCGATAACCTTTTTCACAGGACAAGAGGAAGAATCACCAAATCTAAGTGGCCACACGAGAAAGAAATGAGATAGGGTGATTTTAAAAGGAAGAGGTTTCCTTCCAATTGAAAAGAGTTGATTAAGTGGGGTAATTTAAAAGAGTAGAATGAAGAACTTGTGTCCATTAGGAAACTTGGCACGGGTAAAATGATAAAGAAGAGACAATTTTTATGATGTGCCTCAAATGATTTGAAACATACAGTTAAATCGAAAGTAAAGGAGACTTTATTATGTTCTTCTGGACTCAGACATTTGTATATTATCTGACATTAAGATAATTTACTTGAGGTCTGCATTATCTTTCCTTTACTTTTAAGGGTTAAGTTCAGGTGTTATATATATTTGGAAATTAATTTTTCCAAATAAGGATATTAAATAAATTATTATTTAATTATAAGTTATAATCATCGTCACTTCATAAGAGGTAATTTTACCACCAAAAAAGTGGGATGAATATAATTTGAGACTAATAAAAAATTGGCTGTCTCTCTCTCCCTTATAGATATAACAAAATAGAAAATGTTCTTAGCAATTCATATTAATTTGGGGAAAATGTGATTCTGGAACAATGGAAAGCTGGAGACAGACATTGTTCAGAGTCACATAGGCACTGATTTTAAGGGAATAACCTCACTAACACTAGGAGACTTCAGTATTTTGTAAACATTACCTTAAATGGAATAATAATGAATATTGCTCTAATTTTCCTAAACTGGTTATTTAAGTATAAAAGGAATATGGCATATAAAAAAAAACCTCTTGGATCCAATAGGCATTGCTGTTGCAGACAAGCTAGCTACCTACACAGCATCTATTTTCCACTTTTTCCTTACTTACAGAGCTCAGATTGTGTTTGGGTTGGTAATTTGCCCAACTACTCATAATATTAAAATATTCACATTCACAACTTTTCTTGCAGCTAGGAGTAGCTATATGGCTCAATTCTGGGAAACAGGATGTAAGCAAAAGCTATGACTCCTCTGTTAGGGTGGAGGCATATTGGAGGCCAGATAATAAACAAAAATCTGGCCAAGGTTTGGCTTACTATGGATTTACTGGGTCCATGAAACCACCTAATGGTTACTTCCCTGGTCTCAAATGAAGGGGTGGGTTGCCCCTTCACACCTATGGGTGTTTCTCGTTAGGTGGAACGAGAGACTTGGAAAAGAAAGAGACACAGAGACAAAGTATAGAGAAAGAAAAAAGGGGGCCCAGGGGACCGGCGTTCAGCATATGGAGGATCCCGCCGGCCTCTGAGTTCCTTAGTATTTATTGATCATTCTTGGGAGTTTCTCGGAGAGGGGGATGTGGCAGGGTCATAGGATAATAGCGGAGAGAAGGTCAGCAGATAAACACGTGAACAAAGGTCTCTGCATCATGAACAAGGTAAAGAATTAAGTGCTGTGCTTTAGATATGCATACACATAAACATCTCAATGCCTTAAAGAGCAGTATTGCTGCCCGCCTGTCCCACCTCCAGCCCTAAGGCGGTTTTTCCCCTATCTCAGTAGACGGGACATACAATCGGGTTTTATACCAAGGCATTCCATTGCCCAGGGACGGGCAGGAGATAGATGCCTTCCTCTTGTCTCAACTGCAAAGAGGCGTTCCTTCCTCTTTTACTAATCCTCCTCAGCACAGACCCTTTACGGGTGTCAGGCTGGGGGATGGTCAGGTCTTTCCCTTCCCACGAGGCCATATTTCAGACTATCACATGGGGAGAAACCTTGGACAATACCTGGCTTTCCTACGCAGAGGTCCCTGAGGCCTTCCGCAGTGTTTGTGTCCCTGGGTACTTGAGATTAGGGAGTGGTGATGACCCTTAACGAGCATGCTGCCTTCAAGCATTTGTTTAACAAAGCACATCCTGCACAGCCCTTAATCCATTTAACCCTGAGTTGACACAGCACATGTTTCAGGGAGCACAGGGTTGGGGGTAAGGTTACAGATTAACAGCATCTCAAGGCAGAAGAATTTCTCTTAGTACACAACAAAATGGAGTCTCCTATGTCTACTTCTTTCTACACAGACACAGCAACAATCTGATCTCTCTTTCTTTTCCCTACACTCAAATGTATAATTGGATTGGCATACTTGGCATTTGGAATAACTCACATACTTGGGTCCTTGGACTATAAGATAAGAGCTGCCTCATTCCACCCCCTGTCACCTCAGGCAAAGATAGTAAATTCAAGCCAGTATTACTTTTGGGGAGTAGCTGAAGTTATCACCACTATTAAAGACCTGAAAGATGCAGAGGTGGTAGTTCCCATTATATCTCCATTTAATCCACCAGTTTAGTCCCTACAGAAATGTAATAAATACTGATAGTAACTAGAGACTACCACAAATTCATTTAAGTGATAGCTCAAACTACAGCCATTGTGCTAGATATGAAATGTCTGTCAGAAGAGATTAATATGTGGCCTCCAATTTGGCAAATTCTTTCTTGTATATCCCAATCAAAGAGGATCAAAATCAGTTCATGTTCTCAAGGATGAAAATTAGCACACATTTTCAGTTTTTCCATGGGGCTATGCTAAATCTCTGACCCTTTGTTATAAAGTAGTCTGAAGAGATCTGAACCATCTGCAAATACTGCAGAAAATCACATAGATCCTTTAAGCCAATGACTTCATGCTAATTGGGCCACATCAGCAAGGGATGGTTAGCATGATGGAGAACTTGGTAAGACACATGCATTCCACTCCAAGAGGTAAAAGGTAAATACTGAAAGATTCGGGAGTCTGCTGAATCAGTATAGTTTTCAGGGGTCCTGGTTTCAGAAATGTGCTGAGACCTCACTGAAGGAAAAGTCATACTGTTGCACTTGTTCCCGTTACCACAAGAAAAGCAGTATGCCTGTGTTATGGGACCACCAGGATCATTTGCCTGCTGTACCATAACATATCAATACACTGAAACAGCAGGAGTTGCAGCAGAGAAAGAGTTTAATAATCATTAGGTAGCTGGATGAGGAGACAGAAGGAACCCTCAAATCCATCTCCCTGAAGGGTTAAGGGGTAAAGTTTTTAAGGGAATGATGGCAGGCAAGAGACGAGAAGACTGGGGTTGCTGATTGGTAATGGTGAGAGGATGAAATCATAAGGATGTAGAATGAACCCATCATAGAGTAGAAGTGCCACATCTGAGATAAGTACAAGGAAGACCAAAGGATACCAGCAAACTACATGAACCAGTAGCCCAGACGCCAGAATCATCTACCACATTTGCACCATCATCCTTTCCCTTGCCTCAGCCATGCCTATGGCCACATCTGGGGGCTCAGATGACCGGCTGATGCGGGAGTTGTGAAAAGGTTCAAACTTTGTTTAAAGATTAGTCAGCTGGGTAGATGAGTGCAAACAAAAAATGGATGACAGTTGCAATACAATCTTATTCAGGGATGGCCAGGAAAAACTGGTGATAAACAATTTTTCCGATGAGCAGCTTCAGGCAGTGCACTAGGTTGTCCACCTTTTGTGGAAGGAGAAGAGGCCAGGGTTTAGAATACATATACAGACTCATGAGCAGCAGCAAATGGCTTGTCTGGCTGGTAGGGGCATGAAAAAAAAATAGAAAGGACTGAAATAAAGAACTCTGGGGTAAAGCCATGTGGATGGACATAATTGAGTGGGTACAACATGTGAGAATCTTTGTTTCACATGTTAACACTTACCAGAAAACATCTACTATGGGAGAGACACTGAACTGCCAAATATATAGAATGACTCAGTCATTTGACATTAACTTGTTTTTGACATTGGCTACTCTGGAACTGGCATAGTGAGCACATGGAGGCAAAAAATGAGACCACACATGGACCAAACAACATGGGTTCCCATTCACCAAGGCTGATTGCTGCTGTCAAATATTCAATTGGCCAGAAACAAAGGACAACACTGAGCCCTCAATATAGAACCTGTCCTTGAAAATGCAAATTGGCCATGAGGGTGGCAAGTCGGTCTCTTCCATCTTGGAAGGGCCAGTGCTTTCTTGTTAGAAATAGATGGGTATATCAGGTATGGGTTTTCCTTTCTTGCCTGCAGAGCCTCAGCCAGCACCACTATCTGAGGGCTTATAAAAGGATCCATTAAAATTGGATCCAATAAAACATCTCAAAAAATAAAACCATGGGTTCCACTGACTGTTTCAGATATTGTGCTTTTCAGAAATTTCCAGCCTGATAGACTGTCTGTAAGGCCTACTGAAGGCACAGCTGAAGTGCCAGCTTCGAGGGAATTCTCTTTGAGGATGGGGTTCCCTTTTCTAGGATACAGTGTATAAATTAAATAAAAGACTTATATATGGTGCTATAACCCTACAGGATGAATACATAATCTGAAAACCAATGGGTGAAAGCTAGGATGATTCCATTTTCTATTACTCCCTGTCTTACAATGGGAGACTTTGTTCTTCCTGTCCCTGGAACTGTAGGCTCAATAGAGTTAGAATAGAGATGCTTGTCACCAAAGGCAGCACACTTTTACCAGGGGATACAGCAAGCGTAACATTGAATTACAAGTGACAACTACCACTAGAGAACTTGAGACTCTTTATGTCCTTGGACCACAAGAGAAAAAAGGAGTCATCATCTTGGTAGGACTCACTGACTTATTGGCAGGAAGAGGTTGGGTTGTTGTTACACAATGGTAACAGGGTGAATACTTATGAAACCCAGATAATCAACTGGGGCATCTCTTGGCACACCACTTGCTCCATTGTAATATTGAATAGACAAGGGCAGGAGTTAAGCATGAGACAATATGATGACTAGGGACTCAGATCACTCAGGGATGAGAGTCAAATTCACACTGCAAGAGAAGCCATCAAGGTTAGAAGGTATAGTAGCTGAGGGGAGTCTACATTTGTACAGTGGAGGAAAAAATGAATATTAATTGCAACTCTGAGACTAATCAGGTTGGTTTTCATGCCAGTGGTCCTCAAAGTATGGTCCAAGGACTGGCAGCAAAAGCATCACCTGGGAGCTGGTAGATGTTCAAATTCTCAGGGCTCCACCACAGACCTGTTGACCCAGAATCTCTGGGAGTAGAGTCCAGTAATCTGTTTAACCAGCCCTTCAGGGAATTCCAATGCACATCAGATTGTGAGAAGCTTTATCTACAACTCTGTCTGAGGTAGAAAAAAATGGGTTTGCAGGGTTGGGAAGGGACAAGAGTAGATTTTCAGAGAACAGTTAAGAAGCTATTATGACAACTGAGTTGAAAGATGATGTAGACACTGAAGTTTCCACTCCTGAAAATCAGGTCATCCTTTATCAATCTTATAGTTTTCTTATCAGTTCCTGGAGCATTCACAGGCTCCAGTTGTATTTCCTGACTTTTTTCTCTTTTCTTGTAAATTGTCCCTAAAGCACAATATAACTACTGTTGAAAAGAACACACATTGGACTTAATCCTATTGACCAGTGTTTTTTGAAAACTCTTTGAATGACATAAAGGGCATGTGCAATCTGGCTTTATCACCTGGTAGTCTTTGCAAACTCTTTTCCTGTGACATTTTACCTGTATATAGGCTATTCTCTCTATTTGGACACTGTCTTAGCTCAGACTGCCATAACAAAATACAGACTGGGTAGCTTAAACAATAGAAAAGTATTTTCTATAGGTCTGGAAGCTGGAATTCGCAGAACAGGGTGGCAGTATGGTTAGGTCCAGGGGGGTCCTCTTCATGGCTTGTAGATGGACGTCTTCTCCATGTGACTTCACACGGTGGAGAGAAAGATCAGCTGTCTTTTTCTATTCTTTTAAGGGCACCAGTTGTAGTGGATCAGGTCCCCGCCCTTATGACTTCATTTCACCTGAATCCCTTTTCTAAAGGCCCTTTTCCCAAGGACAATCATATGAGGTTAGAGCTTTAACATATGAATTTGGGTGGGGGGAGACACAGTTCAGTCCACAGCAGAATCCATTTCTCTATTTCTTAATTTGGCAAACTTCTATTCCCTTTTCAAAACTCAACACACATCTTTTCTGTTTGTGTGCTGTACCTTGGTGTCATGCCCTTGATGGCAGGAAAGGATTAGCCTTCAGCTCTGTGGGAAATGTTGTTAATGAGAACAACTGATTCCCTAAGATGTTGATGTACAACTAAGTTCATGGTATGGTAAGATTCTTTATCAAGGACCTTTATTGAGTAGTAAAAAGCTGATCCCTAAAAATGAGTTGCTTGGTGCCCCTATTTTAAACAGAAGTATAATCCCAATAGAGGCTAGAAACTGACAAGGAACCAATTCACAGTGAGAACTTAAGGTTTTCCCGAGAGTGAAATCTAATGTAAACTATGGACTTTGGGTGATAATGATGGGTCAATATAGGTTCATTGATTGTAACAAATGTACCTGATTACAGGATGTGGTCAATGGGAAAGTTGTCCATGTGTGAAGGTAGAGATATATGGGAACTCTGTACTTTCTGTTCAACTTTGCTGTGGACCTAAAACTGCTCTGTAAAATAAAGTTTGTTAATTAATAAAATAGAATACAAGCCAATGAGCTAAAAACAAAACATTTTAAAAACTTTAAGGTTTTTTTTTAAGCTAACTTGTAACTAAAAAAGCACATGGGTCTAAGAAATTGTTCAGATACTGACAACTTACCAAACCATTTTTTTCAGAGAGTGACACTGAAGAGATTGATAAATTGATATATCAATGGCTTAGACATGTTGGTAGAGGTAGTATGAAAAATGGGTCTGTGGTCAAATAAGTATGGAAGTACTGGATTTAACAAATCAAACAGATTTTTATGGTACTCTTCTCAGAGCTCTCAATACACTGCTACGCAGGGCGAATGCCCAGGAGCAGGAATATTTTAAGAAACACTTCCTCAAACTTATTTGACAGTGCAACCCCAGGGTACATTTTTTAAAATACAGTTGAGATTATGGAGAACTACTTAAGAGGGTTTTTATAGGATAATAGCGTGATCAAATATTTGAATTTTAGAAAGATTACTCGGGGAACCATGTAAAGGAAGTGTTGTAGGTGGTCCAAAAACAGGCCAAAAGGGTCTACCTAAAAGGTTATTGCAATACTACATATGAGAAAAGATGAGCTCTTGTTTGTGGGAGGAGGTATGATGGTGGAGCTGAAAGGTATATAATAAATATAAATAAATAAATAATAATAATAAATAATAAATATAAATATTCTAGGATGGAATTGAGTCCAACACAGAGATTTCTTGGAGCCCATCTAGATTTGGTTACTCAGTGTGCTTGCAATATAATACAGTGCCAAAAGCAAACCTCAGGGAAGATTTCAAGGGCTGTTCTCTGTGTATTAAAATTGGTATTAGTGTGTGGCAGGAATTGGCATAATTGTGCTCTGAACTATCTTCACATAAAAGTGCATGGGGTGCTCAGGTCGTGTTGTCCACTTCTATAAGCTATGCTTATTTTGTTTCCAAGGTAACAATGCCTCTGCAGCTGCTGCTTTTTCAATGTAATTGATTGAGACACCACACTGCAATTGCAGGGCTCCTGAATTCTGTCCTACACTTGTTTCCTAAAGGTGTTTATTGCTCTTTTAGCATTCATTCTAGCTGCAAAGAATCATAGGGTAACAGTTTCTTGATAAAATAAAGGCAAGTTACCTGGTTTCATGAGAAGAAAGTGGTTTAAAGTGGTTTAGAAAAGTCTGGCTTCCTGTCAATTGTCTGATTATCTGCAAATTGTAGTCATAACTTCAATTTTTGTTGTTGTTGTTGTTTGTTTTTTTTTTTGCTTGTTGTTGTTTTTTTGAGACAGAGTCTCACTCTGTCACCCAGGTTGGAGTGTGATCTCGGGTCACTATGATTGCAAATGTTTTTAACTTCTGTTGTTGGGTAGTGGTTTCTTACTCAGCTAGGCCCTGCTCAAAAGTGCTCTTTTGCTCTGAGTTTATTGGTCTGATAGATTACTTCAGAATCAAACTATTAAAAAAAAAACTACATAATGGGCCCTAAGCACTACCAGTCACTTTTTACACTCTAGTGTTTTGAGAAGCCCAGGCCAAATTGATCATTACTATAGTCTCATCCCACATGGTCCAGAAAATAAGATATCTGAAGTCTCCATCCAATAAGATTTACAATACTGATAGCAAAACGTGAGACAATGTACTACAGTAGAGAATGAGCTGGACTAGGAGTCAAAAGACCCCAGTCTTCTCATTTATCCATCATCAAGTCATTTTACCACCTTGGACAATGTACTTTACCCCTCTGAGTCTATTACTTCATCTCTAAACGGGGTATGCAAATACTTACAATACTTGTCTTACTAGGACATTTTGAAATAATTTTGAATACATTTTTATTTTTGCAAATCACTTTCACAATCACTACCTTATTCATTCATGTGCTCATTCTTCCAACAAATGTCATTGAGCACCTACTATATGTCTGGTTTTCTGCTAGGTTCTGGGAATAGAGAGATAGATAAATAAGCAAACAATTAAAGCACAAAGTAATAAATAGCATGAGAGACACAAGTACAGGATACAGTGATCCTTGCAATGCTTCTGTGAGATACACAGTAAAACAGTGATCATTCTAATTTTACAGATAAGGAAACTGAAGTTCAACAAATACAGTGGTTTGTTCAAGTCACATAGATAGTTAGTGGCAGGCTGACAACTTGAACTTAGTTCCCCTGACTTTTTGGTGTAATGTTCTTTCCAATGCTGAACTCTGTATTAAGTGTTTTTCAAGCAATCAAAATAAATTATATATCTTGACAATACATTGCCAAGGTAGAACACAAACTTGACCAGTTGACAGTCCTAGAGCAGGATTTACAAAAGAGCTGATGGGAGTGGAAGCATAAGTAGAAGATATGCATATACTTGAAATCAGTTGCCAAATCACATGATAAAAATCACATTGGATAGAGACTTGGTAGTCTCCTAGGACTGTACAACCATAAGCCATAAAACATTTAGGAATGCCTGGCGGGGTTCCAGTGTAGAATTAAAATGAAGCAAGCTTTAGATCAAAGGCTATGGTTATTGACCTAATCAAAGGCACTTTTGACAACTTATTTTGCATGAAGATGTATTTTGGGGAGTAATAAGCAAAAGAAAGATGGTAGAAAAGAGAGAAAAATGCTGGGCAAGACTACATCATGATTTCTCTTCCTTTAATTACATAGAACTAGTTGCAAGGAGAAATGGGAGGTGCTTTAAAGTAAGAAAGGGGAGGGTTTGGCAAGGGAATAAGAGATACTTGCCATCATGTGCAAGGGAGACAGATGACAAATCACTGGTAATTATGGCTGGGTGGGTTAAAATATGTAGGCAGTGGGCGGTAGCACCCTAGGATATCCCTAAACCAGGCAGGGAGACCTAGTCACAATCACAATTAAGAAGAACATTCACTACAATTATCCTTTTTCTACAGCCCATATCCATTTACATTTTTGTCACTTTCATCATTAGCATCATCATCAAATTAATATTTTAGGGTTTTTATCATTTATAAAGCACTTTCTCATGAATATTTTCATATAATACAGCAATTCTATCAGGTAGATATAAGTCTTTATCATGTTGCAGATGAAGAAACTGAGTCTCAGGGAGGTCAAATAACTTCCCCAAGGTCACTCAGCAAGTGTAGGATGCCAGCTCTTATGACTCCCAATCTAAGTAACAATTCTGAGATTACAGCAGATCCTAAATGCATGACATTTTGATTGGCATCTTCCCAAGGAAATTTTAGGGACTTGTCTTCATTTCATTAGGCAACACATTTTCAAGATATCTCTTAGGGTTGGTTGCTTCTGAAAAGATTTCCACAGATGGCTAACCCCATCTATTTCATTTTCAATTCTTCTTATCCCAATCAGAGTGACTCTGCCTGACCTTGTACCCCTATTCTGGAAACTCATCCTACAAGGAATCTTGTAGGCTTCTTTTTCTGACTAATCTGCCTATAAATATAAGATATTGAAATTATTTTAATGATGAGTTTTTAGAATGCTCTCTGTTTCACCTTTTGTTTTATATGCTGTTTTCCCTAATGATGTAGCTAGCTTGACGCTTGGGAAAACACAATTTAAGCTCTGTAATCTCTTTCTTGCCCCACTGACCACATTAATAATTTTCAGCTCTTCCTTTTATGGTTTCTCCTCAGATATTTAAGGCAAATATTCTGCCCACTTACCAACTTTTTTCTCAGCTACACATATCAAATTGCAGTCCTGGAAGCAGGAGATTTATAGAAGGGAACTGGTGTCCTAAAAATGGCCAGTTAGGTCTTGATTACAGGAGTTATATCTTGCACTACATGAGGCCAGGCCATATAATTTTTATATGTGTTTACTATATGCTCTTATTATTTATTGTCAGCTTATAGGATGTGCAGTGCTGTGCTTGCGACAATCTAACCTAAAAGCTTATACTCAAAGATTCATCTCTGTCAGCCTGACCGGGCAGAGTACTGGATGCAGAGAAAGCTAAAATGCATGTAAGAGCTCTGTGTTTTTAGAGTCATACTACTCAGAAGTCAAGTAACAATCTAAACTAATCACTATATTATATTTAAGCCTTTCAGGTGAAGAGAATTTCCCATGTGTAGGAATTTTTTTCTACTAGAGATTCTGGCTGATGTGGTATACATTTTTCTCCATCTCTCCTTGTATTGAAAAAATGCTTGTAACACTTGATCAGAAAGCAATATGCCTTCCTAGAGCCAAACAGAAAAGACTTAATCCTATTTTACTAGAATATGCTGTAGGAACACAAAGTATTGTCAAGAGAGCCACAGGATGGTTTGAAGAGAGGACAATAGATACAAGAAGGAGGTTGATTTTGGAGGTTTTTTTCAGCTGGTAACAATCTGAAACTTTTTGGGAGCCATTCTGAGGAGAACTATAAACATAATTAAAAACTAAAAGGAAAGGTTGCAGGCCGGGGGCATTGTGGGCTGTATAAAGGAAGGCTTGTGAATTCTTTTCACATTTGGGTTGGAGTAGTGCAGCAACAGTTACTTACTACAGACTGGACAAGAACTTGAAATTGCAAGAAGAGCTTACGGAATGGGAGTTTGGAGCCTTCATAACAGGTGTCATTCTTCAGCACCTGCTGTGTGCCAAGTATTCCATTAGGGGCTTTACATCTATGATTTATCTCCTTAAAGCCACCTACCAAGGTGGCAATATTATCGTCATTTTACAGATGAAGAAACCGAGGCTTGAGGAAGCAATTTGTCCAAGGTTATAAAATAAGCAAGAGGTAAAGAAAATTCCAACTCAAGTTTCACTGATTCTATTGCCTACTCTGTTACAGTTCTAGAAAGGTTTTCCCACCACCCAAAGATGATTGGTTATCTTCTCTCTTCTGGACATTGTGAGACTAAGGTAGCTGTGAGTTAGCCTGAGTGCAGCTTTTTCTGGCTCTTATTTAATACCTGGGCAGAGACCAAGAATATCCTGGCTGAGTTTCATACAACTTTGCCTTCAGGAGCTCTAAGCTCTCTATTGAGAAACCTAGATCGATGGTCCTTACCAAAGATGAAAATGGATGAGAATCAGAAGTTTTCTAAAATTTTGCCACTAGCTGGCTTTTTCTCACAGGTGCAAAGAAAAAAGAAAAATAAATCTCAGAAACTCTGGGATACATGAGATATTACCTTAAAGCATTAAATTTCTTAGCCAACTATTCTGACTGGCTGAATAGCCTCACTCTAAAATCTATACCACCCTCCTGATCCTGGACAGAATGTGACTCTCTGGGATGTCAGGAGTCAGTGAGAACTTCCCAGTCAGAAGTAGCTTATGAAGGCTCTGTGTTCAGGGAATGTATATGGACTGCTTCCAAATGCTCTTCACAAAGCACACTTCCAAACTCTGAGGCCATGATTCTGGGGACACTTACTATTTCAAGCACCCTATCTATGTTCACTTATTCAACAATACCTCTTCTTCTTTGGCAGCAGAAATTCTGTTCACAAATTGATCTATAACTGTGTTAGATGATATTCTCATAAAAATGATGAGGTCTTTACAAAAAACTCTGTATCTAAGTTTCCTGTGGTCCCATATGGACTTGTATGGGCCTAAAGTGATGAATTCTTCCTTTATTAGTGAGATAAATCTTCCACTCCCATTTCTCTGTTCCTCTAATTCATTCAACAGACATTTATCAAGGACCTACCATGTCCATCACTGTGTTCAACACAAGGAACACAAAAATAAATAGTACAACATTTCTGTCTTTGAGGACAACCTAATTGAATGAGATGGACACACACACACACAGGAAAGTATATTAAAATGTTTCAGGTGATGTCAAAAGAATACAAGAGCCAAACTAAAATAGCTTTCTATGTCTGACACTTGAAAATGTGAGCAAGAAAGTAAATTATAACAGTATTAGATTATAATCCAAAGTATAAAATAAATATCCAAGAGTCCATATGATTCTTGGATCAAATAGATGATTATATAAATAAATGAGGTAAAGGGCCAAATCTTCCTCACAGAAGAATGCCAATTAAAAATGTAAAAGGGGTGGTACTAGGATTGAGATGGCGGAGAAGAGGCAGGAGTAGCTTGCAGCTCCTGCTCCTACAGACAGAGTAACATGTGGAAACTCACATTGTTAACTTTTGCTCTAAGGAACATACCAGGAAAGCTGAGATACAGAAACATACCCGGAACATACCAGAAACATACCAGGAAACATACTAGGAAAGCTGAGATAATACTGGAACGTACCAGGAAAGCTGAGATAATCCACAGACTCTTTGAAGGATCTGGATCACTGCTGCAGGCTCCCTGAGATGCCAAAAACCTGTGAGCCTGCTTGCTTTCTGAGTGGGGAGGCTGAGGGTCTGAGGCAAGTTCCCAGCCCTGGTCACTAACTGCTTGGAAATAGACTCAGTTCTATTGGTGGGGGGGAGGTACATGGTGGGAGTGAGACCAGCCTTTAGGACTGCAGATGCATGGGAGCAGCGTGAGGCCTGTGACTGCCGGCTTTACCCCACTTCCCTGGAGACCTGTATGACTCAGCAGAGTCAGCCATAATCCCCCTGGGAACATAACTCCATTGGACTGGGAAGAGCACCCCAATCCCTCACAGCAGCCACAGCAAGCCATACCTAAAGAGAGGCAGAGCTCAGACACACCTATCCTTGCCCCCACTTGGTGGTCTTTCTCTTCCCAACTTGGCAGACAAAGACAAAGGGGATAATCTCTTGGGAGCGCTATGGCCCTGCCCACCACCAGAGAAAACCGAGTACTTAACCAGGTGTCCTAGGGCAAGTTGGCATCCTCCCTATAAGGCTGCTGCTGATGCATCCTTGAAAGTGCCACCTCCTGGCTGGAGGCCAACCAACATAAAACCAGCATACTAAACAAAAACACAACCAAAGACCCTCACAGAGTCCACATCACTCCCCTGCTACCTCCACTGGAGCAGGTGCTGGTATCCACAGCTGCAAGATCTGACGATAGATCATATCATGGGACTCTGCAGACACTCCCCAGTACCAGTCCAGAGCCAGATAGCTCTGCTGGGTGACTAGGCCAAGAAAAGTAAAAACAATCACTACAATTTGGCTCTCAGGGAGCCCCAGTCCTAGGGGAAGTGGGGGAACACCACATCAAGGGAACATACTGTGGGACAGAACAATCTGAGCAGCAGCCCTTGAATCCCAGATCTTCCCTCTGACATAGTCAACCCAAATGAAAAGGAACCAAAAAAACAATTCTATTAATATGACAAAACAAGGTTATTCAACACCCCCAAAAGAACATACCAGCTCACCAGCAATGGATCCAACCCAAGACAATATCTCTGAACTGCCAGAAAAAGAATTCAGAAGGTTGATTATTAAGCTAATCAAGGAGGCACCTGAGAAAGGTAAAGTCCAACTCAAAGAAATCAAAAACATAATGCAGGATATGAAAGGAAAATTATTCAGTGAAATGGAGAGCATAAACAAAAAACAATCACAACATCTGGAAATCAAGGACACACTTAGAGAAGTGCAAAATGCACTGGAGGTTCTCAGCAACAGAATCGAATAAGCAGAAGAAAGAACCTCAGAGCTTGAAGACAAAGCTTTTAAATTAACCTGATCTGTTGAAGACACAGAAATTTTTTTTAAGATGAACAGAACATCAAAGAAATTTTGGACTATGTTAAACGTCCAAACCTAAGAATAACTGGTGTTCCCAAGGAAGAAGAGAAATCTAAAAGTTTGGAAAAGATATTTGAGGGAATAATTGAGGAAAACTTCCCTGGCCTTGCTAGAGATCTAGACATCCAAATACAAGAAGCACAAGGAACACATGGGAAATTCATCACAAAAACATCATTGCCTAGGCACATAGTCATCAGGTTATCTACAGTCAGGGTGAAAAAAAGAATCTTAAGAGCTGTGAGGCAAAAGCATCAGGTAACCTATAAAGAAACATCTGCCAGATTAACAGCAGATTTATCAGCAGAAACCCTACAAGCTAGAAGGGATTGGGGTCCTATTTTTAGCCTCCCTAAACAAAGTAATTATCAGCCAAGAATTTTGTACTTAGCAAAACTAAGCTTCATAAATGAAGAAAAGATACAGTCTTTTCCAGACAAACGAATGCTGAAATTGCCACTACCAAGCCAACCCTATGAGAATTGCTAAAAGAAGCTGTAAACATTGAAACAAATCCTCTAAATACACCAAAATAGAACCTCCTTAAAGGATAATTGTCACAGGACTTACACGACAATAATAGAATGAAAAAAGCACAAGGTATTCAGGCAACAAATAGCATGATGAATAGAATAGCATCTCATATCTCAATACTGACATTGAATGTAAATGGCCTCAACGCTCCACTTAAAAGTTACAGAATGGGCCGGGCGCGGTGGCTCACACCTGTAATTCTGGCACTTTGGGAGGCCGAGGCGGGTGGATCACGAGGTCAGGAGGTCGAGACCATCCTGGCTAATACGGTGAAACCCCGTCTCTACTAAAAATACAAAAAAAAATTAGTGGTAGCGGGCGCCTGTAGTCCCAGCTACTCGGGAGGTTGAGGCAGGAGAATGGCATGAACCCGGGAGGCGGAGCTTGCAGTGAGCCAAGATAGCGCCACTGCAGTCCAGCCTGGGCAAAAGAGCGAGACTCCGTCTCAAAAAAATAAAAAAATAAAAAAATAAAAGTTACAGAATGGCAGAATGGATAAGAATTCACCAAACAAGTTTCTGCTGTCTTCAAGAGATTCACCTAACACATAAAGACTCACATAAACTTAAAGTAAAGGGATGGAAAAAGATATTCCATACAAATGGACACCAAAAGCGAGCAAGAGTAGCTGTTCTTACATCAGACAAAACAAACTTTAAAGCAACAGCAGTTTAAGAAGGCAAAGAAGGACATCATATAATGATAAAAAGACTAGTCCAACAGGAATAGATCACAATTCTAAATATATATGCACCTAACACTGGAGCTCCCAAATTTATAAAATAATTACTACTAGACTTAAGAAATGAGATAGATGGCAACACAATAATAGTGGGGGATTTTAATACTCCACTGACAGCACTAGATAGGTCATCAAGGCAGAAAGTCAACAAAGAAACAATGGACTTAAACTACACCCTACAACAAATGGACTTAACAGATATTTATAGAACATTCTACCCAACAACTGCAGAATATATATTCTAGTCATCAGCACATGGAACATTCTCTAAGATAGACCATATGAGAGGCCACAAAATAAGTCTCAGTAATTTAAGAAAATCGAAATTACATCAAGTACTCTCTAAGACCACAGTGAAATATAATTGGAAATCAACTCCAAAAGGAACCTTCAAAAGCCAGCAAATACATGAAAATTAAATGACCTGCTCCTGAATGACTGTTGGGTCAAAAATGAAATCAAGATGGAAATTTAAAAATTGTTTGAACTAAATGATAATAGTGACACAACCTATTAAAACATCTGGGATACAGCAAAAGCAGTGCTAAGAGGAAAGTTCATAGCACTAAATGACTACATCAAAAAGTTGGAAACAGCACAAATAGACAATCTAAGGTCACACCTCATGGAACTGGAGAAACAAGAAAAATCCAAACCCAAACCCAGCAGAAGAAAAGAAATAACAAAGATCAGAGCAGAACTAAATGAAACAAAATGAAACAAAAAAAAATACAAAAAATAAGTGAAACAAAAAGCTTGTTCTTTGAAAATATAAATAAAATTTGTAGACCATTAGCAGGATTAACCAAGAAGAGAGAAGATCCAAATAAGCTCAACTGCAAACAAAATGAGATATATTACAATTGACACCAAATAAATTTTAAAAAAAGATTATTCAAGGCTACTATGAACACCTATATGTGCATAAACTGGAAAACCTAGAGGAGATGGACAAATTCCTGGAAATATACAATCCTCCTAGATTAAACCATGAAGATATAGAATATCTGAACAGACCAATGACAAGCAGTGAGATTGAAATGGTAATAAAAAAAATTCCCAACAAAAAAAAAATCCTGGACCAGACAGATTCACAGCTGAATTCTAACAAACATTCAAAGAAGATTTGGTACCAATCCTATTGACACTATTTCAAAAAATAGGGAAAGAAGGAATCCTCCCTAAATCATTCTATGAAGCCAGTATCACCCTAATACCAAAACCAGAGAAGGACATAACAAAAAAAGAAAACTACAGACTAATATCCCTGATGAACATAGATGTGAAAATCCTCAACAAAATACTAGCAAACCAATTCCAACAGCATATCAAAAAGATAACCCACCATGCTCAAGTGAGTTTCATACCAGGGATGCAGGGATGTTTTAACATATGTAAGTCAATAAATGTGATACAGCGCATTAACAGAATTAAAAACAAAAATCACATGGTCATCTAAATAGATGCAGAAAAAGCATTTGACAAAATCCAGCATCCCCTTTTGATTAAAATCCTCAGCAAAATTGGCATAGAAGGGACATACCTTAAGGTAATTAAAGCCATCTATGACAAACCCACAGCCAACATTATACTGAAGAGGGAAAAGTTGAAAGCATTCCCCCTGAGAACTGGAACAAGACAGGATGCTCACTTTTACCACTTCTATTCAACATAGGGCTGGAAGTCCTAGCCAGAGCAATCAGAGAAGAGAAAGAAATCAAAGGGCATCCAAATCAGTAAAGAGGAAGTCAGACTGTTGCTGTTTGCTGATGACATGATCATATACTTAGAAAACCCTAAAGACTCATCTAAAAATCTCCTAGAACTGGTAAAAGAATTCAGCAAAGTTTCAGGATAGAAAATTAATGTACAGAAATCACTAGCTCTGCAATACACCAACAGTGACCAAGCTGAGAATCAAATCAAGAACTCAAGCCCTTTCACAATAGCTGCAAAAACAAAACAAAACAAAACAAAACAAAAACCCTCAGGAAAATACCTAACCAAGGAGGTGAAAGACTTCTACAAGGAAAACTACAAAACACTGCTGAAAGAAATCATAGATGACACAAACAAGTGGAAGTGCATCCCATGCTCATGGATGGGTAGAATCAATATTGTAAAAATGTCCATACTGCCAAAAGCAATTTACAAATTCAAAGCAATTCCCATCAAAATACCACCATCATTCTCCGCAGAACTAGAAAAAACAATCCTAAAATTCATATGGAACCAAAAAGAGCCCTCATAGCCAAAGCAAGAGTAAGCAAAAAGAACAAACCTGGAGGCATCATATTACTCAACTTCAAATTATATGATTAGGCCATAGTTACCAAAACAGCATGGTACTGGTTTAAAAATAGGCATATGGACCAATGAAACAGAATAGTGAACACAGAAATAAAGCCAAATACTTAACAGCCAACTGATCTTTGATAAAGCAAACAAAAACATAAAGTGGGAAAAGGACAGTCTATTCAACTAATGATGCTGGGATACTTGGCAAGCCACATGTAGAAGAATGAAACTGGATCCTCATCTCTCACCATATCCAAAAATCAACTCAGGATGGATCAAAGACTTAAATCTAAGACCTGAAACCATAAAAATTCTAGAAGATAACATCAGAAAAACCCTTCTAGACATTGGCTTAGGCAAAAACTTCATTACCAAGAACCCAAAAGCAAATGCAACAAAAGCAAAGATAAATAGATGGGACTTAATTAAACTAAAAAAAACTTCTGCACAGTAAAAATAAAAAATAATAATCAGCAGAGTTAACAGACAACCCGCAGAGTAGAAGAAAATCTTCAAAATCTATACATCTGACAGAGGACTAATATCCAGAATCTACAAAGAACTCAAACAAATCAGCAAGAAAAAAAAAACAAAAAGCAAACAATCCAATCGAAAAGTGGGCTAAGGACATGAATAGACAGTTCTCAAAAGAAGATATACAAATGGCCAACAAGCATGTGGAAAAATGCTCAACATCACTAATTATCAGGGAAATTCAAATCAAAACCATAATGTTATATCCCCTTATTCCTGCAAGAATGGCCATCATCAAAAAATTAAAAAATAATAGATGTTGATGTGGATGCAGTGAAAAGTGAGCACTTTTAGACTGTCAGTGGGAATGTAAACTAGTACGACCACTATAGAAAACAGTGTGGAGATTCCTTAAAGCACTAAAGTAGATCTACAATTTGATCCAGCAATCCCACTACTAGGTATCCACTCAGAGGAAAAGAAGTCATTATATGAAAAAGATACTTGCACATGCATGTTCATAGCAGCACAATTTGTAATTGCAAAAATATGGAGCCAACCCAAATGCCCATCAATCAACGAGTGGATAAAAAATATATGGTGTATATATACCCTGAAATACTACTCAGGAATGAAATAATGGCATTCACAGCAACCTGGCTGGAATTGGGGACTATTATTCTAAGTGAAGTAACTCAGAAATGGAAACCAAACATCGTATGTTCTCACTCAAACGTGGGAGCTAAGCTATGAGACACAAAGGCATAAGAATAATACATTGGACTTTTGGGATTTGGGGGAAAGGGTTGGGGGGTGGTAAGGGATAAAAGACTACACATTGAGTACAGTGAACACTGGTTGGGTCACGGGTGCACCAAAATCTCAGAAATAACCACTAAAGAAATTATTCATGTAACTAAACACCACCTGTTCCCCAAAAAACTATGGAAATTAAAAATTAAAAATAAATAAAATGTGAAAGGAATGAAATAAATGGAAAAATCACTATTAGAACTATTAGAACATGATAGTGGCAAATTGTACAGGCAAAACCTTAAGGAGAAACTGGATATTTGCAAATGTATTCTTTGCATGTGTCCACAAATTCTTTGATACTCCTTCCTCCAGGAAGTGGAGCTTGACTCCTCTCCTCTTCAGTGTGGGCTGGATTCGCTGATTCACTTCTAAGGAATAGAGTGTGAAAAGAGGATGTAATAACTTTACAGTGAACAAAGATGACATTATGAAAAATATTGGACTAGTACTCTTAAAAAGTGTCAAGGTTATGAAAAACAAGGAAAGACCAAGAAAATGTTGCAAATTGGAGGAGACTAAGGAGACCTGACAGCCAAACACAACGTAGGATCCTGGATTGGCTCTTGGAACAGAAAAAGGATATTGGTGGAAAAACTGGTGAATTCCAAATGAACAAGGATTTTGTAAGATGCTGACATTAGAGGATGCTGGGTGAAGGATTTATAGGAATTATCTGTACTATCTTTGCAATTCTTCTGTAAATGTAAAAGTATTTCAAAATAAAAAGTTTTAAAAAATGTTACAGGGGCATAAAAGTAAAAACAGCCTTTCAATCCCCAGGGGGTTTTCCAAAGGCGGTAGGGCTTGAATTGAATCTTGAAAGAAAAGCCCCTCAGAAAAGCTGCAGAGGTATAAAATAGCTAACTAGATAGAGCAAAAAGCTAGGTGTGGGATTTGGAATTTCTATCTCTTAGAGGCAGTGTCCTAGATTTCCAACTCTAACTGAAAGTAGTCTTCTTTCTTCCAAGATGAGACTTAGTAGAGAGGGATGTATGTTGAACTTCTCAGCTAGTTTCAATTTCTCTGCTGGGTAGTTTCTTCCTCTACCTGTGTTTGCTCACTGATAGTGAGCTGTCATTCTGGCAAGCAAAGATAATGTACATGTGTGAGAAATTAAAATGGAAAGAGCTAGCAGTAAAGCTTTATTTATAATTTGAATAGGCTCTGTTGAATATAATAGCCAAGGTGTTAGGCCAACTCCTGATGCTCTGAAATAGTAGTAAAAAACTATGCAATTATAATGGTGTGTTTGTTAGACTAATGTTACAGGAACAATCATGAGGTTGGGGACACAGTGGATGAAAAGACATGACAAGAATAGAGCTTAAAGCAAATCACATGTTCCAGGATATCCCATCTCTTTGACGTATTCCATTCAACTCCCAACCCCACCACTTTGTTCTTTTCTTAGCATATCTAATGAGTTGCTGACAGAGAACATAAATGTCAGGTAAAGAACAGAACCATAATCTCTAGGAGTTGAAAGTAGAACGTTTACTTCCAGTGGTTCACATGGAAAATAAGACATGCACTTCTGAGATGGAGAGTGACGAACTAGATTAGAGATGATGCCCTCTCCCATGACAGCCCTCAATGGCTTCTGGGCCAATATGATCATTCATCATGCCAGGGAGATTTTAGGCCCATATCTTGAAGGATAGCCCATGTCCTACTCTCTTTGACAAAGGGCTGGAAGTGAACCAAAACATGATTATTACAAGGAGAGGAGAGAGATAGGACTCTTGGCCTCAGGGAGAAAGAAGAAGGACTCGATGTCCCAGGGCCTGAACTATACCTATGGCACTGCCTTCTACCTCATATAGCCAGGTCAGGGCTCCTTTCTTCTCAGGGTAGGTAATTGGGACAGAGACCCAGAAGCTAGGAGCAGAACTAGAGACATGCCATTTCAACAGGAGAAGGCAATGTTAGAAAGTGGTAGTACAATGAAATATTTAAAAAAAGAAGAGAAAGCCACTCTTAGTGGGTCTATCTTAGGTAGAACTAGGCCACCAGCGTCCCCAAAGAAGGCTGACTTCAGCATCTTTCCACTGCTTACTCTCTATTCCCATCATTCTACACTGCCTTAGCCCAGGATATCTTTTGTTAAATAACATGTTTCTACCAGGAAACTCTGCTTTCAGAGAGAAATGACTGAATCCGTGTGTTTGTGCCTGTGTGTGTACGTATGGCAGGGATAAGAGGAAGGCACTGAATTTGGCACATTTATGCAAGATTCATTTAGGGTTATCAGGGAGGGCCTCTTAGGCAAGTTGACATTGGAGCAGAGACTGAAGGTATTTATGTTGATATTTGGCAGAAAAACATTCCAGGCAGTAGGAAAGAAAATACAAATACCCTAAGATGGAGGTGTATCTGGTGCATTTGTGAAATAGAAAGGAGGCCTCTGTGGATAGAATGGAAGGGGTAAGGGGGAGACGGGAATAAGATCAGAAAAAATAGCCAGGGGACAGATCCTGTAGAATGAAAGCCATTATTAGAGCTTTGGCTTTTACTCAGAACCAAATGGGGAGCCATGGGAGGGTTGTGAGCAAAGCAGTAACATCATCTTATTTACATTGTAAAAGTATCTCTCAGGCTTCTGTGTGGATAAAAATGGAAAAGAACAATTTATGAGGGTATCCTGGGAACCCGCTTGATAGCACCAAAACCAAATACTTTTCCAGGATTGTGGAGTCAATGGAAATGGCTTGGAATCTGATGCCAAAAATAATCCACATTTTATTATTTTAAGCTAAAAATCTCAAGGAGTTCCAGGAATTTTTAAACTGCTAGTGTGTGCAGCTCCATTGTGTTATTTCCAGTTGCATCCACAGTAAAATCCAGGGAGAAGGGCTGACAATCATTAGGTTATAGGAATAGCAGGAATTTACAATGAATGTATTTGCCCGATGAAGAGAAAAAGGCAGATGAATTGTGGTAGCGTAAAAGCACCTTTCACTGTTTTTAGAAAGAATAGGATTATATAACTCTCTGTTCATTCAATTGCCATTCTATCTAGAATCTCACAGTATCTCAAATTCAATTTGTACAAAAGGAATGCTTCATAGTTTCCCTCAAATTGCCTCCTCCTTCTCTTTCTTCCATCTTAGTAAATGAAATCTCTATTTAACCAGTGCCCCAACCAGCATCCTGGGTATCAATTTAGGGCTACTTCTCCCTCTCTAATGCATCAAATCCATGATCAATTATTGGGACTACTACCTCTAAATTATCTGTGGATTTCAAGCACTTGTCTCCATCTCCATCCCCATCTCTCTAGTCCAAGCTACCAACATGCCTTGCTTGAACTCAGCAATTTTCTCCTCTCTGGTCTTCCTCTTGCTAGTTCTTCATTCCCTGTTCTCCCCAATTTAGTTTCTACCCTGCAGTCAGAAGAGCCATTCTAAAATGGAAATCTAGGCCTTACATAGCTCTTCACTGCCCTCAAGATACAGTCCTCGGTTTCTTTCTAGACTTGTAAAATCCTTAGGGATTTGGACTCCATTTTCTTCTGTAGTTTCGTCTCTTGCAAAACCTCCCTCTTAACATGACATCTGCTCTCTAGATATACTCAACTATGTTCAGCAACTTTGATGGTTAATTTATGTGTCAACTTGGCTAGGCCATGGAACCCAGATATTTGGTCAAACATCATTCTAGATGTTTCTATGAAGGTTTTTTTTTGGATGCAATTAACAGTTAAAAACTTAACTTTGAGTAAAGCAGATTATTCTTTGTAATGTAGATGTAAAGTAATGTAATGTAATGTAACTGACTCATTCAGTCAGTTGAAGGCCTTAATAGAAAAGACTAATATCCCCTAAGCAAGAATGAATTCTGCCAGCATACTGCCTTTAAACTCAAACTATAGCACCAACTTCTGTGTCTCCAGCCTGCTAGCCTAAACTGCAGATTTAGATTTGTCATCCTCCACAATTGCATGTCAGTTCCTTAAGATCTCTCTCTCTCTCTTAATTGCTGTCACTCTAACACATACACACACACAAATATATATACACACACACACACACACACACACACACACACACACACACAATATAGCACCTATATAAACATATACATATTATCTTATTGGGTCTGTTTCTCTGAAAAACCCTTACTAATACAGCAATCTAAGCACACTTTGTTGCTAGGCCTTTGCACTTCTTTTTCTTGCTACCAGGAATGCTATTTCTTCCCCCTGCTCCTGTTCTCACTGGTATATTAACTTTTACTTCAAGATTCTAGTTGTATATTACTTCTTCTGTGGTGATTTTTTTCACTTTTCCCTTATCACAGAATTTGAGATAGGAGTGTACATTCTTTGCACTTCCAGACTACACTGGGCTTACCTCCATCAAAGCCCTCATCACAGTCTATTGCTTTTGTCTGTTTACCTTTCCCACTACGTTATAAGATTTTTGAGGGCAGGGACTGTGTCTCACAGTATCTCCAGCACCTAGTATAAGGCTTGGCACATAGTAAATATTTAAGATTTTTTGCTGAATCCATTCATTTATTTCACCAAGGTGGGGGTGATTTGTTATGCAGCACTTGACAACTAATACAGGAATAGTAGGCACAGATGATGGAATGAATGCCAGAGAAACGGTGCCTCTCCCATTTCAGATAGTTTTATTGGTCTGCTGGGACTGACACTTAGTATTTTATAAATTGTTTTTACTAATGACCTTTAAATATCAGTATGATTTCTGCTGATGATTACTGAAAATTAATATAGGAATTTTCAGCTGTGATGTTTCTCAAACTATTTTAGCAGTGAGATTACAACAGATAGAGTAGTCATGGAGGCCAATTAGTGTGAAGGAATGAGCACTGGCCTGGGAGGCTTGGAACTCGGGTTCTTGTCTTGTGTCTGTGTATGACCATGCCAAGTCCCTTAGCATTTCTGATCCTGAGTTTCTTCATTTACAAAAGGGAATAAGGCCATTTTTCTGTGCCTTCCTTAGAAGGTTAGTGTGAAAATAAAAAGCAATAATGAAAGTGGATATTTATAAAAACCATGAAGCACTATGGCCTCATGGTTTTTAGAGCCTAATGGTATGGCCATAGGAGGTCCTATTTACCATCTTCAATAGCCCAACCCAGCTGATGGCAATTGTGTGTCACACATGGTATGGTAAATGTTTAAACTCACAATTCCTGTTAACTCTGGTAGCTTATATTTAAATAAATGAACTTAACTTTGATATAGTTCAGAACTTACACAGGTAAATTCAATGAGGGGAAAGATCAATGCCATCTAATATTGATTTTTTAGAAATAACAAATAGTTAGATTGTTTGATACTCACAATAATTTTGTTAAAGTCCTTCCTACATCCTTCCTAAATATTTCTCAAATCCGTGTTCATGTCTAAGACCATTTTTAGGGCCAATGCAAGTTAGCATTTATGACCTCTTTGCAGGAATTAGAACATGGTGTCTCTTTCTCTGGAAGGATGAAGCCTCTTACCAAGGCGCAGACTTGACAATTGGAGTACAAACTGAATTTTAGCTCCCATTTGTCCCCTAGCCAGGTACCACTGTGCAGTAAATGACCAGAACAACCATATGCAGCCACCCTTACTGTCCTTATTTAAGCCTCTAGGATCATGCTTGGTTTATGACAATAGCTTTTCAATATATTACCTGATCTTGCCTCCATTTGTACTCTCCTCCAACCCACCCTGCAGTCTTCTGACAGAATACAAATCTCACCATGGTACTCTCATACCTGAAACTCTATAATAAGTCTCTTTTTCTGAGAGAATAAATGCCAGATTACTTACCCTAACACAAGAAGTCCTCTATGGTCTGAGCCCTGTCCTCTAGCCTTGTCTCTGGCTTATTCTGATTTACACTCCAAACTCCAGGACAATCAAGACTTGCAGTTTTCTGCATGGTTCCTGTTGTTTTATGCTTCTCAGCCTTTGCTCCTACTGGATTCCTCCACATAGTCTTCCTCATCTACCCACATCTCTTCTCCTCTTACCTAAATCCTATACATCTTTAGGTTTCAGTTAAGTTTTCCTTTGACAACCTGACTTGTGCTGAGGAAAGCATGGAGATGGAAGTTGGGGATGGAGAGGATGCCCCTTAGTTGTTTCCTTAGCCTACAGTGCATAGCTCTACCTCCCACTGCCATTAAAGAACTAATAACATAGGTTTTCAATGTTCTACTTATGTATCTCTTTTCCTTATCAAGTTGCTCAAAAGGTCAGTGAAAAGAGGAGCTATTTCTTACTTAACATTGTATTCCTAGCAACTAGCAGAGTGTCTGCTACATATTATGAACTCGACATTTTTATTAAATGAATAAATGAAGAATCAGAATGCTAGCATCAAAAGGGATTTAATAAATTATTCTGTTCAATTTTCTTACAAAAACCATGAGAAAACATGTGCCCAGAGAAGGTAAATAGCTGATGAAAGTCACATAGTTAGTTAAAACCAAACCAGGCTTAAGACTGAACTTCCTTTTCTCCCTATCTTCTTTCCATTTTCTGACACTGGCCCTAGACTTATTATCTCTTAAATATCCAACCAAATAGATAGGTACTTCTCTTGAGAGAATTTTCAATTTATAAATCTCTGCTAAGATGCTTTTCTCTCCTATTTTCTGGCAAATACCATCTGTCAACTGGTATTTTATGTGAATGGAATAACAGAAGGTTTGTGCGCTTCCGAAAGTGTTAGAAGTTAATACTTCCCGCTGTGATCCATATTTTGTTGCTTAAAGAGCAAAAGTCTTTTTCAGCATGAATAAGGAAAAACCAACTTGAAGCTTAACTAATTCATTTACAAACTGTGATTTAGTTCAAGATTGCTTTGATTCCTATAACTTTTTTGGAAGTGAGACATGACTGCTTCTTTTTTTTTAAATAATTCCATCCCCCAAAATACATTAGAACAAGGGGTCAATTACATTCTTAGATTTGAAGCTATTAAAGAATTTACAAGGGAAAATGGATGATGTGGACTCCCTGAAAATTAAACCTCTGCATACATACAAAAGTGGCTAAAATAATAAGGTAAACAACAGATGAGAAGAAAAGTTAAGAGTAAAGATGACAAAGAGTTGCTGTCTATATAATCTAATAAGCTCATACAAATTGGTGAGATAAGTGGGTAATGGAGGTGAACAATTTATAAAAGAAAATGCTATTAGTAAACAAGCATATGGGAAAATATTTAAACCCTCTAGCAATCAAAAAATAAAAAGAGAAAATTAATGAGTTGCATTTTATAGCTATTAAATTAGTCAAAACCAAAATGTTCAATGGTTCATCCATGATGCTTGCAAAGTTGTGGTAAAATTGGTACATGCCTCTATTATTGGTGGCTTAGTAGATTAGAATAAACAATAAGAATGTACTATGATATAATCATGGTTATGAAAAAATAATACTTTGTAGGGATGTGGATCCTATTCCTCTGTCCTCATGTTTCCATAAGAGAGCTTTGGCTTCACTCCCCAGGAGAAAGTAGTATCAGAGAGACATTTTAAGGGCTTTTCTTTATTTTTTCACCTTTTCCTTTCCTAGGGAGAAAAAATTATTTACATGATTGATGAAATGGGGAAAGGTGTCACTGGATACATGCATATATCTGTTGCTTGCTCTCTCTTTAGGGGCACTTGTTCTCTCTATCCTTGCTCCATATATGGTAAAGATAGCTGGATCAGGGCTCAGGACCTACTTTCTATAGGCAAAACTGAAAGTCTCCCTCTTTTCTTTTCCTCTGACTCTTGCTCAGCCAGGGTATGTATCAGCCTTCCATGTGGCTAGCTGGGTAAAATCCTGGTTTATAGACCCAACTCTTCCCATATGTAGGTCTCATAATACAGATTGAGGGGAAGTAATATGGAATTCCCACTTTGGCAACCAGTCCAAACCACTTCTTCCAATACAGTTTTACTGACTATAAACAAATATTTAAATTAACCTGGCTCCTAGGCCTCTTTTCTTGATTACTTTCAGAAAGACAAAGGAAAAGCTGAGTAATGAGCTCCTGCCAACTCCAACACAGGTGTCTGTGAGTCTAGAATGGAATCCAGCAAAATGAAGCCCTCTGATTTATTGAGGAGATATATGTGTCTGTGCATTCTTTTCCTTTGTTTTATTTGGTCTTGTTTGAAATATGAACAGTTCTAAATCCCAGGCAGGTAGCAACTATTTTCCTGGACGTAGTCCAGGTAATGCTGTGTGGCTGGTATATACCCAGAAACCACATTTTCAGGGCTTCTGAAGGCTTCATGGGGGCATAGGGAGTCTTATATTTCCCAGAGGTAGTGCTCAAGGGACCATTCATTGGTATAACAGTGGGAGCCTGACCCAAGGTGGGCCAATAAGATATCTTCTGTAGTATTTTAAAAGCTAATCTGAAAGAATAAAATTACTGTATATTGAGAAATGGACAGGCAATGGAGAAAAAGAGTATATGCAGGGAGTAGTAAAATTCCTTGCTGTAATCATTGCTGACAACCAGCTATAAACCTCCTTCTATACTAGGTAATCTAAACTAATACAGCCTCATTTTTGCATCAGCTGATTTAAATTGGGATCTATCCAGAGTTCTGATGACTGCAGATCATACGTGTATCTGTGAAACTGTATCCCATTCGGACGTTATCATTAGGGGCATGTCTTAGTCCATAGAGTTTTTTGTAACAGAATAATACAGATTGGGTGTCTTCAACAACAGAAATCTATTTCTCATAGTTCTGGAGGCTGGGAAGGTCCAAGATCAAGATTGCTGGCAGATCCAAGGCCTGGTGACAGTTCACTTTCTGGTTTGTAGATGATTATCTACTGTTATATCCTCAGATGAAAGGGAGAGAGAGAAAGTGAAAGAGAGAAACTCTGTCATGTCTCTTCTTCTTATAAGGGTACAGATCCCATTCATTAGGGCCCCAACATCCTGACCTAATCAACCTCCAGAGGCCTCACCTCAAAATACTATCATGTTGGGGTTTAGGCTTCAACATATGAATTTTGAGGGGACACAAACATTTAGCTCACAGTAAGGTGTTTTCATGGCAGTAATGAAGCTGCCCTGAGTCTCATTCCTGGCCTACTTAGGAAGGTTGTACGAAAGTCAGTGAACTTCATCTCTGTTGAAAACAACTTATTTTGCATACGTACCATAAGAAGTCATATTTTAAATAATCCTAACATCAAGTGCTTTCTCAAAAGATTAACTTAGAATTGTTCAAAATCACTCACTGTTAGAATCACAGGTGTGAATGAGTAGCAAATTCATGAATTGTGCATTAGTTCATATCTTTTCCTCAAGGCTAATTGTTTGCTTTATTTTTTCCTCTATTAGCATTGTCAGTGCATAATGATATATGGTAAGCCTTGCATCTTGATGAGAAACAAAAAGAAATTTTCAAACATGGGCATAATTATACAATGACATAGAGTTTGTTTCTCTTTCTACCAACTAGCTCTCATCAACACAAGGGTTTTTGGAAATTAACACAAACAATCAACTCTGGGAATAAATATGTAAACAGAGTCTATGCATCTGTTAACTACTTTTCCTTATGAAGCACATTATTTAGAGTTGTCCTTTAGCTATTATATCACACAAAGTGTGTGCATGTGTGCACACATGCATGTGTATACATGCACACATGGGGTTAGCTGAAATCCACTAAATAAATGTTTGCTGTTTTCTAACTTGACAGCTTTATTTTCTGACCTAAGTGGATGCCGGTGATTATTATAGGCTTTACACCTGGAGAAAAGATTCCATTCTCTCCTTGACACACTAGGGATTCTTTGCTATTACCAACCCTGCCAGGTAAACCCTTGAAATAGCAGTCAATATTTCCTTTGGCTTAAGTCAAATTCTATTTCTATTACTTGGGAATACAGGGAATATTGGCGATGGCCAGAACCTCTAGAATGAGTTAATGTTGTCAGTCACTTATTGGCATAAACTCCTCCAACACCCTCATTTTATAAATGAATGTGGTTGGGTTCTAAGGAACTCCTTAGACATTTTGGAACAAAAAAAATTGACAATCACATAAATACCCTTCAATGTCTCTGAAAGTTTCATTCCATTGCAAGTTTATTTCCCTCCCCTTTCCATGATTGTCTCATGACAAGGAAGAAATCAATAAATATTTTGTTCTCTAGCTTTCTGCTCCCCTTTCCATAACTATGACATGACCTCAAGCCACCTTCTAGAACTTTGACTCACTCTGTTTAATTTTCCTCACAGATCTTATGCTTATATTGAAGACTAAAGAGAAAGTATACTCCCTCTATGTAGTATATGTGTCAAGGCATATAGGCTGGTAGAAAAATATAGACATGTTCTTAGATAGTGGTTATTAGTGAACAAAGTCATCCAGAATGGCATAAGCATGGGGCAAAGGGTTTGTGTTTCATATGAGGGGATCTCTGACTCATTGAAGACTGCCGTGTGTTTAACATTCAGATTAATGTGGTCAAAAATACTAATAAACCTTTATAATGCATGAATATGTAGAAACATGTAAAGTGAATTTGCCAGTTATTGACATTAGAAAGTGATTAATTTTTATCAGTCTAATTATTTGTATATTAAATGTAAGAGTCTGCCAAAAACTTTCATAAGCCAGTAAAAACAGCATTATTATTACATAATTTCTCTGCTCCTACTCACAGCAAAACTCCTAAAAATAGTTATGTATACTCATTGTCTCTCCTTCTTTGCATTCCATTGTCTTCTCAACCAACAATTTTTCACCAAGCATTTTTCAGCAACCACCCTTAACACGTTTTTCAGCAACCTCCATGTGGCTAGGTCTACTGGCCAATTCTCAAGTCTCATTTTACTTATTCTCTCAGCAAAATTTGACATGGTTTATCACTCTCTTCCTCATTTTGAAACACTTCCTTCTGAAACACCATTCTTTCTTGCTGCTTCTTCTATCTCATGGGTTGTTTCTTCTCAGTTTCCTTTGTTGGATCCACCTGATCTATTTAACCTCTTAATGAAAGAGTGATCCAGGTTTAATCCTTGGATCTCTTCTTTTATTCAACTGTATTTTCTCCTTTAGGAGTTGATATTTTACATTTCTGTGGTTTCAAACACCTTCTATATACTGAAAATTCCAAAATTTGTCACTCCATATCTTAGCATTCTTTAAGCTCCAGATGCATATATTCAACTCATGCCTCAACATTTCTACTTAAATATCTAATAAGTATGTCAAACTTCACAATTCTACCAGAACTAGTGATTCTTGTCCTAAACAATGTTCTTCCATCTTTCCTATTTCACTTGATATATCAAGTGAGATATAGTTCCTATCTCACTTGATATTTCCTATCTCACTATCAAACATTTCACTTGCTCAGACCTAAACTCTCAGAATCATCCTTGGTACCTCTATTTCACTCACATGTTGATATGGTTTGACTGTGTCCTCACCCAAATCTCATCTTGAATTCCTATGTGTTGTGGGAGGTGGTTGAATCATGGGGGCAGGTCTTTCCCATGGTGTTCTCATGATGGTGAATAAGTCTCACAAGATCTGATGGTTGTAAAAATGGGAGTTTCCCTGCACAAGCTCTCTCTTTTTGCCTGCTGCCATCCATGTAAGATGTGACTTGATCCTCTTTGCCTTCCACCATGATTGTGAGGCCTCCCCAGCCACCTGGAACTGTGGTCCAATTAAACCTCTTTCTTTTGTAAATTGCCCAGTTTTGGGTATGTCCTTATCAGCAGTGTGAAAACAGACTAATACACACGTCATATCCAATCTATCAAGATATTGTGTAGGCTTTACCTCCAAAATATGTTCAAAATATGAACACTTCTTACTACCTCTGATGATGAAAATCAGGGTCTAAGCCAACATCATTTCCTGCCTGGATTATTGTAATAGCTTCCTAACTGCTCTCTGTTTCCACTCTTGCTCCCCTTAAAGTCTATTGTCTGCAGAGAATACAGAGTTATCTTTTTAAAAATGTAAATCAAATCAAAGCACTACCTTGCTTAAACATCCATAACATCCCGTCATACTTAAAATAAAACAAAACTCCTAACCATGGCCCAGAAGGCCTCCTATGCTCTTGCCATTTTCTTACTGCTCTCGATTTTCCTCAGTCAGCTCCAGCCTCCTCTATGTATCTCCAATATATTTAGCACACTGAATTTAGAGCCTTTGCACTTTCTGTCTCCTTCTTCCTTCACCCAAATCTTTGTATGTCTAGATTCTTTATTTTATCTGGGTCTCTGCTTAAAGTCTCCTCCTCAAAGAAGCCTTTCTGGAGCAGTCTTTCAAAAAGTTAGTCTATCCTCTTCATCATGCTCTATTTCCTTATTCTGCTTTATTTTTTCCATAAACCATACCACTGTCTGAAATTATACATTAAATTATTTATTTGCCTATTTATTGGCTGTCTCTACACATAGACTATGAGCTTCATGAAGGCAAGGGCTTTCCTTGTTCACTATGACAACCTTAGTACTTACCAAATACTAGGTACCCTATACATACCTGTGAGATGAACGAATCAAACATCCTACTTCACAAAAGAGAAAACTGAGGCACGAGAGGTTAAGTAACTTTTCCAAGGTCACAGAGACAGAGCTTCGGCTTAAAGTCATATCTCCATTGCATTTACTCTGATTGAAATTATCCACGCTCATGCACAATGCTTGAATAGAAAACCGCTGAGGTCATACTGTATCACTAAGCTTTTTTATTATATATAGCAGCAACATTCTGCATATCATAAGGTAAAACCTAGCAGACTAGCTTGTAATAAATTTCTAATTCATGCCCAATAGATGAGATTTAATACTTAGTTTTCCAAAGGAAAGTCTACCACTGAATCCAAACTTCAACTGATGATGATTGGATTTCTCCTTAGACGTGTCCTTTTTTAAAATGGATACGTTGATTACAAATAACTTGTCTTTTCAGATTGCTCATTACTTAACAAAGAAATAGATGAAGTGAGCATCCTCACTGCTGCCTTTTGCAAATGGAATGTGGTTCAGACATCCAGGACTGCATGTTAAGTTGACTTTTTAAAAATAGAGACTGACAAGTTTAATAATTCAAGGCATAGATGTCTCTATCTTTGCACATGAGCTTTTTTAATCTTTGGAGACTAGGATATAAATCATATCTTTGGTGCAAAGTAAAAGTAAGTTTGCTTTAATTGTGGTCTTTTGTAGATAGCTTTGCCTCACAGTGTGTTAGTGTCAAAAAGCCTTTTTTTTTCTGAGAAAAAGAATGCTCACAGTCCTAGGTCTGCACTATAGTCCATAAAATGAAAGATATTTGCAAGTAATCTCTCAACTGCTAAGAAATTTCATCAATTCTGATTCATTTCTTTGGATCTCACATCTTGGTCTTTAATGACTTTTCCCTTTGAGCGCAAATACCCCGGGTCAGTGTCCTCTACCCCCTCAACCAGTACTACTCTTTAAGAAGCTGGAAACCATCACTCTCAGCAAACTATCCCAAGGACAAAAAACCAAACACCGCATGTTCTCACTCATAGGTGGGAATTGAACAATGAGAACACTTGGACACAGGAAGAGGAACATCACACACCGGGGCCTGTTGTGGGGTGGGGGTAGGGGGGAGGGATAGCATTAGGAGATATACCTAATGTAAATGATGAGTTAATGGGTGCAGCACACCAATATGGCACATGTATACATATGTAACAAACCTGCATGTTGTGCACATGTACCCTAGAACTTAAAGTATAATTTTAAAAAATTAAAAATAAATAAATAATCTATAAAATCCAAAGGCATCTGTTCTACTCATGATGCCTTGATGATATGAGTGGTGGTAAGGAATCACTTGTATCTGTAAGTAGTATCTACATGGGCAGGATTTTCCACCCTTTTGATAAAACTGGTCAGTTAATAAGTTTCTTGAGTCAGAAGGGTGACATGAGCATGTTCCCTCCTGGATTAATCCTTATCCACAAGACAGAACAAAACAATACATTGAGTGAAGGTGTACCATATAAGTTTGCATATGGACAGAGCCCCAGGTCTACTTTTGAAGGTAGCTACAAATAAGAAGTATAAAGTCAAATCTCATATCTTTGGACAGCTCTAGGATTATTTGAATAGGCTGAACAAGCTGAATCATCCTTGGAGCCCACCTTCAGTTCTGTCTTCTTCTATTTTATAACAGGAGAGTTAAGGGTTATGGAGTGAAGAGAGACCCGGATTTGAATCCTAGGTTACCGGCTACATGCCCTTAGGTAGGTTACAAATCTTTTGTGTCTCCATCTGCTTACCCGCAAAACAGAGAAAAGATTAGCCCTTGTCCCAAGGTAATTTATAGATTCAATGCCATCCCCATCAAGCTACCAATGACTTTCTTCACAGAATTGGAAAAAACTACTTTAAAGTTCACATGGAACCAAAAAAGAGCCCACATCACCAAGTCAATCCTAAGCCAAAAGAACAAACCTGGAAGCATCACGCTACCTGACTTCAAACTATACTACAAGGCTACAGTAACCAAAACAGCATAGTACTTGTACCAAAACAGAGATATAGACCAATGAACAGAACAGGGCCCTCAGAAATAATGCCGCATACCTACAACTATCTGATCTTTGACAATCCTGAGAAAAACAAGCAATGGGGAAAGGATTCCCTATTTAATAAATGGTGGTGGGAAAACTGGCTAGCCATATGTAGAAAGCTGAAACTGGATCCCTTCCTTACACCTTATACAAAAATTAATTCAAGATGGATTAAAGACTTACATGTTAGACCTAAAACCATAAAAACCCTAGAAGAAAACCCAGGCTTTACCATTCAGGACATAGGCATGGGCAAGGACTTCATGTCTAAAACACCAAAAGCAATGGCAACAAAAGCCAAAATTGACAAATGGGATCTAATTAAACTAAAGAGCTTCTGCACAGCAAAAGAAACTACCATCAGAGTGAACAGGCAACCTACAAAATGGGAGAAAATTTTCGCAACCTACTCATCTGACAAAGGGCTAATATCCAGAATCTACAATGAACTCAAACAAATTTACAAGAAAAAAACAAACAACCCCATCAAAAAGTGGGCGAAGGACATGAACAGACACTTCTCAAAAGAAGACATTTATGCAGCCAAAAAACACATGAAAAAATGCTCACCATCACTGGCCATCAGAGAAATGCAAATCAAAACCACAATGAGATACCATCTCACACCACTTAGAATGGCAATCATTAAAAAGTCAGGAAAGAACAGGTGCTGGAGAGGATGTGGAGAAATAGGAACACTTTTACACTGTTGGTGGGGCTGTAAACTAGTTCAACCATTGTGGAAGTCAGTGTGGCGATTCCTCAGGGATCTAGAACTAGAAATACCATTTGACCCAGCCATCCCATTACTGGGTATATACCCAAAGGACTATAAATCATGCTGCTATAAAGACACATGCACACGTATGTTTATTGCGGCACTATTCACAATAGCAAAGACTTGGAACCAACCCAAATGTCCAACAATGATAGACTGGATTAAGAAAATGTGGCACATAGACACCATGGAATACTATGCAGCCATAAAAAATGATGAGTTCATGTCCTTTGTAGAGACATGGATGAAATTGGAAATCATCATTCTCAGTAAACTATCGCAAGAACAAAAAACCAAACACCGCATATTCTCACTCATAGGTGGGAATTGAACAATGAGAACACATGGACACAGGAAGAGGAACATCACACTCTGGGGACTGTTGTGGGGTGGGGGGAGGGATAGCTTTAGGAGATATACCTAATGCTAAATGAGGAGTTAATGGGTGCAGCACACCAGCATGGCACATGGATACATATGTAACTAACCTGCACATTGTGCACATGTACCCTAAAACTTTAAGTATAATAATAATTAAAAAAATAATAAAAAATAAAATGAAATTTAAAAAAAATGATTAGCCCCTGTTTCATGAGGACTGTTGTGAGGATTAAATGAACTGATGTTTGTAAAATGCTTAGCATGGTGCTTAACACATAATGCAGTTCAATAAACGGGAGCTATTATTGTTGTTGTTGGTGATGTTGCCTCCTGTAAGTGGAATTGTGTTGTATCTTTGCTGCTTACCAGCTGTTTGACTTTGGGCAAGTCAGTTCACATCTCTGGTTTTCCCTTTTGTCATATAAGGATAATAACAGTTCCTACCTGAAATGGTTGTTGTGAAGATTACACAGGATAATCAGTACAAAGCTCTTAGCAAAGCACCTGGTATGTTTTAAGTAACGAAGTAAATGTTGATATCTTGTTGCTTCCTCCTCTTCCTGACCAACCAACATCTTTCCCTGGAATGAATATTTTATTGAGGAAGGAAAATAGAGGCATGGGAAAGAATCTGAAAACGTGACAGGAGTACCTGTACACAGAGGAAGGTGAGAGTTTGATGAAGTATCAAATATTGTAATACAACCACATAATTCATACATAGAAAAAATGTAAATTTAATTAAAACATTAAAATACATTTTTATTTTAACATTGTGGGAGATGGCAATATAATGCATCAAATTTGATTAAGAATGAATTATAAACTTAAAATTATTCCACAGTGTGGTGAAACTAGAAGATTTCTTAGGAGTGATTACAATAATTACATTAATTCCCCTTCCACCTTCAGTAATTAAAACCCTTGCCCACTTTGAAATCATTGGAAGGTAATCTCTGATCTACTCTTTTGGCCATTGGCACAACACCACTCTTTTCTGTCATGCTATTTCATTATCTTCACAGGTAAACTTTGACTCCTGTCCATAAATCAAATTTTCTCAAACTAGATGTTCAGTCTAAACTCATTGAGAATGTGTTTGCTGTTTATTCCATATATGAAAAAAATGCCCAATTCTCTCCATTACAACCACAATTTCTGATTTTAAATGAGATCTAAAAAAAGAAATAAAAGGGACATATTTAAAATATTCAAGTGTCCACAATTAGAACTGTTAATCTCATAACTATATAATACCTTCTTTGAAATTGAGAGCTATAAATATTTTAGTTTGATATTGATAATCTAAGTGCCCTATAAAAGCTTTTCAGATAAATTTTAGACCCTGTACAACAAACATTCTTATACAGTTAGGATATGCACTGATTCTAATCAGTAGCATAAGCATCTAAATAACATAAAAATATTTCCCAACACTCAAATGGCTTAGTTCCGGGGATGATGGATCTTTAGAAATCTTATACAATGCAGTTCATGGTTTAAAATAACATCATATTTCCTTATGAGTAACCCAACTTTCCACAAGGCCAAATGTAAAGTGCTCAGTTTCTATTTAAACTATTTTTCTAAGAATTTCTATTCCAAATACCAATACTTCATTGCTCAGATGTATTTGTGGTATTGATTTTTACTGAGGATAGTTTTATAATAAACTGGTGATTCAACAGATTCAAGTTTTACGTAGTTTTTCCTTCTGCTATTGTTTTTTTTTTTTTTTATCTCCAAGACTGGTTAGAAATAGAAGACCAAAAATAAAACAGAAAAGATTAGGTAGCTTAGATAAAACTTACTTGGATCATAACACAAGTGACATGTTATAACATAGTAGATGCTCAATCTTCCAAGATGCTCAACAATCTTGGAAGGTAACCAAAAATGTTTGATTCCAAATAGTTATTTTAATAGTAATAATCAGTTAATAAGATGATGTTTATCCATATTTAACTCTTTTACTTACTTTTTTTCTAAATTGTTTCTTATATAGAAACAGAGGGTCTTACTTTGGGGCATCTTGTGATTGATTGCTTTTTTAGAAATTGATTTGTATATATATATATATATTTGGGAAGGAGGTGAATGTTTTACCAGAAAACAAGTGATTACTGAAGTAGATGTGTATGGATTCTTGGAGCTGCAATAAACTCACTAGCGGTAATAAACTGTGGTTCCTAGCTTTGATTTTTTTGGGAAGGTTATTGTTGTTTACAAGGAAACATTACACTTTAATGGTTTTTAGCGATGCAGACATTTATAAAGGACAGAAGTATTTGTTACATATTTTTATTTACACATTTCACTTTTTATCATTAAATGATACATGGTGCAGTGAATACATAATGGATGTAATACTGCCACCTCTTGGTTATGTAAATGGAGATCTCCAAAGTCATAATTCTCTGTATTCAAACTGGAAAATGCAAGTGCTTAAAAGTCAGCTAAGTCTTTTCTATTTTGGTTTAGTGAAAACAGTTGTGAATGAATATCTATGCAAATGTGTATGTTTTAAACGCCTCTAAAAAGTGCATTATCTATGCATTAAAAGATATATGTGTTTATGAAACAAAAGTGACAGTGACATTTTGTGCTGAGGCATTCCAGAAAGCAATATTCAGAGTTGCAATAAGTTTAGAATTGTTTAGAGTGTCCTTCATTCAATCCAGATCAATTTAATCCAATCTTTGCTTAAATACAACCTAAACCATAGAAATTCAATCATTTTCTTATTTTAAAAGAGCACTCTTTCTTCATTTTAATCAATTTTAATCACTGAGCAAGGTATTAGATAACCAGATTATGGGATGGAAAATCTGGCATTTTCTTATTAAAGAAGGTCAAAAACTTGGACTGAAACTGAATTAAGTGACCCAGGACAAAAAGGCTAGATAATTATCATTTTTTCTCTCAGGTAGGGAGGAGCTTATAAATACAACATGCTGGATAATTTTCACGTGGGTATGTGGATGGTACAATCAATTACCTATTTTAACAAAGAGGGCAAGAACTAACCACAGTGTTTCATCAGCACTGCTCTCTAGATAAACATTTTACTACTTTAATAACAGTTTTCATTTCTACAATACTTAATATTTAACACAGCCCCGTATCTGTCAGTTCACATGATCGGATAGTCAGTTTCCTAAACAGTGGAAGTGCATCATGCAGTCATAAAGGACCCACAGCTTTTTTCCGGCAGATAGTCAATGGTGCTCTTCTTCAAATCAAGCAATAATATGACCATTCTGTCATCCAGATACAAAAAGTGACCCTGCTGACACTGTCAGCATGACAGATGTGTACTTGGCAACTGGTGATAGCACTAAGGATTGTCAAACATTTTTGCTTGCCTGTTTCCCTTAGCAACCAAATACTGATCCAGGATTGGGGACAGAGGGTGTGACTCTAGAATGGTTATGATCTATGTGAAACCCCTGGGGAGAACAATCAAATATCAACACTGGAAGAGACCTTAGAGACCATCTAGTCCAATTTCCCCTTTTGAAACATGGAAAAACAAGCGTCCTGAGAGGAGACATAAGTTGGTCACCAAGCAAGTGGGTCGCATAGCAGGACCAGAAGCTGGGTCCTCCAAGTGCAAGGCCAGTTCTCTCCTAACACACCATGCTGTCTCTGGGCTCTTTAGTCCTGCTTCAGCCTTCAGGTGTCTTCAGCTGTAGAAGAAATTGAGATCTGCTTCCTTGGAAGCTGCTTTCCAACTATGAACAGCAAAGGGTTTAAGCCATGTTGCCTTACTCAATGTTCTGATCCACGCAATCCTGTTGGCTTCTGGGAATGCTTACAGGTATGGAGGCACCTCCTATGTCAGGGGTACTTTTTAGACTCAAGACGTAATCTCTTCTGGTGTTGGAAATAAGTGTGTATGCCTTCAATGATCATCTCAGGCTACCCACCAAAGAGGAAGTTCAAAAACATGGCCTAAAAACATAACATAGCTAGTGGAGAAACTGCCACCCGGGAGAAAAAGCAAAGTATCTTCCATGAGGTCTCACAGAAGGATTGTGGCTGAGTGGAAGTTGGTGATTTTCCTTGTGGGGGAAAGCAAGAGAGATCAGACTGTTACTGTGTCTGTATAGAAAGAAGTAGACATAGGAGACTCCATTTTGTTCTGTACTAAGAAAAATTCTTCTGCCTTGAGATTCTGTTAATCTATGACCTTACCCCCAACCCCGTGCTCCCTGAAACATGTGCTGTGTCGACTCAGGGTTAAATGGATTAAGGGCTGTGCAGGATGTGCTTTGTTAAACAGATGCTTGAAGGCAGCATGCTCCTTAAGAGTCATCACCACTCCCTAATCTCAAGTACCCAGGGACACAAACACTGCGGAAGGCCGCAGGGACCTCTGCCTAGGAAAGCCAGGTATTGTCCAAGGTTTCTCCCCATGTGATAGTCTGAAATATGGCTTCGTGGGAAGGGAAAGACCTGACCATCCCCCAGCCTGACACCCGTAAAGGGTCTGTGCTGAGGAGGATTAGTATAAGAGGAAGGCATGCTTCTTTGCAGTTGAGACAAGAGGAAGGCACCTGTCTCCTGCCCGTCCCTGGGCAATGGAATGTCTCGGTATAAAACCTGATTGTACGTTCCATCTACTGAGATAGGGAAAAACCGCCTTAGGGCTGGAGGTGGGACAGGTGGACAGCAATACTGCTTTGTAAAGCATCGAGATGTTTATGTGTATGCATATCTAAAAGCACAGCACTTAATCCTTTACCTTGTCTATGATGCAAAGACCTTTGTTCACGTGTTTGTCTGCTGACCCTCTCCCCACTACTGTCTTGTGACCCTGATACATCCCTCTCTCGGAGAAACACCCACGAATGATCAATAAATACCAAGGGAACTCAGAGGCTGGTGGGATCCTCCATATGCTGAACTCTGGTACCCCAGGTCCCCTTATTTCTTTCTCTATACTTTGTCTCTGTGTATTTTTCTTTTCCAAGTCTCTCATTCCACCTTACGAGAAACACCCACAGGTGTGGAGGGGCAACCCACCCCTTCATTCCTACAGCATTTTGTTATCTCTATTACTGCTATAATGCATCAATTTACAGGTAACTGGGGAGGAAAAGTTTTTAAAGAGGAAAAGAAACTTTGAGGCTAAAGGGTGTTCCATAAAGGTTTAATGATATTGACGAGATGGTCACTGTTGTTAACTTACAGCTAGAAAGGGAGGTACTCATTTTCTTAAATTGAATTTTCATCAAGTAGCAGCCTCTTTCCTGCCCCCCTACCATTCTCAGCAGCTGTCCTAAGACCTAAACCAGTGTTGCTGAAAATTCAGAATATCAAAATAAGTTATAGCTTCAACTATGCTATGTTCTTCTGACCCAGTAATTAGTACCTGGACCCCAAACTATGAAAGAAAATGGTACGTTTGTTAGAATAGCTCACAGTTTTTACACAGGTCACAGAAGCAACACAGAGGCTCAGGCAAGGAAGTACAGGTCACTCATGTTTAATGCTGTAATATGGCATTGACCTCTGAGGCAGCAATTATTGCAGAGATCATGATGCAAGAAAGGACTCTTTCTGTTATTTGGCACCCATACAGAGTTGGAAAGAGAAGAGCTTTGAACCCCAGGTAATGAAGGTCTCGCTCAGTCAGTTAATGTGAGGCATTCTCATTTGCTTGCCAGCCAGCTGGACAAGGATTGTGCAAGGCCAGCCAGAGCACATTATTTTCATGGAGAGAGGCAAGGCATACAGCACTGTGCAAGAAGTGGCCCTCTTGGGGCACAACCTGGGCCTGGCCCACTGTTCTAAACCTACATGTTGGCAAGTCATGGACGTGGAGAAAGAGAGGCTGTGGGTCGGGGGACGGCGGGGGGGACAGGGGAAGCAGGAGAGACAGACAGACAGAGATTGATTGTGTGTGTGTGGTGTGGAGGGTGTGTGAGAGAGTGTATTTTAAATGATGTGTCTAAATATTATGTGTGAGCCTACTTTTATGGTGAGTCTGTGGATGTGCCTTGTGGTTTGGGTAAAGCATTGTGAAAGGGGTGGGAGTTGTAAGGTATGTGTGGTTCATACGATCAGGAGGCAAAGAAGGGAATATTCCATTTATCAATGGCTCAGCCAGGTGAAGAGGATAACGACCAGTGTTCAGTAGTCGGATGGCTGAGAGGCACTAAAGGACCTACTATGTGGGGCTTTCTGGGACTCCAGAATGAGATATCATCCTAATCAGCAATTCTGGACCTTTCTTTGCTTACAGACCACTGATAATAACAGCTGAAACATATTGGGCACTTGCAGTGTGCCAGGTACTGTGCTAAAGTCTTTGCATGTATGAATTCATTTTATTCTTACAATGCTGTGAAGTAGGCACTATTATTGCCCCATTTCTGTGGAAGAGGAAACTGAAGCACAGAGTGTACAACTTCCCCAAGGCCACCCAACCAGTAAATGGCACAGCCAGAATTTGAATGCAGGCAACCTAGCTACATAGCCCATCCTCTTTGCCACTATTCTCTACAGTCTCTTATCTATCACCTCCTTATCAAAGCCCACTTTTTCTGCTGACCTCAACCCTCTGCCTTTACAGAAGAGGAAATGGAATTCAAGAGAGGAAAAGCGGATTGCCTTGGGCCAAAGTCATCTTCAGTAGAGCCTACTATTCACATATACCCTGCCCTATCATTGACCTTGGGCAGCCAATCTCTTGGGAGGAAGCATCTAGTCCATGAGCACCGTGCATTCTTTTGGCCCTTCCATCATTAGCCTTTATTTCAGGGATTTGAGCACAGACAGTCAGAAAGAGTCCCTTTGCTAGTTTTAAGATAAATGGAATCATTCAACTCCATTTCCCATTTGTCACTAATGTTGTGAATGGGGGTATATTTTACTTAAGGCTGTGCACATATGCACCTTTCAAAGAGCTTCAATCTATCAGTCTTGGAGCATATGGGGGAAAGTAAGTTTGACAAATCTACTGAAACACCTCAGAGACACTAATCCAGGAGGGGTATTGCCTATTTTTTTAATAACCAAAGTGCTAAGGCAGGATCTGTGGTAAGACCAGAGGCTAAGCCATACAAATATGAAGATTCATTTATGAATGGCTTTTAGTGATATGACAAAATGAAATGAAGTACAAGAAACTGTAAAATTGCTTTTTAACTTTAAATTTTACACTGTGTAACCATGTGTATATGATAAGCAAAATAGAACCACAAATGGTTAATCAATGTTTTTTACTATCTTCATGACCAACTTGTATGGACTATTTGGATGCTAAAATCATTTATGTACAAGTTAGGCAAGGTTGCCCACTTCCAAAATGAGCTGCCTGGAGAGGAAGTAGCCCTAGCAGTGGTTGTGAGGCATCCCCCTCCTAAATTTTTTGGAGGAGCATATGGCCCATCTGGATGTCTATTAACTTGGAAATATGATGTTTTTAACCAAGAAGCAAATTCTTGACTTGAAAGAAATAGATACAAAGCCCAGCTTGTAACTTAGGAATTCACGTTATGCATTTTACTCGAAAAATGTGGCAAATGAGCCTAAAAATGAACTCACTATATACATCACGGCATGAGCCAACTTTCCAGAAAACTGTCAGAACAGCCATGGAGGATTAGAGGAAGCTTATTTGAGAGTACAACGTTTAAAAGTGGCTAGACTGCTCACCGCATACCAGTTAACAGAAGTGACTGGTAATTCTGGTGGATGTAGGCTCCTCTGGTTAAAAACAACAACAACAACAACAACTTTCAATAAAAGTTATACCTGTGTGAACTTCCCATAGCTGACAGGAAAGGGAGGGGGGAATAGGTGATTGATGTAGCTTCTGACGTATGAGAAACATACCATTTTAAACATTTCTTTTGTTCTCTCCTAAAAACAAAAACAAGAATTTAATATCAACTGTCAACAAATAGAAGGACAGGAGAATGATGAATACAAGGGATTTGGAAGTTAGACAAGTAGGTACAAATTTCTCTCAAATATTTCCAGTTCTACTTTTTGAAGTGTTAGGCAAATGTGCAGACAGACAATAGATTTGTAGCTGGAAAATGATGCTCCTGAGATCCCAATTATTATTTAAATAATGAGAATTGCAATAAGAATTTGAAAATATCACGGCAGTTTGTTAATCACTTTGATAGCTTCCAGTGCAAGAAATGGCATGCATTCTCTACAGGGTTTTATGTTTCTTCTTTTGATCTATTTCTTTGTGCATTTCTTAACTTCTGTAGTTGTTTATTTGATTTTATAATCACAAACACTTATTCTGTTAAATAGAAAAATTTAAAATCTATTTTACATAGGCTTTAGAAAGAATATACAATTATACTGATCTCAAAAGCGTGAATAACATTCAACAGTTTTCAAATACATTATCTCATTTGAGTCTCACAAACACTCTTTCAGATACGTAAGGCAGACCACCGCTATCTCCATTTTACAGATAGAAAAGTGAGGTCCAAAGACATTAAGTGATTTATTAATATCACCGTGTAAGTAAGTGTTAGAGCTTACATTTAACCCATGTCTTCTGATTCTATCCTTTTACACCTGGATTATGTCTGACTGCAGGGAAATCTGCAAATATAAGGTAACTCCCTGGGTGCAGTGGCTCACGCCCATAATCCCAGCATTTTGGGAGGCTGAGGCAGTGGATCACCTGAGTTCGGGAGTTTGAGACCAGCCTGACCAACATGGAGAAATCCCGTCTCTACTAAAAATACAAAATTAGCTGGGTGTGGTGGTGCCTGCCTGTAGTCCCAGCTACTCGGGAGGCTGAGGCAGGAGAATTGCTTGAACCTTGGAGGCAGAGGTTGCGGTGAGCCGAGATCATGCCATTGCACTCCAGCCTGGGCAACAAGAGAGAAACTCCTTCTGAAAAAAAAAAAAAAAAAAAGCCAGGGCGGGCGTATAATGAGGTCAAGAGATCAAGACCATCCTGGCCAACATGGTGAAACTACTAAAACTACAAAAATTAGCTCAGCATGGTGGCACGCGCCTGTAGTCCCAGCTAATCCGGAGGCTAAGGCAGGAGAATCACTTAAACCTGGGAGGCGGAGGTTGCAGTAAGCACAGATCACACCATTGTACTCCAGCCTGGCGACAGAGCGGGACTCCAAAAACAAAAACAGAAACAAAAACAAAAACAAAAACCTCAAAGGTGGTTCACATTGTTCAATGGAGAGCAGACATACATTGAACAAGATGAATTGGCCATTCATCTTCCCATCTTTCTTCAATTCAAAATGGGGGATCTAGGCAAGGCTGGCAAGGATCATTTGTGTGATCCCAGTTCCCACTGGCTTCACTGGGCCATTGGCCCATCCAAGACCAACCTTATAATTTATGAGGCCACATGCAAAATGAAAATGTGGGGCACCTTGTTCAAAAGTCATTAAGATTTTCAAGTCAGCAACAGCAGAGCATTCTACAAAGTACAGGGCCTTTCTAGGCTCAGGCCCTGTATGACTGCACAAGCTGCATGCCCAGCAAGCTAGCCCTGCCCCACCCAGAGCACTGATTGTGAGACCTTAGAAGACTTCTTCTCAGACATGACTCCATTAGGAAACTAACCAGACAGTGTTTGACATGGTTAGCTCAGAGTGCCCAGGAGAAGACTGCTGAGGAAGTTTCCATTTCCTCAAGTATACAGTAGAGAAAAATAAGCAACAACCAAGAAGAGAAAACAAATTAAACTTCCAATTAAATTAACAGAAAACATCTGAATAAACACAAATGAGAATGATAAAAGTTGCTCAATTATGGTACCAGGTATGTATGAGGTACTCAAAAAATATTTGTTGAAGGACTAATGGGATGAAAGCTATGCTTTAATTGCATACCAACTCCCATCCCCCAACCCCAACAGTTACTGTAATACAGAAATAGAAGACATGGATTATGAGAGCAAGTGATTCCCAGAAGCTGGGAACCTGGTGTCAATACTATTGTGGGGAAGAAACAATTTCCTACTAGGTAGAAGCCTCAAAAGGTTTGATCAGGCAGTTTCCCAGTGTGCCTAGTTTCCTCAGGATTCATATATTTAGTGTCTGTCAGCCATAGGGTTGTTCACACTCTACCGATTGCTCCCATCAAGGATTCTGTAGGTTGCTGCTGCTGAAACTAAAAGTTACATGGGAGCTGGGGGTGAGGCACTAAATAGGAACAAAAATAGTTCTTTTCCCCTTCAAAATTGAAAATAGCAAGTTGAGTATCAGTTAAGAGTTCAGACACAAGAATGGGGCTGACCTAAATTTGAAATCCCATTCTGGTACTTAACTAACTTCATGATCTTAGGTATGTTTCTGACCTTTCTTGCATCAGTTTCCTTCTATGTAAAATGAGGATAATTGCTATCCTGTTCAGGTGTCGTAAGGAGATAATTAATGTATGCAAATTGATTAGCACAGTGCCTGGCATTCCATTGGCATACAGTAAAAGGAACTACTATGATTATTTGAATAATTACATAAGTATCACAACTATTAGGGACCAAATCTTAAAGCCCACTTTACTTACTCATGAGAAGTATAATGACCCTAAAAGTATCAACAGTTTATGGTCCAGTGATGTCAAATCTCAGGCTTGTAAACTATGAGAGCCTTCTAACAGTTCGTATGACTTCAGGTGTAGTTTAGAGAGAGTTTGAGGAGGCATAGCAAAGTTGTATCAAAACAGCATTTTTATTTTTAACTGCATTTTACAACATTTTTGTTTATTTTTATGTGGTTTAGTTTTCTATTAAAACTCCTTCATTTTATATGTAGGTTTTAGTGACAGTTACATAAAGGACTGTAATAACAGTTGTATAAAATAAATTATATATAAGGATTAGGTCTGGAAGGGAACATGAAAAATAACAAAGAGTTGTATCATCAGGAACAATAACTTATTTTTTAAAATTAACTTTAATGTAGAATTGTTAATTTGGCAATAAATAGTGTTTTAAGTATATTTAGGTTTAAAGAAGGAAAGACACTCACTGGCATATTAGACAGTTTTACTTACGCATAATTTTAAAAAGAAATCAAAATGCACGTTGTTCTTGTATTTCCTTTAAAACATGAAACTGGAAGAAGAGGTCAAATACCCCAAATCACTAAAGACGTGTATATTGATTTTAAATAAACAACATTCTTTGATTTTTGTTTTTAAAATGGAGTACGTTGTTTTTCCTAAATACATCAAAACAAGGACTACAGTTTTATCCATTTCTTCTTCCTGAGATCCACATCCCCAAGCTTTGGTTCCATTTGTACACTTACATGATCATTTCCCTACCATCACTACCACCAACAACCCACACCTGAAAGTAAAGAGAGTACTTCTTAAAAACTTTCTGTAAAGTTTATCCCTCTCCTTTTCTTTTTAAAATCCTCAATGGTACCCAAGTGGCTATAGGATAAAGTACAAATCCTTATTTAATGTATTATTCATGGTCTTCCACAATTGGGCTTCTCTTTCTTCAATGTTGGCTCCTAAAACCTCATAGTAAACGAAACGTCCTTTCCATATTGTTTCCTCAACCTAGCATAATTTTGCCCTCTCTGTTTCCTAGCTATTCTTCAAGGAACACTTTGAGACCAGCATCCTGAAGAAAATCCCTCTCTTTCTCTTCGGGCCCTCGGGATTTCTGATTTCAGCACCTCCCCTGCATACCTGTGTACCTGAACATTCTTGGACCTGAGTACTTGCTGCCTGATGCATGGCCTAGATCTCTATCCTGATGTAGGTGCCTCCTCTTCTCCCCAGCCAGCAGAGAAGGTGCTCATCAATGTTTGTTGATGATGATGGAACAATTTTTCTCAACAGAGCAGCTATTAAGAAAAACATTTGATGGAGAAATAGCCCTAATTTTTTTCTTTAATGTGCTCTAAGCACTTACCTACAGTTTCAGTTTAAAGCGTACAATTGTGTTATTTGCTACCATCTTACTTGTACTTGCTCTTAAATCCTTTTTTTCACCTATGTGTGATCTTCTCTACAGGAATCTAAGCTCTCCAAAGGCAAGACTCTGACCTTTTGTTTTTCTTCATCTTGCATAATATTGAACTTGGCAATGTCAACCTAGAGTTTCAGTCAAGCCTAGTTGTCTAAGCAACCACAAGTGATCAAGAAGGGGGTTATGGACAGTATCTGAAAGGGGAAGGGTCTCAGCCAAACTCCCTAGATGACTTTTTCTAACTCTGATTATTTTCATTAGCAATTGTGCATCTAGTAGCTTGGCACAAAGATATTTTTTCATAAAAGTTGTAATGCCCCTCTTTGTGGGTGTGTGAGTGGGACTCAGTGGTGGTGGAATTTTTTGCAAGACAAGGTATATTTGAAATAGAATGTAATTAAGCCTGAAATTCATTTAACCAAGGAGAGCTTTCCAGAGGGATTGAGATTGGTAGTGGGTTTGAGAAGCCAGTGTGTGATAGTGGAAAAAGTCCTGGACTAAAACTCAGGAAACCTATTCAGGTATTGCATCTCCTTAAACCTTTAGCCTTAATTTTCTCATCTGTAAAATGAGAGGGCTGATGTTGCTAACATTGTAGAATCTCAGAATTCTTAAGGAGCTTCATCAGATACTAAAACCCCTTCTCCAACATCTTCATCAATGGGCCACAGATTCTGTTTTTATATTCTGTGAACTAGACCTTGCAACCTGTCTAGGAAGCCCATTTTCATTTTCTGCAGCTCAAACTCTTGGGAAGTTTTATTTTCTCAAATGATCTTCCTAGCTGAAAACTCTTTCAGTTGGATGAGATAATTGGGGTAATCTGGCAGATCAAATTGGAGGCCACATCAGGCATGGGAAAATAGATGGTGCGGTAGAAAGGGGAAAATCAACAACCCTGAAGGAAGGGAGTTCACAAAAGAAAGCAGGGAAGGCAAGGAAGAGGAGAGAAAAAACTTCAGCTATGACACAGAGACAGTCAAAAATGCAAGTAAAATGTGAGGATGAAGCATGTCTTGGAGAAGCTGCAAAGGCCAGGAGGATCAGAATAAAACTACTTTTCACTGGCATGGTGTGGGCCATGAGGGTCCTCTGTGGCAGGAGCAGCTACTCCCATATCCTCTATTTTCTTAATACATCACTGAGCACATATCAGCTCTCAAGGAAATCTGAAACCTAGTTCACAACCCCTGGTGCTGTGTGTAAATTATCAGGATTGCTTCCTGCTGGGATTTCTTTGTCTAAGTATCTAAATGAGTACGAACCTTGAAATATTCTAACAAATTCATTTTCAGCAAAACCTCCTATCACCCAAAGTGCAACTTCTCAGCCTGATAAGAACAATGATCAATGAACACTTGGATTCACAGTAGTTATTTCTGCCTTCAGACTACCCTTTTCTCTTGTCACAGTTTTCATCACCCTGTTGACACTGTCCCTGAGTCACTTGCCGTCTGAATGCACATACCAGCTGCGTGGGAGGCAGTCTCTAGAGGTGCTGAGGGAAGACAGCCTGAAATGAAATATTTGCTCCAGCAATTTTAACAGGGCTGCCTGAAAGGTGGTGAGGCTGTATGGATGCCTGGGAGAGGGAGCAGGAAAGAGAGAGGGAGCTAACATTTATTGAAACCCTTACTGCTATGATCCAGGTGTAGTGCTAAATTCATGAATCTTCTCATTTACTCTCCACAAAATTGCTTTAAGCTGAGTGTTATTATTATCCCCATTTCACATTCATTTATTCATCCATTCAGTAAACACATATCATATACCTTCTCTGATGTGAAACTGAACCCAGGAGATGGAAAGACGATTGGAGGGCACAGAGCTGGTACCCTGTCTGTTTGCCCTATTCTGTGCTGAAATAAGAGTATCAAAATATGTCACTGGTGATCAGATGTGTAAAAGCAGTTTTGTTTCCTATCTCCTGAAAGTGATAACACAAATAGTAATAATGCAAAATAAATCAATTGATTACAAGTGGGCTCTGTAGGTGTATTAGATAACAGGACAAAGTAACTAGGAGTTTGGCAACTCATCACTTCATTGAATGATATTGTAGATAGTTCCACTGGAAATGGGGAAGACCCATGTGTCTTCCAATACACTGCTCTGCTTTGTAAGTGTGTATATTTGGTTTTTTTTTATTTTGTTTGTTCATTTTTTCATACAGAGTCCTGCTCTTTCACCCAGGCTGGAGTGAAGTGGCATGATCTTGGCTCACTGCAGCCTCTGCCTCCAAGGTTCAAGCGATTCTCATGCCTCAGCCTTCCAAGTAGCTAGGATTACAGGCTTGTGCCACCAGGCCCAGCTAATTTTTGTATTTTTGGTAGAGAGGTGTTTTGTTATGTTGCTCAGGCTGGTCTCAAGTGATCCACCTGCCTTGGTCTCCCAAAGTGCCGGGATTACAGGTGTAAGCCACCGCACCCTCCAAGAGTGTATATTTGAACCTATTTCTTTGACAAGCCTATCTCTGAGGAAGTTCCTCTGGTCCCTACCTAAATCCTCTGGATTGACTTCCAAAGAACTAGTTTGACTGGATTCTTCTCTCACTTGCTTTAGGTTTATGTAGATGCAACTAGGAAATTCAGTAAAGTCAATGACTGCTTTTGCCTCTCCCCAGCTCTGTGAGGGAACATCTTAGAGGTCATCATGTTGTTCAGGCCCAAGTTACCCAGATTGCAATCTAAACTTGAAGGTGCAATAAGCCTTGGCACAGAAAACTGACAACTGCTGCTCATAACTCTTCTCTCCCTGTCATGAGGCCTCACGAGGCTAACACTGATTCTAGCCATATTGTGTTAACAAGCTCATAAAGCTGTGGGGTGAGTGAAATAAAACCTAATGCCTCCTCTTGCCTTGCAGCTGAGTCCTAGCCATGGCCAGTCACTGTGATGTTTGTTCGGGGATTTGGTGGAAGTTGTAAGTTCCTTTCCCCTTCCTTCCCAGCTCAACTAGAATCAAGGATCTGTGAGTATAAGAAAAAGCTAGGGTTTAAACCAGTTTCCAGGATACTGAAGGCAACAGTCCCATTAAAGAGGGCTCCAGGTTAAGGAGGAGATTGATCTCAGATGTTACCACTACAGTCCTCAATGATTGTAAGGATAGGGGCTACTTTTAATTTCTCTAAACCTTTAGAATGCTGATAGAAGAGGAGTAAGGAGGCCAGGACTGAGCGGGGGAGATGGGCATGGTCAGGGAAGAAAGACAGATGGTATGTATGTACTGTTGTCCTTGAGTGGGTAAGGGGAGCATAAAGAACATGAGGCCTCTGAGGGACCCTGAGTGGGATGGGGACTGCTTCTGTCTTGAAGAAATATTAAATACAGGTTAATATTTGCAAAGTGGCTACTATGTATTAGGCTCTATGTCAAATGTTAGACACACTTTTTTAATTCCCGTCAACTTTATGAATGAGCTATTATTACTTTGATTGTGTAGATCACAAAAAAATGAAGTTCAGAGACCCAAGCACACAGCTAGTGTGTGGCTGCTATAGCCTAAATCTTTGTGTTCCCCCAAAATTCATGTCATATGTTGAAACCTAATCTCCAATGTGATGGTATTAGGAGGTGGGACCTTTGGGGGGTGATTAGGTCATGAGGGTAGAGCCCTTATAAATAGGAGTAGTACCCTTACAAAAGAGGACCAGAGAGCTTCTTCAACACTTCCACCATGTAAAGATATAGCAAAACAAAACAAAACAAAACAAAACAAAACAAAAAAAAAGTGGCCATCTACGAATTATAAAGCAAGCCCTCACCAGACAATGAATCTGCTAGTACCTTGGTCTTGGAGTTCCCAGTCTCCAAAACTATGGGCAATACATTTCTGTTGTTTATAAGCTATCCAGTCTGTGGTATTTTGTTATAGCAGACTAAGACAGTAGCAGAGTCCAGAGAGAAACCCGTATGTCTCACTTTAATAGTTCTTTTCACTAAATCAGCTGCCTTTAAGAAAAGGAAGCTAAAAATGCTGAAGCATGCACACCTCCTTCCAGAATCCCATAGTCACCACTGGGACAACAGGAGGCAAAAGTGGACAGTAGAATAGAGGTGGGATAAGGAAAGTAGGGTAGCTGCAGAATGCTGAATGAATTCAGGCAGCTAAGCATCCTCCCACTCCTCAATGACCTCAGGATTCCAAGGAATAACATAGGCAAAGGCCAAGGGAGTTTGCACTTAATAATGAAGTAGCAGGAGCAAGAGTGATGTCATTAGCATACTACTTTCCTGGTTGTTTTCACACTTCCTGCTGCAGGAAGAGAGTCCCTCACATCTCAAGATGCTGGCCTAATGAGAGTACGTACCACAATACAGCAAAGGGCTCTTAAATCAATAGTGCTTTCTGGCACACACCTCCTTGGTAAGCGCTTTTGCAAGGTGGACATAAAAATAAAGGTGCAATGTAATATTTAAGAATAACCTTTAGCTATTAAGCTGATTTCCTATCAAGCTGTTACCTTTGCTATAGAAGCTTACTAATTTACACTGGCATAAAATCCCAAAAAGCAGAAAGGCAGGTACATCATGCAACACACCATACACAGGCTGCCAAGGGAAGTGTAAGGGGAATATAGGTAGGGAGGATTTGTAGCTTTGTAATTCAGGAGACACACCATTAACAACATCAGTCTCTGACTTTTCACTGTCCTAATAAACAGTGGTAAAAAGTTGGTTGCTTTTCCGTGTTTCTACATTTATATGCTTGCCCATTACTCCAAATGAAACAGTCAGCTACAGACTTTTTAGTCCCTACTAGGAACAAGTGAAATTTAAAACACTTTATAAATAAGCCCAACTCAGAGAGCTGGTATCAGAAAATGAAAACTTTTTTGTGCTTTTTACCAATCAGTTCTTCATGCAGAATACTATCTAATCTAACAGGCACTCTCATTTAAAAAATATTTTCCTAGCAAGGAAAAAATTCTTCACATGGTAAATTATAATCTTTCTAGCTTTATATTCATAGATCTTCCAGGATTTCTGGTACAGCACATTCAATAAAATTATGTAGCATTTTCTTTTAGTAGGCAGAAGTGGCAAGTCCTGAATCCATCCTTAGTCCTTCAGGTGGCCTAATGAGCAGGGACATATGAAACAACTTTCCTATCCCTGAGCACTTCTGCCATAGTTTCACTCAGATACTTAAAACAAAAATCAAATGTGCAATGGTTAAGAAGCATCTGTTTGCCTGTTGTAATCCTCTATGCAAATAATACAAACTACCATCAGAGAAACTAGACCTCTATGCAAATAAACTAGAAACACTTTTTAATAAAGTTTTTTCTATTTCTTGTAAATGTGTTTAAGTTCCTTATAGATGCTGGATATTAGACCTTTGTCAGCCAATATTTTATTGAACCAAAGGATTATCAGATTCTATAGTGCTTATTAACAAATGCTTCCCTCTCCCTCCCCCTCCCCCTCTCCCCGGTCTCCCTCTGATGCCAAGCCGAGGCTGGACTGTACTGCCGCCATCTCGGCTCACTGCAACCTCCCTGCCTGATTCTCCTGCGTCAGCCTGCCGAGTGCCTGGGATTGCAGGCTGGAGTGCAGTGGCGTGATCTCGGCGCGCTACAACCTCCACCACCTCCCAGCCGCCTGCCTTGGCCTCCCAAAGTGCCGAGATTGCAGCCTTTGCCCGGCCGCCACCCCGTCTGGGAAGTGAGGAGCGTCTCTGCCTGGCCGCCCATCATCTGGGATGTGAGGAGCCCCTCTGCCCGGCCACCCAGACTGGGAAGTGAGGAGCGCCTCTTCCCGGCCGCCATCCCGTCTAGGAAGTGAGGAGTGTCTCTGCCCGGCCGCCCATCGTCTGAGATGTGGGGAGCACCTCTGCCCAGCCGTGACCCCATCTGGGAACTGAGGAGTGTCTCTGCCTAACCGCCACCCCGTCTGGGAGGTGAGGAGCGTCTCTGCCCAACCGCCACCCCATCTGGGAGGTGAGGAGCGTCTCTGCCCAGCCGCCCCGTCTGAGAAGTGAGGAGCCCCTCCGCCTGGCAGCTGCCCTGTCTGGGAAGTGAGGAGCCCCTCCACCCGGCAACTGCCGCATCTGGGAAGTGAGGAGCCCCTCCACCCGGCAGCCGCCCCGTCTGGGAAGTGAGGAGCGTCTCCGCCCAGCAGCCGCCCCATCCAGGAGGTGGGGGGGCAGCCCCCACCTGGCCAGCCACCCCATCCAGGAGGGAGGTGGAGGGCAGCCCCCGCCCGGCCAGCCGCCCTGTTCGGGAGGTGGGGGGCGCCTCTGCCCAGCGGCCCCATCTGGGAAGTGAGGAGCACCTCTGCCTGGCCGCCACCCCGTCTGGGAGGTGTACCCAACAGCTCATTGAGAACGGGCCATGATGACGATGGCGGTTTTGTCGAATAGTAAAGGGGAAAATGTGGGGAAAAGAAAGAGAGATCAGATTGTTACTGTGTCTGTGTAGAAAGAAGTAGACATGGGAGACTCCATTTTGTTCTGTACTAAGAAAAATTCTTCTGCCTTGAGATGCTGTTAATCTATAACCTTACCCCCAACCCCGTGCTCTCTGAAACATGTGCTGTGTCCACTCAGGGTTAAATGGATTAAGGGCGGTGCAAGATGTGCTTTGTTAAACAGATGCTTGAAGGCAGCATGCTCATTAAGAGTCATCACCACTCCCTAATCTCAACTACCCAGGGACACAAACACTGGCCACAGGGTCCTCTGCCTAGGAAAACCAGAGACCCTTGTTCACATGTTTATCTGCTGACCTTCCCTCCACTATTGTCCTATGACCCTGCCAAATCCCCCTCTCCAAGAAACACCCAAGAATGATCAATAAATACTAAAAAAAAAAAAAAAAGAAAGAAAAAAAATAAATAAATAAAAAAGAAAAAAAAAAAACCACAAATGCTGAATTTCCCTCCAGAAAGATTTCATCGACTTACAGTCCTACTAAACATGTATGAAAGTAATTATTTACAACATTTTCCCCCTGGCAACACTGTCAAAACTATATATTTTCAATTTTGGTGCAACTTGATATGAAAAAAGTAGTAACACATTATTGTTTTAATTTGTTTTTCATTTATTATCTGTTGGGTTGAACATTTTTTATATTTTTCAGCCATGTACTTTATAAAGTTTTAATTGCCAGATTATATTATTCGTCTGTTTCCTTTTTGGCATACTGATTTTTTACTTATTGATTTCTGTGTGTTGTTTATATATTAAGGCTTTGTCTTTTCTCATGTATGTTGCCAATGTTTCTCTTATTTTATAATTGAAACTTTTTACAATAAGTTTGTTAAGCAGTTTAATTTTTATATTGTTGAATCCACTAATTCTTCTCTTCTTTTTCCATTTTTTGGTAATAATGAAAGAAAATCATCACAAAAATCTTTATACTAATTAAGTTAAACATGATCTAAAATATTCATATCCAGAGAGTATAAAGAGCTAATTAGGGCCTGGAAAGAAACACAGAGACTTTCTGGGGATAATATCCTACCAGGAACCTTTGCAGGTCTAATCAAAATAAGCTTTATTGCTCAGATTAAGTATGGGCTGTTTAATTGTTCTGTCCCAAACCAGATCAGTGAGGACAGTCTAAGAAAATGTTCATCCATTGGAGAACTGGTAGAAGCTATAGAAAGGGGGCCTTGCAGAAGCTTGGAACCTAATTTAAACCCTTTGAGCAACATCAATGATTGAATCTCAAATATGCAGCATACACAAGGCCGCTTGACTTGATGAAGGTCTCAACAAATTTAAAATAATCAAAACCATATAGTGTCTTCTCAGGCCACAATATAATAAAACTAGAAATTAACAAGAGGAAGTTTGGAAACCATACGAATATGTGGAAATTAAACAATATGGTACTGAATGACCATTGGGTCAAAAGGGAAATTAAGGAGGAAATTTTTTTGTAAAAAAAAAATGAAAATGGAAATACAACATACCAACACCTATGGAATACAGCAAAAACAGTACTGAGAGGATAGTTTTAGCAATAAACACCTACATCAAAAAGTAGAAAGGTTTAAAACAATCTGTCAATGCACCTCAAAGAAGTAGAAAAGTAAGAATGAGCCAAACCCCAAATTAGTAGAAGGAAAGAACTATTAAACATCAGAGCAGAAGTAAATAAAATACAGACTAAAAAAACACAAAAACAAACAAAATCAAAGTTTGACTTTCTTAAGGATAACAAAATTAATAAATTGCTAGCTAGACTAACCAAGAAAAAAAGAGAGACAACCCAAATAAAATCAAATATTAAAAAGGAGACACTACAACTGATACCATAGAAATATAAAAGACTATTAGAGATCATTATGAACAACTACACACTAATGAACTGAAAAATCTAGAAAAAATAGATAAATTCTTGGACACATACAACCTATAAAGACTGAATCAGGAAGAAATAGAAAACCTGAACAGATCAGTAATGAGTATTAAGATTGAATCCGTAATAAAAAGTCTCCTAATAAAGGAAAGTCCAGGACTATGACTTCACCGCAAATGATACCAAAATTTTGAAGAAGGCCTAACCTCAATTTTCCTCAAACTTGTCAGAAAACTGAAGAGAAGGAAATTCTCCCTAACTCATTATATGAGTCTAGCATTATCCTAATAACAAAACCAGAAAAGGACACAACACAGAAAGAAAACTATAGGCCAATATCCCTGATAAACATAGATACAAAAATCCTCAACAAGATTCTAGAAAACCAAATTTAAAAGCACATCAAAAAGATAATATGCCATTATTAAGTGGGATTTACCCCAGGGATGCAAGTATGGTTCAATATATGCAAATCATTAAACATGATATATCACATCAACAGAATGAAGAGCAAAAACCACATGGTCATTTAAGTAGATGCAGAAAAATATCTCATAAAATTCAACATCTCTTCATGATACAAACCTTCAAAAAACTGGGTATAGAAGGAACATACATCAACACAATGAAAGCCATATATGAGAGACCTACAGCTAATATCATACTGAATAGGGAAAATCTGAAACACTTTCTTCTAAGAAATGAAACAAGACAAGGATGCTCACTTTCAACACTCCTATTCAACATTGTACTGGAAGTCATAGCCAGAGCAATCAGGCAAGACAAAGAAACAGAATTCATCCAAATAGGAAAAGAAGAAGTCAAACTTTCCCTCTTTAAGGTGACATGATATTGTATATTGAAAAATCTAAAGACCACCATAAAACAACAGATGCTGGAGAGCATGTGGAGAAATAGGAATGCTTTTACACTGTTCATGGGAGTGTAAATTAGTTCAACCATTTTGGAAGACAGTGTGGTGATTCCTCGAGGATCTAGAACTAGAAATACCATTTGACCCAGCAATTCCATTACTGGGTATATACCCAAAGGATTATAAATCATGCTACTATAAAGACACACGCATATGTATGTTTATTGCGGCACTATTCACAATAGCAAAGACTTGGAACCAACCCAAATGTCCATCAATGATAGACTGGATAAAGAAAATGTGGCACATATACACCGTGGAATACTATGCAGCCATAAAAAAGAATGAGTTCATGTCCTTTGCAGGGACATGGATAAAGCTGGAAACCATTATTCTCAGCAAACTATCACAAGGACAGAAAACCAAACACTGCATGTTCTTATTCATAAGTGGGAGTTGAACAATGGGAACACATGGACACAGGGAGGGGAACATCATACACCAGGGTCTATTGGAGGGTGGGTGGCTGGGAGAGGGATAGCATTAGGAGAAATATCTAAAGTAAATGATGAGTTGATGGGTGAAGCAAACCACCATGGCACATGTATACCTATGTAACAAACCTGCACATTGTGCACATGTACCCTAGAACTTAAAGTATAATAATAAAAAAAACACCAAAAAACTCTTAGAGCTGACCAATAAATTCAGCGAAGTTGCAGGATACAAAGTCACCATACAAAAACAAGTAGCTTTTCTATATACCAATAATGACATAGCTGATAAAGAAATCAAGAAGCCAAGACCATTTTCAATATCTTTAAAAAATAAAATGTCAAGGAATAAATTTAACCATAGAGATTAAAGACCTCTACAAGGAAAGCTATACAAAACACTGATGAAATAAATTGAAGCGAACACAAACCAATGGAAAGATATCTATGCTCACGGACCAGAAGAATTAATATTAAAATGATCATACTGCCAAAAGCAATCTACAGATTCAATGCAATTCCTATCAAAATGCTAATATCATTTTCCATAGAAAATGACTTTTTTTCTGTTTTCCAAATAGAAAAAAATTCATTTATAGGGAACCAAAAAAAGAGCCCAAAGAGACAAATTCACCCATGCAAAAGGAGCAAAGCTGCAGGCATCATATTGTCTGACTTCAAACTATATTACAAGGGTATAGTGAATAAAACAGCATTATATTGGTATAAAAAGAAGACACATAGACAATTGTAGCAGAATAGATTGCCCAGAAATAAATCCACACATTTATGGTCAGTTGATTTTCAACAAGATGCCAAGAAGCCAAGAACACACAATGACTGTCTCTTTAATAAATTATATTGGAGAAATTGGATGTCCACTTGCAGAAGGATGAAACTGTACCTCTAGCTTTCACCATATACAAAAATCAACTCAAAATCAATTAAAGGCTTAAATGTGAAGCCCGAAAGTGTGAAACTACTAAGACAAAATATAGGCAAAATGATTCATTACATTGTACTGGGTAAGGATTTTTTGGATAAGACCTCAAACAAAAAAAAAAGGCAACAAAAGCAAAAATCAACAAATGGGGTTACATAAACATAAAAAAGCTCTGCACATCAAAGGAAATAATCAATAGAGTGAAGAGCCAACCTACAGAATGGGAGAAAATATTTGGAAACTCCACTTTTGTCAAGGGGTTAATATCCAAAATATATAAGAAACTCGAACAATTCAACAGCAAAATAAAACATGTGGTCTGACTGAAAACCTAGCAAAAGACCTGAATAGAAATTTCTCAAAAGACAGACAAATGACCAACAGATGTGTGAAAAAATGCTCAACACCACTGAACATCAGAGAAATGCAAATCAAAACCACAATGAGATTTCACCTGACTCCAGTTAAAATAGCCTGTATTAATCTGTTCTTACGCTGCTAATAAAGACATGCCTGAGAATGGGTAATTTATAAAGGAAACAGGTTTAATGGACTCACAGTTCCATATGGCAAGGGAGGCCTCACAATCATGGCTGAAGGAAAATGAGAAGCAAAGTCACATCTTACATGGTGGCCAGCAAGAGAGCTTGTGTAGGGGAACTCCCATTTTATAAAGCATCAGATCTCATGAGACTTATTCACGATCACAAAAACAGCATGGGGAAGACTCACACCCATGATTCAATTACCTCCTACTGGGTCCCTTCCATGACATGTGGGAATTATGTGAGCTATAACTCAAGATGAGATTTGGGTGAAGACATAGCCAAACCATATCATAACTATTATCAGAAATATAAAAGATAACAAATATTGATGAGACTGTCGAGAAAAGTGAATCCTTGTATATGGTTAGTGGAAATTTAAATTAGTACAGCTGTTATGGAAAACAGTATGGAGAGTCCTTAAAAAATTAAAAATAGAACTACTATATGATTTGGCAATCACACTACTGGTGGATATATAATATATATGTATATATATTATATATGCATATATATTTGCATATATATGCAAAAGGAATGCAATAGCCATTTGAAAGATCACAAGCTATACTTCCAGTTAAGAGATTCTTTCTCATTAAGGGTAAAAAAAGCTTTGAAAATTTAATGAAAACATGTGTTCTTACTGTTTCCCATCAGGAAATAACTGCTACCTACCGTGAAAAGGAAAAACAAACCAAACAATAAAAGATGGCTCACTCTCTATTAAGAAATCTGAATATCTTTTGAGAGCAGGCAGTACAGTTAAATGAAGCCTACATGTAAAGAAATTTTAAGTACGGAAAAATTAAGTACAAGTTTACTGAGGCTTTAACCAACATTTTATTTGACTACAAACCATGTGTATGTATGTGTGTTTGTGTGTGTGTATGTGTGTGTGTCCATATATGTCAGAGAAAGAAAGAAAAAGGGAGAAGACAAAAAGCCTAGGGGTTATTTCCATGTTCTAGCACTTTGCAACCCCATGCTTTTGTTAGTGCTCTGCTTTCTACTATGAATGTGTTTCATTCATTCATTTATTATTTCAAGAAATGTGTACTCAGAGGCTAAAATGTGCCTGTACTGTTAAGAAAAAACACCTGTTCTCTTGGAGCTTACATACCTGTTGGAAAGAAAGACAATAAAAAACTAATAAGCAGAATAATTAAAGACTTAATAAAAAAATCCAAAGGAAATAAGTAATTGCAAAAGGCCAACTTAACAAATAGTGGGTTGGGAAGGTGCCCATAAGAAGATGCCTTTTCAACTGAGATCTGAAGGATGAGAATTGGGACATCCCAGGCAGAGAAAATGGCAAACACAAAACTCTTGAGGTGGAGAAGGCATCCAGAGCATAAAGAGTTGGTGCTAGCTAGAATACAGGGGGTAAGCAGGAAAAGTAGTAAGAGATGAGATCAGAGATAGACAAAGACCAGATCACGTAAAGCTTTGTAAGCAAATATGCTGGAAAGCCACTGAAGGATTTGAAAAAGGAGTATGAGACATTTTTATTTGAATTTTTAAAATATTACTCTAACTGCTGAGTGATGTAAATCCTTTGGAGTAAGGAGTCTAGGAGCCTAGGACAATAATGCAAGCAAGACTTTTATATTCTGCTTTTCTACCTTATGTGTACAGAATATCTTTTCATGTCAAATGCTGTAAATCTTTACCATTTTGAATGAGTGCAAAGCATCCCATTGTATTTCTACAACAAAATTTAGTCAATTACTACTCTATTTTTTAATATATGGGCTATTTCCAACATTTTACTATTACAGTACTAGAATGAACACTAATAACATCAATAATTGGGAGATACTATTCTGACTTATACTGCTAGCTTCACCACACAGGATCAGTTTTGGGCATATTCTGTAGCATATCCTAAATCAGTAGTTGGTAAACTATAGGCTGTGGGCCAAATCTGGCCCTCCAGTTGTCTTTGTAAATAAAATTTTATTGGGGCATACCTAGATGTATTCATTTCCTTATCATTTATAACTAATTTTGCTCTGCAATAGCAGAGTTGAGTAACTGCAATATAGATAATGTGGTCAGCAAAGCCTAAAAGAATTAATTTCTGGCCATTTACAGAAAACCTTTGCTAATCCCTCCTTTAAAGTATTAATTTATTAGAGAACCATACATAGGTAGAGATGAATGAGATATTTCCCAATTTTTGAGAAGCTTAGAGTATAATAAGGAAGCTCAGATATGGATGCAAATAATTGCCCAATTCCCCAGATACTTGGTTAGAAGATTTCTTAGCTGCTTCCTCTGTGTGCCCACTTGAAATCAGTGAGGCTATAGAAAACTTGAACACCATCAAACAACATAACCTTGCTCAAGGAGCTTTCTACAATGCCAGTTATGCTCTACTTTATGATATACACACTTTGGTGCATTTTTAAGCACTCCACCCACCCACATATTGGAGCTCCTTAAGAGGAGGGATGATGCTACTTATAGAGAACAGATAGTGGTCTGTAGTTTCCTAGTCTTAGAACGTCTTTTTTTAAAAAAATCAGGGTAATGCTGGCCTCATAAAATGATTTTGGAGGTGTTTCCTTGTTCTTTATTTTCTGAAATAAGTTGTGTGATTGATATTATTTCTTGCTTACATGTTTGGCATAATTCATCAGTGAAGAAAAGAGGGCTATCATTTCTTTGTTGGAAGGGGTTAACCTACAAATTCAATTCTTTTAATGGAGATAGTGATACTTAGATTCTATATTTCTTTAGTCAGATTTTATAATTTGCATCTCTTAGAGAGTTTTTCCATTTCACCTAAGTTGTTAAAATTATTGGTGTATATTTGTTCATAATATACTGTTATTTTCCTTTTGAAATCTATAGGATATCTAATGAGTCTGCACTTATTCCTGAAACTGAGAATTTGTGGTCTCTTTTTTTTTCTTGATCACTTTGACTAGAAACAACTTTTGGTTTTAGTATTTCTCCATTAATTGTCTGTTTTTTGAAAGTTCTTTGCCTTCCTCTTTGTCTATCTTATTTCCTTTTTTTACTTACTTTGGATTTAACACATTCTTTTTTAGCTTCTTACCATGGAAGCCCAGATTTTGAAACTTTATTTTCTAATGTATCCATTCAATGCTATAAATGTCTTTCTAGGCACTGCTTTAACTACATCGCACAAATAATAATATGCTGTGCTTTTTGTTTTCATTCAGTTCAAACATTTTTCAGTTTCCCTTGTGATTTCTTCTTTGACCTGTGGTTTTATGGAAGTGTGATGTTTGTTTACAAATAACTTAGTATTTCTCAAATAACATTTTAATTACTTTGTAGTTTGTTTTTTGGTGGACAGAAAACATACTCTGTACTGTTTAAATATTTTTAAAGTTAGTTAGACTTGATTCATGACCCAGAATATGATCTATCGATGCTTCCACGTGTACTTGAAAGAAATGTGCAAGTTGCTGCTAATGGATGTTGTGGCATTTAAATGTCAGTAAAGTTAAATTGTTTGATGGTGTTTAAGTTTTCTGCATCATCGCTGATTTCTTTCTACTTGTTTAACCAGTTACTGAGAGAAAAATGTGGACTTCTCCAAGTAAGATTGTACTTGTGTCAAATTCTTGTTTCAGTTCTGTGTAGTTTTCTATATAATTAGATAAATATTTATGATTGTTTTTGTCTTCCTGATAAATCAACCCTTTTATCATTATATCATGTCCCTCCTTATCACTGGCAAGTATTCCTTGTTTTGAAGTACACTTTGGTATTAATATAGCTCTCAAACTTTTTATGATTACTACTTGCATGGTATAACTTTTTCAATCATTTTACTTTTAATCTATGTTGATGTATTAAAAGTGTGTCTCTTATACAGAGCATATGGTTGAGTCTGCCTTTTTTTTAAATTAATTTGACAAACTCGCCCTCTTAATTGGTGTGTTTAGACTATTTACATTTGATCCAACTATTCATATGAGTGGGTTTAAATTTACCATATCAGTTTTTTTAATATATGCTCCGTTTATTTTTTTTCCATTTTTTCTTCTTTTCCTGTTTTCTTTTGGATTGAGAGTTTTGTTTTTGTTGTTGCTTATAGTTTTTGTTTTTGTTCTGTTTTAGGATATATTTTTCTTCCATATTGGTTTATTAGTTTTAGTTGTTACTTTTTAAATTGTTTCTCTAGGTTTTACAATATGTACTTTTAAGTTATCCTAGTCTACTTCAAATAATATTACATAATTTAATGTATAAAGTAAGAACCTTACAACGTTTCCCCTAAGACATTTTGTTATTCTTTTCATACATTTTACTTGTATACATATTTTCCATTTCACAATATATTGCTGTTTTTACTTCTTTAAACAACTATTTTTATTCATTTTTTAATAATGAGAAAACATTTAATATTTTCCAGCACTCTTTATTTTCCTGTATAGATAGAGTTCTAATAGGTACGAAGTTCCTTCAACCTGAGTACAATTTCTTATATTGCAGGACTTTCAGTGATTAATTCTCTCAGCTTGTGTTTGTCTGAAAAAACTGTCTAGATTGATAGGTGTTTTTTCCTTCAACATTGTTTTTGATGCAGAATCAGTGTTTATCTTTCTTTTCCTGTATGCAGTGTTTCATTTTGCTTCTCCAATATGTAATGTGACTTTTTTCCCTCTAACTGCTTTTAATAATTTCTCTTTATTACTGCTTTTCAGCAATTTGATTATTATGTACTTTGTTGTGGTTTATTTCATGTCTTTTACTTTTTGGCCTGTGTAGGTTTAACTCGTATCTGTAGGTTTATTCTCTACAACAAATTTGGAAAGTATTTGGCTATTATTACTTCAAATATTTTCCTGGACTCTCACCATTTCTGGAACTATGATTATACATCTGCTTCATCTCTTGATATTGTCCCGCAGATCATTAAAGTTCTGTTCATCTTCTTTCTGTGCTTCAATTTGTATAGTTTCTACTACTAAGTGTTCAAGTTCAATGATCTTTTCTTCTATAGGGTTTAATATGTTCTTAAGACTATCCAGTGAATGTTTAATTATAGCTATTGCATTTTTCAGCTCTAGAAGTTCAATGTAGTCCTTTTTTATAGATTCCATTTCTCCTCATTATATATATGTTTTATTTAAATTATTTAACGTATTTGTAATAGCTGTCATCTTTGTGATATGGTTTGGATGTTTGTCCGACCGAAGTCTTATGTTGACATGTAATCCCCAGTGTTGGATATGGGGCCTGGTAAGAGGTGTTTGGGCCATGGGGGAACATACCTTATGGCCTAGTGCTGTCCTTGTGATAATGAGTGAGTTCTTGCAAGATATGGCTGTTTAAAAGTGTGTGGCACCTCCCCACACCCTCTCTTTTGCTCCTGCTCTGGCCATGTGAGGTGTCTGCTCTTGCTTTACCTTCTATCATGAGTAAAATCTCCCAGCGGCCTCCCCAGAAGAAAGCAGATGCCGATACCATGCTTGTATAGCCTGAAGAACCATAAGTCAATTAAACCTCTTTTTTTTAATAAACTACACAGCCTGCTATTTCTATATAGCAATACAAGAATGGCATAACACACTTTATATGTTAATTCCATCAATGTTATTTCTGAATCTGATTTTTTTTTTTTACTAATTTTCCCCCGGTTGGCATTACATTTTTCAGATTCTTTGTAGGCCGGTTAATTTTTGATTGGCTGATGGACACTGTGAAAGTTGTCTAGTGTCCACATTTTATTGTCCTCTTTCAATGGGGAACTTGTTTTGTCAGTTATTTTACTTGTGAATTAGCTTGATAATTTCATAGCTTTTTAAAACCTTTGAATTGGATCTGGAGTCATTTTAATACTAGGACTATTTTAGTTTCACAACTAAGGTGAGATCGTTTGGGAGGTGAAGTCAGTTGTCCAAGGTCATGCAGCTAGGAAATGGCAGAGCCAAGATTGAAGTCCAGGTATGTCTTGACAAGAGCCTGTGTTCCTAACCAATATGATGCCCAAGGATAAAGCTACTGAAGGGCTTGGTTGATGGCATGGGCAGGGCCTGCTGGAGTTCACAGAGGCTATCAGTTTGATCTAGGATGGTTAGATAAGACCTTTCTGGAAGGAGAGTACTTGATCTGGCCCTTAATGGCAGATGGAATTCAAACAGGCAGGGAAGACAGTACAGAGTTTTCTTTTCAGGGACTATTCCAGAAGCACATATATAGAAACAGCAATGCTCAAGACAGAATTGTTTTATGAAGTGAGTTGTCCAGGGGGGTCAGGTTGAATAGAGTGGAAAAAAGGCAGAAAAAGTAGCAATGAGGGCTAATTCTGTCACTCTCTAGTGATGACAAGTGGGCATAGCCAGTTTGGGGAAGCTCTTTGCTAGTTCTAGATTCACCTGGACCCACATGGCAACTTCCCAAAGCTTTACTGGAGAAACCTGAAGAATATAGAGCCACCTAACCTATTACCCAACTGGATTCACATTCAGTGGCTAGTGGGAAATCCATAATATACCATTTCTAGTCTAGTCTTTTGTAAAGCGAAAAAAAAAAATTCTTTGAAAATGCAGCACTTATGCAAATGTGGTATTACTATCAGATACCAAATGTGCATGGCCATCTGCTATGTTGTCAGAGCTGAGCTCAGAAATCTCTCCACTCCAAAACTCTACATAAAGCCTTCAAATACCTATCAGATTATGTACTATCAACAGGCTTTAAGAAGGCTGAGGATCCATTCTATGACCATTGAAGAAAAATCCATGTGGGCATAATGATTATTAATGGATTTTCAATTAATTAATGGAGATCTGAGCTTAGACCTTGCACACCAATTCTGCTCAGCCATCTGCTCAATATGCGTTGTCATAGCCTGGGAACTCCCTCTGGCTTTCCCCATATACTCAGAGCCTAGGAGGTGGAAACACAGATTCACCCATTCATGCATTCACTCAATCAACCAGCAGCAAATATCTATTGAGTGTCTATTATGTGCCAGATACAGCTCTAGGAGTTAAGGATATAGTTATGAACAAGACAAAGTTCCTGACTTCATAGATCTTACATTCCAGTGGAGGGAAATAGTAGCAAATTGATGTAAAATGTAACATCGGGTAGTGATAGTGCATAAAAAAATTAAGCATGGTAGAGAAATAGAGAGTGACTAGCGTGTTAATCCAGATAGACTAGGCATGGAAGGCCTTTCTGATGAAATTGCATCTAAGCAGAGACCTGTAGGAAGCAAGGAAGTGAATGTTGAATGTGTCTGGAAGAGTGTGCTGTGAGCAGAAGGAACATAAATGCAAAGTAAGTATCCAAATTAGAAGCTTACTTGGCACATTCAAAAAAGAGCAAAGAGAACACTGTGTTTTGGGCACAGTGAGAACGGAGGAAAGTAGGAGGGGATTGTCAGGCCTCTGAGCCCAAGCTAAGCCATCATATCCCCTGTGACCTGCATGTACACATCCAGATGGCCGGTTCCTGCCTTAACTGATGACATTCCACCACAAGAGAAGTGAAAATGGCCTCTTCCTGCCTTAACTGATGAAATTGTCTTGTGAAATTCCTTCTCCTGGCTCATCCTGGCTCAAAAGCTCCCCTACTGAGCACCTTGTGACCCCCACTCTGCCCACCAGAGAACCCCCCTTTGACTGTAATTTTCCTTTATCTACCCAAATCCTATAAAATGGCCCCACCCTTATCTCCCTTTGTCAGGCCTCTGAGCCCAAGCTAAGTCATCATATCCCCTGTGACCTGCACATACACATCCAGATGGCCAGTGCCTGCCTTAACTGATGACATTCCACCACAAAAGAAGTGAAAATGGCCTGTTCCTGCCTTAACTGATGACATTGTCTTGTGAAATTCCTACTCCTGGCTCAACCTGGCTCAAAAGCTCCCTCACTGAGTACCTTGTGACCCCCACTCCTGCCTACCAGAGAACAACCCCCCTTCTTCCTTTACCTACCCAAATCCTATAAAATGGCCCCACCCCATCTCCCTTCGCTGACTCTCTTTTCAGACTCAGCCCACCTGCACCCAGGTGAAATAAACAGTTTTATTGCTCACACAAAGCCTGTTTGGTGGTCTCTTCACACAGGCGCACATGAAATTTGATGCCGTAACTCGGATCAGGGGACCTCCCTTGGGAACATCAATCCCCTGTCCTCCTGCTCTTTGCTCTGTGAGAAAGATCCACCTACGACCTCAGGTCCTCAGACTGACCAGCCCAAGAAACATCTCACCAATTTCAAATCCGGTAAGTGGCCTCTTTTTACTCTCTTCTCCAACCTCCCTCACTATCCCTCAACCTCTTTCTCCTTTCAATCTTGGTGCCACACTTCAATTTCTCCCTTCTTTTAATTTCAATTCCTTTCATTTTCTGGTAGAGACAAAGGAGACACATTTTATCTGTGGACCCAAAACTCCGGCGCCGGTCACGGACTAGGGAAGGCAGACTTCCCTTGGTGTTTAATCATTGCAGGACACCTCTCTGATTATTCACCCACGTTTCAGAGGTGTCAGACCATGCAGGGATGCCTACCTTGGTCCTTTACCCTTAGCGGCAAGTCCCGCTTTTCTGGGGAAGAGGCAAGTACCCCAACCCCTTCTCTCCGTGTCTCTACCCCTTCTCTGCCTTTCTGGGGGGCAAGAAACCCCCAACCCCTTCTCCTTCACCCTTAGCAGCAAGTCCCGCTTTTCTGGGGGAGGGGAAATTACCCCAACCCCTTATATCTCTGCACCCCGATCCCTTATTTCCATGCCCCAACCTCTTATATCTCTGTGCCCCGATCCCTTATTTCTGCATCCCAACCTCATATCTCTGCACCCCAATCCCTTGTTTATGCGCCCTGACTTCGTATCTCTGTGCCCTGACCCCTTTCCCACTTTTCTGGAGGGTAAGAACCCCCGAACCCCTTCCCTGCATGTCTCTACTCTCTCTTTTCTCTGGGCTTGCCTCCTTCACTATGGGCAACCTTCCACCTTCCATTCCTCCTTCGTCTCCCTTAGCCTCTGTTCTTAAGAACTTAAAACCTCTTCAACTCTCACCTGACCTAAAATCTAAGCATCTTATTTTCTTCTGCAATGCTGCTTGACCCCAATACAAATTTGACAGTAGTTCCAAATAGCCAGAAAATGGCGCTTTCAATTTTTCCATCCTGCAAGACCTAAATAATTCTTGTCATAAAACAGGCAAACAGTCTGAGGTGCCTGACGTCCAGGCATTCTTTTACACATCGGTCCCTTCCTAGTCTCTGTGCCCAATGCAACTCATCCCAAATCTTCCTTCTTTCCCTTCTGCCTGTCCCCTCAGTCCCAACCCCAAGCATCACTGAGTCTTTCTAATCTTCCTTTTCTACAGACCTATCTGACCTCTCCCCTCCTGGCCAGGCTGAGCTAGGTCCCGATTCTTCCTCAGCCTCTGCTCCTCCACCCTATAATCCTTTTATCACCTCCCCTCCTCACACCCGGTGCGGCTTACAGTTTCGTTCCATGACTAGCCCTCCCCCACCTGCTCAGCAATTTCCTCTTAAAAAGGTGACTGGAGCTAAAGGCATAGTCAAGGTTAATGCTCCTTTTTCTTTATCCCAAATCAGATAGCGTTTAGGCTCTTTTTCATCAAATATAAAAATCCAGCCCAGTTCATGACTCGTTTGGCAGCAACCCTGAGATGCTTTACAGCCCTGGACCCTAAAAGGTCAAAAGGCCATCTTATTCTCAAAATACATTTTATTACCCAATCTGCTACTGACATTAAATAAAACTCCAAAAATTAAATTCCAGCCCTCAAACCCCACAACAGGATGTAATTAACCTCGCCTTCAAGGTGTACAATAATAGAAAAAAGTTGCAATTCCTTGCCTCCACTGTGAGACAAACCCCAGCCACATCTCCAGCACACAAGAACTTCCAAATGCCTGAACCGCAGCGGCCAGACATTCCTCCAGAACCTCCTCCCCCAGGAGCTTGCTACAAGTGCCAGAAATCTGACCACCAGGCCAAGGAATGCCTGCAGCCCAGGATTCCTCCTAAGCCGTGTAGCATCTGTGCGGGACCCCACTGAAAATCAGACTGTTCAACTCACCTGGCAGCCACTCCTAGAGCCCCTGGAACTCTGGCCCAAGGCTCTCTGACTGACGCCTTCTCGGATTAACGGCTGAAGACTGATGCTGCCCGATCACCTTGGAAGCCCTGTAGACCATCATGGATGCCGAGCTTCAGGTAACTCTCACAGTGGAAGGTAAGTCCGTCCCCCTAGTCAATATGGAGGCTACCCACTCCACATTACCTTCTTTTCAAGGGCCTGTTTCCCTTGCCTCCATAACTGTTGTGGCTATTGACGGCCAGGCTTCTAAACCGCTGAAAACTCCCCCACTCTGGTGCGAACTTGGACAACACTCTTTTATGCACTTTTTTTTAGTCATCCCCACCTGCCCAGTTCCCTTATTAGGCCGAGATATTTTAACCAAATTATCTGCTTCCCTGACTATTCCTGGACTACAGCCACGTCTCATTGCCGCCCTTCTTCCCAGTCCAAAGCCCCCTTCGCCTCTTCCTCTCATATCCCCCCACCTTAACCCACAAGTATGGGACATCTCTACTCCTTCCCTGGCAACCAATCACATGCCCATTACCATCCCATTAAAACTTAATCACCCTTACCCCGCTCAGCGCCAATATCCCATCCCACAGCACGCTTTGAAAGGATTAAAGCCTGTTATCACTTGCATGCTACAGCATGGGCTTCTAAAACCTATAAACTCTCCGTACAATTCCCCCATTTTACCTGTCCAAAAACCAGACAAGTCTTACAGATTAGTTCAGGATCTGCGCCTTATCAACCAAATTGTTTTGCCTATCCATCCTGTGGTGCCAAACCCGTACACTCTTTTGTCCTCAATACCTTCCTCCACAACTCACTATTCCGTGCTTGATCTTAAAGATGCTTTTTCCACTATTCCCCTGCACCCCTTGTCCCAGCCTCTCTTTGCTTTCACTTAGACTGACCCTGACACCCATTAGGCTCAACAAATTACCTGGGCTGTACTGCCACAAGGCTTCACAGACAGCCCCCGTTACTTCAGTCAAGCCCAAATTTCATCCTCATCTGTTACCTATCTTGGCATAATTCTCATAAAAACACACGTGCTTTCCCTGCTGATCATGTCCAATTAATCTCCCAAACCTCAATCCCTTACAAAACAACAATGCCTTTGCTTCGTAGGCATGGTTAGTGCGGTCAGAATTCTTACACAAGAGCCAGGACTGCACCCTGTAGCCTTTCTGTCCAAACAACTTGACCTTACTGTTTTAGCCTAGCCCTCATGTCTCCATGCAGTGGCTGCTGCCACCCTAATATTTTTAGAGGCCCTCAAAATCACAAACTATGCTCAACTCACTCTCTACATTTCTCATAACTTCCAAAATCTATTTTCTTCCTCATACCTGATGCATATACTTTCTGCTCCCCGGCTCCTTCAGCTGTACTCACTCTTTGTTAAGTCCCACAATTACCATTGTTCCTGGCCCAGACTTCAATCCGGCCTCCCACATTATTTCTGATACCACACCTGACCCTCATGACGGTATCTCTCTGATCCACCTGACATTCACCCCATTCCCCCATATTTCCTTCTTTCCTGTTCCTCACCCTGATCACGCTTGATTTATTGATGGCGGTTCCACCGGACCTAATCGCCACACACCAGCAAAGGTAGGCTATGCTATACTACAAGCCACTAGCCCGCCTCTTAGAACCTCTCATTTTCTTTCCATCGTGGAAATCTATCCTCAAGGAAATAACTTCTCAGTGTTCCATCTGCTATTCTACTACTCCTCAGGAATTATTCAGGCCCCCTCCCTTCCCTACACATCAAGCTCGAGGATTTGCCCCCACCCAGGACTGGCAAATTAGCTTTACTCAACATGCCCTGAGTCAGATAACTAAAATACCTCTTAGTCTAGGTAGACACTTTCACTGGATAGGTAGAGGCCTTTCCTACAGGGTCTGAGATGGTCACCAGTCATTTCTTCTCGTCTGTCAGACATAATTCCTCAGTTCAGCCTTCCCACCTCTATACAGTCTGATAACAGACCAGCCTTTATTAGTCAAATCAGCCAAGCAGTTTTTCAGGCTCTTAGTATTCAGTGAAACCTTTATATCCCTTACAGTCCTCTGTCTTCAAGAAAAGTACAACGGACTAAAGGTCTTTTAAAAACACACCTCACCAATCTCAGCCACCAACTTAGAAAGGACTGGACAATACTTTTACCACTTTCCCTTCTCAGAAGTCAGACCTGTCCTCAGAATGCTACAAGGTACAGCCCATTTGAGCTCCTGTATAGACGCTCCTTTTTATTAGGCCCCAGTCTCATTCCAGACACCAGACTAACTTAGACTGTGCCCCAAAAAAACTTGTCATCCCTACTATCTTCTGTCTAGTCATACTTCTATTCACCATTCTCAACTAATCATACATGCCCTGCTCTTTTTTACTCTGCCGGTTTACACTGTTTCTCCAAGCCGTCACAGCTGATATCTCCTGGTGCTATCCCCAAACTGCCACTCTTAACTCTTGAAGTAAATAAATAATCTTTGCTGGCAGGACTATGCTGAATCTCCTTAGGCACTCTCTAATCAGATGTCCTGGGTCCTCCCAATTCTTAGTCCTTTAATACCTGTTTTTCTCCTTCTCTTATTCCGTTTAGTTTCTCAATTCATACAAAACTGTATCCAGGCCATCACCAGTAATTCTGAATGACAAATGTTTCTTCTAACAACCCCACAATATCACCCCTTACCAGAAAATCTTCCTTCAGCTTAATCTCTCCCACTCTAGGTTCCCACGACGCCCCTAATCCTGCTCCAAGCAGCCCTGAGAAACATCGCCCATTATCTCTCCATACCACCCCCAAAACATTTTCACCGTCTCAACACTTTACCACTATTTCGTTTTATTTTTCTTATTAATATAAGAAGACAGGAATGTCAGGCCTCTGAGCCCAAGCTAAGCCATCATATCCCCTGTGACCTGCAGATACACATCCAGATGGCCGGTGCCTGCCTTAACTGATGACATTCCACCACAAAAGAAGTGAAAATGGCCTGTTCCTGCCTTAACTGATGACATTGTCTTGTGAAATTCCTTCTCCTGGCTCATCCTGGCTCAAAAGCTCCCTCACTGAGTACCTTGTGACCCCCACTCCTGCCAGAGAACAACCCCCCTTCTTCCTTTACCTACCCAAATCCTATAAAACGGCCCCACCCCATCTCCCTTCGCTGACTCTCTTTTCGGACTCAGCCCACCTGCACCCAGGTTAAATAAACAGCTTTATTGCTCACACAAAGCCTGTTTGGTGGTCTCTTCACAGGGATGTGCATGAAATTTGGTGAAAAGGGGGGTTGTTCTCTGGCGGGCAGGAGTGGGGGTCACAAGGTACTCAGTGGGGGAGCTTTTGAGCCAGAATGAGCCAGGAGAAGGAATTCCACGAGACAATGTCATCAGTTAAGGCAGGAACAGGCCATTTTCACTTCTTTTGTGGTGGAATGTCATCAGTTAAGGGAGGAACCTGCCATCTGGATGTGTATGTGCAGGTCACAGGGGATATGATGGCTTAGCTTGGGCTCAGAGGCCTGACATTCCTGTCTTCTTATATTAATAAGAAAAATAAAATGAAATAGTGGTAAAGTGTTGGGACAGTGAAAATTTTGGGGGGTGGTATGGAGAGATAATGGGCGATGTTTCTCAGGGCTCCTTCGAGTGGGATTAGGGGCGGCGTGGGAACCTAGAGTGGGAGAGATTAAGCTGAAGGAAGATTTTCTGGTAAGGGGTGATATTGTGGGGTTGTTAGAAGAAACATTTGTCATTTAGAATTATTGGTAATGGCCTGGATACAGTTTTGTATGAATTGAAAAAGTAAATGGAATAAGAGAAGGAGAAAAACAGGTATAAAAGATCTAAGAATTGGGAGGACCCAGGACATCTGATTAGAGAGTGCCTAAGGAGATTCAGCATAGTCCTGCCAGCAAAGATTATTTATTTACTTCAAGAGTTAAGAGTGGCAGTTTGGGGATAGCACCAGGAGATATCAGCTGTGACGGCTTGGAGAAACAGTGTAAACTGGCAGTGTAAACAAGAGCAGGGCATGTATGAGTAGTTGAGAATGGTGAATAGGAGTATGACTAGACAGAAGATAGTAGGGATGACAAGTTTTTTTGGGGCACAGTCTAAGTTAGTCTGGTGTCTGGAATGAGACTGGGGCCTAATAAAAAGGAGCGTCTATACAGGAGCTCAAATGGGCTGTACCTTGTAGCATTCTGAGGACAGGTCTGACTTCTGAGAAGGGAAAGTGGTAAAAGTATTATCCAGTCCTTTTTACGTTGGTGGCTGAGCTTGGTGAGGTGTGTTTTTAAAAGACCATTAGTCTGTTGTACGTTTCTTGAAGACAGAGGACCGTAAGGGATATAAAGGTTTCACTGAATACTAAGAGCCTGAAAAACTGCTTGGCTGATTTGACTAATAAAGGCTGGTCTGTTATCAGACTGTATAGAGGTGGGAAGGCTAAACTGAGGAATTATGTCTGACAGAAGGGAAGAAATGACTGCGGTGGCCTTCTCAGACCCTGTAGGAAAGGCCTCTACCTATCCAGTGAAAGTGTCTACCTAGACTAAGAGGTATTTTAGTTATCTGACTCAGGGCATGTTGAGTAAAGCTAATTTGCCAGTCCTGGGTGGGGGCAAATCCTCAAGCTTGATGTGTAGGGAAGGGAGGGGGCCTGAATAATTCCTGAGGAGTAGTAGAATAGCAGATGGAACACTGAGAAGTTATTTCCTTGAGGATAGATTTCCACAATGGAAAGGAAATGAGAGGTTCTAAGAGGCGGGCTAGTGGCTTGTAGTATAGCATAACCAGCCTTTGCTGGTGTGTGGTGATTAGGCCTGGTGGAACCGCCATCAATAAATCAAGCGTGATCAGGGTGAGGAACAGGAAAGAAGGAAATATGGGGAAATGGGGTGAATGTCAGGTGGATCAGAGAGATACCGTCATGAGGGTCAGGTGTGGCACCCAGAATAATGTGGGAGGTCAGATTGAAGTCTGGGCCAGGAACAATGGTAATTGTGGGACTTAACAAAGAGTGAGTACAGCTGAAGGAGCCGGGGAGCAGAAAGTATATGCGTCAGATATGAGGAAGAAAATAGATTTTGGAAGTTATGAGAAATGTAGAGAGTCAGTTGAGCATAGTTTGTGATTTTTTAGGGCCTCTAAAAGTATTAAAACAGCGGCAGCCGCTGCATGGAGACATGAGGGCTAGGCTAAAACAGTAAGGTCAAGTTGTTTGGACAGAAAGGCTACAGGGTGTGGTCCTGGCTCTTGTGTAAGAATTCTGACCACACTAACCATGCCTAGGAAGGAAAGGCGTTGTTGTTTTGTAAGGGATTGAGGTTTGGGAGATTAATTGGACATGATCAGCTGGGAGAGCACGTGTGTTTTTATGAGAATTATGCCGAGATAGGTAACAGATGGGGATGAAATTTGGGCTTGACTGAAGTAATGGGGGCTGTCTGTGAAGGCTTGCAGCAGTACAGCCCAGGTAATTTGCTGAGCCTAATGGGTGTCAGGGTCAGTCTAAGTGAAAGCAAAGAGAGGCTGGGATGAAGGGTCCAAATAGTAAAGAAGGCATGTTTGAGACCCAGAACAGAATAATGGGTTGTAGAGGGAGGTATTGAGGATAGGAGAGTATATGGATTTGGCACCATGGGGTGGATAGGCAAAACAATTTGGTTGATAAGGTGCTGATCGTGAACTAACCTGTAAGCCTTGTCTGGTTTTAGGACAGGTAAAATGGGGGAATGGTAAGAAGAGTTTATAGGCTTTAAAAGGCCATGCTGTAACAGGCGAGTGATAACAGGCTTTAATCCTTTCAAAGCATGCTGTGGGATGGGATCTTGGCATTGAGCTGGGTAAGAGTGATTTGGTTTTAATGGGATGGTAAGGGGTGCATGATCAGTCGCTAAGGAGGGAGTAGAGGTGTCTTATATTTGTGGGTTAAGGTGGGGAGATACAAGGGGAGGATGTGAAGGAGGCTTTGAACTGGGGGAAAAGGTGGCAATGAGGTGTGGCTGTAGCCTAGGAATAGTCAGGGAAGCAGATAATTTAATTAAAGTGTCTCAGCCTAATAAGGGAACTGGGCAGGTGGGGATAACTAAAAAGGAGTGCTTAAAAGAGTATTATCTAAGTTGGCACCAGAGTTGGGGAGTTTTAAGAGGTTTAGAAACCTGGCTGTCAATACCCACAACAGTTATGGAAGCAAGAGGAACAGGCCCTTGAAAAGAAGGTAATGTGGGGTGGGTAGCCTCCGTATGGATTAAGAAGGGGACGGACTTACTTTCTACTGTGAGATTTACTCAAAGCTCGGCATCCGTGATGGTCTGGGGGCTTCCGAGGTGATCGGGCAGTGTCAGTCTTCAGCCGGTAAGCCAAGAAGATCTGGGAAGGAGTCAGTCAGAGAGCCTTGGGCCAGAGTTCCAGTGGCCTGGTGAGTTGAACAGTCTGATTTTCAGTGGGGTCCTACACGTATGGGATACGGCTTAGGAGGAATCTTGGGCTTTGGGCATTCCTTGGCCTAGTGGCCAGATTTCAGGTACTTATAGCAAGTTCCTGGGAAAGGAGGTTCTGGAGGAACCCCTGACAGCTGTGATTCAGGCGTTTGGAGTTCTTGTGTGCTGGAGCTGTGGCTGGGGTTTGTCTCACAGTGGAGGCAAGGAATTGCAACTCAGAAATACGTCGCTACTTGGCTGCCTCTACTCTATTATTGCACACCTCGAAGGTGAGGTTAATTAAGTCCTGCTGTGGGGTTTGAGGGCTGGAATTTAATTTTTGGAGTTTTATTTAATGTCAGGAGCAGATTGGGTAATAAAATGTATATTGAGAATAAGACGGCCTTTTGAATTTTTAGGGTCTAGGGCTGTAAAGCGTCTCAGGGTTGCTGCCGAACGAGCCATGAACTGGGCTGGGTTTTTCATATTTGATGAAAGAGCCTAAATGCTAACTGATTTGGGAGAGGTCAGATAAAGAAAAAGGAGCATTTAACCTTGACTATGCCTTTAGCTTCAGCCACCTTTTTAAGAGGAAATTGCTGGGCAGGTGGGAGAGGGCTAGTCACAGAATGAAACTGTAAACCAGACTGTGTGTGAGGAGGGAAGGTGATAAAAAGATTATAGGGTGGAGGAGCAGAGGCTGAGGAAGAATTGGGACCTAGCTCGGCCTGGCGAGGAGCAGCCTGGGGAGGAGGGGAGAGGTCAGATGGTTCTGTAGAAAAGGAAGATTAGAAAGACTCAGTGATGGTTGGGGTTGGGAATGAGGGGACAGGCAGAAGGGAAAGAAGGAAGATTTGGGACGAGTTGCACTGGGCACAGAGACTAGGGAGGGACCGATGTGTAAAAGAATGCCTGGACATCAGGCACCTCAAACCGTTTGCCTATTTTACGACAAGAATTATTTAGGTCTTGCAGGATGGAAAAATTGAAAGTGCCATTTTCTGGCTATTTGGAACTACTGTCGAGTTTGTATTGTGGTCAAGTAGCATTGCAGAAGAAAATAAGATGCTTAGATTTTAGGTCAGGTGAGAGTTGAAGAGGTTTTAAGTTCTTAAGAACACAGGCTAAGGGAGAAGAAGGAAGAATGGAGGGTGGAAGGTTGCCCATAGTGAAGGAGGCAAGCCCAGAGAAAAGAGAGTAGAGACATGGAGGAAAGGGATTCGGGGGTTCTTACCCTCCAGAAAAGCGGGAAAGGGGTTGGGGCACAGAAATAAGGTGTTGGGGTGCAGACATAAGAGATTGGCGCACGGAAATAAGGGATGGGGGCACAGAGATAAGAGGTCCGGGCATGGAAATAAGGGATTTGGGCACAGAGATAAGAGGTTGGGGTGCAGAAATAAGGGATAGGGCACAGAGATAAGAGGTCAGGGCACGGAAATAAGTGATTGGGGTGCAGAGATAAGAGGTCGGGGTGTGGAAATAAGGGATTGGGGTGCAGAGATAAGAGGTCGGGGCATGGAAATAAGGGATTAGGGATTCTTGCCCCCTAGAAAAGCGGGACTTACCACTAAGGGTGAAGGAGAAGGGGTTGGGGGTTCTTACCCCTCCCCCAGAAAAGCAGAGAAGGGGTAGAGACACGGAGAGAAGGGGTTGGGGTACTTGCCCCTTCCCCTAGAAAAGCAGGACTTGCTGCTAAGGGTGAAGGACCATGGCAGGCATCCCTGCGTGGTCTGACACCTCTGAAACGTGGGTGAATAATCAGAGAGGTGTCCCTGCAGTGACTAAACACCAAGGGAAGGCTGCCTTCCCAGTCTGTGACCAGCGCTGGAGTTTTGGGTCCACAGATAAAACATGTCTCCTTTGTCTCTACCAGAAAATGAAAGGAATTGAAATTAAGAGAATGGAGAGATTGAAGTGTGGTGCCAAGATTGAAAGGAGAAAGAGGTTGAGGGATAGTGAGGGAGGTTGGAGAAGAGAGTAAAAAGAAGCCGCTTACCGGATTTGAAATTGGTGAGATGTTTCTTGGGTTGGTCGGTCTGAGGACCTGAGGTCGTAGGTGGATCTTTCTCACAGAGCAAAGAGCAGGAGGACAGGGGATTGATCTCCCAAGGGAGGTCCCCTGATCTGAGTCACGGCACCAAATCTCATGCGTGTCCGTGTGAAGAGACCACCAAACAGGCTTTGTGTGAGCAATAAAGCTTTTAATCACCTGGGTGCAGGTGGGCTGAGTCCAAAAAGAGAGTCAACGAAGGGAGATAAGGGTGGGGCCATTTTATAGGATTTGGGTAGATAAAGGAAAATTACAGTCAAAGGGGGGTTTTTCTCTGGCGGGCAGAGTGGGGGTCACAAGGTGCTCAGTAGGGGAGCTTTTGAGCCAGGAGAAGGAATTTCACAAGACAATGTCATCAGTTAAGGCAGGAACAGGCCATTTTCATTTCTTTTGTGGTGGAATGTCATCAGTTAAGGCAGGCACCGGCCATCTGGATGTGTATGTGCATGTCACAGGGGATATGATGGCTTAGCTTGGGCTCAGAGGTCTGACAGGGATTAAGTCAGAAAAACAGGCAACCACCTGATTATACAGACCCTTCTAAGGAGTTGTCTTTTACTCTGAGTGAGAAAGAAAGATACCAAAGGGTATGAGCAATGAAGTAAAATGTTACACCAAAGGGTCTGATTCAAGTTTTTGGAATAAGGTATTTTTAAAACTTCCTCAAGTTATTCTAATCTGTGTGTTATCGGCTGAGAATCATTGCTTAGCAAGATTACTATGTGTGCATTTTGAGAAGAGATTTGGAGGAAAGGAAGCAAAGGTGGAAACAGGAACACCGGTTAGGAAGCCAATGCTATAATTCAGGCAAAAGTTCATGACGGCTTGGATGAGGTGATTTGAGAATGAGAAATATGAGGGGATCGAAGTGTCCCTGCCAATATTTTGGCTGCTGCAAAGATGGCGAGGTGTCTAGTGCTCTGCCCCTCTGGATTCCTTCTCTCTATAGCTGGACGAGCTGAGTTCTCACCCTACCCCTCAACTCAGCAAGGCCAGAAAATCATTACCAAATAATACGGAGTATTCTGGTAGTCCTGGTTAAACATGTCAGATACTTCAGCATAAAATCTTACTCTAATCTGATGACAAAGTTCTAGAAACTGAACTAAAGCTCTCAGATCGAACATTGATCTGCCTGGTGTCTGGTTAGCCATGTTCTCCAGCTCTAGATCCCTCCTTGCCTGTCCTTCCCTAAAGTCTAATTTATATAATGGCCACTATTTATTGAGCACTCACCCTGGGCTATGTACTGTTCTAATCACCTTATCTTAACTAACTCACCACTAAAACCCTAGGAGGTAACGGCTATAATTATGCCTGTTATAAGATGATGTAATTGAGAAGGAGAGAGTTTAAATAACTTGCCCAAAGTCATACTTTGTTTCTAGACTAGGATTTAAATCTAGGTCTGTATGACTATGAAGACGTGGTTTTAACCATAGTCAGTGTCCAGTTCTAGACACTGACCTTAGGCCGGACCTGGAAAATGCTGAAAAATATATTGACCTTACTGCCTCTCTGAATCTCTGCCCCGTGTCTGCCTTTCCACATGCGCAATGTACCTCTACTTCAACTGTCCTCAACTCCAAGCCTGTTAAGTGAGCACAGGATACCAGCTTTAATGAAGGGACTATATCTGGTTTCTGGGTACCTGCATTTTGGAATGAGGATAAATATGACTATGACCCTCCCCACTCTCAGGGCAGTATGCCTTCTTCCAGAACAGTGAAGTTTGAGTGTCTCAGTTGAACATTTTCATTCCTTTCAGTGGCATTTTCTCCTGATCCCCTGCGGTGTTCAGTTTGCTTGTACCTCTGAAAAGCCAGCAGAATCATTCAGAAAGGACAAAGCCTCTTCCTCTTTGTAGAGCTAAATTTTACACTCTGGAGAATGTGAATTTCTAAAGGTCTTGACAAAGCCAAAACCCTATCAGCACCTTCCATCTTTCAGCATCTCTGACAAATGGAAAATACTTTCCCCAAGGTTTACCCTTCACCTCCCACAGTTTGATTACACAATCAAAGTCTGTGCACATACATCTTTACATATTAACAATGCATTATATGGTGGTTTATCTGTTTTGCAGCTGATAAAATGCATTTGAAGAGGGAGCTCCTTACTGTCCTCCAAGTGCCTAGGATTGAAAAATAATCTTGGGTAGTTCCAGAACTAGCTGAGTATGTGAGCACATAGAATGCTGGGAAATGCAAGCTGAGCACCATCAAATGATTTATTGAAAACAGCCCTACAGACAAATTAAAAATTGTTCATATAAAATATGAGCAAGGAAAAGTGATTGTAATATAAACTATTAAGAAAACTGGGAGAGGATCTAATTTGTATCTGATATGCGGCATTAAAATGTGATTTATAGATGGATTTTGTAAAGTCCTAAGTTTACTCCTGCTGTAAATATATGGAGAAAGAATCCATTTTTTCCTGCATAAGAAAGAGTGCTCATATGGAAGGGTCACTGTGGTGTTTGTTCAAAAAGCTGCTCTGTGCTTTTTGTTAACAAGTAATGGTTGGATTTTAGAAAATATTTTTACATCTTTTGTCAAAAATTCATGCATGTGTCACAAACCTGATAAAAATCTTTAAGTGTCAAATGAAGTCTGTCACTGGGGTGCCACTTTCTTTGGGGGAGCCAATGCTGGTCTTGGCTGGTTCCTACTGCAGGTGATAGAGATTTGTGGGGTAAGGTTCAGGGAACTGAGACCCTCTGGCTTTCCCTTTAGTAGTCAAGGAAGCTGAGCATATTGGTTAAGGGCTTTCCCTCTTCTGCTCTTTCATAAAAAACAATCTCCAAGCATGTGGTTGGACAAAATGTAATCATTTTGTCATTGGCTGTTTTCTTTTCTTCTGTTACCTCAGGATTTGATGATTCTGGGGACCCTGGAAGATCATTTTCCCTGCAATGGTATATTGTCCCACTACCTTTCAGGATTGTTTTCATCCTACTTTTCTCCACTCCCCCTCTTCCATACCCGAACTAGTAGTTAGTGTGGGCTTAATGAATGCAAATTTATTTCAGTATTTGCCGGAACTAAACAAGGCTAGGAAGACCTATATTTTAACTGACACTGTATTTATAGCAGCTGTAAAGAATGACAGGGCAATACTCAATACTCTGGGAGATAAATTAGCATGGTATTTAAACAGGTTTGAGAATCAGGCAGACCTGGATTCTTATAGGAACTGCATTATTTTAATAGCCCAATTTAGCTTGTACAATTATGATGAAGATTAAATAAGATAATGAATGTAAAATGTTCAGCACCTTCAGCACCATACCTTAAACAGTAATGATAGTGATTATTATTCTGAATAATGCCTTAAAGGTCAGCCTCAGAAATATCTTGCAGCACTGAGCACCTACTGTGTGATAAACATAACATACTCCCTTCTCAAGTTTGTCACAGACTACTAGTGGAGATCACACTTATGTACACGATCTAGAGCATAAGATAGGTAGTGCCAAGTATTACACTGTAGGGGTGGAAAGATATGATCATAAGGCTCATGGATGGCATTCCTATAACAAAATACAGGTGAAAAAGATAAAAGCATGACGTAATTATTTAGCCAGTTTTATGTGACATGGGAGTCTTCAGAATGAAGACCCAAAGATACAGGGAAAACTATCCATTTTTATGCTTAGGTTCAATGAAGAACGGACAGCTGTGTAGAAATATAATTGGGAAGAAAATGATATGATCGAATGCTAGTAAACCGAGAGGTGAAACACAGCAAGGTCAGTTTGTTCAGATTCTCCTCGGTCTCTGGATTGAAACATTTCTTTCTCCTGTGTATGTGGCAAGACCTTTCTGGAATGAGGGTCTTATGACCTATAATCAGACTAGGGTAGGTCAGAGAATTTCTTTATGGCCAGCTCTTAGAAAGGTAGGAGAATGTTAGAATAATAATTTTGTTTTTATGGCTGGCTTTGGGGAAAAGGGATTCTAGTTTCTATGACCCACCTTCAGGAAAAGGAATTCAGGTGTCTATGACTTGCTTCAGGGGAGAATGAGGGGCAGGAGACAAGAGGCCAAGAGACAGTCCGAGAGATCTTTGTTCTGAGACTGCTATTGAGGCCTTCCAACATCCTTTAATGCAAAATACTCCTTTAATGCAAAATACTCAGCATGCCAAAGTGCCATACTTTGGGGTATGGTTTTCTAGGTCCCAAAATACAGTAGTCTCCTCCATCTGTAGTTTCACTCTAAGTGGGTTAGTTACCCACAGTCGCCTGCAGTCTGGAAATATTAAATGGAGAATTCTAGAAATAAACAATTCATGAGTTTTAAGTTGCACAACATTCTGAGTAACATTATGAAATCTCACACTGTTCTACTCTGTCCTGCCTGGGATGTGAATCATCCCATCATCCAGCGGATACTTGCTGTAGATGCTACCTGCCCATCAGTCACTTAATATCTTTCTTGATTATCACATTGAGTGTGCAGGTATCGCAGTACTTGTGTTGAAGTAACCCTTATTTTACTTCATAAGGGCCCTGAAGTGCAAAAGGAGTGATGCTAGCCATTTGGGTGTGCCAAAGAGAAGCCATAAATTCCTCCCTTTAAGTGAAAAGGTGAAATTTCTCAACTTAATAAAGAAAGAAAAAAGATATACGCTGAGGTTGCTAAGATTTATGGTAAGAACAAATATTCTGTCCGTGAAATTGTGAAGAAGGAAAAATAAATTTGTGTTAGTTTTGCTGTGTCACCCTAAACTTAAAAAGTTACTGCCATAGTGCATGATAAGTGCTTAGTTCAGGTGGAATAGACATTACATTTGTAGGTGGAAGCCATGAATAGAAGCATGTTCTGATTGACAGCAACATGTTGCACCAGAAAGCATTGAGCTTATATGAAGACTTCAGCAAGGGATTTCCCAAAACTAGTGACACCAAGCCATTTATGGCAAGTAAAGGATGGTTACGCAGATTCAGGAATAGATTTGGCCTGAAAAAGACATAATTTACTGGAGAGGCTGCATCTGCCAACAAAGAATCTGCTGCCACATTTGGCTGAGTTGAAGAAGTTGATTAAGGAGAAAGGATACCACGCAAAGCAAGGTTTCAATTGCGATGAAGATGCCCAACAGCACTTAACATTCATAAAAGTGCAAAGGAGGCACCAGGGCATAAAACGTGGAAGGGCAAATTAACTCTGGTACTGTATGGCAATGCATATATAGACATCAGTATTATCCACGGTTTCAGGCAACCACTGGAGATATTAGAACTTATCCCTTGTGGATAAGCGGGGACTACTCTATATGAAGAAGTCACAGAAAGAGCTGAAAAGAGAGGGTAAAGGAGGGGAAGGAAGGGGCAGTAAGGGAAGAGGAAAGGCAGCCAGCACCACTTACCAGAGAAAAAATTCATGGAAGAGGCAACAATAGACCTCAACCTTGAAGGATGAATAATGTCTTAGATAATTTGTGGAACATCAAAGGACTGATATCATAATAAATAATTTGGCTCTAGACTATATCTTATAAATTGTTATATGCTCCCATAGTGCCCAGCACAAAGGAGTTGTATTATCAGTATTTGTGGAATGAATGAAAACAGGTTTTAGAGTTTTGTGAGTGGAGAGAAGGGAATTGCATGATGTGAATGGTTATTTTGGATAGGTATAGTGATGACAGGGAGGCATTTCTTCCAATTTAACCTAGTATTCAAATGCACACAACTCCCTCTCATCTGCCCAAGCATTCAGGGGCTCTGGTATTCCTCAACCTGATCACTCCAGGATATATCCACTTCTCATGGAGATTCATTCATTTTGTTCACCACTCCTCATGACCCTGTTTTTCAGAAATATAGTGGCCTGAATAATGATCATCGATGGCTCAAGTATCACTTTTGTTCCTCAAAGGTACTGGGATTTACCCTTGCAATATTTTGTAGGATTCCATCACATATTCTGAAGTCAAAGCTATGGTTGTCCATATGCTTAAGCATTTTCTGTTTAAGAACAATGTCATGGAATTCAAATAGCCATGTCTCTTTTCTCTATCAAATGCCAGATCATGACATTTACCTGCATTGTTGGTTGCTCCTCTTGTTAGAATTACAGGCTTTTGTAAGTGACCTAGAGATCATCTAGCATTCAAACGTATCTTCCTCATTTTACATAAAAAGAAACTGAGGCTCAAAAAGAAAAAAGCTTTTTGCCCAAAGTCATAAGAAGTCATGACAGGACCGAAGCCAGCACATATCTATTTCTCATCCGCTTTTTTTCTTCTTGTATCATGTAATTGGGGTTACTAACATTTTTTCATTCCTCTCGTTAATTCATACTTTTCCCTAACCCAATGCTCACCTATGCCACTGGAATATATCCTGGCAAAATAATCAATTCTAAGATGTTAGTAATGCTATCTGATACTTAGCGCTCCAGTGTGAGAATCTTAATGGCCTCCAAAGCTTGGCTACTGTGGATGTGAATGATCATTTAAGAGCCCCTATTTGCCAAGAGGGCTTCAGAAAATTATTCTTTGGAGATTAGTATAGTTAGCAAACTTGCAAATAGCTGGGTTCAAGATTTAGCTTTGAAACTTAATCTCTAAATGACTGTAGGTAAGTTAGTTAACTTCTCAATGCTCCAGTTTCCTTATCTATAAGATGAAGATGATGAAAATTTATTCAGAGGATTGTCTTGAGAATTAAATATAATAATGTGTGTAAAGAACTCAACAGATGGAAAGGAAGCCCCATCTGTACCTAATATACATAATTTAGATGATGAGATTTTGATCTCTTAGCTGACGAGATTTAGATGAGATTTTGGATTTTCAGCTGACAAGTGGATAAAACTTAGATTTAGATGATGAGACACCAGGCTGATGCTACGATGGGATGAAACTCGTAGGAACATGGTGAATGCATTTTGCACTTAGAAGGGATGTGAGTCATTGGTGGCCAGAGGGAAGACTATGGTTGGCAAAACTCGAAGATGGTCTCCAATATTTCTACCAATTGCTATATAATCCCTCTCCTTGAGTGTGGGCAGAATCTGTGAATATGATGTGTGTCACAACCGTGATTAGGTTATGTTATATGGTAAAGATGAAAAAATACACTTTGTAGATGTACTAAAGTCGTCAATCAGTTTGACTTTGAGTTACTCAAAAGAGAAATTATTCTGGGTGGGTCTGATCTAATCGGAGGAGTCTTTTACAAGAAAGTATAGAAATCAGAGACAGAAGAAATTTCTCTCTTGCCTCCCATGCTTCCCAGCAGACTTGACCTTTCATGACTTTTTAAAAGTGTCTCTGGTGTCTAAGGACCCAGCCCTGCTCTGTCTGAACTCTACTTAGAGGTAGAACCCTACAGAGTTCTACTTGGAGGTCATAGCTTTCTCCAAGCAGCTCTGTCCCTGTAGCCACAGCTACTCAAAGGTTGATGCTAAATATTTTATTCTGGAAGACTGTTCTCTACCTTCCCTACAGTAAGGCGTTAGAGTCCCTCTAGCTATCCTAGCATTAAGCAGCTCTAATTAAGTACCTTGGAGACAAGATGTCATCCTCTACTCAGCGACTTTCAGTGGCATTGTTGACAATTTCATAATAGGTATGTCATGGAGGAGTGACAACTCCTAAGGGTGCTGTCCTATTACTTCAATACCTATTCTCTAGTGTCTCAAAGTAAGTACGACACAGTATGGGCCATATGTTACTCTTAGTGTTTTCAGGAGCCTGTATGGTCTTGGGCTGAAGCTAGTGGTTGGATCTTCTCCATCCGATTCAGAAGACACAGACTAAAGGCATGATATAGGCAGCACTACAGACTATATAGAGAGTGCTGACTTCTCAATTGGCCTCAGAGCTCCACAAGCAGGCTTATTACTGAAAATAAAGAAATTCAGGCTTACTCAATTAGGTTAATTAACTTAATCAAGTGGCAGAGCCAGGTGAGTCAGACTCTAAACCCCATGTCTTTAACTATATAATCATTATAGTGTGCAACCTGCTCTTTTGGGTTATGGAAAATTTGGCCCAGGAATTTGGAGATTTAATTCTGCTAGTAACGACATCATTAATTTACTGTGCATTTATGCACATTTTGGGGAAGTTTTGTCACTCTGTGAATCTCAATTTTCCCATCAGTAAAAATGTGGGAAAGGAGGAGACTGCTATGTAAGATGACCTTCAAGGGGAAATTCCAGCTCTGCTGTTCAAATATTTTATCAAATATACATTGAGTCTTCAAGTTTTCCTGCCTATATTGGAGTATTGTGCTTTGTTATCGTAACTGCTCAAGGACCCAAGGTTATTACTAATTTTACTCTGTAGAATATGTTAATGAGACAGTGGAAATTGATGGTTTATCTCAGGTTGTGATGTATTATTTGTTGTTCAATCAATACATATTTGCTTAGTGACTATTCTGTCCAAAACAATAGATTTAGTGCTGTGGGGAATTCAGAGGAGTAGAGGAAATATCACCTGCTCTCCTAAAACTCAGTACTAAACAGGATATGAGAATCAACTTTATATCTACACTCTAAGGCAGCAACACATAAGAAACATAGGATAAATAATAGGGAAATCAGCTGGGGCAGTGGCCAATGCCTTGGTGGCTTAAGATGCTTGAGATCTGGATTCTAGACACACCTTAAGTCATCAATTTACTGTGTTATTGTTGCAGGACACTTCTCACTGGACTTCATCTTTCTTTCTTTCTTTCTCTTTCTCTTTCTTTCTTTCTTTCTTCCTTCCTTCCTTCCTTCCTTCCCTCCCTCCCTCCCTCCCTCCTTCCTTGCTTCCTTCCAAGAGGTAAGGCCTTTCTCTGTCACTGAGGCTAGAGTGCAGTAGCTGGATCATATCTAACTACAGCCTCAAACTCCTGGGTTCAAGTGATTCTCCCACCTCAACCTCCCCAGTAGCTGGGACTACAGGCACACACCACCACATCCAGCTAATTTTTGTATTTTTGTAAGGATGATGTCTCACTGTGTTGTCCAGGCTGATCTTGAACACCTGGCCTCAAATGATTCTCTTCCCTTGAACTCAAAAATTGTTGGGATTACAAGAGTCAGCCACCACCCCCAGCCCAAGGGCCTGATTTTCTAAACAGTGAGAAACTTGGGCTAGATAATACTTGAAGGAATTTACAGTGTTGCCATTATGGGATTCTAGAAGATGAGATAGATCATTGTCTTAGTCAGTTCAGGCTGCTAAAACAAAGTACCATAAACTGGGGAGCTTATAAATAACATAAATTTATTTCTCACAGCTCTGGAGATTGAAAGTCTGAGATCTGGGTGCCAACATGGTCAGATTCTGGGGTGGGCTCTCTTCCAGGATGCAGAGAGGCAACTTTTCCTTGTGTCCTCCTCACATGGCAGAAAGAGAGCGAGCTAGTTCTCTGGCCTCTTATTATAAGGGCAATAATCTCATTCATAAGGGCCCCACCCCACCCTCATGAACTAATTACCTCTCGTTTGGCCTTACCTTCAAATATGATCCAATTGGGATTAGGGTTAGACACATGAATTTTAGGGGTACACAAACATTCAGCTTATTGCAATAGTTTTTGGTGAAGAATGGAAAAAAGTTATTGAATTCAGCCTTGTATTCCTAACATTGTTACTGGGCATAAGGGTAGATGGAGCAAGTGGGGGTTATATTAGGCTGCAATGGATGGAAAGAATATCAATAAATGGTAAGAATGAGTGAAAGAACTACATTTCAATTTAGATGACAGCATGAGTACAGAGATGGCAAATGGAGCATTTTGGCCATTTCAAATTGGTGGAGTGAAGGAGGTCCTTTGGAGATGAACACAATACAAAGTTTTAAAGGAAGTCAGGGACAAGATTGTGAAGGACCTTGACTGCCAAAATAAGTAATTGACTTTTACTTTACTAAAGGTACTGAGAACCACAGTAGGTGTTAGTTGGTTGGTTGGTTGGATGGTTGGATTAAAGTAGGGCAGTGGTATGATGAAAGTGGTATTTAGGAAAGAAGGCACTGATACTTGTGTGGAGGATAAAATAAAGGTGGATAAGACTAGAGGCAGAGGTGCCAACAGTAAATATGAGCAATTACGAGAGGCTGTTATATGGCAGGGGCAGTGAAGATGAAGATAAAAGAATGGAGTATTTTTTAGAGTCACTGTGAAGGGAAACTTAACAAGATCTGAAGAATGACTGGATAAGGAGAATGAGGAAAATAAATAAAGCAAAGAAAATGCAGAATTTATCTCAGTGGCACCTGGAAAATGAATATTTCACAGAAAGAGAAGTCAAGGGAAATAACAGACCTGAAGGCACAGGGAAGTATATTTTGAGACTCACTAACTTTGAGGGCTAGCAATACATCCATACCCAATAAGTAATCCAGAATGTTGAACTGAGAGTTGTGAGTGAGGTATAAGCTAGAGCTGAAGATGGAGGGTTTACTAATGGATAGATAGTGATTAAAACTATGATGATAGCTGAAACACTTGACAGAGTGTGTAGGTATAAAAAAGAAGACTAAAGATAGAAATGTGGGTAAACGACCAAATTTAAGGACAGAAAAAGACTGGTTTCCTCTTCTTTGGTCTTCCACATACACCCTGGCCCTCTCTTTACTGGCTTTTTATTCTCTGCCCACAAACATGTTCCAATCATCCACATTTTAGAGGTAACCTCCTTCTTGACTCTTGCTTTCTCCCATTTCCTTTCTCTTTCATCTAGATATATCTCAGGCTTTCAACATGCCTTTTAATTCTCAGCCTCCTGCATTATGGTCTTCTGATCTAAAAAAACTTCTAGAAACAATTCTCACTGAGATCCCCAATGATCTCATGTTACCAAATTTGATGGCATTTTTTCTCAGTTCCATCCTCCTCAACCTCTGAATAGTTTGATGCTATTGATCCTCTACTCTTTCTTGAAACATGCTCTTGCCTTACATTTTGATTTCTTCTATTCTACTCAGGATTACTTCAAATAATCTACAAACATTGAGTGAGAAAGAGAGGTGGTAATGAGGATATATGCCAAGTGTAACCATGTGAGGAAATTGCAGCTGTAAGATAGAAGACCAAAGCTAAAGTAAAAGAAATATCCTTATTTTTAATATATTTTTAATTGTAGGCTTGGAAGTGTGGGAGTAAGCTTTGTGCTTGACTGCACCTAGAAATATATAGACACATCATTCATGGATGCAATTGACTCCTTTCTGTATTTTACCCCTGATAAATACTAAGTGGCTGCCTACCTTTTCTCCTATCACTCAAATTGGCAGGTGGAAAGATTTGAAATCACAGGCAAGAGACATGAACAGTCTCTCCAAGAAGAGCAGAGTGAATTTACCATTGTTTTACACAGCTTATTTTGTCTGTTTTCTGAGAAGATATGTTAAAGGAAAGAGTCACCAATTACTAATTTTCTTATGACCAAAAGTATAAGGGCATGGAGGTAGAGGATTATTTCTGGACAAATAAGAGACATCTGTTCTTCTGAGAAAAAGAGGTGAGTATGGGTGTGGAAGCAAATTTATAAGAGCTGGAAGTTGAGAGTAGCAAGTCAGAAAGCCTTTATTTTCTCAGGGAAAGAAAAGGCAAGGTCACATGTTAAGAGGGATTGAGGGCAGACAGGGGGCATCTGGTTCAACATGGTAGGCTGGGCATCTGGAAAGCCCATGAAAATTAGCTCTATAATTAAAATCATTAAAATATTAAATAGGTATGAATATTCAACACCAACAAGACGAGAAAAAGGACCATCAGTGGATAAGAAAGAACAAGTTTCTGGAAGACAGCAGTTTAAAAAAATTGGCAGCTGTTGTAGGACAGAGGAAAACACAGCTTAGAATTTGTGCAGAGGCAGCTGCAGCTTAGGTAGGAACTTATCTGTTTGCCAATACCATAGAAAGGGTCTGGACTGGGAGATGTCAAAGGACTCCTGCCTAATGGCAGCTCTCTGCTCACTTACCAAAGGCAAAGCCAGCCGGGTGATAAGCCCCAAATCCCATATGCCTTGAGTTTCCAGTCAGTTTTTCTATTACTTTTTTAATATTAATGCAAAACCAAAGGTCAATGGGTGTTGAGAAAAGCATGCAATATGAATAAGAAAGACAAAATATGCAAATTTTTTAAAAGGCTAGCAACCAGATAATTCAAGAAACAGAAGATTTACAGGGTGTTATGGAAAGGGAATGGTCAGACAGCAAAAAAAGCATTCTAAAAATAAAATAATTGTCAAAATATTGCATTTAATAAGAAGATTAGAAGATAAACTTGATACAGTTTCCCAGAAAGTTGAATACAAAAGAACAAAAATGATAATAGCAATGTCCACCATTTAATATTATGCTTGCTCTGAGGCAGGCAGTTCTCAGGACCCATCTAGGTCCACTGCTTAGGGTCTCTCAAAGCTGAAATCAAGCTGTTGGTCAGTTGGGCTATAATTATGAAGCTCTAGGAATAATCTGCTTCCAATCTCATTTATATAATTGGCAGAATTTAGTCCCTTGAGACTGTAGGACTGAAGTCTCCATTTTCTTTTTAGTTGTCAGCCTGGGATTATTTTCACCTTCTAGAGATTGATCACATTTCTTGATACATGCTCCCCTCCATCTCCAAAGCCAGAAAAGGCACATTGAATCCTTTTCACACTTTAATTCTCTCTAACTTTCCTTTCTGCCACATTATTCTGACTTTTTTTTTCTGCTTTTAAAAGTGCATGTGATTATATTTGCCCCACCCACCAAATAATCCTGAATACTTATTTTTATCTTAAGGTCAGCTGATTAGTAGTCCGAATGACATCTTCAAAGTCCCATTTGCCAAGTAACATAACACAATCACAAGTGTGATACCGGAGGGTAAAGTTCAGGAGCTCCAGAGCACATACTCTGAGCTACTAAACTCTGAGATTTTAAAAAGTCAATCCAGATAAATAAATTCTGGTACTTCCATTAAATAGACTATTACTCAGCAATAACAATGCATTTTTGATATGTGCAACAACATGGATCAACTGTTTTAAAAATTAGCTAAACAAAAGTAGCCAGATACACATTATGTAATCCCATTTATATGACCTCAAGTCAAAGCGATCTATAGTGACAGAAAGCAGATCAGTTGTTGACTGGAGCTGGAGGTGGGGAGAATAACTGCAAAGATGCATGAAAAAAATTATGATCATAAAAATACATTATAGTTTGACTGTGGTGGTGGTGGTTACCTGGGCATATACATTTTGTCAAAACTCACTAAAATGCACACAAAATAAGTGTATATTTCTGTAGCTGAATAATATTTCAACAAAATTGATTTTTAGAAACTCCAACCAGGAGGTCCAACAGCTGACTAAATGGAATTCCAAAATAAGAGAATAGAGAAAATGGAAGGAAGGAAATTGTTCCTGAATAAAATAAATAATAATTTTCCAGAGTGGGAAGGACATAAGTCTTCAGATGAAAAGGGCCCATTTAGTGTTCAAAAACGAAGGAAAAATGACTCCCCTTTGCACAGACATTACTGAGAGATTTCAGAACCACAAAGATAAAGAGAAAATCCTAAAGGCTTTCAGAGATAGAGAATTGGTCACCTATAAAGGAACAAGAATCAGAGTGCCATCAGACCTCCCGTCAACAACATTGGAAACTAAACTACAATGAAGATATATATACAAAGGTCTATGGAAAACTTGAATTTTATCTTATTGACACTATTAGTCAAACCTCACAGTAGAAGAAAGATTTTTTCAGATACATAAGAACTCAGAAAGTATGGCTTTCTAAAACCCATTTTTAGAACATTCCTTGCAGATATAATTCATCAAAATAAGATAATAAATCATAAAAGAGGAAGACATTAGATCTACCCTAGAAGAATAGTAAAGGAGATTCCTAGGATAGCACTGTAGGCCTGAAACAAGACCAATTTATAAAGTCTGAGTTAGAGTGAGTGGGCAGAAGTCTCCCTAGAAACAGAGGAAAACAAATGACCTACATAGGTGAGATCGTATAACTGAAAAGTTGAATGGACTACTGTATTAGTCTGTTTTCACACTGCTATAAAGAACCACCCAAGACTGGGTAATTTATAAAGAAAAGAGGTTTAATTGACTCAGAGGTCTGCATGGCTGGGGAGGAAACTTACAATCATGGTGGAAGGTGAAGATCGTATAACTTCTTCGTATCACAATACGTATAACAATCATGGTGGAAGGTGAAGGGGAAGAAAAACGTCTTACATGGTGGCAGGAAAGAAAGAGTGAGGGGGGAATTGCCACATACTTTTAAATCATCAGATCTCGTGACAACTCACTCACTATCATGAAAACAGCATGGGGAAAACTGACCCCATGATCCAATAGCCTCCCACCAGTTCCCTCCCCTAACATGTGGGAATTACAGTTTGACATGAGATTTGGGTGTGGACACAGAGCCAAACCATATCAACTACTAAAGAGACTGAGGCAGTATAACTCCTAGGAACTCTCCACATGATTGGCCAGGGCTTTAAAATCGATGGTGGGGGAATCAAAATTGACCAGAAGAAGGACAACAGAGACAAAGGTAAAAGGTTTCAGATCAAAATAAGAGAGAGGAGAAAGCCAGGGATTCTCAGAAAGCCAGCCACTATATTTGTGACTACTTCACCAAACAACATAAAATTAATCTAACATAGAAATGAGCAAACCAAAGTTTATCAGAGCCAAATCTCATACAAAGTTATTATATGAAAAAAGAAGCATAACATCCCAGAGACGATGAAAGCATGCCAGAAAGACATGCCCACAAAACAGATCAAAATCATAACTTATTATTTTAAACAAGCTACAAGATATTAAAAAATGAAACAATATGTGAAAGAACAATATATATCATGATTTAAAATGTTCAGAAAGAAAGTGACAGAACTTATGAAAGAATTACAAATAAAAGAAAATAATCATTTGAAAAGCAAAGACTAACTAGGAGGAATAGAGGAATGACTAAACACAACAGTGCCTTTAAAAATAGAAGATAATAAGAAACTTTTAATAAATAAAAAGAATTTTTTCCTTTTTTCCTTCTTTTTTCTTTTTCTCATGATTACAAGACAAAGCATAAACCTTAACTACCTTGACAATATCAAAAGTGAAGAAACAAGCTGACACAGCTGGAGGAAGGGGGTGAGGAGATAAGGGAAGGTTCAGGCCCCTCATCTTAACCAACAAAGTAGAAAGCCAAGAGATTTTGTTTTTGTTAATACATTAATAAATAGAATAGCTTAATCAAGCTATTTGAAGTTGCAGAGATGATCAGGGAAGCCTTCCTTCTCACTGTGGAACTCAAAAAGCTGCCTGAAGCTTCCTTCTGTCCTGCCTTTGCTCCAAATGCCCCAGTCTATCCAGGTGGCTTAAATGCAGACAGCTAGGCTCTCCATCCCAGCACTATTTATTTATTTATGTATTTATTTATTTATTTATTTTTGAGACAGAGTCTTACTCTGTCGCCCAGGCTGGAGTGCAGTGGCAAGATCTCGGCTCACTGTAACCTCCACCTCCCAGGTTCAAACGATTCTCCTTCCTCAGCCTCCTGAGTAGCTGGGACTACAGTTGCATGCCACCACGCCTTGCTAATTTTTGTATTTTTGTATTTTTATTTTTATTTATTTATTGTACTTTAAGTTTTAGGGTACATGTGCACAATGTGCAGGTTTGTTACATATGTATACATGTGCCATGTTGTTGTGCTGCACCCATTAACTCGTCATTTAACATTAGGTATATCTCCTAATGCTATCCCTCCCCACTTCCCCCACCCCACAACAGGCCCCGGTGTGTGATGTTCCCCTTCCTGTGTCCATACGAGGTTACACCATGTTGGCCAGAATGGTCTCGATCTCCTGACCTTGTTATCCACCCGCCTTGGCCTCCCAAAGTTCTGGGATTACAGGTGTGAGCCCCCGTACCTGGCCGCACTTTCCTTTAATTTGTTTATTTATTTTTTATTTTTTAATTTTTTTCCATAAGTTATCGGGGTACAGGTGGTATTTCGTTACATGAGTAAATTCTTTAATGGTGATTTGTGAGATTTTGGTGCACCCATCACCCGAGCAGTATACACTGCACCATATTTGTAGCCTTTTATCTCTCGTCCACCTCCCACTCTTCCCCCCAAGTCCCCACAGTTCATTGTATTATTCTTATGCCTTTGCATCCTCATAGCTTAGCTTCCATATATCAGTGAGAACATATGACATTTGGTTTTCCATTCCTGAGTTACTTAGAGTAATGGTCTCCAGTCTCATCCAGGTCACTGCAAATGCTGTTAATTAATTACTTTTTATGGCTGAGTAGTATTCCATTGTGTGTGTGTGTGTGTGTGTATCATACATATATATATATATATATATATATCTCATATATATGTATATCTGTATACGTATATAGATGTACATCTATATACATATGTAGATATATGTGTATATCATATATATCATGTATATATCTCAGTTTCTTTATTCACTCATTGATTGATGGACATTTGGGTTGGTTCCATGATTTTGCAATTGTGAATTGTGCTGCTATAAACATGCACATGCAAGGATCTTTTTCGAATAATGACTTATTTTCCTCTGGGTAGATACCCAGTAGTGGGATTTCTGGATCAAATGGTAGTTCTACTTCTAGATCTTTAAAAAATCTCCACACTGTTTTCCATAGTGGCTGTACTAGTTTACATTCCCACCTGCAGTGTGGAAGTGTTCCCTGATCACTGCATCCATGCCAACATCTACTGTTGTTGTTGTTCTTGTTTTTTTATTATTATAGCTATTCTTGCAGGAGTAAGGTGGTATCACATTGTGGTTTTGATTTGCATTTCCCTGATCATTAGTGATGTTGAGCATTTTTTCATGTTTGTTGGCCATTTGTATATCTTCTTTTGAGAATTGTCTATTCATGTCCTTAGCCCACTTTTTGATGGAATTGTTTGTTTTTTCTTACTGATTTGTTTGAGTTCATTGTAGATTCTGGACATTAGTCCTTTGTTAGATATATAGATTGTGAAGATTTTCTCTCACTCTGTGGGTTGTCTGTTTACTCTGTTGACTGTTCCTTCTGGCATGCAAAAGCTCTTTAGTTTAATTAGGTCCCAGCTATTTATCTTTGTTTTTATTGCATTTGCTTTTGCATCCCAGCACTTTCAGTCTTACAAAGACTGATCCAAAGACAAAATATATATGACTGGGATTGATCCATGCAAGCAGCAGCACCCTGAGCCCAAATAACTTCTCACCAGGTTCCAGTCTCTTTCCTAACCTAGGTCTACAGCCTCCCATTGAATCTGCAATCACCCTGATATCCTGCCAATAAAGACCTGTATTGCTGCCGTTTAAGTTACCTAGAGAGTTTTTTGATGTTAGTGGTGAGTGGAGATGAGGACAATGAAATAATCCAAATCCAGTACATTCCAGATTTCTTCTGGCCCTTCTCCAGATTATTCAATTAAGAGAAGTTTGGCACAAAGAGAAGTGAGGAGAGTTTCCCAAGTCACACAGTAAGGTAGCAACAGACATGCCAGTTTAATAGATGAAGCAAGCAAGTTTGACTGGGGGAGAGATGGTGACCGGAAAATGTTTTTGAGCTTTCTGCACAGAGGGTGGCAATTTTTAGGCCACTCAACGTGGTATGACATGAGAAGTGCTGAAAGTTCTCCTCCTTCCTAAATTACCTCCTTTCAACCTACTGAAAGGCCTGAACTCCTAACAGACTGAGGCTTTGGAGTGCTGCCAATCCCTGACCTAAGCCATTCAGACAGCCTGCCGGAACACAGTGATGACAAGAAGATGCTAATTATCAGAGATTTTTTTTCATATGCAACATGAAACTTTCCTATTATTGGAGGATTTGCATCAGTTAAATTATGCAGATTCTCAATGATGACAGAATGTGCTCATTTTGATTGGGTTGCACTAATATTGCATGAATATCTTACTTCCTAATTAACAACAAAAATGGAAACCAGAATGAAGCAGGAAATACCTAAAGGAAGGTCAGGAGGAATTCCCTAGTTACATGAAGAATTGAGAAGTAGTAAGTAAGTACAGGTCAAAACAAGAGTGTAAGCCTTGAGAAGGGATCTGCTCTCAGGCTGTCTTCAGGGATGGGAGACATGAAGAGGATGGACATCTGTCAGTTGAGTGTCCACTGTGTATCAAATCTTTTATATATGTCATCTTATTTAATTATCATTATAATCCTATGGGGAGAGGGAGAAGGATTATTATTCCCAGTATCAACATAAGGAAATTGAGGCTCAGAGAGGTGAAGTGACTTCCCAAGCTCAACAACAGGTCAATGGTATGCCCAACTCCAAAGCCAGTGCTACTTCTTATTTGCTATTGGCCGGTGAAGGGCAGGGTGGGGGGTATCTGGAAGGGGAATCCCAGTGTGAACCTAAAAGCCCTGAGGCTTGTTCTCATCCTACTCCCTGACCTGCAGAGCAAAGGAAGTGCTGAGTAAGGCTGTTTTTTTTATATTCATTTTAATCTAAAGTGTTTTACAGATATTAGATGCTGTGGAGGATAAAAAGCCATGGCAGGCCTTTTGAAAAATGTGGCTGTATTATCTACTTAGTAGAAGCCTCTCTGCACATCAGAATTGCCTTTCACTGAATAGGGTAGGGGAGAGAAAGCAAGTGCAGACGTTCCCTGTAAATTGTTCTCAGGCCTTTAAGCTTTAGAGAAGATTGTTTGTTCTTGGGTTGGGCTAGGGAAGATGGATGGCCATTACTGCACTCTGGCTGCCTTGCATCCTGGCTGAGAAGATTACATGTCTGAGTATAGTGTCTGTCCATCTTATTTTTTTCCCAAAAGCGTTAGACTTTGTATAACTGAAAATACAGTAATCTCTCCACAGTCACAGGGTTATGTTCCTGACAAAGGGAGTGAATTCAGAATCTAATAGAGAAACACAATACGTTGTTTCAGAAGAGCTCAACTCAAGGAGATTGGGAAGAGGGTGGCGGCAGGGCTCTAGGGCTTCCTTCCCACTCTGATGATTTGAGGGCAGATATAGTGGTAGACTGTGAGCCTCATTAGTGCTGGGAGCCTATAGTACATGAATTTACTCACCACTCCATGTCCAGCAGTTAGCACATGGCCTTGAAACATCATTGGCGATTAGTAAGTTTGTTGTACAGATGAAGGAATTCCCGGTCATCTTGTGATACATACTAGATTATTAATTACTCAAAAACAGTGATACATCTTATTTGTCTTTGGATTTCCCATGCCTAGCATAACATAGGTTCTTTTTTTAAGAAAATTATTTGTATAAATTTAAAGGGTACAAGTGCAATTTTATTACATGGATCTATTTTGCAGTCCTGAAGTCTGGGTGTTTAGGGTAACCATCAGCAGCATAGGTTTTTGATAAATGTTGGATGAAAAAACATTCCGCCAGAAAATCTGAGGCCATTCCACTCCTCAACTAAATCCATCCATGTCTATCACCTGAACCTTTCTGCCTGTGCTCTGGGACTCCACTTTTCTGTCCAGTGTTCTCTGATATGCTTTTCATTTAGTAGCTTCATAGAAAGCCAAATTTAACCCAGGGCTGCCAGCCATTGACAAGAAATGGAAAAGAGTTTTCTAAACCCAGAGTTTCATCACCGAAGAAAAACTGAATTTGCTGAAAGTCTATCTTTGCTATGCAGAGCAGGCTTTCCAATTGGAGAAATGCATACTGGATAAGGAGGTACCTTTTGTGAACACCGAAGTGTACTCCCAACTTGATGCCTCTATTTGCATTTGATAGCCTGATTTACATGTTTGTGTGTGCTGTGCCATGTCCTTCAAAGGACGTTAGGGCTTTGGCTGGATGCTGCTACAACCTAAAACCACTGGTAACATTTTTTAGCCACTGGTAACATTTTAAACGGCATATTGAATCAGCCTGGCCATGGGAAAATGTGTGGTTATCTGTGGTTTTTGGTAAGTTAGTCTCTCTATACCTCACTGTTTTGTCTGTTAAATGTGAATAATAATATTTAAATCTTACATAACTTTTAAAATAATTTAATAAAATAGAAAATGTGACTGTATTACTGAGCATTTTCCAAAGAAACAGAACACCACACACACGCGCACACACAAACACACATTTATTTATTAAAAAGAACTGGCTCATAAAATTATGGAGGCTGGCAAGCCCAAATCTTGGCTTAGACTGGCAGATTTGATACCCAGGAAATTCAGTGATATAGATGAAGTCTGAAGATAGTCTGCTGGAGAATTCTCTCTTACGGAGGTGAGGTTGGTCTATTTGTTCTATTTAGAACTTCAACTGATTGGATAAGACCCACTCACATTATGGAGGGCAATTTGTTTTACTGATTAAAATGTCAATCTAATCCAAAAACAGCTTCACAGAAACACCCAGAATAATGTTTGACCAAATATCTGGCCACCCCATGGCCCAGTCAAGTTGACACACAAAATTAACCAGTACGGCAAGTTAGTCAATCTCTCTGAGCTTCCTATTCTTCATCTGTAAATGGGGGAGAGCAACAATTTTCTCTCAAGTTTGGTGTGAAGATTTGATAAGAGAAAATACATGAAAGAACTTAACACAAGGCCCAGGAGAAGGTAGATGTGTGTGTGCGTACCATGTGCATATGTGTGCGTGCACATGAATGTGCGTTTAATGACCAGCTTCCTCTAAGGCTCAGGTGTAGGAGCCAGCTTTAGTAAAACAAACAGTAGCAGGTGTCAGTAGCAGTTGTGGGATTGGTTTTCCAGAGCTGACTGAGCAAGTTCAGTGCAAGACTTCCAAAAAAAAAATCACTCCTTTTTTATCCCGCTGTGGAAAAAATCATTCCCTTTTAATATCCTTATGGAAATAAACTTGTGCATTCGCACAACATCTCCTTACTGTCTATAGTACCCATTGCTTTAAAAAGAAGAGAATGAATAAATATATTCTCTTTTATTTTCTAAACAATTTTTGGAGGACAGAAAGGGTTTTGAGTGCTTTTCATGGGATGTTCATTTAATCTGCACGTGCCTATGAGGTAGGTCCTATCACTGTTCTCATTTTGGAAATGAGTTAACCAAGGCTCACAGAAATTAGTGAGTTGATCAAAGTCATACATAACTAGCAATTGGCAAAACCTGGATGTGAACTCCGGGCTATCTGACTTCAGAACCTGGCTCAAAGTTGTGACATAATTCTGCCTTTCTCTAGGAAAGCTTCCTGGATTCTCCTCCAGAAAGGTTGGACTTGGTGCCTCTGCTCTTTGGTCCAACAATACTTGTACCTCCTTCAGTCACAGCACTTGTTGCACGGTACTGTAGTTTTCCACATATATATCTCTATCTTATTTACTCTTCTCTGAGCTCCTTGTGGGCAAGGACAGTGTTCTGTTCACCAGTGACTCTCCAGGATTCTTGGTAATTGTTCATGCTTAGTTAATAAATTGATCCAGGTAAAATAAAAGCTGTAGCTGGGTATCTCTAACCTGGAGGATTCCTCCATTATGTTAGTGCTTTTGTGCCTATAACTGTGTATGATTCTGATTCATAGTTCACACTTTCAGCCCCAAATTGCATGCTATCCATAAAGAGCTCTCACTAAATGCTTGCTCAGTTCTTGCCTGCATTTTATTGCTGTCTGTCATAACAGGTCCCGTTCACATCCCAGATCGTTTTTATTAGAGAAAAGTTTATTTGAACCAAGCCAAGTCCATTTTCCTTTTATCACCATTGTCTCACTCTTACCTTCTCTCTCGTAATTTTAATTTGCCCCCTGGAACTCATTTAAACATTTAGTCTACATGTTGATTGTAATGCGATGTGTTTGGTATGCCAGCTTGATCTGGATTTGCCATGAAAAACATTCCATATTGATTTTAAAATGTAGGACTGATGTTTGCACATTTATCAAGTCTGTCAGGTACAAAACTACTTTCTTCCTGTCAGGGAAGATTAATGACATTCCAACAGGTGTAAAATGGGCCTTTCCTTACTGACAATGCATTGTCTTTTGGCCTTTGTTTTGACTTATCTTTTACTCTTAATGAATTACTTATTTGTAATTAAATATTCACATCGAACTATTGAATAATGAGCAATGATTCTTTGACATTTGCCCTGAGCAGGAATTGTTGCGATTGGCCAGAAACGATAAACCCTACGTTACCAATTATTTTTCTCCTTGGAGGAGGGCAGTGGAAGGGGAAGCAATGCTAATTTTTAAGAAATACCACAGGGGAGATATATTGATATATTTAATTTTATTTATAACTGTCTCTCATTTTTTTTTTATTTTTTAAATTATATTTTAAGTTCTAGGGTTCATGTGCACAACGTGCAGGTTTGTTACATAGGTATACATGTGCCGTGTTGGTTTGCTGCACACATTAACTCGTCATTTACATTAGGTATTTCTCCTATGCTATCCCTCCCCCATCCCCCCACCCCAGAACAGACCCTAGTGTGTGATGTTCCCCACCCTGTGTCCAAGTGTCCTCATTGTTCAATTCCCACCTGTGAGTGAGAACATGCGGTGTTTGGTTTTCTGTCCTTGGATAGTTTGCTCAGAATGACGGTTCCCAGCTTCATCCATGTCCATACAAAGGACATGAACTCATCCTTTTTTATGGCTGCATAGTATTCCATTGTGTATATGTGCCACACTTTCTTAATGCAGTCTATCATTGATGGACATTTGGGTTGGTTCCAAGTCTTTGCCATTATGAATAGTGCCGCAATGAACATACGTGTGCATGTGTTTTTAGAGTAGCATGATTTATAATCCTTTGGGTGTATACCCAGTAATGGGATCACTGGGTCAAATGGTATTTCTAGTTCTAGTTCTAGATCCTTGAGGAATCACCACAATGTCTTCCACAATGGTTGAACTAGTTTACACTCCCACCAACAGTGTAAAAACGTTCCTATTTCTCCACATCCTGTTCAGCACCTGTTGTTTCCTGACCTTTTAATTATTGCCATTCTAACTGGTGTGAGATGGTATCTCATTGTGGTTTTGATTTGCATTTCTCTGACGACCAGTGATGATGAGCATTTTTTCATGTGACTGTTGGCTGCATAAATGTCTTCTTTTGAGAAGTGTCTGTTCATATCCTTTGCCCACTTTTTGATGGGGTTGTTTGATTTTTTCTTGTGAATTTGTTTAAGTTCTTTGTAGATTCTGGATATTAGCCCTTTGTCAGATGAGTAGATTGCAAAAATTTTCTCCCATTCTGTAGGTTGCCTGTTCACTCTAATGGTAGTCTCTTTTGCTATTGAGAAGCTCTTTAGTTTAGTTAGACTCCATTTGTCAAGTTTGGCTTTTGTTGCCATTGCTTTTGGTGTTTTAGACATGAAGGCCTTGCCCATGCCTATGTCCTGAATGGTATTGCCTAGGTTTTCTTCTAGGGTTTTTATGGTTTTAGGTCTAACATTTAAGTCTTTAATCTATCCTGAATTAATTTTTGTATAAGGTGTAAGGAAGGGATCCAATTTCAGCTTTCTACATATGGCTAGCCAGTTTTCCCAGCACCATTTATTAAATAGGGAATCCTTTCCCCATTTCTTGTTTTTGTCAGGTTTGTCAAAGATCAGATGGTTGTAGATGTGTGGTGTTATTTCTGAGGCCTCTGTTCTATTCCATTGGTCTATATCTCTGTTTTGGTACAAGTACCATGCTGTTTTGGTTACTGTAGCCTTGTAGTATAGTTTGAAGTCAGGTAGCATGATGCCTCCAGCTTTGTTCTTTTTGGTTAGGATTGTCTTGGCAATGCAGACTCTTTTTTGGTTCCATATGAACTTTAAAGTAGTTTTTTCTAATTCTGTGAATAAAATTATTTGTAACTTGATGGGGATGGCATTGAATCTATAAATTACCTTGGGCAGTATGGCCATTTTCATGATATTGATTCTTCCTACCCATGAGCATGGGTTCTTCTTCCATTTGTTTGCATCCTCTTTTATTTCCTTGAGCAGTAGTTTGTAGTTCTCCTTGAAGAGGTCCTTCACTTCCCTTGTAAGTTGGATTCCTAGGTATTTTATTCTCTTTGAAGCAATTGTGAATGGGAGTTCACTCATGATTTGGCTCTCCGTTTGTCTGTTCTTGCTGTATAGGAATGCTTGTGATTTTTGCACATTGATTTTGTATCCTGAGACTTTGCTGAAGTTGCTTATCAGCTTAAGGAGATTTTGGGCTGAGACGATGGGGTTTTCTAGATATACAATCATGTCATCTGCAAACAGGGACAATTTGACTTCCTCTTTTCCTAATTGAATACCCTTTATTTCCTTCTCCTGCCTGATTGCCCTGGCCAGAACTTCCAACATTATGTTGAATAGGAGTGGTGAGAGAGGGCATCCCTGCCTTGTGCCAGTTTTCAAAGGGAATGCTTCCAGTTTTTGCCCATTCAGTATGATACTGGCTGTGGGTTTGTCATAAATAGCTCTTATTATTTTGAGATACATTCCATCAATACCTAGTTTATTGAGAGTTTTTAGCATGAAGGGTTGTTGAATTTTGTCAAAGGCCTTTTCTGCATCTATTGAGATAATCATGTGGTTTTTGTCTTTGGTTCTGTTTATATGATGGATTACATTTATTGATTTGCGTATGTTGAACCAGCCTTGCATCCCAGGGATGAAGCCAACTTGATCATGGTGGATAAGCTTTTTGATGTGCTGCTGGATTCGGTTTGCCAGTATTTTATTGGGGATATTCGCATCAATGTTCATCAGGGATATTGGTCTAAAATTCTCTGTTTTTGTTGTGTCTCTGCCAGGCTTTGGTATCAGGATGATGCTGGCCTCATAAAATGAGTTAGGGAGGATTCCCTCTTTTTCTATTGAATGGAATAGTTTCAGAAGGAATGGTACAAGCTCTTCTTTGTACCTCTGGTAGAATTCGGCTGTGAATCCGTCAGGTCCTGGACTTTTTTTGGTTGGTAGGCTATTAATTATTGCCTCAATTTCAGAACCTGTTATTGGTCTATTCAGGGATTCAACTTCTTCCTGGTTTAGCACTGGGAGGGTATATGTGTCCGGGAATTTATCAATATCTTCTGGATTTTCTAGTTTATTTGCATAGAGGTATTTATAGTATTCTCTGATGGTAGTTTGTATTTCTGTGGCATTGGTGGTGATATCCCCTTTGTCATTTTTTATTGCGTCTATTTGATTCTTCTCTCTTTTCTTCATTAGTCTTGCTAGCAGTCTATCAATTTTGTTGATCTTTTCAGAAAAACAGCTCCTGGATTCATTGATTTTTTTGAAGGATTTTTTGTGTCTCTATCTCCTTGAGTTCTGCTCTGATCTTAATTATTTCTTGCCTTCTGCTAGCTTTTGAATTTGTTTGCTCTTGCTTTTCTAGTTCTTTTAATTGTGATGTTAGGGTGTCAGTTTTAGATCTTTCCTGCTTTCTTTTGCGGGCATTTAGTGCTCTAAATTTCCCTCTACACATTGCATTAAATGTGTCCCAGAGATTCTGGGATGTTGTGTCTTTGTTCTCATTGGTTTCAAAGAACATCCTTATTTCTAACTTCATTTCATTATTTACTCTGTAGTCATTCAGGAAGAGGTTGTTCGGTTTCCATGTAATTGTGTGGTTTTGAGTAAGTTTCTTAATCCTGACTTATAATTTGATTGCACCGTGGTCTGAGAGAGAGTTTGTTGTGATTTCTGTTCTTTTCCATTTGATGAGGAGTGCTTTACTTCCAGCTATGTGGTCAATTTTGGAATAAGTGCAGTGTGGTGCTGATTAGAATGTATATTCTGTTGATTTAAGGTGGAGAGTTCTGTAGATGTCTATTAGGTCTGCCTGTTGCAGAGCTGAGTTCAAGTCCTGGATATCCTTCTTAACCTTCTGTCTTGTTGATCTGTCTAATATTGACAGTGGGGTGTTAAATTCTCCCATTATTATTGTGTCAGAGCCTAAGTCTCTTTTTAGGTCCCTCAGGACTTGCTTTATGAATCTGGGTGCTCCTGTATTGGGTACATATATATTTAGGATAGTTAGCTCTTCTTGTTGAATTGATCCCTTTACCATTATGTAATGGCCTTCTTTGTCTCTTTTGGTCTTTTTTGGTTTAAAGTCTGTTTTATCAGAGACTAGGATTGCAACCCCTGCTTTTTTTTTTCTTACTTTCCATTTGCTTGGTAGATGTTTCTCCATCCCTTTATTTTGAGCTTATGTGTGCCTCTGCATGTGAGATGGGTCTCCTGAATACAGCACACTGATGGGTCTTGACTCTTTATCCAATTTACCGATCTATGTCTTTTAATTGAGGCATTTAGCCCATTTACATTTAAGGTTAATATTATTTTTTGTGAATTTGATCCTGTCATTATGATGTTAGCTGGTTATATTGCCTGTTAGTTGATGCAGTTTCTTCCTAGCGTCTATGGTCTTTACAATTTGGCATGTTTTTGCAGTGGCTGGTACCAGTTTTTCCTTCCCATGTTTAATGCTTCCTTCAGGAGCTCTTGTAAGGGAGGCCTGGTGGTGACAAAATCTCTCAGCATTTGTTTGTCTGTAAAGGATTTTATTTCTCCTTCACTTATGAAGTTTAGTTTGCCTGGATATGAAATTCTGGGATGAAAATTCTTTTCTTTAAGATGTTGAATATTGGCCCCCACTCCCTTCTGGCTTGTAGGGTTTCTGCCGAGAGATCCGCTGTAATCTGATGTGCTTTCCTTTGTGGGTAACCTGACCTTTCTCTCTGGTTGCCCTTAGCATTTTTTCCTTCATTTCAACCTTGGTGAATCTGACAATTATGTATCTCGGGGTTGCTCTTCTCGAGGAGTATCTTTGTGGTGTTCTTTGTATTTCCTGAATTTGAATGTTGGCCTGCCTTGCTAGGTTGGGGAAGTTCTCCTGGATAATATCCTGCAGAGTGTTTTCCAGCTTGGTTCCATTCTCCCCGTCACTTTCAGGTACACCACTCAGATGTAGATTTGGTCTTTTGACATAGTCCCATATTTCTTGGAGACTTTATTCATTTCTTTTTACTCTTTTTTCTCTAAACTTCTCTTCTCACTTCATTTCAGTCATTTGATCTTCAATCACTGATGCCCTTTCTTCCACTTGATCGAATCGTCTACAGAAGCTTGTGCATGTGTCACGTAGTTCTCATGCCATGGTTTTCAGCTCCATCAGGTCATTTAAGGTATTCTCTACACTGTTCATTCTAGTTAGCTATTCATCTAGTATTTTTTCAAGGTTTTTAGCTTCCTTGCGATGGGTTTGAACATCCTGCTTTAGCTCGGAGAAGTTTGTTATTACCAACTTTCTGAAGCCTACTTCTGTCAGCTCATCAAAGTCATTCTCTGTCCTGCTTTGTTCCATTGCTGGTGAGGAGGTGTGATCCTTTGGAGGAGAAGGGGCACTCTGGTTTTTAGAATTTTCAGCTTTTCTGCTCTGGTTTCTCCCCATCTTTGTGGTTTTATCTAGCTTTGGTCTTTGACATAGGTGACCTACAGATGGGATTATGGTGTGGATGTCCTTCTTGTTGATGTTGATGCTATTATTTTCTGTTTGTTAGTTTTCTTTCTAACAGTCAAGTTCCTCAGCTGCAGGTCTGTTGGAGTTTGCTGGAGGTCCACTCCAGACCCTGTTTGCCTGGGTTTCACCAGCAGAGGCTGCAGAACAGCAAATATTGCTGCCTGATCCTTCCTCTGGAAGCTTCAATCTCAGAGGTGAACCAGGCTGTATGAAATGTCAGTTGGCCCCTACTGGGAGGTGTCTCCAAGTTACACTACATGGGGTTCAGGGACCCACTTGAGGCAGCAGTCCGTCCATTCTCAGAGCTCAAACACTGTGCTGGGAGAACCACTGCTCTCTTCAGAGCTGTCAGACAGGGACTTTTAAGTCTGCAGAAGTTGCTGCTGCCTTTTGTTCAGCTATGCCCTGCCCCCGGAGGTGGGGTCTACAGAGGCAGGTGGGCCTTGTTGAGCTATGGTGGGTTCCACCCAGTTCGAGCTTCCTGGCTGCTTTGTTTACTTACTCAAGCCTCAGCAATGGTGGACACCCCTCCCCCAGCCAGGCTTGCCACCTTGCAGTTCGATCTCAGACCAGCAGTGAGCAAGGCTTTATGGTCGTGGGACCCACTGAGCCAGGCGCAGGATATAATCTCCTGGTGTGCCGTTTGCTAAGACCATTGGAAAAGCACAGTGTTTAGGTGGCAGTGTCCCAATTTTTCTGGTATAGCCTGTCACAGCTTCCCTTGGCTAGGAAAGGGAAATCCCCTGACCCCTTGTACTTCCTGAGTGAGGCGTTGCCATGTCCTGCTTCGGCTCACCCTCTGTTGGCTGCACCCACTTTCCAAACAGTCCCAGTGAGATGAACCAGGTACCTCAGTTGGCAATGCAGAAATCACCCGTCTTCTGCATTGGTCACGCTAGGAGCTGCAGACCGGAGCTGTTCCTATTTGGCCATCTTGGAACCAACTGTCTCTCATCTTATATGTCATCGCTTTTAGCAAATTAAACTCAGAAAGATTGCTCTCCATGAAAGAGAGAGTACACCCTAAATTGGGACACTAGTTTGACAATTAACTTCTAACCTTCCTCCATTCTCTTTTGGTGACTTATGATCCCTGAGAATCACTGAGAAAACAGTGAGTTTTTAATAAATAAATGTGTGTGTGCATTTGTGTGTGTGTGTGTGTGTGTGTGTGTGTGTGTTCTGTTTCTTTGTGCCAACATATTTTGCATTATTTAGAAGGGTGATTACCAATGGCCTGTCGGCCTGAAGGTCATCTAGTATGCCAGATAATAAATCTTCAAAGCTTCCCTGGAACACAACACCTGCATCTTCCTCACAGTGAATAAAAGCAATCTGTCTGCCACTTTATTTATCCATTCATTTCCAAGCTCAAACACCCTCCACCAAACTAGCCAGACTGAATTCCATGTATTTGCCTTTTGGTTTTGAACATTGTTGGAGGTCTTCAACTTTGGGTTGTTGAATGGAAGAGCAAAGCACTCTATGACTCATCAATGCACTCTGGGTGTGTTGTACACAATATGTTTGCTGCTGACTCTATTCACTGCACCGGAATAGAGAGAAAGCCACTGGAGTTGTGTGAGGAGACAGGCTACAGAGGAAGTGCTTAGACTAAGTGCAGAAGTTCTTTAATTAGCAGCAATAGGAACATATAGCTTGAACTTACAGCTTCGACAGAGGCAGTTGCTTGAGAAGGCAGGTGCTGGGTGGGCAGCTGTAATAGGAGTAGGCTGTCTCCTCTCTGTTGTCAGAGCAGTAAATCTTGCAGTCTTAAAAGCCAGACTGCTCCCTTGGAGACCCTCTGCCTCTACCAGTTCCAATCCCTGAGCTGACTCTGTCTTCCCTCCCATATGCCTCAGCAATCGCAAGGAGCCTGCAAAGGGCATTGAATGCAGTGGTGAAGCTTTGGTGGGGACAGGCCTACCATCACACAAATGCTGCTGCACCTCTGAATGGGAGGTGGAAACCATCCCTTTATGCTCTATTTGCTAGCTGATCAGGTACAGTTCTAACATTTAGAATACTAGAATCCTGGTTCTCAAACATTTTGTATTTCAGAATTACCAGGGATGGGAGTGAGTGGTGAATACAGATCCCAGTGGCCTACGTTCATAAATTCTGATTTAGCAAGTCTGTGATAGGGTTCAGGAATCTGAATTGTTAACAAACAGCTTCTCAGGTGGTCTCTGGACCATACTCTGAAAGAAAAAGGAGCAAAATGTCTAATTGGAAGAGCTCTTGCTGACCCTCTTGACTAAACCACTATTTTACAGACCAGGTCACTGAGGTCTGGACAGGAAGTCTTGTCTAAGGTCACACAACGATATAATTCCAGAGCTAGAACTGGAGCCAAGGTCTCTAATCACCCTACCCCTCAATTCTCCATGCTTTATTCTGAGGCAAAGAGGGAGACAGGATACAGCCATAACCCTGTATTTTTTTCTAAGTGGACACAACCTGGTATAGACCTAGCCATAACTCTCTCTTTTTTCTGAATGGACACAACCTGGTATAGACCTGTAGTGATTCTTAATGGGACATTGTTGGCATTTTGTAATGCAGGAGTGGCTAGTGCATTGCAGACCTCTCGGTATTAATGTCAGTAACATCTTTACTTTTAGTCATTGTAACAACCCCAAATGCTGCACACATTTCCAAATGTCCATTGTGTGTGTGGAGGTGAAGAGGTGTGGGAAATGGTGCTGCCACCAGTTCAGAACCACTAGTAGGAAAAGTGGCCATGGTTGATTATTCAGCAAAAATAGTCTGATTTTGAGTTTTAACTTTGCCATTAACTTACTGCGATCTGAGGCATGGCATGGCCCAGGCCCAAGTCCCAAGGCTCTGCATTCCTGTTTCTGGGGAGAGGGTAAGAAAATCTCTTGGGATACTCACAGAAGACTTCTTGAGTCTGAGAAAAGGAGTTGTCTTGTGGTTCCTGGGGCACTGCTAGAGTACACAGACAGGGTGTGACTATTCATGTTCTTTTTCTTACACTGCTGCAGTCAGTACAAGCCATGAATAATACTGTCATGAAAAATAGTCCATTTTGAAAGGGAAGCCAACAAGTAGACACTTCAGGGTCTTAAGCCCAACATAGGGAGCCACTCTTCAGGTATCTTAAATTCTCCCACCCCACACAGTTGACTTCATATTTTCTACTCTTTGCCTCTAAGAAAACATGACTTTGTTATGTTCAGTCTGTCAGTTCTGGGTTGGCAGTGACAGAAAGACTCAGTGTCCCAAAGTGATGTGGACCCTCATCACAATTCTAGTAGAGATGATTGGCTCCTACAGTCTCTAGCCAAACTGCAGAGGTGTTATCTACCATAGCTTCTTTCTTTTTGAGATTGGAAAGGCTATGTTTGTTGTTTGAGAAGCAGCCCAGATCCCCAGTGCATTATGAGGCACTCATTTTTATTTGGGCATAGAAAAAGATCACTTTAGGATGGTAGGGGTGGGGTTCAATATAGCCCTCACTTAACTGTCAGTATAGGAACCTTTGATTACCTTTATCCTAGCCACCTTCTGTATTTAGCAGAAGTATTAGTCTGTTTTCACACTGCTGATAAAGTCATACCAGAGACTGTACAATTTACAAAACAAAGAAGTTTGATGGACCCACACAGTTCCACGTGGCTCGGGAGGCCTCACAATCATGGCAAAGGTGAAAGGCACATCTCACATGGCAGCAGACAAGAGAAAAGAACTTGTGCAGGGAAACTCCCCTTTATAAAACCGTCAGCTCTCATGAGACTTATTCACTATCACAAGAACAACATGGGAAAGACCCACCCCCATAATTCAATCACCTCCCACCAGTTTCCTCCCATGACAGGTGGAAATTGTGGGAGCTACAACTCAAGATGAGATTTGGGTGGGGACACAACCAAACCATATCAGCGGAAACCCCCAAGTGAGTACTTGGGTTAACCTAAAGCCAATTGATGTTCTCTCACAAAACGTAGAGCTCTTTACTTCTCAGAATTGCAATTTGGCTCCTTAATCCAGCTCTGTAGGTAGAAAATGCATCAGATTAATTTCTAGGATAGGAACATAATTAATTAAAATTATAAGCTGTTTTAATTATCTTTTCATCTACCAGTTACTGCCTTTTCAAAGAGTTATGCAATGAAGCCGTTGACCAGAGTAGTTATTTACTCTTGATTTATCTCACAGTAGTTCATAGTAGTTGTGTCATAGTAGTTTTCTTCTCAGTTCACTTTTCTAGAACCTCAGAGCTGAAAAGAACAAAGCCCATTTAGTCCAACTTCCATATTTTATAGCTGGGGAAACTGAGATACACAGAAAGAAAGAGATTTGCTTAGGGTCACATAGCTAGATAGAAACAAAGATAAAACTAAATAAAGGGCTCCTGACTCCCAGTGCAGTGTTCCTTCTACACTTGACTCCCTCCCGATGGTTGCCTTTGTACAAAATTTTCAATTTAAATTATACTAAACTTCTATGCCAAAATATGCCAACAAAACTCTTCCACCCCACATACAAATACATACTGAGTATTGTGCTATAGCCATCAGTTTCAACTAACAATATCACAAAAATATGTTCCTAAGGAACCCATCAAGAAGAAATTCCAGACAGAAGCACTTTTCACTAGTAATATGCTAATTTTTCATCCTTCTACCTAGCATAATGTTTGGGTATGTGGCTCCATTCTGCCTGAACTTAGTTGCCATAATGGTTCTATAAAGGAGCCTTTAAGAGAGGGAGAATCTCAAAATTTCATGGAGTCACAAATAAGGTAAGGCTTTATAGATGAAAGGCAAACCCTATACCCATATCTGTGAGCTGAACTATGGAATTGACGGGTGAAATATTCCCACGTAGATTTTCTTCCTTATCATTTTAAATGTCTCAGGACATTACTTAAGCATTGGAATCCCTGAAGAAGGAGGAACTGGACTTCACTTACTGCACCCTCCCTGATTTAACTCTCACTGCAGTTAGCTCTCACTGCAGTGTCAGACTGCAGACCATTCCCAGTTTCTACCTACTCTTCAAAAAGAATAGTTATCTTTTTCTCAGGATATGGTACACAAACAGATATCCTGGGGTAGAAACAAAGCTGGAAACAGAAAGATCAGTACCACAATCAGCTCCTTTGTGACTTCAGAGTTTCACAGCAAGTTGTGCCTTACTAGGCTCCCACCCCTTATTCCTCAGTTTCTGTACTTGGTTCAAACTCCTGAGTTTTCCCCTCAGTGAATGGCATCACTATCCACTTAGTTGCCTGTTTGAAGGCTGAAGGTTATCCCTGACACTTCCCCCCTGACTTTACTTCCGATCCGTTACCAAGTGTGGTCTAGTCTCCCTTCTTAATATCTCACTGATCCTTCCTCTTCCATTTTTCTCTCGCTCAGCCATCATCACCCTTTGTCTGGTCTCTAACAATCTGTTGTGCCAGGTCATGTATTGAACTGGGGAAACAGCAGTTAATGTAACACACTATAACACTGTCCTCACAGAGTTCAGGCATGTATTCTAATTAGCTGTTTATTCATCTGTCGTCTTCACTGGACTGTAAGCTTGTGGAGGGCACAGGTCAAGTCCAACTCACCTCTGTATCTCCAGAATGTAGCAAAGTATGTCGTGCAAATTAGGCACTCAACAAGCAAATGTCAGTGAATTAATTTTCAACTTTCACAACTATGTAGTAGCCCCAGCATGGCTGTTCTTGTCTATTATGAACCCAGACAGCTGTTCCTGATCTTTTTTCTTTCCATTCCCTACCTACTTTCCTAGCCATTGCAAACTTTTGGAGACTTCTATGCTAATGTAGCCATTTATTTCATGTCCTATGCCTTGTGAAGCTCTAGGCTGTGGCCCTTTCTCTGGAGAGCCTGCTGAAACCTCTCCCTCCTCTTTCCAGGCAAATTGGCTAGGAATCCCACCCCTCCTGACCCAGGCTATAGGTAGAGCCAGTTGGAGTCAGGCTTCTGGTGAGGTTGCAAGGTTACTTACAATGCCTGAGTCATCAAGATCTAAAAGCTTGGCAACTCTTGCCCTCAGACTGGAAACCCTAGCCTCTAGTAATATTCTTTAAATCAAAAACATCTTCCACATGCACACTCAAACTTTATGCTCATTACCACAACAAAGTCTGATTTTTGATCAGGTCAATATTGTCTTATAACTCAGGTAAAATTTGTACTGTTCAAAAAAATGGACTGAAATAACAATTGAAGAATGATGGTATAGAAGCCCTCCTGCTTCTCTGATTCAAGGGAAGAAAGAGATTGTCTCTACGCTATGGGACACAAGAAGTTAAGGACCTGAGGCTGTCTTTGTCTACCACTGTATTCTCAGTGCCTAGCTCATATAGTAGCATCTCAATAAATATTTCCTGAACGAATGAATGATGAGATCTGTAGTAGGAACTATTGGTTTATGTGTCATGTGACTGAATTCTTATTTTGTAGAAAATGAGTGGAGAAAGAGCTTTGGAGCACATCAAATTACATCCCTTCATAATACAAATCAGAAGACAAAGGCCAAGAGTGAGTAACTTAGCTATTATCACATAGCAAGTTAGTGGCAGATCCTGGACTCAAAGCTGGCTTCCTGACCCCACTGCTCTTTCCCTTGCACCAAATCTCCCACATTCATCTTAGGCCTAAACCTAAACAAGAGTTCCCTATGAGGATTTCTGGAAGTCTGGTCTCTTAGTCCATGTTCAGACTCTATATATTTTTGTGTATTTTTTAGAAAGCATTGACATTTAGACTTGTCAGCCAGAGAGTTGCTCCCCTTTACTCCCATCCACATCCTCCTACATAGCTTATTTTGTCACTTTTCTTTTTGCAGCAAAATTAAACTTTTAAAGGGCTCTATGTTTTTAACATAGAAATGAAGCCTATCAAGCAAGAAGCAATAGATAACTACACATAAATAAATCACTTGCTTTAGTGTTAGAGAATTCTGACTGCTTGGTACTGATTTAATAGATCTGGGGGAAAATAAACAACGAAATTCAATAATGAGCACCTGTTCTTTCCAATAAACTTGCCGGGAAGCAACTAAAAGTGAAAGGAATAAATTTAGATATAAATGACACAACAACCAGCCAGTCTAACGGGAAGGCTTGAAACTGCCCCTGCTTCATCTGCAGCCCTTTGCCCTCTCCTGTCCTGGTCCCCTTAGATTGTGAGGATTCAGCGCTGTGTTCAGTTGTAACATTTCTGTCTATGCAGAAAAACATTCCTCTCATCTTTCTGGCTTCTTTGGAGAAATATATCTGTGACAATAATCTCTCTAATAAAGCGGAATTTAGCTTCAATTTAACTTTGTATGAAATGCCTTTACATTTCTTATCTTGGTCTTTTTAGTTTACTCTCATGACAATCACACGAAGTAGGTAAGGAAGGAATTGTCACATCAGAGAAATGAAATGACTGTGAGGGGTTACTGGGCTTGTCAGGGCCGGGGCCAGAGACAGAGACAAGAAGCCAGGGCTTCAGACACAGAGTCTAGTCCTCTTTTATCAATGCCATTTCATCACTGAGGGAAACACTGTGTAAGGCAATTTCTTCTTTGTTCTTTATCACAAAATTTATGAGCCAATATATTCTAGGGAAAATAATTAAAGGGTCATAGGTTGGCATCGCTTTAGTTTAGTGTTGGTAATTTGGAGCCCTAAAAAAGAGTAACAATATAGATCAATTCATTTCTCTTGTCTGTTTGAATATACAGAGCAATAATAATAATGATAATGTGAGCCCTGACATGACATTTCCCAGAAAAGATCGGACACCAAAGCTTTGGAAACAATAACATTATTTCCACGGGCAGCAAAATACCAGCCATTTTATGTTACACACCAGAGGTCCACAAATTATAGCCCATGGGCCAAATCTGAACACTGGCTATGAGAAGGAGTCTTGCTCTGTCGCCCAGGCTGGAGTGCAGTGGCGCGATCTTGGCTCACTGCAAGCTCCGCCTCCTGGGTTCATGCCTTTCTCCTGCCTCAGCCTCCCGGGTAGCTGGGACTACAGGCACCTGCCACCACGCCTGGCTAATTTTTTGTATTTTTTTTTAGTAGAGACGGGGTTTCCCCATGTTAGCCAGGATGGTCTCGATCTCCTGACCTCGTGATCCACCCACCTGGGCCTCCCAAAGTGCTGGGATTACAGGCATAAGCCACCGCGCCCGGCCTTTTGTAAGTAAAGTTTTATCGGTCCACAGTCACACCCATTCATTGATTTATGGTTCATGGCCATTGTTGCACAAAATGGCTTAAGTGAGTAGTTGTAACAAAGACTGTACAACCCTCAAAATCCACAATATTTACCATCTGGCTCATTACAGAAAAGTTTGCTGACCCTTATGTTAGAGAAATCAAACACTAACCCCAGTCATGAGGAAAGCTTCCTGTTGTCATGACAAGGGAGTTATGTCCAGAACACAAATTGCTGTTCTGGAAGACCCTTAGTAGGTCTGTGAGTATGGAGTTGGCAAAAAGACCTTCAGTAGGTCTGTGAAAGACCCTGAGTAGGTCTGTTGGTATGGAGGTGGCATAAACATTTTCTCTTGTCATTTTTTATAAAATTGGTCCTGAGCCCCCATTACTTTACTGTGAAAAGACCTATAATAGTGACTCCCTGACATTTACCATTCCTGGCAGGCTCCTGTCTTCATTACCAGCTTTTAATATCAGCCTCTGTGCCAGAGGGTTAAAGGACGATGGAATGAATACCCTGCAGCAGACACTGCAGAGAGTAAGAAGGTGTCTTCTCCTTAAGTGTCCAACTGTTTCCAACTTTTTCTCTCAAGCAGTGCCACCAACATATGATGTGTGAGGGATATAGCTTTGTGGGATTTTCTGAAGTTTATCCACGTACAAAGATTTGGGATAGCTTAGGGCAACATTGACCTTGGCAAGACCACATAATCTGTGAAGTCTCCGCAGGTTTCCTTGTAAGGGACAATGGTCTTTGAGGGAGAAAGAACACAATTCAAACTATAACACCTATCCACCAACTCTCTCACCTTCCTCCACCCCTACCTTTTCAAGGGTCTATTTCTGTGCCTCAAATTCTGGGCATGTCCCCAAACCACTAGAATTCGGCATAAGATATAAAGCCAGAGAGCATAAGGTATGTAGTCAATCTTTATTACAGCTCACTCATTTCTTAAGTATGTGAACCTGAGCAAGTTATACAACACCTTTGGGCCTCAGTTGCTGCATTGGTAAGATGGGAATAATAACATTATCTACTTCATGAGATGGTTGCGTGCACCACATTATACAGCCTGGCATATAGTAAGGCTCAATCACCAATAACCATTATTTTCTATGGCAGCTAACTGTGGCTTCAATATTGGGGTAGCCTTGGCCTTAGAACAAAAAAGAAAGCTGAAGAGAGCATTATGGTGAGAAGTTCATCCTTTGCCCAAAAGAATATTTATTGAGCATCTATAGGTTCTAGGCACTCTTGTGGGGGCTGGGGGTTGAGGAATGAAGGCAAGAAAGTTCCTGCTATAAAAAATCTGACAATCCAATGGTAGAAATAGACAAGACACAAAACTAGTAAATATATGATTAAGTCAGGTAGTGATAAGTACTATAAAGAAACAGAACACAGAGTAAGGGGATACATAGTGAGAGCGGCTGGCTAGAAAACAGTCATGAGAGGGAATGAGGGGTTGCTAAGAAACATGGGGGACTAGCTAGATGACATCTGTCTCAATGACTACCAGGCCAGGCCGACTCTAGCTTTGGTTAGCACTCAAGCAGTCAATTCTGCTGCATGTTTTAGGAGTGAATATTCTCATCAATTGGCTCTAATGTGAATATTGATTCCAATTCACCTCTTCCCTGCCTATTGAACTTTCATGTCCCTTCAAATAAATATCATACCACTTGGCACTTAATTATGTGTTGTCCAGCATTCCTCATTGTTATTTCCTCCATGCTAGTCTCTCTGGCTGGACTGTTGCCTTCATGAAGGCAGGGCAACTATCCCTTACTTCGTATGTAATACTCTCACTCTTAGTACAGTGCTGAGACAGGTAGGAGTTTCTCCATAATACTTGTCAATTAAATAATTTAAAAGAAAAACAAAATTCCTCTAGTTTCATAGCAGACCACCTATGACTAGAGCAGAATTTCTAAATTCATTATGCTAATATTGAGAGCAAAAGTAATGTCTGCATAATGGGATAATGAGAGTCTGATGGACTGTCATTGTCTGGGTACTATTTCAGAGGACACAATATTTGCCATGGCACACTCAAATTTATGTAATAGTAATAGCATCATGTATTCAGTACTTACTATGTGCCTGGTGTTGTTCTAAATGCTTAACATACATAAATTCATTTCACCTCAATATCCCTTATGAGAGAGGCAATGCTATTATCACTATTTTTGCAGGTAAGTTCATTGAAGCTTAGAGACTTGAAGTAACTTGCCCAAGGTCTCGCTAGCAGATGACAGTCTGACTTGACACTCCAAGCCAGACTGAGGTTTTTGGATATGTGTCTAATTTTTAGTTTATAAGATCAAATGGCCTGGAAGACAGTATAGCAAAGTGGTGGAGAACTTGGCTTTGGTGTGTGGGTTTGAATCCTAGCTTTGCAACTTAAGAGATGTGTGACCTTGAGCACTTTCCTTCTCCAAATTTCAGCATTCCTACCTATAAAATTAAAAACAAAAGTAGCACCCACCTAATAGGATTTTATGAAAATCAATTGAACTAATACATGTAAAGCACATGGCATGATGCCTGGCACACAGTAAGTACACACACACACACACACACACACACACACACACACACACAAATGTGACCGTAAATGATTCAAAGTGCTTAACAGGCAACTGACTGAGGAATTTAATCATTGGCTCTTGAAATACTAGGAGGTGGTTCAGCCTTCTGGGCAAGGTAGCACACCTCTTGAGCTTTGGGCTTTTTAGAAAGATGCTGCCACAGTTTAGGTGGCAGGTCGTAGTGGTGGTAGTGGCAGTGGGAGCAGCATTGGCAGTGATTGGGGTGTGGGGTGAGAATAGACAATGTTCTAAATTTTATATCCATTGTGGCAGGTTTTTAAATATTGGCAATCCCTAGCCATGCTGAAGGAGGAATTAGCTCACTGAAACCTTACTTAAAGTATATGATCCCTGTGCATTTCAACTATTGATTCAGAGCTTGTTTCTGATTATGCTGGGGTAAAAAGGAGTGGCAAGATAAACTATTGTCTAGGTTCCCATAGGGCCAATCAAAACATATAAGGTAGGGTATAAATACACCTGCTAATGTTTCTTACAAGCAGAGGAAGAGTAGCCCATGTGTCGATTAGAATATTGTTATTGGGTCACATTCTTATTTCTTTCTGCCCTCTATGTCTTAGAGCAAGATGAGGGGATGAAAGTTTACAATATGTAACTGAAGTGTCCAAAGCAGAAGAGAATTCCCGATACTGCTTCTTTGTGTGTAGTCCCTCAAAGGGCAAAGCATTCCAAATCTTTTCTTCTAGCTATTTCAAAATCTCTTTTTTTCCAAATAGCTGTGTTTCAAATAGCTAAAGAGAAGATTTTGGATATTCCCAAAACAAAGAAATGAGGTGATAGATACCCCAATTACCCAATGTGATCATTACGTATTATATGCATGTATCAAAATATCACATGTAGCCCATACATACGTACAATTATTGTGTATCAATAATATTTTAATTTTTAAAAAGCACAGCAGCCTCTGCCATGCTGGCCTCCCTGGACCAAATTCGTAGAGACACATCCTGCACACAGTTGGCTGGCAATCTAAGGGGACCCTCCAGGAAACCATGGCAGCCAGTCACCAGCAATTTTTTTTGAAAAGATAACTTTTTAACTTCATTGTACTTTTATCTTTCCCTTGAGAAACCCACTTGGATAATTTTATATATTTTTTGAAACAATCCAGAATTACAGAAACACTTCAAGTACAATGCAAGGGGCTTTTCTCCTCTCCAAATCATGTGACAGTAAGTTGCCAGCCTGATATAATCACAACGTGCCCATCAAAATCAGGAAATTAATATTTATATGTAAATACAGTATAATTCTTAGAACTCATTCAAACTTCACCAATCATCACAACAGTGTCCTTTATAGTGAAAGGACCTAGTTCAGAATCATGTGTTATATTTAGTTGTTATGCGTATCCAATCTCCCTCTATACATTCCTTAGCCTGTCTTTGACTTTCAAGATCTTGATACTTTTGAATACTCCAGGCTAGGATAGTTACTTTGTAGAATGCCCTTCGATCTGGGGTTTTCTGATGTTTTCTCATTGTTAGATTCAGTTTATACATATTTGGTAGAGATACTACAGAAACAATGCCATGTTCTTCTCATTGCATCCTATCAGTTGGTTCACAGACAAGCAAATTTTAGTGTCACTTATTGCAATCAGCTTTTGAATCAGTTTCATCACCAGTTGTGAAAAAGCACCACATCCAGTTGCTTCTAACACTGGGCTCGGGATATACAAAGTGATCTTGACAGGTACTTATAATACCTCTACACCAAAATCTACTGGAAGCCTGGTCTTAGACTACCTTTATAGTTTCCCTTTTTATGATACCTGTAGGAACACCACAGCAAGTTGCCTTCCCTCCAAATGCCCAGGAATACTTTTTCACCTCTCTGCCTTTGCCCATGTCATTTCCTTGACCCTTCATAGCCACTCCATTCTTGCCCATCTCTCGTGTCAAAGTCTGATTTTTCCTTTAAAGACCACTTCAAATGCCACATTCTCTATAAAGTTTTTCCCAGTCCCCCATCCCTAACTTGGAATTCCACCTTTGTTGTAGCATATTTTGCTTTTTAAATGTTAATTATCATAATATGTCTTATATTAAAATTAGATAATAAATTGCAAGCTCCTTGCAGGTAGTAGTTTTACTGTATCCACGTCTGTTGTGTCTCTAATCCTATCAGATCTAAACTGCTATGAACATAAATCAACAATTTAATCTAATGCTATGTGGATAAGAATAATAGCTAACATTATTGACTACTAATTATGGACCAGGCCCTTTTCTAAGTTGTCTGCGTGGTTTTTCTCATTTTATCCTTGTAATAACTCCATGAATTAGGTACACTTGTTATACCCATTTCATGAAAAGTAACTCAACAATAATAGGTAAAATATAAACATTCACTGATGGAAAGAATTGCTGTGTGAACTCAGAAAATATTTTTTAAAAATACTGTGACTTCCTCAGGGCCCTCTAGCCCCTGACCTTGAAGGTGCTATTTCTAGTTAGAAGGTAAGATTCACTATTGGGTAGGAAAACCATAGCCAAACCATTGGAATATGGAAGTCAGAGGTCAAGGAAGTTTACTTGGAAATAGGTAAAAAAGCAAGTTGTGAGTAGAAACCAAAAACCAAAAAGATAGGTGAGGTTGTAGCAAAGGGAGGCAAGTGTCTGAGACCCATAGACAGACCCAGAGCACATAAGACTAGCTCAGCAAGGACCCATATGTCAACAAGGAAAAGCAAACAGGTCCTTAGGACCCACCGGCTTCATAGTTGCCACAGGAGCAGCACCTCCAAGGGCTACTAGGAATATAGAAATTGGAACAATCAGTGCTCTATATGTCCAGCCTTGTATAAGTTGGCCTTCTTCGTGTCCTCAGGCCAGACTACTCTAATAACGGGTGGCAAAAATTAACCTTACCTGTTTGAGCCCCAATTTTCTTACCTATAAAATGGTATTAATACCCACACTGCCTATCTCAAAGTGACAGTACAAGTATATATCATTGTTAAATTAGGTTGAACCATTGCCAATATTTGCTCATTTTTAACCTATACAAAAAGCAATTTGATATGGTTCAATCAAACTTGGTGCAGACCATGAGGTATTATTCATCATTGTACTTCCAGCATCAAACACAGTGACTGACACAGGGGAAGCACCCGATAAACATTCTAACAGCTTTATTGAGGTCTAATTCACTTAAAACAAACTGCTCATATTTCAAGTATGCAATATGATGAGTCTTTACATGTTTATACACCTGTAAAATCATCATCACAATCAAGATATAGTGAACACATCTATCACCCAAAAATAGTTCCTCATCAATAAAAATTTATTGGAGAAATAGGAGGGGAAGACATGGGTGCCATACTGCCCTGGAGACTACAAAACACCAACAGCAAGGGATTATGGCCAAAGCCCAACCAGGTGGCTCTTATTCCTCACCCCTTTACCCAGGGTGCAGGGCCCAGAGATGATGGAGAAGACAGAAGCATCTAGGGCCATGATACAATTTGAGGGTCACAAAGACAATGGTGCCCCTGATGGCATAGTGCTCTGACTTCTTGGAAGAATTAATACATCTATTCTGCTCCAGGTCACGTTCCCAGCTTTGCTGTAAACTACAACTTGTAATGTTGTGTGGTTTTGTTTGTCTAAATTTTTTAAGCCTTATTGTAAGTGTTCCTATTTCTCCACATCCTCTGCAGCATCTGTTGTTTCCTGACTTTTTAATGATCACCACTCTAACTGGCATGAGATGATATCTCATTGTGGTTTTGATTTGCACTTTTCTAATGACTAGTGACAATGAGCTTTTGTTCACACGTTTGTTGGCCACATAAATGTCTTCTCTTGTGAAGGGTCTGTTCGTATCCTTTGCCCAGTTTTTGATGGGGTTGTTTGTTTTTTTCTTGTAAATTTGTTTGAGTTCTTTGTAGATTCCAGATATTAGCCCTTTGTCAGACGGATAGATTTCAAAAATGTTCTCCCATTCTGTAGGTTGCCCGTTCACTCTGATGATAGTTTCTTTTGCTGTGCAGAAGTGTAAATTAGTTCAACCATTGTAGAAAACAGTGTGGCAATTCCTCAAGGATCAAGAACCAGAAATACCATTTGACCCAGGAATCCCATTACTGGGTATATACCCAAAGGATTATAAATCATTCTGCAATAAAGACACATGCACACGTATGTTTATTGCAGCACTATTCACAATATCAAAGACTTGGAACCAACCCAAATGCCCATCAATGATAGACTGGATAAAGAAAATGTGGCATATATACACCATGGAATACTATGCAGCCATAAAAAAGGATGAGTTCATGTCCTTTGCAGGGATATGGATGAAGCTGGAAACTATCATTCTCAGCAAACTAATACAGGAACAGAAAAACAGCACATGTTCTCACTCATAAGTGGGAATTGAACAATGAGAACACATGGACACAGGGAGGGGAACATCACACACCAGGGCCTGTCTTGGGGTGGGGGGCTAGGGGAGGGACAGCATCAGGAGAAATACCTAATGTAGATGACGGGATGATGGGTGCAGCAAACCACCATGGCACGTGTATACCTATGTAACAAACCTGCACGTTCTGCACATGTATCCCAGAACTTAGGGTATAATTTTTTAAAAAAAGAATCTTCTTAGAGGGCTGCTCAGAGCCATTTGGTCCTTTGGTCCTTACCAGTGTACCTTGAACATACCTGGATAATTACCTTCATCTCCCTGACTTATTCTTACTCGTGCATGCATGTCTCTTACAAGACTGTGAGCCTCTTAAGGGCAGGAACCATGTGTTTGCTGTTCATCTTTTCATTTTCAGCATTTAATTCACTGCCTGCACATAATAGAAAATAAATGAATAAAGAAATGAATGAATGAATGAAAAAAAGCCTTATTGATCAGGAAAGCATTTTAGTGCAGATTGGGTAGCTTTAAATCTCATTCTTTTATGAGATTTTATTATTACATTGTCTTTAGGAATAAACTTGGACAGAGATGGATGGCAAAGAGTGCTAAAATGAAACCAAACTGTAATTTTGAGTGATTTCACAGCCAAGATATGGTGCTTTACTCATATTTATGACAGTATGCAGTATTGGAAACTTCCACAGGGCAGTAGGGGCTGCCTAATTAGCTGGGAAATTGGAGATTGTCCAGGCCTCATCTAAGTGGGGCAAGCCTAATAGCTCATCTCTGCTTGAAGTGACAGAGAATTGAGGACAGTCCTGACTTCACCCTGAACTTTTGCTTTGCCCAGGATAACCAGGTCTAAGAAACAAACTCTTCCAGCCATTTCCTATGAGCATTTTACCCAGGCCAGGTCAACCTGGCTTTCTGTGTAGAATTCAAAACAGCATAAGATATGGAAAGCTCAGAATGTTGGTTTCTATACTAGGAGGAAGAAAAACATGGATGATTTCAAATTCATGTGAGAAACTGATGATCTCTAATGAGAAAGCCCAGCAGATGTCTACCTTGTAGTATTTTCTTGTGATGACTGGATGTTGAATGTTATATTGATGGCAGACAAGATCTTTGAGATTACTAAAAATTTTTAAATATCTTTCTAGCATCAGAATATAAAGTACAAAGAAAAACATACATGGAAATCCAACATATATAATGTATGAAAACACAGTAGGTTTGATTGAAATTGGTCGTCAAGGCATCTACCCTCTCACTACATTGAGGGGTACAGAGGCACCTTTATGGACTCCTAGGGCTCTGCTGAGGACTATTTAAAATGTCTAATTTCTGTAAGCCTCAGTTTTCTCCTCCGTAAAACTGAAAGAACTCTAGTATCTAGCTTTTAGGGTAGTTGTAAAGACCAAATACAATAATATGTTAAAGAATTTTTGTAGTGTCCAGTAGTACATGGAAAACTCTCAATAAAAGTAAACTTACTTCCTTCCCCATATCCCTGAGCCTTTCATTTTGCAATTAAGAGAATTGCCTACTAGAGAGAAAAGTGATTGACCTTGGTTAAAGATGTTAGTAGTATAGGTAAAGCAGCTCTCTCATCTCCCACTCCAGTGTGCCTTCCAGGATACCACAGTTGTCGCCCCTCCCTCTGCTGAAATTCTGAGATAATAAAAAAGGTGTCTGGTCCTTAATGCCTTTGAGATTCTGTCTAACTGAACCTGATAACAAAATAAAGACGGTCACCCTCCCTCAAAAGTCACATAAATAAGTAAAGAAGCGACCTGGATGTTTTTCAAGCACAGGGAATCACAGTTCTATTAGCTGTAACTCACCCTAAATCTATAGATTACTAAATTCATAGACTTCAAATGACAGTGATGGTCTCCCAGAAAGCTAAAGCACCTAGACAGGAAGGAACTTAACAGAAGTGCTGCTTATAAAGTCACCAAAGGTATTCTGCACCACCTCTGCATAGGAGCAAAACCATTAACAGGCAGGGCATTAACGTCCAGTGACTTCCAAAATGGCAGAGCTCTGCATATGTGATCTGACTCCACTGGTCTTTGAACATGGCCTTGGATGCATTTGTAAACTGAATAATCCTTGCTCATTAGCATTTGAAGAAGACAGGTAAACAAGAATTACAGAAACGTAAATTTGCTGTATTTTAATATTATGCATGTTTTATTGCTTTAGAAGAGTGTTTAAAGTAGTCAAAGAAACTCTTCTTCAGTCCTTCAGTACCCCCAGTCATTCTTCAAAAGATAGTAATTAATGTGTCCTCTCATTATTTCAACATGTAGGGTGTTCCCACTCTTCCTACACCGAAATCGAATGTTATTTAAATCAAATATGATTTTAATTTTCACACTGACTGAGATTTGTAGCGTGGAGTTAGGCAGCTTAAAAGGAGGCTTTGGCTTTCCTCTTAGCCAGTCCTCCCTGCTACTGCTTGATAAAGCCATCTTGTCCATAAATGGAGATACTTTGCATATTGGTTAGGAATTCTTCCTGCTGCCAGTAAATTTTACCAGTCCTGCCAATAAGCACAGATGATCTATCCCGTCACTTTCCCATTAGAGCAGGGCCAAATATTTGTCACGTGTGTACAAAATGTATGTTGACCCTGATGGATGATAGATGACATTCCTTTGTTCGTTTGTAAATAGAAACCTATGAAATCAAGTGAACTTGCAGATAAAATTCAGATGGCTGATTTACTTGTACATGCAAAGAATTAGCTTTGTTGGCAGGATTCACCCGTTGGAATTTGTTAGTTATGTTTCTCAAATAATGGATCCTAGGTTTCTGGGGCACTGTGGATTTACCACGTGAGTTATGACAAGAGGTAGAGGTCTTTGTGACTTCTTTGATACCACCTATCTTGTAGATTGTCATAATAAACTTCTGATTCTCACCTCTGATTAGACTATTTTTAAGATTATACCGAAGTGTTATATATAACCAATTGAAAAGGAAATTACTTCTTAGATTTATAAGGGTTCAGAATCCAGTGAAACTCTTTATGATTGAACAAAAATGCATTAAAATGAATTGCTAAAAGGAGACACGAAGAAACGTCATAAAACATAAAATGTTAGACTTGAGAGATACTTTCAAGGTAAAATAGTCTAGCGATTTCCAACCTGAGGTTCTAAGGTTTCTATAGGTTTTCTAAGCCTTATATTAAGGCATTTGGAACTGTTTCAAATTGGAAGTCCTAGTTTCTCAAAATAAAGCTACACAGGCTAAGTAGAATATTAAGTATCATTGCATTGGGCTGGAGTTTTTATGAGATTTGTGTGCTTTATCTGGCTACCTCATATTCATCAGAAGCTCTGATTGACAGACTCATGTATGTTTAGCCACTTAAATGTAAAAAAAAATTACTGTTTAGTAAAAAGAAGTTTGCAGAATGGGTTTAATATTTTAAATTGTGAAGTCCATGGTATTCCAAGGGTGGGGATAGGTAATGTTTTAAAAAGAGACCTTGGTTGTGAGAAGGTTGAACCTCACTGAACTTGTCAAAAGCCTTGTATTAAAAATGATCAGACTGAGGCACAAAACATTCCTGTCCCTTATTGGTCATTGCAGATCACTTGAAAGTGCAAGGATAATAACTTATGTACTACTCAATAATGCGTATCTTAGCACTTCCACTAATATATTTCTTTTCTCTGTATATCAGCCTTTTATTTTATAACCCACTCTACTGAAAAAAAAATTTTCAGATTTATGCATCACATAAGTCTTTACTCATTATTCTTAAATTCCCCAGTCTGATTTTATTAACTTTTCTTGGGCTGTTATCTATACAGTTGAGTGAGTTTACCATCTTAACTGAATTAAATAGTCAATTCAGTCAAAATATCAGAGGGTATTTTATTTATCCCAATGGAGTCATATTAAATGTGGCAAAATATAAATAGATCAGAAGTTCACTCTGTACTGATAAACTCAGCAATTCCTGGACTGAAAGTGGTATGCCAGGAGTATGGTATTTTGTCACTAACCCAGAAAAAAGAAGAAACATCCAGCTCCTTGGAGCTCTTCCTATACTGCTAGATAACAACATCTCTACTTTTCCCTCTGTCTTACACCAAGTTCCTGAAGAAACAGACTTTGAAATGAAATTTGTGTGCAGGAGTTTTCTTGAGCAATGCTGTCAGGACTAGTATGGTAAAGGAATGGGAGAAGTGAGTTTTGGCAGAGAGGTTCTACTGATATGCAGCTGCAACAAAGGCCTTAGCTGGTCCTATGGGTGAGTTCTGGAGGTAAGATGGCCCTTTTGAGTTGTACTGAACCAACATAAGGGGTCCAGGCTTTGTACTCCCATATTTCCAGCCATTGGATGTCGGCTACCCCTGGGGAGAAAGCTTAATGTTGAACATAGCAGTTTCCTTTGGCTGATGGAGTGATTCCTAGGTAAAAACTCAGCTTGGCAGCCAACACTCCAGTTAGTGGAATGAGTGCTTCATTCCTGATGTGAGAATCTGGGAGCACACCAAACAGCTATTACAGCCTCCTTTTCTTAACTCCTCTTGTGGGCCCCCTCTATAAACAATGACTCCTCTGCATTTTTTTTCCATGTAAGTGGAAACCTAGAGAGTAGACCTAGACATTTTTCCTTTCCTGCAAATCTTCCTTATAAAAGGTAAAGCATTTTTGAGAGCTGGCCAGCTAGGGTTAATGTGAAGTTTATAGCTGATAGAGAAAAACGAACAGGGCTTAGGTGTGTTTGAAGTTCCTTTTATTACTTGGGAGCTTTCTTCTGCTTTTCAGGTATATAAAGATTAGAAGACAAAGTGAAGTCAACAAAAGAAATGAATCATTTAAATAGCATGATTGCCATTCTGCAGTGATCTGAAAAATCCAATATTCCCATTTAAATCAGATTCACTTTCATCTAGAGAAAAATACTTGACCTTTTCCAGTGACCACCTAAGTAGAAGGTCAGACAGACCAAGAAAATGCCTCAACCTTCTCTGTTTCCTTTTATTCTTCTAGCCTTCCTTTATTTCCATCTATTCTGTGTCTTTAACTTTCCTTGCACTGAAAATCTATTTATCATATTGTGCCTACATGAAACAGAAGTATCAGAAAATAAGAATTTTATTATTTTAGTTTGTTGAAATAATGTACATTCCCTTCACCCCTGCAAAGGTATTGACTGGGTTCAAATAGGTTTGTGTGTAGGGGTACAGCCATTAAAATTATGCAGAAATGTTTACATATCATATTTTATAAATGTTTTTAAGTAATGTATCACTTCTCAACTTGCAAGTTATAGCTTATCAAGCTAAAGAAGCAAATTTGGAAGACAATATTCTCATTCTATCTTTCTGTATTTTAGGTATGTGACATCAAAGGTCATTGGTTTAAGAAACCTGGTTCGTGATAAGTTAGGAATTGCTTACTAAAACTTCATAGTCCCTCAAAAGTCCAAATACCACATCAACCATTTGGAAAAGAATGAAGGCTAGTATGGTTTTGCTGTGAACCCATCCAAATCTCATCTTGAATTGTAGCTCCCATAATCTCCATGTGTCATGGGAGGGACCTGGTGGGTGGTAATTGAATCATAGGGATGGATTTTTCCCTTTCTGTTCTCGTGATAGTGAAAAAGTCTCATGAGATCTGATGGTTTTATAGAGGGGAGTTCCCCTACACACTCTCTCTTGCCCACTGTCATGCAAGATGTGTCTTTGCTTCTCCTTCACCTTCCACCATGATTGTGAGGCCGCCCCAGCCATGTGAAACTGTGAGTCCATTAAAGCTCTTTTTCTTTATAAATTACCCAGTCTTGGGTATTTCTTTATAGCAGTATGAAAATGGACTCCTATCAGTATGAAAATACATTAAGTTGGTACCAGTAGAGTGGGGTACTGCTATTAAGATACCCCAAAATGTGGAAGCAACTTTGGAACTGGGTAACACGCAGAGATTGGAACAGTTTGGAGGACTCAGGGGATGACAGGAAGATGTGGAAAGGTTTAGAGCTTCCCACAAGAGACTTGTTGAATGCTTTTGACCAAAATGCTGATAGTGATATGGACAATGAAGTCCAGGCTGAGGTGGTCTCAGATGTAAATGTGGAGCTTATTGGGAACTGGAGCAAAGATGAGTCTTACTATGCTTTAGCAAAGAGACTTGTGGCATTTTTCCCCTGCCCTAGAGATCTGTGGATCTTCGAACTTGAGAGAGATGATTTAGGGTATCTGGCCGAAGAAATTTCTAAGCAGCAAAACTTTCAAGAGCTGAGTAGGTTGCTCTTAAAAAACCTTCAGTTTTATTCATTCACAAAGATATAGTTTGGAATTAGAAATTATGTTTAAAAAGGAATGCAGAATGGGTAGTAGAAGAAGGTAGTCATCATTACCAGCTACTACCACATGACCAGTTGCAGAAATTAGGACTGTAATTATCACGAGTATTTCCTCCTTATTTTGTTAAGAACATGTTTGTGCATTTATACACTTGTAGTAAGAAAATATCTTTTTGGCGGGAGGTGGTGGCTCACACCTGTAATCTCAGCACTTTGGGAGGCTGGGGCAGGTGGTTCACCTGAGGTCAGGAGCCTGACCAGCCTGACCAACATGGTGACCAATATGGTGAAACCCTGTCCCTACTAAAAATGCAAAAATTAGCCGGGCATGGTGCCACACACCTGTAATCTCAGCTACTTGGGAGGCTGAGGCAGGAGAATTGCCTAAACCTGGGAGGCGGAGGTTACGGTGAGCCAAGATCGCACCACTGCACTCCAGCCTGGGCAACAGGAGCAAAACTCCATCTTGGAAAAAAAAAATCTTTTTATTTCATTTCTTCTTCCTTATCATGTGACATAAGATTTAGTGACTTTATATCAGCATTTAAGTGCTGTTAACTTGATGTAATAGCATTTAGGTTAAGGATTAGTGCACTTTAACTTTAGGTTAAGGATTAGTGAAGGGTAGCTGTATTACGTTAGGCATAATTATGACCTTATTATTGTCTTTATTTGAAGATTATATATGATTTCAGGAGATATGTAAAGGTTCAAGTTGGCAAGGGGTGGACTTGTAATGGGTTAACATTGAGTATCAACTTGATCGCATTGAAGAATGCAAAATATTGTTTCTGGGTGTGTCTGTGAGCATGATGCCAAAGGAGATTAACATTTGAGTCAGTGGACTGGGGGAGACAGACATAACTTCAATCTGGGTGGGCACTATCTAATCAGCTGCCAGTATGGCTAGAATAAAGCAGGCAGGAGAAGATGGAAGAGTAGACTTGCTGAGTCTTCTGGCCTTCATCTTTCTCCCTTGCTGGATGCTTCCAGCCCTCAAACATCAGATTCCAAGTTCTTCAGCTTTTGGACTCTTGGACTTACACCAGTGGTTTGCCAGGGGCTCTCAGGCCTTTGGCCTCAGACTGAAGGCTGCATTGTCGCTTTCCTCCTTTTGAGGTTTTGGGACTTGGACTGATCCACCACTGGCTTCCTTGCTCCTCAACTTGCAGCAGACAGTCTATCATGGGACTTTACCTTGTGATCATGTCAGTCAATTCTCCTTAATAAACTCCCTTTCATATATACATCTATCCTATTAGTTCTGTCCCTCTAGAGAACCCTGATTAATACAAAGGCCAGGATTCATTCAGCTCAATGGTCAATTCCTTCTTAATTTGTTTTATATTAAGAGACACCCCAGAAGAAAAAGCACAGTTTAGAACTATGGATACCTGGGTTCTAATCTTAACAGAAGCACTTATCAAGTAGTTACACATTTGGCTTTAATTGAAGCATTTCATGAATCTTAATCTTATGCCATTGGGCTACAGGTTTTGTAGCAAAGACAAGCTCTTCTTGAGGAGGATGAAGGCATTGTTAGAGCAGTCATCTTATGAAATAAATTGATAATTTTATTTTTAAAACATCAAGTACTTTTGCAAAGAAGTGATCTGGTGATGCACTGAAAAATCTGGCTATGAAAATGTTGACACACTTTTAGGATTTAACTACAGCAAAAACGTGTCTTCAATTCCTGTCAACACATCATGTTTCTGCATCTCAGTTTTCATATTAGCAAGAAAACTATCAACATTTGCTTTGTTACATAGTATATTTAGAAGAAAAAGTAAAACTGTATTGTCAGAGGTCACAGTAACTTCCTCCTTCAGTTTTAGTTGACACAATCCTTCACACATTCTGTGAAACTCATCCCTTCTAGATTCCAGGAACCCATCAAGCTCTGTTTGTTTTGATTTTTCTTGTTCTATCTGTGTAGCATTCCTTCCTCCCAGGTGTGGGACAAGACCCCTCTGGAATAAGGGTCCTCAAGGGAGAAGAGAGAAGGGAAAAGGGAGATACTGACCTTTCTAAGTTTTAAGACTTGCTTTGGAAGAAAAGAGTTCTAGTTTCTACAGCCTGCCTTGGGGAAGAAAAATTCTGGTTACTTTGACTTGCTTCGGGGAGAAGAGAAGAATTTCCTTCTTGGTCTCATTTGATGGTTTCTCCTTTTCACTCTAGCAGACCATGAGCATCTTCTAAGTTTCTATCATCGGTATCTGCCCTTCTTCACGCTTAGTCACTCCTTTAGGGGCAGTGTCTATCTAAGCCCATAGTTGCTGATGAAAAATCTAATTCTGACCTCTCCTTTGCAATCGTTTCCTGTATCTCAAGGTTTTCTGTCTTTTTGAGAGCTCGAGTCCCATGATCCTTTCTTCTTATGAGTGTCCATGCTACATACTGCTTACATTTTTCTCCCATTTATTCAACAGTATTTTCATATGCAAAATGAGGATAACAATAGTATCTACTTCATAGAGTTAAATACTCAATAAATATGTGCTATAATAATAAAAGCTCTGACTCCCAGAGTGCCTAGTGCAGAGTTTCACATATGATGAATACTAATGAATAGAGTGCCATTGAAATAGACCTATACACGTTTTGATGCTAAAGTCCTAACTCTCTTCTTCAGAGTAATAGCCAGCCCTCAGAGCTTTATCACTCCTTACGTTACATGTCATGCTCCATCTATGATGACTTCTCTCCTTAATTGAATGGATCTTTCTTTCATGATTTTTACTCTCTTAATCTGTTTGCAGATGCCATCCTCACTACTGAGCACAAACTCTGTCCTCCTTCACTTCTCACCTTCTTTGGGTCTTAACTTAGATATCACTTCCTCTAAGAAGTCTTTCATTACTCCCAAATCCATGTTAGATTCCTTTTCTAGGCAGTTCCATAGAATCCATCTCCGTACAGTTTATAAATATTATACGTGTATCTGTTTCTATTTCCCATTAGATCATAACTTCTCTGAAGTCAAGGACCTTTCACTGTCTTATTTAGTATTATAATCTCATTGTCTGGCCCAGTATGTGATACACAGTGTGTGCTTAATAAATGAATGAGCATTGCTTTGGCAATGCCTTACCACCACCAATATGCAAACACAGTCTCCCCTAGTGAGATATCCTTGAAATTAATTTAAACCTGATTCTGCTATAAGAAAGTTTAAGACAGGGACATGTACCAGCCTATACTTCCCCAGGAACAGGCATTTACCCACAAAAATTGGATGTAAAAATAAAATCTCTAGAGTCTTTCCAACATTTTATAACCCTAATTAGCTATAGCCATTACCAATCTCTGCCTATCTCACTCTGCTGAAGTGCCTGAGTCCCACCAGTTCAAGGTAGTGCCAATTTCAAACCAAAGGACCATCCTCAGAGGCAACAATCAAAAGAGGATGACAAGAGAACAGAGGAGTCAAGCTAAATCCTTTCATTTGTCATACGATTTGCTGCAGCCAGAATTGGTCAATAGCATGGCACTTCACAAAGCCTTGTATTCCCTGATACCTTGTAGGAACATGAGTTACATAATGACTAAGGGAAAAATGCCAGCCACTGAGTTGCCAAAAGATACAATTATGATTAAACCTGGCACTTTGGAAAAAGCAGATCCAACTGCACCCGATTCTATTGCACCTGGTATATTTTTTTTTCTATAGAAACAATAAGTTTGCTGTCCTTTTAGGAGCTCACCTATATCATTAGAAATCAACATTAAAGCCAGAAAGCCTGACTCTGAAACATTTTGGAAAATTCAAGGTAAATAACTATTTTCTAACATTTAGAGTTTAAGGTTTTAATAAAATCAGAAAATACTAGGAAAAGAAGTCACCAGTACATTTTGTACTGAAAATTGTTGAGGAGTTTCAGTATGATGAAATGAGCATGTCACACCCATAAATGAACCTCTAAGATTAATTTGATTACTTCTCTACAACAGCAAAATTCCATAATCAAATAATGTTGCTTGAGGTCTTCTCTTGCTTCGGAGTTGGATAATCTAAATTATGTAACCTCTAGTTGATTTTCACTTCATCACGTATCAAGGATCATCTCTGCAGATAGAAAGAAAATTTTCTGTTGAGCTGCATGTTACCTCATTGAGAAGGGCAAAGAATTATAGATGGAGGCACTTTGTTGGATTAAGCTTCTTGATAACAGGAATACTCTAGAATCAATGAGACATCCAGTATGGTTACCACACAAATAGAAAGGGGGAGCTCTGTGAAATCAGGAGGACTTTGGTTTCAACCATTGCTTGGCAACTAGCTTTTTGTGTGACTATGAGAAAGACATTTGCTGTCTTTGAGCAAATTGGTTTAAGCAAATTGGTGGAGGCTGTCAGATAAATACATTGTTTATAGCTGAGTGACAGGTTCTTTCTTGAAGGGAGATCCAGAAAACACACCCCCATAGTAGCCATAAGGGCAATTTTTATTGTATTATAAAAAGAATTATATTATAAAACTTAAAGTTTGCAATAACCTGCTATTGCCTACATAGTAAGCCTAGACTTCTGTCTAGCTTGTGAGATATCCGTAATGTTGGCTTGTCCTTCTTAGCCAATCTTATTTATATTACATTCCAGCATTAACCCTCTTTTGGAGGAATGGATACATTAGAAAAGCCTCATGTTGGAAGGAAATGATCAGATCCTTGTCATGATCAGTCATAGTCTGGGGGCTGCCAGCAGAATAGTAAGTCTTTAAGGGATATCTAAATGACTGAACTTTATGGCTAAAGTAAACTCTGTTTAGGCTAGGTCAGTTTACATGGGAAAGGCTCCATGGGAAGATATTTGAACTAGTTCTAAGTAAGATGTGACTCTAACGTCTTGCATCGATTATAGTATGAAAAATTAAAAAGTGTGATACCAGTGAAGATGTAGGGAAAAGGAACTACAAAGCTTGCTCCACTATAACAATTACTTAATAACTGGGAGAACTTGGCAGAGTAAAGCTTTTAAGAACTCTGGAAACTAACCAAAAGCCTGCAGCAACCCAAAGAGCACTTATTCAACAAAAAACTCTGAATCTCAATAAGAACAGTGAGATTCATGGCATTTTAATACCACATGTCATGATCCCCAGCTCAGTCTTGAAAAGTTGACATTCCTCTGCTGACATTCCCAGTACTAGTAGAAGGGGGAGCAGCATAGGCTTTATTCACAACTGTCCTTAGTTTATCTGTGTAACTGATGCTTGGAAGAGTAGCTCAAACTGAAAGCTTTACTTCTTAAATTCAAATAAGACAAGGGTGCTCACTCTTACCACTTTTATTGGAAGTCCTAGCCAAAGCAATCAGGCAAGGAAAGTAAGTGAGTAAAACACATCCAAATCAGAATGAAAGAAATAATATTGTCCCTGTTTGAAGACTACATGATCTTATACATAGAAAATTCTATACTCCATTAAAAAATCTGTTAAAACTAATAAACAAATTCAGTAAAGTTGCAGGATACAAAACCAACATACAAAAATCAGTTGTGTTTTTATACACTAACAACACACTCTCTAACAAGGAAATTAGAAAGGCAGTCCCATTTACAATAGCAGCAAAAAGAATAACATATTTAGGATTAAACTAATGTAATGAAAGGCTTGTACACATAAAACTACAAAACTTTCATGAAAGAAATTAAAGAAGACAGAAATAAAGGGAGAGACATCTTTTTTTATTTTTTATTTTTATTTATTTATTTATTTTAATTATACTTTAAGTTCTAGGGTACACGTGAACAACGTACAGGTTTGTTACATATGTATACATGTGCCATGTTGGTGTGCTGCACCCATCAACTCGTCATTTACATTAGGTATATCTCCTAATGCTATCCTACCCCCCTCTTCCGACCCCACGACATGCCCCAGGGTGTGATGTTCTCCACCCTGTGTCTAAGTGTTCTCATTGTTCAATTCCCACCTGTGACTGAGAACATAGTGTTTGGTTTTCTGTCCTTGCAATAGTTTGCTCAGAATGATGTTTTCCAGCTTCATCCATGTCCCTACAAAGGATATGAACTCATCATTTGTTATGGCTGAATAGTATTCCATGCTCTATAGGTGCCACATTTTCTTAATCCAGTCTATCATTGATGGACATTTGGGTTGGTTCCAAGTCTTTGCTATTGTGAATAGTCCCACAATAAACATACGTGGGTATGTGTCTTTATAGCAGCATGATTTATAATCCTTTGGGTACATACCCAGTAATGGAATGGCTGGGTAAAATGGTATTTCTAGTTCTAGATCCCTGAGGAATCGCCACACTGTCTTCCACAAAGGTTGAACTAGTTTACAGTCCCACCAACAGTGTAAAAGTGTTCCTATTTCTCCAATCCTCTCCAGCACCTGTTGTTTCCTGACTTTTTAATGATCGCCATTCTAACTGGTGTGAGATGGTATCTCATTGTGGTTTTGATTTGCATTTCTCTGATGGCCAGTGATGTGAGCATTTTTTCATGTGAATGTTGGCTGCATAAATGTCTTCTTTTGAGAAGACTCTGTTCATATCCTTTGCCCACTTTTTGATGGGGTTGTTTGATGTTTTTCTTATAAATTTGTTTAAACTCTTTGTAGATTCTGGATATTAACCCTTTGTCAGATTGGTAGATTGTAAAAATTTTCTCCCATTCTTTAGGTTGCCTGTTCACTCTGATGGTAGTTTCCTTTGCTGTGCAGAAGCTCTTTAGTTTCATTAGATCCCATTTGTCAATTTTGGCTTTTGTTGCCAATGCTTTTGGTGCTTAAGTCATGAAGTCTTTGCCCATGCCTATGTCCTGAATGGTATTGCCTAGGTTTTCTTCTAGGGTTTTTATGGTTTTAGGTCTAACATTTAAGTCTTTAATCCATCTTGAATTAATTTTTGTATAAGATATAGGGAAGGGATCCAGTTTCAGCTTTCTACATATGGCTAGCCAGTTTTCCCAGTACCATTTATTAAATAGGGAATCCTTTCCCAATTTCTTGTTTTTGTCAGGTTTGTCAAAGATCAGATGGTTGTAGATGTGTGGTATTATTTCTGAGGGCGCTGTTCTGTTCCATTGGTCTATCTCTCTGTTTTAGTCCCAGTACCATGCTGTTTTGGTTACTGTAGCCTTGTAGTTTAGTTTGAAGTCAGGTAGTGTGATGCCTCCAGCTTTGTTCTTTTGGCTTAGGATTGTCTTGGTAACGCAGGCTCTTTTTTGGTTCCATATGACTTTTAAAGTAGTTTTTTCCAATTCTGTGAAGCAAGTCATTGGTAGCTTGATGGGGATGGCCCTGAATCTATAAATTACCTTGGGCAGTATGGCCATTTTCACAATGTTGATTCCTCCTATCCATGAGCATGGAATGTTCTTCCATTTGTGTGTGTCCTCTTTTATTTCACTGAGCAGTGGTTTGTAGTTCTCCTTGAAGAGGTCCTTCCCATCCCTTGTAAGTTGGATTCTTAGGTAATTTATTCTCTTTGAAGCAATTGTGAATGGGTGTTCACTCATGATTTGGCTCTCTGTTTGTCTGTTATTGGTGTCTAGGAATGCTTGTGATTTTTGCATATTGATTTTGTATCCTGAGACTTTGCTGAAGTTGCTTATCAGCTTAAGGAGATTTTGGGCTGAGACGATGGCGTTTTCTAAATATACAATCATGTCATCTGCAAACAGGGACAATTTGACTTCCTCTTTTCCTAATTGAATACCCTTTATTTCTTTCTCTTGCGTGATTGCCCTGGCCAGAACTTCCAACACTATGTTGAATAGGAGTGGTGAGAGAGGGCATCCCTCTCTTGTGCCAGTTTTCAAAGGGAATGCTTCCAGTTTTTGCCCATTCAGTATGATATTGACTGTGGGTTTGTCATAAATAGCTCTTATGATTTTACAATACGTCCCATCAATATCTAGTTTATTGAGAGTTTTTAGCATGAAGGGCTGTTGAATTTCGTTGAAGGCCTTTTCTGCAACTATTGAGATAATCATGTGGTTTTTGTCTTTGGTTCTGTTTATATGATGGATTAGGTTTATTGATTTGCGTATGTTGAACCAGCCTTACATCCCAGGGATGAAGCCAACTTGTTCATGGTGGATAAGCTTTTGATGTGCTGCTGGATTCGGTTTGCAAGTATTTTATTGAGGATTTTTGCATCGATGTTCATTAAGGATATTGGTCTAAAATTCTCTTTTTTTTGTTGTGTCTCTGCCAGGCTTTGTATCAGGATGATGCTGGCCTCATGAAATGAATTAGGGAGGATTCCTTCTTTTTGTATCGATTGGAATAGTTTCAGAAGGAATGATATCAGCTTCTCTTGGTAACTCTGGTAGAATTCGGCTGTGAATCCGTCTGGTCCTGGACTTTTTTTGGTTGGTAAGCTATTAATTATTGCCTCAATTTCAGAGCCTGTTATTAGTCTATTCAGGGATTCAACTTCTTCCTGGTTTAGTCTTGGGAGGGTGTATGTGTCCAGGAATATATCCCTTTCTTCTAGATTTTCCAGTTTATTTACGTAGAGGTGTTTATAGTACTCTGATGGTAGTTTGTATTTCTGTGGAATTGGTGGTGATATCCCCTTTATCATTTTTTATTGTGTCTATTTGATTCTTCTCTCTTGTCTTCTTTATTAGTCTTGCTAGTGGTCTATACATTTTGTCAATCTTTTCACAAAACCAGCTCCTGGATTCATTGATTTTTTTTAAAGGGTTTTTTGTGTCTCTATCTCCTTCAGTTCTGCTCTGATCTTAGTTATTTCTTGCATTTTGCTAGCTTTTGAATGTGTTTGCTCTTGCTTCTCTAGTTCTTTTAAGTGTGATGTTAGGGTGTCAATTTTAGATCTTTCCTGCTTTCTCTTGTGGGCATTTAGTCCTCTAAGTTTCCCTCTACACACTGCTTTGAATGTGTCCCAGAGATTCTGGGATGCTGTGTCTTTGTTCTCATTGGTTTCCAAGAACATCTTTATTTCTGCCTTCATTTCGTTATGTACCCAGTAGTCATTCAGGAGCAGGTTGTTCAGTTTCCATGTAGTTGAGCGGTTTTGAGTGAGTTTCTTAAACCTGAGTTCTGGTTTGATTGCATTGTGGTCTGAGAGACCATTCGTTATAATTTCTGTTCTTTTACATTTGCTGAGGAGTGCTTTACTTCCAACTATGTGGTCAATTTTGGAATAAGTGTGATGTGGTGCTGAGAAGAATGTATATTCTGTTGATTTGGGGTGGAGAGTTCTGTAGATGTCTATTAGGTCCATTTGGTGCAGAGCTGAGTTCAATTCCTGGATATCCTTGTTAACTTTCTGTCTCATTGATCTGTCTAATGTTGACAGTGGGGTGTTAAAGTCTCCCATTTATTGTGTGGCAGTTTAAGTCTCTTTGTAGGTCTCTAAGTACTTGCTTTATGAATCTGGGTGCTCCTGTATTGGGTGTATATATATTTAGGATAGTTAGCTCTTCTTGTTGAATTGATTCTTTTACCATTATGTAATGGCCTTCTTTGTCTCTTTTGATCTTTGTTGGTTTAAAGTCTGTTTTATCAGAGACTAGGGTTGCAACCCATGCTTTCATTTGTTTTCCATTTGCTTGGTAGATCTTCCTCCATCCCTTTATTTTGAGCCTATGTGTGTCTCTGCACGTGAGATGGGTCTCCTGAATACAGCACACTGATGGGTCTTGACTCTTTATCCAATTTTCCAGTCTGTGTCTTTTAATTGGAGCATTTAGCCCATTTACACTTAAGGTTAATATTGTTATGTGTGAATTTGATCCTGTCATTATGATGTTAGCTGCTTATATTGCTCATTAGTTGATGCAGTTTTTTCCTAGCATCAATGGTCTTTACAATTTGGCATGTTTTTGCAGTGGCTGGCACCGGTTGTTCCTTTCCATGTTTATTCCTTCCTTCAGGAGCTCTTCTAAGGGAGGCCTGGTGGTTACAAAAGCCCTCAGCACTTGCTTGTCTATAAAGGATTTTATTTCTCCTTCACTTATGAAGCTTAGTTTGGCTGGATATGAAATTCTGGGTTGAAAATTCTTTTCTTTAAGAATGTTGAATATTGGCCCCCATTCTCTTCTGGCTTGTAGAACTTCTGCTGAGAGATCTGCTGTTGGTCGATGGGCTTCCCTTTGTAGTAACCCGACCTTTCTATCTCGCTGACCTTAATATTTTTTCCTTCATTTCAACTTTGGTGAATCTGACAGTTATGTGTCTTGGAGTTGCTCTTCTCGAGGAATATCTTTGTGGCGTTCTCTGTATTTCCTGAATTTTAATGTTGGTCTGCCTTGCTAGGTTTGGGAAGTTCTCCTGGATAATATCCTGCAGAGTGTTTTCCAACTTGGTTCCATTCCCCCTGTCACTTTCAGGAACACCAGTCAGACGTAGATTTGGTCTTTTGACATAGTACCATATTTCTTGGAGGCTTTGTTCATTTTGTTTTACTCTTTTTTCTCTAAACTTCTCTTCTCGCTTCATTCCATTCATTTGATCTTCAATCACTGATACCGTTTCTTCCACTTGATCGAATCAGCTACTGAAGCTTGTGCATGCGTCACGTAGTTCTCATGCCGTGGTTTTCAGCTCCATTAGGTCATTTAAGGTCTTCTCTACATTGTTTATTGTAGTTAGACATTTGTCTAATCTTTTTTCAAGGTTTTTAGCTTCTTTGCAATGGGTTCGAACATCCTCCTTTAGCTTGGAGAAGTTTGTTGTTACCGATCGTCTGAAGCCTTCTTCTCTCAACTTGTCAAAGTCATTCTCTGTACAGCTTTGTTCCATGGCTGGTGAGGAGCTGCGTTCCTTTAGAGAAGAAGAGGTGCTCTGATTTTTAGAATTTTCCACTTTTCTGCTTTGGTTTCTCCCCATCTTTGTGGTTTTATCTACCTTTGGTCTTTGATGATGGTGACGTACAGATGGGGTTTTGTGTGGATGTCCTTTCTGTTTATTAATTTCCCTTCTAACAGTCAGGACCAGCTGCAGGTCTGTTGGAGTTTGCTAGAGGTCCACTCCAGACCCTGTTTGCCTGGGTATCACCAGCAGAGGCTGCCGAAAAACAAATATTGCAGAACGGCAAATGTTGCTGCCTGATCACTCCTCCAGAAGCTTCCTCTCAGAGGGGCACCCAGCCATATGAGGTGTCAGTCGGCCCCTACTGGGAGGGTACCTCCCAGTTAGGCTACTCAGGGGTCAGGGACCCACTTGAGGAGGCAGTCTGTCCGTTCTCAGATCTCAAACTCCGTGCTGGGAGAACCACTACTCTCCTCAAAGCTGTCAGGGATGTTTAAGTCTGCAGATTCTGCTGCCTTTTGTTCAGCTATGCCCTGCCCCCAGAGGTGGAGTCTACAGAGGCAGGCAGGCCTCCTTGAGCTGCTTTGGACTCCACCTAGTTGAAGCTTCCAGGCCACTTTGTTTACCTCCTCAAGCCTCAGCAATGGCAGATGCCCCTCCCCCAGCCTCATTGCAGCCTTGCAGTTCGATCTCAGACTGCTGTGCTAGCAGTGAGTGAGGCTCTGTGGGCGTTGGACCCTCCAAACCAGGCGCACAATATAATCTCCTGGTATGCCGTTCACTAAGACTGTTGTAAAAGCGCAGTATTAGGGTGGGAGTTTCCCGATTTTCCAGGTACCATCTGTCATGGCTTCCCTTTGCTAGGAAAGGGAATTCCCCTACCCCTTGCACTTCCCGGGTGAAGTGATGCCCCACCCTGCTTCAGCTCATGCTCTGTGGGCTGCACCCACTGTCCGACAAGCCCCAGTGAGATGAACCCAGTACCTCAGTTGGAAATGCAAAAATCACCCAATTCTGCGTCGCTCACGCTGGGAGCTGTAGACTGGAACTGTTCCTATTTGGCCATGTTGGAACCTCCAGTCAGAAAGTCATCTTATGTTCATGAATTGGAAAACTTAATATTGTTAAAATGTCCATACTACCCAAAGCAATCTACAGATTCAATACAATCCCTAATACATCTCAAATAAATTTTTCACAGAAATTGAAGAAACAATTCCACAATTCATATTGAATCATAAATGACTATGAATAGTTAAACAAATTTGAGAAGGAACAAAGCTAGAAGCATCATACTTCCTGATTTCAAAATAAATTTCAAAGCTACATTAATCAAACCAGTACAGTACTGGAATAAAGACATATATATAGGCTGGACACTGTGGCTCACACCTGTAATCCCAGCCCTTTGAGAGGCCAAGGTGGACAGATCACTTGAGCCCAGGATTTTGAGACCAGCCTGGCCAACATGGCAAAACACAGTCTCTACAAAAATACAAAAATTAGCTGGGCATGATAGTACTAATTGGGAGGCTGATGTGGGAGGATCACTTATACCTGGAGGTCCAGGCTGCAGTGAGCTATGATCATGCCACTGCAACCAGTCTGGATGACAGAGTGAGACCCTATCTCAAAAATAAAAAAAAAAAAAAGAAGAAAGAAAGAAAGAAAAAGAAAGACAGATGACAGATGTATAGACCAATAGAACGCAATAGAGAGGCCAGAAATAAATCCATGTATATATGGTCAACTGATCTTTGACAAGGGTGTCAAGAATACACAATGGGGAAATGATAGTCTCTTCAACAAATGTTGTTGGAAAAATGGGATATCCACATGCCAAAAAAAAAAAAAATAAGAATGAACCCTTATTTCATACCATACACAAAAATCAATTCAAAATGGATTAACTACTTAAATATTAAGACCTGAAATTATAAAACTAGAAGAAAACTCAAGGAAAAGCTTTATGACATTAGTCTTGACTATAATTTCTTGGATGTGACAGCAAAAACAACTGGCAACAAAATAAACAAATGGGACTACATCAAACTAAAAAGCTTCTGCACAGCAAAGAAAACAATCAACATGGTGAAAAGGCATCCTATGGAATGGAATAAAATATTTGTATGTCATATATCTAATAAGGTGTCAATCTTCAAAATATATAAAGAACTCATACAACTCAATAGTTAAAAAACCTAATAACCTGATTTAAAAATAGGCTAAGGAATAAAAGATGTACTAGTGACTTATTTTCCTAGTATTTTCTGATTTTGTTAAAGCCTTAAACTCTAGATGTTCAAAAACAGTTGTTTACCTTCATTTTTCCAAAATGTTTCATAGCCCATACAAATGGGTAACAGGTATATAAGAAAATTCTCAGCATCAATAATCATAAGGGAAATGCAATTCAAAACCACAATGAGCTATCACCTTACTCCCGTCAGAATGGCTATTATCAAAGAAATAGACAACAACAGTTGATTAGGAGATGAAGAAATTGAACCCCTTGCACACTGTTGGTGGGAATGTAAAATGGACAAACTGATTCTAAAATTCCTGGGGAAATTCAAGGGACACTGAATAAGCAAAACAATTCTGAACAAGAAGGATAAAGTCAGAAGATTCACATTTCCTGATTTCAAGACTTACTACAAAGCTAGAGCTACAGCTCATTGTAATGATCAAAATACTGTGGCACTGGCATATAGATCAATGGAGTAGAATTCAAAGTCCAGAAATAAACCCATTCATCTACAGTCAATTGATTATGACCGGGGTCTGGAGACCACTTAGTGAGGGAAATAATAGTCTTTTCAACAAACGGCTCTGGGACAACTGAATATCCATATGCAAAAGAATGAATTTGGACACCTGCCTTACACCATATATAAAATTAACTCAAAATATATCAAAGACTCAAATGTAAGAGCTGAAACTATAAATCTTTTAGAAGAAAACATATTAGTAAATCTTTTGACCTAAAATTTGGCAACAGTTTCTTAGATATGACAACAAAAGGGCAAGTAACAAAAGAAAAAATAGGTAAAATGGACTTTCTCAAATTTTTCAAAACTTGCACTTCAAAAGGACACTATTAAGAAAGTAAAAATGCAACCTACAAAATGGGAGAAAACAGGCCAGATACGGTGGCTCACACCTGTAATCCTAGCACTTTGGGAGGCTGAGGCAGGCAGATCACCTGAGGTCGGGAGTTTGAGACCAGCCTGACCAACATGGAGAAACACCATCTCTACTAAAAATACAAAATTAGCTGGGCATGGTGATGCATGCTTGTAATCCTAGCTACTCGGGAGGCTGAGGCAAGAGAATTGCTTGAACCCGGGAGGCGGAAGTTGTGGTGAGCCGAGATCGCACCATTGCACTCCAGCCTGGGCAACAAGAGCGAAACTCCATCTCAAAAAAAAAAAAAAAAAAAGGGAGAAAATATTTGCAAAATATATACCTAACAAGGGTCTAGTATCCAGAATACATAAAGAACTCATACAACTCAACAAGAAAAATATAAACAACCCTATTAAAATGTACAAAAAATTTGAATAGAGATTTTTAAGAAGATATACAAATAGTCAATAAGCACATGAAGAGATGCTCAACATCAGTAGTCAAAAGGAAATATAAATGAAAACCATAAAATCAAAAGGTTCTCTGGACTGTCACTAGGGCAGATGCTCCTCTGACCATTTCACACTCATTAGGATGGGATTCATCATCATCATTATCAAAAATGGAAAAATAAGAAGTGTTGATTAGAACGTGGAGAAATTGGGATCCCCATACATTGATGACAGGAATGTCCAATGTTACAGCCCCTGTGGAAAACAGTTTGGCAGTTCCTCAAACAGTTAAACATAAGGCTACCATATGACTCAGCAATTCCACTCTTACTATTATATCCAACAGAACCACAAGCGTATGTTCACAAAAAAACTTATACATGAATGTTCAAAGCAATCTTATGTGAATAGAAAAGTCCAAAATACTTAAATCATTGTTAGATTTTTCCCCTCATAAACATAACTTTTGCAAACAACTGTCTATTTCTCTGTTTCATCTAGTTTATTATTTCTTTTGAGCACTAGACAGCTTTCTTTTCTCAGACACAGTGATTCCATTTAATATGGAGGCAAAGGCAGGTGTCAATTAGCAGAACCTCATAGTAACAGTAAAGACACTGAGACTGGTATTCTCAGAGACAAGCATGGCTCTTCACCATTGCCAAGAGCATCTTCCCTGATGCCAGGAAAATAACAGGTCTGTCTTATTTTTTTGTGTCTCTTCATACACCCAGAATAATGTTCCTTTCTTGCCAAGGATCTCTCTGATGCCTGCTGTGGATCTCCTATTCCCTTTTTTCATTTATTCAAGAAATTGAAGCATCAAATAGTCCAGCACTTAGCTTTGGAAATCACGGTTTGTGTTATTTCATTTTACGTTAGAATTGGTACTGGAAAACTGAGAAGCAAACTGGGTAAGATGGGGCCAGAACAGAAGTAAACAGCACTGGGAATACTCTAATTAAAGAACTGCTCCTTGTCATTGTGGTAAAAATGTGAAAACAATTAGGATATTTAGAATAGATCATCATAGGTTGAGTGTACAACACAGCTTCCAAAGTGTTCAAACTAATACATTTTTTTAAAGTGGAGTGATCATTTGGTGCTTAGATACACTATACATTTTTCCCACTTAAGAGGAACAGCAACAGGTTTTGTCCTCTGGTTTCAGCTTCCCTGCTTGCTACCTTCTTGGCCGGTAGCTGGAACTGACTGACTGCTATTGATTATTGGCTACTCTCTCATCTTGGGACACTTCTCCATTTAATTCTAGGAAGGATACACTCTCCTACTCTTCCTCATGGCCGATGAGGAAAGCAGTTTCCTTTGATGCTTCTTCTCTGTTCAAACTCTAAATATGGAGGACCTCAAGGCTTGGTACCAATCTTCATTTATCTCTTCTGTCCAATACACTGTCCCTAGGTGAGCACATTTAACTAAATGGTATTGATATTATCTATTAACTAATGACTTGAAAAGTTATATGTTTAGACTTGATACTTTCTGTTAATAAATGACCCCTAAAGTTATATTGTTAGACTTGCCATATGCTTCATGCTCCAGTCTCATATCTCCAGTTGCCTCTTTGAATATCTAATAGGCAACTGTAAGTTTCTTATGTCCAAAAGAGTACTTATGGTTTCTGTCTTGCCCCCAAATACTGCTTCTCTTTTAATCTCTCCCACCTCAGTAAATGGTATCACCATTTACCTAGAGGCTCAAGTTGAAAACTCTGGATTTCCCTCTTTATCTTCCTTGTGCATCAGTGATTCCTATTGATTATACCTCCAACACACACACTGAATCCATCCACTGCTATCTCCATTCCTATCTCTACTTTGATTATTATCCTAATCAAATCTGCCATCACCTCTCATTAGAACCAACTAGTAACTATTCTTTGACTTCTACTCTTCCTCCCTAAAATCTACTTTCCACACAACAGAGTTCATCTTTTAAAATGCACATCAGATTATGTTAATAATTATGTTAATAATCACCTGCTTAATATTCTCCAAAAGTATCCTTTCATACTTAGAATAAAGTTCAAACAACTTACCACAAACTACAAGCTGACCTGCCCAGTATTTATCTCTCTGACATACGCTGGTCTCATTCTTTCCTTATTATTCTCCAGTCATACTAGACTTTTTGTTCCTATAAAATGCCAAGCTTATTCCTGATTTAGGACTTTTAATATTTCTGTTCCCTTTGCCTGAAAGATGTTTCCCCTTTCATCAATCTATTTTTGTAAATAAAGTTTTATTGTAACATAGCTGTGCTCATTCATTTACTACTGACTGCGGCTGTTTTTGTGGCAGAGTTGAGAAGTTGAGACAAATATCTTAGGACTCACAAGCCCTTTAAGAAAAAAGTTTGCCAGACACAGCTAGATCCTTGTATGGCCTTCTCCTTATTTAGATCTCTGGGTTAATATTATCATCTCTGAGAGATATGCCCCTTCTCCCATCCAGTCACTCTTTCACATTATCCTCATAATTTCTTCATGGCATTTCTCTGACATTATATTATTTGTTTGATCGGTTATCGCCTGTTAACCCAGTAGACTGTAAGTTTCTTTGTCATATTCCCTAGTGGGTCCATTGATCTTATCATTGTATCCAGTATATCATAGGTCTTCAATAAGTATATGTTGGATAAATTGATACATGAATGTAGGTGGGACACTGTCTTAGTCCTTTGGGGCTGCTATAACGAAATGCTTTGGACTGGGTCATTTATAAACAAAAATATATTGCTCACAGTTCTGGAGGCTGGAAAGTCCAACATCAAGGCTTCGGGAGATTTGATATCTGGTGAGGACTCATTCCTCATAGATGGTACCTTCCATGCGTCCTCACATGGCAGAAAAGCAAACAGCCTCCTTCAGGCCTCTTTTATAAAGGCACTAATCCAATTCAGGAGGGCTCTGCATTGATGACCTAATTACCTTCCAAAGGTTAAATATCCTAATACTACTGCCTTGGGGATTAAGTATCACCATATGAATTTTGGGAGGCACAAACATTCAGATTATAGTAGACATCAAACTGTTCACAAAACAATGGCTCAAATTAGATCTCTGTGTACATATTGTCACAGAGTTTGTTTGAATTAAACTCGTGCAAATGTATATGCAGGGAAAAAAGCCTCTTAAAATAAAGAGGATTATTAAACATGACCATTAAAAGATGGATGGCAAATCACTGTGTGATAAAATCAACTTTAAACTAATTTAAAAATAATTAATTGGACCCTCTAAGTGCAGATATTTTAAGATTGTTTTCAGCAATGGTTAGAAGAATAAACTAGAAAGTTTCCAAAATTGCTTAGGTACTCCTTCCATTTGTTAAGAAAAGGATGTAATGATTAACTTGTTAAATTCGTTTTAATCAGTAGATGAAGTAGGAGGGCTAAATGTGGGTGTGGAAAAATGACCCTTTCAATAGATTCCCAAACTTGGCTTCATTTATGTAATCTATGCACTTTTTGGCAATTATTTTTGTGGCTATCTTTTTCTTGAGTGATGTACATTCTTGAGTAATCTCATACCTCCAGCCTCTACCCTACACCCCCCAAAAAAGCCTTCATTCTCCTGCATGCTGCTGCAGCTTGACAACTTGTCTTTGCGCTCCCTCTGCTGGTAGCAAGTAGGCTTCAGTGTTGGTTAATAATATAAACTAGAGTATACAAAATGAAAATAATCATATTAAAAAGCCAGCCTTTTCTTCCATTCACTTAAAAAAAAAGTGAAATGCTGTCTTGATTTATATAGTTTAGTGAAATCATCTATTGTGGCACTTAGCAAGCACAGCCTTAATGAATGGTTCTATTAAAATTTATCTTCACAAAGCTCCTTTCTATACACCTGGAGCAAAGTGGTTACCTTTACTCTTTCTTCCTAAATATAGGATCTGTGCAAAAGTCCATGTAGCCTGCGCAGATGATCTTTATTTATTGTTTGCACATAATTAGACGTGTGCACGTTTCCAATGCAGCAAGAAGATATATAATGCATATGTTAGCCCATCTTCCCCTTTCACCTGCTTTCTTTAAGATTTCTTCAAAAGTAAGATTGAATGTGTTAAGAATTGCCACATTCAACATAACTGATAGGATGATTCTTTTTCTAATAACTATATGTTCACTAGCAAACATTGATCAAGCATTAAATTTCCAGATAAATTTAAATAGCCCTGATTTGAGATGTGAAAGTTACAAGCTCCCCCCCTAGTTAACTGCCCTAGATGTTCTCTTGTTTATCCTGAATTACAACTGACCTCACTGGAAAATCTTGGAAAAGAAGCATAACATTTATTGATTTGTTCTATTCAGCACAGAATGAAGGAATTTTATAAGGCCATCTCTAATATGATGATTTGGTGTTAATTGCTATGCAATCCACAAAAAGATTGTCTCCATGAAAGTTGTCTAGTAAAGATTCACTGGAACATTTGAACTTCTATATTTTACATGTTATAACTTGTATGTTTTATGTTTTTGCATATGAAAGAAAAGTGTAAACAATTACCTCTATGGAAAATTGCATATCATGTGCAGTAGACATCCTAGTTGTATATATTTGGTTTATGAATATTCTCCAGAAGGATGAAAGTAGCTAAGATGATGTGGAACCAAGGTGGACATGAAAGAATAAAAAGGATGAAAAAGAAAAGCATTTTAAATGGGATCTTTTTGGATTAAAAATTGCCTGTGAATGAAAGCAGCTGGCTACTGGAAGCCTTCCCTACAGTTACCCATCCAGCAGGGTGACATATTACTAACAAGAATAAAGTGTCTTCCTAGGAAGCAGCCAACCTTAAATGCAATCAGCATAAAATAAGTTATCAACTTGGAAGTTATAAAAGGTTCTGCAAATCTATTAAAGTAGGAAGGGTAATGTAATGACAAGACAAATTGAAGGGCAGTCATGTCAGAGTCCAGAAAAAGGAGAATTGGAATTGGCCCTTGCCAGCTTCTTCAGATATGTCCAGAGAGATAGTGGCTTGACGACTTAATACTTGGTTTGGTGCACATAGAGTGGATGGGACATTCCTTCGTTAACAGAGTTTATGACCTTTCCATGCCCTCCCTCAACCAGGCCACCATTCTCATCAAGCCACATTTAGATCTTGTGATCTCCCTTCTGGGAGGAGATTGGGCTTATTGAACAGAAGGGACATTTCAGATTTCCTTGTAGCTTTTACTTATCATTTTAAATTAATAGATTCAATGTCTGATTCATCAACAAGTCTAGTGAGAATTTAGGTAACATGAGCTGAATCATTCGTTCATGATGTCTGATTCATCAAGTCTAGTGAGAATTTAGGTAACATGAACTGGATCATTCCTTCATTAAATGATTATTCATCACTCCAGAAAAATAGAACTCAAGGTGATAGAACAAACTCTGGTGACCTTCCACAAATGGGGCAATATACCCTAAAGTCCAGTTTAATCCACCTATCAAATTCCAACTTCAGTACCAAATAAGGAGAGTGTACACCTTGGTTCCAGGGGACTGAAGTTGGACTGAGATAGTAGCCCCAACCTCAGCCTCTCTTTTCTTGCTCCCTTTACTCCCCAGTTGACCTACCCCCTACCCTTGACCACAGCATTCTCACAGGCCACATTTGTTCATCCCTTCATTATTTAGCTGACAAATAACAAAATAATGTGAAAATATTTTAAGTACTCTTAGACAAGATAACTGGATCCATTGCACCCAGGAATCAATTAGCATTGCCACAGATATATGTACTAGATTTTTTATTAATTACCTACCATGACTAGGCAGTCTAATATTACCACTATTCTTAAGTATGTTGTCCCCAGTAATGAAAGCTAGAAAGTATTTGCTAAAGTTAAGTTCTTGCATCATCAACAGATATTAACGTTATGTTTGAACTCTACTAACTGTAACATGTGTCTATAGGATCTGAGAGATGAAATGTAGTTAGACATTTAGCCATCAATGTTTTAACTGTCAAATCACTGCCTGTTGTGGGTTGAATGTTGGCCCCCAAAAATATATGTCCATGTCTCAACCCCTGGAACCCGTGAATGTGACTTTATTTGGGAAAAGTGTCTGTACAGATGTAATTAAGAATCTCCGTATGAGATCATCCTTGATTATCCACATGGACTCTAAATCCAATGACAATGCCTTTATTTGAAACACACAAAGGAGACACACAGGGAAAAGAAGAAAAAGGCCATGTGAACATAGAGGCAGAGATTGGAGTTTAGCAGTCACAAGGAAAAGAATACCTGGAGCCACCAAAAGCTTAAAGAGGCAAGAAAGTGTTTTCTCCTAGGGTCTTCATTGGAAGCGCAGCCCTGGAGAAACCTTGATTACAGACTTCTGAACTCTGATCCAAGATAGATAAAATTTCTTTTATTTTAAGCTTCCAATTTGTGGCAATTTGTTACACCAGTCACTGGAAATTAATACACAGTCTGTAGCCATTGAAGGCTTTAGCATCTCTCCACTTTTATTCTCCCATCAGTTTTGGGCAATTTGAACACCCAACCTCAAACTTCTGCATCCTGGCCAGAAGTTAAGTTCTTGCATCATCAACAGATATTAACGTTATGTTTGAACTCTACTAACTGTAACATGTGTCTATAGGATCTGAGAGATGAAATGTAGTTAGACATTTAGCCATCAATGTTTTAACTGTCAAATCACTGCCTGTTGTGGGTTGAATGTTGGCCCCCAAAAATATATGTCCATGTCTCAACCCCTGGAACCCGTGAATGTGACTTTATTTGGGAAAAGTGTGGTAGCTTGTGCCTGTATTCCCAGCATTTTGGGAAGCCAAGGCGGGCAGATCGCTTGAGCTCCGGAGTTTGAGATCAGCCTGGGCAAACATGGTGAAACCTCATCTCTACAAAAAATACAAAAATTAGCTGGCCGTGGTGGCATGCACCTGTAGTCCTAGCTACTCGGGAAGCTGAGATGGGAGGATCACCTGAGCCCGGGAGGTTGAGACTGCAGTGAGCCATGATCTTGCCACTGCACTCCAGCCTGGGCAGCAAAGTGAGACCCTGTCTCAAAAAAGGAAAACAAACAAACAAAAAAAACTTTTGCATCTTCTTATGTTAGTGCCTTTCAACTTCTTTTTACTTCAGGCAATTGCCTGTAGGACCTTACCCTAGACTTTGTAACTACTAATAAATATTTAATTTTAAAAAATTGGAAATGTCAATACCAGTCTCAAAGAGTTATCTATTGTATAGTTCTCTCACTCCCTTTACAACTGTTCTTCAGCCTCAATAAAAGACTCCATATCCATGACTCCTTCATTTGCCTCTAATTTACACACCCCCACACCCACCAAAGTCTCATTTTGTTCCCAATGCTGCCTGGAGCCCATGGTCAATAACGTGGATTTCTGTCTCACCAGCTCTTTCAACTTCCTCCTATCCCTGTTTTATTTTTCTTCTGTGTTTAGGTAACATTTACTGAAGGCATACTAAGTATCAGGCAATTTGCAGTGATTCATCTAATTTTTCTAACCCCATGAAATAGTTACTATTATTACCCCTATTTTAAGGTTGAGGAACTTAAGTGTTTGGGAGGATATGTAAATTGCCCGAGCTCATACACTTAGCAGGGCCAGAACTCAAAGCCCGGTCTGTGACTAAAACCTTTACAATTAACCACAATGCAATACTGCCCCTGCTGCAGCACCTGCCTCACAAATTCTCAGTATACAGTCTGCCCTCCTCAATTTTATAACCAGAAAGCTGAGCACTGCTAAAGAAAACCTTGTACAAATCATTTTACAAATCTATGATTTCTTACTTCAGTTGGATCCTTCATAGCGCTTATCAATACCTTCACTTATTTTTAGTTCATCCCTATTTCTCACAATAACTGTTCCAAATCTTGGCTTCTCTGCTCAAGTTATCTACCTAATTCCAAATTCCCTCACTTTCAAAAACTCCTATAACATTAATATTGAATCAATTAGGATGAAATCCTTTGTCTTACCAGTATTCTACCTACAGATTTTTCTCTGTACCCATCCATTCTTCTTTCCCATTGTATAGACAATCATGTCTTTCTTCCTATTGAGCCCTTCACTTGGGCCATCTCTGTTGTTTCTTCCTAAAGCTTGTTTCTTCATATATTTTCTCTTAGTATTTGATTTTCAATTTATTTCTCTCTATCATGTTATCACCCTCAGCATTAAAATATGTTCAAATGTCTTCTAATTCTAAAGAAAAGTCACTCCTTTAGCACTGTATACAGCCCCTCTGCCTAAGTTACTTTTTTCTTTCCTTCTCAGGAAAATTTCTTTTAAAAAGTATCCTAAATTGAATATTTACTTCTGTATCTCTTATTCTTTCCTGAAATTAAGGATCCAACACCCCAATTCACCTTTCTCCCATTTGCCTTCATATGACAACAAGTGTCTTCATATGTCTTTATTTTACATGGCCAATGCTAGGGCATTTGGTATCTGATATCCTATTAAAAATTATTATATTTCTCAGTTTGCATAATACCTAGATTATCCTGGTTGTCTTCCCTTTTTTCTAATCACATTTTCTTGTTTTTTAAATGTCCTCCTCTTGGTCTTTTTGCCCCTTAAATATTCTTTTTCTCAGGGGACTTTCTGTCTTTCTTCACTTTTTATCACTTAAGAAAGTACATAGAATGAGAAGACATGAGCTTCCATGATTTTAATTTTAATCTTTGTTCCATTTTTAGTTGATGGCATTACTCCCTTCTTCAATGAAAATAAGTAGATACTACCAATGCAAAATTATTTATCTTCTCATCACAAAATCTAAAACCACAACTTCTCCAAGCTAAATAGAGAACAAGACATTTCCACTTAAATATGCTACAGGTTCTCAAACTGAGCATGCCCTAAACTTAACTTAGCCTTTCCACCAAAACACCTTTACTTACTAATTTCATTCAAAAAAGATTTATTTCATCACTACCCATGTATGGCAGAAAGCAATAAAAAAACAGGCAAACTTTTGCTAATATTTAGCTTACATTCAAGTTTCTGCTTGTGTGGGGTGGGGAGAGGCAGACAATGAAAATACAAATATTATATATCAGGTAGTGATAAATGTTAAGAAGGAAAATAAAGTAAGGTAAGGGCACAGAAAGAGTGGATGGAAGGGGTGATATTTTGTAAAGGATGGTCCAGAAAGGCTTCACTAATGAGGGAAATAGAAATCTGAATAACGTGAAACTATGAGTTACGTGGATATCCGAGACAAAAATAATCCAGGCAGCTAGAAAAACAGGCACAAAGGCCCAGAGGAAGGGATGTATTTGGCAAGGATAGCTGTCTTCTTGGAACGGTGAATGAGGGAGAGAGTGGTAGAAGATGAAATCAAAGAGATAGAGAGGTTCAGATCATTGTAAAAGGATTGAATTGTATTCTTAGTGGTATGGGAAGCCACTGGAGGAATTTTGAGAAGAGGAGTATCCAGATATGGTCTACTTTTATTGACATAAAAAAATTTAAAATATAAAGAAAAGTTTAAATAATAGCATAATAAACATCCATTATGCTAGAAGTAACACGTTAACGTTATGCCATAGTGTATTTCTTCACGTATATTTTGTTGAAGTATTTTAAAGTGTAGATATCGTGATATTTAATCCCAAAATACTTCTGTATATATCTCTTATAAGTAAAATATTTTTCTGCATAATTATCATAGCTACCAAAACTAACAACTCTAATTCCTACTTGATATTTATATTTCCCTAATCATCCCCATAATTTCTTTTATAGTGGTTTTGTTTAAACCAGAATCAAATCAAGGACCATGTATCGACTTGATTGCTTTGCTTATCACATACCTTTTAATGTAGAACAGTACTCCAACTCGCATTTTTTCTCCCTATGGCATTAACTTATTGAAGAGCCTGAACCAGTTATCCTGGAAAGCTTTGTCTGATTATTTCCTTGTGTCATTTGTTGTGTTTCTTCATGTATTTTTGTAACCTGGTAATTAGAAATAATGCTCTGATTAGATTGACTTATATTTAAATAAATCAGTCTGGATAATGTATCGGAGAATATGCTCTGAGGTGAGAATGAGTACAAGGAAACTAGACAGAGGGCTGTTGTAAAAGTCCAGATGAGAGATGATGATGGCTTGAAACGGTAGCAGCAGTGCAGTTGGTGAGAAATGGTCATATTCTGTATATGTTTTGAAGGTGGAACCAAATTTATTGTCAGATGGGCTGTGGAACATGAGAGAATGAGAAAAGTCAAGGATGAGTTCATGTTTTGGGGCTGAGTAACTGAAAAGATAGAATTGTCATTTACTGAGACAGGGCAGACTGAGGTAGAAACAAGTTTGGGTAAGATGAAGAGCCGATATTTGGATATAGTATCACCCACTGGATTACCTTGGTACTCTGACATCTCCTTTTCCCTCAGCCCTCACATTCAATCATCAATATTTTCTGATTTTACCTGTCAAGGTCATCAAAACTATCCTTTCCTTTTCATATCCAATTCTATTGTCAAAGCCCAAGTCTTCATCTCTTGAGTGGATTACTACCATAACCTCCAATATTGGGTTAACTCTAATCCATCAACCATAAGTCACTCAAGTGATCTTTCTGCAAAAGAAATCAATTCATGTCACCATCTATATTAACATCCCTTAGTGATGCTCATTCTTCTTTAGGCTTCAGATCTGTGTGCCTTAGCATAGCCCATAAGCCTCTCTATCGTGTGGTCCTATCCTCATCTTCTGTTACTTCCTCACTCCCTTCACCCCCCTTTTACTCGATGATCTGCTCATAACAAACTCTTGTATTTCCCCAGACAAACCATGATTGTTTGTATCTCTGGACCTCTGCATCTGCTATTCCTTCTACAAAGAATGTCCTTCCTCTCTCTAAGGCATGGCCAATGTCTTACTCGACTTTGAATTTTCAGAGTTTAGCATATGTGACAACCAACCAGAAGATAGTCAGTTCCTGCTTGCTGTTGAACTGATATATCACTGACAGGCACACAAGTTACTTTTAACCTGCTATAACATAATTCACAGGATTAAAGCATCACCTTTTCTGAGCCAGCACCACACCAAACAACCCATAAAAAATTCTGGCTTCTGATAAATGTTATCCATACTGGTTCAAACATAATCACTCTATGCTAGGCACTATATAATTGGAGCTTTAGTATCTCTTTGAATTTCCTTTGAATTGTCATTTTGCATCAGTTATAAAAAGTCATATTTTTCCCCTCTGAACTTAGAGAAATTAGAATTATGAGGAGCAGGCAGAAAAGCACTTTGCAAAGTAAAATTATAAGGTGCCATTATTGTTATTATAATAGCAATTGCCTTCAAATGAAAAAAGTCTATCAAAAGCAGAGTGTGAAAATTAATGATTGATTATTTATTTGTCTTCAGGGCCAATTTGCCATAAACTGAACAGGCTTTGTGATTCATGTTTCTGATTCATGTGGGTTCTCAGCTTGTGAATCCTGTCTTTAATTTAGCACTAAATGTGATACATTTTATTTTCCCTTGGCCAAGACCCACTTAGCCTTGGATTGCTAAATGAGTGCTGATTCACCTTCCAGGAAGCCAATTACCTACAGAAAGAGCACTTAGTTGATGCTCATCAGAGTGAGTTATTTTATTTCTTCTCTATTGCTGAAAAACTTTAGTTGGAAAGTTGAAAGACTTGTTCTCCTGACATCTAGAAGAGCATAAAGAGTGTTACTGGTTCTTGGGTAATCTGGAGGAATGTCTAAAAATTTAGGATCGGATTTTCCTTGTGAACAACTATGACAGAAGAGACTGAGAGTAGAAGATTTCCCAAGTGTTTACTTCCTCCTGTTGATAAATTCTAAAGGAATTTATGCCATAAATCAAAGGAATACAAGAGGTTTCTCTTTCAAAGATTGAGATGGTTCCTTTTTCATCATTTTCTAGCATTTTTTCATTCCAATAACTTCTGACCTAGCACACAGCAAGCCAGTCATTCTAAATGTAAAAATGTGTACTATTTGAGGAGTTCTTTTTTAATTCACAAGTAAAAACTATACATGTTTATGGTGTGCAACATGACTTCATGAAATATGTATATATTGTGGCATGGCTACATTAGACTAATTAACATATGAGAGTTCTTAAAGAGCAAATAATTTACAGAGGTGATAATTCAAAGATGCATGATCTCATTTCCTCAAAAAGCCAGAAGAGTTCAGCACACTGGTCAGACATACCTGGATTTTACCACCATGGGTACCATATGTTGGGTGAAAAAATACTGAACTAGGGATTAGAGACTCGGATTTTAGCCCGACTCTCCTAACTAATTAACTAACTTACTGGATGATATCATACACATTTTATTTTCTCCTTGGACCTCAATTTTCCTAACTGTGAAATGAATTAAAGAAGACAAGTTTTAAATGCCTTTGACAAACTAATGTTCTGTACTCTTTTCTAGTATGGATGGATCCTAGGTCCTCTTTGACACTCAACTCCAGGATTCACTCCAATGAGCTCTTCCCAGTAAGCTATATGACAGATATCTGTTAGGATAATTACCTGTGGACACTTAATCCTTCATTCTCAAAAAGGAACTAAAAACCGTTAAAAGAAAACTACTTTCAAGTTTAATTAGCTATCTTTTCCCTATTAAATGAAATGGTGATCATTCTCTCCTTCTCTCTCTCTCTCTTTCTCTCTCTCTCTTCATTATCGGAAAAACATTATAATAAATATAAGCCTAGATACTTCATTTAACTGGTCATTGCAAAGTACCAATAAAGAAAATTAACTTTGGTCTAGCGCAGTGGCTCATACCTGTAATTCCAGCACTTTGGGAGGCCGAGACAGGCGGATCACTTGAGGTCAGGAGTTCGAGACCAGCCTGGCCAACATGGCAAAACCCCATCTCTACTAAAAATACAAAAAAAAAAAAAAATTAACTGGACATGGTGGCGCATGACTGTAGTCCCAGCTACTTGGGAGGCTGAGGCAGGAGAATCGCTTCAACCTGGGAGGCGGAGGTTGCAGTGAGCCAAGATCACACCACTGTAATCCAGCCTGGGTGACAGAGTGAGATTCTGTCAAAAAAAAAAAAAAAAAAGAAGAAGAAGAAAGAAGAAAAGAAAAGAGAAAAGAAAGCAAAGGAAAACTCTCCAGTATACAGTGGCTAGCAGAGTGTTAAGCTCAAAAGTAGGACCTAAATCTGTAATTGTTAGGTTACTTGGGGAAATATTCTCATTTCTACACATGCACTTCAGTATTTCAACAGAAAAATAATAATTTTAAAATAAGCAAAATCAAATGTAATGAAGCATTTAAGCTTCATTACAAATTCCTTATTAAGATAAAATACTTACGTATTGTATACTTTTTCTAGAAGTCATCAGAAACTTTGTTTTACACTTAGGAGTGTTTGCTTTTTAATCAGTGAGTCTTAAAAACCACTTTTCCATTTTGCAAACTAACCATAATTTTATATGATGTAATCTGGTCTAAATATTTTTTTTCTTGTTCTGTTTGAACTGTAAGAGAACAATGTAAAGAAGGAAAATAGGCTATATTTATACCAATCAGTTGACCTTTAGTCAGAGTGTTAGTGATTTTTAAATCAGTTGGTTGCATTCAGTTGTTTTGAAAATAGTCAAGTAACAGCTGACTGATTGGATGCAACTGGCGATTCGCAAATCACCTTGCTTTTTGACAGAATTCATCTTCCTTGCTCTTCTTTCACATAGTTTGTTTAACTGAATTCAAGCAGATAATTTTTATTCTTCCTCTCACTTCCAAGCTTGTATGTATAGAGACAGTCAGAGCAGTGCATGACACATAGTAGGTGCTCAATAAAACAGAGTTACCAGTGAACTTAGTCTTTAAAGTCAGATAAACATCTATATCTAGTTGTGATGTTTCCATATTCTATTCTTGATGATTTCAACGTTATTAACATTGCCATTAAACTAAGACAATTTTAATTAACTGCTTACTGCCAAACCTGGTTTCAAATTCTCAACTTCCTGAGGATCAATGAATTACAGAATTAAGAGGTGTCATGTAAGATAATTGGTTTCTACAGGAAGACTTACCCCATTGTTTCCACAATTAACACAGAAGAAAGTATAATGGAAACTAAGTATTTTTGTGAAGCTTAGTCATTAACAATGAATTAAGAATAGAATCCAATTTCCTCCTCTATTCATGACATATTGGGCATCACTATTATCCTTTCAATAATAAGGAAAGGAATATTATGTTTTGTTTCCTTCCTTGATAACATCCTGTTTACTAAATGGATGTTTCAATATAGGACTGAGGACAAATTTTAAGCTAGGAATTCATTTAAAGAATATGCCTTTCCAAGGAAATTGAGGCCTATTTATCCACCACCAGAGTCAGTCAAGACTACTATTCACTATACAGCTAAGACAGGGATTTAAGAGTGCTCTTTGCCCCTCCCTATCATGATATTAATGGGAAGATGTTGATCAAAGATTATGAAATTTCACTTGGATAGCAGGAATAAGTTCAAGCAATGTATTGTACAACATTGGGACTATAGTTAATAAAAATATATTGTGTTCTTGAAAATGCTAACAGAGTATATTTTTAAGTGTTCTCACCATAAAAATGACAACTGTGTGAAAAATTGCACATGTTAATTACTTGATTTATCCATCCTGCAAGGTACATATATTTTGAAACATAATGTTGTATATACAATTTTATCTGACAATTAAATAAATACATAAAGTTACAAATCGGAATCCAGTGTTTGGTTAGTACCATACTCAATATCATTAACTCACACTCCGCAATGTCCTTCTGCTACATTTCATCCATCCCAATCAACTACCATTAATGTTTATTAATTCTGTGGCAGCTCTTAACTATCCTATCCCTATCCCAACTGGAAACAAAATAACAAGTGAACCTTTTCCTCTCTATCCAGAGGTTAGCCTTAAGTCAGTGGATAATGACTCAGAGAGCTCTAAACCTAGGTTTATGTACCAGCTTCTAAGATGTCTCTTTCCTGGCAGTGACAGATGATGTTCTGAAACTCTGTGAACCAGAGACTCACTGCCATGAGCTGGAATCCTTACTCACTAGCTTTTAACACTCCAGTGGGAATTCATATTGAAATGCAAATATAAAAAGAATTTTAAAGGCAAAAATTAGCTCTTTGGAAAAATTCCATCATTTCTTCAAGAGGATTTTATGTTAATTTTTTATTGCCTTAAAACCCTGTTACCTGAACTAAAAAAAAAAAAAAAAAATTGCTCTGGAAGAACACCCATTGCATTGGTGAAGTTGCTTTTCACTCTTTCTAAAGAGTCATAAATGACATTAAAATATGAAAAACAGGTGCATTCCTTAGATAAGTTATTTCAATTCCTGCATCATTTTTGCTTCCAATTATTCTGAAGATAGCAGAGTGAGAAAGAACTTTTCATTTTGAATGGCATTCAGCAATTGGCTTGATATTTCATAATGAAGCAAAGGCCTGAAAAATATATTCCAAAAGAAATAGCAAAGAGGCTAGCAAATGCTGTGCCTGTGATGTATTGAGTTTTATGAATTTCTTTTTTTTGGAAATGGCTTTCTGATGGGAAAGGAAGTCTTTAAAATAACAGGAAAAAAATAAGCTGCAATTAAACAACAACAAAATGTCAAATGGAGTGCGAGTCAGAATGTGTGTATTAAATGTACTTTTTAAAAATCCTGTAACCCGAGTCAGTGTGGCATCACGGGGAAAACAACTAGGAAGCAAACAACTGAATCGTTGTCTGGAATCTGCCACCCACTAGCTGTATAACCAACAGCAAGTGGTTTAACTTCTTAATCTGTGCATCTGTGCTATGCTTACCCAATTGAACTATTGTGGAAACCAAATTAGATACTGAACCCGATGTGAAAAGGCTTTGTGAACTGTCAAATACTCTACAAATGAAGAGTTACATCTAAGACTTTTGCAAACCATAGAATATTACGCACACAAGGACTTAGAAATCACATTTAATCTTTCTTCATTACCAGTAAGCAGGTCCTTAAGAAGATGAAGGGAGTTTAGAGACATTTCTTTTTTTTTCCTGCTTCCATTTATAGAGGTTCCATGTATGTTAAAAATTAAGAGGTGCCTAAGAATATTTACAAATTTGGGATACTATAAAAATTTATAACAAACTCAAACAGAAGTTTCTTACAGAGACTAGAAATGTGGTGGGAGCTGAAGAGAATGAGAGCATGTTGAGTATCTAAGCAAATATCGGAATACTTTCTTCCTCTACTTTGATTCTGCAAAGAAAAAAAAGGGTTATCCCACAAACCACTTTGAGGAAGCCCAACTCTGGAGAGGCAAAAAACAAACAAACCGCACACATTCAGAATTTTGATTCCGTTTTAGAGTGGTGTCATATTCAAAGTAAATGTTCAACAACCAAACTCACTTCAAAAAGTAATTCTAAATTTTACTTATTTCAGAAAGCATTAAAAGAGCTATAATTCCTCACCCCAAAACACCTTTAAATCTCCTGTCTTCATTTCTCCCAGGCCTTTCATTTCCTATAGGCACTTTCAACTCTGCAAGAAACCATGGCCTCATGAGTTCTTCTAGTTATTTCTTTGCCTGTGCTAAACCCACTCTGCCACCTGTCATAGGTTTGTGAGATAAAACATAGGTTGTACAGTTAAATTAGAATTTCAAATAAATAATTACATTTTTAGACATTTTTATTATACATATGTCTTGTGCAATATTTGTGACAAATGTGTACTAAAATATTATTTGCTGTTTATCTGAAATTCCAACTTGACTGGGTGTCTTTTTTTAAATTTGCTAAATCCGCAAGCCTAAGCCGTACTCCAGAATGACCAGCAGGGCTATGCTCCCTGTCACTGGCCCAACTGTATCGAGAGATGTACAGAGATCCTGGAGGCTCTGTGTCCTGCAGTTTGCTCTTGCTGTCAGTAGAAGCAAAGGCACAAAACCTCTTGGGAGGCATTTCCTCTCTGCTTTTTGCAAAGACGTTAGCTTTTTTTAGGGAGAAGTTTACGTTCACAGAAAAATTGAGTAGAAGTTACAGAAATGTCCCATATGCTTCCTGCTCTATTATATGCGTAGCCTCTCCCGTTATCAACTTCCCTGACAAATTTGTACATTTAATACAACTGATGAACCTACAGTGATGCAACATTATCACTCAAAGTCCATAGTTTATATTAGTCTTACTCTTGGTATTGTAGATTCTATGAGTTAGGACAAATGTATAAGAACACGTATCCACCATTTTAGTATCATACAGGGTATTTTCACTGCCATAAAAATGCTCTGTGTTCGTGTGTGTGTGTGTGCGTGTTATCACAGGGAATCCACGTGAAGAACTTCTGGAGAATGAAATTATCTGTCTCATTATACATTATTGGACCTAGACTTTGTCAGAGAAAATCCCCAAAGGGATCTGCAAGACAAATGAGGTCAAGGAAAACCTGTATCAAATTCGGCCAGATATGGACACTACCTGAATATTTGGTGATATAAAAGAATTGTTATTACATTTTTAGTTGTGATAATGGTCTCTTTATTATGTTTTACAAAAGGAATCCTTATCTTTTAGAGGTATCTATTGAAATAGTTATGGATAAAATGGTTTGATGTTCAAGATTTGCTTTAAAATAATCCACTGGAGGAATGGAGGAGGAGAGTGAGTGAGTACATGTTATGGTATTTTTTCTACTTTAGTATATGATTAAATTTTCCATAATAAAATGCTTTTAAAAATTAACCCAATTTGTCACCTATATAAGATCTTTCTTAGGAGGAAATGCTGGAAACAATCCTTTATCATTCTAGTACACCTGAGAGAAGGGGCTGCTTTGAGGAAAACTCCAGAACAATGGCTGATGTAAAACTAATCAGGGCCGAAATCAGCACCCACATTTGGCCATTTCAGTTGAACAGACTCCAATTTATTTGATATTTGAATCTTCAAAACAGACTTTACAGTAGGCAATCAGAGGCTTGTGTAAAGAAACCTCCTACCAGTGCTCAGATATGGAGAGCAAGATTTGGATAAAAGGCTTAGCAGGTATAACCAGTTAATGCTGGAGCCCCTGGGCACCATTGTATTTCTCCCAAAGTGTCTATGTAGTGTTATGTAGAAGCAGTTTCTCATCAAAAGTGATATTGGGCTGGAATCCTAAACTACATGGCTACCACCTTAGTCCTCTATTTTTAGGGAAGAAACTCTTTTTTCCATGATGAACATCCAGAGGAAGAGCCAAATCCTGATAACCTCAGAGACAGTTATTGTCCTGAATAAAATGTACCTAGAAATGTTACATGAGCTGCATATGGAAACTTCCCTCCTCAACTGTGTAGGCAAACTTTATCTGGCTGTACCCTTCATTATTCAATTTGCTTAGCCAGCCTCCACCAACACATGCACAATTTTGGCAGTATTTACAGAATGAAAGAAGTACCAGCTAAAGGAGGAAAAATCAATCCAATCGAATCCAATCCAAATCCAATGAACCAGTATTTTTTCATTAAATGTAGAATTTTTTAAAATGAAAATAAAAATACTGCTGTGTATAAACATGGTGCTAAGTAAGCAGGGATTTGTCTTCCTTCAATTTAATTATAATATTTATTGAATAACACTGATATGTCATACATTGAGATCTGGAATATTTTTGAAACAGGTCTTCCATATAATAAGATAGTCAATGGTTACTTGCAAATGACCAGGAGTCTTCTATAGACTGTATGAAAAGTAAGGGTCACTGGACTTCGCTTATTTTGTTGAGTATCACCTGATTAAAATGAATTTGGAAGCCTTGTTATTGGCCTTGGTACATTTGTCAGATTCCTGGCAAACTTGTCCTTGTTTATGGCTACACACTATCAAAATTGCTGGATAAAAAATAAAATGTTGACATATTTGATTATTGGGTCCCTCTACTAGATATTATTTCTGGAAGGCAAACACTATGGTGATGAGAGCACAGTCCTTGGAGTCTCACATATTGGAGCTGGAAGTCCTGTCCTACCAACTCACTAGATGTTTAACCGCAGAAAAAGTGAATTAGCCTTGATGAATCTGTTCTCTCATCAGCACAAGAGGGACATTAATGTAGATGTTGTGAGATTGTTAGGAGGATCGAATGTTTTTGCAAATGTCTTCATAAATATTACTTCTGCTTATAATTCCTTTTTATCTCGTCTAACTCTTAGTAACAGCTATGCCTAGGATCAAATGCTTTTTTATATATAACAGTATTATAGAAATTTGAAAAATGGAGAAAATAAAATGGTACATAACTCCAACTCTGTCATGCAATCACTGTCAAATTTTACCATTTGATAAAATTTTGATGTATATTTTATATGCATATTTACAGGCTTTGTAATAAGTGTGCATCTATTATCTTGTATCCCACAACACTTTTAACTTTAAAAGTCAAAATGACTCTCAGTACCCATTTTGGCACCTTCAAAATCTCCTCTCCACCCCAGAGTCATTTCTACTGGGATAATCCCTCTTCTCATTTCTAGTAACTCCCACCTGGCCTTTTAATCTGAAAATCTGGTATGCCCCATTGACACTGGAGAATGCTTCCACTGCCACCAGAAGATACTTGCTTTAGGAAGGATTGCTGTACCATGCCATCATGCCAAGGACTACAATTAAAGACTCAGGAATTCCAAAGAGACTTGTTACCACTATTATCACCAAAATATGAGCATTGCTACCAACAAAATGCTTTCTGCCAGACCAACCCTTGTTCTTCCAAGCACCTTACAGAATAAGCAAATGTGCTGTCATACACACATTGTTGAAAGAAAGCCATTCTACATATCAATTTTTTTCCCATTCATCACTGCAATGGCTTTACTGCCACTCTTGCAGTAATTCTCCATGTTTTGGAGAAAGTAAGAAAAAATAAGTCTCTCCCTTAGAGTTAAGATGAGAGATGGTTTTCAATACCACATCCATGGTCTGGACTTTTCATTTTTATACTCACACATTCTCATGTGACCATTAATCCAAAAGCATAACTACAGTGCGTGGGAGCAAGTCCAGGAGCAGTTTTTAACCTCCCAACACACTGTGCTTTAAGCAGCCTCTCCTCTCAAGGGGAAATGTAGGCTCAAATGCTGAACCTACCTGGGTGGCTGGTCCATGTTCCACATTCCCCTAGAATGAATTTCCCTTTAAAGAATCTTTGGTGTTTTTCTCTGCCCACTGATCTCACTTGAGACCATCTTATCTAAAATGTCAAAGATGTCCTAATAAAATTGTATCTCAAAAAAGAAAGACATTGAAGTCTCCATATCTTTTTTGTGGTAACAAATATGTAACATTAAATTTACCATTTTAACTATTTTTTAATAATTCGGTGGCCATAAGTAGTCACACTGTTTTACAATTACCACTATCCATCTCCAGAACTTCTTTTTCTTTCCAAACTGAAACTCTGCACCCATTAAACAACTCCCTATAATGACATATTTTATTTGTCCATTCATCCGCTAATGGCTATATGTGTTCTTTCCAACTTTTGGCTATTGTGAATAATGCTGCTATGAACATGGGTATACAAATAGCTATTTGAGTCATTGCTTTCAATTTTTTGAGGTATATACTAAGAAGTAGAATTGCTAGATCATATCATCATTCTATGTTTAGTTTTTTGGCTACCCATCCCATTTTTGCCAAGAGTTTTCTTACTCCCAATGCAAATGTGCCTATGCTTTTCCTAGCAAACATAGATTTTTGTATACCAAAGGCTATTGGGGTGAGGTGGCCTTTGTTACTCAAAAACTTGGCATACCACACCTAGATAACAGATTTCTCCTTTAACATTTACTTCACAGGATGCATTCTCCAAAAAGCCTTCCCTTGCCATCCCCTAGCCTTGTTAGGTGCCCCTCCTTTTTGTGATCCTATAGGACCCTGGGTAGTCTCTACCTTATTACTTACCAAATTGAACTACAGAATTGCTTACTTGCCAGTTGATAAGGTTTGGCTCTGTGCCTCCACCCAAATCTCATGTAATAATCCCCATGTGTCATGGAAGGGATGCAGTGGGAGGTAATTGAATCGTGCATGTGGATTTTTCCCATGCTGTTCTCGTGATAGTGAATAAGTCTCATGAGATCTGATGGCTTTATAAAGGGGAGTTCCCCTGTACATACCCTCTTGCCTGCCACCATGTAAGACGTGACTTTGCTCTTCATTTGCCTTCCACCATGATTGTGAGGCCTCCCTTGCCATGTGTTAACTGTGAGTCCATTAAACCTCTTTCCTTTATAAGTTACCCAGTCTTTGGTATATATTTATTAGCAGCATGAAAACAGACTAATTCACCTGTCTTCTCCTCCATTAAACCATGAGTTCTGTCAAGCCAATAATTTTGCCTATTTAGCATTGCATTATCAACTTTTGACATATCGCCTAACGCACAGTGAGTCCTCAGAAAATAACAAGCTCTACTCCGCAACCTCAAACATTTGTTTGGTTTGTTTTTATACTCACCCACTTGCAATAAATTATCTGGCCATTTAATCCAAGTGCTTTCTAAAAGTGTCCTCTTTAAGAGATTTCTGTACTATTAACATCTTTCCTATCCTCACATCCTTCCTAGAATGTCAAGAAATATTCTGGGAACAATTTGTCCCAATCTTTAAAGGCTATGTCTAGACATTTCTAAAAACCGATCAATTTGTGACTGACTTAGTCAAATGGAAAACGTACTCATGTTAATACCATATATTTTGAGTTTCTAATTAAAAAAACTATAATATACTCTATTTTAATGAGATCCCAATTATATCTCATCTGCTTTTCAAACTGTTAGTCTCATAGATACAAGGTTAGGCTTGTTTTATTGTTTAGTGAAAATGAAAGTTGACAGCTCTATCCATATTAATCACATTAACGAGAAATGTTGGAACAAGCAGTGACAAGGCCACTCACTCCCTACATTGTGCTTGCATAAAGAGCCCAAGGGGGCCTTGTCTATTCACCTTGTGTTCCCTAAGCAGTGTGTAATTAAGAAACCAGCACCAGAAGAAGAATGGAATGGGTCTGCATCATTCCTAAGTTAAAGTCCAGAATTCTAGGTGAGTTCTGTCATTAGGCAACTTTTTAGAAAACAATAGCCACAAGTTTTCAGTCAGCCCACCTTAACAGATACAAAGAGCTTCTTCCCAAGCAGCTCCAAAGGGAAATGCAAAGCCCCTCCAGCAAGGCAGAAGTCACACAGATACTGGAGTCAGAGTACCTGTGACAAGATAGAAATGACAGACAGCAGAGTAGGGCACAGAACTTCTCCAACTTTCCCAGCCAATTTTCCCCAAGGAGCAGGGAAGACTTTAATATATCACTTTGAGATCTTATACTTTATCTTCCAAATTCACGCAGATCATACATTCTAGTCCAAACATGTTCATATTTGTTTTAAATTTCTAAAAGTCTTTTTCTTCCAAATCTTCAAGTAAAATTGGGACTAATAATAATGATGATAATAATCATACTCTGGACTACTACTACTAATAGCTAACATTTAATGAATGTTTACTATGTGCCAGGCACTATTTTAAGCACTTTACCTGGATTAACTCATACTTACAACAGCCTATTTTACAGATAATAAATTAAGACACAGAGAGGTCAAGCAAGTTGCCTGAGGTCACAAAGCTAAGACATTGTGGAACTGGGGAGATGAATCATATTTATTTTGTGGTAGGTAATTCAGTTTGAGATGCACTGTGCAACTGAAATGGAAATGTACTAAGTAAAAACCAGCAAGTTGAATGCCATTACTGCCTTCTTTTAGACACTTTTGAGCATTAATTTCCACTTCTGAAAATGAAAGCATGAGAATTAAATATCTCTAAGGCTTTTCCAGAATGAATCTGTTCTACCACTTCAGATAGAAGACATTGATAATGGAAGCTAGAAATAAGTCTACTCTTATGTTTCACCATTAAGTTTTCAATAAAGAAAGCTGGTAGCTTTTACTGCTTTTATGATAATAATCAAAATATTTTCTTAAACATAACTCTAGACCAGAAGTCAGCAAACCTTTTCTTTAAAGGGCCACAAAGTAAATATTTTAGACTTTGTGACTATCATAGCAGCTCAATTCTGTCATTTTAGCACAAAAACAGTCATATATGATATGCAAAAGGGTGGGTATGTCTTTGATAGAGTAAAAATTTAGAGAAACGTGTTGGTCTTGATTTAGCCAATGGGCTACAATGTGTGGACCCCTGCTGCAAACAAAGAATTATGCCAAGCTGAGCCATGTTTTCAGCCAGTTTAGATAAACCAAGTCATTGTGATATTCATTATGCTGTCAAGCATAATGTTAAACAACAGGCTTGCTATGATGATTTATTTTAAAATGTTTCAGTATGAACAGGTTGATGCATATGAGTATATAAGGTGGCATTAAATTTATATGTAGGGGCAGTTAGCTACCTACCATATAAAGTTTCGTGATCAAGAATCCATATCCCACAACTGCTTAGTGAGCATTTAGCATTTGCAGGACTCTAAATTTGGGGTCTACACTCCAAAATGGGCTACAGCAAGTACCTTAAATAGTGTTATCTAAACCTGTACTGGAGACTGTTAATTGTCAGGAAAGTTATTATAGAGATATTACTGGCAAAAAATAGTGTTATTCAAAATATGTGGCTCAAAAGAAAACTTGTGTAAGTTTACTCTTCCTTGAAGGAACAAAGTATAATAACTCTTAAAGGGTATCATCTGAAATTCTGAACGAACTCTGTTTGGTCCAGAGTCTGGCTACAAAAGAAGAACTCTGATGTATGATCTGACTAGTAGCTTGTAGTTCTTGTTGTCAGGATGTCATTGTGTTGACCTTAGGAAAACTCTTTTATTCAAGGAAATTGATAGAGTGCTTGAAGGTTAACTCAAGAGAGACAATTTATACTAGTAATTTGGACAGGGAAAATTTAATATAAAGAATTATTAATTAGATAGAAGGTGGTTAACTATTAAAGGGGGTAAAAAAGAATTCCAAGATATACAAAGGTAGCAAATATTAAAATGAGCTGCTAGGCCTAGGGCTAAGGAAAGAGTGAACAAGGAAAGAACTTAGAAACTTAGAGGGAGACCCCCTCCTGAAAAACTGAGATTCTGATTTCTGAGGAGAGATAGTGTCTGCCACAGAGATATGCTGCACTTCTGTGATAATGAAGAAACTTAGTGAGGGCAGTTGCTGGGGAACTGTGAGAGCTGCAGCCACCGTAGTGACAATGAAGCTTGCCAGAGGGTGCCTGCCTCTCATGTGCAAGAACAGCCTGCTGCTCTAGAGATGAAGAAATTGCCAGAAGGAGCCCATTGCTGAACTGCGAAAGCTGATGGGACTTCACATACACTGATATGCTTGCTGCCACATGGAAAATAGCATGTCTCTTCTTCCATTTCCCACCTTGCAGTCTCCCTCCTGTTCACTGTATTGGCAGAGCTTAACACGGAGCTAGGTGGCAAATAAGAAATGTAATCTACAGTGTTAAACTTCAGTATCACAATAGGCACAGAAAGGTGGGTTTGGAGCTGAGGGGCAATAAATTACTAACCAGAACAGTGCCCAAAGACAAAATGGGATTTCACCAAGTCCTCAAGAACAGGACCATTAGGGTCTACTTACTAATTAAATTTTGTACATGCCTCAGACTTGCCTTCTATGTAATGTATCACCGGGTAGAAGAATCATGAGGCCTCTAATATTTTCCAGAACGACCTGACAGTTGTTGAACCACTGAATTGCTTTATGTCAGTTTGCAGCACCTTAGCTCAGATCTCAGCAACCGCCTTTGAATTTGGGTAAGACGTTTAACCACTCTGAGCCACAGTGTTCACATGTGTGTAATGAAGATTAAAAATAGTTCTTATCACACAGATTTAATATGAAAATTTAATGATTTAAGTTCCTGGTAGTTAGCAAGCACTCAGTGAAGGTAGTTGTCATTATTAAATAAACATACTCTTATCAAAATCAAACTATGCTCAAGGCGCTTATTCTAAAATTTCTTTGGAAGGGTAAAGGTGCAAGAATAGTTCAGTTTTGAAACAAAAAAAAAGAATAAAGCTGAAGAAATTGCAGTACCTGTTTGCAAACTTGTTATGAAGTTTCATTAATCAAGACAGCATGATATTGGTAAAAGGATAGACACACAAATAAATGGAAGAGAACTTAGAGCCCTGTAATACGCTCACACAGATATATTCATCTAATTTTGGACAAAGGTGTGAACCCAACTCAGTGGAGAAAGGACTATCTTTTCAACAAATGGTGCTGGAACAAGTAGACATCTATATATAAAAAAATGTAGACATAAACTTTATTATACAAAAATGGACTCAAATGGATTATAGAACTAATTATAAACCATAAAACTATAAAATTTTTAACTAAAAATATAGAAAAAAATCTGTGTGATCTTTGGCAACCAGTTTTCAGATAGAACACTGAAAGAACAATTTGTGAAAAACTTTTTTTAATTAAAAATTTTAATTAAATTCCAACATCAAAAGAAAAACTTTTGCTCGCCCAGGCTACAAGACTGACTCAATAATGAAAATCAATAGATGTAGCCCAACATCTTAACAGGCTAAAGAAGAAAGCTGCATGATCGAATCAATAATTGCAGGAAAATAATCTGATAAAATTCAAAACCCACTCTTATAAAAAGCATTTAGACAAATAGGAATAGAGAACTGTCTTAACTTCATGAAGAGCCTCTAGAGAAAAACAGAGCTAATTTTATACCTAATAATAAAAGACTAATTGCTTTCCCCATACTACCCCAAGTCAGGAACAAGACAAAAATATCTGTTCTTACCACTTTCAGTCGACATAATGTAGGAGTTGCTAGCCAGTGCAATAAGACAAGTAAAGGAAAGAAAGGGCATACAGATATTAAAGGAAGAAATAAAACTGTCCCTATTTCCAGATAACATGATTGTCTATGTAGAAAATCTGAAGTATACAAAAAAAATTCCTAGAATGAATAAGTAATTTCAGCAAGATTGCAGGATACAACATACAAATATTAATATCAATCTAAATATCTGGAAAGACATATTGTGCTCATGGACTGAAAGATTTAACATATGAAAAATATAAATTCTCCCCAAACTGATATACAGATTTAATGCAATTTCTATCAAAATATGAGCAAGATTTTTTGTAAATATGTAATATGTAAATGTGTAATTACATATGTAAATATGTAGTATTATCCCACAATTTATATAAAAGACAAAGGAGTTATACCAAATAAAATAATTTTGTAAATAAAGATAAAGTGGGAAGACACAGTGTACCCAATGTCAAGACTTGTTATATGGCCAGAGTAATCAAGACTCTGTGGTGTTACAGAGGAATAAACACGTATAGAATCTACAAACCTAGCCATGCGAATATGTCCAGCTGATTTTTGACAAAGGTACAGTAGTAATTCAGTGGTGGAATGAGTCTTTCCAATAAATTGTGCTAGAGCAACTAGAATCCACATGCAAAAACAAACAAACAAACAAAAAACAAAAAAGACCTCTTGACATAAGGGTCACACCTTATAAAAAAGTAATTCAAATTATATCAAGGTCTTAAATGTAAAACATAAAAATATTACACTTTTAGAAAAAACAATGGAATGTGTTCAGGATCTAAAGCTAGTGAAACATTTCTTAGACTTGACAACAAAAGTACAATCCATAAGAAGAAAAATTGATAAATTGGACCTCACCTAAATAAAAGGATTTTCTCTGTGAAAGACCTTGTTAAGAAGATGAAAAGAAAAGCTACACAGTGTGAGAAACAACGTGCACACCACATATCCTCCAAAGGAGTATATCTAGAACATATGAAGAAACCTCAAACCCAACACTTAAATCCAAATAATTCAATTAGATAACTGGAAAAATACATCAATAGACATTTTACTTAAGAAAATATACAGATGGCAAAGAAGCATACAAAAAGATGCTCAATATCATTATACATTAGGGGAAGGCAAATTCAGTATCACTGTGCAGTTATCAGAATAGTTAAAGTAAAAAATAGTGACAACACCAAATGCTGATGAAGATACAGAGAAATTAGATGATGCATACATTTCTGGTGGGAGTGTAAAATGGTACAGCCACCATGGACAATAGTCTGGCAGTTTCTTAAAAAAAAATAAAATGCAACTACATTATGACCTAGCAATTACACTCTGAGGCACTCTTTATTATTACTCTTTATCCCCAAAGAAAAGAAAATACATTCACACATAAAGTCATACATAGAGGTTTATAACAGCTTTCTTTGTAGTAGCCACAAATTGGAACCCAGATGTCCTTCAGTGAGTAAAATGTTAAAAAAAAGGAAAAAACTGGTACATCCATACCATGCAGTATTATTCAGCAATAAAAATGAATGAACGATTGATACACACAGCAACATGGATGACTCTTTAGAGAATTGTGCTTTAGGAAAAAAGCCATACCCAAAATCTTTATATTGTATGATCCCATTTATATAACATTCTTGAAATGGCAAAATTATAGATAATGGAAAACAGATTAGTGGTTGCCAGACTGAGGTCTGGAGGTAAGTGCGTGTGGCTATAAAAGGGCAACATGAAAGATCATTGCGGTGATTAAAATGTTCTCTATCTTGACTGTATCAATGTTAATATCCTGGTTGATATATCGTATTATGGTTTTGCAAGATGATAGCATTGGGGAAAACTGGGTAAAGATTACACAGCATTTCTCCATATAATGTGTTACAACTGCATATGAACATACAATTAATTCAACATAAAAGGTCTTATTTTAAAAAATATTTTGCTCTGTGAAAGACAATGTTAAAAGAATGACAAGATAAGTCACAGACTAGATGGAAATTGCTTATCAAATAAAGAACCTGTATCTAAAATATATCAACAATTCTTAATACTCAACAAAAAGGAAAGAAATAACACAATTAAAAAATGGACAAAAGATGTGAGCAGACAATTCACCAAAGAAGGTAAATTAATGGCAAATAAGCATATGAGAAGATGTTCAAAATCATTAGTCATTAGGGAAGCCAAAATTAAAACCACAGTGAGAGTATGTACACATCTACTAAAATAGCCAAAGTAAGTAAACCTGATAATACCAAATATTCCTAAGAATGTAGAGCAATAGGAATTTTCATTCATTGTTGGTGGGAATAAAAAATGGTACATCCACTTTGGAAAGCAATTTGGTAGTTTCTTATAAAGTTAAATATGCACTTACCATATGACTCAGCAATCTCACCCTTTATATTTACCTAAGTGAATTGAAAATGCATGTTCATATAAAAACATGCATGCAAATATATATAGCAGCTTTATTAACTATTACCAAAAAAGCTGGAAATTACCTAGATGTTCCTCCAACTGAATGGGTACACAAACTGTGTGGGACACACATAAAATGGGATACTATTCAGTAATTTATATACTATTGATTCACACAACATGGATGAATTTTAAATATATTTATCTAAGTGAAAGTAGTTGGACTCAAATGTAATTCCAGAAAAGATTAAATTATAGGGAAGGAAAATAAAGCAGGGTTGCCAGGGGTTATGAGAAGGCAAAGGGATTGACTACAAAGGGACCACATAAACTAATACTTAGCATGATGGAACTGTTCTATATGGTACTGTAGTGATGTATGCATAACTCTATGCATTTGTAAAAACCCATAGAACTATATACTATAAAGAATTAACTTATCTGTCTAAATTTTTTAATGGGAAACAACCAGTATATTGGAAACCCCAGGATTAAATGCAAACTGTGACAGATAAATTTAACTTTAATGTAAATGTACGACATAACCTCACTAAAAGGGGTTGGAAAAAATATAGAGCTGATTGGATATTGTAAGGATAAAGGAAAAAGAGCTGTACATACACATCCTACTCTAGTTGATATTTTTTTCTCACAGGGATATGGGTTAGCAATTCTTAAACCTCCTTATAGGTATGTTATACATAATGGAAGCCAGATTTCTCACCAACAGAGAAAGAGGTTCCAAATAAGTAAAGAAGGAAGGCTAAAATGAACCCTGCAGTGAAGGATTATAGTTGGAGATATCAACATGAACTCATGTTTATTTTATCATTATTTCATTGTATATATTTAAAGTATACAATATGATGTTTTAATATACATATGGTTAGTAAAATGATTACTACAGTTGATCAAGTTAACATGTCCATCATCTCAGATAGTTACTTTTTTTGTGGTAAATGTACCTAAAATCTATTCTCTTAACAAATTACTAGTATACAATACAATATTATTATAGTCCTCATGCTGTACATTAGATCTCTAGGCTTATTTATTATACATAGTTAAAACTTTGTTCCCTTTGATTTCCATCTCCCCATTTACCCCACCCCCACTAACCATTTATTTTTAACTCTCTGTTTCTATGTATTTGAGTTTCCTTTTTTTGTTTGTTTTTTAGATTCCACATATAAGCGAGATCATGCCATATTTTTCTTTCTGTATCTAGCTTATTTCAAATAATGTCTTCTAGGTTCACATATATTGTCACAAATATCAAGATCTTTTATAAGTCTGAATAACATATCATTGTGTGTGTATATGTGTGTGTATGCATATCACATTCTTAAAATTCATTCATAGACACATGGATTGTTTCCATGTCATGGCTATTGTGAATTTCCTTTCTAAGTGATAAGTTCCTCTCCTTTGGGTATACACTCAGAATCAGGCTTACTCTGTCACTGGAAATTCTATTTTTAATTTCTTCAGAAACCTCCATACTGCTTTCCACAATGGCTGCATCAGTTTACTTTCCATCAACAGTGTACAAGCATTCGCTTTTCTCCACACCCTCACAAACACTCGTCATCTGTTGACTATTTAATAATTGCTATTCGATCAGGTGTGAGGTGCTATCTCATTGTGGTTTTGGTTTGTTTTTCCCTAATAATTAGCAATGTTGATATATATATAATATATATATAAAGGTGCTCAACATTGCTAATGTTATATATATATAACATTATATAACATATATATATATGTTGGCTATTTTCATTTCTTCTTTAGAGAAATGTCTATTAAGGTACTTTTCCCATTTAATATATATATATTTGGAAGTGTCCTCAACTTCAGCACTATTGACATTTTGCGCCAGATGCTTCTTTGTTGTGGGGAGATGTCCTGTGCACTGTAGAATGTTTACCAGTATCTGTGGCCTCTACCACTAGATGCCACTAATACACCCTCCCAACTATGACAAACATATCTTCATACATTGCTAAATATTCCTTGGCAATGATGTGGGGTGGATGTAAAGACATCATCAGTTGAGAACCACTGAGATAGATACATACAGAAATAAATATACATGTTTATGTATACAAAAGTTAGTATATATGCATGCATTTCCTACCTCTGTCCACTGAGATAGCATAGATACAATAATAGCCTAGCAGCAACCAGCACAATAAGCACCTATATATCGGTTTCCAAATACCTTTCCTACCTGAAGGGAACCAATGCTGTTTGGAGAAATAGCTGAATCTAAGGCTAAAACATGAAAAATAAAATATAAGCATAGAGCATTTTATAATATCAGAAAGTAAGGAAGTGCTTTAAAAATAAATACAGGTGGGAGTGTGTTAAAAGGACACAGATGCCCATCTGAAAGAGTTCCCAATGATCAAAACTTGATCAATTTGAGCAACAAAACAAATAATAACAGAATTATATTATCATCCAAAGAATAAAATAAATGTCACTGAGTTGATATGGATATAAATATTTGGTTTTCAATACATAAATAAATGGGAGAAGGGACACATATTTATAAAAATTCCAATTAATAAATATAGAAGGAATGATAGAAATGAAAAACTATCATTAGAACACTACAGGAATAATTAGTACAAGCAAAATCAACAGATCAATTACAAAATTTATGGGTAAAAACACAGGGGAAATAGAATATTTGGACAGCCTTAAAGTATCTCCCTCAAATTCATTCATTACTGCAATTGTTTTTACATATGTTCACAAATTCTTTGACACTCTTCCTTCCTGGAGGTGGAACTTAATTTCTCTCCTCTGAATACAGGCTGGACTTTGGTTACTCATCTCCAATGAATAAAGTGTACTAATTGTAAAATACTCACTTTACAATGAAGAAGCCTGGTAGACACTATCTTAACCAATGATCAATGCTAACATTACCAGTAATAAGGCAAATTTATATCATGTGCCCCAGATATGAAGTGATGAGAAGGGTACCACATCTCTGTAGTATTCTTTCTAAAAATCCATAGCCTCAGTGTAATCATTAGAAAATAGCCAAACATGAATTGAGATTTTCACTAAAATTTCTGAGTACTACTCTTCAAAGATGTAAAAGTCATCAAAGCAGGAAGAAATCTCTGTAACGGATTGTAGGCTACTAAGAAGACATGATGGGTAAATGCAATGGGGGATAAGGGATTTGATCCTGGAACAGAAAAAAGGACATTAGTGGAAAAACTGGTGAAATTAAAATAAAGTCTGTCATTTAGTTAATAGTATCATACTAATGTTAGTTTCTTAGTTTTGGTATATATACCATGCTTATGAATGATGTCCACATTAGAGGACACTAAGGAAAACACTAATATATTTTAAACTTCCCTATAAATGTAAAATTTTCTTAAAATTTTTATGTAAAAAATTCTTGGCAAGATAAAACTAAATATGGTTGAATAAGGAAATGGATGAAAATAACAGAAAAAATTTAGATTGCATCAACATTCAATAGAAAGAAAGATGACTATTAGCAGTCTATTCATACTTCAATAACTTGAGATGAACAATAAATCGTTGAATTGTTAAAATGTTTCAAAGCTTTGGCAGTAAGATGCATTATCCCTGGAAATGATGAAGCATGTAAATGATCTTTTTTTTTAAAAGTAATTTGAGTTCAAAATTATATCCACAGAAACTGCATATTTTTGGCTAAAATGAATACTTTTGTTCTTTTTATGAGAGAATATTACCTGAATATTCTCATTTCAGGATTTGACTGAACAATCATCCTTTAATTGTGGATAATGGCATGGGTGACGATGTTTGCTAAGAATCAGTTTTAATTAGAGTGAATATACATCAGAGAGCTCCTCAGAATTTGAAAAGTAAATTAGCAGTTAATCTGAGAGCTATATAAACCAATAGCCAATTTTTTTCTAGTGGATTCATTGTAGAATGTCATTTTCATTGAACACCTATTGGTACCCCACCCACATCCTTTCACACATATACATATCCCCACATACCCCACCATATGATTCTCCACTGCCTGTGCAGTGTTAGTCACAAAATGGCTGGAGGCTCAGACTCTTGTCTTCATTCTGCCACACATGCAAGATAAAAAGAAATGCATCAGAATTCTTGGATGGAAAAACAATTATGAATCATGAAGGCAGGACAACTGAAAATTCTTTTTTTTTTTTTTTTTTTTTTTGAGACGGAGTCTTGCTCTGTCGCCCAGGCTGGAGTGCAGTGGCGCGATCTCGGCTCACTGCAAGCTCCGCCTCCTGGGTTCACGCCATTCACCTGCCTCAGCCTCCCGAGTAGCTGGGACTACAGGCGCCCGCCACCACGCCCGGCTAATTTTTTGTATTTTTAGTAGAGACGGGGTTTCACCGTGTTAGCCAGGATGGTCTCGATCTCCTGACCTCGTGATCCGCCCGCCTCGGCCTCCCAAAGTGCTGGGATTACAGGCGTGAGCCACCGCGCCCGGCCGACAACTGAAAATTCTAAGGGTAAGTCTGTTGCCTGGATGAAAGGAGAAAGAAACAAGATGTTTAAGCCACAAAGAAGTAATAAATGAAATGGACACATTTCAGAGAATAATATACTTGAAATATCTTTGCCTCATAAGCTAGTAATACACTTGTACTTTTGTAAGCTAGATCTCCACAGTAACAAACATAGAAATACACTTGAAATTACTATTCAATCCCATTTCGCTGCCACCTCTTCCCACCATGCCATATATAATCCAGTGAAATAAAATTTCTTACCACTTCCCAAACATAGCAAGCTCTTTCACAACATCTTTAAAGAGAACCAGTTCATTTTTCCTTTTTCTTTATTAATATTTTCCATAATTCATTGTAAACATCTGTTTAATTGACTGTCTCTCATACTATACCATGAGCTCATTGATATCACGGGCACTATGTTTTGATTACTTTTTATCCTCAACACTGACACAGCCCTAGTGTAGAGCACGCTTTGATACATATTTTTCTAATGGTTAGATCATAGCCAAAAAAGAGATATAACCTGTGTGTGTCCTATTGGTTCCAGTATAATACAAAGTTCCAATTAAAAAATGAGAATTTTTGAATGATCACAGGTTGCGTAGAAAAGAAGTTGCAATACGAATGAAACCATGGATATGTTTTCCTAATATGAAAGAAGATGGCCACAAAATACCTGTAATGCACCATTTTTTATTCATTCAACATATAGATATGCACTATAGATGAAGCACTGCCTCCTGGATTGATACGTTTCATTATGCTGGAGTATGTTCCCCAGATGTGCTTTCAAATAGGATCTGAAACTGCTCAGGCTAAGAATTTTTTTTTTTTTTAACAGAGTTTCACTCTTGTTGCCCAGGCTGGAGTGCAATGGCGTGGCCTCAGCTTACTGCAAACTGTGTCTCCCAGGTTCAAGCGATTCTCCTGCCTCAGCCTCTGGAGTAGCCGCCACCACACCCGGCTAATTTTCGTTGTTGTTGTTGTTGTTGTTGTTGTTTGGTTTTTCTTTTTTTTTTTTCAGTGGAGATGGGGTTTCACCGTGTTGTCCAGGCTGGCCTTGAACTACTGACCTCAGGTGATCCACCTGCCTCGGCCCCACAAAGTGCTGGGATTACAGGCGTCAGCCACCATGCCCAGCCTAAGAATCCTTTTTTTTTTAACGTCACATTTAAATGATAGTTTAGTTAAAAATAAAATTCTAGTTTCAAAAGTTATTTCTGTCAATTCTTTAAAATATTGATTTATTGTCTTATTGGATATACTATTTTTATAGTCTAATGTCAATATAAGTCGTGTTCCTTTGTAGATAGTCTACATTTCCTCTGTAGATATTTTAAAATTTTCTCTTTGTCATTAATATTCTAAATTTTCTCCATAACATATCTAGATAAGGTTGGTGGTGGTTTTTTTCCCTTCTTTGACCTGTTTGGTACTCTACAAACCATTTCTGGGGTCTTATATTTTTCTTTAACTTAGGAAAATTCTCAGGCATTAGTTCTACAAATATTCCTCCATATTTGTTTTTTCTTCTTATTCTGGCTCCTATTTTATGGATTTTGTAACTTCTACTCCTGTGCTATATATCTCTTAATTTCCTTTATATTTCTCTTTTGTTTTTTCTTCCTAATGTTTTTATGCCTTCTGAATGAGTTCCTTGACATGTCTTTCACTTCACTAATTCATTATTTATATTCATTCTGCTATCCAATCCATTCATCATATGCTATATTTCAACTATAATTTTCATATACAATTTCTTCAGTTGATTCTTCTTCATGACTACTTGTCCTTGCTTCATGTTTCCAATATTCTCTATTATCTTTTGAGGATATTCATTATAATTATTTTACATTCTTGTTTCATCAGGACTACTAGGTCTTTCTCTGGCATAAAGTCTCAATTTTACAGCACATGTGCTCTTTAGAGGTCATGTTTTTTCTGAGGTTATATTCTCTCAAGTGTATCAACTTACTTGGCCAGTAATATGTACCTAAGGGAAAGGAAAGAGCTTAGATCCCATATGCTTTCAAGTAAATGAGATTATCTGGTATTATAATCTTGTTTCAATCATGTACCATTTGCCTCTTGGCAATCCTTACATTCAGGGATCCCCTCAATGCTTGAATCATAAGTACTGACTTTTCCAAGAGCTATCTTTTTGAGTTTTAATAACCTAGCCCACAAATTAAAGGGTAGAGAGTAAATGATGGAGACGGGAGGAAATGCTTAAAGGCTTGCCAGTCGAAATACACCTGTGATTTCTTCCTTAACTCAGCTGGGCTTCTACATATCACTAACAGTACCTAGCTACCCCTTAAACTGGCCTTGCTTTAACGCCCTAAAGAGATAGACAATGATATGTCCAAGGCAACATGTGGGAGGGACAAGAGAACAACAAAATATGCTTCCTGCACCTATATTCCCCATACATAACGTGTGGTTCTCTTCCCCTGAATCTGCTGTTAACTTTACACATACCAGGATGTGTAAGAGCCACTTGTTAGGTTCTGAAATTAACCAACTTCCCTCTTACTTGTAAAATATTTCCAACACTGGATTCTGGAGAGGAACTAACCACCCTCGCTTGTTCATCATCTTCCTCGTTCTACTATCAAAGTGATTCTTATACATATTAAAATGTAAAAAATATTTTTTAACCAACACAAAACTATCAGCTGGCTGCTTGCTATTTTCTCCAGTTGTCACTTCCTGAACAGCAATTGTTAGAATCTCTGCAACCTCTAAGCAGTACTATGGATTCTCTGGCAGTTAAAAGTCAACTATAGTAGTTTACAGTCCCACCAACAGTGTAAAAGTGTTCCTATTTCTCCACTTTCTCTCCAGCACCTGTTGTTTCCTGACTTTTTAATGATCGCCATTCTAACTGGTGTGAGATGGTATCTCATTGCGGTTTTGATTTGCATTTCCCTGATGGCCAGTGATGATGAGCATTTTTTCACGTGTCCGTTGGCTGTATAAATGTCTTCTTTTGAGAAGTGTCTGTACTAGTTCAACCACTGTGGAAGACAGTGTGGCGATTCCTCAAGGATCTAGAACTAGAAATACCATTTGACCCAGCCATCCCGTTACTGGGTATATATGACCCAAAGGATTATAAATCATGCTGCTATAAAGACACATACACACGTATGTTTATTGTGGAACTATACACAATAGCAAAGACTTGGAACCAACCCAAATGTCCGTAAATGATAGACTGGATTAAGAAAATGTGGCACATATACACCATGGAATACTATGCAGCCATAAAAAAGGATGAGTTCATGTCGTTTGTAAGGACATGGATGAAGCTGGAAACCATCAATCTCAGCAAACTATCGCAAGGACAAAAAACCAAATGCCGCATGTTTTCACTCATAGGTGGGAATTGAACAATGAGAACACATGGACACAGGAAGGGGAACATCACACACCGGGGTCTGTCGTGGGGTGGGGGGAGCGGGGAGGGATAGCATTAGGAGATATACCTAATGTAAATGACGGTTAATGGGTGCAGCACACCAACATGACACATGTATACATATATAACAAAACTGCATGTTGTGCACATGTACCCTAGAACTTAAAGTATAATTAAAAAAAAACCTCAAAAACAAACAAACAAAAACAAAAGGTCAATTATAAGGGAGAAGCTGTGATACAGTGATCAGAACCTGCTGTCTGAATCCCACTAAACACTGTGACTGTAGCCAGTGATGGCTGCAAGTTAGGGGAGTAGAAGTTAGGTGAGCAGTTTCTTCTGAACAACTTAGCAAATCAAAGTCTTGATAGCCAGGTGAAGTGAAAGCTCTATTTCTTAGAGGAATATCTTGGATAAACTAAAAACTATATGCCAAGTTTATAAATGCTTCTCATCCCCTTAGCCATGTAAGGCAGAGTGGCAAGGCATGCTGGCAATAAAAGTATGGGATGAAGAAAGCAAAGCAGATGACCCAATAGGGAAATAAAAGGTAAATTTACAAATTCCTAGATTTAAAGCCCTGCTCTCCTCTCTGCAAACTAGCTATCTATTTCTGCTATCTTCTGTAACTCCATACAAGTATATTTTTGATTTTGAGGAGAAAATTGAATCAGTAGCTGATGTGGAAGTATTTTGCTAGCTTGTTCAATTTCATCCCTGTTTTTTTAAATTGTTATTACCTTAACATGTATTTTCCAGTGGCCACACTTAGGTGGTTTAAAAAAATAGATCTATATGTTTGTTTGTTTTCAGAATACTTTGGTGTGGTTTTTATATAGTATTTTTTTATTAAACTTTACATTTGAAATGTATTCTTTTGGCTATCTGCTACTTTTTCATGGCCTTCTAGAGCTTTCTGCTTTTAACTGTAAAACGTAGGGGGAATATTTTCATTTTTCCATTGTGTTTATTTAATCTGGCTAGACAAAGTCAGTAAAGTTCAATTGTATATCTTTATGACTCTCAAAGAGTGTGTACACAACTATTGATTACTTGTTAGACTTAAGTTGTTTGGTTAACAAAATGCTACAGTTCTAGATATCTATACATCTAAAACAGATACACTACTCCTTTCCCAGTTAACTCAGATATCAAAATTCTATTGTTCTAGGCAGTTTCACTACAAAAATCTCTAGCCTTTATTTAGCCAAAAAACTCAGTTAAATAGATGGCTCCATTCTCTCCTACTAAGCAACATCATAACTTAGGGATGTTTATAAATATCTTATGGAGTTCTAGTAGACATTTAAGTTAATGTTAGAAACTGTGCTGGGTTACAGTGGTGAGTGAATAAGATGGAAGTGCTAAGGTGAGAGCTCAAGGAGCTCACAATCTGAAAAGAGGACTAGATGATTCTATCACGTGTGAGAAGTGCTGTGGTGGAGGTAACCACAGGAACTTGCAGAAGAGAGGCTCCTTACCAGCCTGGATGGTGGAGGTGTCAGTGAAAGTTGCCATAAGAAGCAAGCACCTAAGCTGAGTCTTACACACACACACACACACAAATTATTTACATCAACGTAAAGCAAATGCATCTCCAATAAGGGAGATTTATCTTTTCCTCCTTCCATAGGTATGAACAAAATAACCCTCTGTTTGCAATCAATCCGTTTATTTTATTTTACATTTAGGTATGAAAGTGAACATTCATTGACTTCCTAGTATATGCCAGTCACTCTGCTTAAACAGACTGTTAAGGGATCTTTGCTAACACATGCAGCACTTTGCGTCTGAGAATTTTCAGCTCCACTACTGAACCTAAAGCATTTCTACAGACAAATGTTGCCAAAATTAAGTTCCATAATCTAATTAAGCCAACCCTAGTTTGTACTTGATGAGTATGATTGACTCAACATGTTATTTAACATGTGTACACCAATTTTATGTTTTTTTATAATTTTTTCTTTAAATTTTTTTTATTTTTCCAGTCATCAGGTTTCATTTATTGGAGATATATATATATATATATATATATATATATATATATATATATATTTACATTTTGAACATTAAATAATAGAAAAGATCATCTGACAAAGGGCTAATATCCAGAATCTACAAAGAACTCAAACAGATTTACAAGAAAAAAACAAACAACCCCATCGAAAAGTGGGCGAAGGATATGAACAGATACTTCTCAAAAGATGACATTTATGCAGCCAACAGACACATGAAAAAATGCTCATCATCACTGGCCATCAGAGAAATGCAAATCAAAACCACAATGAGATATCATCTCACACCAGTTAGAATGGCAATTTTATGTTCTTGTACTTCCTTTTTCTCTTGATTCTTCTTCTCATCTGGAACTGTGGGAAGCAATGCACATAGGTAGTGAGTTTTTGGTTTGTGAGAATGCCCTGTTGTTCTTCAAACCTTCCAAATTGGAATTCACACAAGCAGCTGATCCTTAGTGCTTTTACTTTCTGCCTTCAAGAGAAGCTGGCAAGGTTCTTAAATATTCTTCAAACAGAGTCCCATCAGTCTTTTGTCCACCCAGGTACTCATAGGCAGAGTCTATGGTTTTATTATCAGATACGACGCTGAGTGAAGATCATTCATACTAATGTCCCACAAATCTCAAAATGCTTTCTTCTTTGAGTTTTCTGAAAGTCTATCATTGAGTGCAATGGACAAAATGTTTGTGTCCCCCCAAAATTAATATGCTGAAATCCTAATCACCAATGTCCTGGTATTAGGAGGTGGGGCCTTCGGGAGGTGATTAGGTCATGAGAGTGGAGTCCTTGTGAATGGGATTAGTGCCCTTATAAAAGGGACCCCAGGAAGTACTCTCACCCTCTTTCTGCCATGTGAGAGTACTGTGAGAAGTTGGCAGTCTGCAATCCAGAAGAGAGCTCTCACCAGACCCTGACCATGCTGGCACACTGATCTCCGACTTTCAGCCTCTAGAATTTTGAGAAACAATTGTCTGTCGTTTATAAGCCACACAGTTTATGGTACTTTGTTGTAGCAACCCGAACTGACTAAGACATGGAGAGTTGATGATACCATCATAACTGGTTGCTTAACACTACAGTTAATTCATAAAAATCAATACATCCATCATACCTGCGAACTGAATTGATCTAGATGTTTTGGTCAATTTGGTCAGAAGGGTAATAATGGTAGCCTCCTTGAGTGCTTAATGTATACCAGGCACTGTGCTAAGCACTTTACATGGATTATCTATTTTCATTCTCAAAGAAACACTGGAAAGAAGGAACTACTATTATCCCCATATTGCAAATTTGAAAAGAGGTATGAAACCCAATATTAAAACTTATGTCTTTCTAATCTGCAAAAGTCATGATCTGAACCAATATGGTGTCTTAAATAAGTATGCAATCAGTTGCCTTTTTTATCAATATATAGGAAAAATTAACACTTAGAGTGGACTCCCACATGTAAGTTCAATGATTAGAGCCTGATCATGATTCAAGGTTATATAAAATCTTATAGGCTAGATAGCTTCTTTTAGCTCTATAACTCTGATTTATGACTACCATTTTGCAAATGTGACATCAGATTTATAAAATATTTGACAGAGTACAGGTAGATGCTGTAATCCAATTTAAATCACATGTTCTGCCATGGATACCTCAGTAAGGGCTAGAACAGAGATTTTTTTTAAAGGAGACAGTGCTCAATTTGGGCCTTAAAGAACAGATAGAACTTGCCCAAAGACAATATGTGGCTCAGAGGAGACGTTTTAAGTCATGGGAATGGTACAAGCAAAATGTACACGTAAAAATATTAAAATTAAAGAGAGGGGGAGAGAAAGAGTAGGAATAGACTAGTTCAGGTAGAATGTTTGCATCCACTCCTACAATAGAGGGTTATATTGTACAGTAGTATAAATAAGGCTGACAAAATAGCATAAGTCAAGATTATGGAGATCTTAAAAGAGAGAAGGAAATTTTGACATAAGTAAGTTATTGAAGGTTCTGAGTAGAATTATAATAAAAACAAAAAAGGGTGTTTTGAGCAGCCACAGAGGTGTGCTGCCCAGATCTTCCTTCAAGAAGTTTGCCATTCCACTGTTGGGTGGTGTGGTTAGCACTCCTGCTGTTAGCGCTTTTAAGAACTTCCTCGGCCGGGCGCGGTGGTTCACGCCTGTAATCCCAGCACTTTGGGAGGCCGAGGCGGGTGGATCATGAGGTCAGGAGATCGAGACCATCCTGGCTAACAAGGTGAAACCCCGTCTCTACTAAAAATACAAAAAATTAGCCGGGAGCGGTGGCGGGCGCCTGTAGTCCCAGCTACTCGGGAGGCTGAGGCAGGAGAATGGCGTGAACCCGGGAAGCGGAGCTTGCAGTGAGCCGAGATTGCGCCACTGCAGTCCGCAGTCCGGCCTGGGCGACAGAGCGAGACTCCGTCTCAAAAAAAAAAAAAAAAAAAAAAAAAAAGAACTTCCTCAACTTTTGAACTAAGTTTATATTTTCTCTAGGCATCTTCATTTGATGACTTAGCATGAGGTGCTTGGGCCTAGCTATTTCTGCCCAATGTATGACTCCTCTAATGAGTATTATCTGCTTCATAGCTCGGTGTTTGTTTGGCCAAGACTTTGTCAGATCTGCATTGTGGTCTGGGATTTCCTCTGGCCAATTCTGCTTCCTCTGTCTCCTTTTTTCACAGGTATAAAGTCTGAACCACCATCTACATGCCCTCCATGCTGAATCTTGCCTCCTCCCCCTTTTTATCTCTCACAGGTATTACTCTATCCCACTCCTGATAAAGTTCCTGCACTCCCAACTCCAACTAGTGTCTATTTCAGAGAGGATCCAACTGACAGGATGTTTAAGGCAGATTATCTGACAGCTATATCTGAGATAGCTTAGAGAAAGTAGACACCGGGCTCAGAGATAAAAACTAAAGGATTTCACAGCAATGTTGGTATGGTATAAGTGACTGTGAAAATAAAGCAGAAGTGAAAAAGGATCAAGGATGACATAATTTTGAACCATATATCTGGAAGGATAGTGTCAGGAATAAGTTAGAGGCAGGCTCTGATTAGGACTAGAGGTTGATGTCAGGTTTTGACAATGCTGTGTTGGAGTGTGTGATATCCAGTAGGCAGTTGAAGATATGGAGTCAATTCTGAAGAGTAGGAAGAACTATTTAGTCATATTTATAGACTATTGTGATGGGTTTATAGCAGTTAAAAGGATTAGGTTTTTGAGGGTGGCAGTGGTGAGTAAAACACCTATTGTTGGGAAATGTCATTGAGTTAAAACTTTTTCCTCTAAGGCTCTGATTGCCCACTGAGTTAGATGTTCCTTTAGCATCTTGCCGACAAAATACATTGAGCTAATGACTAATGCATCAGTATTTTGTTACTGTTCTTAGATCTATTGAGATTTAAAAAGTAATGTGGAATGCAAAGAATGAAAAGCTTCTCAATTTTGTGTGAACAGACAATTGGCATTCTGAATGCAGGTAACAATAACCAAATGTAAATATCAATGCCAGTATATTCACTGTGTACATCAGTGGTAATAGAGTTTGAAATGGAAGCAGAAGTAACTCCAAAAAGGTGTGTTCCCTTCATAAAAATGTTTTGGAATCAAAGTAGCAAGACTTTTAGTTTTGGGGGGTTTTTTGTTTTGTTTTGTTTTTCAAAGACGCATCTGGCCAGGTACCAGGTTAACACTCAAATCCAAATGGAAGCAGTGCCCAGATACTCTCTGATCACTACTCTCATAGAGTTGGCTCTGGACTTATTTCAAAATTGCAGTGTCTCTGTTGGCTAGTACTATAGGTGTATTGCCAAACTGGAGTAACAATCTGCTAAGGCTGAGAATGGAGTAAGGAAGCCCTTTTCTTGTACTCTCCCTCGACACAGTACTGAAGGATCGTTCCAGCTCTGGAGCTTTCCATGGTATCAGCTAAAGTTCTTGGGTCTCATCACAGTGTGACTTCTCCCTCTGAACATCCCCATTTCCTTCCCCTCCATTCCACAGGTGTTGATCCCCAAAGTACTCTTTAATAAGTACCTTACATGCCAAGCTCCTCAAATTTGTTTTCTGTGTTATAAATGAAAGGATAATGTAATATTTCCAAACAGGGTTTATTCTAAAAGAAATTTGTTATTTCATCGTCCTGGAGGCCAGAAGTATAAAATCAGTGTAATTGAGCCAAAATATGTCAGCAGCGTTATACTATCTCTGGAAGTTCTCAAGGGGAATTCATTCTTTGATTCTTCCAGCCTTTGGTGGCTGCTGGCATTTCTTGGTTTGTGACCACATGACTCCAATCTTCAAGGCCAGAACCTTCCAATTTCTCTCTACTCTGTCTTCACATTGCCTTCTCTTCTTTATGTGTTTCTTCTCCTCTTTCTGTCTGTATCTGAACTCTTTCTCTGCCTCTCTCTTCTAGGGATACATGACAGTGTTTAGGATCCACCTAGATAATCCAGGATAATCTCAAGATTCTTAACTTAATCAAAACTGTGAGGACACTTTTTTTTGGCACAATATAAGACACCATTCACAGGTTCCAGGGATTAGAAGTTGGATATGATTTGGGGAACCATATTTTTAGCGTACCACATGGTCTTATATCCATAGTATATGGATATCTTATAACTCAATGATAAAAATACAAATAACCATATTTTAAATGAGCAAAAGGTTTGAATAAATATTTTTCCAAAGAAGATATACAAATAGACAATAAATGCATGAAAAGATGTTCAACATCATTAGTCATTAGAAAAAGGTGAGTCCAAATCACAATAAGCTATTACTTCACAGTTATTAAAATGGCTATAGACAGACAATAACAAATGTTAGCAAGAATGTGGAGAAAGTGAAATTCTCATATCACTCATACATCAAGAGTGAAAATGTAGATGGTACAGCCACTATGGAAAATAGTTTGGCAGGAATTGTCTTAAAATTTTAAAACATAAAATGTAATGTATATCTATTTATTTAAAATTTAATACATATATGGTTAACATTTAATATATATGTATAAAACTTTAAAATATATATACATATATATACATATATATACATATATATATACGTATATATACATATATACATATATATACATATATATATACGTATATATACATATATACATATATATACATATATATATAGTTTGGCAGCATATATAACAGCTGTGGCAATAACATAGAATTACCATATAACCCGGTTATTCCACTGCTAGGTATCCACCCAAGAGAAGTGAGAACATATATACGCAAATATTTATAGCAGCATTATACATAATATCCATCAACTAATGAATGGATCAACAAAATGCGCTATAACTATATGATTAATTATTAATTTTACATATAAAGGAATTTAATACTGATACATGCTACAACATGGATGCACCTTAAAACTATTACTCTAATTGAAAAAAGCCAAGCACAAAGAACCATACATTATAAGATATCACTTATAAAATGTCCAGTATATATGATTTCTTAGAGACAAAATGTAAATTAATGGTTTCCAGGAACACTTGAGGAGGAAATGAGGAGGGTTCCCATATATGTATATATATGTGTGTATATATATATATATATATATATAGAAATATGTATATTTCCATCACTCAAACATATCTATATATATACACATATATATCTATATATACACATATATATCTATATATATACACATATATATACACACATATATATCTATATATACACACATATATATCTATATATATACACACATATATATCTATATATACACACATATATATCTATATATATACACACTATATATATATATACACACATATATATATACATGAGAGGGCGATGGAATTGTTGGTTGCATAACCTTGTAAATATACTAAATACCATTGGATTGTACACATTAAAATGATGAATTTTGTGGTATGTAATATATGTAATATATGTTTTAATATGTAATATATAATATGTGAATTATAACTCAAATTTTCAAATTGCAAAAATAGTCTCTGGGAAATGAATGAATTACTTAACATGGGTGTTGAAAAATTATCTTATTCTATAAACACATGACATTTAATCACTACACCAAATTGTATAAAAAAATAAAGATAGATTAAAGATCTAATAGAAAAGGGTAAAATTATAAAACTGATATTTAAAAAGGAGAAAAAATGTCTTTGTGGCCTTGGGGTGGGTCAAAATGTCTTAAACAATACTCAAAATGCACAGAACAAAGAAGAAAAACGGATAAAATACACATCTTATTCAAAATTTCTTCAATGAAAGACAATATGGCAAGAGATATGTGACAGAATGGGAGATGTTTTTAATATCTAAAACCCGCAAGAGTTTTAATATGTAATATATACAAGACACTCCTGCAAATCAGCAAGAAAAAGGCAGGAAATCCAATATTAAATCAGTGAATATGTAATTTAATGAAGAAATATAGATAACTACCATATATATGCAGAGATACTCAACCTCATTATTATTTAGAGAAATGTAAATTAAAACAACAATAAAATGGCACTTTTTACCTACCAAATTAACAAACGTTGGAAAATCAGATAATGCCACCTGCTGGAGAATGTGACAATAAAGGAACCATTATGTGTTGCTAATAAGAGTGTAAACAGGAGGCCCAGTCTGACAGACTGTGTTATAACACGGCAGAAGGCATTACAGGGCAAGAGGGGCTCATGGAGATGGCCAAACTGGCTTTTGTAACTGACCCACTCTCCTGACAACTAAACCACTTCTTCAATAACCCATTAATACTTTACTACATTAATCCATTAATGGATTACTCCACTCATGAGGGCAGAGCCCTTATGACCTAATCACCTCACAGATGTCCTACCTCTCAACACTGCTACATTGGGGACCAAGTTTCCAACTTATAAACTTTTGGGGGACACATACAAACCACAGAATTCTGTCCCTGGCCCCCCAGATTAATGTCCTCACTTGTAAAATACATCATTCCATCCTGATACCCCCAAAGCCTTAACTTGTTCCAACACCAACTCAAATGTCTAAAGTCTCATCTGTAAGCCTGTGAAATCAAAGCAAGTTATCTACTTCCAAAATGCAATAGTGAGACAGGCATAGGGTATACATTCCCATTCCAAAATGGAGAAATTAGCCAGAAGGAAAGAGTAACAGGCCCAAGCAATTCTGAAGCCTGGCAGAGAAAAAAAATTAAATCTTAAAGCTGGAGAATAATCTCTTTTGACTCCATGTTCAGCATCCGGTGCACACTTGGACAAAGGGTGGGCCTTCAAGGCATCATGCAAACCTACCCCTGTGGCTTTGCAGGGCTCAGCCCATGTGGCTGCTCTCACAGGTCAAAGTTGCACACTGGTGCCTGCAGCTTTTCCAGGCAGGTGTTGCATGCTGCCCATGGCACTACAGTTCTGAGGTCTTGGGGGTGGCTCTGGCTTTGACTCCACACCTCTGGTCAGCGTTGTTCTAGTGGGGGCTTCACCCTTGCTTCTCTGCGCAGGCCCCCAGTCTTCTCAATACACCCTCTGAAATATTGGTGGAGAACACCATGGCCCCATAGCTGTTGCATTCTGCATGCCTGCAGAATTAGCACACATGGACCCCACCAAAACTTATTGCTTGCTCTCTTGGGAGCATCAGTGCAGACCACATCTGGAGCCACAAGAGCCATAGCTTGTGTGTGGTAGGGAAGCACTGCACTGGAATGCAGAGAGCAGAGACCCAAGGTGGCCCTGGGAAGTGGCCCATCCCCCAAAACCATTCTATCTTCCCACAGCTCTGGATTTATAATGGGAAGAGAAGCCTTGAATATCTCTGAAATGCCTTTAAAGTTTTTCCCCCACTTTCCTGATGAATAGCACCTGGCTCTCTTTCATCCATGCTAATATCTTTAGCAAGGGGTCCCTGGGCCACACCTTCAGCACTCTCTCCTGAACATGTCTTTTTGCATTTTACATGGTCAGGCTGTGAATTTTCCAAAATTTTCTGCTCTCCTTCTTGTTCAATTATAAATTCCATCTTTACATTATTCACTTGTTCTCAAATATTAGTGTAAGCAGCCACAAGTAACCACATAGATACTTCTATATTTTGCTTAGAAATTTCTTCTGCCAGACGTTCTAGTTCATTAAAATTCTGTCTTCCATAAAGCCCTAGGGCATGGACAGAATGCAGCCAAGTTCTTTGCAACTGTATTATAAGGGTGCCTTTCACTCCAATTTCCAATAAGAAATTTCTCATTTTCATCTGAGATCTCATCAGAATGGCCATTACTGCCCATATTTCTATCAGCATTTTGGTTATGACCACTTAACCAATTTTTAACAAGCTCCAAAATTTTCCTAGTCATCTTGTCTTCTAAACCTTTACCAGAATCTAGACTTTTTCTAATCTGTCCCTCCAGACTCTTCCAACCTATACCCATTACCCAGCTCCAAAGCCACTTTCACATTTTCAGGTATCTGTATGTCAACACCTCACTCTTGGTACCAGTTTTCTGTCTTAGTTTGTTTTCTGTTGCCATAACATGCTACCTGAGACGGGGCAATTTATAAAGAAAATAGATTTATTTTGGCTCATGGTTCTGGAGGCTAGGAAGTTCATGATCAGAGAGCTGCATCTGATCAGCTTTGGCCGAGGGTCTCATGCTACATCCTAACATGATTGAGGGAATCACAGGGAGAGAGGGGCTCACAAGAGATGGCCAACTGGCTTCTAAAACGGGCCCACTTTTATGATAACTTACTAACTCCCTGGATAACCCATTAATCCATTAATTCATGAGTGGTTTACTCCATTGATGAGGGCAGAGATCTCATGACATAATCACCTCCCAAAAGTCCCACCTCTCAACACTGCTATATTGAGGACAAAGTTCCTAATACATGAACTTTTTAGGAACACAAACCATATGACCTACAGACATTCTCTAAATAGAGAAGGAGACTCATTTTATGAGGCCCTACAACTCTGATACTAAAACTGGTAAATGCATTACAATAAATTTACAGGCTTGCATCTGTTATAAATATGGATACAACACATTAGCAAATAAAGCCAGCAATATATAAAAAAGACAATATATTATGATCAAGTAAGTTTCATGCCAGGAATGTAAGGTTGGTTCAACATACAAAAATCAATCAATGCAATTTTCATTAACAGAGTAAAGGAGAAAATTTTATCCTTATCTTAACAGATACAAACAAACATTCATGATAAAAATTATTAGGAAAGTATAAAATGTCAGTAGATACTAGATGTATAAATTGAACATTTTGTCCCTTCTAAAATGTATATTTTGACATTTTAACTCCCAATAGAATGATATGAGGAGATGGGGTCTTTGAGAAGTAATTAGGTCATAAGGATGGAGCCTTCATAAATGGGATTAGTGCCCTTACAAAAGGACAGGAGAGGGCTTGCTTGCTTTCTCAATGTTCTGTGCCATGTGGGGTTGCAATTTGAAGATAACCTGCAAACCAGGAAGAGTGACCCCACCAGACACTAGATCTGCTGGCATCTTGATTTTGAATTTCCCGTCCTCCAGAACTGTGAAAAATAAATGTTATTTGTTTAAACTACCCATCTATAGTAATTTGTTATAGCAGCCCAAACTGACTAAGACACTAAAGGATATTTACAAGAAATATCAAGTAACATTATAGACTTCTGTTCATTGGCTAGAGAATGACATTCCCGGGATTAGTATGCCAAATTCATAATTAGAATACTGTTAATTGAGTTAAATAGGAAGTGTTGGGTAAGAAGTATTATACCCATATAATTCTGGCAGCCTGGTGGGTCACCATGCTTCACTAAAATGCCATTCTTACCACAAATCCTGGACTATTTAAATTATTTGCCAAAGCATCTTCTCTGCTTGTTATGTAAGAGTGGTGCTGACAACATGTTTTTCCTTGTTGACTTGTAGTTTTCCTTATTATGTAGGATCTTATTGCACTTTGGTATATGATGATGTATTGGCCAGGGGCTGTGGCTCATGCCTGTAATCCCAGCACTTTGGGAGGCTGAGGCGGGTGGATCACTTGAGGTCAGGAGTTTGAGACCAGCCTGGCCAACATGGCAAAAACCCATCTCTCCTAAAAAATAAAAAATAAAAAATAAAAATATAAACATTAAAAATTAGCCAGGCATGGTGGTGTGTGCCTGTAATCCCAGCTACTTGGGAAGCAGAGGCAGGAGAATCACTTGAACCCAGGAGGCAGAGATCGCAGTGAGCCAAGATCACGCCACTGTACTCCAGCCTGGGTGACAGAGTGAGAAACTGTCTCAAAAAAAAAAAAAGGTATGTTCATGTGCAGGTGGATTGGATTTTAGATTTTTTATTTCCTAAGTAATTGTTAAGGGTGCTTTTGAATCTAACAAGAAATCTAGTCCTAAATTTCCTTTAAGAACAGGTACCTTGGGCCACTAAAATTGACCCTTCCCTGAATAAATTTATTATCTACATAAATTTTAAAGCCCAGTTTTATTTTGCTGCTTACAGTCCCCTCTAAAAGATTTTAGGGGTTATTAATGTAAATGAGTTCACAGAGACCTCCTAAGACACTCTGTAAATATTCCTTAATATTGCTTGTTGACATAACAAATCTTTGTCCTGAAGTAATTTATGAAAGTGTTTCCTGGCATCAGGGCTGTTATGTATGGCTACTTGGGCTCTGCACCAAGCACCTATGGGTGTATCATTCTCATAGACTATGCTTTCTATGGTGACACCTGGAAATGGACAATATAGTAGTCTTATCCGTGCTCTGTAAGTCATACAATGATTTCACAGAGTGGAGCTAAAGTAATGATTATGGTGTTGGCCAACTTTGGAAAAAACAAATTGATAGATGTACATATTAAGAGACAATACTCCATCTGGGAGATATGAGACACTATATTTAAGGAAACAATGTATCTTTTTCCAAATATGTCAAACAGGACAAGACCCAACATCAAATTTTAAAAGTCTTCATAAAATATTATTCTTTTTGCAGTAAACATGTTATAATAGTTAAAAAATAATACAGTTGAAAACAAAAATAAGGTGTATTTTCTATTAAATAGTTGTATCAAAATATCTTTAGGAATAATAAATGGTGATACAGTAGACACCAGGAAGCAAACAGTTCTCTTTGTATAGACTTGAGAACAATTTAATAAGAAAATTGTTTCTGAGGAGTACCTATATTTGGGGAGAAACATGGTAAGGGGCTTGCTAACTATTGTTTAGATTTTTGCTTACACTCCCTAAATAAAATACTCTACTTATTAACACAGATGCATCTGGCTTTATCCAATAGATAGATGCCTTCTCAAATAGTTACATGAAAATAAAATATATCATATTTCAAATGCATTAAGGACCTTATTGTGTTAAAAGAACCCTGTGAAGAAACCATTAGTAAAGAAAAACATTTTCTCAATAATAATCACCTTTTTTAGGGTACTCCCCCGGTTTCAATGTCCTAGAGGTTCTTTGAAAATAACTTTGGTCCTGCTTATAGGCTGCACTTCCCCTCCGCCCCAACCCAACTCTTTACCTTCTTTTGAAGGCTTTTATTTTCCCAGAACATGGATTCCCTCTCAATTCAGCACCTTTCCCTTTTTCCTTATAAAAGCTTCGTATACTTCTGATCAAGGGGCAACCATATATCAATTAAATGAAGAAAGAGGAGCAGAATAAGTAGAGGAAGAGAGGAAGAAGCATTTGGGGCAGTAGCCCAGGCATACCTAGCTCTCTGTTATTGAGAGCTTTCCACTTGCAGATTCTTCTGCCTGTCAAAAATCAGGGCCATCATAATGTACTCAGTGTAGTCTAGGATGCTGAACACATTTGTTCGGTTATTCTTATTGGGTTATTTTTAAGTACAAAGCTGTGGAAATCCAACTACATATTCCTATGCACTTTTCTCCTCGAAATCATCATATTCTTCTGGCTATGTGCATGCACACTTTCTGCCTAATCATTCTAGACTTCATGGTTTCCCCCATTCTAATTCCACACACTGAAAAGTCTTCATTCATGTATTTTAACTTGTTCTATAAGGTTATCAATTTTACCTGTGAATTTCTGTCCAGACTAATCCCTTCATACCATTTCTATAAGCTGTGCTCTACTCCATTAAACTAAAGAAAAACTACATTTTGCCTTTCTAGGAATATGAGCTTCATACATTTTCTAGTTCATGCAATCCTACGAAAATGGGTGAGGGGAGAATCTGGAGCATTATTTTGGTATTGGGGGTGTCTAGAATCCCTGAAATGTCACCAATTTATAACACTGTTCTCACAAAACTTTCCAGTGACACCTTATTGCTAAATCCGAGGAATATTTTATGGTCTTCATGTGAAGCATTTGATACAATGGACTACTCTTTCCTTCTTGAAATTCTTTTTCTTTCATATGTGGAATGTTGTTTTTTCTTAGTTTCCGCTATTTTTCTTGCTACACCCCTCATTCTACCTATTTCTTTTCTTTTTTTTTTTTTTTTTTTTTTTTTGAGATGGAGTCTCACTCTGTCCCCCAGGCTGGAGTGCAGTGGCGCAATCTCGGATCACTGCAACCTCCGCCTCCTGGGTTCAAGTGATTCATCTGCCTCAGCCTTCTTCTACCTATTTCTTAAATGTTCATCTCCAGATTTCTACCTCTACTTCTCCTCTTTTCATCCAGAAGTTTGTATCATCCACTCCTATGGTTTTAACTCTCACAAACACACCAATCATCCTAAAAACTGTAATTTCAGCCCAGACTTTCTCCTGAGTCCTAGTCCCATATCCGCAGCAGTTTATAACGTGCATAGACAGGAGAGCCATAGGAATCTCTAACATCATATGAACATCTACTCTGCCTCATCCCAACTTTAAATCTGGCCTTCTTCCTATGTTGCTCATCTCATTCCCAATTCTGCCCCTTCAACGTCTCTTGAATTAATTACTGCTTTTCCATTCCCGCTGCATTATTTCAAGCCCTTATTATTTCTTTAATGGACCAAATAATTGGCTCCTTTCCTAGTCTCACTTTCTAATCCACTTTCCTAAACCATAGTACAATTTTGATCACATCACTCCCTTGCTTAAAATCCTGAAATGATATTTCGATGCTTACAAGATAAAATCTAAATTCCCTAACATGGCACTAAAATCCTTCATTATTTGATCTGACTACCTCTTTACTTCTTCTACCCTCCTAATGCTCTACTTGTTTCCTAAACATGTTATGCCATTTTATTACCATGCCTGTTCTCTTTACAATTCCTTTCTCCTTTTCTTCACCTGGTTAACTTCAACTCAGTCTTCAAGAGTTGGTTAAGGAATTACTTCCTCCAGTATGCATTTTCTTTGATACTTCTAGAATGCCTTTGACTGCATTTTCATAACATCTGTGTGTACTTCTGTCATATCCTTTAGTTTAAAAAATATTTATTGAGCATCTTCTGTGAATTCTAGGTGACAATATTTGTCAGAGCACATAGTATGCAACATTATAATTGGCAGATGATGTAACTGCCTCCCCATGTCTTTAACCTGGGAATTTTCTTGAGGTCAGGGCTTAGATCACATACTCTATCCCCCCAGGACCTAGCACAGAGCCTGGTCATAGGAATAGTATGATAAATATTTGTTGGATTGATGTATAATATGGTGATACTGTGTGAACATAACTAAAGGTTGAAGCACTTTTCCAGTAATTCCTCTTCCTGTATGATTCAGGGTTAGGCTTCTCCAAAAGAGAAATCTACATGAGATAGAAAAGGCAGAAATAAAATAGCAACCATTCTTATGTTCAGAAGTTTGGTGTAAGAACTAGGTACTTTTGCAACTCAGCCATACTTTCATTGATGTGGCTTACCTTGGTGTGGGGAGGCAGCAAAGATTGCAGTTCTTTCAGCTCCTGATGGATTTTGTCTTCACCTTCTCTAAGCCCTGAGCCAGGAGCATCTGTACCTACAGTAAAAGGCACTAGTTCATCCTGCAGGTGTCCCTCATCATCAAGATTGAAGTAGATGATGGAAAATACAGGTTTTAGGTTGTCCTCACAGGCTCCAGTGTAGATATGTTACCCCCTACTCCACATCCAATTTCCCTTTCTGACTACTGGCTCTGCTGACTTTACACTCTCACTATATTCATAAGCAACAGCCTTATATAAACTGTTTCCTGGATCTTGTTAGGAAGAAAACATTTTTCCTTCAATTCTCCTAGGTTTTCCAGCTGGGACCCTGCGAATTAGACTGACAGAAGACATATTAACAAGTGAAAAACAGTTCATTAGTGCAAGCAGCACACATCATGCAGGAGAAATCTCAGATGAATAACTCAAAGAGATGGTTAGAAGTTGGCTTTATATAGCATCTTAGCAAAGAACAGTAAATTTGTAAAGAAGTGGCAAGGGAAAGAAAAAGAGTTTTAGGGTTCCAATGGCAGCAAACTCTTAGAAGGTAAATATATGGGTAACATCAAAAAGTGGGCAAAGGATATGAGCAGACACTTCTCGAAAGAAGACATTTATGCAGCCAAAAGACACATGAAAAAATGCTCATCATCACTGGCCACCAGAGAAATGCAAATTAAAACCACAATGAGATACCAGTTAGATCACACCAGTTAGAATGGCGATCATTAAAAAGTCAGGAAACAACAGGTGCTGGAGAGGATGTGGAGAAACAGGAATGCTTTTACACTGTTAGTGGGAGTATAAACTAGTTGAACCATTGTGGAAGACGGTGTGGCAATTCCTCAAGGACCTAGAACTAGAAATACCATTTGACCTAGCCATCCCATTACTAGGTGTATACCCAAAGGATTGTAAATCATGCTACTATAAAGACACATGCACACGTATGTTCATTGCAGCACTATTCACAATAGCAAAGACTTGGAACCAACCCAAATGTCCATCAATGATAGACTGGATTAAGAAAATGTGGCACATATACAACATGGGATACTATGCAGCCATAAAAAATGATGAGTTCATGTCCTTTGTAGGGACATGGATGAAGCTGGAAACCATCATTCTGAGCAAACTGTCGCAAGGGCAGAAAACCAAACACTGCATGTTCTCACTCATAGGTGGGAATTGAACAATGAGAACACTTAGACACAGGGCAGGGAACATCACACCCCGGGGCCTGTCATGGGGTGGGGGGATGGGAGAGGGATAGCATTAGGAGAGATACCTAATGTAAATGATGAGTTAATGGGTGCAGCACACCAACACGGCACATGTATACATATGTAACAAACCTGCACGTTGTGCCCATGTACCCTAGAACTTAAAGTATAATTTAAAAAAATTTTTAAAAAAGAAGGTAAATATATGGGGAAAACTAATGAAGTAAGGCTTGTTTGTATATGTCCATTAAATTGTCCATCTTTTTTATGGCCATAAAACTTCTCTGAGAGAGGGGATTTATGGCAATCTTCATTTCTCAGAAGTTTCCACTTTTAGTCAGATAAGGGAAGTTCTAGAAAAGTTTCTTTCTGCATCTGTTGATTCCCTTTTGCCTCTATCTCAAAATAATTCTTATGCCAAAGTGACATATTTTGGGGTGGCATAGTCTGGTTCCCCACAGTACTACAGTTGCTTAACATTAAATTTCTATGATAAGTTTCTTATGCTATATTTTCATAACAATTCTTCTTAGATCAAATACTAATTGATACAGTATATGATACCAAATGTAGTTCTAGGGTACCCACAGAGCCTTAATTATAAATTCCTCTATTGATTCTAACTTATTTGTAACTGATTGTCTGAATTGATTAGATCTAAAGGTTCAAATTGCCTTTTTCCCAGTGGTGACACAGATATGCTAGTACATGCCATGTAGTGGCAAGAGTTACTTAAGTCATCACCTGCAGATGCTTGTAATAAAGGACAACATTTGGAGGGACCGAGAATTTGCTCTCATAAAACACTTTAGTGGAAAATAAAGTATTCTAATGGGTTGATTTGTTACATCTAAGTGCGTTGGAGAAGGCAGAGAAAGAGACCTGTGGCCACTTATCGGGTAACTGCGTATCTAGAAAAGGGGAATAATCAGACTTTGGGGGTGATAACTGGACACTGTCTATGAGTTGACATTAATTACTGGAGACCAAAAATGCCAATATGGTCCACCAATAGGAGTCATGTAGGTCTGACAGTAGTAGAGTACCTCAGGTCTGTCTCATAGTGGACCTGCAAGTCCTCAAACTCCCACTGTGGCTATTTCCCCAGTTCCAAATAGATAGTTGGAATATACATACTCAGCAACTGGAAGAATACTTATCTTGGTTTTCCGATCTATGAAGTGAGGACTATTAGGGTAAGGAAGAAAAGCAGAAGCCATTAAAACTGCTTTTACCTACCATTTCCCATCCAAGTCAACTGTTTAACCTGTGCAGAAGGCAAATCAAGCACGGAAAATGAATGACAGCAGATTATCATAAATTGAAGTCAAATTTCAATTGCAGCTGCTCTTCCAGAAGTGGTTTCATTGCTGGAGCAAATTAACATATTTGTTGATGGCAGAGGCACAGTGCACAGTGGGCTTCTGGATTTTGGAGCATTTGAGTCTTTATTTTGGTCCTCATTTGGGTTCAATCCATGTAACGAGTATCTCAAATGGATGCCAGTTTTGAGTGGGCTCAGAACAAGAGAAGGCGCTGCACAAGGTCCGGACTCATGCAAGCCACTCAGCCACGTAGGCTTCGTTAATCTAGCAGATCTAAAGTGCTTGACATACAGCAGATCTGGGAGCTTGAAGTGTCAGGAACGGATAAAGATGCTGTATGGAACTTTGGCCAGGCCCCTATTGGTGAATCACAGCACAGTCATTTATGCAGGAGATAAATGAGATATGCAGGTATTCTCCTTTTGATAAACAGTTTCTGACTTTCTACTGTGCCTCAGGGAAAATCTCCAAGTTACCATGTGACCTAAGCTGCCCCTCATAAATTGGCTGTTGTCTGACTAACTGAGACACAAATTTGGACCTGCACAGCAGCACTCAGTCATCAACTAGAGACTATAGATTAGCTTAGTCTCAATTAGGTCCTGGAGGCAACAAGTAAGTTACATGAGCAAATGGCCCAGCTGCACATTACCCTTGCTCCTGCTGTATTATCTTCTCTCTCCCAGCCTGCATGTATGGTCTCATGAGGAATTCCTTATGAGCTGATCTGAAGAAGAAAAAACTCAAGATCAGTTTACAATATTGCAGTCACCACCCAAAAGTTGACAGATGTACTATTCCTGTCTCACTCTGGATGGCCCTGAAAGAAAGTTGTGAAGGGAAGTCCTTCTCATAGGCAAAATTTTGATCAGTGCATCTGGTTGCTCATTGTGCCTGAGGAGAGATGGCTGGAGGCGCACAGATCTACACTGATTCATGAGCTTAGATAGTGGTTTGGCTGGATGTCGGGGACTTGGAAAAATATAATACTGGAAAAGTAGTGACAAGGAGATCTGAGGAAGCACTATGTGGATAGACCTTTGTCAATAGGCATAGAGTGTGATGATATTTGTGTACCATATAAATGCCCATCAAAGAATTACCTCAGCAGAGAAGTAGCTTAATAATCAGATGGACAAGTTTGCCTGTTCTATGTAAGCCAGACAGCTAACTTATTTCTCCAACTCCTGTCACTGCCCAATATATTCACAACCATAGTAGCTATAGTAACAAGGTTGAAGATTATGCATGGGCTGAGAAACATAGGCTTTTTCCTACCATGATTTATCTGGCTACAGCCACTGCTGAGTGCCTAACCTGCCAAAAGCAGAAATCAACAATGAGCTCCTAATATGGCAGCATTCTCTAGAGGTATCATCTAGCTTCCAGGTAGTAGATTTATTGTATTGGACTCCTTGCATTAATAGAAAGGGTGGGGTTTACATTGGAATAGACACTTACTCTGGATAGAGGTTTACCATTCCTGTCTATAATACTTCTACTATAACCACTATACGTGTCTTCTTACCCCTCATGGTATTCTACAGAGCATTGCTTCTGACCAAGGAACTAATTTTATAGACAGTAAGGTATGGTAATGGGCTCATGCTGTGAAGACCCTGTGGGTCATCCACATCACTGAAGTTAGTAGTGATGAGAGAAAGATGCACATTCCAACTTATCTTCATGGATTCCAGCTTGTATTCACAAGTTCATTTGCTCGTGTGGTTTCCACTTTGTCCTTGATGATTTCACTTCATTCTCATACATTCCAGCTTAACCTCATGGGTTCCGGTTTGTCCTTGCTCACCCCAGTTTATGCCCATCTTTCTTTCCTGGTTGCCAGCCCTGATTACTTCAAGCCTGTTAAATCAAGTTTAGCCTAAAGCTGCCTCCTTACATATTTAAGTTCAGCCTGAAGGCTTTTTTTTTTTTTTTTTTTTTTTTTGAGGCAGAGTCTTGCTCTGTCTGTCAGGCTGGAGTACAGTGACACAATCTCGGCTCACTGCAACCTGCGACTCCCAGGTTCAAGCGATTCTCCTGCCTCAGCCTCCCAAGTAGCTGGGATTACAGGCACAGGCCACCACGTCTGGCTAATTTTCATATTTTTAGTAGAGACGGGGTTTCACCATGTTGGCCAGGCTGGTCTCAAACTCCTGACCTCAGGTGATCCACCCAACTCGGCCTCCCAAAGTGCTGGGATTACAGGCATGAGCCACTGTGCCCAGCCATACCTAAAGGTTTTTCTGTACATCATGAACTATGACAAATGAAGATGTAAACCAACCGTAGCCCACAGTCGTGCCAATCACTGAGTTTTGACCAATCAAATGTAACCAACTGTTCAAACTGTGTTGAAATAAGGCAAACACCGAGCTGTAACCAATCTAGTTGTTTCTGTACCTCACTTCCGTTTTCTGTACTTCACTTTCCTTTTGCTGTCCATAAATCTTCCACTACATGGCTGAGCTGGAGTCTCTGAATCTGCTATGATTCTGGGGACTGCCTGACTCACAAATCATTCATTGCTCAATTAAACTCCTTTAAATTTAATCTGGCTGAAGTTTTTCTATTAACATGACCAACACTAGATGCAAAAGCAACAGCCTCACATGGACCACTTAACCATATCCCACAATAGCATAACATCAAAGTTCTATAATAAATCCCTTACTTTATATCAATTATAGTAGCTCTGCTTCTCTGTCCAAACCCTGGAATGTATAGGAATGATATATGCAAGCTGTATAAGTTTCCGATGTAGCTTACAGTGTTGTATTTCTGATGTAGTCATTAGTTCATATGACAGGGTTTGTCCTTGTTGCTTCGTTTTGTTTACCTTTAAAAAGCAAAGAAAAAATCATTTTTGCTTGGGGCAATCTTCTTTCATCTTTGCTCCTGTAATGTGCTGCTTCTGAGCATAATTTAGCATTTCAAGGTCTAATTAAAATGGCAATGCATTTCAAAATGCTGAAACTAACAGTGAAACTAAAAAGTGGGGTGTTCCTTTGGCCTACGACTTCATACGAATCAAGTAATTTCATAGTTCTGTTCTTACTTAATCTGCAATTTCTCTATCTCTGTGCTGATTTGGAAAAGACTATTTTATGTTTAAAGAATATGAAAATGACTATCAAAATGGGCACATTGCACTCTGCTTAATTAAGGGTGGCAGAATGTACATTATACTCAAAGCAAAATAAATCTGATTAAAGACTTTCTGAATAGGTCCTATCTTCATCTTGAGCTTAGCTAAAGTATCCGTGGGAGATTGCAGTCAGCAGGAGCAGCTATAGCAATTCCACAGATCATTTGGTCAGATGCTTTCTTCTAACTTTTTTTTTTTCATTTAAAGAGGAGAAAAATTAAAGCTTGGAGTCTCAGGGGATGGTAATATTATTCTCTCCCATCAGGATGTAGAAGGGTCTCAGGGGATCCATTAGATCCCTGGTTCTGGAAGGATATAACTGTGAAACTAACTGAATCTCATATATTAATCCACCTGTACTTCCTGAGCAACCACATAGGTTGCTGGCCTGGGTATTATGTTCAGCAATTTCTGCTACATACTGTTTATGAGATGCCTCAGAGCCAGGCCCAAGGAATGTTAGGACAAACTACCCAGAATTAGCAACCTTCAGGAAAATGAAGGGGACCTTTTAATTTTTCTCTCCCTAATCATAGTTTATCCTCATGTACCCATGCTGCATTGGGTAGGCCAGGTGTGTTAGGTAGAATAATGTGCTTCCTCCCCAGAGATGTTCACATCTTAATCCCTGAAACTTGTGACTATGTTAGGTTACGTGGCAAAAAAGACTGAAGGTTGCAGATGGAATTAAAGTTGCTAATTAGGTGGCAAGATTATCTCAGACTATCTGGGTTCAATGTAATCACATGGGTTCTTACAAGTGGAGGAGGGCAGTAGAAGAAAGAGAATTAGTGAGATGGCAGCATGAGAAAGATTTGACTCAGTGTTGTAGGCTTTCAAAATGGAGGAAGAGGGTCACTAGCTAAGAAATGTGGACAGTGTCTAGAAGCTGAAACAGGCAAGAAAATGGATTCTCCCCTAGAGCTCCAAAAGGAATGCAGCCCTGCCAATACCTTCATTTTAGCTCAGCAAGATGTATTTTGGATTTCTAACACTCCAAACTGTAAGAATAATACATTTCTGATATTTTAAGGACAACTAAGTTTGTGGTAATTTGTTAGAAACTTTCAGCAATAGAAAAATACATGAGGCAACAAGTTTCAACATTCAACTATTTCTGTGCTAACCATCAAAATGGCCATGTGAAGGCCTCTTTTCTGACCTTTTATCTTCCTTCCTTTTGTCTGCTCTCTTTTGCTGGAATTCTAACAGCCCTTTCATTTCCCCTGTGAACTCTGTGTGCTCATATTATCTTAGACCCAGGTTCATAAGTCTGTTTATAGTTTATTTACTATAAACTATATAAACTATAAACTATAGTAAATAAACTAAGGCTAAGAGGGAGATGCAGTCACATCTCCCTGTTAGCCTTGTCTCCCTTCACCCAATCCATTTTGTGCTTTCATATGCCTTCTTGCTCACGTCAAAGACCACTGAGATTTGTCCATCTCTCGTTCCCATGCCAAGATTCAACACACAGCCCTGGTCCTACTCTCCTACTGTATTAAAAATCCTATTTCCTCAGTGCAGTTTGCTTATTAAATGTTAGAAAAGCAAGCTGATTAATCTAATTCACACTGAGTCCTTTTCCTTCAGCCATCTAAGGAGCACTTGTCACAGAAGAAGGGAATGACCTATGTGTTTAGCAGGATGAGGAAGTATGGCATTAAAATATAAAAGTTGCTTCCTTTCAACCCACCAGCATGTTATGACTGCTAAAAACAGATCATTTGTCTGATTTCAGGATTATATCTTCTACTTTGTTCCCTCTTTGAACTTTATGAGACCAGAGGAATTATTTATTCTGGTATCATACACTTCTTAATCTCCACGTTCATTATCCCCTAAAATTCTTTCTCCTTTTGTCTCTATATGGTACCTAAACTGGGTTATCACCTTTATTTATTCATACAATTATTCACTCAACAGCAGTCAGTAAGTACCTACTCCATACCAGGCACTGTTCTGGATGTTGAGACTGCAGTATTTAACCAATCTTGAATCTTTCAAACAAGTAAATATTTTTCCCGAAAGGACAAGGGGTGAGGGAAAGGTTTTTTTTTTTTTTTTTTTTTTTTTTTGTATTTTTTAATGTACTTTAAGTTCTGGGATACATGTATCCCAGAATGAAAGAGGAAAAGTATTTTAATCAGAAAGCCATGGTAGCATGGAGCAGGTACAGGTGACTAGGGAACTTTAAAATTTTGGTACAAATAGAGCACAAATGTATGGGGGGAAAATGGCAAGATATAAAGCTGGAGAAATAGGAAACTGACATTACTGAAAGCCAGACTAAGGTGTTTGGTTTTTGCCCTACGAGAATCTATCAAAAGTATTAAGCAAAGGCGAGACATGGTTAAATTTGTAAGAGTGGTTACATTGGCTTGAAGTGTGAAGAATAAATTGGAGGGAAATACCCATGAGTAAATTATTCTAATTACATGGGCAAGAGAATATGAAGTCTAGAAGTAAGGCAGTAACAGTAGCAATGGAGGGAAGAAGACAAGTTGAAGATATATTCTAAATATTGGTGAATAATTAGATGTGGAAAGATGAATGAAAAAGAGTTTTCTAAGAATCCAATAGGCCTGTCTTGAGTGGTTAATATGATTAAATATTTTATTAATATTTACTGAATGCCTATACTATACAAAACACAAAACTACAAAGATAAATAAGATATAAACCCAACTCTCATGGAGTATATTGCCCATTGAGAAAATTGACACATACACAGATAATTTCAGAAAAATATGGCATATGTAATGCAAAAAGTCTATACAGATGCCATGAGAAGTCTGAAGCAGGGCACATAGCCTGGCTCAAAATCTCCAGGAGGAAATTGCTGAGAGTGTGTTGGAGTTTTCTATATGGATAAATGCAGGAAGGAAAAGTACAACAAATCGAAGTCAGCACACTATTTACAGAGAAGGACGTGTAATTTGCTAGTAGTAGACTATACAGAAGGAGTGAGAAATAACCAAAAAAATATGATGCTTTAGAATCACATGGGGGCCAAATCATGAAGTATCCTGTAAATTATGATAAAGGAATCAACTTTTATTCCCTAGAAGATAGGGATCCATTAAAAGTTTTAAATATGGGTGTATAATTGTCAGATTATTTTAGAATGATCAACCTGGCCACTAAATGCAAGAAGATGATTGACAAAAAGTGGAAAACGGAAAGGCAGAGAGGAAAAGGGAAGATGCTAGGGTAATTCTCAGGTTGCATTATTAGATGCCTAGATAGATGATGCAATTTACTAAAACAAGTAGTAGATGATGAATTCAGATAGGGTCACATTTAGACTAAGGTACAGGAGGCATGCAACAAGAGTCAGGAGTTCGAGATCAGCCTGGTCAACATGGTGAAAACCCATCTCTACTAAAGATACAAAAGATTAGCCAGGCATGGTGGTGTGTGCCTGTAATCCCAGCTATTCGGGAGGCTGAGGAAGGAGAATTGCTTGAACTCAGGAGGCGGAGGTTGCAGTGAGCAGAGATCACACCATTGCACTCCAGCCTGGGCAAGAGGGCAAGACTCTGTCTCAAAAAGTAAATAGAAAAATAAATAAAATAAAAATAAAGAGAAATATAAGTCCAGAGCTCAGGAGAAAGGCCTAAGTTGAAAATCCTATTTTAAGTGTCAGTGTTAATATAGGTTGTAGTTGAAACCCTGGAAGATGATAATATGGCCCAAGAAAAGCATGTAAAGAGAGAACAACATTGGGCCAAGGAGGGACTCATGAGAGACATAAATGTTTAAGAGACAGAAAGAAGAGAAAGAACTGTTGAAGAAGATTGAAAAAGAGTGGCTATAAAGACAAAGGAACAAAAACAAAAACTAGTGTTATGGAAGCCCAGGAAATAGAATGTTTTAAAACAAAGGTGAAGTAGAAATCAATTTCAAGCATAGCAGATAGATGCAATACGTTAAAAATAGAGAGCTAGCTATTGAATTTGTCAGCTTGGAGATTATTAGCCTCCTTAGTAAAAAGCCTTTAGTGGAGTGGTGAGAAGAGAATCTAAATTGCAATGCATTGAGGATTGCATTGCAAATGAATAAATGGAGAAAGCAAATATGGAATACATTTTCAAGAAGCAAGGCTTAAAAAGCAAAGACAGACAGACCAGAGTGAAATTAGTAGAGAGAGAGCATAAAGAAATAGAATAATGAGTAACTAACTTATCCCAGAAAAGGAGCTGATTCTAAATATGACCAAAAACCAGGGTAAGGGAATGAACTTGATTTGAAGAAAGGACACATCTTTCACTGAGAATCGAGAAAAGAAAAACCAGAGGCCAAGGAAAATATAGTAGAGGAGGGCCAAGAGACTGGGGAAAACTCATATCTGATAACTCTAACTCTCTTAATGAAGTCATGCAACATCATCTGCTGATAGTTGGATACAGGACTTAACGAGACTAGGAAAAATTTGGTACAATCACTGAAAGAAATGACAAGCAAAAATGATGTCCAAGAAGTATCAAGAATCCAACTGAGATTGATGGTCATGAATTTTTAGAAGGATTTTCTCTTACAGTATGAAGATGCTCTGGGACAAGACTAGAGAAACGTATTGTGGGACCAATTCCACATGGTATTTGTCCAGGAAGATTCAATGACAGAATATAATGCAATAAGTGGTGGTGTCACTCACTGAGAAAGGAGATACATTTCCCTCAACCTTTTCTTTCTCCAAGGAGTTACTTTGGAGTAGTAGAAAAAACAACATATTGAAGTGTCAGAGACCAGGGTTCTATCCTAGCATGTACTAACTCTGAGACCTTGGATAAATCATTTCCCGGGCCTCAGTTTCTCCATACAATCATGATGGGTTTAGGTGATCTCTAAAACCCTTTTCAGCTCTGACATGCTGTGACTCTGTGAAACATATCATAATTCCCAGAATCAGGATCAAGAAAGTCTCATAAACATGCAAGTGTGAACATACTATACTGCCAGGCTTGGAAGGTGCAATTTGGTCAAATCCTCTCATGTCTGCCTCTTCACTGATCCAGATCCTCTTTAGTCTCTTCAATCTCTAAGCCCAAACAAAGACACAGGCCACTGCAAGAAACATTCAAGAGTACCCAATGCCTTTCCAACATACGACAATTACATGGCTCAAGTCTAAGCATGTTTGACAAATTCAGAAATGTCTCAAAGCGCATACCCTTTACTCAGGAGCAGAGGCCAAATGTCCCCTTTTACTTATGAATGCCAATGCATTTGTGCTGTTTCCAGGCCTCTAATCTTATCATTTCATAGACACCAAATTTATCCTAAAAGCTAAAGTTAGAAGAGTAATAGCCTTAACATTTACGCTATGAGAACCAAAATGTTTTTTAGGTGTCTGGCCTCCATGTAATTAATCAAGGCACTTCAAATTTAACTTGACTTGAAATTCTAAGCCAAGAGATAAGGATTAGCTCTGAAGTCACATATCTCTTAAATCACATAAACCCTCTGATGGATTTGAAATACAAAATTTATCTTCCTCAAGTGGTTGAAAGACTAGACATTTTCTTTCATTTCTGAAGTGCTAAGGTAAAATTCTGAATGCATGTCTACCACTACTAAAGAAAGTCTTTGTGATCTTGTTTGGATTTTAAAATGTATTTATTTATCTTGCAGGAAGTATTTCCTGAATGAACTTGTTCAGTGTTCTACATAGACTGGTCCTCTATAATCTCTCTCAGCCAGGGCTGACACCTTCCTCCAGCCAAGCCTCTATCTGGTCCACACATTCATTCATTTATTTAATCAGTCAACATACATTATGAGAGTTTATGATGTGCTAGGTATTGGACTAGGCACTGAAAATATGTAAATAAATCAGATATTGCCTTCAAGGAGTACACAGGCTAGTGGTAAATACAGGCATAGAAATATATCATTACATTAGAGACAAGATTAATAATAGGCATATGCTAAAGAATCAAACCAACTTGGGTTTAAATACTGGGTCAGCTATTTTTAGCTGTCTGACCTTGGGCAAATTACTTATAATGCTTTAGTCTTAAGTTTTCTATATATTAAAAAAAATACAATATTGGGGCTTACTTCAGAGCACTGTAGTAAGGATTAATGTTTTACATATAATAAGTACTTAATAAATGGTAACTACTTAGATAAGTGGGTTTTCCCATAGAGCTAGGAAGGGTTAAATATTCCGGTTTGTGCAAAGACACAGAGATGTATGGAAACATTTGGTATATGTGGGGAAGAGTTAATAACTAAGTTTCGGAAGAGTTAGAGAAACAGGAATCTGAAAATGTTGCTTTGCAATAAGGGGTCATTTGCTTTCCAGTATTTGGCAATAAGATCATATGAAAATGAAACACAGATGTTAATCAATCAAAACCTTAGAGAAAAGAAGATAATTTCTTCAAGCCAAGATGAAGTAACAAGAACCATATTTACCTGCCCACATGAAGCAATTAAAAAAAAAAACGTGGAAGTATATGAAACAATGGTATTCAAGACACCAGAAACATCAAATAATGAAAGACAATGGAAGAGATGGAAAACAAATAAAGTGAGCCTTATGATAAACCAATTTGTTGTCTTGAGAGAATTTCCAGGCTGTAGAGCAAAAAAAAAAAAAAAAAAAAAAACGAAACATAGGCAGAGCCTGGAAAACCCTTTGAGTTAAGGAAACAGAACTGAGAGCCCAGGGAGTCCATAGCTGCTAGAGTTCCCATGATAGCCAAAGAAGAGAGAGCTATACAGAGAAAGAGTCCTGGAGATTAAAGAGAGTCCTCCTCAAGTATTCAGCAGAGCACGCATGTGAGGAAGTTATCAAGGGCTAGGGGGATGAATTAGCCAGCCAGAGCTTGCATAACAAGTTACTGAAATACAGGCAGCTTAAACAACAGAAATTTATTTCTCACATTTCTGGAAGCTAGAAGTCCCAGATCAAGATCTGGCAGGGTTAGTTTCTGGGGATGGTCACCTACTGGCTTTCAGACAGTAACCTTTTTGCTGTGCTCTCACATGATGCTTTCTTAGTGCATGCAGAAAGAGAGAGAGGGGAAGAGAGAGAGAGAGAAAGGGGGGGAGAGAGAGAGAAAGAGAGAGACAGAGAGGGGAAGAGAGAGAGAGAGAAAAGGGGGGAGAGAGAGAGAAAGAGAGAGACAGAGAGGGGCAGAGAGAGAGAGAGAGAGAGAGAATGTTTTCCTCTTTTTATAAAGCCGCCAATTCTATCAGAATAGAACCCCACACACTTATACCCTCATTTAAACTTATTAGGCATCTGTAAGTTCTACCTCCAAATACAGTCACATTATGGCTTCAACATATGAACTTTGGAATGACACAATTCAGTCCATAGCGGGAGAGAGCCATCTGATAGAATTAAAGGGAGCAGTGTCTCGCAGTTACATAAGACTGGGAATAGTGAATGTTCCCACAAACCAGACTGGAAGATTCATAATTTACAGGTCATTGGATAGAGTACACAGAAAGGTCTAGCCTCAGTAATGATAAGTAATTAGCTCTACATGGAAAAATTCTCTGGATCCACCAAAAAAATTAAAAAAGCAACATGTAAAGGGTCCACACTTTTCAAGTCACTTAACTGTATCCCAAAACAAAGCTTAAGAAGATTTATAGAAATAGAAAAATATTCAGCAACTAACAAAGTAAAATTAACAATATCTGGCCTCCAGTCAAAGATTACCAAGCATCGAAAGTAGCAAAAAAAAAAAAAAAAAAAAAAGCTACGCATAATGAGGATAATTAAATAATTGAAACCAAAACTCACCCAAATGTTAAAAAATAGAAGACAATAATATTACAACAGTTATAACTGTGTTCCATGCATTCAAAAAGTTAAGTAGAAATGTGAGCAATTTAAAAGACACTCAAACCCAACCTCTAGGGATAAAAGGACACAGTGTCTGAGATTAAAAATACACTGGATAAAATTAAGAGCAGAAAAAAAATCAGTAAACTCAAGGACAGAATAATAGAAACTATCCGAAATGAAATACATGGGGAAAAATGTATTTTTTCTCTGAATTACCAAGAACTTTTGAAAAGTTATATTTTATTTGTAGTTGACAAATAATAACTGCACATATTTATGGAGTACAATGTGATGTTTTGATACATGTATACATTGTGTAATGATCAAATCAAGATAATTAGCAAATCTGTCACCTCACACATTTATTATTTTTTATGTTGAGAACATTCAAAATTCTCTCTTCTAGCTGTTTGGAAATATACAATACATTATTGTTAATTACAGTCACCCTACTGCAATAGAACACCAGAACTTATTCCTCCTAACTTTATAACCGTTGACCAATGTCTCCCCATACCTCTTTCCTCCAGCCCTCCCCAGCACCTGGTAACCACTATTCTACTCTCTGCTTCTATGATATCTACTTGAACAGTGTATTTTAAAACTAAAAAGACCATCAGTGAGTCTGGAAATACCCGAAGTAGCCTAATTTATGGGACTCCCAGAAAGAGAGAAGAGAAAGGAAAGAAAACAAATAATTTCTGGAGAGAGGAATGAGATGACTGACTAGAAGTAGCCAGGAAGCACTGCTCCCACCGAGAAAGACAGAAATTGAGTAAACCAACATAATTTGAATAGCTCTTCAGAGAGAAAATGACAATAGTTGATGCAAAAGCCACACAGACACTGCGGCTTAATAGGGAGGAAGCTGGGAGCCTTGTGAGGGGTACCCACATGCTAGGGCTACTTCCCAGCCCCAAATGGCTCCTGGGGAAGGGGTTAGTGAAAAGACTATGGGACTCCCTACTCTCACTGTGGCCCTCTGGGATCCTAGCTGCAGGGAACCCCATGTCCCCCATGGATATTTGAGCTGGCAGAGGGATGTTCTCAGAGAGTAGGCAGAGTCAGGGCTTTAGCCAGCATGGAACCAGAGACCTTTGTGCACGGGGCAGCCATAGGAACACACCCCCACAGGGCTCTACATCTCCTTCCAAAAAGCTCTAGACCCAGTTGAATGCTGGACCTGGAGAAAGTGGGGCCGTCTTCCCTGTGGTACTGGGGCACATCTGTTCTGCACGCCCCCCTGCCACGAGCCCTTCCAAGAGCCACTGCTTGGCTGCCCCACAGGAACATGTGCATGGCACAGTCTCTGATGCCTGGCCTTGGTTCCTTGCTGTACCTGAGGATGTTCCCAGTGGCCTGTTCTCAGACCTCCCAGTACACCCAAAACCTGATGCCAAAGGTCGAGAGGATGGAGCCATGGGCAGGTACCCATGCCCCAGGGCTGCTGCATACAGCTTGAGAGTGCGGAGCCAAGATTTGTGGCTGGCACTTCAGTGAAGGAGGAGCCACACTCTCAGAACACTGAGAAGGGTGACACACGCAGTTTCATGCACTGGCACGGGAGCAGGGTGAGACACCCTACACAGGGCCAGTATGGAGAGTGTGGCCTATCTCCCTGTGGTGGCCTCCACTCAAGGGAGCCTGATAGCCCAGAACACCTAATAAAAGAAATGTGAATACAGTGCCAGTGACAAGAGGCAGCCCCCCCAAGGCCCAGGAGTGGACCTGGTAAGAGGGGGGCATCGGTCTTCCTCATGCAGCGCAGAGCAGAGCTGCAAATGCCAGGAAGTATTAACACAAAGGAGACACGCAGCTAAGAGCCTATCTATGGGCCATTAATCCTAAGCGCCATCTACTGGATCATAGCGCAAACTACAACATCCAAAATAAATTGCAAGTACACCCTCCCTGTGAAAATAAGGGCAAGAATTCAGCCCCAGATGAAGACTGTGTACAGAGTGCTGGCCCTGTGAATACATCCAGAAACAAAGCCAAGTGACTATATTCAAATTACACACCAGTTAAAGGAACACAAACCCTTCCAGGTGAGAAAGAATCAGCATAAGAACTCTGGTAATTAAAAACACCAGTGTCCCCTTACCTCCAAACAAGTTCACTAGCTCCCCAGCAATGGTTCTTAACCAGTCTGAAATGACTTAAATGACAGACACAGAATTCAGAATCTGGATGGCAAGGATGTGCTCATTGAGATTGAAGAGGAAATTGAAATCCAGTTCAAGGAATGCAGTAAAACAATCCAAGAGCAGGTGTCCTGAGAACCCATACATTCCACAGAGGATCTGAGAGCCTAACAAGAAAAAAAGTCTCAGTGTCCAAACACATTAGGAAAAGAGCCAGAAAATTAGCTTAAAAGCAGTTTAGAAATGGGAGACAGCACACATCTCTAGAGCTGTCCTGCGTCTACACAGGAGTGCCCTGTATGTAAATCCTAATAAACTCATCTACTCATCAAGCTGGACTTTTCTGAGTCATTCTTCGGTCTCTCAGTTCCTTTCCAAATTTTTTTGCGGGGGGAGGGAGGTTGCAGTCTCACATTTTTCTTGTAACAGTTGGCATCGCGGACAGGATATGAGAGATCAAATGATGAGTCAAGAAGGGGTCTCTGCTGAGGGAATCCCGGGGTGGTTGGCAATATGCATGTGTGGTGGAGTTGCCCAGATGCTCAACCGTTTTGAGCCACCATGTGAGTACAGGGACATTCGGAAAATGCTGGTGGGGATTGAGGAAATATTGCAGAAAGTTAAAATATTAAAGTATGATAGGAGAGTCAATACCTTGTTGTTGCAATAAGGCCGGCTACTGAGAAATTATTAGAGCAGGAAAGGAAAAAAGGTAGTAACTCCTGCAGAAGTTCAAAGGCATCCCAGGTTTTCTAGGACTCCAGCTTGTTAACTATTCTGGCCCTTTCCTCTGTACATTTTTAAATGCATGGGCAAATTACAGCAAAAGTAAAATCAGAGCTCAAATGGTTAACCTGCAACTATAGTTAAGTCGATTTTTCTAAAGCTTTCCCTCTAATTCTCTCTTTATTCCCTTTTCTATCTGCTTTGAATCTTCTGTTATTAAGCTACTATGTTGAGATAAAACTCACTGTTTATGGTACTTCCAACTCAAGGCCACCGGAGATTTTGTTTTTCTTATACAGTTCAGCCAGTTCTAGCTAAAATGTAAACATCAAAAACTCAGTTGAAACTGTGGGGAAAGAAAGGATAAAAGAGGTTTTTTTTAGAATAAAACTGCTATGGAAACCGTTTCACCCAAAATGTTGGACCATAGCCTTCATTGGATTACCTATAAGGCAAACAAATTTTAATCATGTGAAGAGGTCCCAATTTTGTCAGAAGTAATTTGGGTCCAGCTGTCATTTGTAAAATAGTGAGTTTGTGATGCTGTCTCGTGGCTAGAGTTCTGAGGGAAAAGCTATTGAATATGTGTGTATGTGTGTATACGTGTTTAAATGTGTTTATCTCTACGCACATGTATTAGATGTTGTGTTTAGCATAATCACAAATTGGCTTACAAGTAAATGAGCACTCATAAAATAAAGAAATCCAAATGTCTTTCAAGTTCATGTGAATTTAGTGATCTTTAATAAATAAAACTGGCTTTAAAATTATTGGTAAAATAAAAATAATGTCTTCAGAATTGTCAGCACACATTTTTGTCTGGGTATACTAATTAGATAAGTTTTATATTTGCCTTTACTAGATATTTTAAGGTATCAGGGTTTGACATGAAGTTTATAACACCATAAACCCAGACAAAAATGATCTTTTTGTTTGTGTGATTTTTTGATAAGCAAGACTGATCTTTGATTAGTCTTTGCTTGGAATGATCTTTGTTTGTCTGATTTTTTGATAAGCAAGACCAATTTGATAGTATTGGCTTAATTAAAACAGCTACATTTTCTGAGTTATTGGTAAAAATAACCATGTTTGTAACTTTAAGGCTCTCGTTTAGGTGAACACCTGATATTCGCAGGCTAAGAAAATGGTTAACAAGGAGATAACTTGGAATGATCACTAGCTTTGTCTAATGTCTTGGTTCTCATGAGTAATCTAGATTAACTGCTAAAAATAAATTGAGTAAATGTAAATGAAATAAATCCTTGTAGATGGACATTTTGTGTAGTTTAAAATCTTAAAATTATTTTTAGGTACTTGCTGAATGTGTAGGTCATTTCCAATTGAAAAGTGGTATAATATAGTTCGATGGTCACACTTCTGAGTCTGTTAATGGTAAATAACATCTGTGACAATAGGGGAAGCATTGGTTGGCCTCAGTGAATTAGATAGAAACAAGACCCAAGTCCAGAAAGCAATGAAGGATTGAAAAGGGAAGGGGAAAAATGGGTGTCTGTATACTTGCTTCAGCTGAGACAAGTAATGAACATGAAACGATACCACCTGCCAAGGGGATACTCTTAAATCACCCAAACAATGCAGAAATTACACAATTTACAAGCATTCAGGCTGGCCAAGACCCCCATAACAGCACTGTGTTGCCTGTGAAGAAGCCAGATGGCATCTGGACAATTACAGTAGACTACTGTAAGCGAAACAAAGTGATGATCCCTGTACATGCAATTGTACACAATATTGTTCAACTGCTAGGGAAAGTGGTCCTTAAGCTAGGAAGTGTCCATGCTATCATTGACTTGGTTAACACCTTTTTCAGTATTCCTTTATCAGGAGATTAACAAGACCAGTTTGCCTTCCCTTAGGAGGGCCAACAATGGACTTTCCAGGTGCTACCACAAGGGTACCTGCACAGCTCCACCATCCCTCAGAGTATGGCTGAGCAAGACCTGTCTAAACTCTCTTTGCCTGCCTTGGTCACCTTGTTTCACTATATTAATGATAACATGCTAACCTCTGAGTCTCTTACAGATATGAAGACTGCCCTACAAACTGTCTGGGATGGCCTAAAGAACAGGGGATGGGAAGTCAAACTCAAAATGATACAGGGCCCAGTGCAGCCATCAAATTCCCAAGAGTTATGTGGTTGCATAAGACATGAAACATGCCCAGAATTGTCACTGATAAGATAGCACAGTAGCCTGTTTCCCAGAGAGTAAACTAATTTCAGGTTTTCCTAGGTTTACTGGGCTACTGGTGACTACTTATTCCTCATTTGGCACAAACAGCCCACCCATTATACCCCCTAATAAAGCAAGGTAGAAAAATGAGACTGGACACATATAGACAAAGAACATTTGACAAAACGAAAATGTTGGTGAAACAAGCCCAAGCACTAGAGGTCCCACTGCCACAGCATCCTTTTGTATTAGAAGTCACTAGAGATGTCATGGGGATAAATTGAAGTTGGTGACAAAAGTAACCAATAGAAATGATACTTGTAGGGTTTTGGTCTCAATTATGAAAGGGGGCAGAATCCCACTATACAGTCCTAGAGCAACAGCTGTTGAGCACATATAGGGAATTGCAACAAGTGGAACCCATTGCCGAAAAGCAGTACATTACAGTAAAAACTGCCTACCCCATAAAAAGATAAGTGGAAGGCCTCCTAGCCTAGCCCACCTCTGGGGTGGGCTATTTTCCTTTTATCTGATTTAAAATACTGCATAAAGCAGTAAATATAAATCTGGGTTCATGGGTGGCTGTTGGTTGGAACTTGAGTGCCTGCAAACCTCACCACAGAGGGCTACAGCCTCTATGTCTCCAAGTAGATTTGATAGGCAGTCTAGACTATCAGGACTGCAACTCTTAGGCTAGTCCTAGTGCTGAACTAGGCCTAGAGACAATGTACACTGGGGAAATGTGACATACTGCAACACCAGCTGGGGCAGCCAAGGGAGTGCTAGCATTATACCTCCTCTAATCCCAGACTGCACAGCCCAAGACACCAAAAGATAATCCATTTTTCCACTTGAGGAGAAGAGAGGAAAGAGTGTGGAGGAATTTGTCTTGCATCTTTGATACCATCTGAGCCTCAGCAGGGTAAGGCACCAGTCAGAGTCGTGAGGCTCCTGTTCCAGGCCTTAGCTCCCAGGTGACATTTCTAGACACACTATGGGCAAGAAGGGAACCCTCTGCCATGGAGGAAAGGACCCAGTCCTGGCAGTATTCCTCACCTGCTAACTGAAGAGTTCTTGGACACTGAATCACAAGCAGCTATACTCAGGTACTATGTTGAGGGCCTTGGATAAGCCTCTGATGATTGCTGGCTACAGGTGAGTTTCAGCGCCTTATCAACTGCGGTGGCTATGGGGCAAAATTTCATTTGCTTCAGAAAAGCAGAAAGAAAACTTAAGGGGATGTTGTCTTGTACCTTATTTACCAGCACAGTCACAGGGAGACAAGGACAAGCCCAGGATTTGACTTTTCAATTCCAGGACTTGATTCTTCAATAGCATGTCTGGACCTGTCCTGGGCCAGAGGGGAGCCCATTTCCCTGAAGAATGAGTCCCAGGCCAGACAGCATTCACCAGTTTGGCTTAAGAGCCCTTGACCCTGAAGGAAATAATACCAAGCATCTTCTCTGACCACAATGGAATAAATGAAACTAGAAATTAATAACAAGAGGAATTTTGGAAACTGTACAAATGCATGGAATTAAACAATATGCCCCTGAATCACCAGTGGGTCAATGAAGAAATTAAGAGGAAAATTGAGAAATTTCTTGAAACAATTGATAATAGAAACACAACATGCCGGCCAGGCGTGGTGGTGCACACCTGTAATCCCAGCTACTTTGGGAGCCTGAGGCAGAAGAATCGCTTGAACCTGGGAAGCAGAGGTTGCGATGACCTGAGATCGCGCCATTGCACTCTAGCCTGGGCAACAAGAGCAAAACTCCGTCTCAAAAAAAAAAAAAAAAAAAAAAAAAAACAAAAAGGCCAAAACCTTGAGATACATCAAAAAAGAGGAGAAACTTCAAATGAAAAATCTAATGATGCATCTTAAAGAACTAGAAAAGCAACAGGAAACCAAACCCCACATTAGTAGAAGAAAAGAAGTAATAAAGATCAGAGCTGAAATAAATGAAATTTAAATGAAAATAATAATGTGAAAGATCAATGAAACAAAAAGTTGATTTTTGGAAAGTTTAACAAAATAGACAAATCATTAGCCAGACTTCTAAGAAAAAAGAAAGAAGATACAAATACATAAAAATCAGAAACAAAAAAGAAAACATTATAACTGATACTGCAAAAATTCAGAGGAACACTAGTGGCTACTATGAGCAACTTTATGCCAATAAAGTGGAAAATCTAGAAGAAATGGACAAATTACTAGATTTATCCAGCCTACCAAGATTGAACCAGGAAGAAATCCAAAACTCTATAGGAAAAAATCAAATAATCTGATCAATAAATGGGCAAAAAAATTGAATAGACATTTCTTGAAAGCAGTCATACAAATGCCAGACAGGCATACGGAAAGGTATTCAACATCATTGATCATCAGAGAAATGCAAATCACAATTACAATGAAGTATCATTTCATCCCAGTTAAAATGGCTTTTAATATTCAAAGATGAGCAATAACAAATGCTGGCAAGGATATGGAAAAATGGGACCCTTCATACTCTGTTGGTGGAAATGTACATTAGTACAATCGCTATGGAGAACAGTTTGGAGGTTCCTACAAAAACTAAAAATTGAGTTACCATATGATCCAGCAATCCCACTGCTGGGCATATACCAAAAAGAAAGGGAATTAATATACCAAAGAGATAACTGCACTTCCATGCTTATTGCAGTACTGTTTACAATAGTTAATATTTAGAAGCAACCTAAGTGTCCATCAACAGAGGAATGGATAAAGAAAATGTGGTACCTGTACACAATGGAGTACTATTCAGCCATTAAAACAGAATGAGAACCTGTCATTTGCAACAGCATAGATGGAACTGGAGATTATTATGTTAAGTGAAATAAGCCAGGCACCGAAAGACAAACATCACATCTTCTTACTTATTTGTGGGATCTAAAATTCAAAACAATTGAACTCATGGACATAGAGTAGAAGAATGGTTACTAGAGGCTGGGAAGGGTAGTTGGAAGGTGGAAGGGGGAGGTGCAGATGGTTAATGGGTACAGGAAACATAGAAAGAATGAATAAGACCTACTATTTGATAGCACAACAGGGTTACTGTAGTCAATAATAACTTAATTGCATATTTTTAAATAACTAAAAGAGTGTAATTAGATTGTCTGTAACTCAAAAGATAAATGCTTGAGGGGATAGATACCCCTTTCTCCATGATATACTTATTTTATATTGCATGCTTATATCAAAGCATCTCATGTACCCCATAGATATATATACCTACTGTGTACCCACAAAAATTAAAAATAGAATAAAATAAAATAAAAATAATAACAGAAAACTTTCCACATATGGAGAGAGAAATGAAATATTAACCAAACTAAAGGGAGAAATAGATAGTAATACAACAATATTAGAGATCTTAAATATCCCACTTTCAACAATGAATAGATCACACAGACAGAAAATCAATAACGAAACAGCAGACTTGAACAACACAATAAACAAAATGAACCTAATATTCATATACAGAACTTTCCATCCAATAACAGTAGAATGCATATTCTTCTCAAGTACACATGGAGCATTCTTCAGAACAGATTATATGTTAGGCCACAAAACATGTATTAGCATGTTTAAGAAGACTGAATCATATCAAGTATCCCTCTTGACCGCAATGCTATAAAATTGGAAATTAATAGAGGTAAGTTAAAAAAAAACCTCACAAATAGGAGAAAAATAAGCCTGAACAAACAATGAGTGAAAGAAGAAATCAAAAGGGAAATAATAAATATTTTGAGACAAGGGAAAATGAAAACACAACATAACAAAACTTATGGCATTCAGTAAAAGTTCTGAAAAGGAAATTAATGGTGATACATGTCAACATTTAGAAAAATAAAACAACCTCACTTTATACCTAAAGGAAGTAGAAAAAGAAGAACAAACTAAGCCCAAAGTTAGCTGATGAAAGAAAAGTATACTGAAAAGTATAGCACATTCATGATAGAAATTGAAGAATAAACAAATAAACTGAAAGAGATCCTGTGTTCATTGATTGAAAGTCTTAATATTGTTAAAATGTCTATACCACACAAATAATCTACAGATTCAATGCAATCTCTATCAAAATCCCAATGACATTTTTCTCAGAAATAGACTTAAAATTCATATGAAACCACAAAAGATTCTGAATAGCCAAAGAATTTTTTCTTTTAATTTTATTTTTTATTGATACATAATAGATGTACATATTTTCATGGCACATGTAATAATTTATACATAGGATACAAATAACAAGCCAGATAAAGAAATGCATAGAGGAAGGCCTGGAATGGTCTGGAGCTTCTATCCCTGTAGAGTCGGTGTGTGCCACCCTCCCAGCACATGGATGAATTCCTGTTCACCTTCCTTTAAGCATCCACATATTCATCTCTGCCAAAGCATTTATGAGCAAGAATAACAAAGTTGTAGTCATTGTATTTCCTGATTTCAAATTGTATTACAAAACTATAGTAATCAACACAGTATAGTACAGGCAAAAAACAAAAAAAAATCAAAACCAACCAACAAAACAACAGACACATTAACAAATGAAACAGAATTGAGAGTACAGAAGTAAACCCACAAATATAGGGCCAACTAATGGTCTCCTTAATAAATGATTTCAGTAAACAGGATATGCAAATGCTGAAAATGAAATTGACCCTTATCTTACACCAGATACAAAAATCAACTCAAAATGGATTAAACACTTAAAACAAAGGCCCTGAAGCCATAAAACTCTCAGGAAAAAGTAAATAACAGGGAAAAAAACTCCATGACATTGGTCTTGGCAATAACTTTTTTGATATGGCAACAAAAACACAAGCAACAGAAGCAAAAATAAAGAAGTAGGATTGCATCAAACTAAAAAGATTCTTCACAGCAAGGAAACAATCAACAGAGTCAAGAGATAATTACAGAATGGGAGGAAATATGCACAAACCAAATGCCTGATAAGGACTTGATATTCAAAATCTACAAGGGACTCAAACAAATCAACAGTAAGAAAGTAAATAACCCAACTGAAAAATGGCCAAAGTACCTGAATAGACATTCTTCAAAAGAAGATATAAAAATGGCCAGCAGGTATATGAAAAAATGCTCTAACATCACTAATAGTCAAGGAAATTCAAATTAAAACCTAAATCAGATATCACCTCACACTTGTTAAGATGTCTACTATCAAAAAGACAAAACATAAGTTTTGGAGAAGATGGGGAGAAAAGGGAACCTTTGCATATTGTTGGTGAGAATGTAAATTAGTACAGCCATTATGGAACATAGTATGAAGTGTCTTCAAAAATGCTAAATGACAAATTAATGGGTGCAGTACACCAACATGGCACATGTATACATATGTAACAAACCTGCACATTGTGCACATGTACCCTAAAACTTAAAGTATAATAATAAAAAAAAATTAAAAACAGAACTACCATATAATCCAGCAATCTTACTTCAGAGTATATACAGAAAAGAAATGAACTTTTTTCTTATACTTTAAAAAAGTTGAGATATTATCTGCATAACATAAATTCACCATTTAAATTATACAGTTCAGTAGTTTTTAGTCTATTCACAAAGTTATGACAACATCAACACTATCTAATTGCAGAAAATTTGTCACTCCAGAAAGACGCTCCATATACATTAGTAGTTCTTTACCATTTTCAATTCTTTCCTTCCTCTTGACTCTAGCAACCACTAATACACTTTTTGTCTCTATGATTTGCTTATACTAAACATTTCATAGAAGTGGAGTCATGCAAAATGTGGCTTTTTGTGTCTTACTTCTTTCACTTAGCATAATATCTTCAAAGTTTGTCCATATTTTATTATATATCAGCACTTTATTTCTTTTTGGTATATTCTTTGCAGTATATTTCTTTCAGGTATATTCACTAAATGAATATCAGGTCTATTCACTGAATGAATGAATGAATGAATGAATGAATGAATATACCTAAATGAAAATGCCGTATTTTGTTTAATCATTCATAAGTTGATTAACATTTATTTTTCCCAGTTTTTATCTATTAAAAGTTCTGCTAATGTACAAGTTTTTGTGTAAACATGTTTTTAATTTTCTAGGAGTGGAATTGTTGGATTTATAAAATATAAAGTTTATAAAGTATATGTTGTTTATTAACTGTAAAGTAGTTTACAAGATAACAGGGCTGGGGAGTGGCAAAAACAAAACAAACAAAAAAAAACCATGTAATTGTTCAGTAAGGAAAGTCTGGCAGAAAAGAAAGTATTCCCCCAGAAATCTCCACGACATTGGTCTGGGCAATCATTTCTTGACTATAACCTCAAAAGCACAGGCTACAGAACCAAAAATAGTCAAGTAAGATTGCATCAAGCTGAATAGCTCTTGTACAGCAAAGGAAAATAATCAAAAGATTGAAGAGGTAACGTACAGAATGGGAGAATAATTTGTGAACCATGCATCTGATAAGAGGCTAATATCCAAAATATTTAAGGAACTCAACAACTCAACAGCAAGAAAAAAAATAACCTAATTTAAAAATGAGTAAAAGACCTGAATAGACATTTCTCAAAAGAAAACATACAAATGGCAGACAGGTATATGAAAAAATGTTCAACATCACTAACAGGGAAATGCAAATAAAAACCACAATGAGATATCATCTCATACTTGTTAGGATGGTTGTTATTAAAAAGATGAAAGATACTGTGTTAGCAAAAATATGAAGGAAGGGGAAATCTTGCACCTTCCTGAAGAAAATGTAAATTGGTACAGGCTTTATGGAAAAAAATATGGAGTTTCCTCAAATAAACTAAAATAAAACTACCATATGATCCAGCAATCTCACTTTTGGGATTAAAATCAGAATATCAAAGAGATACCTGCACTAACATGTTCATGGCAGCATTATTCACAATAGCCACAATATGGAAACATCTTAAATGCCCCCTTAGCAGGTGGAGGAAAACTTTGGACGGTGATGAATTTGTTTATGGTCTTGATGATGGTGGTGGTTTTGTAAGTGTATATCCTCAAAATCCATCAAGTTGTATACATTAAACAAGGACACTAGAGGAACAAGAGAATGTATACATGTGATAATGTGGAATGAATATAACAGCATAAAAAAAGCCATATCCATACTCTGCTTGAAACAACTATAAAAATGTTTGTATATATCAATTGAAAGACATTGCACAAAGCAAAAATCAATCTGTGAAAAGGGAGGGATAAGTGACATTTTCCTTTTATCTCGAGACTGTATTTAGTGTAGATGTTACTGTACTGTTTTATAACAGAGAAGATTGTTTCTTAAAATATATTAAATTAAAAAGGCTTTAAAAGCTAAAGTTGCTGGGCTTGGTGGTTCAAACCTGTAATCCCCGCACTTTGGGAGGCTGAGGCGGGTGGATCACGAGGTCAGGAGTTTCAGACCAGCCTGACCAACATGGTAAAACCCCGTCTCTACTAAAAATACAAAAATTAGCCAGGCGTGGTGGCACACACCTGTAATACCAGCTGCTCAGGAGGCTGAGGCAGGAGAGTCGCTTGAACCCGGGAGGCAGAGGTTGCAGTGAGCTGAGATCACGCCACTGCACTCCAGCCTGAGTGACAGAGTGAGACTCCATCAAAAAAAAAAAAAAGTTGTTAACTTGAAGAAATCCATTGTAATCTTTCTGGTTAAGTTATTCCTGTTTCTATAGTACTATGTTTCTATAGTACTAAAATCCACCTGATATCCAGAGGAACAAGAAAGAACCACTCTGATATGTATTGCATCTCTTTAGGACTGGGAAAAGAGACACCAAAACCCAACTTTCAAAAGTTGTTTTTCTTTTTTCCTTAAAATAATTTTGCACTCAGTTTTCATGGAAAAGCACCAGGACTGGTAACTGGTTTTTCTTACCAAAAGAGAAGCACCTTAGACTATTAGGAATGTTGCCTGACTAGAGCATTCTGGGTCTGGAGTGACTAGAAAAATCTAGAAGTTTTTGAGCAAACACATTCCAGGCCCATATTCTTTTGGTTAAATTTGGCTGATGATCATAATACTAAATGAGACTCTCTCTTCCCTGGCCTGTTCTACAGTAAACTATGAAAGATATCTTAGAGTGATACACAGGATTCACATAGTCATGAATTGTCAAGGAGGCCCTGAATTTGGCACTTCATTGGTTCATCCGTATATAACAGTCTGTTCCCTCACCCAAGGGCTTACTGTCTGGGAAAACTGCCTCTTCCCAAACATCTTCAGCAATGGCTGGATTTTTGTTCCATCTCTAAGAAATATATAGCTTCCTCCAAACCATGTGATTATTCATCAGGAAAACAGGGTGTTGTTTTCTTTTCCTCCTCTCTCAAGAGAGAAATAAACAAAATTACTTGAAGATGTGCCTTTATAAAATGAATAGTGGCAAGGCAAGTGTATTTAAAATAAGACTCCAGTAGTAGAACAGTGAAAATAATGGAGTTGAAAATGAAAGGAAATATCGTAGAATCTCAGCTCGCTTTTGTAGCCCAGGACTCAGCAATCAAATTTTCAAGAATCATAGACCTGGCCAGGCACAGTGGCTCATGCTTGTAATTCCAGCACTATGGGGGAGCAAGGCGGGTGGATCACTTGAGGTTAGGAGTTCAGGACCAGCCTGGCCAACATGGTGAAACCCCGTCTCTACTAAAAATACAAAAATTAGCCAGGGATGGTGGTGCACGCCTGTAATCCCAGCTACTCAGGAGGCTGAGGCACAAGAATTGCTTGAACCCAAGAGGCCGAGGTTGCAGTGAGCCAAGACTGGGCCACTGCACTCCAGCCTGGGTGACAGAGCAAGACTCTGTCAAAAAAAAAAAAAAAAAAAAAAAAAAAAGAATCAGACTCACAGGACCCAGAGTTGGGAAGATTTTAGACATCATTTAATCAAATGGTTTTCAAACTTTTGTAGTTATATAAGCCTTTGTTAACATAAGATATATCTTGGAACCCCACTATCTAAAAGAAACACAAAAAACATGCCTTGATTTAAGACAGGATAGCAAGCTCAGAAAACTGCCACCTTAGTCCTTTTCCCAGTCATAACTCCAACAGCTTCTTCCCTTTGACTCATAAAAGGACTCTACAAGGCATAGCTTTTTAAATGTTGAAATTCAGCTCCATAGAGAGAAAGAGCCTTACCCAACATCACTAAGCCAGTGAGTGGCAGAACTGTGACTAGAACTCAGGTCGTCTGGTACAGTGTGTTTTCTGCTATAACATATCTATGAAAAGTCTGCAAACTTTTCAGAAAGTAATAATAAATTTTTATCTTACGTCTATTTTAATTAGGGGATGGGTTCTGTATTAATGTTCTCATTCTTAAATCTTGGGTTTTCCTCTCATTTCCCTTGCTCATCTTGTAGTTGAGTTTCTTAACTTGTATGGGTAGTAACCAGGGATCAGAGCAGCCACATGATTTCAGGGAATTATGTATCCTAGTTAAAAGGCTCCTAAGAAGCTGTACTTAATTTGATGAAACATGTCTACCAGGACAGTGCCTGGCACCGAGCGGATGTTAAATAAATGTTAGTTCCCTTTCTTTCTCCTCTCCACTTGAAAAATAATAGATTGGAAGCCATTTTCCCAAGTGCCAGGATAAGCAAAACATTTGCAAAACAATAGGATTCTGATTGTGTAGGTGAACACCTTAGCTGGGTTCCTTGAGGACCCAGGAGGTCTTGAACATTTTACTTAAAGAAATACAATAAAAGATGCTTCCATTTTTCTATTCCTATCTGGCATCTAAGTGGCTATCTCCTGCTGCAAATATTCTGTCGGTGATGTGTACTCCGGATCACAAAACAAAAGAGATGAAAGTTAGTCTTTCTTAAGTGCATCATTGTGCTAATGAAATTAATCAGTTGCAGTGACAGTCTTAGAGCAGCAGGGAAGCTTACAAAATGGTAGCAGTTAAGAAGTGGCTGCCGGAGAGAGAACGAGAATGCAATCAAGGCTGAAATAAAGCAAAGCAAGACTGGGTTAAAAAACACTCAGCAATCAAATGTTCTTAGGGCCTTGGAATAAAGGAAAAAGGGTTTTTTTTTTTTATAAAGGAAGCGTTTCAAGATTGGTCTCTTTCCTGTTTAAATGTTTGTTTTTTCACAGTAGCTTCAGTTTTTCTAAATCTAACAAATAGGAAGAAAATGTTCTCATTAAATTGAACTAATATGTGCCCATGTGGACACGGCTTAATTTAATAAGTCAGCACATAGAGAAAAGGGGACTGAAGTGCAGGGCATTGGGTTAGGTTCTACCAGTTGTCTGTGCTCCATTGAGAAAATCCCTTCGTTTTTCTAGGCCTCAGTTTCCCATCTAGAAAATGAGAGGGTAGATTAGACACTTTAAGGTAGATCTTTCCAGTTCTAACATTACAAAACTCTGGGGCTCCTGGGAGAAGTTTTATTACAAAGCAGATATTTTGAGTACCTAGTGAGTCATAGACACTCTTTGTAAGGTGGGCAACTTGAATCTAAAGTACTAAACTCAATTTTCCTGATGATGTTATAGAATATTTATACATTTGAGATCAAAAGATCCTGTGAAGCAAATGGGTTAATGGCTATCTAAATGGGTTTGTTTTGAATAGTACTTACATCTCCTTTTTCATCCGTAGACCTTAGCCACTATCTCTAGGGATAGTACTTCCAACATTTTCCAATTCCATAGCTAATAGAGTTCTGCCAGGAAGCTTTGTGTGAGGCTTATCGTAAATTTTCTCTCCTGCAATTTCATCCATTTTCTCTTTCCAATGGTTTCAACCCCTCCCTGCCAGGCACTGGAAAAGGAATGGTTTGTTTCTTTTTCTTCTTTAAACCAGGAAGTTACAGGGGAAAATGTTGGAAATGCAAGAAACACAAAATTTTGCAAAGTTAAAAAAGTGGGAAAAGGTCATAGCAAATCATAAACCTTTCTCTGAGTTCTGTTAAGCTGGAAAAATTGCTGTTTGGGTTTAGTCACCGTAAAACCAGGTGGAATAATTTGGTTCTGAGAGTAGCAGAGAAGATGGGGTTTGTGAGGCTCTTATATCTATTCATGGGCATGGCCAAGTGATCATATAACAGGCCACAGGTTTGGCTGGGGTCTCTAAAGGCTGCTGGTTACCATGGCGCTTGCAGACTATGTGTGGAGGTTTAATTAGGTGAAAATTGATGAAAGAACTCTGAAATGCAATTTCATCTCGGGAAGCTCAGAATAACTTTTTGCTATTTGTTTACCAGAAAATCAAGAAATAAGGTGGTGTCTGCAAAATGCATAGTCATATGAGCTACTTTTTGAAGTGGTCTTAGGAGCTTACATGGGTTTGCCAGAGGGGATGCTTTCGTCACTTAGAAGAATGCTTCCAGTTTTGACTTCAGTTCAGAGTGAACATAGAGAAACCACATAGAATGTACTCAGGATGACTATTTATTTCAACAGTTCCTTCTTTCATTTGTGTATTCATTCATTCAACAAATATCTAAAACTTTTATTTAGTAATACAATAAAGATCTATTGACTGAACACCTACTCCACCCCAGGTATTGTGCTAAGCACTAAACAATCATTGGTAAACAAAAGTTCCCATGAAGGTTATAATCTTGTGGAGAAGACAGATTTTGATTTAAAATTTAGGCCAGGCACTGTGGCTCATGCCTGTAATCCCAGCACTTTGGTAGACCGAGGCAGGAGGATCACTTGAAGTCAAGAGTTGGAGACCAGTCTGGCCAACATGGTGAAACCCCGTCTCTACTGAAAAAATGCAAAACATTAGCTGGGTGTGGTAGTGGGTGCCTGTAATCCCAGCTATTCTGGAGGCCGAAGCAGGAGAATCGCTTGAACCTGGGAAGCGGAGGTTGCACTGAGCCGAGATCGCGTCATTGCACTCCAGCCTGGGCAACAGATGGAGACTCCATTTCAAAAAATAAAAATAAATAAATAAGACAGTAATTACTAAATTATAATTGTTTTAAGTGCTACAAGTTCAAGATGCTAACAGAGAATATAACAGGAAGATTTGACATAGTACATACAGGAAATAGAAATTTCCCCTGAGGAAGTGACATTTGTAGTTAGATCTCAAAGGTAAATAGGAAATAGCCCAGTAAAGAGAAAGAAGCTCTTATGGATGCCTCAAAGAATATTTAGGTTGCCTAGAGCTGGAGAGTGGAGCAAGAATGGGAGTGGCTGTTAACACATAAAGAGGTTCTTTCTGGGTTAATGAAAATATTCTAAAACTAGATTGTGGTGATGGTTGCACAACTTTGTGAATATATTAATATACTTTATTATATCTCAATAAAACTGCTTCAAAACATCAATATTACTCAATCATAGAAATGTAAAAATAGGAGCAAAATGATTCTGCAGAGGTTCCTGGGTCAATCACCCAGGAATGAGTAGGTGAAGGATTTTGAACTTTACCTTAAAAATATTCTGGATTGTTGCTTAAAAGTTAGATTTTAGGTGATCTTACCATAAACAAAATGAGTAATTTTGTGAGGTGATGGATATGTTCATTTGCTTGACTATAGTAACCATTTCACTAAGTATATACTAAATATCATGTATGCATATATAATAAAATATCATGTTGTACACCTTAAATATATAAAAAACATATAAAATTTAAAACAAAAGAGAATAACCGTCAATACAGACAAAGGTTATACAGAAATTCATTTTACTGTTTTTGTAACTTGTCTGGGATTTTTTGATATTTTAAAAAATTCTCCAAAATAAAATATTTAAAAAGAAAAGTAACTAGAAAAGCAATGAAAAATTTAAGCTGGGAAATTTATGATCCAATTTACATTTTATTCTATCTTTATTTAATTTTTAAAAATATACATTTAGGGGATATAAGTGCAGATTTCTTACACGCATATATTATGTAGTAGCTAATTTCACCAGAATGGTAAACATTGTACCCAACAGGTAATTTTTAAACCCCCACTCCCTCCCAGCCTGCCACCTTTTGTAGTCTCCAATGTTTATTAATCTACTCTGTATGCCTATGTGTACCCATTGTTTAGCTCCCACTTACAGGTGAGAATATGCAATATTTGACTTTCTGTTTCTATTATTTCACTGAGGATAATGGCCTCCAGTTCCATCCATGATGCTACAAAAGATATGGTTTCATTCATTTTTATTGCTGAGTAGCATTCTGTTGTGTACATATGTCACATTTTCTTTATCCATTCATCCACTGATGGACATTTAGGTTGATTCCATAACTTTCCTATGGTGAACAGTGCTGCAACACACGTTAGTGTAGGTCTCTTTGATATACTGATTTATTTTCCTTTGTATAAATACTCAGTAGGGGGATTGATGGGTTGAATGGTAGTTCTTTTTGTAATTATTTGAGAAATCTCCATACTGTTTTCCATAAAGGTTGTACTAATTTACATTCCCACCAACAATGTATAACTGCCCCTCTTTTCTTTGCTTCCTCACCAACATCTGTTGTTTTTAGACATTTTTTTAATCATGTAAAACTCATATTTTTTAAAACGTTAAATGGTTGCATTTTCATTACCCTTAACTTTTTAAAAATTTTTTATTATACTTTAAGTTGTAGGGTACATGTACACAACGTGCAGGTTTGCTACATATGTATGCATGTGCCATATTGGTATGCTGCACCCGTTAACTTGTCATTATAATAGGTATATCTCCTAATGCTATCCCTACCCCATCCCCCACCACACGACGGGCCCTGGTGTGTGATGTTCCCCACCCTGTGTCCAAGTGTTCTCATTGTTCAATTCCCACCTATGAGTGAGAACATGCGGTGTTTGGTTTTCTGTCCTTGTGATAGTTTGCTGAGAATGATGGTTTGCAGCTTCATGCATGTCCTACAAAGGACATGAACTCATCCTTTTTCATGGCTGCATAGTATTCCATGGTGTATATGTGCCACATTTTCTTAATCCAGTCTATCATTGTTGGACATTTGGGTTGGTTCCAAGTCTTTGCTATTGTGAATAGTGCCACAATAAACATACATGTGCATGTGTCTTTATAGCAGCATGATTTATATTGCTTTGGGTATATGCCCAGTAATGGGATGCCTGAGTCAAATGGTAATTCTAGTTCTAGATCCTTGAGGAATCGCCACACTGTCTTCCACAATGGTCGAACTAGTTAACATTCCCACCAACAGTGTAAAAGTGTTCCTATTTCTCCACATCCTCTCCAGCACATGTTGTCTCCTGACTTTTTAATGATCACCATTCTAACGATGCGAGATGGTATCTCATTGTGGTTTTGATTTGCATTTCTCTGATGTCCAGTGATGATGAGCATTTTTACATGTGTCTGTTGGCTGCATAAATGTCTTCTTTTGAGAAGTGTCTGTTCATATCCTTCGCCCACTTTTTGATGGGGTTGTTTGATTTTTTCTTGTAAATTTGTTTAAGTTATTTATAGATTCTGGATATTAGCCCTTTGTCAGATGGGTAGATTGTAAAAATTTTCTCCCATTCTGTAGGTTGCCTGTTCACTCTGATGAGAGTTTCTTTTGCTGTGCAGAAGCTCTGTAGTTTAATTAGATCCCATTTGTCGGTTTTGACTTGTGTTGCCATTGCTTTTGGTGTTTTAGTCATGAAGTCCTTGCCCATGCCTATGTACTGAATGGTATTGCCTAGGTTTTCTTCTAGGGTTTTTATGGTTTTAGGTCTAACATTTAAGTCTTTAATCCATCTTGAATTAATTTAGGTATAAGGTGTAAGTAAGGGATCCAGTTTCAACTTTCTTCATATGGCTAGCCAGTTTTCCCAGCATCATTTATTAAATAGGGAATCATTTCCCCATTTCTTGTTTTTGTCAGGTTTGTCAAAGATCAGATGGTTGTAGATGTGTGGTATTATTTCTGGGGGCTCTATTCTGTTCCATTGGTCTATATCTCTGTTTTGGTACCAGTACCATGCTGCTTTGGTTACTGTAGCCTTGTAGTATAGTTTGAAGTCAGGTAGCATGATGCCTCCAGCTTTGTTCTTTTGGATTAGGATTGTCTTGGCCATGCGGGCTCTTTTTTGGTTCCATATGAACTTTACAGTAGTTTTTTCCAATTCTGTGAAGAAAGTCATTGGTAGCTTGATGGGGATGGCATTGAATCTATAAATTACCTTGGACAGTACGGCCATTTTCACAATATTGATTCTTCCTACCCATGAGCATGGAATGTAATTCCACTTGTTTGTATCCTCTTTTATTTCATTGAGCAGGGGTTTGTAGTTCTCCTTGAAGAGGTCCTTCACATCCCTTGTAAGTTGGATTCCTAGGTATTTTATTCTCTTTGTAGTAATTGTTAATGGGAGTTCACTCATGATTTGGCTCTCTGTCTGTTCTTGCTGTATAGGAATGCTTGTGATTTTTGCACATTGATTTTGTATCCTGAGACTTTGCTGAAGTTGCTTATCAGCTTAAGGAGATTTTGGGCTGAGATGATGGGGTTTTCTAAATATACAATCATGTCATCTGCAAACAGGGACAATTTGACTTCCTCTTTTCCTAATTGAATACCCTTTATTTCTTTCTCCTGCCTAATTGCCCTGGCCAGAACTTCCAACACTATGTTAAATAGGAGTGGTGAGAGAGGGAACCCCTGTCTTGTGCCAGTTTTCAAAGGGAATGCTTCCAGTTTTTGCCCTTTCAGTATAATATTGGCTGTGGGTTTGTCATAAATAGCTCTTATTATTTTGAGACATGACCCATCAATACCTAGTTTATTGAGAGTTTTTAGCATGAAGGGCTGTTGAATTTTGTTGAAGGGCTTTTCTGCATCTATTGAGATAATCATGTGGTTTTTGTCTTTGGTTCTGTTTATATGCTGGATTACATTTATTGATTTGCATATGTTGAACCAGCCTTGCATCCCAGGGATGAAGCCAACTTGATCGTGGTGGATAAGCTTTTTGATGTGCTGCTGGATTCGGTTTGCCAGTATTTTATTGAGGTTTTTTGCATCGTTGTTCATCAGGGTTATTGGTCTAAAATTCTCTTTTTTCATTGTGTCTTTAACAGACCTTGGTATCAGGATAACGTTGGCCTCATAAAATGAATTAGGGAGGATTCCCTCCTTTTCTATTTATTGGAATAGTTTCAGAAGGAATGGTACCAGCTCCTCTTTGTACCTCTGGTAGAATATGGCTGTGAGTCAGTCAGGTTATGGACTCTTTTTGTTTGGTAGGCTATTAATTATTGCCTCAATTTCAGAATCTGTTATTGGTCTATTCAGAGATTCAACTTCTTCCTGGTTTAGTCTTGGGAGGGTGTATGTGTCCAGGAATTTATCCATTTCTTCTAGATTTTCTAATTTATTTACATAGAGGTGTTTATAGTGTTCTCTGATGGTAGTTTGTATTTCTGTGGGATCAGTGGTGATATCCCCTTTGTCATTTTTTATTGCGTCTATTTGATTCTTCTCTCTTTTCTTCTTTGTTACTCTTGCTAGTGGTCAATCAATTTTGTTGATCGTTTCAAAAAATCAGCTCCTGGATTCATTGATTTTTTGAAGGGTTTTTTGTGTCTCTATCTCCTTCAGTTCTGCTGTAATCTGAGTTATTTCTTGCCTTCTGCTAGCTTTTGAATGTGTTTGCTCTTGCTTCTCTAGTTCTTTTAAGTGTGATGTTAGGGTGTCAATTTTAGATCTTTCCTGCTTTTGGTGTGGGCATTTAGTGCTCTAAATTTCCCTCTACACACTGCTTTAAATGTGTCCCAGAGATTTTGGTGTGTTGTGTCTTTGTTCTCATTGGTTTCAAAGAACACCTTTATTTCTGCCTTCATTTCGTTATGTACCGAGTTGTCACTCAGGAGCAGGTTGTTCAGTTTCCATGTAGTTGAGCAGTTTTGAGTGAGTTTCTTACTCCTGAGTTCTAGTTTGATTGCACTGTGGTCTGAGAGATAGTTTGTTATAATTTCTCTTCTTTTGCATTTGCTGAGGAGTGCTTTACTTCCAACTATGTGGTCAATTTTGGAATAAGTGCAGTGTGGTGCTGAGAAGAATTTATATTCTGTTGATTTGGGGTGGAGAGTTCTGTAGATGTCTATTAGGTCCACTTGGTGCAGAGCTGAGTTCAATTCCTGGATATCCTTGTTAACTTTCTGTCTTGTTGATCTGTCTAATGTTGACAGTGGAGTGTTAAAGTCTCCCATTATTATTGTGTGGGAGTCTAAGTCTCTTTGTAGGTCTCTGAGGACTTGCCTTATGAGTCTGGGTGCTCCTGTATTGGGTGCATATATATTTAGGATAGTTAGCTCTTCTTGTTGAATTCATCCCTTTACCGTTATGTAATGGCCTTGTCTCTTTTGATCTTTGTTGGTTTAAAGTCTGTTTTATCAGAGACTAGGATTGCAACCCCTGCTTTTTTTTTTTGGTTTTCCATTTGCTTGGTAGATCTTCCTCCATCCCTTTATTTTGAGCCTATGTGTGTCTCTGCACATGAGATGGGTCTCCTGAATACAGCACACTGATGGGTCTTGACTCTTTATCCAATTTGCCAGTCTGTGTCTTTTAATTGGAGCATTTAGCCCATTTACATTTAAGGTTAATATTGTTATGTGTGATTTGATCCTGTCATTATGATGTTAGCTGGTTATTTTGCTCGTTAGTTGATGCAGTTTCTTCCTAGCATCAATGGTCTTTACAATTTGGCATGTTTTTGCAGTGGCTGGTACCGGTTGTCCCTTTCCATGTTTAGTGCTTCCTTCAGGAGCTCTTGTAAGGCAGGCCTAGTGTGACAAAATCTCTTGGCATTTGTTTGTCTGTAAGGGATTTTATTTCTCCTTCACTTATGAAGCTTGGTTTGGCTGGATATGAAATTCTGGGTTGAAAATTCTTTTCTTTAAGAATGTTGAATATTGGCCCCCACTCTCTTCTGGCTTGTGGAGTTTCTGCTGAGAGATCAGCTGTTAGTCTGATGGGCTTCCCTTTGTGGGTAACCCAACCTTTCTCTCTGGCTGCCCTTAACATTTTTTCCTTCATTTCAACTTTGGTGAATCTGACAATTATGTGTCTTGGAGTTGCTCTTCTGGAGAAGTATCTTTGTGGCATTCTCTGTATTTCCTGAATTTGAATGTTGGCCTGCCTTGCTAGGTTGGGGAAGTTCTCCTAGATAATATCCTGAAGAGTGTTTTCCAATTTGGTCCCATCCTCCCCATCACTTTCAGGTACACCAATCAGACGTAGATTTGGTCTTTTCACATAGTCCCATATTTCTAGGAGGCTTTGTTCATTTCTTTTTACTCTTTTTTCTCTAAACTTCTCTTCTCACTTCATTTCTTTCATCTGATCTTCAGTCAATGATACCCTTTCTTCCAGTTGATCGAATCACCTGCTTAAGCTTGTGCATGCGTCACGAAGTTCTCATGCCATGGTTTTCAGCTCTATCAGGTCATTTAAGGACTTCTCTACACTGTTTATTCTAGTTAGCCATTCGTCTATCCTTTTTTCAAGGTTTTTACCTTCTTTGAAATGGGTTCGAACATCCTCCTTTAGTTCGGAGAAGCTTGATCGTCTGAAGCCTTCTTCTCTCAACTCGTCCATTTGATTGTCTGAAGCCTTCTTCTCTCAACTCGTCAAAGTCATTCTCTGTCCAGCTTTGTTCCATTGCTGGTGAGGAGTTGCGTTCCTTTGAAGGAGAAGAGGCACTCTGATTTTTAGAATTTTCAGCATTTATGCTCTGGTTTCTCCCCATCTTTGTGGTTTTATCTACCTTTGGTCTTTGATGATGGTGACATACAGACGGGGTTTTGGTGTGGATGTCCTTTATGTTTGTTAGTTTTCCTTCTAACAGTCAGGACCCTCAGCTGCAGATCTGTTGGAGTTTGTTGGAGGTCCACTCCAGACTCTGTTTACCTGGGTATCACCAGCAGAGGCTGCAGAACAGCAAATATTGCAGAACAGTAGATGTTCCTGCCTGATCCTTCCTCTGGAAGCTTCGTCTCAGAGGGGCACCTGGCTGTATGAGGTGTCAGTTGGCCCCTTCTGCGAGGTGTCTCCCAGTTAGGCTACTCAGGGGTCAGGAACCCACTTGAGGAGGCAGTCTATCCGTTCTCAGATCTCAAACTCCATGCTGGGAGAACCACTACTCTCTTCAAAGCTGTCAGACAAGGATGTTTAAGTTGGCAGAAGTTTCTGCTGCCTTTTGTTCAGCTATGCCCTGCCCCCAGAGGTGGAGTCTACAGAGGCAAGCAGGCCTCCTTGAGCTGTGTGGGCTCCACCCAGTTTGAGCTTCCTGGCGGCTTTGTTTACCTCTGCAAGCCTCAGCAATGGCAGATTCCCCTCCCCCAGCCTCGCTGCAGCCCTTCAGTTCGATCTCAGACTGCTGTGCTAGCAGTGAGGGAGGTTCTGTGGGTGTGGGACCCTCTGAGCCATGCGAGGGATATAATCTCCTGGTGTGCTGTTTGCTAAGGCTGTTGGGAAAGCACAGTATTAGGGTGGGAGTTTCCTTATTTTCCTGGTACCATCTGTCACATCTTCCCTTTGCTAGGAAAGGGAATTCCCTGACCCCTTGCACTTCCCAGGTGAGGTGATGCCCCACCCTGCTCCGTGGGCTGCATCCACTGTCTGACAAGCCCCAGTGAGATGAACCTGGTACCTCAGTTGGAAATGCAGAAATCACCTGTCTTCTGCATCGCTCATGCTGGGAGCTGCAGACTTGAACTGTTCCTATTCGGCCAACTTGGAACCTCCTTCTGTTTTTAGACATTTTAATAGCCATTCTGAATGGTGTAAGATAGTATCTCGTTGTGGTTTTAATTTGCGTTATAGTGATGACTAGTGATATTAAGCATTTTTTCATATGTTTCCTGGCCACTTGTATGTCTTCTTTTGAAAAATGTCTTTTCATACCCTTTGTCCACTTTTTAATTAGGTCTTTTTTCTTGTTAGCTTCTGTGAGATCCATGTAAATGCTGGATATTAGCCCTTTGTTGGGGCATAGATTGCAAATATTTTTCCCATTCTGTACATTGTCTGTTTGCTCTGTTGATTGTTTCTTTTGCTGTACAGAAGCTTTCGAGTTGAAAACAGTCTCATTTGTCTATTTTTGTTTTATTTTTCTGTGCTTTTGAGATCTTAGTCATAAACTCTTTGACTGGGCCAATGTCTAGAAAAGTTTGTCCTAGGTTTTCTTCTAGGATTTTAATAGTCTCAGATATTATGCTTAGGTCTGTGATCTATCTTGAGTTAATTTTTGTGCATAGTAAGAGGTATGGATCCAGTTTCATTCTTCTGCAGATGGCTATCCAGTTTTCCCAGAACCATTCATTGAATAGAATGCCACCTTCCCAATGCATATTTTTGCTGACTTTGTCAGAGATCTGTTGGTTGTAGGTACATGACTTTATTTCTAGGTTCTCTACTCTGTTCCGTTTATCTGTGTGTTTATTTTTATACCAGTATCATGCTCTTTTGGTTACCATAGACTTGTAGTATAATTTAAAGACAGGTAATGTGATGCCTCAAGCTTTGTTCTTTTTGCTTAGGATTTCTTTTGCTTAATCAGGCTATTTTTTGCTTCCATATGAATTTTCGGATATTTTTCTAGTTCTGTGAAAAATGATGATGGTGTTTTGATAGGAATTGCATTGAATCTGTAGATTGCTTTGAACAGTATGGTCATTTTCAAAATATTGATTCTTCTTATCCATGAGCATGGGATGTGTTTCCATTAATTTGTGTCATCTATGATTTCTTTCAACAGTGTTTTGTAGTAGTTCTCCTTATAGAGAACTTTCACTTCCTAGGTTAAATATATTCCTAGGCATTCTATTTTTTGTAGCTATTGTAAATGGGATTGCCTTCTTGATTTTGTCCTCAGCCTGATTTTTATCATTATATAGAAACACTATGGATTTCTCTATATTAATTTTTGTGTCCTGAACCTTTACTGAATTCATTTACCAAATCAAAGAGTTTTTGGTGGATTCTTTAGGTTTTTCTAAATATACAATCATATCATATCATCAGTGAAAAGGGATAATTGGACTTTCTGCTTTTCAATTCGGATGCCTTTTATTTTCTCTTGCCTGATAGCTTTGTCAAAGAATTCCACCACTATGTTAAATGAGAGTGGTGAAAGTGGGCATCCTGTCTTGTTCCAGTTCTTACAGGGAATTCTTTCAACTTTTCTGCATTCAGTACAAGGTTGGTTATGGGATTGTCATATATGGCCTTCATTATGTTGACATGTGTTCCTTCTGTGTCTAGTTTGTTGAGAATTTTTATCATGAAGGGATGCTGAATGTTATTGAATGCATTTTCTGTATCTATTGAGGTGATAATATTATTTTTGTCCTTAATTTTGTTTATGTGATGTTTGTATTTATTGATTCACGTATGTTGAACCATCCTTGCATCCCTGGGATAAATCCTGGCTGGTCATGGTGTATTATCTTTTTAATGTGCCATTGAATTGAATTTGCTAGTATTTTGTTGTGGATTTTTGCCTCTATGTTCATCAGGGTTGTTGGTTTGTAGTTTTCTTTCTTTGCTGTGTCCTTATCTGATTTTGGTATCAGAGTGATACTGGCCTTATAGAATGAGTTAGTGGGAATTCTCTTCTCCTTGATTTTTTTGGAACATTTTCAGGAGGTTGGGTGTTAGTTCTTCTTTTTATGTTTGGTAAAAATTTAGCTATGAGCCAGGTGTGGTGGCTCACGCCTGTAATTCCAGCACTTTGGGAGGCAGAGGCAGGTGGATCACTTGAGCCCAGGAGTTGGAGACCAGCCTGGCCAACATGGTGAAACCCTGTCTCTACTAAAAATACAAAAATTAGCCAGGCATGGTGGCACATACCTATAATCCCAGCTACTAGGGTTGCTGAGGCATGAGAATTGCTTGAACCTGGAAGGCAGAGGTTGCAGTGAGCCAAGATAGTGCCACTGCACTCCATCCTGGGCAACAGAGCAAGACTCAGTCAAAAAAAAATTGGCTATGAGTCTATCTGGTCTTGGGCTTCTTTTATTGGGAGATTTTTTATTACCAATTTAATCTCACTACACATTATTTGTCATTTCAAGAGTTATCTTTCTGCCTGGCTCAATCTTTGAGAGGTTGTGCATTTCCAGGAATTTATCCACTTACTCTAGGTTTTCTAGTTTCTGAGTGTACAGCTGTTCATAATAGCCTCTGATAATTTTTTGTATTTCTGCAGTATCAGTTATAATGTCACTGTTTTCATTTCTGATTGTGTTTACTTGGATCTTCTCTCTTTTTCTCTCAGTCTAGCTAGTGGTTTACTAATTTTATCTTTTTGAAGAACCAACTTTTCATTTCATTGATCCTTTGTATTTTTTATTGTCTCTACTTTATTTAATTCTGCTCCAATCTTTATTATTTTTTTGTTCTGATATCTTTAGGTTTGATTTGTTCTTTTTCTAGTTCCTTGAAGTGCAATGCTGGGTTCTTGTTTTTTATCTTTCTACTTTTTGATGCAGGCATTTAATGCTACAAATTTCCGTCTTAGCACTGCCTTTGCTGTATCCTACAGGTTTTGGTATATTGTGTTTTTATTTTCATTCACTTATTTCTTTTTTAAATTCCATATTAATTTCTTCATTGACTCAGTGATGGTTCAAGACCATGATGTTTAATTTTTCTGTATTTGTATAGTTTCCAATATTCTTCTTGGTGTTGATTCATAGCTTTATTCCACTGTGGTCTGACAAGATTCTTGACATTATTTTGATTGTTACAAATTTGTTAAGACTTGTTTTGTGGCCTAACATGTTCTATCTTGGAGAATGTCCCAGGTGCTGATGAAAAGAATGTAGAATGTTCTGTAAATGTCTATTAAGTCAATTTGGTCTAAAGTCCAACTTAAGTCCAATGTTCCTAGTTTTTTTATAGTCTCAGGTCTTATTTTTAGGTCTTTAATCTATCTTAATTTGATTTTTGTATACGGTGAAAAGTAGGAGTCCAGTTTCATTCTTCTACTTATGGATATCTAATTTTCCCAGCACCATGTAGTGAAGAGGGTATTCTTTCCCCAGTGTGTGTTCATAGCACCTTTTCAAAACTCAGTTTGCTATAAACATGTATGTGGATTTATTTATGAGTTCTTTATTTTGCACCATTATTCTACATGTGTATTTTATACACCAATACCATGCTGTTTTGTTTACTGTAGTCTTGTAATATATTTTGAAGTCATGTAATGAAATGCCTCCAGATTTGTTCTTTTTACTCAGAATTACTTTGGATCTTTGGGCTCTTTTTTGGTTCAAAATAAATTTTAGTATGGTTATTTTTCTATTTCTGTGAAAAATAACATTGGTATTTTGATAGAGATTACAATGAATCTGTAGATTGCTTTCGGCAGTATGTCCATTTTAGTGATGTTAGTTCTTCAGATTGGTGAGTGTGGAATGTATTTCCATTTGTTTGTGTCCTTTTCAATTTCTTTCATTGGTGTTTTGCAGTTTTTCCTGTAACGATCTTTCATCTCCTTGGTTAAATTTATTCCTAGATTTGTTTGTAGCTATTGTTAATGGTATTGCCTTCTTGATTTCTTTTTCAGCTATTTAAATATTGGCGCATAGAAACAATAGTGATTTTTGTATGTTGATTTTGTATCCTGCAACTTCATTGAATTTGTTTATCACTTCTAAGAATGTTTTGGTGGAGCCTTTGGTATTTTTTAATATAAAATTATGTCATCTGCAAAGAGGGACAGTTTGACTTCTTCTTTTCCAATCTGGATGCCTTTGATTTTTTTTCTCTTGCCTGATTGCTCTGGCTAGGACTTCCTGTACTATTCTGAATGAGAATGTTAAAAGTGGGCATTTTTGTCTTTTGCCAATTGTTAGAGGAAAGGCTTTCAATTTTTTACCAATCAGTATGATGTTAACTGTGGGTTTGTCACATGTGGCCATTATTATTCTGAGGAATGCTCCTTCTATGTAGGGTTTATTGAGAGTTTTTATCATTAAGGGATGTTGAATTCTATCAAATGCTTTTTCTGCATCTATTGAGATAACATAGTTTTGCCCTTCTTCTGTTGATGTGATGTGTCATGCTTAACAATTTGCATGTTATCTAATATCTGTGTATCTGTATAGTTTCTAAAGTCCCCTTGGTCCCTTGGTATTCATTTCTAGTTTCACTTTTTGTTTTTTGTGTTTTTTTGGTTTTTTTGTTTGTTTGTTTTTTGTGGAGATGGAGTTTCACTCTTGTTGCTCAGGCTGGAGTGCAATGGTGCGATCTCTGCTCACCGCACCCTCTGTCTCCCGGGTTCAAGCAATTTTCCTGCCTCAGCCTCCCGAGTTGCTGTGATTATAGGCATGTGCCACCATCCCCAGCTAATTTTGTACTTTTAGTAGAGACGGGGCTTCTCCATGTTGGCCACGCTGGTCTCGAACTCCTGACCTCTGGTGATCCACCCACCTCAGCCTCCCAAAGTGTTAGGATTACAGGGATGAGCCATCACACACGGCCGATTTCTAGTTTTATTCCACTGTGGTCTGAGGAAATACTTGATATAATTTCGGTTTTTAAAAATTTGTTGAGACTTGTCTTGTAACCTAACATACAATCTATCCTAGAAAATGTTCCATGTGCTGATGAAAAGAATATATAATCTGCGGTGTTGGATAAAATGTTTTATAAGTGTTTGTTAGGTTCATTTGGTCTAAAGTCCAGCATAAACCAATGTTTCCTTGTTGATTTTCTGTCTAGATTATCTGTCTAATGCTGCATTTGGGGTGATGAAGTTCCCCACTATTATTGTATTAGAGTCTCTCTCTCTCTCTCTCTCTCTCCCTCCCTCTCTCTCTGTCTGTTTATATGTAGTAATATTTGCTTGATGAATCTGGGTGCTCCAGTTTTGGATGCAAATATATTCAGAATTGTTATATCCTCTTGCTGGATTGATCTCATTATTATCATATAATGATCTTCTTTGTCTTTTTTTTTTTACTATTTTTGATTTAGTCTGTTTTATCTAAGTGTAGCTATTTATGTTCACTTTTGGTTTCATTTATGTGAAATATCTGCTTTCTATTCATTTTCTTTCCATTTATATGTGTATTTACAGGTACAGTGCATTTCTTCTACACAGCATATCGTTGGATCATGGTTTTTATAATCCACTCAGCCAGTATATATCTTTTAAGTGGAGAACTTAATCCATTTACATTCAAGGTTATTATTTATATGCATGATTTTGTTTCTGTTATTTTGTTGAATATCTTTTTGGTTATTTTATATATTCCTTGTTCCTTTCTTTTTTTCTTATTGTTTGTCATTGCAATTTGATAATCTTCTGTACTGGTACCATTTGAATCATTTTTCTTCCTCATTTGTGTGTCTGCTTTACCAGTGAGTTTTATACTTCATGTGCTTTCATTATGATAAATGTCCTTTTGCTTCCTTGTTTAACATCCTCTTGAGCATTTTTTGTAGGGTCAGTATAGTAGTAATGAATTCCCTCAACTTTTGCTTGTTTGAGAAATACTTTATTTCTCCTTCGTTTATGAAGAATCATTTCACTGGATATAGTATCCTTGACTGGCAGAGTTCTTTTTCTTTCATCACTTAGAATATACTATCTCATTTTCTTCTAGTCTGTAAGGTTTCTGATGAAAAACCTGCTGTTAGTCTGATGAGGGTTCTCTATGAATATATGCTTTTCTCTTGATATTTTTAGAACTCTCTCCTTGTCTTTGACTTTAGACGGTTTTACAATAATGTGCCATTGAGAACACCTTTTGCATTGTATCTGTTAGGGAGTCTCAGAAACTCCTGTATCTCTTGCTCAACTTGGTAAGTTTTCATCTCTGATTATGTTAAATAGGTTTTCTAACACTTTCGTGTTCTCTTTGTCTTCTGGGTCCTTGATAATACAAGCATTTGGTCACTTTACAGCGTTCTACATTTCAAAAAGGCTTTGCTCATTCTTTTTTTTTTTTTGTCTGACTGTATTATTTCCAAGACATTTCTTCAAGTTCTGAGATTTTTCTACTTGTTCTAGACCATTGTTGAAGCTTGCAAATGTCTTTTGTATTTCAGTCAATGAATTATTTATTCCAGAATATATGTTTGATTCTTTTTATTTTATATATAATATTTTATATATATTATAAAATATGTATAAAATTATGGTGATGGTGGTGGCTGCAATTGGCTAAGCAGGCCAATCTCCAGGCCCATAGACGGTGTGTAATATATATTATATATTAAATATATATAAAACATATATTATATATTAAATATATATATATCTTTGGTAAATTTGTGATTTATATTCTTGTTTTTTCTGATGTTTGGTATTTTTTTCAGAATTTTCTTGTATCTCACTGAGCTAAGTAAGAATAAATAATTAAAATTCCTTTTCCAAGATTTCATAAAATTTATTTTTGATTAGGATCTGTTGCTGATGCATTGTATTATTTGGGAGGTGTCATATTTCCTTGCTTTTTCATGTTTCTTGTATCCTTGCATTGATATATGTGCATCTAATATAATAGTCACTTGTTCCAATTTTTTGAACTTCCTTTTTTAGGGGAGGACTTTTTCCTGAAAATGTACCCATGGTGTTGACTGGGTAGGGCACTTTCACTGTAATCCTGAATGCATACAGTAGTGTGGTCTATGCATGATTTCTTCAGCTGTAAACTGCATCAGTGGTATTTCTTATTTCCTCCATGGCTTAAGGTGTAGTTATTAGTAGAGGCTGGGATATGGTTTTCTGTAACCCCACCCAAATCTCATCTTGAATTGTAGCTCTCATAATCCCCACATGTTGTGGGAGGGACCCAGGGGGAGGTAATTGAATCATGGGGGCAGTTACCTCCATGCTGTTCTCATAATAGTGAGTTCTCACGAGATCTGATGGTTTTAAAAGGGGCTTTTCCCACCCTTCGCTCTGCACATCTCCTTGCTGCTGCCATGTGAAGAACGATGTGTTTGCTTCCCCTTCCGCCTTGATTGTATGTTTCCTGAGACCTCCCCAGCTCTGCTGAACTGTGAGTACATTGAACCTTTTTTTTGGTTCCAAATCTTTGCTATTGTGAACAGTGCCGCAATAAACATACATGTGCATGTGTCTTTATAGCAGCATGATTTATAGTCCTTTGGGTATATACCCAGTAATGGGATGGCTGGGTCAAATGGTATTTCTAGTTCTAGATCCCTGAGGAATCGCCACACTGACTTCCACAATGGTTGAACTAGTTTACAGTCCCACCAACAGTGTAAAACTGTTCCTATTTCTCCACATCCTCTCCAGCACCTGTTGTTTCCTGACTTTTTAATGATCACCATTCTAACTGGTGTGAGATGGTATCTCATTGTGGTTTTGATTTGCATTTCTCTGATGGCCAGTGATGGTGAGCATTTTTTCATGTGTTTTTTGGCTGCATAAATGTCTTCTTTTGAGAAGTGTCTGTTCATGTCCTTCACCCACATTTGATGGGGTTGTTTGTTTTTTTCTTGTAAATTTGTTTGAGTTCATTGTAGATTCTGGATATTAGCCCTTTGTCAGATGAGTAGGTTGCAAAAATGTTCTCCCATTTTGTAGGTTTCCTGTTCACTCTGATGGTAGTTTCTTTTGCTGTGCAGAAGCTCTTTAGTTTAATTAGATCCCATTTGTCAATTTTGGCTTTTGTTACCATTGCTTTTTGTGTTTTAGACATGAAGTCCTTGCCCATGCCTATGTCCTGAATGGTAATGCCTAGGTTTTCTTCTAGGGTTTATATACAGCATAGAATACTATGCAGCCATAAAAAATGATGAGTTCATGTCCTTTGTAGGGACATGGATGAAATTGGAAATCATCATTCTCAGTAAACTATCGCAAGAACCAAAAACCAAACACCACATATTCTCACTCATAGGTGGGAATTGAACAATGAGAACACATGGACACAGGAAGGGGAACATCACACACTGGGGACTGTTGTGGGGTGGGGGGAAGGAGGAGGGATAGCATTGGGAGATATACCTAATGCTAGATGATGAGTTAGTGGGTGCAGCACACCAGCATGGCACATGTATACATATGTAACTAACCTGCACATTGTCCACATGTACCCTAAAACTTAAAGTATAATAATAAAAAAAAAAAAACCTTTTTTTTTTAATAAATTACCCAGTCTTGGGTATGTCTTTATTAGCAGCATGAGAACAGACTAATACAAGTTGTGATAAAGTTTTGCTGGAGACTGGGATGCCAAGTGAGCCAGTCTTCAAGACTCAGTGGTAGTAGCAGTAGGCTGAATGTGCATGTCCCTGGGCCCCAGGGCAGCATATGCTGGTATTGGTATTAGTGGGTCCAAGCAGGCCAAATATTGGGCTTCCAAGGAGTTTACTCAAATGCCAGTAGTGACAATGGTGGGCTAGGTGGATGGGTGGGTTAGTGGGCCCCTTGACAGCTGATGTAATTTGGGCAATGGCAATGGCAGTGGGAGGTCAACCCTCTAGTTCCCAAGTGGTGCATGCTGGTGATGGTGGTGGCTGCAATTGGCTAAGCAGGCCAATCTCCAGGCCCATAGATGGTGTGTGCCAGTAGATGCCAGCTGAAGTAGTAACAACTGAGTGACTAGGTCCACCTTCAGATCCTGGAAGGAGTGTTCATGTGCCAATGATGATGGAATGGGTTGGGCAATTCCCTGATCCCCAGACTGTGTGCTCCGACCCAGGGGTGGTGAAGCCAGGCCAGGAAGGCTTGTCCCTAGGCCCCTCAATGGTATTTGCAGGTACCAGCCATGGTGGGAAGGGGCAGGGTAATCCCCAGGCTAACTACTGGAATGCTTAGATGGGGTCCAGCAGCAAACATGCTGCTGCCCCGCCACTGGGGAGGCCAGGGCTGCCAGTGGGTGGGGAATGTGAGCACAACTCATGCCTCAGTCCTGGCAATACTTGCACCTCAGCCCCTGTTGTGATAGCTGATGCCACATTCATGGTTCAGCCCTTATGGCAGTATTCTGTGCCTCAGTCACACCTCAGCCCTAGGAACAACAATCTGCGTGTCTCTTATGCCTAAGCCCTAGTGCTGCTGAGCTCCAGGACAGAGCAGTCTGTTGGGGGTGGAGCTATAAAATGGCACCCTTCTCTAGGTGCTTATATCTCAAGGAATGTGTGAGCTCCTTTCTGGAGTAGTGCTGTTGCACAATCCACCAGCAGCTCTTTATGTTAGTTTCAGGGCCTGTGAGGGTCAATGTACTGTCCCCTGGCTAGGTTTGCTGGAGTCCATGGTGGGAATGTGGACCGCTGAGGTTCTCTCACTTACCCTTTCCCCATATTAAGGAGTCTTTCTCAGCTCCCAGCCAATCCTAACCAAGCAGGCTGCTTCAGTTCCTTCTTCTTTACTTTAGGTATTTCCTGTCACTTTTCTGTTGAGTTCCAGTGTTCTCTCTTGGATGATCTATTCAAAATGTGATTATCTAACTATTAGTTTCTTACTGGAAGAAGTGGGTACAAAATACCTCTAGTCAGCCATCTTGAAGCCCCTCCATCTGATTTTCTTTTTCATAAAACCTGAGCAGTTTATAATATGAGTTCCATAGGCCCAATTTAGTAGCTTCAGGGATTTTATAAACACTTAATCAGATTAAAATTTCTAGGAAATGCTACAGTTTTGCAAACCGAGTAAGGCAATGTCTATCTAATCCTGTTTTATCATGGAAGCACTCTGGTGGAATCACGCTATCCTTCCACTCAGAATCTCCTGGTAGAGCCTAGTTTCTGAGAATTATGACCAAACTCCTTAGCCTGTCAGAACGATCTTCATCATCAAACCTCAACATTCCTTTCTTCCTCCTAACAAGGCCTTCTCCTATTGCTATGTTCTAGCCCCATGGAAGCTATCATAATTTTCTTAAAACAATGCTCTTTCATGACTGAATGTCTTTACATATACTATTTCCTACCCCTAGAATGGTCTTTACTTCCTTTGTCATGTAATAAACTCCTTATTTCTTCTCTGACTCAAAAAAGTCACCCCCTCTGGGAATATCTGCCTAACTTCCCATTCAGGAAGACTTGGTTGTGTGGACCCCACTGCTTTTTGTAAATCTCTCCAATAGAACACTGATCACAAAACTGTAATTTGTAATTCTCACTTTATGTATCAATTTCTCATACACTGGGTTCCTCAAGGAAATAAGTACTCAACTTTATAGCCATATTATCTAGAAGAAAACTTGACATTTTGAAAGTAATTGTACAATACTTGTCTTTCTTTTTAAACCATAGATTATATGAGAAGAATGTTGCTTGCCATCCTTTTCATCATTGTATTCCTAGTGCCTAGCACAGAAAGTATGAGTTAATGTAGTTTTAGAAGGAAGAAGATAGTATCAGGAATGCATAATTAACAATAATTGGCAGCCAATTTAAGGTGAGAGATGAGAGAGGAGAGGTCAAGAATAATATTTAGTTTTCTGATATAGGCTCTTGGGTACATGATGATTTCATTCATTGAAATGGTGATCACTGGAGGAAGACAAGAGTGAAGGTGAATGGAAGGGTGAAGATTTGTATTTTATTCATTTAATACAGGTATTGTTTACTAGGCATCAGCTACTGTTTCAAGTGCTTTACAAATATTAACCCATTTAACCATCCTAGCAATCCCCTGTGGTAGGCACTTGTGTAATCCCCCTTTAACAGATATAGTGGAATCATAGATATTTTCAGAAATATTCCCAAGGCCACTCAGATATTAAGTGATGTAGATAAAATTCGAACTCAGTGAGTTCATTTCTAGAATTTATGTTCTTTACCACTATATATACCATTGAGTTTGTTTTTCCATATGTTACATTTTGGACAAATTCAATTTTGAACACATTGTATCTGAGATGCCCATGGAGAAACTCATTGACTGTTAGATATCTGTATGTTTAATCATAATAGATCTTGATAAGGGAAGGCATGTGGCTCAGCCTCTGAAGGAATTGGGATTTAAAGAATCATTATATAATAGCCAAAACTAATTTATTCACATTTCTTGAAACATTTCAGAGGATATCCCAATATACAATCTACAGCAATCCTTATTTAAACCCTCTTCTCTCTAATCAATTATCTTTACCCCACAAGGCCCCTAAAGCTCTAATCTCTTGCAAACCTAAGACAAAAGAACAGTTCTTCTTACCCCAGCTTTCTCAGCTTTATGTCTCTTTTCTCTTCTTCAACCCCTAAATTTTATTATATATAAATAGCCTCTCTTCCAGCAATAAATGATTGCTTCTTTTCAGGATATGAGGAGGAAAAAAGAAATTAGATGGCAATTACAAGATTATTTTTGGAGGACTGATGAATGAGAAGAGTCTGTAAATACTATCACATTCAAACATTTTATTCTGCCATACGTGGATCTGGAGCTCAAGAAAGAAGTCTGTACAATTCATGTTAGGAATCATTTGCATACAGGTAAAAATGAAACTGCATGAATAAGATCAGTCAGAGAGAGTATGTACATGTAGAAGAAAAATGAGCTAAAGATTAATCTCAGACAAGCCAGTATAACCAGACAGTAAAGACTCTATGAGGGAGATATCAAAGAAGCAGTCTCAAACTTTAAACCAGTAGAAGTGGGAGAGAGTGGTATTTTAGAAATCAAGAAAATACAGTTTCAAAAAGGGAATAGTGTGGCCAGTAGCCTTGAACACTGCAGAAAGAACAAGTAAAATAAGGTCTCAAGAATGTCTTGTTGGCGCTTGCAATATAAAGTTCAGTTGGTTCCTTGTCTAAATTACGTTCAGTGGAGTGGTAAGCTCCAAAATTACAGTGGATTGATGAATATCTGAAAATGACAAAGGTAGAAAGAGTGAGTACAGGCTTACTTCATTTTATTGTGCTTCACTTTATTGTGCTTTGCATAGTTTATCTTATCTTTTTAAAAAATCTGAGATATAATCCACATATCATAAACTCTCTATTTTAAGTATACAGTTTAAATGGTGGTTCTATTTTCAGTTATAAAGATTTGAAGAAATCTTTATATTGTTTCTGTACATCATTTGGACGATGGATACACTAAACCCTTAGACTTCTCCACTGCACAGTAACAAATTTACATTTACATCCCTTGCATTTATACAAATAACAAAATAAAATATATGATACAGTAGCTTTTAGTGTATTCACAAGGTTATATCAACATCAGCACTATCTAATTGCAGAATATTTATTACCACAGAAAGAAACCCTAAATATATTAGCAGTTCTTCACCATTTCGCATTCCCTTCTTCCCTTTGATTCTAGCAGCCACTAATATATTTTTTCCTTCATGACTGTTCCTATATAGGACAATTCATATGAGTGAAATAATATAAAATGTGGCTTTTTGTATCTGACTTCTTTCACTTAGCATAATGTTTTCAAAATTCATTCATGTTGTAGTACATATCAGCACTTCATGTCATTGTGGCTAAATAGTACTCCATTGAACAGATATACCACATTTTATTTGATCATTCATCAGTTCATGAACATTTGTACTTTTTTCACTTTTTGTCTATTATAAATAAAGGCTGCTACTGTATAAGTTTTTGTGTAAACATATGTTTTCAAATTTCTTGTGTATATACCTAGGAGTGAAATGTTTGGGTTGTATAACTCTAACATTTTGAAGAAACACAAGACTATTTGCCAAAGTGGCAGTACCATTTTATTTTATTTTATTACTTTTTTTATTTTCATAGTTTATTGAGGAACAGATGGTATTTGGTTACCTGAGTACATTCTTCAGTGGTGATTTGTGAGATTTGGGTGCACACATCACCCAAGCAGTATACACTGCACCCAATTTGTGGTATTTTATCCCCCACCTCCTTCCCACCCTTTCACCCTGAGTCCCCAGAGTCCATTGTGTCATTGTTATGCCTTTGCATCCTCATAGCTTAGCTCCCAATTATGAGTAAGAGCATACAAGATTTGTTTTACCATTCCTGAGTTACTTCACTTAGAATAATAGTCTCCAATCTCATCCAGGTCTCTTTATCCACTTGTTGATTGATGGGCATTTGGGTTGGTTCCATGATTTTGCAATTGTGAATTGTGCTGCTATAAACATGAGTGTGCAAGTATCTTTTTCGAATAATGACTTTTTTTCCTCTGGGTAGATATGCGGTAGTGAGATTGCTGGAAAAAATTGTAGTTCTATTTTTAGTTTTTTAAGGAATCCCCACAGTTTTCCATAGTGGCTGCACTAGTTTACATTCCCACTAGCAATGTAGAAGTGCTGCCTGTTCACCGCATCCATGCCAACTTTTATTATTTTTTGATTTTTTGATTATAGCCATTCTAGCAGGAGTAAGGTGGTATCACATTGTGGTTTTGGTTTGCATTTCCCTAATAATTAGTGATGTTGAACATTTTGTCATATGTTTATTGGACATTTGTATATCTTCTTTTGAGAATTGTCTATTCATGTCCTAAGCCCACTTTTTGATAGGATTGTTGTTTTTTTTTTTCTTGCTAATTTGTTTGAGTTCATTGTAGATTCTGGATATTAGTCCTTTGTGAGATGTATAGATTGTGAAGATTTTCTCCCACTTTTTGAGTTGTCTGTTTACTCTGTTGACTGTTCCTTTTGCTGTCCTAAAGCTCTTTAGTTTCATTAAGTCCCAACTGTTTATGTTTGTTTTTATTGCATTTGCTTTTGGCTTCTTGATCATGAAATCCTTGCCTAAGCCAATGTCTAGAAGGGTTTTTCCAATATTATCTTCCAGAATTTTTATAGTTTCAGGTCTTAGATTTAAGTCCTTGATCCATCTTGAGTTGATTTTCATATAGGATGAGAGATGAGGATCCAGTTTCATTCTCCCACATGTGGCTTGCCAATTATCCCAACACCATTTGTTGAATAGGGTGTCCTTTCTCTATTTTATGTTTTTGTTTGCTTTGTCAAAGATAAGTTAGCTGTAAGTATTTGGGTTTATTTCTGGGTTCTCTACTCCATTCCATTGGTCTATGTGCCTATTTTTATACCAGTACCATGCTGTTTTGATGACTATGGCCTTATAGTATAGTTTGAAATCAGGTAATGTGATGCCTTCAGATTTGTTCTTCTTATTTAGTCTTGCTTTGGCGTGCAGGCTCTTTTTTGGATTGACTTTTAGGATTGTTATTTCTAATTCTGTGAAAAATGATGGTTGTATTTTGATGGGAATTGCATTGAATTTGTAGATTGCTTTTGGCAGTATGGTCATTTTCACAATATTGATTCTACCCATCCATGAGCATGGATGTCTTTCTATTCGTTTTTGCCATCTGTTATTTCTTTCAGCTATGTTTTGTAGTTTTCCTTGTAGAGGTCTTTCACATCCTTGGTTAGGTATATTCCTACATACTTAATTTTTTTTTTGCAGCTATTGTGAAAGGGGTTGAGCTCTTGACTTGACCCTCAGCTTGATCACTGTTGGTGTATAGCAGAACTACTGATTTATGTACATTAGTTTTGTATCCTGAAACTTTGCTGAATTCATGTATTCTAGGAGCTTTTTGGAAGAGTCATTAGGGTTTTCTAGGTATAAGATCATATCATCAGCAAATAGTGACAGTTTGACTTCCTCTTTACCAATTTGGATGCCCTTAATTTCTTTCTCTTGTCTGATTGTTCTGGCTAGGGCTTCCAGTACTATGTTGAATAGAAGTGGTGAGAGTGGGCATGCTTGTCTTGTTCCAGTCCTGAAGGTGAACTCTTTCAACTTTTCCCCATTCAGTATAATATTGATTGTGGGTTCGTCATAGACCGGTTTTATTACCTTAAGGTATGTCCCTTGTATGCTGATTTTTGCTGAGGGTTTTAATCATAAAGGGATGCTGGATTTTGTCAAATGTTTTTTCTGTGTGTATTGAGATGATCATGTGATTTTTGAAAATTCTGTTTATGTGGTGTATCACATTTATTGGCTTACATATGTTAAACTATCCCTGCATCCCTGGTATGAAACCTACTTGATCATGGTGGATTATCTTTTTGATATGCTGTTGGATTTGGTTTACTAGTATTTTGTTAAGAATTTTAGTATCTATGTTCATCAGGGATATTGGTCTGTAGTTTTCTTTTTTTAAATGTCCTTTCCTGGTTTGGGTATTAGGGTGATGCTGGCTTCATAGAATGATTTAGGGAGGGTTTCTTATTTCTCTATTTTGTGGAATGGTGTCAACAGGATTGGTACCAAATCTTCTTTTAATGTCTGGTAGAATTCTGCTGTGAATCCGTCTGGTCCTGCAATTTTTTTGTTGGTAATTTTTTTTTTACCATTTCAATCTCACTGCTTGTTATTGGTCTGTTCAAGGTATCTAATTCTTTCTGATTTAAGCTAGGCGGATTGTATCTTTTCAGGAATTTATCCATCTCCTCTAGGTTTTCTAGTTTATGCCCATAAAAGTGTTCATAGTAGCCTTGAATGATCCTTTGTGTTTCTGTGGTGTCAGTTGTAATATCTCCTGTTTCGTGTCTAATTGAGCTTATTTGGATATCCTTTCTTTTTTTTTTGGCTAACCTTGCTAATGATCTATCAATTTTATTTATCTTTTCAAAGAACCAGGTTTTTGTTTTATTTATCTTTTGCATCGTTTTTTGTTTGTTTGATTCAATTTCACTTAGTTCTGCTCTGATCTTGGTTATTTCATTTCTTCTGCCAGGTTTGGGTTTGGTTTCTTTTTGTTTCTCTAGTTTTTTCAGGTGTGACCTTAGATTGTCTGTTTGTGCTCTTACAGACTTTTTGATGTAGGCATTTAGGGCTATGAACTTTCCTCTTAGCACCACCTTTGCTGTATCCAACAGGTTTTGTTAGGTTGTGTCACTATTGTTCAGTTCAAAGAATTTTTTAATTTCCATCTTGAATGCATTTTTGATCCAATGATCATTCAGGCGCAAGTTGTTTAATTTCCATGTTTTTGCATGGTTTTGAAGGTTCCTTTTGGAATGATTTCCAGTTTTATTTCACTGTGGTCTGAGACAGTGCTTGATAAAATTTCAGTTTATTGTAAATTTATTGAGGCTTGTTTTGTGGCCTGTTATATGGTCTGTCTTGGAGAAAGTTACACGCACTGTTGAATAGAACGTATATTCTGCTATTATTGGGTAGAACGTTCTGTATATATCTGTTAAGCCCATTTGTTCCAGGATATAATTTAAATCCATTGTTTTGTTTGTTTGTTGATTTTCTGTCTTGATGACCTGTCTAGTGCTGTCAGTGGAGTATTGAAGTCCCCACTATTATTGAGTTGCCATCTATCTCATTTCTTAGGTCTATTAGTAATTTTTTTATTAATGTGGGAGCTCCAGTGTTAGGTGCATATACATTTACGATTGTGTTATTTTCCTGTCGGACTAGTCCTTTTATCATTATATAATGTCCCTCTTTGTCTTTTTAAACTGCTGTTACTTTAAAGTTTGTTTTGTCTTATATAAGAATAGCTACTCCTGATTGCTTTTTTGTGTTCATTTGCATGGAATGTCTTTTTCCACCCATTTACCTTAAGTTTATGTCAGTCCTTAAGTGTTAGGTGAGTCACTTGTGGCAGCAGATAGTTGGTTGGTGACTTCTTATTCATTCAGCAATTCTGTATCTTAAGTGGAGCATTTAGACCATTTACGTCCAATGTTAGTATTGAGATGTGAGGTACCATACAATTCATCATGCTATTTGTTGCCTGTATACCTTGGTTTTTTGTGGGGTTTTTTATGGTATTTTTGTTTTATAGATCCTGTGATATTTATGCTTTAAGGAGGTTCTGTTTTGATGTGTTTCCAGGATTTGTTTCAACATTTAGAGCTCCTTTTAGCAGTTCTTGTAGTGCTGGCTTGGTAGTGGCAAATTCTCTCAGCATTCGTTTGTCTGAAAAAGACTGTATCTTTTCTTCATTTATGAAGCTTAGTTTCTCTGGATACAAAATTCTTGGCTGATAATTGTTTTGTTTGAAGAGGCTGAAGATAGGGCCCCAATCCTTTCTAGCTTATAGGGTTTCTGCTCAGAAATCTGCTGTTAATCTGATAGGTTTTCCTTTATAGGTTACCTGGTGCTTTTGTCTCACAGCTCGTAAGATTCTTTCCTTCGTCTTAACTTTAAATAACCTGATGACAATGTTCCTAGGTAATGATCTTTTTGTGATTACTTTTCCAGGTGTTCTTTGAGCTTCCTGTACTTGGATGTCTAGGTCTCTAGCAAGGCTAAGGAAGTTTTCCTTGATTATTCCCCCAAATATATTTTCCAAACTTTTAAATTTCTCTTCTTCCTCAGGAACACCTATTATTTTTAGGTTTGGCCTTTTAATGTAATCCCAGACTTCTTGGAGACATTGTTCATATTTTATTATTCTTTTTTTTTTTTGTCTTTGTTGGATTGGGTTAATTCAAAGACCTTGTCTTCAAGCTCTGAAGTTCTTTCTTCTGCTTGTTCGATTATATTGCTGAGACTTTCCAGAGCATTTTGCATTTCTATAAAGGCATCTGTTGTTTCCTAAACTTTCGATTGTTTTTTCTTTATGCTATCTATTTCATTGAATATTTCTCCCATCATTTATTGTATCTTTTTTTTTTTTTAATTTCCTTAGATTGGGTTTTGTGTTTCTCTGGTGTCTCCCTGATTAGCTTAATAACTAACCTTCTGAATTCTTTTTCAGGTAAATCAGGAATTTCTTCTTGGTTTGGATCCATTGCTGGTAAGCTAGTGTGATTTTTGAGGGGATGTTAAAGGACCTTGTTTTGTCGTATTACCAGAGTTGGTTTTCTGGTCCCTTCTCATTTCAGTAGGCTCTGTCAGAGGGAAGGTCTAGGGCTCAAGAGTGTTGTTCAGATGTTTTGTCCCATGGGATATTCCCTTGATGTAGTACTCTCCCCCTTTTCCTAGGAATGTGGTGAGCTGTAGTGATTGTTACCTCTCTTCTGGATCTAGCCACCCAGCAAATCTACCAGTCTCCAGGCTGGTACTGGGGGTTGTCTGCACAGAGTCCTGTGATGTGAACCATCTGTGGGTCTCTCAGTCATGGATGCCAGCACAGTATTTGGGGTGTCTCCCAGATGCTGCAGGAGCAATCTGCTTCCTTCAGAGGGTTTGTGGGTTCTCTCGGCTTTCCTAATGTATTCCTGCAGTTGTTCTGGGGCAAAAGTTCATGATGTGAGCCTCCACATGCTGCTCTGTCTGTCTGAGTGGGAGCTGCAATCTAGTCTTGCATCCCATCTGCCATGATCCCCCTGACAGCAGCACCATTTTATATTCCACCAGGAATGTATATTTCTCTATATCCTGTCCAACACTTGTTATTATCTATCTTTTTATTATGTCCATCCTAGTGTGGGAGAAGCAGTATCCAAATGATTTTGATTTGCATTTACTTCATATGGCTAATGATGTTAAGCATTTTTGCTGTGCTTAGCTTCCATTTGTATATTTTCTTTGGAGAAATGTTTATTCAAATTGTTTGCCCATTTTTAAGCTGGGTTTTCTCTTATTGTGCAGTTATCAAGAGTTCTTTATATATTCCTGATAAAAGATACTTGTCAGATATATAATTTGGAAATGATTGCTAACATTCTGCAAGATATCTTATCACTTTGTTTATAGTATCCTTGGGTCCACAAAAAATGTAATTTTGATGAAATTCAGTTTTTTGAATTCATTTTTTTCATTCATCAAAAAATAGAAAAAATTCTATTTTCCTGTAGCTTCTTTTGCTTTAGGTGTCTTGTCTGTGAAACTGTTGCCTAATTCTAGGTCATAAATATTTACACTTATGTTTTATCCTAAGAGTTTTATAGCATTAGTTCTTACACTTGAAACTTTGATTTAATTTGTGTTGATTTTGGTATACGGTGTGAGGTAGAGGATTAAGTTCGTTCCTTTACATATGCTTATGTAGTTGTCTCAGCACCTTTCTTTTTTCTTTTTCTTTTTCTTTTTTTTTTTTTTTTAAACTACATTCTTGGCCGGGCGTGGTGGTTCATGCCTATAATCCCAGTGCTTTGGGAGGCTGAGGTGGGCGGATCATGAGGTCAGGAGATGGAGAACATCCTGGCCAGCATGGTGAAACCCTGTTTCTACTAAAAATACAAAAATTAGCAGCACGTGGTGGCATATGCATGTAATCCCAGCTACTCGGGAGGCTGAGGCAGGAGAATTGCTTGGTGAGGGAGTCAGAGGTTCCAGTGAGCCGAGATCGCGCCACTGCACTCTAGCCTGGAGACAGAGCGAGATTCTGTCTAAAAAAAAAGACTACATTCTCTCATTATTAAATTTTCTTGGTATCTTTGTCAAGAATCAATTGACCATAGGGTTTATGTCTGAACTATCTATTCTATTCCACAGATATATATGTTTATCCTTAGGCCAATACCACGCTATTTTGATTTTTGTTTTTGATTTTATGTCTGAACTATCTATTCTATTCCACAGATATATACATATATCCTTAGGCCAATACCACACTATTTTGATTTTTGTTTTTTGTAGTAAGTTTTGAAATTGGAAAGTGTAATCTTCCAATTCTTTTGAAGATTATTTGGCTATTCTAATTTCCTTGAATTTTCATAGAAATTTTTTAATCAGCTTGCCCATTTCTGCAAGCTAACACTTTTCAAAGTCCCCTAAGGTCATCTAATTCCTCAGCTTTTCCTTTTTAAGTTTTTAATTAGCTCATTATTTACCCCAGCTGTTATCCACCACCTCAAGTTGCTATGATGCTAAACAATTGCTGCTGATTATTTTTGACAAATACTTTTGGTAAAAGTCAATTTGCACCAGGCAAGTCCAGGCATGTAAAAACAAACGTTGTGAATTGGGTCTTCCAGAGAACCACTAAACAAATTGAATAAAGACAATTATCCCTCCCACCGCCACAATCTCCCAGTTGCTGACAAGCTGTTGTTTACCTGCAGAGTCGGGAAAAGGGAAATTGAAAAAGGCAAGTAAAAATGCCATAAAACTCACTGATCTTACTGTGTTTCAGCCATTTTTCTTAAATGTATACTTCCTGGAATGATGCAAATCTTTGGTTAGCTTTCAGAGTTATGAAAAAGAAGATTCTGACAATTTTTTCCAGTATCTGCATTGCATTTATAAAGAGGAGGATTTTCGCTGGTCCTTACTCTGCCATTCCCACTATTTTACTAGATGCTGAGATTGCAATGTCTACACCCTGCTGCATCTTCACATCATTTATTTGATGTCAATCCAGCATCAAACAAGGTTGACTTGCCTGATCATTTAATCAGCTTTTTAGCATCTTGGAGACAGTTTTAAGAAATAAAAGTCAAAGGAATGATGACAACCTTGGAATGATCTTAACTCCTGAATAAAGTTGGAAATAAGCTAAAAACTGCTGAAATTTATGTGTTCCAACTTTTAAGAAAGTTAAGAAGCCAAGGATAGATGTTCTAAGCACAGAAAAAAGTGGGTGCTTCAATATTTCATGAATTTAACAGAAAGCAGAAAAAAATGCCACAGATTTTCACATTCCACCAATATTTCTATCTTAAAGAAATTAAATTAACTGTAACGACCATCATCATACTTCATACTCTGCTTTCTACCACACTGTACTGAAATCGCAGTGCTGTCCCTCACTCAAAATTTATCAGATTAATACTGTTCGTTGCATTCACTTTTACTTAATTACAAAATAATTACCAATAATGAGTTTCTTATTGAAATTATTTTTATCAAAATGGAATAACTTCATCACAAAGAGGCTTCTGGCCATGTCCAAGTCAAATATATGTGATCTTTCTGTTGTCTGTCATTATCATTAACCACTTTCTCTTTTTAGAGATTTCCTACTCCTTTGTCTTCTTTACAGTATCCTCTTTTAATTAGCCATCTATCTCTCAAACCTTCCTTTCTCTACCTCACTGGGAAGTTTCTCTTCCTCCTTCTTAAACCTCAGTATTTCCCAGGGCTCCATTCTCAACCCTATTATTCTCACCCTGTATGTTGTCATAATTGATGTTATCTTCTTCCACACTTCAGTTACTGTCTATGAAATTATGAATCTCAGATCTGTATTTTCAGCTATAATCTCTCTCCTAAACTATACATGCAGAATATCCAGCTATTCACTGGTTATTTGATTCTAATTTTTCTACAGGTAACTAAAATGCAACATGTCAAGAAATAAATTGATCATTTCCCTCACCCCAAACATTAGACACAATCTGATGGATTAATAGGTCCATACATTCAGAACATTCCATGGAATAACCCAAAGTAAACAAATTCTAATGACAAAAAACAATAAGGGGGAAAAAACTCTTTCGAAAGTCATATGCAGATGATCAACCCACATCCTAAGGCTGAAATAATGGTTAACACTACTGTGTGTTTGAGTAAGGCTAAGCACATGGTTTGGAGTCTTTGGTGACAGAATAAATAAACCTTTTAGAAATTATGAAGACATAAATCCTCAGGCAGAAGACTTGAGAGAACAAGTTCTATGTGACCAGGTCAGCACAATGATAGTTTAAAGAAATTTTGGAATAGTTCTCAGGGACATGGCTCACTTTGGGTTTGCTTTGGATTACTCTTAAGGAAAGAGTCATACTTTAAACAAGGAATAACAAAAAATCTAGGAACCAGAATTCAGAGACTTTGCTTCTTCTGTGATAACAGGATTGGAAAAAAAAATTGAAAAGATTGAATGATTCAATAGGTTAAACTATGAGTGTTAGCTAATCTATAAGTGAAACAAAGAGGACTTGAGTAGGACCAGCAATGCTTTAAGGCAAGCCAAGCTCAATAGAAGAATGTGTGATTTTGTACTTGCAATTTACCAGGATTGTAGTGAATGCTATATCGTGGGAAAACTGTAAAGATCACATAATAAGATCATTTGAACATGAGACACAGAGAGGACAAGAAGCACATTCAGAGTCACACAGTTATGGAATGATAATGACAGGCAAAGTTCGTTGGTAGAAAAGAATCTCTAAGATTCCTAATTTTGGTGTGGTGCTACTTCTATTGTATCATATTTGTTTACTCTGTGATAAAATAGTTATTTTACACAATGACTGTGTATGAGTCACACTGCAGGGAACACTGAGGGGGCAGTATACCACAAGAAATGTAAAAGGGGCATTTACCTACTATCCCAAGGGTTCAGTCTTTGAAGAAAAAATTGCCCCAATCCTTTGGTAGGCAGAAGCAGAAAAATGTCTAAGCTATGCAGAACACAGCCAAGAAGTGCTGGGGTGGAGATGTTTACTTACTCATTTGGTTGTAAATATATTTTATTACAAGTTATTGCATAAAAATCTTAAAACTAATTGGGGCAGCAAATGGGTTAAAGCTCTTTAAAAACCTAGAAAAATATACACCATTAAAAGTCAGCCTGTGCATCTTTGCCTTGTCAGCTGCTGTGTTTGTGCAGACACCAGCAACCTCAGGCTGTGTTGTCCCTGCAGAGAGAAGGAGCTGCTATGCAGAGAATCACTTGTTTTTAGCCAAGGCCATTTCATCATTTTGAGTTCTTCAGGACAGAAAAACGCTTACAAAGCAAAAGGCAGTAAAATAATTAGGTGCAAGGTAATGGTTGAGCAGTTCATTTAATATATTTATGTAATTCCTAATGTGTTGCACTTTGGGGTTTCCTTGAAATAAGACACAGCAACCATGTGTCCCAGAATTACTAGGACCTGATGCACCCACCAGCTGACAGCATGCCAAGGGAGAGAGCAGCAAGCAAAGGGAGTCTACAGGGCTTAAAGCATATCAATGCTGAATTCTCCCTGCAGCCATCTGCATACTGGGCCTGCTACTCTTAGGGTGCAGCGTTTTTCTAGGAGCTGCACACCAATCTAGGTGGAAAAGGAAATAGTGGAGATTGCCAAGATTCCTCTCTGAGATTCTGAAAATGAAAGACCTCTTCAAAAACATCATTTCACCTCATTTTCTCCCCATCCCAACCCCTACACCTCCTGCAAAGAGTCTATTCCCACCACCTGCAGAGCAATGCACTGAACAGAGGAAGAAAGCTAAATTAGCAAAGAACAGCACATGTGCCTTTCTGAGCCAAGTACTTACAGGCATTTCTCATCTAATCCTCAAAACAACCCTAATAAGTAGGAATTGTTAATATCTCTATTTTGCAGAAGAGGAAAAAAAGGCTTCAAGAAATGCACTGACATTCCCATAGTCATGCAGCTGGATCAAGCAAAGGTAGGATTTTAACCCACATAGTCTAGCTTCAATGCCCTATGTTCTTTCTGTTAAACTACGTCAATCTGTTTCTCAAATGAGGTAGCTCCAATGTTATCTCTTCTATGCACCCCTTCCCATCACCGTCCAGTGCTTTTTCCTATGCCCTCAAAGTTTTCTAATGGCATCGTTAATCTGCCTCTTAATATATTAGAGGTGTGCGTGTGTGTGTGTGTGTGTTTCCCTGGGACCCCTTGGAAAGCAGGGTCTGTTTCCAATACAAATCATAGACTCGCAGTTCTCCATCACAGGGCTCCTACAGAAAAGGTTCTTATTAATATTGATTGGACTGAGGTGAAGTTTTTCTTTTTAAAAATGTTTCATTGGAGTAGAATTCATATAACATAAAATTAATTATTTTAAAGTGTACAATTCAGTGGCAGTTACTATCTTCATAATATTGTGCAATCATCACCTCTATCTAATTCAGAAGCATTTTCATCATACTAAAAGAAAACTTCCTGCCCATTAAGTAGTCACTCCCCCTTCCCCACTCTCAGAGCCCCTGACAAGCAGCATTCTGCTCTCTATCTCTATGGATTTACCTATTCTGGATATTTCATATAAATGGACTAATACAATATGTGACCTTTGGTGTCTGGCTTCTGAGATTCATCCATGTTGTAGCATGTATCAGTATTTTGATCACTTTTATAGCTTAACAATATTTCATTGTATGGATACAACCAATTTTGTTTATTCATTTATCAGTTGATGGACACTTGGGTTGTTCCCATCTTTTGGGTTTTCTGAATAATGCTGCTACAAACTTTTCTGTACAAGGATATATTTAAATGTCTGAGCGCTTTTAAGAAAAGGAGCTTCTGAGTTGTATGTTAGCTCTATCTTTAACATTTAATGAAGCATAAAACTTTTCCAAAGTGGCTGCACTATTTTACATCCATACCAGGAAAGTATAAGGGTTCTAATTTCTCTATGTGCTTGCCAACATGATATTTTCCTTTGTTAAAAAAAATCATAGTCATCCTATTGGGCATGAAGTGATATTTCATTGTGGTTTTGATTTCCATTTCCCTAATGACTGATGATGTTGAGCATCTTTCATGTGTTTATCGGTCACTTATATATCTTCTTGGGAGAAATATGTTCTATTCAAGTCTTTTGCCCTTTTTTTGTCTTTTTGTTATTATGTTGTAGGAGTTTTTCTATATTCTGTATGTTAAGCTTGTATCAGAGTCATGATGTGCAAATGTTTCCTCCCATTTTTTTGTCTTTTCACTTCATTGATAATGTCTTTTGATGCCCAAAGTTTTTAGTTTTGATAAAACACAATCTATTTTTCCTTTTATTACTCATACTTTTAATATCATATCTACACAATCTATTGCCAAATCCAAGAGCATGAAGATTTGTAAAATGCTCTTCATCTTGTTGAGGAAGCTTCCTCTATTTCTAATTTAAGTGTTTTTATATTGTAAGGATGCTGGATTTGGTCCAGTGTTTTTTTTTCTGTATCAACTTAGAAGATTGTGTGTGCATTTTAAATTTTACTTATATGTTTTATTGCATGACTTGATTATTTTTATGTTGAACCTTGAATTCCTAGGAGGAAACCCACTCGACCATGGTGAACAATTTTTTTAATATGTTGCTAAATTCTTTTTCCTAGTATATTGTTGAGGATTTTTGCATTATTTTCATAAGGAATATTGGTCCTTTATTGTGATGTGTCTGTCTGGCTTGGTTATCTTAGTGAAGGTGAATTCATAGAATGAGTTAGGAAGTGCTTCTTCTGTATTTTTTGGAAGAACTTGAGAGGATTTGAGTTAATTATTCTTTAAATTATTGGTATAATTAACTAGTGAAGCCATCTGGTCCAAAACTTTTCTTTGGTGGGAGGTTTTTGGTTGACTGATTTAATCTCTTTACTTGTTATACATTTGTTGAGATTTTCTATTTCACCTTGAGTCGGTTTTGTTCATTTCACTGTTTCTAGGGATTTGCCAATTTTATTTAGGTTATCTAGTTTGTTGGCAAACAATTGGTCATAGCAATCTTTTATAATACTTTTTAATTCTGTCAAGTCAGTAGGAATGCTCCTAGTTTCATTTCTAATTTTACTTATTTGCACTTTTTTATTCTTTAACAGTCCTAACTAAAGGTTTAGCAATTTTGTTGATTTTTTTAAACAACCAATCTTTGATTTTGTTGATTCTCTCTGGTTGTTTATTCTCTATTTAATTTATCTCTGCTGTAATATTTATTCTTTAATTCCTACTGAAGCTTTGTGCTTAATTTGTTCTTCTTTCTCTAATTTCTTTATCATTATTATTATACTTTAAGTTCTAGGGTACATGTGCACAAACTGCAGGTTTGTTACATATGTATACATGTGCCATGTTGGTGTGCTGCACCCATTAACTCGTCATTTACATTAGGTATATCTCCTAATGTTATACCTCCTCCCTCTCCCCACCCCACGACAGGCCCCGGTGTATGAGGTTCCCCACCCTGTGTCCAAGTGTTCTCATTGTTCAATTCCCACCTATGAGTGAGAACATGCGGTGTTTGGTTTTCCGTCCTTATGATAGTTTGCTCAGAATGATGGTTTCCAGCTTCATCTATGTCCCTACAAAGGACATGAACTCATCCTTTTTATGGCTGAATAGTATTCCATGGTGTATATGTGCCACATTTTCTTAATCCAGTCTATCATTGATGGACATTTGGGTTGGTTCCAAGTCTTTGCTATCGTGAATAGTGCCACAATAAATATACATGTGCCTGTGTCTTTATAGCAGCATGATTTATAATGCTTTGGGTGCATGCCCAGTTATGGGATCGCAGGGTCAAATGGTATTTCTAGTTCTAGATCCTTGAGGAATCACCACACTGTCTTCCACAATGGTTGAACCAGTTTACAGTCCCACCAAGAGTGTAGAAGTGTTCCTATTTCTCCACATCCTCTCCAGCACCTGTTGTTTCCTGACTTTTTAATGATCGCCATTCTAACTGGTATGAGATGGTATCTCGTTGTGGTTTTGATTTGCATTTCTCTGATGGCCAGGGATGATGAGCATTTTTTCATGTGTCTGTGGGATGCATAAATGTCTTCTTTTGAAAAGTGTCTGTTCATATCCTTTGCCCACTTTTTGATGGGGTTGTTTGATTTTTTCTTGTAAATTTGTTTAAGTTCTTTGTAGATTCTGGATATTAGCCCTTTGTCAGATGGGTAGATTGCAAAAATTTTTTCCCATTCTGTAGGCTGCCTGTTCACTCTGACGGTACTTTTTTTTTTGCTGTGCAGAAGCTCTTTAGGTTAATTAGATCCCATTTGTCAATTTTGGATTTTGTTGCCATTGCTTTTGGTGTTTTAGTCATGAAGTCCTTGCCCATGCCTATGTCCTGAATGGTATTGCCTAAGTTTTCTTCTAGGGTTTTAATGGTTTTAGGTCTAACATTTAAGTCTTTAATCCATCTTGAATTAATTTTTGCATAAGGTGTAAGGAAGGGATCCAGTTTCAGCTTTCTACATATGGCTAGGCAGTTTTCCCAGCACTATTTATTAAATAGGGAATCGTTTCCCCATTTCTTGTTTTTGTCAGGTTTGTCGAAGATCAGATCGTTGTAGATGTGTGGTATTATTTCTGGGGGCTCTATTCTGTTCCATTGGTCTATATCTCTGTTTTGGTACCAGTACCATGCTGTTTTGGTTACTGTAGCCTTGTAGTATAGTTTGAAGTCAGGTAGTGTGATGCCTCCAGATTTGTTCTTTTGGCTTTGGATTGTCTTGGCAATGCAGGCTCTTTTTTGGTTCCATATGAACTTTACAGTAGTTTTTTCCAATTCTGTGAAGAAAGTCATTGGTAGCTTGATGGGGATGGCATTGAACCTATGTTACCTTGGGCAGTATGGCCATTTTCACAATATTGATTCTTCCTACCCATGAGCATGAAATGTTCTTCCATTTGTTTGTGTCCTCTTTTATTTCATTGACCAGTGGTTTGTAGTTCTCCTTGAAGAGGTCCTTCACATCCCTTGTAAGTTGGATTCCTAAGTATTTTATTCTCTTTGAAGCAATTGTGAATGGGAGTTCACTCATGATTTGGCTCTCTGTTTGTCTGTTATTGCTCTATAGGAATGCTTGTGATTTTTGCACATTGATTTTGTATCCTGAGACTTTTGCTGAGGTTGCTTATCAGCTTAAGGAGATTTGGGGATGAGAGGATGGGGTTTTCTAAATATACAGTCACGTCATCTGCAAACAGGGACAATTTGACTTCCTCTTTTCCTAATTGAATATCCTTTATTTCTTTCTCCTGCCTGATTGCCCTGGCCAGAACTTCCAACACTATGTTGAATAGGAGTGGTGAGAGAGGGCATCCCTCTCTTGTGCCAGTTTTCAAAGGGAATGCTTCCAGTTTTTGCCCATTCAGTATGATATTGGCTGTGGGTTTGTCATAAATAGCTCTTATTATTTTGAGATAAGTCCAATCAACACCTAGTTTTTGAGAGTTTTTAGCATGAAGGGCTGTTGAATTTTGTTGAAGGCCTTTTCTGCATCTATTGAGATAATCATGTGGTTTTTGTCTTTGGTTCTGTTTATGTGATGGATTATGTTTACTGATTTTTGTGTATGTTGAACTAGCCTTGTATCCCAGGGATGAAGCCAACTTGATCGTGGTGGATAAGCTTTTTGATGTGCTGCTGGATTCGGTTTGCCAGTATTTTATTGAGGATTTTTGCATCGATGTTCATCAGGGATATTGGTCTAAAATTCTCTTTTTTTGGTGTGTCTTTAACAGGCTTTGGTATCAGGATGATGTTGGCCTCATAAAATGAATTAGGGAGAATTCCCTCTTTTTCTATTTATTGGAATAGTTTCAGAAGGAATGGTACCAGCTCCTCTTTGTACCTCTGGTAGAATTTGGCTGTGAATCCATCTGGTCCTGGACTTTTTTTGGTTGGTAGGCTATTAATTATTGCCTCAATTTCAGAACCTGTTATTGGTCTATTCAGGGATTCAACTTCTTCCTGGTTTAGTCTTGGGAGGGTGTATGTGTCCAGGAATTTATCCATTTCTTCTAGATTTTCTAGTTTATTTCCGTAGAGGTGTATATAGTATTCTCTGATGGTAGTTTGTATTTCTGTGGGATCAGTGGTGATATCCCCTTTAACATTTTTTATTGCATCTATTTGATTCTTCTCTCTTTTCTTCTTTATTAGTCTTGCTAGCAGTCTATCGATTTTATTGATCTTTTCAAAAAACCAGCTCCTGGATTCATTGATTTTTTTGAAGGGTTTTTTGTGTCTCTATCTCCTTCAGTTCTCCTCTGATCTAAGTTATTTTTTACCTTCTGCTAGCTTTTGAACATGTTTGCTCTTGCTTCTCTAGTTCTTTTAAGTGTGATGTTAGGGTGTCAATTTTAGATTTTTCCTGCTTTTGGTGTGGGCATTTAGTGCTCTAAATTTCCCTCTACACATTGCTTTAAATGTGTCCCAGAGATTTTGGTATGTTGTGTCTTTGTTCTCATTGGTTTCAAAGAACATCTTTATTTCTGCCTTCATTTCATTATGTACCCAGTAGTCATTCAGGAGCAGACTGTTCAATTTCCATCTAGTTGAGCAGTTTTGAATGAGTTTCTTAATCCTGAGTTCTAGTTTGATTATACTGCGATCTGAGAGAAAGTTTCTTATAATTTCTGTTCTTTTGCATTTGCTGAGGAGTGCTTTACTTCCAGCTATGTGGTCAATTTTGGAAGAAGTGTGATGTGGTGCTGAGAAGAATGTATACTCCGTTGATTTGGGGTGGAGAGTTCTGTAGATGTCTATTAGGTCTGCTTGGTGCAGAGCTGTGTTCAATTCCTGGATATTCTTGTTAACTTTCTGTCTCGTTGATCTGTCTAAAGTTGACAGTGGGGTGTTAAAGTCTCCCATTATTATTGTGTGGGAGTCTAAGTCTCTTTGTGGGTCTCTAAGGACTTGCCTTATGAATCTGGGTGCTCCTGTATTGGGTGCATATATATTTAGGATAGTTAGCTCTTCTTGTTGAATTGATCCCTTTACCATTTATGTAATGGCCTTCTTTGTCTCTTTTGATCTTTGTTGGTTTAAAGTCTGTTTTTTCAGAGACTAGGATTGCAACCTCTGCTTTTTTTTGGTTTTCCATTTGCTTGGAAAATCTTCCTCCATCCCTTTATTTTGAGCCTATGTGTTTCTCTGCACGTGAGATGGGTCTCCTGAATACAGCACACTGATGGGTCTTGACTCTTTATCCAATTTTCCAGTCTGTGTCTTTTAATTGGAGCATTTAGTCCATTTACATTTAAGGTTAATATTGTTATGTGTGAATTTGATCCTGTCATTATGATGTTAGCTGGTTATTTTACTCATTAGTTGATGCAGTTTCTTCCTAGCCTCAATGGTCTTTACAATTTGGCATGTTTTTGTAGTGGCTGGTACCGGTTGTTCCTTTGCATGTTTAGTGCTTCCTTCAGGAGCTCTTGTAAGGCAGGCCTAGTGGTGACAAAATCTCTCAGCATTTGTTTGTCTGTAAAGGATTTTATTTCTCCTTCACTTATGAAGCTTAGGTTGGCTGGATATGAAATTCTGTGTTGAAAATTCTTTTCTTTAAGAATGTTGAATATTGGCCCCCACTCTCTTCTGGCTTGTAGAGTTTCTGCTGAGAGATCAGCTGTTAGTCTGATGGGCTTCTCTTTGTGGGTAACCGGACCTTTCTCTCTGGCTGCTCTTAACATTTTTTCCTTCATTTCAACTTTGGTGAATCTGACAATTATGTGTCTTGGAGTTGCTCTTCTCGAGGAGTATCTTTGTGGTGTTCTCTGTGTTTCCTGAATTTGAATGTTGGCCTGCTTTGCTAGGTTGGGGAAGTTCTCTTGTATAGTATCCTGAAGAGTGTTTTCCAACTTGGTTCCATTCTCCCCATCACTTTCAGGTACACCAATCAGATGTAGATTTGGTCTTTTCACATAGTCCCATATTTCTTAGAGGCTTTGTTCATTTCTTTTTACTCTTTTTTCTCTAAACTTCTCTTCTCACTTCATTTCATTCATTTGATCTTCAGTCAATGATACCTTTCTTCCACCTGATCAAATTGGCTACTGAAGCTTGTGCATGTGTCACGTAGTTCTCGTGCCATGGTTTTCAGCTCCATCAGGTCATTTCAGGACTTCTCTACACTGGTTATTCTAGTTAGCCATTTGTCTAATCTTTTTCCAAGGTTTTTACCTTCTTTGCAATGGGTTCGAACATCCTCCTTTAGCTCAGAGAAGTTTGTTATTACTGATCATCTGAAGCCTTCTTCTCTCAACTCGTCAAAGTCATTCTCCATACAGCTTTGTTCCATTGCTGGCAAGGAGCTGCATTCCTTTGGAGGAGAAGAGGTGCTCTGATTTTTAGAATTTTCAGCTTTTCTGCCCTGGTTTCTCCCCATCTTTGTGGTTTTATCTACCTTTGGTCTTTGATGATGGTGACATACAGACGGGGTTTTGGTGTGGTTGTCCTTTCTGTTTGTTAGTTTTCCTTCTAACAGTCAGGACCCTCAGCTGTAGCTCTGTTGGAGTTTGTTGGAGGCCCACTCCAGACCCTGTTTGCCTGGGTATCACCAGTGGAGGCTGCAGAATAACAAATATTGCAGAACTGTAGATGTTGCTGCCTGATCCTTCTTCTGGAAGCTTTGTCTCAGAGGGGCACCTGGCTGTATGAGGTGTCAGTCGGCCCCTACTGGAAGGCGTCTCCCAGTTAGGCTACTCAGGGGTCAGGGACTCACTTGAGGAGGCTCAGATCTCAAACTCCGTGCTGGGAGAACCACTACTCTGTTCAAAGCTGTCAGACAGGGACGTTTAAGTCTGCAGAAGTTTCTGCTGCCTTTTGTTCAGCTATACCCTGCCCCGAGAGGCAGAGTCTACAGAGGCAGGCAGGCCTCCTTGAGCTGTGGTGGGCTCCACCCAGTTCGAGCTTCCTAGTGGCTTTGTTTAACTCCTCAAGCCTCAGCAATGGTGGACGCCCCTCCCCCAGCCTGGCTGCCGCCTTGCAGTTCGATCTCAGACTGCTGTGCTAGCAGTGCGCGAGGGTCCGTGGGCGTTAGACCCTCTGAGCCAGGCGCGGGATGTAATCTCCTGATGCGCTGTTTGCTAAGGCCGTTGGAAAATCTCAGTATTAGGGTGGGCGTTTCCTGATTTTCCAGGTACCATCTGTCATGACTTCCCTTTGCTAGGAAAGGGAATTCCCTGACCCCTTGCACGTCCTGGGTGAGGTGATGCCCCGCCCTGCTCCGTGAGCTGCACCCGCTGTCTGAGAAGCCCCAGTGACATGAACCTGGTACCTCAGTTGGAAATGCAGAAATCACCCATCTTCTTCGTTGCTCATGCTGGGAGCTGCAGACTGGAGCTGTTCCTATTTGGCCATCTTGGAACCTCCAGACTCTTTCTTTAATTTCTTGAAGTATAAATTTTGATTATTGATTTGAGACCTTTCTTCTCTTTCAATGTAGGTATTTACAGTTTTTAACTGATCTTGGCAAAATCTGCCTGGGAAGCCATCCTATCCCTGGGAATGCTCCAAGTCAGATGAAGTAAAGGCAAGGCCTTTCACAGGTCCTTAAGGGAGCCACTGGACAAATCAAAATCCACAACCACAATTCTTTGAGAACAAAATCCGTATTGCTCTTTCTTGCACTAGGAACCTGTACCAGGAATGCAACATGTTGTCCTAATAGCTGCCATGGATCTGGGATCTGGGTGATGGCTGGTGGGCAGTTTAAAATGTCACAGCATTTTCTTACTGTAGCAACTTGTCTCTTGACCAAACTTTCACCTGATTGCTGTGTTTTTAACTAGATTCCAGAGTTCTGTAAAAGTTTATTTTGACAGGTTTTACAAGCTCATTAGTTGTTTTTATGAAAGGAAAGCACCCTGGAATTTTCTTTTTTGCTATTTTTAGTGACATCACCCTAAAATTTTATTCCTTTTTGTTTGTTTGTTTGTTTGTTTACTAACTCACTTTCTCTTACTGACCAACAAAAGCCTTGATTTTGTTCAGGGAACTATCCATCCACCAGCACCAACCCTTCATAATCTGCACATTCCAGGCAAGGTCCATGCTAAAAACCTTTCTCTTTCTTTCACTGAATGCAACTTTTCCGTCCCTATTTTATGTTCTCAGTACCTAGCTAGATGGCAGGGTCTATTCTAATGATCTCATTTGATTCTCTTTTTTCTTAAATTTGAATGATTTTCATCAATCTTTCTTTAAGTTCGCTATTTCTGTGTTATCTCCAATCCTTTCTTAATATCATTCAGTAAAATTTTTACTTCAGAAATTGAATTTTCTATTTGTAGAATTTCCAGTTGGTTATTCTAGTTTTAATTTTTCTGCCTGGGTTTCTTATTTGTTTTTTCATTGTGAGGATATTTCCCTTTGGTTTATTTAGCATCGTTAAAATAGCTGCTTTAACATTTTTGTCTTCTAATGCCAACATCTGGGTAAACTCAAGATTACTGTGCATTGCCTGGCTTTTCTCTTGAGTACTAATAAAATTATCTTGTTATTCATATGTCTAATAATTTTATATTTTTCTATACATTATTAATGATATATTAGAGATATTCTCAATTTTGCTCCCTTAAAAATATTTTTATTTTAGCAGATAGTTAACTTGGCTGGACTCAAACTAAAGACTCTTGGCTTCTTGCAAAGGGATGGAGCTAAAAACTCTTTTCAATTGCTTTAGCTTTATTGCGACTATCTGGAGTCTGGACTGCACATATGTATTTCAGATAGTCAGTTAGAGATTTGGGCAGGGTTTATACTCTGAGTTAATATTCAGATTCCTCTTCGCTGGCTTAATTGTTTTTAGGATACCCTCCCCTCACCTTTCAGTTTCCAGATATTCCAAACTGTATTCTCTAGTTCAGGGGTTGTCAAAATAAGGTCCCTGGGCCAAATCCAACCCATTAGCTGTTTTTGTAAAGCTCATTCGCTAAGAATGTTTTTTGTTTTTTGTGTTTGTGTTTTTTAAACATTTTAAAGGGTTGTAAGACAAACAAACAAACAAAAAACTATGCGACAGAGACAATATGTGGCTCAAAAGCCTAAAATATTTACTCTGTGGTCCTTTACCAAAAAAATATTAGGACCACAGGTTTAGGTCTTCAATATGGTAAGATGGTGTATTTCTATCTATATGAAGTTTAGCTTTCTTGTGTGGCCAACTGGTTCTTGTCCTCAAGTGAAGGGACGTAAAACTGGGAAACCCACTTAGGGCCACTACCTTTTTCTGAAGATATAACTCTCCATTCCAGCTACTGTCTATTTTTAGTCACTCTTCAGTGTTTTTAAGTAATATATGTTAGTATTTTGGTCTAGAATATATCATTGTTTTGTGGGAAGGTTGTTCTGCCAAAAGTTACTCCATCATTATCAATTTCAACCCATTCTAATCCATTAAATTCAAGTAAAATAACACTTTCTGGAGCCTATTCTGGGCCATGTGCTGTGCTAGTCTTCTGGAGGATGCAAAGGTGAATTACTAGACCACTACTTGTCATGTTACAGTGCAGTAGAATATGAAAAGTATAAAAATAACTCAGAAGGAAAAGACCTGGTGCCACAGACATAAGTGGGAAAAAAGCAAAAGTGGATGAGTAGATAACAAAGGAAAAGCTAATGAGTGAGGTGTCCATAGGGGACTTTGAAAAACTCCAGAAAACTTTAAAATCTAAAAGGCTATGCACATGTCTAGGGCTGTATGTATTCTCAGGAATTATCTTAGATGGATGGCTGTAGGTTCTCATGCCAGGCAAACCTTGAGATTCTATACAGTCAGAATGGGAAGAATAAGGCAGATTTGTAAACCCTCTGAATGAGTGTTCAAAACATGCTCCAGTACATACACAGAGACTCTCAGCAAAGAAGGGGAGAATATTGGCTCCAAGCAGTTAAAGAAATCTCTGTAGAAGCATTAGACGACTACTAGATTAAACGTGGATTAAGTTAAACATGACAAAAAATACAGACTTCAAGGAAATAGACCATGAATGTCACTAAACAGCAGCAAATCCCTGGAATGAGTAAAACGGAATATTCAAAGTTCCCTAATTTATTACTTAAAATGTACAGTTTTCAACAAAAAATTAGGAGACATTCAAATAAATAAGGAGGTACACCTCATACACAGAAAAAAAAAAGCAAACAATAGAAACCGACCCTTAGAAAGCCCAGATGTTGAATTTACTTGATGAAAAATTTAAATAAGTTGTTTTAATATATTTCAAAAACTGAAGAAAATCACATTTTTAGAAAAATATGAAAATGATGCTTCACCAAATTCAGAATATTAATAAGACATAGAAATTATTTTAGAAAGAACTGAATAGAAATTCTTGAGTAGAACATATAAAGACTGAAATAAAAAATTCACCAAAGGAGCTCAACAGCAGATTGGAACAGACAAAAGAAAGAATGAGTGACACTGAAGATAAGCCAATTGAGATTATCTAGTCTAAGGAACAGAAAAAGAATTAAGAAAAAGAAACGGTTCCTTAAAGACTTGTACAAACTGTACCAGTGTGTCCATACTGGAAGTTCCAGAAGGAAAGGAGAGGGGGAGAGAAGCAAAATAAAAAAGTGAAAAGATAATGGTCAAAAACTTTCCATATTTCATAAAAAATAATAATCTATACATCCAAGAACCTCAAAAAACTCCAAGCGAGATCAACTCAAAGAGATCTGTACCTAGACACATCATAATCAAACTGTCCATTCTCAAAGACAAAGTGAAAACCTTGGAAACAGCAAGAGAGAAGTGAGTCACCACATACAAGTTGATTGTCCAACATAAACCATGGAGACCAGAAGACAGTGGGGTGACGTATTTGAAGGACTGGGAAAAAAGCCTGCTATCCAAAAATTCTATATAGGGTAAAACTGTCCTTCAAAAATGAAGGATAAATTGAGAAATTCCCAGATAAACAAAAATAGAGAATTCACTTCTAGCAGACCTGCCCTACTAGAATTACTAAAGAGAGTCTTCTGGTTAAAATGAAAGAGCCCTACACAGTAACTTGAATCTACATGAAAATTTAAAGAGCACCAGTTAAGGTAACTATGCAATTAATATAAAAGATAGTACACATATATATTTTATTTGTAACTATTTCTCCTATATCATTGAGACAACAATTGCATAGGCCAATAATGAAAATTTTTTCTACTACAATGAGATACCATCTCATCCTAGTTAAAATGGCTTTTATCCATAAAACAGGCAATAATGAATTCTGGCAAGGATATGGCAAAAGGGGAACCCTCATAACTGTTGGTGAGAATGTAAATTTGTACCATCACTATGGAGAACAAAGTTAAAGTTTCTCAAAAAACTAAAAATATAACCACCTTATGATTCAGCAATCCCACAGCTGGGTATATATCCAAAAGAAAGGAAATCAGTGTATCAAAGAGCTATCTGCACTCCCATGTTTTTTGCTGCATTATTCACAGTAGCTGACATATGGAATCAACCTAAGTGTCCATCACCCATCAACAGATGCATGGGTAAAGAAAATGTGGTGCATGTGCACAAGGGAGTATTGTTCAGCCATAAAAAAAAGAATGAGATCCTCTCATTTGCAACAACATGGATGGAAATGAAGGACATTATGTTAAGTGAAATAAACCAAGCACAGGAAGACACACATTGCGTGTTCTCATTTATTCGTGTGATCTAAAAGACAAAATTGATCTCAAGGAGATAAAGAGTGGAATAATGGTTACCAGAAGCAGGGAAAGGTATTGAAGAAGGGGAGATAAAATGGGGTTGGTTAATGGGTACAAAAATGCACACTATTGGGTATTTTTGAATAGCAGGCTTTTTTTCCCCAGTACTTTAGTTGGGTAATTAGATAGAATAAATAAGATCTAGTATTTTGTAACATAATAGGGTGACTATGGTTTAAAATAATTTATTATATATTTTTAAATAACTAAAAGTGTGAAATTGGCATGTTCCTAACATAAAGAAATGATAAATTCTTAAAATGATGGGTACCCCAATTACCCTGTTTTGATTATTACCAATTGTGTGCTTGTATAAAACATAATATGTAACCCATAGATTTATACAACTATTATATACTCATAATAAAAAATGAAAAATTTTAAAAGTCGTGGCACACAATGTGTAAAGCCGTAATCTATATAACAATAACAGCAGAAAGAATGGGGAGAGAATAGAGCTATATAAAAAAAATTTTATATGGTACTAAAATTAAGGGGGTGGTAATCCAAACAAGATTGTTATAAATTAACATGTTAATTATAGTACCAAGATAACTCTTAAGAAAATAACTTAAAAATGTATAGTATAATTGAAAACAGGCCTTCAAACAGATACTCGTACAACATTGTTTATAGCAGAATTTTTCACAATAGCCAAAAGGTGGAAACAACACTTTAGCTTCAACTGGATCATTCCTGATTTGTCTATTTCATATAGTGCAGTTTAAGATTTCTATTTAAAAAATAAAAGATGTACGATTTTTAAAAATTATCCCTCCCTGGTCACTTACACATGCTACTCTCTTGGCCTAGAGACCTCTTCTCCCCAGTGTCTTGTTTGGCTGACACCTTCTTAGTGTCTCAGCTGAATTACCACTTCCTCAAAGATACTCAGCCTAGTTCAGATTCTCTTGCATGCGATTGCCCTCTTTTCAGTTCTTTGCCTCTTGGAAATTGTGTAGTTATTTATTATAATCCCTTAGTTAATATCCACCTTTTCCACTAGATCGTAAGTACCCAAAGGGCAGCAATTATGCCTGTGTGGCTCGCTATGCTGTACATAGCACGTTTCCTGGCACAATATCTAGAGTAAAATACTCCAGAGCCTAGCAGTCTCAGACTAATTCAAAACCATGCACCAGGCAAAGCCAGCTGTGGGTACACAACATGCTACTTTATTCCAGCAACTCCTAGGAGGCTATCCTTTGTGGCAACAAGGAAAAACGGAGGACTAGTCAAAGGGATAATAGCCATGAGTGTGGCTCTGTTGAGTTCTCATTACAGGGACCCTTTTGAAGATTCTTCTCCACCCTGCTCTTTTCATCTGTAACTGAGGGAGACACTGAGGGCACCCTGAGAAACCTGTCACTTGGTCCAAGCTCAGCTTGGAGGTTAAAGAAATCAGAGGGCTTGCCAAGAAAGTGACTAAGAGATTCCTGACCTTTTCTTCCTTTCCTGACTTTGCTCAGCAAGTAATTCCTAAAGGGAGCCAGTAAGTAAGGATGAAGAGGAAGTACAGTGCTGAGCAGAGAGCACAGATATGGAGTCAGACAGGCTTGGATTGCATTTCCAACTCTGCTCTTTACAGGGAAATGTTGGGTATGTCAACTCCATGCCCAACAACTCCAGAACTCCAAAATTAAAAGTGAGTTTTAATTTTCTCATCCACAACATGGAGTTGACTCTGTTTCTTAGCATTTTTGTGTGTATTTGAAGTGCCTAACAATGTGCATGGGTACATACAAACTACTCAACAAATGTTTATTGCTATCCTATTCCACAGATCCAGCTTTTTAAGCAAGCAAAGTCCTTAACAGAGATGAAGGCAGCACCTATGACTCCTTCCCTTAAACGTAGTTGCTCAAACGCTGCAGCTACACTGGGGGTTCATTTTACATTTCTGCCATTCTTTTTTACTTTCTCACCATCCCCTGCTTTCTCAATGCTCTGTCAAGCAACCACTTCCTTATGCATGTCCCCCAAAGGGCAAAATCCTGAAAAAAAACACTGAAAGTGATTTTCACATTCTGTAAGTTGAATTTTACATCAAATATAGAAATCACCTCTTGCCTCTGCTTCAATGCCTCTGGTGATGGGCAGCTCACTTCCCACTGAAGCAGTTCTTCCCATCTTGGAGTAGCTTCAGCTTTGCATAGTCCTTCTAAATAAGAAACTCAGATATTAGCAGATTTGGTCTACCTGCTGACAATCAGGTGGCCTCACATGGACTGACAATGAAACTGAATCTTTGAAATTGGCATAGTCAGGGAAAATCCAGAAAATCTGGTTAACAAGGAATTGGAAGTTCCATGCAAAAGGGAGACAGAATAGAGGACACAACCTCACATAAAAACTGAAAATTACTTAGAAAAACCTGCTGGAGCTCTGTAGACCTCAGCTGAAAGAGAATGGGAGTGGAAGAGAAGTATGTGTGCACACACATACACATTGTTACCCTATAACGGTGTTGTAGAAAAGGCAATAGAACTTTCCCACAGACGGTTCAGAGTTTTACCTTTGAGCTGCCTTATTAGATCCTGTACTATGCCTGGCAGGCCTACTAGCTTCTCAGTACTGACCTTGCCCACATGCTCTGCCTCCTGACCCCAGGGTCCATGTGATTTCTGCTCCAACCCCAGTGGCATGACTATGGCCAAGACGATACGTGCTGGAAAGCTCAGCCATCTCCAGTCTTGTAGATTGCTTAAAAACCACATCTGTCCTATACATGATCTGAGGCTTTAGCTATATCTACAATATACTTCATTCTGTCTAAAGGGGGAGCTGCCCAGAATGATGGAGCTGGGAATAGGAACTATTAGCGTTGATGTTCTTCAATCTGACCTTCTCTCTTCTCCTGGTTAATGTCCTTAGGAGCCATCCATAACCACTACTGCCCTAAAGATAACTGATTCCATCTTTATTTGGTGACAGCCTTGCCAATATTGGAGTTTGGTTTCCCACACATTCTTTTGCTATATCAAAACTATCCCCAAAGAAGTGTTTGTTGCAGCAGTCTGAACTTTTCTCTGGAAACACTCAGAGCATAAACACTATATGAACCACATCTGGTTTAAAAGTGCTTATGATAGCATTCTCCAGTTTAAAAAAAAGTCAATAAACTTGCATTAAATATTGATTTCAAACTGTTTCCTGCTACTCTGCGTGTAATCGAGCTTCTGAAAAGACTATATATTATCGGCTGTTGTTTTTTAAAGTCAAGGTAACAACCGAACACTATAAATATGCTCATATAAACACTTGAGTCTAATGCAGGTATGTTGTGCTTTGTATACTTGCATAGGGTCCATGTTGCTTCACCAAAATGGACATAATCTCCTGAAAAGCAATTACCAGTTGGCTATGGGCATTGCTTTCTAAGGTTCAGAGCTTAAATGCACTGCATTGGAATTCTATCCCAATTATAGCTCTTTATCACAAATTCTGAACCTTTAAGATCAGTTTTGTAAGTGCTGATAAAATAAAATACTGATTTGGTTGTCACTTAAAAAATTATTTTTCTTCTTTTAGGGTTATTATTCTAGCAGAAATCACAACTCTGTGGATCATTTTCCATTCCCCTTTGTAAAAGGGTTTCTGTCCCAGGTATAAACACTTAAGTCCCAGCTCTGTTCTTACTAGCTGTGTGATACTAACAAAGTCATTCTACCTTTCCGTGAGAATTCAGTTTCCTTTATAAGAAATGGGAGAAATACCACCTACACTTTAGAGTTACCAAAAAAACAAAGCAAATGGGATGGAATTTGCAAAGAATCTAGCATAGAGCACCTGGAACACATAGTAGGTGATCAATACAGTAATATTAGTTATTTTTATTTCTATGCAGTTTACAAGTTGTGATTTATTAAATGTCAAGTCACAATTCAGTATGGCCACTACCTTAAATAAAGCACTGATATAAACTGAAACAGGTCATTGTGGTTTCTATATATTGTGTTTTCTTCTTCTAAAGATCTATTTTTAGTTGAATAATATCCACATGGACCTAGAAATTCCTTTGATTGAGAGTTGTTTGTTTTCTACTGATCTATATTTGATGCAGTTTGTTTTTGGAACTTACTCTTAAACATCATAATATGTCATTCTATTTTGTTTCTTTTTGTTTTAGCTTTCAAGACAAAGGAATAAGATTGTTGTATATTTAAGGAACTGGATTTTAAATGTTACTGAAAAGTATTATGAGACCTTTATATATTTTTAGTGAATTTACAGCCTAGTATTAAAGTCACAAAATGAAATGAGGGAAAGTTTTGTACAGAAAATTTGTCATCATGTTAGAAGCAAGAAAACCTGCTGACCTCAAGATGGCTAGAACTTGTCCTACGGACTCACATCTAACTTTTCCTTCACATGCATAGAAGAGAAGGGAACCAGGGCAAAGGTGATGGCAGCAGTGCTATTTAGATGACAAGGCGATCAAAGAGAAAGAACTGAACTACATCCCGCCAAGGAGGAGAAATTCAGTGTGGGTGAAGGGTGTGAGATGCCCTTCAGTAGGAGCTGGAAGCCTAGAAAGGAGGGAGACTGATAAAGTAGACCCTTGTTAAGAAACTTCAGTCCCAATATTCTTCTGGAAGTATAATCAACACCACTTCCACCCACCTCACTGGAGGATGCTAAAAGGAAGCAGTGGACACTAGCTAGCCAAGGGCTTGGTTTTCATCCATGTGCTATATACAGACAACACAAAGAAAACCCAAGATGAGAAGTCAGAAGGTCTGGTTTTTTTTTTTTTTTTTTTTTTTATTATACTCTAAGTTTTAGGGTACATGTGCACATTGTGCAGGTTAGTTACATATGTATACATGTGCCATGCTGGTGCGCTGCACCCACTAATGTGTCATCTAGCATTAGGTATATCTCCCAATGCTATCCCTCCCCCCTCCCCCGACCCCACCACAGTCCCCAGAGTGTGATATTCCCCTTCCTGTGTCCATGTGATCTCATTGTTCAATTCCCACCTATGAGTGAGAATATGCGGTGTTTGGTTTTTTGTTCTTGTGATAGTTTACTGAGAATGATGGTTTCCAATTTCATCCATGTCCCTACAAAGGATATGAACTCATCATTTTTTATGGCTGCATAGTATTCCATGGTGTATATGTGTCACATTTTCTTAATCCAGTCTATCATTGTTGGACATTTGGGTTGGTTCCAAGTCTTTGCTATTGTGAATAGTGCCACAATAAACATACGTGTGCATGTGTCTTTATAGCAGCATGATTTATAGTCCTTTGGGTATATACCCAGTAATGGGATGGCTGGGTCAAATGGTATTTCTAGTTCTAGATCCCTGAGGAATCGCCACACTGACTTCCACAATGGTTGAACTAGTTGACAGTCCCACCAACAGTGTAAAAGTGTTCCTATTTCTCCACATCCTCTCCAGCACCTGTTGTTTCCTGACTTTTTAATGATTGCCATTCTAACTGGTGTGAGATGATATCTCATAGTGGTTTTGATTTGCATTTCTCTGATGGCCAGTGATGATGAGCATTTCTTCATGTGTTTTTTGGCTGCATAAATGTCTTCTTTTGAGAAGTGTCTGTTCATGTCCTTCGCCCACTTTTTGATGGGGTTGTTTGTTTTTTTCTTGTAAATTTGTTTGAGTTCATTGTAGATTCTGGATATTAGCCCTTTGTCAGATGAGTAGGTTGCGAAAATTTTCTCCCATGTTGTAGGTTGCCTGTTCACTCTGATGGTAGTTTCTTTTGCTGTGCAGAAGCTCTTTAGTTTAATTAGATCCCATTTGTCAATTTTGGCTTTTGTTGCCATTGCTTTTGGTGTTTTGGACATGAAGTCCTTGCCCACGCCTATGTCCTGAATGGTAATGCCTAGGTTTTCTTCTAGGGTTTTTATGGTTTTAGGTCTAACGTTTAAATCTTTAATCCATCTTGAATTGATTTTTGTATAAGGTGTAAGGAAGGGATCCAGTTTCAGCTTTCTACATATGGCTAGCCAGTTTTCCCAGCACCATTTATTAAATAGGGAATCAATAAATTAGGTATTGATGGGACATATTTCAAAATAATAAGAGCTATCTATGACAAACCCACAGCCAATATCATACTGAATGGGCAAAAACTGGAAGCATTCCCTTTGAAAACTGGCACAAGACAGGGATGCCCTCTCTCACCGCTCCTATTCAACATAGTGTTGGAAGTTCTGGCCAGGGCAATCAGGCAGGAGAAGGAAATAAAGGGTATTCAATTAGGAAAAGAGGAAGTCAAATTGTCCCTGTTTGCAGACGACATGATTGTTTATCTAGAAAACCCCATCGTCTCAGCCCAAAATCTCCTTAAGCTGATAAGCAACTTCAGCAAAGTCTCAGGATACAAAATCAATGTACAAAAATCACAAGCATTCTTATACACCAACAACAGACAAACAGAGAGCCAATTCATGGGTGAACTCCCATTCACAATTGCTTCAAAGAGAATAAAATACCTAGGAATCCAACTTACAAGGGATGTGAAGGACCTCTTCAAGGAGAACTACAAACCACTGCTCAAGGAAATAAAAGAGGACACAAACAAATGGAAGAACATTCCATGCTCATGGGTAGGAAGAATCAATATCGTGAAAATGGCCATACTGCCCAAGGTAATTTACAGATTCAATGCCATCCCCATCAAGCTACCAATGACTTTCTTCACAGAATTGGAAAAAACTACTTTAAAGTTCATATGGAACCAAAAAAGAGCCCGCATTGCCAAGTCAATCCTAAGCCAAAAGAACAAAGCTGGAGGCATCACACTACCTGACTTCAAACTATACTACAAGGCTACAGTAACCAAAACAGCATGGTACTGGTACCAAAACAGAGATATAGATCAATGGAACAGAACAGAGCCCTCAGAAATAATGCCGCATATCTACAACTATCTGATCTTTGACAAACCTGAGAAAAACAAGCAATGGGGAAAGGATTCCCTATTTAACAGAAGGTCTGGTTTCTGTTCTTAATTCTGTCACTCACTAGCTTTGGGACATAAGCAAGTCCTTTGTCTTCTGTGGTTTCTGTTGGTTTAACCATAAAATGAGAAGTTTGAATGAGATCATCTTTTGGGAGACTTCCAACTTTATCACCATCCTGTGTTTTTCAATCTCAGAAGTTAAAAACACTAAGATGTGAAAGCAGACTTTTTGTTGTTATTATTTGTTTCTAACCACCTTTTCAGGGTAAACATCAGGTCTTTCTATATAAGAAACTTGGTCAAACACTGTTCATGTAGAATTTAGTAAACAACTAAATTTAAATCCTTTCCACCACCACTTGGATTTCTCTGTAAACTATGAACTTGATATGATATCATGGGCCTGAATAACTTTGGGTTCCTTATGCCTGGCCAAAACAAGTTTAAGTCCTTGAGCTTGAAATGTTTTAGTCTTAACTTAACCCTAAAGAAAGAGAGATGTTTTAGCTGCACTTTGTTTTGAAAGATTTGTCTTGGGCAGTATTTTGTGCTGCACAACTGCAGCGCCTGAGCTTGGCCATGATTGCAATCACAGAGGTGCTGAAGACCCTCCCACTGATTTCAGCACTTCCCTGAAGAGCTCGGCAAATGTTCAAGTGTGAATGTTCCCATCGAATCCTGATCTTTTTAGCAACATCGTGTTTTCAAAGCAAGCTCAAGACCACAGGGGTTGCTGGGCTTAGTGTGAACAATCAAATTCTAAGTAAACAGCCTCATCTTCCACCCTTCATCTCTCCTTCTTCCTCTGAATTTTGCTATGCATTTGGAAACTGCTCTTTCATTTGGCTTGGAGGACCCCCTTTTGAGCCAGAGCCCTTTGTTTTAGTCAGAGTATGCTCTGGAGTTGTTAGAGCCTGCATTAACTTCACTGTTTGTCATTGTCAAGGTGTTGTTTGAAGTTGCTAACTTGCCCTTTGGTGGGTATGCTAAATGTAGATGGAATGAAAAGACTATCATTCCCTCCTAATTCTCCCACTAGACCAACCCAAAGGTACATACTTCCTTTGGGGTGACAGAAGGTGACAAGCGGCAGCTGCAGCAGCATTCATTTAATTAAGCTCTTATCTGGCCTTGGGCCTGGTTGCCCAGTTTATACCCTACCATGAAAATTCTAAAATTCTATCATTTACTGAGGGAAGATCATGAATCCTGGAAATTTTAGAAGAATCCTCTTTTCAAGTGTTCTGCCCACTCATACTTGTGTGTTGATTTGGGATTTGAAAAAGTGGTTTCTGCATTCACTTTGTCAGAGGTGGGACTGAGGTTTTCAATGAGCACACTGTTTAAACTTTGGGCAATCCAAAAAAATTGGGTCATAAATACTTTAAACTGAGATAATTATTTTCTCCCTTTGTGGTACATATTCGTAAACTTGGGTAGAGATAAGTAGAAGGTCAGTAGATGAGTTTACATCTCTGTAGCCAAATCACCTTTCTAGGCAGTCGAATGAAGATGGGAAACATTTTCAGACTGTCTTCATACAGTATTGTCCTTTGACATTGAAGTTTGAGACACAGAATGTCAGAGGTGCAAGGAGCCTTGGGCATCTTCCCACTCTCACCTTTTACATATAAAGACACTGAGGCCTAAAAGAGGAAGTAACTTGCCCAAGGTCAAAAACCAAGTCAGAGGTTGATCTGGGGCCCAAATGCACACCTCCTAAATATTAAATAGAACCTGTTAATATTTACTAGACAAAAGAGACAAAGCCAAAAAGATAAAGGAAACAGGGATATGAGCTAAGAAAAAACTTGAGGTTTAGAAATCATCTAAGGCAGAAAGACTGCCCTGTCTTAAAGAACTGTTACCATTAGTAGCAGCTAAAGAAAGCTGAGCACAAAGCTATGTGCCCAGAGAAGATGAGACAAATTCAGTCTGTGGACAGCACAGTCATTCTGTTCCAGGAAACTGATGAGAAACCTGAGAAAGAGATTTGTTTTCCTAGACACTAACGATGCTAAAAGAAATTATTCTGCCTCTGGACTGAACCATGGCAAGAAAGCACAGACTGACCCTGAAGATGAGGTTAAAAGAGGGGTCAACCTGTCCAAAGGGAAAATGGGGAGGGCTTGGAGGAGCATAAGTAAAGTTTGAGACTGAGTCACTAATGTGGAACATTTCTGTTTAGAAGACCTGAGAGTCCACTAAGGATATACAATCCCTTCAGCCAGCAGCTCCTAGACTGCCCACTGCATTACAAGAGGAGGTTATGTAGTATAGTGAATGGGTGGCAGGTCTGGAGTCCAACAGACTTGAATCTGTATCTTGGCCCTGCTTTACCTCTTTTGTGAGCATGGACCAGCTGTTTACCTTCTCTGGGCCTAATTTTTCTTTAAATTCAAGAAACCCCAAAGGATTATTTGTAGGATTCAATAAAATAATACTTATTAGAATGTTTGGAATATAGCATGCATTCATATATGCCACATATTATTAATAACAACCAGCTGAGAGTGAAAAGATCCACAGAATTCAAACACAAAGTGACTGGCTCTTTAATATGTTTGCTTTTCCTTGATGAAAGTGTCAGAGCACTTCTGGTCTCTGAACTACAATTTCCTAGTTTATCAAAATGAATATTGTATTTATAATAATGTCTTAGGGTTGTTATGACAGTTCATTGAGATATGGTGTGTACAGCATCTGTTCCACTGGGGTGGTTATAATTATTGAATTGGGGTCAGATATTCTACAGATGAAGAGAAAAAGGGCCAAATCCAAGAGGTCTGATTTTTCAGAGATGGTGTAGTGTAATGATACCAATGCAAGTAAGTACAGAAATAAGACAGGGGCTTTCCCGTTGGGAACTTATCTTTGCTGACTTTTGCCAGAAACTTCCAAAATTAATTACAAATGGCCCCTCTCTCTTTGGTTCACTTGGAATTGACAGCATGTCTGCAGAATCACTGGCTTGTCTCGGATGCCTCCCTGGAAATCCAAGGCTTCTCACGACAAAGTCACATCTAGGGTGGTCTCAACAACACTTAGCCTGTGGTCCTATTCATCATGTTAATGCTGGTGACATTAATCACTTCCTGAGGTTTTGATTCAGAGAACCCACTTCCACTTCTAGGGGTTGTGCTTTGAAAGTATACAGACATCAATAGGAGCCCCTACTGGGTGTAGGATGTTGTGCGTGGCTCAGAGTAGGCGCTTAAATATTTGTTGATGGATTGATTGATTAGAGAGGTTACTGAGGTTAGTAAAACATTCTCTACCTTTAAGACACTGGCATCCAGTGGGGAATATTGACTCATACGAAGCTAGTTTGCACCCAGAATAAACTGATTAAAGGTAAGTAAAAAGTAAAAGACAGCAATCGGGAGTCATTCCAACTGGAGGTGTCTAAGGTGTCTAGGAGAGCTACTAGGAGAAGAAAGCACTTGATGTGTACCTTTGCAGCTAATTGAGATTTTTGACATTGAAGAGAAAGGGCCCTTCAATTACAGAGAGTAGAGTAACCATAGGAAGCAATAAAGAGCAGGCCTTCTTATTGGAAAATAATAAGCAGTGATTTGTGTGTCTGTGTTCTCATGCAAACATGTGTGCATGTGTGCTGGGGTCAGAGCATGGAGAGTCATGATGCCCACACAAATAATTTGGATCTTTGTTTCTGTAGGTGATGGGTATCTGGGGGAGATCTTGAGCAAGGGGATGATGGAGTTAACTAGATAGCTTGGGTTTTATTACTAGACGTAGACACTTCAAAATTAGTAAGACACAACTTTTCCACCATCACTAAGGCTACTAGGGTCAGGAGAACAAAGAGAAAGCCATAAAAGTTTATTCAGATGAACAACAAACTGATGAAAACAACTTTAAGGAGAAAGGGACAACTTCAGTGAGCTGAGCTCTTGGGCTGGTGACCGACAGCTACCCTTGCAACATCACCATCATCCCTGCTTTAAAAAAAAATTATTTGACACCAGCTGTCGACAACAGGATCAATACTTGCTGCAGCAGAGGTCACTGCTGGCAGGTGTCCACCAAACATTGGGATTCCATTTTATTTCAACTGCGTTTGAGAGAAGGGACTGCACTCTAGAGTCCACCAGAGGGAATGCATTGCAGATGAAGAGAATAACATTAATATGAATTTCACAAAACACAATCTTTGCAGGTCTTACTAGGTTTCAACATTTTAAAAAGAGTTCTAGGTTTAAATAAGTTTAGGAAATGATTAGCTAACAAGATTCAACTAGTATCTTTGCTGCAGGAATTCTCGGTAAACGTAGAGAAACCTCTTCTTTTTCTGTTTTTTTTCTCTGTATATATAAAAAGTACATATATATATATATATATATATATATATATATATATATAAAGAAGTATATATAAAGTGTGTATATGTATATACTCACTTAGCAATTTTCAAATATATATTATTACCTCATCACTATGCTATCCAATAGATGTCCAGAACTTATTCCTCCCATGTAACTGAAACTTTGTTTCAACATCTCCCCATCCTCCTCCCTCCATACCAGCCCCTAGTAACCACCATTTTACTCTCTGCTTCTATGAGTTCTACTTTTTCATATTCCACATATACGTAAAATCATGCAATATTAGTCTTTCTGTGCCTGACTTATTTCACTTAACATAATGACCTCCAGTTCCATCCATGTTGCTGCAAATGATAGGATTTCACTTTTTTAAAAAAAGGTTGAATAGTATTCCATTGTGTATATATGCCACATTTTCTTTATCCAATCATCTGCTGATGAGCACTTAGGTTGAGTCCATAACTGGCTATTGTGAATAGTGCTGTAATGAACATGGCAGTGTAAATATCTCTTCAATACACTGACTTTATTTCCTTTAGATATATAACCAGAAATGTAATTACTGAAACATATGGAAAAAAATTATTTGTTTTTGGAAGAGTATGTGGGATGAATCCACATTGGAAATGCTGTTGCAGAGAATAGGATTCAATTTAAAATAGTATTTTGGACTTGAGTCTTATAGATCACTGATAATGGTACTCTGTTATAAGGCAATTTCTATTTACTAAGCTGCTCTCTGCTTTATAATGCCCATCAATCAGAACAACTCTCATTTGCACTCATTTCAGTGCACATGTCATGCAGACTATTTATATTTTTTTCATGCATGTAATACATTGTCTTCCCTAATACCCTACTTCCAGTCCTCTTGTTTGAACTATAGCAATGTCCTCTTAACAGGTTGTCATTCCTATCTATGTTGTCTTCTCTTTCGGATTCATCCTATATGATTCCTAAAGCATAGGTTCACTCATGTTACTACACTGCTCAGAGTGACAATAGCTTTCTTCAAAATGTACATAAAAAAATTCTCACTATGGCATTCAATGCCCATCCAACTCAGGCCCTAACCTAATTTTCTTTTGAGTCTCTCCTTCCCCCAATTTACATGATTGTGATGCTGGAATCAAATGAGTCCACTTGCTAATCTCCATTCCTTGAAACTTAGTGCCTCCATGGTTGTGCTAAATCTGTTCTTTGCTCAGGAAAACACAGCTGAAATACTTCGTCCTCCATGAAGCACTTGCCTAATAACACCTGAGGAAAGGGATTACTTTCCCATTTGATCTGAAGCACATTGTAATATTACTAAGAAAACACTTACACTAGTACATCCTATTATTTATATAAGTGTATGGATGTCACTGGCTAGCTGTGTGAGCTTAGACAAGTCACTTAACCTCTTTTAACCTCAGTGTTCTAATTTGAAAAATGGGACAATCATAACATCTACCCACAGGATTGCTGTGAAGATTAAATGAAATAATACATGTACGGCAGCTGCTAGCTTAATCAATGCCACTTTCTCACATAATATTGTAAACTTCCTGATGAAAGTTACTGCGCCTGATTCTCCTATGCATCCCACATACCCGGTTCAATGCCTGGCCGTGGCAGGCACTTATATTTATTGAGTGAATTACACATGATTGGCCAGGCTTCCTCTCCTTTGCCACTCTGCCCTATTGTGAAGCCAGGGTGAAGTTACCCTGCAGGGTCAAGCACACAGTTCTTCTACCAATGGCTCACCACTATCCTACGGTTTTAAGCACAACTTCTTGGAAGTTCAAGAATAAATTTGATTCTAATTTTTAAAATAACTCAGAAAAGGGAAAAAACTCATTAAAACACAAATGAAATCTCACTATAGTACTATGTTTCAATCCTGAATCATATCAAAATTAATCAAAATGTCTTCTATAATATTCAGCTATCTACATGTTTTTTTTTCCTATATTGTCACTGTTTTATTTTCAAAGAGAAAATGTTATTCCCTTTGATAAATTGATGAAGACTGCCACCTATTCGCTGTTTGGCTGAAATGCCATGCATGTGGCATCCTACTCATACCCACTGAAATCTAGCAAGTTACTTCTGAGAGGCTGCCATTCACCTCAATTGATCCAGTGAGCTTATCTGGGAATGAGATGCAGATAGGGGTCAGAGATCATTTCTTCTGATACATAGAAAAACATAATTCCATTCTTGCTGAGATACACACAGAAGTGTTTAAAGTAATAAAGCCATGGTCTAGTCACAAGCCCAAATAATAGAAACACCTCTGTGCTGATTATTCTCTAGCTGAGTTGCCAGATAAAATACAGCATAGTGAATGAAATTTGAGTATCAGATAAACAATGAAAACTGCTTAGTGTAAGCATGTTCCATGGAATATTTGATACACACTTATACTAAAAATTTATTCTTATCTGAAATTCAAACTCAACTGCATGCCCTGTATTTGTATTTGCTAAATCTGTCTACTCTACTTCAGTGTTCCTTTCCCTGTATACTCACCATTCTTAGGACATCCAGCTCTATGCCCTGGAGGCTGATCACAGTTGCAAATCTTGGGCTCCCTTTTCCCCTGGCTTTTGTTTTAGTTTGTTCAATGGTAAGTAGTAAAATAGGATCTAAGAGTGGAAGGGAAAAGGAAGCCAGCCACTTATCCCCTACCCTCATGGTTCTGGAAGTGACTATATTCATCATTGGCCACAAATCCTGCCTGGTAGCCTCTCTTCTGTGGCTCCAAGCTCTCTCAAGATTCCCATAATTCCATTTCCTTCACCTTCAGGCTTAGGGAAGGAAAGGTTTCTCATGGTTACAGATTCCTAGTGCTTTGGCATCCTGTGATGTTTCCTTAACCCTGACCATAAATTTGTAACTAGTCTCTTCATTCAATGATTTTCAACTAAACTCTTTCATTGTGTCCTTTGTTTCCCAGATGATACAACATTTTTTTAAATTAATTTACTTTTTAAAACTTTTAGGTTCAGGGGTACATGTACAAGTGTGTTACATAGGTAAATTTGTATCGTGGGGGTTTGTTGTACAGATTATTTCATCATGCAGGTAATAAGCATGGTGCCCGATAGGTAGTTTTTTTTTTGTTGTTTTCACCCTCCTTCCACCTTCCACCCACAAGTAGGCTATAGTGTCTATTGTTCCCTTCTTTGTGTCCATGTGTACTCAATGTTTAGCTCCCACTTATGAGTGAGAACTTGTATTTGGTTTTCTGCTTCTGTGTTTGCTTGCTTAAGATAATGGCCTCCAGCTCCATCCATATTGCTACGAAGGACATGATCTAATTCTTTTTATGGCTGTGTAGTATTCTATTGAGTATATGTACCACATTTTCCTAACGTAGTCTATCATTTGTGGGCATTTAGGTTGATTCCATGTCTTTGCTATTGTGAATAGTGCTGTGATGAACATACGCATGCATGTGTCTTTGTGGTAGAACAATTTATATTCCTTTGAGTATACACCTAATAATGAAATTGCTGGGTAGAATGGTAGTTCTATTTCAAGTTCTTTGAGAAATTATCAAACTGCTTTACACAGTGGCTGAACTAATTTACATTCATACCAGCAGTGTACGAGCATTCCCTTTTCTCCACAACTTTGCCAGCTCTGTTATTTTTTGCCTGCTCAATGGTAGCCATTCTGACTGGTGTGAAGCAGTAAGTGTCTCATTGTGGCTTTGATTTGCATTTCTCTAATGTTTAGTGATGTGGAGCATATTTTCATATGCTTGTTGACCGACTGTATGTCTTCTCTCAAAAAGTGTCTGTTAATGCCCTTTGCCCACTTTGTTATGGTGTTGTTTATTTTTTGCTTGTTCATTCAATTGAATTCCTTATAGATTCTGCACACTAGACCTTTGTCAGATGGATAGTCTGCAAATATTTTCTCCCATTCTTTAGGTTATCCGTTTACTCTGTTAATAGTTTCTTTTACTGTGCAGAAGCTCTTTAGTTTAATTAGGTACCATTTGTTAATTTTTGGTTTGGTTGTAACTGCTTTTGGCATCCTTGTCATGAAATCTTTGCCAGGGGCTATGTTCAGAATGGTATTTCAAAGGTTTTAGTCAAGGGTTTTTATAGTTTTTATGTTTTGCATTTAAGTCCTTATCTTGAGTTGATTTTTGTATATGTTGAAAGGAAAGGGTTCAGTTTCAATTTTCTGCATATGGCTAACCAGTTATCCCAGCACTATTTATTAAATGGGGAGTCCTTTTCCCATTGCTTGTTTTTGTCAACTTTGTTGAAGATCAGATGATTGTAGGTGTGTAGTTTTATTTCTGAGCCCTTCATTCTGTTTCATTGGTCTATGTGTCTGTTTTTGTAGCAGTACCATGCTGTTTTGGATACTGTAGCCTCGTAGCATAAGTTTGAAGTCCAGTAATGTGAGGTCTCCAGCTTTGTTCTTTTTGCTTAGAATTCTTTTGGCTATTTGGGCTCTATTTTTGTTCAACATGAATTGTAGAAAGTTTTTTTTTCTAATTCTGTGAAAAACTTTGTTGCTAGTTTGATAAGAATAGCATTGATTCTGTAAATTGCTTTGGGCAGAATGGACATTTTAACAATGTTGATTCTTCCTATCCATGAGCATGGAAATTTTTTTATTCGTTTGTGTCATCTCTGACTTATTTCAGTAGTGTTTTCTAATTCTGTTTGTAGATATTTTACATGTCACTGGTTAGCTGTATTCTTAGGTATTTTATCTGTTTTGTGGATATTGTGAATGGAATTGCATTTTTGATTTGGCTCTCAGCTTGGACATTGTTGGTGTATAGAAATATTACTAATTTTTGTACATAAACTTCGTTGAAGTTGTTTATCAAATCTAGGAACTTTTGGGCAGAGACCATGCCATTCTCTAGGTATGGAATCATATCATCTGCAAACAGAGATAGTTTGACTTTGTCTCTTCCTGTTTGGATGCCTTTTATTTCTTTCTCTTGCCTGATTGCTCTGGCAAGGACTTCCAGTACTATGTTGAATAGGAGTGGTGAGAGTGGGCATCCTTGTCATTTTCCATTTCTCAAGGGGAATGCTTCCGGCTTTTGTCCATTCAGTGTGATGTTGGCTGTGAATTTCTCAGAGATGGCTCTTACTATTTTGAGGTATATCCCTTCAATGCCTAATTTCTTGAAGTTTTTTAATATAAAGGGCTGTTAAAACTTTTTCAAAAGGCTTTTGCATTTATTGAGATGATCATGTGGTTTTTGTTTTTTCTTCTGTTTATGTGATGATTCACATATATTGATTTGCATATGTTGAACTAACCTTGCATCCCAGTGATAAAGCCTACTTGATGGTGGTGAATTAGGGATTTTTTTGTTTTTGTTTTTATTTTGTTTTTGTTGGTTTGTTTGTTTTCTAGATGGAGTTTCACTCTTGTCACCCAGGCTGGAGTGCAATGGCATGACCTAGGCTCACTGCAACCTCTGCCTCCTGGGTTCAGGCGATTCTCCTGCCCCAGCCTCCCGAGTAGCTGGGATTACAGGCGCCTGCCATCATGCCCAGCTAATTTTTGTGTTTTTAGTAGAGACAGGGTTTCACCATATTGGCCAGGCCAGTCTCAAACTCCTGACCTCAGGTGATCCACCTGCCTCAACTTCCCAAAGTGCTGGGATTACAGGCGTGAGCCACCGCACCTGCTGGTGGATTAGCTTTTTGATGTGCTGCTGGATTTAGTTTTCTAGAGTTTTGTGAGGAATTTTGCATCTACGTTCATCAAGATATTGGCCCGAAGTTTTCTTTTTTTGTTGTGTCTCCGCCAGGTTTTGGTATCAGAATGATGCTAGCCTCATAGAATGCATTAAGGAGGAATGTTTCCTCCCCAATTTTTTCAAATAGTTTCAGAAGAAACTGTACCCACTCTTCTTTATGTATCTGGCATTTGGCTGTGAATCCATCTGGTTCAGGAATTTTTCTGGTTGGTAAGACTTTTATAACTGGATCTATTTTGGAACTCATTATTGGTCTGTTCAGGATTTCAGTTTCTTCCTGGTTCAATCTTGGGAGTTTGTATGTTTCCAGGAATGTATCCATTTCTTCTAAGTTTTCTAGTTTCTGTGCGTAAAGGTGTGTGTAATAGTCTCTGAGGGTTTTTTGTATTACTGTGGGGACCATGGTAAATCCTCTTTGTCATTTCTGATTGTGTTTACTTGGATCTTCTCTCTCTCTCTTTTTTTTTTTTCTTTTGAGACAGAGTCTCACTCTGTTGCTTCAGATGGAGTGCAGTGGCGTGACCTTGGCTCACTGCAAACTTCATCTCCCGGGTTCAAGTGATTCTCCTGACTCAGCCTTCTGAGTAGCTGGGATTACAGGCATGCGCTACCACACCCAGCTAATTTTTGTATTTTTAGTAGAGATGGGGTTTCACCATGTTGGCCAAACGGCTGTCAAACTCCTGACTTCAAGAGATCCACCTGCCTCAGCCTCCCAAAGTGTTGGGATTACAGGCATGAGCCACCACACCTGGCCTCTTTTTTCTTTATTACTCTAGCTAGTGGTTTATCAATCTTATTTATTCTTTCAGTGAACCAAGTTATGGTTTCATTGATCTTTTGTACGGTTTTTCTGATCTCAGTTTCATTCCATTCAGCTCTGATTTTGTTCATTTTTTATCTTCTGCTAGCTTTGGGGTTGGTTTGCTCTTGTTTTTCTAGTTTCTCTATGTGTGATGTTAGGTTGTTAACTTGAGATTTTTTTAACTTTTGATGTGGTTGTTTAGTGCTATAATCTTTCCTCTTAACATTGCTTTAGCTGTGTCCCAGAGATTCTGGTAAGTTGTCTCTTTGTTTTCATTAGTTTCAAAGACTTTCTTGATTTCTGCCTTAATGTCATTGTTTACCCAAAAGTCATTCAGGAGCAAATTGTTTAATTTCTGTGTAAATGTATGGTTTTGAGTGATCTTCTTAGTATTGATTTCTGTTTTTATTGCACTGTGGTCCAAGAGTATTGTTGGTACAATTTTTTTTTCTTTTCTTTGATTTTCCTGAGAATCCCTTAGAATTTGCTTGTCTGAAAAGGATCATATTCTTGGCTGGAATTTCTCTTACTTAAGAATGCTGAATAGAGCCCCAATCTCTTCTGGCTTGTAGAGTTTCTGCTGAAAGGACTACTGTTAGCCTGATGGGCTTCCCTTTGTCGGTGACCTGAGCTCCCCCGCCCTTTTTTTTTAGCTGCCTTTAACATTTTTTCTTTCATTTCAACCTTGGAGAGTCTGGTGACTATTTAACTCAGGAATTGTCATCTTGTATGGTATCTCACAGGGGTTCTTTGCATTTCCTGAATTTGAGTGTTGCCCTCTCTAATGAGCTTGGAGAAATGTTTGGGTCAATATCCTCAAATATGTTTTCCACATTGCTTGCTTTCTCTCCCTGTCTTCGGGGACACCAATGAGTCATAGGTTTCATCTCTTCATATAATTTCATATTTCTTGGAGGTTTTTTCATTAATTTTTATTATTTTTTCTTTATTTTTGTCTGACTGCATTGATTTGAAAAATCTATCTATGAGTTATGAGAGTCTTTCCTCAGCTCGGTCTATTCTGCTATTAATACTTGTGATTGTATTATGAAATTATCGTAGTGAGTTTTTTTTTAACCTCTATCAGATCAATTTGGTTCTTCCTTAAAATGACTCTCTCATCTTTCAGCTCTTGTATTATCTTATTGGATTCCTTAGATTCCTGGATTGGGATTGGGTTTCAACTTTCTCTTGAATCTCAATGATCTTTGTTCCTATACAGATGCTGAATTCTATGTCTGTCATTTCCACCCTTTCAGCCTGGTTCAGAACCATTGCATGGGGAACTAGCATGGTCATTAGGAGGTAAGGAGACACTCTAGACTTTTGAGTTGCCAGAGTTCTTTCCCTGGATCTTTTCCATCTGTGTGAAATGATGTTCCTTTCATCATTGAAGTTGCTGCCCTTTAGATAGGGTATTTTACTTTTATATTATTTGATGCCCTTGTGGGCATCAATATTTTATTGTGGTATAACATGAGTTCAGTACACTGGCTTTGTTTCTGTAAAATTTCAAGAAGCCAAGCCTGAGTTCATCACTGCCGGAATATGTGTTGTAACCCTGGGGGACTAGTAATGGGCCCAGGGCTTTGATCTCTGGCCCCTTGAGGTTAGGAACCTGCTGCACTGCAGGGACTGAGGTGTTCCCAATCCACTGGTAGCAACACTCTGATGGTGGTGGTGGGGAGGTGCCAGTCAAAGCTCTTTGTTGGGTCAGTGACAGCAGGATTCATGCTCCTACGTGTGTGCCAATAGCAGTAATGATGCAGCAGGGTGCACATGCATTGGCGGGGATGGGACAGCAGCAGGGGTGAGGCAGCAGCATCCATGCATCCATGCTCATGCCAGTGATGGGACAGATGTGGTTGTGGGTGCCAGTAAAGCAGTGGGGAGGTGCACCATGGATGAGTGTGCACCAGCAAGTGGCAGGGGAAGGCTGCAGTTGGGGGAAGCTGTGGGTCAGTGGGTGTGCATCAACGGGGGCCATTCTGCTGGAGCTCTCTGACAATTATGTGCAGTCTGCTGGTGAAGCAGTTATAATGATGGCCCCTAGGAAGTGATCTGGTTGGGCATCTGAGGCTGCACTACAAGTGGGCATGGCTAGGCTGGGGCTCCAGGAGAGGTTGGCAGAGAGGTGTTTGCTCAGAATGGACTGGCTCCATCCCATGGGCAAGACCATCATGCTCTGTCTAGGTCCAACAGTCACCAAAGGCCAAAGCCACCTACAGGAGCATGGCAAGCCTTGGGGGAATGGGTGTCCGTGGCTGTGCTCCAATGCAACCATTCCCATGCCAAACCCTCTGAGCTCTGCACAGGCTGGAATCCTTTCCCTGTCACCTCTCCAAACAGCTCTCTCTGCCAGCTCAACTGTCCAGAGGGGTCGTGGGGTCTCCTGCAGCTAGGATTCTGGAGGTCTGTCATAAAAACAGGCTACTCCTCATTTGTTTAACTCACCCTTTCCCTAGAAGCTGGTGGGGGCCAGGAATGTGTTCCAGTGCTTAGCAACCCTGTGTAGGATTCTCAGCTTCCTATCCATTTAGCCTAGGGTCTGCGTCTTCCTGCAATCACTCTCAAGGCCTACCCTCAGAAGATCTGCTCAGTGTGTGCCAGTCTTCCAGATGGCTTAGTCTCTCGGTGGGAGATGTTCTTCCTGGCTGTGTCTAGGTGGTCATCTTGGCTTGCAATCTAATACAATCTTCAAATGGCACAGGATACAAACCTAACAATATGAATGTACCTGTTACTTTGGTTCCATCCATTAAGGAATAGGCCCAAATCAGATTATTATCTAGTTTACATAAAACTTCATCTTGATAAGGCAAGGAAATGGGTGAAATATATGTTGCCTCCCCAATGGGAGAGGTAGGGTTTCTAGCTTGTGTGACACAAGTAGCAAAATCTGGTACTCCCCTTCTTCTCTCTGGATTGTTCCAGTGTAGCTGTGGATCAGACTTTTCTCTTAGTTGTCACTTACTCCCTTTGATTGAATATTTTCTCCTGCATCCATGGCAGGATCCCCAGCCAGTGTAGAGACTTGGTTGGCATCTTTCTTATGCTGCAGGGACTAAAAGTATTTGAGTGGGACACATGTGGCTGCTGTCATTCTTTCTGCATCCCACTGTTCCCCTCCAACTTATGTGTTATTTTCTACCCTACTTTTCAGTTCCAACTCTGCTGTGTCCTATAGCTTTATAAAACCAGAGTGAGTGGTGCTGAGGTCAGGAGTATACGTACCTGCCTTAGGCACTGTTCCTTATACAACAAAAATACTAAATATTTTTTCTTCCTCAGTAAAAGGATGAAAAAAATTTTCACCTTGAATTTATTAAAAATCTCATCCAAGAAAAATACTGCCACTGAGCAAGATTAATGATGACAACAGCCCCATGATATTCAGTCACTTAATACATCCCATGATGTTCAGGAATATTGGTGGCAGCCAGTGCGTTGGCAGCTGCTGGCTGCTGCATGTGGCACTCTGACAGTGGGATGAGATTTTTACAAGCCTGTCCAGGCACTACAAACTCTAGAAGCCTGAAGATCTCTCAGCTACTCTAGGCATCATCAAGAAGGAGTCTGAGGAGCTCTCTCCTTATCTCAATAGAGGCAAGCCCTTTCTGCAGAGAAGAAAATCTTCCTGTGGAAGACCATGTCCACTAAGATTCTCTATTAAAGGAACAGAGTTTTCATTCAGTCATCTCAGCACTATCTTAGCCACATCCATGATATATATTCATTCCCTCCTTCATTTATTCACTCATTCATTCATTTATTTAATACACATGCACTGATTATCTAATATGTGCCAAGTACCATGCTAAGTACTGCAATGCAGAGACAAATTTTGACCTTGTTCCTAAATGATTCATATTTTAGTGAATAGATGGATATGTGCACAAAGACAGGCAAAAGAATGTCTTATGTATGTTGACAGCTGTCCATGCAGGGAATAGCAACACAAAAGAGCCAGCACATTTTAGGTGAAATTTTAGAGGCAGGACTTTTTGGAAGCAAGTTTTGGAAGTTGAGTAGAAGTTCACATGACAGACTCTGTTGGCAGAGGCAGCAGAGTGGGCAGAGGCAGGAGCCTTAAAGCAGCCAGGTGGGCTCTAGGATCTGTATATATCACAGTATGTATAGGGAGAGTGTGCATTTAGGAAAGGGTGTGAGCTGGGGAGGTAGGCAAGAGGACCTCATCTGAGAGTCCCTATGTATCATACTAAAGAATTTGAACTTGAAAATAATAATTAAAATAATAAGAGAAAACACTTTTATGGTTCTTCATATGTACTAGGCACTGTTCTAAGTGCTTTGCATGTAATAACCTCAGAATAACCCTGTGAGATAAATAATACTTTTATTCTCATTTTACAGATAAGGAAACTGAAACACAGAAAAGGTAAATGACTTGTGCAAATTCACACAGCTCTTAAGTGGCACAGCTGGAATTCCAGTCCCTTTTTTCCTGTTGACTGATAGTCAACAGTCCCCTGCTTGTTGACAGTCCTGACAGCTTCCTCCTCTGTTTACAATTTGACACCTGCCACTTTGAACAGGAGAATTTATATCTGTTCTCTGGTGTGCCTGGCCAAGAGATACTCTTTGTATGTTTTTGCAGTAGTTATAACACCACTGACTTTCCCTGTTCCAGACCCTAATCAGGCTCTCGGGCTTTCGTCTTGGCCCAAAACCACTGGCTGGTCAACTGGCCTTATCCCTTGTGAGAAAGAAATTTGGACATTTTTCTATGAATGAGATTCCCCAGGAATTCTTGTCATCATAGCAACGAGGATAAATTGGCAGCTGCCTTCGAATCCTTGGCCTGATGAACATGGCAGTGACCAAGAAAAATACAGACTCTGAAACTTGTGCTGACCCTCTTTCCTCAATTTAGGGAGGAGGGATAAAGCTGTTTACCCTGTGCTGGCGAGGGCTGAAGCATTCTCAGCTCTGCTCTCCTACTTTTATGCAGAAAGGAAAATAGGGGCAGCATAGTTAAACCGACTGTATTATTTTAAACAGCCTCAACTCATTATGGACACCTAGAAGACATGATTTGGTGTGGAGCAAGGAACTGGAAAGAAAGCAATTTTTGTGTTACTTAGGTCAAAAAAGGACACTGTTAATAATAATGAGTGCTAACAATTGCTCACCATGTACCAAGCACTGTGCTAAGCACTTTACAGATATTATTATTTTTATTTAATCCCCATAAAAATTCTGCAAGGTAGATATTATGATTATGTCCAACCTCAGTTTTCTCACTATATATTAATAATAATACAGCTCAGTAATCTGTCAGGAAGCAGAAGGCACAATTGGTACAAGTCAACTGTGAAGAGTAGAAGTGCTACGAAGGCCCATTCTTATGTGGTAGTAATTAGGGTAGGCAAGAAAGAGTTTGGGTAGGCCTATTAAAATAAAGGAGGTACACCAAGTTTAACAATAACAATAGCTACTTTGTATATCCACTCTTACTGGGGGTGGGGGAGGGAAGAACTTCGTTGAGAAAAAAATATTGAACAAAATTTAGCTTAGACTTTCAAAATAGATATTTTATTTATTTTGGATTGATTGATTAATTATCATAAGAACATTTAACATTAGATCTTCCCTCTTAGCAAATTTTTAAAACTTGTACCTAAAATGTAGTCTGAAAGGTTCTCAATTTCTATTCCCATCTATAGGTGGGAAGAGTGGGAGCGAACCCTTAGAGAAGCTTTAGGGAAGTTCTTCTTTTTTCATAGAGGAAATAATAACTACTTGGATTTCTGTAACAATACAAGTCTTTATGTAGTAAGGCCTAATATTTCATGTGTTTCTTTCTTCCATATCTTCAAGCCTCACAGAACACCAGTGTCCTAACCATGAATTCTCCTGCTTTCACCAGTGACCCCCCACCCAGTGGCAAAGGCTTCCCACCTGGATGATTTCCCTAACAGTCTCAAACTAATGGACTTCACCTCTCTTCCAGCATGGGAAATTATTCAAATAAGTCAATCACATCTTCCCAGGGGAGCCAGAAGTCATCCCATAGCTCCTGCTTGTTCATTCTATTCCCAAGTACAACCCCATGGAGCCAAGAATAGCATACACTATCCTCCTTAGGCCTATCTGATTAATAAACTTCTGCTTGATTTCCTCTCTTTTAACATTTATTTTAGATTCTGGGGTACATGCGAAGGTTTGTTATGTAGATTAACTTGTGTCATGTAGGTTTGATGTACAGATTATTTCATCACCCAGTATTAAGCCCATTACCCAATAGTTATCTTATCTGATCCTCTCCTTTCTCCCACCCTCCACCCTCAGATAGATCCCAGTGTTTGTTGTTTCCTTCTTTGTGTTCATAAGTTCTCATCATTAGGTCCAACTTATAAGTGAGAACATGCAGTATTTGGTTTTTTGTTCCTGTTTAGTTTGCTAGGGATAAAAGCCTCCAGCTCCATTCATGTTCCTGCAAAGACATAATCTTGTTCTTTTTTATGGCTGAATAGTATTCCATGGTATATATATATACCACATTTTCTTCATCCAATCTGCCGTTGATGGAAATTTAGGTGTATTCCATGTCTTTGCTATTGTGAATAGTGCTGCAATGAACACTTGCATGCATGTGTCCTTATGGCAGGATGATTTATATTCTTCTTGGTATATGCACAGTCATAGGATTGCTGGGTCAAATGATAGTTCTGCTTTTAGCTCTTTGAGGAATTGCCCTACTGCTTTCCACAATGGTTGAACTAATTTACATTCCCACCAACAGTGTATAAGTGCTCCTTTTTCTCCACAACTTTGCTAATATGTGTTATTTTTTAACTTTTTAGTAGTAGCCATTCTGAGTGATGTGAGATGGTATCTCATCGTGGTTTTGCTTTGCATTTCTCTTTTGTTTATTGATGTGGAGCATATTTTCATATCCTTTTGGTCACATGTATGTCTTCTTTTGAAAAAGTATCTGTTCATGTCTTTTGCCCACTTTTTAATAAGATTACTTTTTCTTATAAAATTTTTAAGTTCTTTATAAATGCTGGATATCAGACCTTTGTTAGATGAGTAGTTTGCAAAATTTTTCTCCCATTCTGTAGGTTGTTTGTTGACTCTGTTGATAGTTTATTTTGCTGTGCAGAAGCTCTTAAGTTTAATTAGATCCCACTTGTCAATTTTTGCTTTTGTTGTGATTCTTTTCATGTCTTTCTCATAAAATCTTTTCCTGTTTCTATGTCCAGGATGGTATTACCTAGGTTGTCTTCCAGGAATTTTATAGTTTTGGGTTTTATATTTAAGTCTTTAATCCATCTTGAGTTGATATTTTTGTATATGCTGTAAGGAAGGAGTCCAGTTTCAATCTTCTGCATATAGTCAGTTATTCCAGCACCATTTATTGAATATGGAGTCTTTTTCCTACTGCTTGTTTTTGTCAGCTTTGTTGAAAATCAGATGGTCATAGGTGTGTGGCCTTATTTCTGGGCTCTCTAGTCTGTTCCATTGGTCTATGTGCCTGTTTTTTGTTTGTTTGTTCATTGCCAGTACCATGCTGTTTTAGTTACTATAACCCTGTAGTATTGTTTGAAGTCAGGTAATGTGATGCCTTCAGCTTTGTTCTTTTGGCTTAGGATTGCCTTGGCTATTTGGGCTTTTTTTTGAATTTTTAAAAGCTTTTAAAAATATTTTTTGCGATAAATGTCATTGGTAGTTTCATAGAAATAGCATTGACTCTGTAAATTACTTTGAGCAGTATGGCCATTTTCATGATATTGATTCTCCCGATCCATGAGCATGGAATGTTATTCCATTTGCTTGTGTCCTCTGATTTATTTGGGCAGTGCTTGTGGCTCTCCTTGAAGGGGTCCTTCACTTCCCTTGTTAGCTGTCTTCCTAAGTATTTTGTTATTTTTGTAGCAATTGTGAATGGGAGTTCATTCATGATTTGGCTCTCTGCTTGCCTATTGTTGGTGTATAGGAATGCTTCTAATTTTTGCACATTGATTTTGTATCCTGAGATTTTGCTGAAGTTGCTTATCAGCTTAACAAGTTTTTGGGCTGAGATGACAGGGTTTTCTAGATATAGGATCATGTCATCTGCAAACAAAATTAATTTAACTTCCTCTCTTCATATTTGAATACCTTTTATTTCTTCACCTTGCCCAATTGCCCTGGCCAGAACTTCCAAAATTGTGTTGAATAGGAATGGTGAGAGAGGGCATCCTTGTCTTGTTCTGATTTTCAAAGGGAATGCTTCCAGCTTTGCCCATTCAGTATGATATTGGCTGTGGGTTTGTCATATATGGCTCTTATTATTTTGAGGTACATTTCTTCAATACCTAGTTTATTGAGAGCTTTTAACATAAAGTGATGTTGAATTTCATCAAAGGCCTTTTCTGCATCTATTGAGCTATGTCATTTTTGTCTTTGGTTTTGCTCATGTGATAAATCATATTTATCAATTTCTGTATGTTGAACCAGCCTTGCATCTCAGGGATAAAGCCTTGGTCAATCCATATTTGATTGTGGTGGATAAGCTTTTGGATGTGCTGCAGGATTCAGTTTGCCAGTATTTTGTTGAGGATTTTTGCATTGATGTTCATCAAAGGTATTGGCCTGAAGTTTAGTTTTCTTTTCTTTTCTTTTCTTTTCTTTTCTTTTCTTTTCTTTTCTTTTCTTCCTTCCTTCCTTCCTTCTTCCCTCCCTCCCTCTATCCTTACCTCTCTTTCTTTCTTTCTTTCTTTCTTTCTTTGTTTCTTTTTTTTTTTTTTTTTTTTTTTTTGAGATTTACTCTTGTTGCCCAGACTGGAGTGCAATGGCATGATCTCGGCTCACCACAACCTCCACCTCCTGGGTTCAAGTGATTCTCCTGTCTCAGCCTCCCAAGTAGCTGGGATTACAGGCATGCACCACCACACCCCCCTAATTTTGTATTTTTAGTAGAGATGGGGTTTCTCCATGTTGGCCATACTGGTCTCGAACTCCTGACCTCAGGTGATCCGCCTGCCACAGCCTCCAAAAATGCTGGGATTACAGGCATGAGCCACCACGCCCGGCAGTTTTTTGTTGTTGTTGTTGTTGTATCTCTGCCAGGTTTTTATATTAGCATGATCTTGGCCTCATAGAACAAATTAGGGAGGTGTCCCTCCTTTTTAATTTTTTGGAATAGTTTCAGTATAAATGGTACCACCTTTTCTTTGTACCTCTGGTAGAATTCAGCTGTAAATCCATCTGGTCCTGAGCCTTTTCTGGTTGGTAGGCTATTTATTACTGTTTCAATTTCAGAACTCATTATTGGTGTGTTCAGGGATTCAATTTCTTCCTGGTTCAGTCTTGGGAGGGTGTGTGTGTCCAGGAATTTATCCATTTCTTCTAGATTTTCTAGTTAGTGTGCATTGAGGTGTTTATAGTATTCTCTGATGGTTGTTTGTATTTCTGTGGGGACAGTGGTGATATCCCCCTTATTATTTCTAGTTGTGTTTATTTGACTCTTTTCTCTTTTCTTTTTTATTAGTCTAGCCAGCAGTCTGTCTATTTTATTAATTTTTTCAAAATGACAGCTCCAAGATTCATTGATTTTTTGAAGGGATTTTCGTGTCTCCATCTCCTTCAGTTCTCCTTTGATCTTGGTTATTTCTTGTCTTCTGCTAGCTTTGGGGTTTTTTTGGTTCTCTAGTTCTTTTAGTCATGATAGTAGTTTGCTAACTTGAGATCTTTCTAGCTTTTTGATGTGGGCATTTAGTGCTATAAATTTCCCTCTTAACACTGCTTTAGCTGCATCCCAGATATTCTGCTACATCATCTGTTTATTCTCATTGGTTTCAAAAAACTTTTTTATTTCTACCCTAATTTCATTATTTGCCCAGGAGTCATTCAGGAGCAGATTGTTAAATTTCCATGTAGTTGTGTGGTTTTGAGTGAGTTTCTTAATCCTGATTTCTAATTTGATTGCTCTGTGGTCTGAAAAACTGTTTGTTATAATTTCAGTTATTTTGCATTTGCAGAGGAGTGTTTTACTTCCAATTATGTGATCAATTTTAGAGTAAGTGTCATGTGGCAATAAGAAGAATGTATATTCTGTTGTTTTTAGGTAGAGAGTTCTGTAGATATCTATCAAGTCCACTTGATCCAGAGCTGAATTCTGGTCCTGAATATCTTTGTTAATTTTCTGTCTCAATGACATAATATTGTCAGTGGAGTGTTAGAGTCTCCCACTATTACTGTGTGTGAGTCTAAGACTCTTTGTAGGTCTTTCAGAACTTGCTTTATGAATCTGGGTGCTCCTGTATTGGGTGCATGGATTTAGAATTGTTAGCTCTTCTTGTTGAATTGAACCCTTTACCATTATGTAGTACCCTTCTTTGTCTTTTTGATCTTTGTTGCTTTAAAGTCTGTTTTGTCAGAAACTAGTATTGTGATCCCTGCTTTTTTTCTGCCTTCCATTTGCTTGGTAAGTTTTCCTCCATCCCTTTATTGAGCATATGTGTGTCTTTGCACATGAGATGGGTCTCTTCAATACAGCACACCAATGGGTCTTGGCTCATTATCCAGCTTACCATTCTGTATCTTTTAACTGGGGCATTTGGCCCATTTACATTTAAGGTTAATATTGTTATTTGTAAATTTGATCCTGTCATCATGATGCTGGATGGTTATTTTGCAGACTTGTTGATGTAGTTGCTTCATACTGTCACTAGTCTCTGTACTTCAGTATGTTTTTGTTGTGGCTGGTAGCAGATTTTTCTTTCCATATTTAGTGCTTCCTTCAGGAGCTCTTGCAAGACAGGCCTGGTAGTGACAGATTCCCTCCGCATTTACTTTTCTGAGAAGGATCTTATTTCTTCTTCCCTTATGAAGCTTAGTTTGGCCAGATATGAAATTCTGGGCTGGAAAATCTTTTCTTCAAACTTCCCTGTTGGTACTGCTTTTGCTGTATCCCATAGGTTTTGGTATGTTGTGTTTCCATTACCACTTGTTTCAAGAAATTTTTCAATTTTCTTCCTAATTTTTTCAATGACTCACTAGTCATTCAGGAGCATATTGTTTAATTCTCATATGTTTGTATAATTTCCAAAATTGCTCTTGTTACCAATTTCTAGGTTTATTTCATTGTGGTCAAAGGAGAAACTTGATATTATTTCCATTTTTTGAATGTTTTATTAGTTGTTTTGTGACCTAACATATGGTCTATCCTTGCGAATGATTCATGTGCTGTGATGAAGAATGTGTCTTTTGCAGCCGTTGGATGAGACCTGTCCAATGCTGAAAATGGGTTGCTAAAGTCTCCAGCTATTATTTTATTGGAGCTTATCTCTCTGTTTAACTCTAATAATATTTGCTTTATATATCTGGATTCTCCAGTATTGGGTGCATTTATATTTACACTTGTTATATCCACTTGCGGAATGACCCCTTTATCATTATATAGTGATCTTTGTCTCTTCTTAGAGTTTCTGTTTTAAAATCTATTTTGTCTGATATAAGCCCAGCCACTCCTGCCCTTTTTGATTTCCATTGGCATGAAGTATCTTTTTCTATGCCTTTATATTCAGTTTATATACATTTTTATAGGTGATGTGTGTTTCTTGCAGTTAACAGATTATTGGGTCTTGTTTTTTTAAATCCATTCAGCCATTCTATGACTTTTGATTGGAGAGTTTAGTCCATTTACATTCAATGTTTTTATTGATAAGTAAAGATTTACCCCTGCCATTTTATTATTTGTTTTCTGGTTGTTTTGTGGTCTTCTTTTCCTTCTTTCCTTACTTCCTGTTTTTCTTTTAGCGAAGGTGATTTTTTCAGGTGGTATGATTTAATGTCTTCCTTTTTATTTTTTTCTGTATCTGTTGTATGTTTTTTGGTTTGAGGTTTCCATGAGGCTTACACATGCTATCTTATAACATATCATTTTAAACTGAAAAAATGTAAGATTGTTTGCATAAACAAAAAAGCAAACAAGCAAAAACAAAGCCAATAAAACTCTACATCTTAACTTCATCTCCTCACTTTTTATCTTTTTTTCCACTTATATCTTATTGTACTATGTTATAGAAATTCTTCCTAGTTATTACTTTTTGTTCATCATTTAGTCTTTCTACTTAACAGCAGTTTACACACCACAGTTACAATGTTATAATATTCTGTGTTTTTCTGTGTACTTACTACTATCAGTGAGTTTTGTACCTTCAGGCAATTCCTTTTTGCTCATTAACGTCCTTTTTTTCTGATTGAAGAACTCTCTTTAGCACTTCTTGAAAGACACGGTCTGGTGTTTATGAAATTCCTCAGCTTTTATTTGTCTCAGAAAATATTTACTTCTCCTTTAGCTTTCAAGGATATTTTCACCAGATATACTTTTCTAAGGTAGAAGGTTTTTTTCTTCAAAACTCTAAATATGTCTTGCTACTCTCTCCTGACCTTTAAGGTTTCCACTAAAAAGTCTGTTGCCAGATGTATCGGAGCTTCCTTATATGTTATTTGTTTCTTTTCTCTTGTTGCTTTTAGGATACTTTCTTTATGCTTGACCTTTGGGATTTTGATTAACAAATGCCTTGAAGTAGTCTTCTTTCTTGAAGTAGTCTTCTTTCTCGAGGTTTGGAAAGTACTCTGTTATTATCCCTTTTAAGAAACTTTCTACTCCCATCTCTTTCTCTACCTCTTCTTTAAGGCCAATACCTCTTAGATTTGCCCTTTGGAGGCTATTTTCTAGATCCTGAATGCGTGCTTCCTTGTTTTTTATTGTTTTTTTAAATATCTCTTCTGACTGTGTATTTTCAAATAGCCTTTCTTCAAGCCTTTCTTCAAGATTCTTTTGCTTGATCAATTCTACTATTAAAAAAATGGATGCATTATTCAGTATGTCAGTTGATTTCCCAACTCTAGAATTTCTGCTTCATTTTTCTTAATTATTTTGATCTCTTTGTTGAATCTATCTGATAGAATTCTGGATTTCTTCTCTAACAATTTTGAATTTCTTTTTAATTTCCTCAGCACAGCTATTTTGAATTCTCTGTCTGAAAAAAACACATATCTCTGTTTCTCCAGGATTAGCCTCTGGTGCCTTATTTAGCTTATTTGGTGAGTCCATGTTTTCCTGGATGGTATTGAAGCTTGTGGATATTTGTCTGTGTTTAAGCATCAGAGTTAGGTATTCATTGTAGTCATTGCAGTCTGGGCTTGTTTGTACTTACCACTCTTGGGAAGGCTTTCCAAGTATTGTAAAGAACTTCGGTGTTATGATACAACCTCTATCTGCATTAGAGGGCCCCTCAAGCCCAGTAACACAATGGTTCTTGTAAATTTATAGAGGTACCACCTTGGTTGTCTTGAATAAGATCCAGATGAATTCTCTGGATTACCAGGAAGAGATTCCTGTTCTCTTCCCTACTTTCTCTCAAACTAACAAAGTCTTTCTCTCTCTCTCTCTCTCTCTGGTGAGCCATCTGAAACTGGAAGTGGAGTGACACAAGCACCCCTGTGGTTACCACCACTGCAACTTCACTGGCTTAAATACGAAGCCAGCACAGCACAGGTTCTCACCCAAGGGTCACTCTAACCACTACCTGGCTATCACCTATGTTTGCTCAAGGCCCTGGAGCTCTACAATCAGCAGGTCACCAAGTCACCCTGGCTTGTGTCATTCCCTTCTGTGTGACAAGTTGCCCCAAGCCATGGGCAGGTCCAGAGGTACCATCTGGAAGCCAGGAACTCAGTCAAAAGCCTTAGAAGTCTACCTGTTGTTCTATTGTACTGTGACTGAGCTGACACTGAAACCATAAGATACAGTCCTTCTCACTCTTCCCTCTTCTTTCCACAGATGAAGGAGCTTCAGCACATGGCCACTACCACCACAGCCCCACAGGGAGTACTGCCAGGCTATGACTGATGTTCCCTTAATTCCCAAGGGCTCTTCAGTCATGCTGTGGTAAATCCTGCCTAGCCTGGGACTCACCTTTAGGGAAGTGGGCTTCCCTCTGGCCCAGGGAAAGTCCAGAAATGCCATCCAAGTGCCAAGGCCTAGAATCAGGGACCCCAAGAGCCCACTAGTTGCTCTACCTGACCCCATGGGCACGCTGGTACCTAAGGTTCAAGACAAAGTCCCCTTTACTTTTTCCTCTGCTTTTCTCAAGCAGAAGGAGTCTCTCCCCATAGCCACCACAACTTGGAATGTGCTGAGTGTCACATGAAGCCAGCTAGCCTCACCCAAGGCCCACGGCATACTACCTGGGTATTGCTGCTGGTTATTCATGGGCCATTGGCTCCACAGTATCAGGTGATAGTTCCTGCTTGTATGGGGTCCTTCCCTTCATGGCAGTCAGTTTCCTTCTGGCTCAGGGTGTTACTATAAATGTCATCCAGGAGCTAGGTACTGGAAAGGAGGCCTCATAACTGACTGCTGAGTTATCCTGCTGTGGCTCAGCTGGTATCCAAGATGCAAGACAAAGTCCTCTTTATTCTTCCCTCACCTCTCCTCAAAAAGAATGTAGGTGTCTCTTTTAGAGTTGTGAGCTGTGCAGGCTGGGGTTGGGGTGGGGGGTGGCACAAGCATTCCTCCCTTAGCATCCCTGGCTGGTGTCTCAGTAGGTCACATGTCCTCCAAGACCACTAGCTCTGAGCCCAGTTTAGCACTAGGACTCACCTAGTATTTACCGTCCTTGTGGTCCAGACAACCTTTCAAGTTTAGTTTGGGCCCGAAAGCACTTAGCCCATAGTGCTGAAGCTTACTGGAACTCAAATTCTGACCACTGGGAAGGGTGATTCCTCTCTGGCTAGGGCTGATTTAAATACTCCCTCCATGGTCAGGCATTAGCTGAGTTCACCCTGGTTTTGCTTTCTGCTGTAATAGGGCAGCACTGAGTTCAATGCGATGTCTCACAATTCCTGTGTTCTCCCTCTCCCAAGTGCACAAATACTCTCTCCTCACCATGCATCTGCTGCCAGGGGATAAGGAAGAGGTGGTGTTGGCCATCCAAGACTGTCTTTTCTAGCCTCTTTCAATGCCCCTTTCAGTAACATGACATTAAAACAAGGTACTGTAAGTACTCATCTGACTTTTGGTTCTTATGAAGGTGCTTATTTTTTTTTATGTAGATAGTTGTTAAATTGGTGCCCTTGTGGAAGAGATGATCAGTGGAGCCTTCTATTCAGCTATCTTGCTCTATCTCTCTATCTACCATTTCTTATTGCTTTGGTAAATGGAGTATCCTTCAGGTTCACTTATGTAACACAGTTTTTTTGTTTTTTTTTTTTTTTGAGACAGAGTCTCGCTCTGTTGCCCAGGCTGGAGTGCAGTGGCGCGATCTCGGCTCACTGCAAGCTCCGCCTCCCGGGTTCACGCCATTCTCCTGCCTCAGCCTCCCGAGTAGCTGGGACTACAGGCACCCACCACCACGCCCGGCTAATTTTTTGTATTTTTAGTAGAGACAGAATTTCACCGTGTTAGCCAGGATGGTCTTGATCGCCTGACCTCGGACTCCCAAAGTGCTGGGATTACAGGCGTGAGCCACCGCGCCTGGCCAACACAGTTCTTTATCCTTACTTAAATATATCTACTCTAGGATGCCCACATCTCTGTGCCTTTATATTTCTTCTACCATTGTTGGCTAAGACAGTCCTGTCATTTCTCCTTCACCCAGTGGGGCCTAGCACATTTTCCAGGTTTCTAGGAATCATTCTGGTGACATTTTTACCCTGTGCCCCAGGGTCCTTGCTAAAATGTTAAATTCTGTATACTAGAAGAGTGCTTTCAAATGATTATGCTCACCCTTATTCGATTTTATTTTCTCCCCAACCCATAATCCAGAATCTACATCTCTCAGAATCTAGTCCGATACAAACTTTGCTGGTTCATGTAGACGGTACCTGTTAGTTAGGTCCTATAGCTCTCTTGAGGCTTATTCTATTTCTCTTTTTAGCAAGCCAAGCATGCCCTTGCTAAATTATGCCATGACTGACTCCAGTTATTGCCCTAGTAGCTATAAGTTGAGGTTAGGGCAGATCTCTATGAGAGCAGATGTCTAGGTGCAGCAGATGTTTTCTTGATGAGGAGAAAACTCTGCATTGTCTTCAAGTAAAGGGTAAGCACTATCTCCTAACAAGGAGGAATGTGCTCTTTTGCAGGCTCAGACATTTTAGTGAATGTCAGGATTCAAGATTTTGGAGTGCATCAACCCAGATATCCCTATGCCAAAGATGCGGCATAACCTGGGATAAGGTCTTCAACTGAGGAAATTCCTAGAGACTACTGGCAGCTATAAGCTGGCAGTGATGAGCATCCCCAGCATCTGGGGAAATAAGTGTTCCAGCCTGAAGGGGGATCTCAGTGGCAGCAGAAGAACATTCTTTACCTCTGCATTTTTATCAAGCTCTCCAGGTGATTCTGATACAAACTAAAGTTTGAAGACAAAGAGAAAACTCTGCATTGTCTTCAAGTAAAGGGTAAGCACTATCTCCTAACAAGGAGGAATGTGCTGTTTTGCAGGCTCAGACATTTTAGTGAATGTGGAGATCAAATATACATTTGGCCTCCACTGTCTTTAAGACATTTCTATAAGAGTTGGAATTTCAAGCAAAGATTGAGGACAATATGGGCTTTCAAAAATATGGACACTTTTGATTTTTAACAGTATTTAAATAGTGAAAAATCAAAAGATTTAAGAATTTTTAAAGTGTCTAATATTGTTACTTGAATTCTACATAGAATTAGGGTTTCTTCATTAAGCAAATGTGGAATGGAAAGTTTTTCCCCAAATCTTAATTTTTAATCTGTTATAAAATCTGGATATTATGGATAAATGTTATTTTGATTTTATATATATATATATACAGTAGTCGGGAGAAAATCTTTACTTTTTTAATCTAATAGGTTTTCCTTTGTAATCACATAGTTATACTTTTGTTTGTCCACTGGTGGACACTGTTGAGCTTCCAAACAAAGCTATTCTGATGGGGTGGTGAGGAGGCAAAAGAGGAGACATGAATGGAAATATAAAACCAAAATTAAGACAGTGACAATCTTTGTGCAATCCTATTTGTTCACCATATAACAAGCTAATAAATGTTTATGTCAATCATATTTAGAATAACAAAGTTAGAAACAGCTAGACTTACATTGCTTAGGAAGAATATTTTTACAGCAGGGAAGCACTGCTTAATGGCTAATGGCATAACTAAACTACAAAACAGTATTCTATTCCATAGGGAAACCAATGCTTTCATTTCAAGAAAAAAAAATTTTCCATTTTTCCGGTTTCCTTTACTTCAGACCTCTTTATTTTGAGAATAATGTTAACCTTTTCATCAAGATTCAACCAAAATACTGAAGAGTAGACAATAAAAAGCTATCATTAAAAGGTGAGCTTGTGATGATAATTTGGGTCAAAAGACAATGAATAAATTTTTACTAATGTATAATTTGTTTCATCTTAATGAATAAAATTCTGAACTCATCATATAGATTATAAGAATTTCTGTAAAGAGAATCCAAGATTATTTAATTATCTGAGCTATTGTGATGGTGTGCTAGCAATCATTTCATAACTTTGGAGGTAGAGGTTTTTTTTTTTTTTTTTTTATAGAGGTACTGTAAGAAGTACTGTAAGAAGTACTGGAATGAAATCCAGAAATAAACTCCAGTTCTACTGATTACTTGCTGCCTGACTTTGAGTAGGTTGCTAGACTTCTCTGATCCTCCATTTACTCATCTATAAGAGTGGAAATAAATAATACTTTCCTAGTAAGTTTATTACAAGAAATAAATGAGATACTGTAGGCAAGAGGCCTAGTATAGTGCCTGGTACAAAGAAGCTGTCAGTAAATCTAGTTTTATTTCCATCTCCTAAAAGAAGCCACAAACAAAGGGTTCTACCAAAGTCTTACACTTTCAAATGAGCATGGGCAGCAGCAATCAATGATTAATTAATGATGCCTCTTTCTCTTTCTAGTACATAAGTGCCATGAAAAAAACGTCGAGTGTGTGTTTTTTGCTCATCATTAGATCCCCAGCCCCTAACAAAGTACATGGTATATGTTAGGGGAAGAATAACTCTCATATGTTCTGAGTTGAAAGACACCCTTGTAAGAAGAGATAGATTAACAGGAGAAAAAGAAACATAAGTTTATTTACATGTATATTTCATATATACAAGTGAGACACCCAGGGAATGAGTAATTCTCAAAGATGTGGTTTTGAAATTCAGCTTATATTCCATTGTATTAGTCTGTTCTCACACTGCTATAAGGACATATCCGACACTGGGTAATTTATAAAGAAAAAGGGGTTTAAAGGACTCACAGTTCCACATGGCTGGGGAGGCCTGATAATCATGGCAGAGGTGAAAGAGGAGCAAAGGCATGTCTCACATGGTGACAGGCAAGAGAGCCTGTGCAGGGGAACTGCCCTTTATAAAACCATCAGATCTCGTGAGACTCACTCACTATCACGAGAACAGCATGGAGGTAATCGACCCCTTGATTCAATTACCTCCCACCGGGTCCCTGCCATGACACATGGGGATCATGGGAACTATGATCAAACTGAGATTTGGCTGGGGACACAGCCAAACCATATCAATCATTTTCAACAATGAACAGTAAATGTTTTTGCAACTTTTGTTTTAGATTCGGGGGTGCTTGTGCAGGTTTGTTACACAGATATATTACGTGATGCTGAGGTTTGGGATACGGCTGAACCTGTCACCCAGGCACTGAACGTAGTACCTAGCAGGTAGTTTTTCAACTCTTGCCCCCCTCCCTGCATCCCACATCTAGTAGTCCTCAGTATCTATCATTCCTATCTTCATGTCTACATATACCCAATATTCAGCTCCCACTTATAAGTAAGAAAATACGGTATTTGGGTTTCTGTTTTTGTGTCAGTTCACTTAGAATAATGGCCTCCAGCTGCATCCATGTTGATGCAAAGGATATAATGCCATTCCCTTTTTTGCCTGCATAGTATTCCATGATGTATATGTACCACATTTTCTTTATCTAATTCATCATTGATGGGAACCTAGATTGACTCCATGTCTTTGCTATTTTGAATAGTACTGCTATGAATATATTGGTGCATGTGTCTTTTTGGTAGAACAATTTGTTTTCCTTTCGGTATATACCCACTAATGAGATTGCTAGGTCAAATGGTATTTCTATTTTTAGTTGTTTGAGAAATCTCCAAAGTACTTTCCACAGTGGCTGAATGAATTTACATTCCCACCAACAGTGTATAAGCATTCCCTTTTCTCTGCAGCCCCACCAACAGTGTATAAGCATTCCCTTTTCTCTGCAGCCCCACCAACATCTATTACTTCTTTACTTTTCATTAATAGCCATTCTGACTGGTATGTAATGGTATCTCATTGTGGTTTTTATTTGCATTTCTCTGATGATTCATGATGATGAGTATTTTTTGATATGTTTATTGGCTGTTCATATGTCTTCTTTTGAGAAGTTTCCATGTCCTTTGCCCAATTTTTAATGGAGTTATTTGATTTTTGCTTCTTGATTTGTTTAATTTTATTATAGGTTCTGGATGTTAGACCTTTGTTGGATGCATAGTTTGTAAATATTTCCTGCCATTCTGTAGGTTGTTTACTCTGTTGGGAGTTTCTTTTGCTGTGAAGAAGCTCTTTAGTTTAATTAGGTCCAACTTGTCAATTTTTGTTTTTGTTGCAATTAATTTTGATTATATATATATTATATGCAATTATATTATATTAAAAATATAATATAAATATTGTATTTTGTAATAATATTTATTACAAAATAAATTCTTTGCCAAGCCCAATGCCAAGAAGTGTATTTCTTAAGTTTTCTTCCAGGATTTTTATAGTTTGGGGTCTTTGATCTACATTGAGTTAATATTTGTATATGGTGAAAGGTAGGAGTCCAGTTTTATTCTTCCGCATAGTGCTAGCCAGTTTATCCCAGCACTATTTATGGAATAGGGTATCCTTTCTCCATTGCTTATTTTTGTCGACTTTGTCAAAGATCAAATGGTTGTAGTTGTGAAGCTTTATTTCTGGGTTTCTATTCTGTTCCATTGGTCTATGTGTCTGTTTTTGTGCTAGTACCATGTTGTTTTGGTTAACTTTGCCTTCTAGTATACTTTGAAGTCTGTGTCTCTAGCTTTTTTTTTTTTTTTTTTCCTTAGGATTGCCCTGGCTATGCTGGCTCTTTTTTAGTTCCATATAATTTTATAATGGTTTTTTCTAATTCTATGAAAACTGACCTTGGTAGTTTGAGAGAAATAGCACTGAATCTGTAGATTGCTTTGGGCAGTATGGACATTTTAATAATATTGATTCTTCTAATCCATAAGCATGGAATATTTTTTCAGTTTTTGTATCATCTATGATTTCTTTCAGCAGTGTTTTGTGGTTCTCCTTGTAAAGATCTTTCACCTCCTTGGTTAGAGGTATTCCTAGGTATTTTATTTACACATTTTTAGTGTATAAAAATGTTCATGATTTTTGTACATTGATTGTGTATCCTGAAACTTTTCTGAAGTTGTTTACGAGTTTTCAGAGCCTTTTGTCAGAGTCTTCTGTGTATAGAATCTTATCATCAGTGAGGACAGTTTGACTTCTTTTTCCTATTTGGATGCCTTTTATTTTCTTCTCCTGCCTGATTGTTCTGGCTAGGCCTTCCAGTACTATGTTGAATAGGGGTGGTGAGAATGGGCATCCTTATCTTGTTCCAGTTCTCTAGAGGAATGCTTCCAACTTTTGTTCATTCAGTATAATGTTGGCTGTGGGTTTGTTATAGATGGCTTTTATAATTTTGATGTATTCCTTCAATGGCTAATTTATTGAGCATTTTCAATAAAGAAGGGATCTTGGAATTCACTGAAAGCTTTTTCTGCGTCTATTCATATAGTCGTGTGTTTTTTGTTTATGTGATGAATCACATTTTTTGATTTGTGTATGTTGAACTAACTTTGCGTTCCCAGAATAAAGCCTACTAGATTGTGGTAAATTAATTTTTAATGTGTTGACAATTTGGTTTACTAATATTTTGTTGAAATTTTTGTGTCTACGTTAATCAGGGATATTGTCCTGTAATTTTCTTTTTCTGTCGTGTCTTTGCCAGATTTTGGTATCAGAATGATGTTGCTTCATAGAAAGAGTTAAGGGGAGCCCCTCCTCTTCAATTTTTTGATTTTTTGGAATATTTCCAGTAGGGTTGCTACCAGCTCTTCTTTTTACATCTGGCAGAATTCACTTTTGAATCCATCTGGTCCAGGGTTTTGTTTTGTTTTGTTTTGTTTTTTTGTCGGTAAGCGTTTTATTACTGATTCAATTTTGGAACTCATTACTGGTGGTCTGTTCAGGGTTTCAATTTCTTCTTGATTCAATCTTGGGAGGCTGTGCATTTCCAGTAATTTATCCATTTTCTCTAGATTTTCTAGTTTGTGTGTATAGAAGTGTTCATAATAGTCTCTGAGGACCTTTTGTATTTCGTGGAATTGGTTATAATGACACTTTTGTCATTTCTGATTTTTTATTCGGATCTTCCCTCTTATTTTTTGTTAATCTAGCTAGCTATTTATTATTCTTGTTTATCCTTTCAAAGAACCAACTTTTGGTTTTGTTCATCGTTTTTATGGATTTTTGCATCTCAGTTTCATTCAGTTCTGCTCTGATTTTACTTGTTTTCTTCTGACAGCTTTGAGGTTATTTTGTTCTTGTTTTTCTAGTTCCTCTGAGTGCAATGTTAGATGGTTAATTTGAGATCTTTCTAACTTCTCGATGTAGTCATTTAGCAATATAATTTTTCCTGTTAACACTACTTAAGCTGCACCCCAGAGATTTTGGTATGTTGTGTCTCTGTTTTAATTTGTTTCAAATAATTTTTAAATTTCACCCTTAATGTTATTGTTTACCCCAATTTATTTCAGGAGGAAGCTGTTTAATTTTCATGTCATTGTGTGGTTTTGAGAGATCTTCTTGTATTGATTTCTATTTTTATTCCGCTGTGGTCTGAGATTATGCTTGGTATAATTTTGAATTTTTAAATTTATTGATACATGCTTTATGGACAAGAACGTGGTCAATCTTAGAGGATGTTCTGTGTGCAAGTTAGAGGAATGTGTATTCTGTGGATGTTGAGTGGAGTATTCTATTAGGTTCAATTGTTCAAGTGTCAAATTTAAGTCCAGAATTACTTTGTTAGTTTTCTAACCTGGTTAGTAGTCTAACCCTGTCACTGGGGTATTGAAGTCCTCCGCTGTTATTGAGTGGCTAAGTCTTTTCACGGGTCTAGAAGTATTTGTTTTATGAATCTGCATGCTCCAATATTTGGTGCATATATATTTAGGATAGTTAATTATTCTTGTTGAATTCAAGCCTTTATCATTCTATAATGCCTTTCTTTGTCCTTTTTTGACTGTTATTGGTTTAAAGTGTTTTATCTAATATAAAAATACAAATCTCTGCTCTTTTTTGGTTTTCCATTAGCATGCTAGATTTTTCCATCCCTTTACTTTGAGCCCATGAATGTCTTTACATGTGAAATTGGTCTCTTGAAAACAGGAGACATTTGGGTCTTGTGTTTGTTTGTTTGTTTGTTTTCAATTTGCCACTCTGTGCCTTTTCAGTGGGGTGTTTAGACCATTTACATCCAAGGTAAATATTGATATGTGAGCTTTTGATACTATCATGATGTTGTTAGCTGGTTCCTTTGTAGTCTTGATTGTTTAGTTGCTTTATAGGATCTGTGGGCTAGGTACTTAAGTGTGTTTCTGTTGAAGCAGGTATCATTCTTTCATTTCCCTGTGTAAAAGTCCCTTAAAGGTTTCTTGTGAGGCTGGTCTAGGGTAATGATTTCCCTTAGTGTTTGCTATTCTGAAAAATATTTTATTTCTCCTTTGCTTATGAAGCTTATATTGGTGGGATATGAAATTGTTGGTTGGAATTTCTTTCCTTTAAGGATGTTGAAAATAGGCCCCCAATCTCTCCTGGCTTATAAGGTTTCTGCTAAGAAGTCCACTGTTAGCCAGATGGGCTGCCCTTTGTGAGTGACCTGACCCTTTTCTGAGCTGTCTCTTTTATTTTTCTTTCACATTAACCTTAGAATGTCTGATTACTATGTGGTTTAGGGATGGTTGTCTGGTACAGTATCTCACATGGGTTCTCTGAATTTCTTGACTTTGCATGTCAACCTCTACCTATATTGGGAAAATCGATGTGGCCTATATCCTCAAATATGCTTTCCAAGTTGCTTACTGTCTCTCTTTCTCTCTCAGGAATATCAGTAAGTCACAGGTTTTATCTCTTTACATAAGCCCATATTTCTCAGAAGTTTTGTTTATTTTTATGAATTATTTTTTCTTTATTTTTGTCTGACTGGGTTGATTCAGACTGATCTTAAAGCTCTGAAATTCTTTCCTCAGCTTCTTCTTGCCTATTGTTAAGTCTTCCAACTGTATTTGAAAATTCCTGCAGTGAATTTTTCAATTCCAGAAGTTCAGTTTGTTTTTTTCTTTATTTTATTTTATTTTATATTTTGAGACAGAGTCTTGCTCTGTCACCCAGGCTTGAGTGCAGTGGCGCGATCTCAGCATACTGCAACCTCCACCTTCTGGGTTCAAGCAATTCTCATGCCTCAGCCTCCCCAGTAGCTGGGATTACAGGCACGCACCATCACACCTGGCTAATTTTTGTATTTTTTAGTAGAGACGGGATTTCCGCATGTTAGCCAGGCTGGTCTCAAACTCCTGACCTCATGATCTGCCCACCTCGGCCTCCCAAAGTGCTGGGATTACAGGCATGAGCCACTGCGCCTGGCCTGTTTTTTTCTTAAAATGGCTATATCATCTTTCAACTGCTGGATCATTTTACTGGTTTCCTTGTATTGAACTTCAACTTTCTCTTGAATCTTGTTCAGTTTCCTTGCCATCCAGATTCTGAATTCTATGTCTGTCTTTTCAAACATTTCAATTTGTTTAGGATCCATTGCTAGGAGCTAGTTAAATCCTTTGGAGATAAAGAAACACTCTGACTTTTTGAATTGTTAGAGTTTTTGTGTTACCAGAAAGGGGTCCCAATTCAGACCCCAAGAGAGGGTTCTTGGATCTTGCACAAGAAAGAACTCAGGTCGAGTCCACAGAGTAAAGTGAAAGCAAGTATATTAGAGAAGAAACAAAAGAATGGTTACTCCATAGGCAGATCAGCCCTGAGGGCTGCTGGTTGCCCATTTTTGTGGTTATTTCTTCATTATACGCTAAAAAAGGGGGGAGTGGATTATTCATGCCTCCCCTTTTAGACCATATAGGGTAACTTCCTGATGTTGCCATGGCCTTTGTATACTGTCATGGCGCTGGTGGAAGTGTAGCAGTGAGGATGACCAGAGGTCACTCTCATCACCATCTTGGTTTTGGTGGGTTTTAGCCAGCTTCTTTACTGCAACGTGTTTTATCAGCAAGGTCTTTACGACCTGTATCTTGTGTTGACCTCCTATCTCATCCTGTGACTTAAAATGCCTAACCATCCAAGAATGCAACCCAGCAGGCCTTAACCTTATTTTACCCAGCCCTTATTCAAGATGGAGTTGCTCTGGTTCAAATGCCTCTGGCACTTGCACTGGTTCCTTGTCATCTGAAAGGGCTAGAGTTTCTTTATCTTTCTGAAGTTGCTTTCATTTGGATGAAGATTTTCGCTTTTACATTCTTTTTTTTTTTCCTTGAGGATTTCACTGTGGTGTATGTTGTCTTTAGTCACTTGTCTTTGTTTCTGGGTGCTTTCAGAGGACCAAGGCTCTGTACAGGTTTCTTAGTTTCCTGCATTGGGTTTCACAGGGGATGTATATTGAATTAATCTGTTTTTGTTGGTAGTGTAATTTGGCCTGTAATCCAGTAGATGGCACTTAAGAGTAAGTGCCTTCAGATAGGCTACTACTCAGCTGTGCATCTCTTTTTTTATTTCAATGTGTCCACAGCAGTACTCTGGAGAGGGGGAGACTTGGAGGAAGGTGGCAAGAGATAAACTCTCACCAAGTCTGTTCCTGGGCATTGGGGGAACACCCTACAATCACTGATATTGCGCTGACATTTCCTTAGCCCCAAAGGGTACCCTGGTAGGTTGCACTATCCCCACTTTAGGGGCAACCCAAGCTGAAGGTTAGGTTACCAGGATACCTTCAACTCCCCAGGTACCCACTGATCCTCTGAGCTTGGCGGAGTCAAAGTGGGTTGTGTGGTATGTCTGTAGGTGGTCTGGTGATGCAGAGGGTCAAGGGCAGAGGATCCCCAGGCAGAACATTGGCCTGTTTTTGTTGTTGTTGTTGTTGTTGTTGTCGTCGTCATCGTTGTTGTTTCCCCAGAAGATGACTGTGCAGACCACACAGCTTGCACTCACCCAATTGGATCTCCCTCTGGTGTCTGCTCCAGAAGCAGGCCCAACCAGCTAGGTTTTTTCCCTAGCCTTCCATGCCCAGATTGCTGGGCTTTTTCATCTGTCCCAGGCCATGGGCTCTCTAAAGCAGAAGCTGTGCCTGGCCAATAGGCTACACCCTTCCTGGACCTGTGTTATGGAGGGAGGGATGCCCAGCACCCACATCAGCACACGAAATCACAGCTCACTCTTCTCAGTGTTCTGAGAGTGGGGACTCCTCCTGTGCTTGAGCTCTCGCCACAATCTCAGCTCGATATTCCTGAGTTTTGTGCTCTAACACTGGGAGATTAGAAATGGGCCTGTAGCTTTGTTCTCTGTCCCCACAGTTTTGAGCACTGGCTCTGCTGGGGGACAGGCAAACTGCCCCCAGGCTGCTGGCCTCAGATGGTGCAGTGGAGGCTGTACTGTGTGCACCCTCTCAGAAGCAGCCTGGTAGGGGCCTTGGGAGAGGCCAGCAGACAAGGGAGCATGCAGATCAGCTGTGCCTCAGTCCCAAAGAAAAGGCAGCTCTACTGTCTCCTGGCCCAGCACTCAGCATGGGCTAGAGTCACTCAGAGAAAAATGGAGAGCCTTGGCGGATGGATACCTACTGTCGTGTTTTGCTGCACCTGCCCCATGAGCAACCCAATCTGCGCTCCACACAGGTTTGAGTGCTGCCTCTGTCTACTCTCCAGGCAGCTCCCCCTGTCAATTCAAATGTCAATGAAGATCATAGGATCTCTTGTTGCTGGGATCCCAGAGGTCTGCAACAGGAGTGTGGTGCCCCAGAGTTCCTTCACTCCTCCTTTTCTTAGGACCCATTCATGCTAGTCCTGGCACTTGACAACTCCATGCATGCTTTCCAGCTTCCTCCGTCTTCAACCTCAGTGTCTGCATTGACTCTTTATTGGATTTCAGTGTTTTCTCTCAAAAGATCTGTTTGAAGTGTCATGGTTTACTCAATATTTTGGTTTCTCTCAGTGGGAGACACATTTCCTGGCTGTGTCCATTTGGCCATCTTGCCTCTGCCCGCAGGAACAGCACATTTTTAGAAAAGTAACAAGACAAAGGAAAAAGACTGAGTTTCTACAGGTGGCAACTTGGAGGAAGGCAAATAAATGGCAGATAAAGACTAGTTACTAATGTTTGTTAATGTAGGTTCTTCTGGTACCATCTCCAGGCCAATACAGTTCCAAAGTTGTCTTCATTGGTGAACCTTTGTTCTCCCTGGTAGAAGGTGGGGTAGGGAGATGGGGGCATAATACCTTTCATCTTTGTAAATCTATGTCCTGCTTTTAGACAAATAAAGGGAAGGCAGAGAACTTCTTAATTGGCTTCAGCTTAACAATCTTTCAAACTTTGGAGCAGTTTATTCTGGTCTTCCTTAGGGTATAATCCATATTTGTTGAATGATGAATGGATATGCCACTAAAATCCATAAAATATGATGAGTTCTTGTGACACGGAATTTATAATGTTACAACAGATAAAAGATGATAATGATAAAGTAGTCTAGAATGTCATCGCAATTCTGAAAGCCATGCATAGGAACTTGTTAGTTATACCTAACAAGACTTTCAATAAGTTTTTCAGATTGCCAATCCAACTATGTTCTGATAAAAGAGGCAAGGGCCAAGGGGGTAGAATCCAATAGAATCTTCCTATCTACAGACTCAGCCATGCAAAAACACTACCTGTAAGCCATCCTGCAGTGGGTTGCCCCACCACCTTAACCATGCCACACTTCAGAAATGTAAACTTGCCCAACATCTTAGCATTAGGTTCCTAGGCTCTATTCTTTCAATAAAAAGTTAGTCTATGTGCCAAAGTGTTACTGGTGATGAGAGAACTTCTGTCCTATAATGATGTCGCAATGACCTTTGTGCACTTTCCAGAAAAAAGAAACAGCAATTCTCCCCAACTCACCATACTCATCAGTTTCATCTTCAGTTATTTCAAACTATAATCAAACTGCTTCCAGTGTTGTTGATGGAATCTGTCTGGTCTTTCTGCACTTTTTTATTGAAGCGTTAGATGTACATAGTTTCCTCTCTTTCTGCATTCTGAATTCATTTATCCAGTCATTGAAAAGCTTAGTGTTTCATGCTCTTTTGCCTTGGTATATGTTATACTAGTGCTATCTTCTCTGCCTTTGACTTTTTCTGTATACACAGAAAATCATATCATAGAAACCCTGTTAGAGAAGTGCACAGCATCATGGGGTCCAAAGAAAACTGGACAAAGAGTCAGACAAATCTGGTTCAGTTTCTTAGTTCCTCCACTTCCAAGATGTGTCACTATAGGCCTCAGTTTTCTTGTTTATAAATGGTTAATAATGCCTCCTCCCTTATCTACATGGCTTATAAAGGGCCATGGAACAAAATATAGAGTGTACATTTTTTCCAACAGCTTCAGAAAAGACACTCCCCTGCCTCCAATGCCAAGAGATCGTTCACTGACTTCTCTGCATTCCTCTGACTGCACCAAGGAGGGACACTATGTCATCCATACATTCTTGCTGGAAGCACTTGTGTTCAAGTACTCTCTGTCACAAAGTCTCTCTTGGTGGACATATAGTTTCTATAAAACCCTCTGCCAAATCTGTTAGGACTTCCAGAGGCCTAACATTTGCCACCATATAAACATATATCATAAAGCCTTGGTCAAGGAGCCACCTGGGAAGACCCAAAGGTTCTCTTTTTCAGGGTCAATGCAGTCATTATGGACCCAACCAAACTCCAGAGCTATGGTACTACATCTATAGGAGCGGACACACTCAAACAAGGGCTTTTTATCCATAGTAGGATTTCATCCTCTGCCAGTGATCTACTCCAAAATAATCCTCGACCATATGACTTCCAATTATTTTAGTAAACATATATACCGTACTTATCAGGTGTTAAGAACTCTTCTAGGTACTTTACATTCATTGAATCCTCACTTTGACTCTGTGATGTAGGTACTAATATTTTCTCCCATTTTATAGATTATGAAACCCATGCACAGCAGCGTTATGCAACTTATCCAAGATCACACAGTTTTTAGGGGTACAGCCAAGATTCCAATGTAAATCATCTGGTTTCAAGTTAATGCTTTTGGCCAATACATTATACTTCTTTATATCCACTTTTATTCCAGTTGACTTTGAAATATAAACTAATCATGACTTTGAACTGCAATTTGTCTCTCTTATACTTAGGTGTTCCTTGGTACTTACTCAGCACGTGATGCTTATGGTAACTACTAACTGTTCCAACTCTTATTCCCTGACTCATGTGAGACCTTAACTCTTACTTCTACCATGATGATGTCAACCTCCATCCATTTCACCTTGAAAATGCCATATAATGGCCACATTAACTGTTTTTGCTTTGAAAAGTACACCGAAAGAACAATTCATGAGCACCCATATGAACAGGTAGGGCTTCAATGGGAAAACAGATGGTATAGTCAAAAGGAGTAATTGAAGAGAATTTAATCCAAGGGTTTCTGTGGGCTGTCGTGATATCAACCAGTAAAGCACTCAGTAAAGGAGAAAGCTAGAGCCAAGGAAAAATGACTGCCTGACAGCAATTGTGGACTAGGGTAGAGGAACACAGTCACTGACAAACTGCACCCCAGTAGGGAGGAAAATGGAAAAATAAATAACCTAAACACTCTATGTCATCTCCCCCTCTGATTTCCTGATGGTGCCCACATTGGCCGAACCCAGTTAGCAGCCAGAGGGCAAGGGAGCCAATTGATATAGTCCATGTGGGTGCTTTCCAGGACACAAAGAGGGTCAGAGAATGATATAGAGTAGATGTAGAGAAAAAATAAGGAATGTCAAGCACAGTTTGGTATGTGCCATCAACTTTCATATGCATTAACTCAATCTCTACCATAACCTAATGAGGTAAGAATTTAGTTTTCACGTTTTACAGATAAGGAAACTGAGGCTCAGAGAGATTAAGAGTTAAGTGACTTGCCCAAAGTCATATGGTTGTTAAATAACAGTCAATATTCAATCCCATATCTTCTAATTCAAGACCATGCTCTTAACCATCATGCAATAATGCCTTCCTTACAAATCACAACAATGATATTGGAAAATAAGACTGTACAAAAGACAGTTAAGAGAGTTTCATCTTCATATTTTCTAACAAGTTAGCCTTTACCAAAAAGGCCTCAAATTTCATTAGACTGAAGTCACCCACCCACTCATATTTTTTTTTTTGGTATCTTTTTAACCTTAAGAATTAAGAAAGAGATAAAAAGCATAGATCTAAATGGCATCAGGGAAAATAACAGAGTAGGTAACTTCAAAGGCTCATTCCTCCACAGAAACTGAAAAATCAAGCAAAAACTGTCAAATCAACTTTGGAGAAATTCTGCAAAATAGTCAAAGGCACAGCAACCAAACAAATGCTGTATCAAGAAAAGAGGCAACTTTAGAAGAGTAGAAAAGTTTTGTGGCATTTTTGCTTTCTCCTTGCCCTATACACCTCCTTGGATTTGCGGCAGTTTTGAAGATAGCAGCTCATTTTCCCAGTGTGGAACCCTGGGGCCTGGATACAGGAAAAGCAGAGCAGACCTTGTTCTCAAAGAACTGCATTTATCTATTCTAACATGTCTGGGGGTTCCCTGAAGTACTGATGCAGAGTGTTTGTCTTTCCTTCACCTAACACAGAACTCATTCAGGGCTAAAAACAGTGGGCATTGCTGGAAAACATTGTAAGGCAAATGAATAACCCACAGCTGCTTGAGGCAAAAGATTATGATAAAGGCAAACAATAAGCCACCAGAAGCCCGGGAGGAACAGCTGCAGAGAGAGGTTTTTAGGGGGGAAATTTAGGTATTTAAAAGTCCCAGTGATAGTCCTGGGGAATTTAGAAAGCCACAAGCATGCCTAGGGCACAGTGCATGCTCAGATGCTTAGGGAAGACCTGAGGACACCTTAAGCTTTCAACTCTGGGTGATTTCTAGGCTTAATGCAAAGAAATGAAAGTAAGTCAGAGTTGTAAACAGCCTGGTTAAGTGTTGACAGAGTGGCCAGCACAGAGCTAATCTGCAAAGACTGGTAGAGGTTTTGTTATTTATTTCTTTCCTCCTTCTCTTTCTCCTCATCCTCCTCCTGCTCCTCCTCCTCTTTCTCCTTCTCTTACTCTTCTTTCTCTCTCTTTCTCATTCTTTCTCTCTTAACTCCTGGCAGTCAAGAAAATCTCTGTGCAGCAAAGGACATAATCAAGGCCAGGTATGGTGGTTTACGCCTGTAATGTCTGTGCTTTGTGAAGCTGAGGTAGAAGCATTGTTTAAGGCCAGGAGTTTGAGACAAGACTGGGCAATCATAGCAGATCCCCTCTCTACAAAAAAAATGTAAAAGTTAGTTGGATGTGGCAGTATGTGCCTGTAGTCCTAGCTATTTGGGAGGCTGAGGTGGGAAGATCGCTTGAGTCCAGGAATTCATGGCTGCAGTAAGCTATGATTGTCCCGTGCATTCCAGCCTGGGTGACAGAGTAAGACCTTGTCTCTAAAACACAATGGGCATAATCAAGAAAGTGAAGTAAAAATACAACCTACAGAATGGGAGAAAATATTTGGAAATTATATAGCTGATAAAAATCTTGTATCCAGAATATATAAAGAACTCCTGCAATTCAACAACACAAAGAAAAAAACCCAATAAATGAATGAACAAAGGACTTAGACACTTCCCCAAAGAGGATTTACAAAAGACCCAGACACACAAAAAGATCCTCACATCATTAGTAATTAGGGAAGTGCAAACCAAAACCACGATGAGTTACCACCTCACACCAACTAAGATGGCTACAATTTAAAAAATGGAAATTAACACATATTGCTGAGGATGTGGAAAAATGGAATATATGTACATTGTTGCTGGGAATGCAAAAATGGTTCGGCAACTATGGAAAATAATTTGACAGTTCCTTAGAAAGTTATCATGAGACCCAGAAATTCCACTCCTATTTTTATATCGAAAAGAATTGAAGACAGATATTCAAATACATGTGCCCACATATCCATAGCAGCACTATTCACTATAGCCAAAGTGTCAAAGTGTGAAAACAACCTAATGCCCATCAACAGATGAATGGATAAACAAGTTGTGAGATATATATATAGGAATATTATTCAGCCACAAAACGGAATGTATCTATGAATGCTACAATATAGAAAAGCCTTGAAAACATTATCCTTAGTGAAAGAAGGCAGACACAAAAGGTCATATATTATATTACTCCATTTATGTGAAATATCCAAGTAAATACAAAGAATCAGAGAGCACATTTCTGGTTTCCAGGGAAGGAAGGGTAGAGGGAATGAGGATTTACTGCTTAATGGGTACAAACTTCATTTTTGGGTGACGAAAATGTTTTGAAACTAGATAGAAATGGTGTTTGCACAACACTTTGAATGTACTGAATGCCACTAATTTATTCATTTTTAAATGATTAATTTAACGTCAAATGAATTTATCTCTCAACTTTTAAATATCTGGCATAAAAAATAGGTCCATACCTCATAGTGTTTATTTTGTTTGTTTGTTTGTTTGCTTATTTGTTTGTTTGTTTTGAGACAGAGTCTTGCTCTTGTTGCCCAGGCTGCAGTGCAATGGCACAATCTCAGCTCACTGCAACCTCTGCCTCCCAGGTTCAAGCAGTTCTCCTGCCTCAGCCTACCGAGTAGCTGGGATTACAGGTGCCCACCATGCCTGGCTAATTTTTGTATTTTTAGTAGAGACAGGGTTTCGCCATGTTGGCCAGGCTGATCTTGAACTCCTGACCTCGTGATCTGCCTGCTTCAGCCTCTCAAAGTGCTCGGATTACAGGTGTGAGCCACTGCACCTGGCCTCATAGTTTCTTATGGTTATTAGCAGAGACACAGAGTAATATTCAAAAAGTCTAACCCATATTACACAGACTGTCTGAGGCCAAGAAAGGTGCTCCTTGCAAACACAGACAATCTGGCCAGCCTCGTCTGGATGGAGTCAAATGTCATTCTATGGTGACATTAGTAGAGGGCATAATAAGTGGTACCACTTTTGCCTTTACTTGATTCTCCTAGTCCTCCTTTTTCTCCTTCTTGATGGCTTTTTCTCTGGAGGTCTTGCCACATCATCTATTAAAAACTTGTATATGGGCATAAACTACACAAAAGTCTATAATTAAGAGAGGATGGAATGATGGACTTGATTATTTGCATTGTGAGTTGGGCTTCCTTTATTACAAAATGAATGAGCTATTAGGATTCTCTCAAAAAGTAAACACCCCTGAATCATCTGAAAGATGACTACACAAACTTGCTTTTCACCCAGCCATTGTACAAAGTAAAGCCCACATGTTTGAGAGTTATTGGCACTGCTTACCAAATATTTCTAGTTGTTTTTCTAAGCACATGATAGGATGACACTTCCCTCCAGATCTAAACTGAAACTTGGGAAAGAAACTTACTTTGGTCAATAAAATGTAATTGAAGTAATATGTGTTACTTGCTAGCAGAAATTATAAATTTCCTTCTTTTTTCTGTGCTACAACAACTGGCAAAGTTCCAAATGTTTGCTGTTGCATCATCTTGTGTCCTGGAGTGAGATGACATGGAACAGAGACTCCAGCTGCCTTGTGACATGTACTGTGAGCAATAAATAAATCTTTGTTGTTTTAAATCACAAAGATTTGGAGTATGTTTGTTACCCCAACATAACTCAGCATATCATGACTAATACGTGTTTTTTTCAATTGTGCTCTCAACTCAGTGGTTACTTTTTGAATATGACTCTTGTAAAAAACATCACAAATAATAGTAGGTGTACTTTAAGTTTCCATTGATGGAGGTAATTCATCATAACACAAAGCTACTAGGAGCTCTAAGATGCTTTTAAATGAATTTGTATTTTATGAATAATAAGAGGAACTGCATATCTGTGAAAATTACAATAGCTGTAATTAATAACCTATTTATTTTATCACCAGACAATGTTCAGTGCCTTTTCATGGGGTCACAGACTACTTATAATGACTCCATAGCTACGCAGTGGGTCTGTGCCCCAGGCCACTCATTCAACAAGTATTTGTTGTGGACCTATTAGCACATACATTGTGCTATGTCCAGAGAGGAACCCAAAAGACATATGAAGGTTAATCTGCATCTTTATGATCCGAGACATACTCATTGGAGACAGGTACCAATGAAACAGTATGTTCTAATGGCCAAGTGAATGAAGCAATACAGTTTAATGGTTAAGAGTGTGAGCCCGGGAGCCACACTGACTGCCTGGGATTGAATCCCAGTTATGGCATTTACCAACTGTGTGACCTTAATTAAGTTGCTTAACTTCTCTGTGTTCCAGTTTCCTCTTCTGTAAAATGGGCAGAATAGTGGTACCTACCTCATAAAATTGTTCTGACATTAAATTTCTTAATAAACATAAATATTTAAAGTAGTGTCTGAAACATACTATATGCTGCTATTTTTATTCCTTCACCTATCTTTTAACATTTGTGGTCCCCTGAAGATTCTTCTTTGGCTCTCTGCTCTTTTTCATCTATTGAGTGTCTCTAAGTCACCATTTCACATCCATAGCTTCAACTGCCACCTATATATTCCTGTCAGTATTGAGAGTAGTGGCCTCATTAAGATCTCAGAATCCCCAAATGCTAATATCCTTGACTTACTGTCTAGCTGCATATCATTGCTGTAATTTCTTAGGACATATAATGTATGGTTTCAAAATCTCTCCCCCAAAATTTCCACATCAAAAGGTAATCCAACTATGGTGAGCTGAACCGAACTACATGTGAGTCTTCCCCTTGGTCTTTTTTTTTTTTTTTTTTTGAGATGGAGTGTCACTCTGTCGCCCAGGCTGGAGTGCAGTGGCACGATCTCGGCTCACTGCAAGCTCCACCTCCCGGGTTCACCCATTCTCCTGCCTCAGCCTCCCGAGTAGCTGGGAGTACAGGCGCCCACCACACACCCAGCTAATTTTTTTGTACTTTACAGTAGTAGTTTCTGACATTGAGGGAGCAGAGATCCCTTGAAGAATCTAGTGAGATATATTAACGACCACCCTCAGGAAGATAGACATATAAACACAGGCTAATACATACAATTTCACAAGGTTCCCAGGCCCCTTGAAGCCCATGCATAGACACCAAGGGGGGTCTTGTAAATTGTTCCCAGGGTACAGACTGCTATTAGAATAGTATTCTTGATTAAGCCTCTGAGTCTGATGCTTGTGATTGAGTGCGACAGTGTACAAGTGAAGGTAGAGCCAGGAAAGTGAGAGCCCTTATATATAAGGCTTAGATCTCAGTTGGCCTATATCATCCATGCCAGGAATCCTTTCTCTTTTGGGCTCCTACTCTACCTTTTAACAAAAAGAAAGATAAGTATATGAGAGTAAGTCCATTTACCTGTTAAGAAAATATACCCAATAAGTCCTGCAACTCAGTTGACACCATCTATTTTCTGATATCTCATTGAATTTTAATACAACTTTCCTTTAAATAATCCTCATAGCTTTTACCCTTGCACATAATTGGCCTAGATTTTTTCAAAAATTAATTGAAGATTAAATGAGTCAAGGAAAGTAAAGTGCTTAGAATAATGTCTGGCACATAGTAAGTGCTATATAGCTGTTAAAATCGTTGTCATTATATGCACCCAGAATGAATATTGAAGTGATGTTTCCAAATATAACATATCAGGTAATGGGGATATGAAGAGGAGGAGGAGGAGGATGGAGAGATTAAAAAGAGGAAGAAGAAAAGGAGAAAAGAGAAATAGGACAAAGAGGAGGAAGAGAAGGAAGTGGAGAGGGAAAAGAAGAGCTTCCATTTATTGAGGGATGAGTATGTTCCAGGCACTATATTAAATACTTTATATCTCATTTAATTCTCATCGAAGTCCTTAGATATAAGAGATATTATTATGCCCATTTTACAGGTAAGTCAGTGTCTCAAACAATTTAAATTATGTGCCCCAGATCACAAAGCTAATAAGTAATGGAGCTGGAATTTGAAATCAGATCTGCTTGATTCCAAATCTATGTTCAATTTCACATCCATCATATACAGACTGATAGGAGAAATATATTTTAGAAAGATTGCAGGAACATATTTGGTTTCCAATAAGGAATTGGTATGCTTCTGATTTAGTGATACCAAGAGTTACACAATTGATTGCGTTTCCTTCTATGCCTTCACCACTCAAAAGTTTAGAACTCAGTTTGAAGCTAAACCATAACAACTATACTGACCCTCATGATTGAAATATTTGAGGGAATTTTCCTTTCTTAAACTGGATTTTCAATTTTTATCTTCTTAGTTATTAGTTCAGTGTGACTACTGTTTTGTTGTAAGCCACTTAAAGCATTTTGTTGCCAAAAAGCAAGGCACAAAACATGTATATAAATAAAATAAAATTATGATGTTCAGTTTCTGGGTAGAAAATTATTTCTAAAATTTTCTGTATGCCACTCAATTGGCTTTTCAAATCTTTTCTTAATTCAATACAAAATAATTTTTTAGCCTAATCTCCACCCCACCCTCAACTTGATACTCAGTCTCAAGATTGATAATGGGGTCCTCTCAACTCTATTTAACAAACATTTACATATATATGTCGTATGTCAGGTGTTAAGTGCTTTACAAGAATTTTCTTTTAATTTTCATTGCAACCCTATAAGGTAGGTTTCTCTTATTATGTATTGTTTTATAGATGGGAAGCTGATACACAGAAAAGTTATCTAACTTGTTTAATGTTATATGGTTAGTAAGTTGCTAAGCCAGAATTTACAATCAGTTTGTCTTGCTTAAATCTACAACTTTAAATGAGGCTGATTATGTAAACAACTACCAATCAGGTCACATACAAATTCCTGGTACATAATAGATGCTTTGTAAATATTTGAGAAATAAATGATTGAATAAATTAATGAATCCCAAGACTTGCAAAGGCCCTTCCTTATTTCCCTTCCAGGCTGACTTTATTCTGCTTTTATTTTCACAAGGATTCTGATTCAGCTTGGTCTCTGGCTTACAGCCCTACTATTACCCCTCTAGACTTAGCATCTGGTACTTAGTTTTTCTGACTTGACCCTCTGTAGCCACGAAGGACTTTGGCTTTGACTCACCCTGTGATTCTTTCCACTCCCAGAAACCTCAAATAGGGCCCTGCCCTAGCACCAGCTCTTCAAGAAACAAATGCTAAGCTTGTCCTACTTGGCTGTAATCCTGACTTAGCCCATCCCAGGTGCCCTAAAAAGTAGCGTTCAGAAATTCTAATCAATGGTGCCTGTACTGCTCTGGGATTACCGCATGTCACTGCCTTGCACATACCCATATGTTCAGTCCACAACTGACAATGAAAATCTAAATATGTAACCAACTGAAGTGGGACGGCTCTGGTGTGACCACAGGAGGGAAGTTTATGGGAAGTAATGCTGTTTTGCAAGGAGAGACTCTGAGTATAAAAACAGGGTTGCCATTTGAAATGCAACAGGAGACTTCTTAAAACTTTTTTCAAGTCATTAAAACTGGAAATACACATATTAGAGAAGGCATAGTCCTATATTTCCTGAAGGAGATCTGTGATAAAACTGCTTATTTTTAATCACCTTTTATTTCTTGTTTATATTGGCTGTTCTGTTTTGTCGACATTTCAATGAATGGGATAGTGTTAAACTGATGCTCTTTAAAAAATTGAAAGTGAAAACTTTTAGTTTTATCAAAACAAATGTTAAAAATCATTATGCTACTTGATCTCTGATCCAGTTTTGCCCCACTTCATGTGGGTTACCTCAACTTTATGATTTTTCCTTTGCCTTCCTCTTTCTTCTTCCCACCCAGCATTGGCCTGGTTTACAAAACTAGGATACAATTGGTGGAGAGACTCTCAATATCAACATGAAATTTAAAGTGACCCCAATAATATTCTTAAGAATACTCTAAGAAGACTCTGATTAAGAGCCTTCTTCCTTAGACTTTCCCCAAGTAAGTTAGCATATCCCAGAGCATAAACCTAGCTTGACAGGTTGAGGAGGAACTTGGAATGAGAGCACCCCCATACACATGGCAATGCTACTCCTTGTCCTTGAGAGAAACTCCCCCTCCTGCTGTGGGTACCCTGGAAGAACCCAGGTTTTGTGAAAGATCTCTCAAGAGTTGGTGGGTTTCTAACTTGCAGACAAAAGGGAGGAATGAAATACAGGATCCAAAGTCCCAGAAGAGCCCAAGAAGTGAGAGACAGCATCATTTGCCCTATTCAGTTCTAATGACAAGGGACCTAGCCAATAGAACATGTTCCTTGCTCAGTAACATTCCTCTGCAGTCACTAACAATATATTGATAGTCTTCTGCTGACAGAGGGAAAGACAGGCTCTCCTCCAAAGGCACTGTTTTAGCTTATCTCATCAGTTGTGAAGAAGAGGAGACAGAGAGTTCAAGGGAATCCAAGAAGTCTGTGGTAGGGAAAATCAGCTGACAAGGATTGGCCTTCCTTTTCCATAGTGTAGAATATCATGGAGTGTGGTTGCCAAGCCAGGAAATATATTTCCCCTCCTACTTGACCCAGTAGAGCCCTGAAACTAATTTTCATAAATGGAATGTGGGAGAACTGATGTGCGTCATTTACAGGAAAAAAGTGGCTAAAAAGGAGATGTCCCTTTTTCATGATCTATTTTCGCATCCACGAGCTGAATAGAAAAGCCTCCAAGGACCTGGAAGAGTGCAGAGCCACAAAAGGAGAAAACCTGAGTCCCTCAATGACTACATGTTAAAGGGTACTTCGATGGGAGCAGCTGTACTAGACTGTGAGGTGTGTGAGAAACATTGTGTTAAGCCACTAAGAATGAAGGTTTATTTATTATACCAGGCAGCCATCACTTAACTAATACATCCAGAGACAAAAATAAGACTTTTTTATAATGCAATATAATATAACCTGCTCTTTCTTTGAGTTCTTTCTCACTTCTCTCTTCTTATCTGGCTTCCCTCCCCTTTCCGTTTGTTTTGTTTTGTTTTGTTTTTGAAAGGATCTTGTTCTGTCACCCAGGCTGGAGTGCAATGGCACAATCATAGCTCACTGCAGCCTCAAACTCAAGGGGCTCAGGTGATCCTTCCACTTCAGCCTTCCAAGTAGCTAGGACTACAGGCATGCACTACCACAGCTCTCTAATTTTTTTTCCAAATTTGTATAGAGACAAGCCTCACTATGCTGCCCAGGCTAGTCTTGAACTCCTGGTCTCCAGTGATCCTCCCGTCTCAGCCTCTCAAAATGTTGGGATTACAGGCATGAACCACTGGGCCCAGCTTAATTTCTTTTTCCATGACATAGCTACAACTTACTTTGAGTTTCTGCTTCCTTGTGACTTCAGCTTGCTCATGGGCCTTCATGACAGCTTCTACTTGCACCTTTCACACCTTAGATTCCCTCGGGTTATCTAGTTGTCTTTATATTTTCTATAGCAAGAGCCTGACTGGTCAATCTTGTTCATGCTGAATGGACAGTTCTATTGAATAGAACTGTCTATTCAACATGAATACACATGCCAGGCCACCTCATAGGCTATTGGTTGGTCTAATGAATGATGGTCCTCATCACGAAAAGAAATAAGTATTTGAGGTGATCAATATATTAATTAGTTTGACTTAATCAGTTCATTATGTAACCATATATACACCATCACATTTTACCCCACAAATATATACAATCACTATATTATTTGGCAATTAAAAATAAAATTAAAAGTTTTCCTCCAGCTCTTGCAACTATAGGCACCACCCACACAGCCCCTGGACTTGGAAGGCCCCCAGAAGGCTTAGCCTTACCAGTTGGCAGGGCTTAGTATTACGCAGGGCTTGCTGCCCTAAACTTAGACACTGCCATGCCTAAATCCCACCCTCTGCCACGTATTCCCAATCCATAAATCAATGTAACCATCTTGGTTATCAATTTTCACAGTCTTGCTGGGCAATGTGGCCTATCTTGACCTGTAGCTCACTTGGCTGAAGCCAAAACACCTGGCCATGCCCTTGTTAGCCTTCGTCCCAAGAGGACAGACTCTACTCCAGGTTCTCCAGCTACAGTCTGGGGTCCTGCTCCAGCTAAGTCAGACTACCCTGCAATACTTTACTGCCCTCTCTTCTCATGTCAAGAGTCAACAGTGACTGGAATTCCTGCTGCTGTGCCCTACTGGGCCTCCTTGGGCAGTAACACTGGCCTGGATAGGGCCCAAGTTTACTTTTGCTCTCTGTACATGATGACTTAGATTACACTCAGTCAGAGCACAGACAAAAAAGGAGTGCCCTTTGCCAAAGGTCCAAGTAGATGTGCTAAACAACTTAGTCCTGGACAAGGAGGTAAACCAGCAAGAAAAACCAAGTGTCCAACAGATAAAACAAGGGAGAGCGGAAGAGAATGCATTATATTTTAGCCCACATTAAATAACCTGAGTTGAATGAGGTTATAAAATCATGTGTATTTTACCTAGAAGAGTGCTAGAAACTAGCATTTGTTAAGCACTGATTCTAAGCCAAGCAATGTACCAGTTTCTTTTTTTTTTTTTTTTTTTTTTTTTTTTTTTGCTGAGACAGAGTCTCACCGTGTCGCCCAGGCTCGAGTGCAGTGGCGCGATCTCAGCTCACTGCAAGCTCCGCCTCCCAAGTTCACGCCATGCTCCTGCCTCAGCCTCCCGAGTAGCTGGGACTACAGGTGCCCGCCACCATGCCCGGCTAATTTTTTTGTATTTTTAGTAGAGACAGGGTTTCACCATGTTAGTCAGGATGGTCTCGATATCCTGACCTCGTGATCCACCCACCTCGGCCTCCCAAAGTGTAATGTACCAGTTTCTTTATGCATATGTTTTATTTAATCCTCACAATCCAGTGAGCATTATTATCACTCATTTTGAAGATGAGGAAATTGAGGTGCAGTGAGCATCTACGGCTTGCCAGTGGTTATATGGCCAGAAAGTGGCAGTGCAGGGATATAAATCCTGTTGTGTCTAATTTAAAGATGCATGCTCTCTACTCAGTATTACATGATGTAATTTGTTCAAAGCACATATCTCCTGTGGTAAAATGTTTTTGGATTGCTGCCCGTACCAGTTATATGCTCTCCTAGTGACAGGGTGATGGTGGTACCCTCAAAAAAGTGAGAGGCAAAAGGCCTTACTCATAGAAGCTGGGGACTTTAGAGAACCATCTCTTCCTTTCTCTTCAGGCTCTTCTCTGTGAGGCAGCAGCAGAAAGGTACACTTGCAGGCCATGAGGTCATCTGCTCAGAAGGCTGTTTGAACATGATCCTAGGGGTAGTGGGGAACAATGTCATTGTCACCCCATCTTTCATCTCATAATCATATTTGCTCATATTGTTCAGCTCACAGCTTGCACAGAAGTCTTACACTTCTTTTTAAGACCTTTACTTTTCAAGTACCACCACATATTGAACACTTACTCTGTGCCTTCACTATTCCAAAGGCTTTATGTGCAAAAGCTTCATTGGTCCTCCCAATAATCCTATAAGGCAGTGGATTAGTCAGGGCCTGTGAGGAAACAGACAACATTCTAGGTATTTCGAAAAGAGAATTTAATACAAGAAGTTGGTAATATGACCAATTAAAGATCTGAGAGGCCAAACAGAGTACAATTATGCAATTTGGTGATTAACAAAAGCAAGGAGTCCCAACTTTCCCTAGATCAAGAGGGACAGTGACAGAAAATGGTAAGACAGAATATGGAACTAGGACCAGCCAGCAGGGTCCATATCTACACTGTCCAATGTGGTGGCCACTAGTCACATGTGGCTATTGAGCATTTGAATGTGTCTAGTCCTCATTGAGATGTGCTGTAAGTGGGCAACACACACCAGAATTCAAGTACTAGTAGAAAAATATATATCTCATTAATATTTATATTGATGACATATTGAAATCAAAATATATTGGGTTAACTAAAACTATTAAACTGATTTTACTCATTTCTTATATATTTCTAATATGGCTACTAGAAAATTTAAATTTATATATGTGACTCTCATTATATTTCTATTGGACCACACTGGGCTGGAATTATGGTGAAGGCTAGGACCATGAAGGAAGGCACTGTCCAGTAGGAACCACAGCTGCTGCCAGTAACCTGTTTGAGCTACCAGGCACCTATTTGTGGTAAATAGGGGGAAATTCCCTGGTTTCTCCTTTCTTCCTCCTTTTGAGTCTCCCACCCATACCTCTCATTGGCCAAACGCTGTGGGAAGCCTGCTGACACAGGTGACTGGGAAATATAGCCTATAGGGACAGTTCTCCTGCCACACAGGGAGAGCAGGGGGAAGGTCGAAAATCAATCTAAGACAAAACAGGTGAATTGATGGCATATGTGGGTAACATTACCCTTCCCCACCACATTTTTCAGATGAGGAAACAAACACAGATCAGTTAAGTAACTGACCAAGGTCACACAGCAAGGAAGTGGCAAAGTCAGGATTTACACCCACCCAGGTAGCCTGTCTCTGGAGGCCATGATCTTAATCATTATTTCTTCTGTCTCCTTGTCCCTCCATCCCCAACCGCTGACCTCTTGCCTCAACTCTTCACTGTGGCCTCACACTTCACTATGGCTCTGAAGATGGTTGTCGTCTTGGTGGTCATTGCCTGTGATTCCTGCTGCAGTTCAGGTGTATTCTGCTGCTCTAGGCAGCTCCCAGTCCAACTCAGCTGTTTCACCATCACACTCTCGCCACGGTCCAAGTGGTTTTACCCAATCTAGGCACTCAGGACCAAACAAAGCTCAAGTCATCCATTTTAGAACTCTGAACTTCAGCTCCTTCTATTTCCCACCCATCAAATTGCTGCTCAGAAATTTCTGCAAGAACAAGTTAAAAGCAACAAGTTCCACTAACCTACATAATAGGGCTTATTTTTCTTTCAAAAAAAGTTAACATAGTGGTATTTTGACTGATAAACAATTCCCTTGCAACTGGAAGCATTAGCACAACCCAATTTTAAATCTTTTAATAAAAGAGACTCAAGACAAGTCAAAGTCCCAATCCCTTCTTAGTAGTCCCGTTGTAACCAGACAAGCTGCTAGGGTGGGAAGAAGTTAGTCCTTTAACAAGGGCAAGCTCTTAATTATGCTACTTCCAGGAATGCTGAGGCATGGTCTGCATTCAACAGTGTTCCGGAAGACTGGCAGTGGGCTCTTTGTCATCTAATCACCTGGTAAGAACATCATCTTTGCTTAGTCTTTCCAGAGCCTCTGAGTGCTCAACGTTTGGAGTAAGTATTGCAGAACAGAGAGGGGATTGTTAATTATTTCATGGGCCTTCTCTTCCCTGGGACAATAGATCAGCCTGGACGTTTATTGAGTGATGGGGAAGAGGGGGGAAACGGGTGCAGTGGTTTCAGGATGGCCTCTGGGTCACAAGGTCAGGTTTCTAAAAGTTATTGTACAGACTGCTGTTGGTAGCTCTGCTTATTAGGGAGAATTAGATCCTTTGTGTTGTTTGTAAAAGCGAGAAAGTCCCGGCCAGACTCTGGCTTAAGTGAAACTTTTATTGCTGTCAGTCACACAGCCCCTCCAGTCTGAGCCCTCTGTGGGAGTTCTTGAAAGGCCAACTACCTCTCCTCATTCACAGATCTGCCTGGGTAGACCAAAACACTTCAGACAGCAGAGAATTCCTTGTCATGGCTATACAGGTGTTTTTCATGAGATTACATATTTAGGCAGCTCTGAAAACTGTGGGTTGCAATAATTTTTAGCTCTCATCATCCATTATTGTAATTACTTTCTTACTGCTTGTCTTCTCCACTGCAGATAAACTTTATGAGAGCAAGGACCACATCTATTTTGTTTCCAGCTCTACTTTCAGGTCCATCCATAGAGCTTGGCACAGAGTAGAAAATAAATATATGTTGAATAAAAGCAAACACTTATGTAGCACCTAATAGATATGCTTGATTAATATTCTGAGACTATCTTTCTCTCTCTCACACATAGATATATATATATATATATATATATCACAAAACTCTATGGACTAATTGCAATTAATCCAGTTTACAAATGAGGATACTGAAGCCCATAGAAGTTAAGTAATAATACACCCAAAATGACAGAGCTGGTAAGTGGCAGAGCTGGGATTTGAATCCAGGCATTTGGATTCCAGTGTCCTGTCCATGTTATTAGCCACAATGCTCTATTCCAAGGATGGTGTAGACATCAACAGTGGAAACAGAGGGTCTTTCCTCATGTGGAGAGTGCTAAGAAGACAGCTCACCTCAAGACTTGTGAAAATCAAATTTATTTTTTAAAAAAGAAATAAGTGTCTTTATTCCCTCAAGTCACTGAGTGAAAAGAGGAGGATCCTAAGCACAATAAGCAGGCCAAAGCTTGGAGTGAGTCATCTGGATCTCCAGCCTTGGAGATCATAGAACCAGAGAAAAGTAGCAGTGCTCTGGAGAGCAAAGGATGCAGGAGAGGGGGTTGAAACCAGGAATGGCAGCCTCTTCAATTTCTTTAAGGAAGATTGACCATCTTCAGCAGCTTGATAGGATCATAGAGAAAGTATTAGAGCATTGCCAAGGGTGACCTCTATATAATCAGTTTCCCTGACTGTCCTCCATTGGAAAGAGTGAGACAGCCAATCCCCCAGGCCTTTCCTCTAATATTTCCAGCAGAAAACAAGAAGGGGAATTGTGGGAAACCTCAGAACCAGCCCTGTCTTCCCAGTCACCTCAACAACTAAAGCACTCATCTCCTTATTACCGAATTTATAAAATTTCATTCTGCTGCCGGGCGCAGTGGCTCACGCCTGTAATCTCAGCACTTTGGGAGGCCGAGGCGGGCAGATCACGAGGTCAGGAGATCGAGACCATCCTGGCTAACATGGTGAAACCCCGTCTCTACTAAAAATACAAAAAAATTAGCCGGGCGTGGTGGCGGGCGCCTGTAGTCCCAGCTACTCGCGAGGCTGAGGCAGGAGAATAGCGTGAACCCGGGAGGTGGAGCTTGCAGCGAGCCGAGATCGCGCCACTGCACTCCAGCCTGGGCGACAGAGCGAGATTCCGTCTCAAAAAAAAAAAAAAAAAAAAAAAAATTCTGCTGTTGAGGAAAAGAAGAGAAAAAATAAAGAGAAAACGAGAAGACACTGACATTCGGAGGAGACACAGAGAGCTAATAAAATTGCCCATATTACTTACTCAGGTGATACTGCATATTACACTAACAGTGTTCACTTAGTTCCCAAGTGTCCCATACGGTATGTACTCAAAACTGTTTTAAAATATTTATTTACTTTAAATCCAGTTATCCATATTTCCATTTTCATGTGCCATATATTCAAGAATGCATTTAAATATTCTATTAAAATGGATTCATTGTCAAATAACATAGAATCCGCCAAAGTAATAGCTAACATTTTAGCACTAAGCCTTCATCACAGCTACGTCAAACCTCTGATACCCCCTTCATTTCTTTCCAATTCTGGCACCTGTAACCATAGCAACATACACTGAAATCTTTCAAGCAGAACAGGACTGACAATCATACTAACAGCACAAATACCTGAGCTGAGAAAAGAGAGGGGCGGCCCAAGTAGGTAGCTGTTGAAATTAAAAGCTAATGACAGGAAAACAGCTGGAAACACGCACCAGCTCACACTGCTGCCTCCTTCAAGCATATGAATTGTATGTAAAGCCCAATTTGATTTATGTTTTATTAGTGACACTGCCATCAATGAATACTTCATTAACCATTATCTCAACAAACAAGTGAAAGAAAACTTAAAAAAAAATAAGTTGTTTGGAGGAAAATTTAAGGGCTGCGTCTCTTTGCCAAGAATTTGAGCCATGTTTCCTGCCCATCCATGTTGTGAGAGACAGGGAAGTGAACTCCATTTACTGAATCTTTTTAACATGTACACACGTGTTCGTAAACTGCAAAGAATTATCTGCTATTGAGAAAAGACTCCTATTAGCCAATTAGAGTAATTACATGGATTAAGATTTCTTGTTTTTGGTGATTTCTTTTTTTTTAATCCCTAATGCTTTCTTGCTGAGGAAAGGAAGGGCTAAACAGCTGATATGGCCAGAGAATTAAGTGGGTGCAAAGTAGGGCATTCTCATTTTCAGATTCCAAAATGTAATTGAAATTTTATGCTTACCTCAACATAACAACATGTGATGATTTCTGTGCAAGGGAAGGCATAAAGGATGACATTTCCCCAAGACTTCAATTATAGTAGCTTCTATCTCCCCTAAAACAGCATTTGGTCTCGGAAAATTGCTTTTAATGGTGCAGGTGTTTGTTGAGAGTATCCATCATATTCACTCCCAAGTAATCCATATTAATTCACCAGCTTCATTAGCAGCAACCTTTTCTTCCAAATGACAATGCAAAGTAAATACAATTTCAAACAGATGTGCTGGTTTTCTATGAATCAGAAAGAGGATAAAGAAACTGACACTGGCTGGAGAAGGGAAGATAGGACTCCAGCCCTTAAATGCATATGGTGTGGATTTCTGGAACACGTTCTAAGCTGGGTCCACATACATGTCTCCCTCTGTATCAAGAGGAAGTCTGCCCCTGCCCAAGCAGTGGCTGATGAGCACCATTGATGCCTATCAAGCAGACTATTTCTGCAACATAAGGCAATGATGGGTATTATTACGATAAAGAATAGTGACCTGCGATGCCACTGAAAACAGCTGAACCAGATTCAGTTTACACTATTTCAGATGGTAATGTCTCCTTAGCCCTTTGAAAAATCAAAATAATAAATGGCTAAACGTCTTTCTCAGTACATTTACGTGTATGCATATTTACTTTATGCTGCATCCAGAGGTCACATTTCTGGGAGCCTCATTTACCCATGATATAACCAAGAACTAGAGTCAGAAAATAAAGCCCTGTCTCCTTACAATTATTTCAAGTATAATTTTAACAAGCAGTGTTCAATTCAATTAAACAAATATCCATGTTGGATTCTTGACCCGTACTTGCAAGGGCAGGGAAGGGCCTAGGCGTAGTTTCCCACAGCCGCCAGTCTCTCTTTCCAGAGTAAGGAAAAACCTTCCTGTTAGCTTTGGCCTGCAAGGCTTTGTCTGCTAATTAACGGGCCCTCCATTCCATCGAGGTCAATTCCTCAGTGAGGCAGAAGCTGGTTGTTAGCAGTCATCCCCTCTAAAAAATCCCCTCAGATAGCCTGCCCTCTAAAAGAAATACTATATTCTGCAAAAGCCTATATTTAGGGGAAGATATAAAGCATCTGTTTATAGTAGGCATTCTAGGTTAGAAATGATGACCCTGCCAATAATTTTCTGTTACATGAGAAGGGATATTGGAAGTCATCTAGTCCACTCACTGCATTTTACAGATGACTAATGATATCCAGGTGTGGCTATTTCATTAAATGGTGAAAACATGGAATATTCCCATCATTGCAGAAGTCAACAGTGGCCTGTGGCCTATGGCCTTCTTCAAAATCTCAAAGAGATGCAGACGATTAAAAGAAAGCTCCGAGAAATGAAGGGACTTTAATTTCTTGAACACCAAACTGACTATGTTACTTCCCAGGCAAAACCCCTTTTTGACTCTCATGGCCTCTAGGATAAAAGCCAAACTCTTTGGGATGAATTATAAGGCCTGCAAAGCTGAGCCTTACCAATATTTCTAACCTCTCCTCCTTGCCACCACCCCTACCCCTCACCCTCTATGCTCCAGCCACACTGAACTTTTGGGGCAGTGGCTAACAACTTTGGTTGCACCTCAAAATCACCTGGCACAGTTTGAAACACCCTGATGTACCTCAGACCAAGAGAATCTGACTAAACTGATTTCATTTGAGGCCTAGGCTTTAGTATTTTCTTTTTTTAAATTACTTTTAGTTTATTTATTATTTTACTTTAAGTTCTAGGGTACATGTGCACAAAGTGCCCTGGGTGATTCTAACATGTCAGTAAAGTTGAGAACCACTGAATTAGGTGAGCTCAGAGCTCCTCTGTGGAACTGACATCTCTTTCCATGGTGGTGGTGGGGGCTGTTAGTGCAGATACATTTGATATAACTTTAAAAGATAGTTAGAATTTTAATGGGTTTAAATGAAGAGTAACAGGCATAGAAAGTCAGGTCTGTTCATCCAGCTGAGCAGACAGCAATGCAGATATTCTTCTTTCCTCTCTTGCGAGGACTGGTTTGGATGGATGATAAGCATATGGTTCAGAGTTCATATTTTTATCCATTTCTATTTACATTTTCTCCATTGAATATTATAGCTGCCCCCATATCCACAAACACGGATACTTGTAATAACTGGATGAGCAGATATTCCTTTAGATTTGGAAACAAGTTCAATGTGTCTTCATTCTAGAAATTCAGGAGTCAACTCCAAGACAACAAAGCTAATAGTAAATACAGCTTATCATCATATAAATACAAGCATCTTTACATTCATCAGAAAGCATGCAGTGGTAATAGTAGTGAAGTGAGGAATTTATTAATGTTCATATGCATTTTTTATATTGGGAGATATGTTTACATAATACAAGACATTTAGTGGATAATTTCTGTGATTTCCCTGGAAAATTAGTTGAAATCTAAAGTAGATATGCAACCATTTAGTATCATTACCATTTAAACAGAGGATATGTTTCAGCCTTGAAGTAGAAGGAATAAAAATCAAAATATTTGTACTATACATTCATGGTAATGCAATTAGAATATAAAGGCCCCAAAAGACCAGGATTCTGTAGGTATGGTTTATAAAAGACTCAATTACACACATATGGGCTATTATCTAACAAAGCTTGTGATATTTGATGAGGCCGTGAAATGCCAGAATAAACATTTGAAACTAAAATGCCCAATCAATTTATTCATTTGTTCAACAAACAATTGTGGCACATTTTTACTAAGCATGAGTGGCACAACAGAAAGTTGAGTAAACCACATCCTTACTTTCAGAGTGCTTGGATGTCAAATGGAAGAAACAATAAAGTAATTAATTACACAGTGTGGTAAGTGCTAAGTTTGGTAAAAGGACAGGGTACCCTGAGAGCACAGACCAAACTAGTTAACCAGGATTATGGGAGCGAAAGATTTCCTGGAGTGGCATTTAAGTTGAGACCTAAACTATAAGTATTCATGGAGTGTGCATGTGTATGTGTGTGTGTGTGTGTGTGTGTGTGTGTGTCCCAAGTTGTTTAGAAAACATAACTTATTCTAGAAACCAAAAGCTCAGTCCACTTAGGGTATGGAGTGTGAGTATGGGGCATGGCCATGGAGAAAATGAAATGGTAGGCTAGGCTGAATCTTGAGGCTGTGACAACCATTTGATCACGAGATCCTGGTTGTTGGCTGGAAGTAGCTTTGAAAAAAAAGAAATTAAACTGAATTCAGTCAGACTCGATGTATACACAGGACACAGCCTTGGAATAACTGGTTTGAAACTAGTATCCTTCCAGAGCTGTTCTCACACAACCACTCAGTTATTCATTTCACTATATGAACACCACTGTGTGGAAGTCATCTCCATGGGATGAATTGTGAAAGTAGAATAATATAATTCCCTTGGGGGCCCTCAGACCCTACCCAGCTCTTGTTTCATGTATGTCCTTTAAAAAGCCAAATAAAGGTTAGCTCACCCTGACTTTGGCAGATAGAAGGAATCCCACAGAGGAGTGCCATCAAATAGATTCCTAATGTACAAGACACTTTGCCTCAGACCTCATGGAAATTCCAACAACATCAAGTAGTGTTGGCAATAAAGAGATAAGTATGATTGGGATGGGATCCACTATGGCTAGTAGAATAAAGTGGCTAATGTAATTCATGGATGACATGGTGCTGGCTTCTTCGCAGAGAAATTGCTCAGAGATAGGGTGAGATTTCATGATGTCTATAAAGAGTTTTGAGTTGCTTATATTCAAGGTGTAATAAAAATGCAAGGTAGTTTTGTAATGAGCACTAAAATGCTTCTGAGAATACCACAGGGTTAACAAGTTCACAGAAATTTTGAACAGTAATGACAAAATGCTTGATCTCTTTTTTTTTTTTCATTTTCAACATCTATGATAGAGAAAAAAGAAGCATAACTGAATAAACCCTAGAATTAAGATCTCTTTTGAATGACATTCTCTTTAGTTCTACACAGTTAAGAGAACCCCTATGGGGTTAATAGAAGACTTGGACTCCTCAGCAGTTACATATTCCATTTAAAACTCTGGGTAACAAATCATTACCAGATCTTCTGGGACATTTTTACTGCCTTTGGAACCTCTTTTTTGGAAGCAGAGCATTATCTTTATACTGCACAGGAAGTAGGGTGCTTCTAGGCCCTGCGGGTCATCCAGTATGACTGTCATGCCCAGGAGCTCACAATGTCACTCCAAGCAACAGGCCAAACATAGACTCTTAGCACTAAAAGGGACATTGAAAGTCATCTACTAAAACTGCCATTATTATGCAGATGGAAACATGAGCCCTAGCAGCTTACTCAAAGTCATGGGGCTAGCTAGCTCCATAGCCAGGTCTGGAACCTAGATACTGTTTTCATTTGTATATTTTCTTAAGCAAGGACACTGAATGATGAATATAAGAGCTAATATATGCTGGGCACTTAGTATGCCTCAGGCACAATGCTAAACTCTCTGCATACACTGGCTCATTTAAATCTCACAATATCCTTGGAAATTATGGACTATTATTATTTCCATTTTACTGAGTCAGAAACTGATGGACAAAGTAACTTGTTCAGAGCTACACAGTAGCAAGAATCAGAGTCCGAATTCTAACTCAGAGCTGTCTGACTATAAAGCCCCTTTGTCATCCTGCTTCTAGAATGAGGCAAAGAAGAAGAAAGTACCAAGTCAAGAGAGTGTTCTTAAGTATCCTGCCAGGCTGTATTTTAAACTTTAATAGAGAGCACCTTGCTGAGCCTGGGGCCTCCTTAGGACCAAAAAACCTCTGCGTATGTAACAAACAGAATCCAATTTTGTAGTGTAGAATATTGTATCACTAAGCAGGCTAGTGATGATTAAAAAGTGATGCATGAAGTGTGATGATCATTTTGTTATACAGAGATTTCTGTTGCCAAGATACAAGTTGTAAAGGGTTCTGACCTGAAATTGTCTAAAATCAATGAAGATAAAAAGAACTAAAGGAAAAGAAAATAATTTGAGAGAAGACAGCCCTGTGTTGTTAGTCACTCAGCTTTTCAGTTTTCCTTCTGTTTGAGTACTTACCACATTTCAGTGTTTACTTTTTTGTTCACGAATATTTCCTTTTAGACAAAATACAATTTTCCTAAAGAATATGTACTTTCTCTTTGCATCCCTTGTGCCAAGCAAAATGCTTGATGCATACGGGTGTTAGTAAAAAGGTCTGTGGAACTGAATATTTGTGTGCTGAAATAAATGCACTGTAGCCAAATCTATTGGATTTTATAACCATCCTAGAAATGAAACCAAATAGGGCTGTTGGTAGAATCTGAAAGACCCTGAAAGTTCAAGTCTCTGGAACTGTTTTACTACTGTGAACAACTTCTGGAAATAAATCGCGACATCCAGTTCAGGTTCTAGAGATCTCTCAGACAATTCTCCTGAAGAGACTGAATCAGAACCTGATTCATTCAGATTTGAATACGAGGCTCAGCTCTTAGGAGTGCAGTGAAGGATCTGGGGAGTGAAAGAGTATTATCTGATTAAACGGTTTATAACACGCACTAGATTGACCTGAATTGGGGACTGTACTGAAGATGGAAACAAAAAGTGGGAACATATTTTTTTCTAAAACTTTACATCTTGACAATACATAATGATCAATGAGACCAGGTAATTAAAAACAAAACCTAACGTGGATAACATGGCGGCATATGAGGCCACCTATCAGGCACAGCAAAGAAAACAAGGGCGACTTGCACTTTTCTTTGTCTCACATTTGCTCATGGTTTCAAGGGCTGCTGCATCAAGTGAAACAGATGCAGTTATACAAAGGGGAAGTCAGGTTACTACCCCCACTCAATCTCCCCCTGTGTTTATCTCTAGCTCCAAAAGCCTCCTCTTAAAATGGAAACTTGAATCTGATTTTCTCATTTTGAAGGCTAAGGTACAGTATGGGAGACAGGGGGCACAAAAGTGCTCAGGCAGCACAGAGTGCTCAGTGTGCAGCCTGCAATGGCTCTATGCAGTCCCACGGAGCTCATTTGAGAGAGACGAAGGCTGCATATCATTTATGAATGCATAATATCCCAGCAGAGAAAGTCTCAGTCAAAAACGTCTTTACCAACATGGTAAGAGTCACATCCTATTCTTAAGTAGATGAATCTATGACTTAGAAAAGTGTTCAAATAAATGGATAGTTTTCCCATTAGAAGATTTTTCAACTATATCCAGATGGAAAAAAAAAAAAAAGAAAGAAAATTAACTAGGATCATAGGGCTCCCTCCATCTTGGGTGCTAATGTTCTATTGACAAGTTATAATGAGGGCTTCTCTGTCCCAGAGTGAGGAATAGGCTCATTAAAACTTGAGGAACAGGAGAGTAAGCTTTCAACTCCCTTGTTTTTTAAACTTCACTGGTTTTTAGAAATACTAAATGAATTGCCTGACAAAACGATGTTATTGATTTCAAAGTGTGTCTGCATTCTTGTGCTTGCATTTGCATTTGAATCTGAGCTACTTAGAGTGTCAGTTGTTGGATAGAAGAATGGAAATGAGAGTTCTGTGGTGGGCTCGAAAAGACTGATGTGTTGACTCTTCCACTTAGTCACTGCGGAAATAAGCCTCATACTAACCTTGGTTTCTTCTTGATCAAAACACATCAATTAACATGGTTTGATCATTGCTTTCTTCTGGGTTAGAAGAAAGGAGGATCCCAAATTTTAAACCATTAAATAAAATGGCTGTTCCACAATATAACCCTATTAGGATGCCAGGCAATAACTCTGGAAGGGGCTGTTAATGTACACTCTCAATAATCTAAGCCTGAGCATGCATTATGCTGTAACAGTAAATAACCCCCAAATCACTTATATTTGGTTCTGAAAATGCACTACGTGACTTGTGTGTATGTGTGGCAGGTGGGCCCTCCTAATTACTTTTTCTTATGCTAATATTAGCATGGGTTTCTATACCTCAAGTACATAATTGGTGGCAGAAAGAGGAAAAAGTCAAAGGTGACTCTAAAGTTCAGAGTCATTTTTAAGAAGAGAAGTAGTTTAAGGGAGGACAATGTTTCACACATGTTGATTTGGAGTTGATATAGGGGGAACAACTCAGTGAAAATGTCCCTCGGGAAGGCAGGTTCTATATCATCTGCAGAGGGCCTAGAATGGAATCTCAGGAAATGGCCACGGTTAGGTGTATCTAAAAGCAGGGAAAAGGCAGCAAGGGAACTATAGAAGGTGATGTCATTGGCACAGAAGGAGAATCAGTCTTCTTCTAAGTCCCAGATTTATAAGAAAAGACAGAGTTTTCAGGAGATGGCACCAGTGCTTGAGAAGCTGATGAGAAGCTCAAGGCAGTAAGGACTGCTGTAACTGGAGTTAGGGAGGTCATGGTAACTCAGATTGTACAAATAGAGGATAGTGCTCAGGAATCATGTTGCAAGGGGGTATGGAGCGGGAGGGAATAAACAGGCAACATAGGCTAAAAGGGGTGGAGAGAGAATGAGAAAAATAAACCTATGACTAACTTGGGGAGTGGGATCAAAGAAAAGTGTGATTGCTTGTCTTCTTCAAAAAAGAGGAGACCTGGGTTTGGGGCAGGGGGCTGGAAAAAAAAAAAAAAGAGGAGACCTGTTCTTTTTTCAGGAGGGACTGAAGATAGCTGATGAAGGAGGTCACTGGAGAAGCACAATTTTGAAAGTGGTGAAACGCGAGGGCTTTAGGAGCACCGGGGGGAGAGGGAACCTCTGAGAGCAGAATCGCATCTTCCTCTCAGATGAGTGGGAAGCAAAGAGAGGCCAGGGATATGGAGAGACATACTGAAGAGGTAAAAGAGGAAGGTCATGTCATCATACAGGAGGAGATGAGGGGTGGAATTACAAGTGTGAGACAGCAGGAGAGTTTAAAATAACTAGGAGTGTCCTAGGACATCCAATTCAATAAAGTAAAAGATTGTTGAGCAGCAACAGCAATAAAGTAATGAGTCTGCTCAGGTTGAGCAGTATTTTTAGGCAAAGAATAAGAATGAAGTTCAAGATCAGGGACCAATGTTCTAGAAAGGCAGGTTAGTGGACATAATCCAGCAAGAGGAGATGCATGGAATAATCTCAAAGTGCCTTTCTCTTTAGGATCCACAAGATGCTGCTGCTGCTTTGTGGCTGCAGGATTCTGGTCTCAGGAAAACCCTCCATTCATTTTTTGCATCAATGTAGAAACTGAGGACCACAGGATGAAGTTCGTTCTGAAAGAAAATATGGAGTTTTAACTAAAGACAGACAAGAAATGTGAAGAGGCAATCCATGCAACAGAAAATAAGAAAGAAAGAATTTTGGTGACTTGGTATAATTAATGAAATCACATTGAAGATTGAATTTTTCCATAATACCCTGTCAATGAAAGGCCAATCTAAACTTTTCTACAGGAGATAGCATGGGCTATGAATACATGTTCTCGGCTTCCCCTATTAGCCAACACTAATATCCCATGGCTAAAAACAGTGACAGGCCTTAGAGTTACTCTAAGAAAAACTCTGGAAGCCAAGTATATGTGTGCAAGTTGTTAAGTAAGGTAAGTTACTTATCCTCTCTATCAGTCTTAGTTTTTCTTATCTGAAAACAGGCTCAATAAGTGGCTATGTCTCATAGGCCTATTTTGAGGAGTAAATGCATGAGACCTTATTCATTTAATATATAAAATACCTAGAGAACACTAGCATAAAGTTAGCCATTGTTACTCTTAATTGCTTTTGCTCAGCATTTTTATCGCACATGCTTTATGCAAATATTAACATGTTTCTAAGAATTTTTTTGTATGCATATTTTTCTCATGTCCCTCCTTAGATTATAAACTCCTAGGAGGCAAAGACCATATCTTATATATCTTATATTCATCTCTGTTCTAATTATTGATAGCTGTGTTGCTAACAATCTCACAACTTAGTGGTGTTAAACAGAAATCATTTTCTTATGGTCATGGCTTCTGTGCATCCGGAATTTGGAACAGACACAGCAGGGTCATCTCTTCTCTACTTCCTGAGGCTGGAGGCTCAGCTCCTTGATTCAACTGACTGGTGGGGTAACATGAACAGCTGGGGGCTACAACCCCTGACGGCTGGAGAGTTCACTTCCAAGATGGCTTCATCACTCACATGTCTTAGGCCTGGGCTGAAATGGCTGTAGGACAGGTTCAGCTGGGGCTATCCCTAAGAAAGGCTACCTGACTCCTCTCCAGCATATTGGTCTCAGGGTAGTCTGTCTTTTTACATGGCAGCTCAGCACTCCAAGAGCAACTGCTTCAGAGGACAAGATAGAGTGGTTTGGCCTTTTATGATCAAGTCTCAGAAGTTACCTAGTATCACTTCTGTCATGCTGTATGGGTCAAAGTAGCCACAAGCACACGTAGATTTAAGGAGAGGATCCCACCTACCAATGAGAGGAGTGTCCGAGAATTGTGGCCATTTTGTTCAACTGCCACAGTCCTCTTTCATGGCACCTTTTGTTTATAATGCCTTAACACCTCTTGTAACTGTTCCTTCCTCTCCACATGCTCTGGCATTGCTCGAGTTCAGGGCCTTGTCTTTTCTCACTTGGAGCACTGCAACCATTATTTAAATGGTCTATCTGCCTCCACTCCTGCTCTGTCTTATCCACTTTTCATAGAGAAGTCAGGGTGAATCTGTAAAACCAGAAATCCTTCCTTAAAACCTGTCAGTACCTTCCCACTGTCCTTATAACAAAGTCTAAACTCATGACTGCTATTGCCGATTTCCCCAGCCTCCTCTTTCATCACCCTCTGCCTCATGCTTCACACCCTGTTCACTCTCACTTTGTCTTGATTTTCTTCTCCCAGTGTTCCCCATCTAAGCAAATGGAACTACAGTGCCATACAGATGCCATCCATTTCTCTCCAACTCCACCCTACTATTCCAGAGCCCACCATTTGTCATTATGAGCATAGTAGTGGCCTCCTAGCTAGTCTCCTTGCTTCCATCCTTGCTGTCTAACAATTTGTTCTCATCCTGCCCCTAAGAACTCCTTCTAAAACTTATATTGTTATCACAGTTGCACTTCAAACTCAAATGTTTCAAAACTGAACCCATCATTGGCCCTCAAAACTGCTCTTTTTTCTGAATTACCTCTTTCGTTGAGTCTCTAATCCAAAACTGTGGACTTCATCTTTAATTTCTACTCTATCCTTCACAACTCACAATTAGGCACAAAGTTTTTTTTAAGCATACAGTATAACGCATAGTACTTAGAAAAAGACAGCCCTGGGTGCAAATCCAGGCTCTGCTATTTAGTAGCCATGTAATTTGAAGAAGTAACTTATCTGGTACTGAAGTTTATGTCTGTAAAATGGAAAGGATATTAATATATATTTCTCAAGGTTGATATGTGTTTTCAAGGAACTAGTTCTTGAAAACCATTTGCATCATGAGTCCCACATAAGAAAATTAATAAAAGTTCTATACAGGTTTTCTTTTTTTTCTTTTTCTTTCTTTCTTTCTTTTTTTTTAATAGATGGAGTTTCACTCTGTTGCCCAGGCTGGAGTGCAGTGGCGTGGTCTCAGCTCACTGCAACCTCCACCTCCCAGGTTCAAGCAATTCTCTGCCTCAGCCTCCCGAGTAGCTGGGATTACAGGTGCGCTCCACCATGCTCGTCTAATTTTTTGTAGTTTTTTAGTAGAGACAGAGTTTCATCGTGCTGGCCAGGCTGGTCTCGAACTCCTGACCTCATGATCCGCCCTCCTCGGCCTCCCAAAGAGCTGGGATTACAGGTGTGAGCCACTGCACTTGGCCTATTTTTCTTATCAAATTAGATTCTCAACCTGGTTTAAGCAAACAATCTAGAAAAAGCATTTATGGAACTCAGAAAATTGAAAATTGATGATCATTAAATGATATTAGGAAATTAATATTAATTTTGTATAAAGTTTATTATTATATGAGTAAATATTCTTAAATATTTTTAGAGATTCATATGGAAGTATTTATGGGTTAAATATCTGTAATATACATTACATCCCTCAGGGAAAAATAGATGACGCATATATAGAAAAATATAAATAAATGATAAATTTAGATGATGGATACTCACTATACTATTCTCGCTCTTTTTCTGCATTTGAAAATTTTAATAACTAAGAAGTAAATACAAGGAAAATAGTCCATCTGTTACATGCCTAGAATCATCTACTTCTCTTTATTTTAGATGTTGGCCAATTTTTCCTGTAAAGCCCCAGGTAGTAAATATTTTAGATTATGTGGGCCATATGGTCTCTGTAACAACTATTCAACTCTGCTATTGTAAAGCAAAAGCTACCATTGATAATGCATAAATGAATGGGAATGGCTGTGTTCCAATAAAACCTTATTTACAAAATCAGATGGTGGGCCAGATTTAGCCCATGGGCTGGAGTTTGCTGACCCCTGCTCTAATGGAAGCGCTCATTGGCTGTCACCTGGATTACTCTTACAACCCTCTAACCCATCTCCTTACCTTCAGACTTGTCTTCACTCTAATCCACCACCCACAGAGCAGCAGTAGCAAAGTTCCCTCTTCCCCCTGCTTATAACCCTGCTGTAGTTCCCTGTCCCTTCACAGCCTCACAAACCTCTTTAAGTTTGACTCTCATCATCAATCCCCAACAACCTCCTTACAATGCACACACATGCATGCACATGCACACACGTACACTCTTTAGATTCTGTAAGGTCTTTCTGTTTTCAGATATATTCATCCCTCAGTATTTGTGGGAGATTAGTTCTAGGACCCCTCCTCAGATATCAAAATCCACAAATGCTCAAGTACCTTATATAAAATGGTGTAATATTTGTATGTAACCTATATATTACCTCCCATATACATAAATCATTTCTAGATTACTTATGTCTAGTACAATGTGAATGCTTTAGGCTATATTTTTATTTGTATTTTATTGTTGTATTGTTATTATTTTTTAATATATATGTACATATATAAATACACTTTTTTTAGATACAGGGTCTCTCTCTATTGCCTAGGCTGGAGTACAGTGGCACAATCATAGGTCACTGCAGCCTCAAACTCAAGTGATCCTCTCTCTTCAGCCTCTAAGTAGTTTGGACTACAGGTGCAAGGCACCGCACCAGCTTCAAGTATTTTTGATCCGTAATTGAAGTACTCATACCCATGGATATGGAAGGCCAATTGTAGATCTCTCTGGCTTGGAAGGCTCCTCTCCACTCACTTTTATATTTGAAGGGTTATTTGAACTCCTCCTCCTCCTTCAAGACGCAACTCAGTCCTCCGCTCTCATCAGGGAAGCCTCACAGTCCTTTCCCCAGCATGCATATATGCATGCCACACACACCAGAAACAGTCAGGGTTGGGGCTCCTCCTTGATGCTCTCAAAACCTCCATGTTAACTCTTTGTCTTGGCACTTGTTACACTTCCTATCGTGGCGTGATTATTTCTCTGCTTTCTTCATTGGTTTAGAAGTTCCTTGAGAGTTGGGACTGCATCTTACCCTCAATGTTCAATACAGAGCCTGATATATAATTAAATGAGTATTCTGATTCACTACAAACATGCTCTTTATTAGGAATTTCAAGATGCTATGAAGAAAAGTATTTGGATTTCACACAACCTCTAGAAATATAAAAATTATGAATGAATAAACAAATAAATAAACACCAGAACCTAAATAGTTCCTCTTGTAAGTGAGTTAGACCACCATTAGGTCTAAAGATATAGAGATCTAGACACAATGTGGAATAAACAGTGCAGAGCATGGACTAAATTTCAGCCCCCATTCACCACCTTCCCCTGGAGCCCTTGTGTGGTGAGTACCTGCACAAACATATGCAGCTGCCCTGTTTGTGGCCCAGATCATATGTATGGGTGGGCCAAAACAAACAACAGCCTAATGCTTGTAGAGTCTGGGCAAACAATCCATTGGTACAGCATTCACTCCTCAGCTTATCTTACAACAGTGGTCCTCAACAGGAAGCATGCAGTGAGGATGGTATCAGAATCCATGGGAAATTTTTTCAACCTTTTCATCTGGGCTATGAAACCCTAGCTCCTGCTCTCAAAATTCTGATATACTTCTCTAGGGTGTTCTCATTCTGCAGTATGGCATACTCTCAAGGGGTAGAACACGTCTGGATGTGGGTTTAACTTGCAATGCTCCACAGGTCATTCTAATAGTCCTCCCATAACCCCACCTTTATTCCCCACATACTCACAGCTGCCTAAGAATCAATCAACCATTGACTCAATCAACAGATGAATGTATTGGTTTATGTTCCATGTACTTGTAGTTAAACACAACCAGTCCTGACCATTCCTCTGGAAGACATTGCAATATATGACTTAAATGACTAGGCTAGACCTGACTCAGGAATTCAAACACAAGTTGTTATTTTGGTTCATGCCTTGGTCCAGTTTTTTGTTTTTGTTTTTTTTTTTGAGATGGAGCCTCGCGCTGTCACCCAGGCTGGAGTGCAATGGCGTGATCTCAGCTCACTGCAACCTCCACCTCCCGGGTTCAAGCTTTTCTCCTGCCTCACCCTCCAGAGTAGCGTGGTTCAGTTTTTAACCTCAGTTATTTAAGCAAGAATATCTCAGTGTGAACATGTGTAGTTGCAAGTTTTGCCTCGGGGAAGTATCAATCCATGCCACTGGGAATTTAAACCATTCTATTTATAGGAAATAATACATTAGGGATTTTTTGACACACCATCCTTAGATTTCTTGATGAGGAACTATAAAAATTATGGCTCCTCATCAGGAAAGTTAAAGATGGTGTGTCAAATATTCAACTAACATTTCTTCAACACTTATTATGTGCAAGGCCCTATGCTGGTAACTGTAAGGGACATAAATGCTTTAAAAAAAAAGGCAATATTATTCTCTCAAGGAGCTCCAAGACCGATGGTGAATAAATCAAGTGAAGAGATAATTCAAAGTTTAGAGGGCTTATCAACCAGAAGATATCCTCCTCCCAAGAAAGGCTTTTAGGATATTTGGAATGAAGGATTTCGTTGCTGATGCCATTTGTTGTGGTTACAAAGAAAAATATTTCAAGTTTATAATGTGCACTATTTGAAATAATCGAGCCACATGATAATGTGGGATATTTAGTTTAGGATAAGGGCTTTGAAATGACACTATTTACCCTTCCAGTGTCATTTCTACATGACAATTTTAACATACTGTTTAGAGGGTCACAGGCCTTTCCTCTTCACATCAGAATCACCAGGGATGATGAAAGGTGTTATAGTAAGAGTGTGTGGATGGAAGGAAGGCAAGATTAAAAGGTTAAGATGCACAGATATGTTAAGTGTCTTATTCAGCTCAGGCTGCTATAACAAAAATACCATAGACTGGGTGGCTAAAACATCAACATTTATTTCTCACAGTTCTGGAGGCTGAGGAGTCCAAACTCAAGGTCCTGGCAGATTTGGTGTCTGGTGAGAGCCTTCCAAGTTCATATCTGACTATCTTCTTGCTGTGTCCTCACATGGTGGAAAGCAAAGAGTGACAGCAAGCTCCCATATCTCTTCTTATAATCTCATTCATGAAAGCTTCATCCTCATTACCTAATATCTCTCAAAGGCCCCACTTCTAGATACCATCATGTTGTGGGTTAGGATTTCAACATATGAATTTTAGGGAGACATGAACATTCAGTTCATAAAAGTAAGTGTCTTAAGAAGCATTATATGATATGAAGTGCTACAATAGCTTTCTGAGTTCAAAAGAGGGAAGGATCACATACGGTTGGGAATCCCAAGAGATAAATGAGGTTTGAGATAGGCTCCAAAGGATTCAAAAAAATTCACCGGTGGTTGTTGAAAGCATTCAAAATAGAAAGAACAGCAGAGGTAAAAACCTAGAGGTGTGCTATGGTTAGAATGTATGTGTCCCTCCAAAATTTTTATGTTGAACCTTAAACACCAATGTCATAGTATTAAGAGGTGGAGCCTTTAGGAGGTAATTTATTCATGAAGGCAGAGCCCTCATGAATAGGATTAGTGACCTTATAAAAGGGCTGCAGGGAACTAACTAGTCCTATTTTGCCCTTCTGCTTTTCTGCTATGTGAAGTCACAGCATTTGTCCCCTCTTGCCTTTCTGTTCCTTCTGCCATGTGAGAACACAGCATTTGAGGATGCAGTGTTCAAGTCGTCATCTTAGAAGCAGAGATGTGGTCCTCAACAGACACCAAACCTGTTGACCCCTTGATCTTGGACTTTCCAGACTCTATATCTGGGAAAGAATACATTTCTGTTGTTCATAAATTGCCCAGTCTGGAGTATTTTGTTACAGCATCACAAATGGGCTAGGACAAAATGGAAAAGTGCTGGTGAAAGTGTTCAGGGCAAGGCAATTATTGTGTTTAGAATGACGACTTTGTGTAGTAGATAATGGGAGATCAATCAAGGAAGGAAAGTCAGTCTCACTCTTGACTCCCAGGTGATAATTTTCATCAGATATTGTTCTAGACATGACCATTGCCTTGTTTCAATCTTACTTAAGTCACTTTTGGATTAAAAGGAAACATGTTTACATCATCAGGCCTCACAGATTTCTCAAGATTTTTTTTCCACTTGGCATAAAACTGATGTTGATATTGATGTCAAAATTGAGCGATGCTGTAAAGTACTGGTTTGGAGCAGACTGCCTGATTTTGAATTGCAGTCTCCTCTTACTAGTGACTTTAGACCCATGACCCAGTGTTATGGGTTGAGTTGCACCCACTTCCCAATTCATATTTTGAAATCCTAACCCCCAGTACATTGAAGTGTGACTTTATTTGGAGATGGGATATTTACAGAAATAATCAAGTTAAAGTTACAGTGAGCTCTAATCCAATATGACTGATATCCTCGTAAAAAGGAGAAATTTGGGGACAGAGACAGACATGCATGAAAGGAAGACAATGTGAAGAGATACAGGAAAAAGATGGCTATCTACAAGCCAAGGTTAGAGGCTTGAAACAGATTCTTTCCTCATAACTTTGTGGAGAAACCTACTCTGTCAATCCCTTGATCACAGACATTTAGACTGAAAGACCATGAGACAATAAATTCCCATTGTGTGGCCCACCCAGTTTGTGGTACTTTGTTACAGTAGCCCTCCAAACTAAGATGCCTAACCTCTCAGGCTTCAGCTTCCTCATCTGTAAAATTAGTATAATAGTAGCTGCCTTGGCTGGGCGTGGTGGCTCACGCCTATAATCCCAGCACTTTGGGAGGCGGGCGGATCACGGGGTCAGGAGATCGAGACCATCCTGGCTAACACGGTGAAACCCCGTCTCTACTAAAAATACAAAAAAATTAGCCTAGCATGGTGGCACATGCCTGTAGTCCCAGTTACTCAGGAGGCTGAGGTAGGAGAATCACTTGAACCCGGGAGGCAGAGGTTGCAGTGAGCCAGGATTATGCCACTGCACTCCAGCCTGGGCGACAGAGTGAGAGTCTAAAAAAAAAAAAAAAAAAAATTAGTAGCTGCCTTATACAGTAGTTGTGATGAATAAAAGACTTAAGACACATGAAGTGCTTAAAGTAATGTGTACACTATAAGTAAGTGTGTGCTATTAATGTTAATGACTCTTTTTCCTGTCAAACCATTTATCTATCTATGTTCCAGTAAATTCCTTATGTATATCTTTATAAGGAAGGCTTAGACATTTGCTCTTTACTTTCAACTAGCTCCTCTTAGCTTGCAATTACAATCTCACTTTATTAAGGTTGTTTCCTATATAAAGTTTCCTATATAAGGTTGTTTCTTTGCCATCCAATCAGACTGCTTCTCAAGGTAAACATACATCTTTCGTTAAACATAATGTTTTCCTTCATTTATGTTGCCTGAACTTCTGTGACCCTATCAAATATATTTCCCACAAGTTTCTTATCTTGGTATTTCTCTTAAAGATGCGCTCTCAAGAACATACCTACTTTCCATTTCTACCTGCAAATAGCAAAACAATATCAACTGACAGAGATAATTACCCACTTGAGAAAGAACTGTTATTTCTTTCTACTGCAGTACAGAGCAATAGAAATGTCACTCTGACTCAGGTTATATTAAGAAGCTTTATGTCACATGACACAGTGCAAACTGACACATGCTGTGCTTCTGGATTAGATCTGGGGTTACAAATCTAAAGAAACACTTTTGTACAGAAGCAAGTATTAGTGGCTGTAACTAATAAACCTGCTATTTATGTTTTTTCCTTCTGTGTTCTTTATTTTTGCTGTGTTGGGACAATAAGAGTGTTGAAATTAATTGTGTAATTTAACCCACATCTCTAGTGTTAATTTTTAGCTATACTTAGTACCTTGTTTCCTGCATTTGCATGACAGGAGGGGAAAGGCCCTTACATCCTTACAGTCGAGAGACTGATATCTGGGAATTGCATCCTGCTTTTGCTACTGACTAGCACTTGACTTGAGGTGAGTTTTCTCTCTCCAGACCTCAGCTTCTCCACTTGTAAAATTAGAATGTGAGATTATATGATCTCAGTTTCCCCCAGCTCTAAAATATGAAGATATTCTCAAGCTCTGTGATAACACAACATAGGATTCAGTAAGGGCACAGAGGCCAGTTAACTCTGGTTTTCCCCTTGGCATTTTGCCTTTCTATCTGAAGTCTTTACTACTTGTGTTTTTAATTCTGCTTTAGCTCCCTGTAAGGCTTTACTGGAAGCATCAGAATTAGAAAGTTAAATATTCTATACTGGTCCCAGTGATTACATAATGAATACGAAAACATCACCAGGAAGTTATTTGACAAGGTAAGTGATATTCACATTCAACACAGGGCTTCAACAAGGTGCTGATGTGAGGACCAAAGACGAATTACAAATAATTGATTGAAGTTTTCATGCGTGTGATGAACAACCCCCATTTTCAATTGTACGTGAAAAGTAATTATCCTCCATTTTTCTAGTAGACACCGAGAGTTGTCTTATAGATGTTATATGTAAATGTGGGCACTTGAAAACATTCATCTGTAATGAGATAGAATTTGACTGGCAGGAAAGAGAACAAAGGGGAAGAAGACATCTGAGGGTCAGAAAGATGACTCTAGGGTAGAAGCATGAAGGCTTTTTCCTCCTCTGCCTTATATTGCCCTCTCACCCTCACCCCATGGGGACTGAACAGAGATGTTTCCAGTACAATGAGAGGCTCTTTCTTCCTTTTTTTTTTTTTTTTGACAGAGTTTCACTCTTGTTGCCCAGGCTGGAGTACAATGGCACGATCTCGGATCACTGCAACCTTCACCTCCCAGGTTCAAGCGATTCTCCTACCTCAGCCTCCCGAGTAGCTGGGATTACAGGCATGTGCCACCACAACCAGCTAATTTTGTATTTTTAGTAGAGACGGGGTTTCTCCATGTTGGTCAGGCTGGTCTTGAACTCCCGACCTCAAGTGATCCGCCCGCCTCGGCCTCCCAAAGTGCTGACATTACAAGCGTGAGCCACCGCACCTGGCCAAGAGGCACTTTTTAAGGTATCTGATTAAGAAAGAGGAGTGTCTGAAAGGATTAAGCTCTGTCTGGAAAGTCATGGGGAAAAAAAGGTCATGGAACTCGTCCCAGGCTGGTGACAAGCTAAAGAGTGTGGGATTTAGGAAAGAAAGTTACCAGCATGGGTGCAGGATGCAGGGTGCAGAGGGAGGTGGGTGAAGGAAGTAAGGCAGGTAGATGACTACGGAGAAAGTCAGTAGAAAGGATCTGGCTTCTTCTTTCTACTAGAAGCGGAAGAAAATAGAAATCGAGAAGTCAATTTTTTTTTAAATCCAGCCATAGAAAATTGGTAAATTACAAATGTATCCATCTGTATTACATTTGGGTTTGACAACGGTCACCATGCCCTGAAGTACAGTTTTTTCTGTAAACAGCTGTAGAGACACAAGGGATATTGACCACTAGAGGTGAGTGGTATTCAGGAGAACAAAAGGACAGGAGCGCCTCCCAGTTTTCTACTAAAGAGGAAAACTCCTTTAATCTAATGATCCCGAGCCTAAGGACCAGGGACTTTGGAATACTCATCATGCATTATACGCAGACAATATATATAATGTGTCTCACAGACATATGCATTGCTATTTGCCACTGTTTTTCATTTCTCAAATTAATGTCTATCCCTTTGCAAGTCATAAAACAAAATTCCAGCTAAAAACACTCTTGATTTATGGTTGTATTTAGTTGTTTTGTACTTTATCAATCACCAGATCACCTGACATTTCTAAAAAGAGAACTTCATTCTGAAAGTGTTCGGGAACTCTGTTTTTATGTCTTAGGTAGTGGCGATGGACCTGTTTGGCAGAAAATGCCGTGGTAAATGATTGCCTTAGTGCATTGGCTGCAATGTTTTTGACAAATTAAGAAATGTTTAAGGATGCTGGTGGATAGAATTTCTTGGAGAACCTATTGTTTCTTTTTCTGGGGTGATGGATGTGATGAACTTTAGAAAACCTGGTATCTCCAGAGTCAGGCAGAGAAGGTGAAAAGGACTGACAGACTTGGGAGCTGCCTGTATTGCCATGAGCAGCATATTGGAGAGTAGACAGGCACAAATACCAAAAAGAAAGTCTCTCCCATTTAGAGAGCATTAGGGTACACAAAGAGTCATGTCCCATCAGCTCCCATCTTTTGGAATTCTTGGAGGCAACCTTGTCACAGAATCCTGGCCTTTCTCTCCTTTGAAAATTTTGCACAGTTCCCATACTTTCTGAAGGAAAGTAATTATGTGCATACTTTTAAAGATCAATATACACACAGTACTTGGGTCTCGGACATGAGTAAGGTTACTTGAAATATGTTACATAAACTCTCTCTTTCATCCTCCCTACCTCCACTTATCCTCTTGGTGAACAGATGAAGAACTTCTTTGTGCAAGTTCCTGATAAGGTAGCAATGTACCAAATGAGTGCTGCTGTAATTACTTTTTTGAAGAATTCATTGAGATGTGGTTGTGAGAGAGCCCAGAATGTAGGCATTATGTAGACTTGAGAAAATGCTGCACAGTCCACTAACAGTAAAAGAGCACAGGTACATATTAATAATTGAGTGAATTTGTTACTGCTTCACACCAACAAAAAAACTGACCTGTTGTCAGAGCAATGAAAAAGAATCATGATTTTATTTTTGCAAAGATTTACTTTCAAGAGTAAAATAATAGTTAGGCTCTTTGGTAATATAACTCCCTCAATGGGCAGAGTAGAGAAACCTGAATAATCCAAGAATGACTTGATTGGATAGGCAATTATGTAACTTGAAGGACATGTTCATTTAAGAGAAATATTAAAAAGAAGTAAAACCTTGCCTCCCAACCCATGGTTCATAAGACAGCAGATCAGAAATAATGAGAACTACAAAGAAGGTAAAGAAAACTAAGCTGCAGGAAATTATTTTTCATACCTAAATCCTTCTGGAAGGAGCAGGAGAGATCTTAACTACATAACCTTTACAGGTTCTCCAAACAATTGGTCACTTTTGCCATTTTCACCACTCTCTTCACAATTATTAACTATTATTACTGCATTTGTCACAGAAGCCTTGCTTTTAAGGATTTCATTTTAAAAGCAGAAGTACCCAAGTGTTTATTTTCTATAATACAGCATATTCTAATGGTGCTCTTTAGCTAATGTTGTAGCCACCTCACGCCCAGTTTCCATTATAGTCATTATTTTAAGACGTCTAACTTGGCTACAAAAATTGCTCTATAAAGACACCTGAACAGCAAGTTCTTATATCAGCAAAGAAATTTTAAGATGATAAAACATTTTTTAAAAGATAATAAATAATCTTTAATAGTTTAGACTACGTTTCTGAGCTCTTAAAAGTTGAAAATGAGTTGTTGAAGTTTTGCTGTTGTTTTTTTCTCTTTTTTGGAGGAAATAAAAGACAATCTATTACGCCTCCATCTAGAGCAGGCTTCTTTCTAACTTATTTACCCTTATAAGTCAGGCTATAAAGAGGTGAGAATCAGCTCCAGATTTGTTGCACCTTTCTTTTACAGTCATGAATATTGCTGTTTTCACTGGCTTGAGGGGAAAAAAGTACAGTGCTTCTTGTAGTCATTAAAATAGCATTGTGTAAAGATGGTTTCATTAATGCTCAGTTCTTAAAATCCTACCCTTGGGGCACGGGCACTAAGTGTGGTGAAAAAGAGCACAAGATTTGCAGTGAAATAGCACAACATTCAAATCCTGGCTCCGCCAAGCTTTGTGACCCTGACTAAGTTACTGAAGGACCTTGAACCTCAGTTTTCTCAGGCTTAAAATAAAAACTATGAGAATTGTAAGGGTTAATTGAAATAAGGTACACAAAATCATTTAAACACAGTGTCAGGTGCCTAGTAGCACAATAAGTAGTAGCAAAAGTGATGGTGGTGGCTGTGATTTCTTTCCATGGGAATGTAGGGGAAGAAAAATCCATTCCTACTCTTTTTGGTTCTTGGCTGGATCGCTGTAACAAAAGGCTGAGTAACAAGAGAAGAGCATACAAATATGTTTAATGTAAGTTTTACCTAATATAAGAACTTTCATAAGGAAATGAAGACCTAAGGAAAAAGTTAAACCTGAGCGTTTTTATGCTGGGTTTGATGAAGAGTAGAGAGTCATGGAAAAATGTGATCCGACAGAAAGAGGTATGAGCTAAGAGTACTAAACTTAGGAAAACTTAGCAAGGCCTGTTCATGCAGATTCTTCTCTATTTCCCTCTGTCTTGGGAGAAAAATATGTTCCTTTCCTCCAGGTATAAGAAGGGCACTTATCACATGAGAGTCTTATGACCTACTTCAGGGGAAGGTCAGAGTCCTAATTGCACCTGCCATTTCTCAAATTCCTTCAGTTTAAAATATTCAACATGCCAAGATGCCATATTTTGGGGAGAACGTTCTTAACCCCATCAGGAATAAAACTATAGTATCTCATCTGGGCCAAAGAAATAGGTAGGATGTGTAAATCCATGCGAGGTAAGGCTCTTATTAATCTTATTAATCTCATTCCATGAACAGCAGTTAAAGATTGGGAAACACACACACACCTACACACAATTAAACTTCCATCTTTCTGAGACCCAGAGAATACGCAGTCAAGAAGGGTTTCTGAAAGTGGGAAAGGAAAGAAAGAAATAACAGTCAATGTGAAAATAACCTGGCTTTTTTGCCAGTCTCCTGTGCTAATACTAACTAAAAGTAAATTCACCCAGTGCCCTCAAGAAAGCCTCCAAATAAGCATCAGAAAAGTTCTAGTAGCCTTAAGATATTATGAGAATAAACCTCACAGGATAAAGCTTTTGAAAACCACCCCCACTATAAATGAGATTCCAATCCCTATAGCCAGAAATAAGAGGAATTTTCTAACTCGTTTGACCCAGGCTTAAGTGACAGAGGAATAAGATCGCACATATCACTATTGTGCTGAAAGATCGTGGCACGGAGAGTAAGCTATTGATATGTTCCTGACTTAATCCAACCAAATGTCTTGGGGTTAAGTCATATTCTTGTCATCCTGTGGATGTGTGTTGATATAGCTCACCATGTATTCCATGTACGTACTTAGCACAATCCATCCCATTTAGCCAGCAACACTAAAATAATGTATTCTTGACAGTGACTTGGGTTGGGGTGTTGCATTTGCAAGCAAAACACACTCTACTTCCTCAATATTGGCTGCTTTAGTAGAGGCCCTTACAGCTGACAACACAACAGAGAACTTCATAAAGAAAGTCTCATGATAGCTGTTATTTATTATGCAAATGCTGCCTGCCATGGCAACATTGCATCTAGGAGTTTGCTTTATTTGCACTAGGACATGGCCTGCATATTCAAATGAAGGCAGCCGTACATTATGCCTACACATTACAAAGATTTTGTTTTCCTTGACACTTACAGGAGAACAAACTGCAATTAATATAGCCTGTTTAAGCAGACAGCACCCAATTAGTTATCATCCATTTTCAGATTGGGATGCTAGACAAAAAACATGGAGCTAGGCTCCTTATTCAAAAGGAAAATACATCCAAACTACAGGTTTTCAAAGACACATTTAACTCACAATGGCAAGGATACTCACTTAGTCTTTAATGTGAAATGGAGTGTTAATTTTTCTCTGTCACCTCTTAATTGCTTCCTTATTATACTGTTCAAGCAGTTAATTGCTAGACTGAGTGAAAGAGTGTTTTCAGGGAAAAGGAAATGCCACAGCATGAAAGAAAAAAAAAAATAGAAGCAGTTCACTAGAGTAATTGGGTCTGATATAACATCAGCTATGGTATTCCTTTTAATGGTATCTACAAAAATAAATAGGCAAAGCCAAATTGTGATTGGGAAAGTAGAGAAAGATTAAGTCAGTTGGCATGCCTGCATGCGACTTGTGTCACTGTCATTTACCAAGCAAGCAAGTGAACTCTTCTATGCCATCCACACCTTGCCGAGATGCAAGTTGCCTTCCCTATGTGTGGGGCAGACATGGATATCTCCACAAGCCAGATATTCCTAGTGCAGAAGCTGGTTCCAGGGAGCCATATAGATACTTGCTTGTCACCTTCCCTGAGTTGATGTTCGCAGAATAAATGAAGGGTATGTGAAGGCAGAAAGTCATTACATAATATGCCTCTAACTACTTTGGAGCTCCCATTACAATCCCATTTTGCCCTTAGAGAGAAATGTGTCCTTCCTTTAAGTATCATAAAAAATGGGAGTTGACACTGTCAGAGCTTTATTGTGCTTCTTCAGCAGAGAAATAGATTGTAAGAATAAAAGACAAGAATACAGACATTTATCCAAGCAACAAAACATAGATCACTGGCTTTAATGAGGATGTTTGCATACCAGTGTTAAAGAATTCATAATAAGTATTATTTTCTACATCCTCTAATTTTATTAGAGCATAGCAATTATTAATGAAAGAAGACAGTAAAGAAAACACTTGCTTTAACAGTGAGGTTGGAATAAAGATTTTTATTTGCATTGCATTTCAATTATGATCAAAAGAAAGAACTTTGCTTTATTTTAAATTTAACTTGCCAATGAAAAATAGAAAAAAATGTAAACCATTTACTGAGTTGTATTCATTAGTATCCATGCAATAATTAACTCAATAGCATCACTCTACCTACTGTTCCTGTTTGTCTACTGTTTACTGATGTCTGCTGATCTTCCACCTAGTTTTTTCTCCTGAAAGAGAGGAGTGGGAGGTGGGGAAACTGACTGAGAGTGGATTACTTCTATGACTGGAAAAATAATATGATGCTGTTCCAATGATCTACCTCCAAAGATGCAGAAGAGAAATTCAATCTTCTGCAAGTATTTAAGTGGAAAATACTCAGTGATAAGATATTGAACAATTAAGCAGGTAAATAAAATACTTAATACAAAACATCACAAAGGAAATTTTCTAGGCATTGCACTCTTCTGCATGTTACTGCAGGACAAACATTCTAGAGCAGTGGTTCTTAAACTAGGCACCATTCATGGAAATCAGGGGTCCAGCAACACCCAAAAATATTGCATAAGAATTCTATGTATATGTGAGTCTCTACATTTTTCTTGGAGAGGATCCATCACTTTTGTGTTAGTTTTCTATGCTGTATAACAAATTAGCACAATTGTAATGGCTTAAAATAACACATACATTTATTATCTCACAGTTTATGTGGTTCAGTAAGTCTATGCATGGCTTAGCAATTTTCTCTGTGACACTGCCATCAAAGTGTGAGCTAGGCCTCTGTTCTCATCGTCAGGCTCAACTGGGGTCTGCTTACAAGTTCACTCTGGCTGTTGGCAGAATTCATTTCCTTGTGGTTGTAAGATTCATGGCAGCTTGGTTCATCAAAACCAACCAGGAAAGCAAGACCCTAGAGTGAGTCTGCTAGCAAGAGAAAGTCTTATATAAGGTAACATAATCACTGAAGTGACAGCTCAAAGCTTTTGCCATATTCTATTGGTTATAAACAAGCCAAATGTCCTGCCCACACCTAAGAGAAGGAGATTATACATGGGTATGAACACCAGAATATGGGGGTCATGGAGGTCACTTTAGTTTTCATCAAATTTTCTAATGAATCTATGATTTTTTTAAAAATATATTACAAGTCACTATTCCAGTCTACCAAGTGTATTCATTATCTATCACTGAGTAACAAATTACCACAAAACATAGTGGCTTAAAGCAACAATACTCACTTATCTTTCACAGTTTCTGTGACTCAGGAATCCAAACAGGCACAGTGAAGACGGCTTGTATCTCCTCTACCATGTCTGGGGTCACAAGTGGAAGACTCACTGACAGAGAGCAGGAATCATCTGAAGGTTCATTCATTCACATGCTTGATGCCTAATGCTGGCTATCAGCTAAGGGCCTTGGTTCCTCTCTACATGTTTCTCCATGTGGTCTCTTCATTGGAAATGTTGGCATTTTTCACAGCACAGTGGCTGAGTTGAACAAATGATCCTTCTGAAAGAGAGGAAGAGAGAGAGAGAGAAGCCATATGGTCATCTTTTCTGACCTAGCCAGAATTCACATAGCTTCATTTCTACTGTATTTTACTGGTGAAGGCAGTTACAAAGATTCACTCAGTTTCAAGATGAAAGAACAGAGACTGTACCTCTCCAACAGCCAAAAAGATGCAATAAATATGTGTATGGGACCATCCTGCAAAATACAATCTGCCACAACACATTAACGTAGGCATTCAACAAATATTCACTGGCTCTACAAATATTTACGGGGCTCCTATACTTTGCATAGGTCACTATTGCATTGATGCACCATACTTCAAAGTTACATTAGTCCAATTGAATTGTCCCTTGTAACTTGCCAAACAAATCTATCCTCAAAAAAAGCTTCCTGAAAGACTGCAAATCTTGTTCTCATGATATCATCTCACCATCTTAGAGATAAACACATATCCACCAAAGTCTCCTCTGCCAACCCTGTGACTTAAAGAATCCCAGAGGGAATTTGAGGCTACAGTGAGCCATGATTGTGCCACTGCACTCCAGCCTGGGTGACAGAATAAGATCCTGTCTCAAAAAAAAAAAAAAAAAAAAGGATCCTGGAGAAATCCTAACACTAAATACATAGAAATTCTTGACTTGTAACTAAATTCCCAGTACTGCACAGATGCACAGAAACCTGTACTTTCTCAGGACCTTTTATCTTTAACAGACACAGACTCCCCAATCTCATAAATAAATTCCCTCCATCTTACAGTAGAAATGTTCAATAAAGGGTCCCTCTGTATTTTGTACATACATCAAACTAACCATATGATTAATTTACTTGTTCATTTATTTGTCTATTCAACATGTGTTTACTGAATACCTATTATTATACATGCCAGAGACTGTTCTGGGCACTGGGATTAAATGATGAACAAGGTAGATATTGTTCCAGCCCTCAGTAAGCTCTCAGCCCAGTGGAGAAAAGTAAAAACTAAACAAGCAATTACATTATGCTGTAATAAATGTTATGATAAGGAAAATATAGAGTGCTATGAACTTAGGGCAGGAAAACCTTGCTAAAGGAAATGACAGTTATCTGCAAATCCAAACAGTATTATGTAAAGGGATGTCCTCCTTATAATACAATATAGGCACTTAATGGATGCTTAATAAAGCCTTGGTTAGTAGATTGAATCTTATCATTCTAAAACCTTCAATGGTCCACAACTATCTTAGTAGGACATTTGGAGCATTCTGTGATTTGCCATTGCTCCTCTTTTTGAGCCTCATCCATCACCATGCTCTTCCAATCATCACCCCCCACTCTCACCATTCCCAAATCATGGCATACACCTTAACACTGCTACAACCTGTGTGATGTTACTATAGCCTGGAATGCCCTCCCTACTGTGTGTTTGTGTGTGTGTGTTTGTGTGTTTACATGTGTATGTGTTTTTGTCCTATCTTACTAATTCAAATGTTATCTTCTACTGGAAGCCTTTCTTGACCAATTTCACCTAAGGGGGAGTTAACTGCATCTTTCCCTTGGTGCTCACAATACGTAGATTATACCACTTGTTTTACTTTGTCTGGCATAATTACTTCTGTATGTATCTGTCCCCTCTCTTATTTATTCATTCATTTGTCATCAAGAATCAATTAAGTATATGCTATATATTCTATATATTATGCTAGATGTTAGGGATGCAACGTAGAAAAACTAAACAACTTTTCTGCCCTTAGAAAATTATCCCACTGCTCTTAGCACAATAACTCATCCATTGTAGATGTCTAATGCATATTGAATAAATGAATGGATGATTGAATTGATATGATGATGAATTGGTTATATCTACCTTTATATATGACAGAAGGTCTATGATTTGAAACTAAGAATCTATGCTATTTTTAAATGGATCAATTTCCCAAAAAACAAATGAGCCCAAGATGGGTTATTTCAAAGGGTCTGGTGATTAACATTTTAATGAAATAGGTCCAGTGTCCCACATGAGCCAAAAAACACTACATTACTCATATGATCAGTTCCATTTACCCTAGCAAGTGAAAGCTATAGGTACCATGCCTAGACTGCAGTTTTTCTAGACAAGTAGCACTGTTCACATCCATATCTTGAAAACATATCAATGCAGGATGAGAGTCCATGGACTTCCCATTGATTTTCTTCATTTCAGATAAGGCCATAGACCATTTGTCCTATTGCACATTTCATACCACCTTCATTTTCTCAACAAATTGTTCTTGAGTTCCTACTGTGTGGCATGCACTGTATTAAGCACAGCTTTAAATAAGCTGCTTCCAGAGACTGACTAGGAAAACCAGCAAAACTTATTCCTATCAAACTCTCCGAAAGGCAAGAGAAATAGAAAGAGTGCTTTTCTTACCCTTTCCCCCAAAAATTGAAGAATCACTCTTGTTAAGTAGTAAAATGCCTCTCTTAGTCCTCCCTCTTTCTAGATTGGCTTTGACCTATGTGTGTGGTGTTCCTGCCAAATGGGTCAAACAGGATAGGAAAGTTAATTAGCAAGCATGTGCAAGGCAAGATCACTCTGGAACAAAAGATTTACTTCCATATGCCATACTGTTATGTCTTGCCGCTGCTCCCACACCACAGCCCCCACACATACTCCTGAATTTAACACCTTAAAAAGATTACCTGTGATTTAATTGACAAATAGTATCCTTCTATTTTTTAAATATTGAAGTCACTATGCACTTCCGACACCAAAGGAAGTGTGACAATGGCAACTAATAGATAACCCATTATGTTAGGCAAGCACATTGCCCAAAAGCACAGTCATTACAGATCTCTTCCAAGTCTTATCCTGACCCCTAATCAGGGTTTTTAAAATTAACAATTCCTTTAATTATTTCAGTTCTGATTATCATATCCAAACCAACCAGCTATTAGGGTTTGACACTTTGCTCATTGGGAAAAGACTTCTCTGAACAGGTTCTGAGCCACTATGCAAAGCTTTGATAATGCAGCAAGTCACCCATTCTATCACTTCTCCTTTCAGTTAGCTGGTTGATTGAGTTGTTAATACTGGTCTTTTATAAACAAAGAGAATAATCAGTGATATTTACAGTGCCATTAGCTGACAAGTTGAAATCCTGCCGTGCATTCTGTGGGTTCCCAAAGCTTGCAGGAGTTTCTTTGTTATTATTATTATTATACTTTAAGTTCTAGGGTACATGTGCACAATGTGCAGGTTTGTTACATATGTATACATGTGCCATGTTGGTTTGCTACATCCATCAACTCGTCATTTACATTAGGTATTTCTCTTAATGCTACACCTCCCCCAGCTCCCGACCCCCAGCAGGCCTCAGTGTGTGATGTTCCCCTCCCTGTGTCCATGTGTTCTCATTGTTCAACTCCCACTTATGAGTGAGAACATGTGGTGTTTGGTTTTCTGTCCTTGTGAAATTTTGCTGAGAATGATGGTTCATTTCCAGCTTCATCCATTTCCCTGCAAAGGACATGAACTCATCCTTTTTTATGGCTGCATAGTATTCCATGGTGTATATGTGCCACATTTTCGTTATCCAGTCTATTATTGTGGGATGGTTCCAAGTCTTTGCTATTGTGAATAGTGCCACTATAAACATATGTGTGCATGTGTCTTTATAGTAGCATCATTTATAATCCTTTGGGGATATACCCAGTAATGGGGTTGCTGGGTCAAATGGTATTTCTAGTACTAGATCCTTGAGGAATTGCCACACTGTCTTCCACAATGCTTGAACTAATTTACGCTCCCACCAACAGTGTAAAAGCATTCCTATTTCTCCAAATCCTCTCCAGCATTTGTTGTTTCCTGACTTTTTAATGATCACCATTCTAACTGGCATGAGATGGTAGCTCATTGTGGTTTTGATTTGCATTTCTCTGATGGCCAGTGATGATGAGCATTTTTTCATGTGTCTGTTGGCTGCATAAATACCTTCTTTAGAGAAGTGTCTGTTCATATATTTTGCCCACTTTTTGATGGGGTTGTTTGTTTTTTCTTGTAAAGTTGTTTAACTTCTTTGTAGATTCTGGATATTAGCCCTTTGTCAGATGGATAGATTGCAAAAATGTTCTCCCATTCTGTAGGTTGCCTGTTCACTCTGATGAGAGTTTCTTTTGCTGTGCAAAGGTCTTTAGTTTAATTAGATCCCATTTGTCAATTTTGGCTTTTGTTGCCATTGCTTTTGGTGTTTTAGTCATGAAGTCTTTGCCTACGCCTATGTCCTGAATGGTATTGCCTAGGTTTTCTTCTAGGGTTTTTATGGTTTTAGGTCTTACATTTAAGTCTTTAATCCATCTTGAGTTAATTTTTGTATAAAGTGTAAGGAAGGGATCCAGTATCAGCTTTCTACATATGTCTAGCCAGTTTTCCCAGCACCATTTATTAAATAGGGAATCCTTTCCTCATTGCTTGTTTTTGTCAGGTTTGTCAAAGATCAGATGGTTGTAGATGTGTGGTGTTATTTCTGAGGCCTCTGTTATGTTCCATTGGTCTCTACCTCTGTTTTGGTACCAGTACCATGCTGTTTTGGTTACTGTAGCCTTGTAGTATAGTTTGAAGTCAGGTAGCATGATGCCTCCAGCTTTATTGTTTTTGGTTAGGATTGTCTTGGCTATGCAGGCTCTTTTTTGGTTCCATATGAACTTTAAAGTAGTTTTTTCCAATTCTGTGAAGAAAGTCAGTGGTAGCTTGATGGGGATGGCATTGAATCTATAAATTACCTTGGACAGTATGGCCATTTTCACAATGTTGATTCTTCCTATCCATGAGCATGGAATGTTCTTCCATTTGTTTGTGTCCTCTTTTATTTCATTGAGCAGGGGTTTGTAGTTCTCCTTGAAGAGGTCCTTCACATCCCTTGTAAGTTGGATTCCTAGGTATTTTATTCTCTTTGTAGTAATTGTGAATGGGAGTTCACTCATGATTTGGCTCTCTGTTTGTCTGTTCTTGCTCTATAGGAATGCTTGTGATTTTTGCACATTGATTTTGTATCCTGAGACTTTGCTGAAGTTCCTTATCACCTTAAGGAGATTTTGGGCTGAGACGATAGGGTTTTCTAAATATACAATCATGTCATCTGCAAGCAGAGACAATTTGACTTCCTCTTTTCCTAATTGAATACCCTTTATTTCTTTCTCTTGCCTGATTGCCCTGGCCAGAACTTCCAGTACAATGTTGAATAGGAGTGGTGAGAGAGGGCATCCTTGTCTTGTGCTGGTTTTCAAAGGGAATGCTTCCAGTTTTTGCCCATTCAGTATGATATTGGCTGTGGATTTGTCATAAATAACTCTTATTATTTTGAAATACGTTCCATCAATACCTAGTTTATTGAGAGTTTTTAGCATGAAGGGCTGTTGAATTTTGTCAAAGGCCTTTCCTGCATCTATTGAGATAATCATGTGGTTTTTGCCTTTGGTTCCGTTTATGTGATGGATTACGTTTATTGATTTGCGTATGTTGAACCAGCCTTGCATCCCAGGGATGAAGCCAACTTGATCGTGGTGGATAAGCTTTTTGATGTGCTGCTGGATTCAGTTTGCCAGTATTTTATTGAGGATTTTTGCATCTATGTTCATCAGGGATATTGGTCTAAAATTCTCTTTTTTTGATGTGTCTCTACCAGGCTTTGGTATCAGGATGACGCTGGCCTCATAAAATGAGTTAGGGAGCATTCTCTCTTTTTCTATTGATTGGAATAGTTTCAGAAGGAATGGCACCAACTCCTCTTTGTATCTCTGGTAGAATTCGGCTGTGTATCCATCTGGTCCTGGACTTTTTTTGGTCCACAGTCTATTAATTATTGCCTCCCTTTCAGAGCCTGTTATTGGTCTATTCAGAGATTCAACTTCTTCTTGGTTTAGACTTGGGAGGGCATATGTGTCCAGGAATTTATCCATTTCTTCTAGATTTTCTAGTTTATTTGCATAAAGGTGTTTATAGTATTCTCTGATGGTAGTTTGTATTTCTGTGGGATCGGTTGTGGTATCCCTTTTATCATTTTTATTGCATCTATTTGATTCTTCTCTCTTTTCTTCTTTATTAGTCTTGCTAGCGGTCTATCGATTCTGTTGATCTTTTCAAAAAACCAGCTCCTGGATTCATTGATTTTTTGAAGGGTTTTTTGTGTCTCTATCTCCTTCAGTTCTGCTCTGATATTGAGTTATTTCTTGTCTTCTGCTAGTTTTTGAATGTGTTTGCTCTTGCTTCTCTAGTTCTTTTAATTGTGATGTTATGGTTTTGATTTTAGATCTCTCCTGCTTTCTCTTGTGGGCATTTAGTGCTATAGATTTCCCTCTACAAACTGCTCTAAATGTCTCCCAGACATTCTGCTATGTTGTGTCTTTGTTCTTGTTGGTTTCAAAGAACATCTTTATTTCTGCCTTCATTTCTTTATATACCCAGTAGTCATTCAGGAGCAGGTTGTTCAGTTTCCATGTAGCTGTGCAGTTTTGAGAGAGTTTCTTAATCCTGAGTTCTAATTTGATTGCACTGTAAACTGAGAGACAGTTTGTTGTTATTTCTGTCCTTTTACATTTGCTGAAGAGTGCTTTACTTCCAATTATGTGGTCAATTTTAGAATAAGTGTGATGTAGTGCTGAGAAGAATGTATATTCTGTTGATTTGGGTTGGAGAGTTCTGTAGATGTCTATTAGGTCTGCTTGGTGCAGAGCTGAGTTCAAGTCCTGGATATCCTTGTTAATTTTCTGTCTCATTAATCTGTCTAATATGGACAGTGGGGTGTTAAAATATCCCATTATTATTGTGTGGGAAGCTGAGTCTCTTTGTAGGTCTCTAAGAACTTGCTTTATGAATCTGGGTGCTCCTGTATTGGGTGCATATATATTTAGGATAGTTAGCTCTTCTTGTTGAATTGATCCCTTTACCATTATGTAATAGCCTTCTTTGTCTCTTTTGATCTTTGTTGGTTTAAAGTCTGTTTTATCAGTGACCACGATTGCAACCCCTGCCTTTTTTTGTTTTCCATTTGCTTGGTAGATCTTCCTCCATCCCTTTATTTTGACCCTATGTGTGTCTTTGCACATGAGATGGGTTTCCTGAATACAGCACACTGATGGGTCATGATTCTTTATCCAATTTGCCAGTCTGTGTCCTTTAATTGGGGCATTTAGCCCATTTACATTTAAGGTTAATATTGTTGTGTGTGAATTTGATCCTGTCATTATGATGTTAGCTGGTTATTTCACCCGATAATTGATGCACTTTCTTCATAACGTCAATGGTCTTTACAATTTGGCATGTTTTTGCAGTGGCTGGTACTGGTTGTTCCTTTCCGTGTTTAGTGCTTCCTTCAGGAGCTCTTATAAGGCAGCCCTGGTGGTGACAAAATCTCTCAGCATATGCTTGTCTGTAAAGGATTTTATTTCTCCTTCACTTACAAAGCTTAGTTTGGCTGGATATGAAATTCTGGGTTGAAAATTCTTTTCTTTAAGAATGTTGAATATTGGCCCCCACTCTCTTCTGGCTTGTAAGGTTTCTGCTGAGAGATCTGCTGTTAGTCTGATGGGCTTCCCTTGGTGGGTAACCTGACCTTTCTCTCTGGCTGCCCTTAACACTTTTTCCCTCATTTCAACCTTGGTGAATCTGGCAATTATGTGTCTTGGGGTTGCTCTTCTCAAGGAGTATATTTGTGGTGTTATCTGTATTTTCTGAATTTGAATGTTGGCCTGCCTTGCTAGGTTGGGGAAGTTCTCCTGGATAATATCCTGAAGAGTATTTTCTAACTTGGTTCCATTCTCCCCGTCACTTTCAGATACACCAATCAGACGTAGATATGGTCTTTTCACATAGTCCCATATTTCTTGCATGCTTTGTTCATTTCTTTTCACTTTTTTTCTCTAATCTTGTCATCTCACTTTATTAATTTGATCTTCAATCACTGATACCCTTTCTTCCACTTGATCAAATTGGCTGTTGAAGCTTGTGTGTGCTTCATGAAGTTCTGGTACTGTGGTTTTCAGCTCCATCAGGTCATTTAAGGTCTTCTCTAAGCTGTTTATTCTAGTTAGCCTTTTGTCTAACCTTTTTTCAAGTTTTTAGCTTCCTTGCAATGGGTTAGAACACACTCCTTTAGTTTGGAGAAGTTTGTTATTACCGACCTTCTGGAGCCTACTTCTGTCAACTGTTCAAACTCATTCTCCATCCGGTTTTTTTCCCTTGCTGGCAAGGAGTTGTGTTCCTTTGGAGGAGAATAGGCATTCCAGTTTTTGGAATTTTCAGTCTTTCTGCTCTGGTTTCTCCCCATCTTTGTTGTTTTACTTACCTTTGGTCTTTGATGTTGGTGAACTATGGATGGAGTTTTGGTGTGGATTTTTTTTTTTGTTGATGTTGATGTTATTCCTTTCTTAGTTTTTCTTTCAACAGACAGGCCCCTCAGCTGCAGGTCTGTTGGAGTTTGCTGGAGGTCCACTCCAGACCCTGTTTGCCTGGGTATCGCCAGTGGAGGCTGCAGAACAGCAAATATTGCTGCCTGATCCTTCCTTTGGAAGCTTCATCCCAGAGGGGCACCTGCCTGTATGAGGTGTCTGTTGGCCCCTACTGCGAGGTGTCTCCCAGTCAGGCTACACAGGGGTCAGGTACTCAGTTGACGAGGCAGTCTGTCCATTATTGGAGCTCAAATGCCATGCTGGGAGAACGACTGCTCTCTTCAGAGCTGTCAGGCAGGGTCGTTTAAGTCTGCAGAAGCTGTCTGCTGCCTTTTGTTCAGCTATGCCCTGCCCCAGAGGTGGAATCTAGAGAGGCAGTAGGCCTTGGTGAACTGTGGTGGGCTCCGCCCAGTTCAAGCTTCCCTGCCACTTTGTTTACACTGTGAGCATAGAACCACCTACTCAAGCCTCAGCAATGGTGGATGCCCATCTGCCTGCCAAGCTTCAGCATCCCAGGTGGATCTCAGACTGCTGTGCTAGCAGCGAGCAAGGCTCCGTGGGAGTGGGACCTGCTGATCTAGGCATAGGAGGGAATCTCCTGGTCTGCCAGTTGTGAAGACTGTGGGAAAAGTGCAGTATTTGGGCAGAACCGTTCCTCCAGGTACAGTCACTCATGGCTTCCCTTGGCTAGGAAAGGGAAATCCCCTGACCCCTTGTGCTTCCCAGGTGAGGCAACACACCACCCTGCTTTGGCTTGCCCTCCATAAGCTGTACCCACTGTCCAAACCGTCCCAGTGAGATGGACCAGGTACCTCAGTTGGAAATGCAGAAATCACCCATCTTCTGCGTTGATTTCAGTGGGAGCTGTAGACCAGAGCTGTTCCTGTTCGGCCATCTTGGAATCAACTCCAGGAGTTTCTAAGTTCTTAGAAAATGTGCCTCTGTGGTCATATTGGTTTAATAAGCTAATAAATATGTCCAAATCTCTGTGACATTTTCTGGCTACAACATGAAGATGGGGAGGCTAGCTGAATGAAAAACCACAAGAAAAATCCGTGGGTGTGGAAGTTAGTATTTGAAAGAAAAAAAAAATTCTGGATTTTTGGCTATTAACCTACACTTGAAATGGAAAAATAAATATATAGTCCCCGGGCTTACTAATACATTTCCATTGTTTCAGAGAGGAACTTTACTATGACTCTCTCCCAACCAAACACCGGTTGTGTTTGTCTAGTTTTCCAAAGAGACTCGACTATCAACATTACTAAGAGGCATCTGAGGATATCATTTTTTCACAGTGTACAGCCAATTTATACTGGTATTGGGAGGAGTTAGAATAATCATGACGCCAATGCTTAGAGCACACCACCCCACCAATATTTCACTTTGGATGTCAGAAGGTTAGTTCCACAATAAATTCATACTTCTCTTCCCTCCTCAAACTCAGCTCACTCCATCATAAAAGTCTGAAAGATGTCTTCCTGTATATATTGTTGTTAACCCCTTTGAGGGCAGTTGTCTCATTCATTCCAGTGTCCTCTGCCTGTGTAGTGCCAGCTAGTGTGGTGCTTTTCATGTGATAACTGCTCATCATGATCATTGCTTCTGATGGTGCTACTGATTCCCATCAGTGCATGAACTTTGGGTCATGTTTTCTAATGTAGGTTGTTGGTTTCCTCCAAAACATATGTGTTCTCTTATGAGGAACTCTCCATTTGGCAAATGGCAAGCTGATGGGTTTGAGTTAGTTGTTTAATCTGCTGCCAGGAGAAATAACTTGTCTTCAGCCTTCAGTTCAAAAGATTACTCTCACATTCCAAAATACTTCAAGTCTAGAACCCACACTGGGTTCCCATTTATAAATGAAAAGAGAGAGTACAAATGGACAAAATACCTCTTTCCAGAACACTGATGATAGGGAGAAGGAAGAGGGAGGACAATTTAAAACTAAAGCATCCAGATACTAGACAAACTGATATTCACTGTCTTTCTAAACCTTATCAGGACTCCCTGAAACTAATGACTCTTCTTTTTAATCCATGTTTTCACCTTCTGTCTTCAAATGAGACCTCTGACAAGTTTTTAAGTGATACTTCTCTATCAGCATAATCTTAATAATTCTAACAGCACAGGATTGATCTGAATATGTAGAACTTTCAAATCAGTATATATACCCTCATCAACACTGAATGTGCTCTTAATGTAATATGTATACCATGGATTTCTTCTATACTCTATTCTGTATTACTATCACTCACACTGTCCCACATTTGAAATAAAGAATGATATTTTATATAATTGGTGCAATTTGACAGTAAAAATTACTAAGGATAGGAGATAATTAAATTGAATAATCTGATGTCTGAGTTCTATGCAAATCCATTTTTATTAAGCTACATATCTATTCCCACTTCTCTGCATTAAGTTCTTTACCTAAATCTCTCTTCTTTTTTTGTTAACTTCCAATTCTCTTTTGTCTAAGCATACAATGTCCCATATAGCCTTGAAATCAATTTAGCAGGCAGTCCTTTTGTACAATTTTATAATCTGCAACATTTGCATTTCTATACCTCCCTTTAATTCACAGAGAACAGCACATCTACTCCAGAGAAGACTGAAAATTGAAGCTGCAAAAATATTAAAATCTTCTCCAACTTGGAAAAATGATTTAAAACATCAGTTCATAAAAATATAAATGATCCATTTTTGTTGCTAGCTTCTAATGATTTCATTTTAAAAATATGTAGAAGGTCCTCATTATACCACAAAAGAATCAAGGGAGACAATTTTCCTTGCCAGCCCATGAATTTATGCACTTTGCCAGAGTTGGAAATTGCTGCTAATATAATCTTTCTCTGAGATTCCATCCCTGTATACTTTATTTGAGGTCTGCTGTCACCAACTCAAATCTAGATTGTTGTAGGAACCAATATAAGCACACACAAATCATCAAAAAGGGGGACTCTGATTGTTTTCCTGCCACAAGTCAAAGTTACTTTTCCTATTTAATATTTAGAACCAATACAACAATAAACATTTCAAAAACATCCTTTTAACAGGCTATCTTTTAAAAATCTTTAATAAGTTATTAGAGCAAAGAATATCTACAGAATAAATGCAAATTATCAGTAATAAATTTTAGAAAAGGATAGGAGGCACAAATAGTGGAAAAGAGTAAACGGTAGAAGTTTAGGATCAATATTAGTACTTTAATATTTTTGTAAGTGAGTATTGATGATATGAATCATTTATTAATTTGTTCCTGAAATTAATTACAGGGCCTACTATGTATCTTCTATAGATGTATAGAAATGAAAGACCCCAACCTCAAGGAGGTCAAGTGTGGAAAGCAGCTACATAAATAACCCAGTGCAATGAGTGCCATAATAAAGGGATGTGGGGATGGGTAGGATGGGAGCACAAAGATGGGGCACCAGATCCTGCCTTGGGAGTAGGGAGGACTCGGTCAAAGAAAGGGTGTCAGATATGAGGAAAGTACTTATGCAAATACTCAGAGATAATGAGAGCATACCATATATACAGACTTCCAAGGCATTCTTGAGTTAAATTCTGTCCCGAACTTTATAGTGTATCTAAGAATCACCAGGGAAACTGCTTTAAAAAAAAAAAAAAAAAAAAAGAGATCGTGATGCAGGTGGCCAGGACCACACTTTGAGAAAGTCAGCTGGAATAGGTTCATTCATGAACACACAGGATGACCAACTGTCCTGCTTTGCCTAGGATTGAGGAGCTTCCCAGGAGGCAGTATTTTCAGTTCTAAATCTGCGACAGTGCAGAGGAACCCTGGATGAGTGGTCACCCTAAGAATCTAAGAATAGCACAGCAGAATTCCATTTCAAAATGTCTCTTTTGAGAACTTAAAAAATAACTACCACTCAATGCAGCAATCCTATTACTGGGTATAATAATGGGTGCAGCACACCAGCATGGCACATGTATACATATGTAACTACCCTGCACATTGTGCACATGTACCCTAAAACTTAAAGTATAATAATAAAATAAAATAAAGAAAATAAATCATTCCATTGAAAGACTGATTGCAAAATGTGCAAAAAGAGAGACATGCACTTGTATGCTCACTGCAGCACTATTCACAATAGCAAAAATGTGGAATCAACCCAGGTGCCCATCAATGATAGACTGCATAAAGAAAATATAGTACATATACACCAAGGAATACTACAAAGCCATTGAAAAAGAATGAGATCAGCTGGGCACGGTGGCTCATGCCTGTGATCCCAGCACTTTGGGAGGCCAAGACGAAGAAATCATGAGGTCAGGAGTTCGAGACCAGCCTGGCCAACACGGTGAAACCCTGTCTCTACTAAAAATACAAAAATTAGCCTGGCATGGTGGTCCATGCCTGTAATCCCAGCTAGTCGGGAGGCTGAGGCAGGAGAATTGCTTGAACCCGAGAGGCAGAGGTTGCAGTGAGCCAAGATCATACCACTGCACTCCAGCCTAGATGACAGAGCAAGACTCTGTCAAAAAAAAAAAAAAAAAAGAGAGAGGATGAGATCATGTCCTTTGCAGCAACATGGATGCTGCTAGAGGCCATCATCCTAAGCGAATTAACACAGGAACAGAAAACCAAATACCGCATATTCTCACTTACAAGTGAAGGCTAAATATTAGGTATTTGCAGACATAAAGATCGTAACAACAGACACTAGGGACTACTTGAAGGGGTGGCAGTCAGGGAGTCAAGGGTTGAAAAACTAACTGTTGGGTACTATGATCACTACCTCGGTGATGGGATCATTCATAGCTCAAACTTCAGCATCACACACTATACCCATGTAACAAACCTATACATGTGCTCCCTGAATGTAAAATACAAGTTGAAATGATCAAAAATAAAAAAGTTTCTTTTCGAGAAGGTACACTGTGATTTCTTTTGATGAAGTTTTTAAATGTCATACTCATTCTGCTCAGAACTCTCCAGGGATAGTGATCAATTGCAAATATTTGAAAATGCAGGGTATCTGAAGATTTTGTTCTTGTATCAGAATGAAGAAGTGACGTATCGAAAACAGAAATCCCCTCTTCTGATTTCTCATCTGGAGCTTTATTGGCAGAGCATAATTCCACCACTGATCAAGGAACTTTCCTTTTTCTGGAAATAAACTGAGCCAAATTTCACCCAGCCTCCCAGATCTGGGAGGATGTGGTGGTAGAGGAAATGAATCTTTCTTACTGATTGGCCATTTACATCTGCAATCATCTGCTCATACTTATTTGCATGCACAATTAAACAACTTCACACAATTGTCAACAAAACTATGGGACTCAATCTACTTGAAATTTACATTACTAAACATACAGTCTTTTTAAAAATTTCAACTAAAAATATCACTTACTGATTTACATTGTTGTCATCAATAGAAAGCCTTACCTTGAATGAGTACTGTTATCACAGCCACCCAAGATAGTTATAAAAATATCAGGAAGTTCTTTAGTTAAAGATTACTACTATATGCAAAAGTTCTAGTATCTTCTAATATTAGAAATGTGAAGAAGGTATTGACTTCCATTGTTTGAGAAAGATTAATGATGAGGTTCCCTGAAGTTGGCTCAGGGAATCTTAGTCTCAATAGATTTTCAAGTTGAACAGTTCTCAAGGGTTAAATTGATATAATTTGGATCTGTGTCCCTGCCCAAATCTCCTGTTGTACTGTAATCCCCAATGTTGGAGGTGGGGCCTGGTGGGAGGTGACTGGATCATGGAGTTAAATTTCTTGTGAATGGTGTAGCACCATCCCCTTGGTGCTGCCCTCACAATAGTGAGTGAGTTCTCCTGAGATTTGGCTGTTTCAAAGTGTGTGGCACCTCTCCCCTCACTCTCCTCGCTCTGGTCATCTTTATGTGCCTGCTCCCCCTTTGCTTTCTGCCATAATTGTAAGCTTCCTGAGGACTCCCCAGAAAGAGATGCCACTATGCTAACTGTACACCCTGCAGAACCATGAGCCAATTAAACCTCTTTTTTAAAATACATTACCCAGTCTCAGCTATTTCTTTATTATTATTATTATTATTACTATTATACTTTAAGTTCTAGGGTACATGTGCACAACATGCAGGTTTGTTACACATGTATACATGGGCCATGTTGGTGTGCTGCACCCATTAACTAGTCATTTACATTAGGTATTTCTCTTAATGCTATCCCTCCCCACTCCCCTCACCCCACGACAGGCCCTGGTGTGTGATGTTCCCTGCTCTGTGTCCAAGTGTTCTCATTGTTCAATTCCCACCTATGAGTGAGAACATGTGGTGTTTGGTTTTCTGTCCTTGTGATGGTTTGCTCAGAATGAAGGTTTCCAGCTGCATCCATGTCCCTATAAAGCACATGAACTCATCCTTTTTTATGGCTGCATAGTATTCCATGGTGTATATGTGCCACATTTTCTTAATCCAGTCTATCATTGATGGACATTTGGGTTGGTTCTAAGTCTTTGCTATTGTGAATAGTGCCGCAATAAACATATGTGTGCATGTGTCTTTATAGTAGCATGATTTATAATCCTTTGGGCATATACCCAGTAATGGGATCTCTGGGTCAAATGGTATTTCTAGTTCTAGATCCTTGAGGAATTGCCACACTGTCTTCCACAATGGTTGAACTAGTTTACACTCCCATCAACAGTGTAAAAGCATTCCTATTTCTCCAAATCCTCTCCAGCACCTGTTTTTTCTTAACTTTTTAATGATCGCCATTCTAACTGGTGTGAGATAGTATCTCATTGTGGTTTGGATTTGCATTTCTCTGATGACCAGTGATGATGAGCATTTTTACATGTGTCTGTTGGCTGCATAAATGTCTTCTTTTGAAAAGCGTCTGTTCATATCCTTTGCCCACTTTTTGATGGAGTTGTTTGGTTTTTTTCTTGTAAATTTGTTTAAGTTCTTTGTAGATTCTGGATATTAGCCCTTTGTCAGATGGGTAGATTGCAAAAATTTTCACCCATTCTGTAGGTTGCCTGTTCACTCTGATGGTACTTTCTTTTGCTGCGCAGAAGCTCTTTAGTTTAATTAGATCCCATTTGTCTATTTTGGATTTTGTTGCCATTGCTTTTGGTGTTTTAGTCATAAAGTCCTTTCCCATGCCTGTGTCCTGAATGGTATTGCCTCGGTTTTCTTCTAGGGTTTTTATGGTTTTACATCTAAGATTTAAGTCTTTAATCTATCTTGAATTAATTTTTGTATAAGGTGGAAGGAAGGGATGCAGTTTCAGCTTTCTACATATAGCTAGCCAGTTTTCCCAGCACCATTTATTAAATAGGGAATCCTTTCCCCATTGCTTGTTTTTGTCAGGCTTGTCAAACATCAGATGGTTGTAGATATGTGGTATTATTTCTGAGGGCTCTGTTCTGTTCCATTGGTCTCTACCTCTGTTTTGTTACCAGTACTGTGCTGTTTTCTTTACTGTAGCCTTGTAGTATAGTTTGAAGTCAGGTAGCATGATGTCTCCAGCTTTGTTCTTTTGGCTTAGGATTGTCTTGGCCATGCGGGCTCTTTTTTGGTTCCATATGAACTTTAAAGTAGTTTTTTCCAATTCTGTGAAGAAAGTCATTGGTAGCTTGATGGGCATGGCATTGAATCTATAAATTACCTTGGGCAGTGTGGCCATTTTCACAATATTGATTCTTCCTATCCATGAGCATGGAATGTAATTCTATTTGTTTATATCCTCATTTATTTCTTTGAGCAGGGGTTTGTAGTTCTCCTTGAAGAGGTCCTTCACATCCCTTGTAAGTTGGATTCCTAGGTATTTTACTCTCTTTGAAACAATTATGAATAGGAGTTCACTCATGATTTGGCTCTCTGTTTGTCTGTCCTTGCTCTATAGGAATGCTTGTGATTTTTGCACATTGATTTTGTATCCTGAGACTTTGCTGAGGTTGCTTATCAGCTTAAGGAGATTTGGGGATGAGATGATGGGGTTTTCTAAATATACAGTCACGTCATCTGCAAACAAGGACAATTTGACTTCCTTTTTTCCTAATTGAACACCCTTTATTTCTTTCTCCTGCCTGATTGCCCTGGCCAGAACTTCCAATACTATGTTGAATAGAAGTGGTGAGAGAGGGCATCCTTGTCTTGTGCCAGTTTTCAAAGGGAATGTTTCCAGTTTTTGTCCATTCAGCATGATATTGGCTGTGGGTTTGTCATAAATAGCTCTTATTATTTTGAAATACGTCCCATTGATACCTAGTTTATTGAGAGTTTTTAGCATGAAGGGCTGTTGAATTTTGTCAAAGGCCTTTCCTGCATCTATTGAGATAATCATGTGGTTTTTGCCTTTGGTTCCGTTTATGTGATGGATTACGTTTATTGATTTGCGTATGTTGAACCAGCCTTGCATCCCAGGGATGAAGCCAACTTGATCGTGGTGGATAAGCTTTTTGATGTGCTGCTGGATTCAGTTTGCCAGTATTTTACTGAGGATTTTTGCATCGATGTTCATCAGGGATATTGGTCTAAAATTCTCCTTTTTTGTTGTGTCTCTGCCAGGCTTTGGTATCAGGATGACGCTGGCCTCATAAAATGAATTAGGGAGGATTCCCTCTTGTTCTATTGATTGGAATAGTTTCAGAAGGAATGGTACCAGCTCCTCTTTGTACATCTGGTAGAATTCAGTTGTGAATCTGTCTGATCCTCAACTTTTTTTTGTTGGTAGGCTATTAGTTATTGCCTCCATTTCAGAGTCTGTTATTGGTCTATTAAGAGATTCAACTTCTTCCTGGTTTAGTTTTGGGAGGGTGTGTGTGTCCAGGAATTTATCCATTTCTTCTAGATTTTCTAGTTTATTTGCATAAAGGTGTTTATAGTATTCTCTGATGGTAGCTTGCATTTCTGTGGGACTGGTGGTGATATCCCCTTTGTCATTTTTTATTGCGACTATTTGATTCTTCTCTCTTTTCTTCTTTATTAGTCTTGCTAGTGGTCTATCACTTTTGTTGATCTTTTCAAAAAACCAGCTCCTGGATTCATTGATTTTTTGAAGGGTTTTTTGTGTCTCTATCTCCTTCAGTTCTGCTCTTATCTTAGTTATTTCTTGCCTCCTGCTAGCTTTTGAATGTGTTTGCTCTTGCTTCTCTAGTTCTTTTAATTGTGATGTTAGGGTTTCGATTTTAGATCTTTCTTCCTTTCTCTTGTGGGCATTTAGTGCTATAAATTCCCCCTACACACTGCTTTAAATGTGTCCCAGAGATTCTGATATGTTCAATCTTTGTTCTCATTGGTTTCAAAGAACATCTTTATTTCTGCCTTCATTTCGTTATTTACCCAGTAGTCACTGAGGAGCAGGTTGCTCAGTTTCCATGTAGTTGTGTGTTTTTGAGTGAGTTTTTTAATCCTGAGTTCTAATTTGATTGCACTGTGGTCTAAGAGACAGTTTGTTGTGATTTCTGTTCTTTTACATTTGCTGAGGAGTGCTTTACTTCCAACTACGTGGTCAATTTTGGAAGAAGTGTGATGTGGTGCTGAGAAGAATGTATATTCTTTTGATTTGGGGTGGAGAGTTCTGTAGATGTCTATTAGGTCTGCTTGGTGCAGAGCTGAGTTCAAGTCCTAGATGTCCTTGTTAAACTTCTGTCTCATTGATCTAATATTGACAGTGGGTTGTTAAAGTCTCCCATTATTATTGTATGGGAGTCTAAATCTCTTTGTAGGTCTCTAAGGACTTGCCTTATGAATCTGGGTGCCCTGTATTGGGTACATATATATTTAGGATAGTTAGCTCTTCTTGTTGAATTGATGCCTTTACCATTATGTAATGGCCTTCTTTGTCTCTTTTGATATTTGTTAGTTTAAAGTCTGTTTTATCAGAGACTGGGATTGCAACCCCTGCATTTTTTTTTTTTTGTTTTCCATTTGCTTGGTAGATCTTCTTCCATCCCTTTATTTTGAGTCTATGTGTGTCTCTGCATGTGAGATGGGTCTCCTGAATACAGCACACTGATGTGTCTTGACTCTTTATCCAGTTGGCCAGTCTGTGTCTTTTAATTGGTGCATTTAGCCCATTTACATTTAAGATTAATATTGTTATGTGTGAATTTGATCCTGTCATTATGATTTTAGCTGGTTATTTTGTTCATTAGTTGATGCACTTTCTTCCTGACATTGATGGTCTTTACAATTTGGCATGTTTTCACACTGGCTGGTACCTGTTTTTCCTTTCCATGTTTAGTGCTTCCTTCAAGAGCTCTTGTAAGGCAGGCCTAGTGGTGACAAAATCTCTCAGCATTTGTTTGTCTGTAAAGGATTTTATTTCTCCTTTACTTACAAAGCTTAGTTTGGCTGGATATGAACTTCTGGGTTGAACATTCTTTCCTTTAAGAATGTTGAATATTGGCCCCCACTCTCTTCTGGCTTGTAGGGTTTCTGCCGAGAGATCTGCTGTTAGTCTGATGAGCTTCCCTTTGTGGGTAACCCAACCTTTCTCTCTGGCTGCCCTTAACATTTTTTCCTTCATTTCAACTTGGTGAATATGACAATTATGTGTCTTGGGGTTACTCTTCTCGAGGAGTATCTTTGTAGTGTTTTCTGTATTTCCTGAATTTGAATGTTGGTCTGCCTTGCTAGGTTGGGGAAGTTCTCCTGGATAATATCCTGAAGAGTGTTTTCCAACTTGGTTCCATTCTCCCTGTCACTTTCAAGTACACCAATCAGACGTAGATTTGGTCTTTTCACATAGTCCCATATTTCTTGTTGGCTTTGTTCATTTCTTTTTACTCTTTTTTCTCTAAACTTCTCTTCTCACTTCATTTCATTCATTCGATCTTCAATAACTGATACCCTTTCTTCCACTTGATCAAATCAGCTACTGAAACCTGTGCATGCATCATGTAGTTCTCGTGCCATGGTTTTCAGCTCCATCAGGTCATTTAAGGTCTTCTCTATGCTTTTTATTCTAGTTAGCCATTCGTCTACTCTTTTTTCAAGGTTTTTAGCTTCCTTGTGATGAGTTCGAAAATTCTCCTTTAGCTCAGAGAAGTTTGTTATTACCGACCTTCTGAAGCCTACTTTTGTCAACTCGTCAAAGTCATTCTCCATCTAGCTTTGTTCTGTTGCTGGCAAGGATCTGGGATTTTTTGGAGGAGAAGAGGCGCTCTGGTTTTTAGAATTTTCAGCTTTTCTGCTCTGGTTTCTCCCCATCTTTGTGGTTTTATCTACATTTGGTCTTTGATGATGGTGACCTACAGATGGGGTTTTGGTGTGGATGTCCTTTTTGTTGATGTTGATGCTATTCCTTTCTGTTTGATAGTTTTCCTTCTAACAGCCAGAACCCTCAGCTGCAGGTCTGTTGGAGTTTGCTGGAGGTCCACTCCAGACCCCGTTTGCCTGGGTATCACCAGGGGAGGTTGCAGAACAGCAAATATTGCCACCTGATCCTTCCACTGGAAGCTTCATCCCAGAGGGGCACCCGGCTGTATGAGATGTCAGTTGGCCCCTACTGGGAGGTGTCTCCCAGTTAGGCTACACAGGGGTCAGGGACCCACTTGAGGAGGCAGTCTGTCCGTTCTCAGAGCTCAAACTCCATGCTGGGAGAACCACTGCTCCTTCAGAGCTGTCAGACAGGGACGTTAAAATCTGCAGAAGTTTCTGCTGCCTTTTGTTCAGCTATGCCCTGCCCCAAGAGGTGAAGCCTACAGAGGCAGGCTGGCCTCATTGAGCTGTGGTGGGGTCCCTGCAGTTCGAGCTTCCCGGCCACTTTGTTTACCTACTCAAACCTTAGCAATGACAGATGCCCCTCCCCCAGCCCAGGCTGCTGCTTAGCAGTTCAGTATCAGACTGCTGCGTTAGCAATGAGCAAGGCTCTGTGGGCATGGGACCCACTGAGCCAGGCATGGGATATAATCTCCTGGTGTGCCATTTGCTAAGACCATTGGAAAAGTGCAGTATTAGGGCAGGAGTGTCCCAATTTTCCAGGAACCATCTTTCACAGCTTCTCTTGGCTAGGAAAAGGAAATCCCCTGACCCCTTGTGCTTCCCGGGTTAGGCAATGCCCCGCCCTGCTTCAGCTCACCCTCTGTGGGCTGCACCCACTCTCCAACCAGTCCCAGTGAGATGAACCAGGTACCTCAGTTGGAAATGCAGAGATCACCCGTCTTCTGCGTTGATCCCGCTGGGAGCTACAGACCAGAGCTGTTCCTATTTGGCCATCTTGGAATGATCCCTCAGCTATTTCTTTATAGCAGTGCAAGAATGGCTTAACTGGATAGTCATTAAATTCTTCTCTTTGGAGAAGAGTTGAGTAAGCTCTTACAGTATGTTTTCAGAGAGTTAAAAGCACAGCATGAAATGCCAGTGCTAAGTCAGGGAAATCAATACAGGTATAATTGGCTTAAATTAAGAAATATTCAAAAATTCACAGAATGATAACTAGTATGTATCTGGCGTCTAGTGTGTACCAGGTACCATGCAAGATGCTTTAGACACATTTAGACAGGTTAACTAAAGAGAGTTATTACAAAAACAAATAACCATTTTACATCATATTAGCATGTCACTGCTTAGAGACACCAATAATGCTGCCATTGACTTACATTTCCCTTACTTCATTCTAAGTGCCCTTCCAGAGATTCCTCCCAATGTCTTGGGCAACTTTTGGCTCATAATTAATTGTACACTTCCTCACAACATTCTTATATTAACTTCACTTTGACAGAAAGAAGTCCAGATTAAAAAAAAATAATAACCAATTAGGTAAATCCCTTCTCCCATTCCTTCATACAACATATAGTGATAAGGTACCTCATGTATGTATGTATGCCAGGATAGATTAGTTATCAATGTGATGATTGCTATGATAGCGTTATGGCCAAAGCATGTCACTTAGCACTAAATGTTTGCTGCCAATCTGGCTTATCTACATGGCATGTGACCAAACTTAAGAAGCAGTTTAAGCCAAATATGGAATATCTTGATGAACAGGACTGGACAACAACAGCTTTAGATAGAACTTCACAAGCAATGTGGAAAAGATTTATTATAATTAGGCGGATGTGGAGAAATCAGATGAAAGGAAGGCAAGTAAGGAGTCCACACTGAATCTTCTAATGAATGTAGTCATTTCAGCTTTTTTCACATATTCTCCAGGAAGACTGCTTTTTACTCCTTTTACCTTGATAATTTCTCCAGTTTTTCTACTTCCATATTTTATATGCAGACCAACATGCTGAATGCCTGAGTAATAAAGTCTACATTGATGCAGAATATAGAGGAGAAGAATTATGTCCTGGCTTTTGTACATTAATAGCGCCCTGTTCACAAAACCCAGGCCTATGCCAGCCTTTTAAACAATGGTTCTGTATTGTTTCCATTTACTCAAGGTGTGACTCAGAGTGATGGTTTCACCAGCCATTCCTCAGCAGGTATTCATGTGGTTTGGATTTGGGGAGCATATGGATTGCCCAGCACTGTCCCTGTTGAACATCAAATGTCAGCTTTTTTTGACAGATCATTTTTCTAATTGGTCAGGGTCACCTTGGATTCTGCTCTTGTCTCACAAGAAATTTTCAGCTTTTAATTTCCCCACCCTCCAGCTCCATTTCCCAATGTGGTGTCATCCACAAATTTAGTAGGAATGTATACATTTTTCTCATTCTAGACCTTGTAGGAAAAAAAATGAAAAGCTCTGGGACAAAACTATGTGATCTCTGGAACATGTTGTCCCAGGTTTCTCCCAAAGCATTGTTTAGTGCCCTTGGAGTACAACTCATGTAATGGTACAGTCCAGGCCTGATCTCCTTGGATCACCAATGGAAATGCCTTGCAGATCCACAAAACTGTAGTGAAGTCCAGATGTATCCTACATTGATTGCTCTCCTCTTTATTCAAGACCTGCAGTTCTGTCACAAAAGGAAATTAAATTGGTTTAACACGAGTTGCTCATCATAAAGACAGTGCCTTGGAATCTTATGTTAGCAAATGGCTTACTTGATTGTTTTTCTATCATTTTCATGTGCATTAATGTGAAAATGACTCAATATAAGGAAGAATTCCCTGTTACAGCTATCCAGAAATGGAGTGGGCTACTTTGAGGAGGTGGTAAAGGTGCCATCACTGAAAGTACACAAACGGAATGCTAAGAGAAGATTCCTGCGTGGGCTAAGACATTGAGTTGGGTGACTTCTAGGTTTACTTTCAATGCTAAGTTACTGAAATTCTGCAATTTTTTTGTATTTTCCAGTAATATTTTTTCCTTCATTGTTAAAAGATTGCTTTTTCAATTTGTTTTCAAAAGCATTCTCAGACTTCTACAAAACATCAACTAATTTTTCTTTTTTTCAACATTCCACACTGAAACAAGTACACTGTAGAATTAGAAATAAGTAGAAGTTACTGATTAACTAAAAAAATTTGATTGATCATTTATCTTCAGCTTTGAAGTAAAGTGAAGAAAAGGGAGCAATGGTTTTCCTTTCTTTAATCCTTCCAGACTGGGTAAATTAAAGGAGTGGGAGTTGACTCATAAATGCAGAGTTCTAGATGCTCACAAAACCTATATAAATAACTAGTGAAATCTCTGAGTTTCCACATACTGTCTTCTCAGAAGGACATGAGGCACTTTCTCATCCAAAGCCCTTCCCAGCACTGAGAATTCCTGACTTTAATCAATGAAATCTACTGGAACATACCAGGGAATATGAAAGGTAGCAAGTCACAAGCCTAATAAAAAGAAAGCCAAATTTGGTCAAGTTATTTTCTTCTCAGACCTATGAGCCCAAGATAAAATAGATCTGTACTCCCTTTCTTCCATATGACCGCCTTAGGAGAAACATAACACCCCTTGATACACTGACACAGCTGAACCCCCTGACTCTATTAATATAGGGTAAATTGCTACAGCTTCTAAACAGCTGAAAACTTCACAAGATTAGTGAAGCTGCACAATGGAATCATTGTTAATCCCCCTTTCTTCATGCACTGGAATACATTTAGAATTGATTCTTTGAAAATGAATGGAACAAAAGTGAAAAATATGAATGTTATGCTGTGTTTTCAATGTCTATGTCTTATGACAGAAAAAATATCTTGCCAAGGGAGCCCAAGATTTAAGGACTGTGCTTCTATCATGTGAGCTGGGAAGAGCAAGACTGTGTGTATTTGGATTACATATGTAAATAATTACTAATGCCTACATCATTACAAAATGCTTCATTTTATTACCTAAATAACCTAGTATCGAAAATAACCCTCACTTAACTTGTGGGTCAATTTGAAGAAGCAATAAATCTTATGAAATTTAGGCCAAATTCCAAGGTGAGTTTTGTGCCAGAATCAGCTAAGTGTTTGAGGGAAAACTGTAAGTGTAATGGTGACAAAGTACCTGCTCACCAAAATATATCTGGATCTCAGTGTTCTTGTCTAGGAGAGCCTCAAATGCACTTAAGCATAAAGGTGGGCTTGTGCATAATAATATTTGACCCAAGTGACATAATGAACTTTTCTGCATCTTCCACAAGGAAAATGGAAGTAGACATGAAAAACTAGAAGCCTGTCACCCAGAAAATGGAAGTAGACATGAAAAACTAGAAGGCTGTCACCCAGGAAACTCTGCTTAGCTGCCTGGAATCTTGCAAGTCTTGCCTTATTTGCTATTGAGGAATGAGAGAGCAAGAAACAGGGGAAAAGAACAATGAAAAAAACAATACGTAGAGAGAGCTCTGCTCCAGTTGTATTTTACAGGAAGATAAAGAGTTTGGAGAGAGAAATGGATATTTTATTTTCATATATCAGTTAAATAGTTTCTAAGCATTTTCCAGCACAAGTTATTCTTTTATCTTGATATGAGTTCTGCTCACCAAAGCAGACCCTGAAATGAGAATTCCAGGGCAATTAGTTTTGTGGAAAGTGATCCCAGTAAGCATTCATGGGAAAGTGGGCATCTGAGACAGCAAAGGGAAGAAAGTCAATAAAGTTTGAAGTATCAAACAAGTTACCACTGTGTGCAATTGCAGCTCGCTCCATCTGGAAAACTTTGGGAAACAGTGTAGAATACTCTTCAGAGTTATGCCAACCGAGGGACAAGAAGGTGCAGTATATATCCACTGACTCCCAATTTGTCATTGTTTGGGGGCAGTTTCCAAGGGTTTTCACTCTGTACCCCTTCTGGCTTGCCCTGCCAGCAGGCTGAGTCTCCTTCCTTGACAATAAAGAAAATAATCATACTTCCAACTTATAGAGATGAATCCTGAGTAGACATGGGCAGAGCACTGGCACTGATCCTGGCATAAGAATTGTCTTGGACACAGGCACATTAAAATAAAAGAAAACTACAGGCCAATATCTCTGGTGAATATTGATGCAAAAACCCTCAACAAAACAGTAGTAAACTGAATTCAACAATACATTAAAAAGATTATTCATCATAACCAAGTGGAATTTATCCCAGGGATGCAAGGGTGGTTTAACACATGCAAATCAATCAATGTGATAAATCATATAAAGAGAATGAAGGGTAGCAACCATATGTTCATTTCAATCAATGCTGAAAAAGCATTTGATAAAATTCAACATCCCTTCATGATAAAGACCCTCACAAAACTTTCTTTTAGGTATATACGCAGTGGTGGAATTGCTGGATTATATGGTAGCTCTATTTTATTTTTTTGAGGAACCTCCAAACTCTTCTCCATAGTGGTTGGACTAATTTACATTCCAAACAACAGTGCACAAGGATGTTGAGGGACATATCTCAACATAATAAAAGCCATATACTAAAGACCGACAGTTGGTATCATACTGAATGGGGAAAAACTGAAAGCCTTTCCTCTAATATCTGGAATGCAAAAAGAATGCCCATTTTTACCACTGTTATTCAACATAGCAATAGAAGTCCTAGCTAAAGCAATAAAACAAGAGAAAGAAATAAAGGGCTTCCAAATTGGAAAGGAAGAAGCCAAATCATGCTTGTTTGCAGATGATATGATTTTATATTTGGAGAACCTAAAGACTCTACCGAAAAAAACATTTAGAACGGATAAACAAATTCAGTAAAGCTGCAGGATACAAGATCAACATACAAAAATCAGTAGCATTTCTATATGCCAACAGTTAGCAATATGAAAAAGAAATTTTTTAAGTAAAGTAAATTTTTTAAGATAAGTAAAATTTATCCCTTTTATAATAGCCACAAATAAAATTAAATACCTAGGAATTAACTTAATCAAAGAAACGAAAGATCTCTACAATGAAAGCTATAAAACACTGATGAAAGAAATTGAAGAACACACAAAAATTTGAAAGATATTCCATGTTCATGGATTGCAAGATTTAATATTGTTAAAATATCCATACCACCCAAAGCAATCTATAGATGCAATGCAATCCCTATGAAAATGCCAATTTCACAGAAATAGAAAAAACAATCCTGAAATTTACATGAAACCACAAAAGTCCCAGAATAGCCAAGGCTATCATACACAAGAAGAATAAAACTGGAGGAATTACATTACTTGATTTCAAATTATACTACAGAGTGATTGTAACCAAAAAAGCATGTTACTGGCATAAAAACAGAGACTTAGACCAATGGAACGGAATAGAGAACACAGAAACAAATCCGCTCACCTACAGTGAACTCATTTTCGACAAAGGCGCCAATAAATGGTACTGGAAATACTTAATATCCATATGCAGCAGAATAAAACTAGACTCCTGTCTCTTGTCATATACAAAAATCAAATCAAAATAAAGAATTAAATCTAAGATCTCAAAATATAAAACTACTACAAAAAACACTGGGGAAGCTCTCCAGGACATCAGTCTGGGCAAAAATTTCTTGAGTAATACCCCACAAACACAGGCAACCAACGCAAAAATGGACAAATGGGATCATATCAAGTTAAAAAGTTTTAGCACAACAAAGGAAGCAATCAACAAAGTGAAGAGGCAATCCACAGAACAGAAGAAAATATTTGCAAACTACTCATCTGACAAAGGCTTAATAACCAGAATATATAAAGATCTCAAACAACTCTATAGGAAAGAAAACTAATAATCTGATTAAAAAGTAGGCAAAAGATTTGAATAGACATTTCTCAAAAGAAGACATACAAATTGCAAACAGGCATATGAATAGGTGTTCAACATCACTGATCATCAGAAAAATACAAATCAAAACTACAATGAGATATCATCTTACCCCAGTTAAAATGGCTTTTATCCAAATGTCAGGCAATAACAAATGCTGGAGAGGATGTGGAGGAAAGGGAACCCTCATACATTGTTGGTTGGAATGTAAATTAGTCCAACCATTATGGAGAAGAGTTTGGAGGTTCCTCAAAAAACTAAAAATAGAGCTACCACACAATCCAGCAATTCCACCAGTGGGTATACACCTAAAATGAAGAAATTCAGTATATTGAAGAGATATCTGCATTCTTATGCTTGTTGCAGCACTGTTCACAATAGCTAAGATTTGGAAGCAACCTAAATGTGCATCAACATATGAATGGATAAAGAAAACGTGGTACTTATACACAATGGAGTACTATTCAGCCAGAAAAAAGAATGAGATTCTATCACTTGCAACAACATGGATGGAACTAGGTGTCATTACGTTAAGTGAAATAAGCCAGGCACAGAAAGACAAACATCACATGTTCTGACGTATTTGGGGGATCTAAAAATCAAAAAAATTGAAACCATCAAGAAAGAGAATAGAAGGATGTCTACAAAGGCTGGGAAAGGTATTGCAGGGGAGATGAGGGGGAGGTGAAGATTATTAGTAGGTACAAAAAATAGTTAGAATAAATGAACAAGGCCTAGTATTTGATAGCACAACAGAGTGACTATAGTCAATAATAATTTAATTGCACATTTTAAAATAATTAAAGGAGTAGAATTCAATTGATTGTAACACAGAGAATAAATGATTGAGGGGATGAATACCCCATCTTTCATGATGTAATTTTTATGCATTGCATGCCTGTATCAAAACATCTCATGTACCTCATAAATATATACACCTACTATGTATCCAATAAAAGTAAAAACTAAAAATTTAAAAAGATTTTAAGACAGAATAACTTCATTAGTCAAAAAAAATGACGTTTTTCACAGAAATAGAAAAACAATCCTGAAATGTATACAGAACCACAAAAGACCCAGGATAGCCAAAGCTTTATTGAGCAAAAAGAATGAAACTGGAGAAATCACATTACCTCATTTTAAATTATACCATACAGCTATAGTAACAAAAACAACATGAGGCTGGCATAAAAACAGACATATAGGCCAACGGAACAGAATAGAGAACCCAGAACCAAATCCACACATCTACAGTGAACTCATTTTTTACAAAAGTGCCAAGAACATACATTGGAAAAAGTATAGTCTCTTCAATGAATTGTGCTGGGAAAACTGGATATCCATATGCATAAGAATGAACCCTGCCCCCATCTCTTGCCATATAAAAAACTCAAATCAAAATGGATTACAGAATTAAATTTAAGACCTCAAACTATGAAACTATTACAAGAAAACATTGGGGAAACTCTCCAGGACATTGGTCTGGGCAAAAATTTATTGGGTAATAGCCCACAAGCACAGGCAACCATAGCAAAAATTGACAAAACAGATCACATCAAGGTAAAAAGCATCTGCACAGCAAAGGATACAATCAACAAAGTGAAGAGACAACTGACAGAATGGAAGAAGATATTTGCAAACTACCCATCAGACAGGGGATTAATAACCAGAATATATTAGGAGCTCAAACAGCTCTATAGGAAATAAATCTAATAATCCAATTAAAAATGGATAAAAGAACTGAATAGGCATTTTTCAAAAGAAGACATACAAATGGCAAGCAGGGATACAAAAAAATGCTCCATCAAAAAGCTAATCTACCAAAATCAAGTAGGCTTTTTCTTTGGAATACAAGGTTGGTTCAACATATGCAAATTAATAAGTGGGATTCATCACATAAATAGAACTAAAGACTAAACCCACATGACTATCTCAGTAGATGGAGAAAAAGCTTTCAATAAAATTCAATATCCATTCATATTAAAAACCCTCAATAAACTAGGCGTTGAAGGAACATACCTCAAAATAACAAGAGCCATACATGACAAACCCACAGCAAACATCATACTGAATGGGCAAAAGCTGGAAGCATTCCCCTTGAAAACCAGCACAAGATAAGGATGCCCTCTCTTACCCCTCTTATTCAACATAGTGTTGGAAGTTCTGGCTAGGGCAATCAGGCCAGAGAAATAAATAAAGGGCATCCAAATAGGAAGAGAGGAAGTCAAAGTATTCTTGTTTGCAGATGACATAATCCTATATTTAGAAAACCCCATAGTCTCAGCCCAAAATCTTCTTCAAATGATAAAACACTTCAGCAAAGTCTCAGAATACAAAACCAATGTGCAAAAATCACTAGCATTCCTATACACCAACAATAGTTAAGCTGAGGGCAAAATCAGGAATGAACTCCCATTCACAATTACCACAAAAAGAGTAAAATACCTAGAAATACAACTAACTAGGGACATGAAAGATCTCTACAAGAACTACAAACCACTGTTCAAAGAAATCAGAGATATCATAAGCAAATGGAAAAACATTCCACGCTTATGGATACAAGTATCAATATCGTTAAAAGGGCCATACTGCCCAAAGCAATTTATAGATTCAACGCTATTGCTATCAAAATATCAATGACATTCTTCAAAAAACTATAATAAAACTACTTTAAAATTTCATATGGAACCAAGAAATATCCTGAATAGCCAAGGCAATCATAAGCAAACAGAACAAAGCTGGAGGCATCATGCTACTTAACTTCAAGCTATAGTACAGGGCTACTGTAACCAAAACAGCATGGTACTGGTACAAAAACAGTCACATAGACCAGTGAAACAGAATAGAGAACCCAGAAATAAGACTAAACACCTACAACTATCCGAACTTCAACAAACCTGACAAAATCAAGCAATGGGTAAAAGATTTCCTATTCAATAAATGGTGCTGGGATAACTGGCTAGCCATCTGCAGATTAAAACTGAACCCCTTCTTTATACCATAAACAAAAATTAACTCGAGATGGGTTAAAAACTTAAATGTAAAACCCAAAACTATGAAAACCCTGGAAGACAACCTACACAATACCATTCAGGACATAGGCACAGGAAAAGATTTCATGATGAAGATGCCAAAAGCAATTGCTACAAAAGCAAAAATTGATAAATGAAACCTAACTAAGCTAATAAGTTTCTGCACAGCAAAAGTTATCAACAGAGTAAACAGACAACCTACAGAATATGAGAAAATTTCTGCAAGCTCTGTATCCAACAAAGGTCTAATATCCAGCATCAATAAGGAACTTAAACAAATTTACAAGAAAAAAAAAACATAAAAAAGGGGGCAAAAAACATGAACAGACACTTTTCAAAAGAAGACATAAATGTGGCCAACAATCATATGAAAAAAAGCTCAACATCGCTGATTATTAGAGAAATGCAAATCAAAACCACAATGAGATACCATCTCACACCAGTCAGAATGGCTATTATGAAAAAGTCAAAAATTAACAGATGCTGACATGGTTGTAGAGAAAGAGGAATGCTTATACGTTGTTTGTGAGAGTGAAATTAGTTCAACCATTGTGGAAGACAATGTCGTGATTACTCAAAGACCTAAAGACAGAAATACCATTCGAAGGAATATGAATCATTCTATAATAAAGAGACATGTATACGTATGTTCATAGCAACACTATTCACAATAGCAAAGACACGAAATCAACCTAAATGCCCATGAATGATAGACTGGATAAAGAAAATGTGGCACATATACACCATGTAATACTATGCAGCCATAAAAAAGAATGAGCTCGTGTCCTTTGCAGCAACATGGATGGAGCTGGAGGCCATTATTATCCTTAGCAAACTAACACAGGAACAGAAAACCAAATACCACATGTTCTCACTTATAAGGAGAGCTAAATGATCAGAATACATGGACACATAGAGGGGAACAACACACACTGGGGCCTTTCAAAGGGTGGAGGTTGGGAGGAGGGAGAGGATCAGGAAAAACAACTAATGGGTACTAGGCTTAATGCCTGGGTGATTAAATAATCTGTACGACAAACCCTCATGACACAAGTTTACCTATGTAACAAACCTGCACATGCACCCCTGAACTTGAAATAAAATTTAAACAACGGTGCTCAACATAATTAATCATCAGAGAAATGCAAATCAATGCTACAATGAGATATAATCTCACCCTAGTTAAAATGGCTTATATCCAAAAGACTGGCAATAACAAATGCTAGCAATGATGTGAAGAAAAGGGAACCCTTGAACACTGTTGGTGGGAATGTAAATTAGTACAAACACTATGGAGAAGAGTTTGGAGCTTCCTCAAAACACTAATAATAGAGCTACCATACAATCTAGCAATCCTATTTCTGGGTATATACCCAAAATAAAGGATATCAGTATATTGAACTGATATCTGCACTCCTATATTTTTTGCAGCACTGTTTACAATAGCTAATATTTGGAAACAATCTAAGTGTCCATCCATCAATGGATGAATAAAGAAAATATGGTACACATACACAATGGTGTACTATTCAGCCATAAAAAAGAATGAGATTCTGTCATTTACAACATGGATGGGATTAGAGGTCATTATGTTAAGTGAAGCAGCCAGGCACAGAAAGACAGACATCGAATGTTTGCACTTATTTGTGGGATCTAAAAATCAAGACAATTGAAAACATGCAGACAGAGAGTAGAAGGATGGTTACCAGAGGCTGGGAAGGGTAGTTGGAGTTTGGGGTTGGGGGAATTGGGGATGGCTAATGAGTAAAAAATAAATAAATAAATAATACTTAGTACTTGATAGCACAGTAGGGTTACCAGAGTCAAAAATAATTTAATTGTGCATTTTAAAATAACAAAATAAGTAGAATTGATTGTAACACAAAGGATAAATTCTTGAGGGCATAGATACCCCCATTTTCCATGATGTGATTATTATGCCTTGCATGCCTGTATCAAAATATCTCCTGTACTCCACAAGTACACACACCTAGTGTGTACCCACAAAAATTAAAAATTAAAAAATTTTAAAAATTCATCTTGGGATTTGGCCTAAATTCTATAAGCCTGTCATTTTCTCAATTAGATAGATGGTACGTTAGATGGAGATTGAATATTTTTCATGATGTTGACATTAGTAAAAAATAAAATATGTACTCTGATTTATTAACTGATGTGTTTAAATAAACTGTAGGTATAATGCAATCACTCATTCATGATGTAATGTGCAGTTAGTCTGTGTCAGAATCTATGCTAGATCTCAGGTCTCATAATTCTTTGGTCAACAGCAAAGTCAATAACCCTGATGCAACTATTCTAGAACATAGCATTCTTCCTAGACAGTGACTGGCACCTTAAGGCCATTCTCCCATCTAAGAGTCATAACAGATCAACTTTTTATCTCAACCTAGCCAAGCCTCATCTTAACCCATCTACCCCTCTTCATTGTCTTCAACCTACCCTCACCTGTCCTCCAACAAAGGAAAACATAATTGATCCAGTACTTTAGGACCTCTCAAATTATTCTTTTCTGTGGCCTCTACCAATAAAATAATAGGTAACACATATTGAGCATCGAAGCACTGTTTACAGCACTCTATATGCACTCATTCAGTACTTATAATGACACTATAAGGCCAGTATGTCATTATTCTCATTTTATAGATGGGTAGCTGAGGCACAGAAAGGTTAGGTAACCAGCCCAATGTCATCCAGCTAATGGCAGAGCTGGGATTTCAAGCTGGAAAATCTGGCTCTAGGACATATGTCTTAACTTTAAACTGTTGGAAACACTGCTATTGTATTTCCAGCTTTCATGTTGATGGTGCTTTAATTTTAAACCTAAACTTTAGTATACATTATACACAAAACAAAGCAAAATACAGAAAAATCTTACTAATTATGCAGGGATTTGACTGAATCAATCAAAAGATTGAATTTGAAAGTATTGTTTTGTTCTGCTATGTAGAGAATAAGCTTAATTTCTTTAATTACACAAAATAAAATAAAACTAACTAATAAGTAGAAATCCTCAGACCTGCTTTAAGGACCAGATAAGAGTAATGTATGCCCACTTTCGCTTATATATCTATATTTATAGATTTTATTATACCCATGGGTGAAAAAGATTTCTCAGATGCCATGAGGACCCAAAGGTGGGTACAAGGTGAGCTGTCATGTGTCAGTAGGAGGGTTATGCTGAAGTAGTAGCCCCTGCTTTTTTTCTAAGCCTTACATTATGGAAAAAAATCCAAGCCTCTGCTTTTCAAGTCTTCCCTTAAAGCCTCGGAATCAGCTAGGCAAATAGCCAGCAGCATCCCTGACCAATCTAAACAGGGAGTACATTCCTATGTGATGTGCAAAGCTCAGCTTTCTCCATTTCCCCTATATTGGAAAGAGCTTTGATAACAAAGAGAAGTGGGTTCAAATCCTGGCTTCAACACTTAGTGGGTATGAGTCAGTTTTCTTTCTTTGGAATGGGGATAATTATAAGACCAGCCTCATAGGGTTGTCCTGAGAATTAAGTGACCCATTGTAGAGAAAGCATTCAAGGCAGTGCCTGGCACGTGGTATGTGCCCATTAAGTGGTAATGTTTAATGGTTGTCATTATGTAACTTTGATAGAGTGGTTCAGTGTTCAAGCTCTGATATCGGACTGTTTGGGATGCAATTATGGAACTACAGGTTGTGTTAGGCAACTTAACCTCACTGAGCCTATTTCCTCACCTGAAAAATAGGTTTTATAATAGTTTGGTTTAAATGAAAGAAGAAAACATTAGTGAATTGACTAATATAGTACCTGGTACCATAGAGGTGCCATTTTAAATGGGTTTTGTTTTTCTTTTTGTAATTTTAGTTTCTTCTCTTCTTTCACTTCGGCATAGCAATTACCTAGCCATCTAGCCTCACACTTTCCACTCCCAGTTCAATAAAGGGAATGCACAGCTCTGGGGCATTAGCAGGATTGATTTGGAAAAGATCTGGGAGTGTGAATGTCTTGTACCCATGGATGGATTTCTGAATTCTGCCATAGACAGATGATTTTGTATAGTGCTGAAAGCATAGATTCGGACCACACTAGGGAGTTCCACTACGAACAAATTACTTAACCTCTCTCTGCCTCAGATTCCTCAATTGTGAAATGTGGATACAAAACAATACCTACCTTGTAGGGTTGTTGTAAGGTAAAGCTTTAAATGAGTTAATAAATGTGAAGTGCTTAGTGCAACACTCAGCACACAGTATTAGCCATTGTTACTACTTTAGAACGGACTATAGAACTTGACTATTAGGGAATACAAGGCAGACATTGTGATTGGCCAATTCACCAGAAGCCAATGTAAACCTGGGTATGTTTCACACGTGGGTATCTCCTACCCAAAGGTGTTCTGTGGCTAAAGCAGACATAAATTAGATCCTGCAGAACTGCGAGAGTGGATACAGTTAAGGTAAATTACTGCTGTAAAAAAGAGATTGGATTTTGTGTCAAAAGATCCAAATATGAGTGCCAGTTATGTTGCCTACTAGTTGTGCAGCCTTGCAAAACTCACTTACCTTCACTGGATCTTAATTTATCCATCTAAAAAATGAACACAATAAACCCTCTGTTACAAGCTTTTGTGAAGACCAGAATAAGAATTTCAAGAAAAGTGCTTGGCAAATTGCTAAGTGCTATACAAATAAAATGCCTCTTTCTCATCACAGTTGTTGCTATTGTACTTGCTATTTTACAAATATGCATGTCTTCATTCTGTTCAATTGTAAAATGGGCTTTTACCTTGGGGCTTTGTAGGACCATCTGCTTGGGTCTGGAAGGTGAAGGACTTGGACATGAAGTGGTCAGAACTGATTGAAATTCCAAGGCCCCCGATTGAACTTGGTGCCAGTGTCTTAACAATCATACTCACACTTAAACTTCGGTGGTTGTAAATATAGGTAGGGTCACTAATCAACCAGGTGGCTACCCGCTGCCCAGAACGTGGGCAATTAAGTACAAGGGCCATTTTCATCCAGAGGGTTTGCTATTTCATAGCCAATTACCCGGGCAGCTTCACCCCACTTTGAACTTTGTGGGAAGTAAGGGCAGCATATGCATCTGCAGCCTCAATAGCTTCCCTGTAGCTCCTGCCATCAACCCTATTCATCTCTTTCTAAAGAAGCGTCAGCATCCACCTGCCTTTCAGTATTTAACTCCTTCATTTAGAAAGAAGCAGCAGGAAATTTGAGCCAAGAGCTATTTTTATCTTTATAATGGCAAAAGCAATTTTAACACTATATCCACATCGTAATCTGCATTTCTGCAATCTGCTATATTTTAAAATATCAAAATCAGGAATGAATGTGCTCTTCTCAGATAGTCACATGGCTCCCTAATGCAATTTCTCCCTAATTAGAATGGTGCTCAGTTAAGAGAAAGATATTTAATGTTCTTAGTCCCTAGAGCAAATGTAAATTTTATTGAGGACCAGTTGTGGCTGAGCTTTATCAAAGAAAATACAGCTTTAGGATATGAGTTTATTTGAAAAAAAGACTTTATTATTAAAATGCACCAATTAGGCCTATAGCATTAAAGAAGTCCTGAGGTGGAGGTTTATGCATGTATTTACACATCCAATGACATACAGCAACATACAAACCAGACTGCCTCCAGCCTACCACCTGAGGAGAGGATGGGGAGTGATGCAGGGTAAGGGTGTAAATAATACCTTTACATTCTCTCTTCCTATTGGTGGAATCTGAACTCCCTGATTATCGTCACCAACTCCTTCACTTTTCAGTTGCTTGTACTACTTCCCTGGAATCCTTCCCTACCTTCCCTTCTCTCCCCTATCACTACTCTCAGAGTAGCCTTGCCAGACCCACTGGAGATAAGACAACTTGAAGGAGATAGGGAGAGTCACATCACCCCTGCCTTCAAAGCCCAGTTGCAGCATCTCTTTCTTGACATCTTTCTTGCCTATTCCCTAGGCAGGAATTGATAATCCATACACAAACTTCTCGAACTTTACTGTGCATACAAGTTACTCAAGGTTCTTATTAAAATGCAGACTGTAATTGGGTAGACCTGAGCAGAGGGCCTAAGATTCTGTATTTCTATTGGGCTTCCAGCTGATAAAATTGCTGCAGGTGATCCGTGGACCATGTTTTTGTTTGTTTGGTTGGTTGGTTGGTTTTTGTTTTTGAGACAGGGTCTCTTTCTGTCACAGAGGCTGAAGTGCAGTGGTATGATCACAGCTCAATGCAGCCTCAACCTCCCAGGCTCAGGTGATCTTCCCACTTCAGCCTCCTGGGTAGCTGGGACTACAGGTGCATGCCACCACGCCCAGCTATTTTTTAATGTGTTTTTTGTAGACAAAGAGTCTGGTTATGTTGCCCAAGTTGGTCTCGAACTCCTGGGCTCAAGAGATCCACCTGCCTTAGCCTCCTAAAGTGCTGAAATTACAGGCATGAGCCACCCTACTTGGTGGCAGGGACCATATTTTTGAATACAAGTCTATACTACATAATTCAACAATTTGTTCTAATCCCTTTTTTTTTCTCTCCAGATAAGTTGTTGATTTTCTGAGGGCTGGGATTCTATCTTATATTTCTTATGTTGATCCTCAAAATGCTGAGCTCATAATTAGTGCCACTTAAATACTACTGGATCAAATGATTGATTCATAATTGTAACAGGGACTTTGGAGTCAGACAACCTGGGCTGAAATCTCAGTGCTGCTCCTTATAAGCTTTGGAACTTTAGGCAAGTAATTTATTATCTCTGAACCTCAATTTTCCTACCTGTAAAATAATAGGGTGACTATGACAATTGCATGAACTTTTTCTGTAAAGCACCTTGCACAGTGCTTGACACAAAGTAGGCTCCCAATAAATATTACTTCCGTGTCAAAGTAGGCTCCCAGTAAATATTACTTCTGTGTTGCCTTGGATTTTCTGAAAAAAGAATTTGGGATGATCAAATCATTTTATAAATGTCAGCTAAAATTTTTAAATGAGAAAAACATTTCAAAACTACATTCATTTCTGAAAATATCTGTTTAGATATTTTTCTTCTTCCCTAATGTTTTCTGAAATGTTCTTTAACTTACTTATGTTAAAGAAACTTAACTGAAACTTATCTTTCCTGCTTGCATTTCAAAATACAACTTTAGTGTAGTGAAAACATTCCTGAACTTTCTAATCAGAAAACCTAGGTTCCCAGTTATGTTGTTATTACCCAGGAGATATTGATTAAGAATCTTAACCTCTCTCAGCTTCAGCCTTCCTGTTTATAAAAGAGGAATGATTATAGCATCCACCTAGACAATCACTGGTATATAAACACTCTTTATAATCTATAAAGCACTATATTCATGTAAAGGGTTGATATTTGCTTCAACATGCTGTCATCTATGTATAGATGACTGTCTTTTTATTTTCTGTTCTAGAATCTTGGGTTTATAATAGTCTTTGTATTTATCCTCAGATACTTTTGGAAATTAAAGTTTCTCTGTAAGTATTCCTAAAGTCCTCTGCCTCTCTGCTATTTTCATTATAAAGAGAGGTAACATCAAGCACAGAAGATAAAGATAATTTGGTAAAATCATCCAGCAAGTTACAGGCAGGCTTATAATAAAACTTTTCTCTTGTTTTTGTTAGAATAAGACACATGGAAACATTTTATTTGAAACCAGAAGCCAGTTGTTCTTTGGCAAATTACATTAAATTAAAAAATACTATCTGAAAAACAAATGTCTGAGAATACTAATTTCAAAAACATGAAAGAAATCATTTTCATGGAGCAGCTCAATTCAACCATAGCACCTGAGATTGCAAGTCAAACTTTGTTATTAGTTTATTAGTTACTTCCTAGATACAATGGGGGTACAGGTATTGGATAAATACAGCCATTCCAAAAGGGAGAAATTGGCCAAAACAAAGGAGCTACAGGCCCCATGCAAGTCTGAAATCCAGCAGGGCAGTCAAATCTTAAAGCTTCAAAATGATCTCCTTTGACTCCTTGTCTCATATCCAGGTCATGCTGATGCAAAAGGTGGGTTCACATGGTCTTGGGCAGCTCTGCCCCTGTGGCTCAGCAGGGTACAGCCTCCCTCCCAGCTGCTTTCATGGGCTAGAGTTGAGTGTGACTTTTCCAGGCTCACGGTGCAAGCTGTCAGTGGATCTACCATTCTGGGGTCTGGAGGATAGTTGCCCTCTTCGCATAGCTACACTAGGCAGTGTCCAGTAGGGACTCTGTGCGGGGGCACCAACCCCACATTTCCTTTCCATACTGCCCTAGTAGAGGTTCTCCATGAGGGCCCCACCCCTGCAGCAAACTTCTACCTGGGCATCCAGGTGTTTCCATACATCCTCTGAAATCTAGGTGGAGATCCCAAATGCCAGTTCTTGACTTCTGTGCATTCACATCCTCAACACCACATGGAAGCTGCCAAGGTTTGGAGCTTGCACCCTCTGAAGCCATGGCCCAAGCTCCATGTTGGCCCCTTTCAGTCATGGCTGGAGTGGCTGAGAGGCAGGGCACCAAGTCCCTAGACTAAACACAGCATGGGGACCCTGAGCCTTGCCCATGAAACCATTTTTTTCTCCTAGACCTCCAGGCCTATGATGGGAGAGGCTGCCGTGAAGACCTCTGACATGCCCTGGAGACAGTTTCCCCATTGTCTTGGGGATTAACATTCAGTTCCTCGTTACTTATGCAAATTTATGCAGTTGGCTTGAATTTCTCCTCAGAAAATGGAACTTTCTTTTCTATCACATTCTCAAGCTGCAAATTTTCCAAACTTTTATTCTCTGCTTCCCTTATAAAATTGAATGCCTTTAACAGCACCCAAGTCACCTTTTGAATGCTTTGCTGCTTAGAAGTATCTACTGCCACATACCCTAAATCATCTCTCTCAATTTCAAAGTTCCACAAATCTCTAGGGCAGGGGCAAAATGCCACCAGTCTCTTTGCTAAAACATAACAAGAGAGTGACCTTTGCTCTAGTTCCCAACAAGTTTCTCATCTCCATCTGAGACCACCTCAGCCTGCATTTCATTGTCCATATCATTATCAGGATTTTGGTCAAAGGCATTCAACAAGTATCTAGGGAGTTCCAAACTTTCCCATATACCATGTACCTGAAGTTATGTTAATATGCTCCAGCAAAAATACCATTATCTAGATCAGCAGTTGTGATTGGGGATACTACCTAATTGAGTTTACCATAATCCACTTTAGCCCTCCAGTGTGTAGTTGGTTTCATACGAACCAGAATGGTAAATCAATGAGAATATGGTAAGGACTCACATTTCTGCATCCTTCAGAGTTTTAAGGGAGGCAATAATCTCTGTCATTCTTCCAGGAAGTAATTTTATTTTTGATTTACTGTCTTGACTGGGGATAAGAGAGAGAGGGAGTTATCCAGAGGTTTGCACTTAGCCTTCCCACTATGATAGCTTTTACCCCACAGAACAAAGACCTGATGTTGGGATTCTTCCAAGTATCATGTATAACCATTCTAATTATACATTTGTAGACTGGGGTAGTGACCCCAAGGTGAATCTATAGATATAGTGGACCTACTGTGAGCTAAACCTGAACCAGGACTCCACTTATTACCTGGTTTATATATGCTCCCACTCCAACAGAGAAGCCACAATGACACTTCTGGTGTCCTGTTAGCAATGTCAACTGATCCAAACAAACTTCAAAATACTTAAGTATTTCCTTTATCCCAGTGTATAGTTACTCAAGCAGATAATTTTAAGTCACTTCAGGGAGAGACTGGAGGAAACATTATAGGCTTTTCAGCTTGCTTTGGTGTTGGATATGAGAACAGGCTTAGGAATGGAAATTGGGCAAGAGATCATATATTTTATTGGGAAAGCTGCCCTTTCTGGTCATCCATCTTTGTTTTTTTTTTTTTTGTTTTGTTTTGTTTTTTTGGTTGTGTCAATTAGGCAAAAATCTTGTTGGGTTCCCATCTATCTTGCTCCTAGAATACTATGTTCTATTAACTATCTGCATAGTTCTCTGCAGGTCAGGACCCCTTGGCTGCCACTCTGACCTTGCTGTTCTCTACAATAATTGCGCCCACTTTGCTCCTGATAGTAAATCAATGACATCTGGCCTCAATTATTTCCAGATCCTGTCATCACCTTTGCCATCAAGTAGCCCAGTTTTATTACAGCATTTCCCAGTGTTATCCCTGATCTGTATAGGACAGCAAGTTTCTCAGTAATGGATGTGTCTGTCTTGCCAGCACATCATTCTTTATTGCTTTGGTTAAATAGAATGTCTTCTGAGCCTTTCTTCAGAAAATATTTGGCTGGCAGATTTTCCAGTCTTGCAGTGTGTTCCCTTTCCCTGGCATGACCAGTTCTGGAGAGTTCTGATTTATTCCTCCATCATCTTTCATGCAATTTCCAGCAGTTTTTACTTCACTTTTTGTGGATAATCATTTTCCAAAGATTCCAAGAGAAACCTTAGAAACATATTAGCCCTATCTTCCAGGGTCCTTGACCAAGTAAATCCTATATCATGGGAAAGTAATCCATATTAAGAAAACTCACATTTATCCAACTTTACATTTTGTTTTTTTGATCCATCACACACAGGATCCAGTCTTACATATACTGTTCTGGCTCCAATTAATCATGTTGACTAGATCCTGCAGCTACTTTGGTACATAGACCCTTTCCTCTCTTAAGAGGCCCAGCACTTCCCTAACTGGATAATGTTGTTACTTGATTTTAGTTTGGGGTCTCATGGCAAGGAAGTGAAGTGAGGATTCTGAGAGAGGATACATGTTTTCTGTGGTGGGGGGAGGGTATTTTTTTCTTCTGAGAAAGAGTCTTGCTCTGTTGCCCAGGCTGGAGTACAGTTGCACACTGTAGCTCACTGCAGCCTCAAACTCCAGGGCTAAAGTGATCCTCTCACCTCAGCCTCCCAAAGTGCTTACAAGAGTGAGCCACCATGCCCAGCCAGGATACTTTTTTTTTCCAAAGCAGAAATATCTAACATCTTCCAAACAGGATAGAGCACTAGATTTTAGCAAGGAGGAGGATTTTAACTTTTGCAGCCCTAGAGAGATCAGGAGAATCTTGGAAATCAAGATTTTAGAGTCCATTGACCCAGATGTACCTATCCCATGCCTCAGGTCCCATTCCTTCCCAATGAATACCCTGACCTTGGCAGAGCCGACTAACCATGGTTGAAAATTCAACCTTCTCTGGACTCTGAGATGCTTTATAATTAAGTCCTGGGCCTGATCACCAGCTTTTTCTGCCTTCCAGCTGAAAGAAATGAGTGCCTCTTTATATGTTGGCAAAGATATTTGCCATTCACACTCCATCTTAAATCAATTACTAGACCTCCTTATCCTTTCATTGTTTTTGTCCAAAGCATGAATAGCGTCTAGCAAAAGCCATTCAATCCCTAGTCCTTATAATTACTACCTCACCCAAATGCTGAAACATACAAGATGTTGTACTTACCAACGTGTTCTCTTTCTCTGGTATTCCATCCCAGTTCACTGCCAAAAGATGCATAAACAATTTCACTGCCTACAGAATGCCAAAAGCAGTTAGTATTCCACCTGCCCCCAGTGAAATGGTTCCCACTCCAAGCTGGCTGATGGATAATCCACCTCTAAAATGCCACTTTAGAGTTTTCTTTCTAGGTCTACTCCTAGAACCCAGTCTTAAGTCATATTCCTCAGTCAATACCCTCTAAAATGAATATCTGTATGAGGAGGTTTCTTCAGGAAGTCCTCTCAGAAATAAGATTTCTAAGATAATCAGGAAAGAATATTTAGATACAGAGACGTTTTGGACTACCATGCAGTTGCAGCAGAGGCTTCAGCCAGTTCCTTATGGGGTTTTGGAGTTGAGATAACCCTTCAAATTTGTCCTAAACTGATGCAAGGAAGCCAGGAGCTGTAGTCCTATGTCACAGTCACTAGATGTGGACTCCTCTTCAGAGAGAGGATACAACTCTGGGTGAGCTTTTTCTCTTCAGATGAGGCCAGATCCCAGAGAGGGACTCAGCGGTGAGTCATTAACAGCCAACACTCTCAGCAGTAGTGAAAATGATTCCTTCAGTACTGAATGGAGAATTTGGGTGACAGCACCCACTATAATCTCCCTCCTTTTTGGCTTTATTTTGATGGTAATGTGGAATTAAAACAAAGGAGTAGTAAATATGGTGCTTAACTGGAGGGGGTTTTCCCACAACAAATTATTCCCTGTTATGTCATGCCATGTCTGTCTTTAGGACTTGGCACTTATAGAGAAGGGAGCTCAGTCTCAGAAGAGGTAGAAAAGTGGGCACTGGGGAAAAGTTTCAGGGTTCTCCTTAGGGAACTTACCACTTTTTAGGGACCATTTAATTGATGGTAGGTGGAATACCAATAGCTTTTGGCATGCTGTCACAGTGAAATTATTAACATTATTATCAGTGGTTGTGTCAGTTTGTTCTTGCATTGCTATAAAGAAATACCTGAGGCTGGGTAATTTATAAAGAAAAGAGGTTTACTTGGCTTACAGTTTTGCAGTCTGTACAGGAAGCATGGTACCAGCAACTGCTCAGTTCCTGATGAGGCCTCAGGGAACTTACAATCGTGGCAGAAGGCAACAGGGATCCAGCATAACTAAAAGGGAGCCCAGTGCTGATAGCCAAGAAAACAGGGAAAAGGCCTTGAAGGCATTTCAGAGACCCTTGCAGTAGCCCCTCCCATCATTGTAGCAAGTGGTTGCTCCATAGCCTGTTTGAATTTTTTTCCTGAAAATGCTTTTTTCTTTCTCTTCCACATGGCTAGGCTGCAAATTTTCTAAACTTTTATGCTTTGCCTCCCTTTTAAATATAAGTTTCAATTTTAAGTCGTTTATTTGCTCTTGTCTCTGATTGTAGGTTGTTAGAAGCAGCCATGTCACTTCTTCAGTGCTTTGCTGCTTGGAAATTTCTTCTGCCAGATACCCTAGGTCATCCCTCTTAAGTTCAAACTTCCACTGATTCCCTAGGGCATGGACACAATACAGCAAAGTTCTTTGCTACAGCATAACATGGATAACGTTTACTCCATTTCTCAATAGCTTCCCCACTTCCATCTGAGTCCTTGTCAGCCTGGCTTTCTTCCTTCCTTCCTTCTTTCCTTCCTTCCTTCCTTTCCTTTTCTTTTTTTCTTTCTTACCAAGTCTCACTTTGTTGCCCAGGCTGGAGTGCAATGGCATGATCTTGGCTCACTGCCATCTCTGCCTCCTGGGTTCAAGCGATTCTCCTGCCTCAGCCTCCTGAGTAGCTGGGATTACAGGTGCATGCTACCATGCCTGGCCTAATTATTTGTATTTTTAGTAGAAATGGTGTTTCACCATGTTAGCCAGGCTGGTCTTGAACTCCTGACCTCAGGTGATCTGCCCGCCTTGGCCTCCCAAAGTGCTGGGATTACAGGCGTGAGCCACTGTGCCCAGCCCATATTTCTATCAGCATTTTGGTCACAACAATTTAACCAGTCTCTAAGAAGTTTTAAACTTTCCCCCATCATCCTGTCTTCTTCTGAGCCCTCCAAACTCTGCCCATTACCAAGCTCTAAAGCAGCTTCCACATCTTCAGGTATCTTTATAGCAATGTCCCCCTCCTTGTTTTCTGTGTCAGTCTGTTCTTGCATTGCTACAAAGAAATAACAGCCTGTTTAATTTATAAAGAAAAGAAGTTTAATTGGTTCATAGTTCTGCAGGCTTTATAGGAAGCATGGTGCTAGCATCTGCTTCTGATGAGGTCTCAGGAATCTTACAATCATGGCAGAAAGCAACAGGGAGCCAACATGTCACATGGTGAGAGCAAGAGGAAGAGAGAGAGTAGGGGATGAGGTGCCACACTCTTTTAAATAACCGGACCTTTTATTTTTTGATTATGGCCATTCTTGCAGGAGTAAGGTGGTATCACATTGTGGTTTTGATTTGCATTTCCCCGGTCATTAGTGATATTGAGCATTTTTTCATGTTTGTTGGCCATTTGTATATCTTCTTTTGAGAATTGTCTATTCGTGTACGTAGGTCACTTTTTGATGGGGTTGTTTTTTTCTTGCTCACTTGTTTGAGTTCCTTGTAGATTCTAGATATTAGTCCTTTGTCAGATATATAGATTGCAAAGATTTTCTCCCTACCTGTGGGTTGTTAGCACTGCTGATTGTTTCTTTTGCTGTGAAGAAGCTTTTTAGTTTAAGATTGTTTCTTTTGCTGTGAAGAAGCTTTTTAGTTTAATTAAGTCCCATCTATTTACCTTTGTTTTTGTTGCATTTGCTTTTGGGTTCTTGGTCATAAAGTCTTTGCCTAAGCCAATGTCTAGAAGGGTTCTTCCTATGTTATCTTGTAGAATCTTTATCATTTCAGGTATAAGGTTTAAGTCTTTGATCCATCTTGAGTTGATTTTTGTATAAGGTAAGAGATGAGGATCCAGTTTCATTATTCTACATGTGGTTTGCCAATTACCCCAGCACCATATGTTGAATAGACTGTCCTTTCCTCACTTTATGTTTTTGTCTGCTTTGTCAAAGATCAGTTGGCTGTAAGTATTTGGCTTTATTTCTGGGTTCTCTATTCTGTTCCATCGGTCTATGTGCTTATTTTTATACCAGTACCATGTTGTTTTGATGACTATGGCCTTATAGTATAGTTTGAAGTCAGGTAATGTGATGTCTCTCAATTTTTTCTTTTTGCTTAGTCTTGCTTTGCTATGCAGGCTCTTTTTTGGTTTCTTATGAATTTTTGGATGTTTTTTTCTAGTTCTGTGAAGAATGATGGTGGTATTTTGATGGAAATTGCATTGAATTTGAAAATTGCTTTTGGCAGTATGGTCATTTTCACAATATTGTTTCTACCCACCCCTGAGCATGGGATGTTTCCATTTGTTTGTGTCATCTATGATTTCTTTCAGCAGTGTTTTGTAGTTTTACTTGTAGAGGTCTTTCACATCCTTGGTTAGGTATATTCCTAAGTATTTTTGTGTTTTTTCTTTTTTTTTTTTTTTTTTTTGCAGCTATTGTGAAAGGGGTTGTGTTCTTGATTTGATTCTCTGCTTGGTCACTGTTGGTGTACAGCAGAGCTACTAATTTGTCTACATTAATTTTATATTCTGAAACTTTGCAGAATTCATTTATCAGTTCTAGGAACATTTTGGAGGAGTCTTTAGGGTTTTCTAGGTATACAATCATATGGCAGGTGTATTAGTCTGTTTTCATGCTGCTGATAAAGACATGCCCGAGACTGGGAACAAAAAGAGGTTTAATGGACTTACAATTCCACATGGCTGGGGAGACCTCACAATCATGGTGGAAGGAAAGGAGAAGCAAGTCACGTCTTACTTGGATGGTGGCAGGTAAAGAGAGCTTGTGCAGGATTTTGTGAGACTCACTCACTATCACGAGAACAGTGCGTGAAAGACCCAACTCCATAATTCAATCACCTCCCACTGGCTTCCTCCCATGAAACATGGGAATTGAGGAAGTTACAATTCAAGATGAGATTTGGGTGGTGGGGACACAGCCAAACCATATCGTTCTGTGCCCCCGCAGGCTCAACACCACATGGAAACTGCCAAGGGTTGGGGCTTGCACCCTCTGAAGCCATGGCCTGAGCTGTGCCTTGGCCCCTTTTAGTCATGGCTGGAGTGGCTGGGACACAGGGCACCAAGTCCCTAGACTGCACACAGCATGGGCAACCTGGGCCTGGCCCACGAAACCATTTTGTCCTCCTAGGCCTCAGGGCCTGCGATAGGAGGGGCTGCTGTGAAGACCTCTGACATGCTGTGGAGACATTTTCCCCATTGTCTTAGAGATTAACATTTGGCTCCTTGTTACTTATGCAAATTTCTGCAGCTGGGTTGAATTTCTCCTCAGAAAATGGGATTTTCTTTTCTATCACATTCTCAGGTTGCAAATTTTCCAAACTTTTGTGCTCTCCTTCCCTTATAAAACTGAATGCCTTTAACGGCACCCTAGTTACCTCTTGAATGCTTTACTGCTTAGAAATTTCTTCTGCCAAATACCCTAAATCATCACTCTCAAGTTCAAAGTTCCACAAATCTCTAGGGCAAGGGCAAAATACCACCAGTCTCTTTGCTAAAACATGACAAGGGCCACCTTTGCTCCAGTACCCAACAAGTTCTTCATCTCCATCTGAGACCACCTCAGCCTGGAGCTTATTGTTCATATCGCTATCAGCATTTTTGTCAAGGCCAATCAACAAGTGTCTAGGGAGTTCTAAACTTTCCCACATTTTCCTGTCTTCTGAGCCCTCCAAATTATTTGAACCTCTGCCTGCTACCCAGTTTCAAAGTCACTTCCACATTTTCAGATATCTTTTCAGCAGCACCCCACTCCTGGTACCAATTTACTGTATTAGTCCATTTTCATGCTGCTGATAAAGACATACATGAGACTGGGATGATAAAGAGGTTCAATGGACTTACAGTTCCATATGGCTGGGGAAGCCTCACAATCATGGTGGAAAAAGGAGCAAGTCACATCTTACATGGATGGTGGCAGGCAAAGAGAGAGTTTGCACAGAGAAACTCCCATTTCTAAAACCATCAGATCCCTTGAGACTCATTCACTATCATGGGAACAGTGAAGGAAAGACTCACCCCCATAACATGGGAATTGTGGGAGTTAAATTCAAGATGACATTTGAGTGGGGACACAGCCAAACCATGTCATTGGGGATGTGGTGAAAAGGGAACACTTGTACACTGCTGGTGGGAATGTAAACTCGCACAAACACTATGAAAAACAGTGTGGCGATTCCTTAAAGAACTAAAAGTAGAAGTACCATTTGATCCAGCAATCCCACTACCAGATATCTATCCAGAAGAAAAGAAGTCATTATGCGAAAATAATACTTAGACATGCAGTTGTTTTTTTTTTTTTTTCTTGAAATGGAGTCTCTTTCTGTCACCCAGGCTGGAATGCAGTGGCACAATCTCAGCTCACTGCAACCTCCACCTCCCGGGTTCAAGCGATTCTCCTGCCTCAGCTTCCCGAGTAGCTGGGATTATAGGCACACACCACTGCACCTGGCTAATTTTTGTATATTTAGTAGAGATGGGGTTTCACCATGTTGGCCAGGCTGGTCTTGAACTTCTGACCTAAGGTGACCACCCGCCTCCAAGACAGATGCCAGGCTGGTCTTGAACACCTGACCTCAGGTGATCCACCCACCTCAGCCTCCCAAAGTGCTTGGATTACAGGCATGAGCCACTGCACCCAGCCTACACATGCATTTTTATAGCAGCACAATTCACTATTGCAAAAATATGGAACCAGCCCAAATGCCCATCAATCAATGAGTGGATAAAGAAATTGTGGTATATACATAACATGGAATACTACTCAGTTACGAAAAGGAATTAAATAATGGCTTTTGCAATGGAACTGGGGACCATTATTCCAAGTGAAGTGACTCAGGAATGGAAAACCAAACACCATATGTTCTCACTCCTAAGTGGGAGCTAACTTATAAGGTGCAAAGGCATAAGAATGATACAATGGACTTTGGGAACTCGGCAGGAAAGGGTGGGGGGGAGGTGAGGGATAAAAGACTACAAATTGAGTACAGTGTATACTGCTTGGGTGATGGGTGCACCCAAATCTCAGAAATCACCACTAAGGAACATATTCATGTAACCCAACTCCACCTGTTCTCCAAAAACCTATGGAAATTAAAAATTAAAAAATAAAAATAAAGGCCGGGCATGGTGGCTCACACCTGTAATCCCAGCACTTTGGGAGGCTGAGGCAGGTGGATCAGCTGAGGTCAGGAGTTCAAGACCAGCCTGGTCAACATGGTGAAACCCTGTCTCTACTAAAAATACAAAATTAGCCAGGCATGGTAGCAGACACCTGTAATCCCAGCTACTCGGGAGGCTGAGGCAGGAGAATCACTTGAACCTGGCAGATGGAGGTTGCAGTGAGCTGAGATTGCATCATCGTGTTCCAACCCGGGCAAGAGTGAAACGTCATCTCAAAAATAAATAAATAAATAAAAAGGAACAATAAATAAATAAATAAGCAAGCAGAGCTCATGTGAATGAACTGAGCAAGACTTCACTCATCACCAAGTGGATGGAACTCAGACATTAATGAGGGGTTTGACCCCATGATCCAATAACTGCCACCAGGCCCCACCTCCAACATTGGGGATTACATTTTAACATGAGATTTGGAGGGAACAAAAATCCAAACTATATCAGTGGTGAACCACTGCAGTTTATCTTCTGGCTTTTTCTGCTATACTTTACCAAAACAGAAGGAAATTCTTACTTTGAAACAACATTTCCATATGCATTGTTCAGATTATTTATTAATCTAATTTTCTTTTTTAAACATCAATTCTATGCATAATTGTGCTTTCTACATAGCATCTATTTATTCATTCAACAATACTGACTGCATACATACTATATGTCATGAACTGTTCTAGGTGGCAGGGATACAGTAATTAACAAGGTAGACAGAATGTTTATATTCATGGAATGCACATTGTAGAAAATGGCTGGGGAGACAATAAATAAGAAGGAATAAATAAATAAGAAAATTTCAAATAGTTATAAGTAATGTAATGATAATAAAATAGTAACGCGATAACAAGTAATTGACTTTTACGATTTGTAAATTGGAGAGGAAATTTACCGTACATAGGGCAGTCAGGGTAAACTTTTCTGAGGAGGTGTTTCTTTTTTCTTTTTTTTTTTTTTTTTTTTTTTGAAACAGAGTCTCGCTCTGTCACCCAGGCTGGAGTGCTGTAGTGGCGCAATCTTGGCTCACTGCAAGCTCCACCTCCCGGGTTCATGCCATTCTCCTGCCTCAGCCTCCCGAGTAGCTGGAACCACAGGCGCCTGCCACCACGCCCGGCTAATTTTTTGTATTTTTAGTAGAGACGGGGTTTCACCCTGTTAGCCAGGATGGTCTCGATCTCCTGACCTTGTGATCCACCCGCCTCAGCCTCCCAAAGTGCTGGGAGGAGGTGTTTCTTGAGCTGCAACCTGTATGATGAGAAGGATATGGTTCATTTGAGCTGATATGAAAGTAAAGCGAGAAAATAAGCCTTGAGAAAATCTGAGGGCAGTGAGTTTCAGAACGACATAAAGAATAACTAGTACAAAGGCCCTGAGAAACCAAAAGAAGACCAACGGGGCTGGATGGAGTTTAGTGACAGAGGGGAAATCATACAAAATGGGATGAGAGACTAGGCATGGACAAATTACATTGGGCCCTGGAGGCCATAGTCAATAATTTATGTCTAAGAACAATGAGAAGGCAATAGCACATTTTGAGCCAAGGAATAACATAATCTACCTTATGTTTTAAAAGAACAATTCTGGATGCTATTTATAAAATGTATTATAAAGGGTCAAGAATAGAAACAGTAATGCCAGTTAGGAAATTATTTCAGTAATTCAGGGGAGGTGATGGTGGCTTTGACCAGGATTGTAGCTGCAGAGATAGTGTGAAGTTGTCAAACTCTGAATATATTTTGAAGGTAGAGCCGAAAGCATTTACTTACAGATTAGATGTAGGATGCAAGAGGAAAATGGGACTTGAATTAGCAACATTATAACTAGAGTCAAACTGTCTAGTAGTGAGTTGGACAATAAATGGGTCAGAGGAAGAGATTACTGAGGGCCAAATCAGGAAGGTTTCACAGTCTTCAAGGAAAAATCTGAGTGTGTTTATGTGTGTGTAAGAGTGTGTGTGTGTGTGTGTGTGTGTGAGACAGAATACAGAGATACAGGGATATAGAGAGCAATTCATCTTATTGAAGATGATCCTGTTGACAATTTACTTCTATAATTGGCCAAAGACAATATTTTCTGTTTTGATTGACTGAATTGAGGAGTTCTTTGCTTTGTCAAACTGCTCCTGGAGCTGACACTTCAACACAAACTAGGGCACACCTACTTGGTGACTTCTGAAGTAGCAATGATTGTTATAGTGTCTCAAGCTGTGCTTAATGGGGAGACGTGGCTGGGGTATCTGCATGCATTGTGCAGATGCAGGAGAAGAGAAAGAGCAAACCTATCTCCCCAGCTGTGGCTAGAAAGCCTGCCCATTAGAGGTCCTTTTGCACTTCACAGGCAGGAGTATATTCTACAAGCAAAGCCATCCCACAGGTGCAGAACTGGAGCACAATTGATTTCCTTTGTGGAACTAGCCACAGAGAAATCCTTCATGTATGCTCCCAGACTCGGTGGCAGTTTCAAGTTGATGTGAAGTGCAGATACATAGCATAGAAGTGTTACTGTTGGAACATTTTGGAATTTCAAAGCATCACCTGATGGGAGAAGGTGTAGAAAGCAAGCACTAACCCTCCTGCCAGAGAAAACAGGGGTTAAAGAAGGGAAGCAGTTTTTCACATGGTGGAAAGCAGAGTCACTTTTTTTTATTACACTGTATTGAAATTTTCCTCTTTAATGCCTCTATATTCCAGGAATTGATCTTTCTTGTTCCTCTTTAGCAGAGTGACTGCCACATAGTATATGCTGATGAGATATTGTGGCTGAATGAATGAAAAATTGAACCTAAATCAACCTTAGAGTCTCTGCCAACCGAGTCATATTGTCAATATTTGTTGCTAACAAATATGAAATTCCAGTTCCAATTCCTGTCTTTGTGCTTGGTACCTGTGATACAATCAGGCTATGTCTATGTAGTGCTGCTGGAGCAGTTGGTTTTGTGGAACTTTCCGGGAAATGGAAAGAAGTCAACAGTCTCAAATGATTGGTTTGAGTGGTATGTTTTCCTGCTCAGTTGCTGAATCTTTTGTCTGAATTGACAAAGTAAACAAATAAACAAAAACCAAATTAATCAAAAAGCACATTGATGTCGCTAGATGCAATTACATCCATGTCCTGACCTGTGGCCATCGGCATAAAACCTGAGACACTGAAGAGTGGGATAAAAGTTTGTATATACAACCATTCCTTTTCGTCACCTTAGGGTTTGAGGTGGGGTGGAGATGGCCAGATCAGTTGTTTGATGTCATGAATTGAAAATACTCAACTGATTGAGTCAATTTTTAGTATTTATATAATCAGGGCTCTTGTATAATCAGTGTCCACTTTTTCCGTAAAGTATCAGGCTCTTTGTCACTTCTCAAATACCCCCTTTTTAAAGACTGCAAATATTGGATACCTTAAGTCATCTCTGTTTGAAGATTTCCCCACCTAAACCTCTCCAGCCATTCTCTGCACCTCCCCCTACCTTGGCAGCTGCATGTCTTTCAAAGACTTCCTTTCCAATCAAGACTGAAATACATGTTCAATTTTTGAGTAACCAAATATGGGACTGTCTGTATCAGCAAGCGATATTTTTGCCAGTCAGTCCTGATTTGACGAATTGAAGGTTTCCATAGACTTCCCCAGGTGCCAACTGCTTAAGCTAAACAATGACACCAAATGAAACTGCCTATCAAACAAAGGCACATCAGGAGGAGAAACAAAATGACACTGATGTTATTAAGGCTGCCTCCGCTGAGGAGCTATAAGCAAGGCAGAGTCTTCATATTGCACAAGCCAGCTAAAACAAAGAAAGATAGAGCTAACACAAAGAAAAATAGGAGAAAACACACAAAGAGGACCTAAGATAATACCTATAGAAGAAAATTTAAATTGCAGATGGATTTGTCATTTCTCGTCCTTCATATATAGAAGGAGGCTATTTCTGTATATCTCCTGTTTGGCGTGTAATCTTTAGTAACAAACATGTAGTTTTAAGCACTATGTTAATAAACAAATAAAATGCATAATATTGTCAGGTCTAATAGAATGTTTCCATGAGTTAAAAGTTTAACTACCCCATGGTAGCATAACTATAAGTGAACTTATTTTCCAATGAGTGGAGAAAAAGTGATTTTATAACAACAACTTCCACATCCACTCCCTATTTATAACACAATTCTGTCCATCACCAGCAGCCTGATATTACAGAGAGCAAAAACACTTAACGGACTTGCTCTTATTACATGATGCATACCATCTAATGCTGGGGGAAAGAAAACTAAGACAGCAGTTGGAAAGCAATTTATTTTATTTATTCTCACCACTGCATTTTTTGGACCTGTAATGTATTCCACCCATCAGAAAGCTTTATCTCAGCTGGAAAACATGAATTCTTATTTTGGTATTCAAAATTCCAACTCTTTGTGAAATTCTAAGTGCCTTTAAAAAATTGAAATGCTCCCGGGTGACATGTATTATTATAGGTAAAATACATAGTTACATTCATATTTTAAAAGAGTGTACATTTAAAACTCACATCCTTAAAAAATAAACGATTAAAAAGCAAAATAAAACACACCTTGTCAAGAGCATAATTGAAAATGAGAACTTTCCTTCATTGGTTTGATTTCAGCTTGCTTATCAGGTTTTATGCTTACTGTGTATCAAAAAAAAATGTACTCTTGTGCCACATATCCAAAGAGAGAATGATATCACTACAAAATATTTAAACTGTTTTCTTTACTGCCAGCTATCATTGTATCAGGATGCTGCTGAGCTTCTTGGGAGTTGTAGTTTTCAGTTCTGGTTAACTAGTAGGTATAAGAATGCTTGCGTCAGTATTTACAAGAAGAGGATACATTTTGGAATTCTCACAAGTAAAGAAATGAAATAAAAGTATGAAGGAAAGGCCACTAAATGATCTATTTTCTACTGCTTGCATGTAGTATTTTTTATTCCTTTCATTTTTGATCATGTAACTGTGACAATATAGGGCAATTCAAAAATAATTGGACACTTGCATGAATATTTACTCAGTAACTAGGTGCTATATGAAATTGTAGAATGTACCTAATTATAGAGTTACCTTTACAAGTAGCTAACCATTGGAGAAGTTTTGGCTTCCTGTTCGTATATAACCTCGTTACTGAATAATAAATGTTTGAATGTTCTATTGTGTTTGACTACCCTATAATTATTTGTTGTGGAAAGTGTGCATGGATGTCTTTCAATTAAAATATATGCTGCAAAATAGCAAAAATCATTTTAAGTTCTCGTGAAAACTGTCCCAAGTCATCCATCAACAGAGATGTATTATTTTTATTTTAAATGCATAGTCTTCTTCCTTTTTTTTTTTTTTTTTTTGAGATGGATTCTCACTCTGTCACCCATGCTGGAGTGCAGTGGCGCCATCTCTGCTCACTGCAACCTCCGCCTCCTGGGTTCAAGTGATTCTCCTTCCTCAGCCTCCCGAGTAGCTGGGACTACAGGCACGCATCACCACGCCCAGCTAATTTTTGTATTTTTAGTAAAGACAGGGTTTCACCATATTGGTCAGGCCAGTCTTGAACTCCTGACCTCGTGATCCACCTGCCTTGACCTCCCAAAGTGCTGGGATTACAGGTGTGAGCCACTGCGCCCAGCCATAAATGCGAAGCTAGTCAAGCATGGTTGTAGTGGGAGACCATATTTTTAAAATAAATTTTGATCTCACTAAATCAGCTCCTGTACTATGGCAAGAAAGTGAGAAATAGATATATGTACTTGAAACCAGGAAGTGAAATTTGATATTTAAAGTCAATACATAGATAGACACATAAAAAACATACTTAGATACAGAGAGAGAGAGAGAAAGAGAGAAAATACACTCACTACCAGGGACTGGACACATAGACTGGATTAGATCCGGGTTGTTAAAGAGCCTCCAAAAACGACTCTGACTGGGTCTATACAAGCTTACCAAATTGTCCATTTTGACTAAATTGACCAATCAATTTAATGAAATAGCCACTTAACTCCCCCCACCTCAATTTGACAAAAACCACCTGTTAAGGAACTTGGAGACAGTCTTATTTTCCTGATCTTTCCAAACAACAATTCCCTCTACTGCTCTGCTCACCTGTCTCCTCCAAGCAACACTTTACTGGTTCAATTGTTTTCTCAATTGTGATTGGAGTTAGGAAATAACTATTTGTTCCCCAGGACACAAATTTTCCTGGGATTGAGGGAGTTACAGTAATCAACTGAGCTGATGGCTGCCCTGGGCAGAACCATTTAAAGGCTACCCAGGAGCAGGTTAAACTCCTGAGTGCTCTAAGAATCCTGCTTAAATCAAAAAATCCGTGAACTGCTGGTTTGGCATTCAGTTCACCATTTCATAGCCTGTACTTTGCTTCTCAGGTAGTGATCTGAAATACTTATTCAGCTACAATTTCTCTTGAGGCTAGCCAATAAACTGAGCAGGTCAGGCCAAATCACAATTCTTCAACGAACGGCCACCCGATGAAAAGACTCTGTTTACTATTTAGACTTAGATGCCCTGATTTCGAAATGTATAATGAGAAAGGAAACATAATTGTGCATTTTTAATTGAAATGTGTTCTTTCCATTTTAATTCTTATTATGGTTCTCTACAAGAGACAATAAATTTATTGTCTTCCAAGAGAACATGCAAGAAGGGTCTAGAAGGCTCACTTGCTTTTTTCCCTGGGCATGAGATACCCACCATCTTCCACAAGATGGCAGGCAGTTTTCATTTTACTGTTGGTGATCAACAGGAAATTGCTCCACTCTCAAATGACAGCAACCCCAGGTAGCTAGGGTGACATTTGCTTTACATTATGATACACACTAATTAATCATTAGTGATCCCAGAAGTAAGTCTGCTAAAAATTCTTTGCTATGGCTTTTCACAGCAGGGGCTTTCAATATTGATACTTTTACATGCACATATGTTCAGCCAGTATATGTTATAGCCATGGCTTTAAGCTTTCAGGTTATTTTAATTAATATTGCCTAAATTAATATTCACCTCTTATTTGGAAGGGGAAATGGTAAGGCTAGTGAAATAAATACAGAAAGAAAAAGCAGTGAACAAAACTCTGAAAAGCTAAAGGCAACTTTGCCAAGTTTTCAGCTTGAAGCACCTTTGTCTTCTGGCATTTGTTGTCATTGTCAACTTTTTCCCAGGCCCAGCTCAAAATCTCTGGGGCAAAAATCCTTTAAAGATTTGGGTTGGCAACACCACTGCACACTTAACTTGCATGCTATGGTCTCGAAACACATCGTCTCATGAAGGATTTACTCCCTCTCATCAACTAACAGGAAATGTTCACATTGCCTTTCAACATGAATTCAATTTCACAGCAAGAAGCCTCGTTATTATAAGCAATTCCACCAGGCATGAGCCACAACCCAAGCTACAGACGATGAGCACAGATGTTCTTCTTACTTAAGAAGAGCCTTTCAAAAAGGCTCATCAACCCACCTGAACAGCCACAGCCAGCCCAGTTTTCTCCACCACATGAAGCTAGACCAAGACAAAGATCACCTGCCTGGATGTACCACACCCAATTCCACTCTTAAGCAGTTTAAGTTCACACCTTAGTTCCAGTTATAACTGGTTAGTTCTCTACTTGGTTCAGCTCCACTCACCCCTAGGCCTTGGTAACACATCTCTTGTAAAGTTTCTATTACCCCTTCATTAAAATTTAGTTTTCTTCTGATAGGGACACTTCCTTCATAACCACTTTAGCAGTGTTTTTTGAACTTTAATGTGTAGATGTGTCACCTGCAAATCTTGATAAAATGCAGATTCTGATTCAGCGCGTCAGAGGTTTAACCTGAGATTCTGTATTTCTAATGAGCTCCCAGATGATACTGGGTGCTGTTGGTTTACAAGCTGCACTTGAGTTAGCAAAGCTCTAAAGTTCCTTCATTCATCCACACTCTATATATCCTGGGGTAAAAAGACTGGCAAGCGTTTCCAGACTCCCCATTCCAGACTCTTCTAGGCTTCTTTTCATCAATAACTCCTCCTCTTTTGAAGCCTTCATTATTTGACTGATAAACTTTTCAGAGTCATCTTCAGATCTCTCTCCCAGGCTTTCCACTGCATTCACTAAACATTCTGAAATCCAGATTACCATCTTCTTTCCACCAGATCCCCTTACCTCCTGAATAACTTCAACCTTCATGTAGATAACTCATTCATGACACTGGCCTTGATCCCCTTTATTCCAATGACCTTCATCTGTATTCTACCTTACCAATCATCTTAGTGGCCACATCATGACCTTATTGTCACCTGAAACTGTTCTTACTCTAAATTCTTAAACCTCAAAATTTCCCTCCCTTACTTCAGTCTGCAAGAGACTCCAAGCTCTCTTTTTCCTCAGTCCCACTAAACATATGCTCCCACCCCCATTGGACATCGGACCTTCCCGCCCTTGTATACCTCCCTATTCTTGCCACCAGATGCTTTCACCTCTATTTCTACCCATTCAGGAGACCATGGTTAATCACTTCTAAACTCAATAATAATACATTTTCTCTAATGTCATCTTTTTCTGAGACTACTGTGCTAAACTCAATCCTGGGTGCGCCCATAGTTATTGTTTTACTCCTCCCCATCTATAAAGATCTTAGTGAGCACACACACACAGACAACTCATCCTTCTGAGTGGCCCCACTATATACTCACATATCGACCTTCAGCTGGGCCTGCAACACTGCTGCTCAATGCTCTTATTTGTTTCCTGACAAATGCTTTTCTGACCCTTTCTATGCTTCTCAAACTGTCGTATTATAAAACATAAATGTCCTCAGTTCCCATTCCTTCCCACCACAAAGTCTTTCCATATCTTCATCCAATCTGTTTTCCTTTTCTCCTGTTATATCTTCATTTCAAAATTAATCCCAACAATTTTATTAGCCTTAGAGTATAAATCTCTGTTATGCTCTTCATTCTACCTTGATGCATCAATTTTCCATTTTCTTAAATTGTAACACTTTTCTTTCCCATTGGGTCCTTTCTCTCAGCCAACACATACTCTCATGTTTCCCTCACTAATCATCAGCCCTCAACCAAAAATGCTCTTCATAATGTTACTTCTTATTCACTCTAGGTACAATCTCAACCTTACTTTTTATTTTATAAACATTAAAAATAATTCCCTTATTCATTATTGCTACTTTGTAAATCATCCATTCTCTTATTAATTCCCTGTAAGTGTGTATCCTAATATAAAGTCAATGTCACACTTAGGAGCTGCCTTTGCAACTCCACCAAATAGCCTCTTAGTTTTCAATCTCAATAGCCTCATAGATGCCCTCAATGTATTTCACCCCTTGGCAACATTTGACACCGATGCTCAGTCTCTGACAGAAACATTTTCCTCCAATCACCCTGGTTCTCTCAGCCTTCCTATTTCACTTTTTATTTCTTCTGCTGATTAATCACTGTTATATCTCTATCAAATTCTTAATGTCAATGCTCCAACGAGTTTGCCCTTACCCTTCTCTCTGGATTTTACCCTTCTATCTCTTTCTTTCTGGGCTATCATTGGCATTCCCTTGATACCAGTTTTCTTCATAACGCTTATTATGTTCTAACTTATATTTTACTTATTTATTATGTTTATTGGTGTCTACCCCCTCCCTACTTCATCCCTGCAAGAATGTCAGCCCCATGAAAGCAGAGAATTTTGTCTGTACACTCACGTACATTAAGCATCTGGATTAATACTTGGAACATAGTAAGTGTTCAATAAATTTTGCGGAATAAAGGAACTATCAGCTATGAAATAATCAGTGCCATATCTAGATCTCTACACTTAATCCTTCTCTTGAATACACACATCCTTATGGTTATTTTACCAACACTTCAAACTTAATATGGCCCAAACCAAAGTCATTATATCTGCCTGTGCCAAACTTGCTCTTCCTGCAATTGTTCCTAGCTCAGAAGAAAGTTTGAAGTCATTTTGACTCCTTTATCTTTTTTCACCATGCAGAGCCAATCAGTCATCAAGCCCTGTGGATTTAAACATCTCCAATGGCTTGCATGCCTATGCCCCTTCAATTTTCATCCTCACATCCACAGCCACAGTCCCATTTCTCCTCTTGCCTGCAATCTTAAAATATCCTCCTAAAATTACTTTCCTCCTGCCACCAGTTTCTCACTATCATCTATCCTACACAATCTTACCTGACTTATTGTCCCCCAAAAAACAAGTCTGATAACATCACCTCTCTCTTGAAAAGTCTACAAATAATGTTCATTTTCTATAGGCCCAAATCTGAATTTCTTGGCCTGACCTTAAATTTCCTCTATCGTCTATCACCTTTGAATCTCTTTTTAGGCTTCATCTACATATTTTTTCACAGTCCCTATGCTCTAGACATTTCTAATCTGGATGCTTACATGCCCAATGAAGAGAAAAGATTCTAAGAGAACACAGATTAGAAGAATGGTGACTTGTTTAAACAAAATATGACAAGACTCACTGGATGAATGGAATGACTTAAAACTAACTTTGGCAAGGAATTGAGATCTGAAGAAGACAAGACAAAACTCTGATAAAACCCTACTTCTCTGCCCAATGGCCTAGATGGGGTTCTCAACGTGAGACCCATGGGCTATCTGCATCAGAATTTTCTAGGGGTGAACCATGGTATCTTTATTTACAACATACTTCCCAGGAGATTCACTCACATCTTCAAGGTTGAGAACAATTGACTTAGGGAGCAATATCCATATTTTTCATTTTTGAAGGGCATGAGAAAAAAATCTGTGTCCTCGTACCCCTAAGTAGATGGAAAAGACACTGGACTGGGAGTCAGAAAAGTTAGTTTCTTTTCTTAGCTTTGTTCCTTACTTGCCTATGTGCTTGGGCAAGTCACTTACCACCACATGCAAATGCAGAGACTGGTGGAAATGACCTCTCAGGACCCTTGTCATCATAGGAATTGTTGTTTCCATGGGCCTCATCAACTCACATCCTGGAATTTTATGCCACCACAGTGAATTTCATGCCATCACCCTGATCAACAACTATGAGTTAAGAAATGACTGAGAAAGTGACTCAAATATCCCTTTCTCAGGGACACCTTCATTGTTGACTATACCTAAAAGAACAAGCCCTTGGTCAATGCTTGTTATTCCCCTGGCCGAATTTATTTTTTGCCACTGCAGTTAACACTGACTTATTATGTGTTTCACTCCATTATCTTGCTTACTGTCTATCTTCCTCCACTGCACTGTGCACTGTATCATGGCAGGGGTTGTGCCTATTTTGTTTGTTCATGGCTATGTCATCTGAACCTTTAACAAAGCCTGGCATATAACAAATTATAGCTTCAAAGCCCTCCTCCTTTTCTTGGTTCTCACTCCTTATCTTGTCCCTTTAATCTGTCTCTCTCTTTCTTTCCCTACTCCCTCTCTCTCCTGGCTTTCTCTCCCTTTCTCTGTCCTGTACTCTGACCTTTTTATACCCCTTAAAGCTGTGACAAGGAAGATGGGATAAGGTGAACAGGTTGATAATAGAGGATAAGTCATGCCCATTTTCAGTCTCTCAGTTTATACAGTTAAATCCCAGATTAAGGAAAATTTTCTCCTTAGAACTTTGAGAGGTTCTTCTAGACCTGAGAAGATGTTTAGCAGAGTTTGATTGTTTATTAGGGATACGCTGACCTCTGAAGTTTAGGGGATAATGCTTATGATCTCTGTAAGGAGAGCACCACTAATCCACTTACATCATTAACAAGCAAGCAAACAACAGTAACAAAAAATCAATTCAAACAAAATAGCAGACAATGGTTCCAAGACATGGATTTCATTAAATTTTGGCATGAAGTTATGCAGACTACATTTTGCCTTTCTGCAAGAGGAACTCGAACTCATTCACAGGGTCTTCTGGAGGCAAAATTATGGAGCAGAGCATATTTGTCTCTGGCTCCTCCCTATGAGCATCTTTTTCATTCCTTTATCTCACAGTAACTCACTCAAGTATTCTATCCTCCAGCTCCCCACTCAGATGGCATGAATCATCTTGCCCTAGTGAGCAGAAGCCCTTCAGAGCCCAAGCTTCCACCCAGCTCAGTAGACCAGGGAACCTTGGCCACTATGCCAATAGGAATGATAAAACATATTTTTGTCAACTGGGGCTTTCTAAAAGGAAGATAATGCTCCCTCCTTTGCTAATAGCCTATTGGTGTGTTGGTGATGTTAAGGATAGAGATTTTGAACATGAGAATGGAAAAAGAAATGTCTTAGAGTAAATCCGTTTTTCATATCCTCTAATGCGGCTATTGAAGCAGCTGCCCACTCTTACATGAATAAGATGGAAACATCTCTACAAGTCTTGGAGTCAAATTTAGTACACAAAAACTGTGATGCCATTTAGCCAGAAAGATACATTCAGCAAACTTGTGTGAGCCAGTAGAAGAGTGCTAGGTCATAAGAGGATGCTCAGTAAATATGTGCTAAATGAAAACACAAAGCTAGGTCTTATGGAAGGCTGAACCTTTTATGCAAATATTAACTGGTACAGTGAGCATAAAATAAGTGTTAAGGATTTGGTTTCAAACTATAGAAAGGGCAAAGGGAAAGAAACAGCCTCCAAAGTAGAGATTTATATTTTCATTTAAAACAAACTAAACACTATCCTTTTTTCTCTGTTGGAACACAAGATTATCCTTTCCTCTCTGTTGGACGACAAGCAAGTTTCAGGTGTCTCATGATCTGACCAAAGCTATATTTGAGGCTTAGTGTAACCAGTGAGCAACTTGGCCTCTCTGCCTCCCAGGAGATGCTCCTTTTAAGAACTTGGCAGCAAGAAATTGCCTTTAAAGGGAAAACCTTGTGGCCAGTTTTTACTCTGTCAATTGAGGATTTAGCCTTTGACTCTTTGTTTAACTTCTGTTTTGGACAGGACTGTGGACCAGGACACTAAAAGATGGAGAGGGCAAACTTATAACCCTGTATTCACAAAGATTGATGAAGAAAAGATCCAATATGAATCTTAAGGATACTTGAAAGTTCTGGTCCCTCTGTTTCCCTCTCTCCTACCCAATCAGGCTAGTTGCAAGTCAATTTAACAATTAAGTATGAAGTGACAACTTGGTGTCAGGCACTTTGTTAAATGCTGTTCTTGCCATTGATCTGTCCATCCATCCATCCAACAAATATTAACTGAGTACCTACTATATCAATGCAATATGTTAGGTGCTAGATAACGTAAGCATGGTCTCTAGGTTTCATGTACATTACAATCAAATGGGGGGACAATTTTTCTGCTGAAAAAATTTGATTAAATATCATCAAAATAACAATATTATATGTTGAGGATTTACTATGTAACTTGCACAGATCCAGATACCATGTATGTGTTATCTATTTTAATTCTCACAGCAACCTAGCAGGTGGGTCTTACTATCCTCATTTTACAGATAAAGAAAATGAGGCTCAGAGAGGTAAAGTAACTTGTTCAAGATCACAGAGATATTAACTTGCATTTAAACACATGGCTAAATGATTCCAAAGCGTATGCTCTTTCCAAAACATCCTATTGTCTCTAGAGAGGCAGCTAAAAGAGCAATCAGAATTTTTTTTATCTAAACAAGCCAGATCTCTTTTCCTTCATGTTGACTTTTGCTCAGAGACTTCTGTTGATGATATGAAATGTCTGGGCACATACATATTTACCCCAAAGAACATTTTCTATGAACTTTCAAGAAAATCAATTGTGGAATTATATACTCTGCCTTGTTGAATGACTTATAATTGTGTGTTTTACCTTTTATAACCATTCTCGATGGCAATCAAGATGGCACAAAAAAGATACATAGTGTCTTTATTGAATCATGAGCCTGTGACAATCCATTGAGTCAAAAGGGAAGAGGTCTATGGGCCACTGCCATGAGCTTTTGATCACAAAAGTTGAAGGCTCCAAGTACTGACATCACTGAGCCCGAGAGTCTTACTCATTTATGGATGGTTTGTACTCCAGGCATAGTATGAGACCAAGACAGCACCTCTCTAAGCAGAATTTTGTGAGCACAACACTACTCACCCAATGGTGCTGGGCTCCAGAGAAAATCCCTTCCACACATACATACAGGGTTCTCCCACCTGTCTCTTTCCCCTAGCCTGGAAGGTTCTTTATCTGTGTGTTTACTTGTAAATATCTGATCCTCCCATTGAAACCCAACTAAAATTATACATTCTCCACAATGGCCTCTCCAACAATTTCAGTCAGAATCAACCTCTATCTTCTTTCCTCAAAAACCTATACAGATCTTTGTCAGATAAAGGTTTTTTTTTTTTTTCTAAACAGAATTTTGTTCAATGGGTATTTTTTCATCTATGAGATTGTGAACTCCTAGCAGTCAGGGACTTTCTCTTGATCTTCTCTCTATCCCCACAGCATCCAATACGGTATGTATGAAATGTTTTACTAAATATTAAGTGCTTATTGAATACACTCAGCTGATTAATCAAAAATTTAATCCCATTGTTTCTAGACCACAATCCCCCCAGCTCACACCCCACTGGGGCCCTGGCACTGGAAAGGTGAGGAGGCAGAATAATAATGAAAACAACTTTAGCTTTGAAGATAAACCACCCTGAGCTCAAATTTAACAATGTAACTTCAAAAAAGAAAAAAACAATGTAACTTCTTACAAGTGTAAATCTAGGCAAATCATTTTGCTCTCTGAAACTCAGTTTTCCTTGTATATACAATTGGGATAACAACTCTCACAAAATTGTTGAAGGAGATAATATGAGACAGGTGTATGTATACACACACATGTACATGTGCACACACATACCACACATTAGACACACAAAAACCTTAGTTTCTCTTTTTCTTTTAGCATAGACACAGGCCCAATGTAAAAAACAAACAAACAAACAAACATTAATCCATGCTATTGTAGAAGCTAAGAGAAAACTTCCCTTCTGCCCTCTGAAGGTTTACTGAAAATAAACCAATGATAGGCAGATTAATAGGAGAAAAGGCATACAAAGTTTAGTTAACATTGCAGGGGAATGATTACCCAATACCCCAATGAGGTCCAGATGCTTATAGACCCTGCTTCATAGGATAAGGGAGATGGGAGTGTAGGAGTAAATGATTTTTAGGGGGAAATGAATGGACCTGGGAGGCAGACATTATCTTATGAGTGATTCTATTTGGAAATCGAATAGGACTGGAGAACAAACAATGGTTTGGGACAAAGTTTGAAGTTCATTGTGCTCTAGGTGTGGTGTTTAATTTTCAGTCTTTTCCTCTGTGATATAAATTTTAATCTTCTCTATTTAACAAAATTTCAGGGAAGGGATCTAAGGCAATTCCTCTTTGGGGATCTGGTTACTAGGTAGAAAAAGGTACTTCAGAGAACAGCCTCATCCTATGCTTTCAGAGAGACAGAGGCTTGAGGGACAGGAATGGGGGAAGGTCAGAGAGACCTTGAGGCAGCTTCTTTAGTTCAACATGTCAAAATACCATATTTTCGGGTGTAGTTTTCTGAGCTCCAACACTATCACGGGTTGTCAATCGACAAGCCGTCAAATGAACTCACATTTACTAAGCCAAGAAAATTTCAATATTGGCCAAGCTCTGTGCTACATTTTATAGGGGAGATGAAGGAATAGAAGAAAAAGGCTCTGCATTCAGAGAGCTTGCAAACTATAGATAGAGGCAAGAAAACCATGAGAGACACACATTAAGAATCCCAGAAGACATATAGTAATTGCCAGAGGTATTCAGAAGAGAAATAGGTCTAAATGGACTGACAAAATTGGGGAAAGCTTCAATGCCCTTTGAAGAAGAGGTTGAGACACAATGGAAAGAATAGAAAGTGGTCATTCCAGTCAGGAAAAATGACATGCATGCAAATGTTGGGGTGGGAGCATGCTCAGCACAGTGGAGGAGAGCCAGGCACTCAGTCTGGATCCCTCTGAGATCAGGTATTGGGGGTTGGGTGAGTGTTGGATGGTGGAGGGCCTTGAGTGCCCAGTTAAAATTAACATTACTAGTCATTGGCAAAGAGCAGTCCGTGGGGTCCCCTTACTGGAAACTGATTTCCAATTTAGGAGACATCTCTGCTGAGGCCATGCTTTTCATATATATAAAGTGCCCACTAAAAAGAAGCAGTCAGGACTACTGAACTGAAGGAAGGAAGGAGGTCAGTTATCCTGCATTAGCTTCTGGAGTTGGGGAGTCTTTGGGCCCTTTGTGTCTGACAGCAGTGATAGACTGCCCTTCCCCCACCAGAGCTGCCCTCACTGCATGCTGGGGCCTGACTCCCCCACAATTCCAACAAAGCTACCCCAGAGAATCCAGTGAAAGTAGGCATCACCCAGTTCCAGGCTGCGCATCTCACACTGCACCCACAGAACTGAAGTCTACCACAAGTGCCCCAGAATGGTTTGCTGGCCATGGCTCTAGGGTAAGGCCTCCTGCTCCTTCATGCGCCTGGGATGGGGGGCGGGAGTCACACTGATTGGCTTCCAGCTGGTTTTGCTGAGCTCTAACAATAATAAAGATGGGACTCTTTACCAGTGAGGTCATTAATTGAAGAGTAGGAGGGGGACAAGCTCTGCACCCTGCTCTGGATTCCCCCCATCCCCCCACTGCCCTGCCTGCCACCACCTGCTGGGTAGGAAAGTTTTCTTGGCAGGAAAGAGGAATGGTGAATGGGGAGAGGCCAGGTGGTGGGGTGGTTTGCTCTGGGAGGCTGGATGGAATGACGACAGCATTGTGAGCTTCTGGTTCTGTGTGGGTGAACAGAACAGTAGCGAGGAGCCCTTATCAGGTGAACTCAAGTGCTTATCAGCTCATTTCACCAACTGCTGCCTCTCCTCCCCCATGCGCCTCCAGGCTGTTTATTTTCTGTTAGAAAAGGGGGATCTGCATGTCAGCTCATTTGCATTCTTTGGTCCCAAACAAAACCATATTAAAGTGCATTGAAGAGCCGGGCTAACTGGACAGGCTGCTTGCCTTGGGGAAGAAAAAGTCCTTACGATGAAAAGGAGACAATGTAGTATTCTATTTTCATGCCAAGTACAATGCCTGCATCGGGGGGAAAAACTCTCCCATTCGTTCTGATCAGCAAGCCTGAATGTGATAATTACTTAGCATCTTCTTCAACAGCCTTCAGATATATTATTTTGTTTTTCATTATTTTTTACCAACTTGTTTTAAGACCTGTAAATGTAGCTGGGGAATAAAAGAAAGGGAAGGAGGGAGCAGCAACTTCAGCAGTGGCCTGGTGATCTCTCCAGAAGTGTGGATGCAGTTCCTTTTCTTACTTGGGAAACAGATGGTGTTTTATGCTTAACACAATCAGCACCGCCTCTCTATCTGTGCCCCTAACCTTCCCCACCTGTGTGAAACCTAATCAGCGCCTAATGAACATACTTGGAGCTGTCTGGATGGAATTAGTCCCAGTAGGAGCCGGCCTTCAGGTACCCAGCACTCTCTTAAAGCTGTGTAGCTGCAAAAGACAAGAAATCTTTACATCAGGGCTAATTAAATAAAGGTCTGCCTCTGCAAAATACATGTTGTCTCTCCCCACCCCCTCAGAAAGTAGGCAACACTCAGGGTATTACATTGTTTAGCTTCTCCCAACAACTATGGACAAAGGTTTGTATTTTGAATTTCATCCAAAAACATGAGACATCAAATTCCTTTTCAGTCATTCCCACTTGGGTGTGGGCCTCCTTTGTGCAAATGGATGCACACTAATGACCACAACATTTAGGACAAACTTGCCCCCTTCCCATTGACAAATCTATAATCGGGTCCCAAGGGAACAAAGAGAGGCATTAGTCAAAGTGCTAGCTTAAACACACAGACACATATACACACAGACACACACACACACACACACACACACACACACACACAAACTGTGGCATTATCAAATTATTTTTGACATATTTGGAATTTTATGAAGCACTACAACAAGCTAGAGGCTTCTGGGTAATGTGTGAATCACTAGGAAGAAACCCACCATTTTCTGGTCAAAAGCTGTGCCTTTTGATGACATAACAAGGTCAATAGGTCATGGTAGCTCCATTACCTCACCTTGAGTTGAACCCTTCTGATGACATACCAAAGTATAAATCATCATGGATTAGCCAGAATACCCCTCCCCTCACCCTACCCACATCTCTTTAAAGTTTGTAAGGAATGAGAACCCACAGACTCTGTCCTTACTCTCTTCATCTCCCTGTGGATTTCACTGAAGGGTCATGCTAGTGCTCCTCACCTCTCCCCCTTGGGATTAGAAGGAGTCTTATGCCTGTCCTAGTTTCATGGAACTAGAAACAATATGAATCCTAGATTGGCTTAGCTCAGTTAGGTCCAAGCAAGCCCCCTGGCTCATTTCCTTGTCCTAGCCTGGACTTCCATCAATCTGTAAACCAGAGGTAAGCAAACTATAGATAGCCCTTGGACCAAATCCTCTTTTTTTTTTTTTTTGTGAATAAAGTTTTATTAGCATGCAGTCATCCCTATTTGTTTATGTACAGCTTATAACTGCTTTCCCACTACAATAGTGGAGTTGAATAGTTCTGACAGAAATCATATGGCTCATATGGCTTAAAATATTTAGTTATTTAGCCTTTTACAGGAAAAGTTTGCTGGCCTGTGTTCTAAGGCTTTGCATTGCAGAGTTCTAATTGGGCCACACTATTCTTTCTTTGGAGCTAGCTGTGAGAGACAGGACTAGCTGGATTTCCTAGGCCGACTAAGAATCCCGAAGCCTAGCTGGGAAGGTGACTGCATCCACCTTTAAACAACGGGCTTGCAACTTAGCTCACACCCGACCAATCAGAGAGCTCACTAAAATGCTAATTAGGCAAAAACAGGAGGTAAAGAAATAGCCAATCATCTATTGCCTGAGAGCACAGTGGGAGGGAAAAGGATCGGGATATAAACCCAGGCATTCGAGCCGGCAACGGCAACCCCCTTTGGGTCCCCTCCCTTTGTATGGGAGCTCTGTTTTCACTCTGTTTCACTCTATTAAATCTTGCAACTGCACTCTTCTGGTCCTTGTTTGTTACGGCTCGAGCTGAGCTTTCGCTCGCAGTCCACCACTGCTGTTTGCCGCCGTCGCAGACCCGCCGCTGACTTCCATCCCTCCAGATCCGGCAGGGTGTCCGCTGTGCTCCTGATCCAGCAAGGCGCCCATTGCCACTCCTGATCGAGCTAAAGGCTTGCCATTGTTCCTGCACGGCTAAGTGCCTGGGTTCATCCTAATCGAGCTGAACACTAGTCACTGGGTTCCACGGTTCTCTTCCGTGACCCACCGCTTCTAATAGAGCTATTAACACTCACTGCATGGCCCAAGATTCCATTCCTTGGAATCTGTGAGGCCAAGAACCCTAGGTCAGAGAACACGAGGTTTGCCACCATCTTGGAAGTGGCCCGCCACCATCTTGGAAGTGGCTCGCCACCATCTTGGGAGCTCTGTGAGCAAGGACCCCTGCTGTAACAGTTGTATTCATATTTCGAAGGTCTAGTGGTTTCCTGTCTTTAGCTAAACTTGTCTCAGCATGTATTTACCATCAATTCACCATAGGTGGGTACATACAAATGAGGCAGTGGCTGTTTCCCATCTTCCTTACCCAGAAATCCCAGAGGGGACTTCAGCTTATGTTTTGTGCCATTACTCATCCTGCCCTTGTTTTAGAAAAGGTGAGATAGGAGAATCAGAATGCCTCCCTCTCAGATCTGAAAGGCACACCAAAAAACATGAATCACTTCTAGTACAAAGTGCAGGTGATGAAGATGCTTCAGAGGACACAAAACAAATAATATCAAAGGTAGGAGTCCTGTGAGAGAACCTGACACAAAATACACCACTTTGTGTTGGATCTAAAACATCCTCAGAAGCCTCAATATTCCTTTTGGCCACAGCCTTAGCTAACAGAGCTTTAAAGAGAATACCCTGAAAACTGTCCTCAATATCTGTTTATGTCTGTTCCTCAACTGTGGAAAGAAAGGGAAAACACTGTATTACATTTCTAAATATGATCAAACTCTGGGAAAGAACTTGCCATAACTAAAAGTCATTTGGAAATATATTTAAGTATGTTAGCAACAGAATGAGCTGTGTTTCCAAGTCAGGAAGAATTTGTACCCTGCATGGAAGTCTTTGGCTACTTGATAACTTTATTTTTCTAAAACATGACTGGAAATATTTCTTAATATGGAAAGAATTATTTTAAAAAATAAATCAGAAAATAGCATTAATGATAACTACTCTACTTTCTACTTAATGTTAAAAGCAGTAATAGTGAAAACGTTTAGGAATTTATGAGGTGCCAGACACTATTCCAAGGGCATTGTATTTATCATCTCATCATCTCACAACTCTTTGAGATTCTTTTTACCATTTTAATTTTTCACGTTGGTTTTGAATTTAATTTTTTATTTATTCCCATAGTACAGCTGAAAAGGACTGAAGTTAGAGTCAAGTAACTTGCCCAAGTTTTCAACAACTAACAAGTGGTCGAGATGGAATGAAAATATCATTCACCCTGACCCTCCCACCAAATCAGGAGCCATGATGCCTTGAGCGCTCTTGCTAGTAATAGAGATGAATTTGCCTGAACCATCCATATTCTCAGATCTGTTCCTCTAGTGTCTAACACCAAATGTTATAAGACATTCCTAAAATAAAGAAAAGCGGAGCCATTTTTGCTGGGATCCAGCTTATGGGCTTTTATAAGAACTATCCTGAGCAGAGGCAGAGGAGAGGGCTGCCTGCATATAATGAGCATCTGAGGGATGCCTATCATTGGAAGAGTTCCTCACCCCCACTCTGGCAGACCTTTCTTTAATATTATTCCTCTGGCCTAAAGTATTGTTTCTCCAAAGCATGTTCTGTAAAACATATTAGCCTTCCACTTAGCAAAGAGAGCTGAAGGCAAAGGAGGGAAAGCAATTAGAAGGCTGTTGCTGTGGTCCAGGAGGGATACACCGAGGACCTAAATGGTGGCAGAGGTAACAGAGAGGAGGGGCCAGAATCGAGATATTATGAAAACAGGCAGGACATTGTGACTGTACTGGGCGAGGATGGGCTAGCTACTATAACAAGCAAATTCTGAAGTGCATAATGGCTCAAACTTCTTTGAAGGAGAAGTTTGTTTCTGGCTCACATAACAGCACTGAACACCTGGAGAAACAGGCAGATCAGCCATCCTCCATGGAGGGTATCAGGCTGACAAGTGGCTCTGCAATCTGCAACATGTGAGTTTCCATGTTGTTCTGGGAGCTATCCCCACTCCAGCAAGCAGAACACCTTCTTCTCTGAAGCCACATACCCTTCTGCTAAGAACTCTGTTCAACAGCCATTGTCTCTTCATGTACCACTCTCTAATCTGGTTTCCCACAGTACTCTGGGCACATCTAATTCATAGCAGTTATTATTACTACACTGAAATTGTACATTTCTCTGTCATTCCACTAGAAGGTAAGTTCTTTCACAGTGAACACCATGTCTTGCATTCATCTCTACATAGCTAGTGCCTAGCTTTGTGTGCTAGGTATACAATAAATGCTTGGTAAATGTCAGTTGAAAAAAAATGAGTGAGTGAATGAATGAATGCATGTGTATCTCTTTACGAGCTCTTAAAGCTACACAATACTCATGGCTTCATTATTTTCTCAATATAAAAATATTGGCCTTTCTAGGATCTACATTTATGTTTTATAAACTAGCCCACCACATAAGTCAATTCACAATAAACTGAATTCACAATAAATTGGAAATGAGAGTAATTTTCTACCGATGGCCTTTCCCATCTTCCTGACTACTCAGAATCAAAACTGAAAGGTTTTGACCAATAGAAATACGGATGGGTCCACCAAGCAATCCTGTAGAGGGATTGTAAAGTAAAACCTCCCCTGGATTTGGTTATTATAGCAAGAATAATTGAATAGTTTAAAACATGTCTGCCTTGTGACTTGGCCAGCATTTATATTATAACAATGGAAACTCACAAATGTGTCTAGGGAGTCATTTATGCACTGGAGTGCCATATAAGAAACCCAATTGCATATAATGAAGTGTATAATGCACATAAACTTTTAATGAAGAGTAAAAGCATTGCCAGGCCTCTCTAGGAGCAACCCTTGGCTCATACTCTCCCCTGAGATCCCCTACTGAAGGAAAGGGTTAACCCAGCTGTTCCACTGCTGCAGAAATCAGAGGACCTAGGCCAGCTGCAGATGACACAAAGGTAAGAGATGAGTGAACAAGGCATGGGGCTGAATTGCAGTGGATGGGGTGGGCTCATCTACTGGCCATCATCCAGCCTGATGCCTCCCAGCAAGTAAACCAGGTCAGCAATTGCACGCTTCAGGGTGAGCTTGTTATGTCTCAATCGAGTGACAGTGTAGTATTGTGCTTAGGTGTTTGGGTTATTGAGTGAGGCACATCATGATTTGAATCCTAGCCCTCCCAGCTGTGTCACCTTGGACAAGTCACTTAGTTTCTCTGAATCTCAGTCTGTAAAATGAGAACAACAATAGTGCCTACCTCCCATGGTGATTATGAGGATTCAAGGAGATAATGCAAATGGAAGCCCCCAGGCTATACCAAGAGCTCAAGAAATGATAGCTGATGTCATTTTCATTGTTAGAATCCACCCTCTCCCAGGGGAAAGGCTGTAATCCACATACTACTTCTGCTGCTTCCCACTAAATGTATGTTTGGTCTCCAAGGAGACTATGCAGCACAAAAAACACTCCAAGAAAACGCATACCCATTATTGTTAGTTGGGAGTTAAGCCCCAAATCCTGTGAGCTGGGCTTTAGGACATGAAAATCTGAGAACCCCTCTTCCCTCTTTAGCTTTGAGGGCAGGGCAGAGGTGTGCCTGAGAAGCCTCCTTTATGTTTACTGTATCAGCTAGATTTTGCTATGTAACAAACCACCCCAAAATGTAATGGCTAAAAACAGTAACTAAGTAGCTCACTATTCTGTGGGTCAGTGATTTGGACTGGGTTCAGCTGGGTGGTTCTTTTGCTGGTCTTGGCTAGGCTAATCCATGCGTCTGTTATTAACTGCAGTCAATAGCCATGTCTGATGGTTGGCTGGGTGTCAGCTCAAATAACAAAGGGAACTGGTTCATGCATCTCTAATTATCTACACAGCTAGCCTGGGTTTCTTCACATGGCTGCCTGGGATTCTAAGAGCAGCAAGAAAGTAAGCTCCAACACCCAAGTGTTTTTCAAAACTCTACTTGTGTCATGTTTGTTAATGTCCCATTGGCCAAAGCAAGTCACAGGGCTAATTTCAGGAGTGAAGAAATAGAGTCTATCTTTGATGGGAAGATCTGAAATGGCATGGATTACATTTGCTATTGCATGGATTGCGTGCAATTGCAAGGGCAGGGATGCATAAAGGAGAAGAATTCATGGTCATTTTTTAATATGGACCTCACTGCCCCTCCCCACTTCATTTTTCACCATTATCCCCTTCACTCACTCCACTCCGTACACACAGCATATATGTTCCCATCTTATGACTTTGTACATAGTGTTCCCTCTGCCTAAAAACACTTCCCTCAGATATCCACATGAATGCTTCATCAAAGGTCAGACCCAAGGTGAAGGGGGAATGAGGAGAAAAGCCCAGTCTTTCACAGCTGATTGGTTACAAATTGTATTTTGTACCCCCTGACTAAGGTGTGCTCCCAGAGCTGAGTCTCTCTCTTTGGTGTGCTTTATTGAGTTTCTTGAATATCTCCAGTGGGAATGTACAACTGCAACTACCATTTCATGGATGAAGTCCATCTCTGGCTGGCCTCTTTTTTAAGCAGCTTTATTGAGATATAATTCACATACTATAAAATTTGCCCACTTAAAGTGTACAATACAATGGTTTTTAGTATATTCACAGATGTGGGCAACAATCACCACAATCCATTTTAGAACATTTTCATCATCTGAAAAGAAATACTGAATCCTTTAGCCGTTACAAGACTATTCCCCCACTCCACCTCAGCCCCAAGAAACCAATAATCTACTTTCTGTCTCTGTAAATTTCCCTATTCTGGACTTTCATAGGAATGGAATTATATAATATGTGAGTTTTTTTAAACTCATGTCTTTTGCTTGGCGTAATGTTTTCAAGATTTATCCATGTTGTAGCATTTATCAGTATGTCATTACTTTTTATGGCTAAATGATATTCTATTATATAGATATATCACATTTTAATAATTTATCAGTTAATGGACATTTTGGTTGTTTTCACATTTTGGCTATTACAAATAATGTATGCCTACAAATGTACAAGTTTTCTGTTAACAAATATTTTCAAATCTCTCAGGTAGATATCTTGGGGTAAAATTGCTGAGTTATATGGTACCACTGTGTTAAATTTTGGGAGAAGCTGCCAGACTGTTTTCCAAAGCCATTGCACAATTTTACATGCCCACAAGTGGGGCATGAAAGTTCAATTTTTCCACATTGTCATCAATTATCTTTTTATTGATCTTTTTTATTCTAGCCATCCTAGTGGATATAAAGTAATGTCTCCTTGTAGTTTTGATTTGCATTTCCCTGATAATTAATGACGTTGAGCATCATTTTATGTGCTTATTTGTCATTTTTATATCTTCCCTGGGGAAATGTCTATTCAGATTGTTTTCCCATTTTCAAATTAGGCTGTCTTTTTTTATTGAGTTGTAAGTGTACTTTATACTTTTTAGATACAAGGCCCTTATTAAATAAATAAATTGCAAATATTTTCTCCCATTCTGTGGATTGTCTTTTACTTTCTTGTTAGTGTCCTTTGAAGCACAAAAGTTTTAAATTTTGATGAAGTTAAATTCATTTATGTTTTCTTTTTGCATGTATGCTTTTGGTATCATATCTAATAATTCATTGCCAAATCCAACATAATGAAGATTTAACCCTATGTTTTCTTCTAAGGGTTTTATTGTAGTTTTCACTCTTGCATTTTGGCCTTTGATACATTTTTGGTTCATTTTTGTATTTGGTGTGAGGCAAGGGTTCAATTTCATTCTTTTGCATGTAGTTATTCAGTTGTCTCAACGCCATTTGTTGAATAGACTACTCTTTCCTCATTGAATGGTCTTGGGATCCTTGTCAAAAATCAGTTAACCATATATGTATGGTGTATTAGTTCATTCTCATGCTGCTATAAGGCTATACCCAAGACCAGGTAATTTTTAAAGGAAAGAGGTTTAATTGACTCACAGTTCTACATGGCTGGGAAGGCCTCAGGGAACTTAAAATCATGGTGGAAGGGGAAGCAAACATGTCCTTCTTCATAAGGTGGCAGGAGAGAGAAGTGCAAAGTGGGGAAAAGCCCCTTATAAAACCATCAGATCTCATGAGAACTCACTCACTATCATGAGAAGAGCATGGAGGGACCACCTCCATGATCTAATCACCTCCCATGAGGGCTCTCCCCCAACACATGCGGATTATAATTTGGATTACAATTCAACATGAGATTTGGGTGGGGCACAGAGCCAAACCATATTATTCTGTCCCTGGACCCTCCCAAATTTCATCTTTCTCACATATCAAAACACAGTTATGCCTTCCCAACAGTTCCCCATAGTCTTAACTCATTTCAGCATTAACCCAAAAGTCCAAGTCCAAAGTCTCATCTAAGAAAAGGCAAGTCCCTTCTGCCTATGAGCCTGTAAAATCAAAAGCAAGTTAGTTCCTTCCTAGGTACAATGGGGGTACAGGCATTGGGTAAGTACACCTGTTCCAAATAGGAGAAGAATGGCCACAACAAAGGGGTGACAGGCCTCATGCAAGTCCAAAATCCAATAGGGCAGTCATTAAACCTTAAAGTTCCAAAAAGATCTCCTTTGACTCCATGTCTCACATCCAGGTCATGCTGATGCAAGAGGTGTACTCCCATGGCCTTGGGCAGCTCTGCCTCTGTGGCTTTGCAGGGTACAGGCCCCATCCTGGCTTTTTTCAGAGGCTGGCATTGAGTGTCTATGGCTTTTCCCAGCACATGATGCAAACTGTAGGTGGATCTACCATTCTGGGGTCTGGAGGATGGTGGCCCTCTTCTCATAGCTCCACTAGGCAGAACCCCAGTGGGTACTCTCTGTGGCGGCTCCAACCCCAAATTTTCTTTCTGTACTGCCCTAGCAGAGGTTCTCCATGAGGGCTCCAACCCATAGCAAACTTCTGCCTAGACATCCAGGCATTTCCATACATCCTCTGAAATCTAGGCAGAGGTTCCCCAATCTCAATTCTTGACTTCTGTGCACCCACAGGCCCAACACCATGTGTTAGCCACCAAGGCTTGGGGCTTGCACCTCTGAAGCAATGGCCTGAGCTCTAGCTTGGCCCCTTTTAGCCACGGCTAGAGCTGAAGCAGCTGGGACACAGGGCACCATGTCCCAAGGCTGCATAGAGCAGGGGGGCCCTGGGCCCATCCCAGGAAACCATTTTTCCCTCCTAGGCCTCCAGTCCTGTGATGGGAGGGGCTACCATGAAGGTCTGTGACATGCCCTAGAGATATTTTCCCCATTTTCTTGGTGATTAACATTTGGGTCCTTGTTATTTTTCAAATTTCTGCAGCCAGCTTGAATTTCTCCCCAGAAAATGGGTTTTTCTTTTCTTTTCTTTTTTTTTTTTTTTTTTTTGAGATGGAGTCTCGCCCTGTCCCCCAGGCTGGAGTGCAGTGGCGTGATCTTGGCTCACTGCAACCTCTGCTCCTGGGTTCATGCCATTCTCCTGCCTCAGCCTCCTGAGTAGCTGGGACTACAGGTGCCCACCACCATGCCCAGCTAATTTTTTTTGTATTTTTAGTAGAGACAGGGTTTCACCATGTTAGCCAGGATGGTCTCGATCTCCTGACCTCGTGATCTGCCTGCCTCAGCCTCCCAAAGTGCTGAGATTACAGGCGTGAGCCACCACGCCCGGCCCAGGTTTTTCTTTTCTACTGCATCTTTAGGCTGCAATTTTTCCAAACTTTTATGCTCTGCTTCCTTTTGAATGCTTTGTTGCTTAGAAATGTCTTCTGCCAGATACCTTAAATAATCTCTCTTAAGATCAAAATTCCACAGATCTCTAGGGCGAGGGCAAAATGATGCCAGTCTCTCTGCATAGCAAGAGTGACCTTTACTCCAGTTCCCAACAAGGTCCTCATCTCCATCTGAGACTACCTCAACCTGGACATTATTGTCCATATCACTATCAGCATGTTGGTCAAAGCTATTCAACAAGTCTCTAGGAAGTTCCAAACTTTCCCACATTTTTCTGTCTTCTTCTGAGCCCTTCAAACTGTTCCAACCTCTGGCTGTTACCCAGTTCTAAGGTTGCTTGCACATTTTTGGGTATCTTTATAGCAGCACCCCACTTCTGCAATACCAATTTACTGTATTATTCTGTTCTCATGCTGCTATAAGGACATACCCAAGGATGGGTAATTTATAAAGGAAAAAGATTTGACTCACAGATTTGCATGGCTGGGGATACCTCAGGAAACTTCAATCATGGTGGAAGGGAAAGCCAACACATCCTTTTTCTCAAGGTGGCAGGAGAGAGAAGTGCAGAGTGAAGGTATAAAACCATCAAATCTCATGAGAACTCACTCACTATTATAAGAACCCCCCACAATCTAATCACCCCCCACAATGTCCCTTCCCCAACACGTGGGGATTACAATTTGGATTACAATTCAAGATGAGATTTGGGTGGGACACAGAGACAGACCATATCATACGAGTTTGTTTCTGGCTTTTCAAGTGTCTGCAAAGGGTGATGAAATGGTAATCAATACTGGAAGATAGAAGACAATAGAGAAATGCATTCAAAAGTCTGCATAAAAACCATTTTCAAATTTTAATTTTATATGAAACTAAATTATCAAGCAAGTATATGGTAAAAATAGTTTTAGATGTGCAAGTGCAGTATTTATCTTCCATAAAAACTTTCATACTCAAGAAGCTTCTGAAGGATATATTCTATGAAATGAGGGTGCAAACCAAGAAAATAGAAGACACAGGATCCAGGGAAAAAAAACAACCAAATAATACTTGAAGGTAAGTCCCAAGATGTCAGCTATGAAGTAAGCAGTCAGTCCAGATTGGAGCAAAAGATTGGAAGGTTTCAGGGGGACTGCTTCCAGGGAAAAATAAAAATGATAAATTATTATTTTCATTTTCCATGCAACAAATATCTACGGAGAATATATTATGCTTTGGAGCCTGTTAGAGGCACTCAGGCTATAGTTATGAACAAAATTAAGTTTCTGACTTCTTGAAATTTACCTTCTACTGAAACTTAAAGTTTATGTCATCTGACAAGGTATAGAAAATTGTTATAAATCTCTTTACAGAACTTTTGAACTATGTTAGAAGACTTCATCACATGTAAACAAAACTGCCGGGGTCGGTGGCTCATGCCTGTAATCCCAGCACTTTGGGAGGCTGAGGCAGGCGGAACACGAGGTCAGGAGATTGAGACCATCCTGGCTAACACGGTGAAACCTCGTCTCTACTAAAAATACAAAAAAATTAGCCAGGCATGGTGGCGGGCGCCTGTAGTCACAGCTACTCTGGAGGCTGAGGCAGGAGAATGGCGTGAACCCAGGTGGCGGAGCTTGCAGTGAGCCGAAATAGCACCACTGCACTCCAGCCTGGGCGACAGAGCTAGACTCCGTCTCAAAAAAAAAAGAAAAAAGTAACACAAAAGTTAGTTAATAAGTAACTCTAGGAATAAAAGCAAATTGAAAAAGAAAGTAAAAGTATTCATAGTTCACTAATTGGCTCAACATTGAATTATACTGCATAAACACAGTAGTAAATGTATAATACATATTTCCATAAAAAAGTAAGACATACTGGAAGGATGTGGGATGCAATAGAGAAGAGTATGTATGTGAGCTAAACTCCAGATTTGACATAATAATACTCAATAGACAATGTCTAAACTTGATCCAATAACCGTGTGTGTGTGTGTGTGTGTGTGTGTGTGTGTGTGTTTTGAACATTTTGGAAAATAGACATAAATATCAGAGGAAAGAGTTACAGATTTGAAAGAGTTTGCCACTAGGGAATGAAGTTGATCAGGGTAGGTCAAGGAACTGTTTTTTATTAAAGGACTTTTAGCATTTTGGACTTAAAAAAACTTACTGTACAGATTTTTTAAAAATACATATATTTTTAAAAATAGTGGAATATATCTATTTATTAGGGTTTCTTCCTAGAGCTATGCAGGGGTTATTATGAGTGTTGATTTTGCCAAAGGTTAGATTTCACTACAACTTAAATGTGCTTTTGGACTTTCCTGTGTTAGACTTTATCCATTTTTAGTTGATTCACCATCTTTGTACAGCCATCAGTGCTTTTGCAATCATTCGAATGTGTTATTGCATTTTGTTCTATTATTTTATAAAAATGACTGTAACTAGAAATGAGTCTCATAAACATAACCTAATTGTGACAAAGATCATGCCCAAAGTAACAAATATTTAACTTCCTTGTGATATTTATTAGGCTTACATTGACCAACTGCAGGTTCACTTGATGAATTTAAAATTCAATTTAGAAATATGTGGAAAATTCTAGCCATATTAAACATTGAAGATTATGTGTGAAAAGCAAAATATAATTATCAAATAAGTATATTTTAGCTTTCCAAGAACAGAACCACACTTAAAGCATCCAAATCAATTGTTTCACTTCTGCATATTGGACTGTCACCTAAATTTTCAGGAAGACATTATGTAAGAAAATTTGTGGCTGAAAATAGAGGCAACTGTGTGATAGGTGGAAACTGAGAGTTAGAAGCAGGATTAAAACCCTAGTCTTATCTCAGGCCCCTAAAAATCTAGACGTATTTCAGCTTTCCTACCAATTACCATATTTCAAAATGGATAAATTAATGAAGAAACAAGAAACCTAGAGACTTCCCAAACTAAATATAATTCAACAGCAGATATATTGTATCCCTCATTAACAAATGTATATCTATGTAATACTGGCAAAAACAGGATATTTCAAAAGTGATGCACCATAGGAATCTCACAATTGGACTTAAGTCATTTATTTACCTTCTTTCCAAGTAAAGACCAACTACCAAAGTTACCTAAAATGAGAGGATAGTGGTGGTTTTAGTGAGTGGTTGCTAAGTACTTCATATTGGTCATTTGCCACTTTGCACATGCACATGCATGCATGTGTACATACACACAATGTGGAAAAGCCTATCATTAAAAATGTAACTACTAAGAGAATATTTTTCACTTTTGTGAACTCAAGACCAACCTCATTTTTTATGACTTCCCACCTATAATTTCTTTGTAAATGTAGCTTTTTGAGCAGAGGTTCTCGTAGACTAGAAAGAGATCTGGCTATCACATCAATCAGAGATTCTGAACCTGGTGTGTGTTTTGAGGCAGTGGTGTATGTATGTGTATGCATTTCTCTGAAGCAATCCATAACATTCATCAGGTTCTCAGGGGTGTCCCTGACTCAGGAAGCATAACATTTGGGGAAATTGAGGCCCAAGGCGGGAAAGTAATTTGCTCAGACACATAGTGGCTGAACTGGAAGTAAAACTCACTTTGCCTAACTTCTTTCCAATGCATCCTGGAGCCTAGCCCCAAATCCATAAGCTTTCATCATGCTTTGTGGCATGGCACACACCCAAAGGGAGTTCAATTATTTACTGATGAGAATGAGGGGCATAACGTTTTAATATAACCCAATAGTAGGAATTCAGTGGTGCATGACTTTCTTCCATTAAGGCAATTTCTTTTCCAAGATTGGCAGGGGTCTCCCTCAACCATTACTATAAACAGTTCCCCTTGTGAGAGATGTAAAACATTCTTGAATGCTGATGTGCACTTACGTATCAGATCTTTTCAAACAGGAATAGAATCATAGGTCCCCATCCTCTTTCAAATCTTCTACCTCAATTTAAATCCTGGCTACATAATTACTTCTCAACTTTGCATGATCTCTGCCTATTCAATATTGACTTCTTGGCAGGAACTTCCATCAAACATCTTTATTTCTGAGCCTGCAGGTTGTTAGAGTCTGACCATATGACTTGGGCTCAGAGTAGTAAATGTTACAATCCAAACATTTCTCAAAAGGCCAACATGTACATTTGAGGTGGAGCTAATTTTTGGTCTTTGCTGGTCAGAGATGATTTAGGCCAAGAAAGCTAAATATTTAGGCTACATATCTATTCCCAAAGTCCTGCAATCTAACCTCCTTACTTACTGACACTTACTTTAATAGGTAAAGTCTGAGAATATCCAAAAGCATAGCTCAATTTGATGAGTCTGCACTACAAATTCGAGTGAAATGCTTCAAAAAGAGATTTTGCAAATTCTTTTGAATTTCCATAAAGTAGTGAGTGTCTTATACAATATTTATTTGCTGTGGGCTTAGCTTTGTATTTTTAACTCTCTTTGTTTCATGGCAGGCTATAATTATATGCTCAAACCATAGTCTAAATTTATCTTATTGTAGTTTTCTGTAAAATACTATGTACTACATACAACATTTATATTTATAAAGTCTATGATGGAGGCAGAAAGAGGTTTGTTTAGATATTTAAATTGGGGTGTGGGGAAGAGAAGAGAGAAAAAAAGCAAATATCAAGAGAATTTTGTGTCAAAGGGTACATGTTAACTGTTCTCATGGATGTTACTGCATGAGATGATATGATAACTATTCATTACTATCTTTTTTGTGCTAGTGTTCCAGAATGAAGAATCAGGGACCATTCATTCCCTCCCTAGCCCTGCCTTTAACTAGCTGCCTGACTGCTGAAGTTTCAGTGTCTCATTTGTGAAATAAGGTAGCTGGACTAGACAATCTTGAAGGTAACTGCTAGCTTAAAATCTGCAATATACTGCAGAATAAGGGGCCGGAAATGTTTTCCTAGAGAGAAAAAAAAAATATGCCTCAAGTATAGCAGCCTTCTAGGACCACCATCTATAAAAATATCTGCATTATTTTGAAAAAAAAATGAAACGTATTTTGGGGAATTGTGAATCTCTGAAGATATATACATAATTATTTATTTAATACCCAAGATATTTTTGAAAACAAAATGAGTAGGCCGGGCGCGGTGGCTCATGCCTGTAATCCCAGCACTTTGGGAGGCCGAGGCAGGTGGATCATGAGGTCAGGAGCTCAAGACCAGCCTGGCCAAGACGGTGAAACCCCGTCTCTACTAAAAATACAAAAATTAGCCAGGCATGGTGGCGGGCACCTGTAATCCCAGCTACTCGGGAGGCTGAGGCAGAGAATTGCTTGAACCTGGGTGGTGGAGGTTGCAGTGAGCCAAAATCGCACCACTGCACTCTAGCCTGGGCAACAGAGCGAGACTCCGTCTCAAGAAAAAAAAAATGAGTAATGAAGAAGAACTTGCCCTGCCAAATACTTAAATCTTTCTTAAAGCAACAATAATTAAAACAATATTATACTAGCATAGGAATAGACTGGCAATATTAACAGATCAGGAAAGAAAGCACAGAAACTGTTCCGGAAGTACATATAAATTTAGTATATGGTAAAGATGATATTTCAAATCCATGGGGGAAAGCAAAATGCTGCGACAATTATTAGATCCTTGTGATTAAATTGAGCCAACATTAATTCCAGATGAATTAAAAAGTTAAATGTAAACACTGAAGTCATAAAACCTAGGAGAAAATACCATCTTGGAGGAAAGAAGGCATTCTAGGCATAGTAGCAAAGACAAAACTATAAAGATTAAACGATTTGACTATATAATATTAAAATACTCTGCATGTCAAAACAATGCCATAAACAAAATTAACAGACAAATAACAAAAGCAAAGATAGAATTACATCATATATGAAAAAGACTATATAATACACAGAAAATACTTAAAATCAAAAGAGGATAAACACCTTATTGGAAGCATAAACAAATGATATGAGCAGACAATTCACACACACACACACACACAAACGAAATTGCCAAGAAACATGAGAAAATTATGTTCTGTCTCATTATTACTCAGATAATTGCAAATTAAAATAATGATATATCCCTATTCAATAAATGATGCTGCGGCTAGCCATATGTAAAAGAATAAAACTGGACCCCTTCCTTACACCATATACAAAAATTAACTCAGGATGGACTAAATACTTTAATGTAAGACCCAAAACTATAAAAATTCTGGAAGAAAACCTAGGAAATATCATTTTGTACAGCAGCCTTGGCAAAGAATTTATGACTAAGTCTTCAAAAGCAATGGCAACAAAACCAAAAATTGACAAGTGAGTCCTAATTAAAGTAAGGAAACTATCAATGAGTAAACAGACAGCCTAGAGAATGTGAGAAAATGTTTGCAAACTGTGCATCTGACAAAGGTGTAATACACAGAATCTATAAGAAACTTAATTCAGCAAACAAAAAACAGATAACACCATTAAGAAGTGAGCAAAGGACATTAACAGACACTTCTCAAAAGAACACATGCAAATGACCAAGAAACATATTAGAGAATGCTCAGCATCTCTAATCATCAGAGAAATGCAAATAAAAACTACAATGAGATACCATCTCATACCAGTCAGAAAGGCTATTATTAAAAAGTCTAAAAATAACAGATGTTGGTGAGGCTGCAGAGAAAAGGAAAACATTTATACACTGTTGGTGGGAATGTAAATTCATTCAGCCACAGTGGAAAGCCGTTCAGAAATTTTTCAAAGAACTAAAAATAGAACTACCATTTGACCCAGCAATCCCACTACTGGTTACATACACAAGGGAAAATAAATCATTCTACCAAAAAGACACATTTACTCACATGTTCATCGCAGCACTGTTCACAGTATCAAAGACATGGAATCAACCCAGGTATTAATCAACTGTGGACTGGATAAACAAAATGTGGCACATATACACCATGGAATACTATGCAGCCATAAAAAGAATGAAATCATGTCCTTTGCAGCAACATGGATGCAGCTGGAGGCCATCATGTTAAGAGAATTAATACAGGAACAGAAAACCAAATACCTCATGTTTTCACTTATGACCAGGAGCTAAACAATACTCATGGACATAGAGATGGCAACAATAGAAACTGGGGCCTACTAGAGGTGGAAGGGAGGGGAGCAAGGGCTTAAAATCTACCTATTGGTTAGTATGCTCACTACCTGTGTGTCAAGATCAATCATACCCCAAACTTCAGCCTCATGTAATATACCCATGTAACACACTTCACATTGTACCCCCTAAATCTAAAAGTTGAAATTTAAAAAATAATTCCATAAACAAAATTAGGAGGCAAATAATAAACTTGGAGAAAGTATATGCTTTAAAATAAGTCACTCTTTTAAAACAAAAATACCAAGTTGGCGTATTTTTCTTAATTCTAGAAATATTTTTGCAGCAACTATTACCTATCAGGCACTGCATTAAGTAATAAGTGCTGGTGAATTAGACACAGGCTTTGTTTCATAAGTGTTTGGATGGAGATGGAGAAGGAAAAGTGGGAAGAGAGTTTCAGACAAAAGGCACTGTCGTGCACCACTGGTAGGACAGTAAATTGGTATACCCCTTCTGCCGAGAAATTTGAAAACAAGCATTAAGCATATTAAAAATAGACGTACTCCTTAACCCTGCCATTCTACTTGCAAGATTTTACCCTCAGTAAATGATCAGAGAGGCATAAATTTAACAATAATAGCAAATATTACAAGTGCTTACTTGGTATTAGGCTTTGTGTAAGAATTTTACTAGCATTAACTCATTTAATTCTCTCAACTTTCTGAGATTGCTACTATTTTATCTCTATTTTATATATGGGAACACGGAAGCACATGGAAGCTAAGTAATTCGCCAAAGATTTACAGAGCTTATAAGTGGCAGAGCCAGAATCTAAACCCAAGCAGCCTTTACTCTTAATCTCTATGTCATGATATCTATGAAAGGATACTAGGTACAGCAGGATTTATATTTGTGTACAAGTGTAAATAATGTAAACAAATGCCAATAGGGGCTCACTTAAGTAAATCCAATGGAATACTATGCAGAGACAAACAATCATGACCTAAAAGATTATTTAATGATTTGAGAAAATTACCATAACTTATGTGGAAGAAAACAGTTTGCAAAATAATAATGGTGGTTCCCTCACAGTGAGGGCAATCAGAATAATTTTTACTTTTCTCTTAGAGCATGTCTGTAATCCTCAAATTTGACACAAAAGGCTGTTTTATCTTTATAATAATACATTTATCAGAAACATATATTAATTGAAAATCCATTTAACAAAATTGAATGGTTATAGTGATTTTTGTATCATATTAAAATTTGACCTTCATACTTGCACTATTGCCTCTACCAGGGATGCCATGTGCCACCCCCCTGCTGTGCCCTTTCTTACCTCTCCTGGCTAATTCCTGCTTATTCCCGAAGATTCTGCTCAGTCTCACATCTCCACAAAACCTTGGCAGACCACCAGCATTTCCTCCTCTATACCCAGGCTAGATTTAGGCACCTCTCTTCTGTGCTCCCATAATCCCCTGTGCGTATCTCTAGCATTCCATGTGCCATATTATTTGTTTAGCCCTCTGTTCTCTACGTCCAATCCCTATTAATGTCACAGATCTTTATAGCCCTTGAACAGTGTCTGGCCCATGGTAGGTATCAAGCCAGTATTTATAAAAGGGATGAAAAGCATTTCTTGGTGAAGAAAAGGAGGAATAAACTCATTTTCCAACTGTGCAAAATACAGTTTTTAGAAGTTTGCTTGAGAATTAGTGGAGAGGCTTGGCTCTATAAGACTCGCTACCATAGGTCACCTTAGTGTTATACTTTTAACAGCCTAGGTCTCTGTATTAGTCAGGGTTCTCTAAAGAGACAAAACTAGTAGGATAGGTGTATATATGAAAGGGAGTTTATTAGGAGAACTGACTCACATGTTCACAAGGTGAAGTCCCATAATAGGCCGTCTGCAAGCTGAGCAGCCAGGAAGCCAGTCTGGGTCCCAAAACCTCAAAAGTAGGGAAGCGGACAGTGCAGCTTTCAGTCTGTGGCCGAATGCCCGAGAGCTCCTGGAAAATCCCTGGTGTAAGTCCAAGAGTCCAAAAGCTGAAGCACTTGGAGCCTGATGTTCGAGGGCAGGAAGCATTCAGCACAGGAGAAAGATGGAGGCCAGAAGACTTAGCCAGTCTAGTCCTTCTGTGTTCCTCTGCCTGCCTTTATTTTAGCCACGCTGGCAGCTGATTAGATGGCGTCCACCCAGATTGAAGGTGGGTCTGCTTCTCCCAGTCCACTGACTCAAATGGTAATATCCTTTGGCGACACCCTCACAGACACACCCAGGAACAGCATCCTTCAATCCAATCAAGTTAACACTCAGTATTAAGCATCACAATCTCCAATGCCTAAGGGCAACCCCTTTTGCTACTATTGTCCCACTTTCCTTCTTCTAGCCTAACCTTTATCACACTGTATTGTCCCCCACTAGACTGTGAGCTCCTTGAGGCCAAGAGCCATGTCTATTTTGTTTCTGTGTGTTCAGAGCCTAGTACAGTGCCCGAGGCTTTCTTGCAGATATCCTTTGACTAATTGCAAACCATTGCTTAGCAGATGGTTAGAGCAAAAGGCCTGAAGTCCTTTGAAATGAAGCTATCTGCATGGCACCAGAATTTGCTGTGCCCCTTGCTGCCCCTGCTGCCTGTGTTGAGGAACTACCGTGAACACGTATGCTAAACATTGCTTTGTTTTCCCTGCTTTACAAGGCAAACAAAAAATTCCTACCTCCAGTTATCACAACCAACTTAAGAGGGAAGTAGCCAGGGACAGAGAGTGGAGGAATAGCTTAAATTTCATCTTATGGCTGGGCCACATGACCTAATTGAAAGAGTAGTGTTTCTCAGAATTTAAAGCCTGAATGAGTAAAAATATGTAAGGAAAACCAGTGTGTTTACAAGATATCAAAACAACAGGTTGAAAATCAAACACTCAAAAGATTCCATTACTCGTAGTTTATATATTTTTCTTCAACATTGGTTAGCCTCATAGCAGGCTTTTAAACTTCTTCAATCAGGCCACCATCTCTCCTCAATTGGTATGACTGATTGCCACCTCCACCCTTCACAGAGGATGGGGTTTGCCATATCCAGGTCTCCGCTTTCTCCAGGTGCATTCTCCTCCCCCACAAACTATGCACCTGAAAGGCCAGTTGCTTTCAGTGTGTAAGGTTTCTGACCTCAGGCAGTCTGGATTCTTTATAGCCTTGGCCATAGATCCATGCTAATTTGCATCCCTGAATGCTTCACTTCCCAGCCTTTCTGATGATGGCCAAGACCCAAAGCAGAACTCTCCCAGTACCACAAGAGTACAGTTAGATCAATGTCCCACATGACTCAAAGGGAACTGGAAACCTCATCAGAGAAGTAGCTCCTGAGATTTCCAACCATCATTCCCTACATTCATAAACACTTCATATACCACGTGTGGACAACATTCCAAGAGAAACTGTGGCTAAGAATCTGATTGAGGCAGTATATTTTATCTATGGACATATTCTGAAAGCTCACCTGTGGAGAGCTAAAATATGACTGGGACATTGGCCAGCCATAACATGATATAAACACTCAAAGAGCTAAAGAAAACATTTTACTAAATGATCTGTGTTTCCATTAGGCTGGAACTCAATAGAATATATTCCAACATTAAACAATCATATCGGGCAGTTATAAGTGTATAGACGTTAAGGGGTCCAACTCTGAGGTCAAGTAGACCCAGGTTTAAAGCACAGCTTTAGAGCTGACTTGCTGGATTATTTGAATCTCAGTTTCTTCATCTGAAAAATCAGGCTCACCTCAAAAACAGTGCTCACCTCATTAAGGTTGCAAAGACTAAATAAGATAATGCATGTAAATGCACATTGCACAGAACCTGGCACAGAATAAGTGTCCTAAAATGTTACTTATGATAATTGTTATTATTACGTGTGGCAGAGACTAATTCATCAATATCCATGTTCTCCTCTTTTTCTTGGGCACCCAGCTAGAGTACATTTCCAAATTTCCCTTGTAATTAATTGTAGTCATGTCTGGCTACTAAAAAATGAACAAAAGTTATGTGCACCACTTCCAGGTCTTTAAAACACAATCTTATATGCTCTTTCCCCTCCCGTTTGCCAGATGCTGACCCCTAGGACAACCTTGGATACCCCATGTTGAAGGGCAACCAGGGTCACTAAAATGACTACATAAAGCAGAGCCCTATCATTATTACCACGGGCTGGGAATACCTATATTGGACCATTACATAACCAATAAATAAAGTTCTATTGTGTTAAGGCACTTGATGTGGTTTGGCTCTGTGTCCCCACCCAAATCTCATGTTGAATTGTCATCCTTAGTGTTGGAAGTGGAGCCTGGTTGGAGGTGATTGGCTCATGGGGGTGGTTTCTAATGGTTTAGCACCATCCCCTTAGTCCTGGCTCATGATAGAGTTCCCATGAGATCTGGTGGTTTAAAACTGTGTAACACTTTCTCTTTCTCTCTGTCTCTCTCCTGCTGCCATGTGAAGAAGGGTGCTTGCTTCTCCTTTGCCTTCCTCCATGATTGTAAGTTTCCTGAGGCTTCCCAAGCCATGCAGAACTGTGAGTCAATTAAACCTCCTTCCTTTATAAATTACCCAATCTCAGTTTTTTTTTGTTTTTAGTTGGAGTTTCGTTCTTGTTGCCCAGGCTGGAGTGCAACGGTGCGATCTCGGCTCACCGCAACCTCCACCTCCCAGATTCAAGCAATTCTCCTGCCTCAGCCTCCCAAGTAGCTGGGATTTTCTATTTTTGGTAGAGACAGGGTTTCTCCATGTTGGTCAGACTGATCTTGAACTCCCAACCTCAGGTGATCCGTCCACCTCGGCCTCCCAAAGTGCTGGGATTACAGGCATGAGACACTGCACCCGGCTTCAGGTAGTTCTTTATAGCAGTATGAGAATGGACTAATACAGCACTGAATTTTTGGGATCTATTTGTTATAGCAGCTAGCATTATCCTAACTATTACACTGCCCAAGTCACAGAAGAGCAAATCTGAAAATGTTTTTAAAGATCTTCTCCATTACACCGAAGGAGACTGAGGCTCAGAGTTATTGCTGAAGGTACTTATGGATCCTTCACTTCCACGACTCCTTCAACACTAGGCCCTGCCCTTTTACATATAATGCTAATTAAAGACCATATGATCAAACTTTCTCTGTTTGCCTAGTTAGAACCAGGTCTATTCCTAGGGAAATTTTAGCATGGAAAGTTGGTAATACAAACCCACCAGAAGCACAGCAGAATGGAACAAAAACAAGAAAGCCCTTTCCCGCTGTTTCTGCAGTCATTAAATCGTAACTGAAAACACTCTATGCCTTCCTCACAGGGGGTAATATGATTATCATAACATTACACTTCGAAGGGATTTTGGAAAATAGTTAGGCCAAAATATGGTATTGTTGCACAGAAATATTTTTTGTCCTTTTTAAAATATATTTATTTTTTAGAGCAGTTTTAGGTTCACAACATAATTGAATGGACTGTACAGAGATTTACCATTTACCCCTTGTCTCCACACATGCACAGCCTCCCCCATCATCAATATCCCCCACCATAGTGGTCTATTTGTTATAGTTGATAAACCTACATTGACATATCATTACCACCCAAAGTTCATAGTTTACATTAGGGTTCACTTTTGGTGTTGTATATTCTATGGGTTTGGACAAATGCATAATCACATGTACCCACCACTGTAATATCATACACAGTAGTTTCACTGCCCTAAAAACTCCTCTATACTCCACCTATTCATTCCTTTCCCCCTATGCCCCAACCCCTGAAAAACACTGATCTTTTTACTGTCTCCACAGTTTTGCCTTTTCCCCAATGTCACACAGTTGGAATCCTACAGAATGTAGCCTTTTCCGATGGGCTTCTTTCATTCAGTACTATACATTTAGGATTCCTCCACGTCTTTTCATGGTTCCATAACTCTTTTTTTTTTTTTTAGCACTCAATAATATCCTATCATCTAAATGTACCACAGTTTATACATTCACTTATACAGGGATATCTTGGTTGCTTCCAAATTTTGGGAATTATGAATAAAGCTGATATAAATATAAATATATATGTCCAGGTTTTTGCGTGGACATAAGTTTTCAACTCCATGAGGTAAATACCAAGATGCACAATTACTGGATCATATGTTAAGAATATGTTTAGTTTTGTAAGAAACTGCCAAACTGACTTCCAAAGTGGCTGTACCATTTTCCATTCTCACGAGCAATGAATGAGTTTCTGTTTCTCCACATTCTTGCCAGCATTTGGTGTTGTTAGTGTTCTGGATTTACCATTCTAATAAGTGTGCAGGTATCTCATAGTTGTTTTAATTTGCATTTCCCTGATGACATGATATAAAACATCTTTGCATATACTTATTTGCCATTTGTATATCATCTTTCATGAGGCATCTGTTAATGTTCTTGAACATTTTTTTGGTATAGTTGTTTGTTTTCTTATTGTTGGGTGTTACTCAGCAATTTTTATTGGCCTTTCCTATGAATTATCCAGGGAAATTAATCTACAAACATTAATTAAGCCACTATTATGTGCTTTCATGGCCCTGTGCTAGTCATTGTGGGAAACTAATCACAATCCTCAAGAAGTTTACAGTCTAACTGATAACCATACAAAAGATTTTAGAAAAGCATAGTTACGTGGTACTAACAATGTTGATCTATAGGCATCCAGAGAAGGGAGAGATTGATTGAGCAGTTGGAGAAGTCCTCAGAGGAAATGGAACTTAGGCCAGGCTCCAAAGACTCTCAAGAGTTAGCTAAGCAGAGAGACCACACATATGGACATATATGGTTAATTCAAACAAAGGTGGGGGGGTGATGCCTGGATTACCGAGATAATTATGGCAGTTGACACGTTGTTGCTTCTACTACTCTTCTTTTCCTTTCTACACTCATCCAGTAATAATAATAATAATACCGAAATAATGAGAATTTACTGTGGGCCAAGCACTATGCTATGCACTTTTCATCCGTTGTCTAATTTCACCTTAACTATAACCCTATAAGTAAGGTAACAGCATTCCTATTCTACAGATAAGGAAAGAGGTTCAAAGAGGTTTAGTTAATTGCTCACAGTTTCACAGCCAGGAAGTTATAGAGACAAAATTCAAGTTTGTCCCTGTGCTCTCAGTTGACAACCCACACTATCAACAACTCATTTGAAAAGATAGCTATAACATCTCCAAGGATAGGAAGTCAAGATAAGACTCAGATATGAAGAGAAAGTTCTCTTCTTCCCTGAATGGGCACAGCATGGCAAACGTACTGGACTATCAGAAGATATGCATTCGAATCCTGGATCCACCACCACTAAGCTGTGACCTAAGGCAATTTACATTACTTCTCTGAGCCTCAGCTTCTGATATGGTTTGGCTCTGTGTCCCCACCCATATCTCTTGTTGAATTGTAATCCCCGGTGTTGGAGGTGAAGCCTGGTGGGAGGTGATTGGATCATGGAGGTGGTTTCAAATGGTTTTGCACCATCCCCCTAGTGCTGTCTCATGATAGAGTTCTCATGAGATCTCGTTGTTTAAAAGTCTGTGGCATCTTCCCCTTTGCTCTCTCTTCCTTGTGCTCCAGCCATGTGAAGATGTGCTTGCTTCCCCTTCGCCTTCCACCATAATTGTAAGTTTCCTAAGGCCTCCCCAGAAGCAAAAGCCTGTACAGCCTGCAGAACCATCAGCTGATTAAACCTCTTTTCTTTATAAATTACCCAGTCTCGGGTATGTCTTTATAGCAGTATTAGAATGGACTAATACAGCTTCCTCAGTTAGTAGTTACAGTTTTTGGGCTGTTACAATTGGGCTCAATTGTAACAGTTACAGTGTTACAGCGGGCTGTTACAGTGTTTCTCAATTGGGCTGTTACAGTGTTTCTCATATGGCTGTTGTGATGATTAAATGAGATGCTATAAATTCAAATAATTTTGAACTATATAAATATAACATCATTATTTTCTTATTAGAACTATTTTTACTTGTAAGATTAGGATCAAATATAAAAATGTTTTAAGGACATTAGAAATGACCACAGGAAAACATTGAACCAGAAGGCAGAAACTCACATGTGAAAAGAGAGTACTATACGACAACCTACTGTAAAAGTACATGAGAAAAATTGATAGGGCTCAGGACACTCTACCCCCAAATATGGCAACTTGGCATATTGAATATTTTAAGCTGAAGGTATTTGAGCAATGGCAGGTGCACTTACGACTCTCTGATCTTTCCCTGAAGCTGGTCAAAAGACCCTTATGTGAGAGGTGCCCTCCCTATACCCAGGCGAAAGGAACACCCTTATTTCCCAAGGCAGAGGGATATGGAGAGGAATCTGAATGAATAGGCCTTGCTAAGTTTTCCCCAGTTTACAGGCTCATACCGGTTTGTTCCATCAAATTTTCCCAGTTTTTCACTCCTCATAAACATGCTCAGGTTTAACCATTTCTTGGTGTTTTCATTTCTTTATGAAGGCTACCTTGCCATGATATTAAATAAGTTTGTATGCTTTTCTCTTGTTAATCTGTCTTTTGTTACAGGTGCCCCAGCTGAGAACTTAAAGGTAGAAGGGAAAAGATGTTTTTTCTCCCCTACATAATCATAATAGGTAAAATTTAAAGGGTTCTTAACTATGTGCCCCTCATTTCATCTGTACAACAACCCTATGAGATGGATTGTAGACTTTTTTCCAGTGATGTTTGTTTGTTTCATTTTGTTTTGACTTGCTTTATGGTAGTCAAGTACCTGAACATTCTTCCCTTGTTTGAAAATTCCACCACTGTGTGAGTCTTTTTTTTTTTTTTTTTTTTTTTTTTTTTTGAGACAGGGTCTCATTCTGTCACCCAAGCTGGAGTGCAGTGGTGCCATCATGGCTCACTGTGGCCTTGACCTCTCAGGCTCGAGTGATCCTCCCATCTCAGCCTCCATAGTAGCTGAGACCTCAGGTATGCACCATCACACCTGGCTAATTATTATTATTATTATTATTTGTAGAGGCAGAATCTCACTATGTTGCCCAGGCTGAACTCACACTCCTGGGCTCAACCAATCCTCCTGCCTCAGCCTCCCAAAGTTCTGGAATTACAGGTGTGAGCCACTGCATCCAACCCACCATGTGAATCTTTATGGAAGGCAGGGTCCTACCTCCCACTACAAAAGCCAGATCTTGCTACTATAGTGATCATGAGCTAGTGCCCTAAAGTTGGCCAATTGAATAATCCCATAGAGAACTTGGCATCTGAAATGAGTGATGCCTTTTAGCAGTAGGAACATCAAGTGATCAGAGTGATGAGTTGTCGTGGTACCAAAAATAGCCTCCAGAGTCTAGTACCTAACCTGGCCCTTGCAGGTTCCTTTGTTTTGTGCCATTTTTGAAACCTGTTTTGCCAGTCTTCCTAATATCTTTCCAAGAAATTTCTGCTTTGAACATGCTAACTGTAGTTGGTTGCTGTTGCTTGCAACCAAGAAACCTGGCTGGCTAAAGTAGGCATTATTATTGTCCACATTTTATAAGTGAGAAAAATTGAGGTGAAGCTAAGTAATAATGGAGCTGGGATTTGAACACTGACAACATGACACCAGATGTTACACTAAGAAAAAGAGAGAACAAAGAGACCATTTACCTAGGATATTACTGCAAATGGATACACAGAAAGATAGATAGTTCAAAAGATAGTATGTGTGAGCATACATAGGTGCACATATACATACACATAAGACCATCTGCCTCATAGGAAATTTCGAACAGTGTCTAGAACAATGTCAGTGTTTGATGTTATTATGTGATTCAAGTATTTTGGACTGCAAATCAAACCTTTAAATCCATCTCAAGCAAATAATCTACATTTTCTGAAGAAATTATCAAAATCTGATCAGATAAGAAACATTTAATATTCTAATATAAAAAATTCATCAACCAAAGAAAATCCTAGAATCTTGAGAATTTCAAAATGGCACAGCATGTGGTTAGGAAGATACATCTGTTACCTAGATTGCTTTTGCTTTTTGAATGAAAAAGGTGCAGATATCTCAGTTGCTGTCAAATGACAAAGTATCCTACACCACTCATTGAGACAGGAGAGCAATGAAAATGCTAGCAGAAGATACCTAGAGTATTTTTCCCTACCCAACTACAACAACTCACAGAGATCAGGAGCAAGAGTTGTTAGTAAATCCAGCTCATATGTACTATAAGACAAAGAGGTACATAGGAAGGGGAACTAGCATTATTGGGACCCCTTCTACATACTATGCTCTTTAAATACATTGCCTCATTTAATCCTCACAACAACCCTCAAAAATGGATACTATGATTCCCACTTGAGAAGGTAAGTGACAAGGCTATGAAACGGCAGAGGTGTGATCTGAATGGATGCCTGTTTCACTTCAAAGTGCATTTTAAAACCCTAACATGAAAACTTCACAGAAGCAAATGCATTAAATGGGGAAAATTGAAGTACACAGCTCCAGAGAGAGGAAGAAGAAATCAACAAATGCTAGAACCTAACACAAATACAGCACCAAGGACTGTTTGAAATAATTTTCTCATGTATTATCTCATATTAGTAATCTGGCAGACTGAAGTTCAGTGGTAAAATGCTTCAGGCAATTGCTCCCTGGTATTTAATAAATTCTAAAGTGACTTTTAATAGTTGGAAAATAAGATCTTAAAATAGCTCTGTTATGCTTTTCAACAGATACACGCAACCAGTTTGAGCCGTAGAATAAATATAATACATCTTCCTGGAACATTTATTTTCCTTAAAGATTGGGAAGGAAAAGTTATATAATTTGTGTGACAGTGTAAAATATTTTTAAAAATCAAAACAAACATGAACATATCATGAAGTAGTATGCAAAGACCCGTGATGTTTTAAGGTAAAACAGAATCTTCAAAAGAAATTTCAAGCTTTTAACAGCTTCAGAGCCCCTGGAGTGTTCACACTCCTCTGTTGTTAGGGACACTTGGAGAGGAGGAGTTTAAGAACCTCTGCAATATTATGTCCCAGATAGGGTTATTCCATCTTGTTTGAAAGTTTCACTAAATTCTTATGTACATTTCAGTCTGTCATGACTTCACAAACAACAGTCTTGTCAGCTAGCTTTTGCATATAAATCTGGAATGAGTAAGTTAGACTTTTAATCAAAATTGGAAAAAATAGTATACAGGCTACATTTCTTTAAGCAATGACTACCAAATCTGATATTCCAGACATTGGTAATAATCATAGCCCTGGTAATAATCATAGCCCAACAGCTGCCATCTACATTCTGGCTAACATCATAGTTAGCTGACGGGATGTGTTATTATCCAGAAGGGATTACTTGATGCTAAATCTTGCAATGAGAATAGAGAGAATTGGTTCAGTGATGTGGACTTGCAGAAAGAACCCTCAAACTTGTATTCTAATTATTCCTCTCATATTGCCAATTCTATGAAAACATTAGAAATTTCTTCCTCTGCCTCAGGTGAAATATTGCTTGACTTAGCCAACCAATAAATATTAAGCAAAGCTTGAGTTTTAACTGAAACACACGATTTTTTTAAACTTGTATATCTATGTCCTTTTTTAAAAGTGTTACGTCCACTAACTAGGTTTAGCTGTGTGTATAAATCTTTACTTAGGAATTCTATCACTCCAATCACTTTTTGATCATAATTTCCATCTGCAACACAAGTCAGTGTGTTTGTTGATATTCAGTACGCCTGAAATAAGCCTTAGCCGCACAGCCTTAGCCTCAATGCAGTGAGCTTAAGGTCCTCAGTCAATATACAGGAACTGTAAGTGACACACTCCAAAAATGCTCGTTCTGTAGTCAGCCTTCTGGTGGATCACCAGAAATCAGCCTTGTTTCCTTTTATTTGGATGATATTAAGCCCCCAATGGAGTTGTCGACTGGCCTGCACTGGGCTCCTTCCTCTGGGCAGCCTGGCTCTCAGAATAATGGGACAATCTTATGCAGCCCTCTTTTGGCTCCCCCGCTTACAATGAGGATTCAAAAGCAAACAATGAGCCAACCTAGTCTACTCAGGGACCTTTCTATACTTTGAAATGCTGGGCTTTATTTGCCCAGCAAACCTCAGTATATGAGTTTCAGTTTTCTGCTCTGGGCTCTGCTCTATTTGTCCACAAGAATGTGCTATATAGCTTTCCTTAGAACCCTATGCTATAATTTTAAATAGAAAAAAAAAGCAGATTACAAAATTGCTTCTACACTGGAAGTGTAATTATGTAAAAATTATGTATGCATATTGACAAGGACTAGAAGGGGATGAGGAAAAAATGAAAACAATTTGATTTGCGGGGGGTGGCAGGACTATGAATGAGGATTTGTTTTTCCTTTCCTTTAGAGATTCATTAACATTCTCAGAGGCTGCTTGTACAAAAAACACAAGACAGTTAAATCTGTATTTTTGGATACAAAATGTTGATCATCCTTCTGTTCATTTAGCGTTTGCCTTATACTGCCAATGTTCCCTTTTCCACATCACCTGAAAGAACAGATTTCACCATAATTTAGGGAGTCTTTGCCAAGAAAATCAATAAAGACATATTTGCACAGAGCCTAGAGTGGGCTGGTTTTATCCAGGAATGTGTTGAGTTAATTGAAAAGGTTTTGGTTAAAGTTAGCCAGTCGGAGATCACAGCATTGTGGACAACACATACTGTGAGTATGAACTTCATACAACCTTTCAAATACCTTTGGGAAGGCAGGAAATTGAAATATTGTGCTATATTGGCAACTAAATGGTCATTTATCATCCATGCTAAGTTTGGAGCTCAGAAGAATGATTTGGAAACTCTTGAGGGCCTTTATTAACAATTTCAAAGTTAGACCTGTATATTTAGATTTTCGCAGCATATTTGGGGAAGACTAAGAGATAACATCTGCGTATACTATTAACATGGCCTCTCTAATAACAACTTCGGACTGTATTCACACCCACAAAAGCTGCATTAAAATACATTAAGCTTGAGACACCAACTGACAAAAGCAAGGAAATTCACAGTTAAAGGGGAAACGTGCCATATGTTCTTCAATACCTAAGAGCAACGGGGTGCATTTGGAAAGTCATTAAAGCGGCACCCAGTTGTGCCTAGGTATTGGAGAACATATGGAATCTTTTCCTCCGCGAGTGTAATTTTCCCTGCTCTCAATGAACGCATGTATCAATCTTCACTTTTTGGTCGTATAGGTTTTTGTTTGCTTAATTACCACAGCGTGTAAAATAAATACCTTCTTATTTTCAAATATCAACACAATCACACAATGGAAACAAATCCTCAGTCATTGCTGCCTGATTATTCCTAGTGATTTGTCCTTCTTTCCCAAGGTGCCTGCACCATCCTTACAGTTCCAGCTGTCCTCTACCCCTTAAGGACTGCTTTTCCTTTTCCTACCCCAAGGATGCATTCACCCATAGTGGCCAACAATTGCATCTTCCATCAGCAATTCAATGGGTCAGCTGGCAAAAGTCAGAGTTTTGAGAGCCAAAAGAACCCATTCTCCTGGACATTTGCTATTAAGATAGTCTCTTTCTTCTTTATTTGTATTTTTTTTTTAACTTTTATTTTAGGCTCAGGGGCTCATGTACAGGTTTGTTATATAAGTAAACTCATGTCACAGGGGTTTTACAGATTATTTTATCACCCAGGTACAAAGCCTGCTACACAATAGTTGTTTTTTCTGCTCCTCTCTCTCCTGCTACCCTCCACCTTCCAGTAGGCCACAGTGTCTGTTGTCCCTTCTATGTGTCCATGAGTTCTCATCATTTAGTTCCCAGTTAGTTATAAGTGAGAACATTTGGTATTTGGTCTTCTGTTCCTCCATTAGTTTGCTAAGGATAATAGCCTCCAGCTCCACCCATGTTTCCACAAAAGACATGATCTCATTCTTTTTCATGGCTGCATAGTATTCCATGGCGTATATGTACCACATTTTCTTTATCCTATCTGTCACTGATGGTCATTTAGGTTGATTCCATGTTTTTGCTGTTGTGAATAGTGCTGCAATAAACATTTGCAGGCATTTGTCTTTATGATAGAATGATTTATATTTCTCTGGGTATATACCTAGTAATGGGATTGCTGGGTTGAATGGTAGCTCTGTTTTTAGCTCTTTGAGGAATCACCATACTGATTTCCACAATGGCTGAACCAATTTATACTCCCAAACAACAATGTGTGAGTGTTCACTTGTCTCCACAACCTCACCAGCATCTGTTATTTTTTTACTTTTTAATAATAGCCATTCTGACTGGTGTGAGATAGTATCTTCATTTTTTTTTAATATATACTTTAAGTTCTAGGGTACATGTGCACAACGTGCAGGTTTGTTACATATGTATACATGTGCCATGTTGGTTTGCTGCACCCATTAACTCGTCATTTACATTAGGTATTTCCCCTAATGCTATCCCTCCCCCTGCCTGCTACCCCACAACAGGCCCCCATGTGTGATATTCCCTGCCCTGTGTCCAAGTGTTCATTGGACAATTCCCACCTATGAGTGAGAACATGCAGTGTTTGGTTTTCTGTCCTTGTGATAGTTTGCTCAGAATGATGGTTTCCAGCTGCATCCATGTCCCTACAAAGGACGTAAACTCATCCTTTTTTATGGCTGCATACTATTCCATGGTGTTTATGTGCCACATTTTCTTAATCCAGTCTATCATTGATGGACATTTGGGTTGGTTCTAAGTCTTTGATATTGTGAATAGTGCTGCAATAAATATACGTGTGCATGTGTCTTTATAGTAGCATGATTTATAATCCTCTGGGTGTATAACCAGTAACGGGATGGCTGGGTCAAATGGTATTTCTAGTTCTAGATCCTTGAGGAATCGCCACACTGTCTTCCACAATGGTTGAACTAGTTTACACTCCCACCAACAGTGTAAAAGCATTCCTATTTCTCCACATCTGTGAGACAGTGTCTCATTGTGGTTTTCATTTGCATTTTTCTAATGATCAGGGATGTTGAGTTTTTTTTAATATGCTTGTTGGCTGCATGTATGTCTTCTTCGGAACAGTGTCTGTTCATGTCCTTTGCTCATTTTTTTATGACATTGTTTGTTTTTCTAAGTTTGTTTAAGTTCCTTATAGATGCTGGATATTAGACATTGTCAGATGCATAGTTTGCAAATATTTTCTCACATTCTGTAAGTTGTCTGTTTACTCTGTTAATAGCTTCTTTTGCTGTGCATAAGCTCTTCAGTTTAATTAGGTCCCATCTGTCCATTTTTATTTTTGTTGCAATTGCTTTTGGCATCTTTGACATGAAATCTTTGCCGGGGTCTATATCCAAAGTGGTATTTCTTAGGTTATCTTCCAGGGTTTCTATGGTTTTAGGTTTTAAATATGAATCTTTAATTCGCCTTGAGTTGATTTTTGTATATGGTATAAGGAAGGAGTCCAGTTTCAATCTTCTGCATAACTGGCTAGTCGGTTATCCCAGCACCATTTATTGAATAGGGAGCCTTTTCCCCATTGCTTGCTTTTATCTGCTTTGCCGAAGATCAGATGGCCATAAGTGTGCGGCCTTACTTCTGGAGTTTCTATTCTGTTCCATTGGTTTATGTGCCTGTTTTTGTACCAGTACCATGCTGTTAATTCCTTATTTGACAAACGTAGCAATCAGTGTGCTACAAAGAAGTGTTTATCAATATAACTGAGTCCTCTTTCTGTGACATGCATCCATTCATTCATTCAGTCATTCAATTGTTGAATGCCTGTCATGTGTAGGCATTAAGAATAAAATGCTGACTCAGACTTAGGCCCTGCTCCCTAGTTGCTCACTGTCTTTTGGAATAGACAGAACAGCAAGCAGGCAATTATGGTCCAGTGTGATGAGTGCTGTTACAGAGGTCAGCAGAAGGGGCTGATGAAGCACAGAGGAAGGGCACCTAACCCATAGGAGGGGTTCTGGATGAAGAACCTGAGAGTGAGCAATTGTCGTGACACATATCCGTTGTAGAGCCAAGCTTATAATTGAATTTATGCAGTACCATCCACAAACTTATTGAGCCCCTACCACATGGTAGACCCTGGACTAGGCACTGAGACTACAGCCACAGTTTCTGTAGTTTTTAAGCAGGGGAGTGACAGAAATAGCTCGGCCCAATCATCAAAGATGAGGAGGACAGAGGAAACAAAGATACAGGGCCCAATCATGCAAGCCATCTTTTATACTGTAGCAATTGAGGAATTACAGAAGACTTATAACCTGGAATGTGATGTGATCAAATTAATGTTTTAGAAAAATCACCTTGGCACCATCAAAGAAGAGATTCTGGAAGGAGTCAAGAGAGTCAGGGAGACTAGTTAGGAGGCTGATGAAAGATACTGAGGCTCACAGAAAGAAGAATGGCAGCTGAAATAGAAGGGCATGGAAAAATTCAAATAATATTTAGAAGATAGCAGAACTTGGTGGTTGATCGGATCTGGAGACTGAAAAAAAAATGATAGATCTGTGGGATGTGGAATCCACATAGACTGACTGAATGTTAGAGGAGAACTTGGAGATTATCCAGTTAAGTGTTCTTATTTCACCCATAAGGAAACTGGAGGTCCAGAAGTTGACTAACTTGGATCAAATCAATCAGTCTATTTTGTGATGCTGCAGTGCCTGGGACCAAGATCCTCTAGTTCACAAAAAAGTTTTGCAATAAACTTAACTTGGCATCTGGATTGATATAAAAGTATTAATTATACTTTGAAGCCCCCAAAGCTGAAAATTAATCTCAAAATTATTTGGAGTTTCTCCATACTTTCTTAGCTTTTTTTCTTCCACCATATTTGATCCGAACTCTCTGCTCTCTACATAGTGTGGCTGTATTATGACCTTATGACACTGCAACTGTGAAACACAAATGTTTTTGTTGTTGTTGTTGTTGTTGTTGTTTGAGACGGAGTCTCACTCTGTCACCCAGGCTGCAGTGCATGGCATGATCTCAGCTCACTGCAACGTCAGCCTCCAGGGTTCAAGCAATTCTCCTGCCTCAGCCTCCCTAGTAGCTGGGATTATAGGCGTGAGCTACCACGTCCGGATAATTTTTCTATTCTTAGTAGAGACAGCATTTCACCATGTTGGCCAGGCTGATCTTGAACTCCTGACCGCAAATGATCCACCCGCCTTGGCCTCTCAAAGTGCTGGGATTACAGGTGTGAGCCACCATGCCCGGCCGAAACACAAATGTTTTATGTAGATGCTTATTTTGTGATTAAAATTTGTGCAGGAGTGTAGCACAGATATTGCAAAATAGATAGTAATGAATTGAGGTACATCCTTGGAAAGTCATTTTTCCCTCCTTGGGACTCAGTTTCTAACTTGTAAAATAAGGAAAATAAGATTTATTAACTATAGGAGTAAATATTGTTTGAAGGCAATGAATTTTGAAATATAGCAAATTAAATAATGTTTGTGGTTCAAGTGTAAAGTTGTTATGTCCCTTTCCCCTGCCCTCAAACGCTACTACTGGGGTTCTGGATCATTAATGATAAGATCAACTCAGAAGAAGCTTGAGTGATAAATTAACAATAAATTTGAGTCAATGCATCTCCTTCAAGATATAGTTTCAACATTCTTCATCAAACAAACACCTTAAGGGGTTGCTACACATGCCTTTTCCAATATCTTCTCAAATACAATCATCTAATGCACTAGCACTTTGAGATAGTACACATGCTCAACCACACACGTAGGGGCTACTAATCCCAAGATACCCTGAATCTCTCTCTTCAATTTAAAAAATCTTACTTGGTAAACAAAGGGTTTATTCTTCTTAACATTCTCCATATTGGGTCTCTGATGCTTAACACTGAAAACCATTGGCTCCCTAGTAGGCAGTGTAGTGCATCAAACTTATGCTGTAAAATGTGGTCAATAATTGAAGAGAAACACTGGGCATGGTTGCATGCACCTGTACTCCCACTACTCAGGAGGTTGAGGCAAAAGGTTCACTTGAGTCCAGAAGTTCCAGTCTGGCCTGGGTGACATAGCGAGACCGCAGTTCAAAAAAAATTGAAGAGAAAAGATGTCATATAATGGAATAATGTGTTAGTTCTTTTTCATGCTGCTGATAAAGATATACCCAAAAGTGGGTAATTTATAAAGAAAAAGAGGCTTAATGGACTCAGTTCCAAGTGACCGGGGAGGCCTCACAATCATGACAGAAGGCGAAAGACATGTCTTACATGGTGGCAGGCAAGAGAGAATGAGAACCAAAAGAAAAGGGAAACAGCTTATCAAACCATTAGATCTAGTGAGACTTATTCAGTACCACGAGAACAGTATGGGGGAAACTGCCCCCATGATTCAATTATCTCCCACTGGGTCCCTCCCGCAACATGTGGGAATTATGGGAGCTACAATTCAAAATGAGATTTGGGTGGGGACACAGCCAAAGCATATCAGATACATGAAAATGTTGGAAGAATGTATATTTCATTCTCCATAAGTATTTTTCTTACCTATTGAACCAATGACATTCATTGTTTAGGATGAGAGACATGGCAGGGTAAGGAGAGGGAGTGCTCCTGGTACAACTTAGAACAAAGAAATAATCAGTCAGCTTGGATTTCAAACTACATTTTTCTAATTCCCTAACAAGACAATGATCTTAAAAGCCGGGTTCAGCTGAGAAACTGAAGGATTTCTAAATCTCTGTTTAAATCTCATTATATAGCAAAAATTAAACTTGGAGGTCTGAGAATAAAGATTTATTATTAGCCACAATGTAAAAGAGCATGAAGGATATGTCACAAAAAGGATTTGTCACTCAAAAAGGGAAAAACTCTTCCTGTGTTGAGAGGAAGAGTTGGTGGACGAATACATTTTGTACAGATGAGACAAGTTAGAAGATGCCTCACTCCTGAGAAGGTCAAACAACAAAACAACTAGATATACTGAGAGAATCCAGAACATACTGGTGGTGGTCTACTTTCATGGCCGTGTTATAAAATGGAAAGAGTAATTATGATATACTGGAAACATGAAGTGTGGCAGCATCAGCAGGAAAGGCACCTATGTGAATGGATCTGAGATAGCACTTCCAATGGCCCACACAGTCTGTGAGTAGCAGAGGAAGGGAGAAACTGAGAGAACTAATGAATTGGAAGAGGTCTGGTGCAGGATGAAGAGGTAAAGAGACCCCAAGAGCAAAGAAGCCCTGGATCATTGCAGTGGATACCACAGGCAATCAGGCATACCATAGCAGACATTAACACTGGATAGATGTGCCATAACCTAGCAGGATGAAGAAGATTCCAGGAGAAACCAACAAACCTTTTCTGTCCCGCTGCTGCTGCCACTATGCATAGGCCTTCCTCTGCATACAGATATCATTTTGGGGAAAAAGGAAAGCGAAAACCCCTTGAAACAGCCTTGAGAAAGAGTTTGAACTTTGAACAAAATGACTACCTAAAAGAGAGTTTTCAATTAGAAGAGACTGAGTTGCATTCAGACGTCAGTTTAAGCTTCTTACCATCAAGATTAGAGATGCCAGGATAAGATAAGGTAAAGTTTAGATAATGCCAAATGTGACATAGGAGACCCATTTGTTTTCTCAACTTCAATGCTGCTATATTGACTTGTCAAAGTAAGGATTAATTTTCCTTCTATGACAAAAGTACTACCAATTTCCCAAATGAAGACAGGATCGTCAAAGTTTTGCAAAGCATCTTCAGCATGGAGTGGAACTCATGGGGAGAATAGAACTTGTGTTTCCTTAATTCAGATTTAGGGATATTTCTTCCTTTCCCCACTAACATAATTATGAAAAACAGGTTTGAATGCAGATAACATAAGGAATAATTTGCTTGCCATTAAAACATTCAAATTTAGTTTCAGTCTTGATCAAATCCACTGACTCTACTCTTCTTTCATAATAAAAATAGATTCGATAACCAGCTAGGTTAAAAATGCCAAGCTAGTTTGTCTTTTGGTTGATGGTAGCAAGTAGTAGAGTTCCCCACTAACTGCTGTGCTGATTGACAGGGGCCTCTAAAACAATAGAAGAATATGCCAAAGAACTCCCTTTTGAATTTAACTCAAAACTCCAGAATGGCTTTCATGAGGCCATGGCTGACTGGTGTCTTCTTTGATGTGATAAAATTTCAGTCATTTTCAGCTGCAGTTGTAATTGCTATGTATGGGAGGGTTTAGGGGCTGACTATCCAGTATTATTTTATTCTTTCAATTCAGTAATAATATAATAACCTGGAGACTTAACAGCTCGGTGAAAGAATGGTACATAGTGGCCTATTGAGAAACCTCAGTCTAGTATTTTGCTTTTGACAGAACGTTCTTTCAGACATTATTTCTGGGGGTTAAAAAAAACTCTGTTTGGATTATTTGCATAAGAATATATTTTATTGTAATGTGTCTAGCATTTCCATGGTGGAAAATCGAAGAAAGGGAACAGTATATTATCATTACAAACAATGATATTTGGAATTAGAACAGAAAGTCCTCAGTCATTTTTCAACCTGCCAAACAAATCAATGCCAAGAGAAAACTGTGTGTGTGTGTGTGTGTGTGTGTGCGCGCGCGCGCGTGCGCGTGTGCACGCACTTATGCACAAGCCTGTGGGCTGATGAGAGCGTCTTACAAAGATATGGATTTATAATTTGCTACCACCAAAGGAAGCACTTTAAATGGCACTAAGTTAGCAAGGGAGCCGTGGTAGAAGGCAAGGGTCATAAACTTCAGCACAAGTGTAGGGAATGTTTCACTTTTGTGTACATTTTTCAATCTTAAAACAGATTTACTCGGGATTTAAGACTTTATTAAGGTCAAAAGGATTACATTAAGTTCATAGACACGTTTGTTATATTAATTGAGTCATAAGTTCTGGCCATCTGCAAACACATTTGAAAACAGGCATCAGCTGGTTTCCATTGCCATAATAGATCAGAAAATCTGCCAGTAAGTCTGTTTGCAGCTCTTAAAAGTTGTTGAACAAAAATGTGTTTTGAACTATCGACAATTACCTGAGAAAACAACTGGATTCTGTAAGTGGATTTGTTTATATTCCCAATATACTCTCCCTCACCCCACTTCCTCTGCTCTTATCATGGACTTCCCTTAGCCCCAAGCATCCCACTCCAGGGCTTCAGAGATGATCATTGCTTGAAAATATTTCCATTTCCTCCCTCATTAAGATGGAATATCAAGAAGAATGTTAGCTGGTCTTTCTAAAAATAACTTAATATTAATAGGGGGGGAAACAGTGTATCTAGAATAGGGAGACAGAGTTGGGTATTTATTAAATTGTATGCAAAAGAACATGTATGTAAGGAATATGTATAAAATATATTTAAGTTACCATAGATTAAAAAAAAATTACCATTACATTAGGAGTCCCATTAGCCCCTCCACAATTCTACATCCTTCCCTCTGCACCCAGTGGTACTGTCCTGAATTTTGTGTTTATTACCCACTTGCTCTTTTTTATAGTGTTTACTATATACATTTGTATCTCCTAACAATATATTGCTGAATTTTGCATATTTTGAGCTCTCTAAAACAAAATAATACTTAATGTATCCTTCTGCATTTTTTAATATTATGCGTCCAAGGTCCATCCATGTTGTAGCACGTAACTTGAATTAAACTACTTGATATGGTTTGGATCTGTGTCCCCGCCCAAATCTCATGTCAAATTGTAATCCCGAATGTTGCAGGCAGGGCTTGGTAGGAGGTGATTGGATCATAGGGGTGGATGTCCGCTTTGGAACTGTTCTCCTGATAGTGAGAGAGTTCTTGCAAGATCTGGTTGTTTAAAAGTGTGTAGTGACTCGCCCCTCTCTCTCTCTGCCTCCTGCTCCAGCCATATAAGATGTGCCTGCTTCGCCTTTGACTTCCGCTATAATTGTAAGCTTCCCGAGGACTCCCAGCCATGTTTACTGGCAGTGTGTGGAATTGTGAGCCAATTAAACATCTTTTATAAATTACCCAGTCTCAGGTATTTCTTTATAGCTGTGTGAGAACAGACTAATACACTACTTTCATTGAAGCACAGTATTCTATTCATGTGTATACCAAGATGTATTCATATTCATACAGTCTCTACATACCCATAGATATTTATGTCACACGATTTTATTTTCACAGTACAATAGTTCCATTATAAATATTTTTGTACATGTCTCACAGTATAAAAGTGCCCAAATTTAGGGTGAATTCCTAGGAAAAAAAATACACATTTTCCACTTTACTAGATAATGCCAAATTGCAGTTGATGCATATCTTCAGGAAGACTTGTTACTCATTCTGCTAGTCTGATAGCTGTGAAATACTTAACTCATTGTGATTTCAATTTACACCTCTCTGATTATTAATGAAGTTGAGAAACTTTTTATATATTTATTAGCCATTCACATTTACTCGGCTGGTATGTAGAAATTCAACTTTTATATTACCTTTATATCCAAACACCTTGGTCAAACACTCTTATTAATCCTAGTAACTTATCTGTACACTTTTTAATTTTTGTGTGTACACCATCATATGATTTGTGAATAACAATATTTTTATTTCTTCCTTTGCAATACTCAAACTATTTCTCTTTCTTTTCTTATTTAACTGGCTGTGATTGCCAGCTCAATGTTGAGTAGAAGCTGTGACAGCAGACAACCTTGCCTTTTTCACAAAAGTAAATTGAATATTTTCAATGTTTTACCATAAATATGATGTGTGTAGTATGTTTTTTCTCATTCAGTAGGTTTAGATGTTCTCTTTTGTTCCCTGCTTACTAAGAGTTTTAGCATGAATAGATGTTTAATTTTATCAAATGGTCTTTCTGATTATATTGAAATAATCATATTGTTTTTTCTTTAATCACATGAAGTGGGGAATTCCACTAATTAATCTTAAAAGTTTAAACCATTCCTGCATTCTGGAAATAAATCAATTTGTAATGATGTATTATCCTTTCATGCACTGCTAGATTTGGTTAAATATTTTGTTTAAAATTTTTGAATTCTATATTCATAATAAAATTGGCTTGTACTTTTCTTATCTCTGTTCTTTTCTTGTTTGTTATCAGCATTATGCTAGTATTGTGAAATGAGTTTGTTAGTGCTCCCTCTTTTCTGAAATCTGAAATAATCTGTGTAAAATCTGAATTATTTGTTCCTTGAATGTTTGTTAAAACTCAATATAAATTTTTCCACTTCATCTGCATGTTTTATTAACTTAAGCTTATTCAATAATTATTTTATTAATTTGTCCATTTCTGAAACATTTGTAATTATCTTTTTTATTCCTGATATTACTTATTTGCTACTTACATCTTTTTTTCTTGATCATTCTTGCCAAAGTTTTGCCAATTTCATCAGTCTTTTCAAGGTACCAATTTTTGGCTTTATTGATTGCTTCTAGTAAATGTTTATTTTCTATTTTATTGGTTTCCGCTCTTATCTTTAGTCTTTTATTCATTCCACTTTCTTTGGATTTAGTCTGTCATTCCTTTTCTAATTTCTTAAGTTGGATGCTTAGCTCATGAATATTTAGTCCACACTGATAAAAGCATTTAAGATTACAAATTTTCCTCTAAGCACTATTTAAGCTGTAACTCATGAGCTTTTATATGTATTCTACTAATTTTAGTGCTAAATATGTTATATTTAGTTTAATATTTGCTTTTGTGATACGTGAGTTCATTATAAAGAATTATTTCCTAATTTTCAAACACATAATTTTCTACTTATATATATTTTTTTATCTCTAACTTAACTCCAGTGTAATCAGAGAAGTACAAAATGGGCTTATTTCCTGATTTTAAATCACACTTCATCCCTAATGTGCTCTGAGTTGAATAGAACATTATTGTTTTGACACATGCATTTATACATTCTGTTCAGAACAATATCTTCTCACTATCAGAAGAAAGACAAGAAGAGATTTTGGAAGAAAAACAAATAATATTTTTGAAATGTACTAGTCCTTTCCAAAAACAAAAAAGGATTTGCTGAGAACATATAATTTTTTATTGTGGTGAAAAATATAGCATAAAATTTATAATCTTAGCCATTTTTAAATGTAAACTTCCATAGTGATAAGTACATTCTCATTATTGTCAAACTATCTCCAGAATTTTTCCATCTTGCAAATCTGAAACTCTATGCCCACTAAATAACAATTCCCCCTTTGGCCCCTTCCCCCAGCCCCTAGCAAACACCACTCTACTTTTTGTTTCTATAAATTTGACTACTTTAGATATCTCATATAAGTGAAATCATACAGTATTTGTCTTTTTGTGACTAGCTTATTTCACTTAACATAATGTACTCAACGTTCATCCATCCTGTAGCATGTGACACCATTTCCTTCCTTTTTAAAACTAAATAATATTCCATTGTATGCATATACCACATTTTGTTAATCCGTTCATCCATCCATGGGCATCTGGATTTTTTCCAACATTTGGTTATTGTGAATAACACTGTTATGAACATAGGTGTACAACTATCTCTTTGAGGTCTTGCTTTCAATATTTTTCTGGATATATACCCAGAAATGAGATTGCTGAATCATATGGTAATTCTGTTTTTAATTTTTTGAGCAACCTCCATACTGCTTTCTATAGTAGCTGCACCATGTTACGATATATAAATGATTTAAAATGAGAAAATGCTTAGAAGTTCATATGTGGGGTTTTGGTAAACTAGATATTTTGGGATCCTAAGAGTGATTTAAAATAGTCCATTAAAGATGAGTTAAGTTGGCTTTTCACTGGCATTAAACAACTGATTAATCATTTTAAAAGAAGCCAACCATTTTGCTTTACAAGCTGCCACTGTGGCATTGCGAAGTCATGGCCTCTGTCTGCAAGTAATGTTTTATGGTTTTTCCTCCATGATAAAATTAGCACTTGGCTAAGATATTCTTATAGATGTCCTTGAATCTTATGCCTTATGTTTGGTTTTCACAGTGCTGTCCACTTTAGGGGTAGTTTGGCTGTTGTTTTTTAGTATCTTTGAGCACTTACTATAATGCCCAACACTGTGCTAAGGGATTGCTAAGGGATTTAACTATATTCTTATGTTATCCCTCAGAGTCAAATACAATTACTAGTCTCAGTTTTTTTCAAATAAGGAAACAAGCTGTTAAAGCTGAATGACTGTATTTCATTGATAATAAGATACACAGTTTACATCCCCAAAGTCAGTATGTATCTTGTAATCAATGATATCTTACAATCACTATTACCCAGATGATAGCCTGGCATAGTAGCTATTACCTGTGTGTGTGCACACTTGGTCATAGTTGTTGATATTGTTGTCACTTCCTTTGCATTTATATACAATGTTAGTACTAGACATGGTGAGTTTTATTGCCATTTTAAATGTTTTCAAGAGTATTCACTCCGAATTTACATTGAAAGGAAAAGGTATTGTGTATGCTGAAAAGCACTGAAAACACAGTAGCAAGGTAGCAATTGCGTATTAGTGAAACAGTTAGAGGAATGCATACAAGTCCTTATTTTCTTGCAAAGTAATTAAGTGATTTGCAAGACCTAAGAAAGAAAGATGCCAACAAAAAGAAAGCTTTGGTGTATTGTGTTAACTTATGTATCCAAAAGAATTGCCAAACAAAGTGACTGAAGGCAGGAGAAATTGTCAAATCTCACTATATAGATGCAAAAAATTTCAAGGCTTGTAATGAGAAGCCTGCGTAGCCAACTTGCACATTGCACAGCAATATTGCTAAAAGAGCATATCACTGTTTCATTGGAATTATTTTTCTTTCTTAGTGGTCCGTAAAATAATAATGCATCATATAATTGATGACATCTTAGATTTGATGGCATTGAGTATTTTGCTCAAGGTCACGCAGCTAATAAGCAAAAGAATTGAGGCTTGTATACCAGGTCTGTGTTCCTAACCAGAAGGCTTTAGTGGACCTTGTTTTATTTCATAACTTATTTCTACTCTTTAACAAGCCTATAATCACTTTTTAAATGAAATATTACTTGTGTTTTATACTTTTTGATAATTTCATGACTATTTTTGGGATAATTATAGACTCCTTGGGAGTAGCTTCCAAAACAGAGTCTGGAATCACCAAAGTTAAGGAAAACAACAATATAATTAGAAAAGCAGCTAACAGTGGCTCTCAAACAAAGCAAAAACAGATCCTGTCTGCATTAAGTCCCCCTCAAAATAACAGTGAATGTTTAGTGTACTCTATCACTCGGGAATATCAAATAGGAGCACAAATCTTAGAATCAGTGGAGTCAAGGTCTTGGCTCTGTAGTCATATTTTATAACCCTTCCATGTTTACATGACTCTTCCTATGCTTTCATAAACTATTGCTTTAAGGAGCTTAAGAGAAAAAAAACAAATCATGATTACCTCACCGAGGTAATCATGGCCATAACAGTAATAAATAATTATATAGTACCTGGTCATTTGTTATACTACCACAATTATATTTCATTTGGTCCTCGTAGCCTCACCTTATAGTGGTTAAGAAAAAAGTGCACTGGAAATCTTCATACCATCATCTGGATTCAAGTCTCAACTGAACCATGAGTTGAGTTACCAGCTAGGTGACTTTGGGCAAATCACTTCATTTGTATGAGTCTAATTTTTCTCACTTGTAAAATTAGCATCTAATAATACATGCCTTAAGAGCTATTATGAGAATGAAATGAGATAATGCATGTAAAGCAATTCAGCATGGTGCCTGCTATTTAAAGGCTTAGTAAATATAAGCTGCCATTATTAGTAGTAAAAACAACTCTGTGCATAACTAAGCAATTTTACAAATTAGGAAACTAAGGCTCAGAGAAGTTAAATCAATCTTCATGGCCACACAGCTAGTAAATAGCAGAGCTGGTACACAAATCCAAAACTGCACTTGCCTTGGGTGCAGGTAAAACATGCAATAGGGAACTTCTCAAGGTCTGTGCCAACTCTGTAATGACCATTCTTTTATGATTTCCATGTAACTTGACAAATTGTTGCAAGAGCTATAAAATCTTGAAAATGATTTTTCCCTTGTCTCATAAAGACTGCTAATGGATGGAGATGGAAATAAAAATTGAGTTGACTTTGCTGACCAATCATAGTATATATGGTTATCAAAATGCCCTAGGCCATCTTCTGTTATAACCAAAATTTCTTTATTACAAAAAAGAAACCAAATCCTAGCAACTTTATCACAAATTCAAAAAATATTTAAAATAGTTTTTTGAACAAAAAAGAATATGGACAGGGTGTTGGAAGCTTAATGTAAAGGATTTGACCTGTACTAAAACCCCCTTGAATTTCCTATTACTCTAACCCATGGTGATTATTCGAATTTGCGTGCAAGCTCTTCATCTGCATAATTAGTTCCAGTACCTCACAGAAGCAGATTGAGACCTAATCAAGGAGGTCAAGAGCTGGACAAGCGTGAGCTCCAGAGGAAAGGATGCTGTGTTAACCCCTGCTCTTAGGTACCTCTTTGTGTTCAGGAGCCACGTACCTGGGAACAAAGGGATGGGCCAGGGATACAGAGAGAGGATGGAGAGAAAAAGCTCTGGACAGACCGTCTAATAGATTTCTAGAGCTGTGAGCACAGCAGCAGAGGGTGGGAAAATGGACTGAAACCCCAGATCAAATCAAGAGGGTGCTCAGCAAAGGCTGCCGTGCCTGCAAGAATCCAACAGCTAAGAGAAGACCCAAAGTCGTTACCTAGGAAGAGTGCCAGTAGAGAGCACGGAGCAGACCAAACCAGAGAAAAGAAGACTACACAAAAAGCGAGGAGATCACAACAGTGGCACAAAAAGATCTTAGTACAGACTACTAAAACAACCACACCAGTGGGGTGGGTAAGCCTCTCAAAGAGAGAAGCACATCCCACAAAGAGCAGGTAGGCAGTCCTCCCTAGCCTAGTAGCCAAGCCAACTCAAAGCAGTCAGCCGAAGCAAAGAAACCACCTTTGAACGTTGTGCTTGAATCCTCACCAGTAGATAGACTCTGTCCTGGAACAGTGGACCTAATCCTCTCCAGTGGAAGAATTGGGTCCTGGGAAAGTTGGGAAAACTACGTACTTGGGAGAGCTCTAGCCATGGAGTAAGCTCTCCAGCAGGGTAAGCATCCTGAAGGAGACGTGGGAACTGTCCAGGAGCTGCTGAAGACCTCACAGCTGCTATCAAGAGACTACCAAAGAGATCAGGGAGCATATTTCTTGTTGGAGCATACTTCTTTATATGAGAAGGTTTCTGTTTGGAGCCTCAGGCTAGGATGCATCAAAGACTGAGAGTGACAACTACAGCAGATCATCTCCAGCCCAAAAAGTACCGGGAAGTACTTGCTAACACCACGTCAAATAAGTGGGTTGGCACTTATTTTTTGCCCAGGTAACTTTAGCATCCTAAAAGATAAGAGCATACATGTATTGTAAGAAGTAACTATACTTTTATTCAGATATACATATCCTGCTCTTTGTCAAACCTTTATTCTAATTTAGAGTTTATAAAATCCCGTATTTAAAATATATAAAATGATTTTATACACAGTACATAGCATCTTATGGCATCCTCATTTTTAGAAATCATCACACCCTGGCCAGGCACGGTGGCTCAAGCCTGTAACCCCAGCACTTTGGGAGGCCAAGACGGGCAGATCACCTGAGGTTAGGAGTTCAAGACCAGCCTAGCCAACATGACAAAACCCCATCTCTACTAAAAATACAAAAACTAGCCAGGTGTGGTGGTGCGCGCCTGTAATCCCAGCTACTCGGGAGGCTGAGGCAGAAGAATCACTTGAACCCAGGAGGTGGAGGTTGCAGTGAGCTGAGATCGCACCATTGCATTCCAGCCTCAGTGACAAGAGTGAGACTCTGTCTCAAAAAAAAAAAAAAAAAATCATCACACTCTCAGAAATGAATTCACTCCATGTCAGCTTTCTGAAACATCCCAGGTAAGCGTCATTGTACATTTTGTTACTCTGATTTATAATCCATAACCTATTGCTTCTATGGAAAAAAGAGGCACCAAGCCCATGAGTACATAGATATACATACACATACATGTGCATGCTCAGATGCTTATACACATTTGCACAATCATACACATCCACACACCACCCACACAGTCTCATTCACATACACATACACTTATATACACATTCTCATGCACTTGGACACACATTCATAAAACTTCTGCATGTTCACACGCACAAGTACATTCATACTTAAAACATACGTACACATTTAAACACATTCATACACACTCAAAAATATGCATATATACATATCAAGTAAGTGGTATGCATAAGTCAGCCACTCTTATTGAATCCACACAACATTATGAGTTAAGTATTGCTAATTCCATTGCACAGATGAGGAAATTGAAGCTCAGAGAAAGTAAAATAACTTGTCCAAATTCATGAACTTAGTAAATGGAAGGGTGTGTCTGATTCAGAAGTGTGTACAGCTGTTTGCGGGAATCGAAACAATTTACTGTGCGTGGGACGTCTTAAGGATTTCACTAATTAGACCACCATTTTAGTTAACATAACTCAACACATTTCTTTGAAATACTTTCCCTTAATTTTTCACTTAATTTTTGAGCTGTGCATATTTTGTGGGAAATTTAATCCACATGCTTGCGATTCATTTACACTAAAATGCTCCAAGTATTATTTCTTAAGAGGTATTTGATGTCAAAAGAAGTCTTTTGATATTTTCAGTGAGATTTTTCAAGCTCTATATTTTATTAAAAACAGGCAAAACCATTGTCCCCAGCTTAGAGAAATTTGGAGTTATGTCTGAGATTTTTTTTTTGTCATGTTGAAGATCATTTGCTATGCATACTCAGTTATTTGAATAAAAACTAATTTGTTCTTGTAAGTCCTTACTGTTTTGGGTGCTGCTGTTTTAGCCAATGATACACTTAATTACCTTAAAGATAATTCCATGCTAATTTATTTGTTTTCTGGTAAGCTAACTATACTAACAAAATAAATTTAAACAATTGGAATATTCCAAAGGAAGTTGTATGAATATTAACAACTTTACCACTTTAGTGATAAGTCCTTGGAAAATATAAATGGAGTTCACACAGGATAGTCAAGAGATTTTGAGTAGAGATGCGAGAGAAAATGTGAATTCTAGTAAGTTATGGATGTTTTGTTTCAAAGTCAAGTCTTACAAAAAAATCACAGATGAGCTTTAAGCAAATCACTACCGACCTTCCGAGGACAAATGGGTACTAATTAATCATCTGAAATAATTTTTAACAGCCTTGTTTCCTCTGTGTTTTTCCCTTGATGAAAAAGTTTTAAGATACAAAATAAAATAAAGACCAACACATCAGAAGCATGTTTCACTCTTTGAGAAGTAGCTGAGTTAGCTAACTTGTAACAGGAACAGAGCAGCTGATAACATCTCCTGAACCTGGGGACAAAGAATTTATAGATACTCTCATGGGTGTGGTTCTGAGGTGGAATACTTAATTTGATACTTAGACAGTGGAATTCCTTCAGCAAGGCTGCGTTTACATGGAATGGAGAAGTAGTAACAAAACTGACGTTTGCAAACTCTAAGTCTCATAACCACAACCCTATGAAACAGATATTTATTATTGTTGTCGTTGCTATCATTACAATTATTATTGATATCATCCTTGTTTGAAAGATGAGCAACCTGAGGTTCAGAGTTGCTCAAAGCTATCATAGTTAGGAGGGCACAGAAAAGATGACTGGTGACCAAAATGTAAATCTCCATGGAGAGTCACCTTACCCCACGCTGAATGGAGACTGAAGGCAAAAGCAAGATGTTTCTGAAGTGAGGATCAAAAGGAAGTAAGATAAAAGCCAACCTCTGGGTCAACAAACCTGAATCTTCCTATCACAGCCTTGACTGTGCCCCCTCAGCCTGATGCCCAACTTCAGCCTAATCTATGAAGAACGTTTTGCAGGATCTCTTTCTTGATACCTCTCCCTGTCTCTCTCTTCCCTTCCTCTGCCCCTCTCCTTTCCCTGTCAGTCTCTCTCCCTCTCTCTCTTCCTTCCTTTCTTCTCGTCTCATCTCTTCTCTTCTCTCTCTCTCTCTCTCTCTCATTTCAAACAGGCAGCTCATAAAGGAAATAGTTGTTACTTTCTTGGCTTTCAGATTAGGTTTCTGTGGCTAACTGGATGTCAAATGTTCAGATGCTTAGATGTCCCTATAGTGGGTTCAAATATGGCACCCTCATTCATAGAATCACAAAGAATAAATATGGACAAAATATGGATTACAGGTTCTGGTTCTGTTTCATATTGACTGCGTACTCTTAGGGAAATTTCCCAACCTCTCTGAGACTCAATTTTATCTGAAAAATGATAATACTATCTTCCAAGACTCTCATGAGGATTAAAGTCACGCATATAAAAGTACCTAGTATAGTCTGTCTGCAGAATCAGTACTCATGTAAAGGGTTTGGGGCATGGAATTTGCCTCAATAATCATATCAAATGCATTATTGGGGCATGGAGTCCACCACAATCAAATCTACCTCATACAACGTGGCTTTTTGACAGTTTCATAAGGATGTGTTTATTCTGGGATGTGGTCCTAAATGTCACTGATACAGCAGATGAAGGGGCACTCCCTGACTTCCCTGGGCTCCAGGCAGTAAGAAAAACGTGTCCTATACTGCTAAGCAAGCTTCACCCTGTCCCATTGCTCACCAGCACTGCCCCCCAACACACACACATACACACACGCGCGCACACACACACACACACACACGCGCACTTTAGCATAATATTGCCTACCCCAACAGTACTTACCCCCCAAAAACTGAGGCAGAACTGTGGAGTGGGAATCCTTACTTGGTAGGGCTGATGGGAAATTTAAAGGTCATAAATATAAAATGCTTAGCACAGAAGTGGAGCTCATAAGTGGTAGCTATTAGTATTGGTGTTTGTTGTCATCCAGGAAGACTGTGGGGATGTTTTAGCTTCTAAACCTGACCAGGACCTGAACTTTATCAAAAGTTCTGAAGTTCTGGGCTATTTTGATTTTCATTTAATTACCTTCACCAAAAGAAAAGAAAGATATAAGTATTGTAAGGCCCTAAAAGAGCAGAATCATATATTTTATTTATTATTATTTTTAAAGATGGAGTCTCACTCTGTTGCCCAGGCTGGAGTACAGTGGCATGATACTGGCTTACTGCAACCTCTGCCTCTCAGGTTCAAGCAATCCTCCTACCTCAGCCTCCTGAGTAGCTGGGATTACAGGTGCGCACCACCAAGCCCAGCTAATTTTTGTATTTTTAGTAAAGACGAGGTTTCACCATGTTGGCCAGGCTGGTCTCAAACTCCTGACCTCAAATGATCCACCCTCCTCGGCCTCCAAAAGTGTTGGGATTGCAGGCGTGAGCCACAGCACCCGGCCCAGAATCATGTATTTTAGCACTGTAATGACCGCTCTCCCTTCGGTACTTGGCCCAGGGCATTGAGCAAAGTAGAAACTTAGTACTGTTTAAAGAATAAATTAATGGATAATGAATGAATGATACATGTTTGGATGTGTCTTTTTCTATTTTTTGTTTAAACAGAGTCTCACTCTGTCACCCAGGCTGGAGTGCAGTGGCGCGATCTCAGCTCACTACAACCTCCGTCACTTGGGTTCAAGCAATTCTCCTGCCTCAGCCTCCTGAGTAGCTGGGACTACAAGCATGCGCCACCACACCCAGCTAATTTTTTAAATTTTTATTATTTTTAATAGAGATGGGGTTTCACTATGTTGGCCAGGATGGTCTCGAACTCCTGACCTCAGGTGATCCACCCGCCTCGGCCTCCCAAAGTGCTGGGATTACAGGCATGAGCCACCACACCTAGCCTGGATGTTTCTCAGAAGCTATCAAAGCTTCTGGTCAACAGTAATGGTTTTCTGGTGTGTGCTAGTATTTCTACAGCCCTGGGCTGTAATAAGGATTGCTTAACAAATGTTAGCAGAATCTTCTGCAAGGCCTCCAGTCCTTTCAGGGATAGATATTTGCCCAGTTTAGCCACATTACCCACTCCTGCACTTCAACTCTCACTAGCCCTAAACCTACAATGCTTCCCTTTCCTTTCACTCATCTCCTTCAGCAGAAATCTTACCCTTTAAGGCTCAGCACAAATACCACTTCTTGCATGAAGCCTTCTTTGATCTTTCCATCTGGAAATGATCGCACTCTCCTTTGAACACCATTGCCCTTTGTACTTCCCCGTTGGCACTTCTCCCATTCCCCCTTATATTAGAATCATAATCCTGCCTCAGCTCCCCTACTAGTCTGTAAACTCTTTGAGGGCACAGAGCAGATTTTATACACTTTTAGTTTCCCCAACAGTGCCTAGCACTGCCTAGCTCACTGATGCTCAATATACACTCATATGAATAAGTGAATCCAAACTAGGTGCTATAGTACATGACGTGACAAAGGTTGGCAAACCAATAGAATATGTGGCTTGACATGAAATACCTGAAAGGATAAAGCTGTATAATAAAAGTAAGCATGGTTCATGACCATATTTCTCTGTCGGAAATGTCATTATTAGCCCAAACACTGCCTAAGGCAGGATATCAGCTAAAGGGGATCTGCTAGAAAAAAATAGTGCTTTTTACTAAACCTCAAATAAAATCACATACATTTATAAAAATAAGTAAATCCTGCCGACTTTTCAAATGATTGTATCAGCATTTCAGTGGATGCCATTTAAGAGACTCAAACTGCTCAATTTCAGCCTTGACAGAATTCATCCATCACCTCAACCTTGTTTGTCTCTAAAAACGTTCAGAGTCAGCTGGTTTGACCATTTCTACCCTCTTTGACCTAAGCTCCCATGATTGCTACCTGGTGGGTTTGTACTCAAAGCTGACTGACAGTCGTGGCAGTAAAAATGCTCTTTCTAAACAGAAAACAAGACCATGTAAATATAGTCCGGGCATCAGGTTGTATACTTAAGTACTAAACTTTAGTACTGCTAGGTTGCTAGACCATTAGCATGTAAAGGGTCTGCCTATACTACTACAAAATCACTCATTTGCTCCTGATTTTCTTTCCTGCTGTGTGCAGAGGTACTTTCAAAAAATTTTTTAATTTGACCTCTGTATGACCTCATCAGATAGGTCACTGTGGACAGATTGCACCTTGGAATGAGCATAAGCCCTGGGCAAGGCTGCAAAATCAATAAAGTTACTGGATCTCTAGCTCCCTCCACTTCACATAATGGCACTTTCATTCTCATCTTGAAGCAGTTCTCTCTCTTGCCCTTCCAAGAGACAGAGCTAAGCTGTCTCCTAGCTCTCCAGGTTGCACTGGTTCTACAAACCACCCATCAACCTCTTGCCTGGAAACTCTATTCAAAAGTTTCCTGTTCAGTGTCCCCATTTTTCAAGATCCCACTTTCAGCTAGAGTTCAATCAGTGGTAATGAGTCAATTAAGATTAGCTCATGTACTACCACCTAGATAAACCAATGCTTTAACCAATAAAATGTACATGACATCCAAAGTACATGATTCCCAGAAAAATCTTAGGAATTGATGTTAATGGTGGGAATATCAGCCATATAACAGGAAATAGCCAGGCCTTTTCAGTCTGATTTAATTGCAGAGTCTTCAACTCCCATTAAAAGGGCTGATTTTATGGAAACTGGTGAGGCTAATCCTCCCTAACATGGCAAAAAACCTAATGGAAAAGAAATGCAGAAGAGGAATAAGTCAGATGCACACCACTAAAAATGGGGCAAAATTTTTACCCCCCAAAAATGCATGCATAAGTATACCAAAAGACAGTTGCAAACATATGTATAGCAGCCTTGTTCGTAATTTCCCCAAACTGGAAGCAACCCAAATGCCTATTAACAGTAAAATGAATAAATAAATTGCAGTATATTCAAGTATTATACAGCGATGGGTATGAACGAAGCACAACTACACCCAACAATAGGCATGAATTATAAAAACACAATGTCAAGCAAAATAAGCCATAATCAATGAAGATATGCTGTATTATTTCATTTACATAAAATATAAACACAGGCTAAACCAATCTATGGTGTTCAAAGTCAGGTTAATGATTACCCTTGGGAGGAGGAGGTAGTGACTGAGGGAGTCTTCTAGGTGCTATTCAGATTGTATTTCTTCATTTGGGTGCTGGTTACACTGGTATGTATGTTTAGTTTTTGAAATGTCATCAAGCTGACACAATTTTTTCACTTTTCTGATATATGTTACACTTCTTTAATAAGTTTAATAAAGCACAATACCAATAAAAATACTGAATAAAAGGGGTTTTGGTGGGGCAAATTGGAATGGCGCAAAAGACAGAAATGAGGTGGTTGAACATCTTGGAATAACTGTTATGGAAGAAAAATAGAAAAAAAAGAGAGAGCCAGACAAAAAAATTATTCTTACAATGATAGCATTGCTTTATTCATTCAATAACTATTTCTTGAACAACCCTCATGAGACAGGCGCCATTCTAAATGCCTGGGACACATCGTGAAGAAAACACATACTCCTGCCCTTGTGGCAATCACATTCTAGTTGGAGGCATATCCTATCAGCATTGAGTGTGGTAGTTTTTTGAAGGAAATATATGGGAATCTTCAAAACCTAAATCCTCATTGATTAGATTATGCCATGGTTTGTTTTATGTGGTCAGCAGCAGTCAAGACACCAGAAGAGACAGTCGACTCATGGTCACCTGTCTGGTCTTCCTAGGTTTCAGGTGATTAGAGTCTAAGCAGCAGTGTTCTGAATGAAATCCAACAAGAAATTGTGGGTTGCATGCTGTACGTGTTCTGAGTCCAGCTTAAAGTTCGTGCTGTGCTCTCCTAAGCTGACTGAGAAACAAGCTTTGCCCTCCTCTGGCTGGACTTCTCTCACTCTGGCACCTGTCATCCATTAGGAGCCCTCCTACTGGGATCTTTCATCATTGAAAATATATGATGATTTTCATTACCGCCTAGGCTAATTGGTAGTGAGTATTCCTTTAAAATATATTCCCCTAAATACGGGGTTTTGAATTTGCTTTGAAGTTTCTAACACCAACACAGTTGGACTAAAATCATAGATACTAATCACAGAAACTGAAAAGTCCAGTTCAGGAAGAATCACCACCACGGTTCTTTTCTTATTATAACCAGTTGGGCAGTAAGCACACAAATGAGAGGGAACCTTACAGCTAAACCAGCCCATGGCTGTCTCTAGTAGCAGGCTTGCTAGGCCCACTGTGTTTATGTATCCCCTTGTGAAATTACCATCTAAAAGGAAGTGTTTGATGTGACCCGTTTGCTTTCCAAGACAGTGGAGTAATATTAGATTAAAAAAAAAAATACAACACATCATATTGTAAGATTTCAGCACTTGAAATAATATACTTAATTTAATAGAATAAATAGTTATTTTTTAGAGAGGGAGCAGAAATATAGTATTTTCCTCTTATTAGTTGTTAGCACCTGCTTAATAAACTGCTCAGGCTGAAAGGGAAAGATATCATGAAATACCTTATGCAATCTTCTTATTTTCAAAATTTTATTTTCAAATGGAGACACCAAGGCCCTTAAAGTGTCAATGACTTACTGTAAGTTACTGTTGGTAGTGGAGTTCAGTGTTGAACACAGGTTTCCTGATGACTGCCCCAGCACATCTTCCAGTCTATAGTATTGTTAATAAAATCATGCCGCAAACATACGTTTTACCCTTGCTGTGCACATGGATATATGTGTGCATGTGTGTGTACAGAAAAAAACACACAAAATAAAACATTTTTATTTACTTTTGGATAAAGTATATCACCATACTTTTAAGCATAAAAATTTTAAGCTAGATTTTAAACTGAGCTTGTTTATTAAAGATTATAGGATAGATGCTAGAATATGTAAATTTAAAAACAAATCTGTAAAGAAAAAACTAGTTTATAAAAATACATTAAATATGGAAAAATGAATGGAGGAAACTAAAAGAAAAGAATATAGGATAGAATTTGCAGTTTACTTCCTTTTGTTTGTAAACCGATATGGTCTTAAGTAGCTCTTAGCTTTATAATTTTTTTAGCATGAATTTGTCCTAAAATATATATTTGATACCATCAATCACACAAATACTTAACATTTGTGTAGCTAGTTGTTGAATCATGACATCAGGAGTATGTAACATGGTCCATTTAGATACGAAAATGACATGCTGGAACTTCTAATAATGTTTATTTTTTACTTTTATCTAAAATGTCTGCAGTTAGCTAGTATGGCCTATCATCTCTACGAAGGTAAGACTCGTGTCGTTTCATTCACCACTGCATCCCAGTACCTAAAATAGCACGTAGCTTATAGTAGGTGCTCAATAAATATGTTGAATGAATGAAAATAATAAATTTTATATTCAAGCTAGCCATGTGATATGTATCTGTATGATACTTGGTGTCACTATGAATAGATTAAAGTTTCTAGACCCTAAAGAGCATGTGTTTTAATTTCAATGGGCTTTATTTATCTGGTATCCTTCATCCTTCCTCATAGAATGCTGGAACTAAAAAAACAAAAAACAAAACAAACAAACAAAAACTTAAGTGTTCATCTAATCCAATTCCCTTATTTTACTGAAGAAAAAATAGCCAAGCCCATAAGAAGTTACTTCCCAAGGATCCCACTGCTGGTTAACAAAAGAGCAAAAGAGCCTGGGCTAGACCCCAATATAAGGCCATTGGCTAGCTGCCTTTCATAGATGTATTTTTCACCTTAGCTTTCACATCACTAGATCAGTGGCTCTCAATCTTATCTTCCCCGACCAGCAGCATCAGCATCACTGGTACCTTGTTGGAAATGTCAATTCTTGGGCCCACCCCACTTCTACTGAATCAGAAACTTTAGGGGTGGAGCTCAGCAGCATTTTAACAAGCCCTCCAGGAGACTCTGGTGCACTTCAACCTTGAGAAGCACTGGTCTACATAATATGACGGGCACTCCTGATATTTTATGACATTCTGTAATTTTAGGCAAAAAAGATTGTGTTTACAAACTTGATGGTTCATTTACATAAAAACAAAGATAGCATTTGTGGGTTTTTTTAATCAATTGAGATTAAGGAAAGTAGTAGAGAGTCATATATGTTGTTTTCACATAACCTACTCAGATTCCTGGCACATAATAGCTACTCAGGGTTTGTTAAAGTCATCTGAGAATATTGTCTCGATTTTATGGGCATTTCTATCTGTACTATATAGGAAATATAATGTAGTAGTTAATTACATGGGTCTTGGAATCAGATTGACCTAGCTTTGAATCTCAACTCTGCCACTAACTAGTTGTGGGATCTTGGGAGCATTACTTAAATCTTTCTGAGCCTCACTTTCTCATCTCTATAACGGGGATAATTATATACTTACTCCTCAGTATTGTTATGAGGATAAATAAGAAAAACGCATGCATAGAGTTTAATATAGTGCCTTGTACATAGTAATTGCTTAGTGATGGCAGCTATTATGATGATGATGATGATTAGCATAATCATCATTACCATCATCATCATCATTTGTTCTCAAGTAGGATGGATTATTCATTTGGACACAGATTTGGCATACATTTAAAACTGGTAGGTATTTTTTTTTGTTTTAGTATTCCAAGGGTTATGGTGCCCATGAAAAATATCTGTTTTCTCAGTATTATTTGAATGTTCCCAGGCTTTTGAAAGTGAGTTTAGGGCACAGCTTAGATAAATGCTTCCTAGGGCTCCCCAGATACGATTCACATTCTAATAAAACCTTTTAGATGAATTTGCCTGCAGTGGGTTTTCCTTGCAAAATGCAAAAGCGCATCAGAAGACAAAATTATATCAGAAACATATTCTCACAGAAAGATGGTTTGAAGAAATTTGCCCAATACCCTCACTAGCCATATAGCAGAGGAAGAAATAGAAGGTCATGGTGATCAAAACTTGGCTGCCTTGCCCCTCATAGGCTTTATGCTTCACTGAGTCCTAGGAATGTGGTTGAGATCATGTAAATCTTGCTTAAACTTCAAATTTAGATATTGGGACAAAATATAGCAATCAATATTCCTCCCCAGACCAAAAGATAACCTCTAAGGAGGCAGTCACACCTCCTTTTCAATATTTCTCTTCAGAATCACAGCAGATCCCCATACGCCCTCCCCTTCCGGTCAGGGAGCCAGGGAAAGTAGTCACACCTGGAGTGAGTTTGGGTGGTGGTGTCCCATGCAAATTCTCCTTTCAAGTCATTTTCAGAATTTCAATGCTGCCAACTTTTATTAACAATTCTCCATGTTTCTGTCATTCAGGGGAAAGGAGGAAACAGTCTCCCTGGTGGATTTCTCGTCAGAGAGGCCTGACTATATTACAGCCTCCAAATTTTTGAAGTAAGCTGCATTTCAGCAGATGAAACAAAGGTAACTCTTAACATCTGCCAATATGTTTTCAGTCCCTATATCAAAGAAAGTGAAATAGCTCCAAATCCTAAGGAAAAAAAATCAGGCTTTATAATTTATTCAATCACGAAGATGTGATATGCTGGGCTAAGTCTACTTTGGTAAGCAAAGTGTGGTTGACAGACAAATGCTTTCAGGAAGAAGCATCTGAACTGCAAGACCCTTTTTGGTTAGGTTTTGAAGCCTTCCAACTTCACAGAGCTCCCCAGATGCTTTAGCAAATTTGTCAAGTTGAAAACTTGTTCAGCTTTAAGGACAAGAGTACAAGGACCTTTGCTCTGAAGTTCATTTTCATGTAAAAAGAGTTACCAGAAAATACCTATTTTTTAAAAACAAAATATATTCTTGTCTTCTTGTCCTTTTGTAAATCTACAGAAATAAAGCCTATTTAAAATTCCACACTTGTGTAGATGTGGCCTTAGGGAAGACCCATTAGACACAGAGATGATTAATGCTCCCCTCGGAATCTTATTTGCTTCTTCAACTGATTGCTCATATAGAATCTTACTTACCAAGTACTTAAGTATTTAAGTGCCTTATCATTCTTGAAAATCACCACTCACTAGCCTGCCTCTGAGAGTGAGGAGAGGTGCAAGCACACACGGCTTCCTAAATGGGCGAAGCAGCTCACTCTCTCTCCAAATCTGCCCTGCAACACCATCTTCACATTTGCCCCCCTATCAAAACAAGACAACAACAAAAAACCTAGCCTTAAAATACTGCTTTCTATAGCACCAGCCCTTGTAATACAGGTGCCTGTAGGACATCTAAATATTGGACACTCTGTAATTTGTAGAACCTGATTTTTTCAAATGGTGATTAGTCTTTGCAAGCTAAGGGGAGAAAAAGGAGAATGAATTGTTAAGGGATTACAATTTCTAAATGTCTGCTAGACGTCTCCCTCTGGATATCCTCTGGCACAATGAACTTAAAGTGCTCTAAACCAAAGTCATTATTTATATTTGACCCCCTGAAAAACGGCTTGGCTCCTGATTTCCCTATTTCTATCCACATTCCCACACAAATCCTCAGAGGTATCCCTGGCAATTTCCTAACCCTTTTAAAATGCATTCCATCATTTGTCAATACTTCTTGGTAACTCTTACTAAATTCAACTTCCTCAGTCTTTTTCTAATCTCTTCCCTCCTTTCCATTCTCAGCAGTTTCCTTGTCCTGGCCCTCACCACACACCACCACATCTCTCCGACCCCGCCCCCTGTTCCACCCCCTGCATAGAGCAGCTTCTCCACTGGCCCCCAGCCTCCTGTTTCCTCCCGCTGTAATCAGTCCTCTACATCCACCATGAGAGAGCTTTCTAAAAACACAGGCTTGATCATGTCACTAAAAGCCTTAAATAATAAAAGATGTGAGAGGATAAAAGCCAAGTGGGGTCATCAGAACTCATGCTTTAGTGCTCAAAATGAACAATTATCCTGATTTTAAGTATACCCAAGCCATTTTCCTAAGAATTGCAATTGTTATAGTGGAATTTTTACTACAGTGGTTGTAGGCAAGACCATTATGTCTGTGTTATGGCCTTAACCACGTTGTGTTAGGAATATATTGTATGTAATTGTATTTCCAGGAATTTTATTTGGCATAGTTTATGCAAACATATGCAGTGATGAATTCTGTTGTTGATGCAACATTTACTGGGCATTTACTAGGTGCCAGATGCTGTGCTGTACACTTGGGTACAAATATGAAAATAATGTGGTTCCAGCCCTCATGGAACTGTATCTGACTTTCTGAAAGAAAAATAAAGCCTTTAGTAACTCTCTATTGTCTATAAAATAAAGTCTAAACTCCTTATTATAAAACATAATGAAACAAATATTTGTTGAATATTACTCTGAGCAAGGACATTAATTCACTAGACCTCTCTCATGAAACCTTCCCTGAACAGCCCAGCAACCACTAGCCAGCTGCATGACCATGGGTAACTTATTTCTTGAGTCTTGCTTTCCTCACCTGTAAAATGGAGGAAATGATAGTAACTACCTCACAGCAAGACGGTAAGGAGGAAGTGCATTCCTGATATGAAATGTTAAATTCTTAGCACAGAGACTGGTCCACAGTAAGTGCTAAAGAGTTTGAGCTACTATTGTAATGCTTCACGATTCTTCAAGGACACTTCTCTTCGGAAATGCAAATGTGTTTTTGAGGATGAATCTGCGAAACTATATTCAGGCTGAGGTTTGTTACAGATTTTCCTTCCTATGAGTAAAAGTTCCCAGGGAGAGCACTGGGTACTGAGGCTGGGTAAAGGCACAGAAAAGGGAGGCCTCTTATTTCCCACATTTGTCTTGAGCCAGCCCTTCCCAGCCTGGATTTATTGGTAGAAGTCCTCCTCTCCTAGGGGTCTGTAGAGGTCACCATCATGCCCATTAAAGTTCAAGAGAAAGTCTGCAGCTGGCAGCAGACCTCACTTGAGAGAAGGTTCCCTGTAGCTTTCCACGTGAAGAGGAGGCTGGGCATAACACTGTGGTCTGTGAAAATCATTCTGAAATGCCATAATTGCTGTCTAGCAGTGAGCATGAAGAGTCACATTAGTGTTTAAAAATCATCCAAACAGCAGAGTGCTATGATTACACTAAATCAACCTAATTTCTAAATCACTGGAGTAAACCCATGTTGGATGTTACCACATAAACTTGAAAGAATTCAATAAAAGAGAGCAAACCACTTGGGTGTCATATCAAGATGGCAGTGCCTGGCACTGCTGCCTTCTTCTGAGGTCTGATGGACCTCAGTTGATGTGGTGAAGGGACCTCATTCTGTGAGGTAAGAGTTTTAAAGAGAGTCCTGGCGTATTATTCATTCATTTGGCAAATGTTTAGTGAGCACATGCTAGGTTCCTGACACTTCTCTTGGTGCTGGTAATATGGTGTTGAGCAACGAAATTCTAGCCCTCTTGGAGCTTATCCTTCAGGGGTCTGAGGCAGACAACTGACACATGAATAAATATCTAATCTAGAGTGCTATGGAGAAAAATAAAACAACGTGAGAGGATGAAGAGTTCCCAGGGCAGGATTGGGATGGCAGGTATCTTAAACAGGCTAGTGTCACCTCTGAAGAGATGACATCTGAGAAGGTGGCTGAAAGAAATGAATGATAAGCGACGTGGTTGTCTAGGAGAAGAGTGTGGTAGGCAGACGAAATAGCAAGGACAAAGGCCATTGAGGCAGAAAACAGTTTGGGTTGTTCAAGAATCAACCCACAGCAAAATGAGTGGGGCAACGGACTGTAAGAAACAAGGTAGAGAGGTAGCCAGAAGCCAGATAAGGGAGGGCTTAGAGGCCAATGTAAGTACTTTACATTTTATTAGGAGGCCTGATGGGAAGCTATAGAAGGGTTTTGAGTAGTGACAGAATCAGATTTTTTTTTTTTTTGGGACAGAGTCTCGCTGTATCCTCCAGGTTGGAGTACAGTGGCGCAGTCTCGGCCCACTGCAACCTCCGCCTCCCAGGTTCAAGCAATTCTCCTCCCTCGGCCTCCCGAGTATCTGGGATTACAGGTGTGCGCCACCACACCTGACCAATTTTTGTATTTTTAGTAGAGATAGGTTTTCACTATGTTGGCCGGGCTGGTCTCGAACTCCTGACTTCAGATGATCCACCTGCCTCAGCCTCCCAAAGTGCTGGGATTACAGGTGTGAGGCACTGCACCCGGCCCAGATTTTTTTATTGTAATGGAATTTTTGTTATTTTGAATTGTATTAAAATATACATAACAAAAAATTGACCATCTTAACAATTTTTAAGTGGACAGTCCAGTGGCATTAAATATGTTCACCATATTGTGCAATCATCATCACCATCCATCTCCAAAAGATGAAGAACTTTTTCATCTTTCCCAACTGAAACTCCACACCCATTAAACAATAATTCCACATTACGTTTTCTACTTCCCCCAGGTTCTGGTAACCAACTTTCCACTTTCTATCACTATGAATTTGACTACTCTAGAAACCTAATATAAGTCATACAGTATTTATTCTTGTTATGACTGGCTTATTTCACCTAGTATAATGTCTTCAAGGTTCATTCATGTTGTAGCATCTGAGAGGCTATCCTTCCTCTTAAAGGCTGAATAATATTCCATCATATATATGATATATACTGTATATATATATATATATATACAGTATCACACTGCATTCATTCATCTGTCAGTGAACATTTGGGGTGTTTTCACCCCTTGGCTATTGTAAATTATGCTTCTATTAACATAAGTGTACAATCATTTTATTTTAAAGGATCACACAGACTATTGTGTTGAGATTAGACACCAGATTTCAAGGCTGGAAGCTAAAGATCAGTTAGGAGGCTGGGTAAGAAATGATAGCTGCGAAGTCATCAAACTTTGATTTTAACTTGTGATTAGGCTGGCAATCCGGGCTGAAGAAGTAGGTGGTATTCTGTACTTTATTTCTTCCCAGGCTAGCATCTGGTTTATAGGATTCACTTCTCTCAACTTTCTATGGAATGTTAGTGCTATGGTCTGAATGTATGCCCCAAAATTTGTGTGTTGGAAACTTAATCTCCAATGCAACAGTGTCGGGAAGTGGGGCCTAATGGGAAGTGTTTTGATCATGAGGGAGAATGGATTAACGCTGCTATGAAAAGGACTTGTGGGAGTGAGTACAGTCTCTTCTACTCTTCTGCCATGTGAAGACACAGTGTTCCTCCCTTCGGGAGGATGCCATGTTCAAGGAATCATCTTAAAAGCAGAGAATGGAACCTCATCAGACAACTGAACCTGCTAGTGACTTGATCTTGGACTTCTCAGTCCCCAAAATTGTGAGAAATAAATTTCTCTTCTTGATAAGTTACCCAATCTATGATATTCTGTTATAGCAGCACAAAACAAACTAAGACAGCCAGAAAAACCACTACTTCTAGAGAAATCTGATAATTAATCTACAGTGAGATTGACAAAAGTGCTAAGCAATCTGTAGTAATAACTCAGCCAGCTAGAAGCTTGGGAGATTTCTCAGGGTACCAGAATGCCTGAATAAAACAAACAAACAAAAAGTATATTTTAACCACGTGTGATAAAAAGCCAACTAAGGTATATTAGACTTTTCTCTGTCTGCTTAAAGAGAAGATATTAAAAATATTTTAAACTTTTCTGGATGACTTGCTATCACAGTCCTGAAAGAGCAACTTTGGTACTGACACAGGTACATTATGAACAATGTCTTTAAGGCTACTGAAGTGGGCAGGGCTACATTATCCCACACTAAAGTAGTATCAGCCTTCTGCGTTTTTGGTATTTTGGGGTTTTCTTACTGGGATTTTCAGTCTCCTTTCTTGTTAAAAAGACTGTAAATACTGTTCTTTTTTTTTTTTTTCTCTTCCTATGAGCTTGGAGAGCAGTGTCCAGCACCGTACCTTTCAGGTAGCAGGTGCTTGATAAATGCTGGTAGAATGAAGACAGCCAAACATGTTTATATTTTGGGTAAAATAAAAGTTGTTTTGGCTTCTTGGGGCCTCATTTGTTGTCTTCCTAGTTTTCACTTATATTCAGAGCCAACAATTTTGCCATATGACATCACTCTGCACACAGTTAAGGCATGAGGCCAGTGACGGCTGGTAAGAAAAACCTGCTTGGACCATACATGTTGATCCTAGGTCAGAGAAGCCATGAAATGAGAAATGTCTTCCTGTTTCATCTATTCTGGTCAGAGCCATACTGTAAAAAGATGTGCAATATTTTGAAAGCATCAACTGTTTGACATCTGTTTTAGGGAAGTTCACAAGCACATTCTTGATGACAAAAGTAGTGTGTTATTTTCTTTATTTTCTTGCCAAAAAAAAATGCATTCTGAAATATAGACTATCTGGATGGGCTCACATTTAAACTAGAAGTACATGTGAAAATTACAGAATCTTACAGGAAGAAGGGATCCAGAGAGATGAGAAAAACAGGAAGACAGACAGATGTGAACATGAAGCTAGAGAACACTATCATTGTTACAGTTCACATTGCATATTTCTTAGGAATGTCTCTTTGCCAAGCTGCTCCTAGGTTTTGGTTTGCATATGTGGCTCTGTGTCTTAAGAGGAATATACCAGGAGAGATTTGGAATTGGTACTGACTCTATTGATTACATTAATTTGAGGAGCCTTGCTTTAAGAGCATGAGAGCTGACTCTGTCATCTAACAATCAACAAATGATTATTGATTATTCAACCATCAGTAAATTAAAACAGCTAGCTTCTATTGAATACTTACCATATGCCTTGCACTGTGTTAAGTAATTTAAGTATAACTAATTTAATCATCAATCAACCTCATGAAGTAGATTCTATTATTTTCACTGCTTTATAGATGAGAAAACTGAGGTTTAGTAAATTGCAGAGCTGGTATTTAAATCCAAGTTTATCTGAGGCCAAAGCTACTGTCCTTAACCACTGTACCATACTATATGTATCAGCAAGAGAATCAGAAACCCTGGGTCTTTGCTGACTACCCAAAAGACTAGAGCTGAATGCAACTAATAGGGTAGTACTATGGATATCCCAGAGATCTCCAAGGGAGCTGTTTTTTGCAAGAGTACAAAGCCTCATAAAAGCCAATAGAGGACTCAGCACAGACACTGCTTGCTTGAAGCTAAACCCTAAAAGTGCTGAGAGTGAAAAACAAAAGAAGCAAGAGCAAGAAATCAGAATGCTCAGAGAAATGGTTAATGGGCCCAGGCAATTGATTGTTGTACTCAGAAAGGGAATCATGAAAAGCTAGCAAATGCTCTAGCATACCAAGCAGCAGTCAGAAGGCCACAGCCACTCACCTTTAGGTATCATCTTACAGAATGTGAGGAGCCCTAGGATAGGGTACAAATACAAGCAATGCTTTTCCCAGGGAAAAGGGTCTACTGTCTACCTACCTCTTCCCACTAGAGTGTAAGCTCCTTAAGCACAGAAACCATGTCTTTTTGTACAAGAACTTATCCCCAATTCTTAAAACAGCACCTGGCACGTAGAGGGTGCTCGAGAAATATTTGTTAAATTCAGGCATTCAGACAGTGCCCAGTTTGCTATCCTAAGCTACAACCCAGATGTCTCCAAGTTCTCCAGTCTTGAAACATGCAAATTAGAGTCCAGGCTCCCAATCCGCTCTGTAGCAGTCATTAGTGCCACTCAACAAATATTTTCAACACCCTGCTTTCCAGGCACATGGCAGACTCCACCTCCCCACTCCTTTTAAAGTTAGGTGTGGCACTGTGATGTCTCTTAGCCAATGAAATGTGACCAGAAGCTTTAACAACTTTTCCATGCCTAGGCAATCATGGAAGCATGGAGATGTAACTTCCCTGAGCCTGACACCCAGAGTGAGGACTAGAAGAAGAGCCAGCCAACCCACAATAGACAAATTCTGTTGTTTTTTAAAGCCACTGAAATTTTAGGATTGTTACTTCAGCCTAATCTAGCCTTGCCTAACTGATGTATTGCCTAATTTGCAGAAAAACTCGTCTTTTTATCAAGCTGCCTTTGCCTAGATTTCCTGGGAATCATTAAGAGATGCCTGCAGTTCACAAATCGATTCTGGTTGTCATTTATCACCTTTAGACTTAGACCTCTGTCCCACGTTTCTCTACTGGTCACTTCTTGCCTTCATGTAACTAACTTTCCCTGGGCTGCTGCTGTTTTTCCAAACCATGTCGTGGCAAATAATGACAGAGTTAAGACCTGGCTATGGAGTTTAAAAGAATTTTACTGAAGGCTTGGGGACCACAGAGGGGAATTACAGTGTAGGAAAAAAAAAAAAAAAAGCTCAATGTTGGTTGTTCATTATCATGTTGCATAGGCTCTATCAGCCAGGTATGTCCACAAGGGTCCCCATTAGCAGGTTCTTTCCTTAGTCTCAGCATCTACTGCCATGGTGAAAGTTTAGCTTAGCTCACATGGAGAAAAGCATCTTCCACCTTATCCACACTGTCCAGAGGTCACCCCCTGACCTTCTCCTTCAAGGCCCAAAGAGAGAAGGAAAGCCATCCTTGCCTCCAGTGGAAAGCATCATAATCTCTACAGATATCCAACTCTATCCCCAGGAAGCCCACCAGGTACACTCTTCTACAGGGCAGTTTACTCTTTATTTTGACAACCTCTTCATTCTAGAACAGAATGTAAGTTAGAGCTTTTCAAAATTAATGGTCCATTGAAGTGATTTTTCCCAAAAGAAAAGAGCAATATTTTTTCAGCAATGAACTCTCAAAGCAAAGGTAAGAAGCTGCTGGCAGCCTTAACTAGCAGCTTGTCCCTGCTTCTGGTCACTTTTTGCTTGATTTTTTTTTAATCTTTTTTTTTTGATGGAGCCTACTTTTCTCTCTACACAAATTTCCAGAGCTTTGCTCCACGTAGTGTGACACCTAATCACATAATGTCCTGTGCCGTAATGATCTGTTCCACCAATCTTGTCTGGTGGCCTCAGCTTAAATGTAAGATCACTGGGAAAGGTAATTGTATCTCCTACTACTTAGTAAAGAGAGGCAGATTCACACAGGGTTAAGAGTTAGACGCTGTAAATATACCTCTTAACACAAAGTAAATGTTAAGTGTTTGCTACTACCATAATGCCTCTGGGATGACCCAATGACTTGTCTGGTTTCCTTCCTAAAGGGCTGAGATTGCAAGGGCTTGCTATCTTTAATGGCCAGAGGAAGAACTAGTTCAAGGGCTGAATGCCAACCTGAATTAAAAAGGAAAGCTAAGACCACTACCGTATCTGGTAAGTGAGGCCATGCATGGCCAGGGAGCCAGGCAAGAGATCAAGAACAGCAGGAATCAAGGGCAGGAAAATAGAATCCAAGACCAATTTTGGAATTGGATCAAACCAAGGAAGCTGGTGTTTGTCATTAAGGTGTGTTGTGGGGAAAACAGAGCCAGACTGACCACCTTGCACTCTCTTCAAGGCCTTACATGAGTTATTTTCCTTCTCAGAATCCTAAGGTTCCATTGAAAAAGAGAAATATTATTTTCATAAGCTAGCATTTTCCAAAGCATGCTCTGTGGAAACAAAGTTCTTGAGGAAGTTAGTAGGCATATTGTGAAACCAACTTGGAAATTGTAGCATTAAATAAAGTTTAACACGTTTCCTTACTATAGGGCCCATCAAAGGATGTTAAGATGCAGTGTGAATCTCCAGGAGGGAGGTAGAGGATGCAATGTCACCCTGAAGATACTTGAGAAGGAAACCTTCTTTTCATCACCATCTCTCCCTGCCATAACTCATTATATCTACAAAGCACTTTAAGCTCATCATAATGAAAGAGGCCATGTAAGTTCAATGTAAGCTGTAGATGGATGTATCTAATCATGCTATTCAGCAAGGAGCATCAAAATGGAAGCAGAAAAGATTGCAAAGGACTTCTCCCAACCAGGTGGTTGGCAAGGTGGACACATGGCAGAAATCATACATGTTATCTTAGATTTTGTGAGAGCCAAGGAAGGGGAGGCTAGAGAGTGAATGAATCAGATAAGGACAAGCCCTTCTCTGAAAGGGGAGCAAGGGTGGTTTCCTGGAGGATTAGCCATTTTTATTTTTATTTGGTTTTATTTTGTGTGTGTGTGTTATTAGATACATGTATTTTCTAACATTTTATTTTGAAGTAAGTTTAGACTTAACAAATGTGCAAAAATGGTACAGAGAATTCCCTCACCCCTTTTACCCAGCGTCCCTTAATGATAATATCTTACATAATCATAGGATTAGACATTTTTAGAGTATTTTCTCTGTGCCCGGTACAGTGCTGTGTGCTTAATACACAATATTTCACCCAACCATCCCAACAATCTCATAAGGTAGAGCTCATGATTCTCACTTTGCAGACTAAGAAACTGACATTGAGGTTCAGAGAGATCGTGTAAATTGCCTAAGGTCACTTAGTATATTAGCTTGCAGAGCTGAGATTACAGCTAAGGTCAGACTGACTCCAAAATCTGTAGTCTTTGCTCCCTCCAGTTGACCACAGATCTCAATAAGCCTGTGCTCAGTGCCTTCTGGTCCCTGTCTTGGGGGTAAACACTCTAATAGTGAGGAAGAAACTTGGTAACAAATAACTCAAATATAGTTATGCTCAATGTTTGTTCAAGGTACAGTGGAACTTGAAGGAGAGAAAATGTTACCATGTCAGCTTAGCCATGTGGAGTGGAGGGCTGGTCAGGGAAACATTGTAGAAGAGTAGCCCCTTGAACTGAGTCCTGATAAGAGTCACCAAGGACACAAGGAGTAGGCAGTAGGTGCTTGGTGGGTGTGGAGTACATTCCTGACAGGATATATTGTTCATATGGGAATTTTCATAAAACTTTTTAAATGAAAAAACAAACTTCCAAAAAAAGAATCTATATTACAGTTGCTGATAGTTCTGTTTCAGAAGTTCAGAGACTTGACCACCAAAAGAAAACACAACAGAACCAAACAACAACAACAAAAAAAAACCAAAGGCATTGCTAATCTGCCATCTGCACCAACGATGTAGGAAAATAAACCAGGAGAACTAAGCAAAGCAAAACAAAACAAAAACGCCTTAAACAAAAAAGACCTCTTTTGAGACAGGAGGAAAGCCCTGTCTCCCAAAGCCACATTCATGTTTTCTGTGTTTATGCTGTGGTGTGACCGGGGCCTAGTGTCCTGTTGGGGGCCTTTTTATGCTTCATGGCTTAATCTGTCTCCATCACTTCCCAAAATCAGACGGGAATCAGCTTAAAAAGCCAAGACTTGACTTTAGCCCTGCAGCGCCCACCTCCCAAGCCACAACATCTTAGTGCAGCCTCCTCCCAGGCAAGGAAACAGTCAATAAGGAAATACCATAGTTAGGCTCTTTGCAACTTGCTGGAAGTGTGAGGCGGCGCTTCATTTCCTGATCGCTCAGGTGGAAATTGTAAAAACAATTAAGAGCAATGACTAATCACCAAATCAAAGCAGGTTGCCCAACTCATTTGCAATTGTGTGCTCAGTTCTGTGTGCCAACAAACAAAGACTTGGGGAGTTTATTATTTAAACCAATTAAAAGCTCTAGGCAAAGCGAGTAGTCAATTTGTGGCCACGTGGTGGGAAAACATCAGTTGGAAGAGCCTGAGGAATTTCATGAGCAGAGCCATATGGCCAAAAACGAAATGAAGCTCCCAGGATCACTGGGAATGTCTGCAGTGAAAGCAATTTCAGAATAAAAAGTGTCACCTAGCAAGAAAGACTTGCGTTCTGCGCATGTGCCCCCCTCCCCCATATTCCAGCTTGCCTGCAAGGCTGGTAGTTCTAACCAACAGTAAAAGAAAAACGAACTGACTAAAATCCATACTCTGATTGTTCAGCAAGAGACATTGCTAAATTTCCTGTCCACCATTTGTACTTTTATGTATTTTAGGGCTACCTAGAGAGTTCTTAAAGGCCCAGATGATGAAAATCGGCTGCCCTTCTTCCCAAATGAGTTGCACAGTCCATCTGGAGAGGGCACTCACACTTTTGTATGAAGCTGTAGGCCATAAAATGGAAAGTAAAGAATTAAAAACTGCAGCCATTTGGTAGCAGTTATAAAAAAAAAAAAATAGGACGGGGGAAGGTAGAAGGTTGTGTGGTGGGGGCAGTTGCTCCAGCAAATTAGATTTACAGAATGGGTTATAGAGTAAGCCTTTATTGAAAGTTCCTTTTCACATCTCTGCAAGATATTTTTTTGCTTACATTTTTTTCTGGCCTATTGCCTATCCTTTGCTCCTGACCGTTCCTCTTCATGTCTCCACACCCGTGTCACTGCCCCCCCACCCCATGCATTTTCCTGGAAAGTCTGATAATTCTTGAGCTCCCAATGGATCTCACTTCTTAAGGTTCTGGTTCCTTTTCCCTTCAAGTTCCCTCCAAAACAAGCATTCTCAGACAATTCTGATTATAGAAGGAGGAAGAACAACTGTGCCGGAACCAACTGGAAAATTTGGAAAGCTGACAGCTAGCTGCAGCTGTGCTGTACTATGTTGTATAACTAATGCACTAAGATTAAATGATTTTTGTACATCAATAAACAATGTGGCTCATGGTATGTCAACAAATAAATTGAGTAACAAAGAATAACAATTGTAATGTCATCCCTTTCAGAATCTAGCACTGTCAATACTTCCAATATTAATATGGCACACCTGTTAGTGTGTTGGGATATGGTCAGGATTCTAGCTCCAGTTTTCTGCAATCTGGAGGCTGGCAGCAGGAAAAGGAAGGGAGGTTCCAATGCTGTCTATCTGGGGCTTACTCTAGACCGTCACAGGAATCCAGTCCCCTCTCATTTCATTCCAACACGTTCGCAGCAACAGCACCAACTTGCATTATAGGTGAAGGAGACTAATCCTTGCATTTTTGAATCAGATGCCTGTAACGAGTAAGACTGCAAAGCACAAAACTACAGGACCTGTGAGTTCCAAGTCTGACTCTGCTACCAGGATCTAAGGAGCCCTCAGAAAGTCACCCAACCTCAGGGGCCTGCTTGAGTATCCAAAGAACATTCCTTCCTAAAACATCAGACATGGAAGAAACATGAATGATAGTCCAGCCACTAAAAGCATATCCCCATTTCTAAACCAGTGGGAATGGAAACAGCATGTCACAGAGACTAACTGAACTGTATTGAGTAGCAGATTTCAAAAGAGGTGATTAAGAAATGTGGTCCTGTCTGAAGACATCCCTGATATCCAATCTGGTGCAGATGTGGGATGGTCCTCCATCTGTGTGAAAGTACCAGGAACCCTGCTTAATTTACAAAACAGAATGTCAACCCTGCTACCTGGCTGGCTGGCAAGTGTGGTAGGCATTATGACTGCTAAACAATTTCTAGATGAAGAGGTGGGCATACCTGAGGAATGTAAGCCCAGTCCCTTTGAAGGTAGGCACAGCCATGTCACTTGCTTTGGCCAATGAAGTGTGATTGAAAGTGCTATGTGTTACTTCTGGGTAGAAGCATTTAATTGCCAAGACTTCCAGGGCTTTCTTGCCCTGGTCTGGTAAACCCTGTAGTACAGTGTTGATTGAGATGAGGTCATGAGGTGCTACAGAGTGACTACATGAAGCAAACCCACCTATTGACCCATTCTGGACATGTAGCATGAGTGATTAAAATGTTTTTGTTGTATTCAACTACCCAGCTTTGGGTGGTGTTTGTTTTCAGAGCATATTCTAGCCTATTCTGACTGGTAGCAGTCATAATCTAAGGCTACAGTTTTTTCATTCTGAGAGCTGTAACTTAGTCATTGACTGAAGAGTCTAATCTTGACTAAAAAGTTATTTTACCAACTGGGAAACATGATTTAGATAAGTAATATTGAAGAGGCAATCTGAAGGACATATTGATCATCCAACCCTTTAGACTCTCCTAGGTCTAATTTTATGCAAATTAAATAAGCAGAAGTTCATTTATTTTGGCTGATTTAGCTTGGGTCTGTATGGGAATGCATTCATAAAGCCTTAAGTTGTCATTCAAAATTGATCTAAAACAAGTCATTATCTGCAGAAAACAATAGAATGTTGTATAGTGTTCTTTATATCATACTTCATGTGATAAGATCTGCCTAGAATCTGGTTTGAGGCAGAAAATTTATCTTTTGTTTATCAAGCATTTTTTTTAGTGAAGTGGAATCATATTTTCATTTCTACCTTAGCTACTAGGAATCTCAGAGCTAAATTTATCATTCTATTTCAGGAGCTATCATATTGCTCCTTCCAGGTATAATTCCTTGTGGTTCTAACTCCAGTCTTCTCTCATTTATAACTGTCCTCATATATTCATATGTGTATTTTTATCTTATAAACTGCTTTAGAATGCTTCAGAAATATTGATGGTGATAGCTATTATAAATTCTTTTGTTTTCAAGGCAAACTCACTTGTAGAGCCAAACCATATCCACAAAGTGAATCCAGTCCATTCCCATGATACCCAGTTCTAAAGTGTTACAGGCTCTCACTTCTTCCTCTATTGTCTTTAAAGAGAAGAAAATAGTCTCATGGGTCATTGGACAGAGTATGGATGGCTTTTAGAGGTATAGGGACCTTTTTTATCTGATTCAGGGTGAAAAGAGTTAAACTACAAATTCAGAAATAATCTGATTATCTGTATTCTTGGAACAACAGAATATGACAGGGAAAGGCAAAGAGACATTCTAGGCAACACTACTGGAAAGGAAACTTAACGAGGATCACAGATGAACTGGAAATTTTAACATGCATAATCCTCATGAATGGAAGGGAGAGAAAAAATAAATTTATAAGGCTAACCACTAAGTTAAATGACTTTGCAAAAGTCTCAATAAGCCTAGTAAATTGTGTTTCTCAAATTAGGGCAGGGTTTCTCAACCTCAGCACTATTTCTTTTTTGAGACAGGGTCTCACTGTGTCACCAGGCTGGAGTGCAGTGGCACAATCTCAGCTCACTGCAGCCTTGGCCACCCTGACTCAAGCAATCCTCCCACCTTAGCGTCTCGAGTAGCTGGGACTACAGGCACATGCCCAGCTAATTTTTAATTTTTTCTTTGTAGAGATGGGGTTTTTCCATGTTTCCTAGGCTGGTTTCAAGCTCCTGAGCTCAAGTAATCCACTTCCCTTGGCCTTGCAAAGTGCTGGATTATAGGCGTGTGCCACCTTACCAGGCCTAACCTCAGCACTATTAACATTTTGTAGGAATACAGCTAACAAGAGAAGTGAAGGACCTCTTCAAGGAGAACTACAAATCACTGCTCAAAGAAATCAGAGATAACATAAACAAATGAAAAACATTCCATGCTCATGGATAGGAAGAATCAATATAGTGAAAATGGCCATAACTGACCAAAGCAATTTATAGATTCAATGCTATTCCCATTAAACTGCCATTGACATTCTTCACAGAATTAGAAAAAACTATTTTAAAATTCATATGGAACCAAAAAAGAGCCTGAATAGCTAAGACAGTTCTAAGCAAAAAGAACAAAACTGGAGGCATCATGCTACCTGACTTCAAACTATACTACAAGACTACAGTAACCAAAACAGCATAATACTGGTACAAAAACAGACACACAGACCGATGGAACAAAATAGAGAACTCAGAAATAATGCCATACACCTACAACAATCTCATCTTTGACAAACCTGACAAAAACAAGCAATGGGGAAATGATTCCGTATTTAATAAATGGTGCTGGGAGAACTGGCTAGCCATATGCAGAAAATTTGAACTTGAACCCTTCTTTACACCATATACAAAAATCCACTCAAGATGGATTAAAGACTTAAATGTAAAACCCAAACAATAAAAACCCTAGAAGAAAAGCTAGGAAATACCATTCAGGACATAGGCACAGGCAAAGGTTTCATGACAAAACCACCAAAAGCAGTTGTAACAAAGGCAAAAATTGACAAATGGGATCTAATTAGACTAAAGAGCTTCTGTGCAGCAAAAGTTCACTCATCAGAGTGAACAGACAGCCTGCAGAATGGGAGAAAAGTTTTGCAATCAATCTATCTGACAAAGGTCTAATATCCAGCATCTACAAGCAACTTAAATTCAGAAGAAAAAACATAACCTCATTAAAAAGTGGGCAAAGGACATGAACAGACACTTCTCAAAAGACATACATGCAGCCAACAAACATGAAAAAAAGCTCAACATCCCTGATCGTTAGAGAAATGCAAATCAAAACTACATTCAGATACCATCTCACATCATTCAGAATGGCTACTATTAAAAACTCAACAAACAACACATGCTGGCGAGGTGGTGGACAAAAAGGAATGCCTTCACACTGTTGGTGGGAGTGTAAATTAGTTCAACCACTGGGGAAGACAGTGTAGAGATTCCTCAAAGACCTAGAGGCAGAAAGACCATTTGACCCAGCTATCCCATTACTGGGTATATACCCAAAGAAATATAAATCATTCTATTATAAAGATACATGCATATGTATGTTCACTGTAGCACTATTCACAAAAGCAAAGACATGGAATCAACCTAAATGTCCATCAATGATAGACTGCATAAAGAAAATGTCATATATGTACACCATGGAATACTATGCAGCCATAGAAAGGAACAAGATCATGCCCTTTGCAGGGACATGGATGGAGCTGGAAGCTGTTATCCTCAGCAAACTAATGCAGGAACAAAAAACCAAACACTGCATGTTCTCACTTATAAGTGGGAGCTGAATGACGAGAACACATGGACACAGGGAGGGAAACAATGCATACTGGGACCTGTCAGAGGGTGGACTGGGGGAGGATGGAGAGCTTCAGGAAGAATAGCTAATGGATGCTGGGCTTATTAGCCTAGTTGATGGGATGATCTGTGCACCACCATAGCACATGTTTACCTATGTAACAAACCTGCACATCCTGCACATGTACTCCTGAACTTAAAATAAAAGCTGGAAATCAAGAAAAAAAAAACATTTTGTAGTGGATAATTACTTGTTGGGGGTAGTGAGGGGCTTCTCTGTGTATTGTAAGATGTTCAGCAAAACCCCTGGCATCTATTCACTGTATAACAGCAACACTTCCACCAAGCAATGAAAATGAAAAATGTCTCTGGACATTGGCAAATGTGCTCTAGGGAGTCAAATTTGCCCGTCATTGAAAACCACTAAATCGGGGTATTTTTTCATCAGAAACTTCTGCAACAGTCAGCCATAACCCTCCCCTGTTTTGTATTTCTTATAAAATAATCATAATAGCTCTCATTGTGTGCCTACTATGTGTCAGAAACTTTATATGCATTCTCTCATTTAATCCTCACCACAGCCCTGTGAACTATTCATCCCCAATTTACAGATGACAGTTCTGAAGTTTAGAGAAAGTCACACAATTAGTAGGAAATGGAGCTAAGAGACAAATCCAGAACTGTTTGGCTCCAAACCTATGTTCTTACCCACTGTTCAACCCAGATCAACAACCCACTTTGACAAATGAAGAAACTGAAGTTCTTCCAACTTAAGCAATTTACCTATACCACACAGCTAGCCCATGGCAGAATCAGGGTACTACTCTAGGTTTCTGCAGCTCAAATGATACACCTTTTTTTGTCCATATGAATCTATTAAGTGGTGACTGGGTCATTTGTACCCTCTCCAACTTGGGTGCCAATAGAAGCAAAAGAGTGAGATATCTGTAGCCAATGAAGTTCAGATATTGCACCAGAAGAAAATAACAAAGCAGTGGCAATCAGCAAAAGAAAAAAAAATCTACCAGTACTAGTGAGGCCACACAGCTACCAAAGTTTGCAATGAGAAGAAAGAGTCCAACTTCCACTGCCACTTAGGGAACGATTTGAGTATTTCTCTGGTAATCCTTGACCCTCACCTGCTTCACTGAACTCCAAAGCCAGAAAAACGTGTGACCAGATTGAGTTTTCTTAAGGCACTTTGAGACTATTCTACTTCATTATGTCTGCTAATGGCTGAGCCAGAAAAAAAAATCATATTTTCTGCAATGACGATGATGAAAAGTCAATATCTCATGAACTCCCTACGTGCCCAAGCTGGAATTTAACATGACAAAATTAATGTGTGAACTAGTGTTGCTATTTAATGTGGTTTCTATCAAAGTGTTCATAAAACCTGGAGCTGCAGCTGGCCCCCATTAGGTAGTTTCTTGGTGAACGTTTTCCAAGGAAAACTTTTTTTTAACAACTTCATAAAGCCAAGCACAAAAGGACATTGCAATGACTGGCTGAAAGACATGGGACTTTTTGTCTTCGACGACTAAAACGTTAAATGGGGGCTTACTTTGTGCATTTATGGAAGAAAACTTGGAAGGCATTAAAGGCTACATTTTGAGCCTTGCATGATTTCATTCATTTATGCATGAATTCATTTGTTCAACATTTATTTAGTACCTACTATATGCCAGGCACTGTGCCAAATGTTGGGAGGAAGAAAAAGGTGAATAACACTGGCGAGAACACAAGTAACTATTTCAAAGTAGTCTATGGCAAGGGCTTCAGTGACAGAATTTGTAAAGCTACCTGGAAAAGTGCTTGGTGCCAATAAATGCTCAGAATATGTGTGCTCGTTCCTTCTACATACAAAATTAAATGCAAATGCTTAGAGTACAATCATGCATTTATTGCTAAAAGATGACTATCAACCTCACACAAAAGGTATTGTTTGGGGTCCAATTTGGAAATATGTGCTATTGTTTTAAAAGGTACATTTTCTTCTAAACAACAGGATATGTATGTTAGTTTTGGCGCAACACCATTACACCTTTCCTATATGCTTGCATACTTCCTCTGCTCTCAGGAGAATTATACTCCAGCTGACGAAATCATGCTTATATTTTCTTATGAATAAAACATGAAGGAGGCTTTCCCCTCCAGCAGACTCTCTTGCCCACAGACTCAGGTTGGTTCTAGATCAGTGTAAACATTGGCCATTCATCCAACCAACCCTTCCATTCAACCAGCATAGGTAATAATAATGCTGTAAGAGTTCAGAGGCACAAATGATCTCCTGGGAGATGAGGTGGTCAGGCAAGGCTCTATGAAGCAGGCAATCCTGAAGCTAGGTCTCAAGAATGAAGGTTGTACACAGTACAAAGGGAGAAGAAAGAAATTCAAGAGACGGGGAAAGCTTGAGCAAAGATGCAGAAGTAGGAACGTGCTTAGCATGATTGGGAACAATGAATACACCAGTTTGACCTGAACACCATTCAGAGGATTACTGGAAAATCAAATTCACGCTAGGTAGGGCCAGATCATGGAAAACCTCAAATTTCAGTCTCAGGCATTGTATAAAATTTGTAGCCTATATATGGTTGCACACATTATACTTTTAAAAAGTATATAGCAAGAACTGAGTCCACAGATTCTCAAGTATTTTATTCTTAGCAGTATTATTTATTACAGTGAGTCTCAGAACCTTCCAAATGCTTCCAATACTATAAAATCCACAGGACTTGGAGGCCTGTAAAAGAAAAGGTCCTGAAAACATATGGCAACACTGTACCTGGGAAATGTGTCCTTGAGAAAAGAAACTAGTATTTGCAGACATTGTGCAAGACCCTTGTACATGTGTTCTTCAATTTAATTTTCACATAAAGTCTATGAGGTAGGTCCTAATATAGCCCCCGTTTTACAGATGAAAAAACTGAGCCTCAGATAGCAGATCAATACAGGATTCAAACTGTGGCCCATTTTGTTCTAAATCCACTATTCTTTTTACCATACCACACTGCCCCCTGAATGGAATTTCTCTGCAAAAATTTGAGTCAGGGTACCCTGTGATTCATCCATACCTTCAGTTGCTCTTTATCTGGAACCTAGTAAAAATTTCTATTTGCCTATCATCCAAACATCTTTGAATGTCAGATATTTTGAGGTTCTAGCCAAGTTAGGGAAAACAATGAACTCAAGGACTCCCAGGACAATTCATTATAAAGTCAAACTAGCCCTTCACTATATAGTCAAACTACCCCCACATTTACTTAACCTTCAAGGGACTCTACAGCAAGAATCAGAGAAAATGGTGCTAACTGGAACTATTTGAGTGGTTCAGGTTGGGGGCCACAGCCAATAAGGATTGGCTCTATTATTCTGGTAGGCTCTGCTGCCTCTTTAAGTACCACATGACTAAAACGACTGCAAACAATTATACTAGCAGGTTACCTTTGTACAGCACTCTATAGTTTACAAAGTTTATATACAACCCCCCTCTGAAACACCACCATTTCCAATTTCACAAATAAGAAAACTAAAGATCAGAGAAAGCAAGTAACTTGCTCAAGGACACTTATCTCAATAATTGGTAAAGTACAAATTTAAACCCCAGCTCTTTCACCTCAAAGTTCAATATACTACTTTTTAAGTGTGAAGACACTGATATTGCCTTCATTTTGGCAAAACAACCATGTAGTGAAATACTAGAAGTCATCAACTTAACTGATTTTATTTCTCACTGCTAATCTTCCAGGTTCTGAAGTGTATTAGGCCATTTTTGCATTGCTATAAAAAAATCTGAAGCTGGGTAATTTATAAAGAAAAAAAGTTTAATGGGCTCACGTTTCTGCAGGCTGTATAAGCATGATGCTGGCTTCTGGTGAAAACTCAGGAAGCTTCTGGTGAGGACTTAGGAAACTTACAACCACGGCAGAAGGTGAAGGGGAAACCAGGATGTCATATGGTGAGATAGGGATCCAGTGAGAGGTGGGGAAGGTGTCACATTCTTTTTTCAATAGTTTATTAATTTATTTAAAATTTTATTTTAAAAATTATGTGGGTGTATAGTAGGTGTGTATATTTATGGGGTACATGAGATATTTTGGTATAGGCATTCAGTGGGTAATAATCACATGGAAAACGAAGTATCCATCCCCTCAAGCATTTATCCTTTGTGTTACAAACAATCCAATTATGTGTTTTTAGTTATTTTTAAATGTACAATTAAATTATTACTGATTATAATCTCCTTGTTGTGCTAACAAATACTAGGTCTCATCCATTATTCTAACTACATTTTTGTACTCATTAACCATGCCCACTCCTGCTGCCCCCCACTATCCTTTCTAGTCTGTGGCAACCATTCTTCTACTCTCTATCTCCACAAGTTCAACTGTTTTGAATTTTACATCTCACAGATATGTGAGAATATGTAATAGTTGTCTTTCTGTGCCTGGCTTATTTCACTTAACATAATGACCCCCAGTTCCATCCATGTTGTTGCAAGTGACAAGATCTCATTCTTTTTTATGGCTGAATAGTACTCTGTTGTGCCACATTTTCTTTCTCCATTCATCTGTTGATGGACATTTAGCTTGCTTCCAAATCTTGGCTATTGTGAACAGTGCTGCAACAAACATGTGTGTGCAGATATCTCTTCAATATACTGAATTCCTTTCTTTTAGGTATATATTCAGCAGTGGAATTGCTAAACTATATGGTAGCTCTATTTTTAGTTTTTTGAGGAACCTCCTAACTCTTCTCCGTAGTGGTTCAAATCATTTACACTCCAACCAACAGTCCCCAAGGGGTCCTTTTCTCTATATCCTCTCCAGCATTTGTTATTCCCTGACATTTGGATAAAAGCCATTTTAACTGGGATGAGATGACATTTCATTGTAGTTTTGATTTGCATTTCTCTAATGATCAATGATATTGAACACCTATTGATATGCCTGTTTGACATTCGTATGTCTTCTTTTGAGAAATGTCTATTCAAATCTTTTGCCCACTTTTTAATGGAATCATTATCCCCCTTGGAATATAACTCCAATGGACTGGGAACCACACTCTCAGCCCCCACAGCAGCCACAGCAAGTCCAACTCAAGGAGCAGCTGAGCTCAGACACCTCTATCCCTGCCCCCAACTGGTGGTTTTTCTCTACCTGCCCTGGTAGTCTGGTAGCCGAAGACAAAGGTCATAATCTCTTGGGAACTCTATGGCCCTGCCACTGCCTGAGAAACCTGAATACCTGAATACCTGAGAAACTAGGTGTCCCTAGGGCAAGTTTGCATCCTCCCTATAAGACTGTGGCTAATGCCTCCTTGAAAGCACCAACTCCTCACTGGAGGCCAGCCAACACAAAACCAGTGCACTAAACAAAAACACAACCAAGGACTCTCACAGAGTCCACTTCACTCCCCTGCTAACTCCACCAGAGCAGATGCTGGTATCCATGGCTACAAGACCTGAAGATGGATCACATCACAGGACTCATTGCAGACACTCTCCAGTGCCAGCCTGCAGCATGGTAGCTCTGCTGGGTGGCTAGACCCAGAAGAGCAAAAGCAATCACTACACTTCAGCTCTTAGGAAGCCCCATTCCTAGCGGAAGGAGGAGAACACCAAATCAAGGGAGTTCCCCGTGGGACAAAAGAATCTGAACAGCAGCCCTTGAATTCCAGATCTTCCACCTGACATAGTCTACCCAAATGAGAAGAAACCAGAAAGACAATTCTGGTAATATGACAAAACAAGTTTCTTTAACACTCCCAAAGATCATACCAGCTCACCAGCAATGGATCCAAATCAAAATGAAATCTCCGAATTGCCAGAAAAAAATTTCAGAAGGTCAATTATTAAGCTAATCAAGTAGGCACCAGAGAAAGGTGAAATAAAAATAAATAAAATTAAAGAAATAAAAAACATGATATAGGATATGAAAGGAAAACTCTCCAGTGAAAGAGATAGCATAAATAAAAAGCAATCACAACTTCTGGAAATCAAGGGCACACATAGAAAAATGCAAAATGCACTGGAAAGTCTCGGCAATAGAATTGAACAAGCAAAAGAAAGAAACTTAGAGCTCAAAGGCAAGCCTTTCAAATTAACCCAATCTGTCAAAGACAAAGAAAAAAGAATTTTTAAAAAAATGAGCAAAGCCTCCAAGAAGTTTGGGACTATGTTAAAAGTCAAAAGTTAAGAATAATCAGTGTTCCTGAGGAATAAATCTAAGAGCTTGGAAAACATATTTGAGGGAATAATCAAGGAAAACTTTGCTGGCCTTGCTAGAGACCTAGACATCCAAATACAAGAAGCTCGAGGAACACCTGGGAAATTCATTGCAAATCACCCAGGCACATACTCATCAGGTTATCTAATGTCATGACAAATGAAAGAATCTTAAGGGTTGTGTAGCAAAAGCATCAGGTAACCTATAAAAAGAAAACCTATCAGATTAATAGCAGATTTCTCAGCAGAAACCCTACAAGCTAGAAGGGCTTGGTATCCTATCTTTAGCCTCCTTAAACAAAACAATTATCAGCCAAGAATTTTGGGTCCAGCAAAACTAAGCTTCATAAATGAAAAAAAAAAAAAATACAGTCTTTTCCAGACAAACAAATGCTGAGAGAATTCACCACTACAAAGCCAGCACTACAAGAACTGCTAAAAGGAGCTCTAAACCTTGAAACAAATCCTCAAAATACACCAAAATAGAACATCTTTTTTTTTTTTTTTTTTTTTGAGACGGAGTCTCGCTCTGTCGCCCAGGCTGGAGTGCAGTGGCGCGATCTCGACTCACTGCAAGCTCCGCCTCCCGGGTTCACACCATTCTCCTGCCTCAGCGTCCCGTGTAGCTGGGACTACAGGCATGCACCACCATGCCCGGCTAATTTTTGTATTTTTAGTAGAGACGGGGTTTCACCGTGTTAGCCAGGATGGTCTCGATCTCCTGACATCGTGATCCACCCGTCTCGGCCTCCCAAAGTGCTGGGATTACAGGCGTGAGCCACCGCACCCGGCCAGAACATCTTTAAAGCATAAATCTCGCAGGACCTATATAACAATTCAGGCAACAAATAACATGATGAATATAATAGTACCTCACAACTCAATACTAACATTGAAGGTAAATGGCCTAAATGCTCCACTTAAAATATATAGAACGTCAGTATGGATAAGAATTCACCAACCAAGTTTCTGTTGTCTTCAAGAGACTCACCTAACACATAAGGACTCACATAAACTTAAGGTAAAGGGGTGGAAAAAGATGTTCCATGCAAATAAACACCAAAAGCGAGCAGGAGTAGCTATTCTTACATCAGACAAAACAAACTTTAAAGCAACAGCAGTTAAAAAAGACAAAGAGGGACATTAGATGATGATAAAAGGACTAGTCCAACAGGAAAATATCACAATTTTAAATACATATGCACCTAATACTGGAGCTCCCAAATTTATAAAACAATTACCACTAGACCTAAGAAATGAGATAGCAACACAATAATAGTGGGAGACTTTAATGCTTCATTGACAGCACTAAACAGGTCATCAAGACAGAAAGTCAACAAAGAAACAATGGACTTAAACTCTACTCTAGAACAAATGGACTTAATGGATATTTACAAAACATTCTACCCAACAACTGCAGAATATACATTCTATTCATCAGCACATGGAACATTTTCCAAGATAGACCATATGATAGGCCACAAAACAAGTCCCAGTAAATTTAAGAAAATCAAAATTATATCAAGTACTCTTAGACCACAGTGGAATAATATTAAAAATCAACTCCAAAAGGAACCCTCAAAACCATGCAAATACATGGGAATTAAATAACCTGCTCCTGAATGATCATTGTGTCAACAGTGAAATCAAGATGGAAATTTAAAAATTATTTGAACTGAATGATAACAGTGACACAACCTATCAAAACTTCTGAGATACAGCAAAAGGAAAGAGGAAAGTTCATAGCATGAAATGCTTACATCAAAAAGTCTGAAAGAGCACAAATAGACAATCTGAAATCACACTTCATGGACTGGAGAAACAAGAACAATCCAAAACCAAACCCAGCAGAAGAAAGGAAATAACGAAGATCAGAGCAGAACTAAATGAAATTGAAACAAAAAAATATGAAAGGTAAATGAAACAAAAAGCCGGTTCTTTGAAAAGATAAATACAATTGATAGACCATTAGCAGGATTAACAAATGAAAGAAGAGAGAAGATCCAAATAAACTCAATTAGAAACAAAACAGGAGATATTACAACTGATACCACAGAAATAAAAAAGAGTATTCAAGGCTACTATGAATACCCTTACACGCATAAACCAGAAAACGTAGAGGAGATGGATAAATTCCTGGAAAAATACAACCCTCCTAGTTTAAAGAGGAAGATATAAAATCTTTGAACAGACCAATAACAAGCAGCAAGATTGAAATGGTAATTTAAAAATTACTAACAGAAAAAAGTCCAGGACCAAATGGATTCACAGCTGAATTTTATCAGATATTCAAAGACGAATTGGTACCAATCCTATTGACATTATTCCAAAAGATACAGAAAAAGGGAATCCTCTCTAAATCATTTTATGAAACCAGTAACAATCTAATACAAAAACCAGGGAAGGACATAACAAAAAAAGAAAACTACAGAAAAATGTCCCTGATGAACATAGATGCAAATATCCTCAATAAAATACTAGTGAACCAAATCCAGTGGCATATCAAAAAGATGATCCACCATGACCAAGTGGGTTTCATACTAGGGATTCAGGGATAGTTTAACATACATAAGTCAATAAACGTGATACACCACATAAACAGAATTAAAAACAAAAATCACATGATCATCTCAATAGCTGCACAAAAAGCATTTGACAAAATCCAGCATTCCTTTATAATTAAAACCCTCAACAAAATCAGCATAGAAGAGACATACCTTAAGGTAATAAAAGCCATTATGACAAAACCACAGCCAACATTATACTGAACAGGGAAAAGATGAAAGCAGTCCCCCTGACAACTGAAACAAGACAAGAATGCCTACTTTCACCACTTTTATTCAACATAGTAATGGCAGTCCTAGCCAGAGCAATCAGACAAGAGAAATAAATCAAGGGCATCCAAATCAGTAAAGAGGAAGTCAAACTGTCGCTGTTTGCTAATGATATGATTGTATACCTAGAAAACTTTAAAGGCTCCTCTAAAAAGCTCCTAGAACTGATAAATAAATTCAGCAAAGTTTCAGGATACAAAATTAATGTACGTAAATCAGTAGCTCTGCTATACACCAACAGTGACCAAGCTGAGCATCAAATCAAGAACTCAATCCCTTTCACAATAGCTGCAAAAATATTAAATACTTAGGAATATACCTAACCAAGGACATGAAAGACCTCTACAAGAAAAACTACAAAACATTGCTGAAAGAAATCATAGATGACACAAACAAATAGAAACACATCCCATGCTCACGGATGGGTATAATCAGTATTGTGAAAAAGCAATATACAAATTCAATGCAATTCCCATGAAAACACCACCTTCATTCTTCACAGAACTAGAAAAAAACAATCCTAGGCCAGGCACGGTGGCTCACGCCTGTAATCCCAGTTCTTTGGGAGGCCAAGGTAGGTGGGTCATCTGAGGTCAGGAGTTCAAGACCAGCCTGGCTAACATGGTGAAACCCCGTCTCTACTAAAAATACAAAAATTAGCCAGGCGTGGTGCCAGGCACCTGTAATCCCAGCTACTCAGGAGGCTGAGGCAGGAGAATCTCTTGAACATGGGAGGTGGAGGATGCAGTGAGCCAAGACTGCACCCTTGCACTCCAGCCTGGGCAACAAGAGTGAAACTCCGTCAAAAAAAAAGAAAAAAGAAAAAAGAAAAAAAAATCCTAAAATTTATATGGAACCAAAAAAGAGCCTGCATAGCCAAAGCAAGACTAAGCAAAAAGAACAAATCTAGAGGCATCACATTACCTGACTTCAAACTATACTACAAGTACATAATCATCAAAACAGCATGGTTCTGGTATAAAAATAGGCACATAGACCAATGGAACAGAATAGAGAACCCAGAAACAAAGCCATATACTTACAGCCAACTGTTCTTCAACAAAGCAAACAAAAACATAAACTGGGGAAAGATACCATATTCAACTAATGGTGTTGGGATAACTGGCAAGCCACATGTAGAAGAATGAAACTGGATCCTCATCTCTCACCTTAAACAAAAATCAACTCAGGATGGATCTGAGACTTAAAGCTAAGACCTGAAACCATAAAGATTCTAGAAGATAACATCAGAAAAACCCTTTTAGACATTGGCTTAGGCAAAGACTTTGTGACCAAGAACCCAAAAGCAAATGCAACAAAAACAAAGGTGAATAGATGGGACTTAATTAAACTAAAAAGCTTCTGCATAGCAAAAGAAATAATCAGCAGAGTTAACAGACAACCCACAGAGTGGGAGAAAGTCTTCACAACCTATACATCCAACAAAGGACTAATGTCCAGAATCTACAAAGAACTCAAACAAATCAGCAAGAAAAATAAAACAATCCCATCAAAAAGTGCGCTAAGGACATGAATAGACAATTCTCAAAAGAAGATATACAAATGGCCAACAAGCATATGGAAAAATGCTCAGCATCACTAATGATCAGGGAAATGCAAATTAAAACCACAGTGCAATACCACCTCACTCCTGCAAGAATGATCATAATCAAAAAATCAAAAAATAATAGATGTTGGCATGGATAAAGTGAAAAAGGAACACTTTTACACTGTTGGTGGGAATGTAAACTAGTACAACCACTATGGAAAAATGGAAAACAGTGTGGAGATTCCTTAAAGAAATCAAAGTAGATCTATCGTTTGATCCAGCAATCCCACTACTGGGTATCTACCCAGAGGAGAGGAAGTCATTACACAAAAAAGGCACTTGCACATGCATGTTTATAGCAGCACAATTTGCAATTGCAAAAATATGGAACTAATGTAAGTGCCCATCAATCAACAATTGGATAAAGAAAATGTGGCATATATATATATACACACACACATCATGGAATACTACTCAGCCATAAAGAGGAATGAAATAATGACATTTGCAGCTACCTGGATGGAATTGGAAACTATTATTCTAAGTGAAGTAACTCAGGAATGGAAATCCAAATATTCTATGTTCTCACTCATACGATGAGCTAAACTATGATGATACAAAGGCATAAGAATGATATATTGGACTTTGGGGACTTGGGGGGAAGAGTGGGGGGTGGTGAGGATGAAAGACTACACATTGGGTACTGCTAAGGTGATGGGTGTACCAAAATCTCAGAAATCACCACTAAAGAATTTATTCATATAACCAAACACCACCTGTTCCCCAAAAAACTATTGAAATAAAAAAATTTAAAAAATTAAAAAAAAACAAATGAAAGATCATATCATCTGCAAAAAAGGGTAATTTGACTTTTTCCTTTCTAATTTGGATGTCTTTTATTTCTTTCTCTTGTCTGATTACTCTAGCTAAGACTTCCAGTACTATGTTGAATAACAGCAGTGAAAGTGGGCATCCAAGTTCCCAATGTTAGAGGAAAGGCTTTCAATTCATCTGTATTCAATATGATACTTGCCGAGGGTCTGCCCTATATGGCTTGTTTTTGTTTTGTTTTGTTTTGTTTTGTTTTGAGACGGAGTTTTACTCTTCTTGCCCAGGCTGGAGTGCAATGGCGCTATCTCGGCTCACCACAACTTCCGCCTCCCAGGTTCAAGCGATTCTCCCGCCTCAGCCTCCTGAGTAGCTAGGATTACAGGCATATGCCACCACGCCTGGCTAATGGCTTTTCTTATCTTAAGGTATGTTCCTTCTATATCCAGTTTTTTGACAGTTTTATCATCATCAAAAAATTGGGACTTGATGGTTTGAGGGATGTTGAACTTCACAGAATGCTTCTTCAGCATCAATTAAAATGATCGTATAGTTTTTGTCCTTCATTCTGTTGATATGATGCATCACATTGATTTGTGTATATTGAGCCATTCTTGTATCCCTGGGATAAATTCCACTTGGTCATAATGAATGATCTTTTTCATGTATTGTTGAATTCGGTTTGCTAGTATTTTGTTGAGGAGTTTTGCACCAATATTCATCAGAGATATTGGCCTGTAGTTTTCTTTTTTTGATATGTCTCTGTCTGGTTTTGGTATCAGGACAATATTGGCCTTGGAGGCATTTGCACTGCACAGCTTTACTCTCAGCTGTGACAAGGCAACCCTGAGTTCAATGTAAAGTCTCCCAGTTGCTGTGTTCTCCCTCCCCAAAGTGCACAGATTCTGTCTCTGCATCAAATAACTGCTGCTGTGGGGTGGAAGAGGGGTGGCATTAGTTATTCAAGACTGTCTCTCCTGCCTCCTCAATGCCTCTTTCTGCAATATGAAGTTAAAAACAGGTGCTGTGGTTGCTCACCTGATTTTTGGTTCTTGTGAGGGTGCTTTTCTGTGTGCAGATAGTTGTGAAAATTTGGTGTTCTAGCAGGAGGAACAAATGATGTAAGCTTCTATTCCGCCATCTTGCTGTGTTCCCGAGATCACCACACTCTTGTAGACAACCAAATCTCACATGAACCCAGAGTGAGAATTCAACTTATTACCATAGGGAGGGCACCAAGCCGTTCATGAGGGATCCGCGTCCATGGCCAAATCACCTCCCACCAGGTCCCCTCCAACACTGGGTATTACATTTTAACATGAAATTTGGAGGGGACAAGCATCCAAACCATATCATGAAGTTTCTCTCTTCAGCCCTGTCTCCAGCTCTCTATTGATTGAACTGACCAGCTGGTCTGGTACCATGCGGACACAGTCTATGTGTCATAGATGCAGAGAACGCTCCCTCAAACTCCCAAATGCAATAAACATGACTTTAACCTTGAGGAAATCCAAAACACATGGAAACCATAAAAATGGCATTGGAGAAATTAACAACAGGTTATGAGAGAGACAAGAGTCTCTAGTTGTGTTATATTGATGAGTCATGACTAGATCCTGTTAAAAAAGAACCTGGATGATATTATAATGATATAGATAGCAGAGAACATGTAGGAATAAGTTAAATAGCTATCTGATGAGCAGGTGGAGATACTCAACAGGTCTCTAAAAATTTCAGTCATCAAATCATGCTATTCACAGGCTACCCTATCTTATAACATATTTTTCATAATATATGCATAAAAATGCATGTAATCATTGCCTATGTTCATCAAGCAGCTAATTACTTTAAGGATGAAAAAAATTATTAGATCATATTCTCCAGTGAGTGGTTTGTTTATTTAACTGGTGAGATGAAGATTCCAGTTTAGGCCCTTATGGCCCAGGGGTTGAATTCTGCAAAAGCCTCCTACTTGACCTTCCTTAGTAGTGTTTCTCCTACTGGAGAATCCACCAGAATCACCTATAGGGCTTGTTAAACCACAGGCTTTTGGGCCTCACCCTCAGAGTTTTTGATTCAGTAGGTTTGGGGTGGGGGTCAAGAAGTGGCATTTATAACAAGTTCCCAGGTTCTGTTGACACTCCTAGCCCGAGGATCACACTTGGAGAATAAACACTGTATAGCCACTAAAGCAACCATCTGAAAACACTTACTTTGTTTGTATCACTCTTCTCAAATACTTTCAGAGGCTTACAATTGCCTACCCAAAAAAGTTTAGATTCTAGTACCTAACACTGCAAGCTCCAGCCACCTTCTCTCTCCAAACTTCCCTCTCAGCAATCAGAAGCACAAACCCTTCATTCCAGCCAAGAAGGTTTCTTCATTGGTCCCTGACTCAATATGCTTACTGCTTGCTGCTGACTTCAATCCTTGCTTCATGCTATTCCTCTCAAAGGAAATGAATGCCTTTAGCTTTCCTTTGCCCATCAATTTGGGCTCCTGCTCTATTTCTTCTAATTGGCCTTTCTTGACTCTTCTAGCTGCATTAATCTCCTCTTTCTATAGAGGTCAATAGCACTTCTAATTTGTATCCCTCAGTTTAGCAAGCAGGAAGTTGAGTGGTTTTATGTATGTCGCTTCTCTGTAAGTAAACTCAATTCCCTGAGTTTTAAGCAGTGTTCTCCTTCAGTACCTATGGCAGTGCTAGACATATAGTAGGTACTCAATAAATACAACTTTTTAAATTACAACTTTTAAAATACAACTTTATCAATTAAGGATGTTTCATATATTTTTTAAATCTGGTGAAGCTTGGCACAGTAACAAATGGTATATTTTGGCTAGTTTTGTTGTTTTCAAGTTTTTGTTTGTTTTATATTCCTTTCATGTTTTCAGAATTCCTGAACACACTTACATTTGTAAAATTAGGTTGAAAACAGATGTGACAACATGGGTACAATCTATGCATTTGCTGATCACTGCTGGATATTTCCCAACATACTTACACATGGAGCACAGACCTAATTTGCAGAGCTCAACTTAACCCTCTGGTAACACAAACACATCATAGGTGTCTTTGACCCAGATTCAGCACCAAACAGTGATCTAGACATATGCTAATTAAGATTTCATTAATGACAAAAATATCCTGCCTTTGAGGGATGCTTTGGTGAAACAGGATGGAGATTAAAAAGACAATTACACTTCTTAAATCACCTCCCTTGCTCTCCATGAGATACTTTGAGGCTGGTTTGGTTCAATTCCACCTTTTCAAAAAATCTCAGTTGGGGGAAAAGGGAATATAAAAATAATACTTTCTCAAAGCAAATTTAAACTATTCTAGCTGGAACATGGTATGCAGAAAGCAACTAATGTCTAAAATTATGCTGGCTCTGTTCTTCTTCCCATAGAATCTAAATTATTTGAATTGATAAAAGAAAAACACACAAATTGTGTCTATACATACAAACTAGTTTGAATTTTTTGAAAGATTATTCTCCATTTCTGAACAGATTACTAACCTGGGTTTGATTTCAGTCAAATATCTGGTACTTTTCTTATCAATTGTTGTCTTCACTCCAGTCCCACATAACCACACATATTTCTAGAGTGTGTGAGGGTATAATCACCTGGCAGCTGGATATCATTCTAATGACAAAGATAGTGTGAATCAACCCAATGACATTAGTTACAGTTGGCAGTGCAGTGGATTTTTTACTTTATTTTGGATTTCCTTCACTCCAAAGAGGCTCTCTAACTCCAAATACTTTGCTATATAAGTGATTGCTTAAATGAGTGCAAAGTAACAGGTTTGTTGGTCTCTATGGCAGGCCATACATAATCACCATAGAAACATATAATTACACCTGTCAACCTCATCTTGTGTAATTGATTCAATGACTAACAATGTCAGTGGCAGGCTAAGCTTTGAGGTCTCACTGTGAGAAAATACTCATACATGGCTAAACGTCTTGGTGTCTTAATTGCTTGTCATACTGCCAAGGCTCCTGTGTTGTATCTATTTCCACAGCAACAGACTGGAATAGATAAAGCATATTTAATAGCCTAAAGTGAAATGATAACCTTATTTTTGTTTTATAGGCCTTTTAAGAAAATCATAGAGTCATTGAAAATAATCTGGTCATGAAGCCAAATTTGAGAGAGAAGCCTAAAATATTCTGTGCATTAAAAACTAGATGCTTGCTCTGCACTTTAAAAAAAATCCTCTAATTATGATTACAAGCCAAGAGGAGCAGCTCATGGTTGAATATGTGCAAAAGCCCAACATGACAAGAGGTTTTCATCACTCACTGCCTTTTCAGGAGTTGTTGGAACACATTAACGTCTATCGACCCCAAAGCAAAACACTGGAAGCTACTGACCATTGACAGTTTTTCTGAGAGGATGGGTTGGGGAAATCAGCATGATGGTGAAGTAGAGGCCACCAATACTAGGGACCAGCACACTAGCCATAATCATGTGTAATGAAGATACAGAGTCACAGCTAGTATTGCAACAAAATGCAATCAGTTAGTTTGAAATTTAGCAAATGACATCCTGTAGCTAGTGCTTAGAGGGTATAGTGACTAATTGAAAGTTGTCAAGAAGCCTGCAGATTAACCCAAGATTAAATAATTTTTGATACATTTCACAGCTACAAAGTAACTCCCACACCCAATCTCTACTGTTCTATTTATTTATTTGTTTGTTTTATTATTTTATTTAGTTTTTTGAGACAGAGTCTCACTCTGTCACCCAGGCTGGAATGCAGTGGCATGATCTCGGCTCACTGTAACCTCTGTCTCCCAGGTCAAGCAATTCTCCTGCCTCAGCCTCCCAAGTAGCTGATACCATAGGCATGTGCCACCTGCCCTGCTAACTTTTGTATTTTTAGTAGAGACGGGGTTTCACAATGTTGGCCAGGCTGGTCTCGAATTTCTGACCTCAGTGATCCGCCCACCTCGGCCTCCCAAAGTGCTGGAATTACAGGTGTGAGCCATCATGCCTGGCTTCTACTGGTCTCTGATTTCTCATTGACAAGCTATTTTTTGTATGAACCATACTCAGGCAACTGCTTTCCATGGCTACCAAAGCCCATTCATTCATGAATTAATCTATTTATTTACTCAATGAACATATTTTTGAGCACATACTATGTGTTAGGCACTGTGCTAGGTGTTGCATTGTAACACAAGAGAATGTGTGTCATGGAGGCACATAAGAGTAGTGCTAGCCCAGACTTGATCAGAAACGTTTTCCTGGAGGAGATGATACTTAACATGAGTCTTGTAGCATGAATAGAATATTAACCTGGTTTTGCAGGGAGGGGGAAATATCAGTGACAAGGTACAAAGTCACAGAGGTGAGGTACAACATGGCTGGAGCATAAATGGCATAACAGGACATTTGGCTGGAGAGGGAAGAAGGAAACAGATCATAAAAGGGTTTTTCACATATTAAGGATTTCAGATCCTGATCCTGAAAGCAAAGGAGAACCAGTTTTTAATTGTGTATTAGGAGGCAGGGCACATGTTGAGAATATTATTTATGTGTAACATTAAGAATAGAACAGTACTTCCAGAAGAATCTGATTTTTCTCTTCAATTACATTTTCCTTGACTGGAGTATTTAACACTCTTTGTAACATGATAACTTTGTTTGCTTTTCTGGTGCTTTTCTAGCTCCTTTGCTGTTCTTATTTATTCTGCCAAATCAGTGGATTCTTCCCCTTCCACTGTCACCAACCCTATACAAACTTTCCTTATTAACTTCCTAATATACCTCCCTGCTTCCTCCAGTTCATCATGAATACTTCTGAAAAATTGCTCTTTCTAAATTCCACTTTCAGCAGTACAATGTGCATCTGTTGTTTCTAACTGCATAACAAACATGCCCCCATTTTTGGTAGCAGCACCATAATTTTCCTTTAGAAAACAATCCCTTCCCCAGTGGATTATGTCCCACCTTCCTCTGGTCAGAGGCCAGTTGTATAAGCCAGGCCAAGCCCATCAGACTTCCCATGAAATTTGAATCTTGACCTGAAGGCTTTATTGGTATCCAGTTCACCGTAAGAGCAGAATGCTGAAGAACATGTAATTTAGTTCCTGTGGCTTTGGATCTGTATGGTTCTTGTCCTTTCTAAAGCCTGGTTCTTGTGTATTCTCTTAAGTTCTAGAAGCTTCCCTATATCCTAGTGGGGTGTGTGTGTGTGTGTGTGCATGTGTGAGTGTGTATGTGTGTGTGTGTGTATATATATATAGAACATCTACATATATGTATATAGATGTTCATGTGTGTGTGTAGAGTTCAAGTTAGTTAGAGTCCACTTCTGTTGCTTGCAAATGGAAAGTGTAAGCTTCTTACTGGCATTAAAGTCCCTTGCTTAATAGAAACCATCTTGCCTATCCAAACATACATACCATCATTAGCCAAACTAAACCCTCTGCCACAGTCTGAGTCTCCCTTCTCTACCTCTTTTGCCACACCTACTTTTATAGCCCTAACTCCATATTTTTTTCTTTCTTCTCTCATAGTCTATCCTCATATCCCATTACAGTTGACACTGATGGAGGGCAAACAATTATAAGAATTATGAGTGGCACTGTGATGATGGTTCAGGAAAGAAGAGATGAGGGAAACATAGGTCCAACCTTAAAAAACTAACCTTCTATTCTGCAAATCTTATTTTTCCCTTTTGACCTCCTGCCCAAAGCCTTTCCCAGTAATGCTAGGAACATTCTAGGGCAAGTGTCCCCAACCCCCAGGCTGCACAGCAGGAAGTGAGCAGTGGGTGATAGAGGGGTGCTTCATCTGTATTTATAGACACTCCCCATTGCTCGCATTACCGTCTGAGCTCTGCCTCCTGTCATATAAGTGGTGGCATTAGATTCTCATAGGAGTGCTCACCCTATTGTGAAGTGGGTATGTGAAGGATCTAGGTTGTGCGCTCCTTATAAAAATCTAGGCTGGGCGTGGTGGTTCACCCCTGTAATCCCAGCACTTTGGGAGGCCGAGGTGGGCGGATCACGAGGCCAAGAGATGGAGACTATCCTGGCCAACATGGTGAAACCCCGTCTCTAATAAAAATACAAAAATTAGCCAGGCGTGGTGGCGTGCACATGTAGTCCCAGCTACTAGGGAGGCTAAGGCAGGAGAATTGCTTGAATCCGGGAGGCGGAGGTTGCAGTGAGCCGAGATCGCGCCACTGCACTCCAGCCTGCCAATAGAGTGAGACTCTGTCTCAAAAAAAAAAAAAAGAAAATCTAATGCCTGACGATCTGTCACTGTCTCCCATCACCCCCAGATGGGACCATCTAGTTGCAGGAAAACAAGCTCAGGGCTCCCACTGATTCTACATTATGGTGAGTTGTATAATTATTTTATTATATATTATAATGTAACAATAATAGAAATAAAGTCCACAATAAACGTAATGCACTTGAATCATCCCAAAATCATCCACCCAACCCTCACCCTGGTCCGTGGAAGAATTGTCTTTCACAAAACTGGTCCGTGGTTCCAAAAAGGTTGGAGACTGCTGCTGTAGGGTCTAGGAACTTTGCCTTGATAGTCTCTATTGCACAGATGAGCATTAGGATAAATATTGTTGAACGCTATACTTTAATTTTCTTTTTCCCCCAGCAACATTATAGGCTCTTTAGGAAACGGTTGTGTCTTGTACTACTTTTCATTCTCCCTCCCAACTCCATCTGCCAACCTGAGATTTTATGCAGGAGCATACTGAATTAAATAATGTTTAAGATACTAGGGAAAATATAGGAAAGAAAATTACTTTTAAATTTTTATTAATATATAATATTTGTACAAATTCAGGAGCTACATGTGATATTTTGATACCTGTAAACAATATGTGATAATCAAATCAAAGTAATTGGGACATCCATTACCTTAAACATTCACCATTTCTTTTTGTTGGAAACATTACAGTTAAGAAGTTTATTTCTAACTTATGCCCACTGTTGGGCCACTGGAGCCTCATTTGTTAGAGAGTGTAGTATATTACATGGGTTTTGGAATCAGGCAGCCCTGAGTTCAAACTCTGGTTCTGTCACTTATGAACTATATACCTATACTTTTACACCTCAGTTTTCTCATCTGTATATTAGATGACACTATGCATATTAAATTGCAAAGCCCAGTGTCTGGCACACTAAAGAATTACTATTTTTAGTTCTTTTTATTAAAATGAAAATTGTTTTCTTAATCAATAACCCCAAACCACATTTAATTTTTTACACGCCAAATTCTGAATCTGTGGCTGCAAAGGAGTCTATATATGGGTTTCCCTCTAAAATAAAATAAGATGTATTTTGTGGACAAACCTAGAAAATTTCTAAACCACTTTTTTCTCCAAAAGTCACTGATTCACTCTCACATTTTATCTTTCCCACTTAGTATAGAAACAATTTTTTAGAATAGGTGCTGATTTCCACAGAGGTCTCAGCAGCAAACTCATGGACCAATGAGCCTTGTGGTGAAAGCCTGTATTGCAGGGGTTCTTTCAGAAAGAGTATCAAAAGAGCATTGAGAAGATTTAAAGGTGGGGAATATTTAATGTGATAATACATGTATTTGGCACCATGACTATCATGTGGTAATTACTGAGTAAATATTAGTTGTCCTTTATTTCAATTACCTTCATTTCTAATTCAAGTGTGTAATTTTTCAGACATTTTAAGCAACATTTTAGTTATGCATTCTTATACGTTCTTAGGTTATGTTACCTCAAATAAAAATAGCATAGATAGTCTATAGTATCTTGGAACGCTTAGAAATGCCACTGATGAATTACGATGATAAATTATGCACTTATGCGGGGCGCAGTGGCTTACGCCTGTAATCCTAGCACTTTGAAAGGCAGAGTCAGGTGGATCAACTGAGGTCAGGAGTTTGAGACCAGCCCTGACAACATAGCAAAAACCCATCTCTATTAAAAACAAAAAAATTAGCCAGGCATGGTGGCACATGCTTATAATCCCAGGTACTCAGGAGGCTGAGGCAGGAGAATCGCTTGAACCCGTGAGGCAGAGGTTGCAGTGAGCTGAGATCGCGCCACTTCACTCCAGCCTGGGTGAAAGAGTGCAACTCCGTCTCAAAAAAGAAAAAAAAAAGTTATGAACTTTTGTTTCAAAACAGTTTGTAAAACATGAATTGATTTTTATTTTAAAAATTAAGTATAGTGTATACACACACACACAGAGTACAAAAAGTCTAGAAGAAAACAATACATTTAACACTGGTTCTCTCAAGTAAAAGGTAAAAATAAATGGAGGGAGAGTTGTTTTTATTTTATCTTATACAATTCCACATTGTTCAAGCTTTTAAAAATTTTGAAATGAACATGTGTTATTATTTTTGTTAAACTAATCAATCTTCTCTTGAAAATTGGCCATTTGAAGATTATTTTTACACCTATCACAAAAGTACAGTCAAACATATAGTCCCAGGAATCCATGAGAGTAACTCCTCCTAAATAGACCTCAGTAGATTCACAGATAAATACATGCTACCTTTTATAGTTTACTTTTTGCTTATGCTGCCAGAAAGCTTAGAGTTTAATTCTGTGTTTTATCAATAACTCTTCTCAAGTATTGGTGTATCATTGTTTCTTTTAACTTTTTTAATTTCTAAAATATATTTAATAGTAATCTTGATATGTTTTTAAATATTTTACACAACTCCAATATTTTTTAAAAGTAGGCAGAGTGTAATTGGATTGTTTGTAACACAAAAGATATACTTGAGGGGATGGATACCCCATTTTCCAAGATGAGATTATTATACATTGCATGGCTGTATCAAAATGTCTTACGTACTCCATAAATATATACATCTACTATGTACCCACAAAGTTAAAATAATTTTTTAAACCTCTATTTAAGGTTTCTGAAGTAGCCATTAGAAAATGAAGAAACATTTATTTAACATCTTTGAAAATTCTGTAATGAAGATAAGAGACTGTGTTAACATGAACCAAGACTATTCCCTCTCTTCCCAACAAAGCAGAGAGTCCACTCACTTTCTGAGTACAAGATTCCAGCTCTTCCCATCCTTCAGACACAGGGATTTATTCCCAGGAGCAGCACACTTCAGTATTTCTCTTCCTGACCCCAGTTACTTACCCGTTACCTGCTACTGTTCCAGCCATGGGTGAAATTTATGGAATTAAATCTTTACCTTGGGTGGGGCACACTGAAAATACTGGGGCCATGATCGCTCTTACCCTAGCTTGTGAGACAGTGGTTCTATACCAGAAGATGCAAGTCAAAAAGACCTCAGTCTGCTTCCCCTCCCATAAAGTGCTAAGCTTCTAGAGTGGAGGGTCACTCAGAAAGAAGCTTGCCATTTTCCCCATTCCCAGGTCCAAAGCCCTGGCTCAAATATTTCTGCCTAGGAGAGGAGCAGACTGTAAAACAGCTAGCTCCTAATCTCTTTGCAAAGGAACTGACTTCATTTGCAACATATATGGAAGAAGTTCAAACTTAAGCATGCTCCAAAGGACAGTAGAAGTTTCAATGAAAGGCAATTAGAAGGATATTCATGGATTTGAAGAAGATACAGCCTAGACTATACGCCTGCTAGTTTGCAGGAGGGAATCACAATATAAGACAGCTGCGAGAAGCCCTGCTAGGGTCAGAATAAATATCAAACACAGATCTGAGAAACTTTTTCTTCCAAATAGCCACAACTTGATTGGATTAGTTTGTAGAGCAATTAACGCCCCAAAGTATTGTTGAAAACAGTAGTAGAGCAATCAGCCAGCAACTAGTGGAGTTTAAGAGCTGGGTGTGGTTCAGAAAAGAGAGAAAACTCTACCAATAACAGTGTCAACCAATGGTGTGCCTTTCTGATGAGTGGCATTAGAGACTTAACACTGTGGGGAGAGGAAATAGACCTCACTAAAGTAATAGATGCAAAGCAATCCATAAACACACACATAAAAATGCTGAAAGTCAAAGGTCAGGAGAACATCTGAATAGTAGCAAGAAAAAATGACTCATCACTTACAAGGGAACTTCATGAAGATTGACAAGCTAAATTCTCAACAAGAACAATAAAGGCCAGAAGACAGTAAGATAATATACTCAAAGTGCTCCAAAAAATGAAAAACCTATCAACCACTAATGTTATATCAAGCAAAGCTACCTTTCAAATACAAAGACAAAATTATTTCCAAGATAAAGAAAAGCAGAGAAAATTTGTTGCTGTAGAACTGCTTACCAGAAATAATGAAATAATAAAGGATGTTCTTCAGACTGAAAGCAAGTGACCCCACATGAAAAAAGAGCACTTTTAAAGATAATTACGTAAGTATAGAAAACAGTATAAATTTATATTTTTGTTCTTTCTCCTCATAACTGATTAAAAACAATTATATAAAATAGTACAGTATGTATATAATGTAATCTTGGGCCCATAACATATAGAAATGTCATATATGTGTAATATATATTGCCAATAATAACACAAAAAAGGCAAGTGGGAGAAATCAGAATTGGGCTTAATAAATGACTACAGATAGTAAAATAATAATTATAGCAATGAATTTTTGGTTCTTTTAAAATTAATAGGTGTAGTATATATAGCAATAATACCATAGAAATGGGGGAAGGGAATAGAGCTATGTAAGAATAACATTTCTATATATTACTAGAATTGAGTTAGTAGAAATCTAATGTTAATTTAAGATGCATAAGTTACAATAAACCCTAGAACAACCACTTAAAAATAACTGAGAAAATATAGAGAAAATAAAATCACTAAAGAAATTAAATACTACCTTATAAAATATTCACATAATTCAAAAAAACAGTAAAGGAAGAAAAGAGGAACAAAAAAACATGAACCATATAGAAAACAAAAAGTAAATGGCAGATGTAAAAGAAATTTAGGGGATATAATGTCCAGTCATATGTGTGGACATGATTTGCATTCTAATTTCTTAATGTAAAAAATGTAATAACATTTGGTTGTAATGACCATTGGTAATTTGAACACTGCATATTAATGATATTAAACAATAATTTTAAATTATATGTAATCATTGAATTGTGATTGTGGTTTTTTTTTTTTTTTTGAGACGGAGTTAATAGAACAATCCAAATAGAAAATCTACAAAATATATGATCAGATATTTCTTTTTTGACCTTTTATTTTCAACTTTTATTTTAGATTTAAGGGGTATATGTGCAGGTTTATTACCTGAATATATTGAGTGATGCTGAGGTTTGTGGTACAAATGATCCCGTCACCCAGGTACTGAGCATAGTACCCAAGAGTTAGTTTTTCAAACCTTACTCCCTTCCTTGTCTCCCCTCTCTGGTAGTCCCCTCTAGTAGTCCCCAGTGTCTATTGTTGCCATACTTATCCCCTTGAATACCCAATGTTTAGCTCCTACTTATAAGTGAAAACATGCAATGTGTAGTTTTCTCTTCCTGCATCAATTTGCTAAGGATAGTGGCCTCCGGCTGCATCCATGTTGCTGCAAAGGACATGATTTTGTTCTTTGCTTAGATCCTTTTTCAACCTTTTACTTTGAGCCTATGGATGTCATTATGTGTGAGATGGGCCTTAAAACGGTCAATTTTATGGTATGTGAATTATATCTCAATTTTTAAAAACATAAGAGAGAGCCAGGCGCGGTGGCTCATACCTGTAATCCCAGCACTTGAGGAGGCCGAGACAGGTGGATCATGAGGTCAGGAGTTTGAGACCAGCCTGACCAACATGGTGAAACCCTGTCTCTACTAAAAATACAAAAATTAGCCGGGTGTGGTGGCACACACCTGTAATCCCAGCTACTCGGGATGCGGAGGTAGGAAAATCGCATGAACCCGGGAAGGGGAGGTTGCAGTGAGCCAAGATCTTGCCACTGCACTCCAGCCTGGGCGACAGAGGGAGACTCCGTCTCAAAAAAAATAAATAAATAAAAATAAAAATAAAAAAACATAAGAGAGAGAAATAGTAGTGGCTGAGACAGGGCAGTAGTAGTGGAGGTGGAGAACTGGGCAGGTTCTGGGTATATTTGAAGAAAAAGGTAATATGATTTGCTAATGATTAGATGTCAAGTATGAGCAAAAATAAAGCTGGTACAAGTGACTCCAAGGTTTTTGCCTGAGCAACTGCAAAAACAGAGTTGCCTTTCACTGAGGTGGGAAAGACTATGGCAGGAGCAGATTTTAAGTGTAGATGAGAATTACCGTTTTAGACATATTAAGTTTGAGATGCTTATTAGACATTAAAATGGATATATTGCATAGATAGGCAGGGAACTGTATACGCCTCTGGAGTCCAGAGGAGGTCTTGGTTTGGGTGGAAGAAAAAAAGTATTGTTTTGTCCAAGTTATATGTGAAATGCTTGTGAGATACTTGTATTTGTTTCCTAATGTTTCTTGTAACAAATTACCACTTAGTGGCTTAAAAAAACGAAAATTTACTATCTTACAATTTTGGAGGTCAGAAGTCTGAAATGGAAATCAAAGTGTTGGCAGGAATGTGTTCCCCTCTGGAGGCTGTCGAGGTGAATCTGTTTCTGTGCCTTTTCTAGCTCCTAGAGGCTGCTTGCTTTCCTTGGCTTGTGGCTTCCTCCTCAATCTTCAAAGCCAGCAGCAGAGCATCTTCAACTCTCTATTTGAATATAACATCAGCTTCCATCATCACATCTCCTACTCTGATACTCCTGCCTCCCTCTTTCACTTACAAGGACGTTTTTAACTACAGTGGGCTCACTTAGGTAATCCAGAATAATCTCAGCATCTCAAGATGCCCAATTTAATAACATCTGCAAAGTCCTTTTTGCCATATTCACAGGTTCAAAGGAATAGAATGTGGGCATTTTAGGGTAAAAGTTATTATTATTGTTCCTACAATACCCAAATGAAGCTACTGAATTAGTACCTAGATATAGAGTTCAGAACAAAAGTCCAGATTGGAGAAATAAATTTGTGAATTTTCACTTACAGATGTTATTTAAACTCATGTAACTGAATGAGATCAACAGGGAAATGAACGTATATAGTGAAAAGGTCCCAGGACTGAGAATCTTAGGGCCCTCTAACATTAAGAAGTTGGGGAGATGAGAAGAGGCAAGCAAAGGAGACTGAAAAGAAGTAGCCACTGGAATAGGAGTAGCTGCTGAGTGAGTAGGAAAATCAAGAGAATAGGTGTATTAGGAGCAATGAGAAGAACATTCTTAAGGAGAAAAGAATGTTCAGTTCACTCAATTATTCTTTCTAGGTCAAGTCAGATTAAGATTGAGAATTGACTATTGGAATAGGCACTGTGAAAGTCATTGATGATCATGAAATAGCAGTTTTTGTGGAATGGCATGTTTAAGAGAGAATGGGGACTTCAGCTTCCAGGCAAGATGGAGTAACAGAGACCAAACTTACCCTCTGGCCTGAAAAAACTAAAAACCTGGAAAAATATGTGAAACATAAGACAGCCTATTGAATGGCAGAAAATGTTTGCAAATCATATATCTGGTAAGGTTTTAATATCCAGAATATGTATAGAATTCCTACAGCTCAACAACGATAATAACAAAACAACCAATTTTTAAAAAATGGGCCAAGGACTTGTATATCTTCTTTGTCTCCAAAGAAGATATACAAAGTGAACAACAAGCACATAAACATCACTAATTATTAAAGAAATGTGAATCAAAACCACAATGAGATATCACCTCATACCCATTAGGATGGCTACTATTAAAAAAAAAACAAAACAGAAAACAACAAGTATTAGTGAGGAAGTGGAGAAATCGGAATCTTTGTGCACTATTGGTAGGAAAAAATATGGTACAGGGCTATGGAAAATAGTGCAGCAGTTCCTAAAAAAATAAAAAAAGAATTATCATATGATCCAGAAATTCTACTTTTGGGTATGTATTCAACAGAATTGAAAGCAGGCTCTCAAAGAAATTTGTACATTTGGCATTACTCACAATAGCCAAAAGGTGGAAGCAACCAAAGTATACATCAATGGATAAATGGATAATGGATAATGGATAAATGGATAATGGATAAGCAAAATGTGGCATATACACACAATGGAATATCGTTCAGCCTTAAAATGGAAGGAAATTCTGACACATGCTTCAACATGCATCAACACTGAGGATACTATGCTAAGTGAAATAAGCCAGTCACAAATGACATGTATGTATGATTTTACTTATATGAGGTACCAAGAGTAGTCCAATTCATAGAGAGAGAAAGTGAGGAGGGGACAATGGGGCATTGTTTTTTAACTAGTATAGAGTTTCAGTTTTGCAAGATGAAAAGACTTCTGGAAATTGGTTGTACAACAATGTGAGTGCACTTAACACTACTGAAATGTATACTTAAATATGATTAAGATGTTAAATGTTATGTGTATTTTACCACAATTAAAGATTTAAAAATAATTTTTTAAATACATGAAACAATAGTTTTCAAGGCATTGTACATCAGGAAACAAAGAACGGTGATCCCTAAGAGACAGTAAACAAACAAGCCCTGTGGGCCAGGTGCGGTGGCTCATGCCTGTAATCCTAGCACTTTGGGAGGCCGAGGCGGGTGGATCACCTGAGGTCAGGAGTTCAAGACCAGCCTGGCCAACACGGTGAAACCCCGTGTCTACTAAAAATACAAAAATTAGCCAGGCGTGGTGGTACATGGCTGTAATCCCAGCTACTTGGGAGGCTGAGGCATGAGAATTGCTGGAACCTGGGAGGTGGAGGTTGCAGTAAGCCAAGATTGCACCACTGCACTCCAGCCTGGACGACAAAGCAAGACTGTCTCAAAAAAAAAAAAAAAAAAAAAAAAAAAAAAAGCCCTGTAACTGCCATAGCTCATAGTTTACTGTCTAGATAAAATTTTCAGTCCAGGATACAATGAAGGGCAACCCAGGTAAAGTCTGGTGGTTGCCCTGAGTTTAGTAAATAAAACTGGGAGTCCAGAGAAGCCAGGGTAGCTAGAGTTCACAGGTTAAAAGCACCAGAGAGGAGAGAGCTGTACTGAAAGAGAACTCCAGGAATCTTCAGGGGATCTCCTTTAATTTTAATCTGAGTACTTAAAAAGAAACCAATCTTAAGAGGCAGGAGACAGAATCAAAAGATGAGAGAGAAAAAATTCAAAACTCACAATGTGATATATTCTGGAATATGTATTCACTCAAGAAACTGTCGTCATCATAAACTACAAACATATCAATCACCCCCTAAAGTTTGCAGCATCCCTTTATACTCTTTGCCTGTCACTCTTCCCCACATCCCTTCCTATCTCCAGATAACCACTTATCTGCTTTTTGTCACTATAAATTAGTTTGTGCTTTCTAGAAGTTTGTTTAAATGGAATTATACAATATATTTTTCCCTCTGGCATCTTTCACTCAGCATATTTTGAGATTCATCCACATTGTTGCATTAATTAATCACTCATTCTTTTCTTTTTACTGAGAAGAATTCCATTATATGAGTATATCACAATTTGTCCTTTCATCTTTTGATGGAAATTTGAATCATTACCATTTTTGCCTATTACAAATAAAACTGCTATAAATATTCACGTAAAAGTCTTTGAGTGAACATAGGCTTTCATTTAGGAGTAAACGCTTAGTAGTAAAATGCTGGGGTGGTAGAGTAGATGTATGTTTAACTTCTTAAGACACTGCTAAACTATTTTCAGTGTGGCTATACCATTTTATGTCTCCACCAGAAATGTCCGAGGGTTCCAGTTACTCTATATCCTTTCCATTGCATGGACTTTTTAATTCTGGACATTCTAATAAGTGTAATGGTATCTAATTGTGATTTTAGTTTGTGTTTCACTAATGACTATGATATTGAACATTATTCATATGTTTTTGACATCAATATATATTCTTTGATTAAGCATCTTTTCAAATTTATTCATTCTTCTAAAAATTGGGTTATTCGTTTTCTTATTATTGAATTTGAGAATTATTTATATAACCTGGACATGTCTTTTGGCAAATTATGTGATTTGTAAATATTTTTCTCCCAAGCTGAAGCTTGTCTTTTTATTCTCTTTTTTTTTTTTTTTTTTTTTTTTTTGAGAGGGAGTCTCGCTCTGTCTCCCAGGCTGGAGTGCAGTGGCGTGATCTCAGCTCACTGCAACTCCGCCTCCCAGGTTCACACCATTCTCCTGCCTCAGCCTCCCAAGTAGCTGGGACTAGAGGCGCCCACCACCACGCCCAGCTATTTTAATAAATAATAAATCATCACTTTGTTTTCCATGCCTTCATTTGCATCTATATATCCCTTGGAGCTCTTATAAAGAGAAAAGGTGGCTAGGCCAGGGTTTGTGTAGTTAACCCTTTGTATAAGAAGGCCCTAACTGTATACCTTCTTATACAAAACCCTCCAATAGAAACGTATATAAAAGTTATGCACTGAGCACACCAAAACTGGCTTAGATTGAGATCCCTCCTTGTTCCTGGCATTTTATCTCTGTCCTTCAGTAATTTTTTTCCCTTCAGTTCCTGAAGCTTTTCTGGTTCCAAGTTACCTGGATTTCAGACTTCCAATTTTTCTCTACCTTTGGGTGCCTTCATCCTGCTGGTTCTATTTTTATTTTTTTCCACTTCTTTCATTTTAGATTCATGGGGTACATGTGCAGGTTTGTTAGAAAGGTATATTGGGTGATGCTAAGGTTTGGAGTACAATTGAACTCATGATGCAGGTAGTGAGCATGGTACCAAACAACTCAGTTTTCAAACGTCTGCCCCCCACCGTACCTCCCGCCCCTAGTAGTACCCAATATATATTGCTCCCACCTTTATGTCCATGTGTAGCTAATGTTTAGCTTCCACTTGTAAGAAAGAACATGCAGCATTTGCTTTTCTGGTTCTGCACTAGTTCACTTAGGATAATGGCCTCCCATCCTGCTTGTTCTTATCTCTATACCTGGCTTCTGCCCCATGATTAATTCTAACCTTTATTCTTTGCATGATCTGACTGTAGTTTTTCTACTCACATGTGGCCCACAAATGTATTATTGCCTTTATTATCTGAATTCACCACTACTCTTAATTGACTAGTAGCTTCTAGACCTGTGATTTTGTTTGGCTTGTGACACTCTGTCCCAGCTTTGTGATTAATTCATTCTTTTATCTTCTCCTACCTTGTATTCATAGTGTGATTTTTATCTCTTCTCATCTTTGTACCTCACCTTGATGTCCCAAACTTGTTCGAAATTCTTCAGTGATAGATTATACAGGATGAAGCAGTTAGCTCAATTAGAGCATCATATCAGTGAAACCAAGATCAGATACTTAATCTTCATTTGAGCCACCTGGTCCTGTGCCCCACTGATTACAGGGAGAACAGAGGGAGGGTGTGTGGATTAAATAGTAGAAAACTACCCTGCTATTGACAGCACATCTTTTAAAACATGTCTGAGTGACTTGGGTCAGCATTATCATCTCTGTATGGGAAGGACACCACACAACTATTTACATATATAACACATGCAAATGAGTTTGAGTTTTGTCCAGAGGATGCATATGCTGAGGCCACCTTTTAAATTCCAACAGAAACAATTTGTGTGTGAGGGACTCCTGTTCAGAGAAAATGCCTCTGAGATCAGAGAAAAAGACTTGAATTCCCTGAACTAAATTGTTCAAAGTATTGGAACATGCTGTCCTTTCAATATTAAAGAAGCATGGCTTTGATCGTGATTATTTTCATTATGAATGATTATTTCTATTACACCATCCCTCTAAGGAATAGTACTAAAAGACCTCCTGAATCTTCTAAAATGTATTTATAGAACTCATCAATGAAATAAATAAATACACAAATGTTCTAATTAGCTAGAAGAAGTTCAATGCTGCCTTTAATGATATTTTTGAAACAGGAAGCAAGTGATTTTACAGCAATGAAATGGTGTATGTTCTGGTTTAGAATGTAATATTTATTAATGCAGAAAATAGAATTTTTTTCACAGTATCAGTAAGTGAGTCCTGAAGGAAGGGACAATACTGATTGATAGCAAGCATAAACATTAGGAAAGTATTCTCCAAGTGTACCATGCATTCTAATTGACCAGTTACCAGTTAAGTCACAAATGAGATCCTGCTTTGTAATTCTGTGCTGGCACTGTGTAGGAAAGTATTACAGTTGGTATAATAGCAAATACTGTATGTTGCAAAGCAGATAGATTTAAAAATTAAAACATGATATTTCATCTAGTTCTTTGATAAAAGACTAGTAGTAATCAATTATTTTCTGTATGTAGGGTCTCATTCTACATAGTCAATCTACAAAAATTTATTAATCATTGTTGACCTTAGAGAGCCTCAAGTTCTTCAGTGGCTAAAGAGATAATAGACTTTTTGAAAAATTATGGGAGATACTTTCATAATAGGAGCCAGATCTTTGGATTTAATATAGAGCCTTTTGATGAGTCAATCTCACTGAGTCTCCATTTACTCTTCTGAAATGGTAAAATAGAGCTAATAATACAGGGCTGACCTAGATGTGCTAGATAAGCTTTCATTTGCCACTTCAGATCCTTCCTTCCTTCTCCACTCTGCTTTGTGACCAGGAAGCTAACTTGTATGGGCTTCCTTGATTTCTGACTTCCAGTTGGGTTCATTCAATGGGAGGCACTGGCAAGAGGTCAGAGGTCATGAAGAGAATAAGTTCAGGGAATTTATTTCCCCAGCTTCCTCCCTGCTAGGTCATCTTGGGTTGGCTATATCCTTTTTCCTAAAGATCCCTTCACAGCCTTTCCAACGGCCCTCACCAAACAGTTATGTTCTCTACTTTCTTCCCTTGTCCCTTCAGGACTAGGGGCCTAGAAGCTCAAGATTGGCAATGGTTAGATTAGACTAAATTGGCATGTAAGAATGGCTCAACATGACTTGTTGGTTTCCCTTTAACCTGGGACATATCTGTGTAAACAGTCACTTTGTTAAACTCTTAATTACTCCAGCTGAGCATGCCACCAAATTTCAGGCAGCACCATGACTGATTTAGTCACAGGTTGTTTTGATGACTAATGAGATATCACATACAAGGTCATATTGAAATACATAAAGCATACACAAATATTAGGCTTTATTTTTTATCAGAAATCAAACACTGAATAATTGAACTAAGCAGTGAGAAAACTCAGATATATCTACAACATGAGGTTAAAGCAAAATTCAACTAGTCTATGACAAGTCAATTTACTAAAAGGTAAATTGCCAGGGTTGAAAGGGCTAATAGGGAGCAAGCAGAAGGACAAACGCCCATGAGATGGAGCAGTGAAGACTTTCAAAAGAAATAAAGGAGCAGTGTGGGAGGATGTAACTCCAGAACAGGCTCCAGTGTCAGCCTTCCACCTCTGCCCTCAGTCTCTGGACATTGTAGTACCACCATTCAGAGGACAAAGCACCATTTTGTCTCTAAAGTCCACCCTTTGGCATTCATTTCTTCATTAGTTTCCCTGCCCCACACCACTGACTGCAATAGAGCATACTATGGCCAGTTGTAGGGTGTTCGCTATTTTTCTTCCACTTCAGTGCAATCTTGAGATAAAACTGCTCTTTAGCCTCTCCCAGTTCATCTCTGTTTCACCGTTATTATACTCTACTGTTCATCTGCTGACCCTTTGATTTACGTGTCCTTATTGCTCATTCATATGATTCCACCTCTCTTTAGTTGTGGGAGTTTTCTCTGAAAAAGCAGAGGCCTCGTCTATTCTGTTCCCTGGCCCACTCTCACCTTCAAGCTGAGATTGCTTTTCTGATTGCTTTTCTTGAAGCTTTGTGAATCCCAAGTCAGCAGTGTTCCCTAGACTATGCCTGTAGAAATTCTCTGAACTGGACCCTCCTCTGCTCAGTAAACAGGAGCCAATCTCTTTCTTTTCTCAAGTCTGGCAGCTGCTGAAGTCCCATAGTCCACTCAATCTCTGAGAAGCTTCAAGGTCTAAATTATTTATTCTCTCCAGGCCCCAATCCCTTTGGCAACTCTTCCCCTCTACCTAGCCCTTTTGTACTACCTGAGACTTAACCTCTCCAACCACTCTAGGACCATTGTCTCACCTCAGATAATATGAACACAGAACAATAACACATCTTCAACTCAATTATTAGTTCTTCTGGCTCCAGACAGACAGCAGCTACTCCCACATCTACATATAAATTTGGAGGAAAGGGTCTCTGCCAGAGAGGAAGAAGAAACATCAGGTCTTTGTAGTGTAAGTCACATAGCACAAAGAAAACCGGGGGGTTTTCTATAAACTAAAGCAGAAGCCATCCTATTCCATGGGGTCCAATATAACTAGAATGAAAAGCAAAAGAGAGAAACACACAGTGTTCTTCTAGTCATAAAGAAAATTTTATTTAATGTTTATGCCTCAATAGGGGCTTGAAAATATTGATGCAATGGTGCAATTTTACTTGTCAATGTAATGTCCTCATAATTCTGTAATGTATTTGCTCAGATTCCTCAGGAGTTATGAGAGTTTGGTGTTGTGGTTAAGCACATAGGCTCTGGAGCCAGCTTACTTGGATTTGAAATGCCAAGTCTGTCACTTAAGCAAGTAATTTAAATTTTCTATATCTTGATTTCCTTAAGCAAGTAATTTAAATTTTCTATATCTTGATTTCCTCATCTGGGATAATAATTGTACAGCATACTTGTCTCACAAGACTGTTGTGAATATTAAATGAGTTATGATTGAGAAGAGCTTTGAACATGTTAAAAAGAAAATAGGAACTCAAAGGCCAAAGACTGAGTGGTAAGTGTCTTACTGTTAGACAAAAGCCTCAGTCTTAGGCAGATGTCATGTTCTGTGAATTTACACTAGAGGGATGGAAATGGGCTAGGGTTCTTAAAGCCAAAATTGCAAATTATCTCAGTTCTATACTAGGAAAGCTGAATGTGTGATTGATTGGTTGGTTGTAGGTATCTGGGGAAATTGGTTAGTATTGAGCACATATTGGGGTCCTAGTCGGTTGTGTTTCTGAGGTCTGTGCTTCAGAATTTATGGCATCCAGTTGTCATTTTAGTAGAAGTTAAGTGTGCAGTGTTTTCAATAAGATAGACGGACGTCACAGAGTGCCTTAAACAATACCTGGCACCTCATAGTGGCTATTATTATTCTGCTAAAGCTATTGAGCAGGGATATATTCTTCCCATAAAAATATTAGATCATCTGGCAATGCTTCATATAGAAATCAAAGATATTTTTAAAAGAACCTCTGTCTCTGGCCCAGTGCTTACTGAAGTGAGTGGATGCAGATGACTGATTTCTATTGAGATTCAAAATGATGGTGCTAAGAAACTTAATGGAAGCAGCCATAAAAATTAATTTGTGGCATTGGGTCAGGAAGAAAAGGGGGTGCCACCAGGTCAGGCCTGGTGCTAAAGGACCCCCAAGGTCCTCTCCTTGATGCTTCCCAGGTGTCTGCCTCTACAGATCAGTGACTCCAGCTTAGGAGTCAGAATTTATGAAGAGCACTCTCTTCCCAACCTGGCTCTTACCATGGGTATTCTTAGGCCATTTATCTTTGTCTTGGTATACTTGACTCTATCTAATCTTACTTCTAGTCTGGCACCCTAAGCTCTTGGATTCTAATTCCAAATTTGTCCTTCAATCTGATTCTCTAATGCTATTATTGCTTACACATTTTGTGTATATTCTGCTGTTTTCTCAACGCTGAGCTATACCATATCTCTGATTTACCTTATTACCACAAATCAACAAAAAATAGCTGGATTCCTTCCTTTTGTGGTAGCAAAATTCAGACTACCCCTTATACTGTCTCTATCTTACATTAAAATAATTTAGTATGGGAGAACTTCCTGTAATAGCAGAGAAAAAGGTCACACAAATTCCCCACAGATAATAATTACAAAAAATGGATAATTTTTTTAATTTTTATAAAATTTAAATTAAAAAAAAATGTTTAAAAAAACCGACTATGTTGGCCGGGTACAGAGGCTCATGCCTGTAATCCCAACACTTCGGGAGGCTGAGGCGGGTGGATCACCTGAGGTTAGGAGTTCGAGACCAGCCTGGCCAACATGGTGAAACCCCGTCTCTACTAAAAATACAAAAATTAGCTGAGTGTAGTGGCGGGCACCTGTATTCCCAGCTACTTGGGAGGCCGAGACAGGAGAATCGCTTGAACCCAGGAGGCAGAGGTTGCAGTGACCCGAGATCACACCATTGCACTCCAGCCTGGACAACAAGAGCGAAACTCTGTCTCAAGAATCCAAAGGAGGGTTTAAGCTTATAAAACTTCATCTGAAAATACTAAGAATTAGTGATTTGGTGCTTACTGATGTGTGGTGATTTTAAAGTACGTACACAAATTCTTAAATATTCTCCCTTCAAGAAGTAGAACCTAATCCCTTTTCCCTTGAATGTGGGCTGGACTTAGTGACTTGCTTTATTTATTTATTTATTTATTTATTTATTTATTTATTTATTTATTTTTTCAGACAGAATCTCACTCTGTCCCCCACCACTGCAACCTCCACCTCCCAGGTTCAAGTGATTCTCCTGCCCCAGCCTCCTGGATAGCTGTGACTACAGGCATGTGCCACCACGCCCGGCTAATTTTTGTAGTTTAAGGAGAGACGGGGTTTCACCATGTTGGTCAGGCTGGTCTTGAACTCCTGACCTCAAGTGATCCGCCCACCTTGGCCTCCCAAAATACTGGGATTATAGGTGTGAGCCACCGTGCCCAGCCTTAGTGATTTACTTCTAAAGAAAAGATAAAGCAGAAGTGAAGGTGTGGGACTTGCAAGACTAGGTCAAAAAAGGCACTGCAGCTTCCTCCTTGCACTGTCTGTTGAATCCCTCACTCTGGGGAAAGAGCGAAACTCTGTATCAAAAAAAAGACAGAAAGAAAAGAAGAAAAGAAAAAATAACTTATGCAACAATTTGAAAACAAGTAATGAAGTGACAGTAGTAAGTCCATATCTATCTATAATACCAGTGAAGGTAAACGGACTAAATTCTCCAATTAAAACATAGAACCACTGAATGGATTTGTTTGTTTGTTTTGTTTTTCTGTTTTTTGTTTTTTTTTGAGATGGAGTGTCACTCTGTTGCCCAGGCTGGAGTTCAGTGGCGCGATCTCAGCTCACTGCAACCTCTGCATCCTGGTTCAAGTGATTCTCCTGCCTCAGTCTCCTGAGTAGCTGTGACTACACTCATGCACCACCACGCCTGGCTAATTTTTCTATTTTTAGTAGAGACGAGGTTTCACCATGTTGGTCAGGCTGGTCTGAAACTCCTGACCTCGTGATCCACCCACCTTGGCCTCCCAAAGTCCCATAGTCCCATAGCTGGGATTACAGGCATGAGCCATGACGCCCAGCCTTGAATGGATTTATTTAAAAGACCCAACTATATGCTGCTGACAAAAATCTCACTTTACCTATAAAGACACACATAGACTGAAAGTAAAGGTAAAACCAATATTCCATGGAAATGGAAACCAAAAAAGTAAGCTGGAATAGATATGTTTATATCAGATATAATAGACTTTAAGTCAAAAACTATATGAAAAGACAAAGCAGGTGGGTTTAGGTGGCTCACGCCTGTAATACCAGCACTTTGGGAGTCTGAGACAAGTGGATCACCTGAGGTCAGGAGTTTGAGACCAGCCTGGCCAACATGTCAAAAACCCCATCTCTACTAAAAACAAAAATTAGCTGGGTGTGGTGGTGCACACCTGTAATCCCAGCTACTTGGGAGGTTGAGGCACGAGAATTGCTTGAACCCAGAAGGCAGAGGTTGCAGTGAGCTGAGACCGTGCCACTGCACTCCAGCCTGGATGACAAGAATGAAACTTCATCTCAAAAAAAAAGAAAAAAAAAGAATGAAAATATGAATTCAGGAAGTTATAGAATACAAAGTCAATGTGCAAATATCAACAGTGTTTCTACATGAAAATAGTGATCAATCTAAAAAAGAAATGAAATCAATCTCATTTCAATAGCTACAAAAAAATACCTAGAAATAAATTTAACCAATGAACTGAAATATCTCTGTGAAAAAACTATTGATGGATGAAAGAAATTGAAGAGCAGACAAAGAAATGGAATCATATCCCTTGCTCATGGATTTGAAGAATTAATATGGTTAAAATGTCTTTGGGTGGCCAAAGAAATTTATAGATGCAATGCAATCCCTATCAAAACACCAATGACACTCTTCACAGAAATAGAAAAACCAATTCAAAAATTTACATGGGGCCGGGCACGGTGGCTCACGCCTATAATCCCAGCACTTTGGGAGGCCAAGGTGGGCGGATCACCTGAGGTCGGGAGTTCGAGACCAGCCTGACCCACAGGGAGAAACCCCATCTCTACTAAAAATACAAAAAAAAAAAAAATTAGCCGGGCTTGTTGGCGCATGCCTGTAATCCCAGCTACTTGGGAAGGCTGAGGCAGGAGAATCGCTTGAACCTGGGAGGTGGAGGATGTGGTGAGCCAAGATTGCGCCATTGCACTCCAGCCTGGGCAACAAGAGCAAAAACTCTGTCTAAAAAAAAAAAAAAAAAAAAATTATATGGAATGACAAAAGACCCCGAATAGCTAAAGCAATCCTGAGCAAACAGAACAAAGCTGGAGGCATCACATTATCCGATTTCAAATTATATGACAAGTCAATAGTAACCAAAATAGCATGGTACTGGCATAAAACCAGACACATAGACCAATGGAACAGAATAGAAAACCCGGAATTAAACCCAAGCAATTACAGCACACTTATTTTTGACAAAGAAGGCAAGATCAGCCCTTGAGGAAAAGACAGTCTCTTTAATAAATGGTGCTGAGAAAACTGGATATCAATACACAGAATAATGAAACTAGATCCCCATCTTTCACCATATACAAAAATCAACTCAAAATGGATTAAACATTCAATGTAAAGCCTACCACTATGAAACTACTAAAAGAAAAATTTAGGAAGCCATGTTAGCATATTTATCTTGGCAGAGGTTTATTTAGTAAGACATAAAAGCACAGGCAACAGAAGCAAAAATAGACAAATGGGATTCGTCCAAGCTAAAATGCTTCTGCACAGCAAAAGAAACAATTAACAAAGTGAAGAGATAATCAACAGAATGGGAGAAAATATTTGCAAACTATCCATTCAACAAGGGATTAGTAATCATAATACATAAGACACTCTAACATCTTAATAGCAAACAAACAAGCAATCTGATTAAAATGTGGGCAAAGACCTGAATAGACATTTCTTAAAGGAAGACATACAGATGGCCAACAAGTATCTGAAAAAAATCCTCAACATCACTAATCATCAAGGAAATGCAAATCTGAACCACAACAGGATGCCATCTCCCTCCAGTTAGAACGGTTATTATAAAAAAGACAAAAAGTAACAAATACTGGCAGGGATGTGGAGAAAATATAAGTCTTGTACACTGTTGGTGGGAGTGTAAGGTAGTACATCCATCATGAAAAACAGTATAGAAGTTCTCCAAAAACCTAATAATAGAGCTACCATATGATCCAGGAATTCCACTGCTGGGTATATATCCAAAAGAAAGGAAATCAATATGTCAAAGAGCTATCTGCACTACCATGTTTATTGCAACACTATTCACAATAGCCAAGATATGGAATCAACCTAGGTGTCCATTAACAGATCAGTGGATAAAGTAAACATAATCTATACACACACAATGGAATACTATTCAGCCATAAAAAAGAATGAGATCCTCTCATTTGCAACAGCATGGATGGAACTGCAGATCATTATGTTAAGTGAAATAAGCCAGGCACAGAAAGACAAAACATTGCATTTTCTCACTCATATGTGGGAATTAAAAAAGTGAACCCCATGGAGCATGGCAGTAGAATGGTGGTTACCAGAGGCTGGAAAGGAGAGGGAGGAGAGGAATGAAGAGAAATTAAGGGGTACAAAAATACAGTCAGATAGAAATAATAAGTTCTAATATTTCAACGTATACTAGGGAAACTATAGTCAACAATAATGTATCGTATATATCAAAATACCTAGAGGATATTTGTAATGATCCCAACACAGGGAAAAGATAAGTGTTTGAGGTGATGGATATCCAAATTACCCTGATTTGATCATCGCAAATTGTATACAGTTACAGAATATCACACGTATTCCAAAAACATGTACAACTATTATATATAAATTTTAAAAATGTTTTAATCAAATATATATATTACTTCATAAAAATACAATTTCAATTTAAAAAATAACTCTGAAGAGTTGAGAAAGAAGAAATAATTATTGAATGATGTCAGGAAATACCAAGGATAGTGGCGTTTGATTACTGGTTTGATTGATAACAAATGTACTAAAAAAACTACCACCATCCCACAACACATACAGAAAAAAATAATCAGAATATGAAAGAGGACATAACTAACAATACAAAGAGAAATATCAAAAATATTAGGAGCATATTATGTACAACTTTATGTAAATAGATTTGAGAACTTAAATGAAATAGACCACATTCTGGGAAACATAATGATTATTAAAATTGACTCTAAGATAGAATAGAAATCCTGAATAATCCCCAAATCATAGAAGATGCTGAAAACCTAGTCAAATATTTGCCCTTAAAAAAGCCTTAAGACCCATATAGCTTCACAGATGAAGTCAACCAAATCTGCAAAAAATAGATAACTCCTTTGTTGATTATATTTCATTAATTCTATATGTCTATTTTTCACATTCTAACATCTCTGAAATCAGAAAGAATTTTATAACCAACAGCATTTTATAGTGGCCATTTGATAGGCAAGTCATGATATATCTGTCATTGTTTGCATATGTCCCACCTGGTCACAACTTCTAAAATTGTTGTCATGTTAGATATGTATAATAGACTGTTTGGCAAAAGCCTCAGTCCATAGAAGAAGGAAATCCACTGGCATTGCAGAGTCCACAGGCAAACACCTTATATCAGTAACATTTAAATAAAGGACATAACAAGAAAAAAAATATCTACAGAGAGTTATACTATGATACGGGCTGGAAAAACAATATTTTAGAGATGCCATTTCTCCCAAAATTAACCTATAAATACAATGCAATGAAAAACATCGTTTCAACAGGATGTTTTGTGCAACTTAGCAAACTAATTTTATATTCAACTGAGAAAGTAAAAATACATAAAAATTATTTTTAAGTGGACAAAGAAGAACAATGATAGGTTGCTCCATCAGATATTAAAATATCCCATAAGGCTAAAATAAGTTATAGTAATTAAAATGGACAAGTACATCAATAAGATAAAACAGACAGCCAGGACATCTAATAGAGGGAAAAAGTGACACTTCAAATTATAAGGGAAACAATGCATTAAGTAATATTGAGATAACTTACTTCATATTAGAAAAAAATTAAGTTCACATTCTAATTGATACCACACACAAAAAATAAATTCCAGATGGATTAAAGAACACAATGTCAATGACATAATTGAATACTGTACTAAGTTCTAAAGAAGAAAATTTAGAAGGATATTTTTATCATAGGGTGAGGAAGACCTTTTAGCAACATTTAAATCAAGAATCCACAAAGATTTAAAGACTTAAAAGTGAAACCTAAAACTATAAAAGCTTGGGAAGATAACTTAGGAAATAACATTCTGGACATAGAAACTGGCAAAGATTTCATAACAAAGATGCCAAGAGCAATTGCAACAAAACAAAAATTGACAAATGGAATCGAATTAAACTAAAGAGCTTCTGTACAGCAAAAGAAACTATCAACAGAATAAAGAGGAAACCTACAGAAAGGAGAAAAATATTTGCAAACTATGTATCCAACAAGGTCTAGTATCCAGAATCTATAAGGAACTTAAATAAATTTATAAGCAAAAATCAAACAACCCCATTAAAAAGTGGGAAAGGACATGAACATTTTTCAAAAGATATACATGCAGCCAAAAAGCCTTTTAAAAAAGCTCAATATCACTGATCATTAGAGAAATGCAAATCAAAACCACAATCAGATACCATCTCATGTCAATCAGAATGGCTACTATTAAAAAGCCTAAAATTAACAGATGCTGGAGAGGTTGTGGAGAAAAGGGAACACTTATACACTACTAGTAGGATGTATGTTAGTTCAGCCATTGTGAAAATCAGCATAGCAATACATTAAAGAACTTAAAACAGAATTACCATTCAACCCAGCAATCCCAGTACTGGATATATACCCAAAGGAATATAAATCATTCTACCATAAAGACACATACACACATATGTTCATCATAGCACTATGCACAATAGTAAAGACACAGAATCAACCCAAATGCCCATCAATGGTAGACTGGATGAAGAAAATGTGATACTTATACACCATGGAATACTACGCAGCCAAAAAGAGAACGAGATCATGTCCTTTGCAGTGACATGGATGGAGCTGGAGGCCATTACCCTAAGCAAACTAATGCAGGAACAGAAAACCAAATACCACATGTTCTCACTTATAAGTGGGAGCTAAACAGCGAGAACGCATGGACACCAAGAAGGAAACAATAGACACTAGGGCTTATTTGAGGGTGGAGAGTGAGAGGAAGGAGTTAATCAGAAAAAAATACCTATTGGGTACTATTCTTATTACCTGGGTGATGAAATAATCCACACAGCAAACCTCTCTCCTCAGTGACACAGAGTTTACCTATACAACAAATCTGCACATGTACCCCCGAAATTAAAAGTTTAAAAAATTTTTAAAGAAAAAAATGAACATTTTAATTGTGCAATCAATAGATCTTATAACAAATTATGTAATTTAATTATATTGTTAATTGATGTTGTGAGCTAAGAAGGAAAGTGTCAGAATGGGAGAATTACTTGCAACATGTATGATAACAGATTCAGATCTAGAATATATGAAAAAAAATCTTAAGAAAAAGGCAAAGAACATATTATTAGAGAGGGTTAGAAATGATGTGATTATGAGATTCAGAGAGGAAGAAATTTAAAAGGCAACTACAAGTATGAAAATGTACACAAACTCACTACTTATCAGGGAAAGCAATATTAAAAAGATAGTAGTTTTTTTGGTCTGATTTGGCAAAAATTTCCACTTTTGCTTAAAGCCTATAAAATAATATTACCTCTTTGGAGGGATATTTCTCAGTTGCTATCAAAATATAAAATATGCAAAGTTTGGACCTAGCATATGTGTACACAAAAAGACGCAAGGACAAAGATGTTTGTTGTTGCATTATTTTTAATTGTAAAAAGTTGGAAACAATCTAAATGCTCACAAGTTGTTAAATAACGATATATCTACATTAGGTTGTGGTTAAAAGAAATGAAGTAGGTCTATATGCACTGACATGGAAAGGTCTCCAAAGCATATTATTATGTAAAAAAAAGTATTAATAGCAAAACCATTTTTATCATATGATCTCAATAAGGTAACCAAACGAATTTGTAGGTACATATACATGTAAATCCATAGGGAAAAGTTTGTAAACATTCACATCAAAATGATGACAATGATTATTTCAGGAAGCAGGGTGAGATGGGGGAGTGAAATGTAAGAGGAGCACTTGAACGTTTTACTTTCTGTACTTGTGAATGACGACTCATTCCCAATGGGAATGTATTCTTATATTACTTGTGTAATTTTTTAGACATAATAAAAATTTTAAATACTAAATAAAACTGGGTAATGAGAAGGCATAGGGCAAGGAACTGCTGTTTCTCATTACAAGTCTTTGAATAATATTTGGTTTTTAAACCCACGCATATGCTTTAATTTGATAGAAAAAGGTAAAGGTTTAAAAATGCATTTAAAATATACACTTTTACTCAAGTCCTTAGAGCAATAAGGGCAGAGTTGGTCTTCAAACCAAGGTTGTGTTAAGAGTTTCTAAAGAAAGAAATTTTTTAAAGTTTTATCTAGTAATTCATTATAATTAATTCCTATTCAGCTTTTACTTACATTATGAGAAACATGATTATGGTTTCATAATCATCTTTATAACAACCTATAATAGTAATCTATTTTAAAAGTTTTAAGTAAGGTCCTATCTATAAAATGACTTGGAATATTTTTTTCCTTAAACATAAATTTGGCCCTAAAACTGATGCAGTTAGGGTTAGCTTGGTGTCATCACGATTTGTTAGCAGCTGTCTACTTTAAACATACTGTCTGCTCATTTATATTTCTTTTTAAGCTCATCAGATTTAGATCAGAAAGAGAAATAGCTATCTGTTTTCATTGTGGGTTTGTGTATTTTTCTACGTAGAGGACATTCTTGTTTCTACATATCTTTATTTACAGATCAGCATGTGTTCTTGGGAGTCCCTGAATATAAGACCACATGGTTTTCATTTTCCATTTTCATAAAACTGTTTTTTTTAGTTTCTGTGGACAAATACCTAATGACAAATTACCATATTTATTTTTATAATGCATGAAACATTAAAAAATTAAAATACACCAAAGAGAAAAAACTTTATAAATTTTGCATTCAAAGAAAATATCTTCGTTATCATTTTATAGCCCTTATACTAGAGCATACAAGGCAAAAGAAGTTAGAATTTAATGTTTAAGATTGTGCACTCATTATTTTTTTTAAATTATTTTTATCCCTTTGCAGTATGCTAGTCAAGACTATTTTGGTTAAAAGTAGCGAACCCCAAATAACCTTAAGCCATGACACACATGCCTGTGTATGCATGCATGTCGCATGCACATGTGCAACACACACACACATGCACACACACACACTTCTAGTTGGAATACACAAAAAATATTGGCTTCTTTCTCAGACAGGCCTAGGATGATAAGGTATAACCCAGTGGTTCTCAGTCAGGGTGAACTTGGTCCTGCAGAGGACATTTTGCAATGTCTGGAGATGGAGGAGGGTATTGCTGGCACCTAGTGGGTAGAGGCCAGAGATGCTGCTAAATATCCTAAAATGCACAGGGAAGTCCCCCACAGCAAATAAATATCAAGCCCCATATATCAATAGTGCCAAGGGTGAGAAACCCTGGGTATAGGCACACTGATGAGTAACAAAGGTAGAGTAAATAGGGAGGAATTTAGACTGAGATAATCCAGGAACTGTGAGGCTAGGATGGTGCTATAATTATTACATAGGAGGGGCTTAGGAGTGGCATTCTGATGAGAAGTGGAAAGATGGAGCACAGTTTGTTTAAAAATTTTGTGAAGTTGTATAAATATCAATTGTATATATCAAAGAATAGGACAGGACTCTAATGTTCTCCTAATTCCCACCCCGTTAGCAACACCACTAAACCAGGATGTTAAACTAGTCCTTAACTTGGATTTTTTTTTTATTACTATCCTTTACATTTTGGGATACGTGTGCAGAACGTGCAGGTTTGTTACATAGGTATACATGTGCCATGGTAGTTTGCTGCACCCATCAGCCCGTCATCTACATTAGATATTTTTCCAAATGCTATCCCTCCCCTACCCTACCCCCACACCCCAACAGGCCCCAGTGTGTGATGTTCCCCTCCCTGTGTCCCTGTGTTCTGTTGCGGGAAGTCAGGGACCCCGAACGGAGGGACCAGCTGGAGCTGCAGCAGAGGAACATAAATTGTGAAGATCTCATTTTAATATGGACAAATATCAGTTCCCAAAATTAATACTTTTATAATTCCTTACGCCTGTCTTTACTGCAATCTCTGAACATAAATTGCAAAGATTCCATTTTAATATGGACATTTATCAGTTCCCAAATAATACTCTTATAATTTCTTATGCCTGTCTTACTTTAATCACTTAATCCTGTTATCTTCATAAGCTGAGGATGTACGTCACCTCAGGACCACTGTGATAATTGTATCTAACTGTACAAATTGATTGTAAAACGTGTGTTTGAACAATATAAAATCAGTGCACCTTGAAAAAGAGCAGAATAACAGCGATTTTAGGGAACAAGGGAAGACAACCATAAGGTCTGACTGCCTGCAGGGTCGGGCAGAATAGAGCCATATTTTTCTTCTTTCAGAGAGCCTATAAATGGACATGCAAGTAGGGAAGATATCACTAAATTCTTTTCCCAGCAAGGAATATTAATAATTAATACCCTGGGGAAGGAATGCTTTCCTAGGGGGAGGTCTATAAATAGCTCTCTGGGAGTGTCTGTCTTACGCTGTTGAGATAAGGATTGAAATACGCCCTGGTCTCCTGCAGTACCCTCAGGCTTATTAGGGTGGGGAAAAAACGCACCCCTGGTGAATTTGAGGTCAGACCAGTTCTCTACTCTCGAACCCTGTTTTCCGTTGTTTAAGATGATTATCAACACAATACGTGCACAGCTAAACATAGACCCCTATCAGGTGTTCTTTTGCCCTTTGCCTTATGATCTTTATTGGCCTCAGAAGCATGTGATCTTTGTTCTCCTTTTTGCCCTTTGAAGCATGTAATCTTTGTGATCTACTCCCTGTTCATACACCCTCTCCCCTTTTGAAATCCTTAGTAAAAACCTGCTGGTTTTGCAGCTCAGGTGGGCATCATGATCCTACTGATATGTGATGTCACCCCCAGAGGCCCAGCTGTAAAATTCCTCTCTTTGTACTCTTTCTCTTTATTTCTCAGCCAGCCAACACCTAGGGAAAATAGAAAGAACATATGTTGAAATACTGGGGGCGGGTTCCCCCGATAGCACTCTCATTGTTCAACTTCCACTTATGACTGAGAACATGCAGTGTTTGGTTTCCTGTTCCTGTGTTAGTTTGCTTAGAATGATGGTTTCCAGCTTCATCCATGTCCCTGCAAAGGACATGAACTCATCCTTTTTTATGGTTGTATAGTATTCCATGGTGTATATGCGTCACATTTTCTTTATCTAGTGTATCATTGATAGGCATTTGGGTTGGCTCCAAGTCTTTGCTATTGTGAATAGTACTGCAATAAACATACATGTTCATGTGTCTTTATAGTAGAATGATTTATAATTCTTTGGGTATATACCCAGTAATGGGATTGCTGAGCCAAATGGTATTTCTGGTTCTAGATCCTTGAAGAATCGCCACACTGTCTTCCACTAATTTACACTCCCACCAACAGTGTAAAGCATTCCTATTTCTCCAAATCCTCTCTAGCATCTGTTGTTTCCTGACTTTTTAATGATCACCATTCTAACTGGCATGAGACGGTATCTCATGGTGGTTTTAATTTGCATTTGTCTAATAACCAGTGATGATGAGCTTTTCTTCATATGTTTCCTGGCCACATAAATGTCTTCTTTTGCTAAGTGACTGTTGATATCCTTTGCCCACTTTTTGATGAGGTTGTTTGTTTTTTTTCTTGCAAATTTTTTAAGTTCCTTGTAGATTCTGGATATTAGCCCTTTGTCAGATGGATTGCAAAAATTTGCTCCCATTCTGTAGGTTGCCTGTTCAGTCTGATGATAGTGTCTTTTACTGTGCAGAAGCTCTTTAATTTAACTAGATCCTATTTGTCAATTTTGGCTTTTGTTGCCATTGCTTTTGGTGTTTTAGTCATGAAGTCTGTGCCCATGCTTATGTCCTGAATGGTATTGCCTAGGTTTTCTTTTAGGGCTTTTACGGTTTTAGGTATTACGTTTAAGTCTTTAATTCATCTTGAGTTAATTTTTGTATAAGTTGTAAGGAAGGGTTCCAGTTTCAGTTTTCTGCATACGGCTAGCCAGTTTTCCCAACACCCTTTATTAAATAGGCAATCCTTTCCCCATTGCTTGTTTTTGTCAGGTTTGTCAAAGATCAGATGGATGTAGATGTGTGGTGTTATTTCTGAGGCCTCTGTTCTACCCCATTGGTCTATATCTCTGTTATGGTACCAGTACCATGCTGTTTTGGTTACTGTAGCCTTAGTATAGTTTGAAATCAGGTAGCATGATGCCTCCAGCTTTGTTTTTTTGGGTTAGGATTGTCTTGGCTATACGGGCTCTTTTTTGGTTCCATATGAACTTTAAAGTAGTTTTTTCCAATTCTGTGAAGAAAGTCAATGGTAGCTTGATGAGAATAGCATTGAATCTCTAAATTACTTTGGGCAGTATGGCCATGTTCACAATATTGATTTTTCCTATTCATGAGCATGGAATGTTTCTCCATTTGTTTGTGTCCTCTCCTATTTCCTTGAGCAGTGGTTGTAGTTCTCCTTGAAGAGGTCCTTCACATCCCTTGCAAGTTGTATTCCTAGGTGTTTTATTTTCTTTGTAGCAATTGGGAATGGGAGTTCACTCATGATTCGGCTCTCTGCTTGTCTATTATTGGTATATAGGAATGCTTGTGATTTTTGCACATTGGTTTTGTATCCTGAGACTTTGCTGAAGTTGCTTATCAACTTAAGGAGATTTGAGGCTGAGACAATGGGGTGTTCTAAATATACAATCATGTCATCTGCAAATAAAGACAATGTGACTTCCTCTCTTCCTCTCTTCTCTTCTTCTCTACCCTTTATTTCTTTCTTTTGCCTGATTGCCCTGGCCAGAACTTCTAATACTATGTTGCATAGGAGTGGTGAGAGAGAGCATCCTTGTCTTGCCGGTTTTCAAAGGGAATGCTTCCAGCTTTTGCCCATTCAGTATGATATTGGCTGTGGGTTTGTCATAAACAGCTCTTACTATTTTGAGATACACTCCATCAATACCTAGTTTATTGAGAGTTTTTTGCATCAAGGGGTGTTGAATTTTACCAAAGGCCTTTTCTGTATCTATTGAGATAATCATGTGGTTTTTGTCATTGGTTCTGTTTATGTGATGGATTACGTGTATTGATTTGCGTATGTTGAACCAGCCTTTCATCCAAGGGATGAAGCCGACTTGATCATGGTGGATAAGCTTTTTGATGTGCTGCTGAATTTGGTTTGCCAGTATTTTGTTGAGGATTTTCACATTGATGTTCATCAGGGATATTGGCCTGAAATTTTCTTTTTTTGTTTTGTCTCTGCCAGGTTTTGGTATCAGGATGATGCTGGCCTCATAAAATGAGTTAGGGAGGAGTCCATCTTTTTCTATTGTTTCAAATAATTTCAGAAGGAATGGTACCAGCTCCTCTTTGAATCTCTGGTAGAATTCGGCTGTGAATCCATCTGGTACTGGGCTTTTCTTGGTTGGTAGACTATTAGTTACTGCCTCAATTTCAGAACTTGTTATTGGTCTATTCAGGGATTCGACTTCTTCCTGGTTTTGTCTTGGGAGGGTGTGTATATTCAGGAATTTACCCATTTCTTCTAGATTTTCTAGTTTATTTGTGTAGAGGTGTTTATAGCATTCCCTGATGGTAATTTGTATTCCTGTGGGATCAGTGGTGATCTCCCCTTTATCATTTTTTATTGTGTCTATTTGATTCTTCTCTCTTTTCTTCTTTATTAGCCTGACTATCAGCCTATCTATTTTGTTAATCTTTTCAAAAAACCAGCTCCTGGAGTCACTGATTTTTTTGGAAGGTTTTCTTTGTCTCTATCTCCTTCAGTTTGGCTCTGATCTTAGATATTTCTTGTCTTCTGTCGGCTTTTGAATTTGTTTTCTCTTGCTTCTCTAGTTCTTTTTTTTTTTATTTTTTCTTTTTTCTGTGATGGTATCTAGCTCTGTTACCCAGGCTGGAGTGCAATGGCATGATCTCGGCTCATTGCAACCTCTGCTTCCTGGGTTCAAGTGATTCTCCTCCCTTAACCTCCCGAGTAGCTGGGATTACAGACGCCCGCCACCATGCCCAGCTAATTTTTGTATTTTTAGTAGAGATGGTGTTTCACTGTGTTGGCCAGGCTGGTATCAAACTCCTTACCTCGTGGTCCACCCACGTCAGTCTCCCAAGGTGCTGGGATTACAAGTGTGATCCACCATGCCCAGCCCTCTAGTTCTTTTAATTGTGATGTTAGGGTGCTGATTTTAGATCTTTCCGGCATTCTTCTGCGGGCATTTAGTGCTATAGATTTCTCTCTTAACACTGCTTTAGCTGTGTCCTAGTGATTCTGGTACATTGTGTCTTTGTTCTCATTGGTTTCAAAGAACTTATTTATTTCTGCCTTCATTTCGTTATTTACCCAGTAGTCATTCAGGTGCAGGTTGTTCAGTTTCCATGTAGTTGTGCAGTTTTGAGTGAGTTTCTTAATCCTGAGTTCTAATTTGATTGCACTGTGGTCTGAGAGACTGTTTGTTATGATTTCTGTTCTTTTGCATTTGCCGAGAAGTGTTTTACTTCCAAATATGTGGTCAATTTTAGAATAAGTGCAATGTGGTGCTGAGAAGAATGTATACTCTGTTGATTTGGGGGTGGAGAGTTCTGCAGATGTCTATTAGTTCTGCTTGGTCCAGAGCTGAGTTCAAGTCCTGAATATCATTGTTAATTTGCTGTCTTGTTGATCTGTCTAATATTGACAGTCAGATATTAAAGTGTCCCGCTATTATTGTGTGGGAGTCTAAGTCTCTTTGTAGGTCTCTAAGAACTTGCTTTATCAATCTGGGTGCTCCTGTATCGGGTGCATATATGTTTCGGATACTTAGCTCTTCTTGTTGCATTGATCCCTTTACCATTATGTAATGCCCTTCTTTGTCTTTTTTGATCTTTGTTGGTTTAAAGTCTGTTTTATCAGAGACTAGGATTGCAACCCCTGCTTTTTTTTCACTTTCCATTTCCTCAGTAAATATTCCTCCCTCCCTTTATTTTGAGCCTATGTGTGTCTCTGCACGTGAGATGGGTCTCCTGAATACAGCACACTTATGGGTCTTGACTCTATCCAATTTGCCAGTCTGTGTCTTTTTATTGGGGCATTTAGCCCATTTCTATTTAACGTTAATATTGTTACATGTGAATTTGATCCTGTCATTATGATGCTAGCTGGTTATTTTGTCTGTTAGTTGATGCAGTTTCTTCATAGTGCCAATGGACTTTATAATTTGGTATGTTTTTGCAGTGGCTGGTACGGGTTTTTCCTTTCCATATTTAGTGCTTCCTTCAGGAGCTCTTGTAAGGCAGGCCTGGTGATGACAAAATCTCTCAGCATTTGCTTTCCTGTAAAGTATTTTATTTCTCCTTCACTTATGAAGCTTAGTTTGGCTGGATATGAAATTCTGGTTGAAAATTCTTTTCTTTGTGAATGTTGAATATTGCCCCCCACCTCCCCTGACCCCCCATCTTCTGGCTTGTAGGGTTTCTGCAAAGAAATCCACTGTTAGTCTGATGGGCTTCCCTTTGTGGGTAACCGGACCTTTCTCTCTGGCTGCCCTTAACATTTTTTTCTTCATTTCAGCCTTGGTGAATCTGACGATTATGTGTCTTGGGGTTGCTCTTCTCGAGGAGTATCTTTGTGGCGTTCTCTGTATTTCCTGAATTTGAATGTTGGCCTATCTTTCTAGGTTGGGGAAGTTCACCTGGATAGTATCTTGAAGAGTGTTTTCCAACTTGGTTCCATTCTCCCTGTCACTTTCAGGTACCAATCAAACATAGGTCTGGTCTTTTCACATAGTACCATATTTTTTGGAGGCTTTGTTCATATCCTTTCTTCTGCTTGATCCATTCGGCTATTGATACTTGTGTATGCTTCACAAAGTTCTCGTGCTGTGTTTTTCAGTTCTATCAGGTCATTTATGTTCTTCTCTAAACTGGTTATTCTAGTTAGCAATTCCTCTAACCTTTTTTCAAGGTCCTTAGCTTCCTTGCGTTAGGTTAGAACATTCTCCTTTAGCTCAGAGTAGTTTGTTATTACCCACCTTCTGAAGCCTACTTCAATCAATTTGTCAATCTCATTCTCTGTCCAGTTTTGCTCACTTGCTGGCACGGAGTTGTGATCCTTTGGAGGAGAACAGGCATTCTGGTTTTTGGAATTTTCAGCCTTTTTGTGCTGGTTTTTCCTCATCTTCATGGATTTATCTACCTTTGGTCTTTGATGTTGGTGACCTTCGAACAGGGTTTCTGTGTGGACGTCCTTTTTGTTGATGTTGATGCTATTCCTTTCTGTTTGTTAGTTTTCCTTCTAACAGTCAGGCAGGCCCCTCTCCTGCAGATCTGCTGGAATTTGCTGGAGGTCCATTCCAGACGCTGTTTGCCTGGTTATCACCAGCGGAGGCTGCAGAACAGCAAAGATTGCTGCCTGTTCCTTCCTCTGGTAGCTTCATCTCAGAGGGGCACCCACCAGATGCTAGCCAGATCTCTCATGTATGAGGTGTCTATCGACACCTGCTGGGAGGTATCTCCCAGTCAGGAGTCATGCGGGTCGGGGACACACTTCAGGAGGCAGTCTGTCCCTTAGCAGAGCTCAAGCACTGTGCTGGGAGATCTGTTGCTCTCTTCAGAGCTAGCAGGCAGGAACGTTTAAGTCTGCTGAAGCTGCACCCGCCGCCCCTTTCCCCAGGTGCTCTGTCCCAGGGAGATGGGAGTTTTATCTATTAGCCCCTGACTGGGACTGCTGCCTTTCTTTCAAGACGCCCTGCAGAGGAATGAGGATCTAGAGAGGCAGTCTGGGCTACAGCAGCTTTGCGAGCTGCGGTGAGCTCCACTCAGTTGGAACTTTGAGGTGGCTTTGTTTGCACTGTGAGGGGAATACCCTCTACTCAAGTCTCAGTAATGGCAGATGCCCCTCCCCCCACCAAGCTCGAACGTCCCAGGTCGACTTCAGACTGCTGTGCTTGCAGTGAGAATTTCAGGCCAGTGGATCTTAGCTTGCTGGGCTCCATGGGGCTGGGATCCACTGAGCTAGAACACTTGGCTCCCTGGCTTCAGCCCCCTTTTCAGAGGAGGGAGTGGTTCTGTCTCGCTGGTGTTCCAGGGGCCACTGGGGTATGAAAAAAAAACTCCTGCAGCTAGCTTGGTGTCTGCCCAAACATCCACCCAGTTTTTTGCTTGAAACCCAGGGCCCTAGTGGTGTAGGCATCCAAGGGAATCTCCTGGTCTGTGGGTTGTAAAGACCATGGGAAAAGCATAGTATCTTGGCTGGAATGCACCGTTCTTCACGGAACAGTCCCTCACAGCTTCCCTTAGCTAGGGAGGGGAGTTTCCCGACCCCTTGCACTTCCTGGGTGAGGGGACGCCCCACTCTCCTTCAGCTCCCCCTTTCTGTGCTGCACCCACTGTCTAACCAGTCCCAATGAGATGAGCTGGGTACCTCATTTGGAAATACAGAAATCACCCACCTTCTGCATTGATCTCGTTGGGAGCTGCAGACCGGAGCTGTTCCTATTCAGCCATTTTATCAGCCAACCCTGCCCCCTTAACTTAGATTTGTAATGCCTGGGAATTCTTCATCCAAACAGCCAACCAGCCTTGAATAGGGAAACTGGAGACTTGAGTTCTAAGGTCACCCTCCTTTTTTGTGTGTCACTTTGGGTAAGACACTTTTCCTCGCTAGGTTTTAGTTGCCTCCTTTGTAAACTGAGGACATTTGGTTCCATCATTTCTAAGGCTCTTCCCCATTATTCTAACATTTATATGTCTGTATGTGGTTCTATCAGTTGAAAGTAGAGCAAAAGAAAGTCTAGGAACTTTTTCTTTTCTTTTCTTTTCTTTTTTGGGGTGATTGGCTAGGATGTACAATTCTTGAATGTGGTCAGTCCTGAAAACATCTTATCCTAGTTTATCCTGGAAGGTTGATGAAACTGGACTATGCTTGTCAACTGCTACCCTAGCAGATACAGATGATTCCATTGATGAGAATTCTATGTAGCCAAAAAAAAGTGTGGTTGATTGTTCCTCCCGCTGCAGACTTACATAGGATAAAACCTTAAAACCTTTGATGATTGTAACATACAGTAATTTCAGATTTTTTGAGGTGTTACATATTTACCTAATATTCATAATGACAAATGTAATTCAATGAATAAACCTAGAGTTTTTAAAAAATTGTTTCTCATGTTTAATATATTTAGAGAAGGGGCTATTTTATAAAAATAAAAGTTTATAGGAAGAGAATCATTGCAGTGCTAGAGAATGAGAATACTTCTCACCTGAAGAAATCATTATGATCTCCCTCCTAGACATGAACTCAGTCTTTGGGCCAGGGCTTTATTTAAAATGTGAAATGCTTAGCAGAAAATATTTTATGAGAAATTTGAAGTGTTCAGTACTCAATTGTAAGAGAGCAGAAACGAGATCATTCTTTGTCTTTGATACAGGTGACTGAATCTCTATTCAAAGTGAAACATTTAGTGAAGGCTTAGCGAAAACTCTGGACTGGTGTTAGATGCACAGAGCACAAGTTACCTTGTAACAATTAGTACATACACAACACACAGGTTGTTCAGTGCACGAGAACACTAGTGGAGATGGCAAATGGAAGCTGAAATCCACAGTCCTTCCACCATTCACCAAGCCATGCACCTTTGCAGGGGGATGTGTCTGTGGGGAGGTCTTTTTCCAATTCAGATAAAGGTACCATATGTCATTACATGATAAAGATGCCTTTGTCAAAATCCGATTGCAGCCAGTCACAGTGGCTCATGCCTGTAATCCCAGTGCTTTGCAAGGATTACATGAGGTCAGGAGTTTGAGACTCGCCTGAGCAACCACAGCAAGACACTGTCTCTACGAAAAATTAAAAATTAGCTGGTAATAGTGGCGCATACCTACAGACCTACTTACTCAGGAGGCTGAGGTGGGAAGACTGCTGGAGTCCAGGAGTCAGAGGCTGCAGTGAGCTATGTTCGCCCCACTACACTCCAGCCTGGGTGACAGAGCGACACCCTGTCTCTAAAAAAATAAAAATAAAAATAAATATGAAAAAATAAAAACAAATAATGTAAATTCTTATTTTAAACCACAATAGTGTGAATTATAAAAATTGCCCAAACAACAAAGTTGATCCAGGTAAGAGAAACAGATAGTAGAGATTTCATCAGAAAAGTATCTGGATGCAACAAAAAATTTAAAAAAAAAATTGTTTCTGAATACTAGAAAGTCAAAAGACAAGCTAAGGAAATGAAGAGGAAGATTCTGAAAGAAGGAAACAAATAATTTGGCAAAGTCCTGCTTTAGACCTTGAGGCAACAATTAAATTTGCAGACAGGCGCCCACATTATGTGGCCCAGGAGGTTATCAATTTGGATATCATACAGTCTGTTTCTGAGAGAGACCAATGATACATAAACAAACCTATCCTCAGGGATTGTTCTAAAAAGCAACTTTCAGGCATGTCATTGGGTCAGTACATCCCACATCTGCTACACAAAGAGAATTCAGATTTACAACATGAGCATATGAGGCTGAATCACCAAAGAGAAATAACTTTTTATTCGACCTAGCTTAGATTTTGTTATTTTCATCATTTCCCAAGTCCATGGCAATTGATAATCTAGGAATAATATTATTCCTAGTTTCCTAGCTAACTCAACATTAAAAAGAGAACCAGTGTCCATGGCCATTCTGCAGAATGTATAGCACAGATCATTAAAGGTCAGAATACTGTCTAATTATTATAACCTTATGTTTAGAAAGTTTTCAAATAAAATAATTCTAATAACTCATTTTTTCATTTAAAAAGTTGTAGGTATTCTTCAGTAAGTAACTTACCAATTTAAGAAAAATCTTGTTAAATGAAAAGTATAGGATAATATTGAAATAACCTTTTCTGACTTAATTTGAATGAAAAGTCTGATTACTTTTAAGCCATTACACAGCAGATCCATATTCTCCCTATGTTTATAGCCTTCTAAACAAGCTGAACATTCAGATCACACCATCAGCTAGCTCCCCATTTGCATTCTTGATTGGCATGATGAGAGCTGCATCGTAGTTTGTGAATGTCGTGTATTACATGAGACCAAAGAGGAATCTACCCAAACCTGCAGGATGCGGTAGGCAATCAAGCAGCATAAAGGAGATGAATTGCAAGTCCTTTGAGAACGGAATCATTATGAGCTTAACAAGCATCATTCTCAGCTATATCTATTTTAGTGGTGTTAGTATGATATTCATTGTTGCATATGAGCTGTTGTGATGGCTTTAGATTTACCAAGATGATAAATATTTTAGAGTGACATCTGAATAATCACAAGGATTTGTTATGGTGCTCTCTATTCAATCGTCCATCTCCTGTGCATGGACAAAGAAGGGGTATATTTTTAGCTAAGCAAGGGGTAGAAAGAAAAATCAACATAATTAAATGCAAAGAGGGTCAATGAAATTATAGAATGTCAGAGCTGAAGAGAACTTTAAATATCAGCCAGTTTATTGTTTCTGCAAATATTCTACCCAAGTGCTCCTATGGTAAAGAAAGGGTATTTTGTATCCCCAGCAGCCTGGGAGTGTAGTCCTCAGAGACCAGAAACACATTTGAAACATTTATCGAAATACCCTACTTTATCCTAAAATGTACTTAACCTCTAAGTCTCACTTTCCTCATCTGGAGGATGGAGATTATAATAGTGTTTACCCCATGAGCCAGATTTTAAGACTAAAGGAAACATGTGTATGAAACACACAGTACATAGTACCAGCCATATACTAAAGGGCTAAATTAAGAGTCATTATTATTATTTACAATAAAGAAAAAATAATTGTGTTTGCCTCTTGTGAAAAATAAGCAGGAAAGGGGTGGGGCATGGAGATTGGTTAGAAATACTGGCAAGAGTAGATAGTGATAGATCCAGAACCTAGGACTTTACTCATATGAGGCCCATACAAGATTACAATGAGAACTGACCTGGGATGTAAGTTATGAAGCAACTTAAGCTGAGGCACAGGCACCCCTAGAAATACACTAGAAATGACTTGATACCATAGGATAAACATAGAGAACTTCCTGGATTAGCAATTTTATTAGATACTGAGGGAGAGGAAATGGTTATCAAAATAAGCGCACACATATTATAGAATAGAATACATATTTTTGCATTAATCTTTAAGGCAAAACATGAGTCTTCAAAGAAATGCCTCACCCCTTACCCTTAGGAGTTGAGTTTATAGTGCTCAGCTGTTAGGGATACTTCTGTTGGGAAGTAGAAAATGCACAGATCATTCACAAAATCATTATATTTCTCTCTTATTTCTTGTAGGCTCATTTAGAAAAAAAAAAAAAAGCAGCCCTTGACTATAAGTTCCCTGAAGCATGAATCCGATTGTTTTTCTTTAAAGTTTTATTTTCAGCTCTTAGCTCAGTGTTTAGAACATAGTGAAATGGTTGGATAATGGATGGCTACATGATTGAGGAGAAAGATGGGAGAATAAAGTGATTCATTTTGTTTCTTCTTTCCTGTATGTAGAATCTCGGTAACAGTACTAAATTGATTCACACAAAAGTCAAGAAACTCGGAAAGCTCTGATCTGATCTGGACCTGAGTTCAGATCACAGGCAATGCCTTTTTCAAGAGGATAGCTAACCCAGTCATCATCAGGATTTGCCCGGCCACAAAAGAAATGTGTTTAGTTTGCCAAACGAGAGGCAAGAAAGGGGTGTATACATGTACATGCAAGTATGTGAGAAAATGGGTGTATATATGTATTACTGAGATTCTTCATTAAGACTAAACATCTATCTTCCTTCAATGTTGGTAGCCATCTGACTTTATGCAAGCTACTTAATTTTTGTGAGCCTCAGTTTCCTCATTTGGGATAATAATACCTGCCCTGCAGATTATATTAACTTCGCAGTGTTGTTTTGAGAATGAAAACCAAAATTAGATAATGTATGCAAAGCAATATAGATATATACTATAAAAACCCACACAAGTGCTAGAGAAAGCATCATCATACATACGTACTATGTAGTAGCAAAATTAACAGCAATAAGGTATACTGGCAAACTATTTATCCCTGATACATAGTTATTAATTGAAGTAATAAAGATTACATTTCAAGAAGAAAATGTCATGCTTGTCTACTTATTCAGATACCTTGGAATGTAGTCTCAAACTGTAAGATTCCATGAAAGTGGGGAGGCAGATTTCCTCTTTGCACTTGTATCTGTGCAACCCCCACAAGGAGCCAGAAGACATTGACAAGACTACCACTCTATAGGAGGCAAGAGCCCAAGCCAGGGTTCTCACTACAGACTGACACCAGCAGCTTGTTAATTACATATTTCCATTAATGGGATGAATTCCATTGTCTTTCTAGATGACAATCTCCCTTTCAATGCATAGATGTCTTATTTTGTTCCACACACCTTAGCAACCCAGCTACTGTGTTCTGACATTTCCATTTCCTTACCAGTCTTGAAGCTGTAAAAAAAAAAAGAAAAGGAAAAGAGAAAAGGTTGTTTTTGAACAACCATGCGTCTTTCTACACTCGATTTTTCCCCTATGTTTTTACAATCAAAAAACGTTTAAAGAAATACATTAACTGGAAACATATAAGGGCAGCATACCTTTTATGTGGCAGCTTATTTTTTTTTATTATACTTTAAGTCTTAGGGTACATGTGCACAATGTGCAGGTTAGTTACATATGTATACATGTGCCATGCTGGTGTGCTGCACCCATTAACTCGTCATTTAGCATTAGGTATATCTCCTAATGCTATCCCTCCCCCGACCCCACAACAGTCCCCAGAGTGTGATGGTCCCCTTCCTCTGTCCATGTGTTCTCATTGTTCAATTCCCATCTATGAGTGAGAACGTGCGGTGTTTGGTTTTTGTCCTTGTGATAGTTTACTGAGAATGATGATTTCCAATTTCATCCATGTCCCTACAAAGGACATGAACTCATCATTTTTTATGGCTGCATAGTATTCCATGGTGTATATGTGCCACATTTTCTTAATCCAGTCTATCGTTGTTGGACATTTGGGTTGGTTCCAAGTCTTTGCTATTGTGAATAGTGCCGCAACAAACATACGTGTGCATGTGTCTTTATAGCAGCATGATTTATAGTCCTTTGGGTATATACCCAGTAACGGGATGGCTGGGTCAAATGGTATTTCTAGTTCTAGATCCCTGAGGACTCGCCACACTGACTTCCACAATGGTTGAACTAGTTTACAGTCCCACCAACAGTGTAAAAGTGTTCCTATTTCTCTACATCCTCTCCAGCACCTGTTGTTTCCTGACTTTTTACTGATTGCCATTCTAACTGGTGTGAGATGGTATCTCATTGTGGTTTTGATTTGCATTTCTCTGATGGCCAGTGATGATGAGCATTTTTTCATGTGTTTTTTGGCTGCATAAATGTCTTCTTTTGAGAAGTGTCTGTTCATATCCTTTGCCCACTTTTTGATGGGGTTGTTTAGCTTATTTTTTAAAGCCTTGTCATATCAGAATAGGATTATTTTCTGTCTTTGGAGCACAAATTAAAGGACAGTCTTGCAAATATACCCAGAGTTGACTTCATAGGCATTCTTGGTCAAGGAGTTTGCATTTGGTTAGGTAAAATTCTCAGGAAGGACATGATGACATACCTCAAAGAGTTATTTTCTACATAGAAAAGTACATGAGATGGCAGTCACAAAAACCAAAATCTAGAGAGAAACCAATGAGAATGGATGTTTGAGAAAATAAAGATTTTCTTATTTTTTTCAGACTCAGTAACTACAAAACTATGCCTGATAGTCTAAAACATCTTATTAGAATGTGGCATATAAAATATTTCTTTTGCAGAAAGATAAGTTTTACAACTCTAGGAGAGAAAGTGACAAAACGCCCCAGGCATGAAACTGAATTTGAAATAATAGCTATAAAAATGAAAGGAAAATGCTTATCTTTGGGAGAACCAGAGAAGAGGTAGAGATGAAGCCAAGGTTGAGGCAAAAGAATGTTGAGCATGTGAGGGGGCAGCCATAATGTCAAACAGACATTAACACTTAAAAGCTGGAATCCTGTTTTTAACTTGGATTTCAGAACGGATAGGGAGTAGGATGGAATACAGTAGTAGTATAGTCCTGAAACATTATGAGTTCTTGATTTAATGCAAAGGAGTTGTGACCCACAGATTACTAATTTTCCTCAGACATTACTTCAGCAAGGTGATTAGTCTTTAACATTTCATTGAGTTTACTCTATATTCACTGAACTACTCTTTACAGTGAATACCATTCACATATCTGAATAATGCTGTAGACTGTGTCGCCCTGTCCACTTGCACATACAGAATACTCCTGTACCAGAATGTGCACATACTTTCCAAAAAGAATAAGAGGAAAAGCAAAGTTATTGTATTAGTTTTCTATTGCTGAGTAACAATTTATCACAAACTTAATGGTTTAAAGTAACATCCACATATTATTAATACCTCATAGTTTACCTGGGTCAGGAGTCCAGGTATGGTTTAGCTAGCTTCTTTATTCAGAGTCTCACAAGGCAGAAATCAAGGTGTTAGCTGAGACTGTGATCTCATTTGAGGCTCTAGGTCCTCTTCCACATTTACTGGATATTAGAGAATTCAGTTCCTTATGGCTGTAGGCGAGACCCTCTGATCCTAGAGGCTACCTTCTATTTCCTGCCATGTGGTCCTCTTCACAACAACAGTTTACTTTCTCGAAGCAGCAGAAAAACAATTCTCTGGCTTCAATCCTCCCATTCTGGCCAACTGCGGTGGCTCATGTCTGTAATCCCAGTGCTTTGACAGGCAGAGGTGGGAAGATAGCTTGAGCTTGAGGCCACTACTTTAAGACCAGCTTGGACAGCATAGCAAGTCCCTGTCTCTCTAAAAAAAAAAAAAAAAAAAAAAAAAATAGTCGGACATGGTGGTGCACACGTGTGCTCCCAGCTACTCAGGGGATTGAAGTGGGAGGATTGCCTGAGCCCAGGACATTGAGGTTGCAGTGAGCCATGATCATGCCACTACACGGCATCCTGAGTGACAGAGCAAGACCCTGTCTCAAAAAAACAAAGAAAGGAAATCCTAGTTTAATAGGAAAATTACCCTTCCCTTCCGGGGAGGTCTGAGATCTTCCTTATGTTTTTATTTTTGTATTTTCATTATTATTATTATTTTTGAGACACTCTCACTCAGTCACCTAGGCTGGGGTACAATGGCGTGATCACAGCTCACTGCAGCCTCAACTTTCTGAGCTCAGGTGATCCTCCTCCCTCAGCCTCCCAAGAAGCTGGAACCACAGGCATGTGACACCACATCCAGCTAATTTTTATTTTTATTAGAGACAAAGTCTTTCTTTGTTTTCCAAGCTGATTCGAACTCCTGGCCTCAAGCAATCCTCCCACCTTGGCCTCCCAAAGTGCTGGGATTACAGGTATGAACCACCATGCCCAGCCCTGGGGACCTTCTTTAAAGAGCTCATCTGATTAGGTCAGGCTCACCCCAAGAATAATCTCCTTTTAGATTAATTCAAAGCCAGATGATTTGAGACTTTAATAACATCTGCAAAATATCTTCACCTTTGCCACAGAATACAATCTAATCACAGGAGTGAAAACCCCTCATGTTTACAAGTTCTGTGCACACTGAAGGGCAGAAGATTTCACAGAGTGTGTCCATCAGGAGGCAGGATTCTTGGAGGCCATCTTAGAATTCTGCCTATCATAGCTAATTATATGGAAAATTTTCTTTGTTCCCCACTTTTTCTTTGCTTATTCCTAAATGATTCATAAAAAATTTTTTTATAAAGTCTATAATGAAAACTGAGATATTTTGAGAATTTCTTATGAACTTTTATTTTTAATAAAGTTTTAAAACCATTCCCAACACTGTTTGGTCCTATACCACTGCCTCTCTAGAAACAGGCTTTCAAGCCTTAGGTCTCCAAGCCACAAGCAAAGGGGCAGTTTTGCAAACATCTAGAATTGGTTTGTATGGCCTTCCTTTGTCAAGAAGACTGCATTTGTCCAGATGAAATTATCCAGAAGGACTTGCTTTCATACCTCACAGAGGTCATTAGTATATTTTTTTTTTTCTGAAAGATAGGGTCTTCCTCTTTCACCCAGACTGTAGTGCAATGTCATGATCATAGCTCACTGTGGCCTTTATCTCCTGGGCTCAAGTGTTCCTCCTGCCTCAGCCAGTAAAGTAGATAAGACAACAGGTGTGCACTACCATGCCTGGCTTTTTTTTTTTTTTTTTTAGAGAAAGGGTCTTGCTATGTTGCCCAGGTGAATGTCAGACTCCTGGCCTCAATCTATCCTCCCTTCTTGGCCTCCCAAAGCACTAGGATTATAGGTGTGAGCCACTATGCTCAGCCAGGGGTAATTTCTACAGAGAAACATAAAAAATGGCAGCCACTAGGCCACACACAGTGGCTCACACCTCTAATCCGAGCACTTTGGGAGGCCATGGCAGGTGGATCACCTGAGTTCAGGCGTTCAAGACCAGCTGGCTAATATGGTGAAACTCCGTCTCTACTAAAACTACAAAAATTTGCTGGGCGTGGTGGCGCCTGACTATAATCCCAGCTACTCCGGAGGCTGAGGCAGAAGAATTGCTTGAACCTGGGAGGTGGAGGTTGCAGTGAGCCGAGATCACGCCATTGCACTCCAGCCTGGGTGACAAGAACGAAATTGCATCTCAAAAAATAAAGAAAGAAAGAAAAAGAAAAAAGAAATGGCGGCCACTGAAACCACAATTTAGGGAGAAACCAAGAAGATTGAAGATTTAGAAAATGAAAGAGAGTAGTGATGCTCACATGGTAAGAAATTCCTGAACTCTGCCGGGCACGGTGGCTCATGCCTGTAATCCCAGCACTTTGGGAGGCCGAGGCGGGTGGATCACCTGAGGTAGGGAGTTGGAGACCAGCCTGGCCAACATGGGGGAAACCCTGTCTCTACTAAAAATACAAATATCAGCCGGGCATGGTCACGGGCACCTGTAATCCCAGCTACTTGGGAGGCTGAGTAACGAGAATCGCTTGAACCCGGGAGGTGGACGTTGCAGTGAGCCGAGATTGCGCCACTGCACTCCTGCCTGGGTGACAAGAGTGAGACTCCATCTCAAAAAAAAAAAAACCTGAACTCACTGAGAAATGCCCAGTGTAAGTGGCAAGTGAGGCCAAAACTGGCAAAAGTAGAAGCTCATGGTTGGCAAGGAGGTTCAAAGGTTCATTGTCTAAGGCTTACGATTATTTAAGGAAAGGGCCCATCTCAGGAGGGTATTTTCAACAGGTGGCCAGCAGGCAAGACAGCCAGCTCTCATTTCTTCTAGGGAGATTTAGGGCATTCGATATTCATTTTGCGTGCTATATACTGATGCCCCTTTAATTTCTGTCTCATGGATATTGGTGCTAAGCTCAATGAAGCCATTTCCTTAAATCTTGCACATACATACACACGCACACATGTACAGGCACATGCCTAGGCAGGGGAGATTTTGGAGCAGCAGCCTGTATAGTGGTTAAGAAGGTCACATCTAGATTTAGCATAGATAAGTGATCTCAGTTAAGGTAATTTACTTTTTTGAATATCAGTTTCTCTAACTGTAAAATGGAAATAAATAAGCTAATCTCCCAAGATTGATATAAGGAATAAATGAGATACCATAGAAAACTTCTAACATGCCACCTATACAGCAAATGCAAGTTATTCCTATTGATTAGTAGTAGTACAATATTCATTCTTGTTTTATATGAAAATATTTTTCAGATAAAGCTCAGAGAGAGCTCACAATTTTGGAAGAGCAGCTTCCCATGCTTAGAGTAACCTGGGAGAGAGGGCAGATGATAGAAAAGATGATGGAATGAGGACCCTTTGTCTTCTTTATTGCTTAAATAATGTATGGCCAGCATCCTGACTCCCTGCTTTAAAAAAAAAAATCATCTCCGTTTAATGATAGAGTGCGTGGGTGCTTAAGGCATTAGTACCACTGATTGAAGGGTTTGTTCTTCTCATCATAAATGTCAAGATCTTGATGATTTTTTTCACCCTACAAACATTTTTTACCTGCTTTATGCCAACGGGGAAGGAAGCATGTAAGACAAGAAAACAGAATGAAAAGAACAGAAAGATATAATTTTTCCTCTCAGATGGTCTGAATTTTAATAAAAATTTCCTTGCTTTAATAGCAGTTTTGTTTCGTTGCCTTAATTTATTTCCCCCATTGAAATACATAATGAATTGCTACAAGTCCCCATGGTGAGCTCTGTTGCAGGGGGAGCCACTCATTAGTTCATGTGAGGTCACGGGTATTTGTGTCTAATTTACATGGCAGATATTGCAGAGATTTCTCAAATTTGATAGAGACATCAACTCACAGTCATAGTCAGATGACTGCAGAACCAGAGAAAGAAAGGAAACCTGCATTTGCTTTTGACTGTTTTCATGGCCACTTTGATCCCTTCATGTACACATACTCCAAAAACAACTCTCTGAAATCACAGAAGTAAACAAAATAATTTTAAAATACATTGAGAAATATTCTTGTACTACTGCCCTTTATATAAGGGAAGGGCCAAGAAGGACTGCGAAGAGATAGACCCTCCTTCTCCATAGAATCAAGGGAGTGTCCCTAAGGAATGAAATGAACTCCAGCTTCCTAGTGCTTAACAGAATTTCTTCATTTAATTTAATAAGTGGGTAATATTTATGCTATCTTCTCACATAAATATCTCTGCGTTGTAGAGTTTCATCATGAAAATCACTGCTCCTTATGGCCTCTGAGGTCTCTTATAACATGGAATTCCATAACATTCATTCTTAACCCACAGATGCATTCTCAAAGTGAGGGAAAGCCCCTCAATAGATTCTCTGAGTTTACGACTTTTAGAAAGAAAAGAGGTAAGCTGGTAGGCAGCGCTGAATCACACCAGGCATTATCCTACAACCAAAAGAACGCTGAGAATTGTATCGCACTTTTTGGACTTGGAGATTTCTTCTCCTTTGCCCTCACTTCTCCTCACAGTAGGTGAAAGTAAGTTCACCATGTCCCCCAAAGCCAAGCAGCTTTTTAATTACACAACCTTACAAGTCTTTCCACATCACTTCAAGTGAAAAACGTCTTTGTTTTTATCTTCAAGAACAGACCCCAATATAACACCCAGACACCGTGGGCCTTTCATTACATAGCACAGTGTTAGAGCCGCTTGAAAATCAGGATAGATTCCTTGAGAAGCAGCCAGAAATCTTCTAAGTAATCTATAGCATACCCTCTACTTTTCCAGCCAAGGAGGGTGGGGCAGAGTGGGGATGGAGAAAACCATACAGAAGAGTCACAGAACATCACAATATCTAGTGTGGGTCCATTTATTATGAAGCTGGAGAAAATGAGGTCCTGAGAAGGGAAGTGACATAGTTAAGGTCATGCATCAAGTTAGTGGAAGAGTGATCAACATTAAGGATTAATAACAATGACAATAGCTAACATCTACTGAGAGCTTACCACACATTAAGTACTGTTTGAGGAGCTTGTCTTCTACTTCCTAATTGTTTCTTTTTAAAAACATATCAGCTGGGTGTGGTGGCTCACCCCTGTAATCCCAACACTTTGAGAGGCTGAGACGGGCGGATCACCTGAGGTCAGGAGTTCGAGACCAGCCTGACCAACATGGTGAAATCCCATCTCTACTAAAAATACAAAATTAGCTGGGCGTAGTGGTGCACCTCCCCGTGGTGCACGTCCCAGCTACTCGGGAGGCTGAGGTGGGAGAATCGCTTGAACCTAGGAGGCGGAGGTTGCAGTAAGCCGAGATCACACCATTGCGCTCCAGCCCGGGCGACAAGAGCGAAACTCAGTCTCACAAAAAACAAACAAACAAAAAAGAATAATCAGAGAGAGACATTAAATACTACAGCTTTCCCACCTCCTCTCTCCACCCTTTCTCAAAAGTTGTCCCATTTCTCAGAAGTAACCATTTTCAAGAGTTTCTTATAAAACTTATTTTTAAGACTTTCTTCAAGAAATATACTAGAAAAATACAGGTATATAGAGATATATATGCCCTTTATATAAATAAATTACACTTTACTCTTAAATTGTATGCTTGATATCTATTAAACACATAAATATTATTCATTTTAATAGCTGCAAAGGTATTCCATTGCATGGATGCACCATAATTTGTTTAAACAGACCCCTTTTGATGAACACTTGGGTTATTTCCAGTTTGTTAATTTGTCTGTTTTTATTCTGTTATAAATGAATATATGCAATTGTCTTTAAGAAAAAATAAGAGAAGTGAAATTTCTGAGTCAGAGTGTCAGTCATTTTAGTTTTTATAAATCCTGCCAGATTATCCTATAAAAAGGCTGCCTAGCTTACTCTCTTACCATCAATGCATGAGAAATGCTATTTTTCTATATCATGGTTAATACTAGCTATTAATCCACTTCTTAGTATTTGACAGTCTGGGGAGGAAAAATAATACTACCTCAATATTGTTTTAATTTGAATGTCCTTAATTATTAAAAAGATTGAACGTCTTTTCTACCTTTATTGTCAATTTATATTTGATTTTTTCTATGAACTATCTCTTCATATGCTCTACCTAGTATCTCCTATTGGGTTGTATTACCTTTTCATATTGATTTCTAGGAACTCCTTGTAAATTTACAATTATTCCTCTGTTGTATGTGTTGTAAATATTTGCCTCATTTGTTGAATTTTTAAAAACATTATTCATGATATTTATCATACAGAAATTTCATATTTTTGTACAGAGTTAACAACGTACAACTTTTGAAGGCTGGTTAATCTATCTTTCATTATATCTACCTATCTATCTAAATTTCCCAGTAAAGTTAGCCTCTAGAAAATATTAAATAAATTGGCTTCTAGTGATACACTAATTTATGAGTATAGCTTCTGAATAGAATATTTATTTTGAAAGTAAGAGATTTCTTTTTTTTTCTTTTTTTCTTTTTTTTTTTCTTGAGACAGGGTCTCACTCTGTCACCCAGGCTTGGGTGCAGTGGTGCTATCTCGGCTCACTGCAACCTCTGCCTCCCGGGTTCAAGCAATTCTCCTGTCTCAGTCTCCTAAGTAGCTGGGACTATAGGCGCATACCACCATGCCCGGTTAATTTTTGTATTTTTATTAGAGATGGGGTTTCATCATATTGATCAGGCTGGTCTTTTTTTTTTTTTTTTTTTGACGGAGTCTCGCTCTATTGGCAGGCTGGAGTGCAGTGGCGCTCTCGGCTCAGTACAACCTCTGCCTCCCGGATTCAAGCAATTCTCCTGCCTCAGGCTCCCGAGTAGCTGCGACTACAGGTGCGCGCCACCATGACCAGCTAATTTTTGTATTTTTAGTAGAGATGGGGGTTTCACCATGTTGGTCAGGATGGTCTTGATCTCTTAACCTCGTGATCCGCCTGTCTTGGCCTCCCAAAGTGCTGGGATTACAGGCATGAGCCACCGCACCTGGCCAGAAGGAATCATTTAAACCAAGTACTGGAGAATGTATTGAGAGAGAACAGTTAAAGAAGAGAAGAGAAATACATTCCAGGCGACGAGAACATAGAATGAACAAAGGCCCAGAGATAATATAGCCTGAACAAAAGCTGCAGTACAGGATGAGCTTAGGCTGGTAAACTGGACTTTTTATATTATGTAAAGGACTTTGGATTCTTTTCTGTTTCTTGTGAAATATAAAATAAACTCATCTAATTTTTACTTTATGATGACTTATAATCATTTTGGGGAGCCAAGAGTGTATTAACCTGTGTGTTAGGAAGGTATCTTGGGCCAGGCATGGTGGCTCACACCTGTAATCCCAGCACTTTGGGAGGCTGAAGCAGGAGGATTGCTTGAGCCCAGGAGTTCAAGACCAGCCTGAGCAATACAGTGTGACCCCACTTCTACACACACACACACACACACACACACACACACACACACAATTATTAATTAGCCAAGGCAGTGTACCATGCCTGTGTTCCCAGCTAGGATGAGGTGGGAGAATTGCTTGAGCCCAGGAAGTCAAGGCTGCAGTGAGCTAGGTTCACATCACTGTACTTCAGCCTGGGTGACAGAGAGAGATCTTGTCTCAAAAAAAAAAAAAAAGATATTTGGCAAACATATAAAATGGCCTTGCAAAAACAGGTATGGAGAAACACCGCTGTTCATATCTACAAGAATTTTTTTTTTTTTTTTAAGAAGGAGTTTCGCTCTTGTTGCCCAGGCTGGAGTGCAATGGTGCAATCTCGGCTCACCACAACCTCTGCCTCCCAGGTTCAAGCGATTCTCTTGCCCCAGCCTCCTGAGTAGCTGGGATTACAGGCATGTGCCACCACACCCAGCTAATTTTGTATTTTTAGTAGAGACGGGGTTTCTCCATGTTGGTCAGGCTGGTCTCGAACTCCCAACTTCAGGTGATCCGCCCGCCTCAGCCTCCCAAAGTGCTGGGATTATAGGCATGAGCCACCTGCGCCCGGCCCATGTCTACAAGAATTTGAACTTTCAAGTGACTCACAAATTTTCATTCCTTTCAGAAAATAACACCTGACATTAAGTGCTCATTCTATGCCAGTGACTGTTTTTCTTAACATTTTGCATGTTTTATTAACTCATTTAACTCAGTAGCAATTCATTCAAACCTCAAAATAACCCTCAAAGGCAGGATTGTAATCCGCACATTACAAATCAGAAAACTGAGGCACAGAGAGGTTAACTACACCCTGGTTGAAACCTTAGGCTGTCTGACTCCAGAGTTTGTGCTCTTAACCTCAGTTTTTATACTCTCTACTTATGAAACATGCAAGAGATTTGCCTCCCACATAGCTCCTACAGGGGCTGGCCAGCCTTTGCTTACATGCTGTCACTGTTCAGATCATTCTGTTCTGCCACAGCTTAAATCTTCAGAGTCCTGCCTCATATTGCACCCAAGCCTACCTCCCTATAACTATGAAGCAAAAGTTTAAAGTCGGTTAGCAAATTTCACCACCCCCAACTCCACTGAGGTAAGCAGAATGGTCCACTAAAGATGTCCATACCCTAATTTCTAAGACATGTGAATATGTTATATTACACAGCAAAAGATGTTTTGCAGATGTACTATAGTAAGGTTAGGGACTTTAAAATTAGAGAGATTGGCCTTGATTGGCCAGGTGGGTGAATCTAATCACATGTGTCCTTGAAAAATAGAGAACTTTCTCCATCTGGAGGCAAGGCAGATGCAGCAACAAGAGAAGTCAGAAAGACTCACAGTTTGAGTGGCACTCAACCAGTTGATGCTTAAGGAAGGCCAGTTGGAAAGCATGAGAAGGAATGAGGGCAACATTTAATTCTAAAAACTAACACTCAGTTGACAGACAGCAAGGAAACTGGGTCTTCAGTCCTACAACCCCAAGGAACTGAATTCTACCAATAACCTGAATGAACTTAGAAGTCAATTCTGCCCCAGAACCTCCAATAAGGAACACAGCCCCACCAAAACCTTGATTTTGGACTTGTAAGACCCTAATCTGAGAACCTAGCCAAGCCCACCCAAACTTTTGACCTACAGAACTGTGATGTAATAAATGAGTGTTGTTTTAAGCCACTAAGTTTGAGTAATTCGTTACGGCAGCAATAGAAATCGAATACAATCACCAAGTCTTCTCTTCCTAATTCCTTTATACTCCTGACACCACAGGGTTTTCATCCTCTTACCATCAAGTCTACAACATTTGATCATATTCCAATTTGTCTATGACCCTCTGAAAAGGGTAATGCCCATTGTCACCACCTGAGCCTGCTGATCAATGTTAGCATCATTAAAAGAAGGATAAACCAGACCTTGTGTTCCTCCTCATGGGATCCAACAGAAGGCACACAGAAGTATCCATGAAATAGTCTTTCCAAAAATGTCTATAAACTCTATCAAACTTTTAGAGCAAGTGTCAAGTGAATAGGAAATATAGGGAATAGAGAAAAAAGTTAAATGGAACCTAAGAAAGCAATCAGAAAATCCAGAATATAAGAAGTGGTTTTTTTTTTTTTAAGAAGGCAGTGGGAGGGAATAATTGAGGGGAGACTACTCTAGTTTAAAAGATATTTGAGGGACATTACAAACAAATGTAGTGAACCTGCATTGGCTGCTACTTCAATTGAATTAAATGTCTCCAAGGTAGCCTGGGAAATCTGAATATGGACAGGATATTAGGTGATAATAAGAAATTATTGTTAATTTTGTTAGGTGTAATTATGCCATTGTGGTTATATAAGAAAATGTGTGCCAGGCACGGTGGCTCATGCCTGTAATCCCAGCACCTTGGGAGGCCAAGGTGGGCAGATCACCTGAGGTTGAGAGTTCGAGACCAGCCTGACCAACATGGAGAAACCCCATCTCTACTAAAAATACAAAATTAGCCAGGTGTGGTGGCGTACGCCTGTAATCCCAGCTACTCAGGAGGCTGAGGCAGAAGAATCACTTGAACCTGGGAGACGGAGGTTGCAGTGAGCCGAGATTGTGCCATTGCACTCCAGCCTGGGTAAGAAGAGCGAAAACTCCATCGCAAAAAAAAAAAAGAAAGAAGAAACAAAAAAAGAAAATGTGCATGTTAGAGACACACACTGAAGTATTTAGAGGTGAAGTGACGTGAGGACTGGGATTTGCTTTAAAAACCCCAGCAATGACAGCCAAAAAAAAAAAAAAAAAAAAAAGCTGCGTGAAACAGGTAGTAAAATGTCAATGATTGTTGAATTTGAGAGAGGGGTAGTTTATGGACATTCATGACAGCATTCTCTCTACTTTTGTGTATTTTTTAAAGTTTTATTTTTTGTTGTTGTTTTGAGACAGAGTTTTGTTTTCTTTCGTTCTGTCACCCAGGCTACAGTGCAGTGGTGTGATCACTGTTCAACATAGCTTCAACTTCCTGGGTTCAAGTGATCCTCCCCCTTCTGCCTCAGCCTCCAGAGTTGCTGGGACCACAGGCATGTGACACCACACCCAGCTAATGAAAGTTTCTACAATATGAATGTTTGGCCGGGCATGGTGGCTCATGCCTGTAATCCCAGCACTTTGGGAGGCCAAGGCGGGCGGGTCACCTGAGGTCAGGAGTTCGAGACCAGCCTGGCCAAATGGTGAAATCCCGTCTCTACTAAAAATACAAAAATTAGCCTGGCATGGTGGCAGGTGCCTGTGATCCCACCTACTCGGGAGGCTGAGGCAAGAGAATCACTTGAACCTGGTAGGCGGAGGTTGCAGTGAGCCCAGATCACGCCACTGCACTCCAGCCTTGGGGACAAGAGCGAGATTTCATCTCAAAAATTAAAAATAATAATAATAATAATAAATAAGAATGTTCTAAAAAATGTGATGCTTATAACTGAAAATTACATGCCAGTTCAACTTGTCACTGAAGAGTTAGCAGGGCCATCACCACCCCTGACCTGGACAGTAGACCTCTATTAATGTGGACTACATATGCCTTAGGTTTTATAGCAGCTGTGTTACAGTATTAACACAACTAAAACAGCATTTCCCATTAAAACCAATAGAGTCAGTCTGCCCTCAGTCTGAATTTTTGCAATTCTCTGAATTTAAATGAAAAAATTTACACTTATTTTTGGTTAAATATAATCTTGCTAATTTTAACCAGTTTTGACTGATCCAGTCAGTCAAAATTTCTCTAATGTCATGGTACAGTTTAAAAGCCATGCTTTAGGCAGGGCTCAGTGGCTCACGCCTATAATCCTAGCACTTTGGGAGGCTGAGGCAGGCAGATCATCTGAGGTCAGGAGTTCAAGACCAGCCTAGCCAACATGGCGAAACCCCGTCTCTACTAAAAACACAAAAATTAGCCGGGAGGGTGGTGTGTGCCTTTAATCCCAGCTATGAGGGAGGCTAAGACAGGAGAATTGCTTAAACCCAGGAGGCAGAGGTTGCAGCGAGCCAAGATCGTACCACTGCACTCCAGCCTGGGAGACGGCGAGACTCCGTCTCAAAAAAATAAATAAATAAAAATAAAAATAAATAAATAAATAAAAGCTATGCTTTTCAGCTTTATTGAGTATGTAAATCTGCTAAGCGTATTTTATGATATTTTTCCAATTATTGATACATATTTGGATTCAATATGGTAAAGGACAAAGCCCTGTCATGCTTCACTGAATACTTTTATCCAGTAATTAATATTCTCTAGAGAAAGATAAAATATAACTTACATTTAGATTTAGAGATTAGAGATTTAGAGACTGCAATGTGCTTTCACAATGCAATCAAATTTAAACCTCACATCTCGCCTATGAGTTGTCTTATTATAGATGAGTAAACAAAGTCTCAAAGAAGTTAAGGACAAAAAAATAAAAAAGATATAGGGCCAGGCGCAGTGGCTCACGCCTGTCATCCTAGCACTTTGGGAGGCCAAGTTGGGTGGAGCACCTGAGGTCAGGAGTTCAAGACCAGCCTTGCCAACATTGTGAAACCCCGTCTCTATCAAAAATACAAAAACTAGTCAGGTGTGGTGGTGGGTGCCTGTAATCCCAGCTACTCGGGAGGCTGAGGCAGGAGAATTGCTTGAACTCTGGAGGCTGAGGTTGCAGTGAGCCGAGATCATACCATTGCACTCCAGCCTGGGTGACAAGAGCAAAACTCCATCTAAAAAAAAAAAAAAAAAAAGGACAAATACCTTTTCTTGACGTGATTGGGCAGCATTTGGAAGAAAGAGATTGAAAACAAAGGCATGAAAAGGGGAGAGGGGTGTATATACACGTATGGATAAAAGATTGCCTGAGGTGTGATTAACCAATGAAAGATGAGAAGATAGAAAGACAAATGTAGAGATTCAGACTCCTCAGGTGCAAGAAAGGAGTTGGTGGGGCAGAGATAGGTCGGTTCATTTTGCTGGCCAACAGGGGACACAAAACATTCACAAATCAATTTCTCCATCTGTAAAATGGGGTTAAGATCCAGATTTGCAAGTTTCTTGATAGGATAGATGAGATAATGTATGTAAAGCATGTGTCCCAGTGCTTGTCCTGTGGTAGAAACTCAATAGGTGTTAATTACCACTCAGACTCCCCAATTCCTTGAAACTTCCATTGCACCAGAATCAGACTTCCATTTTCCTAAGGCTCTTAACCACAACCCTATAATTTTGTTATCCCACCACTTGGAGGGTCCCTATTGTTAGGTTTGTAACAATGGTGGCAAATATTTGGATATTATGCTTTCTACCACAGAACTTCTTCCTGTTCTGTCTTCCCATTGTTCTCCCAGGGCTATTTTTCCTCTGTCCTCTCTGGCCCCTTTCCTGTGGTGTACAATGTTCAAAGACCATCAGAGCATATTCTTCAATGCCCTTTAATAATGCCCTTTTATTTCATGTTTACAGTAATTAAAGCCTTTTTCTGTTCATTTTCTCATTTGACTTTCATAATAATTCAGTGAAATAGGTAGAGCAGTGGCTTGATCCATCAAGGAAACTGAAACTCAAAGATGTACTTGACTTACCCAAAGTCATACAGCAAGTAAATGGCTGAACTGAAACTAAACCAAAAGGTTGTGTGATTCTAAATCCTCTGGTACTTGAAATACAACACCAAGTCATCAGCTGTGGATCAAAAACCAAAACGGCACCACTAAAAGCTACACACAACCATTTGTTTTTCCTAGATAATGCTGGCCGTCTTCCATGTGAGATATCCACATAATACATTGGCTTTCTAAAGAAAAGTAAAACCAATGTATTTCTATAGGAAGTCACAAACATTTGAGGTGCAAAATGCAACTGCTCTACTCCATAGATGGATAATCATTTTGGAGAAAGCTATTTCCATCATCTTTATAAATGTCTGTAAAACAACTTTTCTGTGCTTATAAAAAATGGTGCTCTGAATATTCTTTTCTTCCCCATTGTATTATATTACATTCTGCAGGGTTTCTTTTTTTTTTTCTTTTTCTTTAAGCCTGTCTCTAAAAGGACCTCTATAGAAGTTAATGTCTGGAGTAAGATTTGCTTTCAAGGTATGAAAAAAGTAGGACTGTCTTGGGTCCTTTAGGTCAGTTGATCAAGTACAAAGTCCGGGATCTTCTGACATAAAAATTCTGCCCAGCATATCCTTTCATTTTAATGGGAGAAATAGAAATGTGGCTATATGCACCAACAGTTAATCTTTGGCATTTTTATTTTATTTTGTTATAATGATTAATCTCTTATTGGAATAAAGTAACTCTGAGGTCACTGCATGTGGATATCTTATTCTTAAAACAAAGTGTCTACGCTAATATACTACTTAGTTAAAACCAAAAGAAAACTTTTGTGAATGTCATTAAGTATTTTTTTTTTTTTCAGACAGAGTCTTGCTCTGTCGCCAGGCTGGAGTGCAGTGGCATGATCTCGGCCTCCACCTCCCGGGTTCAAGCAATTCTCCTGCCTTAGCCTTCTGAGTAGCTGGGACTATAGGTGCGCACCACTATGCCCAGCTAATTCTTGTATTTTTAGTAGAGACAAGGTTTCACCATGTGGGCCAGGATTGACTCGATCTCTTGACCTTGTGATCCGCCCTCCTCGTCCTCCCAAAGTGCTGGGATTACAGGCGTGAGCCACCGTGCCTGGCCCTCATTAAGAGTCTTCTTTGAAAGAATGGCATATGTATTAGAGGATCAACAGTATTTGTGCCAACACTCCATTCAATTGCTGTGGCAATGGATAGTTTGATAAAGCCCTCACCATGAAAGAGAATACAGTCAAAAACAGTCAAAATGCATGTTAGTGCATTAAAATTATAATAATTTAATGCATGGTGAAGGTAGCACTTAAAATCATTGGGGAAAAATGAGCTTTTCAAGAAATAGTATAAGGACAATTAGCTATTCATTTGAGAAAATTTAGTTAGATCTCTGTCTCATACCAGGCTGCCTTGGAGACATTTTTAATTCAATTGAAGTAGCAGCCAATGCAGGTTCACTACATTTGTTTGTAATGTCCCTCAAATATCTTTTAAACTAGAGTAGTCTCCCCTCAATTATTCCCTCCCATTGGCTTCTTAAAAAAAAAAAAGCCACTTCTTCTTATATTCTGGATTTTCTGATTGCTTTCTTGGGTTCCATTTAACATTTTTCTCTGTTCCCTATATTTCCTATTCACTTGACAATTGCTCTAAAAGTTTGATAGAGTTTACAGACATTTTTGGCAAGACTATTTCATGGATACTTCTGTGTGCCTCCTGTTGGATCCCATGAGGAGGAACAGAAGGTCTGGTTTATGCTTCTCTTAGTGATGCTAACATTGATCAGCAGGCTCAAGCCAGCATTACCACCTGAGCTCTGCCTCCTGTCAGATCAGTGGTGGAATTAGATTGCCCACTGCTCACTCCCTGCTGTGTGGCCCGGGTCCCAACAGGCCACTGACCAGTATTGGTCTGTGGTTCAGGGGTTGGGGACCCCTGGTTTAAATAACTAAATATAAACATAAATAAATACAAAGGGTATCCATACACTAATGGTGGTAATGTAAATTGATCCAGCCACTTTGGAGGGAAATACAGCAATTAAATGCACATACCCCGTGACTCAACAATTGAACTTCTACACAGTTACTCTAGGGAAATATTGACATACATGTGCATAAGGCGAATTGCCTAGGATGCTCACTGCAACATTCTTCATAAGAGTAAACAAATTGGAAACAACCTAAATATTCACAAGTATAGAAATGGTTAAATAAAACGTTCATACATCCGTACAATGGAATACTATACTGCAGTTTAAAAGCAACAGTTTGTTTCTCAAAAAATGAAAGAAGGGGTGGTTCCAAGATGGCCGAATAGGAACAGCTCCAGTCTACAGCACCCAGCGTGAGTGATGCAGAAGATGGGTGATTTCTGCATTTCCAACTGAGGTACCAGGTTCACCTCACTGCGGCTTGTCAGACAGTGGTTGCAGGACAGTGGGTGCAGCGCACTGAGCGTGAGGTGAAGCAGGGCGAGGCATCGCCTCACCCGGGAAGCGCAAGGGGTCAGGGAATTCCCTTTCATAGCCAAGCAAAGCTGTGACAGATGGCCCCTGGGAAATCAGGTCACTCCCACCCTAATACTGCATTTTTCCAATGGTCTTGCAAATGGCACACCAGGAGATTATATCCTGTGCCTGGCTCGGAGGGTCCCACACCCATGGAGCCTCGCTCATTGCTAGCACAGCAGTCTGAGATCCAACTGCAAGGTGGCAGCGAGGCTGGGGGAGGGGCGCCTGCCATTGCTGAGGCTTGAGTAGGTGAACAAAGCGGCCGGGAAGCTCGAACTGGGTGGAGCACACTGCAGCTCAAGGAGGCCTGCCTGCCTCTGTAGACTCTACCGCTGGCGACAGGGCATAGCCGAACAAAAGGCAGCAGAAACCTCTGCAGACTTAAATGTCCCTGTATAACAGCTTTGAAGAGAGTAGTGGTTCTCCCAGCATGCAGCTGGAGATCTGAGAATGGACAGACTGCCTCCTCAAGTGGGTCCCTAACCCCCGAGTAGCCTATCTGGGAGGCAACCCCCAGTAGGGGCAGACTGACACCTCACACTGCTGGGTACCCCTCTGAGACGAAACCTCCAGAGGAACGATCAGGCAGCAACATTTGCTGCTCAGCAATGTTTGCTGTTCTGCAGCCTCTGCTGCTGATACCCAGGCAGACAGGGTCTGGAGTGGACCTCCAGCAAACTCCAACAGACTTGCAGCTGAGGTTCCTGACTGTTAGAAGGAAAACTAACAAACAGAAAGGACATCCACACCAAAACCCATCTGTACATCACCATCATCAAAGACCAAAGGTAGATAAAACCACAAAGATGGGGAAAAAACAGAGCAGAAAAACTGAAAATTCTAAAAATCAGAGCACCTCTCCTCCTCCAAAGGAATACAGCTCCTCACCAGCAACACAACAAAGCTGGACGGAGAATGATTTTGACGAGTTGAGAGAAGAAGGCTTCAGACGATCAAACTTCTCTGAGCTAAAGGAGGAAGTTTGAACCCATCGCAAAGAAGTTAAAAACCTTGAAAAAGATTAGACGAATGGCTAACTAGAATACCCAATGCAGAGAAGTCTTAAAGGACCTGATGGAGGTGAAAACCATGGCACAAGAACTACGTGACGAATGCACAAGCCTCAGTAGCCGATTCGATCAACTGGAAGAAAGGGTATCAGAGATGGAAGATCACATGAATGAAATGAAGCGAGAAGAGAAATTTAGAAAAAAAGGAATAAAAAGAAATGAACAAAGCCTCCAAGAAATATGGGACTATGTGAAAAGACCAAATCTACGTCTGATTGGTGTACCTGAAAGTGACAGGGAGAATGGAACCAAGTTGGAAAACACTCTGCAGGATATTATACAGGAGAACTTTCCCAACCTAGCAAGGCAGGCCAACATTCAAATTCAGGAAATATAGAGAAGAAGAAGAGAGAGAAGAATCAAATAGACGTAATAAAAAATGATAAAGGGGATACCACAACCGATCCCACAGAAATACAACCTACCATCAGAGAATGCTATAAACACCACTATGCAAATAAATTAGAAAATCTAGAAGAAATGAATAAATTTCTGGACACATAAACCCTCCCAAGACTAAACCAGGAAGAAGTTGAATATCTTAATAGACCAATAACAGGCTCTGAAATTGAGGCAATCATTAATAGCTTACCAACCAAAAAAAGTCCAGGACCAGATGGATTCACAGCCGAATTCTACCAGAGGTACAAGGAGGAGTTGGTACCATTCCTTCTGAAACTATTCCAATCAACAGAAAAAGAGGGAATCCTCCCTAACTCATTTTATGAGGCCAGCATCATCCTGATACCAAAGCCGGGCAGAGACACAACAAAAAAAGAGAATTTTAGACCAATATCCTTAATGAACATCGATGCAAAAATTCTCAATAAAATACTGGCAAACCGAATCCAGCAGCACATCAAAAAGCTTATCCACCATGATCAAGTGGGCTTCATCCCTGGGATGCAAAGCTGATTCAACATACACAAATCAATAAACATAATCCAGCATATAAACAGAACCAAAGACAAAAACCACATGATTATCTCAACAGATGCAGAAAAGGCCTTTGACAAAATTCAACAGCCCTTCATGCTAGAAACTCTCAATAAATTAGGTATTGATGGGACATATCTCAAAATAATAAGAGCTATTTATGACAAACCTATAGCCAATATCATACTGAACGGACAAAAACTGGAAGCATTCCCTTTGAAAACTGGCACAAGACAGGGATGCCCTCTCTCACCACTCCTATTCAACATAGTGTTGGAAGTTCTGGCCAGGGCAATCAGGCAGGAGAAGGAAATAAAGGGTATTCAATTAGGAAAAGAGGAAGTCAAATTGTCTCTGTTTGCAGATGACATGATTGTATGTTAAGAAAACCCCATTGTCTCAGCCCAAAATCTCCTTAAGCTGATAAGCAACTTCAGCAAAGTCTCAGGATACAAAATCAATGTGCAAAAATCACAGGCATTCTTATACACCAATAACAGACAAACAGAGAGCCAAATCATCAGTGAACTCCCATTCACAATTGCTTCAAAGAGAATAAGATACTTAGGAATCCAACTTACAAGGGATGTGAAGGACCTCTTCAAGGAGAACTACAAACCACTGCTCAACGAAATAAAAGAGGACACACACAAATGGAAGAACATTCCATGCTCATGGATAGGAAGAATCAATATCGTGAAAATGGCCATACTGCCCAAGGTAATTTATAGATTCAATGCCATGCCCATCAAGCTACCACTGACTTTCTTCACAGAATTGGAGAAAACTACTTTAAAGTTCATATGGAACCAAAAAAGAGCCCGCATTGCCAAGTCAATCCTAAGCCAAAAGAACAAAACTGGAGGCATCACGCTACCTGACTTCAAACTATACTACAAGGCTACAGTAACCAAAGCAGCATGGTACTGGTACCAAAACAGAGATATAGATCAATGGAACAGAATAGAGCCCTCAGAAATAATACCACATATCTACAACTACCTGATCTTTGACAAACCTGAGAAAAACAAGAAATGGGGAAAGGATTCCCTGTTTAACAAATGGTGCTGGGAAAACTGGCTAGCCATATGTAGAAAGCTGAAACTGGATCCCTTCCTGACACCTTATACTAAAATTAATTCAAGATGGATTAAAGACTTACATGCTAGATCTAAAACCATAAAAACCCTAGAAGAAAACCTAGGCAATACCATTCAGGACATAGGCATTGGCAAGGACTTCATGTCTAAAACACCAAAAGCAATGGCAACAAAAGCCAAAATTGACAAATGGGATCTAATTAAACTAAAGAGCTTCTGCACAGCAAAAGAAACTACCATCAGAGTGAACAGGCAACCTAAAGAATGGGAGAAAATTTTTGCAATATACTCATCTGACAAAAGGCTAATATCCAGAATCTACGAAGAAATCAAACAAATTTACAAGAAAAAAACAAACAACCCCATCAACAAGTGGGCAAAGGATATGAACAGACACTTCTCAAAAGAAGACATTTATGCAGCCAACAGACACATGAAAAAATGTTCATCATCACTGGTCATCAGAGAAATGCAAATCAAAACCACAATGAGATACCATCTCACACCAGTTAGAATGGTGATCATTAAAAAGTCAGGAAACAACAGGTGCTGGAGAGGATGTGGAGAAATAGGAACACTTTTACACTGTTGGTGGGACTGTAAACTAGTTCAACCATTGTGGAAGACAGTGACGTGATTCCTCAGGGATCTGGAACTAGAAATACCAGTTGACCCTGCAATCCCATTACTGGGTATATACCCAAAGGATTATAAATCATGCTGCTATAAAGACACATGCACACGTATGTTTATTGCGGCACTACTCACAATAGCAAAGACTTGGAACCAACCCAAATGTCCAACAATGATAGACTGTGTAACAAAAATGTGGCACACATACACCATGCAATAGTATGCAGCCATAAGAAAGGATGAGTTCATGTCCTTTGTAGGGACATGGATGAAGCTGAAAACCATCATTCTCAGCAAACTATCACAAGGACAAAAAATCAAACACTGCATGTTCTCACTCATAGGTGGGAATTGAACAATGAGAACACTTGGGCACAGGAAGGGGAACATCACACACCGGGGCCTGTTGTGGGGTAGGGGGAAGGGGGAGGGATAGCATTAGGAGATATACCTAATGTAAATGAGAGTTAATGGGTGCAGCACACCAACATGGCACATGTATAAATATGTAACAAACCTGCACGTTGTGCACATGTACCCTAGAACTTAAAGTATAATAAAAAAAATCTAAAAGAAAAATATAGATCCATAAGTAGCAACATGGAAAGTTATCCAAGACATATTGTTAGATGAAAAAACCATTCACTGAAGAATACATAGAAAAAAAGTGATTTCACTTTTATAAAAATAAAAACTGTACTATTTAAGTGTATGTACATTTGATTTCATAAGTGCAGAGAAAAATATCTAGACGGAGACACAGCAATCTATAACTGTGAGTACTTCTGGAGAATGGGTTTGAGACAAAGTCTGAAGGTAATAAGGTATTATTAGAAGATTTTTTATGGTAACAATGTTTTCATTTGATAGTTATATAATTTTTAAATGATAAAAGCACTCACTGCAAATGATGCTACAAGCCCTTCGGAAGGTGTGCCCCCACCTCCTTCCCAAGTTGACAATAACTGGAAGGAAATGTGAAAGAAAGAGAAATTCCACACAGAGACTTGCTGTCTAGAATCAATTCTTCATAGTAAAGTTCAATGGCAGCAAATCCTGCATGGTCACTCTAATCTCTCATGACCCCCTCCCCTAAAATATATTTTTAGCCTCCTCTTTTTGATTAGGACATTAATTCAAGTAGATATAGTGTAAAGTGCAATGCGTCACCTACTAGAGAGTAAATTCAATGAGGGCAGATACCGTGTCAGTTTTAGTCATCTTGGTGTCCCTGGCTCAGCACAGTCCTTGGTACCTTGATGTGTTTGCTAGACATTAGCTCTAAGCTGGCTGGGCACAGTGGCTCACGCCTGTAATGCCAGCACTTTGGTAGGCTGAGGCAGGTGGATTACCTGAGGTCAGGAGTTCGAGACCAGCCTGGCCAACAAGGTGATACCCTGTTTCTACTAAAAATACAAAAAAAAAATAGCCAGGCGTGATGGTGCACACCTGTAGTCCCAGCTACTGAGGCAGAAGAATCGCTTGAACCCAGGAAGCAGAGGTAGCAGTGAGCCGAGATCGTGCCATTGCACTCCAGACTGGGTGACAGAGAGAGACTCCATCTCAAAAAAACAAAAAACAAAAAAAAAAGAGAGAGAGAGAGAGAGAAATTAGCTCTAACCTGTGTCTGTATTCCTATCTTTATTGTCACAAACAGCTCCATTCTGCCTCTAGCACATTTATTCAATGGATATGTATAAGACTCCTCCTACGTGCCTGGCACTGTACATTAAATATTTGTTATATAAATGTTGAATGAAGGAAAATACCTATTAGCATCCATTAATACAATAGCATCAAAGTGCATCCATTTATAAGCTTAGCTAGTTGACTGAATGGGAGGGAACAGACAAATGGGGACATGGCACAGTACACAGAGATTGAAAGAAAGGAGACCTGAGTGCTGTACCCTGGGAGGCCACGCAAGGAGGGGCACCAGCCAGGTGGCAGTCCCTTTTTTAGCACCTCATTATTGATACCATGAGCAGAGTAACACATACCGCTTCCTGTATGTATTCATTAGACAACTTACTAAACAATTAATCTAGCTGGATACCTTAGTTCCTACCCTCCAGGAAAGCATATAGCAGGGGGTGGAATGAAAAAAGTGTGGGCTTTGGGTCAGATTTAAACTATTGCTACTTGGGAGATTCCAGGCAAGTTGCTGACCTCTCTGACCTTCAGTGAAATAGGATGATGGCACCTCCGATAAGGAGTTATTTTGCATTTTTAAAACACTCTCTTGGCCAGGCGCGCTGGCTCATGCCTGTAATCCCAGCACTTTGGGAGGCTGAGGTGGGCGGATTACCTGAGGTGGGGAGTTCGAGAACAGCCTGATCAACGTGGGGAAACCCCGTATCTCCTAAAAATACAAAATTAGCCAGGCGTGGTGGCACATGCCTGTAATCCCAGCTGCTAGGGAGGCTGAGACAGGAGAATTGCTTGAACCTGGGAGGCGGAGGTTGCGGTGAGCCGAGATAGCGCCATTGTACTCCAGCCTGGGCAACAAGAGTGAAACTCCATCTCAAAACAAAAACAAAAACAAAAACAAAAACAAAACACTCTCCTGTAAAATGCCCGGTACTTAGTAGGTATTCAGTAATTGATAATTAAAATTATTAATTAATCTACAGGTTTAATCTGACATTCTAGCCGGGGTGGAGGTAAGAAAGGGGGAAAGACCATGAGATAATTACCTCTAATGGAAGGCAGAATCAAATATGTGCTCTTATTGGGAAGGGGGGCACGAGGTTGTAGACCCAGAGAAAAATATAATACCTTCCAACTAACGGCAGGGATTGGGGAAGGCTTCCCAGATAATGTGACATTTCAAATTGGGCCTGAGGGGATGAGGAGGATTTCTATAGGTAGAAAAGGGATAAGGTATGTGACTGTGCACTCTCTTGTCCTATAAACAAAAAGGCATCCCTGTAGCAGACACAGAATGAAATTTGTTAGGGTGATAAAGAAAAGCAGAGAGATGCAGTTAAGATTATGTCTGTATAACAGCAAACATACATTTGGCAGCGAATAAATGGATCATCATGACTCACTTGGTTTCTCCAGACTCAGGAGAAGAAAATGAAAAAAGAACTGGAACTGAATATCAGGATAAAATTGTTTTACTAGAAAGATTATTTTGATTGTGAGACAATCTCCCAAGGAAAAAAAAAAGAATCCCTTGCTCGTGCGTTCTATTAACTAGAAAGTATCTTGGATACAGTTGAATCTTTTGATTACACAATTGAATGAAAACTCTTAAAACAAGAATGAAGAACAGACATTCCCTTGGAAATTGTGCTCTGACAGTCTAGACAGTAGCCCTGCCCACAGACACTACAGCATTCTGTACAACAAACATAATCTAAATCTCACTGCCCAACTGGACCTTTTACTATATACGCTCTCATACACTTTGGTGGGCCTGCGTTACCCCCACTAGATTGCAGGCTCTCTGAGATCAGGAATGCTGTTACCTGTTTTTCCCAGAATTTAGCATCATCCAAGACACACAGTCCCCTGAGCTTAGGTTTCTCCATTCAGTCATCTCTCCAGCTCTTCTAAGTCTTTATTACAAGGTGATGAACTTGAGTGAAAACAGGACCCACATTAGCTCATTTGTAATTGTTTTCTGGTGGCTGATTTTAGCCTCTAAGTTTATAATTATCAGGTAGCCAGAGAATAGCCTCAATTTTCAGCTCCTCTACAATATGCAGCAACAGATTTTTTCCTTTAAGACCAAGAGAGGAAGGAAATATAGAATTAGAGCAAATTCCTAAGGGTGCAGTACCATAAAGTCACATAATATGAGCAAACTCAAGGAGAGGTGTTGCTTTATAGGGTTGGCATTGGGTCACGCAAAAGGCCGTCATACGGCCATGAATCCATCAAAGTTCTGCTTTGAGCCTGTCCCTAACCTGTGCGCATTGGAAAGAAAAAACCCAGCTTCCCCTTTGCCTGAAAGGGCGGTATGTGTTCTGTCCTACAGCCTTTTGCTAGTGGCTGCTGTGAGGGCCCATGAGGGTCCCTGAGCATTCCAGGAGTGGAATTGATTGGGGAATCAAAGAGTGTGGCTTGGACAAGCGGGCAGAGCATGACTTGTCCGTTGTGAGACACCATCTTTTAGCCTCCTCTCCTTTTCCAGAAGGTTGACTGTACCTTTAATTAACTGTGGAAACTTGTCACAAGGGAGCTTGTTAAAAATGCAGAATCACAGGATCCCCTTTTAACAAGATCCCCAGGTGATTCATATGCACAGTAAAGTTTGAGAATCACTGCCTTAAGCCCTCTAGGCCTGTTTCTGCTTCCCTTAAATGGGATTGAGGACACCAACCTATCCCTGAGACTGGCTGTGGGTAGCAAATGAGATAACCTGGGACACCACTGTCCTGGAGCTGGCTGTTAGATTTTCAGGAGTTTTGTGAGCCGGTTGTTAAGCTGCTGCTAGTTTGAACTTGGGCTACGATGGGAGTATTTGCACCACAAAAATATGCAGACCCTACACATCAGGGCTTTTCATTTGTTTTTCAGAGATGCACTTTATTTGTACTCCATCCTAGGAGCCTTTTCCACGTAATACCCAAGACCTGTGAGCTGGGGAGTCTGCCACGTCTAGCACATGAAGGACACTTGCAGGTCACTAGGGGTGTTCAGAAGTGGGGACATCAGCTTGAATTTGGACCCAGGGTCTGGATACCAAAACAGGAAAGGTAAGGGCAGAGCCTCTCCATTTGGGCTCTCCTCAGTTCCTTGGCGCTTAACTCAACAGCTGGAGCTCATTACTATACCCCTTACCCACTAGCTGCTCAATGGCCTTGTTCTGTTATGCTGCAGAGGGTCTGTACTTCGGCAGCAAAGGAAGCCAGGTCCAGCATAGCGCCACTGAGTCCTGTCCTAGGAACCTTTGAAAATAACTTTTCAAATCATTAAGGAAATGAAAATGAAAACAAACCCTGAGAGAGGAGAAAATCCACCTACTAGCTAGCTTACTTAACACAGACTGTGCATTTATGGGACATTAAGATCACACCAAAAGGAAAAAAGCATTTTAGCCATCCAGCTCCCTGGTTCACACAGGGCAAAGATAAACTATGTGGCTGTGGAACATTTGCACGCTTCAACATTTTGCAAGAGGATGATCTGTCTCTCAGAGGTACCATAAGGATTTTGTGATCCTGAGGTTGCTATGGTGGCTGCTTTTGTGTTGAATAACAAAGTGCTATATGAACTTGGGCAAATCTGCATAAATTATGTCTCGCTTATGTCTCCATGGCTCTCTAACTTACACACCCTGATCCATAATTGAACATGCTTGGACATACAGCAATGGGGCATAGACATATGTTGCACCAGCAAAGGTGCTTCCCAGGTAGTTTCATCAAATAGGCTATTTATTTCCCTCTAGCTAAACAGTTGTTGATTGCCAACACACCTTTTCTGAAATTATTTTGCAAGCCTTTTAGCACAAAGGCTATTGATGAGGCACACTTGGTATTTTTCAGATAATACAAAGCACAGCCAAGTAAGCATGTTTCCATTTTGATGCACAGAAATCTAATACTCTTCTATTACTTACATTCAGTCCATATTTGTGACAAAATGAGGTTTTCATATAAAATAAAAACCCTGAAACTTACCACTATGCTGTGCCTCTGTCTTTTATCTCTTGCCCCTCTGAGCTGCAACATTCCATAGAATCCAGAATTATATTATCGCAGTCTAACTTCCTTTTGTCCAAGCAGAGCACATTGCAGTTCTCCAAAAGTAATGCAATATTGTCAGTTCTAAGCACCTCCCCACTTTCACCCTCCTCCCTTTTTAAAATGCCATTACTTTTCAAGAAGATATGTCGGTAGAACAGCGTGGGTATTTGTAGCTAGCTAGCAACCTTGGAAAAGTGGTTTGAAGAGTGTGTCAAACATATTTCATATACCCCTGGCTCCTAGCTTTAGGTCAATAGATGACCAGGAGGTGACATTTTCCCAGAAGCAAGATGACTACATGCCAGTTTTCACAGAGCAATGGTGTGTTGTTCTTCACCTTTTGTTCTGATGTCCAAGATCACACCTAAGTCATGCACCTTTTACTCTCTTCTGGAAATGTAGCCAACCGATCATCTACACAAAGGCAACCTCCAGCTGGGAAAGCCACTCTCATCTCAGAGGTGAGTGGAGCATGGCGATGAGTCATGAGAGCTCACAAATGGCAAAACCAGGTGTCTGGGTTTCCAAATGATATTAAAGGATCTCCGTAACATCACTGGGACTTGAGTGGAATTGAACTACTGCTCTGCACCGACTGCAACAGGGAAACGCATGCAGGCGTTTCTGATTTTCCTGTTGCATTCTTTCAGACAGCCAACTTTTACAGAGGGTAGCCACATGATTGGAGCCAGAGATTTCACTTGGCCCTGAGCCACCAGCACTAACACATGTCTGAGGACTCACAGCTGCCTCACTAGTGGGTTCTCAGCACCTCCACTGCAGATGTGGGCTTTTCATGCTGTGTAATGTCTGCTTCTCAAGCTTCTGTAAGAGAGAGCAAGACAGAGAAAAGAACAGATAGGCATGAGCTCCAACAAGTGCCCACTCACAGGTGGAAGAATATCCAGGAAGCAGGTTGGGCTAAACCCCACACTGCTAGGCATTAGTCAGGTTCTCCAAGGTAGCAGGGTCTGACTGACCAGTGTTGGCCCCAATCCCATCCCTGCAAAACCCCAATCTTAGCTCTCCAAAGCCCCCAAGCCATCGGCAAAAGCAGTTTGGCCCTGACACTAATCATTGCCCAAGCCCAGCAAAGCCTGGGACAGTACCTGATCCATTTCCTTGCCTGTGAGATGAAGTTCATCAATTGCCAGTTTCTAATGATAAGCAAATGATAAGCAATGGGCCTTGCTCCTTGTCTGAAATGTCATGGAGGCATCTGTAGGCTGGATGGTCAACACATTTTCCAGTACATAGGGCAAAGGAGATCTGAGGTCTAGTTCTAACATGTCACTGACACGCAGGCTAACCTTTGGCAGGTCACTTTTGCTCCGTGACTCAGTTTTCTCATCTCTACAAGGAGGAAGTTGGATTAGATCACCTCCAACGCCACTTCCAGTTCTGCTATTGAGTGATTCTGTGTTGTACACACTGGCTTTACAGCTAGGCTGCCTCAAATAGTCACCAGGAAATTCTCCTTCTTTATGCTGCGTGCCCACCTCAGACCAATTTGGTTATAATACAAGAAAAGTCTCAGCAATAGGCTGGTGGCAGCAAGAAGCAACAAGTTCAGCCCACACAGCAAGGACGTTTGCCACCACATGGTATTTTCTCAGTTAAACAGTTTCCAGACACATCTGCACAGCACCTAAGACAGAAATCAACAAGAAAACATATGAACTTCATGGGTGGTCTTCTCAAGATGTTCAAAAACATTCAGGATATAAACTCACCAGGTCTATCTTCACTCCCACCCCTGAAAGACACAGGATTCCATTAACACCAGGCCCTGCCTTGGTTGCAACAATCCACCAGCCCGGAGTCTATAGTTACCTCATACCCTAAAATCAACTCAGCTTTGTCCCCTATGTCTCAGATCTCCTTGGTTCCAGGTTAGGGGGTGAATTATCTGCCACCACTTCCTCTAAAACAGCTGGGTTCAGAGCCCACCTTTGCCTTAAGTACTGGAAAGTGAGCCCACCATTCAGCCTGCAAACACTACCATGACATTTCAGATAAAAAGCAACAGTTTCAGCTCTAGTTCTAGCTGTGTTACTGACATGCTAGCTAACCTTTGGCAGGTCACTTTTGCTCTCCATGACTCGGGTTTCCCATCCGCATCTCTACAAGGAGGAAGTTGAATTAGATGACCTCCAAGGCCACTTCCTGTTCTGATACTGAATGATTCTGTTATAGGACATGCCTCCAGCATGGAGTAGGGCCATAACAGCTCTGGCCTAGAAGTCTAGCACTGCCACTCACTAGCCATGATTCTCTAACTTGTTTAGGTAGCAAGGACCTCGAAGTCATGGGCACCTTTGTGGAATACTATAAAATAGTGATATCTGGCCAGGCGTGGTGACTCACTCCTGTAATCCTAGCACTTTGGGAGGCTGAGGCGGGCAGATTACCTGAGGTCAGGAGTTGGAGACCAACCTGGCCAACATGATGAAACCCCATCTCTACTAAAAATACAAAAATTAGCCAGGTGTGGTGGTAGGCGCCTGTAATCCTAGATATTCGGGAGACTGAGGCAGGAGAATCGCTTGAACCTGGGAGGCAGAGGTTGCTATGAGCCGAGATCGCGCCACTGCACTCCAGGATGAGCCAGAGTGAGACTCCGTCTCAAAAACAAACAAACAAACCAAAAAAAAAAAAAAAATTAGTGATATCTATTTTTATCACCAAACACATTTGGCTTTTTTATTTATGTACATGCCTCTTTGTCGGAACAACAATAATATCAGTATCTGGAACATTTCTAAGAAATTATATGTTAATATTTTTAAGTTTTCTGTTATACTCAATTGCTTGTGTCTTGCTTAGTTTTTTAACTACAATCCATCAGCTGTACAAGGCCTTACATGGTGCTTTCCCTGTTCCTGCCCCCATACCGCTCCATTATCCCTCTCTCATTCATTTACCCTATCAGCCACTCTGGCCTCCTTTTAACTCCTAGAATATTACTAACATTCCTCCTCAGGGCCTTTGCACTTGCTGCTTTCTCTATCTGGAATTATCACTTCTTTCAGGTCAAATAAATTTCACTTTCTCAGTAGGGTTTTCCACCGCTTCCCCACCAAATAAATATTCCAAACCCCATTCATACTTCCTATCCTCTTTGTTCCTTTGCTCATTTTTTTTCTCCTTAGCCTTTATCACTGACATACCATACACTTTACCTATTTGTCGTATTTATTGTCTCTTTCCCCAATTAGAACGTAAGCTCCATGAGGCCAGGGATTTTTTGTTTTTTGTTTTTTTCCACTGCTGTTTCTCCAGTGCCAAGAACAGTACCTGGTACAGAGAAGGCACTCAGAAGCTATTGAATGAATGAAGTTCTAGGAGCAGGCACCAAATTGTTTAATAAATATTTATGGGAGAAAAAAATTATAGTTGAAAAGATGTATCAAATTAATCTGCAAACTGGGAAAGGCTTCCTTTATTCTTAGAAAGTGGCTGACATTTCAGTCCAGTTTTGGGAGCTTTAGGGATCCTCGGGGCCAGAGTTTGAGAGCCCTGAGTGTAAATGCCCTCGCGCCATATTGTGTGTTCTGACTTGCATGGCCTAATCTTGTCAGCTGCCTTCCCAATCAATAATACACACTTCTGGCTGGAAACATCCAGTAATATGTTAGAACATGGAGTCCCCTAGACATAAAAGCAACCACGAAAAATGTTTTCTGAGTGCAAAGCTCTATGCTTGAATACATTTCTGGCACTATCAGCAAAGCTCACAACCACTCTGTGAGGTGAGGAGCATTTTTTCCTGTTTTTTAGGTGGGAAAACTGAACCTAAAGGAGACTGAGTTTTTTCCCCAAGTGTGCACAGCAAGAAATGGTGAGGTGAGGCTTTAAATTTGAGCCTGAAACACTAAGTTCTACCCTCTTACTTTCTTATCTCCTATTGCCTGCTTTCTTCCTGCTGCTGAAGTCCTCTCCTTACTCCCCACCCCCAAGCCTGGAAATTTGCATTTGGGGATTAAAATAGGTAGATGTGGCCAGGTGTGGTGGCTCATATCTGTAATCCCAGCACTTTGGGAGGCCGAGGCCGGCGGATCATCTGAGGTCGGGAGCTTGAGACCAGACTGACCAACATGGAGAAACCCTGTCTCTACTAAAAAAAAAAAAAAAAAAAAAATTAGGTGGGCGTGGTGGGGCATGCCTGTAATCCCAGCTACCTGGGAGGCTGGGGCAGGAGAATCACTTGAACCTAGGAGGCGGAGGTTGCGGTGAGCTGAGATCATGCCCTTACACTCCAGCCTGGGCAACAAGAGTGAAACTCTATCAAAAAAAAAAAAAAACAAAAAAAACCTGTGTTCCAATTTACATAATCAGAACCCCAGTTACCTCAAGTATTAACAAAAAAGAGAAAGATGATCCACTTCTCAGCATTGTCATGAGGATGAAATGAGATAATATTCAGAAATGGGCCAAGCCCAGTGCCTGACACATAATAGCAACTTAGTAAATGTACGTTTCTTTCCTGCCTTTTCAGCCTCAGACATGAGCTCCTTCTTCTTTGTAGTTACTTCCAACCCCAAGGACACTGCTTGATGAGTAGCAGGGGAGGAGAACTTTTCCACCTTGAGGGATGATCTGCTTTTCCCTTTTATTCGTTGCTTTCCCTGTCACTTTGATTGCCCTTAGACTAAAGGTATGGAATTTCAAGAAGTGAAGATGACCTAAAAAATCTGACTCTTCTTAAAAATGAGGAAGATCCAGAAATTCATTATGCTATAATGAAGAATGCTTAGCATTTTCCTTCTTTTTGATAATTGATGAATGACCAGTCAGATCTTAAATGTGCCGATTCTAGATGAGATGAACTAATCAAAATTAACATTGTCAAAAGCAACTCATGTCAATTAAAGATGAAAAAAGATGAAACTCAATAAAGGATCTTTCCTAGGAAAGAAAAGTTTCAAAAATTTTTGTTTCATTTTGTTGCCATGGTACCAACATTTTCAACTATTTTCAGTTATCTTGAAATACTCAGTAAGGCCAAGCACATCCTATGATATCCAATTGCTTTCCCAGGTTTATTTTAAAGCATTATTCTGTAAATGCAAATGAATGTTTGCAGACATCTGAAGATTAATACTGAATTGGAAATATTTAGTAAACTGTCTATCTTTAGATAACGCCATACAATAACACTTTGAATGTATCCAATGCCTTTGTTCTGAGCAGCTCAAAGGGCTCTGAAACTATTATCTCATAATTAAATATCACATTCCTAAGCTAGAGTATCATGATGTTACTGGTTAGTGGTGTCAGCAGTTCCGCTCTGGAAACCACATACTGTTACTAGAGGACTACTGGAGCAAAATGAAATGATACGAAAAAAAAAAAAAAAAAAAAAAAAAAGCTTCACAACTACCTCAACGTGAAAGTCCTAAAACAAATCATGTTCTCTATCAAAGTACTTTCCCAGAATTACACTAAGGCTTTCTATATTCCCAATGCAGATATTAAGAAAGAATGCTATAGTTTCCTGAACTGGTAATACCAAGTAGAGTGGAAATAGCAGCAGACTGAGGTCAGAAGCCTTGGTTCTTATGGAGCCTCTACCTTTAACTTCCTAGTACTGCATGTCTTTTTCTTTTATGGATGGAACTTTCCTCACCTGGGAAAACAGAGGGTTGAATGGACCAGTGCCTTTCATACTGCTCTGACAGTGAAAAACTTTCCGCCGAACAATGGGAATCTATTTATCACTTTTTATCAGGCTTCTCTGTAGGTATCTGCAAATTTTCATGGCAAAAGAATTTGAAAGCCCCTACACTCATATTCCTAACAGCATTATTTGCAGTAGCCAAGAGATGGAAGCAGCCCAAGTTTCCATCAACAGATGAATGAATAAACAAAATGTGGTATCTACATACAATGGAATATCATTAAGCTATAAAAAGAATGAAACTCTGATAAATGCTATAACATGGATGAGCCTTGAAGACATTGTGATAAGTGAAATAAGCCAGACACAAAGGACAAATATTTTATTTTTCTATTTATATGAAATATCTAGAATAGGCAAATTCACTGAGACAGAAAGTAGAATAGTCGTTACCAGGGTCTCGGGAATGGGGACTGAGTTTCAGTTTTGCAAGATATAGAGTTCTGGAGATGAATGGTGGTGATGATTGCACAACAATGTGAATGCACTTAATACCACAGAACTATACACTTAAAAATGGTTAAGATGGAAAGTTTTATGTTATGTGTATTTTACCACAATTTTAAAAATAAAAATAAAATACAAAATAAAAAGATCCCACTGATAAAGAGCAGTTTGAAAATAACTGGGCTAAGGCCAGGCACAGTGGCTCTCATCTGTAATCTCAGCACTTTGGGAGGCCAAGGCGGGCAGATCACCTGAGGTCAAGAGTTCAAGACCAGCCTGGCCAACATGGTGAAACCCTGTCTCTACTAAAAATACAAAATATTAGCTGGGCGTGGTGGTGCTTGCCTGTAGTCCCAGCTACTGGGGAGGCTGAGGCAGGAGAATCACTTGAACCCAGAAGACGGAGGTTGTAGTGAGCCGAGACCACGCTACTGCACTCCAGCCTGGGTGACAAAGCAAGTCAGTGTCTCAAAAAAAGAAAAGAAAAAGGGGAATCACTTGAACCCAGAAGACGGAGGTTGTAGTGAGCTAAGACCATGCCACTGCACTCCAGCCTGGGCGACAAAGCAAGATTGTGTCAAAAAAGAAAGAGAGAGAGAGAGAGAGAGAGGAAGGAAGGAAGGAAGGAAGGAAGGAAGGAAGGAAGGAAGGAAGGAAGGAAGGAAGCAAGCAAGCAAATAACTGGGCTATTATGTGAATCTGAAAAAAATAGTATTGTGACCAAGAAAAAAAAAAACGATTCCTTAAATTTGACTTTGTTACTATTGGAAAATAGAGTCAACAATTGTGGACAGCAATGAATAATCTCATTTCTCCATACTATGAGAGTGGGTTTATGTTGACAGAAAACAGTTCTCCAGAGTTTTCTAAAAAGGGCTTTTGGTTACTCCTGATTTCTTTGCAGAGGGATAGAGACACAGCCCAGTATTTCACACCCAAGTAACCAATGCACCAAATTAGAAACGGCTACTGTGAGTCACTATTTTTTTTTTCCTAAAGTTGTTAGACTGGAAGATAAGGAGAGAGGGTCAGGTGAAAATGGGATTCACACTTACAATACCTGTGAGCTAAAGCAGCTTATATTTATCATGAAGTAAGTTTACCTTTTGAGGACACTTTTGCCAGGAGACAATTTGAGTCCTGCTAGAAATGTGGCATCCCCTCCCAGTCTTTCCATCCATGCCTGAGGCCAAACAAGACCCAAACCCACATCTAAGTAAAGAAACTGGGATTCTTTTCTCATGATTGCAGTCCATACTATTGGTCTAAATGTAAGCCTCCCTACAAAACTGGAGATGAACCTGGGACCTGGAAAGAGGAACCCAGCTATGGGGTTACTGTATCCACCATCACCCAAATGCAAAAGAAGGAATTGAAGCTCTCCCCTTAGTCCAAATCTATTTTTCCCACATTGAAAAAAAACACTGAAAAGTAATCCCTGCTGGAAAAGAAGAAAATTGTCACAGAAATTGAGGCCCAGGTGGGGTTGGGGCAAAGGCAGGGGATGGTCCATAAAGGAAACTTGAAGAAGGAAAGTTCTTTCCTTTCTTTTCCATAAAGGAAAAAAGAGAATAGAAGGGGAAAAAGTGTTTGCCTTTCTTTCAGAGTAAGAGAAGGTTAGGGTTAGGGTTTCCAGGGTCTTGTATTCAAGGTTCCCCTGCATTAGGGGATTGGTTGATGAAGGGCCTTGTAGTAATGCACTTACTCAAAGAGGGGGCTAAACGTTGCCATGAGAACCTTGGATCTGTATCTCTCTGACTTGGATTAGTGTGTAAAAGTCGCCTGGGTGGAGATTTTATATTAATCACTAAGTGTCCTTTAGGAGAGGATTTGAAGAATTCTCTTTAGCAGGTACATTTCAAAATAAAGCTAATTTCTCACCGAAAGCTCTCTATGAGAAGGCCCAGTTTGTTTCGAAACAGACACTATGGTGGAAAGGCTGGATGAGGAGTTAGACGATCTGGGTTATATAATCTTTGCTTGGTCACTTAACAGCTATGAGACATTGAAAAAAATCCACAACTTTGCTGGGCCTCAGTTTCCTCCTGAAATGAGGATAGTAAATCTTCATCCTCGATAAAACTTCTACAGAGTTATTTCCAGGCCTTTTCCCAACTTGGAAAGGCAAAGATGGAGCAGGGAAGGAAGTCTTGTGCCCTGGCCCTAGGAGAGATATGTCTTGAGTTTCCCCAAGATATTTTGTATCTGATTGTTGATAGAATTACTGAGTTGAGCTTGTGAACTTTTTATTTCACAAATTCTGAAAGCAGGTGACCCTTTTATTAGATACATGAAGTTCTGAGAAGCTAAGTGATTTGCCCAAGGTCACACAGCTACAAAGCATGAAGCTGAGATTCAAACCAAAATGCATCTGACTTTGAGTTCAGTGTTCATTACTCCCCATAAACTTGAAAGAAAAAACAAGCCCAACAAAGAAACTTTTTTACCTTATAAGTCCAGGAAAGAAAAGCTAAAACAACAACAACAAAAATGTCTGCCTTGGTTGTCTTGGAATATGCACACAAACACAGCGTGGGTGCAACAGACACAGTCTCAAGGTTTCCAGATCGATTTACACCATTTTCCTAAAAAACAAAATATTACTAAAATGATGGATGCAGTGGATCAAATAAAATAGAAAGAATATCTCTGTAGCTAGCTGGATTAGCTTAGTTAAATTTAAAGACAATTCTTAATTTTCCCTTGTTTTGCAGCTTCTGTACTTTGATTAAAAAGAAAAAGTCTCCTTTTAGATATTCACTCATCTCAGGACAATGCCTTCCTAATACCTCCAAAGGCACACAACAAGATTAACTAGAAGCTTTAAAGAAAATCTGTAATATTGCATACAATTGGCTCCATGATAAGAAATACTTGTTTAATGTGGTTTGGTTTCTGCAGAAATAAAAAGAGCCTATCTTTATCCATCAACCAGTTTGAAAACCAGACGGCCATCATTGCTTATGCTGTTTTAATATTTCTCTGCACATTAAAATTTGCCGTTCCTTTCCCATGGCAATTCAAAGGTTTTGTGCAAAATCCATCACAGCTAAAGTAAAGCCTTAGTTATACATCTTTCTATTCTCTGATGATTAGGGCTGTGTTTTTGTTATGGTAAATAAGTATCTCATAGAAGTTCAGAAAGCCCTTTTTAGTAATCGTTTGCAAAGTCGCTGAGGAAAATAATCTCTTTCTAACCTTTATGTTAGGCCTATGTGATTCTTTTCTCCAGGAATCCCTGGATGAAGTAGTACAAGGTAAGCTTTGTAACAAATTTGGATGAGTTGGGCTAACTCTGGCCTTAAGTAAATGAGTGGCCTTTTCAAGAAGATACTCTTGTTGGAGGAGAAGGATGTTCTGCACAATTAATGTTTGCAAGAGGGTCATTGAGTAGGTCAAATTTTAACTGGTGGCAATATATCACTCAACATCCAATGGCAAGCTGATGAAAGCATTTGATTGGCCTCAGCCATATGAACCCAAAAGACAGGAATTTCTGAACCTTGCAAGGAGAGAGGAATAGCAAGGGACAGCCTCTAAAAAGGGCTGTAAACCTCCAAAAGAGCTAAACCTCCAACTATTCCACCCTTCTTAAACTGATGGCTAAACAAGCAAGTACTTGTTAGCCAGCCATTCTTCATAGGTTGGCTTGTCAAAAGGAGGTCCTTCTGCACAGTGCAAGTCCAATATTTTCATCTAATTCTGTACCTGAACTGACCTGAGTCATTCAGAGCCGCAGTGCAGCTGGATCTGTTAGCCCCCTGGTACGCTGAGTCTTCCTGAAAGATAAACTCAAGACATCACGAAGATGCAAGCCCGCAGAATGTTAGGCTAGAAGAGAATTTCGATTTGAAGTGGAACACCCTCCCCACCACCTTCTCAATTTTTCAGATGAGGAAACCGGAAGCCCTAAGAAGTGACTTAACAAAGTGCACAAAAGTGTCCTCCTAACTCCAGACGCTGACTATTTACTCAGTTTTATCCCACTTGCAAAGGGAAAATGCCAAGATGTCTGGTTTAATATTAAAACTAACTCTCCCTACTTCATTGTTTGGTTTCAAGGAGCTGCTTGAAAGCAAAGTCCTCAGCCCTCCGCCCCCACCCTCACTCCCACCTCCACCCCCACCCAAATCCCCAGCTTAGCAGTTCCTGTTTTCTCACTATGCCCTTCCAGCTTTCTGTCTCCTCCCCTCCATAACGGTAGGTCCAATTACTTGGCAGCCCACTTAGCATAGCAAAGAGCTGAAGTCCAGAAATGTTGTGTGGAAAAACCAGAGGACCCCCAGTTGGTGCTTTGTTCCTCCCAGCTGTGCTTACTTCCCAAGCAGAGCTGCAATCCCCTCTGCTGTGGCTTCCCCGGGTTTAGGTCAGGACCCAGGGATACTATTATTACATAATTTTGCATTGTACCTCAATGCAAAAAAAAATGTATGAAGGAGAAAACCTACACCTCTTTTTCCCTTTCCTTCAATGGAAAAATGGGTATCATCCCGGCTGTTCTGTGAACTGGGCCTTACTCAGGACAATAGGCTTCTGAGGACAAGGTGATTAGGCTGGCAGTGCAGTGTTTGATTAGCGCCAACCAGCTCTTTGTAGAGGGACAATATCAGTCCGTACAGTAACAAGATCACGTCTTTTGATTTGGGTTCGCTCCCTCTGTTGATACAATCTATTATCCTGTTTGCCTTTCTTACTACAGCAAGGCATTGCACCAAGGGCTTCAAGGATTTTTTCAACAATAACCTCCAAATCCCTTAGCACCTGCCTTCTGCCAAAGAACCTCCCTCTTCACCTCGGCGCTTTTCTTTGTCCTTTCAACATGACTTTGAATAGTTAGGTAAAGCTATACTCCCATCCCAAGGAAAAAGAAAACTAGGGCGACAACTACAGGGCTTCAAATTTAATAAGAAACAACATTAGGCAGAGCAATTGAGTCATTGTTTGCTTAACCCTTTCCTTGCTCTCCCTGTTTTAGTTTCACTGCACCATCTTTTCAGTCGTTTGAAAAATTTGATAAAGAAGACAAGTTCCATAGCTTGAGGCAGCAGCCAAGAGATGCATCAATAGATTTGTTTCAAAAAAGGCAAATACCATATAAATTTTAAACACACACACACACACACACACACACACACACACACATTATGAAGCTGCTTATCTCAGGCCCCCAAATTACCCAATTTCTAAAGCCGAAAAGTGAACTCACCCAGAATTTGTTCAGACAGACTTCCCAAACCTCCACTAATAATTACAAAAGATAAATGGAATAGCTTGGATTTTAGAAGTTCCTTCTCAGCTTTGAAGATGTGTTCATATTTGAAAACATTTCACATCTGACAACTTTCACTAAAAAATACACATTCAAAAAAATGTTTGATGTGATCATTTGTGGCATTTGCTGATAGAACTGGCTTATTGATAAGGGACCAGAGACCATCAGGAAATAGGACTTGTGGGAAAATAATGGGTTGTATTTTCGTGCGGACTAGCAACTCCCCCACCCTTAAGCTCTGGCAGTATTCACATAATGCAATGTCTTGTTTTCTGTCCCAGCCCCTCCCCTAGCATCTTATTTATGTTTTTGCAAGGTACTCCTGCTTAATTATGATTCATCCCAATTTGGACTGTAAATAGAAGGCAAATTAATAATTTACGGTGAAAAAAGACCTGGGCCATTTTCTCTTCCCTTCATTCCTAGGTCAGCCGGCTCATTTATGAATTAGTGCTCAAGCAGTCTGAATAGCAGAGAATGAATGTTTGACTAAATCCTCTAAGTATGAAAGCTCTTCACACCATTTGGTCTTGAACTGATCCAATAGCGAGGTGTAACCACTAGTGACAATAAAGCGCCATCTGGCAAAGTGAACTCTAGGCAAACAATGACAAGCAGAAGTGAAAAGAATTGCAATGATTTCCACAAACATGTGAAATACTATAAACTGTGGGACTTAGCAGCTTCTTCCCAAGGCAAGTAAACAAATGCAACACTTCGTCGGTGGCGCTGATGTGTGGGGCTCCATCTCTGCCAGCAGGCTCGGCTCCATTTGCATTTAGCTAGGGAAAAAATGTATGCAGATTGGCGAACAAAAAAATATATAAGCACTACTAACCAGACGTCACTTTTCCTTTGCTCTTTACTGTCAGGGTGATGTACTGGAAGTCTTTATTTCTTTCAGCTTGGGCCTCTCGGTGCCTCATTCTCCTTCCAGCTTGTTCTCATGCCTTTCTCATCACCTGCTGAGGCCTTGATCACGGACAGAGCAGACGAGCAGCGGGGGGACAATTAGAGAGGAGTTCAGACTTTGATCATTTGACCATATGTGAATACAACAGCTGACCACATGTTTTAAAAGACAACTAACTTAAATGTATTAAAAAAATCACAAAGCAAGCATAGATACTGAAATTTACATTTTAATTATCTGGCACAATGCTGCATTCAACTTTTTCAAAATATTTAATATGGAAAAATACATCTTGCCCCTTCAAAATAGGAAGAGAAAGCACTTTTCTGCGTTTTCTCCCCACCCCCACCTCCTCTCCCCCTTCAAAATGTGTTCCCTTTCAGCAAAACATTTAACCACTGCGGATGGTGAAGAATTCTGTGCCGGAGATTTCAAAAGGCACATTCAAAGCTGCCAAAAGTTGGGCATGATTACTAAAGGTAGATGAAGCTTAAAGTAAGCACGATCATATATTTTAAAAAGTGATTTTATAAGAGAAAAATCTCTGTTCAGTACTTGTAACATAAACTAGGCTTTTCTAAGTGAGAGGAACATACTCAAGGGTTTATCTTCACTTCTCCAATTCTTTACAGTGACAATTAACACAATCCCAAAACGTGTGTTCTAAATTTTGTGAAAATCAAATAGCTTTCTTAGCAATAAAACTATTGAATACTTGGTGAGATAGAAGACAGTCTCATTGCAGCCACAGTGCACAAATGAAGGCTTATTCGTGGTTCATTCTATCAAAATATTGTCACTTTTTTCCTGGTTCTCTTTCAACTATCAAAACTGAACTGATTTTACTTTGGCTAGGTGAAATGTAGACATATGACTATCCCGCTTATAACCCTTTCTTGTGTTTTTGTATACAATTGATGATTTATCATTGCTTCTGGAGATATAGAGCCCTTCTTATCTTTTCCACCTACCAGATAATTAACATATTCATGAAATGGTTATTTACTCTCAAATAGGAAGATAATAGAAAAATAACACTAATTGTTTTGACAGCAGTTTACTTAAGAGTTATCTGGGAGAACAAATGTTTCTTTTGTAGTGTTAGGAAGACAAGCATTTATCTATGTATTAAGCTTATTTTTCTTCTTATGGTTAGATAGACCAAAGTAATCTTGGGTGAAGAATAAAAAGTCTGGAAGAAAAAATTTAAGTAAAATTTCATCTGATATTCCCCTAAATATTTTGATAGTCTATTTATTTTTTCAATTGTGAGGGAGATTAGCAAGGTGATTTACATTTTAATGGCTATATATGCTAACATGTTCATTATCTGCACATCATTGTATTTTTAAAATGCATATGACCTTTTAATTTTAAAGAAACCCACCTGTTTTACTTTACTTTGGTACCATTTTAAATATAACTGATTTATATCCATTATCAAATGAACTTTAGACATGGGGATTCCTATTTTAGGGCACAAAGCATTTTTACTTTGAAAGACTTCTTTTTAATACATCTTTTGAAACAAAGGTTCCTGAAAATACATATTCCCCTCTTAAGTATAAGTGTCTTTACCGGGGATTCTACATCACCTTGTGACCCTGAGCATGTCATCACCCTCTCTCAGCCTGTTTCTGCCTCTGTAACACAAGTTAATTAAACTAGTCAATCTCTAAGTGCTCTTCCAGTTCCAGAGAATCTTAGATTCTATGATTGAATTGCCAAAATAAAGTTCGCAATAGAATCTTCATAAGACTTATTTCTCTCCACAAAGAACTTTTCCAAGAAGCATGGAAGGATAGGTTAATTAATCTCTACATTTTACCTACTATATACCAGACACTTTACAGATATTATCTCCTTTAGTCCTTACCACCACCCTGCAAAGTAAATATTACTATCTCCATTTTATAGATGAGAAAACTGAGGTATACAGAAGTGATGTACCTCGCAACAAGCCTCCCAGTTAGTAAGTGGTAGAACCAAGGCCTATCATCACATAGGAATTCTCAATGCTACACAACATTCCCTCACAAAAAGATAATGGGTATCAGAAGATTAACTTTCTTGTCCCACTTTATCACCGATGTCCTGGGACAAATCCTCTACTTCAATTTCCTTAGCCCATATAGGCATTGTGTCTTCAGGGTTGTATCACCTACCTCATGGATAGAGATAAAATTAGAAGGGTAATAGTGAACAGAAGGCAAACCACGCACTTCCTCCAAGATGGCAGAAGAGACACCATTTCTGAACACAGAATGGCATTTGGTAGTTGAATTGAGATATTGAAAAAAATAATTTCAACTAACGACATTTCGGATGGTTAAAATCGTGTTCTGCAAAATGGAAGATCTTTGGAAAATAGAATTCATAGCTTCTTTTGATCCAAAGTAGAATTTTCTGAGAAAGAAAATCCTACAAAATGAAAGAAACTGAAAAGTCAGCCCTGCAAACATGCTTTATTTTAAGTTTATATGTACCTAACACTTTTAAAGTAAACACAGAGAAAATCAGGCACACTTGAACCCAACTGAGGGATCTTTGGATTCACTGACAAATATAAGACAACTTCCCCAAATGTCCATTTTAAACCAATATTTTGGTAAGATTTTTTTTTTAACTTTAAGACATGCAAAAATATTCTAGGGAATACAATGCAATAATTACATGAAATTTAAAGATAAAATTCAAAGCTTTCTGGCTGGCAGCTTCTTAAAAGGCGCCAAGACCCCCTCAGAAAAACAGATTTGCACATCCTGCTTCCCACAAAGGTACCTCCTCGGGAACCCTGTGGAAGTAAAGTGCTAGAATGGCCTTTCTCTAAGAACAAGAGGAGAGCTTTGAGAAAGGAATCAGGATTAACTCAACCACTTAGATGAGGGAGCAATGGACTGGTCCACAGAGCTCATTCATGGTTTTCCCACAGAAAAAGATTTTTCTGGCCGGGCACAGTGGCTCATGCCTGTAATCCCAGCACTTTGGGAGACAGAGGCAGGTGGATCACCTGAGGTGAGGAATTCAAGACCAGCCTGACCAACACGGTGAAACCCCCGTCTCTACTAAAAATACAAAAAATTAGCCCGGCGTGGTGGTGGGGGAAGGAATATCAATTGAACCCGAGAGACAGAAGTTGCAGTGAGCCCAGATCACACCACTGCATTCCAGCCTGGGTGACAGAGCAAGACTATGTCTTAGAAAAAAAAGAAAAGAAAAGATTTTTCCAGACTATGTGCCAGAGAGCAGGAGCATCCCAGAGGAAGGAAACTAGGAGAGGCTGAGAATTTCAGGTGTCAAAAGTGACAAAGAGGCCGGGTGCAGTGGCTCACACCTGTACTCCCAGCACTTTGGGAGGCCGAGGTGGGCGGATCACAAGGTCAGGAGTTCGAGACCAGCCTGGCCAACACAGTAAAACACTGTCTCTACTAAAAACACAAAAAATTAGCCGGGCGTGGCGGTGTGTGACTGTAATCCCAGCTACTCGGGAGGCTGAGGCAGGGGAATCACGTGAACCCAAGAGGCAGAGGTTGCAGTGAGCCGAGACCGTGCCATTGCACTTCAGCCCAGTTGACAGTGCGAGACTCTGTCTCAAAAAAAAAAAAAAGTGACAAAGATTATTTGCTTAGTGAAACTTTGGTCAGGAATCCTCTACTAGGCCCATCTGTGCATTTCCTTGTAAAATCTAGCTTTAGAAAACTAGCTAAGTCACCTTAGCAAGAATCCCCATCCTTGATATCTGATTATCCTCAGTAATTATCTGATCAGGGTCCTCAATCCTCCCTCATTCCCCAAGGGATGTCTTATCACCCTGACCTGCTTTCAGCAAGAATCCTGTTGGGTTGGTTTAGCCAGAATACCCCTGCCCCTGCTGCGGCTTGTTAGCAATTTTCCATCCTGTGACCACCTCCACCCTGCTGCTTGGCTATTCCCACTTGCCCATGCTCTATTTGGAGTTGAGCCCATTCTCTCTCTCTTCCACCTCAAGGCTCTGTTGCAGTGTACCTGTTGCCATGGTCCTAAATAAAGTCTTCCTTATGGTGCTTTAATAAGTATCACTGAATTTTTTTAACATAAAAAAGGGTATCAAGAATTATAGTTGGGGGAGCCGCCGTGGCTCAGGCCGGTTGCCCTGGGACTCGGGGAGGCGAGGCTACATATTCGAGGCCAACCTGGTCAACATTGATTAAAAAAAAAAAAAAAGAATTATAGTTGGGGACCATGGGCATCTTACGTGATTGCTGCATTTTATAACTTTCCCAAGTTAGTTATTTATTGCTTACCTACTTTTCATTAGTAATTTGCTATAAAACCTTTCCAGTTTTGTTTTGTAATATTTTGGAGGCTTAGACTCCCTTGGAAAATCTGAGGAAGGCTACAGAACCCTTCTCAACCCTTCTCACCCTTTCTCTCACCCCTAAAGAATGCACAGAAACACAAAGAACAATTTGCATGCCATTTCCGGGAGTTCCCAGCCCATCTAAGAACTCCAGGTTAAAAATCCCTGTGGTGACATACTTTAAACAAGTGCCAACTTAAGACAACAATGTACTATTTTCAACTATCAGATTGGTAATAGCGATAAAAGGCACAATAATTCCCAGTGTGGAGAAACAAGCAAGTCCACATGCCACTGACGGGACTATAGATTGCTGACAACTCTTTGGAAATTTCTTTTTTTATTTTATTTTATTTTATTTTATTTATTTATTTTTATTGAGACGGAGTCTCGCTCTGTCGCCCAGGCTGGAGTGCAGTGGCGCGATCTGGGCTCACTGCAAGCTCCGCCTCCCGGGTTCACGCCATTCTCCTGCCTCAGCCTCCCGAGTAGCTGGGACTACAGGCGCCCACCACCACGCACGGCTAATTTTTTGTATTTTTAGTAGAGACGGGGTTTCACGGTGTTAGCCAGGATGGTCTCGATCTCCCGACCTCGTGATCCGCCCGCCTCGGCCTCCTAAAGTGCTGGGATTACAGGCGTGTGCCACCGCGCCCGGCCGGAAATTTCTTTATATGCACACCCTCTTTGAACTAGCATATCCAAGGATGAGAAACAGCATCAATGTGTACTAATAAGAGGGGTATTAAATAAAGGCAGGAATAGCCTTACTTGTAGTGACAGTGTTCGTTGCATTGTTAAGCAATGACACTGTCTCCTCTCTCTGTAGTCATTGTGGTGAATGGCTGGGGGTAAGAGAGGCAGAGTTGGTGGTGTGAAAAGACCACATTAGGTAGGGTTACCTGAAGTTCATACTAGGGGTTTAGTTGCTGAGTTACCTAACACGCCTCCATATTAGGTAATTCACGGGCCAGTGAGAATACTGGCTAGGAAGGAGAGCGACTGTGGTGCAGTCCTAAAGGGCTGTACTAATTAGGAGGGCAAGCATTTCAACAGTGGTTCTTAAACTTTTGGGGGTCAGACACTTCTTTGATAATCTAATGAGAGCTAAGGACCCATTCTCTGGAAAATACACATATGCATAATTTTTTGCATGTAAGTTCAGGGGATTTTTGGATCACCTGAAGTAGCTTCAAGGACACCAGGCCTTAGGTTTAAAACAAAAAGTTCCTTTGAGAGCAATGGACAGAAAAATAACTAAAAGTATCTTAGGACAGAGAATCCCCCCTACTCTGGGCAACAAGTTTTCTTCAAAATTCCTGATCTAAGACCTCTAATGACCCCTCAAACATTGCCCAGAAACCCTACCGTATCACTTTAGAAATATCTCCTTCTTACTTTTCAAGACGACTATTTCATGCCTATTCCTACATCCTACCCCCCTCAGCTGTAACCTTGCTACTTAACTCATTGACAAAATAGAAGTCATCAAACAAAAATGACTTCTCTTTCTATTACAAACCTAAAAACAGAACTACACCTGCCCCCATATTTTCCTCTTGCAACAACTGAGGAAATGCCCCTCCTGTACAAAGCAAAGCCTACCGCATATGTTTCTGAATTCCTCCCTCACCAACTTTTCTCAAGGTAAAAATAAAGTTAAAATTAAAAATAAAGTTAAATCTCTACCAAGGCCTACAAGGACAGCACACAATTTGATTTAAATTTTACAGACAACAATCTTATTTCTGTATGTAAATCTGGGACAAGAAAGAAAGCTGAGAGACTAGATATTTATTGAGCACCTACTGTGTATGTGTCAGGCAATGTTTCCTTCTGGGGAAAAAGTAGTGAGCAAAACCAGTAAGGCCATTGTCTCATGGAGCTTCCAGTCCAATCAAAAAGCAAAAGAGCAAGGTGAATGGGGACTTTCAAGGCTCACTCAGACTCTACAATGTGTTCAGAACTGAGCAAAGCAAGGGAACCAAATAACAGATTCCACACTCTTTCCTGTAAAACAACAACATAATGTCCAATAGCAAAAAAAAAAAATTTTTAATGTGAGCAAAGGAAAAAACACTAAAAAAAGTATTAAACATATTAATGCTTTAAGTAGTGTATAGAAGCCAAGATTATAGGGTATTTTAAATTGTATTTCTTTTTTTGTTTTACATATTTTCTAACATGTTTATTCTTTAATAATTTTGAAAAAGTTAAATGTATTATGTACTTCATGTAGAAACATAAAAAATGCTGTTGCGAAATAGAAAAAAAAATCCTAAAATTTGTATGGAACCAAAAATAAGCCTGAATAGCCAAAGCTCTCCTAAGCAAAAAGAATAAAGATGGAGGCATCATATTATCTGATTTCAAAATATGCTAGAAGGCTATTATAATAAAAACAGCATGGTGAAAATAGACACATAGATCTATGGCACAGAATAGAGAACCGAGAAATAAATTCACTTCACGTTTACAGCTAATTGTTTGGTGTTTTGTTGTCGTTTTTTTTGTTGTTGTTGTTGTTGTTTTGTTTTGTTTTCTTTTGAGATGGAGTCTCGCTGTGTCGCCCAGGCTGGAGTCCAGTAGCGCGATCTCAGCTCACTGCAACCTCCACCTCTTGGTTTTAAGCGATTCTCCTGTCTCGGTCTCCTGAGTAGCTGGGACTATACCTGGCTAATTTTTTGTATTTTTTGTTTGTTTGTTTGTTTTGTTTGTTTGTTTGTTTTTGAGACGGAGTCTCGCTCTGTCGCCGAGGCTGGAGTGCAGTGGCACTATCTCGGCTCACTGCAAGCTCCGCCTCCCTGGTTCACACCTTTCTCCTGCCTCAGCCTCGCGAGTAGCTGAGACTAGAGGCGCCCACCACCACGCCCGGCTAATTTTTTTGTATTTTTTAGTAGAGATGGGGTTTCACCGTGTTAGCCAGGATGGTCTCGATCTTCTGACCTCATGATCCGCCTGCCTCGGCCTCCCAAGGTGCTGGGATTACAGGCGTGAGCCACCCTGCCCGGCCTTATTTTTTGTATTTTTGGTAGAGACGGGGTTTCATGATGTTGGCCAGGCTGCTTTTGAGCCCCTGACCTCAAGTGATCTGCCTGCCTCAGCCTCCCAAAGTACTGGGATTATAGGAGTGAGCCACCATGCCCAGCCTGCTAATTGATTTTTAACAGAGACACCACGAAGATACATGGGGAAAAGGACTTCCTCTTTAGTAAATGGTGCTGGAAAAACTGTATATCCATGTGCAGAGGAATGAAACGGAATCTCTATCTCTCACCATATACAAAAATCAACTGAAGATGAATTAAAGACTTATATGTAAGATCCAAAACTACTAAAAGAAAATATTGGAGAAATACTTCAGGACATTGGTCTAGGCAAAGATTTTATGACTAAGACCTTAAAAGCACAAGCAACTAAAACAGGAATAGACAAATGGGACCATATTAAACTAAAACGCTTCGGCTCAGCAAAGGAAACAATTAACAGAGGGAAGAGACAACCTGTTGAATAGGAGAAGATATTTGCAAACTATTCATCTGACAAGTGACTGATACCCAGAATATACAAGGAACCCAAACAACTCAACAGTTACAAAAGAAAAGAAAGAAAGAAAGAAAGAAAGAAAGAAAGAGAGAAAGAAAGAAAGAAAGAAAGAAAGAAAGAAAGAAAGAAAGAAAGGGAGAGAGAAAGAGAAAGAAAAAAGAAAGAAAGAAAGAAAGAAAGAAAGAAAGAAAGAAAGAAACAAAGAAAGAAAGAAAGAAAGAAAGAAAGAAAGAAAGAAAGAAACCATTAAAAAGTAGGCAAAGGATCTGAATAGACATTTCTTAAATAAAGCCATACAAATGTCCAGGAAGTATATGAAAAAATGTTCAATGTCACTAATCATCAGGGAAATGCAAATCAAAACCACAATGAGTTATCCTACCCCAGTTGGAATGGCTATTATCAAAAAGACAAAAAATAACAGATACTGGCTAGGATGCAGAAAAAAGGAAATTGTTATGCATTTTTGGTAAGAATGTAAATTAGTACAGCCACTATGGAAAACAATATGGAGATTTCATAGAAAACTAAAACTAGAACTACCATATGATCCAGCAATCCCACTACTGGATGTTTACTCAAAGGAAAGGAAATCATTGTATCAAAGGGATACTTGCACTCCTATGTTTATCACAGCCCTATTCACAATAGCCAAGATACAGAATAAATTTAAGTGTCCATCAATGGATAAATGGATAAAGAAAATGTGGTAAATACATATGCAATGGAATACTATTTGGCCGTAAAAAAGAATGAAATCCTGTTACTTGCAGTGATATAGATGGAACTGAAGGTCAATATGTTAAGTGAAATGAGTCAGGCACAGAAAGACAAGTATCACATGTTCTCACTCATATGTAGGAGCTAAAAAATGGATCACATGGAGGTAAAGAGTAGAATGATAGATACCAGAGGCTGGGAAGGGTGTGTGAGTTGGAAGGGCAATGAAGAGGTTGGATAATGAGTACAAACATATAGTTAGGGAGAAGAAGTAAGTTCTAATGTTCCATAGCAGAATAGGGTAACTATAATTTTTAAAGCATGTATTGGATATTTCAAACTAGCTAAAAGAGAGGACTTGGAATGTTCTCAAAACATAGAAATGCTAAATTCTTGAGGTCATGGATGTTCTAAATACCCTTACATGATCATTATGCACTCTGTGCATTTAATAAACTACCACAGGCTGGGCACGGTGGCTCACGCCTGTAATCCCAGCACTTTGGGAGGCCGAGGTGGACGGATCACTTGAAGTCAGGAGTTCGAGACCAGCCTGGCCAACATGGTGAAACCCCATATCTACTAAAAATACAAAAATTAGCCTGGCCTGGTGGCGTGCGCCTGTAATCCCGGCTACTGGGGAGGCTGAGGCAAGAGAATCGCTTGAACCCAGGAGGTGGAGTTTGCAGTGAGCCGAGATCAAGCCACTGCACTCCAGCCTGGGCAACAGAATGAGACCCTGCCTCAAAAAAAAAAACAACAACAACAACAACAAAAACTATCACAGGTACCCTATAAGTATGTACAAGTATTATGTATGAATAACAAATTTAATTTATTTTAAAATTCTGTTGATATATTACATGAAAAGAGCACATTATTTCAGCATGATTATAATTGCATAAACTATAAATAAGCAGACAAAGATTTATAGAGTGATAGAAATGAAATTAGCTGTGCTAAGGCTTTAGAGTCAGAATACTTGATTGGGCAGGTTTCTTGCTCTCTTTGTACCCCTGTCTGTCACTTTTCCCATCTGAAAAATGGTAATAGCTGTCTCTACCTCAAAAGGTTGGTATGATAATTAAATTACTTAATATATTAAAAATACCTACGCAGAGCACAGAGGTTTTTTAAGTGAAACTACTCTGTATAATACTGTAATGGTGGATACATGCCATTATGCATTTGTTCAAATTCATAGAATGTACCACACTGTGTTAGTCTGTTTGCATTGCTATAAAGGAATACCTGAGGCTGGGTAATTTGTAAAGAAAAGAAGTTAATTTGGCGCATGGTTCTGCAGGCTGTACAAGAAGCATGGCACCAGCATCTGCTTCTGGTGAGGCCTCAGGAAGCTTACAATCATGACGGAAGGTGAAGGGAAGCCAATATGTCACATGGTGGGAGATGGAGCAAGAGAGTGAGAGAAGAGGGAGGTACCAGATTTTTTTTTTTTTCTGAGACAGAGTCTCTCTCTGTCACCCAGCTGGACTGTGGAGTGCAGTGGCACAATCTTGGCTCACTGCAGCCTCTGCCTCCTGGGTTTAAGCAATTCTCCTGCCTCTGCCTCCTAAGTAGCTGGGATTACAGGCCCACACCACCCTGCCCAGCTAATTTTTGTATTTTTAGTAGAGATGGAGTTTTGCCATGTTGGCAAGGCCAGTCTCGAACTCTTGACCTCAGGTGATCCTCCCACCTCTGCCTCCCAAAGTGCTGGGATTACAGGTGTGAGCCACCACGCCCAGCCTCAGACTCCTTCTAACAGATCTTGTGGGAACTAATAAAGCAAGAACTGACTCATCACCATGAGGACAACATCAAGCCATTCATGAGGGATCCACCCTCATGACCCAAACACCTCCCACTAGGTCCAACCTTTAACATTAAGATCAAAATTCAACATGGGATTTGGAGGGGACAAATATCCAAACTATAGCATATACCAAGAGTAAACCTTAATGTAAACTACAGACTATGGATGACAATAGTAAGTCAAAGTCAGCGCATGGATCATAGCAAATGTACCACTGTAGTGGAGGATGTTGAAAGTGAAGGAAGTTATGCATGTGTCTGGCATGGGATATATGAGATCTCTTCCTTTTGCTCAATTTTGCTGTGAACCTAAAACTGCTCTAAACAAATGAAGTCTCAGGCCAGGTGTGGTGGCTCATGCCTATAATCCCAGCACTTTGGGAGGCCAAGGCAGGTGGATCACCTGAGGTCAGGAGTTTGAGACCAGCCTGGCCAACATGGTGCAACCCCATCTCTACTAAAAATACAAAAAATTAGCTGGACATGGTGGCGGGCGCCTGTAATCCCAGCTACTCAGGAGGCTGAGGCAGGAGAATCCCTTGAACCTGGGAGGTGGAGGTCGTAGTAAGCCGAGATCGTGCCATTGCACTCCAGCCTGGGCAACAAGAGAGAAACTTTGTCTCAAAAAAAAAAAAAGAAAGAAAATGAAGTCTATTTTTAAGATGATTAGTATACTGACTGGCACATAAGAAGCGTTCAATAAATGTCAGTTAAAATTTTCTTACCATCATTATTATGTTATAACATGCTCTGGGTCCTGCTAGGTGTTCAGTTAAGTGTTACTAATGAATAGTTGCCAATGTGGTTACTTTCTTTCCATGTAGACCCCTGCGCTGAGCTCCAGGGCTGATCATCCAGGAGGAATTCCCACTAAGCCATCCACCCTGCCCTCTCCATTGTCTGTGCTCCCAAGGTATCTAGCAGTTGCCACTTGGAGCACTTAGGTCTCCCCACTGTAATTATCTGTTTTCCTGCCTATCTCCTCCATGCCACTCCATTGCAATCTCCCCTGGGGCAGTGATGTTCCTCATTCTTCTCTGTATCTCCAGCTCCTAGCTCAAAATCTGGAACCAAAGCAGAGTCAATAAAAGTTTCATTGGAAGAATAAATGAAAGAAAAAAAAGATCAAATGAATAAATGAATAAATAGCAGGCTCTGTCACTGCATGTTCAGTTGAGTCAATCTGAGCACAGTCTGAGCAGCTCTGGCTCAGTGGCCTCCACAGTTCCAACTCCTATCTAAAGGGTATAAATGCCAACCAAGCATTGCTGAGGGGGCCTTTCCCTGCTGGAGAGCACTTTATTTTATAGTTCATAAAAAGCAAGAGATCCATTTTTGGTATTTGTGCTTATGGACCCAGATTTTAACTTACCTCTACTACCCCTACCACATGGAGCAGCCCTGAGAGTGTGGCCTAAGAGTGAGCAACCTCCTTTGGAGCCCTCCTCCCAATGAGACCATCATTATTATGCTCTCTGTGGAGCACTAAGGAGAGAAGAAGCAAACTGCAAGATTTTTCAAGGAAATGGTCTGTATTACTTGCCACTTAAGCCTACTCCCAGCAGCGAGAGTACCAAATAAAAAGATAAAGACTTTCACACTTCTCTCTCTCACATACACGTATACACACCTTTATATGTATACATGTGAATTCGTGTGTTTGTGGGTGTAGATGTATGTAAATGTACATGGTATGCAGCTATGTCATGGCATTACGATTCAGAATTACTTCCGTCTCTGTTTTTCAATTTCTCATATTCCCTAATGTTTCCACCATAGGAAAGGCTCAATCAAAATAGAAGAGAATTTGACATAGACAGAGAGTAAAGAATAAAACCGTGGTAGACAGGTAGGGCCATGGCAGGGAGAACAGATGCATGAAGGTTTAAAACAAACAAACAAAAAGGCCTATGTCTTGCTTTCCTCCAAGGCCTATGTCTTGCTTTCTGAACAGTCCATGTCCAGAAAGGTAGTTAGGAGAATGTTGAGGAAAGTTCTCTGAGAATTGGGAACTGGACAAACTGAATATGGGCATCTATTTCTGTAAGTTATTTAACTTCTCAGAGTCTCAGTTTCCTCATATAAGGATAATAATACTTCACAATATTACTATGAGGGATATATAAAATGTTTCTAAACGTGCAATGTAGAGAGTTGTTTTTTGTTGTTGTTGTTGTTTTTGTTTGTTTGTTTGTTTTTGTGACAGAGTCTTGCTCTATCGTCCAGGCTGGAGTGCAATGGCGTGTTCTCAGCTCACTGCAACCTCTGCCGCCCGGGTTGTAACGGATTCTCCTGCCTCAGCCTCCTAAGTAGCTGGGGTTATAGGCATGCACCAGCATGCCCAGCTGATTTTGTATTTTTAATAGACACAGGGTTTCACCATGTTGGCCAGGCTGGTCTCGAACTCCTGACCTCAGGTGCTCCACCCAACTTGGCCTCCCAAAATGCTGGGATTACAGGCATGAGCCACTGCACCCGGCCAATGTGGAGAGATTTTTAAAAATGTATCTAAATTAGAGGTTATCAAACTTTGGAATTTGAGAATACATTTTGAATGCGAGGATATTTTATGGAACCACCTCCTGCTCTCCTACACACAGAGAATAGTAAGAAAGTATGCAACAAAGAGCTACTATGCACCTCCCACCTACTAAGATGGCTTACAAAAAAAAAGAAAAGAAAAGAAAAAATAAAAAGTCTTGAGGAGTATGTAGAGAAATTGGAACCTTCATACATTGTTGGTGTGAATGTAAAATGGTACAGCCACTGTGGAAGGCAGTTTGGTGATTACTGAAATTTAAATATGCAATTACCAAATGACCTAGCAATTCCACTCCTAGGTATATACCCCCAAAGAATTGAAAACAGAGACTCAGGCTGGGAGTGATGGCTCATGCCTATAATTCCAGCACTTTGGGAGGCCAAAGCAGAAGGATCACTTGAGCCCAGGGGTTCGAGACCAGCTTGGTCAATATTAATGAGAGCCCGTTTCTACAAAAAATACAAAAATTAGCCAGACATGGTGGTGTGCATCTGTGGTCCCAGCTATTCAGGAGGCTGAGGTGGGAGGATTGCTTGAGCCCAGGAGGTTGAGGCTGCAGTGAGCTGTGTTCATGCTACTGGACTCTCCAGCCTGGCTGACTGAGTGAGACCTTGTCTCAAAAAAAAAAAAAAAAAAAAGAAAGAAAAAGAAAAAATGAAAACAGGGACTCAAAAAAATAATTATGTGCCAATGTTCATAGCAGCATTATTCACAATAGCCAAAAGGTGGAAACAATCCAAATGTCCTTCAACAGATAAATGGATAGACAAATGTGGCCTTTCCATACAATGGAATATTATTTAGTCATAAAAAGGAATGAAATTCTGATACATGCTGCAACATGGATGATCCTTGAAAACATTATCTTAAATGAAATAAGCCAGACACAAAAATACAAATATTGTATTCCACTTACATGAAGTATCTAAAATAGGCAAATTCACAAAGATGGTAAGTAGACAAAAGATTACCAGAAGCTGAACGGAGGGAAAAGTGGAGAGCTGTTTAATGGGTACAGAGTTTCTATTGGAATGATAAAAAAAAGTTTTGAAAACGGCAGAACAGTATTGCAAATGCAATTAATGCCACTGAATTGTACACCTTAAAATGGTTAAAATGACAAATTATATGTCTTACTACCATTTTAAAAAACAAATAAAAGAAGCTACTATGAATTCATAATACATTTACATATGAAAATGAGATATACTGTTTAGTCAATTTGCATATGAATTTGTAGAGCACTTATATGGATTCCCTGCCTCCCACCTCTACCACCCACCTACCCTCAATAGAGAACCATGGATAGAGATAATTCAAGTTAATACAAAAGTTACATCTCAAACGTCTGGATAACAGCCTCAATTATTCACTGTGGTGAGAACACAGATTTTGCCATTGGAGTTTGGTACAAGGCTTTATACATGGCAAGTATTTACTAAATTCTTTCTAAATAAATGGGTCTCTGTAGTACAATACCAGGCACCAGTTCATATAAGCCAATTAGAGAGTTTGTGAATGAATGAGTATGTGTGTATGCATGTATGTGTGAGTGTGTGTGTGTGTGTGTGTGTGTGTTTGGGGTAAAGGAGAAGTAGGCGAGAAGTGTTAGAAGAAACAGAAAGGGCCTACCCCTGAATCCTGGTTAATTGCTTCCTTTCAGGAAAAGCACCAAGGATGGAGCAGCCTGGCCTTTGCCCCATGCTGGTTCCTGCAGGTGCAAAGGGAGAACTACTGCTAATGGGACAGAGAAGGTCCATGCTGCACATGGTGCAGAGATCAACAGGTCTTGAGCCTCCAGAGCTGTCAGCCTAGTGCTTTTCATGCGCCTTAAAAGTGAATCAGAGAGAAAACAAAGAAGGGTCACTCTTGAGATCTTCAGTCCCTGGCATTGCTGGAAGTAAATATGAAGCATCTGGGAGAAACAGAGACTATATTCAAAAGTTTACATAAAACTGAACAGAGGAGGGAGGCGGAGAGGGGTGACTGGTGATGTTCCAGAGTAAAAAAGAGAGAGAATCCTTTCAAAATATATTGAGAACTCCTACTACTCATCATTCAGTAAAAGCTAATGGAACTAAATGTTGTCACAAGATAAGCTTTACTTCAAAATGATCTATTTTTTCTTGACTCTTTAAAAATTAACCAAAATCACAAGCTGATTTCTTTGGCCTAAATGGGTTTGCTTTTTCCTCTCAAAATGCATGTGAAATGCATGCAAATAAAATATAGCATTGATAAATCTTTTAAGTTGTTTCAAGTTGCTTTCAATGGCCATAACTTAAAGTGGTCAGTCATTACACATTGGAGCAATTCGGACACATCATATTGTTTTCTGATCTCGATAAAGCTTAACCTATTAATAAAAGAAGTACATTTATTTATAGCTAGAACAAAATCTGCCAATACATGAAATTCTGCTAAGTGATATGTCTTTTTTCCACTCATTTACATAATAGGATTAGAGACTGTTTTACCTGAGTGGGGGGTGGATCCTTCTATAGAGTTAAATTGCCCTTTATAATATAGCAATTCTCTTAAAAAACTACTCATTTCTATATATGTCTGTGTTTACATAAAGAAAGCTCTGAAATAATACACACCTGACTTTTACTGTTGTTACTTCTGAGAAACATGTGAAATAAGGGAGAAGTCACAGTGAGATGTAAATGGGGACCATTTACTGTTTACATATTCTGTATTCTTTGAATATTTTTCATAATGAGCATATGTTACTTTTATAATTAGTAATTTAAAAGTAAAGACGGCCAGGTATGGTGGCTCACACCTGTAATCCCAGCACTTTGGGAGGCCAAGGTGAGCGGATCACCTGAGATCAGGAGTTCGAGACCAACCTGACCAACATAAAGAAACCCTGTCTCTACTAAAAATACAAAATTAGCTGGGCGTGGTGGCACATGCCTGTAATCCCAGCTACTCGGGAGGCTGAGGAAGGAGAATCGCTTGAACCCGGGAGGCGGAAGTTGAGGTGAGCCGAGATTGCGCCATTGTACTCCAGCCTGGGCAACAAGAGCGAAACTCCATCTCAAAATAAATAAATAAATAAATATAAAGACAAATGAAGTCCCATGGGTGAGGGTAAGCTGATAAAACATTGCTTATACATCATGCAAAGTAATTCACAATTTTTTTCCTTTTATAAAATATTAGAGAATAGTATCATGAACCCCAATGTATTCACTATCCAACTTCAACAATGATCACTTCCTGGCCACTGGCATTTCATTCATGGTCCCTCATATATTTAAACACACAACATAGCTAAATTTGTTAAAGCAAATCCCAAACACTATAACCTTTTATCTGTAAATACTCTATACCTGTTAGCTGAAAGTTAAACTAAAGAACAGTACAGGCCGGGCGTGGTGGCTCACGCCTATCCCAGCACTTTGGGAGGCTGAGACAAGTGAATCACTTGAAGTCAGGTGTTTGAGACCAACGTGGCAAACATGGTGAAACCCCGTCTCTACTAAAAATACAAAAACTAGCTGGGCGTGGTGGCCTGTGCCTGTAATCCCAGCTACTAAGGAGGCTGAGGTAGGAGAATCACTTGAACCCGGGAGGCGGAGGTTACAGTGAGCTGAGATTGCACCACTGCACTCCAGCCTGGGTGACAGAGTGAGACTCTGTCTCAAACAAACAAACAAACAAACACACAAAAAAATACAGTACAAGCAACTCTTCAGGATCATATTGACTTCCTAAAGATTTGTTTTCAAAACGAATGAGAAGACAAGTTTTACAAGAATGGCAAAGTGATTTTAAGAATCAACACTGGCCCTCTTATTCATAGAGTAAATTATTCAAATCCAGTCTACTTAATCAATAACTAAGAAAATATAATTAAATAGGACAGAACAAAATAACAGCAGGTAAGTTAGAAAAATAAGTTCAAGAAGGTACATCTCTCCATCTGCCATTTCTGAGCCTTAAAGCAGTGTAGAAGTGCCCACTTTCTTGTCAGGTAATTCTTAACAGCTAGGTCTAAGAATTTGAGAGAGAAAAACTGGTTGCTCTAACCTGACAAAATGACTGGTGAATTATTCATGCAGTTGCTGAACTGAAATCTGCAACCTATGGCTTCTCTGAGCTTCTGCGTGACAAATGACTCTAGCACCAAGCATCTTTTACAATTTAAGCCAGGACTCACACCTATAAATTGCATTGCTCATCTTACCAGAGCTAATGACTTCAAGTGATCTCTCTCAAAGCTGAGGAGCACCTGGTTAGATGACCAGGTTGCCCTTCCCACCATGCACCACTACCTCCACTCAATAATCAACTTATGGCCCACAGCTATTGACTTTAAAAAGACTACCTCTTCTCTTCAAAGCACAGGCAGCCCTTAGTCTGAGGATGCTGCCCTGGCTCACAACCTTCTAACATTTTGCCCAAATGTGAATGTCTTTTGGCTTTAAAGTTTCAAAAATTCCTTGAGTCTTTTCCTTAGGCTAATAAAGCTGGCAGAAAATTAGTTAACTTTACCATCATCCCTGATGTGTATCAAAGCAACATTCACTGACTCAGACATTTGTCTAACATTTGGCCTATGTCAAAGGTCTTTTACATACACCATCATTCATCTCATTGACACAATTCTGTGGCACAATTATGGTAGGCATTTTTTCTCTATGTTACAGAGGGGGAAAAAGAAGCCCATAGAATGTAAATTAGTTCAACCATTGGGGAAAAAAGTGTGGAGATTCCTCAAAGAAAGACCTAGAGGCAGAAATACTATTTAACCCAGCAATCCCATTACTAGGTATACACCCAAAGAACATAAATCATGCTATTATAAAGACACATACACGTGAATGTTCATTGCAGCACTATTCACAATAGCAAAGACATGGAATTAACCTAAATGCCCATCAATGATAGACTGGAAAAAGAAAATGTGGTACATATATACCACGGAATACTATGCAGCCATAAAACGGAACAAGATCATGTCCTTTGCAAGGATATAGGTGGAGTTGGAAGCCATTATCCTCAGCAAACTAGCACAGGAACAGAAAACCAAGCACTGCATGTTCTCACTTATAAGTGGGAGCTGGATGATGAGAAAACATGGACACATCGGGGTGGGGAAAAACACACATTGGGGCCTGTTGGAGGTGAGGTGGGGCCAGGGAGAGCATCAGGAAGAATAGCTAATTGACTCTGGGCTTAATACCTTAAACACACAACCTAGCTAAATTTGGTGGTGGTGGGATGATCTGTGCAGCAAACTACCATGGCACACATTTACCTATGTAACAAACCTCCACATCCTGCACATATATCCCCAGAACTTAAAATAAAAGTTGAAGAAAAAAAAAAGGAGCCCACAGAGATGAAGTGACTTGTCAAAGACCTCACAAGTATAGGAGATAGCATGCTTGAACCCAGGTCTTCTGATTTCTAGTCTACTGCTCTTGCTACTAAACTAGAGATTAGTAATCTCCAGGCCAAACCAAGCCTTAGAGCGTGTGCTGCCAGCACCTAAAGATCAGGAAGCTTTTTCAGAAAAAAATCTGGATTTTCAGGGGTTTTTTATTTTAATTTTTGTGGGTACATAATAGGTGTATATATTTACATGTTACATGAAGTATTGTGATACAGGTATGCAATGTGTAATAATCACATCAGGGTAAATGGGGTATCCATTCCCTCAAGCATTTATCTTTTGTGTTACAAACAATCCAATTATGGTCTTTTAGTTATTTTTAAATGTATAAGTAAATTATTTTTTACTGTAGCCACCCTGTGGTGCTAGCAAACACTAGGTCTTATTCATTCTTTCTATTTTTTTGCACTCATTAACCATCCCCACTTTCTCCCCACTTTCGCACTACCCTTCCTAGCTGCTAGTAACCATCCTTCTACTCTCTATCTCTGTGAGTTTGTTTTAATTTTTAGTTCCCAGAAATAAGCAAGAACAGGCAAAGTTTGTCTTTCTGTGTCTGACTTATTTCATGTAACATAATGACCTCCAGTTTCATCCACGTTGTTGTACATAACAGGATCTCATTCTTTTTTATGGCTGAATAGTACTCCATTGTGTATATGTACCACATTTTCTTTATCCATTCATCTGCTGGTGAACATTTAGGCTGCTTCCAAATGTTGGCTGTTGTGAACAATGCTGCAATAAATATGGGAGTGCAGCTATCTCTTCCATATACTGATTTCCTTTGGCGTCTATATATTTTTTTTAAATGATAGAGAGTAGCCACACAAGACCCATATTCCCAAAAGGCAGTCACTTGGCTGGGGTTAAGGAATTTCAGGCCTTTGAAGATAGGACACAGACTCTCCACTTTGTCCCAGTCTTCCCTCAGCCCACTTTTTTCATTTCGATTCCTATCCCACTCTAAAGGTCTGAGGGGGCAGGCCTTTAAGACCCTGGCTTAAAACCAAGCTTCTTATCAAATTTGTAGAATTTGATTTTGGAAACTTGCATGCTAAAAATATGAGGTGACTCTATTGCTCAATCTACTTCCAGTTTTTTATTTCGTGGCATATAAACAAATAACAAGCTCGAATCATATGAATTTAGACCCTTAGGCTAAGAGCACATCCTAAGTGCCACATTACAGACTTGACTCCTGCAGTGATTACAATGATTGCAGTAGTTTGGATACTTAGGGAATCTCAATTTGTCCTTGTTAACTCTGTAAATTGTATGCCCTTGAAAGTAGACTTTGCTATTGCTTGGTCATTAGAATACTTTTTGATCAGGAGGATCATTTACCACAAATCAGATGTCATTGATATCTGCGCATTCAACAATATGCTAGAAATGCACCCAACAAAAATGGACACCAAATCAACAAGTAAGTCTCCACTGAAAGGAGACATTATAGACTCATAGCTGCCCATAACTGAGTTATCAATCTGGACAAATATACAGATGTTTTGCTCCCCAGTCCTGCTTAACCTGGCCCCTCTTGCTTCCAATGTAGCAAAGACTTTCTGACAATGCACTCTGCACTTCCTCATGGAGTGCCTGTCAGGAGTTAAGGATTTCTGCAGACCTGCCTAAGATGCACTTATGATGACAAACTGTTTCCTAATTGGAGAAGAAGTCATAAGTGGTAATATTTCTGTGCCTACATGAGTCACCAGGGTTCTTCGGCTGACAAATGAAAACCCCATCACCTTCCCATTTCTTTTCTTTTTGTTTTGTTTCCTTTTGTTTTGTTTGAGATGAGGTTTCACTCTGTCACCCAGGCTGAAGTGAAGTGGTACAATTACGGCTCACTGTAGCCTTGACCTCTCCAGCATCAGGTGATTCTCCCACTTCAGCCTCCTGAATAGCTGGGACTAGAGGCACATGCCATTATACCCCACAAATTTTTGCATTTTTTGTGGAGACAGGGTTCACTTTGTTGCTCAGGCTAGTCTTGAACTTCTGGGCTCAAGCAATCCTTCCACCTCAGCCTCCCAATATGCTAGGATTACAGGTGTGAGCCACTGTGCTCGGCCCCCCTTCCCATTTCTTTCACAGGCCTTGTGATCATAATGAGGATGGGGGTCAGCATTTACTTATCAATAACTCATCAAATTATACAAAATAATACAAATTTAACACTATTGTGCTGCTCTAGCTATGGCTCTCACCCTTGATTTTTTCCTGCATGGTATTTGTTCCAGTGGACAGAATCACCTAATGATGAAGGCATGTCACAATGTCAAAAGAGTCAGGTTGACTTTAAAAGGATAATTTGAGGCCAGGCACAGTGGCTCACATCTGTAATCCCAGCACTTTGGGAGGCCGAAGTGGGTGGATCACTTGAGCCCAGGACTTTGAGACCAGCCTGGGTAACATGGTAAGACCCTGTCTCTACAAAAAATACAAAACTTAGCCTGACATGGAGGTGTGCATTTGTGGTCCCATCTACTTGGGAGGTGGAGGTGGGAGGATCACTTGAGCTCAGGAGGTTGACGCTGCAGTGAGCTGTGATTGCACAACTGCATTCCAGCCTGGGTGACAGAGTGAGACCCTGTCTCAAAAAAAAAAAAAAAAAAAAAAAAAAAAAGGATAATTTGAAATAACTCCTTTATATGAATCCTTTAAACACAGATCAAAAGCAAAACAAATTAGCTAATAGTGAAGTCATCCTCAGTCTTTGCCTTAGTCCATTCTGGCTGTTCTAACAAAAATACCTGGTCAGTGGCTTATAAACAGCAGAAACTTATTCTCACAGCTCTGGAGGCTGAGAAGTCCAAAATCAAGACAGATTCAGTATCTGGTGAGGCCCACTTCCTGAATCATAGGGTGCTATCTTAATGGTCTGTTCTCACATACTGGAGGGCAGAAGGGAGTTCTCTGGGCCCTCATTTATAAGGGCACTAATCCCATTCACAAGAGTTCCATCCTTATAACCTTATTGCCTTTCAAAGACCTCACCTCCAAATATCAATATATTAGGGATTAGGTTTCAACATATGAATTCAGGGGGAACACAAACAGTCTATAGAAGTTCTCATGCCCTCTGGCTATATAATATAGTAAGTTTACTATGAAGTAACAAACGAAAGATAGTTGTCCTCAAGGGTCAATTCCAAGATACACCCATGCCACTATAAAGTTGCCACCCTTAGGGTATAGCTCAATGGGTCACCAGAACCTATAGGTGTATAACTCAGATACCAATCCTTTTGGAAGTTGAATGCTAGTGCCAGGTTCTATCCCTGATATTTGGAGAAATACCCTGGTTGCTGTAATTGAACCTGAGGAAGCCTATGCATCAAGTTAAAAAGAGTCATAGAGCTTTGGCGTAGATATGCCCAAACGTTTCACAAATAATTTATACTTATTAACTTATTTACAAAGAATGCCCTGCTACATTATATCACTTTAGAGTATTCAATAGCTGCAATAGCTGAAGTGAGAGAAAAACTGATTAAAATTTCACTGATTTTTGTGTGTGTGTGATGGTTAATTTTATGTGTCAACTTGACTTGGCCACAGGGTACCCCATCACCTAAATATCTATGTATGTATGAGGATGCTTCTGGATGGAGTTAATATTTGAATTGGTAGACTGAGTAAAGCAGATTGTCCTACCCAATGTTGGTGAGCCTCATCCAATCTGCTGAGAGGCTGAATAAAACAAAAAGGTTGAATAAGAGAGAGAGAGAGAATTCCTTCTGCCTGACTTCCTTCCAGCTGGGACATCAGTCGTTTCCTATATTCAGACTCTAACCAAAATATCAGCTTTTCTAGGCTGGGCATGGTGGCTTACACCTGTTATCCCAGCACCTTGGCAGGCCAAGATAGGAGGGTTGCTTGAGGCCAGATGTTTGAGACCAGCCTGGGCAATATAGTGAGATCCTGTCTTTACAAAAAAATTTAAAAATAAAAAATTTAAGCAGGCATAATGGCACATGCCTGCAGTTCTAGCTACTTTGGGGGCTGAGATGGGAGGATTGCTGGAGCCCGGGAGTTCAAAACTTCAGTGAGCCATGATTGTACCACTGGACACCAGTTACAGAGGGAGACCCTGTCTCAAAAAAAAAAAAAAAAATCAGCTTTTCTTCAAACCTGCTGGCTTTTCAACTGGAACTAAACCATTGGTTCTCCCAGGTCTCCAGCAGACCTTGGGACTTCTCAGCTTCCATCATCATGTGAGCCCATTCCTATTGGTTCCATTTCTCTAAAAAACCCTGACTAATACAGTTTTGGAGTACCTAAAAAAATTATGGACTACAGAAAATTTATAAATTTTAGAAATAGATTCATACATTTAAACAATTTATCATGTGTCCACAATGTGCTAGGCACAGAGCAACTTACTATGGGATGAAAAAGGGTGACCAAAACATTGGTCCTGTCCATCAAGGAATTTACAGTCTAGTCAGACATCCGTGGGAACTTCATATAAGACAGAAAGAGATATATACGATAAAATACAAAGTATTCAGAAAGCAGGGAGACCATTTCTGGCTAAAAGAATAAAAAGAAGTTTCATGGAGGAGTGGCATTTGAGCTGTCATTTAATGAATTAAGAGGCCCAACACATGCAGTAATGGAATAAAATGCATTTTAGGTGGAGAAACTAGCATGGGCAAAGACAGAAAGGTGGGAATGCATAGTCCTTTCATGGGGGAAAAGAGGGCAATTTAGTACTGCTGGATTGTCAGGTCCGTGTAGAAGTAAGAAACAAGGCTGGAGAGGTTGGTTCAGGTTAGATTTTAGAGAATCACAAATGCTAGGCTAAGCAGTTGGGACTTTATTAAATACCAGGGGGATACTGAAGGGTTGGATCATATTTGTGTACAGGAGTCACAAAGAGTCTAGGCTAGTACACTAATCTAGAAGAGAGATGAGATTCTGAACAAAATTTGAGCAAACCTGCCAGTGTGTTGGATATGTTAAATGAGGAAAATAGAAGAATTTCAGATGGCTCAGGATTAGACTCTGAATCTAAGCGTAGGATAATGCCTTTGATGTCATCTAGTCTTGTTCTATGACTCTACAGATGAGAAATCTGAGGCTGAGAGAGGTCAAGTGATTTATCCAGAAAGCAAGTAGGGAAGTCAGGACTAGAATCAAGATCTCCTGATTCTCACCTGAGGGCATAATAGAAACACTAATTAAAATAGGGAGAACAGATCTGGAAGAAAAGACGAGAAATAGATTTTGAATTATTTGAATTTGAGATACCTCAACAAAGTGTGTCCAATCCTTTGTCTTCCCTGGGTCACATGGGCCCCAGGTTGGACAAGCTTGCTCTACAACATCCAAGCAGAGACATGCAGGGCAATTAGCTAGGCAAATCCCGTATTAACCTCTGTAGGCCCACCTTGACATCTTCAGGAATCCCATCTCTCCATGTTGCCCTCTGTTGTATTTTTAGCTCTTTTTTTTATTTTCTTATAAGTAGTAAAGATGTTTATATCACTCTCTTGTTAATAACAAAAAACCATAAAAGCAAACCTTGCTATCACTCTCACTGGTTGATTGATGCATTCATTTATTGAACACATCTTTATTAAATGGCTCCTGTATATCCACTACTGTTCTAAGCACTAAGGATAAAGCAATAACAAGTCAGCCATGGCTCTTGACATCATGAAACTTAAATTCAAAGACAAATTTTGAGAAAGGAATTTACCAGACTGTGGAAAGTTAGAAAGTATGCTTCAGTGGGTCCTCATTATACTGTTCTCCTTACATTTGAATATGTTTGAAACTTTTTTACAACAGTGAATGTCTTAAATAAGAGATGCTAGAGGAATGTATAAGAGAGGGATTTAATCTCAGTCTCAATGTAACTCTCAGGGAAGACTTCTTGATTGAAGGGAATTTTAAATGGGGCTGTGAACGACGACTAGGAGCTAAACCAGAAAGAGATGGAGCAAGAAGAGTATTCTGCAGTGGGCATAATAAATGGAAAGACCTCGAGGCAAGAAAAAAAATTCTCTTACCAGCATCTGAATATTCAGCCATTAGTTCGATGGGATAATTAAAACTCAGGGAACTAAAAGTCTTGCCCAGCACAAGAAAGGAGAGAAAGAGACAGATACGAAGACACAGCGAGACTGACACAGAGAGAAAACCTACCTGGATGTGAGACCTTAAGGGCTTATATCTTTAAAGGTAGAAAGGGATGAGGTCATTTGTGTGCCCTATGATCAAATATAAGCAGTTGACCCTCCATAATCATGAGTTCCATATTCGTGGATTTAACCAAACATGGATCAAAAATATTCTGAAAAAAAATTAAAGAAACAACAATTAAAATAAAAAATTAAAAACAGGCCAAGCACAGTTGCTCACGCCTGTAATCCCAGCACGCTGGGAGGCCAAGGTGGGCGGATCACGAGGACAGGAGTTCAAGACCAGCCTGGCTAACATGGTGAAACCCCATCTCTCCTAAAAATACAAAAAATTAGCTGGGCGTGGTGGTATGCACCTGTAATCCCAGCTACTCAGGAGGCTGAGGCAGGAGAATCGCTTGAACCTAGGAGGCGGAGGTTGCAGTGACCTGAGATTGCACCATTGCTCTACAGTCTGGGTGACAGAGCAAGACTCCGTCTGGAGAAAAAAAATACAATATAACAACTATGCACATAGCATCCACATTGTATTAGGTATTGTAAATAATCTAGAGATTATTTGAAGTATGTAGGAGGATATGCATAGGTTATATACAAATGCAATGCCATTTTATATAAGGGACTTGAACATTTGTGGATTTTGGTACCCACAGGGAGTCCTAAAACCAATCCCCCATGGATACCAAGAGACCACTTTATTTTATTTATATATTTATCAAGTATCTATTAATATGTGATGTATTACATAATGTGCATATTTTAAATAATATATAATTTATATTTTATGTCCATATATATGTGCCAAATTTCCCTATACTTGCTTTCCAGTTATATTTTAGATTAGAGGAAATGTGCATTTTTGCACAAACGTTTTTTGAAAGGCCTAGATTTATAGGCTGTAATGCATTAATTATAGTCGCTTGTTAGTGCATTACTAAAAACTACTCAATAAACATCCTAGGTTTTCCAGCTATTAGGCACAAGATACTAGAGTCTCAAATAATAAACTGCATATTGAATGTTTGAAAATATTAAAAGTTCTTTCTTGTAAAGACTCCTGACTCTTTGTTTTGAATACTGCTGCCATCCAACCTCTTGTGGAGATGAATTGGTCTTCTCACCAAGTGGGAACACAATCCTGTTGTGAAACTTTCCTAATTGATTAGCGGCTTTTCCCCATCACATTTAGAATATCATGAGTGCCACTCTGGCATTAATCAACCACAAAAGTCATGTTTACTATAGGTGCTCAATTCTGAATTGGTAACTCCCGAGCACCTGTAGTGAACTGGCTCAAAATAATCATTTTTTACCTCTAGAGTCTAGACCTTATGAAGTTGGGTCAGCACAAAGTAAAATATCTAGATCATATCATTTGAATATTTTTGAGAAATGTTTATACTGTTAATAAAATTTAACATTTTACCTTCAGTCTTGCATTTGAGAGACAATCCATTTATTTAAATAGAGTTGCTGTACCTTCTGCAAAACTCTCACTGAAGATATTGTTTAATGTTATTCAAAGTGGTTTATAAAAGAACTGGTGAGATAAATTTCCTTTTGAGCTTAATCTCAGGAAAGAAAAACTGTGTGCACCCATAATTTTGTAAAATAGCTCTTCTAATATAAGGAAAACTACAACCGAACCTATTTCCCGTTTTACCTTTGTTGCTTGGAAATAGCTCAGTTCACTTACTTGTCAGCATCTACTCTGCCTAACTTCTGTAAAACGCATCTGTTTATACCTGAATTCTCTTATTCTGAACTATGTAGAAGACTATAACTTGCATCACAACCTCACTAAAGTATACATCTTAATTAAAAAATCTCCTCAATTTGAAACTATAAATACAACAGTCTTGACCAGCCCAGGAATCAGCAGAAATTAGCTCTTAAGAAATAAAGTAAGACACATGATTGAGATGAAGTTTAGAAAATGCATTTCTCATTAAATGAAAAGCAGGCAGAAATTTTAACTTTCACAGTAATTTCTTAATTATCTAAACACTGATTATAAGGAGAAGAGGAAAAGCAAACACAAACAACAGATCATCTCAAATTAACTTAGTTTAATTTTGGAATCAACCAATATATATTTCCTGAACCTCTGCTGTGTGCTCAGTCCAGGCTAAACCCTATGTGCAATGACAAGAAATGTTTAGGCCTGGCCTCAAGATTTTACCATCTAGTTTAAGAAGCAACAAATAATTAGCTGTTTTTTTAAAAAAAAACAGTTAATTGGGAGGCAATTAGGCTGAGAGAGCTCCAGCACCTTGAGTTTCTAGCAAACCAAAACCCAATTTAATGTAAATTATAAAATGAAACTTAAGCTTAACCAATTAGAAGCAACCAGTTAGCCTCTAACTAGAGACTTTACCAATCAGAAACTGCCAACTAACCTCTAAATAAAGACTTTCCACTTTAACCAATCAAATATTTTATTCGCCCTGTTTCTCCAAACACCTTATAAAAGTTGTCACCTCATGCCCTTTTAGTGGAGTGCTAAACCTCTTGTGGTCTGGTGCTGCCTGATTCATGAATTGTTGACTGCTCAAAGAAAATGTTTAAAATTGTAATATACCTAAGTTTATCTTATAACAGAGCAAATTTAACAGCAAACCTGCCACATTCAACAAATATTAGCAGCCATAATATAATTAGATGCAAAATGGTATCTCTAGGCAAAAAGTCTATTGGCTATTATAGAAGGGGGAGTGGTCAATAAGGCATAAAGATAGAGATCTATATACCCACAATCATATAGAACCTTACTTATATATCCCTTGTCCCTACGCCATATCACCTATGGGGAAAACAATCACTCCCTTTCCTGAATACCCAGAGAACTTAAAACTATACATAGGCATGTCATCTGGGGATGTGGGGACTTATCTCTCCTGCACAGGCACCTGCACACACCATCCAGGGTTCTGAGGACAGGACTGGTCTACCCACCATTACTACCACCTGCACCCAAGCATGCCATTCAGGAAATGGGGATTGAACCACCCCTCCTGCTGCAGCTAGCAACTGTGTGCACTATTGAGGAAGCCAGAAGATAAGTCTGTGAGCCCACCACTGGTAGCCATGTATGTCATCCAGAAGTCTAGGGGTTGATCTGCCCCACCAGCCACTGCAGACATTTGGAGACCTGGGGATTGACCTGTCTTGTCCACCACTGCAGGTGCCTGCATGCATCATCCAGGAGCCTGAGGACAGGCCTGCCCCTCCCACCACTGCTACTGCCAGTGCATGTGGGCATTGTCTAGGGCCTGAAGACAAGCCTGTCTCACCCATCATCAAAGCTACCTGCACCCAAGCATGCCATCCAGGCATCTGCTTGCTGCAGCCAGCACTTCTGCACACTATTGGGGAAGCATAAGGACAGGTCCATCCCTCTGACACTATCATCACTGGTGCCTAAGGACCAGTCTGCCCGGAGTTCCTGTCCCCAGCCAAGCCTTACCACGGTGTCCACTAATAACCACAGTCTAAGCCATTGAGGAACTCAGAGATGCCACTGGTACTGATAACAGCCAAAGAAATCATATGGAGACAACACTACTGTGGCCACCTGGAATCAAAGCCAAACCACCCTACCCAACCAGCGCTATAGATATATCCATAGGAAGAAGTATTTTCCTATGAAAGCAAAGCAATAAAATTGGAGTAAGTGACTGTTACACCAGATGGGCAGATATCAGTGTAAGGACACAAGAAACATAAAAAAGCACAGAGACATGCCGTCTCCAAGAGAACACAATAATTCTCCAGCAACAGATTCCAATGAAATATAAATCTATGAAATGTCTGAAAAACAATTCAAAATTATGATATTAAAGGTCAGTGAGATACAAGAAAACATAAATAAACAATACAAAAAAATCACAAAAACAACTCATGATCAGAATGAGAAATTAAAAAAGAGTTAGATATAATAAAGGAGAAACAAACAAAAATCCAAGAACTGAAAATCCAATGAATGAAATTAAAAATATGAATATAGTTTCAACAATAGACTAAATCAAGCAGCTGAAAAGATTTCTGAACTTGAAGACAGGTCTTTTGGAAAAATCCAGTCAGACCAAAAAAAGAGAAAAAATAAACAAAACCTGTCAGATATATGAGACATCATAAGGTAATTAAATACCCAAATTTGGGGTGTTCCAGAAGGTGAAGAGAAAGCCAAAGCCATAGAAAATTTATTTACTGAAACAATACCTGAAAATTGCCCAAGTCTAGCAAGAGATTTAAACATCCAGACATAGGGAGCTCAGAAATCCCCAAATATATACAATCCAAAAGGTTTTCTTTCTTTTTTTTTTTTTTTAGACGAAGTCTTGCTCTTGTCCCCCAGGCTGGAGTGTAATGGTGGAATCTCGGCTCACTGCAACCTCTGCCTCCTGGGTTCAAGCAATTCTCCTGCCTCAGCCTCCTGAGTAGCTGGGATTACAGGTGTCTGCCACCACGCCTAGCTAATTTTTGTATTTTTAGTAGAGATGGGGTTTCACCATGTTGGCCACGCTGGTCTTGAACTCCTGACCTCAAGTGATCCACCCGCCTCGGTCTCCCAAAGTGCTGGGATTACAGATGTGAGCCACCATGCCCCGCCTCTTTTGTTGTTGTTGTTTTTGAGATGGAGTCTTGTTGTTGTTGTTGTTTTTGAGATGGAGTCTGTTGCGCAGGCTGAAGTTCAATGGTGCAATGTCAGCTAACTGCAGCCTCTGCCTCTCAGGTTCAAGCCATTCTCCTGCATCAGCTTTCTGAGTAGCTGGGATTACAGGTATGAGCCACCACATCTCGCTAATTTTTTTGTATTTTTAGTAGAAATAAGGTTTCACCATGTTGGCCAGGCTGGTCTCAAACTCCTGACCTCAGTTGATCTGCCCGCCTCAGCCTCACAAAGTGTTGGGATTACAGGTGTGAGCCACTGTGCCCAGCCGCCAAAAAGATTTTCTCCATGGCACATAAAATTCAAAGTGCCAGGCCGGGTGCGGTGGCTCATGCCTGTAATCCCAGCACTTTGGGAGGCCGAGGTGGGTGGATCACCTGAGGTCAGGAGTTTGAGACCAGTCTGGTCAACATGGCAAAACCCCATCTTTACTAAAAATACAAAAATTAGGTAAGTGTGGTGGCAGATACCTGTAATCCCAGCTACTCAGGAGGCTGAGGCAGGAGAATGACTTGAACCCAGGAGGCAGAAGTTGCAGTGAGCCGAGATTGCACCACTGCACTCCAGCCTGGGTGACAGAGAGAGACTCCATCTCAAAAAAAAAAGTCGAAATGTGAAAAGTCAAAGACAAGGAGAGAATTATAAAAACAGCAAGAGAAAAGCATCTAGTCATATATAAGAGAACCCTGATCAGACTAATGATGGATGTCTCAGGAGAAACCTTTTGCCAGGAGAGAATGTCATGATATCTTCAAGGTGCTGAAAGAAAAAGATAAAACTGTCAGCCAAGGATACTAAAACAAGTAAAGCTAGTCTTAAAAAAAATGAAGAAGAAATACTTTTCCAGACAAGCAAAATCTGAGAAAATTCATCACCACTACACTGGCCCTGCAAAAAAAAAAAATGCTTAAGGGAGTCCTATACCTGAAAACAGAAAGGAAAAATCTACCATTTTGAAAACACATGAAACTATAAAACTCACTGATAAAGCAGATACACAAAAGAGAAGGAGAAAGGAGATAAATATCACCGCTGCAGAAAACCATCAAACTACAATGATAATAAGAGAGGAAAAAAAGAACAAAAGATATACAAAACTAACAGAAAAAAAATAAAATGATGGAAATACATTCTCATCTATCAATAATAACCTTGAATGTCAATGGGTTAAATTCCTCACATAAAAGACATAGACTAACTGAATGGAAAAAAAAAAGATCCAACTATACGCTGCCTACACAAAACTCACTTCACCTCTAAAGACACATATAGGCTGAAAGTGAAGCTATGGAAAAAGATATTCCACACCAGTGGAAACCAAAAGCAAGCAAAACTAGTGATACCTTTATCAGATAAAACAGACTTTAAGTCAAAAACTTTAAAATGAGACAGAAAAGGTCATTATGTAATGATAAAGGATCCATTGAGCAAGAGGGTATAACAATTTTAAACATATATGCATCCTACACCAGAGCACCCAGATATATAAAGTAAATATTATTAGATCTAAAAGGAGGTATAGACTCCAACAAAATAATAGTTGGGAACTTCAACACTACACTCTCAACATTAGACAGATCATCTAGATAGAAAATCAACAAAGAAACACTAGATTTCAAATGTACTTTAGACCAAATGGACTTAACAGTCGTTCACAGAACATTTCATCCAACTACTGCAGAATGCACATTCTTCTCATCAGCACATGGAACATTCTCCAGGATTGACCATATGTTAGGTCACAAAACAAGTCTCAACAAGTTTTAAAAAATCAAAATCATATCAAGTATATTATCAAGCCACAGTGAAATAAACCCAGAAAGAAGTAACAAGAGAAACTTTGGAAATTGTACAAATACACAAAAATTAAACAATATGCTCCTGAAAAGTCATTTGATCAATGGAGAAATTATAAAGGAAATCTTTTAAAATGTGAAACAAATGAACATGGAAATACAGCACACCAAAACCTATGGGACACAACAAAAACAGTGTAAGAGGGAAGTTTATAGCAATAAAAGCCTATATCAAAAAAGTAGAGGCCGGGTGTAGTGGCTCACTCCTGTGATCCCAGCACTTTGGGAGGCCAAGGCAGGCAGATTGCCTGAGCTCAGGAGTTTGACACCAGCCTGGACAACATGGTGAAACCCCGTCTCTATTAAAAATACAAATAATTAGTCGGGCAAGGTGGCGTGTGCCTGTATTCCCAGCTACTCAGGAGGCTGGGTGGGTGAGTGAGTGCGACTCTGTCTCCAAAAAAATTAACTAAAACAAAAAGTAGAATGATCTGAAACAAACAACCTAACAATGCACCTCAAGGAACTAGAAAAGCAAGAACAACTCAAACCTAAAGTTAGTAGAAGAAAAGAAATAACAAAGATCAGAGCAGAACTAAATAAAATTGAGACTACAAAAATAATAATAAGGATCACTAAAGTGAAAAGTGTTTTTTTTTTTGTTTGTTTGTTTTGTTTTTTTAGAAGAAATGTCGCTTTGTTCCCCAGGCTGGAGTGCAGTGGTGCAACCTCAGCTCACTGCAACCTCTACCTCCCAGGTTCAAGCGATTGTGAGTAGCTGGGATTACAGGTGTGTGCCACCACACCCGGCTAATTTTGTGATTTTTAGTAGAGACGGGGTTTTACCATGTTGGCCAGGCTGGTCTCAAACTCCTGACCTCAGGTGATCCACCCACCTCGGCCTCCTGGATGACAGGCATTACCCACCACAACTGGCCAAAAAGTTGTGTTTTTGTTTTGTTTTCTTTTTAAAAAAGAAAACGAAATCGATAAACTGCTAGTTAGACTAACCAAGAAAAAAGATAAATGATCCAAATCAGTAAAATTATGAATGAAAAAGGAGGTATTACAACTGATACCAAGTAATGCAAATAATCATTAGAGACCATTATAAATAGCTGTATGCTAACAAATTTGAAAACCTAGAGAAAAAAAAGATAAATTCCTGGGCAAATATAACTTATAAAGATTGAACCAAGAGGACATAGAAAACCTGGACAGACCAATAACAATTAGTGAGATTAAATCAGTAATAAAAAGTCTCCCAAAAAAGAAATGCCTAGGACCAAATGGCTTTGCTGCTGAATTCTACAATTATTCCCAAACTATTGCAAAAAATTGAAGAGAAGAGAATTCTCTAACTCATTCTATGATGTTAGCATTCCCCCTTACCAAAACCAGACAAGGACATAACAACAAGAATGAAAAAATTATAGGCCAAAATCCCTGATGAATACAGACACAAAATTCTCAACACAATACCAGCAAACTGAATTCAATAGCATATTAAAAAGACCATTCACCATGATCAAGTGTGATTTATCCCAGAGATGCAAGGATGGTGCAACATATGCAGATCAACAAATGTATACATAGTATTAACAAAACAAAGGACAAAAATCATATGATTATCTTATAAATGCAGAAAAAGCATTTAACAAAATTCAACATCTCTTCACAATACTCTCAACAAACTAGGTATAGAAGGAGTATACCTCAACATAATAAAGGATATATATGAAAAACCCACCATTAGCTTCATCTTCAATGGGGAAAAGCTGAAAGTCCTTCCTCTAAGAAGTGGAACAAGACAAGGATGCCCACTTTCACCACTCTTATTCAACAGAGTACTGGAAGTCCTACAGAGCAATCAGGCAACCAAAAGAAATAAAAGGCATCCAAATAGAAAAAGAGAAAGTGAAATTGTCCCTCTTTGCAGATAACATAATCTTATATATAGAAAAACCTAAAGACTCCACCAAAAACTGTTAGAACTGACAAACGAATTTAGTAAAGTTTCAGGAAATAAAATCAGCACACTAAACTAAGCAATGTTTCTATACATCAATAGCAAACTATCTGAAAAAGAAATCAAGAAACAATCCCATTTACAATAGCTACATAAAATACCTAGAAATAAATTATACCAAGGAGGTGAAAAACCTCTGCAACAAAAACTACAAAACACTGATGACAAAAAATGAAGAGGACACAAACAAATCAAAAGATATCTCATATTGTTATAATAACCACATTCTCTAAAGCAACCTATAGATTCAATGCATTCCCTAAGAAAATACTGAGACATTCTTCACAGAAATAGAATAAAAAATCCTAAAATGTATATGGAACCACAAAAGACTCCAAATAGCTCAAGAAATACTTACCAAAAAGAATAAAGCTGGAAGCATCACACTCACTACCCAACTTCAAAATATACTACAAGGCTATAGCAACCAAAACAGCATGGTATTGGTATAAAAATATACACATCAACCTATGGCACATATTATAGAACCGATAAATAAATTCATGTGTTTACAACTAAGATTTTTGACAAAGGCATCAAAATCATATGTGGGGAATGGAGACCCTCTTCAATAAATGGTGCTGGGAAAACTGGATATCTGTGTGCAGAAGAATTAAACTGGACCTCTATCTCTCATTATATACAAAAATCAACCCAAGATGGATTAAAGACTTAAACATAAAACCTGAAACTATAAAACTACCAAAAGAAAACACAGAAGAAATACTTCAGGACATTGGTCTAGGCAAAGATTTTACGGCTGACTTCAAAAGCACAGGCAACAAAAACAAAAATAGACAAATGGGACTATACTAAACTAAAAAGCTTCTGTGCAGTAAAGGAAACAGTCAACAGAGTGAAGAGACAACCTGTTAAATGGAAGAAAATATTTGCAAACGATTCATCTGACAAGGAACTAATATCTAGAAGATACAGGGAACTCAAACAACTCAACAGCAAAAAAAAAAAAAAAAACAAATAATTCCATTAAAAAGTGGGTAAAGGATCTCAATAGACATTTCTCAGAAGATATACAAATGGCCAACACATATATGAAAAAATGCTCAACATCACTAATTATCAAGAAAATGCAAATCTAAACCACAATGAGATCATCTCAGCCCCGTTAGAATGGCTATTACGAAAAATGCAAAGAATAACTATATAGAAAAGGGAACTGTTATAGACTTTGGGGAATGTAAATTAGTATAGCCATTATGAAAAAACATTATGGGGATTTCTCAAAAAGTTAAAGATAGAGCTACAATATGATCTTGCAATCCATCCACTGGGTATTTATCCAAAAGAGGGGAAATCAGTATATCAACTGGATATATGCACTATCATGTCTATTGCAGCACTATTCACAGTAGCCAAGATATGGAATCAACCTAAGTGTTCATCAGGATGGACAAAGAAAACGGTTTATAGATACATAATAGAATTTAGCCATAAAAAGAATGAAATCTTCTCATTTGCAGTAACATGTCACCTGGGCTGGAGTGCAGTGATGTAATCATAGTTCACTGTAGCCTTGAATTCCTGGGCTCAGCCTCCCAAATAGCTGGGATTACAGGCATGAGCCACCATGCCCAACTAATTTTTTTTTTTTTTTTTTTTTGAGACAGAGTTTTGCTCTGTCACCCAGGCTGGAGTGCAGTGGCGCGATCTTGGCTCACTGCCACCGCAACCTCCATCTCCTGGGTTCAAGCAATTCTCCTGTCTCAGACTCCTGAGTAGCTGGGATTACAGGAGTGTGCCACCATGCCCAGCTAGTTTTTTTTGTATTTTTAGTAGAGACGGGGTTTCATCATGATGGCCAAGCTGGCCTCAAACTCCTGACCTCAGGTGATCCTCCTGCCTTGGCCTCCCAACGTGCTGGGATTACACGTGTGAGCCACCATCCCCTGCCTTTTTTTTTTTTTTTGAGACAGGGTCTCACTATGTTGCCCAGGCTGGTCCTGAACTACTGGCCTCAAGTGATCCTCCCACATCAGCCTCTCAAAGCACTAGGACTGTCATTTTGTTTAGTGAAATAATCCAGGCATAGAAGGACAGATATTGCATATTCTCAGTCATATGTGGGAGCTTAACAAATTTATTTTATTGAGATAGAGAGTGGAATTATGGTTACCAGAGGCTGGGAAGGATAGAAGTGGGGGGTTGAGGAAAGGTTGGTTAATAGTTAGAAATATACAGTTAGATAAAAGGAATAAGTTCTAGTGTTTGATAGCACAGTGGGGTGACTATAGTCAACAATAACTTGTTATATATTTCAAAATAGCTGCAAGAGAATAAATGAAATATTCTCAATGCAAAGAAATGATAAATGTTTGAGGTGATGGATATCCTAAATACCCTGATATGATCATTACACATTGCATGCATGTATCACATGGACCCCATAAATATGTTCAGTTATTTATGAATTTAAAAAGAATATTTATATAGGTAATACCAAAAAAGTAAAAATTATAACAGTGTAAAAGAGTGTTTAAATAAAAAGAGAAGGCCTCTTTTATTTCCTTCACACCTCCAATCCTAAAACTCAGATTTACCCACTATTTAGTTTTAAATTATTTTTACTGTGTATGAATATAAATATATATGGATCATACTACTCTCTAGTTACCTTTTATATTGTAGTAATATATATATAACATGAAATTTACCATTTTAACCATATTAAGTACATTCACAATGTTGTGCACCAACATCCGTTAACACCATCCGCCTCCAGAATTTTTCTCCATCTCAGACAAACTTTCTGCCCATTAAACAATAACTCTCCATTTGCCTTCCCCCCACCTCTATAACATTCATTGTACTTTTTGTCTCTATGAATTTGACTACTTCAGGTACCTCATGTAAGGGGAATTATACAATATTTGTCCTTAAGTGTGTGACTTACTTCTCCTACCATAATGTTTTCAAGGTTCATCTATGTTGTAGCATGTATCAGAAATTCATTTTCTGTGACTGAATAATATTCCATTTTATGGATATACTATATTTTGTTTATCCATTCATGTTTGTGGACACTTGGATTGCTTCCATCTTTTGGCTATTGTGAATAATGGTGCTATGAACATTGGTGTCCAAGTGTCTGTTTGAGGACTTGCTTTGAATTCTTTTGGGTCTATGCCTAGGAGTAGAATTGTTGGATCATATGATAATTCTATATTTACCTTTGTGAAGAACTACCAAACTATTTTGCATTCCCCCAAGCAATGTACCAGGGTTCTCATTTATCTACCACCTCCCACACCTGTTATTTTCCTTTTTTAAATTAATAGTCATCTTAATGGGTATGAAGAGGTATCTCATTGTAGATATGTCTGTCCTTAAGCCAGTATTACACTATTTTAATTACTGTACCTTTTTAGTAAGTTTTGAAATCCGGAAGTGTGTATACTCCAACTTTGTTCTTTTTCAAGATTGTTTTGGCTATTGAGGGTCCTTAAAATGCCATATAAGTGTTATTTTTTCTACTTCTGCACAAAGTGCTGTTGGAATTTTGATAGGGATTGCATCTAATCTGTAGATCACTTTGGGTAGTATTGTCATCCTAACAATATTAAGTGTAGCAATCTATGAATACAGGTTGTCATTCCATTTACTCAGATCTTGTTTAGTTCCTTTCAGCAATGTTTTATGATTTTCAGTGTACAAGTCTTTCTTTTCTTTGGTTAAATTTATTTCTAAGTTGTTGTTTTTTTTTTTGTTTTGTTTTGTTTTTTTTTTTAGATGGAGTCTCGCTCTGTAGCCCAGGCTGGAGTGCAGTGGCGCTATCTAGGTTCACTGCAAGCTCTGTCTCCCGGGTTCACGCCATTCTCCTGCTTCAGCCTCCAGAGTAGCTGGGACTACAGGCGCCCGCCACCACACCCGGCTAATTTTTTTGTATTTTTAGTAGAGACGGGGTTTCACCGTGTTAGCCAGGATGGTCTCGATCTCGTGACCTCGTGATCTGACCGCCTCCACCTCCCAAAGTGCTGGGATTACAGGCGTGAGCCAACACGCCCCGCCCATTTCTAAGTATTTTTTATGTTACTGTAAATGAAATTATTTTCTTAATTTCCTTTTTGGATTGTTCGTTGCTAATATATAGAAATGCAACAGAGTTTTGTGTTTTGTGCAATTGCCTTTTGCACTCCCTCATTTCTTTTACTAGAAAACCATAATATGGCAGGGCGCAGTGGCTCAAGCCTGTAATCCCAGCACTTTAGGAGTCCAAGGCAGGCGGATCACCTGAGGTCAGGAGTTTGAGACCAACCTGGCCAGCATATAGTGAAACCCTGTCTCTACTAAAAAATACAAAAATTAGCTGGGCATGGTGGCACATGCCTGTAGTCCCAGCTACTTGGGAAGCTGAGGCAGGAGAATTGCTTGAACCCGGGAGGTAGAGGTTGCAGTGAGCCAAGATCGCGCCACTCTACTCCAGCTCCAGCGACAGAGAGTGAGACTCGGTCTCTAAAAAAAATAAATAAATAAAAAGAAAAGAAAACCATAATATGGTTGTTCACCTGTCTAATTTATTAGACTGTCTACCGATTTTTATAGTGACCATATATTTTATCATACAAGCCATAAGACTTTCCAGAGAGAAAGAGTGCTATCACACAGTGACAATAGGTGTTAATTTGAATTTTCCAGGGAAACCAAAATGTATGATCATCCTACCTACTATTGAAAGGATATGTATATAGCTTGGCTTTTTTGTTAACTTTCCTATATCACTAACACACTTTTACCTTAGTTCTATAGTAATTTATAAACACGTTTTATATCCTGAATCAGTTTGCCAGCCCCTTGAAGATAAAAATTGATTTCCCATTGCCTTTGTATTACCCAATATCTAGAACATTGCCTTATGTCTGTTGGATGAATGATGACTCTTGTTTACCTCTACAGAAATTCTTGATTTTCTACCCACAGAGTCCCTCTGACTCAGTGAGAGCTTTCCACACAAAACCACTATGAATAAATAAGGGGATGTGACCTAGGACCTACAGTAAACAAAACAATTAATCATAGAGTTTATAAGATCATCTTCAAACTACAGAACGCAGTAAGTCATACAATGGGATCCATGAAGGTGGCATAATCATTTCCAATTTTCACAAAGATTATAGAATGCTATTACTTTATATTAAAATTTGAATAAATGACTGGTTAAGATTCACAGACTCTGAAATCACTTCCAAAAGCAATGATTTATTTAGGAATTTGGGCTAATAGGCGAGCTCTACAGAAAATATGATATGTCCTCAGACATTTTAAAATATATCCAGGAATTATTCTAAATGGTAACACACTTTAGATGATCCATTGTCCTATTAGATCTCAAACAATGTACTGTATGTGTTTTTATCCTTTGGATAATGAATAAAGAATACAGTTGGACTTCTATCTCACACCATATGCAGAAAATTAACTAAAATAGATCGATAAACTAAATGTAACAACTAAAACTAAAAACCCCTTGGAAGAAAACAGAGGTAAATATGCATGGGCAGGGCGCGGTGGCTCACACCTGTAATCCCAGGGCTTTGGGAGGCTGAGGCATGCAGATCACTTGAGGTCAGGAGTTCGAGGCCAGCCTGGGCAACATGGTGAAACCCCGTTTCTACTAAAAATACCAAAATTAGCTGGGCGTGTGGTGTGCACCTGTAATCCCAGCTACTTGGGAGGCTGAGGGAAGAGAATCGCTTGAACCCAGGAGGTGGAGATTGCAGTGAGCTGAGATAGCACCACTGCACTCCAGCCAGGGTGACAGAGCAATATATATAATTTATATTATATTATAGTATATATTTAATGTAAAATAAAATATATTTTATATATCAAATATATATATTTGATATATATCAAATGTATATCAAAAATATATTTTTGTGTGGAAGCAATAGACCAGGGCGAGGATCCCAATATACCTGCCCAGAGAAAACTTACATTATTCAAAGAGTGTGCTCTTAGAACGTGTCCTTTAAAAGGGAAAAGAGGTTTAATAGGGTTTGATATTTTTTATCAAAAATTAAATAAATATGCATGGCCTTGGATTTCACATATCCATACTCAGCTGATGGAAAGTGAAACATTGCAGCCATTTGTAGAATATCACCTCAAGTTACAAGTGTGAAGCTCACTTATGATCACAATTTTCCTGGATGAACACCATACCAGTTTTTCTTTACAAGTCTTAGTAGGAATAAATCTGGCTTTTCGTGTGTTCAGTGTATGACACTGTTAATTGGTATGCTTCTCAATTCCTGATGTTTTCTTCTATAGGAGGGAGTTTAATTAATGTGACACTCCTAGAAGATTCTTTCTACTTCTTTACAAACCCCATTAAAGCGTAGGTGGGGTGAAATCTGTTTAACGAATCTGAGGCGAATAAGCCAGGTGTATTAGGCCCAGAGCTTTTCTCTTTTCCCTTTTAAAGGAAACATTCTAAGAGCACACTCTTTGAGTAATGTAAGTTTTCTTTGGGCAGGCATATTGGGATCCTCGCCCTGGTCTATTGCTTCCACAAATGAGCAGATAAGTATATAGTTTATCTTTTACTGTGTAAGAAATCACTCCAAAATTTAATGGCCATATGACTTTCCTGTGGCTGCTGTAACACAGTAGCACAAACTGGTTGGCTTAAAACATCAGAAATTTATTTTATCACAGTTCAGGAGTTAGAACTTCGAAATTAAATTCTATGTTCCCTTTGAAGGCTCCCAGGAAGAATCTGTTGCATGCCTTTTAGCTTCTGATGTCACCAGCAATCCTTGGTTTTCCTTGTAAATTCATCACTCCAATCTCTGCCTCTGTTGTTACATGGCATTCTCCCTGTGTGTTTGTCTCTATCCCTCCTCTCCTTTTATTTTATAATGACATCAGTTGTATTGGATTAAGGGCCCAACTTACTACAGTATGACATCATCTTAACTTACATATTAATTACATTTACAAAGACTCAATTTCCAAATAAGGTCACATTCACAGGTACCAGAGGCACCAGGGGTTATGATGTCAATATATCTGTTTAAGAAACACAATTCAACCCACAACAATGGCTTAAACAGCAAACATTATTTCTTATGATTCTGCTGGTTAGCTGGACAGGATATTCTAGTCTAGGCTGGCTCAACTGGGACCGGATGGTGTAATAAAGCCTCATTCACATTTCTGGGGTCTCATCTGGGACAGCTAAGATGACTTCCATAGCTAGGGCCTCTGTCCACATGATCTCTCACCTTTTCAAAGTCTAGCACAGGATTGTTCTCACAGTGATGGATAGTTTCCTAGAAGTGGGAGGCAGAGAGTTTCAATGTGCAATAATTTTCCAAATGTTTGCTTATATCACATTTTCTAATGTTTCACTGACCAAAGCAAGCCACAAGCCTAAGCCAAGATTCAATGCAGGAGTGGACTACCCAGGAAGGCATGAACAAATTGGGGCTACTGCTACAATTATCTAGCACAGTGGCTACATCTAGTTTGGAGGTTTGGCATTCCATAGTTCCATGCACCTTCAGATATAAGCCATGTCTTCTGACTTCACCACTTGGGAGAAATAAAGGTGACATTTTAATCTCTAAATGGAACTTCTTCATCTTTTTGCTCACTTTTTTTCAAAAATAACATGAATTATGTATTGGAGCCCCCACAACTTCATTCTCCTTTTTATATAACTTCTAATAAGTGATAACATCATTTATTCATTCAACAAACATTTATTGCAAATCTACTTTATGGCAGGCACAAGAGATATGGTGGTAAGCTAGTAAAACATAGTTCCTACCCAAAACAAGCTTATATTCCAACTCCCATTTTAGAGGTCAGGTGATGGTGAAGACGAACTGCAGCTGGGGATAGAGAAGGGCCTGATCCTTTCATAATCTCTCTCAGTCAGTCTTCCCTCAATGCCAATAGAAGAAAACACAGAGTCTGGCCGGGCGCAGTAGCTCATGCCTGCAATCCCAGCACTTTGGGAGGCCGAGGCAGGTGGATCACCTGAGGTCTGGAGTTTAAGGCTAGCCTGACCAACATGGTGAAAACCCATCTCTACTACAAATACAAAAATTAGCCAGGCATGGTGGCACATCCCTATAATCCCAGCTACTTGGGAGGCTGAGGCAGGAGAATCACGTGAACCCGGGAGATGGAGATTGCAGTGAGTTAAGATCATGCCATTGCACTCCAGCCTGGGCAATACAGTGAGACATTGTCTCAAAAATAAAATAAAATAAAATAAAAGACAGAATCTATGAAAAAAATGTGCATAATTCTAGAGTGGTCAACAAATTCAGTATTTCCTGAACTATTTTTATGCCCAAATTACTTTGGAGGCCATGCAACTGCCCAAATTGCACCAGTGATCTGGTTTCACCACAACTTGAAATGCTGGCCACAGGGTAATGCCACAAAGTCACGATTACTTTTTATTTTCCATTTTTTGTAACAGCTTTATCGAAATATAATTCACATACCATATACTTCACACATTTAAAGTTTGCAATCCAGTGTTTTTTGTATATTCATAAAGTTGTGCAACCAAAGCCCAATCAATTTTAGAATATTTTCATCACCCTAAAATGAAGTACCATGCTCATAAACAGTCACTCTCCATTCTTGCCCCCCAGCAATAAGCAACCACTAATCTATAATACTTTCTGTCAGTATGAATTTTTCTATTCTGGAAAATTCATACAAATGGAATCATACAATATGTGGCCTTTTCTGTTACTGACTTCTTTCACTTAGCATTATGATTTTAAGGATCATTCATGTCGTGGCATAAATCACTACTTCTTAACTTTTTATTACTGAATATTGTGCTGAATAGATAGTCAACATTTTGTTTATTCATTCATCATTTGATGGGCATTTAAGTTGTTTTCACTTTTTGCCCATTATGAATAATGCTGCTGCAAGCATTCGCATAAAGCTTTTGTGTGAATATGTGTTTTCATTTCTCTTGAGTATATACCTAGGAGTGGAATTACTGGGTCATATGGTAACTCTATGTTAAACTTTTGGAAGAACTGATAAACTCTTCTCCAAATGACTGTAACATTTTACTTTCCCAGCAGCAGAGTATAAGGGTTCTAATTTCTCCACATCTTCAACAACTCTTGTTGCTATTATACACTTTTTGATTATAGTCATCCTAGTGGGTGTTTGTCTTTAATTTTTACTATGTACTGGCACCTAAATTATGGTCATTAACTTAAATGACTATACTCTAAGACCTTACTACCTTAAGGTGTGTTCTATGGCCCAGAAGTATAGACTTCACTTGGGAGCTTAACAGTAATGCAGAAGCTCAAGTCCCGACCCCAACCTACTGAATCAGAATATAAATTTTATCAAGATCCTCATGATTTCATGTACATAAAATACCAAGATCAGATAAATCCATAGAGAATAAGTAAATCCGTAAAGGCAGAAAATCAATAGTGGTTGTCAGGGGTAGACTAAATGGTGAATGGAAGCCACTGTTTTTTGGGCATGAGATTTGTCTTTTGGGGATGAAAATGTCTTGGAACTAAATGGAAATGGTGGTTGCATAACATCGTGGGTGTCCTAAATGCTACTGAATTGTTTACTTTAAAATGGTTACTTCCATGTTATTCACTTCAATAAAAAAATTGAGCTGGGTGTGGTGGCTCACACCTGTAATCCCAACACTTTGGGAGGATGAGGCAGGAGGATCACTTGAGGCCGGGAGTTCAAGACCAGCCCTGTCAATATAGCGAGACTCTGTCTCTACAAAAAAAAAAATTAGCCAGGTATGGTGGCATGTGCATGTGGTCCCAGCAACACAGGAGACTGAGGCGGGAGGATCACCTGAGTCCAGGGAGGTCGAGGCTGAAGTAAGCTATGGTTGTGCCACTGCACTCCAGCCTGGAAGACAGAGCAAGACCCTGTCTCAAAAAATATATATATATATACACACACATATAATATATAATACATATACGTACATTATATATAATACATATATATTATATAAAATACAAAATAAATGTATATAATCTATACACAAAGAGAGAGAGAAGTTACATTGTGTTCAGCTCTGTGTTAGGGCCAAGGTAGAATCCTCGTATTCAGATTTGGGATTTGGGGAGCTAAACATTTACTTGTGGGAATAAGACTAAAACACATGAAACAATCTGTTAACAAGCCAGAAGTGTGGGGGTAGACAAGGCTGATTGATGCCCAGTGCCCAACACTCATTCCTACATTCTTCTAATGTACTTTCCTGCACTGCAGAAGATGAAAAGCAAAAAATAAGAAGAAAAGAAAGAAAAAAATTATTGTGTTTTCCAGACACCTTTGCCACTAGCGTTCTCTATACAAACTGGGTTCTGCCAATTTGATGCACTCACATGATATTTGGAAAGCAGAAGAGATGTGGAAGCCATATATATGCCTGCTATTGCAAGCACACTTGTGGAGATGTGAGTTGTCCTCACAAACCGCATTTCAGTATCCAGTCTCTTGCTTATTGGTAACTGTAGGCAGCTACTGGAGTGGTGGTGGCAAGAGTCAGCATCCTCATGCCCAGTCACCAAATTCACAGGTGTTAAGAGACAGCAGAAGCAGCGGTAAAAGCCTCATGATCAAGATTTCCTGTTCCCTATGTTGCGGCTACAGCAGTAACTTCATGAGCTCAGTACTTCCAGTGGCAGCCTCCTTTCTTTCCACCACCTTGACTGTGGCAGAGGTAGTGCACCTCCCATGATGGGAGTCATTCTGAGAAGTCGACTTGAACATGTGCTGCCAATCCTGATCACAGAATGCCAAGCTGGATTTTATGTCAGTAAAATAAAATTGCAGCACTATTTACAACGATGAAAAGTGGGAAACAACCTTAACTGTTTCTTGGTAGAAGAAAGGAAAAGGAACCTGTGGTGTATTCATACAATGGACTACAATATAGCCTATTAAAATATATGAAATAGGCCAGGCGCGGTAGCTCACACCTGTAATCTCTGCACTTTGGGAGGCCGAGGCGGGTGTATCACCTGAGGTCAGGAGTTCGAGACCAGCCTGGCCAACATGATGAAACCCCCATCTACTAAAAATACAAAAAAAAAAAATTAGCTGGAGGTGGTGGCACGCACCTGTAATCCCAGCTACTCAAGAGGTTGAGGCAGGAGAATCACTTGAACCTGGGAGGTGGAGGTTGCAGTGAGCCAAGATTGTGCCACTGCATTCCAGCCTGGGCAACAAGAGCAAAACTCCATCTCAAAAAAAAAAAAATACATATATATATATATATACATACATACATACATACATATATATATATACACACATACATATATATGTACATAGATATGAAATAGATCAACATATATCAACATACATACATCTCATAAACATACTGAATGAAAAACTTAAATAGTGAAAAAATACGAACAGCATGATTCTATTTGTATGCAAATTATTAGAATGCACAGGGCTAGAAAAACATCCAGAGGTGAGAAAACTAACCCCCAATGGCCAAATCCAGGCCTCAGCCTGTCTTTGTATGGCAAGAGAGCCACGAATGCTTTTTACAGTTTTGAAAGGTTATAACACTTTTTCTAATTTTAAAAGCAGAATATTCAACAGAGACCTGCAAAGCCTGAAGTATTTACTATCTAGCCCTTTACAGAAAAAGTTGGCAGACTTCTATGTTTTGTGGAGACACATGCATATATTGGAAACATACATGAGAATGATACTTGCTGATTTCTGGATTAGTGGTTACCTCTGGGGAAGGAAAGCAAAGGGAAATATATCCGCATCATTCAGTTTCTTTACAAAAAGAGATTGGAAACAAGTATGGCAAAATGTTAACATCTGTTTTATCTTGGGACTGCATAGGTGTCTGCTACATTACATTTAGTTTGAATGTTTGAAATGCTTTATAATTAAAAGTAACATTTTAAGAAACAAATGAATAAGTGCATGCAAAAATATTGAAGCCAACAAACAAAAACTGGAATAAGAACATACAAAATTGAAAAGTCACAGAGGCTAATGCTGCTGGAGAAGTGTGGGGAGCTAGAGAAGAGGGATGGAGATTAAGAGGGGTTTCGGGCCTTATGGATGTCCTGTAAGAAAGCGGGGAGCAGGTGGCCGGGCACAGTGGCTCACGCCTATAATCCCAGCACTTTGGGAGGCCGAGGCGGGCGGATCACCTGAGGTCAGGAGTTCGAGACCAGCCTGGCCAACATGGTGAAACCCCGTCTCTACTAAAATATAAAAAAATTATCCAGGCGTGTTGGCAGGCGACTTAATCCCTGCTACTTGGGAGGCAGAGGCAAGAGAATCATTTGAACCTGGGAGGCGGAGGTTGCAGTGAGCCGAGATCGAGCCATTGCACTCAAACTTGGGGGATAAGAGCGAGACTTCTCTCAAAAAAAAAAAAGAAAGAAAGAAAGAAAGAAAGAAAGAAAGAAAGTGGGGAGCAGGTGTGGGAATTTCCCCAGCTTTCTGCCATTTTGTAGTTTCCCGGATTACCGTTTTTCTCACTTCTTATCTGCTTCTCCTTAGTGATTAGTTATACAAACCTTATTGTGCTTTTCAAACTACAACTTTTGATTCTCAAACCCAATCAAATTTGAGAAACTAATTAAAGCTGCAGGTGCCTCTGCACAAGAAGAATGTATGCGCCCACTTCGCAGATGAAGATTTACATAATGAGACTAGAGGAAAGAATGTTCCACCTGGCCCCAGGAATCACAGAATTTCACAGGCTGTGAGCTGCTTCCTTTCACTTTCAGGTGATTTCTCTCTTGGCAGGTATACAGAAAAAAAAAAAAAACAAAAAGCAAACAAACAAACAAAAAAACCCTGAAGGGCCAGCCTTTCCCAGCCAATTTCCCCCTCTAGTGAAGTGTAAGGGGAGAATATAGAAGGTGTCAATTTCCCCCCTTTCCAGGACAAACACTGCCTGGAATTCCCTTTTTACCTCCACTAAGGGCTTCTTGTCAGCCCCAAAGTCCCACTCTCACCCTGGACTCTAGTGTTGAGCTGGGAACTACAGCAGCACATTGCCACCTCAGCCTCTTTACTAAAATCACAGAATTGGAAAGAGAAGGAAAATTCTAGTGGGACAAGAGACATGTTTCCCAGATGGCCCAGTTGTTTGACAGATGCTGAAAACTTCAATGAGCGCCTTTCTCCCTATGGGATGCATGTGTTCATGAACTACACATCCTGCTGGTCTTGAAAGCTTCTAAAGAAGTTTCCACAAGTCCTTTTGGTACCTTCCTCAGTGTTGAACACTCCTCCCTGTCCGGAACTACTTTATGAATACCAAACGTGGTTGCGTGTTTTGTTTTCTTTTTTTCTTTTCTTTTCTTTTTGTTTGTTTTTTTTTTTTTTTTTTTTGCAATTCCAATCCATAGCCTTTGAGTGCATCATTACTCAAAATGAAGTAGACTCTCTTAATATTCACTTTTCATTACTAAAGCCACTAAAGAGTTAACTCCCTGTGTTTTTCTTCTCTTGGCTTAATAGTCCTCATGCCCCTAGCCATATTTTGTTGCTTTATTTTCATCCTGGTGCCTAGTCCATTGGCCTCTCTCCATACTGTTCATGTTGATCCTAGAACCTATATGGTGAGGCATTATGTGACAAATCGGGCTTGGTCTGGGAATTTGAAGGCCTGGGTTCTACTGCCAGCTCTGTCTCTTCCTACCCATGGGAACTTTGGCAAGCTATTTAAAATTTCTGAGCTTCAGTTTCCTCATCCGAATTATTATCAATTCAGATAATAATTGTCCTTACTGGGATACAGTCCAGACTAAATCAGATAACAGAAATAAAGGGGCTTTCTGAACTAAAGAGCATTATATAAGAGTAAGCTATTACTCTAAAGTAAAAGTCTTTCCAGTGCTAAATAAAATAAGCATCAGATCTCCCCTGCTTGTTCACACAGTGACAGACTTGTCTGATTTTGCTAAGCACATTTTTTGAGCCATGGCATATTCCTTCCTCGCAATCAGATTGTGGTTTGCCATGACCCCTCTATTGGAGACAAGATTAGAAGCTGCTAAAACTTATTGTTGGAAAGATTAGAAGTTGTACTATTTAAAGCTGCCCATCAAGGTGATGTATCTTGTCATATATATATATACACACACACACACACACACACACACACACACACATATGTATACACATGTGGCTGGGCGCAGTGGCTCATGCCTGTAATCCCACACTTTGGGAGGCTGAGGTGGGTGGATCATTTGAGATCAGGAGTTCGAGACCAGCTTGGCTAACATGGTGAAACCCCGTCTCTACTAAAAATACAAAAAAATTAGCTGGGCATGGTGGCACACACCTGTAGTTCCAGCTACTGGGGGAGGCTGAGACAGGAGAATCACTTGAACCCGGGAGGCAGAGGTTGCAGTGAGCCAAGATCACGCCATTGCACTCTAGCCTGGGTGACAGAGCAAGACTCCATCTCAAAAAAAAAAAAAATATATATATATATATATACACACACACACACACACACACACACACACATGTATGTATAAATATATTCCTTGCCCACCAATTAACATAACTGTTCTCTTTATCAATAACTGTTTGAGATGTCTATGTATCTCCTTCTCTCCTTCTCCATCATTCTCATTTTACTCTAAGCAGACAGCAAATAAAGTCAAGATAAGAACAAGATAAGAGGTTATTCCATGTTTTCCAGTCTAGGGTCTTTCCATGTTTTTGGTGGTTTCCTTAGGAATGTAATTTTTCATGTTTTCATTACATTCATTGGGAAACAGCATTTTAGCCTTTTCGAGGTCCTCTTCTTGGAAGTTCATTCCATCTGCTTTTGTCACCACTTACAGCAGGCCCCATTTCTCCTTTGAGAAGTTGACCATTGACCTAATATTCAGGTATAATTTCATCTTCGTTCCACTGTGCTGGAGGGACAAATTGTTTTTCCATAACTCTTCTTTTGACATTGACTCTGAAGAGCCTATATCTTATGGGAGCAGAACTTGCCTAATTTCATCTTCTCTTTTCAGGATATTACCATATCAATCTCCAGAGGCTTAAATCCTCAAATTAAAACATAGACTCAAGGGGCTCAGGAGCACTCATATACTCTGTTCCTATTAACAATTGGGACTTTTCCTTGAGTCCCCTTTTGGAACAGGATCAAAGGGTCCCCATTCCAACGTCTTTGACTACCACCTAGCATCTGCTTCTAAACACATCCCTGTCAGAGATGAGTACACCTTCTGTATATCCTTTGATGGGATGAAAGTCAGGTAACTTCAGATAGACACGTAACTGCGGAATGATCAGAAGTTCTAAAAATTCTTAGGCTGGTGCCTCATGAAGAGTAAACAACAAATGTCGTCATGACTGCTCCGAGACCATTTGCTGCAGAATGCATTTACCTAAGCTGCAGAAATTAACGGTGTTTACAGCATTCAAATATACAAGAGTTGTATGCCTTCTTCTCCAAATGTAATTAGGGAGGGAAAAAAGTTGTAAGATTCACAGTTAAATTGTTTTAGGTGGCCATTACTAATGAGCTAAAGAATGTTAGACAATACTTTTTTCTTTGGGCCACCTGCAACTCAATGTATTCCAGAAAGTAGAAATGTAGAAACAGCTAAAAAGAAAAGGCATATTCAGAGGTTCACAAAACAAAACAAAGAAATAAAAAACTCATATTGTCAACCTCCTGATAGAGCAGCCGGCCCAAACTTTGAAAAAGAAAGCTATCACTTATTGAAAGACTGAACATGTCAGTCTTCACACCTATGTATTAACCACCATCAAGTTTGTCTTGAGGTTATTTGAGCATTCGTAGATTCTGTATATAATAATAATTGGTATCTTTCATTGAGTACCTACTATGTGGCACGCATGTTAGCAACATCATCTTTCTTAATCCTCATGAAAATCATCTAATTTAGGTGATGTCAGCCTCATTTTACAGATGCAGACACTGAGGCTGAGCAAAGCTTGCCCAAACTTCTACAGCTAGACAGTGGATTTGCTGAGATTCAGGACAATTTGACCCCTAATGTCCATGATCATTCCACACTGCCCTTCTACCTCTCTACCCTACTGAGATAATACTATGCAGAAATGTACTGTTTTTTCTCTGGGTTAACTTATAAGCTTTTAGAGCACCAGGTCCCAGGCCCTCAATTTTTTCTCTCTACCCTGAAGTACCTGATTTAGCAGCAGACTGTATCCTTGAGCTGCTCAGTCATTGGTGAGTGAGTGAGTGAGTGCTGCAAATAAGAACTAAGTCCTTGTCCTCCTAAGAACTGTATCCGCTCCTTTGCTCAGCCCCTGCCATCACTTCTTATCTCCAGGGATCTAACCTGAGTGAAGGAGAAGAAATGAGGGCATCCATGAGCTAAAAGAAATATGTATAGATAAAATATTCTTTTCATTAGGTCAATTGAATTCCCATTTATTTGTTTTGTTGTGATTTTTTTTGCCATAGCCCCATTGGCCTTCTGATGAAGTACATTGACCCTGTTTTAGTCCACTGGGGCTGCTATAACAAAATATCTTAGATTGGGTAATATTTTTTTTTCTTGAGACAAGGTCTTGCTCTGTCACCCAGGCTGGAGTGGTGCACTGGTGCGATCACGGCTCACTGTAACCTCGACCCCCCTGGCTCAAATGATCTTCCCATCTCAGCCTCCCCCTGAGTAGCTGGGACCACAGGTACATGCCACCACACCTGGTTAATTTTGTAATTTTCTTTCTCTATAGATGGGGTCTCACTGTGTTGCCTAGGCTGGTCTTTAACTGCTAGGCTCAAGTGATACTCCCACCTTAGCCTCCCAAGGTGCTGGGATTATGGACGTGAGCCACCATGCCCTGGCAGTTAATTTATAAACAACAGAAATTTATTGCTTACAGTTCTGGAGGCTAAGAAGTCAAGAACAAGGAAGGCACCAGCAGATTTGGTGCCTGGTGAGGGTTCACTCTGCTTCATAGATGGTGTCTTCTAGCTGTGTCCTCACATGGCAGAAGGGGCAAACAAGCTCTCTGGGGCCTCTTTTATAAGGCCACTAATCCCATCCATGAGGGCTCTGCCCTCACGACCTGAACACCTCCTAAAAACCTCACCTGTTAATGCTAGTGCATTGGGCATTAGGTTTCAATATGAATTTGGGGAGGATACAAACATTCAGACTATAGCAGACCTCTTCTCAGAATAATCTTTATAAATGAATACAGTAACATACATAGAATTATGAAGGAAACTGATTATATGGAAAAGTTTATCAAAATTATTTTAAAAATCAACTTTATGATATAGTAATATGTGTGCTTCTTTTGTAACACATTAAATAATAATGATAATTATGGTGGGGCATCGTGGCTCACGCTTGTAATCCCAGCACTTTGGGAGGCCAAGGCGGGTGGACCATGAGGTCAGGAGTTCGAGAGCAACCTGACCAACATGGTGAAACCCCATCTCTACTAAAAATACAAAAACTAGCCGAGCATGGTGGCACGCACCTATAATCCCAGGTACTCAGGAGGCTAAGGCAGGAGAATTACTTGAACCCGGGAGGCAGAGGTTGCAGTGAGCCAAGATCACACCACTGCACTCCAGCCTGGGTGACAGAATGAGACTCCATCTCAAAGAATAAAAATAAAAAAACAAAAAATAATGATAATTAAAGACCTAAAAGCAGGTGTAATAACAACCATAGTTTCTAAGTAGTGATGAGCAAAATAATATTTAGGTGTCTTTAACACCCTTAATATGATATGAAAATATCTGTGGTTTTCACTGGTGTCAAAGTCCTAGGCACTGCTAATATTATTGTGGTCTCTTGCCTACACTTTTCAAGAACCCCTAAATTTTATCCATGGATCCTTTGGAAGTGGATGGATCTCAAGTTAAGAATCCCTGGCTTAAAGAATAATAAGGCAAGAGGTTCAATTACAGAGCTTGTATTCAAAATAGTCCACCCTATGTTCTCTTGCCTCAAACAATTTAGAATTATAGCTCCCATAATTTTCATGCTGTTTCTTTGGATCTCTGAATGCTGTGAAAAACACAGTCTGAGATTTACAGTTGTCTTTGATTAACTATCTCAGTTTAGCCTGTGTTCTGGGGGCATGTTTAATGAAACTAGCAGCCAGTTGTCTTCATTTCCTACCAAATTTTTATTACTGCTATTCGAATATTCCAATCCTGCCTGGCCCTGATTTTTCAGCTCAGCCTCCAACTTCTTGAAGGGGTCATTTAGAAAGCAGGTAGGGTCTGTATCCCCCTGACACAGAGGCAGTGCTGGGCCCCAGAAACAAATTTAGGATCTGAGATGAGAAGGCCCAGACTTGAATTCTAGCTCCACCAGCTGCTCTTACAGGCTGCACAACTTTCTGCAAGACTCTTCGAGTCTCAGTTTTCTCATCTGTAAAACGGACACATTAGGAGTACATATCTCACAAAACTGTTGTCAGGAATCAAGCACATGCAGATACATAGTACATAGTAGCTGGCTATTAGTATTAGCAGCCCACTCTGAGCCTCAGTTTTCTCATCTGTGAAAGTGGAAATATAAACACTGTGTTATACTGGCAAGTTGAATGTACAGTGTTCCCTCCCCGATGGGCATATAACAAAACAATCTTTCCCCTTTCTCCAGGAGCTGGGGAAATTTTTTTTTTTTTTTTTGTAAAGCAAGGATGAGGTTTTAGAGCATTATAGAGAAGGAGGGCAGAGGGTGGATGAATGAGGTTTTGGGGAGGGAGCAGGGAGTCATTTATTGCTGTAAGCCTCTGATTCCTCAAAGCCTCTCTGAGGACTGGCTACATTAGCATCACTGGAAGAGCTTACTAAAAAGATTTTCAGCTGGGCCCAGTGGCTCATGCCTGAAATTCCAACAATTCAGGAAGCTTTTGGGAGGATCACTTGAGCCCAGGAGTTTGAGGCCAGCAGGGATAACACAGCAGGACCCTCATCTCTAAAAAAATGTTTTTAATTGAAAAAAATATATATTTTCAGATTCCTACCCTAGTGATCATGATTCCTGAGCCCATTCCTTAAAGTAGGGGCTAGTACTTTAGAAACCAAATCTGTGGTCCTTAACCAAAGTTGATCCCACTTTAACCCCAAGGGCCTTGTAGAAATGGACATAAGGCATTTTTTTTTTTTTTGTCAGAAGGAGGGACATTTAGTGGGCAGGGCCAGTGCTAAATGCCATGTATATTAGTCAGGGTTCTCTAAAGGCACAGAACTAATAGGATAGATGTATATATGAAAGGGAGTTTATTAAGAAGTATTGACTCACACAATCACAAGATGATGTGCCACAATAGACCGTCTGCAAGCTGAGAAGCAAGGAAGCTAGTCCGAGTCCCAAAATCTCAAAAGTAGGGAAGTGAAGCCTTCAGTCTGTGGCTGAAGGCCCGAGAGCCCCTGGCAAACCACTGGTGTAAGTCCAAGAGTCCAAAAGCTGAAGAATATGGAGTGCGATGTTCGAGAGCAGGAAGGATCCAGCACCACAAGAGAAAGGTGAAGGCCAGAAGACTTGCAAGTCTGCTCATTCCACCTTCTACTGTCTGCTTTTTCTAGCCGCGCTGGCAGGGGAGGGGATTGTGCCCACCCAGATTGAGGGTGGGTTTGCCTCTCCCAATCCACTGACTCAAATGTTAATCTCCTTTGGCAGCACCCTAACAGACACACCCAGAAACAATACTTTGCATCCTTCATTCGGATCACGCTGACACTCAACATTAACCATCACACCATGCAATGAGCAGGATAGCCCCACACATTGAATAATTGTTCCACCCAAAATGCCAACAGTTCCTAAAATTGTCTACCCACCCTTAAAAGGGTACTTTCATTGAAAAGCTGAAGGATAAGTTTTGCTCATAAGGAACTAACTGCAGCTATTTAGCAAATATACCACAACCCACCCATCTAAGAGAGCTGTCCTCTTGAACAGAGTCCCCTTGCGAAGCTGCACTCGTATTCCATATATACTTGCAGTAATTTTAACCTTTAAAAAGGTTTTTCTTTTGGAATTAACCACTCTACTCCCCAATAATTGTTACAGCTTTCTGTTTTTTGTTTGTTTTGTTTTGTTTTTTGTTTTTTGTTTTAATTTATCTCAATAGCTAGCAATTATCATGCTTTTGGGATGGTTTAATTTTGGGAAATATTCAAACCCCATTCCAAACACCTAAGATAAGACTGGTGACACTGTTTACAGTCCAAATGAAATATGTCTAAAAAGTGACAAGATAATTTTTGTTTTCCCCTCCTGCAGCATGTAAACTTGCTGAGATGTGGAAAAATCTGGAGAAACAGTATTAAATGATGATCCAAAAGTTTATTAGCTCTTGAAATCATCAAGATTCGGCTATACTTACTGTTGGGGTTAGAATGACCACCAAGTAGACACATTATAGTTGGTTTTTTAAATTTTTAAAATTTATATACCCTGGGATTACCTGGTTTTCCCATAATTACCATGTACTACTTTTATAACAGGGGGAAATCGATTCAAATCTTAAAGTAATAATATTTTTCTCAGTATGTTCCATTCTTTCTTTCCCACCCTCCTCTCCTCCACCTTCCAGAAGGGGACATACCATCATGATAGCTTGCATTACCTACCACACACCACCATAGGAGAATGGCTTAATAAAGGAGCACCATCTGCTCACTGTGTTGTTATCCAGCCATTAACATGATAATTTTGAAGACTGTGCAGAAACATGGGAGCACGTATGTTTAAGACAGAATGCAACAGAAAAATTCAGACTATAAAATATTATTTACCGGGCCAGGCGCAGTGGCTCACGCCTGTAATCCCAGCACTTTGGGAGGCCGAGGCGGGCAGATCACAAGGTCAGGAGATCGAGACCATCCTGTCTAACACAGTGAAACCCCGTCTCTACTAAAATACAAATAATTAGCCGGGCGTGGTGGTGGGCGCCTGTAGTCCCAGCTACTCAGGAGGCTGAGGCAGGAGAATGGCGTGATCCCGGGAGGCGGAGCTTGCAGTGAGCCTACATCATGCCACTGCACTCCAGCCTGGGTGACAGAGCAAGACTCCATCTCAAAAAACAATAAAAATAAAAATAAATAAATAAATAAATAGATATTATTTACCTAATGGTTGCAATCATGTGGAAAAATATGCATATGCATAAGTAGTCTTCAATGATACTAACCAAAATTTAAAATATTATGAATAGGTTGTGGAGATTATGGGTGGTTTTCTTGTTATCAAAATTGTCCTGAATATTTTACTTATATTTTGAATGTAAAAGGGAGATACCTGTGTTCATTATATTTATTCCAATTATTCCAATAAAGCATTTTTGCCATTTAAAAAATGCCCAGTGACTGATAACTCAGTATTAAATTGGAAAATACAATGTGATGATTACGTGGATTCATTTTATGCAAAAATCATAATAAGTTAGTGAAACATATACTGTAAAACCTTCTACTTTACCTACCATGGAAAACAACATTCTCTTTTCTTTCAGCGTATCTGGGGACTGAGTGTTTGTGGAGTACTTTTACATTTTACATTTATCAATCTTTGAAAAATAAACAAAATGATTAAAAATAAAGATGCAAGATTTTTGCCTATTTTTTTGTTTGTTTTCCCCTTGAGGACTTTAAACAATCCACGTGAAAAAGTAGAAGCAAACATGACTGTCTTTGAAAAGATCAAAGCCCAAATCAAATTATGATTTGTTCTCAATATTATAAGAAGTGTGGTTTAGGGCCGGGCATGGTGGCTTTTGGGGCCGGGCGCGGTGGCTCATGCCTGTAATCCCACACTTTGGGAGGCCGAAGCGGGTGGATCACCTGAGGTCAGGAGTTTGAGACCAGCCTGACCAACATGCAGAAACCCCATCTCTACTAAAAAAATACTTAGCCGGGCGTGGTGGCGCATGCCTGTAATCCCGGCTATTCGAGAGGCTGAGGCAGGAGAATTGCTTGAATCTGGGAGGCAGAGGTTGCAGTGAGCTGAGAGCGCGTCACTGCACTCCAGCCTGGGCGACAGAGCGAGATTCCATCTCAAAGGAAAAAAAAAAAGAAAGGAAAAGAAAAAGAAGCGTGGTTTAATTACAAAGAAAAAAACCCAATGATTTATGATTTCCATTTTCCAAATTATCACTATCTTTTTTCATGATTCTGTGATCTTAGAGTAACACACTTTTGGCTTTTATTTTTCTCTGCTGTGACTACAAGTAAGTAGAAATGCATGTCCTTTTAATGCGATTTACTATTTGGAAAGAGTCATAAGGTAATACATCTATAACAAGGGAGATATGTGCCAGCCCCACGTTTTGTTGCTAAAAACCTCATTACCAAAGGTAGAGAAAATATCCGGGATGAGGGAATGAGTCCAGAATATAGATTACCTCCCTGTCATGTCCTTGCAAACCACTGACCACTTTCCACCTAACTCCAACTGGCATGTCCTCAGCCTCTTCACAAGGTGGAGAAGAGGTGATAACTTCTACTTCAGCACAGGTCCCTACTCATCAGAGACCTCAGGTGGAACCTCTTTCCCCCTAGTTTCCACCACCCTGACCCAAATGCAAACCAACTGGTATTTCCCCGAGTGCCTTCCATGCCCAAGAAGCCTGTGTAAAAAGGTGCTTTCTTGCCAGGCATGGTGGCTCACGCCTGTAATCCCAGCACTTTGGGAGGCAAAGGCAGATGGATCTCTTGAGGCCAAGAGTTCGAGACCAGCCTGTACAATATGGCAAAACCCCATCTGTACTAAAAATACAAAAATTAGCCGGGTTTGGTGGTGCGTGCCTGTAATACCAGCTACTCGGGTGGCTGAGGCAGGAGGATTGCTTGAGACCAGAGGTTGCAGTGAGCCAAGATTGAGCAACTGCACTCCAGCCTGGGCAACAGAGCGAGACTCTGTCTTTAAACAAATAATAATAACATATATAAATCTCATATAAATTTTATAAAATTTAAAAAGATTCTTTCTTTACTCATTCATTCATTCACTCACTCAACAAACATTTATAGAGCACTTACTGCATGCCTTGTCATATTGGATCCAGGTTTCCTGGACTTTTTATTCTGCCTAAAATTCCAGTAGTTTTAACCTTTAAATTTGTTGTTTTTTGTAATTGACCAGCCCACCTCCCAAAAATCATATGCAATTTGTAGGGCTGTCACTAAGAAAAATGATACCAAAAATGTAAAAACAGAATTCAGTAACAAAATGAATATTTACCTAGAATTTAGAAAACACAACAAAGTACATATTTTCAAAAGCTGAAATACCACAAACATTAGAAAATCCATTAAAATCACATAATATTTATATTAATTAACTGCTTCACACATATCTACAACATTTTTCTTTTTCTTTTTCTTTTTTGAGACAGAGTTTTACTCTTGTAACCCAGGGTAGAGTGCAGTGGCGTGATCTCAGCTCATTGAAACCTCCGCCTCCTGGGCTCAAGCAGTTCTCCTGCCTCAGCCTCTCAAGTAGCTGGGACTACAGGCATGCACCACTGTACCCAGCTAATTTTTGTATTTTTTTGAAGAGACAGGGCTTTACCATGTTTACCATGTTGGCCAGGCTGGTCTTGTACTCCTGGCCTCAAGTGACCTGCCCGCCTTGGCATCCCAAAGTGCTGTGTTTACAGGTGTGTGCCACCGTGATGGGCTCATTTTTCTTTCTTTTTAAGCTGCATATTCTTAGATTATCTCTTCCTATAACAATAATTTTACAATAGACATCTCCATAGAGAAAATAGAAAGATAAATCAATCTTTCCTCTAGCATCATTAATCAAATTTTTATTATTATTAATGACAGTTTAGAAAAGTATTTTCAACATCAAAGTTCTTTATTATTAATATCACGTAATTCTTTATGAAAATAAGAAGAACATTATCAAGTATCTTTCATATATAACCTGCAATATTGAGAAGAATTCTCCACAGATCAGCTTCTGGTTCTGTACATTTCAACTTTGTTTCTCCTCCATTACTCACATACTTCCAATGATGAGTACCAAGGGACACATTCATATCAGGATATAAGCTCTAGGCCAGCAATTCCATGACATGTACCAGGTGAAATGGCACAGTGAGTGGTAGAGAATTTCTGCCAGCCATTCCTATCCTTGGCAGGTAACAATAACATAATTATACCCCTAGGTGACCGCAAATAACATAGATATATTCCACTAAACTTTAGCTAAATGTATCCCCATTTCAAATTCCCCTTAGCCTGATCCCCAAAATTCCTGCAGCCACTCAGATGCCATTCAACAAGAAGGAGGAGGGTGATGAAGAAGTCTAAATGAAAGAGACAATGGCCTTAACCATTTGCAAATTTTGCAAAAACAAGACAAAATGAACACATTCCAAAGGCCCATCCTAGGACTTTGGGAGGGGCCATCTATGTGATGGGCCCTGAAACTTAAGCCTCATTTGCTTTATGGTAAATATGCCACTCCTGATTGTATAACTTTGAGTAAGTCACTTCATTTTTCTATTCTAACTGCTCACTTATAAAAGGCTTAATTCTACCAATTCATTCATTCATTCGTCGATTCAACAAATAGGTACTGAATGTGTGCCAGGTCCTGTGCTAGGTACTAGCATCTGGATATTAGGTACTATGGATACAACTATCAACATCACACCACCACTTTTCTCAAGGATTTAAAGAAGGATACAAGAAAATTAACAATTACAATGCAAATAGGAAGTACTATGCTGGGAGAAGTACAAGTTCTCATGAAAGGCTAGAAAGGAATCAAGTATGATAATTAGGTTTCAACTTGAATAACTAGATGGTTACTAGCATCATTCTCTCTGAGATCTGGAAGACTGGAAGGGGTGCTGGCTTGTAGGGGAAGATGATTAAGTTTGGGATATCTCGAGTTGTCAGCAGAGTGTAGTAGTCAAAGGCCTAGTCTCTGTTATCAAGGTGCCAGTGAGACCAACTGTGTGACCATGGGCAAGTTGCTTAACTTCTCTGCCTCAATATCCTGAGCTGTAAAGCAAGAAAGTAATAGTAACTATCTCAAAGAGCTGTTGGGAGGAATGAAATGAGATAATACATGTGAAGTATTAGGGAGAAAATGCTTGCAAAATAGAAAACATTCCATAAACATTTTTATACTATTATACTGTTCTTTAGGCAGTTGGATATATTGTCTGTGATGGTTTATTTTAGGTGTCAACTTGACTAGATTAAAGATATCCAGAAAGTTGCTAAAACATTATTTCTGCACCAATTTTATAAAATAGCAATTCATAGGACTATGTTTTGATAGATAGATAGACAGATAGATAGATAGATAGATAGACAGACAGACAGATGATAGGCAAGAAAAATTCTTCCATACAGTAGGATGCTGACTAATAAAGGTACAAAAATATAGTATTAGAAAATTGCCATTGGAAAAGGATATTTACATAGTCTCAATATATTTTCTCTCAAAATGCTTGTTTATTACAAAGGGAAAATAAAAACTTTTCAGTGGGAAAATCTGGTAGATGCCACTTAACCAGCAATTAAAATTAAGATCAACAGTAATGGGACACCTCGAAGTGTCTCCTGATATGATAAATTGACAAAACCACAATCTCAGTTCTGTGATATTCTTGCCAAAAATACATTACTGAATCTACTCATAAGGAATATCAGACGAATATAAACCTAGAGACTTTATACAAAATAACTGTGCTCTAAAAATATCTACGTCATGGAAGACAAGGAATAACTGAGGAACTAGTTCCAGATTGAAGAAAACTAAAGAAACAAAACAGTTAAATGTGACACATGATCCTGGAGGGATTCTGGACCAGATTAAAAAATATATTTTATTTATTGACTAATTGATTGCTATAAAGAACATTATTGAACCATTGGTGAAATTCGAATGGGATCTGTGGATTAGATGGTATTGCATAAATGTTAATTTCCTGATTTTGATGGCAGTACTGTGACTATGTATGAAAGTACCCTTATCTTGTAGAAAATACACACTGAAATATTTAGGGGCAGCGAGCATCATGCCTGCAACTTTCCATTAATTCAGAAAAATACTAATATGTTTACTTAAAAAGAATTATTTTAAAAAACATATTACAGAGTTTAATTTATTCAAAGAAAATTAGAATCAACTAATCAGAAGGAAGAGGAGAATGCATTATGTATATATAAATATTAATTATATATACTATATAGAAATATTAATTACATATATATAAATATTAATTATATATAATATATAGAAATATTAATTACATATATTATATATAAATATATATTTAAAGAGATTATAAAGCAAATGTAAATAATTGGGGAATCTGAGTGAAAACTATATAAGAGGTCTTTTTACTTTTCCTGCAACTTTCCTGTAAGTTTGAAATTACTTCAAAATGAAAAATGTAAAAACAAAACAGCTGGATCCACATGTCAAAAAAATATATATATAACATATTAAGTGCTTACTTTGGCAACACATATACTAAAATTGGAATGATACGGAGATTAGCATTGTCCCTGGTCAAGGATGACACACAAATTCATGGAGCATTATATATATATATATATATATATATATATAAATTTTTTTTTTGAGACAGAGTCTGGCTCTGTCTCCCAGGCTGGGGTGCAGTGGCACAATCTTGGTTCATTGCAACCTCTGTCTCCCCAATTCAACTGATATCCTGCCTCAGCCTCCCAAGTAGCTGGGATTACAGGCACCCACCACCATGCCCAGCTAATTTTTGTATTTTTAGTGCAGATGGGGTTTCACCATATTGGTCAGGCTGGTCTCGAATTCCTGATGTCAGGTGATCCACCCGACTCGGTCTCCCAAAGTGCAGGGATTACAGGCATGAGCCACTGTGCCCGGCCTGCATTTTATATTTTTTAGAAAGAAAAAGAAAAAAAAATACATTAAGGAGTGGGTTGTCCACTTAATCAAACAAGTCTACTTTAAATACTACTACATCTAGCTCATTAACTACTTTGAGTAGTAAGAGATGTCAAGAAAACCCATTCATGAAGGATTTTAACGTAATTATAATGATCAGTGTAAAAGTATTGTTCCCCTCTTGACCAGTTCTTAATCATACAGAACTTCTCTAAGAACACTTCTGGAGTATTAAGTGGGCTCTATACCAATTTCTACTGATCAGCCATGTCAATTAGCCCTAAGCTAGAGGTACTGGGTTTATTAAGTGAACAATGGAGACAGGTGAGACATGAATAAAAAATAGAGAAGGTTATTGTAAGAGTGGCATTGGCATTTGTTTTTGTCAGGGCTCAAAACATGATATCCCAAATATGGTGCCTTGGCATGCTGAGTATTTTGAGCTGAAGGAAACCCTGAAAGGGCCTCAGAAGCAAGAAATGTTCATTGACCAGAGTCTTAAAAAGTTTGAACTCAACTAGGCGTGGTGGCTCACGCCTGTAATCCCAGCACTTTGGGAGGCCAAGGTGGCATCACCTGAGGTCAGGAGTTTGAGACCCGCCTGGCCAACATGGAAAAACTCCATCTCTACTAAAAATACAAAAATTAGCCTGGCATGGTGGCATGTGCCTGTTAATCCCAGCTACTCAGGAGGCTGAGGCAGGAGAATTGCTTGAACCCGGGAGGCAGAGGTTGCAGTGAGCCAAGATCACGCTACTGCACTCCAGCCTGGGTGACAGAGCGAGATTCCGTCTCAAAAAAAAAAAAAAATGAAGTCAGCGTAGCTCTGTTAAATACATAAATATATAAAAATCAATCAAAAATGCTGCTGAGAACTCTCAAATGTTTAAAAGGAAAGGGCTACAAAATACCAACTATGGCAGTGATCTTGTGACTATTGTCATTATGTTCATTAATAATGTTCTCATGAGGCTGGGTGTGGTAGTTCACATCTGTAGTCCCAACACTTTGGGAGGCTGAGAAAGGAGGATTGCTTGATGCCAGGGGTTCAAGATCAGACTGGGCAACATAGAAAAACCTTGTCTCCACAAAAAAAATAACAACAACAAAAATAGCTGGACATGGTGGTGCACGCCTGTAGTTCCAGTTATTTGGGAGGTTGAGGTGGAGGGATCATTTGAGGCCAGGAGTTAGAGGCTGCAGTGAGTCACGATTGTGCCACTGCACTCCAGCCTGGATGACACAGCAAGACCTTGTCTCAAAACAATATAATAATAATTTTCTCGGCCGGGCGTGGTGGCTCACGCCTGTAATCCCAGCACTTTGGGAGGCCGAGGCAGGTGGATCACGAGGTCAGGAGATCAAGACCATCCTGGCTAACATGGTGAAACCCCGTCTCTACTAAAAAATACAAAAAATTAGCTGGGCTTGGTGGCGGGTGCCTGTAGTCCCAGCTACTCGGGAGGCTGAGGCAGGAGAATGGCGTGAACCTGGGAGGCGGAGCTTGCAGTGAGCCAAGATTGCGCCACTGCACTCCAGCCTGGGCGACAGAGCGAGACTCCGTCTCAAAAATAATAATAATAATAATAATAATAATAATAATAATAATAATAATTTTCTCATGAACATGATTGCATTACCTCTGCAGTGTGTCCAAGTGGAATGAGACCAGGTTGTGAAGGTTGGAGAGGAACAAGAAAATTATGTTTAGGGATTTCTGTTTTGGTCTGGAAGCCAAAATTTAAAATGGGACAACAGTTTGGGACCTTATCTCAACCCTTGTTAAGATGCCTCGTGTGTGAAAATAATGAGGCTATACAGGCTGGAAGGTTCCCACTTAAGAGACTGCTACAAGATCTTGACTTTACAGAAACTGGCTAGTGGCAAAGTTAGAGCTTAAACACAGTTCTTCCTGACTCCAATCCCAGCCTTCTTTCTACTACACTACTCTGCCTTTTTGATGCAAAGAAATTCTTTTCACAAATCAAAGGTTTCCTTTAGAAACCCTGGGAAAAATGTTAACTTCCCATGCCATCTGTAGATGCTGGCACTTGTAGTAAGCAGTGGCAGTTAACATGAGCACTATTATTAGGGAAGGTGTTTATGCCACTTCTGTCCAACCTCGCTGAATGTTTACTCCCCAAATCTCAATAAAGCAAAACTAAATGGATCCAATACTCATTTCCATAATTCAAGTTGGAAGGACAATTACCAATGAGCAACATCAACAGAAACTCAAAGATCTTCTTTAAACACATCACTCGCCTGAGCTATATTACAAGGAAAATCAGTCTTTTGTACAGGAGAAAAATCTCTGTGAGAAATATGCAGAGGAATCATTTCATTTCTTTGCATCTGCCCTCCTGGTGGGAGGTATCAGGGCTTGGATAGCCCAAGAAGCTATAGGAAGCATATTACAGAGAGTTTAATTTATTCAAAGAAAATCAGAATCAACTAATCAGAAGGAAGGGGAAAATGCATTAATTAAACAGCTTTACTCATGCAGAAAAGCTGCCAGCATGAGCACTTCAAATTACCTGGGCACACCTAATGCATTTGCATTTGCTCGGGAGAAATGTGTTCTGCCCTACAAAGCCACGAACATTTCATAATTCCATTTGAGCGAATAACAAAAGGGAATTGACAGCTAAGAACCACCTTCCACACTTGGGGGCTATAGCCTTTTCCTAGGAATTTTTAGCTCAAGTAGAAATGCTCTTCTTGACTAGATGTGGAGAGAGGAAGTTTTAAGTCTTCTGTAAAGTAAAAGGCTAAAAAAGAATCTCCCTCCTCTCTACCCTTCCAACAAAGGAGGTGGGCTTTTACTGGCAGGAGGCTAACAGCATTCTTTTGTTAGATATTAACATAAAATAAGGCAGTAGAAATGGATGTCCATCAACAGAATTAGAAGGAACTAAGTAAGTTTCAAGAACAAAAGGTTTACTTATTTAAATTACAGGAGTTGAGAAACAGCTGGGAATGCAATTTCTTTCCCAGAGTTAAAAAACTACAAATAGTTAAATGTAATTATGTTGCAATATAATTTTATCGTTTCACATTGAATGTGTATAATCATTCTAACTAAAATAACCCTATCGGCAATACTTAAACATATATTTTATATATTTTATCTTAGCTTTTTTCAATTCAGTTTATTCATCAACTAACTCAATATTTTATTTACGTATTTACTCCTGAGAAAGCTAATGTGACTTTAAAGCACCTGTTCTTACCCAACGATAACTACCTTAAAAATATTTTAAAGTTGCCTTATGCTTTTTGTTACTTTACATCATGTGTTTATACTGCATTTTGCACAATAAAATATACTACAATTAGTAGTAGAGTTTATTAATCTGGAATTTTAGAGTTGAGAAAAATAGAAACGTCTGTTAGAAAACTTCTCAGAAGTTTGTTTTCTATTTCAAAGGAAAACATCAATTTGAAATGCAAAAGAACTGTAATAAAACCTAAGGTTTACACAACTTTGGTCTAATTTAATATATAATATATACGGTTTATACTCAAAGAGGAAACTTTAAAAAAATTAACATATATTGTCACCTAGTGCTTAGTTTAAAATATTCTATAATTTTGTCTAAAATGCCTTATCTGTACAAATTTTGGGATCAAGCTTCTAAACAGATTGATTGTCTTAGACCTACTTGTAAAAGTGTGTTCTAGGATTTCTACACCATGAAAGATTGTGGTTAAAATGGTCAAGGATGAACTGTCAATACATATTCAGGGCATTTCCTCAGAATCAAAAAGACTAATGAAAGAGAAGTTAGGCAGAAAGTAAGTATATATTTCAGAGGTCTGGGAGAAACCTTTCCTCTAGATTATGAAAATTTTTGGAAACTCAACTTTATTTTCACGCGATCTGATCACATTCGATAAAGCTCTTTCATGTGTTTTTACTCCCCAAACTAAAATAAACTGCTTTTGTGGAATATCTTTCTATGAATTCCTTTGAATGCTATCATCATTGATGGTAGATAACACACAATAATTTCAAACACTAATTTCAAAGCCACCAGTGAGTGGAGTGGCTGCTTAATTGCAAACACCTTGGCAGAACACTGTTGACCTTCTACTATTTAGGATCTTTCAATTCATTTAGGATCTTAGCGGGAAAAATATTCTATAGCAATGAAATATACTCAGGTATAAGTGTACTGATGAGACAGGCATCTAAAATATGAATGAAGGTTTGAATATTCAGTTTTAAATATGTTGATAAAAGAAATTACAAAGAAATGTCATTGATCTAATACTTGTTTGCACATTCTTCAGAGCTATGTATGAAGCATAATAGGATTTCTATGAACCCAAACAACAAAAGGTGTAAACTGCCTTTTCAATTGCAAACTTTGTTCATTTATTCCATTGGTAAAAGAATGTAAATCTGAAGTCATTTTTTTGTTAACTGACACCAAGTCTTTCTCATTAAACTTTTTTTTTTTTAAAGAAACAAGGGTAAATAAAGGTCAGAATAAAGTCAAACTTCTTCCCCTGGGGGGGGAAAAAGCAGTATAAAGAAATTTCACTAAATCGTTCCTGTCAATTAGAATCTGATATTTAAATTAATTCTAGTGCTTGAGGTGTTTTAACACACTTACAGTTATGTATAATTCAGGTAAGATAAATATGGGTATTTAAGAATCTCAACAGTACTTTCTATAAATCCTTGTAATACAAATATAAATCAAATGATAGCAATATCGTTCATTGAGTTTGCATAAACCAAAACATTCATATATCTTGATTTAATTTCCTAGTAAACATTTAACTAAAATATGGGAGAATTAAAATATTTTGGGCTGAGTTCAGTGACTCTCACCTGTAATCCCAGCACTTTGGGATGCTGAGGTGGGAGGGTCACCTGAGCTCAGGAGTTCGAGACCAGCCTGGGCAACATGGTGAAACCCCATCTCTACCAAAAATACAAAACTTAGCCGGGCGTGGTGGTGCATTCTTGTAGTCCCAGCTACTTGGGAGGCTGAGGCAGGAGAATCACTTGAACCCGGGAGGCAGATGTTGCAGTCAGTCAAGATTGTGCCAAGCCTAGGAGACAGAGTGAGACTCTGTCAAAAGAACAAAAAAGGATACTTTGTTCACTGTTATAATCATTACTAAAGAACTAAAGAATAAACTAGATAATCAATAGTAGGTGCTTAATAAATTTCGAACAAATTGTCCAATAGTCAACCTAAAGCCAAAAGGAAGGGAGGGGACCCAGCAGACAGAAGAAAGGAGGGAATGGTGAAAGTGACAAAAAAGGGCAGAGAAGTAGTGGAGAAAATATTTGTAACCACAAATTTGTTCATTTCTCTCAACTCTTTTAAAACATTATTTCAAGTGAAAAAAAGTCTGATTTTATTAATGTTAAATTCAGTCGCTAGCTGGGCCTGGCACTTGTAATCACAGTTACACTGGAGGCTGAGGCGGGAGGATCACTTGACCCCAAGAGTTTCAGACCAGTCTTACCTGCACTTCAAGATCTTATCTGTAACTACCTCTAAGCACCAAGACTCAATACCTCAGTTAATTCAGAAGTAAATTTATCTGTTCCAGATTGGAGACTAACGAGACATGACAACCAAATGCAATGTGGATTCTTACTCTGGACCAAAACCCTACACTGTCCAAAATGCAGTGGTCACTAGCTGTGTGTGGCTATTGAACATTTGAAATGTGGATAGTCCAAATTGAGATATGCTCTAAATGCAAAATACACACCAGATTTTGGAAACATAGCATTTTAAAAAGAATGTAAAATATATTGTTAACATTAATTTCATCTGTTTCATTTTACTATTTAAAATATGGCTGTTAGAAAATTTTAAACTATATATATACAGAGCTGGTCTAGAAATCCAAGCTAAGGAGTTTGTACTTCATCCTCAGAAGCCATTGTAGGTCCTTGAGTAGGAATGTGAGATTGTTTTTGGGGGGAATTTAGTCTGGCTATGGCCTGGAAGGTGGCCAGGAGGAACAACACATTACAAAAGTCCAGGAGGGATGTTCTGGACTAGGGTCATGGCTATGGGGCTGGAGACAAAAGATATAATACAAGAGACATTTAGATGGAAGTACCAACAGGTCTTTGTTATTTTCTGGATATAGAGGGTGGTGAAGAAAGTAGAATCTCTGTTTCATGATTTCTCACCTGAAAGATTGAGAGAATTTTGGTCTCCCTGACAGAAATGGAGAAATCACAAAGTTTTAGGAGTGATGAGTTAATATTTTTTAACATTTTATTTTGAAATAATGGCTGACTTACAAAAAAGTTACAAAAGTAGTTCACAGAGTTTTCATACGCCCTTCACCCAGTTTTCCCACATGTTAACATTTTACACAACCGTAGTTTATATTTAAAAATCCCTAATTTATGAATTAATCTATAGACAAAATATTACTAGTTTCACATATAATCAATATAAAAATTATTAATAAGATATTTTATATTTTTTGTGGAGGAGATAAAGTCTTAGAAATCCAGTGTGTATTTCACACTCACAGTCCATCTCAATTTGGGGCAGCCACATTTCAAGTGTTTAAATAAGCACACGTAGCTAGTAAGCACAGCATTCCTAGAGCATCCACAATCTACTCCCAACCTTTCCTTTCAACATTATCTCCTGCTGTACTGCCAAGAAAACTCTCTGCCCTCGCCAGTTTGTTCTGGGCCAGGATGGCAAAAGGCTGACCTCATGTTCTTATTACCTCCCTCCCACAATCATAATAGACATTAATAATCATTCATATGACACTTATCTGCTGAGTCTCTGAATACTTCCCAATATGGTGCTCCAGACAACACCAAAAAATGACTAGAGTTGGCACTTAAAATGAAACCCTTTTTCCACCCATTACCTAGTCACTGTCCCCAGCAACCTCTAGCTCATTCCTACCTCTAAATTTGCTCCTGCAACTTAGCCAATCTAACCAATGCCTACTTGCCTTGAGAGCCAAACTCAAGTCTCCATTCATACAGTCCTTTCCAGCTCATATTGAACATTCTTTTTTTTTTTTTTTTTTTAAATAGACGGGTCTCACTCTGTCACCCAGGCTGGAGTGCAGTGGCACAATTTTGGCTCACTGCAACCTCCACCTCCCAGGTTCAAGTGATTCTCCTGCCTCAGCCTCCTGAGTAGCTGGCATTACAGGTGTGCACCACCACAACTTGCTAATTTTTGTATTTTTAGTAGAGACGGGTTTTCACCATGTTGATCAGGCTGGTCTTAAACTCCTGACCTCATGATCTGCCCGCCTCAGCCTCCCAAAGTGCTGGGATTACAGGTGTGAGCCACCGCACCTGGCCTGTTATATATTTTTCTATGCTCACATGGATCGTAGAAGAATGCTGTGCATAAAGTAGATGTTCCATGAAAACTTCTTGGTTGATAGAATGGTTATAACACACATTGTTTTTATGTCTTCTATCAATTACGTTTAAGCCTAAATCTATTTTTTCGTAACTACTGCTCCAAAACCTAAAATGGTCACATAACTGATATCATGAATAGGCACAATATTTAAATTGGTCTCACAAATGTTTGCTTAATATAATCTTTTTTTTTTTTTTTTTGAGACAGAGGCTCATATTGTCACCCAGGCTGGAATGCAGTGGTGCGATCTCGGCTCACTACAACCTCTGCTGCCCAAGTTCAAGTTATTCTCCTGCCTCAGCCTCCCAAGTAGCTGGGATTACAGGCACATGCCACCATGCCTGGCTAATTTTTTTTTTTTTTTTTTTTTTGTAGTTTTAGTAGAGACGGGGTTTCACCATCTTGACCACGCTGGTCTTGAACTCCTGACCTAGTGATCCACCCGCCTCGGCCTCCCAAAGTGCTGGGATTACAGGCTTGAGCCACCATGCCTGGCCTTTGCTTAATATAATCTTATACTCGGTTAGATATTGGTCATCAGGCTCCAGTCCCTGCTCCACTACTTACTAGCATTGTGTTTCAAAGTAAGTCAGTCACATAAACCCTTAGATTTTGTTTTCTCATCAATAAAGTGAGGTTTATAATGCCTTACCTATCTTACATGATTGGTGTGGGTATCAAATGAAGTAGTATAGTATATACATAAAAGCACTAGACATTTGCAATCAGAGAGGCCTAGGCTTGAATCCAGGCTCTGCCACTTATTATATACGTCACCTTTATCAACTTACTTGTTTCTCAGTTTACTCATTTGCAAATATAGGCACAATAATACCTAAATCTCAGTGCTATAAGTGACTTGAGGTTTGTGAGGAGCTTAGCACATTGCTACAGACATTGGCGTCACTCAATAAGCGATATATTGCGAATGAAGGCAAAGTGCCATGAACAGGTGATTATTATTCATTATTAATCTTCCCAAAATAGTTTGATGTGAAAGCAAATGGATAACCATTTTCGACACACTGCATCATTGACTCCTTTCCACTAAACTCAAAAAAGTCTTCTATGTTAAAGTTTGCAAACATATGAGTGGAACAGTGATTAGAAATGAACTCCCACCTTATACATGAAATTCCTGATTTGACTTTTTAATAATCGCCATTCTGGGTGGTGTGAGATGGTATCTTATCATGGTTTTGATTTGCATTTCTCTAATGATAAGTGATATTGAGCTTTTTTCATATGTTTATTGTCCGGATAAATGTCTTCTTTTGAGACGTGTCTGTTCGTGTCCTTTGCCCACTTTTTGATGGGATTGTTTGTTTTTTTCTTGTAAATTTCTTTAAGTTCCTTGAAGATTCTAGATATTAGATCTTTGTCAGATGTGTTTAAGTTGCTTGTAGATTCTGGATATTAGACCTTAGTCAGATGGGTAGATTGTAAAAATTTTCTGCCATGCTATAGGTTGCCTGTTTGCTCTGATGATAGTTTCTTTTCTTTTCTTTTTCTTTCTTTTTTTTTTTTTTTTTGAGACAGAGTCACACTCTGTCTCCCAGGATGGGGTGCAGTGGTGCGATCTTGGCTCACTGCAACCTCTGCCTCCCAGGTTCAAGCGATTCTCCTGCCTCAGCCTCCTGAGTAGCTGGGATACAGGTGTGCACCACCACGACCAGCAAATTTTTTGTATTTTTAGTAGAGATGCGGTTTCACCATGTTGGCCAGGCCGGTCTCAAACTCCTGGCCTCAGTGATCCACCCACCTCAGCCACCCAAAGTGCTGAGATTACAGACGTGAGCCACCTCGCCTAGCCTGATGTTTCTTTTGCTGTGCAGAAGCTCTTTAGTTTAATTAAATCCTATTTGTCAATTTTTGCTTTTGTTGCAATTGCTTTAGGCAACTCCTTTATTATTATTATTATACTTTAAGTTTTAGGGTACATGTGCACAATGTGCAGGTTAGTTACATATGTATACATGTGCCATGCTGGTGTGCTGCACCCATTAACTCGTCATTTAGCATTAGGTATATCTCCTAATGCTATCCCTCCCCCCTCCCCCCACCCCAAAACAGTCCCCAGAGTGTGATGTTCCCCTTCCTGTGTCCATGTGTTCTCATTGTTCAATTCCCATCTATGAGTGAGAACATGCGGTGTTTGGTTTTTTGTCCTTGAGATAGTTTACTGAGAATGATGATTTCCAATTTCATCCATGTCCCTACAAAGGACATGAACTCATCATTTTTTATGGCTGCATAGTATTCCATGGTGTATATGTGCCACATTTTCTTAATCCAGTCTATCGTTGTTGGACGTTGGGGTTGGTTCCAAGTCTTTGCTATTGTGAATAGTGCCACAATAAACATACGTATGCATGTGTCTTTATAGCAGCATGATTTATAGTCTTTTGGGTATATACCCAGTAATAGGATGGCTGGGTCAAATGGTATTTCTAGTTCTAGGTCCCTGAAGAATCGCCACACTGACTTCCACAATGGTTGAACTAATTTACAGTCCCACCAACAGTGTAAAAGTGTTCTTATTTCTCCACATCCTCTCCAGCACCTGTTGTTTCCTGACTTTTTAATGATTGCCATTCTAACTGGTGTGAGATGGTATCTCATTGTGGTTTTGATTTGCATTTCTCTGATGGCCAGTGATGGTGAGCATTTTTTCATGTGTCTTTTGGCTGCATAAATGTCTTCTTTTGAGAAGTGTCTGTTCATATCCTTTGCCCACTTTTTGATGGGGTTGTTTGTTTTTTTCTTGTAAATTTGTTTGAGTTCATTGTAGATTCTGGATATTAGCCCTTTGTCAGATGAGTAGGTTGCGAAAATTTTCTCCCATTCTGTAGGTTGCCTGTTCACTCTGATGGTAGTTTGTTTTGCTGTGCAGAAGTTCTTTAGTTTAATTAGACCCCATTTGTCAATTTCGTCTTTTGTTGCCATTGCTTTTGGTGTTTTAGACATGAAGTCCTTGCTCATGCCTATGTCCTGAATGGTAATGCCTAGGTTTTCTTCTAGGGTTTTTATGGTTTTAGGTCTAACGTTTAAGTCTTTAATCCATCTTGAATTAATTTTTGTATAAGGTGTAAGGAAGGGATCCAGTTTCAGCTTTCTACATATGGCTAGCCAGTTTTCACTGCACCATTTATTAAATAGGGAATCCTTTCCCCATTGTTTGTTTTTCTCAGGTTTGTCAAAGATCAGATAGTTGTAGATATGCAGCGTTATTTCTGAGGGCTCTGTTCTGTTCCATTGATCTATATCTCTGTTTTGGTACCAGTACCATGCTGCTTTGGTTACTGTAGCCTTGTAGTATAGTTTGAAGTCAGGTAGTGTGATGCCTCCGGCTTTGTTCTTTTGGCTTAGGATTGACTTGGCGATGCGGGCTCTTTTTTGGTTCCATATGAACTTTAAAGTAGTTTTTTCCAATTCTCTGAAGAAAGTCATTGGTATCTTGATGGGGATGGCATTGAATCTATAAATTACCTTGGGCAGTATGGCCATTTTCATGATATTGATTCTTCCTACCCATGAGCATGGAATGTTCTTCCATTTGTTTGTATCCTCTTTTATTTCATTGAGCAGTGGTTTGTAGTTCTCCTTGAAGAGGTCCTTCAAGTCCCTTGTAAGTTGGATTCCTAAGTATTTTATTCTCTTTGAAGCAATTGTGAATGGGTGTTCACTCATGATTTGGCTCTCTGTTTGTCTGTAATTGGTGTATAAGAATGCTTGTGATTTTTGTACATTGATTTTGTATCCTGAGACTTTGCTGAAGTTGCTTATCAGCTTAAGGAGATTTTGGGCTGAGATGATGGGGTTTTCTAGATATACAATCATGTCGTCTGCAAACAGGGACAATTTGACTTCCTCTTTTCCTAATTGAATACCCTTTATTTCCTTCTCCTGCCTAATTGCCCTGGCCAGAACTTCCAACACTAAGTTGAATAGGAGTGGTGAGAGAGGGCATCCCTGTCTTGTGCCAGTTTTCAAAGGGAATGCTTCCAGTTTTTGCCCATTCAGTATGATATTGGCTGTGGGTTTGTCATAGATAGCTCTTATTATTTTGAGATACGTCCCATCAATACCTAATTTATTGAGAGATTTTAGCATGAAGGGTTGTTGAATTTTGTCAAAGGCCTTTTCTGCATCTATTGAGGTAATCATGTGGTTATTGTCTTTGGTTCTGTTTATATGCTGGATTACATTTATTGATTTGCGTATATTGAACCAGCCTTGCATCCCAGGGATGAAGCCCACTTGATCATGGTGGATAAGCTTTTTGATGTGCTGCTGGATTCGGTTTGCCACTATTTTATTGAGGATTTTTGCATCAATGTTCATCAAGGATATTGGTCTAAAATTCTCTTTTTTGGTTGTGTCTCTGCCCGGCTTTGGTATCAGGATGATGCTGGCCTCATAAAAAGAGTTAGGGAGGATTCCCTCTTTTTCCATTGATTGGAATAGTTTCAGAAGGAATAGTACCAGTTCCTTCTTGTACCTCTGGTAGAATTCGGCTGTGAATCCATCTGGTCCTGGACTCTTTTTGGTTGGTAAGCTATTGATTATTGCCACAATTTCAGATCCTGTTATTGGTCTATTCAGAGATTCAACTTCTTCCTGGTTTAGTCTTGGGAGAGTGTATGTGTTGAGGAATTCATCCATTTCTTCTAGATTTTCTAGTTTATTTGCATAGAGGTGTTTGTAGTATTCTCTGATGGTAGTTTGTATTTCTTTGGGATCGGTGGTGATATCCCCTTTATCATTTTTTATTGTGTCTATTTGATTCTTCTCTCTTTTTTTCTTTATTAGTCTTGCTAGTGGTCTATCAATTTTGTTGATCTTTTCAAAAAACCAGCTCCTGGATTCATTAACTTTTTGAAGGGTTTTTTGTGTCTCTATTTCCTTCAGTTCTGCTCTGATTTTAGTTATTTCTTGCCTTCTGCTAGCTTTTGAATGTGTTTGCTCTTGCTTTTCTAGTTCTTTTAATTGTGATGTTAGGGTGTCAATTTTGGATCTTTCCTGCTTTCTCTTGTGGGCATTTAGTGCTATAAATTTCCCTCTACACACTGCTTTGAATGTGTCCCAGAGATTCTGGTATGTTGTGTCTTTGTTCTCGTTGGTTTCAAAGAACATCTTTATTTCTGCCTTCATTTCGTTATGTACCCAGTAGTCATTCAGGAGCAGGTTGTTCAGTTTCCATGTATTTGAGCAGTTTTGAGTGAGTTTCTTAATCCTGAGTTCTAGTTTGATTGCACTGTGGTCTGAGAGACAGTTTGTTATGATTTCTGTTCTTTCACATTTGCTGAGGAGAGCTTTACTTCCAACTATGTGGTCAATTTTGGAATAGGTGTGGTGTGGTGCTGAAAAAAATGTATATTCTGTTGATTTGGGGTGGAGAGTTCTGTAGATGTCTATTAGGTCCACTTGGTGCAGAGCTGAGTTCAATTTCTGGGTATCCTTGTTGACTTTCTGTCTCGTTGATCTGTCTAATGTTGACAGTGGGGTATTAAAGTCTCCCATTATTATTGTGTGGGAGTCTAAGTCTCTTTGTAGGTCACTCAGGACTTGCTTTATGAATCCAGGTGCTCCTGTATTGGGTGCATATATATTTAGAATAGTTAGCTCTTCTTGTTGAATTGATCCCTTTACCATTATGTAATGGCCTTCTTTGTCTCTTTTGATCTTTGTTGGTTTAAAGTCTGTTTTATCAGAGACTAGGATTGCAACCCCTGCCTTTTTTTGTTTTCCATTTGCTTGGTAGATCTTCCTCCATCCTTTTATTTTGAGCCTATGTGTGTCTCTGCACGTGAGATGGGTTTCCTGAATACAGCACACTGATGGGTCTTGACTCTTTATCCAATTTGCCAGTCTGTGTCTTTTAATTGGAGCATTTAGTCCATTTACATTTAAAGTTAATATTGTTATGTGTGAATTTGATCCTGTCATTATGATGTTAGCTGGTTATTTTGCTCGTTAGTTGATGCAGTTTCTTCCTAGTCTCGATGGTCTTTACATTTTGGCATGATTTTGCAGCGGCTGGTACCGGTTGTTCCTTTCCATATTTAGTGCTTCCTTCAGGACCTCTTTTAGGGCAGGCCTGGTGGTGACAAAATCTCTCAGCATTTGCTTGTCTGTAAAGTATTTCATGTCTCCTTCGCTTATGAAGCTTAGTTTGGCTGGATATGAAATTCTGGGTTGAAAATTCTTTTCTTTAAGAATGTTGAATATTGGCCCCCACTCTCTTCTGGCTTGTAGAGTTTCTGCCGAGAGATCAGCTGTTAGTCTGATGGGCTTCCCTTTGTGGATAACCCAACTTTTCTCTCTGGCTGCCCTTAACATTTTTTCCTTCATTTCAACTTTGGTGAATCTGACAATTATGTGTCTTGGAGTTGCTCTTCTCGAGGAGTATCTTTGTGGCATTCTCTGTATTTCCTGAATCTGAATGTTGGCCTGCCTTGCTAGATTGGGGAAGTTCTCCTGGATAATATCCTGCAGAGTGTTTTCCAATTTGGTTCCATTCTCCCCGTCACTTTCAGGTACACCAATCAGACGTAGATTTGGTCTTTTCACATAGTCCCATATTTCTTGGAGGCTTTGTTTGTTTCTTTTTATTCTTTTTTCTCTAAACTTCCCTTCTCGCTTCATTTCATTCATTTCATCTTCCATCACTAATACCCTTTCTTCCAGTTGATCGCATCGGCTCCTGAGGCTTCTGCATTCTTCATGTAGTTCTCGAGCCTTGGTTTTCAGCTCCATCAGCTCCTTTACACACTTCTCTGTATTGGTTATTCTAGTTATACATTCGTCTAAATTTTTTTCATAGTTTTCAACTTCTTTGCCTTTGGTTTGAATTTCCTCCTGTAGCTCGGAGTAGTTTGATCGTCTGAAGCCTTCTTCTCTCAATTCGTCAAAGTCATTCTCCGTTCAGCTTTGTTCCGTTGCTGGTGAGGAACTGCGTTCCTTTGGAGGAGGAGAGGCGCTCTGCTTTTTAGAGTTTCCAGTTTTTCTGCTCTGTTTTTTCCCCATCTTTGTGGTTTTATCTACTTTTGGTCTTTGATGATGGTGATGTACAGATGGGTTTTTGGTGTGGATGTCCTTTCTGTTTGTTAGTTTTCCTTCTAACAGACAGGACCCCCAGCTGCAGGTCTGTTGGAGTTTGCTAGAGGTCCACTCCAGACCCTGTTTGCCTGGGTATCAGCAGCGGTGTCTGCAGAACCGCGGATTTTTGTGATCCGCGAATGCTGCTGTCTGATCGTTCCTCTGGAAGTTTTTTCTCAGAGGAGTACCCGGCTGTGTGAGGTGTCAGTCTGCCCCTACTGGGGGGTGCCTCTCAGTTAGGCTGCTCGGGGGTCAGGGGTCAGGGACCCTCTTGAGGAGGCAGTCTGCCCGTTCTCAGATCTCCAGCTGCATGCTGGGAGAACCACTGCTCTCCTCAAAGCTGTCAGATAGGGACATTTAAGCCTGCAGAAGTTACTGCTGTCTTTTTGTTTGTCTGTGCCCTGCCCCCAGAGGTGGAGCCTACAGAGGCAGGCAGGCCTCCTTGAGCTGTGGTGGGCTCCACCCAGTTCGAGCTTCCGGGCTGCTTTGTTTACCTAAGTGAGCCTGGGCGATGGCAGGTGCCCCTCCCCTAGCCTCGCTGCCGCCTTGCAGTTTGATTTCAGACTGCTGTGCTAGCAATCAGCGAGACTCCATGGGCGTATGACCCTCCGAGCCAGGTGCAGGATATAATCTCCTGGTGCGCCATTTCTTAAGCCCGTCGGAAAATCGCAGTATTTGAGTGGGAGTGGCCCGATTTTCCAGGTGCCGTCTGTCACCCCTTTCCTTGACCATGAAAGGGAACTCCCTGATCCCTTGCTCTTCCCGAGTGAGGCAATGCCTCACCCTGCTTCGGCTGGTGCACGGTGCGCTGCACCCACTGTCCTGCACCCACTGTCTGGCACTCCCTAGTGAGATGAACCCAGTACCTCAGATGGAAATGCAGAAATCACTCGTCTTCTGCGTTGCTCACGCTGGGAGCTGTAGACTGGAGCTGTTCCTATTCGGCCCGCTTTAGGCAATTTCATCATAAAATCTTTGCCCATGCCTATGTCCTGAATGGTATTGCCTAGCGTTTTTATGGTTTTGGGTTTTACATTTACGTCTTTAATACATCTTGAGTTAATTTCGGTAAAGCAGGGGTCCAGTTTCAGTTTTCTGCATATGGCTAGCCAGTTTTCCCAGTACCATTTATTAAGTAGGAAATATTTTCCCCATTGCTTGTTTTTGTCAGGTTTGTGGAAGATCAGGTGGTTGTAGATGTGTGGTCTTATTTCTGAAATCTCTATTGTGTCAAGAAACAACAGATGCTGGCGAGGCTGTGGAGAAATAGGAACACTTTTACACTGTTGCTGGGAATGTAAATTAGTACAACCATTGTGGAAGACAGTGTGGCAATTCTTCAAGGATCTAGAACCAGGAATACCATTTGACCCAGCAATCCCATTAGTGGGTATATGCCCAAAGGTATATAAACCATTCTCTTATAAAGATACATGTGGGCTGGGCATGGTGGCTCACATCTGTAATCCCAGCACTTTGGGAGGCCAAGGCAGGTAGATCACCTGAGGTCAGGAGTTTGAGACAAGCCTGACTAACATGGTGAAACCCCATCTCTACTAAAAATACAAAAAAATTAGCTGGTATGGTGGCACATGACTGTAATCCCAGCTACTCGGGAGGCTGAGGCAGGAGAATCGCTTGAACCCGGGAGGCAGAGGTTTCAGTGAGCCGAGATTGTGCCATTGCACTCCAGCCTGGGCAACAAGAGTGAAACTCTGTCTCAAAAAAAAAAAAAAACATGCATATGCATGTTTATTGCAGCAATATTCACAATAGCAAAGACATGGAATCAATCCAAATGCCCATCAATGATAGACTGGATAAATAAAATGTGGTACCTATGCACCATGGAATACTATGCAGCCATAAAAAGGAATGAGATCATGTCCTTTGCAGGGACATGGATGAAGCTGGAAGACATCATCCTCAGCAAACTAACAAGGGAACAGAAAACCAAACACTGCGTGTTCTCATTCATGAGTGGGAGGTGAACATTGAGAACACATGGACACAGGGAGGGGAACAACACACTGGTGCCTCTCAAAGGGGTTGGGGGAGGAAGAGCATCAGGACAAATAGCTAATGCATGCAGGGCTTAATACCCAGGTGATAGGTTGAGAGGTGCAGCAAACCACCATGGTACACATTTACCTATGTAATAAACCTGCATGTTGAGCCAGGCACGGTGGCTCACGCCTGTAATCCCAGTACTTTGGGAGGCTGAGGCGGGTGGATCACCTGAGGTCGGGAGTTCGAGATCAGCCTGACCAACATGGAGAAACCCTGTCTCTACTAAAAATAGAAAAAATTAGCTGGGCGTGGTGGCTCATGCCTGTAATCCCAGATACTTGGGAGGCTGAGGCAGGAGAATTGCTTGAAACTGGGAGGCGGAGGTTGCAGTGAGCCGAGATCCCGCCATTGCACTCCAGCCTGGGTGACAAGAGTAAAACTCCATCTCAAAAAAATAAAAAATTAAAATTAAAAAAAGAAACCTGCACGTCCTGTACGTGTACCCTGGAACGTAATAAAATAAAATAAAATACTATTGATTTGTTATTTTTTAAAATTGTTTTCTTTTACTTGAAATTTTGTCAATCAAATGAAATAGCTCTTCTAAATTGCCTATATGTCTTTTTGGCTTTGAAGAAAGTGGTTAAATTAATTCCAAGAAAAAAATATGATTTGAAGTGAGAAATTAAACTTTATATTTGTGATCAAGGAAGGATCTTCTATACGACCCTTACTCATCAAGTCATAGAATCATGAAATATATTAGTGGAAAGGGCTATTAGGGACAATCTGCCAAGCCCTTCATTGTATATGTGCAGAAATTGAGGTCCAGATAGGAGAAATAGTACAAGTTTACTTAGTTTGTGAAAAACACCAGGGCTAGAACTTCCATCTTTTGATTTTTTCTTTCTTTCTTTCTTCTTTTTTTTTTTTTTTTTTTTTTTTTGACGGAGTCTCGCTCTGTCACCCAGGCTGGAGTGCAGTGGCGGGATCTCGGCTCACTGAAACCTCTGCCTCCTGGGTTGAAGCGATTCTCCACCTCAGCCTCCTGAGTAGTTGGGATTACAGGCGCGAGCCACCATGCCTGGCTAATTTTGTATTTTTAATAGAGATGGGATTTCACCATGTTGGCCAGGCTGGTCTCGAACTCCTGACCTCAGGTGATCCGCCCTCCTAAGCCTCCCAGAGTGCTAGGATTACAGGCATGAGCCACCGCTCTCGGCCTTGGTTTTTAAGACTGTATTTTTTCCATTGCACCATGTCTCATCAGGTGGATAGGCACCCAAGAAAGACACCATTCTTCCTTCAGGACTGTGTAAGGCAGAAGTAAAAAGATTTAGAAAAAAACTTCAAATTGTGTACTTTGATATTGAACATTTATAGAAAATAACAATTCTTTAGCCAGATCCCATATGTTCATGAGCAGTCACTTGGACCAAACCTATAGGATAAAATAAAACTGGCATAAATGTATACCATTTGTCCTTGACTGACGTCTCCCACATCTTTTGCAATTGAATTATGTGACATGATGTACAGGTCTTATAAAAACATTTATTCCAAATCATTTACATTAGCTGTTGAGTCCTCGTGATAGCGATGGACTACATGTCTTTAGAAGACTATGCACAAACTGACCTAGCATGTTTTCTCATTGCAAAAGCAGATATAATAACATCAGTCACCTGCTTCCATTTATATTATAAAGTCCATCCAATTAGTATTTTTTCACTAGAATGCTAACTCTATGAGAGCAAAGAGATTTTTGTCCATTTTGTTTACTGCTCTGCTCCATTGCCTAGAAGAACAGGTGGTATTTTCTGAGTCCCAGTTTCATATTTAGATTTCCTTCTTATCTTGACTTAATTCAATAATAGTTAAAATGAGACTATAATGTAATTATTGCATAAAAATAAGCAAAGTACCCAAGATGGAACTGTACACTAGAGACTTTCTCATTTTCTCATGAACTTATTGAGTCCTCACAGCAATTAGAGACCTTTCCAGGACTTTCTTAGGACGTAGTACTCCGGCCGGGCATCGTGGCTCACGCCTGTAATCCCAGCACTTTGGGAAGCCGAGGCAGGCAGATCACCTGAGGTCTAGAGTTCGAGACCAGCCTGACCAACATGGAGAAACCCCGTGTATACTAAAATACAAAATTAGCCAGGCGTGGTGGCGCATGCCTGTAATCCCAGCTACTCCGGAGGCTGAGGCAGGAGTATGGCTTGAACCCGGGAGGCGGAGGTTGCTGTGAGCCGAGATCATGCCATTGCACTCCAGCCTGGGCAACAAGTGCGAAACTCTGTCTCAAAAAAAAAAAAAAAAAAAAAGATGTAGAACTTTTATGATTCTTAATCAGAAACTCCAATCAATGAGGAAGTGGGTGCAGAGTCTGTCCTGACGATGTCCATAAACTCACATCCTTCCATGTGTTTTATCTCTCTTTAAACAGTGAAATTAGTAATGGGAAAAATGTCTAATTGTATCTTTTATATAGCACCTTATTATATAAAGCAATGAATTCTAAATGAAGTCAAGCGAATTCTAAACATGAAGCAATGAAGTGTTTAGTAAAACCATGAGGAACCCACAGAATGCAAAAGCTGTTTACAAATAAGGATTTTTGTTTCTTTTCTCTTTTTTGTGGCACCTGATGTTACAAATATGATTAATCTCACATAATTCTATCATATTTAAACTAGAAGCACAGAGTAGAACAAAGGGAAGAATACTAAATAAGATAGTGTGGTACTTAGGATGGGAACTGGAAGCTAGCAGTGGGAGGGGAGGTGGAGAGACGGGAGGAGCAGCTTTGCAAGTGGTTCATAAATAATGGCCTGCATCCCATCTAACAACATATAAAAATAAAAGAGAGTAATACAATTTGTTACTGTTTAGAAATGAAACGAAATTTTAAAACGTTTCAAATGAGCAATTTTCTCCTTACATTAGTACTCTGGGGACTGATAGGCTTTTTCTTTTGTCTCTTCCGGTTGCCTTGAATGGTGATCAGCAATGCATGATCAGCCAAGTGGCATCAGCTCTAATACTATCATCATATGCCAGCCAAAGGGAATGTGAAAGGGGAAATGGGATTTGCCACTGCAAATGCCATCTCGATTAATAAATGTCTGAGACACGCCAAGCGAGAACAAAATCTATCTTCCTCTTTTTGCATGCACCATGCCTTTTCAGTTATATTACTTGATAATAAACCCTCTTTTTACAGCCTGTTGTGTTTCCAGGCAGCTGACAAGCAGATCAAATCTCCCCAAAAGGGTCATGTTAATCACCATTTCAAACAGCGATCTAAAAAAATGCATTCTAACATGCCTTCGCAAAGGTATAATTCAAATGATTACCTCATGTGTTCCAAAGGGGAATCGGGTGCTGTCCTGTTTCCACAGCACTCAATTTCACAACATTTTGCAAAACTGCTCTGTGAGATATCTTCCTTCAAGAGCAGCAATATCACAGTCATAACTTTCTAAATTTGGGCCTGCAGTAATGACAGACTTTGAATGAATGCTTTCCTATGGTATGGGAAAGAAGAATAAGTTCAAAAAATTAGACTTTTCTCAGCTTTAAGCTCTAAGCTACACTAAGCTGACTTGTCTTCCTTTTTACCTATGTGAAATGCTTATCCTTTGACTGGAATGGAAGGCCGAAATTCACTCTGCTTTCTGCACTGGCTGTTGTTTGAATATTTTTATAATGATTACTTTTAAAATCATAAAAGAAATAGAGAATATATGTTTTAAGAATATATGTCTATGTGTACACATTATTCTTACCCATGATAGAATCCTGTCTCAAGGAGGCAAAATGATAGTGAAGAGACATGAGTTCAAATTCGAAGTCTGCCAATAACTAGCTTTGTGATCTATGACTTGTTATTAAACTCTCCAGGTGCAAATTGCCTGATTGGCTAATGAAAATGTCTCTAAAGACTTCTCCGGCTCTTTAAAACAAAAGGTAGTAAATAACTTCTGGACAAAAAACAAGGCATTTGTCTTCTACATGTTGAGTTTCCAGATGTACTCTAACTTGAAATTTAAAGATATTTCATGTTACATGTTTGTTATTCGGGAATTTTAAAATCCAGTTTTATATTCAGTTATTTCAAATGAATAACAATTCAGTTTCATGATCAACTATTTTTAAATTGTCAGGGAAAAGTTCATTTTCTACTCTTTCTTGCCTTATGCTGTCTAAAACAGTAAAATTAAAATGAGTAGCATTGGAATAAATTTTTCTGCTCAGAAATTATTGACTTATAAAATTTTTTCTTCACCAGAATATTTTGCAATATTTTCTCACTGGGAATTGTATGTGTAAAAGAAAAGCTCAACTAACCTATGAAGTAGAGTATTATGATCCTTAAGTATTTTGTCTTGTGAAACTGTTCTCATAAATCTGTTCTCTCATATCTTATATGCTCAACATGGCTGTTCATCTAGTTCTCTGTGAAGTGTCTGAGAACTATATCCAGAAGACCTAACCAGGAAAACCCAATAAGTTCCAAGAAAACAAAACAAAAATAACTTCCCAAACATGATCCGGAGCCTAGCCAAAAGCATACAAGTTTCTGAAAGCTTAAACTGTACAAAGATTTTCTTAAGTAAGTAAATGTTGTTGTTAACCTTTCCTTTATGATTTCAGAGTTTTCTGAGGAAATATTCCTTTTTAAAGATGTTGTGGTTATACTCAGTTAATACAGTCTACAGGTCTCTAAATATTTTCTCTTGCATTCCATATCAAACGTCTTCAGATATATATATATATATATATATATATATATATATATATATATACACATACACACATACATACACATATACATACACATATCTTCAGATACATATATAGGTGTGTGTGTATGTGTGTGTATATATGTATGTGTGTGTGTGTGTATATATATATATATACTCCTTAACGTAAAGAGTAAAAATATGTCTAAAAATATTACATACTAAGCAAAATATGGCTGGTCTGTATTTTTATTTTTGTGCATGTAAATAAAAGCAGTTACAAAAAACAACTAAAACTGACCATCTAAGACATCATAAAATGTGTCAGACTGTTAGAAAGCAAAGTGTAGAGTGTATTTACTAGATATGTTTGACCACGAAAGGTTCAGTGAGTCCCAGAATAAAGGAATGCCTCTCATGCAAGTCTTAAACAAGAGCCAATCCAAACACTTTTTTTTTTATACTTTAAGTTTTAGGGTACATGTGCACATTGTGCAGGTTAGTTACATATGTATACATGTGCCATGCTGGTGCGCTGCACCCACTAACTCGTCATCTAGCAATAGGTATATCTCCCAATGCTATCCCTCCCCCCTCCTCCCACCCCACAACAGTCCCCAGAGTGTGATATTCCCCTTTCTGTGTCCATGTGATCTCATTGTTCAATTCCCACCTATGAGTGAGAATATGCGGTGTCTGGGTTTTTGTTCTTGCCAAATACTTTGATTGGAAGTCTGGTATGCGTGTTTATTTTTGACATTTGACTTCAACTGCCTAAGATGTGGATGAAATATGGAAATGATTTTTTTCCTTGACAAAGTTTTGTTATTGTGACTTAGGTTGTAGTACTTATTCTTTTACAAGATGCCTATGACTCAATGGTTAGACGTGGACTGTCTTAACTTTTAGCAGTTTACTTTTTACATAATGTATTATAACTAACTAGTGTTAATTTCCTTGTTCTTCACAACACATTAAGCTTAGAGGCAAACTAGAATCTAGAGTCTTGATCTAGCTAAAAAAAAAATGTTTTAACTGAGGATCCAGTAGTGAACAAAATAGATACATTCCCTACTGGTAAAGAAACAGCTCATGCAGGAGACCTGTGGCTGGGTCAAACTGATCTGTTACAGACTTTCAGACTCTCATAACATACAGTCATGCATTGCTTAAGTACAGGGGTACCTTCTGAAAAATGCATCGTTAGGCAGTTTTTGTCATTGCGTGAACATCACAGAGTGTCCTTAGGCAAACCTAGATGGTATATGGTGTGACTCCTAGGCTACAAACCTGTACATCATGTTACCACACTGAATACTGTAGGCAGTTGTAACACAATGGTATTTCTGTATCTAAACATTTCTAAACATAAAAAATGTAATGCATTGTGCTATGACAATATGACAGCTAAGATATCGCTAGACTACAGGAATTTTTCAGCTTCATCATCATCTTATGAAACCACCACAATATATATGGTCCATATGTGACCGTACTTTGTTGTACCACTTGTCAAAGTTGAAACTTTACATTTAGGTGTGTAATTGATTAATTAATGTAGAATGGTATTAAGATACTTCAATGATATCTTAAGGATTTTAGTCTTCACAGCTAACATCATACTTAACCATGAAAAGCTGAAAGTGGCCGGGCACAGTGGCTCACGCCTGTAATTCCAGCACTTTGGGAGGCCAAGGCGGGTGGATCACCTGAGGTCAGGAGTTCGAGATCAGTCTGGGAAACATGGTGAACCCCGTCTCTACTAAAAATACAAAATTAGCTGGGCATGATGGCACATGCCTGTAATTCCAGCTACTTGAAAGGCTAGGCAGGAGAATCACTTGAACTCAGGAGGCAGAGTTTGCAGTAAGCCAAGATCATGCCATTGCACTCCAGCCTGGGTGACAAGAGCAAAACTCCATCAAAAAAAGGAAGGAAGGAAGGAAGGAAGGGAGGGAGGGAGGGAGGAAGAAAGAAAAAGAGAAAGAAAGAAAGAAAGAAAGAAAGAAAGAAAGAAAGAAAGAAAGAAAGAAAGAAAGAGAAAGAAAGAAAGAAAGAAAGAAAGAAAGAAAGAAAGAAAGAAAGAAAGAAAGAAAGAAAGAAAGAAAGGCTGAAAGCTTTTCCTCTAAGATCAGGAACAAGACAAGGATGCCCACTCTTAACAATTCTATTCAATATAATATAGGAAGTCCTCACCAGAGCAATTAGGCCAAAAAAAAAAAAAAAAAGAAATCCAAATTGAAAAGGAAGAAGTACAATTCTCTTGGTTTGCAGATAATACACCCTTACATACAGAAAACCTAAAGACCATTAGAACAAATTTAAAAATTCAGTAAAATTGCTAGATACAAAATCAACATACAAAAATCAGTAGTGTTTCCATACACTAACAACAAATATCTGAAAAATAAGAAAATAACCCCATTTACAAAAGCATAAAAAAACTTAGAAATAAATTTAAGAAACAAGGTGAAAGTTCTGTCTACTGAAAACTATAAAAATACTGATGAATGAAGTAGAAGAAAACACAAATAAATGGAGAGATATTCCACATACGTGATTCAGAAGAATTAATATTGTTAAAGTTTCCATAGTGCCCAAAGCAACCTACGTATTCAATGCAATCTCCAGCAAAATTCAAATAATATTTTTTGAAGAAATAGAAAAAGAAATCCTAAAATTCATATGAAACCACACGCACAAAAAAAAAACCCGAATACCCAAAGCAATTGCAAACAAAAAGAGCAAAGCTAGAGGCATCACACTACCTGATTCCAAAATATACTGAAAAGCTATAGTAATCAAAATAGCATGGTACTGGCATAAAAACAGGCAAATAGACCAAAGGAGTAGAATAGATAGCTCAGAAATCAATCCTCACATTTACAGTCAGTTGATCTTCAACAAAGGTGCCAAGAACACACAATGGGATAGAGAGAGTCTCTTCAATAAGTGGTGTTGGGAAAGCTGGATATCCACATGCAGAAGAATGAAATTGGACCCTTATATCTCATCACATACAAAAACCAAGTCAAAATGAATTAAAGACGTAAAGGTTAAGGTCTGAACACATAAAACTACTTGAAGAAAACAGAGAAAAAGCTTCTTGGTGCTGGTTTTGGCGATTTTTTTATATCACCCAAAAAGCATAGACAACAAAAGCAAAAATAGACAAATGGGATTGCATCAAACTAAAAAGCTTCTGTTCAGAAAGGAAACAACGAGAAGAGTAAAGTGGCAATCTACAAAATGGGAGAAACATTTGCAAACCATATACCTGATAAGGGGTTTATATCCAAAATTTACAGGAAACTCAAAGAACTCAATAGCAAGAAAACAACCAAATTGAAAGTAAGGCAAAGGACCCAAATAGACATTTCTCAAAAGAAGATATAAAAATGGCCAACAGGTATATGAAAAAAAAAAGCTCAACATAACTAATTATCAGGAAAATGTAAATTAGAACCACAGTGATATATCACTTCACACCTGTTAGAATGGCTTCTATTAAAAAGACAAAAGATAAGTATTGGTGAGAATGTAGAAAAAAGGGAACCCTTGAACACTTTGATATGAATGTAAATTAGTAGAGCCATTATGGAAAATAGTATGAAGGTTTCTCAAAAAATTAAAAATAGAACTACAATATGATTCAGCAATTCCACTACTTGGCATATATCTAAAGGAAATGAAATCAGTGTGTTGATGGGATATCTGCACTTTCATGCTTATTTCAGCATTATTTACAATAGCCAAGGTATGGAATTAACCTAAATGTCTGTCAACAGATGAATAGATTGAGAAAATGTGAGATTTTACACACATACACACACACAAAGCCTTACAAGATAAGGAAATTCTGTCATTTGTGATAACATGGATGAACCTGAAGCGTATTATGCTAAGTGAAATAAGCCAGGCAAAGAAAAACCAATATCTTCCAGGGAGTTATAATCTTTTTGCTAGTGGAGGGTCTTGCCTCAATGTTAACGGCAGCTGACTGATCAGGATGCTAGTTGCTGATGGTTGAGGCGGCCGTGGCAACTTTTAAAAATAACAATGAGTTCCATGACGACAGAGCCCTCACTGAGCTGACAGGCCCCTCCATGGATCACCGGCACCAAGGCGCTGTCCAGATCATTCATGCACTGCGAGGGAAGGGGCTGGCCATTTCTCCCTGCTTGATAGCCGACCTGATCTGAATCAAGTGTCACACGTAGTCCCAGTTTGGTCATTCCATCTTCCTTCAGAAGCTTCAGGTGAGGACAGAGAGCAAGACAAAAAGCCTTGGTAACATGCTCAGTCAATCTACTGTGATCTGCAGGATCACTGAGGCAATTGTGCTGGTCAGGATTTTCTGGGAAAAACACCTCTGTCCATCTGATGACTTTTCCATTTGCTTTACATTCTGATCCATAGAATATCTTCACATTTGTTATAGTCTCCATGGACTTCCCATCTATAGGACTTACGACGCCCTTGCTAACGTTCTTGTCATCATCCACCCATTGGGTGTGGATGTGCTCCTGGGGATCCTCTGCGTGCGCCTTCCCACGGGTGATGGTGAAGTCCTTCATCTCTCACAGTGCCTGCCTCAAGGAATCCATGTTTTCTGCAGTGATCTGGACCATAACGCCATCTTCCACAATACTGGACTTGGCAAGGTATCCAGAAGAGTATTTCAGAGTGCCACTGAACACAAAGAAACTGGCACCAGTCACTTTTCTGGGCTGATTGTGAATACTGATAGCCTGGGTCTGATAGCTTCACACACAAGATGAGAGTCTGCCTTTTCATTGAAGCAGGCACCTCCTGCCAAGATATGCTCATTGGACTTGTTCGTGGCTTTCATCATCTCATTTTATCTGTTGCTGGGAATTTTTATGCTGGTTTTCCAAACTTCCATATCAACCACCAAACCTTGAACTACTGGCAAGGTATACTGGTAATTTCTGAAGTCTGCAAGAAGATTCATGATGGTATGCCCCGTCTCTCCAAATAATGGCTTCCGAAATCTGATACTGACTAGTGGGCATGGATAAAGTCGATATTCAGCTCCAAGTCTCAACATCAGATGGATAGGAAACACTTTAGCCCAAGGAGTTTCCCATTTCTGGATAAGAATCCCAAACAAGTAAGGTGGGGTTGGGAGTACTAGGTCTTGCAGTGACTGGTAGGTAGATGTCACATATAAAAATCCACCATGTTTTTTACTGCTGAGGAGACTTTGACTGAAGAAGGAATGTCCCAAGTTGCCCACGACATTCCCTGCCAGAGATCCCGATAAAGTTGCACAAAGTCACTAAAGATATCCTTTGGCAAACACTTTCCATCCGGTAGACACTGTAGAAGAATGACTATCTCAGACTGACCCACTGCATGCATTCCCTTGGTTGTAAAACACCAGCACTTCCTGTTCATATAATTTACAATTTTAACCATTGACAACAAATTTGCATTTAAAACAAATACAAGTGGGTCAGGGCCACCGTCTTCCAACTGCTGCATTTCTGAAATAAATCTGTGATGGTTTATCTTCCACAGCATAGTCTCCTTTTACACCAGTGGAGATGAGAATAGGAGGAAGGCCATCTTCAGGAATAAGGCTCATTGCACTTCCAACAGGACTTCTGACCTGAGTTATACTGCCAGAGAATAGAGGAATATCCATCTCTGCTGGTAGAGGACTGGTAGTTACTAGCTTGACTGGGTCGTGTGACACAGCCAGGGTTCCTGCAGAGGAAGTTCCATTCATTGCTAATTTGGCTGCATCAGCAACTTCTCTTTTGCTATTTCCACCACATCTCAAGTTACTTCCTCCACTGAGTTCTTGACCCTCTCAGTCATCCATAATGATTGGAATCAGCTACTTCACTACTCCTGTTAATGTAATATTTTAACTTCCTCCCATGAATCACAAATTTACTTAATAGCATCTAGAATGGTGAATAAGGAAAACCAGAGGTTTTTCATTTACTTTACCCAGATTAATCACAGGAATCACACTCTATACTAGCTACATATAGCCTTATAAAATATATTTCTTAAGACTTGAAAGTCAAAATATCTCCTTGATCCATGGGCTGCAGAATGGATGTTGTGTTAGCAGGCAGAAAAACAATATTCATCTTTTTGTACATCTCTATCAGAGCTCTTGGGTGTATTGTCAATGAATAACAATATTTTGAAAGGAATCTTGGTTTTTTCTAAGCAGTAGGTCTCAACAGTGGACTTAAAATAATCAGCAAACCATGCTGTAAACAAATGTGCTGTCATCCATGCTTTATTGTTCCATTTTACAGTATAGGTAGAGTTAACTTAACATGATTCTTAAGGGCTCTAGACTTTTTGAAATGGTAAGTGAGCAATGGCTTCAACTTAAAGTCACCAGCTGCATTAGTTCCTAACAAAAGAGTCAGCCTGTCCTTTGAAGCTTTGAAACCAGGCATTGACTTCTACTCTCTAGTTATGAAAGACTTAGATGACATCTTTTTATATAAGGCTGTTCCATCTATATTGAAAATCTGTCGTTTAGTGTAGTCACCTTCCTCAATGATCTTAGATAGATCTTCTGGATTACTTGCTGCAGCTTCTACATCAGCATTTGTTGCTTACTTTGTACTTTTATGTTATGGACATGGCTTCTTTCCTTAAACTTCATGAAGCGACCTCTGCTAGCTTCCATCTTTTCTTCTGCAGCTTCCTCACTTCTCTCAGACTTCATAGAATTGAAGAGAGTTAGGGCCTTGGCCTGGATTAGGCTTTAGGTTAAGGGAGTGTTGTGGCTGGTTTGATCTTCTATCCAGACCACTAAAACTTTCTTTATATCAGCAATAAGCTGTTTTGCTTTCTTATTATTTGTGTGTTCATGGGAGTGGCACTTTTAATTTCCTTCGAAAACTTTTCCTTTGCATCCACAATTTGGCTAATGCAAGAAGCCTAGCTTTTGGCCTGTTTTGGCTTTCAACATGCCTTCCTCACTAAGCTTAATCATTTTTAGATTTTGATTTAAAGTGAGAGACTTGAGACTCTTCCCTTTAACTTGAACACTTAGAGGCAATTATAGGGTCATTAATTGGGCTAATTTCAATATTGTTCTGTCTCAGAGAATGTGGAGTCCCTGAGGAGATGGATAGAGAGGGGAGAATGACCAGTTGGTGGAGCAGTCAGAACACCTACAACATTTATCAGTTAAGTTTGTTGTCCTATATGGGCACCGTTTATGGTGCCCCAAAACAATTACAATAGTAACATCAAAGATCACTGACCACAGATCATCATAACAGATATAACAATAATAAAAAAGTATGAAGTGTTGTTATTTTTTTTTTTTTTTTGAGACGAGTCTCACTCTGTCACCCAGGCTGGAGTGCAGTGGTGTGATCTCAGCTCACTGAAGCTTCTGCCTCCCAAGTTCAAGTGATTCTCCTGCCTCTGCCTCCCAAGTAGCTGGGATTACAGGCACCTCCCACCATGCCCGGCTAATTTTTGTATATTTAGTAGAAAAGGGGTTTCACCATGTTGGTCAGGCTGGTCCTGAACTCCTGACCTCAAGTGATCCACCCGCCATGGCCTTCCAAAGTGCTGGAATTACAGGCATGAGCCACTGCACCCAGCCTGTTGTGATAATTACCAAAATGTAACACAGAGATACAAAGTGAGCACATGCTGTGGGAAAAATATTGCTGATAGACTTGCTTGATGCAGGATTTCCACAAAAGTTCAATTTATTTTTAAAAATGCAACATCTACAAAATGAAATGAAGTGAAGAAAATAAAATGAGGTATGATTATACTAAAAACCATTGAATTGTACAACTTAAATGGCTGTGTTTTATAACACCTGAATTAAATCTCAGTAAAGCTGTTACCAAAGAAAGTCTACTGCAATAGCTTGACTGAAGGTGCTACTAATAAAGATGGAGACAAGTGGATGAATTTGAGAGGTATTTTCAAGGTAAAATCAACAGGACATGTTGATGGATTTGATGTGGAAGTTGAGAGGAAGGAAAGTATTGAGGATGACTCAAATTCCTAGCTTACACAACTGTAAGTAGCTGTTTTGGCACTCTGATACAAAACACTGGAGGAAGAGCAAGTTTGAGAGAAGCAATCTAAGTTCACACTCGGGCCAGTTCAACTTCAGATGCCCTTGAGATATCCCAGTGGAGATGTTGAGTTGGACATAAGGGTTTAAGGTTCATAGGAGAAACACGGGTTGGAGATATAAATCTTTATTTATGCTCTGGAGACACACTGAGCATAAAGATATTGTAAGCCATGGGAATAGATTAAATCATTCAGAGAAAGAATATGGAGTGGGATGATAAAAGTATCTAGAACAGTGCCCTGGTGAACTTCAATGCTTAATAACCAAGTAAAGGAGGATAAATCTGCAAAGGAGCAATACAAAAGTGGGCAAATAAAACAAGGGGACCGTAGTTTCATAAAAGGCAAGGGCAAAATGTACTTCAAGAAGGAAGGGAAGATTGTCTGTATTAAATGCTACTGAGGGATTGAATAAGATGAGGACTGAAAATTATTTGTTAGACTTAGTGACTTGATTGTCACTGGTGACCTTAGTGAGAACTGTTTTAGCAGAGTGGTGTGGGTAGAAGTTTCAAGGACCATACAGTCAAAAGACTCACTATTGTATTAGGGCTGGGGGAGCTGGGGAAAGAAATTATCCATAAACGTATAGGAAGAACATGCTACTGTGATAAATATCAATGATTATTGACATAAGTTTATTGAAATTCATGTGCAAGTTCTTAATGTCAAAATATCATATTTGTATGCTTTCATAGGATTATCATTTTAGAAATGCTATACTATGAAATAGCCCACAACCTACCTTGGAGGTCTTTATAGACCACTCATGTGCTTCAAGCATCTGTGTTTAAGAAATCTATGCATCAAAATAACTGCTAGAAAAAGGAAATTAAATTTAGTTTTGGAAGCCTGAGGAAAAAAGTTATTTCTTTTCACTGGGCCTCAGAGTATTCAAATTTAAAATGATAAAGGTGGACTAGTCCACGTTCAGCTCTCCCATTGTATCAGCATTATCTATGGTGATTCAACTTGTAAATAAGCACCTCCATACCCTCAGTGTTTTCACAGAACACCTCTTTCCTGCCCTAATGAAGAAGACTTGGCTCTCTACAAAGACAATGAGCCTCACCATGCAGCTCTCTCCAATTAAAGCTGCTTGAGCTCTAAACATCAAATTCTGGGATGGATAGGGTCAGGTAGCATAGGGAACCAGCACCCTCCTGCCTTCCCATTTCCCTTACCAGGCCATTGCTCCAGCTTCATGAAAAGCCTCACTGCCCATGAAGTTCACACCATCTGCAGATGCCATCTTTTACTCCTTCCCAGGATGATCATCTACCTCTCTTTTGGACATTTTCCTTCATTCACTGAGGACTCTGGCATCTGGCTTACCGGCATCCTCTGTACCTCAATTCCTGGCACCATTGGCCAGTTGGAAGAGCTATCTCACATCCTATACTCACATTCCTTCGCCTGCACAGTTCTCAGGGTCACATCCTGGATATTGCCACCTTCCAAAATGTCTTCACCTTGAAGTCATAGATTCATACATTCCATTTTCTGACCAAGACTGCCCATCTTTCAGTCTAGGCCTTCTCCTTGGTCAAGTCTCTACTCTAGGTTTCCATACACTCTGTTCATGACTCTATCTTATTACTTACTAGATCATATTGAAAGTCTGTTAATATGTCTGTTTCCCATGAGTACCTGGAGAGAAGAAATTGTTTCAGTCACCCTGCAGGCCTAGTATCTGGCACGTGGTAAGCACTCAAATCTGAATAGATGTTTCTGAGTGACATTTACATTCAAAGCACTGTGCTTGGTATTTGAGATCTACCCAAAGCTGAGTGAAAATAGGTTTTGACTGCAAGAAACTTAGAGACCAATAGAAGACGTAACACAAATGAATTAAAAACAAAATTTCAAGGTGGGAAGCGAGAGGGGCCTCAAGAACTATAAAAATAAAATTCTATAAGATTGCTAATGCAAGAAAGGTGGGAATGGAGAGACACAAAACATACTCCTTCTGTGAGGGGATCAGAGGCACTTCATAGAGGATGTGACATCTGAGCTAATTTGGAAGAATGGGTTGGGATTCGGATATATGTAATTCTAGGAAGAGAGAACAGCATGAGGAAAGACACTAAGTTACAAAAGCACAAGGTGTATCTGAGGATCAACTGATTTAATGGGAGCAAAGGGTATGTGAGGAGAAAGTGAAAACAACTAAGTTAACCTAATTTTGGAGCAACTTATCTGCCCATTTTGATGTTATTTTGGCATTGGGTAGCCATAGGTACAGTTCCTTGGTGTCTGATTTATCAATTAACCCTTAAGCCACATACCTTTCTTCAAAAGAATATTTCAAGGATCAAAAAAGCTCTTACAAAGGCTTTTCATCCAAGACGATATTTATTATTCCTACCTAAGCTTACCTTTTTTTTTTTTATAAACATGGTCATTGTTTCCTATAACAACGTGATAAACAGGTTTGTTTATTTTGTAAAGGAAGGTAAGGCCAAACAACAAAGATGGGAATCATTTTCAATTCTTTAAATACTTTAGATGATATTTTATTTCTATGAACATATTTTCCTGTTATTGTAAATTTATACTAAGTAAATAATGATGGCATTAACTGGCATTCTTGGTGTGCTTTTGATCATCTTTCTCAAAAAGCAACTGCCAAGAGAATTTTCTAACAGACATCACTTAACCACTAAGTGACTGCAAGTGTTAAAGGCAATTAAGCAATGATTATTTAAGAAACACAATGAAAATTACCTAGTTTCTCTACTAAGGAACTTAAAACATATTACACACACACATACATTCATACCACAGGGTCCTTGGATGTATTATTTTACTGTACATTTTAAAAACTGGACCAGGTCTTCATCCTCAGAGGTGTTGATTCTAATCTTATTAAGAGTCCTCAGGCCAGGGATTCACTTCAGAATCCTGGCTCTGCCACTTATTATATGTGTGGCCTTGGGCAAGTTACATAACCACTCTGAGCCTCTCAGTTTCCACATTAGTAACAATTAGATAATTTCACCTCCTTCATAGGGTTTTTGTGAAAATTAAATTACACAATGCATGCAAAGTGTTTAAGCACAATGCCTGACATATAAAACCTGCTCAATAATTGGTAACTGCATTGTTATTATAGACAAAAATAGACTTTTTGGCAAACAAATCTATTTTACATAATGGATTTGTATCTGCACGAAAAAAAAAACCCTCTATATGAAACTGAACTGCCCTTAGTATTAGGCTCCTGTACATTTCCTGTCTTTTCCATCACTACATAACTAAACTATTGCCAGATTTAGGATGATACTAGTTTTGAGATGTTTTTATACTCAGCCTGAAGGGATCATATATTCTTCTTTAATAATACATCAAGCCCAAACTTTTCCAATGCATTCTTTTCTTTTTATTCTCATGAAACAGGCACCTCTTTCCCATAATTTCAATACAATGTCAAAACAAAATGACATTTACTAGTCCCTGATCTGATCCACATGCTAGACTGGTCAGTCCAGATCTAAGTACACAGGCAAAACTGCTGAGCTCTTTGCAACCACTGGCATATCTCCAGATTCCCAACAAGGATATACAGTTCTCCTTCACTGACTGAATAGGGAGCTATGTTAAGGCACTGATGAAACTGGCAAACTATAAATTACCAAGCTCTCTCTTGCCTCCCTTGCTTTTTAGAAAATACTACATATTTTCATAAACTACCATATTACTGAATGAAGTAAAGGAGGTGGGTGGTAAATAGAGATTATGTTTCCCTTCCTGCATCAGGCATAAGACTTAGAAAACTTATGGCTATTCTCCTTTACCCACCCCAAGCATACACATGGACCCCACCCAACCAAACTCTGCACCCCCTCTCCCCCCAAAAAAATGTTATGTAGAAACTTGGAATAGCCCTGTCTGGCTGGAATGGGAGTAATTATGTAGTATCTTGGGGTTTAGAAATTGAGTTTAAGTCCATTCAACATTTATTGAGCATCTAGGCTGTAAGACTATTCTGTGCTTTATATTGAGGGGAATATAAAACTAGGTAAGGTTATGATTTCTACGTTCAAGAAATATGACAAATGAATTTTTATCCAGAGCAGTAATGCACTGTTTCTGCCTGGATTAGCTGACATCTGTTTGAGCCCTAAAATCTTCTGTATTGGGGGATTTTAATAATGAAAGCAAAATAGAAGATAGACCGCCAGAGAGGGAAACCACAGAAAGATAGTAGATCTACCATGACAAATCCAATCAGATTGCAATATAAGTGAGGATTGTGGATGCTGAAACCAACCTTTAAAGGCAACATAAAGCGATAAGAGGGCTCTGGGATCAGTCAAACGTGTGTTCTGATCCCACTATGCCAGTAACTAGCTGTTATCCTTAAGCAAATGATTCAATCCCTCAGAATCTGTTTTCTTTCTGTAAAATAGTAATATTAATAATATGATTACCTGATCCATAAGATTATTTTGAGGCTTAAATAAATTAATGCAGATAAAGCACAACGCCTGGCGCACAGTAAGTGCTCTGAAGTATTAACTATTAATATTATTATGATTAAGGCTTGAAGCCTTTCTGGTGAAAACGTACTGCTTAAAAGCTCACCTTAGCAAAAGAGACTTGTTTCTGAGACATCACTATCACTAGGAAGCCAGGAAAGTCTTACCCAATCAGGGTCTGAATGTAGCTGTACCTGAAAATTAAGGTTGGACTTAGAAAATCCAAAAAGGAAGCCACTGCTTTTTTCACCCCTTAAATAGAGATGCCTGCAATGTTCTGTCCCAGCACAAATTATTCCAGCTATCACAACCCAAATATACACTCAACAAGCACTTTCATCAATTTGCCCTGGCATCACCCGTAAAACACTTAAAATATGGAATATGCTATTAGTACATTTTATCTTCTCCAGCTTTATTTCTAGCTTGTGTGTTCATCAACATCATCAAGACATACCCCTCCTCTTCCTTTTTTTTTTTTTTTGGAGACAGAGTCTTGCTCTGTCGCCCAGGCTGGAGTGCAGTGGCGCGATCTCGGCTCACTGCAACCTACGCTTCCCGGGTTCAAGCGATTCTCCCGCCTCAGCCTCCCGAGTAGCTGGGACTACAGGCGACTGCCATCATGCCTGGCTAATTTTTGTATTTTTTTAAGCAGAGACAGGGTTTCACCAGATTGACCAGGCTGGTCTCGAACTCCTGACCTTGTGATCCACCCGCCTCGGCCTCCCAAAGTGCTGGGATTACAGGCGTGAGCCACCATGCCCAGCCACACCCCTCCTCTTCCTACACACACACACACACACACACACACACACACACACACACTGTAAGGCTCTGTCACTGTGCTGAGCAATTCATACTCAAATGCCCAAGCCCCAGTCCATGACTCAAGCGGATCTCTGTCCAGTTTGCAAGACAGGATATACTCAGCAAACAATAGCTTAGGATACCTTAGTGCCTAGTGGAAGCCAGTGAACAGTATAGAAGGTAAGGTCTGCAGGGCTCCAGAGGAGACAGAGACTGAAATATTCCCTGGCTTAAAGGCCTTCCAAAGCTTCCTATCTCACTTGGAGTAAAATCCAATGTCTTTACCGTGGCTTGCAAGGCTCTGTACGATCAGGCTCCTTCCAAGTTGTCCAGCTTTATCTCCCCCCAACTCTGTACCCACTGGCTCTACTCCAGCCACAATGGCCTCCTTGTTGTCTGTTCAACAGGCCAAGCATGTTGCACCTAGGGGCCTTTGCAGTGGCCATTCTTTCTGTCTGTAAAGTTCTGTCTCTTGATCTTTGCATGGCTGATTCCTTGTCTCTGCTCAGGTCTTAATTCAATGTCTCTTCCTCAGAGAGGCCTTCCCTGACCCCTTATTTAAAGGACTTGCCCCTTCCCCCAGCCCTGTCACTTCCTATCACATCATCCTCTTTTATTATCTTCATAGCTCACTACTCTTTAGCCAAAATGGCCTCTTCTTGATTGTTTTCCTTCCTGCCTCTAGGTCTTTGCATACGGTATTTACTCTCTACGGAACGCCCTTCCCCTTCTCTTCATGTGGCTCTTTCTCAATCTTCAGATCTCAGCTGAAGTCTCACCTCCTCAGAAAGGACTTCCCTGATTACTTAATATAAAGCAGCCCATTCTGTCCCCCTGCAACACTACCATTAGTCCCCATCAGCGGCCTCTTTACTTCCTTCATGACACTATGGCCATCTTCAATATTATACATATCTGTTTTCTTCCTACTCTCACCCTAGACTGAAAGTTCCATGAGGACAGGGATTTTTGTCTGCTTCGTTCATCACTGGGGTTGTCAGGGAAGGCTTCACTGAGAAGGTGAAATTTGAGCAAAGTCCTGAAGATGGGGCTAGTACTACTGTTACTAATACATTGAGTGCAGGTATCCTACCTGACTTTTGGAGCCCTCCATAACCTGGACAGACCTTATCTAGGTAGTCATTTTTCTCACTCATCCACTAGGACACACTGTGCAATCTCATCAGACCTGTCTCACTTATTCCTACCTAGAAAGTCTTTCATATTTCCTGACCACAATCTTTAAAATGCCATGATAGGGGTATTATCATTACACTCATTTTGCCCATGACAAAACTGAGGGTCAGAGAGGTTAAATAACTTGTCTAATTTCACACAGCCAGTAAGTGCTGGAGCAAGATTGAACCTCAAATCTATTTGAACTTCAGAGCCTGTATTCTTAAAATATTACAGGATGCCAAAAACATAGGAGAATAGGCAGCACGGAAGATATTAAAAAATGCATAAAGAGAGCAAAACAGATCCTCAGTTAAGTCTGTTTGACTCCAGAGTTTGCTCATAACCTCTGTGTAGGGTCGCATATGTCCAGGTTTGTCTGGAAAAATCGTGGTTACTTCTGTTTTCCCAGCCTAATTATCAACAGTGTACCCTTTCACTCTCAATTTGTTGAGATTTTTAAGAAGATTGCATGTATATATATATATTTTTTTTTTGAGATGAAGTCTCACTCTGTCACCCACGCTGGAGTGCAATGGTGTGATCTCAGCTCACCGCAACCTCCACCTCCAGGGTTCAAGCAATTCTTCTGCCTCAGCCTCCCGAGCAGCTGGGATTACAGGCATGTGCCACAACACCCAGCTAATTTTTGTATTTTTAGTAGAGATGGGGTTTCACCATGTTGGCCAGACTGGTCTCGAACTCCTGGCCTCAGGTGATCCACCCGCCTCGGCCTCCCAAAGTGCTGGGATTACAGGCATGAGCCACCGCGCCCGGCCAGAAGATTGCGTATTTTACACTTAACAGCACATCTGGCCTTCCCAACTCTCACAGTGCCATTTCTCTCACTGTTGAGAAATTAAGAAAAATGAAAAAAGAAAAAAAAAGAAGTTCTTCTTTTGTGTTTTCTGGCACCACATTTCCATTATGGAAATGAATTGTGTTTTCCATATGTTACATTAGCATTCCTTGAAAACCATATTTGACAATAAGTGTATAGGAAGGAATGCATCTGTATGAGCAATAAACATTGGTTGAATACTACTGAAAAATAATAAAAATAAGTCAAATTTGGTTTCAATAAATGGTCTGTTTATCATTATAACCCCTAATACTCACTGAGAGTTTTATATGTGCTAGTCATTTTACATGCATCATTCCATTCAATCTTCACAAGAACTATCATCATCCCCATTCTTTTGTTTTTATATTTTACTTTTTTAAAATTGGCAAATAAAAATTACATATATTTATGGAGTATAATGGGATATTTTGATATATGTAGGCATTGTGGGATGATTAAAGCAAGCTAATTAACATATTCATCATATCATATAGTTAACATTTTTTGGTGACAAGAACATTTAAGATTTACTCTCTTAGCAAATTTCTTTTTTTCTTTTTTTTTTTAAGCAAATTTCAAGTAGACAATAAAGTATTATTAAGTATAGTCACCATGCTGTATATTAGATCTCTGGCACTTATTTCTCCTAGCCGAAATTCTGTACCCTTTGACTAGTATCTCCCCATTCCCTCTCTCACACCCAGACCCCAGCCTGTGGTAACCATCATTCTATTTTCTACTTCTATGAGTGTGAAGTTTTTACATTCCACATATAATTGAGATCATGCAGTATTTGTCTTTCTGTGCCCAGCTTTTTTCACTTAGTATAATGTTTTCCGGGTTCATCCATGTTCTCAAAAAGGACAGGATTTTCTTACTTTCTAAGGCTGAATCGTATTCCCGTGTGTGTGTGTGTGTGTGTGTGTAGCGTATAAAGAATAGTATTTCACTGTGTGTGTATATGTGTGTGCATGTATATAGCATATAAAGAAAATGCAACACACACACATACATATATGGACACTTAGGTTGATTCCCTATCTTGGCTATTGTGAATGGTGCCGCAACAAACACGAAAGTGCAGATAACTCTTTGACATGCTGATTTCATTTCCTTTGGATATATACCAAGAAATGAAATTGCTGGATCATATTGTAGTTCCATTTTTAATTTTTTGAGAATCCTCCATACTGTTTTCCATAATAGCTGTGCTAATTTGCATTTCTACCAACAGTGTACAAGGGTTCCCTTTTCTCCACATCCTTGCCAACACTTGTTACCTTTTGTCTTTTTTTTTTTTTTTTTTTTTTTTTGAGATAGAGTCTCACTCTGTTGCCCAGGCTGGAGTGCAGTGGTGCGATCTCGGCTCACTGCAACCTCCACCTCCCAGGTTCAAGTGATTCTCCTGCCTCAGCCTCCCGAGTACCTGAAATCACAGGTGCATGCCACTATGCCCGGATAATTTTCGTGTTTTTAGTAGAGACAGCATTTCGCCATGTTGACCAGGCTGGTCTTGAACTCCTGACCTCAGGGAATCTGCCGGCCTCGGCCTCCCAACGTGCTGGGATTGCAGGCATGAGCCACTGCACCTGGCCTCTTTTGTCTTTTTGACAGAAGCTCTTCTAACAGGTGTGAGGTGATATCTTGCTGTGGTTTTAATTTGCATTTCCCTGATGATTAGTGATGTTGAGCACTTTTTCATATAGCTGTTAGGTAGTCTATGTCACCTTTTGCTAAATGCCTATTCAAATCCTTTGTCCACTTTTTAATTGGGTTATTTGGTTTCTTGCTATTGAGTTCTTTGAGTTTCTTATATATTTTGGGTATTAACCCCTTATCACATGCATAATTTGCACATTTTTTCTTATCATTAACCCCATTTTAAAGATAAAACAACTTGAGGTTCAGGGAGGTAAAGTGACTTACCCAAGGTCCCAAAGTTGCTAAGTGGCAGAGCTAAAATTCAAACCCAAATCAACCTGATTCTGAAGCCTTCATGTTTAACCATAGGGGGTTACTACCCGTACTACATTGCATTGCCTCATAACTGCATTCAAAAGTCAAACTCGGCTGGGCACAGTGGCTGATGTCTGTAATCCCAGCACTTTGGGAGGCCGAGTCAGGCAGATCACTTGAGGTCGTGAGTTCAAGACCAGCCTGGCCAACATGGTGAAACCCCATCTCTACTAAAAATACAAAAATTAGCTGGGCATGGTGGCATGTGCCTATAATCCCAGCTACTTGGGAGGCTGAGGCACGAGGATTGCTTGAACCCTGGAGGTGGAGGTTGCAGCGAGTCGAGATCGTGCCACTGCACTCCAGCCTGGGCAACAGAGCGAGACTCCATCCAAAAAAAAAAAGTCAAAATCACTACGGAATGCCCAATATTTATCATACAAAAGAAATATAAAAGGAAATGACTTCCCTAAAGTCCTACTCAAGCACTTTTATTGATACATAAACATTTATATGATCTCCCTCCCAAATTATAGAAATGTAGCTAATGAAAAATAGCAAAACCTACAATGAAATGTTGTGTATTCAATCTCCTCTTTGCCTTTGTGACTGCATCCCCACCCAAGGCCACACATGGGAGGGAGCCCAAGTAGAGCGCACCAGCAAATTTGCAGTTGGGGAGTGAATGGAACATGATGTGGTGCAAACCCCAGTTGTCCCTCCTTCCTGCAAACAGTCACTATATTCAACTCTACCCACATCTCTGAACACCTGCTATGTGCTCACAACACTGGGCCAGTCACTGAGGATACAGAGGTGAAAAAAAGACAGTTTCCATGTTCGAGCCCCCACTTCCTGTGTTTAGAGGATGGAGGGAGAAGAGAAGAGGAGCAGTGCAAAAAAGACCAGTATAAGAGCTTCATTCCTCCTCTGAACTCCCTTAGCACATTTGCTGTACCTCTTTTCTGGCACTTTCACTTACTTTCTATCTGCTATTTTATAGAGAGGCAGTGTAATGAAGTAGCAAGCAGTGAGCTTGCCAACCAGACTTGGCCTTAAATCCCAGTTTCTCTACTTGAGCAGCTGGGTGACCTTGAATAAGTCATTTAACCTCCTTTGACCTCAGTTTCCTCACCATGAAAATGAGAGTTATAATATCTAACTTACAGGATTGTTGAAAGGAGTCAATTGGAAAGGTACTTTTGTAAAATGCCTCACATGGGACCACGAACATAGTAGTTATTCAATAAAGAGCACCACTTAATGTTCTTATGACATGTTTTATCTCCTGTACTAGCAGATAAGCTCCTTGTAGGCTCTACCTGAATGTATTCATCTGTGAATCCTCAGAATATTGAGCACATGGTCTTGCATATAAGAAACTCAAAAATAGCTGTAGAGAGAATCAAAGAATGAACAAATTATTATAGTTCAAGTACAGTAATCTGTGATCAAAAGTATTACAAACAATGTGATTGTAATTTCAGGGATTCAAAGAAGGGCAGCAACACATGTAGTTATAGAAGGCAAAAGAGAAAATGAAGGGTCAGGAAAAGCTTTAAGGGAAAGATGGATATTGCTAGTGGAAGAAATGACATGGAAAAACATTTCTGCCTGAGGGGGTTTAAACCCATGTCTGTCTGGCTTCAATGTCTCACTGTTCCCAAAGTTATGCCAGACCATCCCTCCTATAGCTAAAGTGTAAAGTTGTGGCATACTAAAAAGCCAAGAAACGCAAGTCCTAGTCTGTCAAAGACTTGTGTTATCTTAGGCCTGGTACTTCACCTCTCTAAGCCTAAAGTTCCTCATCTGTAAAACTAGGACTTAAAAACAAGGACATCTATCTCCATAGTTGTTTAGAGACATGTGCTCCACAAATGGCAGCAGCAATTTCTATTCTATTTTCTTCCCAGTGTTGCAAATGAGTCCGCTCACACACTCTTCAAATTTGGCAAAGCAAGTCCAACATTTATGTGTACTAAGCTGGCCAGGCATCCCAGTTGCCTGGAGTATTCGATTTTGCATAAAGCTTTGTATGTTGCTTTTTAGGCCAGTTTTGATAAATGCTATAAGATCTTGGAGCATCTGAACTCTTTTTGGCATGACTGGAACTTCATACTGCATGAAGTTGTGGTAAAATGAGATTGCTGGGTAATTTTATAAGACTTTAGGTTCATTAACAAATTTTGGGAAACATTTCCTCTAAAGGAAAATAAAATGAACTAAAAGCTGGCTAAAATGCTGATTCAGCTTGCTGATAGCAGCAGTCCTGAAGAAGAAAGTGAGAGTATTGCCATCATGCAGTAAACGAGGAGCCAGACCTAGAAGGCGATGACACGGGGGCACCAATGGGGAGCTTTGCCTGTTCATTTTTATATCCAGTATTTTTGGTTTCAAGGTAAATAAAGCGATAGACTATATCAGACAAAAAGGAGGGAACTTCCAGAACCATGATGATATATTAAATTCCATCCCAGGCTCAATAAGCTATGACTTATAAGGCTTGTAAAATCTTTACAGGGCTCCTGACAGCTCCACATGTGCTGATGGCCAGAAGAATGGAACCTTTTGCAAAACCTCTGCTAAATCATGCATCTTGGCTTGAATGTTTCTGTCTGCCCATGATGACAAAATACAGAGTGAGTGGAGTGCACTGAGATTTGAGGGAGTAGATGTGGGTGTTTCTGCACAATATAGAGCCTCCTTATTTAAAGTGGCATTTCGTCATAGCTTCCATCTGTAAGATGCATTTTTGACTATATTGGATAAAAGCTGCTCTCTCTTAATTTTAACCATGCCTGAGCAACATGACCTTGTTCGTCACATATTGAATTATATTAAGGGTCTACTAGAAGACACAAAGCTTCTAGTAAGTTCTGAAAAACATGAGCTTGAATAGATTACACTCAACAGGCTAAAAGAGTTTCCTATTAATTTTAACTGGAGTTCATGTCTAGATGGGAAAAAAATAGACTTTCACAGACAAGTAAATAGTTTTCCATTGTCCAGAAAAGTTGCAAATAAGAGTGACTGGAACTTTTTCATATCATGCTGAGTTTTGCTTCAGGACTCAAATGCTTGTGGGGTGAGAACATCATTGAGAAGTGAGCTGATAAAAGGGGCTTTCCTCTTTCACCTTTCCAATGCTATGTTGTAAATTTTCAACGTTTTAAATAGTATATTGCTCAGATGTTTGGCATGCAAGTAAGGAAAAAAAGGAATTAAAATGGTGTTCTTCCTTCTCTCCACTCTCCTCTCAGCTTTTACTAACTGCTTCACTTGCTGGCCTCACAGGACTGTGCAGTGCGGGAGAAGAAACATGCTTGGTTGGGACCCCTGAAACTGAAGTCAATACCTTCCACCCCCCCAATCTCTAATCATATCCTTGGGATTGAGGCTAGCCAGGTTTAACTGTTGTGCCACCTTTCCAACTGTCCACTGAATTTGCTTAGTTGATTACCTTCTAAAAATACTGGAGTAGGAGAAGGTGGTTTCCAGTATGTCTGATTACAAGCACAAGAGAAAATTTTCACTGGCCCCTATATCAGAAGATTGGATCCAATTGGAAAGCAACCAAATCCTAAAGTTCACTGGCCATTTACTAAGCATCTACCACATGCCAGGCACCATGTTTGGCACAGTATTTAGGTACGGCAGTAAAGAGGTGGCATGAGCGTGAACTCATGAAGTTCAGTAGAGCAGATAGGCAAGCAACCAGATTAAGTGCAAGACAGAGGGATAACTGCTATGATAGGGGGTACCAAGGTGAGGCTGGTATAGTCTGTGCTCACAGCGAGTTCAGGGCCTAGTGGGAGATATATACTAGCAAATAAACAATTACAATACAGAGTGATAGTCTATGGGAGAAGGGAGCTCAGGGACTGTGGGAGCACAGAAGAGAAGATGACTCCTTCCTCTATTTGTGGGGGATGGGAAAGGGCTTCACATAGGAGGTATCATTAAACCAGATCCTGAAAAATGAAATGGCTCAGGAAGTAGGAAGTTTAGGACTACAGCATACTAGCAATCACAATTTTCTACCTTCAAGTGACTGTGACCTTTGAGTAATGGCTGATGTAATCTTCACACAAAGAGCAGTAAAGAGTTAAATCTCACTTCTGCCAGTCCTTTTAAGGTTCTTGCAATCCCAGGGGAGGAAGGACTCTAATCCTGCCTCATAGCAGTAGTAGGAATGCTTCAAAGGGAGGAAACTAAGAAACATCAAAGACAGGGTGTGTTTCTGGATAAGGGGAAAGAGCCCTGGGTTTGAGTTCCAGCTCCACCACTAAATAACTAAATAATTAAATAAATAACTCCATGATCTTCAAGAAAACTTTGGACTTTCTCTCAGACTCAGTTTCTTGATCTGTAGAATGGTAATAATCTTGTCTGCCTCTCAATATGTTTATGAGGATCAAGTGGAATGATACAGGGAAGGGGCTTTGTAAACTATAAAGCCTCATACGAATGTTAGCTATTGTTTCCTAGAAGGGGAGTGGTGGCCAGAGGTCAGGGGAGCAATTGGGGTTTATTCCTGGTGTCCTCTACCAGGAAGCTGGTCTTTTTTCAGTGAAACAAGCAGGCTTCCTGAGGGAAATGCACAGCCCTTTCCATCATTCATGCAGAGAGTGAGAGAGAAAACAGTGACCTGTGTGGCCAGGCAGCCTGGATGGCTGCCTTCATGGTCTGAGGGATGCAGTGAGTCCTGCTGTCTTGGTCTGGAGGACAACAGAAAGTACCCAGAAATCCATACAGCATAGTAAAGATTCAGACCAACTCAGAAGGGAAGGAGATGGGAAAGCTAAAACAGATAGAAGCTGAACAGGTAATAAAGAGCACTGTTAAGAGAGTGTGGGGAAAGCAAAGGCTTAACAAAGTGGAGCCAGCATAGCAAAGTGGTTAAGAGCACAGACTTCAGAGCACAAAACCCTGGACCTCAAGACCCACCATACAATCTTAGATCAAGTGGCAAATGGGTTTACTAGTTTACTAGTTTACGATGATACATTGCCTCCCTGAACATGTCTTCCCTTTCTGTCCCATTGACTTTGGACTTGGCCATATAACCTGCTATGGAAAAATGGAATATGAGTGGACATCACATATGCTACATATAGGCAAGGGAAAGCTTTAATGGGTGCCATGGTTAGAATATGTCCCCCCAAAATTCATATGTTGAAATTCTAACACTGAAGGTGATGGTACTAAGAGGTGGAGCCTTGGGAGGTGATTAAGTCATGAGGGCAGAGCCTTCATGAATGAGATTAGTGCCTTAATAAAAGAGGCCCCAAGGGAGCTCATTCACCCTTTTCGACATGTGAGGACACAGCAAGAAGGTACTCTCTATGAACCAAAAAGCAGGCCCTTGCCAGAAAATGAATCTTCCAGAGGCTTGATCTTGGACTTCCCAGCCTCCAGAACTGTCAGAAATAAATTTCTGTTGTTTATAACCACCCAGTCTATGGTAGTTTTGTTAGAGCAACTTGAATGGACTAAGACAATGAGCTTGCATAATTTGGCTCTGCCCCTCTTATTCCTGTCCTATGAAAATAGCATGCCTCACATAGTGGCTACGCTTTCAGCCTGGATTCCAGAATAAGAAGAGTTGTGGGGCCAAGCACAGCCACACTGAATAAGAGCCCAGCAGATCTACACCTGAACTGCAGCCTTCACATAATGTAAACAAGAAATAAATGGGAGTTTAACTTAAGGGTCCACAAACTACAGCCAATGAGGATAAACATGGCCCACACCTGTTTTTGTACAGCCTGTGAGCTAAAAATGGCCTTTACATTTTAAAATGGTTGAAAACACATCAGAAGAAGAATGATATTTCATGGCACATGAAAGTTCCATGAAATTCACATTTACATATTCATCAATAGAGTTTTCTGGAACACAGTCATATTTATCTATTTACACGATATATATGGCCACTTTTGTGCCACAATGGGAGAGTTGAGTAGTTGTGACACAGACTGTATGGTCCACAAAGATTAAAATATTTACTATCTGGACCCTTTTTTAAAAAAATTGCCAGACTCTAGTTTAAGCCCAGAGATATTGGGATTATTTGTTTGTAACCCAAGCAAAGATAACTAATATAGTAAAATACTTAAGTTCACCAAACCTCAGTTTTCTCATCTGCTAAATGGAAACAAAAATAGAACCAACATCTTTGAGTTTTTAGAAAATTAAATAATATAGTGCATCTAAAACACTTAAGATGATGCCTGGCACTTAGCAAGCATTCATAATTATTATTAAGGGGTTGTAAGCTTCCTACAGCAACTATGAGAAAAAAGGAGAAAGACAAATGAAAGGAAAACAGAACATGAGAACAAATGTAATAAATTGTCAAGTTGACTTCAACCGGATCATAAATCTGTTTCAAAATCATTCACAAGGTGTAGCTTGTTCATCAGATCTCTTTCAGGCTCAAGTCACAGGTTAAGAGCCTCCACAGGGACATTGTTAATGTCAAAAATGTCTTCCCGACTATCTTTCTGCTTCTTGGGCTGGTCCCCAGATGGTAATCCATCTGGGACCCTCCTACTTCATAGCCAAAAATTGTTGAAGGGAAAATGAATAATACCCTGAGAAGGAACGGTCACACTATTCTCCAATCCACATTGAATGAGGATTGGTAGTGCAACTGAATCCCAGTGGTTAGAAAATTGCACATAAATTATTTCAATACAGTTTTGCTCCTTAACACACACACACACACACACAGATAGATAGATAGAGAGAGAGAGAGAGAGTCATCAATATAAATCGTCGTGTTCCATGCTTACTCTATTGTGATCTTCATTCTCTGGGAGCCTAGAAGAAAAAAGCAGCACAAAGATTTAAAGGGTGATCAAGAAAGGCATTTCAGGGCCCTTTGGATCTCAGAAGAGAAAATACATTAAAATCCTTTAGAAAAGAACAAAAGTGCTAGACCATTCTACTCCACTGTTTCTGGAGCCCTGAGAGACCTTTCTAAAATTAAATTAATTCCCTCTCTCTCTTTCTAAAAGCAGATCCAGTGGCAAGCCTATGTGAGCCACCTGATTCAACTCCACATTTTCCCTGGCGTAATCTATGCTAGGCAGAATATTGAAAAGAATTCCCAAAGTAGTAGAGTTTGAGTTAATTACTTACTTTATTTAACTTCTACAGTTCTAAAACTGAAGTGTCTCATAGGTGATCTTTTGAAGGCTAGATGATGTGGAAATATTTTAGTCATTGGCCAAATATTTTGTTCTTTTCTCCTTTTCCAGATGTAAAATCCATTAGTTGCTAAGGCTGCCTCTGTGTTGCTGTAAAATGGGAACCAGAATGCTTTTCTCAGAAATATTAGATACTCCAAAAGTTTCTTTGGAAGCTCACCATTCAGAGCATCTGTAACATAAGGCTGAAAACTCAAAGGTACCTCTCCCTTGATACTTGCTATGAGGAATTTATCAGGCTCTTCTGAATCTGCCAAATCATCTTGACGGCTTGCCGCAGCGTTTTCAAAAACACATGCACTATTTTGTCATGGAAATCACCTTTTTATTTTTTATAAAGAGTCTAAACAAGCCAAAAAGCTTCCAAGTAATTTGGGACTAAAGAGAAAAACATTTCCAAAAGGTCTCAGTGCAGCCCCTCTGCTGACACCCCAGGACTGGCTCCACAGGGCTGAGCAGGCAACAAGACCTGTTATGCTGATTGCAGTGGCTTGGGTAGAACCCCAAAGACATTACTGCTTCTTTCTTACTTTTTTAGTTAAGGATGTGAGGGTGATCTGGCTGCAACATCTGTCACCCCATTGATCGCCAGGATTGACTGAGCTGATCTGGATGGCTGTGTGTGTGTGTGTGTGTGTGTGTGTGTACATATATGGTATATAGTATACTACATATACATATATACACACATATATACACATATGTATATACACACGTATATATACACGTGTGTGTATATATATATACACACACGTACACATATACACACATACATACAGTCATAAGATTGTAACATATTTTTACCTTTTCTATGTTTAGATATATTTAGATACACAAATACTTAGCACTGTATTACAGTTGCCTACAGTATTTAGTACAGTAACATGTTATGCAGGTTTGTAGCCTAGGAGCAGCAGGATGTACCATATAGCCTAGGTGTGTAGCAGGCTATATAATCTAGGTTTGTGTAAGTGCACTCTGTGATGTTCACAGAATGACAAAATTGCCTAATGACACATTTCTCAGAATGTATCTCCATCATTAAACAATGCACGACTGTATATATATGTGTGTGTGTGCACACGTGCACTTGTGCATGTGGAATAAAAGAATGAATGAATGAACGAATCTATCAATCTATCAATGAATTCAGGTATTCAAAAGTAAATGAAACCAGCTATTCAGAACCTATGAAAGAAATGGCTAAGCATTAATTGCAGAGATTTGTATCTCTTCCTGGGTTTCTCAGAGCCTTTTGGTTAAATTTCTGGTTCTCTGTGATGAACTTGACAAGGAGGGTTGTTAAGCAGTGAGTGAGTGGGATTATGGGTACATAACCTACTACTTCATTTGCTAGGCAACTATAATTCTAGTAAACACACTACAGTGTGGCTGGAGGAGTATAAGAGACCTGTTCCTGCTCCCACTAGGATTGTGAAAGCATTGCCTTCCTCTCCTGTCCTTCAGCTTCTGTCCTTCTTGGGCTGGCCCTAAAGAAGACTCACGTTCATCAACCCAATTGTGTCTTTGGCACCAAGAAACCTACTTATTATATCACCTTATCACCTTCTTGATCTCTCTCTCTCTCTCTCCCTCTTGCCTTCCTCTGCCCTGAATCAGAACAGGAGGTGATAGTCCTAGTGGTGGTGGTGATGGTAGGTGGGTGACATGGAATTGGGCAGTTCTGAGGGGTCTCAGTTGATTTCCTGATGGAAGTTTAACTACCCTCAATTTTTATTTTTTTTTTTATTATTTTTTTTTGAGATAGAGTCTCGCTCTGTCACCCAGGCTGGAGTGCAGTGGCGCCATCTCAGCTCACTGCAACCTCTGCCTCCCGGGTTCAAGTGATTCTCCTGCCTCAGCCTCCTGAGTAGCTGGGACTACAGGCACCCGCCACCACGCCAGGCTAATTTTTGTATTTTTAGTAGAGACGGGGTTTCACCATGTTGGCCAGGATGGTCTCGCTCTCTTGACCTCGTGATCCGCCCACCTCGGCCTCCCAAAGTGCTGGGATTACAGGCCTGAGCCACCGGGCCCGGCCTTCAAATTTTTACCCAACTCTTACAATAGGTATGCACATTAAGGAGGCCCTTCCCTTTCTACAAAAATCCCTCCCTTATGAATGACCTCAATCTTAACCCACTGCATTAAATTAGGGTTTTACTTATGGTAGTCAGTTCTAAATGTGGATTATGCAAACAATGGATTATTTACAGAAGGTTTGAAACTCTAAACTGGTTTTCTGCTTGTTCCCCCAACCTTCCACCCACCCTCGCCCCAACACATACACACTCACACACCTTACCTGTTTTCTCTTAATTGGTGTGACCTCAAGCAATACGACCAATTTTATCATTAACCTATGAAAAAAACTAATTGGATGTCAAATATGTTGTGCAAAACTTCTATTATCCAATCAAACGTTTGGCTCTGGATTGTTTTGCTTGTATATGAGGTGATGAAAACAAAATGAATGTGTCAGGCACTCTGGGAGTTGTTTCAAATTTCTGAAGCCAATAAGGTACCACTCTGTAAATTACTATTTCAGTACATTAAACACATCCCTGGTCATCTTAATGAAGAAATATTTCTCCAAGAATGCCAGTTTACTCAGAGGAATAACTTCCCAGGTTAATAACTATTAGCATGTGATCACTTCTATAGGTAGGGAATATTTTGTACTATATTAGGTTCATTGTTTAATTGACTGGATGCTATCATGAAGCTGCTGAAAAGAAATAAACTTGCAATTATTGTTAACTATAAATCTCAATGATTTATATTAATAACTTGGGCCTGACTACATGTTCAACTGTGACAGTAAGAACAAAGTACTGATAGAGCAGATAAGGTTCAATATTCAGGAAAGAGCATTTATTAAGAGGATGAGACACTTTGAAATGATCAATCAGAGTGGATAATAATATGAACTGCTTCCAGTTACAAATTAATGATTTGATGACTGGGTGCGGTGGCTCATGCCTGCAATCCCCATACTTTAGGAGGCGGGGGTGGGTGGATCACTTGAGGTCAGGAGCTCAAGACCCGCCTGGCCAACATGGTGAAACCCCATCTCTACTAAAAATACAAAAATTAGCCAGGCACGGTGGCATGCACCTGTAATCCCAGTTACTCAGGAGGCTGAGGCAGGAGAATTGCTTGAACCTGGGAGGTGGGGGTTGCAGTGAGCTGAGATCGCACCACTGCACTCTAGCCTGGGCGACAGAGCAAGACTCCATCTCAAAATTAATAGATAAATAAATAATAATTATTTGAACACCTCCCCAGAGCAGTTAGGAAATTATTTACATGTAGTAATCTTAAAATGAATCATCCCTCTCTGTGGTAATCTTACCTATCTGTCAAGTCCCAGCTCAAATGCTGACTTTATGAAGCACCCTTGGATTTACAAAAAGGACCATCAAGAAAGAACAGAGTGGACAAATGTCCAAGTATTTGGCTTGTTCTTGGAGCTGAAAGGAGGTCAGTATTGCTGGAAACTGGTGAGCAAGGATGAAAGTGGGAGCAAAGGGAACTGGCATGGTAATGAAGGCAGTCTTTACTGTGGAAGTATTAGAAGGTAACTGAAAAAACTTTACTCTAGGGGTATAGATAAGGGTAGAATTAGGTGGGAAATATGATCTCACCCACTTTCTCAAAGACCATTCTTGCTGCAGTTTAAAGTACAGGTAAAGGGAGATAACAGTGGAAAGAAGACCAGTTAATAAGCTTATTGAGTTGGCCAGGTGAGAGATAATGGTAGCTTAGACTAGGGTTGTGGCAGTGGAGGTGTTAAAAAGTACACAGATTTACTACATTTTGGAGGTAAAAATGTCAGGACTTGATGAATGACATACAAAGCATGAAGTTTAAAAAATAAGTATGGAGGATATTTTTCAAGGTATGGACATTAATTGCTAGTTCTCTGGTTATGACACAGAGATAGAGAACCCTAGAGGCTCAAAAATAGCAGTTTGGGGATATCTTTCAATTAAGAGGTATTTGTAGAATAAGGGTCAGTCAAATCACTTCTGTGCCAAAGCATCTAGGATTAATTTTGTTCCAATCAGCTGGACTCACCCTCCTTAGTCAAGGTTTAACCAGTGAATTTATTAAGAAATATTTATGGAGGGTCTATTGTGTGGCTAGTACTACTCATGATCAATGTGAGGGCAAAAAATAGCCCTCAAAAAGTAAACCAGAGCTTTTCTAAAGTCCAATTTATTAACTGGCATTCCTATTAGCAATACACAACCTTAAAGAACAAGCCACTCTCTAGTTAGAAATGATATTCTGGGTCAAGTAACATAGCTATTGATGAGAAAAAAAATTTTTAAAAATATACAAATTAGACAAATATTTCAGTAGATGTAAAAATAAGTTGGATCTTGGGTTCAATGTCAGGAATTAGGGAAAAGGTGAAATAACATGGCAGGTAAAATAAACAAGGAATGTTGTATTTGAAGCACTAAACTCTAAGTCAGTTACAGTTCCATTTCTGCTACTAACTTTTTGACCTTAAGCAAAAAGTCCCTTTTGTTTCTGGGCCATAGTTTTCTCATTTACCAGATAAGGAAGGTAGATTAAATGATCTCTAAGATTTTGTTCAACTCCAATACTCTGTGAGTCTGATTCACAAAAAGTCTAACTGAGAGTTTCAAATATAGAGTTAGGTTACTATAATAAGCTTTTCCTAAGACAATAAGGAGATGAAATATGCACAACATAAAATAATTTCTTAAAGTTATATATTGTCAAGGCATAAAAGAGTTAGAAACACGGAAATTAAAAGTTGTAGCATCAACATGTAATCCAGAAAAAGGAAATTTATAGAGTAAGAGAATGAGAAGTTCTCAGTGTTTCTACAGCATAATCAGGAGAGAGTGATCTGTTCTAGGTAGCAATTTTAGTTGTTTAGACAGAAATGTACCAACGGTAAAGAACAGGGAGTCTTTAGGACACCAGAATTTGACAGAAACATACTAGAAACACAATTTGTTTGTCCCTTTACTGTGATTCTCTGTTCATGAAGCTTCCAAGTGGTAGATTACATTACCAAGTGGGGTGCCTATCAGCCAGCTGGTCCCATTTATCAGCCTAGGGGCCACTCTCATAGTAAACTAATTAACCAACTTTCTGATTTACATTTAGTCTCTTATGGGGATTTGAAGAGTGAATTCATTCACTGGAACCAGAACACCCCTTGGTCACAAGAATAAAATGTGTTTCTGTATCCACAAGGATGAAAACCAGCCCCTGGAGCCAAAGTGGTCTCAAAGGCATAGGAAACATAAAACCCTCAACGGAAGTAAATATACCACATGAGTCAGAGTTGTTTTATATTTTGGTTGAGATGCAGCATGTCATGGTGGTGGTGGTGATTGTTGTTAAGAACTGAAACACTGGCTTCTCCACCTTTTCAAGTGCTTGTGAACAGCAAGCAGCAGCCTTGCAAGGGCTGGTCTCAACCCATTTCTTTCCTCCCGTGTCTAGTTTACACATTCCTATGGCACCAAGTTTCCATAACCCTTTAAACTGTGAGAAAAGTACACTATATAGTAGTAAAAATCAACAGTCAATTTCATCTTCAAAATGGAAAAAGCACTTGGCAGACATCATTAATTCATCCTTACCACATTCCTATGCGATGAGCATCATCCTTATTTTCTAGATGATAAACCAAAACTTGTCTTACAGGAGCAGGAACGTCCTAGTGTATTAAATAGATCTCAAATATATTCCTCTTTCTTACTTAAATTTCATACTTCTTTTTAAAAGGCAACTAAACTCAGAATTCTTTTCATGTTTACAAGTCGTTTACATGTCATAAATTGATTTTCCCTTTGTCAAATATGCAGAGTAATTATTAAGCAATGCAAATAGGAGGAGCACTTTGGTGTGTAGCCTCTATTTAAAATTCTAAAATATTTGGAGAGCAAGACTGGGAATTATACTATATTATCAGCAAACTGATTGTGAAAATATTATAAGGAAAAGGATTCTAGAATATAGCTTCAGCATGTCTATGTGAACAGCTTCAAAATTACTTCTTCACACAATGTTTTATTATCAGCACTCAAAGAACTTGGTTCAGTTACAGCAAAAAGTGACAAAATGAAAACCAATTAAATGACATGGGGGGAGGGGCTGTCTGGAAACATCTTGTTTAAATTGTGCAGTAAACATGTGGTTTCTAATTCTCTTGGTTACTGGGTTTCCTCTAAAAGGATGAGAAACCCTTGTTTCCCAGTCCCCTGGTCCTGTACACAATTTTTGTTCCATTTCTGGAATCAACTGGAGCCTGGATTCTTTTACAGAAAGAAGAAAATAAAGACCAAGAAACATCAAATTTTTTGGACTTGCTTTGCTTTTCCTTTTTAAAATTTGAATGCAGAAAAGTACACAGGAAAATAAACTACCTGATAATTTGATGTCTGGGCTCTGGGACCAAGAGTTTTAAATTGGGTAAGCCAGCCTGAAAGTACACAGGCTAATGAAAGGTGGCTAACCCCAGAAAAAGCCAAACCAGAAGTTGAGCCCTGGGGAGTAATTAAACTGGGAAAAGACCAAAAATACTTCTATTAGAAAGAAATGAAAACACAAAAGTATAATCTCTCTCCAAACAGACTGACCAACTATCTTAAATAGTGAATGCCCTCTATGATAATTCACTTTCCCAATCTTGTACTTTTCTTCAGTTCATTTTGAAGAAAAAGTTCAAAGTCTACATTCTATTGCTGTCAGACATACTTTTCACACCTTGAAGGAAGGGAATTCAAAATTGGTTTTGAAGTGTCTTGCAGACTGAGACCTTTTTTTTTTCTAACCACTTTAGTCTGTTCCTTTTAACAATTAGCTACTTATTTAGGAGTGTGGGGTTAACGGAGAACAGTACCCCCCATGGAAAATAAAATTGTACTTCCACTTTTGAGGCTTTTAAGCTACATTGGACTCAACTTCAATAAGCATGCCAAAAGACCTATTTGAAATAGTAGATTTTCTCTGCCCCAGGCCAAATCCATAAAAAAATACAATTGATCCATCTTTAGGATACCTTCTAAACCCCCTGAAATAAAAGACTACAGCTTCTTTAGCAATTAAATAGATCCTGGGTTAGAAATATATAATATAGAGATATATTTAAAGTTATCAAAGTATATGGTTTATAACAAATTCCTAATCAACCCACGGCTATTCTGTTTGCAAGTCTTCTTAATGATTTTATACAAAGGATCCATTTCATTGAAATGTGTTTCCAGATAATAACAAAAAGAGAACAAGGCAGTAGTTTCAGATTTAGACATTGGCTTCAGAAGTTCAGTAGATTGTAGCCAAGTATAGAACCCTGGAAGTTGTCAAGGAAACAGAGTGGTATTGTGTAGGCTTTCTGGTAGGCTTCTCTTTTGCCTCTGCCTTTGCACTTCTACTGAAGCAGTGTCTAGGCATTAGGAATGTTCCAAACCATGAGACACATGTGTTCAGAAATATACTAAAGGAAGAATAGGTTCTTAGATGCCAAGAAATTCCTAGATAAAGTCTAATTTAAAGTACACACACCATTCTGAAATGTTTTTCAAAAATTACATTTTCCTTCAACCAAGAATCTCTTGAAGTTATTCCTCAGATTGAGACCATCAATATTTGAAGTTGTAAAATGTTCAAATATTACTCTTAAAATTCCTCAATATCTACTCTTAGAGAAAAGATAAAATGTCATAATCCTCTGTCTGTTCTTCACGAAATTACCTATTATACTTTCTCAAAAAACCCTCTGATGGTCCTTCAACTCATGAATGGATAAATAAACTGTGGCATATCCATAAAATGGAATACAACTCAGCAATAAAAAAGAAGGAAAACAATATGGATGGATCTTTAAGCATTATGCTAAGTGAGATAAGCTAGACTCAAATGGCTACATATTTTAAGATTTCATTTCTATGTTAATCTAGAAAACATAAAACTATAGATTAGAAAACAGAGGTTGGTGGAGAGGGAGCAGTTGACTATACAGAGATATGGGGGAGTCTGGGGAGGTGATGAAATGCTCTGTATCTTGATCAAAACTTGTAGAACTAAAAAGGGTGAATTTTACTGCAGAGAAATTATAACTCAATAAACCTTTTAAAAATTAGAAATGTATTTAAAGTTTCCCCTCCCCCAAAAAAACAAATGCACACAGGTGGTAATTTAGATTTAGTGTATAACTTCTCAGTATAGTCATATGACAGATCACACATAATAGTATATAAAACGAACCCAGAGATTAAAATTATTCCAATGCAAGGGGCTCTGAAGCAAAATTTTATTATAATAATCTTTATACTATTTTCCACCAAAAATATTTTAAAGTCTCAGTGGAAATATTATAATACTAAAAGTCTCACTTACACTTTCCAAATAAAAGATACCTAAGTCTATTTCAAAATGAACTATAAGGGCAGCTCTTTATAATATGACATAATGTGTGTGTGTGTGTGTGTATACACATAATACATATACATAATCTCCAAATCTAGAGTAAGTTTTCCAATCTATGGTATACTGATCCATCAATAAGGTAATATTTAGAAACTTTTTACCATTTGATCCATATTATATATGTGATGGTTAATACTGAGTGTCAACTTGATTGGATTGAAGGATGCAATATTAATCCTGGGTGTGTCTGTGAGGGTGTTGTCAAACAAGATTAACATTTGAGTCAGAAGGCTGGGGAAGACAGACCCACCCTTAATCAGGTGGGCACCATCTAATCAGCTGCCTGCGAATATAAAGCAGGCAGAAAAAACGTGAAGAGGCGAGACAGGCCTAGCCTCCCAGTCTACATCTTTCTCCCATGCTGGATGCTTCCTGCCCTCGAACATCAGACTCCAAGTTCTTCAGTTTTGGGACTCAGACTGGCTCTCCTCACTCCTCAGCTTGCAGAAAGCCTATTGTGGGACCTTGTGATCATGTTAGTTAATACTTAATAAACTCCCCTTTATATATATATATAAAATAGGATATATATATATAGAATAGAATATATATACATATATATATGTTCCAAACCATGAGACACATGTGTCAGAAATATACTAAAGGAAGGATAGAATTTAAAGTACACACACCATTCTGAAATGAGATATATATATATATACACACACATATATATATACACATATACATAAATATATATATACATATACATATATATATATATATATATATATATATATATATATATATATCCTGTTAGTTCTGTCCTCTAAGAGAACCCTGACTAATACATTATACTTCTGGTAAACCAATATTTTCTTCTACATTTTATTAGCAGTGTATTACATTGGAAGCTTTAAAAAAATTTCATTAATCCAGAGAGTTAATATAAATGAGACAAACATTTATGATATACCTACTATGCTTCTGGCACTGTACTAGCTCCTTGCTATTGCAATTAATTTTACAATCAGCCTCCAGGCACGTGGCTAGAGCCTGTAATTCCAGCACTTTGGGAGGCCAAGGCAGGCAGATCACCTGAGTTCAGGAGTTTGAGACCAGCCTGGCCAACATGGTGACGTCTCTACTAAAAATACAAAATTAGCCAGGTGTGGTGGCACATGCCTGTAATCCCAGCTACTCGGGAGGCTGAGGCAGGAGAATCGATTGAACCCAGGAGGTGGAGGTTGCGGTGAGCAGAGATCACGCCACTGCACTCCAGCCTGGGTGACAGAGTGAGACTCCATCTCAAAATAAATAAATAAATAAAAATGAAAATAAAAATTTAAAAAAATCAGCCTTATGAAGTACATGCATCTATCTTCGTTTTATAGATAAGGAAAGAGAGGCTGAAGGAAATTGAATGACTTGTCCCAAATCACCCAGCCAGTTTATGGTACAGTCTGGATTCAAACCCCAGTCTGGCTAGCACTTTAAGGTGATTGAGCAATGAGTAGGCTTTTGAAGGGTCAACTGGGTGATGAAACAGGCCTGAGACTATTAAAGGTTTACACTATAAAGTTGGAACACCAGTATTTGATTCAAACTATAGCAAAAGCACTTTTCATTCACTCAAGAAATCTTATTTAAGGATTTTTCTTGGGTTTGACTGTCCTAACTTCATCCACTTGTTTTTCACTGTTTCAGTTGATTCCCTCGGTTTCACAGGGTTTTAGAAAAGATCTTTAATCTTCCAAGCCTGCAAACACAGTCAAGCATTTGAATGTTATTTAACGATGTGTTTGTAAAGGAAAAAGCCAGGACACTGATTCAAACACACCCTGAGAGGGAATGTTCAGTGTTATACCTAGTGTTGCACTCCAGGAAAAAAAGTAGCAGAGATAACCCTGGAGAAGACAGCACTGGCACACAGTTTCAGACATGCATGTTATAAGAGAAAGTGGATGCATACAAAGCACACATTACAGTGTGAAGAAAACAACACTTCAAATTACTTCCCCTTTTTCTTTCAGATGATTAAAAGATTAAAGAGAACATGACTGCCTTTTCCCTGTACTAAGAACTCTTTACTTGTGCAGAGAACCATTGCTCAGCTAACTTTTCTAACTATCCAGCAGTCTTAAACAATAAAATCTTTCCACTCTACATTGAAGGATTTCTACCTCACATTGAAGGATTTCTACCTCATCTGTGTGTTCCTGGAGTCTTAAGGTATTTTATTTCAGGATATGACTGAAATCCCCACCATTTTAACATCAAGTCAGATTTCCAAACTTCGCAATTAAAGGAGTGACTACTTTCCCAACCTAAATTATATATTTTATCTGACAGATACCTGTTTGAAATATGTCAGAAAGACATAACACAAAAGCCTATTAACACAAAGCCTATCATACACAGACCCTCAACACTCTTTTTTTGGCATACGAACCCCAAAGTTGCTAAACAAAATGATTATATAAGACTGATCAGAACTAATTACTCTTCTCTAGATGAAGTGCTAGGAAAAAGTGAATGAAAAATTCAGAATAAATTTCCTGGAAATAAAACAGAAGCATCATGTGTGGTTATGTATACTCTGGTTAGGGTTACAGTTAGGGTTAGCCCATGGATCTGTAGGAACAGCATTTTGACTTCATAACTATACTCATTATGTAAATCCATGTCAAGTGACTGAGTTTTCAGCTGTGCAACTCCTTTTGCCCACCTAGTCTACATAGCAGTTTAAAAATAATTTTTTTAAGAAGCTAAAATTCTGAGATAAGAAAACAGCCAAGTTCACACTATGTTTTGAAACTTTCTGACTTTTAAGTGTTTTGAATGCTCCTCTAACACTGCTTTGAGCCCATTTTTATTTAGCTTGCCCTGACAAGTTCCCCCAATTTGAAAAGAAAATTTTAAAAGCCAGTGAAGCTGTGAAGTCCCTCCTATAGTTAGTTTTAATTACCTGACAAATGTTTCCCATACTTATCATACCCTTCTACTGCTGAGAGAACAAGCACCCCTTGAGAGAAGGATGACTAAATATGTTTGTGTGTGCATTTGTGAGTATGTGTGTTTGTGAGTGAGTTTAAGTCAAGGGAAAACCACTTCCTTGGTGTAGACAGCCAATCTAACATATACAAGAAATCTGTTTAGGTTGGTTCAATACTAAATTACTATTACTGGTGTTTTCAGCACTTTGTATTTTAAAGGACCTAACTCTAATGTTCATTTCCTTTAGGATATTTTCATCTGCTAAAACTGTCTCTGGCAACCAGATGTCATATTCTATTCTTCTAAAATCTCATTAGGTGGCCTTGTTCTCATCTCTACTGCACTGTCTTCCTTGGATGCATAGGGGAGGGCCAGATGCTCAAAGAAGAACCAAGGGATGAGGTAATGAGATTTGTTTCTTACAAAATAGCACTGGACCATTAGCTTACTAAATAAACAAATAAAAGAGTTTTAAAAATATATACATGAGCTACACAAAATACTTTCAAAAGAAAAATAAAGCAACACACACATACAATAAACTAGAAAAATAAATATCGAAATGCTAAAAACAAGTGGTTGCCCTAAGACTGGGAATATGAAAGATGATTGTCTTCTTTCTTTCAACTTTCCTTTTCTAATTTTTTATGAGTGTGTGTGTTCTTTAAGTGGAAAATTAAATTCTAAAAGAGAAATGGCTTCTTTACGTCATAGAGAAAAACAGCTACACATTTACTGGCCAGGTCACTTTTTTGACAACTACAAGGGCCTCTATGGAAACCCTTTGGTTTTCTGATTTTAGTACTGATTCATGGTTTCAGGTCTCCTCAAACATTCTGACTCTATTTATTCCATAACTATAATTCCTTGCTCACTGCAATTTGGAGCCTATAAATTTCATTCTATCTATAGAGATAAAAATAATCATTTTCATCATCAAGGACACATTTTCACAGGGGGCCTATAAAGTAGGGATTAGTAGTTTCTCCCTCCTTGGGATGTCTCTGGAACTTATTGTTTATAAACATTATTTGGCATTTAGCATTATTAATGATTTATATTTTATTTATTTTTCATGTACACGTTTCATCTACCAATTAAGTAATAAACTCCTGAGAGAGCAGCAATGTTTCTTGTCCAAAGCTCCACATTATAATGCCATTAAAATAAAATTCCCAGTTGGGCATGGTGGCTCATGCCTGTAATACCAACGCTTGGGAAGGCTGAGGTAGGAGGATCGCTTGAGCCCAGGAGTTTGAGGCCAGCCCAGTCAACATAGTGAAACCCCATCTCTACAAAAAAAAATTTAAAAATTAGCTGGGCATGGTAGTGTGTGCCTGTAGTCCCAGCTACTGGGGAAACAGAGGTGGGAGAATCACTTGAGTCAGGGAGGTTGAGGCTGCAGTGAGCTGTGATTGCACCACTGCATTCCATCCTGGGTGACAGACCAAGACCCTATCTCAAAAAATAAAATACAATATTCGCTCGGTGTTTGTGATAATGTGTCAGCCTCATGCAATTACCAAGGTGGGATTGGGGGATTAGGGGGATGATGGAATGAGCATGATCTATTAGGATTTGTCCTGAATCACCCCCTTGGGGGCTGAGGAAGGTATCACTTTGCCTGAGCATATGGGAGAGAGCACATCAAAACAAAAGAGAGGCTCTACCAACAAGGAGGAAGGGGCTGAGCTTGTCAGAAATAGCTGCATCTGCAGCAGCAGCAAGTGATGATGTTCATAGTATGATGATGGTGTTGAAGACTTCAACGGTGAGAGGATTAATTGTTCAAACACTGGGATATAGAACAAGGAGAGAAAATGAACAAATATAATAAGAAATATATTGTTCTGGCACTGTACGTGGACAACACGGAATATATAAGCACGTATTAGTACCTACAATAAATATCCACAATGTAGTTGGTCATGTACCCAGTACAGTTTAACCGTGCTGTGCCACTAAAAAGTTCCCATGCCAGAGACATTTCTGTCAATTATTTTATTTCTTATGTCCAATTAATGAAATAGGAAAAGGACACTTGCTATCAGTTTGACAATTATGATTCCATAAGCCCAAGAACAAAAATTTGTTAATAATATAGACTCAATTGATGTGTTGCAGTACATTCTGGTCTATTTTTTAATGTGCATCATTTCACTTTTGCATTATGCATTTTTGCATATTCCTCAGGGTTTACACATGCCCTTGCACATAATAAATACTGAATAAATATCTAATGAATGAATAAATGAGTGATTGAACAAATTATAATTTGTTCAATATAATTCTCATGTGTAGAGGAGAAAAAGCAATATCTTTTCCTCACCCATCACAAGGTTGCTGGCTTATGCACCTACAACAAAAGACAGATTAACAAGAGAAAAGTATAATAATGTAGGTTTTGTATGAGTTTGGCATGACATGGGAGCCTCAGAAATGAAAACCCAAAGAAACAGGAAAGCTTGTGCATCCCCATTTATGGTTGTGCAGAAGTACAATTGGACAAAAGGGATGTGATCCAATGGTAATCAACTGGAAGGAAGCCAGCAAGGCCTGTTTGTTCAGATTCCTCCCTGTATCCCTATGTCCTCAGAGACAAGGGCATTTGTTTCTTCTGAGTTTCAGGAGGGCACCTCTGGAATGAGCCTCATGGCTTAATTCAGGGAAGGTCAGCTAAGTTTGCTGGTCTACTTCAAGGGAAAGTGGGTGAGGGAAATAGGAGAGTGACCCTCTAGATCTTGTTATTCTTTCAAATGCCAAAGTGCCATACTTGGACAGCATGCCCCACACCCTATCACATGCCATTCCAGCACTAGTATATTATGCGTCTGATGATGTTTAATATGAAAATTTCCATCACTTTGATGCAATTAAAAATACACCGAGGCCGGGAACAATGGCTCACACCTGTAATCCTAGCACTTTGGGGGGCCGAGGTGGGCAGATCCCTTGAGCCCAGGAGTTTGAGACCAGCCTGGGCAACATGGTGAAACCCCATCTCTACAAAAAAATACGAAACTTAGCTGAGTGTCATGGCATGCACCTGTAGTCCCAGCTACTCGGGAGGCTGAGGTGGGAGGATCATTTGAGCCTGGGAGGCAGAGATTGCAGTGAGCAGTGATTGCACCACTGCACTCCAGCCTGGATGACAAAGTGAGACCCGGTCTCAAGAAAAGAAAATACACCAAGACTCAGGAAAGATGTGAGATTGTACAATGTAGAATGGAGCCAATGTAAAGCTGAGCCAGCATCACATATTTCCCTCCCATTCCAAAAAAAAAAAAGACATAGTAATTGAAAAGCATATACTTCAGAAAACTATTTTTGATTGTAGAAGGGCTTTTTCCATCTGGCTTTAAGTAAACTTAAAAAGAGAGACCTTTTCTCGTTTTTTGTGTTGGATAAAGAAAACGGTAGCATGACAGCAATATAAGGTTGACTAACCAATCATCAGTGAATAGCTCATTCACAAAAAAGTCACACACACACACACACACACACACGGTAAAGACTATATCAAATGTGAATTTACGTATGCCTCTGTATGTTTGCCAGGATGAAGAAGTAGAGAGGAAGAGATTAAGGAAATTTCAGAAGGACAGATGCACAAGAAGATAATACTCTCAAGTAATTTTATTGAAAAACATCAATTACCTAGGAGGGAAAGACTGGGCATCTCCCAAAGTCTACAGAACCATTCTAAAAGAGAGAGTAAAGTAATTGAAAATGTACATGCAGCCATGTGAATTCTCAAAAGAATATCTAATGAAATATTTTTCTTTGGGCACAACTAGGGAATAGCATATTTCCCTGAAATTGATACTAAATAGAAACAAGATGTCTGATAACAATGTATATATAGCTCAGAATGCTTTCATTCTCAAAGTATCATCAAGTAAGAGATTGTGGTGCTGTGTGCAATATGGAAAATGACAACAGATATGACATGGCTAGAAAGTAAGAAGACTATCTCCCTTAAGCCACATGTATAGATGCATCTTCTTGGCCCATCTACTCAATTCTCAAGAGAATTCAAAGTCTGTCTTTCAGAAGGCAGCAGCAGAAGGGCGTGTCAGGCATGTTACCAATTAACCATGGAGGCAATTCATTTAAAAAACTTCTGGCAAACTTTCCGTAGGCATGAAATGGGAATGAAGAAACATCTCAATGGAAAAAAAAATGAGAATAAATGAAATAATGTAAATGAAAGACTTAAGCCTTTAAAAGGAATGAACCATAGAAATGGGAGGTGGGAGAATGTAGTAGTGAAGAAGCAAGGTTCCAGAGGCAGACTGCTCAAGTCCAAAAGTCATATCTCCACCATTTACTACCTGGGCAAGTTCCTTAAGGTCTGAGACTCAGTTTATTCATCTCTAAAATGAGAGATTAAATAAACACCTACTTCATAGAAATGGAAACACCCAGCCTAGTGTATGGCACATAGTAATACTTAATAAATGTTAGATTCTTCTTTTTACTACTATATCCATATATATAATAAAAATGTTGTTGAGGGACTACTGTTATTATATGGATTATAAGTTGATAGGGCTTTTTTCTACATATTAAAATCAATCTCTTTCAGATGTGAATCAAATGATCCAAATTATTCCATATGTTTCAGCAGAATAAAGGAAATGGCTTTTTATGAAATAGCATTTCTATTGAATTTAGTAATCACTCTCTAACAAATTAATCTCGATGACTTGGTGAGTTGTTCCATAAGGAATTCCTTTTGTATTGGTGGCAAAATACCAACATTCCCATTTTAAAATATTTTATTTTCTTTTCATATTTTCTTTCCTTTTTAATTTCTTTTAATTTTTATTTTCTTTAATCAAGAAATGCTGTAGATTGTGTGCTATAGCAATAGGTGCTGATACTGACCATGAAGGTGACTAAAACAGAATGTGCATGAACAAAGAGAATGGTTTCTGCACCAGTGACATTTGTTTAGTTCCTTTATGTGATCCTAAAAATAACATTAAGAGAAGGGACAAAGAAGAGCAATGGAGAGATCAGATGTACAGACAAGAAAGTAGAGGAAGCAAGAAAAAGAAAACATAAATTTTTTACAAGGAGATATGTATGAAACAATGAAATACTGTTCTTCCCCTACCCTACAATGCATGCGTGCAAGCACACACACATACACACACACACATTTCTGTTCAAGACTCATTCCCAAACTTAGATGATGGAAGAATCCCCTGTGGGATGCAGCTACCTCCACCCAATATTCATTAATCTCACTTATGACAAATCTGAGCCTGCACAATAAAACATAATTAGATAGTTCGTCCTGGAAATGAGAAGGATTCATCAGAAAGAAACTATTATCTACTAGTTTTCTCAGTCCCCTTATCATTTAGTGATCTTTTTGGTAGATGGCTAGTCAGAAAATTCTGAGGAACATAAAAATAAAACAAGTGAGGAGATAACTAGGCATAATGGCTAATATAGAGATAATAAAGTATAATGGTTAAATTAGACAAATATAGCCAGTGTTATGTTGGTAAATAGATGGGGTTGGGGGGTGGATTTTCCACAGCTTAAATAGATCCACCATGCTGATTCCAAGTTCACAACATGGTGTCAACCATCTCACAAAATTCTTCAATATTTAACAATTGGCTCTCAGGAGCTAGTTCAAGCCAGCTCCAGCACACCACTAATTATAACTATATGACCATATTGCAAGTCACTTAATCTCTCTGAGCTTCACTTTCTTCTTCTGTAAATCACAATCATCATAATTATGATCATATCCTATATTATCATAATTATCACCAATGATGATCATCATCACTATTATCATTTCAATTATTTCAATTAGACTTAAAGCCATAGCTTCTAATCTTTATGCCAAAGGCACCCAAAGTCTTATACCAAAGTCTCTAAGAAAGACTATGCCTTTTCACCTCATGATTAGCAAAGTAGCATAGTCCAATGTCAAAATCCAAGACTATGTTGCCTATTGCAGATAATCTCAAAAATGTCCCTTATTAATGTATTTGTTTTTAACCAGAGAAAAGGGAGGAAGAGAGAGGAAATAAAGAAAGGGATGATCTTGACTTGACAAATCTATCTTCATTTTTCTGAATATTTTCTGTGTTATCCATCTATTCACCCATTCCTCTATTAAATTAGTATTCACTGAGTACCTACTATAGTATATGTAAGTCATGCTGGACACTGAGAACCTAATGATGGGCAAAACAGGCAAAGTCACTGTCCTTGATGAGTATACTGCCTAGTGGGAGAAACAGACATTAAATAATCATCAAACCTACATGAGTACTTGGAAGAAAAGGAATAAAAACAAAGGAATATAACAAAGGAGCCTAACTTAGGCCAGGGATGGTGTGGGAGGGTACAAATGTGCCAGAGAAGGCATTCCTGAGAAAGAGATAATTAAGCTGCCATCTTAAGGATAGGCAAAAGTTGACAATTACACAGAAATGCAGAGAAGGCTAGATAAGCAGTTGGCTATTTGCGCCTGAAACTTCAAGGATAGGTCTGGATTAGATTTTCGGTTTAAGATTCATGGGTACATAGATGGTAATTGAGCCCCAGGGGCTAGATAAGATTGCTAAGAGAAAGGGTAAAAGTAAAAAGGCAACCTAGGACTGTTATCTTGAAGAACATTTAATGGATCTTATTTTAATAGCTGCATTCTCTACTAATTGGGCCTCACTTCTCTACCTACAGTCTCTTAAACTAGATTTTCCTAAGCCTAGCCATGTTAAACCTGGAGAGACATCTTATGTAAAGATTAAGAAGAGAGACTTCAGAGTCAATCTAACTTGAGTTTGAATCTTAGATTTCTACCTTTCCAACTGTGTCACCTTTGAAAAGTTATTTTAAATTACTTAACCTCTATAACTGAGATAATTACAGTACCTGTTACTTAGTTGCTGTAAACATTAAATAAAATTATGCATGTAAAGTATTTAGTACAGTGTCTGGCAAATAGTAATAATTCAATACACGGAAGTTAACTAAAGAAAGTACCACCACAACTCACCCTCTAATCCCATGATAGGCAGTAGGCATGAGCATAACCAGGTTAACCCATGTCTTGTATCAGTATAATTGAAATCCAGTCTCTCTTTGGGTCCATTTATAAGCCCACCCAGCCAGAGCACACAGGTGCTTGGTATTCAGAAGTATGGGTTAATTTTGCCACCAAAAACTTGTTTCTTCCCATTCTGCCAGATTATTAGAGTGGCAGCTCCAGCCATACACTGCTCTGGCATTAACAACACTGCCATGCAGTTCAGACCACTGTAATAGTGCTGAGGGATACGTGCAAAAATAAGTAATTTAAGAGGTTTTATTCCGGAACTTTTGAAAACAACCCTTCTACAATGCTGTACTCACAACTAACACAGTTCGTTTTCAAAAGTATAGTAAGGAAAACAACATTTTCTATGTATATAGCTGCAGGAAAAAAACTGAAAATATTACACTGCATGAATACATCACATACCAAAGTTTGCAACCAAACTGATTAATTTTGCTATACGGATATCCAGACATATTCTGAATCACAGTTGAATCCCTTAATGAACAGAACGTGTTTGGGAGATGCACGCATATTTACAAGATAAAATGAATGGAGTTGGCTTTGACCTATATTTACAGAAATTTTAACTGTGCTGATAAAGTACTATTTTAGCTTTTTACTAGAAATCAAATATATGATCAAAGACAGGCTTTTCAATCACCCTATTAGAAGCATGAGGTTACCCAAAAATGATAAATATAAACACAACATTGGGAACAAATTTCTTCTTCTTTGGTAGTCATTATACCATATTCTCAAATTTAACTCCTTTTCTTCTCCTATACTATGGCCTACTTCCAAAATGATTACTATACAATTCTACAATTGCCTCTCCTTTCTAACTGCCTCCCCAGCTTTGTCCATGTCTTTTCACTTCAGCTTGTCTTACTGAAATGGTGTCTTTTAACAGGTATTTCCTCTTATCAGCTCTTTCCTTCCATCTACAATGTTTCTCAAGGCCTGCTTATGTGTTCTAAAGACATATGATCAAATCCAAATTCCAATAGAAGCAGAGCTTATGTCTTCCTCAAACACCTCCAGAAAATTATTATACAGCTAACTCAGTTGGATATTCAAGCACTGCACAAATTGGATGCACAAAGGAAATGGGAATGGTTGATCTCTTGCAATAAAACTAGAATTTTGAGAGTGAGATATGCAAAACCTATGGCACAACAGTACAAGCCAAGTGTGTTAGCTAGACCAGAATTTCTCTGCATGAAATATTTCTGGAAATAAGTAGATCACTGGCTGGGTCTTAGACATTTTAAAAAAGTATTGTGATATAAAGAGTTTCATTGTAAAGGCTTTTTTTTGGTAATGGAATTTAATGCCAAGACTAAGATGTCTGTATGCCCAATTAAATATATATATATATATATATATATATATATATATATATATATATATATATATATATATTTGTGACAGGGTCTCACTCTGTCATCCAGGCTAGAGTTCAGTGGCATGATCTCGGCCCACCACAACCTCAGCTCCCAGGCTCAAGCAATCCTCTCACCTCAGCCTCCCAAGGAGCTGTGACCACAGGCATGTGCCACCATGCCTGGCTAATTTTTTGTAGAGATGGGGTTTTGCTATGTTGGCCAGACTGGTCTTGAATTCCTGGGCTCAAGTGATCTGACCACCTCGGCCTCCCAAAATGCTGGAAATACAGGCAGGAGCCACTGCACCCAGCCCCAATCAAATATTAAATGTTGATGTATTTCTCATTGTATTTACTACTTGAGTCATTCAATAAGATAATATAAGAACATCTTTGGTTTCATATGCCTGATCTACGTTAGAATTTTGCAGCTTTGAGAACACTACAAATATGTAGCAGCTGCCCAAATCTAATTATAGTGGTGTTTCTTAAATTCAGTGAGGAATTCTATGCAGCCTGTTTTCCAGGGTTAAAATTTAAGTATCCTGTATACAGTTGCCATAATCTGAAACTTTAGGTAAAAAATCTAAGCTTGGGGAGACTTTTATGTGTATATATGAGTATAAAATTTCCTTAAAATTACTGCTTATAAGGCCAGGCATGGTGGCTCATGCCTGTAATCCCAGCACTTTGGGAGGCCGAGGCAGGTGGATCACCTGAGGTCGGGAGTTTGAGACCAGCCTGACCAACATGGAGAAACCCCATCTCTACTAAAAATACAAAATTAGCTGGGCGTGGTGGCACATGCCTGTAATCTCAGCTACTCGGAAGGCTGAGGCAGGAGAATCGCTTGAACCTGAAGGCAGAGGTCGCAGTGAGCTGAGTTCGCTCCATTGCACTCCAGCCTGGGCAACAAGAGCGAAACTCTATCTAAAAAAAAAAAAAAAAAAAAAAAAAAAACATCATTGCTTATAATTTTTAGACTGCAGAGTCCTAAAAGTTAAAATCCTTTTTTTAACTACCCCAATTTATAGAAGAATGAAGAGAGAATTCACACTGATATGAAATATTGTATATTGGCCGGGCATGGTGGCTCACACCTGTAATCCCAGCACTTTGGGAGGCCGAGGTGGGTGGATCATTTGAGGCCAGGAGTTCAACACCAGGCTGGCCAATATGGTGAAGCCTCATCTCTACTAAAAATACAAAAAAGAAAAAAAAAAATAGCTGCATGTGGTGGCACATACCTGTAATCCCAGCTGCTTGGGAGGCTGAGGCAGGAGAATCACTTGAACCACGGGGGAGGCTGCAGTAAGCCCAGATTGCACCAGTGTACTCCAGCCTGGGCAACAGTGCAAAACCCTGTCTCAAAAAAAAAAAAGAAAGAAAAGAAAAGAAATCTTGTATATTGATAGTCTTGTGCTTAGTCATTTTTCCATTAATATTTATTGATTTGATTTTTATTTATCATTACATCATAATATAAACTTCGAAACTTTTGCTTGGCAGCAATTTTAATCTTTAGAAAAATTTGAAATATGAAATTGGATTTTTAAAAAAAATAACATCTTACAACTACAGATTTGAAGCCAGGCACATGGCTGTAGTCCCAGCTACTCAGGAGCTGAGACAGGAGGATTGCTTGCGGCCATGAGTTTGAGGCTACAGTACTATGATCACACCTGTGAATAGCCACAGCACTGTGGCCTGGGCAATATGGTGAGATCCAATCTCTTTAAAAAGTACAGATTTGTAGATTCAATATTTTTAGGGATAATAAAGAACAATGTATTGTTATTAGAGTATGCCTCACAGTGTAAGCATTAGTCAGTCATTCATAGCACAACCTGAAGTATGTGCCAATGAAACACAATAAACAAGCAGGTCACTGGTTCTGACTTTGTAACTTAGGAGTTTCTCATAAACAATTTCTGAGGTTTCTTTTCTTTTACAATAACCACTTATAGCAATGAAATTAAAGTTGGCAGTTGACCTTCCAGTTCATGACATGATGGAGAACTTACACAGGCTGTTGGCCCCTTCTGAAGTCAACCCTGGAGATGATCTAGAAATGTGTATGTGTTGAGGGAAGGAAGTTTGTGAGATCCCAGAATGCAACAAGAAAACTGTGGGGGATCCCTAGAGACATAGAAAGTGGATGGATCCCATTGCTGAGGGTGGAGGTGGGGTTGAGTCTAAACCTACCCATCACAGAGAGAGGAATGACTGGAAATAAGCTTTCCAGTTAGACTTTTCAGTCTCACCAACATCTTCTGGGAAGGTTTTTCCTGATCCTGGCACCACTGCACAGTAGAAAACAATTAGGAACAGAACCAGTCAGAAGATGCAGGGTAATATCTGGGCAGCACTCAAGCCCAGCTGTCATCAGAAGCAGACAACCACAGCTATAGGCAAATAGGCATTCTTTTCCACCTCAACTTCATGGGTTGTTTAAAACCCAGAGACAAGAGCAATTCCTAGGGTAGAAGTAGAGGAAGGTTTCCTGAGAATCAAGATCACTTGATGGGGGAGGCACAACAAACAGAGAAAAGGCTCATATTACAAACTCAGAGGCTCTCTTCTTTGAGATAAATCCCTAAACGCCCACACACAACCCTGCATTAATGGACAGTAGATGCTGGGAGTCAGGTTTCTCACTATCCATGAAGGAAATTACAGATAAGCAAGAATGGGTGGCTAAAATGATCCATGTAATAATGGGCTAGAGTTGTAGCCATTAGACTAAATCCACGTTTAGCTTAATATAGATACCCATAGATAAATATAGAAATATTAATAAGGGGCTGGGTGCGGTGGCTCATGCCTGTAATCCCAGCACTTTGGGAGGCTGAGGTGGGCAGATCACCTGAGGTCAGGAGTTTCGAGAAGAGCCTGGCCAACATGGTGAAACCTCATCTCTACTAAAAATACAAAATAACCGGGTGTGGTGCCACACTCCTGTAATCCCAGCTACTCAGGAGAATTGCTTGAATCTGGGAGGTAGAGGTTGCAGTAAGCCGAGATTGCACCACCGCACTTCAGCCTGGGTGACAAGAGTGAGACTCTGTCTCAAAAAAAAAAAAAAGAAAAGAAAAGAAAAGAAAAAGAAAAAAGAAATATTAATAGGTATGTGAGTTAGTATACACACATATTTCCATGCTGTTTAGCTGAGACAGTATAGAAGCAATGACACCTCTATAGCAATGAGCATAACACCTCTATAGCAATGAGCATACTTAGACTCCAGATCTACCATTCTCCAATAAAACAAACTATCACTCCTTAGAGAACTCCTGACCTCAGGTGATCTGCCCACCTCAACCTCCCAAAGTGATGGGATTACAGGCATAAGCCACCGCGCCCAGCCACTTATTAATATTTCTATATTTATCTATGGGTATCTATATTAAGCTAAATATGAATTTAGTCTAATGGCTAAAGTAAAAAAGTAAGGAAGTGCTCAAAAAACCCCACTATCGGCTGGGTGTGGTGGCTCATGCCTATAATCATGCCTATAATCCCAGCACTTTGGGAGGCCGAGGACGGCAGATCACTTGAGGTCAGGAGTTCAAGACCAGCCTGGCCAACATGATGAAACCCCATCTTTACTAAAAATACAAAAAAACAGCTGGGTGTGGTGGCACATGCCTGTAGTTCCAGCTACTCAGGAGGCTGAGGCAGGAGAATCACTTGAACCTGGGAGGAGGAGGTTGCTGTGAGCCGAGATCACACCATTGCACTCCAGCCTGGGCAACAAGAGTGAAACTCCATTGCAAAAATAAATAAATAAATAATAAAATGGTGGGTATTTTAATGTGATATATACATTAAATTGTATTCTAAATACAATAGATTTTAATGTGACAGAGCACACAAATTTTGTTGATATGATCTCAGATTCCACATTGCAGCTTACTTTTAAGAAGCTAACCCTTGCAATTTTTGGTGTAGCATCAAAGAAAAATATTCATCATTACCTGGAAAGGCTAATAAAACACCTCTCCATTTCCAACTTCATATCTGTGTTAGGCTATATTATCTTCCTATACTTCAACTAAACCATTTATTGCAATAGATTGAATGCAGAAGCAGTTATGAGGAATACAGCTGCCTTGTATTAAACCGGACATTAAGGAGATCTGCAAATATATAAAACAATGCCACTGGTCTCACTAAATTATTTTTTGCTTTAGAAAACTTATTTTTTATTAAAATATGTAATTTTGTTAACATGTAATCAGCTTATAATTATATTTATAATACATATTATAACTAATATATGACTATATTATACTAATTATACATATAATTATTAATTATAATTATACATATATTTAATATTACAATTATCAATACTTCAAAATTTTCTTAGTTTTAATTTCCAATATCAGAAATATCAATTGATATAACCCACAAGAACCAAAGTTCTCATGGGTTTTTGACAATTTTTAAAGTGCAAAGTGGTCCTGAGACAAGAAAAGTTTGAGAATAGCTGCATTGCCCCAAGCTGCCTCCTATGATGGATGATGGATATATGAAAAATAGGAAGGCAGGTGGCTTGCTGTTCTATTGCTAAAGTTTCAAAAAAGAAGAAAGTACTTAATCACTGCCTTGCCATGCAGTTGGTGCAAACCTGACTTATGAACAGGAGGCATAGTAAGCACACATCTTACTCTCTCCAAGGAGCCTTTTTTCTCTACAACTCCCTCTTCCTTCCTTTATATTATTTTCCCTTTGCCTTTAATTAAGGATAGATCTTTTCCAATCTACATCTTGTCCAATTTACATCCCTCCCCTCCCCCTCTCTTCTCTCTCTACTACCACATTTCTTTAAGTTACTCCGCCTGCTGTTGCTATTTCTTTTATACTCTCCCATGCTTCCAAGAATGGCTTTCAGCTACAACTTCATATGAAAAGTACTCTTTCAAAGATTAGGCATCACCTTGTTATTGCCAAATCTTTCATCTTCACTCTGTTCTAGTTTCTCTAGACCTCAATCCAGTGCCATGTTAAATATTGGTAACATTAGGGGACCACCTCATTCTTCCTGAAAGTCTGTTACCATGTTATTACAGATGAGGCCTACCTCTAAATGATCTTCTGCTACAGATGAGGCCTACCTCTAAATGATCTTCTGCTACAGATGAGGCCTACCTCTAAATGATCTTCTGCTTCATTCACTCTGTCTTCCTCCTCTCTCTCGCCAATTCTCAACCATCAGCTCTTCTCTTTATATACTTATTTCCTTAAAAAAGCATCTGTGTTCTCACATCAGCATCTACATTTTAGCACATTTTAATATCTTCTTTGGTCCTAGGTGCTCTTATCTCAAAGGTCCTACCTCATATTATATCAAATATATTAAAATAACTGTAGTCAGTAAAATGCACCCATAGCATTTGTGTATTATATGAGTTGAGTTGTATTAATAGTTGACGACTTGACACATTATTTTATAGATATGTAATTAAATATCTATATAAAATATTTACTGATTTCCATTTTTCAGTTTTCATATTTTAATAACTTTTTGAAATCATTTTAGATTTACAGAAAAATTATAAAGCTAGTAGAGAGTTCTTATATATCCCACACCCAAGTTTCTCCAAGTAACATCTTACATTAGTACGGTACATTTATTATGATTAATGATCAAATATTTATAGATTATTATTAACCAAAGGCTACCTTTACTCAGATTTCCTTAGTTTTTATGCAATGCCTTTTTTTTTTTTTTTTTTTTGAGACAGAGTCTTGCTCTGTTGCCCAGGCTGGAGTGCAATGGTGCAATCTCGGCTCACTGCAACCTTCAGCTCACTGCAACCTCCGTCTCCTGGGTTCAAGCGATTCTCCTGCCTCAGCCTCCCAAGTATCTGGGATTACAGGTATGAGCCACTACACCTGGCTAATTTTTGTATTTTTAGTAGAGACAGGGTTCCGCCATGTTGGCCAGGCTGGTCTCGAACTCCTGACCTCAGGTGATCCACCCACCTTGGCCTCCCAAAGTGCTGGGATTACAGGCATGATCCACCACACCCGGCTGCAATGTCTTTTTTTGTACTAAGATCCCACCCAGAATACCACATTATATTTAGTTGTCATGCCTGTTTGGGCTCCTATTGGCCATGACAATTTCTCAAACTTGTGTATTATCCTTCAGAAAATATTGGTTGACCAAGCTATGCAAATCTTACAAGTATTAACATATTCCATTATACAATATCACAAATTCACATTCATGAATATCACCTCTGATCTGCAATACATTTGGAGTTACTTTATGTAAAGGTAAGAGGTTTAGGTTGAGGTTTGTTTTTCCGTCAAAAAGCTGTGAACTTGAGAATTTCATGTAGCTCTAGAAGCTTTCTTAAAGGATTCTTCAAGACTTTTATGGAGACCATCATGTCATCTGTGAATAGGAACAATTTTATTTCTTCTTTTCTAATCTATATGATTTTTATTCTGTTTGCTGCCTTATTACATTCAATAGGACAGCCAGTATGACTTTGAATGGGAGTGGTAAGAGTGGGCATCCTTGACTTGTTCCCAATCTTGGGAAAAAAATTATTCAGTCTTCCACCATTATGAATAATGTTGGCTGTGGGTTTTTTTGTGTAGATGCCCTTCATCAGGTTAGTGAAATTCTCTTCTATTCCTAATATATTGAGAGTTATTACCATGAATGGATGTTGAATGTTGTCAAATGTTTTCTCTATCAACTGCTATGATCATGTGAGTTTTTTCCTTCTACAGTCTGTTAATATGGTGGAATACATGGAATGACTTTCAAATATTGAATCAGCCTTGCATTCCCAGGATAAACCACAATTATTTGTGATACATTATTTTTATAATATATTACAATATTCAATTTGTTAATATTTTGTCAAAGATGTTGCCATTTTATGATAAATCTTGCTCTATACTTTTCTTTGCTTGTACTATCTTTGGATTTGACTATAGGAGAATGCTGGCCTCATAAAATGAGTTTGAAAGTGTTCTCTCCTCTTCTATTTTCCAGAAGATTGTGTAGAGTTAGTTTTATTTCTTCTTCAAATGTTTGATGAAAGGTCAGGCATTGATGGCTCATGCCTGTAATCTCAGGACTTTGGGAGGCTGAGATGAGAGGATTGCTTGAGCCCAGGAGTTTGAGATCAGCCTGGGCAAGATGGTGAGACCCCATCTTGACAAAATATTAAAAAATTAGCCAGGCATGGTGGCATGCACCTGTGGTCCCAGCTACTTGGGAGGCTGAGGTGGATAATTTGATCTGAGGGGGTTGAGGCTACAGTGAGTTGTGTTCACACCACTGCACTCCACTCCAGCCAGCCTGGGTAACAGAGCAAGACCTGGTCTCAAAAAAAAAAAAAAAAAAGAAAGAAAGAAAAGAAAAGAAAAAAAATGTTTGATGGAATTTACCAGTGAAATTACCTGGGTCTGGAGATTTGTTTTTTGGAAGATGTTTGACTACGAACTCAACTTCTTTAATAATGATAGGATTATTCATGTTATCTATTTCATCTTGGATAAGTTTTAATAGTTTGTAGATTTTTACAGATTAATCCATCTCATCTAAGTAATCAAATTTATGCCTATAGTCATTGATAGCATTCCCTTACCATCCATTTCATGTTAGTGATGTGTATAGTGATATTTCCTTTTATTCATGATATTTGTGTCACCACCACACCCCCCACTTTTTTCCTATGTTAGTCTAGTTGGACATTTGCCCATTTTATTTATCTTTGCATAAAAAGAGCTTTTGGTTTCATTGTATTTCTCTATTGTTTTTCTGTTTGCTGTTTCACTGATTTGGTCTATCTTGGTGAATCTTGCATTTTCGGTGGAAAAGAATGTGTATTCTGCTGTCATTTGATAGAGTGTTCTATAAATGTCAATTAGGTACTATTGGCTACTGGCTGATAGTGTTGCTCAATTCTCCTATATCCTTGCTGATAATATGTCTACTTGTCCTATCTATTACTGAGAGAGAAGAGTTTAAAACTTTAAATATAATTGTGGATTTGCCCATTTATCATTTCAGTTTTATTATTTTTGGCTTCATATATTTTTAAATTCTGTTGTTAGTTGCATACACATTTAGGATTTTTTTTTAGGATTTTTTTTTTTTTCTTTTGAGATAGGGTCTTCCACTGTCACCCAGGCTGGAGTACAGTGGTGGATCACAGCTCACTGCAGCCTTCACCTTCTGGGCTCAAGTGATCCTCCCACCTCAACTTCCTGAGTAGCTGGGACCACAGATAATGCACCACCACACACACCTAATTTTTATAGTTTTTGTAGAGAAGGGGTTTCATCCTGTTGCCTAGACTGGTCTCAAGCTCCTGAGTTTAAGCAACCTGCTCACCTCAGCCTCCTAAAGTGCTGGGATGACAGGAATGAACCACTGTGCCCAACCCACATTTATGCTTTCTTGGTAATTTGACTCTTTTATAATTATGTAATGTCACTCTTGATCCTTGGTAATTTTCTTTGCCCTTAAGTCTATTTTGGCTGATATTAGTATTGCCACTACAGGCTTATTTTGATTAGTGATTGCATGATACATACCTTTTCCCATTCTTTTATTTTACATTGACTATTTGTTTGTATTCAAAGAGGCTTTCTTATCGACAGCATACCACTGAATCTTTGGAAAAATCTATTCTGAAAATCCATGTTTTTTAACTAGTGTTTTTAGACCAATTTCACCAATACATTTATTGACATGTTTCTATTAGCTTTAATATTTTATTACTTGTCTTTTCTCTTTATTTCCTATTTTTCCCTTACTGCCTTCTTTTGGATTAGCTTAATATTGTTTAGTATTCCCTTTTAATTTATCCATTGAGGTTTTTATTTTTTACTATATCTCTTTGTATATCTATTTAAGTTGTTACTCTAGGGGTTACCACATACATACTTGACACTGTCTACTCCAAATCAATATCTTTTACTTCAAGTGCAGTGTAGAAACTTTACCACCATATAGGTCCATTTACCCTCCCCACTTTATGCTGTACTTGTCTTACACATTTCACTTACATACATTGAAAACCCTATCAGCCAGGTGCGGTGGCTTACGCCTGTAATCTCAGCACTTTGGGAGGGTGAGGCGGGCAGATCACAAGGTCAGGAGTTCAAGACCATCCTGGCTAATATGGTGAAACTCCATCTCTACTAAAAATACAAAAAAAAATTAGGCGGGTGTAGGTGGTGCACGCCTGTAGTCCCAGCTACTCGGGAGGCTGAGGCAGGAGAATGGCGTAAAACCTGGGAGGCAGAGCTTGCAGTGAGCCGAGATCGTGCCACTGCACTCCAGCCTGGGAGACAGAGTAAGACTCTGTCTCAAAAAAAAAAAAAAAGAAAAGAAAACCCCATCAGCCAATGTTATAATTTTTGTTTTCAATCTTCACAATATGTTTTTAAAAACTAAGAGGACAGTGTATTAGTCCATTCTCACACTGCTATAAAGATACTACCCGAAAATGAGTAATTTATAAAGAAAAAAGGTTTAATTGACTCACAGTTCTTCATGGTTTGGGGAGGCCTTAGGAAACTTACAATCACAGTGGAAGGGGAAGCAGGCGTGTCTTACATGGTGGCAGGTAAGAGAGATAGTGAACGAAGGAGGTACTTCCAAATACTTATAAAACCATCAGATCTCATGAAAACTCACTCACTATTATAAGAACAGCATGGGGAAAACCACCCCTATGATCCCATCACCTCCCTCCCTTGACACATGGGGATTACGCGTCCCTCCCTCGACAGGTGGGGATTACAATTGGAGATGAGATTTGAATGGGGACACAGAGCCAAACCATATGAGATAGTTTATTATATTTACCCAAATATTTACCATTTTGTTGCTCTTCCTCCATCTCTATTATTCCAAGTTTACCTCTGGTATTGTTTCCCTTCCATCTGAAGAATTTCCTTTAGCATTTCTTTTAGAACAGGTGTTCTGGTGTTGATTTCTCTTAGTTTCCCTTTTTGAGAATGTTTTTATTTGACCTTCATTCTAGAAGGATATTTTCATTGCCTATAGAATTCTGGATTAACAGTTTATTCCCATAAACACTTTTAAAATGTGATGACATTTCTTTCTTGCCTCCATGTTTTATGATAAGAAATTTACTCTCATTGTCCCACTGTATGCAATGTAGTGCTTTCCTCTGGCTACTTTTAATATTTTTTCTTAGTACCTAATTTTAAGCAACTTAATTATAATGTGCCTGTATGTGAATTTTTTTGAGTTGATCCTGGGTGGGATTCACTGAGATTCTTGTACATGTAAGTTCATGTCCTTTGCTGGATTTGGAAAGTTTTCATCCATTATTTCTTCAAGTATTCTTTCTGTGCTATACTTTTTCTCCACTCTTTCTGGAATTATGATGAAGAAAATGATAGACCTTTTGATATTGTTTCATAGGTCCCTGAGTCTCTATTTATTCTTTTTTCAACCATTTTTCTATATTTTGTTCATTTTAATTTGTATTAATCTGTGTTCAAGTACACTGCGCTTTTCCTCTTAAAACCCCATTCTGCTATTGATCATACCCAGTAAATGTTTTACTTTGATTACTGTATTTTTCAGTTCTGAAAGATTTATTTAGTTCTTCTTTTTTATTTTCTATTTCTCTGCTGAAGCTTTCTTTTTTTCCACTTTTTTTCAAGAGTATTTTACTTTTTCAGACAGAAAAACTGAGGTTAATTTATCATTGGTAGACCTATCTTGCAATAAATTTTAAAAGAAGTTCTTCAGAGAAAAGGAAAATAGTATGCATCAGAAACTCAGATCTATATAAAAGAAGAACATTAGAGAAGTGATAAATGAAGGTAAACTAAAATATTTTATTTTTCTTGTTCTTAATTGATGTAACTGTTAGCTAACTAATAATTTCAGCAATGTATTTGGTGATTATGGCTTATCAATAAGTGAAATGAATGACAGCAATGTTATAAGGGACAGGAAGGAGGAATTGGGAATACTCTGTGCTATGGTCTGAATGCATCCCTCCACAATTTATATGTTGAAACACAATGTGCAATGTAATAGTATTAAGAGGCAAGTCATTTGGGAGGTGATTAGGTCATAAGGGCCCTGCCTTCATGAATACCATTAATGTCCTCATAAAAATAGGCTTGAGGCCTGGCACAGTGGCTCACTCCTTTAATCCCAGAACTTTGGGAGGCTGAGGCTGGCGGATCAATTGAGATCAGGAGTTTGAGACCAGCCTGACCAACATGGCAAAGCCCCGTCTCTACTAAAAATACAAAAATTAGCCAGGCGTGGTGGCATGTGCCTGTAGTCCCAGCCAGGTACTTGGAAGGCTGAGGCATGAGTATCGCTTGAACCCAGGAGACGGAGATTGCAGTGAGCCAGGATCATACCACTGCACTCCGGCTCCTGGGTGACAGAGTGAGACACTGTCCAAAAAAAAAAAAAAAAAGGCTTGAGGAACCCCTTTTGCCTTTGTGCTATATGACATAGCCAGAAGGTGCCATCTCTGAGAAATGAGCTCTCACCAGTCACTGAATATGCTGGCATCTTGATGTTGCACTTCCCAGCCTCCATAACTGTGAGAGATAAATTTTCATTGTTTATAAATTACCAGTCTGGCCAGGTGGGATTACTCACGTCTGTATTGCCAACACTTTGGGATGCCAAGGCAGGAGGATTGCTTGAGCCCAGGAATTCTAGACCAATCTGGGCAACACAGCGAGACCACACCTCTACAATAAAAAGAAAATTAGCCAGGCATGGTGGCATGTGCCTGTGGTCCCAGCTACTCAGGAGGCTGAGACAGGAAAATTGTTTGAGCCTAGGAGGTTGAGACTGCAGTGAGTTGTGATTGCACCACTGCACTGTGGTGTGGGCAACAGAGAATTTGTCTCAATAAATAAATAAACAAATAAATAAATAACGAGCCCAAGGTACTTTGTTATAGCAGCCTCAGAAAACTAAGACACTCCTTTATAAGATACTAGTACTACCTGTGAAGCGGTACAGTATTATTTGAAAATGGATTAGCTGTAAATGCATATTGCGAACTGTAGGACAACCAATGTAAAAAGTAAAAAAATATATATAATTGATATGCTAAGAGAGGGAAGATAATGGAATCATATAAAATGCATAATTAAAACCAGAAAAGGCAGAAAAAGAGAAGAAGAGTATTTGCTTTTATTTATTAGACAATGGTTCTAATAGATGGATCGAAGTATTTGTCATAATTCTAAAATCTGTGTCACTTTGGGGTTGAAATCTGGTAATTATTTTGCTTTTTTTACTTGCAAGTTGAAATTCTTAATTTTTTACATGCTAAGTCATTTTGAATGGCATCCTGTACATTCTAATTATATTATGAGACTCTAGATCTCCTTTGATTTACAAGCAAACTGTTGTATTTGTGTGCACGTGTGTCTGTGTGTTTCTGTTTTGTTCTTGTTGTTGTTGTTTCTTTACCTCCATATTAACAAGTTATTTATTTTTTTAATTATTATTATTTTTAAATTTTGTGCAGGTAGATATATTGTGCAGGTGCATATATTTATGGTGTATGTGAGATGTTTTGATACAGGCATGAAATTCGTACTAATCACATCATGGAAAATGGGATATCCATCCCCTCAGGCATTTATCCTTTGTGTTACAAATAATCCAATTAAATTATTCTGCTTATTTTTAAATGTACAATTAAATTATTATTGAGTATGGTCCTCCTGTTGTGCTATCAAATACTAGCTTTTATTCATTCTTTCTAACTATATTTTTGTACCCATTAACAATCTCCACTTCCCTTCCACCTCCCCCACCCCCCACTAACCTTCCCAGCCTCTGGTGAACATCCTTCTACTCTCTATCTCCATGAGTTCAATTGTTTTGATTTTTGAATCCCACAGATAATTGAGAACATGCGAAGCTTTTCTTTCTCTGCCTTATTTTACTTAACATGATGACCTCCAATTCCATACATGTTGTTGCAAATGACAGGATCTCACTTTTTTATGGCTGTATAGTATGCCATTGTGTATATGTACCACATTTTCTTTATCTAATCATCTGTTGATGGACACTTAGTTTGCTTCCAAACCTTGGCTATTGTGAATAGTTCTGCAACAAACATGGGAGTGCAGGTATTTCTTCGATATTCTGATTTCCTTTCTTTGGGGTATATAACTAGGACTGGGATTGCTGGATCATATAGTAGCTCTATTTTTAGTTTTTTGAGTATCCTCCAAACTGTTCTCCATAGTGGCTGTACTCATTTACATTCCTACCAACAGTGTACAAGGGTTCCCTTTTCTTCACATTCTCTCCAGTACTTGTTATTGCCTGTCTTTTGGATAAAAGCCATTTATTTATTTATTTATTTTACTTTCTTTTTTTTTGAGATGGAGTTTTGCTTTTGTTGCCCAGGCTGGAGTACAATGGCATGATCTCGGCTCACCACAACCTCCGCCTCCTGGGTTCAACCGATTCTCCTGCCTCAGCCTCCCGAGCAGCTGGGATTACAGGCATGCGCCACAATGCCTGGCTAATTTTTTGTATTTTTAGCAGAGACGGGGGTTTCTCCATGTTGGTCAGGTTGGTCTCGAACTCCTGACCTCAGGTGATCTGCCCGGCTTGGCCTCCCAAAGTGCTGGGATTACAGGCATGAGCCACCACATCCAGCCTAAAAGCCATTAAAAAAAAAAAAAAAGCCATTTTAACTGGGGTGAGATGATATCTCATGGTAGTTTTGATTTGCATTTCTCTGATGATCAATGATGTTAAGCAACCTTTCATATGCCTATTTGGAATTTACATGTCTTGTTTTCAGAAATGTCTATTCAAATATTTTGCCCATTTCCTAATTGGATTATTGGATTTTTTCCTATAGAGTTGTTTGAGCTCCTTATATATTCTGGTTATCAATCTTTTCTTGGATGGGTACTTTGCAAATATTTTTTCTCACATTTGCGGGTAGTCTCTTCACTTTGTTGACTGTTTACATTGCTGTGCAGAAGCTTTTTAAATTGACATGATCCCATTTGCCCATTTTTGCTTTGGTTACCTGCACTCATGGGGGTATTACTCAATAAATTTTTGCACAGACCAATGTCCTAGAGACTTTCCCCAATGTTTTCTTGTAGCATTTTAATAGTTAAAGGTCATAAGTGTAAGTCTTTAATTCATTTTGATTTGATTTTTGTATATGGCAAGAGATAGGGGTCAAGGTTCATCTGGATATCAAACTGGATGTCCAGTTTTCAAACATCATTTATTGAAGAAACTATCCTTTCTCCAGCGTATGTTCTTGGCACTTTTGTTGAAAATGAGTTCACTGTAGCTGTGTGGATTTGTTTCTGGGTTCTCTGTTCTGTTCCATTAGTCTGTGGGTCTGTTTTTATGCTAGTACCATGCTTTCTTGGTCACAATAGCTCTGTAGTCTAATTTGAAGACAGGTAATGTGATTCTTCCAGTTTTGTTCTTTTTGCTTAGAATACCTTTGGCTATTCTGGGTCTTTTGTTGTTCCATATAATTTTAGGATTTTCTCTTCTATTTCTGTAAAGAATGTCATTGGTATTTTGATAAGGATTGCATTGAACTTGTAGATTACTTTGGGTAGTATGGATATTTTAACAATATTGATTCTTCCAATATATGAACATGGAACATCTTTCAATTTTTTCTGTCCTCTTCAATTTCTTTCATCAGTGTTTTATAGTTTTCATTGTAGAAATCTTTCACTTCTTTAGCTAAGCTAATTCCTAGGTATTTAATTTTACATGTGGCTATTGTAAATGAGATTTTTAAAATTTCTCCTTCAGATTGCTTGCTGTTGGCATATAGAAATTCTACTGATTTTTGTATGTTGATATTGTATATCCCACGACTTTTTTTTTTTTTTGATGGAGTTTCACTCTTGTCACCCAGGCTGGAGTGCAATGGCACGATCTCGGCTCACTGCAACCTCCACCTCCTGGGTTCAACCAATTCTCCTGCATCAGCCTTCTGAGTAGCTGGGATTACAGGCGTGCACCACCACGCCCAGCTAATTTTTGTATTATTAGTAGAGACAGGGTTTCACCATGTTGGCCAGGCTTGTCTCAAACTCCTGACCTCAGGTGATCCGCCCACCTCAGCCTCCCAAAGTGCTGGGATTACAGGTGTGAGCCACGGCACCCAGCCTATCCCACAACTTTACTGAATTTGTTTATCACTTCTGGTTTTTGGTGGAGTCTTTAGGATTGTCCAAATATAAGATCCTATCATATTATCTGCTAATGAGGATAATTTGACATTTACCTTTCCAAATTTTATGCCATTTCCTTCTTTTGTCTGATTGCTCTACCTAGGATTACCAAAACTATGTTGAATAACAGTGGGGAAAGTGGACATCCTTGTGGTGTTCCAGATCTTAGAGAAAAGGTTTTTCCCCATTCAGTATGATATACTAGCTGCGGATCTGTTTTTTATGGTTTTTATTATGTTGACATATGTTCAATCCATACCCAGTTATTTTGTTTGTTTGTTTGTTTATTTGTTTCTAATTTGAGATGGAGTCTCACTCTATCACCCAGGCTGGAGTGCAGTGGCGTGATCTCGGCTCACTGCAACCTCCACCTCCTGGGTTCAAGCAATTCTCCTGCCTCAGCTTCCCACCGAGTATATAGCCAGGTTTTTGAGGGTTTTTATCATGAAGGGATGTTTAATTTTACCAAATGCTTTTATATCATCAGTGGAAATGATCATATGGATTTTGTCCTTCATTCTGTTAATATGATGTATCACATTGATTGATTTACATATGTTGAGCCATTCTTGTATCAATGAGATAAATCCCACTTGGTCATGATAAATGATCTTCTTAATGTATTGTTGAATTTGATTTGCTAGTATTTTGTTGAGGATTTTTGCATCAATACCCATCAGAGATATTGGCCTGTAGTTTTCTTTCTTCTTCTTTTTTTTTTTTTTTTTTTTTTTTTGATGAGTCTTTGTCTGGTTTTAGTATCAAGGTAATACTGGCCTTGTAGAATGAGTTTGGAAGTATTCCCTTCTCTTGCATTTTTTCAGAATAGCTTCAGTAGGATTGGTATTAGTTCTTCTTTAAATGTTTGATAGAATTCACCAGTGAAGCCATCAAGTCCTGTGCTTTTCTTTACTGAGATAATTTTTATTATGGCTTTGATCTCGTTACCTGTTATTGGTATGTTCAGGTTTTGGATTTCTTCATGGTTCAGTCTTGGTAGGTTATATGTATCTGGGAATTTATCCATTTCCTCTAGCTTTTCCAACTTGCTGGCATATAGTTGGAATTGGCCACTAATGATCCCTTGCATTTCTGCAGTATCAGTCGTAATGTCACGTTTTTCATCTCTGATGTTATTTATTTGGGTATTCTCTCTTTTTTTTCTTGGTATGGCTAAAGGTTTGTCAATTTTATTTATCTTTTTAAAAAAACACTACTTTTCATTTCACTGATCTTCTACATTGGTTTCTTCATTAAAAATTAATTTGTTTCTGCTCTAATCTTTATTATTTATTAACTTCTGCTATTTTTTTGTTTCCATTGGCATGAAAAATTTTTTCCATTTCTTTATCTTCAGTATATGTGTATCTTTATAGGTGAAATGTGTTTCTTTTTTTTTTTTTTTTTTGAGACGGAGTCTTGCTCTGTCACCCAGGCTGGAGTGCAGTGGCGCAATCTCGGCTCACTGAGACCTCTGCCTCCCTGGTTCAAGTGATTCTTCTGTCTCAGCCTCCCACGTAGCTGGGACTACAGGCACGTGCCATCACGCCTAGCTAATTTTTTTTTTTTTTTTTTTTAGTAAAGACGGGGTTTCACCATATTGGCCAAGCTGGCCTCAAACTCCTGACCTCGTGATCTGCCCTCCTTGGCCTCCCAAAGTGCTGGGATTACAGGTGTGAGCCACCATGCCTGGCTGAAATGTGTTTCTTGTAAGCAAGAGATCAATGGGTCTTGTTGTTGTATCCACTTAGCTACCCTATGTCTTTTGATTGGAGAGTTTAGTTCATTTCCAGTCAATGTTGTTATTGATAATTAAGGACTTACTCCTGCCATTTTGTTATTTGTTTTCTGGTTGTCTTTTTGTTTTGTTTTGTTTTTGTCTTCTCTTTCTTCTTTCCTTCCTGCCTTCTTTTAGTGAAGGTGATTTTTTTCTGGTGGTATGGTTTAATTTCTTGCTTTTTATTTTTTGTGTATCCATTGAATGTTTTTAAATTTGAGGTTACCATGAGGCTTATGAGGTTACCATGAGGCTTATGAGGTTACCATGTTTTAAACTGATAACAGCTTAACACTGATTGCATAAACAAACAAGCAAAAAGAAAACTAACGAAAACTCTACATCTTAACTTCATTCTCCCTGCTTTTTAACTTTTTATTGTTCTCTTTATATCTTATTGTACTGTCTATGTCTTGAAAGGTTGTTGTAGTCATTATTTTTTATTGGTCCATCATTTAGTCTTTCTACTTAAGAATATTTTAGGGCCAGGTGCAATGGCTCATGCCTGTAATCCCAGCACTCTGGGAGGCCAAGGCAGGCAGATCACTTGAGGTCAGGAGTTCAAGACCAGCCTGGCCAACATGGTGAAAGCCCATCTCTACTAAAAACTAGCCAGGCTTGGTGGCACATGCCTGTAGTCCCAGCTATCTGGCAGGCTGAGGGGGGAGAATCACTTGAACCTGGGAGGTGGAGGTTACAGTGAGCTGATATCACACCATTACACTCCAGCCTGGGCAACAGAGTGAGACCCTGTCTCAAACAAAAGAAGGAAAGAAAGAAAGAGAGAGAGAGAGAGAGAGAAAGAAAGAAAGAAAGAAAGAAAGAAAGAAAGAAAGAAAGAAAGAAAGAAAGAAAGAAAGAGAAAGAAAGGGAGAGTATTTTATACCCCAACAATTACAGTGTTATAATATTCTGTGTTCTGTGTGTGTGTACTTACTATTATTACTAGTGATAATACCAGTTGTGTACCTTCAGATGATTTCTTATTGCTCATTGATGTCCTTTTTCAGATTGGAGAACTCCCTTTAGCATTTCTGGCAGGACAAGTCTGGTGTTGATGAAATCCCTCAGCTTTTGTTTGTCTAGGAAGGTCTCCATTTCTTCATGCTTAAAGGATATTTTCTCTGGATATACAAGGTAAAATTTTTTCCTTCAGTACTTTAAGTATGTCATGCCACTCTCTACTGGTCTGTAAGGTTTCCACTGAAAAGTCTGCTACCAGATGTATTGGAGCTCCATTGTATGTTATTTGTTTCTTTTCTCCTGCTGCTTTTAGGATCCTTTCTTTATCCTTGGCCTTTGGGAGTTTGATTATTAAATGTCTTGAGGTAGTCTTCTTTGAGTTAAATCTGCTTGGTGTTCTATAAACTTCTTGTACTTGAATGCTGATATCTTTCTCTAGGTTTGAGAAGTTCTCTGATGTTATCCTTTTGAATAAACTGTCTACCCATGTATCTTTCTCTACCTCCTATTTAAGACCAATAACTCTTAAATTTTCCCTTTTGGGGCTATTTCCTAGAACTTGTAGGCCATGCTTCATTGTTTTTTATTCTTTTTTCTTATGTCTCCTCTGACTGTGTATTTTCAAATAGCCTGTCTTCAAGCTCATAATTCTTTCTTCTGCTAAATCAATTCTGCCATTAAGAGACTCTGATGCATTCTTCAGCATGTCAGTTGCATTTTTCTACTCTAGAATTTCTGCTTGATTCTTTTTAATTTTATTTATTTATTTATTTATTTATTTTTGAGATGGAGTATTGCTCTATCACCCAGGGTGGAGTGCAGTGGCATGATCTTGGCTCACTGCAACCTCCACCTCCTCGGTTTAAGTGATTCTCCTGCCTCAGTCTCTCGAGTAGCTGGGACTACAGGTGCACACCAACACGCCTGGCTAATTTTTGTATTTTTTGTAGAGACAGGGTTTCGCCATGTTGGCCAGGGTGGTCTTGAGCTCCTGAACTCAAGTGATCTGCCTGCCTCGGCGTCCCAAAGTGCTGGGATTACAGGCATGAGCCACCGCACCCAGTCAAGATTGAAATATTTAAAAAGGGCCAATTAGCCACCTGTAGTCCCAGCTACTCAGGAGGCTGAGGCAGGAGAATTGCTTGAACCCGGGAGGCAGAGGCTGCAGTGAGCCGAGATCATACCACTGCACTCCAGCCTGGGCCTGGGCGACAGAGTGAGACTCCGTCTCAAAAAAAAAAAAAAAAAAAAATTCAATCTCTTTGTTAAATTTATCTGATAGAATTCCAAATTCCTTCTCTGCCTTATGTTGAATTTATTTTAGTTTCCTCGAAATGGCTATTTTGAATTGTCTGTCTGAAAGGTCACATATCCTTGTTTCTCTAGGATTGGTCCCTGGTGCCTTATTAGGTTTGTTTGGTGAGGTCATGTTTTCCTGGGTGGTCTTAACACTTACGGATGTTTGACAGTGTCTGGGCATTGAAGAATTCGGCATTTATTGTAGTCTTTGCAGTCTGGGCTTGTTTGTGCCTGTCCTTCTTTGGAAGGCTTCCAGGTATTCTAAGGGACTTGGGCCCCAATCCCAATAACTCTGGTTCTTGAGTTGATTCATATAGGTAATGCCTTGGTGATACTGGATAATGTCCAAAAGAATTCCTGGATTACCATGCAGAGACACTTGTTCTTTTCCCTTACTTTCTCCCAAACAAATGTAGTCTCTCTGTGCTGGGCCTCATGGAACTGGAGGTGGGGGGATACAAAGACTCCTGTGGCCACCACCACTGGGACTGCACTGGTTCAAACCAGAAGCCAGCCCAGCACTAGTTCTCACCCAAGGCCCACTGTAACCATGACCTAGCTACCACCTAAGTTCACTCAAGGCCCTAGGGTTTTAAGATCAGCAGAGGGCAAAGCCTACCAGGTTTGTATCCCTCCCTTCAGGGCAATGAGTTCCTCTTGGCCCCAGGTGAGTCCAGAGATGCTGTCTGGGAGCCAAGGATTGAAGTCAAAAACCTTAGAAATTTGCTTGGTGTTCTAATCTACTGCAGCTAAGCTGGCACTCAGACCACAAGACAAGGTCCTTCCCACTCTTTCTTCCCATTTCCACAGGCAGAGGAGCCTCTCCTTGTGGTCACCATGACCAGCGACACACGGGTTCTGCCAGCCTACTGCCAACATTCACTTAAAGTCCCAGGGCCCTTAAGTCAGCTGGTGATAAATGCTGCCAGGCCTGGCACTCACCCTTCAGAGCAGTGGGCTCCCCTCTGTCCCAGGGAAGGTCCACAAATGCTGACTAAGTGCCTAAACATAGACTGGACTCAGAGTCCCCAAGAGCCTATTTGCTGCTCTACCCTACTATGGCTGAGCTGGTACCTAAGGTGCAAGATGGAGTCCCCTTTACTTTACCCCATGCTTTTCTCAAATAGAAGGAGAGTTTCACTGCAGGCACCACAGCTTGGAATGTGCTGGGTCAGACCTGAAGCCAGCATTTCTCAGAGCTCAACACCCACAGCATATTACCTGGGTATTGCTGTTGGTTTGTTATCCAGAGCTCAGGGGCTCTTTAGTCAACAGCTGATTAATCCTGCCAGGTCTCTGCTGTAATTGGGCAGCACTGAGTTCAATGTAAAGTCCCCCAGTCGCTTGCTGTCTCTCAAGCAGAGATTTCTCCACACGGCCGCTGCCAAGCGAGGAGTGGCACAAACACTCCCTTAGCTGCCCCAGCTGCCTCAGTAGGTTGCATGCCCCCACCCCCACAGTCCACTGACTCTGAGCCCAGCTCAGCACTAGGACTTGGAGTCTTTGTAGATTGGACTGCCCCTCACATTCACGTAGGGCCCTAGAGCACTCCAGACCACATTCAGGCTTGCCAGAGCTGAAGCTCTGACCACTGGGATGGGAGACTCCCCACTGTCTAGGGCCAGTCCAAATTCTCCCTCTGTGGGCAGATGTGAACTAATACTGCTTGGTTCTACTTTCCGCTGTGACAGGGCACCACTGAGTTCAATGCAAAGCCTCACAATCTCTGTGCTCTCCCTCTCCCAAGTACACAGAATGTCCATGCCACAGGGTTGCTGCCACAGGATAGGGGAGGGGTGACATTGGCAATTCAAGACTGTCTTTCGGGCCCTCTTCAATGTCTCTTTCAGCGATATGAAGTTAAAACTAGGTACTGTGGGCCGGGTGTGGTGGCTCACGCCTGTAATCCCAGCACTTTGGGAGACCGAGGTGGGCGGATCACAAGGTCAGGAGATCGAGACCATCCTGGCTAACACAGTGAAATCCTGTCTCTACTAAAAATACAAAAAATTAGCCAGGTGTGGTAGCGTGCACGTGTAGTCCCAGCTACTCCGGAGGCTGAGGCAGGAGGATGGCGTGAACTCGGGAGGCGGAGCTTGCAGTGAGCCGAGATTGCATCACTGCACTCCAGCCTGGGCGACAGAGGGAGACTCTGTCTCAAAAAAACAAACAACAACAACAAAAAACTAGGTATTGTGATTGGTCACCTAATCTTGGTTATTATAATGGTGCTTTTTGTGTGCAGTTAGTTGTCAAAATTTCGTATTTTCCTTGGGGAGGACAAACGGTGTAGGCTTCTATTCAGCCATCTTGCTCCCACATTCCCTCTGTGTTTTGTTGTTGTTGTTGTTGTTTACTTTAGAAGGTAAGACATCTGGTTAGGTTTAGGCTTCAAGTTCCAAACAAATATCTGTGGGTTGTGGTTCCAGTGTCAGTTTAATTTTCAGAGTGTTCATGGTGTTATTTGGGTCTGTCCTGCATATACACTACTAATGGCCAGTCTGTGTGTGACTAGGCAATGGTCCATAGTTTAGCTCTTAAAGTCTTTCTTTGGTTTGCAACTCAGAGATGTGCCCAGTAGCTCACAAACCCCTTTACAGGAGCTTTCCCTTGAGCTCCGTCCTCTTGGTGATCTCCTTGACAATTTTCTGTCTCTCTGGGGCCCTCCTTCACAGTCCTCTGGCCAGAAGGCTGGGGCATCTGTTTTCCTTTTCTGATGTGACACTCCCCATTGTCTACATATGGGATCAAAAGGAGGGCAGTGATAGAAATGTAATATTTATACACTCCACACTCTCGAGACCACACAGTTCCTCTGCATTGCTTGGTAAAGGGTACCAAGTAATGCAGAGGAATTTTTAAGAAACAAAGTTGTCTTTAGCATCCTTCTATCATGTTACTAACACCTGTCTCTCTAGTTTAAGTTATATTAGATACTTCTGAAGTTCTTTCCCACAAAGACAGGCTGTGATTTTAAGTAATTAAAAGTGGTAAGGAGCACAGTACCTGAGGCTCAGGATGCCTTTTAGGGACTCTGTTTTTGTTTGAATCCAACTTACTGGTTGGATGACCCTGGGCAGATAACTCAAAGGACTTTGACCTTACTTTCCTGTTAATAGTACCTAACCTACCTCCTGAGGTTGCTGTGAGTTTCAAATTAGATAGTGCACATAAATTACTTAGCACAGTGCCTGGCACATTGAAATAGTAAATACTTAATAAACAGAAGCGGAACTTTTTTAACTTAAGGAGAAAATTTGCTATTCTGGGACAAATTTCAAATTCATTATATCATTATTTGCAAGTATGCTATTTTATGTATTATATGTTTTTGAATTTTAGCACAAAAGTTCTAAAAGTGCTTACATAGCCACATAACTAGGTGGAAAACAAAAATATTTTCATATTAGGCATCACACAAATTTATGTAAAGGATAAACTCAAATAGCTGATTTAAACTTAGAAGATAATTTAAACAAACTTAGTAATTTTATATTTATAGAGGCATTCAACAAATATTTGTTAAATGAATGACAGGTTGAAGTTTTTATTAATTTAAAAAATGCATTGCAAAAAGAAGGCAATATGAAATTTAATTTTCCCAAACTTTTATTAATATTGTTGGGGAGAAAAAGTAATATATTTTCCTCATCCATCAAAAGATTCATGGCTGATACCTTCGTTACCAAAGACTGATTAACAAGAGAAAACTCACAAAAATTTTATTTAAACAAAGCCTTACATAACATGGAAGACTTCAGAAATGAAGACATGGGCAGGTATGGTGGCTTACGCCTGTAGTGCCAGCACTTTGGGAAGCCGAAGCGGGAGGATCGCGTGAGTCCCAGGAGTTTGAGGCTTCAGTAACCGGCGGTCACGCCACTACACCACAACCCAGGTGACAGGGCGAGACCCTGTCTCAAAAAAAGAAGTAGAAGGAGAAGAAGAGGAAGGGAAAAAGGAAGAAGAGGAAGAGGAAGAAGAAGGAGGAGAAGAAGATCCAAACACCCAAGGAAAACTGTATTTTATTTATTTATTATTTTTATTTATTTATTTATTTTGAGACGGAGTTTCACTCTTGTTGCCCAGGCTGGAGTGCAATGGTGCGATCTGGGCTCACTGCAGCCTCTGCCTCTGGGATTCAAGTGATTCTCCTGCCTCAGCCTCCTGAGTAGCTGGGATTACAGGCATGCGCCACCACACCCAGCTAATTTTGTATTTTTAGTAGAGGTAGGGTTTCTCCATGTTGGTCAGGCTGGTCTCCAACTTCCGACCTTAGGTGATCCACTTGCCTCGGCCTCCCAAAGTGCTGTGATTACAGGCGTGAGCCACTGCGCCCAGTGGGAAAACTGTATTTTTATGCTTAGGTTCTATGAAGAATGGACAGTCATGCAGGAGTATGATTGGACAAAAGGAGGTTCTGATCTAATGTGAATACACTGGAGGGAACTTAGCAAGGCCTGTTTGTTCAGATTCTTCTTGGCTTTTAGTTACAGGGCAGGATCCCTCTGGATTAAGGGTCTTATGACCCAATTTCAAGCAAGGTAGGTCAGAGAATTTATGACAATGCTTTAGGGGAGAAAGGTGGGAGAAGATCAGACTGACCTTCTTGCTTCTGTGTTTTTCTCAATTGCCAAGATGCCATATTGTGGGCATCATGTTCTGAGCCCTAACAATACGTTTTTCTTCCTGCCTCAAAAACAACAGCCTGATGCCCAACTTTGGCTAGACTCCACTTGCCTATCAAATAACAGTATATTCGCCAGGCATGGTGGCTCACACCTATAATCTCAGCACTTTGGGAGGCTAAGGTGGGTGGATCACTTGAGGTCAGGGGTTCAAGACCAGTCTGGCCAACGTGGTGAAACCCACCTCTACTAAAAATACAAAAAAGTTAGCTGGGCATGGTGTCAGGCACCTGTAATCCCAGCTACTAGGGAGGCTGAGGTGCATCAACCCGGGAGGCAGAGGTTGCAGTGAGCAGAGATTGTACCACTGCACTCCAGCCTGGGTGACAGAGTGAGACTCCGTCACAAAAAAAAAAAAAAAAAAAAAAAGTATATTCACTTGCCATGTAATGTTTTTTATTCTCAGATCTAGTCTGATCTTTTACTCTACCTGTCCTCAAATCCTTGATGCCAGCCCACCTGGACTGTTCTGGATTGTTTTTTGTTCTGTGGGCATAGTCATGCTTCCCCTCAGCTTATGTAGTTTCTTTTGCTAGAAATGTTCTCCCTATCTCCAGCTTACCTGTGGAATCCTACCCATTTTTTAAAATAAAACAACAATTTTTTAAGCCTCATGGATCTTGTGAGTCAGAAATACAGACATGTCATAGCAGGGATGACTTGTATCTGCTCTACAATGTCAGGAACTTCAGCTGGTAAGACTTGAATGGCTGGGGTGATTCAATGACTGGAAGCTGGAAATGTCCAGAGGTGTCTTCACTCATTGGAAATTGCCCTGCTGGAAATTTCGCTCATGTTTGGCACCTGGGCTAGGTTAACTAGCAAGATCTGCTCTGCTGGGCCATTGACAGAAGCATCTATATGTGGACTCTCTTTGTAGCCTCACCTTCCCACAGCTTGGTCTTGGACATTCCAAAAGAAAGTGCTTAAGTGAACAAGTCCTACCCATTCTTGAAATCCCTTCTTACATGCTTCTCCCTCAATGAAGCCTTTCCTTACTTTTCCATTAAGCAGATGCGTTTTCTCTGTTTTGAATTTTCATCGTTTCTTTGTGCTCATCTTTAAGCACTGTTCTCCTTCTGCCTCAGTTTTATAGCCATTTTTATATTTATTTTCATATTCATCCTATATTCTTGTCTGCCCCTATGAGCACCTTGAGGGCAAAAATCGGGTTTTACTCCTCCATGTATTATCTGAAGCAATTAGCAAGGTAACTTCCTAGTATATTGTACATGTTCAACAAATATCTGCTGAATCAAAAAGAAAAGAAGAGGTAGTTTCCTAATCCTCCATTAAGTATTTTAATTTATTAAATACCTATGAGAGGAAAAAATGATTTTACTTGACACATACATGTGTTAGGAAATATCATGAGTTATGTCAAACCATAACAATCTTACAAACAGGAATGCCATTTGGCAGTTGGCAGACAGGAATCGGGTAACCACTGTGAAGTGGTTATTTCCAATCAACCATGCATCCAATGCATCCATGGATGGTTTGTGAACCATGGTTAATTTAATATCCACACATGCTTATTAGAAGTATTCAGCCTCTTGCTATAATCAACTTGTTTATATATTTACAAGTAATGACTTTCTGGTTATTTTAATTAAGAAACCCTTCATTCATTAGGATCTGTTGACTAATATAATCTCTTCCAATGTGGCAAACTAGTATTTATTGCAGTTGTAGAAAGAACAGGTTGACAAATTGCCACAGACATGCACGAAGAGGTCTTGATTAACCTGTTAGTAGAAGAATTAAATCAGATAAACATTCCAGAGAGCAGTTTTGCAATATGTATCAAATGATATTAAATTGTGCATGTCTTTTGACCCAGCAATTGCTTTTCTAAGAATTTATCCTATAATAGTTGCCCAAGTGTATGAATATGGTGTTAATGGAATCATTGGTTATAAAAAGATACATTTGGAAACAACATAAATGTGTACCGATGGAGCACTGGTAAAATAAAGGATGGTACAGCCATACAATGGGCTGCTACATAGCTGTTTTAAAAAACTGAGGAAGATCCATATGAAATGACACTGAAAGATATCCATGATATATTGTTAATCAAAGTAAGTTGCAAGACGGTATGTATATCATGCTCTCATTTGTGGTAAAAACTAAAATACCAACATGTGTTTATAAATTGTGGAAATTTAACAAGGACCAGATTTGTAGTGTTGCGGGGGAAGAGGAGAAAAAAGAAAGGTAGAAGGGAAGACTGAACTCTATTTAGTAGTTTTCTTTTTCTTTCTTTCCTTCTTTCCTTTTTTTTCTCTCTCTCTTTCTTTTTTTTCTTTTGAGGTGGGGGTCTCACTATGTTGCCCGGGTTGGAAGACAGTGGCATTCACAGTTGTGATCCCATCATTGATCAGCATGGGAGTTTTGACTGGCTCCATTTCTGACCTGGGTCTTTCACGTTTTTTTTAGGCAACCTTGTGGTCCCCCGCTCCCAAGAGGCCACCATACTGATGCTGAACTTAGTGCAGACTCCCCATTGGCATGCCACACTACAGCCCAGAATTCCTGGCTCAAGCAATCATCCTGCTTCAGCCTCAGAGGGCTATAGGCATGCACCACCACACCTGGCTATTTAGAGGTTTTGACAAACAAAGTGTGTTGTCAGTCTTACTAAAAAATGTAATTCCAATGCCAAGGACTCCTCTGTATTTCCATCAGTCTGTCTTCCAGTTGGTTAAGCTCAAACTCTTCATTCTGTCTGACTGACCTCTTTCTTGGTAGCCAGTTGGGAGCCAGTCCCAATCTGTCAGCCTGTCCTGTCATTTCTGTCTCCCCACCTCTCTTGGTTTTCTCTTCCTTTCTTTTTATTTCCACTTTCTGTATCTGGCAGTCCAGACCTTTATCACTCCTCACCCTGCACCTGTCAGTTTTTGCAGTTGCCTTTTAGTGGATCTCCCTGCCTGCAGTTTCTCTTCCCAGCCCACAAACTCTCCCTCTGTCCTAGACAGGATACCAGGAGGGTCCTCTTAATCCCCAGTAGTTTTGTCACAGAAAGTCTTCAGGGGTTTCTGTTCTGTGACACACATCTCAGCTCCTTCAGAGGAAAGTTGGGCAGTCAGACACCCCTCCGACAGCCTAGCCCAGTCTGCAGTTCCAGGACCCCACATGGTGAGAGGCTGACCTTCTCTGGTCATGAGGATCCCCACTTGGAAGGCCCTTTCTGCCTTTCCAGCTCTGAGACCACTACTCATTCCTGAATACCCACCTGCACCCCTATGAGGACCCACTTATTCTTCCAGCAATGCCTTCCTCATGAAACTCCTCCAACTCCTCATTTATACTTTTTATAATCCTTCTGTTATTGCCATGTGAGCAAGTCCCTAAGATGTGTATGAAAGCCCCCAAGGGTGGGAGTCGTGTCTCTTACAGCAATTGATTCTGTAACCTTAATTTCCTCAGGTTTTTTCAGCCTGTGGGTACAACAGGGTCACAGAATCTATACCTCCATGACTTTTGTCTTCATCTCTTCATCTTCTCCTGTGAAACGCTGCCCTCCTGCAAAGTACCTCTCAAGTTTTGCTGGAAGTCTCCAAGCAGCATCTCACTAGTGGTCATGAATAAGCCCCTGTCAGCTGTCCAGCTCTGCTACCATGTGGCATACACCATTTCTTTCTTCATTTCCTGGTCTTGTCCCCTGCCAGGCACCAATGTCCCCCACTGGGCACCATGGCTGCTTCCACTGTGTACCACCGTGTTCACTAGGCACCAGCCTCCTGCAGACACCACTACAATTATATTTCTTTGTGCCTGCCACACTGCTGTGAACCTAACAGTCTCTCACAGACATTAGCTGTTGAATGAAGGATGATATTCACTAGGACATGCTTTGATTTGCTTTTCCAGTGGTGGAGATAAGTTGCACTGATTTATCCTCACGCTCTCTCCAGTCACCCTTGGGACAACACAGACATTTGTGAAGTGGTTTTCAGGGAACAGGGTACACCATCCTGAGCTGTTGAGCAAAGTAATCCTACCGCCAAGGTTGCCAGCCCAAATCACTGGGTCTTGCTCTGACATGTTTTGATCCTTATACGGAAACTTCCTATCTTTGGGTCTTCAAAGTTCAAATCCAAGTAGGAGTTGATATCAAATTTCAGGAAAGTTCAAGTCACACCTCAAACAAAGTTGCTTTGTGCCCATCTACTAAGCCAAAGAGAGAGTTTCCTTATACAATTCTCACAAGAGGAGAACTGGGGATGTAAAACAATCAAAGAAATGCTTTCCCTGTAAGGAGCGGCACAGGGAAATGCAGCTAGGAATGAATGAACAAATGCACCTAAAGCAAAAGTGTGGAGGAAAGATAGTCAGAAGACACTTTATGAGTGTTTGTTTCTTAGGTCTGGTGCTGAACAATATTACCATTCAAATGGTTCTCAGAGGCTTTGAAGTTAACAGCTCCTGGGAAAGAAAAGTGTTCACACTTGGGGCTTCAATCCACTAGACCCAAGGTCAAGTAAACCTGTTGGTGTGAAAGGCTCACAATAGAGATTCAAATGGTAGGAAATCTATCTGGGGTTTCTTTCAAAATACCTGAAAGAATATGGAAATACTCTATCCTTATAGAAGGCAAAAAGTAACTCTGAATATTCTTCAATAGTCTTATTAAAAGAAGTATTTTCAGACCATACAAATTAGGTTAACAACTTCCTGTGACATCTTGGCCCCTATACTAGTCATTGATAAGATGTGACATGTAAGAAAAAAAGCTGATTGAGCTGAAATGCATGACACTTCGGTAATGGACATAACATTAGAAGTTTCTAAAAGGTAGTAGGTGTCAAATTTTCTCAAACGCTACTTTCATATAAACATTTTTGGAATTTCTAGGATATGGTCTGTCACAGGGGTCTCACTCAAGGAAAATACCATAAATAATTGTGTCTACACAAAAGAGAAATAGAGGGTGATTATTTGCCTAACAAAAGGATTTTCATCCCCTGTACAGCATATGAGATCCAACTTACACAAATGTATTTTCTCATCACTTTTCTTTTTTCTGTTTTTTATTTCATTTTATTTTTTGAGACAGGGTCTCGCTCTGTCACCCAGGCTGGAGTGCAGTGGTGTGACCACAGCTCACTGCAGCCTCAACCTCCTGGGCTAAAGTGATTCTCCCACCTCAGCCTCCCAAGTAGCTGTGACTACGAGCATGTGCCACCATGCTTGGCTACTTTTCGATTTTTTTTTAGAGACAAGGTCTCACCACATTGCCCAGGCTGGTCTTGAACTCCTGGGCTCAAATGATCCTACCATCTCGGCCTCTCAAAGTGTTGGGATTACAGGTGTGAGCAACCACGCCCTGCTTGTTTTTATTTTTTTAAGTCCCACATCCACAGATTCTTTTTGGATTATAAAAGTAATGCTTAACTTTCAAGAGCACTTGAGATTTGTGTGACAGATTGTGCTGCTTAAGCCTTGACCCCTTCCCATCTACCTCTCAGTTGGTGATGGCAGCACTGTGACCAGGACAGATTTCTCCACCTCTACTTTATACTATTTCATCTTGTTTTTTTTGTTCTTTGTTTTTTTTTCAATACACCTTGAGCATATGCTTGTTGTAAAACATCAACATGATCTAGTCTAACATGGAAGTCTCTCTTTACTCAACATATAATTTTCACAACTTCTCTCCACCAAGTTAAAAGTATTTTAACATTTCACTTTTTAAAAACCTAGTAAGGGAAGGTGGTAATATTTTCAGCCTAGAAAAGTGTACCCCAGATCTGACTGTATCTCAGAACTACCTGAGTATGCTAAAAATAGATTCCAGGACCCACAATCGACCTACTTAATCAGAATCTCTGGGAATAAATGCAAAGTCTCACAATGTGACACCCCAAAATATGGCAACTTGACATACTGAGTATTGTAAGCTAAAGGAAATTGAGAAAACCACAGAAGCAGAAAGTTCTCTCTCACCTTATCTTTTGAAGACCCTTATGTGACAGGTGTCCTGCCAGAAACAGGAGAAAAGGAATGTTACACAGGGAAGCCAAGAAGAATCTGAACAGACAGGCCTTCACAAGTTCTCCCAGGTTACTACCATTAAGTCATATCCCCACGACTGTCCATCCCTTTTTTTTTTTAGACAGGGTCTCTGTCACCCAGGCTGGAGTGCAGTGGCGTGATCTCAGCTCACTGTAGCCTCAACCTCCTGGGCTCAAGCGATCCTCCCATCTCAGCCCCTGAGTAGCTAAGACGATAGGCATACACCACTATGCCCAGCTAATTTTAGTATTCTTTTGTAGAGATGGGGTTTTGCCACGTTGCCCAGGGTAGTCTTGAACTCCTGGGCTCAAGCAATCTGCCTGTCTCGGCCTCCAGAAGTGCTGGGATTCAGGTATTAGCCACCATGCCCAGCTTAGTCTTCATTTCTGAAGGCTACTGGATCATATTAAAACTACCCTTCTACTTTACAATCTATGTTCAATTTCTAGCCCACCACCTGGCAGTATTCTCATAACAGGTGTCAGCTCAAAATTCACACTAACAGTAATATTCAGGAATTCCCATGCCTGCAATTCCATGTCCAGCTTCCCTTGGCTCCAGAAAAAAAAAAAAAGAGAGAGAGAAACTCCTCCCTTCCTGCCCATCTAAAGTTAGTTGGCCTGCTTTCCCACTTGAGAGAGATCGACGCTGAAATTCTCCATTTCCTTCTGGGGGAAATCCCATTCCTAATCTCCAGATACCATGACCCAGACACATAATCACCAGAGTGCACAGTTCATTTCCCAAAGGCTGACTTATTTAATCTCAAATGATACAAGGTGAGGCCACCTTTCGTCTATCTAGCCAGCACTAAGCCAGGTGCAGCTCAGTTCCTTATCACAGCCTTTCCTGCAACTTAAGGCACACCTCTCTTGCCACAGATCCATTGAATTTATGTCTATTGGAAGAAAATTGCTGGGCAAAAAGGCACACCCATCTCCCCAAAACAAACCCAAGCTTAAGCCATCTTTAGAAAAAGGAAAATTCTCTAATTCTACAGGAGAATAGTTTGTTCAAACCCAATTTACATTACCAAACAGATTGATTAGCATCTTCCTCTAAAGCAAGTTTCCTCTTGAAAAAAGACTGAGGGCTTTTATGACAAAAGGAGCTTATTGAGGTGGAGTCCCCCCAAAATAAAGCCAGGACTTGCTACCCTTGAAGTGTGTCCCTTTCAGCCCCCTTCACACTTATCCTCCTATCTAAAACCTATCCAGCTCAAACTCCTCTTCTTCCTGGAAGCCTTTGCCAATCATCTCAGACCACCAGAATGTCTCCTTCCAATAAATCCCAACAGATGGTATCTATCTTGTTCACCTGGCAATTGCTCATACCTGGCCTTGAGACAATTTTTGTATTATTGCCCTGAACTTCGAGTTCTTTTATCATTTAACTTTGGGAATAAATATGTGTCACCACCATCATTTCATCATGATCTACTTAAGGAATGTGAACGAGAACATCTCTTAGGAGGCTTCTTTAGACCATCTCTGAGCCAGTTCTGTATTCCCCTCAGGACTAGCTCTATCTGTGCTTGTCACAGAAGAAACCACTGAGTGATTAATAGAAATCATCTAAAATGTCCTGCTGCTCGCAAAAATGTTTGTGAATTTTATAACATTTGTTCAATCCTCACAACATCCCTATGGTGGAAGGTGTTGGCATTATCTTCTTTACATCGGTGAGGAAACAGCAATTCAGAAAGGTTTAACAGAGTCTCTGAGGCCACAGAGCTGGATCACACAGATGCAATTCTATTTGACTCCAAAGAATGTTCTCTTAACTGTTATTTTGAACTACTTCTCGAGGCCGGGCGCGATGGCTCTCGCCTGCAATCCCAGCCCTTTGGGAGGCTGAGGCGGGTGGATCACCTGAGGTGAGGAGTTGGAGACCAGTCTGACCAACATGGAGAAACCCCGTCTCTACTAAAAAAATTAGCTGGGTGTGGTGGCCCACGCCTGTAATCCCAGCTACTCGGAAGGCTGAGGCAGGAGAATCGCTTGAACCCGGGAGGCGGAGATTGCGGTGAGCTGAGATTGCGTCATTGCACTCCAGCCTGGGCAACAAGAGGGAAACTCCGTCTCAAAAACCAAAACAAAAACAAAAACAAACAAGAAAAAAAAAAAACTACTTCCCAAGCCCAAGGAGTTTATTTTGACTAGAGCCTAAGATGAGTGAAAAGATATATGGTTAGCCGGGCGCAGTGGCTCACGCCTGTAATCCCAGCACTTTGGGAGGCCGAGGCGGGCGGATCACCTGAGATCGGGAGTTCAAGACCAGCCTGGCCAACATAGTGAAACCTCGTCTCTACTAAAAATACAAAAAATAGCTGGGCATGGTGGCGCATGCCTGCAATCCCAGCTACTTGGGAGGCTGAGGCAGGAGAATTGCTTGAACCCGGGAGGTGGAGGTTGCAGTAAGCCGAGATCAGGCCATTGCACTCCAGCCTAGGCAACAAGAGCAAAACTCCATCTCAAAAAAAAAAAAAAAAAAGATATATGGCAAAAATAAGGTCCAGTTTAAGTGAGGAGGGCCTTACATATCAAGCTACAAAATTTGTACTTAATTTGGTAAGTAACGGGGCGCCATTTGAAGGCTCTTGGGCACAGAAATGACAGGATCAGTGTTGGTGTTAGGAAGATTAATCTGACAGCAGGGTGTAAGGAGAATGGAGAGAACCTGAAGGGGGGAAATCCTTCAATAGTCCAGATAAAACAGTAATTAGAACTTGAAGGAAGGGGGTGAACCCACCAGAGAGAAGGGGGTTGATTATAAAAATATTGAGAAGAAATGTCAATACAATCCTTCCCCATAAATTTCTGGAGCCAGAGAAGTAAAGAAAAGGATAATCTCTTTATGTTACACAAAATGAACACACTTTGACTTGCATCCCTTTTCTCCTTTTCTCTTGTCTCTTCCAGTTCTTGCCTACTTTCTCGCCTTGTGACTGAGCTACAGTCACCTTACATGGGACTCTTCTGTTAGATGTTTTTTTCTAAAGAACACAAACGGCCGGACGCGGTGGCACACGCCTGTAATCCCAGCACTTTGGGAGGCTGAGGCGGGCGGATCACGAGGTCAGGAAATCGAGACCATCCTGGCTAACACGGTGAAACCCCGTCTCTAGTAAGAATACAAAAAATTAGCCGGGCATGGTGGCGGGCTCCTGTAGTCCCAGCTACTCGAGAGGCTGAGGCGGGAGAATGGCGTGAACCCGGGAGGCGGAGCTTGTAGTGAGCCGAGATAGCGCCACTGCACTCCAGCCTGGGCGACAGAGCGAGACTCCGTCTCAAAAAAAAAAAAAAAAAAAGAACACAAACATTTAAAAGTTAGAATTGAGATAATTCCAACTTGGAGCAGAGCCACAATATCATATCTTCAGGGCTGAAATATAATAAAACATGGCCACTGTTTCTGCCACACACTTCAGCTTGAATAAATGCCTAAAAACAAAATATTGAAATTAAAGATGACTAAGTGTGAACCAAAAACCTCTTTTTTAAGCAGTGTGCTATAGAAAATAAGATATTTAATTTATATTCAAGTCAGGAATTTGGACCAAACCTGGAAGTTTAAACAAAAAGAAAATAATTGCATGTATTTTTTTTCTTAACAAAGCACTAATCACTAATTTAAAACTATCTACACACCGAAATTAAACTTTTTTTGCAACCTGATGCAAACATAAGAATATTTTTCTCCTACTCACTTTCTGACCTTTCCCATCAGCTATCCTCCAGCTGGATTTTTCTAGAATTCTTTTGATTATTTTTATATTTATATCTCCAGAAAAATGCATGGTTAGATGCTATTCAGACAATGTTATATCACGACCCCCCACTAATAAAGACTCACTGTATACCCTGTTTTACACATCAAATGTCTTTTAACAGCGTCAAATATTTGGTCCCTTGAGATTCTAACATTCCAATAATGTATTAAGCACATTGTGGTGCTACTGACACCACAAGAAAGGAATATTACTTTATTAATACAGGGTTGAAGACATGCTCTTCCATTAAGGGAAAAAAACACAGGTATTAAAAAGCACATATATTCTACTTAAATTCTCTGATACCAAGGAATCCAAAGAAAGCCCCATCATTCATAATTAGCAAGAGGCCTGGTTCCACAATATGCCCCTCCAATTCTCCCTATGGTCTTTCCTACTTCTGTAGTAGAATGGTTAGCACCAAAAAAAGTTGCATTGAAATGGGAAGTTTTCCTGTTTTACTACATTCTGGAAGCCCTACCGGTACCGTGCCTCTATTTGGTGTGTGTATTATAATCAAATCCATGTGTGAATGTTTATATTTTAAAGATGCTATACTCCAATATGTTCTGAGTTAGGGCTTTTGAAAATACTGTATAGATTCAACACAAAGCTAACTGAAAGGCTAATCTTCCCATTGTTACACTTTAATTAGTGAGACCTGTCATTACAACTTTTTATGATGGAAAGTATCAGGCCTTTTATCTTACTTTTAAGCCCTATTCTGAAAACAGCAGAAAAGGAACTAAAAAGACAAAGGAAACTGCATTTTATGGAACAATAAGGAGAGTCTTTAAAAATCCAGGGAAGTTCACAAACTGCCAATGAAAACTACATGGAGGCAGCGCCACTAAGAAGGGGGCCAGTTTGCAATATTAGCAATCAGCTACCTCCCTAATCCTCTCCAGAATCCAAGCGACAAGATTTCATAACAGCAGACTGGAAAGGTGGCTTTTCAACTGCATTCTTAATCTGTAAGAATTTAAAGATGTGTTCTAAAGCTATTAGAAAGGTCTTGGTTTGTCATACCTGTGTTCTAACATCAGGTTGGTGTTAAATGACATTTAGTGCAATTTGTTGCAAATTTATTATATTTATTTCATTATTTGCTTCATTAAAATTGTTCTGACACCTTTAGTAGAAAGTCTGATACTGGAAAACACAAAACTCAGTACTAAAAGCGGTATAAGAAATTGGAAGATTTACAGAATTAGCCTAAAATTAGGAACCACACAACTAAAAATGTTACAGGTTGAGCTACATTTATTAGATGAGCTGGATTTAGCAAACTTGACATTTAAGTAAATAATGCACTCAACAAGTTCTCAGGAAATGGTAACTCTTTTTTTTAAGATCTAAAAAAGCCAGAAGCCAAGACAAAAATAGGGTTTTCTTTCTGGTTTTATACAATTCTTTTTTGCAAACATTATTTATGTAAACATTATTGTACTTTGTCCTCAAGATCGAAAAGGCTTGATATAAATTAACGTGCTGTTTGCAGGAAATGTGCATGTTTTGAGAGTACATGGGACAAAAATACAAACACAAAGTTGAGGGTACAGTTTTTGGTTTGGATAGTAAAAAAATAATTGGTTAGTGTTAAAAATATAAAAATGAAGTCAAGGGTATACTTTTTGGGACTGAAAAATAATTGATTACTGCTGAAATACTTTTCCCTCACTCTTTCATTATTATGTAACTGGGCAGATTTGGTTGGTTTACTTTGCATCTGACTTGGAGACCAAAGCTTTAAACTGAGATAAGAGAGAGATTTTCAGAGCAAAATAGAAAAAGAGCAGGGAGAGAGTGGTTCAGAAAAGAGAAGATGGTGCCTTACAAAGGCATTGCCTTACAAATACCAACAGATATGCCAGTTGATTCCCTTTCTTCACTCCCTGTCTGCAGTTAAAAGCCAGACTCTATGTCAAAACCCAGTTCAAGGCATGCTACAATTATTTTAGGGCTCTCCCTAGTCTTATCCAAACCCCAAGGATATTAAGAAAGAAGGAGAGACAGAAGAAGAGGAGGTGGTCTCTTTTGCTACCTCCACCATTACTGTCCCCATTTTGTCTGGGCATCTGGGGAAGGAGAGAGCCAAGGTGTGCCTTGGCATCTGTAGTTGGCTCACCGAACACTTTATTATGATACCATCATCTGACTACCTTGTGAGTTAAAGTCAGAATAGAGAAGAATAAAATAAACTTTCCGTGAGGTCATCCAAGAGTCCTAACTGTCACTGATTCTATGGAAAAATAAATGGTGAGTTTAGAATAAGCTAAAATTTAAAAAGGAAATTTTGGAACATAATTCATTATTAGTTGCAACTGCCTATATTGAAAAAACTCAGCAGAAAGCATTCTATTGCTTACAAAATGCAGATGAACTAAGAATCTCTAACTGCTGCATTCAAGCAGGTATTTTCTTTAATATAAGAATTGGCTTTTCCTTCCAACTAACGCTGTTGTAATATCTGTCTAATAGTATAGGGAAAGTGAAAGATTTATTGTTCTCACTTGTTATACAAAAAGCAAGGGCATTATTTTCCTATTCAGGAAGTGCTAGAAATTCTTAAGACAGCACAGTATTTATAATGTTACCATTTTTAATATGTCATGATCATTGACACAGAAAGCTGCGGAAACCTGAAGGAGGACTTTTGGCATAACAAATGGGAAATATCAGAATACAAAAAGGCTTGGGTTTTGCATTTAAGTTAAATGTTAAATCAAACAAACACATGCTGAGGAATCTACCCCCTGCTTTGTAGATACCAATTTATCCTCAGATCTACATCTATGTGTCTCTGAATTGTTGGCAGCTCTACATTGGCAAAATTAAGTAAAAAGACTTGAGACAAATGTCCACAGTGGAAAAAAAAAAATTTGCTTTAGACAAAAGTCATTTTGGGTTTTTTTAACTGAGCGGGCCATTTTTATATCTGAGTCTTAAAAGACCATGGGTGAACAAGTACATAAATTGGTAGGAAAGAGTATCAAGAGCTTTTATTTTTGTCATTCTCTAAAAAACAATTCTAAAACATATATATATATATCAGATTCACCTGGAACAATTATCTAAAAGGAAGATCCTGCTGGGCACAGTGGCACATGCCTGTAATCCCAGCTACTTGGCAGGCTGAGGCAGGAGGATCACTCGAGAGGAGGAGTTAAAGTCCAGCCTGGGAGCCGGGCGCGATGGCTCACACCTGTAATCCCAGTACTTTGGGAGGCCGAGGTGGGCGGATCACCTGAGGTCAGTAGTTCAAGACCAGCCTGGTCAAGATGGTGAAACCCCGTCTCTACTAAAAATACAAAAATTAGCCAGGTGTAGTGGCGGGCGCCTGTAACTCCAGCTACTTGGGAGGCTGAGGCAGGAGAATTGCTTGAACCCTGGGGTGCGGAGGTTGCAGTGAGCAGAGATAGTGCCACTGCACTCCAGCCTGGGTGAAAGAGCGAGACTCTGCCTCAAAAAAAAAATCCAGCCTGGGCAACATAGCAAGGCCCCATCTCAAAAACAAAAATAAATTAATAAAAGGAAGATCCTTACGCCCTGCCACTGAGCCGGGTCTAAGAAATTTTGATACAAGTCACCCACTGCCCATACATCAAGCTAAACTGTGACCATCATAATTCTGAGGAAATATCTAAATAAGCAAAAATAAAATGGCAATTAAGATACACAGTATATTGAATGGAAACTAACTTTCAGTTATTTATGCATTTATTCAACACTCATTTATTGGTGGACATTATGCCAAACCAGGCACATAGTAGGTGTGAAGTTCACACTTTTTTTTTAACACCCAACTATCTGAATAGTTCCCTGACTCTCTACTTTGTTTTGCCCATAGAAATACAGTTGTCTCTACACAATACCAGAATAACCAGTCGATTCAGTGAATTAACTAGTTGAAATATACAAAACAACTTCATGATTAATCTTCAATTTTTTCTGAAATGACTGAAGTTTTGGATTCAATTAGATATAGCTACCCTCTGAGTTTTAGAATGCCTAATGAAGTCAAAGAGGAATGCAGTGAAAACCTTGCCTGAGAATATTCTTCAAAGCTTAAACTAAAGAAGTTCCTGAAATAGTCTTCAGGTTGTGCCCTGAATTTAATCATTTAAGACACAGGGAAAGTCCATGACATCAGAAAAGAAAAATAGGCCTACACACCATGCAAGCTTGAGGCTAAAGTTCAACTAGAGGATCAGTGAGGATCTCTGCTTCTTTCATTCTAGACAATACATTTTTAGATCAGACATAAATACTGGAGTCACTCAATATACACTTAGCATGGCAGTTGTAATATTTTTCTAGCACTGAAGAAATGCGTTTTATTGTCTGCTTTAGCTCAGGAATCCTCTCTCCTGATTCTACCAGAGACTCCAGTTTTGAATGCCAGACTGTGGTTAACATCTACTTTTTTGGGGGGAGCGGGGGTTCGGGGAACGGAGTCTCACTCTGTTGCCCAGGCTGGAGTGCAGTGGCGCAGTCTCAGCTCACTGCAACCTCTGCCTACCAGGTTCAAGCGATTCTCCTGTCTCAGCCTCCCGAGTAGCTGAGATTACAGGCATGCACCACCATGCCCAGCTTATTTTGTATTTTTTAGTGGAGACAGGGTTTCACTATGTTGGTCAGGCTGATCTCCAACTCCTGACCTCAGGTGATCCACCCACCTCGGCCTCCCAAAGTGCTGGAATTACAGGCATGAGCCACCATGCCCTGCCTAACACGTACTTTTAATCTAAACTAATGTATATTTGTGCACACATAGCCGCAGGTCCTTTATCGAACACTATATATGCACCAAGTAAGTTTCAATTAGTGCAAGCTACAGAATCAACTCTCTCCCAATCCCAACAAAAAATGTCAGAGGCCATACATTGAAAGAAATGAATGAAAATTAAAAACAGCTGCACACGGCTGGGCGCCATGGCTCACGCCTGTAATGCTAGCACTTTGGGAGGCCAAGGCGGGTGGATCACCTGAGGTCAGGGGCTCGAGACCAGCCTGGCCAACATGGTGAAACCCTGTCTCTACAAAAAAATACAAAAATTAGTCTGGCATGGTGGTGCATGCCTGTAATCCCAGCAATTTGGGAGGCTGAGGTGGGAGAATCCCGTGAAGCCAGGAGGCGGAGGTTGCAGTGAGCTGAGATTGCGCCACTGCACTCCATCCTGGGCGACAGAGTGAGACTCCGACTCAAAAACAAAACAAAACAAAAACTGCACAATTACCTTTCCAAAGTGATTTTATTTTATTTTATTTATTATTATTATTATTTTTTGAGACGGAGTCTTCTCTGTCGCCCAGGCTGGAGTGCAATGGCGCAATCTCGGCTCACTGCAAGCTCTGCCTCCCGGGTTCACGCCATTCCCCTGCCTCAGCCTCCCGAGCAGCTGGGACTACAGGGGCCTGCCACCACGCCTGGCTAATTTTTTGTATTTTTAGTAGAGACGGAGTTTCACCGTGTTAGCCAAGATAGTCTTGATCTCCTCACCTTGTGATCCGCCCGTCTCGGCCTCCCAAAGTGCTGTGATTACAGGCGTGAGCCACCGGGCCCAGCCAGTGATTTGATTTTAATTAACCTATTTATACTATATATGGATGCTCAATTTATAACACTTAAAAGAAGAAGTGTTAAAGAAGGAAGTATAGATTTGATAAAATATTTATTGGGTATCAAGATTTGGAATTTATCAATTACACTTTATTTTCTGATGTAGTGTTTCCCCAATATAACACTATATTGGTTTATTTGTGAATTCAAAGGTATGCCTAGACTTTTCTTTAAAAAAAAAAAATTGGGAAGTGAGGGCCAGATGCAGTGGTTCACGCCTTGAATCCCAGCGTTTGGGAGGCCAAGGCAGGAGGATAGCTTGAGGCCAGGACTTTGAGACCAGCCTGGGCAACACAGCAAGACCCCATTCTCTACAAAAAATTAGAAATGTAGCTAGGCATAGTGGTACACGCCTATAGTCCCTGCTGCTTGGGAGGCTGAGGTAGAAGGATCACTTGAACCCAGGAGTTTGGAGCTGCAGTGAGCTATGATCAGGCCGCTGCATTCCAGCCTGAGCAACAGAGCAAGAGCCCATATCTTAAAAAAATTAAAAATAAATAAAAATAAAATAGGGAAGTAGTTACTGCCCTGCATTCTGATTTTGAAGTATTATATTTCAACTATTCACTTAATCAAAGTAATTACACTGTTAATAGCAGTATTTGGGCTTAAATTCAGTGTTAAAATAGCTGTATCACACTATTAGTCAATATGCAATTACAAGGAATCTAGTGGAGCCAGATGCGTGCAATCCAGATATATGCAAAATAGAGATGAAGACTTCCTCAGTTTAATGCATATGAGCAAATTATATAGTTAAGCAGGGCTCACTAAAGAATGAATTGCATCCATTTTTACCAATTGGACCATGTGATTTTTCATTTCAATGTTTCAGAGATGCCTTAAAACTCGGAAGCTTTACAACACTGAAAGTGGTGTGAAGTTTCAAGAACCCATACCAAAAACAAACAAACAAAAATATGGCCTTAACGTTATTCCTAAATTAGCACTTTGTTCTCCTCCCCAACTCAATTTCTTTCACAACATTGTCTTATCAGAAAGCCTGTGATAATGCTTCCCTGCAGTCTCATCCACAAGATTAAATCTAAAACCTTGGACATAAAGATTGTGTTTCAGTGTTCAATAACATAATATTCAATGGAAGAAGCTTCATTTCTCATTCCTGAGATACCAGCAAATCAGGCTCAAAAATCATGGAAGGCTCAGAAATGATCAAGGAATAGACGCCTGATGGAACAGATGCACAGATGCTGTGCTAGAAGAAAAGACAAATGCTGAAGTGCATAATGATTTTGAAAAGATTTCTTTATCAAACATGTCATTTGTTTGAAGGACCTGAGTTGTTGGCATCAGATGTGGGATATCAGCTTGTTAGCAAAGTGAAACATGATGGCAGCTAGATACTAGCGATTGATGAGTCAATTGAAATCACTGATGTTGCCCAACTGAGCATCTTCATTTAATATGTCATTGGCCAGAAGTTAACGAAACACCTTCTGTTTTCGGTTATCACCACAGCCAATAAGATGTCATATCTTAGAGTAGCTAAATATTTTTTGTAAAGAATAGTGATGTCTCCAAAGAAATATCAGCTGGCCAACCAATTACATACTCTCTTGGTGCTTCACAACAAAGATATGAGTGTAGTTTTTCTGTGTAAGTACTGGCTGGGTAACATTAGTGAATCATTTGTAAACAATTCATTTGCACTGGATTTATATCAAAATATTAAAATGCATCGATTTATTTGTACCACAAATAGCCTTCTATGGTTGACTCTGGGACATTACTGAGGGAATTGTTAGCATAATCATTTTGCTCATTTCACCAGTGAAGTTTCTGATGACCTGATTTTTTTTTTTTTTTAAAGGACTTTTGGCTGGGAGTGGTGGCTCATGCCTGTAATCCCAGCACTTTGGGAGGCTGAGGCAGGCAGATCATCTGAGGTCGGGAGTTCAAGACCAGCCTGACCAACATGGAGAAACCCTGTCTCTACTAAAAATACAAAATTAGCCGGCCGTGGTGGCGCATGCCTGTAATCCCAGCTACTCGGGAGGCCGAAGCAGGAGAATTGCTTGAACCTGGGAGGAAGAGGTTGTGGTGAGCCGAAATCGCCCCATTGCACTCTAGCCTGGGGAACAAGAGCGAAACTCCATCTCAAAAAATAAAAAAATAAAAATAAATGAATAAAAATTTAAAAAGGACTTTGTTTTTTTTTTTTCTTTGACGGAGTCTCACTCTGTCGCCATGCTGGACTGCAGTGGTGCAATCTTGGCTCCATCTCCCAGGTTCAATCGATTCTCCTGCCTCGGCCTCCTGAATAGCTGGGATTAAAGGCATGCACCACCACACCCAGCTAAGTTTTTGCATTTTTCTTAGAGACAGGGTTTCACCATGTTGCCCAGGCTGGTCTCGAACTCCTGACCTCAGGTGATCCACCCTCCTCGGCCTCCCAAAATGCTGGGATTACAGGCGTAATCCCAGCCTCAAAAGAAATTTTACAAGGCTGACCTCCATGTTTAATTGGGCAGGGTAAATATGAAAAAATCAGGAAGAAAGAGTTAGACAAAGCTGATAAACCAGTGAAGAAAAGCCTCCCAGGCCTCTGTAAAACAGCCCATGTTATTTAGCAGTACAGCTTCTCTGGGAAGCCCCAAGTTCCCAAAATCAGTGGGAAGGAAAGAAACACTTCCCACTCAGACAGCTCACTCAGGGAGAGCTGTGTGTTGGTGGTTTTGTTTCGTTTTTCTGTATAAATAGACTTATAATTGACAACGAAATTCTATAATGCTGTAGTAGAGCATTTCTATGCTGTCTTTCTCAGTCAAGCCTCAGTTTACTAACATAATATAAAATCAGAGTAACCTTCACAACATAATAAAACCAAAAGTATGGCTGTAAAGTAGTAAGACTAGTGGCTGTTGTCTGTTTCGTTGTTATTGTTGTTGTTATCTTAAGTGAATCCATCACCTATGGAGTCCATAAATTTATTCGAAGGATGATGACATTGGTCAAAACATTTCAGGACTCCTCACTGGGAACTGCATTCAGGGCTAGCTTCCAAGCTCCAAAGAAAATCAGTCTCATTACTCTATAGTCACAACTACATAATATGATCATAAATTTGGTAAGGGGAAACTGAATAATTTAAGACATAGATTTAATCTTCTTGTTATATGTGAATATCAACTTTCACATTGTAAAATTGTCACTGAATTCTAATGTAAGAATCAAGCTGTTGACTAAAGCAAAAATTTTATTCAATTAAAACCAAACCATTAAATTACCATGTTTACAGATTTTAAGTACACAACTTATTTTTATCTAAGAATAAGTGTTTTCATTGGAAGATAATGAACAACAGGCATTTAATAACATTTTGATTTTATGTGTTTAAATATTCATAGCTATGTTCACAAACCCACATGCCTGATCTAGTGATTATGCTTATGAAATGCAGTATTTCTTACATGCCACAAATCTCCATCTACTTTCTGAAAACTGTATTAAATTTGCAACGCAGTACAAACCACTATATGTTTTTAGTAAAATATTCTATGATAGTAAAAATAGGAAACTACCCAAAAGCAACAAAACAATAACTACCTGCTGGGGGAAAAGAAGGCAACATTTGTTCAGGGACTACTCCGTGACAGGCTCTTTAGGAGACATTTTCTTGTTTAGTCCACAGAACAACCCTAGGAGGTATTATCACAGTGCAGCTGGCTCATGAACAACTCTGTAGCTTACCTTTCCTAGGGCTTTTTCAACAATTCCATTATTATACTCCACTGCCTGTCTGAAAGAACACAGTTCTTGTTCTTAAAAACAAAACAAAACACAAAAATTTTACCAACATTGTTATGGGGCATACAAAAATGTCAGGTGTTAGGAAGCTGAGAGTCAAAGAATCATAGGCTTCCTTGACCTGGCCCTTTCTATTATTCTTGATGTAAATGAACAATTGGAATCACAGGGACATGAGCATGTTTCCTACTACTAAAAAATTATACTATCATCAGTCTACTTACCAAAAATTTCAATAAAATTGGATCTAAAGAACCAATAGTAATATACTCTATCAGGCTGCAATTTTACAATACTTCATCATCACATAATCACGCCAAATAAATAGAATGACAGTCATTCACAGATTACATTAGATTATAGATGTTAAATTTAAAATGAGAAATCAAGTATCTGGAGTTCCAGTAATTTTTCTGTAGTGTCTTCATCTTCTCTAACATTACAGTTAATTAACGACAACTTGTGTTTTAATAACACCTATATTCCATGATTCTCTAAGTGTTCTAATCAATGGTTGTGCAAAGTTGTCTGCCCCAAAAACCACTTCAGGGCTTCTGAATAATATATATGTAATGCTGCAATGTCTCCTCCCTGGATGCCACAGAGGCACTCTCTTCACCTTTCAGGTTATCTTCAGCTTTATCTTTCCCTCTCTTTCTCACCCATATATTGGTGTTCAAATGCTCTTTTTTTCCCTCCAGACTCCTGCATCCTTTCATTTCTTCTAATCACTCCAATCAATCCTTGACTCTGAATTCTTCCCCTGGCCTTCCCAACACCTGGCCTTGAACCCCTCTGGGAAAACACTGTGGGTTCAAAACAGTTGTTTGGGGTTTGTTCGGCCGGTTCCCCCCCACCCCCATTTATTGCCTAGTGAAAGTCCAGCTATATCGTGAAAAATGTGAATTGAATGTAAATTGTCCCAAGTCAACAGGTTAATCAAAGTTATTTAGGGGCTACTGTCATTTTAATAAAACAATAATCACAAAAATAATTTAAATGGTTTTATTTAAGTCAAACAAAAATTAAAGGGATCCTGGGTATTGCTTTCTGAACACAAACATAAAATTAACAAAACAACAATTCATGTTTCTAGTTTTAAACACTTTAGTTCTACATATAGAATGCTGGTATTTGAAAAAGATTTTCACCAAGGTCAACACAATGCATGAGATAATGCATACTGGGTTATGAATTAGGCCAGTCTTCACCTCCATCTTCCCATTTATAAATCCTAAAGTGGGGGGAGTTTTTTTGCTTTTTCATTTCACAAATGATTGCTCAACACAGGATGAAATACACCAAAAGAAGAAAATAGTCTTTTTATACCTAGGGAAGAAGCTACTACTCTTAAAATGATCACTTCAAGGTAACAGACATCCAAATTGATGTGGTTTTCTTTGAAACCTCATCAGTAAATCATTTCTTGCACAGTAGGTTCGGCATTAACCCTGCATTTAGGATAGGTAGTGTTATGGAGGGCTGGCTGCTGCATACCAACGTCAGTATCAAGTTCTTCGTCAGGAATTAGAGACTGTCCCGGATACCAAGCAGGACAACACTGGCAAAAAAACAAAAAGTGAACTGCAGATAGGTCAAAACAGGCCACATTTCCTCTTAGAAAAGAATGTCATAAAATGTCACATGAATATGTTGTTTTAAACTCTGGTTTATAATAAAACACGATGGAATGTTTTATTTTTAACACCTCAAATTCAAATGGTCTTGACGCAGGTTGTATTTTAATAAAATATATGACACAAGACACACACCCTATTAGAGATCAAATATTATAATTTGCCATCTGGTGAAAGCTATTATTATAGTTACTATAAAGCTTACATTTCTCTCCATTCATCAGATGTGTAAATAGGTTGAACTGTCATCAGATTAAAAATATACAAAACTGCTTGGTTTGTTAAATGTTAATGAAAGAGATTTTCTTCAGTTTCAACAGATTTTTTGAAACAAGTTTCTCTAATATTCAAAGGATTTATGTTCGTCTGTTAAAAGTTACCATTAGTCCAAGTGCTCTGAACATTCCCTGGTTTAAATGCTTCCAGCAAACTTAGTGTTTTCCAAGCTGTAAATTTCAATGGTTATGACAGAATCAAACCTCGGTAAAAAAGCAGTACCCTTTGGAGTCGTCATCCAAACAAATACAAGAGCTCTACCAATTTATCACTTGCCCGGTTTTGCAGAAATTCCATTCACATAACTTCTATAAAAATCAACCAGTTTTACCATGTCAAATGACCCAAAGAACACCGCAGGTATCCAGGGGAAACAGTCCACCAATGCATCTTAGCTCGACTTTAAAGTCAATTTAAGAGACGATCTGGGCTCTGTAGCTCTTAAAGGGACAAACCCGTCTAACCATTGGCTAAAGCTTTTTTAACTTAATGAACTTTTTATTTTCCACACTTTTGGTACCAAGAGATTTAACCAGAAAAAAGCTCAAACCTCAGGGTTCACACTACAGAATGGAAAAATAGAGTATACAGCAAGCACCATTTACTTCCTTTGATCTCTCAAAGATGTCAATACTCTATTCCAGCGAGGGGGTGGGGAATGGGGGAGTGAGTGAACCGGGGAAGGAAACTTCACCCACAGAAAAAAAAAAAAAAATCGGCTTGGTGGCAATTTCAAAACAAGTTTCCAAACTACTGAAGAGGCTCCGGCCTCCTTTGACTTGCAGGAATCACACATAAGAAAAGGACAGAAAATACTACAGGGCATGCTTATTTTAATTGCCCATGGGTTTCCAATGCAAAGCACGACAACTTAAATGCATATTCCAAATTCTTGCTCCAAAGCCGTCTTCTTTGTGCACTGAAAAGGAGGAAAGACAACCCCATCAATTGTTCTCTGCAGATAAAGGCACTGTTTTGCAGATTTCCCCCCAGATCTGGGCCAGCCTTGCTAATGACCTGCCCACCCACCTGGGGCCCTTCCCAAGGTGGCCCACGGGAACTGCCCCACACCTTCAGGAGCCCAAATGCGTGACACTGGACAACCCCAAGAGGGCTGACTTTTCCGTTTGGCCGTTGGTCTCCACGAAGACCCAACCTGGAAGAGTTCGTGCCGCTTATTTTCCTAGAGGAGCTGAGGTTCAATTACTACACTTTTTAAAATCTTACATTTTTTTTTTCCTCACAAAAGACACATCTGAAGGTGAATCCGAAGCATTTTTCTACGGACAAAACACGAGCTCGAGATCCCAGAGCTACCAGGGGTTCTTTCAACGCCAGCATTAAGGCAGTTAAGCAAAAGCTGAATTAAAGTTTTCGGAATTCTGGCCTTTTTTCCCCTTAACATAAGATCACCAGCTGTTAAGGCACACACCAAAGCTACAGTGCCAATTTTCATAGGCTCACGTTTAAATGAGATATACAGAAAACGGAGCCTGGGCAACGTGTAGGGGTCGAACTCGCAATGGCACATTTGTCTAACAGCCGGGGCATTTTCTTGGAAAATGGTGCTTACGTGTTCATAGGCTTCGCCACTGTCCTGGAAGAGAACATACTGTCCGCTCTTGGGGCATTTTTAGGGACTCAAGGTTCTGTGGAATCCCGACCGGGGCCTGATAACTCGAAATGGCATCCCCTAGCCATGGCAGCTCCCGGAGGGGGCGTTTTAGGTCGGGCCAGGTGGGTGGGGAGGCCTCTGGCGGGTTTTTTGTCCAAGTCCCATGGGAACCCCAAACCCAAAAAGCACACGCCAACTTCCCAGGAGAATGCCCAGGAAGAACTTCTTCGCTTCCGTTTTTTTAACAATTTTGCGCTCAACCGCCACGACCTACATTCCCCCGCGAGGCGCCCAGAACTGAGGAATAACAAGGGAGTTTAAACTACGCAACAGTTCTGCAGCCTTTGCTGCGCTTTGCTGCGCTCCGCGGGGGTTCGCATCCGGCCGCCATGTTCACGACTCGAGAGCCGCCCCAAAACCAGCCCCCCTTCCCACATACCTCCCCTCCCCTCCCTCCCAGCTCGACCGAGGCCGCGGCACTGCAAAGCGGCTTTCAACTCTATCCCCAACCCCCTCGCTGCAAAATCCGACTCGACGGCTGCGAAGTGTGCGCCTGCGCGCGGCGCGGGCAGGGCGCGGGAGTGGGGGTGGGTGTGGGAGGCCTACGGGCCCCCGGCCGCGGCTTGAAAAGGCCGGAGCCACGGGGAAGCGGGGGAGGGGTTGGGGCCCCGGCCGGAGCCTCCTCTTTCCTCCCAGCGGGTCCCCGCTCCGGCCCTGGCCCGGCTCTCACACGTGCGCGCTAAAAACCCACTTCAAAGTCTGTTCCCGGCACGGGGGCGGCCCCTTTTGCGCCAGCCCCTGGGCACCCGCGCGGGCCGACAACCAGTCCCCAGGCCTCGCCGCCCCCTCTATCCCAGGCGCTGCGAAAAGGCTGGAGGGGCCGAGCGAGAGAGGACGTTCGCTGATGAGCCCCGGGAGCCGCAAGCGGCTTTCGGGTGGACGAATGCCTCCCTGCCCCCAACCCCCACCGCTTTAGAAAATTGAATTGAACACAAAGTTTGCGGCCAGCGCTACGCAGTGGCCTTCGGAGCTCACCATTGTTTGGGCTCGTATTGACCCCAGGTCCGGATTAGGCAGAGGCTGATTCCTGCTTTACAGCCCCGCCGGCCTAATGAGGCTGGGAGGCGATGGGGCGCGAAGCGTCCTCGGAGCCCGGGCGACCGCCGGCTTACGGCCGCCAAGGGCCCTGTAGGTGGAGGTCAAAGGGTCAGCGGGCAGAGACCGCGAGAGAATTGACCCTAGGAAATGAGGTCCCTTCCCCCCCCGCCCGAGCCTCGACAGAGACTTGCAAGAACTTGGTGTGTGGACAGGGACCCTGGGAGCCCCGACGAGGGGCCCGAGGACAGCTGAGCTGGAGCCCCGACTTCCGAAACGCCTGGCCTCGCCGCCTCCGCCCCGGCCCCGGCCAAGGATCCACTGGAGGCTTGGGACTCGAGGGACAGAAACCTGTGAGAGGAAAGCAGTCTAGGTGCCAAGATAACCTCTCTTTTCAGGCGATGGGCACGCTGCTGGCGATTCTTCCACAAACTTACATGTTAAGAGGCCCTTCGACTTTGCTCCTCTGTTTTAGGGAGTTTTTTAAGAAGGGGGAGAGAGAGCCAGGGCGAAGAGGCAGAGACATCAGGCGGGGAGAAGGGAGAAGGGGGAGGAGCGAGGAAGTCCTGAACACTCCAACTTTCCTGGGATGCTTTGTGAGCGGAGGTCTTTGCTCACTCATGTCCAACTTTAGTAATTTAGATCGACCGGCCTGCTTAGCGTGGACCCTGTCCTGATCTTTAACCTTCTAAAGCTGGATGAAGGCCAAACTTCTGTCTTGCGTGGAAATAGCCACCTCCCTTTTGCCTAACAGTGGGAATCTTATGCAAAATCACTCATTTTGAAAAAGGGACTTTGAACAAAGATCTTACAAGGTGCAAGAGGGAAAGTAACAAGTTGATTCCTAAGAGCCTGGCCCATGCCTCGGGCTTGAGCATTGATGATTTTGGTTTGTTTGGTTTTTTTTTTTTTTTTTTTTTTTGGGGGGGGTACTTACTCTCTAAGGTTGTTTACTGAATATTCAAGAGTGTAAATGTGCACTCCCAGAGCCAGATTATAGGGGGGAAATCTGTGAAAAGCTTTCTATCAAAATAAGGAGTTTTCTTTACCACAGATGACAAGGGTGGAGGACGTGATTTTGAGAAATACCATGCTACACCCAAATTAGAGGTAATCATGTACAGGGGCAAAACTTTTATATTCTCCTAATATTGGTTATCATAATTGTTTTTCATTTAATTGATATCTTCCCCTCTTAGGACCCTCAAGTACTTTCCTGTAAAATTTTATGGTAGAATAATTTCAGGTAACTAAGAAAAGATCAAACTGCTCTTTGTCTCAGGAGATATTTAATACATTTAATTGAAAGGGAGGCAGGTTTTTGGTTGAATCCTGTATCCAACCCATGGCTCTACTTCCACGTAAAGTTAGGTTAGATTGAGGGTGGGGGAGGGAACTCATGGAGAAAGTGGTAAATTATGGAAGTTCATTGTACAGTTCAGAAGAAAAATACACTATTTAGATTTCACAATGGAACACACTTAGAGCCAGTCTTATGAATATATACTTTCTGAGAACTTGCTGAGCATTTAAAATGGTCTCTGGTTTGAGGTGAAGGAAAAAGCCTGAAATAGGAATCTGGTCCAGCACCCTCAATGTCAAGGTCAAGATCGGAATGTCTGGGTTGGGAGTGATAGACTGACCAGGTTACCTGCTCATCACATGTGTAGTCATCCCAATCTCTGTTCATGGCATTCAGGCTTGGATATTGGTGGAAGAAAATGCAAAAGACCCCATTATTCTCCACTAACAAAAAATAGCCTCCAAAGCAATTTGCAATTAGAAACTGTCAATAACTAATTGTCTGTTGACAAAGATCAGTAGATAACTTAAATAGACTGCTTCAACCGCATTCACAGAATCAAAGTTTCTTTTAATCATCAGAAGTTCTGTAAGCATTTCAATTTTAGATTGATTTATTTGAACATGAAAAAAAATCAGGCACCAAATACAAAAATGTTATAACATAAATAAGATGTGCCAAGACTTTATTTCTTCAAAAAGAACAATAAACAAAATTCTAGAATTGAAAATGATCATATATAATACCAAATTGACTGCCACCAAAAACCTAGAGCATTGCCCCTTAAAGGAGGTACTTAAGCCTATTCAATACATTCTAAATACTTTACAATTCCTTATGTCCACCTTTCTGTTATTCATGCAGAGATTGGGCTCTCAATAACAAACAGCACCCTAATAAAAAAGGTCTCAATACTCTACCCACTCCAGCCCCCCAAAATAGCAATCAATTTCTTTTCCATATAACCACTGTAAAAGAACTGTTTGTCCAAATGAGTTGCTTCACTGAAGATTAAATGGATTGTTAACATTTTATCACAAAGCAAACAACCGTTTTTCATTGTTATTGATTTTAATGGAAACAATGCTCTTAACATCTTTGCCTACAAATCATGAACTTTAAAAATACATATTTTGCAATTTTTTTCCCATAGCATCATTTCAGAACTGCTGCAGTTATTACACCGCTATATAAATGTTATGGATAATTGCGATAATTATGAATTGAACTATATACAGCAAACAAATCAGCCTTTGCCTTCCAAAATTGTAAATGGACTATGGTTCTTTTAAGAAGCACTTTAACCATAAGTAAGCAATGCTCAACTGGCCTTACTCATCACCACTGTTTTAGACATAAGCTATCTTTTGAAAATATATAGATAGCTACTAGATAGATTGATAGGCAGATTAGATAAGTCATAGATACAAACATATATAGGTATATGGGTGATCTCTAGATAGAACAGACAGACATGCATCCTGCCGCAATTTTCATTTTTATGTAAGGTAATAAAGAACTAAGGGACATAAAATTCAGTAGGTTACCTTATGTTTATATATGTAGGGCAGGGATGATTAAATCCAGCTTCTCAGTCTTTGAAGTACAAGATTGAGATGTCATGGCCACTAACTGAATTGATCAGTAATATTTGATTTGCATGCCGAAAATCCAGGACAAACACATTTAAACTCGCAGTTAAACAACCATCTGAGATAGAGATAAAGAAAGGAGAGTCTTCCCAGATGGAAACTGACACTGTAAGGAATTTATACTGTAATAGAAAAATAATTTAACAATTAAAAAAGGGATCTGAGTGAGTTATAAATACCAACAAACAAGATTTAATTTGCTCACATCTCCTCTTTGTAGAAGAAGGCTGTTACAAAACAAGAGAAAGGAGTCAGTGGTTCCAAAATTGTAAATTGTGTTCTTCTTTCAAAACAATTTTTAATGCTAAAGCAGTTATAATCAAAAGCTGTACAGAATTTGTTAGAAAACATTTATCCATAAATATTGTTCAGTTCCCGGCACTTGTAGCAATAATTAAATTACAAACGATAAATATGGCATCAATGGATATGTATTTACAAAAAAAAAGTTATTACAAAAGGCAACTGTATACTAAACGTCACAATGTGTAGAGTAACATCACATCCTCAGCCTGAAAAAATACTGAACAACAGTTTCGACCCTATTAGACAAAAATACATTCACAAGTGTAATGCTTTGAGGAAAAGTTCAAGACATAACAGGACTTTGGCACGGTTTAAGACTGTGAGAGTTTAAACAATCACCACTAAGGCGAAAAAGAATTTCCATCAGTTTAACATCACCACCACCAACAAGCCTTCTATAACTTCCTCTCAAGAAACAGGACAAGTGTTAAAATGAATTGGAGGAGTTTAAGAATGGGGTGTGCAGAGAGCAAGAGGAAGGGGAAGAAAAAGTAGTGTAAAGATTTTGTAAAAAATGCTTCAAATGCCAAAACATATTTTCTATCCTGAGAAAAGGGCATGGCTACTTTTGGATCTTGCCCAAAACCTTCCTGGACAATTGCAATTAACAAGATGTAGCCCTATATATGGCCTCTTGCCTTAAAACTCCATTTCCATCTGATTGGTCTCAGTTTTCTTTTAAAAATGTATTTGGTCCATTCTATAATTAACAGGGTTTGTGTTTGTCCTCAGACGTACCATTCGTTAAAATTAGGAGGAAGTCCAGGGTTGTGGCTGGTGCTAGTTTGAACTGCAGAAGGGGTTTTAGTGGTATCTTTACTGTTTGCAGAAGCTATAGCGGGTGGAGTGGAAGATTCATAGCCTGAACTGGCAGCAGGGGAGGAATCTGACCCTTGAGATTCATGAACCTAAAATTAACATGTATATATTATAATGAATATAATTCCAACTGGCAATGTGCAAGCAAAAACAAGAGCAGAATTCGAGCACTGTAACAACAAGACCGCCCAGTGACCCACTTAAAAGAAAAATGCTGCTTAAAAAAAATCCGTATTACCGATGTCTAGAAAACCCGGAGATGTTCGCCAAAAACCAGTTTTGCTCCTAAGACTGGTGTTACGGAAAAGGAATAAAGCATTCCGTTTTGGTCATGCCACTTCAAAAATGCTTTCTCCGCGGATGGAGTGAGGTAAGCAGTACACTGTGAGGTCCTATAAAATACTAACTCCGGGCCCAGGTTTCACCAAGCCCGTTTCGGCTTGAGAAAGCAGGTACAGAGAAGGTGGCACAGGGGCCCTGAGCGCTGCGAAGTCGCAGACAAATGTGTGGGAATCAGATTGCACTCCTCGGCCCTATTGTTTTATCCGAAGCCAAAGAGCGAATGAACCACCCACCCTCGGGTTCGGCGCGGCTACTCTCGGTTCCCACCGCGGGCTGAGTCGGGAAGAGGCGGCCACGGCAGCCCCGCAAGCCCAGGCGAGCTCGGCTAGAGCTTCCCAGTAAACAACCGATTGTTCCCTCCGCTTCCTCCCCCTCCCAACTTTGCTCACTCCCGCCCACCCCCTCACCCCCACCCCCGCCCGGTCCCCAAAATGGGTTCAAGGTGTCACTGCTGGAGCAAATCGGATTTAACGTGGAAGACAGAGGGTTGGCAGCGCGGGCGCTTCCGTTCCGCGGCCCGGCGTCGGGCCGAGTGTTTACAAACCGCCGACCGCTAATAAAGAGGTAATTACCTTCATGTGTTTGCGCAGGGAGCTCGGGTGCGTGTAGGACTTGTCGCACACTTTGCAGATATAGGGCTTGTCCGAGGTATGCACATGCATGTGCTTCTTACGGTCGCTGCTGTTGGCAAAGCGTCTGTCACAGCCTTCAAATTCACATTTGAAAGGTTTCTCACCTGCAAAAGGCAAAAACCCAAGGGGGGTAAAATACGGTCAGCGCCGGAGTTTCTCAGAGGCAAGCAGCAGGAGACTGAGCTCCCGGCGGTCTTCCCGGAAAGGGAGCGCGGACTGGGGGCTGCTGCTGCATCTATTTTCCCTGGAGAGAAATGAAGAGCGTAGGTTGAGCCCGCTGGGTTTGGGAGTGGTGGTCGGGGTGGGGGTGGGGGTGGGGCGGGGCCGGCCCAAAACCTGACCATGTCTTTGTTCTTGCAAGGAGGGAAAGCCCCTGGCTCCTCCGAAGTTTCCCCTAAGTTGTGTTTCCACCCTACCCGACCCAGGGCTCCCAATGCGCGGCCACGTTCCGCCACCACCTCAGCAATGTAACCGAGCCCGGCGGGACAATGGGCCCCGGACAGGACAATCCCGTTCAGCCTCTTTGTACCTTTTTATTTGCCTCTTTCAAATGCAGCGGTTTGGCTAAGCCCGATATTAAAAAGCCTGGGTAGTCGTAGTTAATGTTTGAGGAAAAAAATATAGATAGATAGATAGATAGATAGATAGATAGATAGATAGATAGATCGATCGATCCAGGGGGCTCCAGACAGTTTTACAAGATGTTCTGAACAAACCACGAAACTGCTTTAGCTTTCCTCCCGGAGGACTGAATTGAACCTGGAACTCCAAATAAAAATAGTTTGACAAAAGTATCAGTCATTTAATTAGGAGATGTGCCAATCAAGTGTAAAAAAAAGCGGAAGTAACCGAAAGTTAGTTTTCATTAGCATTTGTATGGTTGCCTTCCACGAATGTGTGCCGAGAGCTAAGTCGCTTGTAAGCAATATGCTCTCAACACATTCGGAGTCCCTTCACGGTAACCCAGAAAGGGAGACAAAAAGAGGCGGCGCCAGTTTGTTCCTGGGCGCGAGAAGGTCCCAATTAGTTCCTGAGACCGCAGAGCAGTCTGCCCGGGAAGTTAGAACTCGGCAAAGGCGCCACGGGACGGGGAGGGCTAGGGGTGGATGGTCACTGACAGCGCTTCTTTTTCGAGCGGCCGTTGCGGGGCGTCGCCCCTTTCCCTGGCCGCCACCTCTCTCCCTCGCGCTCTAAGTCCGCTGCGTGACGGGGTATCGCCAGTGGAACCCACGCCCGCCTGCTTTTTTCCCTTACCTGTGTGGGTCCTCTTGTGGATCTTGAGGTTCTCAGAACGGGCAAAGATCTTCCCGCAGCCCGGGAAGGGGCATGGGAAGGGCTTCTCGCCCGTGTGCACTCGGATGTGGTTGACCAGTTTGTACTTCGCCTTGAAAGACTTGCCCTCCCGGGGGCACTCCTCCCAGTAGCAGACGTGGTTGTTCTGCTCCGGGCCCCCCACATGCTCCATGGTGACATGTGTCACCAGCTCATGCATGGTGCTGAAGGTCCGGTCGCAGCTCTTCTTGGGCCGGCTCAGCTGAGCCTCGTCGATCCACTTGCACGACAGCTCCTGCTTGATAGGCTGCCGCATATAACGGAAGAAGGCGCCGGGCCCGTGGTGGGCCGCCACGTTCACTCCCATGTTCATGTTCATGGGGCTGTAGTTAGGAAACTGAGCGCCGGCCGCGTAGGGGTCCGTGCGCGGGCTGGCCACTGGGCGGTATGGGTCAGCACGGCCGAACAGCTCCCCACGCAGCCCCAGGTGGACCTGGTTGTTGTCCACGTGCCCTGTGGGCGACGGGTGCCCAGCGCCCTGCTCATGCAGCCCGGGAAACAGCAAGTAGCTAGGGGGCTCGGGGATGCCAGCTGGAGCATGCAGGCTGCTCGCCGAGCCGGCGAAGAGCCCGTGCTGCCCGCCACCCGAGGCCGCCTCACTGAGCCCGGAGCTGCGCTGGCGGAACAGAAACTCGCGCGTTGAGTTGAAGGCGGCAGAGGCAGCGCCACCGTAGCTGGGCACCTGGCTGGTGTGGTGATGATGGTGATGGTGGTGGTGATGGTGGCCCAGGGCGTTGGCGTAGCCCGAACCCTGCGGCGTGAAAGCCGAGCTCTGGCCTGAAGATAGATCGTGCGCCGCGGCAGGGCTCAGCTTGAAGGCAGCGGCGGCGGCGGCGGCGGCGGCGGCGTGGGTTGAGTCCCCGAAGGGATTCAGCCCCATGCCTGCCGGCTCACGGTTGGGCATCTCGTGGTGGCGCGGCGCGCCGAAGCTGCCCACTCCCAGCCCAGGGAACTGCGGGCCTCCGTCCAGGAGCATCGTCATGGGTGGGACGTTCTGGGCACAGGCGATCCGGCCGAAGTGAGAGAGGGTACCGGCGAAGGAGGAGATCTCCGAAGTGCCGTAGTCGGAAAGGGGTGGCGGCGGTTGGACACTGCGGGGAGACCCCCAAGGCGCTACCAGGGGCTGCAACTTTCCGTCACTGCAAGAGTCTCCTGCAGAGGGATAGGAGGGAGGAGGGGAAGAAAGAGCAGGGAGGGGGTGTTGGCGGGGGGAGGAGGAGGGAGGAGAAGGGAGGAGAAAAGACTCGGACTAGATCTGGTTTAACAAACTAACAGGCGCGCACAAAGAAAAATAAGCAAAATAGTAAGTGGAGGGCGGAGTTTGCCAATCCTGTCCCGGGCACCCCTCCTCTCCCCGAGTGCACAGAACCGCGGGGCCAGGAGGCTCCCTGGGTACCGGCCTCCGGGCTGGGCTGCGCCAAGTGGCGGAGCCGGCTAGCGGCCGGGCAGGCGGGCAGCGGGCAGTAGGCAGGCTCGTTACTCGCCGCTTGCCGCTCGCCGCGCGAGTCCCAGCCTCTTCGCCTCCAGAGTAATGTCCTTGGACTGATAAAGTCAATCACTCACTCCTCGCACATAAACCGAGCGGGAGGCCGCGAGGCGCGCGCCAATGGGGAGCCAGCTGGCCCGCGGTCACCTGACCTCCGGCCGGACTGCCCATTGGCCGCCGCGAGGCTGATTGGCAGCGCGGAGCGGAGAACATGGCAGCCGCGGCCGAGCGACCCCCGCTGATTGGGCAGCCGCCGGGTGCCTGGCAGGTGAGGCGGCGGCTGCCGGGCGGCCGCGAGTGGGCTCCACCGGGCTTGAGTGGCTGCGGGGAACTGGGGCCAGGCTCCAGCCGGCAAACGGCGGGACGCCGCCGGGACTCTCGCGGGCTTTCCCCCACCCCTCGCGGGCTCTTTGCCCCGCGAGGATCGGTCCCACTGCTGCGCCGATGGAGGAGACGCGGCGCTCAACGTCCAGTCCTGCTTGGGCCCCCGCTGCCTCACCACCTTGAGAACATGTCCCCTCTGTAGCTGCAGGGCGCAGATCCTGGGGAGAGCGCAGCAGTTTCGCGCTCCCGGTCCAGCCGCTGCGTCCACCTCCAATCACTGCGAGTTCTGATGGCCTCGAGGCCGGGACCCAGGCCGGGATAGTTCGCCGTTTGTGCCCCCAACCTGTCGGCAGCTGTCCGAGACCCAAAGGAGAAGAAACGATTACAATTAGAGCTGATCTCCGTTACTTCCGTCTGCGCCAAGCGTTGACCCTTTAGTTTGTGAGCAGCGGCCGTACTCGCCGCTGCCCACTTCCCGAATTACACACCGGGCACGACACAGCAAACATATACAACGCAGTAAACCCAAGCACACAGTAGGAAACAAGCACACAACACAGTAAACACAAGCGCACCACAGGAAACAAACACGACATATGAAATACGCACACAACACAACAAAGTAAGCACATACAACACAGTAACATAAACTACGCACAACACAGCAAACACAGAAACACAACTAAACACAACAGAGCAAATACACATAACAGCGAGCATACCCACAAATACAAAACATGCAAAGAACACTTTTAGCCAGTGTACGCAAAACATGCACACAACACACTAAACACATAATAAACACACTAGACACACACAGTATCAGGGTGGTTTCCAAATCACTAGGCTAATCAGCTTTGAATTCTCAACATTTTCAAATGCAAAAGTCGTGTTGGGGGTTGCTGATGCTGAATGGGGACTGTGACATGGAATTTTCTTTCCTCTGAACAGCCAAGGCTTTACTCTCTTCTACTCCTACCCGGAGAAGGTAAAGCATGTAGTGACCTCAGGGACTGCTTACCCCTTAAGGATTTACTTCCAGGGGTGTGTGTGAAAGTCCTCTCGCCTTCTGTCTGTTGCAAGGTCTTTCTGACATAATGACCAGGTTCAGACAAGGCTATAAATTCACTCATTTTTGTGTCCTGCAAGGCATTTGCAAAGAATGCAGAAGAGAGTGGAAAGAAAAGGCAGAGAGAAAGATGGCTGTGATTGTCACATCCCTAGCTGGGCCAAGCCCCAAAGTCTGCGCCTTGAGGCAGCCTCACAGCCTGGCCGCCATCTCTCTGTAGGAAATAGAACATCTGATCAAGTTCAGAGGCGCCAGGAGAGACCGCCTTAAGCAGCGCTTTATAACTGCAGCCTTTCACTTCCTGCTCCCCAGTCTGCCTGGCCCAGCCAACACTTCACCTTCTTTCTTAGCCAGTTTGCTGGGAGAACACCCTACCGGTAGCACATCTTACCGTATTCACCCCCTCCCATCAAACTCGCCCCAATTCTCTCTCCACATCCAGAGCTCTCTCCCCAGGTTGGAAGGTGAGTTCACTGCTGACTTAAATTATTGCGTCTGCCGAACATAGGCTCTCCAAGAATGGTTTCAGTGCCTCTCAGCAGAGGGTTTCTTTGGGGGGGTAGGGGGGCGCTGGTGTGTTCAGAGAACAAATATGCTTAAATCATGCAAATGAATCCCCTGGAGTCAGGTTTACAAAAAAGGAGGATTGCCTTTCTTCCCCCCCCCCCCCCCGCCCCACCTTTCTTTTCACTTTCTCCTTTATTTCCTCTCTTCCCTCTACCTCTCTTCACCTCCCACCAACCCCAACCGCCCTTGGCTAAGTAGTTGGTTTGAAAAAGTTTGGATTTCCTCACTGAGCTGGTCCCGCGGACAGCGGTTCTCGAGACTAGGGGACCGGGAAGGGGCGGCTGTCGAGCTCTGGCCGGGCCAGCGCTGATGCGAGAGTTTCCGGGGAGTCCCGCCAGGTACCCCGAGAATCGAGGGCCTTGCGCGATTGCAACTGGGTGAAGGGCTCAGAAGGGGGGCAGCCGAGGGAGCTCATCATGCCCCTATTTGGGAAGGGGTCTTGAGCTCAAGGCAGGGGGAAGTTGCCGCCGCTGACCTACCCGGTGCCCAGTGTCCGTTTTGATACGGCCACATTCCGATAATTAATTGCCTCCAGCACGTGCTCTGTAGTCCCTGGAACAAAAAGGCATAATTCAATTAGATCATCAACCGAGAAGTGGGGAGGTGGGGGCCGGGGGGGTGGATGCTTGTTAAGGGGGCAGACCTGAGGCGATTCAGCCAGGCCAAAATCCCGGGCAATGGAGCCCTTCACGGGACAGCCGGGCCCATCCTGAGAGTGCGGTTCTGAGGGGGTGTCGTTGTTCTGTGGGACGCAGGGGTCCCAGATGCGCGCAAAAGGACGAGGCTGGGGGCTTTGTGAACAGCAGGTCAGAGGCAGGCCATTTCTAAGTCGGTTTCAGTTGGTTTGAGTGGGAGTTTCCTTATTTGGGGAGGGGGACCCCTGACCCTTAAAAGAGGGTAGAAAGCAAAATCCCTCCAGATAAAGCTAGTTACTGCACATGAAAACAAAGTCCCCACCCCCAACAAAGCAAATCACTGCTGTTGGGGGGGAAAAATCGCGAAGTTTTTCTTATGACTTAGAGCTTCTCTCCTCCCCAAACTTGATTTTCAAGAGGAGACTCTGGGAACAACTTCGGGGAACAGGGCGCTTTGGGGAGCTGAGTCTGAGAACAGAGTGGTGGCAGAAGAGGGAAAGCTAAGAGGAGAAAAGTTTTTCCTACACACAGGCAGAGGTGAGGGGATGGAGACAACTCTCGTGTTTTCGTTTTTCAGGTGGAGACAGGAGTCACAGCTCTAGTCAGGGAGGACAACTCGAACCCAGGGGTCGTGGTTCTATAGCTGAGGCTCCCTCAGCAGCTTTGGCTTACTAGGGTTTACATGTGTAGTAGGCAACGTAAATTAACCAATAAATCTCTTTTATGTGTCCCCAAGTTGTATGTGGTCGGGTCTAAATATCCACATGTTTGTATGGATAGGAAATATAATGGGATCCTTTCCCTCACACTGAGTTCAAACGGTAAATAGGAAAAAGATTTATTTTTATGCCCAAATCTAAAGCAGTAAATAAAATCAGAAAAACTGATCACTTCTAAACCAGCAAAGCTTTTGAGCCCGATTTTTAGAATCCATCTTGAAGAAGCAGTAGGGAAACAGAACGTCCTGAGGGGCAGTAGGGTAGGACCGGGTTCTTCCTACAACCCAGAGCCCAACTCCACAGCACTTTTCTCTTCCGTCGAACCTCCGAAAAACAGAACATACACAGCACATTGTGTTATCATGCAGCATTTCTTTCTAAACACATTTTATGTGGTGGACATGAAATTATCCTGATTCGGTGACCTAGTAATTTTCTTTAAGTTCAAGGGAAACGCTGCGGTCTTTTCTTCTGTTTTGTATTTAGAAAAGACTTGCAATCTAACACTCGCAACATTTTAAAGGCCCTTTAAACCCAGCAAGCGGATTTCCGTTCTGCCAAGGCTTCCTGATTTATTTCAATAAATGAATCTTTGAATCCAGGAAGGGAATTATTCCAGGACGCTGAATTTGGTGCCCCTGTCTCTCCCTAGTGGAGCACAAAGTGTTTCTCATTGCAACATGTCCTTGAAACTCACCATTATTCGCCTTTTTTCCTGGTAAATGACACTTTCTTTACATAAATCCCCACCCTCTCTTCAGAGTCCCAGATCTTTTTAAAAGAAAAACTGCAAGTGGCAATAAAAAATGAAGGGGGAAGAAAGCTGGGAAAAGAATGCATTTTTAACTTCTCTTTATTTTTATGCTAAGATAAAGCACTTAATTGGCATCAGGGGCCAAGCTGAACTATCGATCTCCAGGACATGCTGACACACTTGCCAACCAAGTGTGTCTGCAGGTTGGTGAGCGTAAAATCACACAGCTCCAGATTTTATTGGCCACATCAGAATTTTCACTATGGTCCTATCATTTGACACATATTTTATAAGCCCTAAATACCTTTAAAATTCAATCGAGAATAAACAGATATTGTTAATTAACCCCCCCCCTTTTTTTTTTGCCTTTGTCCTCTGAAATACAAGGCATATTGTTACCCAATGTAATGAAATGCAAACCAGACAGGAATGAGACATTTTCATTGTACTTGTCAATCAGGGCTGTGCAGACAGATATATATACTTGAACTTCAGAGACATAGGCTGAAGTAAATAGGGCTGAACTTGAAGGAGGCAGGCAGGGACTTGAACTAGAACTATCAGAATCCAGTTTGGAATTATAAAGGGAGTCCCTGAAATATAGAAAATGCAGTGAACCACCCCACCCAAGTGGTAGGCAGTGGTCCTCAGGCAAATCTGAGTGAAAGGCTTATGACGAGCTGTGGCCTGCTAGGTTCTGCTGCCATGGAATACCTTTACCGCTCTGGGGGTGACTAGGTGTTAGCCCCCAGCTGCACTAGCAGTGGCTCCAGGTGCCAGGAGAGCAAGACACATTGAAAGAGGACTTCTTCCTTCCTTCTAGATCAGAACACCTTGTAGGTGGGGAGTGCCCAGGCAAGAGAAGAGGGGGATGCAGGCAGAGGCTGAGATACACAGTGACACATTTGATTTATGTTTACAGGTCCTTCCCCAGACACCTGAAGAGATGGGGGAAGGAGAATCAATTTGGAGAGCCAAGTTTGCCTGACATTTTGGAGCACACATTTACCCAGGACCCCAAGTTCCTTGTAGCTGCTAAATGCTGTACTAGTTCTAAAATGTAAATTAGCTTCAAGGCAAGTGGAGAGAAGCCTTAGACTATTCTGAGATATTTGTTCATTCATTTCTTTGCTTTGAGAAAGAATCCTCCCAACGTGATGGGAAAGATATCTCTGGGCCACATTATGGCTTCTGGCAGCAACTCTCATCCTTAGTGCCTAGATCTGGAGCCCCCACCAACCCTTTGTCCCCAAGTTACATTTCCTTAGTCCAGGCCTATTCCACCATTTCATCTTCTTTCTCCCTTCCTCGCTGAGGGGCAGAGGCCGCCTTTCTTTTGCCCAAGCTGAGAGGGAGAATTCCTGATCCCTAGGAAAAATGCTGTCTCCACTCCCAAGGAACTTTGTGTAGTTTAGGAATTGCATTTTGTAAAATCAAATTGCCTGTTGCAATTTGCACTTGGTTTGTGGTTATTCATCTAGTTATTTCCTAGTGAGGGGGTGGGAGGAAAGGGCTTTGACATTAAAACAAAGCATAGGGCCTCCCTTTCCTCCCTTTTTTCTTTCCCCACCAACAAGATAGAGTGGGAGTGAATTAGACTAACTGCTGGTTTGGACGTGAATGGCAGACTATGGTCTGCAAACTGGAGGCCAAATCTGGCCCATAGCCTGTTGTATTTGTATGGCCCCAGGAGCCAAGAATGGTTTTATTTTATTTTATTTTTAAAACATCTTTAAAGGGTTAGAGAGCAGAAGTAGAAAAAGAAGGACAAAAAAGGGGGGGAATTTATGCTACAGATACTGAATGTGGTTTGAAAACCCTAAAATAATATTTTATATCTGGCCCTTTACAGAAAAAGTTTGCCGACCCCTGGACTAGGGGTTGGACTGTAGTGTCAGCAGAGGCTAGGTATTCTTGACCAGTAGATTTTATCCACCATCACCCTCCTAGATTTCCAGCTTCATTTTGCATATGGCTTGATTTTTTTTCCCCCAGCCCCACATCTCAGTTATTTTTGGGGATACTTTTGGCTTTGGAGAAAGGGAAAAAGTAGTCAAGGGAGGAGGAGTCTCAGGAGAAAGAAGGGATGAGAAGAGAGGAAAAAGAGTTGTGAATATCTCAATCAGTGACTAGGTGACCTCTGACCCTGAGGGTGGTTTTATTGTCTTTCTTCTTTGGCTAGAGATACACAGTTTATTGACCCTTTCTGCGTGACTGAGCCCTCAGGGGCAACGACAGCTCCAAACCAAGCCAGGCATGTGAGGCCAGGAAGCCTGAGGGAAGTGACCCCAATTCCCTAGGCCTGAGGGGGTTGGAGGGACAGAGAGATGGACTCCCTCCCAACTCAACTGCCCCTCCTCAGTGAGGGCCTAGCGTTCACCCAGCTCCTCTTCTTGCCCAGAAACGCTACCCTCCCTTTCTTCCCAGGACAAATGCCATCAGCTGGTAGACTTGGGCAAAACATTTATGCTCCTTCTCTGCACTCTTCCCCTTTAAACTATAAAGATATGTTATTATAAAGATTCCAGGGTGGGCCAGGCATGGTGGCTCACGCCTGTAATCCCAGCACATTGGGAGGCCTAGGTGAGTGGATCACTTGAGGTCAGGAGTTCAAGACCAGCCTGGCCAACATGGTGAAACCGCATCTCTACCAAAATACAAAAATTAGCTGGGTGTGGTGGCAGGCACCTGTAATCCCAGCTATCAGGAGGCTGAGGCAGGAGAATCACTTGAACCCAGGAGGCGGAGGTTGCAGTGAGCTGAGATGGCGCCACTACACTCCAGCCTGGGCGACAGAGCAAGACTCCCTCTAAAATAAAAAAAGATTCCAGGGTGCTCCCAACAACCCAGCTTACTAACTACTACCTTAGCTCATCCCCTTAGGTATGTCTCCCCTCTCCTTCATCTTTCCTTCCACTCCGGCCCTATCAGGAATTTCTCTATAAGGCTGCATAATCCTCAACCCTTGCCCCTCAGACTCAGCTTTGGTAGATTACACTTCACCTTTTGAACCTGGTCCAGACTGGCAAACAATTCTTTCAGACCCAAATAGCCACTCACACAAGTAATGTTGCCAAATTTAGCACATCAAAAACTCAGGACGCTCAGTTACATTTGAATTTCAAATAAACGATTTTTTCTTAGTTTAAGTATGTCCCAGTTATTGCCTGGGAGATACTTATACTAAAATATTCTTTATTGGCAATTCAGATTTTATAGGACATTATGTATCTTATATGGCACTCCTACTTTCAGGAGTATGGTCTAGCCAGGCTAAATTGTCACACCCAATGGAGCTCTCACCAAAGTGTAGCCTGACTTTGTGCCACTTGCCAAAGTGTTTTCCAAAAGCTCCATTTGTGGGAAAGTCAACTTGGGGACAGGGTGGCCCTGAAGGCCCAAGAAAAGCCCCTGGTGAAATTTCTGTTCTGGCTCAGCGGGCCTGTCCTTTCTCATCAAGAGGCCCAGGAGCTACCCTGGCTAGATTGTTACCACAGGACTGGCAGCGGGGCGCTGTTCCCAAACAGTGACTAATTGTGCCTGCTCCTGTCCTAGCCCCTGAAGGAAAGCCCCTTGTGCTACTCACCATGAGTAGCACAGCAGACATTGAGTACTGCACACATTGAGTACTAGCGTGCTAGGGACCTTAAGATCCCACGCACTGCAGGCCTCAAAGTCCCATTCATTGACCTGATCCTCCTGCCACCCCTGCAGGACCTGAGATGGGTGTTTGCCTTGCATATTCTTTCCTATTTTGCTCAGGTTGTGTGAGCCTGAGGCCCCCTTCCCTTTGCTCTCTAGGGTTCAAGTTTCACCAAGCCTAAAAAATCCTCCTCGCCTTGCCGTCCCTTGGTCCTTCTTTCTCTCATTTTAATGGGTCTGTCTTCAAGAACAGAGGAGCCTGATTTCAGCAAGAATGCCCCTATGGGCCCTTGAGGGCTATAAACAGGTGGAATCCTCAGAGCCAGAGTCTGTGGTCCCTCTGCTTAGCCCTGCCCTCCCAACCTGGATGCACAAACTTCAGTCCACACTGGGCTGTGCAGAGGCCCCTCTCGAGCCATCCAGGGCTAAAGGTCAAGTTTTCCTGAGGACCAAGGACAGAGTGAAGCAGGTTTTATCAGCAGACATCCGTTCTCCTCTTCCCCTGTTCCCCACCCTCATCACACATTCCTCCATGGAAGTTCTTATCTATCTACCTATTAAATGAAAGAGGAAAAACACATGGCCTACAGTGTCCTTTTCCTCACTCCTATCAGTACAAGTTCCAAAAGCTGAACCTGTCAGCAGCTCAGTGGCCTCAAAAACATTCCAGGAGACCCCTCTCCCCATCACTGAAATACTCCTTTCCCACTTTAGAAAAGCTCATTAGTTCTTACCTCTTAACTCTTTCTCCTTTTTAAGGTGGTTTTAGGCTCTAAGTTTGTTTGGAGGCAAGGGAGCCTCCACTGCCTACTTAAGCAAACTGAAGTTTTGGGTAGTTTTGGTAGCCCATAACCACTAGTTGTAGTGCACATCTGTACACACTTGCCTGTTTTCCTGAGTTTCTTTCTTTCTTTCTTTCTTTTATTTATTTATTTATTTTTTTTGAGACAGAGTTTCGCTCTTGTCGCCCAGGCTGGAGCGCAATGGCACAATCTTGGCTCACTGCAACCTCCGCCTCCTGGGTTGAAGCGATTCTCCTGCCTCAGCCTCCTAAGTTGCTGGGAATATAGGCGCCCACCACCACACCCAGCTAATTTTTGTATTTTTAGTAGAGATGAGGTTTCACTGTGTTGGCCAGGCTGGTCTCCAACTCCTAGCCTCAGGTGATCGACCCGCCTCGGCATCCCAAAGTGCTGGGATTACAGGCGTGAGCCACCGCGCCCAGCTCCTGAGTTTCTAATATGTCCCTGGGTATGGAAGGGGGCCCATTTTCTTTTCTTTTCTTTTCTTTGTTTTTATTTTGTTTGTTTGTTTTGTTGTGTGTGTGTGTGTGTGTGTGTGTTTTAAGGATGGAGTTTTGCTCTTGTCACCCAGGCTGGAATGCAGTGGTGCTATCTCAACTCACTGCAACCTCCGCCTCCCAGGTTCAAGTGATTCTCCTGCCTTAGCCTCCGGAGTAGCTGGGATTACAGGCGTCTGCCACCACACCTGGCTATTTTTTATTTTTTATTTTTTTTGTATTTTTAGTAGAGACGGGGTTTCACCACGTTTGCCAGGCTGGTCTCAAACTCCTGACCTCAGGTGATCTGCCTGCCTTGGCCTCCCAGCGTGCTGGGATTACAGGCGTGAGCCACTGTGCCTGGCAGAAGGGGACCCATTTTCTTAATACACACACTTAAAAGCTCTAGCTCCCACATGATATCTTGTTTTTGTGATTCTCAATTAGAGACTTATATTGCAATATTTAGTTTCTGCTATTAAATTTCACATCCCCTCCCTCAATTTGAGAGGGGGGAGAGGTTGCCTGCCCTCTGCTCCAGAAGCAATTGAGTAGAACCAGAAACTCTAGCTCCACATTGGAGTTTGCTGGGAATCTTTGAAATATTCAGATGGTCAGACCAACCCCAGAGCTTCTGACTCACTTGGTCTAGGGAAGGGTGCCGTGGCCTATTTTTGAAACTCCCCGGGTGATTCTAATGAGGGAGCCACTGTGTTAAAGTTAGTCAATATCTAGAGCCTCTTTGCTCCCACCCTGCAGCCTTCCCAGGCTTACATTCTTGGCCCTGGTAATACCACTAAGGTCTGAGAAATGCTTCAACTAGAAGTGCTCTAAGAATAAACTTGGGGTTCCCACTCCAGACTGCTATCTCTATCTATTTATTTTGCCTACCAGATGTTTCCATGAAGAAAAATCCCGCCTTCAACTTCTACGTTATTCATCCTGCTTTTAGAAATGACCCTTGCCCTGATCTGAGGTGGAAGAAATAAAGGTCTGGTAAAGAAATGATATGCTTATGGACCTGGAACCATTTATTTTATTTCAACTAAAGGGCTACACTTTTGCTGTTGCAGAACGAAATTTCCCCCTGTAAGACAGTGAGGGATGGAGCTACTTGATGAAAAGGGCTGTTCTAATTCTACTTCTCCCCGTTTTCAACAGATCCACTCCTGACCTCCTTCTAGAAGAAAGAAGGGGAGTGGAGATTCGGAGCATGCCATCTCATTAAGAATTGTTCCCCAGTGATATTTCCTTTGCTGTTTCTCCCCCCACCCTAGGTGGAATCCCAAGAACTGGTGAGGGGAACCTTATGCCTCTCAATTTCTAGATGATTGCAAAAACCAGAACTGTCCAGGTATCATGCAGTTTGGTTCAGGCTTTGAGGACAGCTCCAAGTTGTGGAAGGCAGGGACAGATGGGAGCAAGCAAGTTGCAGAGTGACTTGAAACTGAACCCTTTTTTCCCCCGTGGAAAAACTTTTTATTCACACAAGCAATACATTAGCTGCTTCACTCTTCAAATTATTTCATTTTATTTTTAGAGACAGGGTTCTCATTCTCTCACCCAGGCTGGAGTTCAGTGGCATGATCACATCTCACTGCAGCCTTGACCTACCGGGCTCAAGCAATCCTCCTGCCTCCTACCACCCAAGTAGCTGGGATCACAGGTGCATGCCACTGCGCCTGGCTATTTTTTTTTTTTTTAATTTTTCATGGAGACAGTATCTCCCTATGTTGCCCAGGCTGGTCTCGAATTCCTGGGCTCCAGCAATCCCCACCTTGGCCTCCCTAAGTGCTAGAATTTTAGGTACAGGCCACCACACCTGCCCCTTCAAAATGTTTATAGCTTGCATGCTACATGTAAGACATCCTGGGGGTACTGTGGGGGAAGATACCAGGAAATGATGTCAAGATTCAGTCTTGCACCTGGGCTAGCAAAACATTGTAGCAGTTTTAGAAGGAATATTTCATAATCCTATGTGGATTATCTGAAACTTTAGGGTAACTGTCAGAGGTTTTCTTTCTTTCTTTCTTTTCCTTTTCTTTTCTTTCTTTCTTTCTTTCTTTTTCTCTCTCTCTCTCCCTTCCTTCCTTCCTCCCTCCCTCTTTCTCTCTCCTCCTTCCTTTCTTTCTTTCTTCCTTTTTCTTTCTTTCTTTCTCTCTCTCTCTCTTTCTTTCTTTCTTTCTTTCCTTACTTTCTTTTCGACAGAGTCTTGCTCTGTTGCCCAGGCAGTGGTGCAATCTCGGCTCACTGCAACCTCTGCCTCCCAGGTTCAAGCGATTCTCCTGCTTCAGCCTCCCAAGCAGCTGGGACTACAGGCATGTGCTACCACGCCCGGCTAATTTTTTGTATTTTTAGTAGAGACAGGATTTCACCGTGTTAGCCAGGATAGTCTCGATCTCCTGACCTCGTGATCCACCCTCCTGGGCCTTCCAAAGTGCTAGGATTACAGGCGTAAGCCACTGAACCCAGCCTTTCTTTCTCTCTTTCTTTCTTTCTTTCTTTCTTTCTTTCTTTCTTTCTTTCTTTCTTTTTCTTTCTTAGGGTCTCTGTCACTCATTTGGAATGTAGTGGTGCAATCATGGCACACTGCAGCCTCGACCTTCTGGGCTCAGGTGATCTTCCTGCCTCAGCCTCCCAAGTAGCTGGAGACTACAGGCACCACCACCATGCCCGGCTAATTTTTGTATTTTTTGTAGAGACAGAGTTTTGCCATGTTGTCCAGGTTGGTCTCAAACTCCTGGGCTCAAGCGATCCACCCACCTCAGCCTCCCAAAATGCTAGGATTACAAGCGTGAGCCACTGTGCCTGGCCCTAGAGCTTCTTTCTTTTTATTCACACATGCCTCTCTTGGTTATGCCTTTTCCTACTCAGATGTGTTACTGGGGTTTGCTGGAACAAATACCCAAATGGAACTATTATAAAAAGAGTCCGCTGGGTGTGGTGGCTCATGCCTATAATCCCAGCACTTTGAGAGGCTGAGGTGGGTGGATCACTTTAGGCCAGGAGTTCAAGACCAGCCTGGCCAACATGATGAAACCCCATCTCTACTAAAACAATACAAAATTAGCCCAGGTGTGGTGGCTCACACCTGTAATCTCAGCACTTTGGGAGGTCGAGGTGGGTGGATCACCTGAGGTCAGGAGTTCGAGACTAGCCTGACCAACATAGTGAAACCCCATCTCTACTAAAAATACAAAATTAGCTGGGCGTGGTGGCACAAGCCTGTAATCCCAGCTACTTGGGAGGCTGAGGTAGGAGAATCGCTTGAACCTGGGAGGTGGAGGTTGCAGTGAGTGAAGATCGCACTATTGCACTCCAGCCTGGGCAATAAAAGCGAAACTCCATCTCAAAAAAAAACAGCAAAACAAAAAACAACAACAACAAAAATTAGTCGGGTATGGTGGCACATGCCTGTAATCCCAGCTACTCGGGAGGCTGAGGCACAAGAATCTCTTGAACCCAGGAGGTGAAGGTTGCAGTGAGCCATGATTGTGCCACCACTGCACTCCAGCCAGGGCAACAGAGCGAGACTCTGTCTCAAAAAAAAAAAAAAAAAAAAAAAAGTCCATGTTTTCATGAGGAAAAAAGAAATAAACTGGAATCATTATCTTGGGGAGTGCCTTCTTTTATATTCTATTTGTGTCCTTTCCTGCTGCAACATATAGTCTTTAAGATCAGAAAGTCCATTTAATATTCCTTATATTCCTCATTAAAACAGACTTTAAAATTACATGGTAAAAATTTGAGGCTCATTATTATTATTTTTAACTTCACAATTCCATAACTCCCCCACAACACACACACACACACACACACACACACACACACACACACACACACACACACACAGAAGGCTAGCTATGGAAAAGCACTCTGTAGCTCAGTGCCGTATACGAGCTTTACTTCTTGAGCTATGGTTTCATTCTGTGGCCATGGTGGGTTTAAGTCATTATTCTGAATGTAATGTTCAAATGAATTGGGAGGCAAACTGCTCTGGGAGTTGGCTTGGCATTACTTTGCCATCACACATGTCACTTAATTTTTGCTGATTGCTTTTATAATATATGTGTACATCACAAATAATGTAAAGAAAAAGGTCCCTCCAAGGATAATACAATGGAGAGCCTATATTGTGCATATGCCCTGTAATATTGACTTTTGTGATTCATAGAAACTACATATTAAATGAATTATTTTGATTATTATCAAGTGATCTTTGCAGTTGTTTTAAAAGGTCCATCCAGTTATAATCATGTGCTGCTTATGTGTGCTATTGCTATTACATGGGGAGGGTGTATATGATTTAAAATGGAGTCTGGCTGAGCATGGTGGCTCACGCCTGTAATCCCAGCACTTTGGAAGGCCAAGGCGTGCAGATCACTTGTGGTCAGGAGTTCGAGACAAGCCTGGCCAACAAGGTGAAACCCTGCCTCTACCAAAAATATATAAAAAATTAGCTGTGTATGGTGGTGTGCTCCTGAAATGCCAGCTACTCGGGAGGCTGAGGCAGGAGAATTGCTTGAAACCAGGAGACAGAGGTTGCAGTGAGCCGAAATCATGCCACTGCACTCCAGCCTGGGCGACAGAGTGAGGCTCCATCTCAAAAATGAAAATAAAAATAAAAAATAAAGTAAAATGGAATCTGTTCACTTGAAGTCAGGAGTTCAAGACCAGCCTGGACAAAATGATGCAACTCCATCTCACCTAAAAATACAAAAATTAGCCAGATGTAGTGGCACACACTTGTAATCCCAGCTACTTTGGTGGCTGAAGCAGGAGAACTGCTTGAACCTGGGAGGCAGAGGTTGCAGTGAGCTGAGATCTCACCACTGCACTCCAGCCTGGGCAATAAAGAGAGTCCCTGTCTCCAAAACACTAAATAAATAAATAAATAAATAAATAAATAAATAAATAAAATGGAGTCCATTACCCTGAGGAGCATAATTTCAAACATTTACACAAATCTCAATGTTTAAACAAAAATGTTAAAAAAAAATTAGGTCAGGCATGGTGGCTCACGCCTATAATCCCAGGACTTTGGGAGGCCGAGGCAGGCAGATCACGAGGTCAGGAGTTCGAGACCAGCCTGGCCAACATGGTGAAACCCCATGTCAACTAAAAATACAAAAAAATTAGCTGGGCATGGTGGCGCATGCCTCTAATCCCAGCTACTTGGGAGGCTGAGGCAGGAGAATCGCTTGAACCCGGGAGGCAGAGGTTGCAGTGAGCGCAGATCGCACCACTGCACTCCAGGCTGGGCGACAGTGTGAGACTCCGTCTCGAAAAAAAAAAAAATTTTGGTGGGAGAAGCAACATTGCAGACCTCTTCAGTTAGTCAAACAGGCCATAGAGGCATCCCACGGCTCAACCTGCTTTCTGTTTCATTGCCTTGAAAGGAAAGACATCTGGAGAAAATTTTCCTCTGAGCAAAAAGTGGAAAGGAGGCACCCCAGCCACATGGTGGTTGTCCCCATCTCCCTCCCTACTCTCCCCACCCCCTGCCCCAAACACACTAGGCAAAAAACCTTGACTCAGTCTCTTCCATTCCCAGTTTTAGTAGAAGAAATACATTTGGACAGGAGAGAAAGCCTTATGTCCAGTCCATGAATTTACTGGGTTGTGTTCTGTGGTTCATTTAGGAGGTCACATCTGCATCTCTTATCTACACCTCCACTCCACCTTCTCACCAGACTGCAGGTTTGTATTGTCTTCAGATCTCACCAGCAGAATTAACAAAACAATGCCCTCTGATTTTAAGGCCACAGACTGCCTACCATCACTACCTACCGGCCTGAGCAGTAAATATTGTTGAGAGAGTACTGCATGAGCTGACTCTATGCCAGGCTCAAGCGCTGGGTTAAGGCTGAGGCCGGGTCTTTGGGGTGTGTGGAGCAGAGAGGGTGGTTGTTGGTAGAACCGAAATCTGCAGAGGTTTCCATGAAGTAATCGTGTAGTAAGTACGAGTGAGAGTGTGGGGTGTGTGTGTGTAAGAACAGGCTTAGGTCCACAACACATTCCCCCATTAGCTCAACTCTCGTCTTTCTTGAGGCGCCACTTTTGACAGCGCCTGCGGCGCCCGCGCTTTCGGCGAGCGGATGCTTGCGTAGTCTCTTCTTCCTGTGGGTCAGGAATCAGAGAATCCGCTACTTTGGGATCCAAAGAGGGCTAAGTAGCTGGAAATCGGAGCCCGAAAGCCGAGGAGACGGCCAGAACCGCAGGGCTCATCCTGGTGCCTATCGCTCCCCACCACCCTGGCGACCAGAGAGGGCTTGGAAAGGTGGTGCGGGTTAGGGGGGCGGGGGGACACCGGCTGCTGGCTGGAGCTCGTGGGGAGGGGATTGGAGGTTGGCGCCATGCCCGAGCTACTCGCACTGCCTTGGTCCCATTCGGTTCCCCGGGGGAGAACCTCCTCCCCTTCCTTTCCTCCTCGTCCCCTCCTTCTCCGCCTCCGTGGGGCGCTCGGGTCCCGCCGCTTTCCGAAGCCCCAACGCCTCAGTCTGCCTATCCTGGCCGCGAGGGCACAGGAGCCTGCGAGCTGGGCTCTGGGGCCAGCCAACCTTCTCGTTTTTCCAAAAGGAAACGAAAGGGCGCAGCGCCTCGCCTTCCTCGCCTGCCACCGCTCGAGAGGGACTGTTTAATTAAAGGAAAACCCGCAATGTATACGACAGTTAAAAGCAACGCGCAGAATAAACTAATTAAAACATTGTGTTTGCAACACATTTTATTTCTCTCTCTCCTTTTTTTGATCTTCGCTGTGTTTTAAAGAAATGTCATCGCACCATAAAGCAAGCCGTGAAACGCTATTTCCTTATAGTGTGCGGCGCTTTTCAAAGGCTAGTGTGATATATTTTAGAAAAGGGCTCCTGCTGTGAAAGCTTGCGTGTCTTCCCTTTACCAAACTAAGCTCTTGTCAATCACGCCGAGCTCGGTCCAATCACCGAGATCCTTTTTGGAAAGCAGCTCATCCCGCTGTGCTTTTATACCGCGCTCCGCAGCCTATTTTGATGCATTTTTACCAGCACGTCCAGGGGAATGAATGATGAGGCCGCGGACACTGCTGGCCTGGCTCCCCGAGCGCCCGCCCGGCCCTAACGAGGCGCCGGCGCATTGTGAGCGGCCCAGACTTTCTCACGTGGCGGTCACTTAGCGGGGTTACCCCGACGTCAACGAGGGTCACTGCTGGTGATCCGGCTTATCAAGGCCGCGCGATCTCCTCTTCCTGGCCTCTAGGGCCTGGATCCGCGAGGCTCAATAGCCGCCCTCTTGGCCCGCCCGCCGGGAAAGGCAAGACCAGGTGCAACCTGACGCTGCACCTCAACCACCAGGAGCCGAGGATCATCTTTAAGATGCACCTCCTCTCCAGAGCTATGGCGGGGAGGAGTTAGGGCCGGTGACTCCTATGTAAGAGGTGTCTCTGTCTTGCCTAGACCTGGCTTAGGTTAGGGCTTGGTTTTGAACAAGCAGTGGGTCTCTTCTCTCTTCTCTCTCCCTGCCCATAGTTTCGAGGGACTTCCCCACCCTTCCGAGAGAGGCCGTCCCCACCCCGGAGGGGCCACTAAATGACATGGGCCTTGGCAGAGCTCAGAGCCCTGAACCAGAGGCTCAGCTAGAGACGCCCACAGGCAGGAAGGAACCGGTGCCCCCAGGCCAGGCCAACCATTCATTTCCCCAGTTGGGACGATTACTGGCCTAATGGACCTCGGAGCCTTAGGGCAGGCGCGGGTGGCACTGAATGGCCAAATACAAACTTGGTTCTCCCGGCGGTGAACCCACGGGAGAAAGGGCCCTATAACCCGCGCCTTCCTCTGATTCAAGGAAAAATTGGCAGGAGCCTCCAGACCTAGATTTCTGCAGATTCCCCACCTCCCCGACAGGGCTGAGGGCGCGCCCCGCCGGGGCGATGTGGAAGCTTTTGATCGTCACATTGGCTTCCCGGCTCCCGGAGGAGAGACGAGGGAGGAGGCTTTGTGGTCCGTCTTTCAGGCCGCGCTGGAATCGTTGCCTGCTTTTGTTTCCCGTTCCACTTCGAACTTGAACCAGGAGAGTGCAAACCGCTACGGTCTGCAGGGGATGAACAAGTGAAAGCTGTGTGAGATTTATTCGTTTGCATAATAAGCCAAACTCTGCATTTTGAAATTGTCGTCCAGTGCGACTTACACGTCCATTCAGCTTCTTGGTCTCATGTGTCTCTCTGTCTCTTTCTCATGCACACTAATACAAGCACCCCTTGGCCTCCAATTACACAAGCCTTCCGAGCACATGTACGATTTCCACGGGACAAGGACCACTAACCCTTCCCTGCCCTCCCACTCCATCCCCAGCGCCCAGGCGCACCTTTATCTCTGACCTGCCAGTTTCTTTCTCTAGCATTCCCCAAAGGACTTACCATTTGTTGACAGGGGTGGGTCCTTATGGGAGCCGAAGGCGAGGGGAGTGCTCAGCTCTCCGAATTTTTGCTAGCCCCCGCCTACCCTCAGGCTCGCTCTCGCTCTCTCTTCCCCACCCCACACCCCTCGGAAATTGCTGCCCATCCCGATTCATTCCCAAAAGGTGGCTTCCGTAATGACTACATCTTTAGGCTAGCCCTATAGGGAGGAGAAGAAACCTTAGCTCCGCTTACAGCCCAGCTTCCGGGTCCAGGTTCACACCGTAGTTGGGTCATGGACTAGCTGCAATCCCCACCCCAGCCCTGCCAGGTGTTCTTCTGTTCCCAGGGGCTCCCCTCTTCTTCTCCCTGTGGCCTTGTTCCGTGGAGAGCAGGCCCTGCCGGTTAGTAGCTTTTTTACAGTCTCCTCAGCACACCCCTGCGCACAGGACCACCGGGTGGAAGAGAGGCGCACCCCAATCCCAGTAAGGAGAAAACTTGCTCCTGCCTGGTGCACCCGAGACTCGCCGGTATCTCCGGGGAAGGCTGAGGAGCCTGCCGAAAAGCCTGCCTCTGGCTGTGTGGCTCTTTGTAGTTTTATGAGACAAAGGGTGGGTTTTTGCAATAGCCTTTGGCGAAATCTGCGGGTAGGGAAGTGGTCCCAGAGCTAGGAGTTCCAGAGCAAGCGACGGGGGCCGCAGGAGCTTGTGCGCCAGCGGATGCCGGCGCGAGGGGTTTCATTTGTCTCAGTGTTGCAAGTTTACAGGTGCTGAGACTTTGCTGTAACACTCGGACCACGCCGGTGTCTGTCTCTGAGCTACAGATCACTCGGTAATTTCTCAAATGCTGGGTGCAATGGGGATCGGCGTGAATTCGTTTTATATATTTATGTAAAAAATAAATTTCTGAAAACAATCAGTTATTTTAACGTGGGGAATTATTTGTTGTCTCCAGCGAATACGTTATTACCCTTCTTATATATTGCTTAGCGGCTCCGTAGGATGGGGTGAGAGCGTTGAAGTTTCTATTTCCAGGCGTAAACCAGTTCAAGTGTGAACTCGACGGCTGTAGTAGTCGGTTTGCCAACAGTTGTGACTGGGAGATGAGCACTCACGCGCATATGGGCGACCAGCTCCAGGCCTCTGGGAAGCCTGTGGCTACCCGAACACAGGCGGAAGAGCAGAAAGAAACGCCAGCGCCAGGTCTGACCCCCGAGCAGCCTCTGCCGCGGGTCAGGTGTGAGATCCTAGCACGTGCCCTTCCTGGGCTTTCTCCACGGCTTGGGTACTCGACCCGTCCTTGCTGAGAGTTCCAGGGCCAAGCCAGAAAGCCTAGACCAAATCCAGGACTGTGCCGGAGAGGCCGCCATTAGCATATTTCTCCGGCAGCCGCGCTCTCCCCGGCTCGCCGCAGAGCCCGCCTGCGCCACCGCGGTCCGGGAGCCGGCTGCTCTTAGGCCCAACCCAGAGGAGCGGCTGGCAATTATGGCCGAGGCCAGGGAGCTCGGAAGGTGTATGCTGTCTACCTGAGGGAAGAGACAGCGTCACACATCATTCAAATCGGAATCTGGAGCTGGCTTCCAGTCTCACCTAGGCTCCTACAAGTTGGTTCTGCACATTCTGTACGTTCTGTACATTCTTCACAGTAACTGGTCTCCTGCCGTAGACTTGGACTCACCCTACTTTTATTGGGAAATGCATGGAGTCCTGCTTGTCCTCTTTACCCCCATTCCACAGGTTTGTCTGAAAACTTCTTTTGAGCCCATCTGTTCCTCTAAACGGACTTTCTCTCCTACCACCTCCTCTGTCCCCAGAGCCTTGCCCATGCAGTAAGTTGTCCCCAGCAGCAGTTGGAAGTTGCTGGGGTCCTGGCAGTGCAGCCTCCCCACCTACCCCACCTCTAGTCCGTAAAGCCCAGCGATCCCAAAGGCCAGGGCCTCTTTTCAGGAGTGGGGTGGGGACCCAGAGGCTCCCCCCGGAAGGTCTACGTGGCCTTCCCTAGGCTTTCACTTAAAGGGGCCAACCACATCCCCTCTTTGGGGGTACTAAAGGGTCACTTTACTCTTGGACTGCTTCTTCAAAAAGTGGGGGCGTTAAAATGTTTAAAAATAAGGCTATCCAAGGTCTTGCCAAAAAGCAGAAGCTGACTCCAGGGTGGACCCAGCCAGCTCCAGGGGTCCAAGGGCGAGAGGGCACAGCCCTCAGGCTGTTTCCAGTGTTGAGCTAAGCTTGCTCTCCGGTTGTGAAACCGTGACAGTCGAGACCACCAGACACAAGTAGCTTCTTTCCTGAGCCGCGTGATCATTTCTTCAGTTGGGCCCCTTCTGCTCTGCATGCCAGAAAGAGGCGGGAGGTTAGGATTCCAGCAACCTGCTAAGTCCCTGCCGGGCGGGACGCTCCTCTGGCGCTGTAGTGCTCCCAACTACCCTGCAGTTGCGCAGCAGTCCCAGCCGCCGCCTCCTACCACGCACCTATTTCTCGGGTCGCTTTCTCTTGCCTCGGCACTGCCCATCCCATCCCAAGCCAAGAGGTGGGTGGGAGAAACGTGTCCTCTTCCCTCCTTGGGGTCGAGGATCCAGGATCGAGGATCCAGGAGCAAGCTTGGTGCAAACACTTAGTGCTATGCACAGGAGGCCTTCCGATTCTCAAGGGCTCCAGCACGTCCCCCTGCCCCATCTATATCTTCAAATCTGGCCTCAAAAAGTCAATCCGCTCACTCTCTCAGTTCTCTTTGCCCAGTGCACCAACTGGCCCTCTGCCTTTTGTGCTTGTAATTTTTCTAGACTTCCATGTTCAACTAGTTGTACACCATTAACATCTGCTTCCAGCCAGATCGAAGTCGCTTCCTTACCCAGCTTGTCCCCGGTGTGCTACAAGCCTACGTGGTGAGAGGCAAGCTTGCTGGGAAGTCCCCTGACCTCCTGCGAGCAGCCTCTAGAGCACGACTCTGGCACTGTCCGGGAGCCCGCTGCGGCCCAGCCGGGGAACGCGCATAGTCTGAGGGAAAGTTACAGGACGCACCTGGCAGCTTGCGAGTCGCTGGCCCGAGGGACCGAGGCTGTTCAGAAAATGCCTTATGTTCCAGAGCTCCCGGCGATGATTATTGGTATTTCGAGGGCGCTTGGGTCCACATCTAGCTTGGGTCTTCAAAGGGCGAGGTCAAGTGTAAATAAGGTAGTACCTAGACTGGGTTCCCCGGAGCCATTCCGGAAGACTTGGGCACAAGGAACGTTTGGGAAAGAATTACGATGTGCCTGCTAGCACCACCTCCACCGTCTCTTCGCGGAAGCAGCCTGCATTCAGTCTGGACTCGAGGGTCCCTAGCTCCAGGAGAAGGAATGAGCACACCTTTTTTGCTTTGGAAAGGTTAAAGCAGGAAAAGCCCAGCGCTGGAGCATCTCAAGGCAAGGTGCTGAAGAGAAAGTGAGTGAGTGAGTGAGTGAGTGAGTGAGTGAGTGAGTGAATAAGTACTGCTCTAGTACTTATGCATGTCTGGCGCTGGTCTGGGATGTCCTGAGGTGCTTTGTGACAAGAACCCAATGATACCCTGGGGAAAACAGTAGCTTCAGCTGTTAGTCTATCTAGGCATGGGGAACAGTGGCCCGTCCTGTCCCCACCTCAAAATGCCCCATTCCTACAAAGTTTTAGCTGACTCTCACCCTCTGTGCCAGGCTGAGCTTATGAGGACTCCAGTTTGGCCTCTCCAGCCTACCACAAACACCTCTCTCTCTCTCACACACACACACACACACACACACACACACTTCATTCACTCACTCACTCATTCTCTCACTTTCTCAAAAGTCTTGTGGTCAATGCACAGGCTTTTGTGTCAAACAATTTTAGGAGGGTTATGAATCCCTACTTCTTGCCACTAACTAGCTTCCTGACCTGGGACAAATTACTTAAGAGCTCTAAACCTCAGTTTCCATATCTTCAAAAGAAAGTGAATAATGGTGGCTGTCTTTACAGTTTTCAAGTGAATTAAATTATATAGAGCAAGCAGCACAAAACAGTAGCAACTCAGTGGTAGTTATTAAAATGAATAAAGCAATTTCTGGTAAAGTGGCTTCCTCTGTAATGTGTCAAAGCAAGCAGAGTGGCTCAAAGTGGTTAATGTGCTTCACTGTATTTGTGGAGTCTTGGAGAGAAATATATTAGATGAAGTTACTTTTTAAATCCCTTCCAAACATGAGTTCATGATGATGGCATCTTATCCCACCTGCCATCATACCAACTGATGACAGATGCTTTTATTCCCTCAGGTCCCCAAAAAGCAATTCCAATGCCACCTGGAGATGCCCTAACTGAGCTCCTGTAAGTCCTATCTTAGCCAGGGCCAAACTAGCACCCCCTCTCTATAATAGGGCCAATCCTCCTTGATCCAGTGGCTCATCTTTACACGGAACATCCGAAGACTGCCCCAAGGGGATGTGGGCCAACAGGAAGATTCTGTCCTTCCCTTCATTTCCTTTCCAATGTGTTCTCCGGTGGGTAAAGTGAAGGTAAGAGGATTATGGGTAGCAGCCCAGAATGTGTGGGAGAAATTTAAAAAAAAATGCAACCTAAAGAATTGGAGGTAGAAGATAGGGATCCAGGACCCATTGGTCTGGCCTTGAACTACACGCATGGTGCAGGTTGGGAAAATATGTGGAACTCCTGCAACTTCATCAGTTTTTCCTTTCCTGAACACTGCCAAATTTTCAACAGCTCAACCCAACTCTGTCCTCTAACAAGGCAGCCAGAAGCATAACAATGACTCATAAAGCCTAGAGTAAGCCCTGGGCCTGAGTCCTGCCAGTAAGTAACAGAGTCCTGGAAATGTGATCTCAAGACAAAGAGGGCAAGAGAATGAACACAACACTGGGCACCCTAACTAGCTAAGTGACCTTGGACAAGTCACTTATGCTATCTGGGTTTATACTGAACTCATGTGTAAATCAGAGACAGCTGGACTGGATGACCCCTATAAGCCCTTTCATTTCTAAACATCTATACATCTATAACCTCAGTCCTATGTAAAATGTCGAGATGCAGTTTGACAGCATTGAGAGAATAGTTTGGAGTAGAGCTGAAAAGGGGCCTGGTAGAATGGACATATCATTTCTTGTCTCTTTGTATTATTTCTGAGCAGAGGATTTTCCTAAGGAATAGATGAGAAAACTCCATAACCCATTACTTCAAGAATCCAGATCAAGAGGAGATGCAGCCTAACAGATAAAATAGAAGTAGATTACTGTGACCTAGTGAGGATGCCTTGACCTCTTTTCCTGGGGTCATGATGATCCCAGGTTCCAGCTGAATCTGTCAACCATAGTTGAAACATCTATATACCTTAGCTGCGCCTTTATTGGATAGTGTTTCATGCTTCTGGAAAATTGTTCTAAATTCTCCTTGTTTTGCATGAGCTTGGTTAGCCTCACTGCACAGAGTGGTTTTTGTTCCCCAGGGAGTTCACTCGTGAAAAATCAGATCGGATCTTTTCTCTCTACTCTTTCCAAGGGAAGGCACGTTTGTCTTCCAGAACTTCCAGAGGCATCCTACAGTGATCAGGTTGGCAATCATAGCCAACCAACATCTCTGGCAAGATCACATTCATTTCAGCTTACGAGTTATGTGTAAAGTAACCCTGGGATCCCCAAATGTTTATCCACATAACTGAGTATATCAACCACAAGGAATATTGTCATGATTAAGGATAGCCTCGTAAAATGCAAGTAATGCGTTAGGTAAAATATTTCTCAATGGAGAAAAAGATGTCAATGTACTTTTTACGTTGGGATTTGGTTTGTACCATTTAAGATCTTATTAAGTCTCAGTAAGATGCACTTCAAATAGTTCATTCTTGAGTCAATAACTTCTTAACTTTAAAAGATCGTCACTCAACTCACTATATATATGTGTGTGTGTGTGTGTATATATATACATATACATACATATGTATATATGTATGTATATGTATATATATACACACACACATACATATATACACGTATATACATACATATATACAATATATACACATATATATACATATAAATGTATATGTGTGTGTACATATATATACACACACACATATACACACACACGTGTGTGTGTGTGTATATATATATATGTCTCTCTCTGTCACCCAGGCTGGAGTCTCTGTTGCCCAGGCTGGAGTGCAGTGGCACAAGCTCAGCTCACTGCAACCTCCACCTCCCAGGTTCAAGAGATTCTCCTGCCTCAGCCTCCCGAGTAGCTGGGATTGCGCCACCACGCCCAGGTTACTCACAGCATGTTCTCAGTTGAGGCTTTGTTTTTTGCTTTGTTTTTTTATTTATTTATTTATTTTGACAGAGTTTTGCTCTTGTCGCCCAGGCTGGAGTGCAATGGCACGATCTGGGCTCACTGCAACATCCGCCTCCCAGGTTCAAGCGATTCTTCTGCCTCAGCCTCCCTAGAAGCTGGGATTACAGGCGCCTGCCACCATGCCCGGCTAATTTTTGTATTTTTAGTAGAGACAGGGTTTCACCACATTGGCCAGGCTTGTCAAGAACTCCTGACCTGAGGTGGTCGGCCTGCCTCGGCCTCCCAAAGTGCTGGGATTACAGGCATGAGCCACCGTGCCCCGCCTCAGTTGAGTTTTAATAGCTGTTACATTTCTTTGTGTCAAAGAGTCTGAACATATGTGGAAGAAAGGAAGGAGAATTCTAAAATGTTTTGGCATTAGATGATTGCAGTTCGGCTCATATTTCTGTTCAATTAAACAGTAGGGTATTTGGATAGGCCAATTGGAATCAGGAGAAGTATAGCCACACTTGGGTTCTCCTCTACTTTGGACTTTCTAAGGAGACTAAGAAACAGCATGGTTAGGGAAATAGGCTCTAAAAATGTCATAGTTTTGTCCTGGGAACAAGTTGAATTATGTGGCTTTGGCCATGTGTTTAGCGTCCATAGCCTTGTATGGTGTATGCTCAGATAGCTGTGTTGAATATAATTTTGGACAAATGGCACTTTGCTGTTAACATTCTCTTTCTGTCTGGCCTAGAGAGGCAAAAATCTTCTTTAAATTTCCAGGGTTTATATTTATAATCCTTTACACCTTGGATGATTTTGCACATTTATAAAAAATTAATCCGTTTATTTTGGTGGGTCTGGGCCTGAGGGCATCTTGCCTATTGTTCGGTGATTTCTGACTTGACTCTTTCTCTGTGATTTAATTTCCTGACTATTTTCTATCTCATTTCAACCACACATAAATACCATTTATAGCATATTTCCTTAGGTAAAATGCATTTCAAATTCCAGTCTGGGATGTCCTGCCTCAGTAATAGAAAGAGAAACGTGAATTCATAATTATGTTAACTCAACAGTTATGTAAAAGAGGCAGCATTACATGCTCGCAAGGAGTGGAAAGTCCTGGCACAAATCTCTGTCCTGCCACTTAATAGCTGCGTAAAATTGGCAGGTTATTTAAATTCCTTAAGACTCAGTTTTCTCATTTGTAAAAAGAATTATGTTGATGATTAACGGGTTAATACAGGGAAATTTCTGGTACTGTGTCTAGCACCTATTTAGTGCTGAGTAAATGCTAAAAACTCTTTTTGAAAATATCTCTTTGTGTCTATAAAATAACTCCTCAAACATTTAAGATTAGGAACTAAAAACACAAGGAAGGCTTTGGTTCAAATTGTTACTGGATTGGGGTCTACCTGTATTCACCCCCACTTTTAAGAAATAGTGCAAAAGTAGATACAGGAAGCAAAAGAAAAACTATAGATTGGGCTTTGTGTTGTTATTGGCTTGGTTATGTATCTGGAAATGAATCAATTAGTAATTTCAAGTATCTACTGTTTCAAGTATCTACTTGTGTGCCCCTCTCTGCACCACAAATCACAACAGATCACAGCTCCTTGGTTCTCTTTCTCATTAGCCTGTGAGTTCCTAAGAAAGGATAAGAACTGTGTCCTTCTGATTGGATCTTCAAAATGTAGCTCAGTGTTTATCTTGCACTCATGATATAAGAACTATTATTATTGGGACAATAGATTATGTTTAGGCACCAAGTTGCATATAGCAAAGATGAGATCTAATATACTATGGGAATTCTGAAAAGAATAACAATAGGTTCAAGGAGTCCTGAAAGACTTTTTGGATGGGGTACACCTGGATGTGTGTGGAAAAATTTCAAACTGTCCTCAAAAATGCAAACGGAATTGGAAAGAGGTGTCTACAGATAAGATGAGGCTGCATGATGAGACACAAAGGCATGCCATGTGTACAGTTTCTTTGTAAATCTTGTAAATTTGTTTAAGTTCTTTGTAGATTCTGGATATTAGCCCTTTGTCAGATGGGTAGATTGTAAAAATTTTCTCCCATTCTGTAGGTTGCCTGTTCACTCTGATGGTAGTTTCTTTTGCCGTGCAGAAGCTCTTTAGTTTAATTAGATCCCATTTGTCAATTTTGGCTTTTGTTGCTATTGCTTTTGGTGTTTTAGTCATGAAGTCCTTGCCCATGCCTATGGCCTGAATGGTATTGCCTAGATTTTCTTCTAGGGTTTTTATGGTTTTAGGTCTAACATTTAAGTCTTTAATCCATCTTGAATTAAAAAATTACTGTTTTTTTCTATTGAAAGAACCAATTTTATTTTAGACTACCTTTCAAACAAAGTATAAAGGAAATATAATATAGAAATTGATACAGGTGGTGGGGTGCGGTGGCTCATGCCTGTAATCCCAGCACTTTGGGAGGCCCAGGTGGGCCAATCGCTTGAGCCCAGGAGTTGGAGACCAGCCTGGGCAGCATGGTGAAACCCCATCGCTACAAAAAAATAAAAATAAAAAATTAGCTGGGCGTGGTGGTGCGCACCTGTAGTCCCAGCTACTTAGGATGCTGAGATGGGCAGATCACCTGAGCCCAAGAAGTTGAGGCTGCAGTCAGCTGAGATTGCCCAACTGCACTCCAGCCAGAGAGACAGGAGTGAGACCCTGTCTCAACAACAACAACAGAAAAACCCAGTAATTCTAAACCAAAATCTCCATTTATATACAACGAAACTAATAAAGAGGAAGACAAACTAGAAATGCTTTCTCTAAACAAGAGTAACATCTCACTCTCAATATAAAGATTTCAGTCTCTGATCCCTCTCCCCCAATAAAAGTCTTCAAAAAGGTTTCTTTAAAATTATAAGACAAGATATAGGTTTATTTGAAGATGAAAGAGTTAGAGGAAAATGTTTTGATTGTCATAACACTATTTCCTTAACACTCTACTTATAAGCAAAGAATCATAATTTCTAACTGAAGCTTAAAATATTTTGCACAAAAGAACTGACATCTTAATGCATGCATGCTGTTGCACATTGTCTTTTAAGATTGCATTTTTAAAAATAGCTGAAGTAATGTCTCATCTTAAAACTTTTACTATTTTTACATTGTCTTTATTTTATATGTTTACCTCGCTATTTTTGATAATATTTTATTCTATAAATTTTATCATCTAATATTTAAATCAGAATTAGAATGTGTGTTCAATATTTAAATTTGTTTTAAATTTTACACATAATAATTCTACATATTTACGTGGTACACACTGATGTTTCCATACATACAGTGTATAGTGATCAAATCAAGGTAATTAGCATATCCATCACCTCCAACACTTATCATTTCTCATATCGGGAACATTCAAAACCCTCTCTTCTAGCTATTTGATAATATATAATAAATTGTTGTTAATTGTAGTCACTCTACAGTGCTATAGAACACTAGAACTTATTCCTCCTGTCTAGCTGTAATTTTGTATCTGTTAACCAATCTCTAGCTGTGTCCTCCCCACCTCCTCTTCCCAGGCTCTGGTAACCACTATTCTACTCTCTATTTCTCTAAAGATCAACTTTTTTAGCTTCCAAATATGAGTGAGGAGATGTAGTATTTATCCTTCTTTTTCTGGCTTATTTCACTTTATGTGTCAGGCATGGGGCATAATAATTATAATTATGATTATAATCATAATTATAACATAAATCATTATATTTATTAAAGTTCATTTTTTACATTAAAAGCATTTAATATTTATTATTAAAATTATTATTTATCTTATAACTAAGATTTTTTTAGTGCTTATGATTCTGAACACTTTATATGTATCACCTCATTTAAAACATTCCTTAGTTTGCAGGAGAGGAAACAGTTGTAGAGAGATGCAATCACTTGCTTAAGGTCCCCTGGCTAGTTAGTGGCAGATTTGGAGTTGGTCTCTAAGGCCAACTACATCCAAAGCTTGCATTCCCATTTGTTCTGCTGTCATAAACAAAAGACAGCCTCTGTCCTCACGATGCTCACAGCAGTGGGGGAGATGGAAGGAAACAGAAAATAGTAACACTGTGTGAAGCTAAGATGAAAGTGGAGAAATAAGTCTTCGATGAGAGTGTTAATTAGAAAAGAGAGTGGTAGTAGATAATTCTGGTTCTGTGTGTGTGTGTGTGTGTGTGTGTGTGTGTGTGTGTTTTCTTAGAATCAGAGAGAGAAAACCTACCTGGAGGTGAGATCTTAAGGGCTTATATCTTTAAAGGTAGAAAGAGAAAGGGATGGCCAAGCGCGATGGGTCACGCCTGCAATCCCAGCACTTTGGGAGGCTGAGGCGGGCAGATCACAAGGTCAGGAGTTCGAGACCAGCCTGGCCAATATGGTGAAACCCCGTTTCTACTAAAAATGTAAAAGTTAGCCAAGCGTGGTGGTGCATGCCTGTAGTCCCAAGTGCTCAGGAGGCCGAGGCACGAGAATCACTTGAACCTGGGAGGTGGAGGTTGCAGTGAGCCAAGATCACGCTACTGCACTCCAGCCTGGGTGACAGAGTGAGACTCTGTCTCAAAAAATAAATAAATAAATAAATAAAATTAAAAAGAAAAAAAGAATCAGGAAATCTCTCAACTTTACTTTTGTATTGAGGTAAAATTTGCTTACAAAACATTTATTATTTTAGCTATTTTTAAGTGTACAGTTCACTGGCATTAAGTACATTCACATTGTTGTGTAACCATCACCATCGTCTATCTCCAGAATCTTTTCATCATCTGAAAGAGAAACTCTGTACCCACTAAAAAATAATTCCCCATTCCCCTCTCCCCAAAGCCCCTGGTAACCATTATTCTACTTTCTGTCTCTAACCAGTATTCTGACTCTTCTAGGTATCTCATATAAGCAGAATCATATAATATTTGTTTTTTTGCCTTATTTCTCTTATCATAATGTTTCAAGTGTCATCTATGTGGTAGCATATATCAAATTTGTTTCCTTTTTATGACAATAATATTTCATTGTAATATCTATATATGTATATAAAATATAATATTTTGTTTATTCATTGGTTGATGGATACTTGGGTTGTTTCCACCTTTTGGCTATTGTCAATAATGCTGCTATGTACAAAGATTATTTTGAGCCTCTGCTTTCAAATCTTTTAAATATATATTAATATCTAGGAGTAGAATTGCCAGGCCATATGGACTTCTATGTTTAACATTTGTGAAATCACCAGACTGTCTTCTATGGTGGCCACACCATTTTAACACTCCCACCAGCAATACATGAAAGGTCCGATTTTTTCACAACCTTGTCAACACTTGTTATTTTCTGGGTTGTTTGTTGTTGTTGTTGTTGTTTTGTTTTGTTTTTAAATTATAGCCATCCTAGTGTGTGAGTAGTGGTATCTCATTGTAGTTTTGATTTGCATTTCTAGAGAAGTAATAATATTGAGTATCTTTTCATGTGCCTATTGGCTATTTGTGTATCTTCTTTGCAGAAATATCTATTCAAGTCCTTTGCCCAGTTATAAATTGGATTATTTGTTTTTTATTATTGAACTGTAGGAATTCTTTATATATTCTGAATATTAATGCCTTATCAGATATATGATTTACAAATATTTTCTCCCATTCAGTAGATTGTCTTTTTACTTTCTTTCTTTTTTTTGAGATAGGGTCTCACTCTGTCATCCAGGCTGGAGTTCAGTGGCATGATCTCGGCTTACTGTAACCTCTGTCTCCCGGGTTCAAGCGATTCTCCTGCCTCAGCCTCCTGAGTAGCTGGGATTACAGGCATGCGCCACCACGCCTGGCTCATTGTTTATTTTTAGTAGAGACAGGGTTTCACCATGTTGCCCAGGCTGGTCTCAAACTCCTGGCCTCAAGTGATCCACCTGCCTCGGTCTCCCAAAGTGCTGGGATTATATGTCTTTTTACTTTCTTAATAGTATCCTTTGGTGCACAAACATTCTTAATTTTGGTGAAGTCCAATTTATCTTTTTTTTTTGCTTTTGTTGCCTGTGCTTTTGATGTCATATTCATGAAGTCATCGCAAAATCAGATATGAAGATTTTTTCCAATGTTTTCTTCTAAGAGCTTTACAGTTTTAGGTTTTACATTTAGGCCTTTGATCTATTTTTCAGTTATTAAACTCATGTTTAATAATAATGTTATATTAATAATAATAACAATGATGTGTTTAAATGTTTAAAATATATTGTTAAATAGAAAATGTAAGTTATAAAAGAGCATTTACAAAATGCCCAGTTTTATTTTATTTACATTTTTAATGTGTCTTTTTGAAAATTTGTTATTTTTATTATATACATAACATTTGAGGACAGGCGCTGTGGCTCACACCTGTAATCCCAGCACTTTGGGAGGCTGAGGCGGGTGGATCACAAGGTCAGGAGTTCAAGACCAGCCTGGCCAAGACGGTGAAACCTCATCTCTACTAAAAATACAAAAAATTAGCCAGGCGCCGTGGTGGGTGCCTGAAATCCCAGCTATTCCGGAAGCTGAAGCAGAGAATTGCTTGAACCCAGGAGGCAGAGGTTACAGTGAGCTGAGATCGCACCACTGCACTCCAGCCTGGGTGACAGTGGTAACTATGGGCAAGAAAAGGAGGAAAATGGACAAGTATGGGTCAAAGGGTACAAAGGGTACAAAGCTATATAAAATGTTTAAGCCTAGAGATCTAATGTAGAGTGTCAGAACTATAATTAATAATGTTTTATTGCATACTGGATATTTGCTAAAAGAGTAGTGTTTGAGCACTCTCACAACAAAAAAAAGGAAGGTAACTATATGAGGTGATGAATATGTTAATTTGCTTGACTGTAGTAATCACTTTACTATGTATATGTATATCAAAACATCATGTTGTATAATTTTGATTCATTTTGAGTTAATTTTTATATACGGATTTAAGTAAAGATCCAGTTTTATTCTTTTACTGCAAGTATACAGTTTTCTCAGCACTATTTGTTGAAAAGACTGTCCTTTCCCCATTGAATGGTTTTGGCACCCTTGTCAAAAATTAATTAACTATAGATGTGAGGGCTGGTTCCGTTTGAGAGTGGGCCCCTCATGACCTCGAGTCCAGTTGACAAGGGAGGAGGAAATCATGTCCAAGAGGCTTCAAGTTTACTAGACAAGGCTTAACACAGGATGACTTTATCTTTGATCACAATACATAGGGCAGTATGATTTTAAAACAATTGTTGTGCATGTAGCAGTTATATTCATGAGCTTTGCCTTCTGCATTATAGGCGTTCAAATAGTATTTGTTGAGTAAATGTTAAAAGCACTCTATTCACTTGGTAACAATACAGTGAAATGTAATTTCTACATTTAAAGATGTCTCAGCTCCTATAAAAGCAAATGAAATTCCTCAAATTAGAATCTGTGACATTTTCAAATATTCTGATAACTTCTTAACTTTAAAGGAGTTTTCAGAGTTTCAAAAAGTTCAAAGGGTTCTTTGATTATTATTCTCTCTCTCTTTTTTTCCCTGGCCTTTATGTTATACAACACAGTACAGACCCAGATCTCTCTTTGATAAAGCTGCTATTAATCTTTCTCACACCTAAAAAGTGAGTACGTAATGACACAGAATAAACAGATTTCTTTGCATTTATATTTCGTAAACATGAAACAGTAATAAATTAAGCTGTTCATTCTCTCTTCATGGCTATAATATGCTATGCACTGCACAAGCAGAATGCAATGTATTTCAATAATGTTGCATTCCATACCCAGCTATGTGTCAAGATTCTCAGGTGTTCAATGGAATAGATGTGTCCCACACAATTGTGAGTCAGAGACTTTCCTGCAAACACATGTAGCCCAGTTCTCTCCACTGTGAACCTGAAGTCATTTTCAGGAACTCATTTGAGGTTGGCAACCCAGTGATTTCCTATGGGCAGACTGTAGGGCCTGCCTAACAGGGCCCATTTTGTGACTGACTGCAGAGCCTCCATCAGGGAAGATCGATAGTTGGCATGGCAACGAGCTTGTTTCTCCAGAAATGAGCTCCTTCTATTAAATTTTGCCAGCTGTTGATCAATTCCTGATCCACATATCAAAACATGACAAGCAGTTAATGAATCACAGATCTGGTTGCATTAAACAATAAAAATATTCAACAGAGTTAGGGTTGAATCTTTTTCTATGAATTTGGTCCAAGGATTCTAACATAAACAGTAACTGGTGAAGCACAAATCCATGTGTAAGGATGAGATGTATCAAGGCAGGAAAATGGAATGAATAAAACACTTTCACAGTAAGTTTAACATTGTGATTTGGTCTTTTTTTCTCTTTAGATACTTTAAGACAAAGCTATTTTTCATACCATGCATGCTCTTATTTTCCAAGTTTTATGCTGAGAGAGAGAGTACCTGGCTAATCTGGGGGCAGGCCTGGATATTTCTTTCCTTTAGCTGTTAATGGTATCACCACTCTTCTTCCTGCAATTTGAGGCTCTCAGGCTCTATGCGTGAAAGAAGGAGCTTGGAGAAGAAAAAGGATCCCATTGTGAAGAAGAATGGTGAAGAACATGGGGACGGCTTTGACTCATTCTCTTCCTATTTTCCTTTCTTCAACTTCCTTTCCATTTCCTGGCCACTCAGCACCTCTCTTCAGCTGATTTTTGCCAACCCAAATAGAAGACTGATTTTTCCCATAAGTAATGCTTTTAGTTGAGGATCCTCGGGGATTCATTTTCTTTCTTCCATTAACCAAACTCATGTCACTTTAAAGAGTGAAAATAGCTCAACACTTCGAGTGTCCAAACTGCAGATTAAAACCACAAAAAGGGACTTAATGATGTCAGACAAGCCACATAGTCCATCAAGAAAAAACATGCCTTAAAAAATGATGTGCCCCCACTCTTATTTACATGAGAGATAATAACAGTTCTGCCCTCAGTTTCTTTAGATCTGATTTAATAAGATTCCATTCAATCTAAAATGTTATTGCAATGACAGATTTTCAGGGATCCTGGAGTTACCTTCATAACCCCCATCAGTAAACTTGGTGTAGTTCAGAAACTGCTTCTTATTTACTCGTGCAATATAGAGTAGGATAGCATTTCATGACAACTGGTGGGAGAGTCTAGCTGGGATTCTGTGTTATTGTGTGAGATCTATTTATATAAGAATGTATTATCATAAAAATAAAGTTCCTTTAATAATGACCCTGTAGAAGGAGCAGTCTTGAGAGCTCTGGCAGGGATTCCAAACCTGAATTAAAATAGACTATTTTGCATAAGGGGAATTAGACCCCACATTACTGATAAGTGATTTCATTATGTCTGATATTATCAAAATGACTGCTGGAAGAATTAAAAGTGATTGGCTGCAGAGTGTAAGTGGTGCCTATTTGCTTCTTGGAGTGTCTGGGAAATTTAAAAAATGCAATTGGCTAAAATAAAACTAAAATAATTTAGGACTAATAGCTATGTTATATATGTATTTTTGTGCGTATATATATATGTATATGTACATAAGTACATATTTGTGTGTATCTATGTGTATTTGGAGGCCTACCGGGTGTTATTTTTTATAGTAGTATTCTAAGTATCATGTGTAGTAAAACAACATTTCCTTAACATTGAAAAAATCACTGAGTAAATTCAATTCAACATGAAAATAAATGTGTCTTTGCCACCTATTATGAACAAGGCAAATTGTACCAGGTCCCACAGGGTAAAGGTAGCTAGCTTATAGTTTTAGAATCCAAAAATGTTGATCTAAACAATGAAGCCACATATGGTAACAGCTTCATGTTCTTACAAAAATTACGCCTTGTTAGACTAATCAAATGCCCTTTTGTGACCAAGGGCTCAGCCTGTTAGGTCAAGTGGCTATTGTGGCTGTCATCTAGCCTGGATGTCTTTAGGCTTTTGATTTGGTTTGTGAGGCCACCTCATGGCAGCTCGAAGATAGGTTCTAACCCCCCTTCTTTGTTGGCTGCACTGTGAAATCCTCAAGGATCAAAACCATTGCTATTTGTTCCGAGGTTCCCAGAACACAGCATAGTGCCTAGTACCTGGCAGTCATACAATCTACATATGTGAAATTGGAAGACAGTTTCTAAATCAAGCGATGTTTATAAGTGAGGCTGGGACGGGGAGAGAGAGTGTGTGCAGCGGCAGGTGAAGTTTTGATGTCTGAGTACTCTGCTTATTGCTGCAGGCAGTCAATCTTCTCCCATGAACCAGAGGGCAAGAATAGAGTGCCCAGGCCACCTCTGTTTTCTTGAAACAACAGGGTTGGTGAGTGAGGTAATAGGAAAGTATTCACATCAGTGCATATTTCTCTCCCCTTGCATCTGGGCTGGGAATTGATTTAACCAGTAAAATGCAGCAGAAATGACACTGTGTCCGTTCTGGGTCTTAAGCCTTAATACGGCTTGACTGTTTTTGTTTTTGTGCTCTTGAGAGCTTTGAGCAACCATGTGAGAAGTCCAGTTACTCTGCTGCAGTAAACATGTGGAGAGTCCACACAGAGAGGGAGAAGCTTTGAGATTACATGGAGAGAGAGTGTCCCAGCTATGCCAACATCTGAGCTGAGCCTGGTCCTAGCTGCACTAACAGCTGAATGCCACCACACAAAAGACAAGCAGAAGAACCACCTAAATGAACCCAGCTGAAATTGAAAAATCATGAGCAAATAAGGCAGTTGCTGTTGTAAGCCACCAAGTATTGGATGGTTTGTTACACAGCAATAGGTAACTGAAACATTTCTCAAACCATATTGGGAAGACTGGGTTGTGTACAGTTGGGACCCTTTTGGAGTAGATTATAACTTCCAATCTCCAACCAAGGCAGAAGAGAAAACTAGTGGAAATTATAAGATGAGGGACTTAGTTTAGTTAGCTCTAAGAGACAAACTTCCTTAGCCCAGCTCAACAGAGAGAATATAAAGGAGAGAAGCTGCAGGATAAGGTAAGAATGTATAAAGCAGGCTTAGGTGTCTGGAGTCTTATGTAGCCACCAGATGATGTTTACAAATTTAAAGGCCGTGGTGGGAGGCAAAGGGGTGTATGTGTGTGGGTTACGGTGGTAGGGAATTGATACTTACAGAGCACTTGCTAGGTACCAAACACTGTGCTGAAAATTTTAAACCTATTACCTCATTTAAACCTTACAACAATACTGTGAGATAGGTGTTTTTTGAATTTAAATATTTTAGACCTTTAGATAATAGCATAATTCACAATTGTGTATTCATCTTCCAGCTGAAGAAATATAACAGAAGAAATGTAGTTGAAGCCCGTGTGTACTCCGCCATGATCACATTGATCTCCTTTCCCCCTACACCACAGAGGTAACCACTTTCTAGAATTTGGTGTTTATCATTCCCATTCAGGTCTTTAAAATTTTATTGCAGGCATGTATTTGTACAACATATTTGTATGAGTCTCTAAAAAAGAAATAATATTTTTTAACATGTTTTTAACTTTATAGAGATGCTTACTTACGTACTATGTGCCTCCTATTGCAGGTAGGTTTTGGGTCAATGATAGATTTCTGAGATGCATTCATGTTACAGCGTGTTGCTTTAGTTTGTTTATATTCACTGCTACGTAGTATTCCATTGTGTATATATACTACAATTTATTTAGTCATCTCCCTCTTGGTGGGCATTTTGCCTTCAGTTCTTTGCTGTTATAAACAATGTTATAGTGGACATGCTTGCACATGTCTTCTTGTAGATATCAAGAAGTGGGATTGTTGGATCATGTAGTATGAACATCCTCAACTTCACTAGATATTGATAAAACAGACTTCATATTTACACCCCCATCTGTAATGTATGAAAGAGTCTATTTTTCTATCTCCTTGTCATATTTTAGTGATTGATTTTTAAGAAAGCATGTTTGGATTTGCCTTTTACAAAATTTGTGAAGATTGATGGGGTACATAAGAAATTTTTGTTACATGTATGTAATGTGCAGTGATCAAGTCAGGGTATTTAGGGTGTCTATCACCTGAATACAATACATTGGTAAGTATAGTCACCCTACTCTGCTATCAAACATTAAATTTATTCCTTCTATCTTGCTTTATGTTTGTACCCTTTAGTCCACTTTTCATTCTCCCCTTTCCCCTCACCCTGTCACTCACCCTTCCCAGTATCTGTTACTCACTTTTCCACTTTCTACCTCCAAGTGTCCAAATTTTTTAGCTCCCACATATAAGCGAGAACGTGAGAAGTTTGTCTTTCTGTGCCTGGCTTATTTCATTTAACATAATGACCTCGAGTTCCATCCATGTTGTTGCAAATGACAGGATTTCATTCTTTCTTATGGCTGAATAGTACTCCATTGTGTATTATGTACCCCAATTTCTTTATTCATTCATCTGTTGATGAACAGTTAGGTTGATTCTATATCTTGGCTATTGTGAATAGTACTGCAATAAAAATGTAAGTGCAAGTACTCCTTCAGTATACCGACTTCTTCTTCTTATTTTTTTTATTGACTTCTTATTCTTTGAGTAGATACCCAGGAGTGGGATTGCTGGGTCAGTTGGTAATTCTATTTTTAATGCTTTCAGAAATCTCCACGGTGTTTTCCATAGTTTCTTGCCATATTTTACATTGCTGGACTTTAATATTTTTGCCAATTGGATCATGGGCAATCATGTATTTTTCATGGTCATAATTCTTATTTCCATAGTAACTAGGGAGAGTGTCTTAGTCTGTTCAGGCTGCTATAACAAAATACCTTAGACTGGGCAATTTATAAACAACAGAAATCTATTTTTCCCAGTTCTGGAGGCTGGAAATTCATCATTAAGGTGCTGGCAGTTTTAGCATCTGGTGAGGGCTTGCTCTCTACTTCGGAGATGGTGCCTTCTTGCTGCTGCATACTCATATGAAGGAAGGGAGTAGCTAGCTCCCTCTGGTCTCTTTTATAAGGTTCCTAGTTTCATTCATGACCCAGCAGATCAAGAGTTCAAGACCAGCCGGGCCAACATGGTGAAACCTCGGGGAGAATGAAAAGTGGGCTAAAGGGTACAAACCTAAAGCAAGATAGAAGGAATAAATTTAATGTTTGATAGCAGAGTAGGGTGACTATACTTACCAATGTATTATATTCAGGTGATGGACACCCTAAATACCCTGACTTGATCACTACACGTTACATTCCTGACCAAAGCTCTCATGACCTAGTCACCTCCCAAAGTCTCCATCTTCTAATACCAACACATTGGGGATTAAGATTTAACATTTGAATTTTGGAGGGACACAAACATTCAGACCATAGCAGAGAGTTAACATTGTTTCATGTGTTTATTTACCATTCAGGTTTCCTTTTCTCTGAGTTGCTTCATCATATACTTTGCCCATATTTCTTCCGGGTTGTTAGTTTTCTTTTAGTTGATTTTAAGAAGATCTTTGTATAGTCCAGATACTAATGTGTGTCACTTATGTGCACTGATACGTATAACATAAACAAGTTTGTTTATCCTGTTTTTTCTTTTTTTAGTTTATTTATTTATTTATTTATTTATTTCTTATTTATTTATTTACTTTTGAAACAGGGTCTTGCTCTATCACCCAAGCTGGAGTGCAGTGGCACCATCTCGGCTCACTGCAATCTCCGCCTCCCAGGTTCAAGTGATCCTCCCACCTCAGCCTCCCTAGTAGCTGGGACTACAGGCATGCACCACCACGCCTGGCTCATTTTTGTATTTTATTGATTGATTGATTGATTGATTGATTGAGACGGAGTCTCACTCCGTCGCCCAGGCTGGAGTGCAATGGCATGACCTCTGCTCACTGCAACCTCTGCCTCCCAGGTTCAAGAGATTTTCCTGCCTCAGCCTCCTGAGTAGTTGGGATTATAGGCACCCGCCATCATGCCTGGCTATTTTTTTGTTGTTGTAGTTGTATTTTTGTAGAGACGAGGTTTCACTATGTTGGCCTGGCTGGTCTTGAACTCTTGACCTCAGGTGATCCGCCTACCTCGACCTCCCAAAGTGCTGGGATTACAGGCGTGAGCCACCGAGCCTGGCCTTCATTTTTGTATTTTTAGTAGAGATAGGGTTTCACCATTTGGCCAGGCTGGTTTTGAACTCCTGAGCTCAGGTGATCTGCCGGCCTCAGCCTCCCAAAGTGCTGGGATTACAAAGAGTGAGCCCGCACCCCAGCTGGGATTTTTTTTTTTTTGATGGAATTCCACTATGTTGCTAAGACTGGTCTCGAACTCCTAGGTTCAAGCAACTCAGCAGCCTCCTGAGTAGTAGCTGGGATTACAGGAGCACACCACCACATCCAGCTCTGTTTATCCTGTTTTACAGATGAGAAAATAGAGAGAATTAGAGGTGCAGACAGGTAAAGTAAATTTCCCAATCTCATACAGCTAACAATTAGCAGAGCTGGCATTTTAATCCAGGTCTGACTACATTTGAACATAAAATGCGATGGTTGCATTCCATTCATCTAAGCTTAAAGTTTTTATTATTCAGAAGCCTTTGAAATAGATGCTTTTGAGATCAGAATTGCTCTTATTGGAATCTCTCATTCTTGGAAGGTTCAACTTAATATCTTAAAACAAGACAGAGTGAGAGAGAAATTCAAATATCTTTTACTGCCAGGTCCATACAACTCCTTGAATTTGCTTGTATTTTTCATAATTTTTAAATGCAACTCACACATATACACACTAACATACCTACACACACTTAAATATTTTCTGCCACCAGGTAACAGTACCTACAAGGTCACTGACACTACTAAAAAGTATTTAATATTGATTCGTTTTTATAAAGAATGTTTTACATTGTAGTTTGGGCGATGCAAATTAAAGCCTGATGAAAAAAATTTCCCATGAAAACAAAAATCCACTGATCTCCTAAAATTGTAGATTTAAGAAGCCATGTACAGACAAATGCATATATATAATATAATATGTATATATTAGAGAGATATATATTTGAGAGATATTATACATTATATATTATAATATATGATTATATATATTATATATATATATTAGCTTTAAAAAAGTGTCTGGCTTGAAATATATGGAATTGTGGAGCAAGAAGAGTTTTTCCCAAGGAACAATTGATTTGGTTTGTAATAATTAAGAAAACAAACTGAAAGAGAGTAAAAGGAGACCATATTTTAGAAGCCATAAAAGAAATGCCATCAGAAATTCATTCAGGAATATTCATTCAAGCCAGGCGTCGTGGCCTGTGCCTGAAGTGCCAGCTACTTGGGAGGCTGAGGTGGGAGAATTGCTTGAGCCCAGGACTTGTAGTTTAGCCTGGCAATACAGTGAAATGCTGTGTCAAAAAATGACAGTTCATTCATTCATTTCTTTCCTTTCTAATATTTCTTGAGGGCTTACTATTGCCCAGTTGCCATCCCTGTCCTGGAACTTAGTAGTGAGGAAAAAGAGAATAGCTACTAAATATTTAGTACTGCAGTCACTGAACAGATTGGATATATGTGCTGTGAAGGAGAACTGTGGAAAACATCAATGAAGTGGAAAAGGAGTGTTTTCTAGGAGAATTGTGTTTGATGTCAGTTTGGCCCAGTGAGTACAAAATCCATAAGATAGATGGAAAACAAAGACTTCCTGGGAACTAAGTAGGGTGAAATGGAATGAGTACAGTGATATGCTACCTACGCCACAGAATCAGAGTCAGTGAAGTATCAAACAAGTCAGGAAAAGAGATTGGAAGGGTGATTATAGATTTGCTTACATCTCTTACTGTAAGAGAGATATTAATTACTGAAGAAGCCCAAAGGTCACTAAAAAGAAAGTGATTCCAGTGATGACTCCAAGAAAAAAGGGGGGAAAAATTCAGGCTTCCAAGTGGTGGCAATTACAGGACTAAAACAGGCAAGAATGGAACAATTAGCAGCAGGCTGTGAAAGGATAGACCTTTCTTTTTCTTCTTCTTTTTTTTTTTTTTTTTTTTTTTTTGAGACGGAATTTCGCTCTGTCACCCAGGCTGGAGTGCAGTGGCATGACCTCTGCTCACTGCAACCTCTGCCTCCTGAGTTCAAACAATTCTCCTGCCTCAGCCTCCCGAGTAGCTGGGATTACAGGCACCCACCATCACACCAGGCTCATTTTTGGATTTTTAGTAGAGACCGGGTTTCACCATGTTGGCCAGGCTGGTCTCAAACTCCTGACCTCAGTTGATCCGCCCACCTCAGCCTCCCAAAGTGCTGGGATTACAGGCATGAGCCACTGCACCCAGCCAGATAGACCTTTCTTGAGAGGGCTTGGAGAAGCAGGGAGTGGCTTCAGGCAGTTGATCCTCTGTGTCAGTATTAAAGGTGAAGGCCATTCTCTGTCTTAGAAAAGGGGAGGAGCCTTAGTGTGAATAGGGGCCCACCATGAGGTGAGAAAGAGGAGTGCAAACTCATCCATGTGTTTAACGAGAGGAGTCAAAAATGCTCCCTACAAGAGGAGAAACTAAGAGGCCCTGAGACAATGAAGTGTTCGTTTGACTTGAGCTAGAATAAACTCGCAAAGTTTCTTGATTCACAGGGGGCACAGCTTTTTCATTTTCGTGCCAAAAGACCATCTCCTAGGATATGGAGACCATCTGTGTCAAGGAGCAAAGCCCTTAAAAATGATTTCAATGTAAAATGTGGCGTGACGGGGGCCATATTGTCTGACACTGTCCAACCCCTTTAGTATTTCAACAAGTTAAGCACAAAGGAAGTAAAAAACGGCCAGCAACAATGAACCAGAATTCCCAGACAGCTCCAGGGGAGAAAGAGAAGCCTTTGACAGAATTAAGACAAGTCAGTATGGATGTGCACAAAGGTGTCTAAAATCACTAAGTGCAGGGTTTGAAATGAGCAAAGAAAGATGGCCAGCGCTGTGAGAAGCCACGACCATGGGCCCCATGCTTCCCCAGCTCCTTGCCCCTGAGGATCACAGTGGGAAGGAGAAAGCCTGCCTTCCTGCTCACACACAGGCTACCAGTTTGCATGAGCTTCTGTCCTGCAAGCCTCTGCAGCTGCTAGAAGTGATTCTGCTCCGATCATATCAGTTTCCAGTGGTTGCTCCGCTGGGCTTGGTGATACCAAATTCTTGATAAACAAGCTCTTTCCTTTCTGTTCTTTTCTTTTTTAAAAAAATTGTTATTATTTTTCTGAGACGGAGTCTCGCTCTGTCGCCCAGGCTGGAGTGCAGTGGCATGATCTCGGCTCACTGCAACCTCTGCCTCCTGGGATCAAGGGATTCTCCTGCCTCAGCATCCCACGTAGCTGGGATTACAGGCACCCGCCACCATGCCCAGCTAATTTTTGTATTTTTAATAGAGACAGGGTTTCACCATGTTGACCAGGCTTGTCTCAAACTCCAGACCTCAGGTGATCCTCCCGCCTCGGCCCCACAAAGTGTTGGGATTACAGGTGTGAGCCACTGCGCCCGGCCAAGCTCTTTCTTTTCATGCTGAAATACTTACAGTTGAAATAATATGATGTTTCAGGTTTGCTTTGAAATAATCCAAGATTGAGATGGGGGGAAGTGAGTGCGGGTAGTGATGAAATAAGATGGTCTGTGAGTTCATTTGTCATTGCTGAAGCTGGAAAAAGGCCCACGGAAGTCCATCACACTATTTTCTACCTTTTTATATGTTGGAAATTTTCCATGAGAAAAAGAAAACAACAACAACAAAAGGAAAAACCCTTATGAGTTCACCTGACCCTATGTCAAGGATTTTTCTGATTGCTCTACATTCTTTCCTTTCTCCCCAAGAAGTGCTGCCTCTCTTTTCTCCCTTCTCATATTTTCAATCAACAAACATCTTCAGACATGCATTTTGGGCAAGGCACTCTACTGGGCACTGAGGGGCAAGCAGATGGATGAGTCTCTGATCTTAGGCCACAGTCTCATGGGGAAGACAGAGGGAAGCTTAGATAAGTGTGGCCAGGCAGGCCAGGAGAAAAGCTGCCACAAGAGGAGAGAGGAAAAACAATTCTGGTGGGTGTCCTCTGGAAGAACTTTCTGGAAGAAGTGGGATTTGAACGGATCCCTAAAGAAGCATACAGTTGTGTCTGGTGGACATGGGGGTGCAAGCCTGACCCTGACATCTGTAAAGCTAGGACAAGAGTTTGCTCAAACTGGCAGACTGACATAGAAAATGTTCTTTTTACCTTCGAAATGCACATTCACAACAATTTGAAAAGCCAAGCTAAAATTTAAAGTTCTTGTACTTTTTGGACTTCTGGAACATGGCCACATGGGGAGAGGTGGTCCCTTGCCCCAATCCCCTGGCCTGTACCTTCTCTCTCTTCCCTTCTTACCCTGGATTTTATTCCTCATCACAGGAGGCTTCATGGAAATGCCAGCCTCAGCTCTCACATCCAGAAATCATCAAAAAAACCAACAAACAGCCATCCCTTGGTCACCCTTCCGACCAAGGGATGCTCACACTAGCAGTGTCACTGTTTGCCCTTGAGAGGATGGTTACAAGGAAGAGTTCCACTCAGCCCTGGAAGTGTGTTTGGACTCATTTGGGCAGGAAAATGTGGGGTCCCAGGTATTTATGCTCTAAAAGCGTATAGAAGGAGCCCAGTCTCTGGGTGGACACTTTTCCTTGGCCCTGCAGATTTCTTGCCCTATGGGAGGGTCACAGCTAGAGTGCAGCCAGAGCAAAGCCCTCTCAAGCACAAAACCAAGGACAAGGGCCCCCCTTGCTACTCTCTGTGTGGTTTCTAGTAAAGTCACAACTTTTCAATTTTTTTTTTCAAAGTGGAGATAAAAATAATAGGACCTAACTTATTGGGGTGAATTGGGAATTAAAGGAGATGATGCATGTCAAGCTTTTAGAATAGCACCTGGCATGTTGTAATTGCTTGTTGAATGAAAATAAACCCAACTTGATTTCTTTCCTGAATTAACTGAGCAGACTGGTTGCTTTTGGGGAAAAGTGCATAAGAAACAGCTTCAAAGAATCTCGTAAATACTTTAATGAGCAAGTCTTAATTAAGTGTGTAGATAAGAGTCATCTCTCATAGAAGCACTGCTTTTGTGTGTGCTGAGCTGGAGTCTACCATTGATGGAAAGGGGGATTGGATAAGCCCAGCCACAGTGAATCAGGATAGAAGAAACATTTCCCTTCTCATCAGGGGAAACAAATACATTTCTTGTCACTTTCTACCTCTAGTGGAAGCAGTTTGCCTGCAAGGATTTCACATGAATAATGTGCTAATTATAATTAATTAGCTCCCATTTGTTACAGGAGAAGATAGCATAAGTGACTGGAAGGGTTACAACCCTAAGTTTGAGGTAATAAAGCTGCATTTCCATTCACATCATCAATAGTTAGTTACGTAAAGGCAATGTAGCAATGGGGTTAAGTATGCAGGCCCTGAAACCAGATGACTTGCAATCATGCCCCAACTTTTCCACTTAACTGTGTGACTGTGGATAAGTTTCTTAACCTCTTTGTTTCTGTAATATGATGACAGTAATAAGAGTAATAATGATGCCTACTTCATAGAGTTGATGTGGGAATTAATGTATGTAACATACTTATAATGGGTATATGGTAAGCCCTATATACATCTGATTTTAATATCCTTGTAATGAATTATGGCAGGAATCTCTCTACCTCCCAAACATTACTCACTGACACCTTAATCAGAATTAGTGGGGCTTCATTGTACTTAGAAAACTATATTGTTAATAGTAGTGGTGATAGTAAATATTTGTTGACATATTATTATATGTGAGTTACTGTTCTAAATTTTTTATTACAAGCATCAGTTCATTGATTCCTTACATCCATCCTTTGAGGAAGGTGCCATTAATCATCCACATGTATAAAGAAAATGTACATATACACCACAGAATACTACATACCCATAAAAAAGAATGAGATCATGCCCTTTGTATCAATATGGATGAAGCTGGAGACCATTATCCTAAGCAAACTATTAATAACACAGAAACAGAAAACCAAATACCACATGTTCTCACTTATAAGTGGGAGAAAAACTTTGAGTACATATGGACACAGAGAAGGGAACAACAGACACCAGGGCCTACTTGAGGGTAGAGGTTGGGAGGAGGAAGAGGATCAAAAAACTACTTATGAAGTGCTATGCTTATTACCTTGGTGACAAAATTTTTCACACAAAAAACCCCCATGACATGCAGTTTACCTTTATAACAAACTTGCACATGTACCCCTGAACCTACCTAAGCTAAAAGTTAAAAAAAAATTTGGCTGGGCACGATGGTTCATGCCTGTAATCCTAGCACTTTGGGAGGCCGAGGCGGGCAGATCTCTTGAGGTCAGGAGTTCGAGACCAGCCTGGCCAACATGGGGACCCTGTCTCTACTAAAAATACAAAAATTAGCCAGGCATGGTGGCAGATGCCTGTAATCCCAGCTACTCGGGAGGCTGAGGCAGGAGAATCACTTGAACCTGGGAGGCGGAGGTTGCAGTGAGGCGAGATCACACCATTGCACTCCAGCCTGGGTGACAAGAGTGAAACTCCATCTCAAAAAAAAAAAAATGTTTTATTTGTCAATCATACTTCAATAAAACGGGTTTAAAATTTTAAATTAAAAAAGATCATCCACATTTCACATGTGAGGAAACTGAAGGTCAGAGAAGGAAAGTAACTTGATGAGGGTCACGCAGTTAGTTACTGATGAAACTAGGTTTCAAACCCATGTCTATTGGGTGCAGAGCCATGCCTGCTACACTGCTTGAACAGAAAGTTTACTATTTCTCTGGTGCCAATGATAGGAATAGATATAAGTTGCTGAGAACAAAGGTACTACTTCAGCCAGACTCACTGTGGAGCTTTCAGGCATGGCGCTCAGAGAATGGACTCCTTATACCTGTGTAGGGAAAGGAGATGCAAATGTGGGGAGGCAGCTTCACCCACTGAGCAATGACAAACAACTGCCCGCAGATCCCTGGCACAGGCTCCAGGAGATAATGGTGTCCACGGATCATGGAATGTAGCAAGGTCTCTTGCTTCTGCAGTATGTGGTTGAGACAACCCAATGATTGAGTGTGGCAACAGGTACCGGCTGTGGCTAGTGGTCCCACATCTTTTAATCACTTGGATATTTGGGGGCAAGTGGTGTGACTTATCCAGTAGAATGGCTTGTGAACATGGCTCTTCTTTTGTAGACAGATCTCTAGTAAGGAATGTATCCTGCTGTGGAAATATATTTAGTGGGTCATTGGCAAGGGACAGGTTCAAAACTAGCTATGTCCCTCAGACCTAGCAGCATTACTACAAATGGGTCCTCAATAAAGATTGGGACCAAATGTCATCTTCTTAAGGGGGGTAGCTATCTGAGACTCTGTCCAGTGGAAACTGGTATCCTGCTTAAAATCTGAAAGAACCATAGATGGTTTGGGCTGGAGGGAAACTTGGAGATCGTTGAAATGAAACTCCACTTACACACTATAAAACTGAGAAATGGAGGCCCCAAGAGGGAGAGAGACTTTTCTAAGGTCACACAGCATGCCTCCCTTTTCTTCAGTTTGCCATGGTGAGTTTCTTCCTATTTGCATCTATTGCAAGGTACCCTGGGACAAACTCCTTCTGGCATATTTATCAGCTGTGAGAAGTCTACACAATGAGATGTTTTATTTCATTTAAAACTAATGTTGCCTCAACAGTTAAAATTGAAGTCGCCAAAAGGATCATTTCCTCACTAGGATAATTTTGCTATAAGCTTTTCATTAATGCAATAATAAATTCAGTAATGTTATTTGGCAGCTTACTGAAGTCTTCAGGAGCCACAGGGGACTGGATGCATTGTCTGTTTTTATGACCATAAAAAGGAAGAAACAAACAACAAGCTATATAAGCTCAACCAAAAATTGGTTTTGCTTCATATAATGTAGAAAACTCATTCATTCACTCACCCATTCATTCATCCAACAAACAAATGTGTATTGAGCACCTACTGGGTACAAGACATTGCACTAGGACTATTGGGGCTACAAAGATGAATCATTCACTCAGCAAACACTAGCTGCCCACTTGTTAAAAAGAAGCTTTCAGCCTAGTAAGATTAACAATTTATAAGCCAGTCTCCCTAATACAGAAAACGAGGAAGTACGGGTCATAGAAGATGTATGAACAAAGTTCAGAGGGGAAAAGTGTCATGTCTGATGAGACCAAAGAAAACTTCATAGAGGAGGTGATATTTGACTGGTGCCAACCTTGAGTCTAGGTAGGATTTGGACAAATGGTCATGAAGGACATTCAGGTTGGGTGACACAGGGTGCTCAGAGGCACTGGAAGAAGTAGAGTATTTCAGCTTGGCTAAAATATAATTTTCAAATTGAATTTGTTAGCTACTTCAGGGCGTACTGCAGAGAAGGAGGGAAGTCAAATTTGAGGAAACCCAGGACACCTACCACAATTTCAACTAAAGTACCTCCGCCTTGATCTATTTTCTACATTAGGGTCCCATATAAAATTTCATTTTGGGGAAAAAAGAAAGGTATTAAATTGATAAGCACAAAAATTTTAAACAACAGGACCAGAGCACTAATAGGTTGCACAGTGAGGGAATGTCAGAGATAAGAGTGGAAAACTTAGGCTGGGACCTGAGCATGAAGGACCTTGAATGTCAGCCTAGGAATGTGGGCCTTATTGTACAGGGCTGGCTATACATGGGACTGTATTTCATGCCTACGACACAGTAGGTTGCCTGAGATAGATAAGTGGGTTAAAGGATGGACACGGAAGTGGCTGGAGCTGAGTAAGCAAAGGAGAAAGTATTAAAAGATGAGTTTGGAGAGGCACCAAGTGCCAGAATATGGAATGCCTTTTATAGGCCATCCCAGGGACTTTAGATTTTCTTTTGAGTGTTTTGAGAAGCCATTGTAGGATTTTGAGCACATGAGTGACGTAATCTGATTTATAGTTTTAAATGGATCATTCTGGCTACTCTGTAATGCATAGACTAAGAGAGGGAAGGGTAGTTGGTTACATAGCAATACATAGCTGAAACTGTGTGTGTGTGTGTGTGTGTGTGTGTGCATGTATGACTGTTTCTGAGTGCTCAATTTATTGGTCTGTTTTCCGGGTCAATACTAGACTGTTTTTTTTTTATCACTCAGGCTTTGTAGTGTGCCTTAATAACTGATAGGGTGATACTGAAGTTTTTAGATTGTACATACAACATTGGCTTGGCTTTTTTTACAGCATTATACCAAAGCTGGGTGATATTTTAGTGGGTAATTTTTGTGAGTGTAATTTAGGATTCATATAAATCATTGTATTTCTCTTTAATAATAAGAGCATCCCTGTTAAAATGGGATATTTAGGGTCTTCTTTTTTTTTTTTTTTTTTTTTTGAGACGGAGTTTCGCTGTTGCTGCCCAGGCTGGAGTGCAATGGTGCGATCTCGGCTCACTGCAACCTCTGCACCCCCGGATTCAAGCAATTCTCCTGCCTCAGCCTGTAGCTGAGACTACAGGCGTTAGCCACTACGCCCGGCTAATTTTTGTGTTTTTAGTAGAGACAGGGTTTCACTATTTTGGTCAGGCTGGTCTCGAACTCCTGGCTTCAGGTGATCCGCCTGCCTCAGCCTCCCAAAGTGCGGGGATTACAGGCATGAGCCACCGCGCCCAGCCAGGGTCTTCTACAATTTAGCTTCCAACCACTTGCCAGGCGTTGTCTTGCCCTTTTACTATTTGTGCAGTAAGCATATCCTACATTCCAGCCAAACCAGAGTCCACTGAATATATTCTACACTTTCCTGTTTTTATGCCTTTCCTCGCTTATGCTGTTTCTCCCTGGATACTTCCCACTTCGGGGCTACATATGGAAATTTGACCCATTCTACAAGGCTCATCTCAAATGCCACTTTCTCCATTAAGCCTTTCCTGATACCCCCGACGGGATATGATCTCTCCCCTCTCCTGAATCTTGATACGACTTGCTTGACATTTTCTTTCTAGTCCTTATCTTACTGGACCTTGCTGGAATCATTTGTGCACCTGCCTATGAGGGCCTTGAAGGAAGGGCTTATTCCTACTACTTTCAGTCTCCCCAGTACCCCAAATGGTATATGTACCAGGTGTTCTGTAATTGCCCAGTGAGTTGAATTTGGTGGAATAGCTGGATTGTACTGTTTACCTCTTATTAGTTCCCTTATTCCCAGGCAGAATGAGATCTGTTTTCCTGATCCAGCAGAAACAAAGTTGCTTTGAAATGTTGGCTATATATACTGGCTTCTGTCTCCGGCTCCCTTTTTCTTTCTTAAAGAAACTTGTTTACTGATAGAACTTGGGTCATCTTGGATACATGACAAATTGAAAATGTGTTTTCTTTGAATGCCTGTTTGAAGTGTTTCATACCCAGTATCTCCATGTCCTTTTGACTTAGCTTTAGCGGCAGGACAGTTTAACGGTGAATATCAACTGATTTATTGGCATCATTTTGATCAAACAACTGGTAGATTAGCTTTCTTTGGCATTCGGGAGGCCTGGCCAGAGGTAAGTGACTAAAGTGACTTCACCTCAGACCTGGTGGGGTCAGAGAACAACAATAACCCCTGCTTTCCCGCTTAAGGGTGAGATATCAGGCTGTTACTGCGTGCAGTTGCTGCATTTTCAGGGACACAAAGTGATCAGTGTTCTATTCAGAGGTATGAAATAGCAAGTTATGCTGTCATATGGCTCTATTACATTTCATGTAATGCGGTAAAACATTTTAGCTTGAATTATGTTTCTTTTGAGAACTGCAGAAATTACATTGACAAACAGGTGAATTAGATGGCATCTTTGGCCACTGTCATAAGATTGAAATCTTAGGGACAGGGTGATACAAGGGAGAGAAGCTTTGACCTTAGACAAGTACGTCACTCTCAGCATTTTTTCCCCTCACTGGCAAAGTGGGAAAATACCACCCAACTTGCATAGTATTTGTCAGAATTAAATGAATATGTTTAACAGTCCCTACCACATAACTGCATACTTGACAAGCAAATTCCGTTCTCCTTTCTTCCCTTCACAAAAATGAATACTCTCCAAATAAATATTTACGTGGAGGGACAAACACATTTGTTTCTCAAATGAATCTTGCATCCTGTAAAGGAAGGCAGCTTGGATTCCTGAATGGATAAACATAGCTGTCGACAAGCAGCATCAGCATCACAGAATCAGAATATATATTTTTAACAAGATCCCAGGATGAGTTCTACGCACATTGCACTCTGAGATGCACAATCCTAGGTACTTCCTTTCACAAAAAAGCAGGAAGCCATCACAACAGGCTGTGACCTGGTTTGTCTTAAGGTACATCTTAACTAATAGACCTCAGCATTGCACCTGTGATTATGACTACGTCTTTGTTTGCAATATTTTAGTGAATTCCACAATGGAAAAGGGAAAATGAAATTCAACTTTTAAAAATCATCAATAGGACATGAATACTTTTTAAAAAAAAATACCACCTGATCCTTGCCTTAGATATTGGCATGGAGAAGAGAACAGACTGTTAATATATGCAGAAGAGGTACCATCTAAAATAAAAACATGCATTTTGTTTTATTTCTTTTGAAAAAGCAGAGCATAAATGATGTTTTAAATGCATTCCTTTGGTTTGTAAAGTATATAGGTATGTTATTTTACATAAGTTCCAAGATTTAAAATTAGCTGGATGCAGCTACTTGGGAGGCTGAGGCAGGAGAATCACTAGAGCTGGGAGGCGGAGGTTGCAGTGAGCCGAGCCATTGCACTCCAAACTGGGAGACGGGAGTGAAACTCTGTCTCAATAAATAAATAAATAAATAAATAAATAAATAAATAAATAAATAAATAAATAAATTCCAAGATTTTGAAGGTGGTGACTCCCAGCACATACTAAAAAATTTTTCCCAGCCCATGGTAGAAACAGAATAGATGACCTGCTGGGACTAATTTCCAAATAGATGGAGGTGCCTGGCAATGCTGTCTTTTAGCCAAACTGCATAACTTCTATTTTTAAAAGGGAAATTTTATGGGCTTATGCTTTTCCTTTGCCACTCAACATATCAGTCACAACCAGGACATAAAGTGCATGTTCAAATATGTTAGGAGACCCAGTACTTTATCATCACGGAAAAGTTGTTTTCTTGTGGCCTCTTTTGCAGGTTTACAACATAGTTTTCATTTACTCTTTTGTTTTAATTTATTTTACTACTTTACTTAATCCTCTGTCCATTTCAATCCTGAGCAGTATAAAATGAAAAATAATTGGAGAAATCTAGAAACGTGTGGCTTTCAAAAGTGAGAATATTCCCAGTGACTAAGTTTAACAATGAATTATTTTTGCATATATTTCGTCAACCAAAGAAAGTGGCTGAATAAGATGTTGATAAGACCATGATATGGTTTGGCTGTGTCCCCACCCAAATCTCATCTTTAATTGTAGTTCTCATAATCCCCACGTGTCATGGGAGGGAACCGGTGGGAGGTAATTGAATCATGTGATTGGGTTTTTCCCAAGCTGAATATCACAAGAATTGTGATAGTGAATAAGTCTCACAAGATCTGACAGTTTTATAAAGGGCAGTTCCCCTATACATGCTCTCTTGCCTGCTACCATGTAAGGTGTGCTTTGCTCCTCTTTTGCCTTCTGTCATAATTGTGAAGCCTCCTTAACCATGTGGAACTGTGAGTCCATTAAACCTATTTTTCTTCATAAATACCCAGTCTTGGGTATATCTTTAGTAGCAGCTTGAGAGCAGACTAACAACCAAACAGTGAGACATTTAGAAAATTGCTATGGTTAGGCCAGGGTTTAACTACTGTATTAGTCAGGATTCTCCAGAGAAACAGGACCAATAGGATATCTGCCGACATCTACACATAGATAGATGGATATAGATGTATAAAAAGGGACAACTTATGGGAATCAGCTCATGAGATTATAGAGGCCAAAAAGTTCCATGGTTTGCCATCTGCAAACTGAAGAATCAGGGAAGCCAATGGTGTGATTCAGTCTGAGTCTGAAAGCCTGAGGACCAAGAAAGCAAATGGTGTAATTCTTGGTCCAAGGTGAAAGCCTGAGAAATTGAGGTATCTCTATAGTGTAAGTCCTGGAGTCTGAAGGTCAGAGAACCTAGAGTTCCAATGTCCAAAGGCAAGCGAAGATGAATATCCCAGCTCCAGAAGATAGAGTGAATTTGCCCTTCCTCTGCCTTTTTGTTCTATCCAGGACCCCAGCCGATTGGATGGTGCCTGCTCATATTGGCGAGGGTAGATCTTTACTGAGTCCACTGATTCAAATGCCAATCTCTTCTGGAACCACCTTCACAGACATATCCAGAAATAATGCTTTATCTGGATATCTCAACCCAGTCAAGTTGACACCTAAAATTAACCATCACAACTACCATCTTGATGCAGACAACTGCAAGTGGCTTCCTGCTTTTCTATAGAAAGCAATCCTGAAAATATATGTGAAAGTCCAGCATGTAAGAGTCAAATGAGAGATTCAGATGTTATTGAGGACATGGGAAGCAGCTGACTCTCAGAGAGCTAAAATGTAATGTAAAAATCCCCAACTGTACTTTACTTTCCAGTCATGATTTTCGAAAATAGATTTTCATAATTTATGTTCTGTAGCTTTATTCCTTTTTTTCACAATTGAAGACATAAATACTGTAAGCCCAATGAGCATCTACTTAAAGCTAAATATTTGCCACGTTACAGCACAATCAATGATTTCTGTGTTTATCTTAAGTTTAAGATGCTGTTTCTTGTCATTATTAATGCTTTCGTTTTTCTAAATTCTGGATTTTCATTAATTCTTATAAAAAATTTAACCAAATATTCCAATATATGCCCAATAGACACTAGTGAACATACAGGTCAAGGTCTTTGAAACCATTGTCTGGCAAACAGTGCCATCATGCTATAGAGTGAAATGTTAGTTTGTCACTGAATTTGGCATATGAAAAAAGAAGCCAGGCATGGTGGCTTGCGCCTATAGTCCCAGCTACTCAGCAGGTTAAGGTAGGAGGATTGCTTGAGGCCAAGAGCTCAGGTACAGCTTGGGCAACATAGTAAGTTGCCGTATTGAAAAAAAAAATGAAGTTAAGTGGTTTAGGGTTGTTGGTGAATAGCATACAAAAACATTCTACTAAAGTCAAATATACGGATGTGAAAGGCCAGCTGTATCAACAGCCCAGACCTTTCTCCTGAGGTCTATTTGTTCAGCTGCCTACCAGAAATTTGGCTGTCCCAGATGTGCCTCAAATGATACAGGCCCAAACTAAGCTTATTCCTCCACTAGTGCTCCCCATCAACCTGTTTCTTCTCATGGATTCTCTGTATCGGGTAATGACTGTATTATCCAGGCAATCACTCATGCCGGAAACCTGGATGTCACCTGAGATCCCTTCTTTCCTCTTATTTCTTTTACCGGTCTGTTACAAGTCCTATTGATCCTACCTCAATAAAATATGTCTTAGTCAATGTCTTCACTTCTACGTCCTTACTTTAGGCCACCATCATTTCACACCTGGGTTATTTCATCAGCCTCTTCTCTTTCTACCCCTTCCTACTCATTCTTTAAGACTCCCTCTCACAGAAACTTTCTTCACCCTGCCCATCTCATCCAAGTGAGAATTAGGTGCTCCTCCAAAGTACATTTATATCCCCCCATTGGAACACTTATCTTGCCATTTTGTAAGTGCCTTTTCTATATGCTTCTCTGTCTCCTTCATTATTGTTTGGGTGACTTGAAGGCAGGGGATTTATCATCTGTCTTGTCTTATTCTCCGCTGAATTCCTAGCACCTAGTACAGTGCTTAACACATAGTAGGCATTTGATAACATGCTTGAAGAATTGAAAAGAGACTACAACGTTGTAGAAAATGTTACTGCTCTTTCAATCAATTCAGTGGAAAACAATTGGCCAACAGTTCTTAGTGCCAAGTAGGCAAAATCATTTAGGTGCCTGGGTTTTTTACCTGCTCACATTTGTGCTCCAGCATGGAAACTCATCATTAGCTGCTCAGCATTTCAAAGACCCAAGTGAAGTCATTCCAGGAAGAGGAGTAAGAGGCAATAGTACTTGTCAGTATCCCAGAAGAATTACTACAGCTTTTTCTGAAGTAACTTGGAATCAGGTCAAGTGAACAAGCATTAATGGCATCAAATCCTCAGCACTATGCTAGACTTGGTTGGGGAGGAGAGGGAAACAGTAGAATGTAAATTATTATTTTTATCATCTGGTAATTAAACCATATTACCAAAGAGACAAATCTCATACATGTGAAACAATTAGAGACTGATAGGATTAGATCACAGCACCAGAAAAAAAGAGAATTCAGTGTACCAAAATTATATCTCTCCAAAGTATGGTAGCCCACACTGCCACCGTGAATGTCCCTGTGTAATAACATTCCTTCAGTGTGCCTAGGATATACAGCTATGGGTCCAAACCCATTGCAACAATGAGAATTAAAATAACAATATTATTCTGTAACTAAAAAGATCTTTAATTGTGATTAATCAATTTTGCCTGCCAATTTTCAATACTATTCAATTCAGGATTTTATTATGGCAGTATATGACCAACCTAGTTGGGTGTTTTGTTTTGTTTTGTTTTGTTTTGTTTTGTTTTGTTTTGTTTGTTTTGAGACGGAGTTTTGCTCTTGCTGCCCAGGCTGGAGTGCAATGGTATGATCTCAGCTCACCACAACCTCTGCCTCCCAGGTTCAAGCAATTCTCCTGCCTCAGCCTCCCAAGTAGCTGGGATTACAGGCATGCCCCACCATGCCGGGCTAATTTTGTATTTTTAATAGAGACAGGGTTTCTCCATGTTGGTCAGCCTGGTCTCAAACTCCCGACCTCAAGTGATCCACCTGCCTTGGCCTCCCAAAGTTCTGAGATCACAGACATGAGCCATCATGCCTGGCCAGGCATCTTTCTGTTGTTGTTGTTATGCTAGGATTTGGTTCCAAAAACATTGTAGGAAAGCCAAGCCTAGCCAGGGTGCAGTGTCCAATACTGAAAGGTAATCATGGGTATGATGACTTGGTGGATTTTAGTGTACTTATATCAACTTGGAAGCTGCCTGGATTTCTTTTTTATTTTTTTTCTTTTTCTTTTATTTATTATTTTATTTATTTTTATTATTATACTTTAAGTTCTGGGGTACATGTGCAGAACATGCAGTTTTGTGACATAGGTATACATGTGCCATAGTGGTTTGCTGCACCCATCAACTCATCACCTACATTAGGTATTTCTCCTAATGTTATCCCTCCCCTAGGCCCCCACCCCGCGACAGGCCCTGGTGTGTGATGTCCCCGTCACTGTGGCCATGTGTTCTCATTGTTCAACTCCCACTTATGAGTGAGAATATGCAGTGTTTGGTTTTCTGTTCTTGTGATATTTTGCTGAGAATGATGGTTTCCAGCTTCATCCATGGCCCTGCAAAGGACACAAACTCATCCTTTTTTATGGCGGCATATTATTCCATGGTGTATATATACCACATTTTCTTTATCCAGTCTATTATTGATGGACATTTGGGTTGATCTCAAGTCTTTGCTATTGTGACTAGTGCCACAATAAATGTACATGTGCATGTGTCTTTATAGTAGAAAGATTTATAATCCTTTGGGTATATGCCCAGTAATGGGATTGCTGGGTCAAATGGTATTTCTGGTTCTAGATCCTTGAGGAATTGCCACACTGTCTTCCACGATGGTTGAACTAATTTACACTCTAACCAACAGTGTAAAAGCGTTCCTATTTCTCCACATTCTCTCCAACATCTGTTGTTTCCTGACTTTTTAATGATCGCCGTTCTAACTGGCATGAGAGGGTATCTCATTGTGGTTTTGATTTGCATTTCTCTGATGACCAGTGATGATGAGCATTTTTTCATATGTCGGTGGGCTGCATAAATGTCTTCTTTTGAGAGGTGTCTGCTCATATCCTTTGCCCACTTTTTGATGGGGTTGTTTGATTTTTTCTTGCAAATTTGTTTAAGTTCTTTGTAGATTCTGGATATTAGCCCTTTGTCAGATGGATAGATTGCAAAAATTTTCTACCATTCTATAGGTTACCTGTTCACTCTGATGATAATTTCTTTTGCTGTGCAGAAGCTCTTTAGTTTAGATCCCATTTGTCAATTTTGGCTTTTGCTGCCATTGCTTTGGTGTTTTAGACTTGAAATCTTTGCCCATGCTTATGTCACGAATGGTGAATGGTATTACCCAGGATTTCTTCTAGGATTTTTATGGTTCTTGATCGTACATTTAAGTCTTTGATCCATCTTGAGTTGATTTTTGTATAAGGTGTAAGGAAGGGGTCCAGTTTCAGTTTTGTACATATGGCTAGCCAGTTTTCCCAACATCATTTATTAAATAGGGAATCTTTTCCCCATTGCTTGTTTGTATCAGATTTGTCAAAGAACAGATGGTTGTAGATGTGTGGTGTTATTTCTGAGGCCTCTGTTCTGTTCCATTGGTCTATATATCTGTTTTGGTACCAGTACCATACTGTTTTGGTTACTGTAGCCTGTAGTATAGTTTGAAGTCAGGTAGCATGATGCCTCCAACTTTGTTCTTCTTGCCTCGGATTGTCTTGGCTATGCAGGCTCTTTTTTGGTTCCATATGAAGTTTAAAGTAGTTTTTTCCAATTCTGTGAAGAGAGTCAGTGGTAGCTTGATGGGGATAGCATTGAATCTATAAATTACTTTGGGCAATATGGCCATTTTCATGATATTAATTTTTCCTATGCATGAGCATGGAATGTTTTTCCATTTGTTTGTGTCCTCTCTTATTTCCTTGAGCAGCGGTTTGTAGTTCTCTTTGAAGAGGTCCTTCACATCCCTTGTAAGTTATATTCCTAGGTATTTTATTCTCTTTGTAGCAATTGTGAATGAGAGTTCACTCATGATTTGGCTCTCTGTTTGTCTGTTATTGGTGTATAGGAATGCTTGTGATTTTTGCACATTGATTTTTTATCCTGAGACTTTGCTGAAGTTGTTTATCAGCTTAAGGAGATTTTGGGCTGAGATGATGGGGTTTTCTAAATATACAATCATATCATCTGCAAACAGAGACAATTTAACTTCCTCTCTTCCTATTTGAATGCCTTTATTTATTTCTCTTGCCTGATTGCCCTGGCCAGAACTTTCAATACTATGTTGATTAGGAGTGGTGAGAGAGGGCATCCTTGTCTTGGGCCTGTTTTCAAAGGGAATGCTTCCAGTTTTTGCCCACTCAGTACGATACTGGCTGTGGGTCTGTCATAAGTAACTCTCACTATTTTGAGATACGTTCCATAGATACCTAATTTATTGAGAGTTTTTAGCATGCAGGGGTGTTGAATTTTGTCAAAGGCCTTTTCTGCATCTATTGAGATAATCCTGTGGTTTTTGTCATTGGTTCTGTTTATGTGATGGATTATGTTTGTTGATTTGTGTATGTTGAACCAGCCTTGCATCCCAGGGATGAAGCCAACTTGATTATGGTGGATAAGCTTTTTGATGTGCTGCTGGATTCTGTTTGCCAGTATTTTATTGAGGATTTTCGCATGGATGTTCATCAGCGATATTTGCCAAAAATTTTCTTTTTTTGTTGTGTCTCTGCCAGATTTTGGTATCAGGATGATGCTGGCCTCATAAAATGAGTTAGGGAGGATTCCCTCTTTTTCTATTGTTTGGAATAGTTTCAGAAGGAATGGTACCAGCTCCTCTTTGTATCTCTGGTAGAATTCAGCTGTGAATCCATCCAGTCCTGGACTTTTTTTGGTTGGTAGGCTATTAATTACTGCCTCAATTTCAGAACTTGTTTTTGGTTTATTTAGGGATTGGACTTCTTTCTGGTTTAGACTTGGGAGGGTGTATAGCTGCCTGGATTTCTATCTTCTTTTCCTGCTGAAAGTGATGTGGGGAGCTGCCTTTTCCTGTCTTGCATAAATCATTATTTTGCAATGTTACTTGCCCTGACTGTCAGCAGATGATTTTGATGCTTGGATTTGACAGTCTTGATAGGGTCTGCATTGGATGGAATGAGGACAGAGCCCCATATAAAAGGTGAGGACAATCTGAGCTTTTCCCTAGGGATAGAGCAAAGGACCAGTTCTGTATGGGCTGTTGGGGACATGGTGGGAGTGGGACCAGTTCTTTGGTTTGAGGGGGAGCTAGGTGAGGCCTGTGACTGCCGGCTTTCCCCGACTTCCCTGACAACCTGCATGACTCAGCAGAAGCAGCCATAGTCCTTCTAGGTACACAACTCCAGTGACCTGGGACTCTCACCCCCATCGCCCACAGAAGCCATAGCAAGACACGTGGAAAGAGAGTCTGAGCTCAGACATGCCTAGCCCCGCCCCCACCTGATGGTCCTTCCCTATCCTCTCTGGTAGCGGAAGACAAAGGGCATATAATCTTGGGAGTCCTAGGGCCCTGCCCATTGCCAGTCCCTCTCCACATCTACTACAGATGGTGCTTTCTTATTAATAATTTTATATTGCTTTTATGTTAAAGTGATAATATTTTAGATATATTCTGTTAAATAAAATGTAGTTTCAAATTGATCTCATCTGTTTCTTATTAACTTTTTAATGAGACTACTGGAGAAATAAAAATTACCTATGTGGCTTGCTTTTTATATCTGTTGGCAGTGGCTGATCTAGAATCTTGCAATGCGGAGGCATGAAGTGAACCTCAGGAATTGAGTTACCATTCCATAGTCGAATCTCTCAACCTTCATTTCCTTGTCCACTTATTTCTGGTAACAGGGACCTGAATGAATGGGTGTTGTCACTGGACTTGCTGGCCACTGGGAGCCTCGGGGTCTGCTCTTGTTCCAGAGCACTGAGGCTTGGGTGATGAGGAGATATATTATTCACTTGCTCTTACTAGTGGAAAATGCTGTGTTGCCAAATGCTGCTCTCAGGAGGTGGAAAAAGAAACTTCCAGTTAATTTTTAGATGCCCAAATAAATCCTGTTTTTCCCCCCCACTGCAACAAAAATATTGCAATAATAAAGCATTTGTGTCAACCAAAAAGTATCCCAAAGTCTTTTGCGCCTGTAGGGAGACCTGCTGCCAATAAGGCATTAAATCTGAGGGAAACATTTCTGCAATTACTGATCAAATACAATACAGCTAAATTTCACCTCCAGCATATCATTTTGATAATGGGTATGGAAATTATCCATTCAATAGCTATTCAAAAATAACTCAGGAAGATTGGTTACTAGATACTTCACAGACCTTCAGAATAATCCTTTCTAATCAGGCTGGTGAGAATTCAATAGGCAACATTTGCCTTGGACAAAATAACCTTTCAGGGGGTTGCAAGGCTGTGGGCTTGCTCCTTTTCCCACTTGCCATCCAGGAGGTGAAAGTGCAAACAGGCAAAAAGGCAGAGACTATTTCCTTGTGGGTCGAACTGCTGCCCAATACCCAACCAAAGCTCAGTGCAGACAGCTGTGCCTGCAAGTTAAGTGAGGCGCCTTAGTACTTATCAATCAGGAATCAGCAGGGCTTCTAGAGTTGTCCTCATTAAATTTAAAGTATATTCTCTCCCCAGCAGCAAAGGTCTCCATTGCCATCCATTTCTGCACAGCCAATTTTAGGCAATCAAAGAGTGTTGGCTTCATCACTGTCTCTGAACAGATTTCCAGTTTGACAGAGCTCTTCCCAGCTTGCCTGATCTTTGACAACCAGTAGCTCTCTTCCTCTGGTCGTCACCAAATCATTGCTGCCTCTAAGCCATTTCTTATCCTCTTATCTTCTTACTGCCTTTCACTGGTCAGGCTGTTTTTGTCTATAAAAGATGACACTCTTATCTGTTCTAACATAAATGCTCCTCCATTCTTATTCATTTCTGGGTCACCCATATCCTAGTTCTCACTTAGTACAAGGTAGATGCGTAATGTTTGATGTCCACTCGCTCACTTACTCAAGAAGGTCATGAGGAGAGGTTAAAGGGAACACAGTTACTGACTGGAATCAGGAAATATTGCTCAATATCTAATTAGTTACGTGACACCCAGGCAAGTCACTTAACCAATCTGTGTCTCAGTTTCCTCAACTGTAAACTGGAAATAATTATAACTCCTTCTTCATAGGCTTATTGTGAGACTCAAATGAGAGACTTATAAAGTGTAAAGTGTTGGCCAGGCACGGTGGCTCACACCTGTAATCCCAGTACTTTGGGAGGCTGAGGCAGGCAGATCACTTGAGGTCAGGAGTTCAAGACCAGCCTGGCCAACATGGTGAAACCCCGTCTCTACAAAAAATTCAAAAATTAGCCAGGCGTGGTGGTGCATGCCTGTAGTCTCGGCTACTCAGGAGACTAAGGCATGAGAATTGCTTGAATCTGGGAGGTGGAGGTTGCAGTGAGCTGAGATCATGCCACTGCACTCCAGCCTAGACAACAGAGCAACAAACTGTCTTGAAATAAATAAATAAATAATAAAGTGTTAGAGAGTTTTGTTCAGTCATTCATCAAGCACTTAATGAGCCCTTATTTTGTGAAAGCACAAAATCAGGAGTGCACTATTAATGAAAAACAAGGTCCACTTCTTACCTTCAAGGAGCTCACACTCAGGGGCAGGGCCTGCACATGCAGCTAACTCTAATAGGTGGCAATATGAGATGAATGCTGTAGGTGATGCAAGTTGATATTATTATAAAAACCAGGAGCGGAGAGATTCGTTCTGAGCTTGGGCTTGGAGGAGTGGAAGAGGGAGGGAAGATTCAGAGAGGAGGTAGCATTTATAATGAACCTGAAGGATGACATGGGTTTTGATAGACCAAAGGTGGGGGAAGGAAAGGCAAAGTGAGAGTGTTGAAAGGCCAGAGACAGATTTGGGAGATACCTGAGCATTTAGTGTGCCTGGAGAGCAACGTTTAGAGAGGGCTGCAGGAAGACACACACAGCTGCAGCGTTTGAGTTCCAGTTCTGTAACTGAGGGTAAGCTAAATAAAGTTTTTGGAGCAGTTTTGCACTTTGGAAAGCTCATTGCAGTGGTTGACTGGGGAATGGAAGGAATGTATACAGGACTACAGATAGGAAGAGCAGGCAGGAGATTATTCTAATAAAAATCCTTATGGATTCCTCAGAGTCCTAGTCCCAAGACAGGCTCTGTGAAGCCTGTCTTCTGTGGCCAAATGTTTAGGAAGTGCTACATATTGTAGGTCCCTCTTGAATGTTTATAAAACATATTAGCATATTCTTCTAGTCTCTAGGAAGTCTTTATTTTTTCAAATTTCTTTATTTTTAAAATTGACATAAAATTGTATGTATTGTGTACAACATGATATTCTGAAGTATATATATATATATGTTATGGAATGGTTCAACCTGGTCAATTAACAAATTCATTGCCTCACATAGTTATAATTTTTGTGATAACAACATTTAACATCCATTTTCTTAGCCTTTTTAAAGAATACAACATATCGTCATTAACTACAGTCACCATACTGTCCTATAGATCTCTCGAACTTACTCCTCCTGTCTATGATTACATACCCATTGAGCAACATCTCCCCAACATCCCTCCTCCATAGCCATGCCAACCTCTAGTAACCACCAATTCTACTCTCTACTTCTATGAGATCAACTTTTTTGTATTCCACATATGAGTGAGATCATGTGGTATTTGTCTTTCTATGTCAGGTTTATTTCACTTAATGTCCCTAGGTTCATCCATGTTGCCACAAATGTCAGGATTTCCTTCTTTTATAAGGCTGAATAATATTCCATTGTGTATGTTTATCACATTTTCTTTATCCATTCATCTATCAAAGAACACTCAGATTGTTTTCATGTCTTGGCTATTGTGAATAATGCTGCAATGAACATGGGAGTGCAGGTATCTCTATGAGGTACTGATTTTATTTCCTTTGGGTATATACCCAGAAGAGGGATGGCTGGATCATATGATAGTTCAATTTTAATTTTTTTTGAAGAACCTCCATACTGTTTTCTATTAATGGCTGTACTAATTTACATTCCTATCAATAGTGTGCAGGGGTTACCTTTTTTCCACATCCTTGTCAACACGTTTTGTCTATCTTTTATCTTTTTGATAATAGCCATTCTAACAAGAATGAGGTGATATCTCAATATGGTTTTGATTTGTACTTCCTTGATGTGTTTAGAAAATGAAAAAAGAAATAATTGACCACAGAATTCATTTTTTCCCTTACAGTAGACTTCTAAAAATTAGGCCTGATGTGGTGGCTCACGTCTGTAATCCCAGCACTTTGGGAGGCTGAGGCGGGTGGATCACCTGAGGTCAGGGGCTCGAGACCAGCCTGGCCAACATGGTGAAACCCCGTCTTTACTACAAATACAAAAATTAGCCAGGCATGGTGGCAGATACCTGTAATCCCAGCTACTTGGGAGGCAGAAGAATCATTTAAACTGGGGAGGTGGAGGTTGCAGTGAGCTGAGATCCCACCATTGCACTCCAGCCTGGGCGATAACAGTGAAACTCCGTCTCAAAAAAAAAAAAAAAAAAAAAAAATTAGTGTCCATCTGTGTCAAGGTCATGAAAGATCATGAAAGACCTAGAAATTGTTACATATTGGAAGATTAAGCTTTGGTGACTCAATGTCATGTAGGATCCTGGATCAGGGCCTGGAAAAGAAAAAAAGGACATTAGTGAAAAAACTGGTGAAATCCAAGTAAAGTCTGGAGTTAATAACATTTTGCTAATGTTAATTTCTTAGTTTTGACAAATTTACCACGGTTATGTAAGATGTTAACACCAGGAGAGGGTAAATTGAACAATATGCAGAAACTCTCTGCACTCTGCAATTCTTCTATAAATCCAAAATGAACTCAAAATAAAAAGTTTTTAAAAGTACTAGTGTTCACCAAAACCAACCCTGAGAAATTATGGTATAAGTTGATTTTAAGCACAACTGAGGTTTAATAATGTATTTCATTTTCTTAACATTGGGAAATAAAAATATTCCTTTATTTTACTAGACAAATGAAACTCTTCTTGAACATTTTACCACTTACATAAGTAAAACATCTAGCACATCACTGAGATGCAATACATTCTAGTCCCCCTTTCCATCCCTTTCTTCAATTTGGAAAACAAAATTGCTGAGTGGTTATTTAGAAACACTATTTTATTTAACCAAAAAGTTACTGTTTAAGAGTTGGGGAGCTGCATGAAAACTTGCTCCCTTTTCACAGCAGGTAGAAAAGATGGAAAAATGCCCTTTAATACGGTTAAATTGTTATGAAGTCTTTCTAGGGCAGCAGGAGCTGATACTGTGCAATGGCCAATGTTCTGCTCTATAATTGTGTTAATTAAATAAAAGATAGGAAAGCTTGTGATAATGTTGTATTTTAAGCAACTAAAATGACCTCATAAATTTGCAGGGTGTAGAATAAATATATATAACTGATACAGAGATCAAAAGAAATTACAGTTTAAAAGGAAATTGGGAACATAAAATACAGAAGTGGAGCTGCCATTCACTGGTGCAAGTGACACCGTCCACCACTGAAACACACACATGTGCACACACTTGTGTTCCCCTCCTCCTCAGCAATCCACCAGCTTTAGGATTTGCCAGCAGTGATAGGCAAATGATCACTAATGGGCTTAAACCAAATCAACTGCACTTAAAGAGGCTGCAGCCCAAGTGGCTTGTGGGTCAGTCTGGGGAATACGGCACTGCCAAACTGTGTGTATGGTAGGGGAATGAGAGGTAATACTGCTGCTTCTTGAAAAGTCTAAGCTTCCAGGCTCTCAACAGTCAGTATTTATACCACAAGGTGAGTCACAACAACCTGTATTTCTGAGGGGACCACAATGAAAACCCCATGTCTGGTCAAGTGAGGCAGAGGATGTTATGTACCCAAGCTGGGCCTAGAGCAGTCAGGAAAACAGTAAAGTGGAAAATTGCTCCTAGAGGGGATAGAAAGCCAAGAGAGCTGCCCTGACCAGCAGGGATTCGGGTTCAAGATAAACACTTGCCCATCCAAGGCACCAGTATCAGAAATATTCCATCCCTTCCTTTGGAAAGAATAAGACTTTTCTTACTGATGTTCATGATGTAAATGGCATTATTTTACTCTATGCTGTTGGGGCTCCTGAGGAGTCCAACCTCAGATCTAAATGTAGCTAGAAGAAAGCAGATTTTAGATAAAAATCTAAAAGTGGTAAGAGTTGGCTAAAGATAGATTTTGCTGCCTCAGGGCATAGTGAGTTCATTCTGGGAATGTTTGAAGCAGAAGTGAAATGCTTCTTCTTCAAATGGAAATGCTTCCATTTGGCAGGAAAGGTGTGGAAGGGAATCAAACATACTTAGAGATGGAGAAGCTCAGAGGACTCTCCTCAAAGCAAAGCTTCTTTTTTTTTTTTTTTCTTTTGAGTCAAAGTCTCTCTCTGTCACCCAGGCTGGAGTACAGTGGCACGATCTCGGCTCACTGCAACCTCCACTTTCCAGGGTCAAGTAATCCTCCTATCTCAGCCTCCCAAATAGCTGGGATTACAGGCACGTGGCTAGTTTTTGTATTTTTAGTGGAGACGTGGTTTCGCCATGTTGGCCAGACTGGTCTCGAACTCCTGACCTCAAATGATCCACCTGCCTCAGCCTCGCCAAGTGCAGGGATTACATGCACGAGCAACCATGCCCAGGCAAAGATCCATTTATTTAACAGTGGCAAACAAAGACACACTCATATGCATACACACACATAGGCGGGGCGCGGTGGCTCACACCTGTAATCCCAGCACTTTGGGAGGCTGAAGCAGGTGGATCACGAGGTCAGGAGATCGAGACCATCCTGGCTAACATGGTGAAACCCCGTCTCTACTAAAAATACAAAAAATTAGCCAGGCGCGGTGGCGTGCGCCTGTAGTCCCAGCTACTCGGGAGGCTGAGGCAGGAGAATGGCGTGAACCCGGGAGGCGGAGCTTGTAGTGAGCCGAGATCGCGCCACTGCACTCCAGCCTGGGCGACAGTGCGAGACTCCGTCTCAAAAAAAAGTAAAAATAAAAATAAATAAATAAACACACACATACCTGCCCTCAATTCAAGGCCTTCATAGCAAGCTGAGTTGAAATTATTAGTTTGGTGCAAAAGTAATTGTGGTTTTGCCATCACTTTTACATGGCAAAAAATGCAATTATTTTTGCACCAACCTAATAATTTAAATGTACCACCAGGTGAGTGTGTGCATGTAGGAGTATGTGTTGTGTGAACGGTTTTTGTGGCAGGAGTAACCTAATGTAAGAGGCAGAGAAGATTCTGTTGATATGGAAAACCAACCACTGTAACTTCTTTTTGAGTGATGGTCACTTAGTTCTTCCTTATGAAGTCCCAACACTCCTGTTCGACTGAAAAAGAAGGGAGATGAATATTCCCACTAGTTGATGACAATTAGGAAAATAATTAATATTTATTAAATGCTCATTATGTTTTGGGCTAAAAATTCTACCTACATTTAATTATTCAATCCACATCATGGCTTTCTGAAATATTCACTGTGTTCACTCCCATTTTACAGATGAATAAATTGAGGCTCAGAGAAGTTAAAGGACTGACCAAGATCCCACAGCTGTAGATAGCAGAGGACATGAACTTATGCAGTCCTGCTCCACAGCCTGTGCTATTAACTACTGGACAATACTGCCAATACTTAAATTTTTACTTAAATCAGGATTGTCAGGTCCTAGGAAAGCAAACTGCTTTTTGAGGGTCTCTAGCTTCAAGAGAGAAGAAAGAGTTGTGGCCTGGCAGGCAAGGACCTCTACTGAAACTTGTTTGGCATAGCCTCCACGTCAGGCTTATAGGTCCATCACGCAGTGGCAGTGTCTCTGGAACAGGCAAGGGCATGTTCTTCCATAGGTACTAGGGAAAGGTCTGGCTGTCCTCTTGTCCAGAGCAGCCAGGGGATAGGAACTCTGGGAGCAAAGATGTTCCTCTCTTTCCCAGCCCGGAGCTGGGGAGATAGCTTGATTTACTCCCCTCTTTTTTTAATCTGGAAAATGGTGATGAAAATCGGATCCTTTCACTGAGTTGTGTTGTATATTATTAAGTACCCTGTTTTGAAAACACATCTCTGTCAAAGCCATGATCAAATTAAGACCCAGCTTCATGGATCCACCATTCCTGGAATTTCTCCCAACTAAACAGATGAATCATAGGCTCACACACTCAACGACTCACAAAAAATAGAATTTAAAAGTGTAGAAAAGATGCTTAGTATTTGAATATCCTTCTATCTAAGCACATAAATAGAAACAAACAAAATGTATCATCATATCTGAAAGCAGTTCTGTAGTCTCCTTGGCTTCTCTCTAAAAGTATAGTTCTCTCAGAGACTGCAGACAGGATGCATCCACTCTTGGTTATTTGGCTGGTTCTGCCATAAAGGAAAGATTAATTAATGACCTCTATAGTTCTATGTGTAACTATCCTTCAAATGTATTCACCCATATTTTACTTCATTTTCTTTGTTGCTTTCCCATAGAAGAGATAATGGGGTACATATTCCCGTAGAACAATAGATTATTATCCTAATTATAGTTGCCTGGTGTTTTCTACACTTTTACCATTTTATTAAAAACAATTATCTGAGAAAAACCAATCTTTTGTAATACCTACCCTATTGTTCTCATTTCTCTCTGATTCTGATGAGGTCTTTTCAAAGGGTATTTTATTCATAATTATAGACTACAGGGCAATTGCTCAGAAACTGAGTCCAGGAGATATTTTGTTAAGCTTAATTTTTCTTGTACTTCTTGATCCAATTATATCCTTAGTTTTTAAAAACTACTAGCAACTTAATAAACCAATTTCTTTTCTATAAGCCACACATACTATTAGTAATAATCAGCATTCAAGATGTTTTTAAAAAGTGAATATTTTAGAAAAGTATGAAATGGTAAATATGATTTTGTGTAATAAAATTCATCTATCTCTTGCACATAAATAACTGTGAAAAAAATGTACCTTAAATCCAAGCATTCTTCCCTGATTATGGGGAGCACTTAATAGGTATTTTATGTAGGCTTTTGATCATCTCAGAAAAAAACATCTATGGCATTGGGTCTGTGCTTTTAAAAAGTCAGGATCAGTCAAGAGATACCTGGGTGAATAAAGAGGCTGATCAATCAATCTAAAGTGGAGAACAGGGAACAGATCTGGGTTAGGGGCTTCAAGTGACAGCTCCTTGCAGTATAGTGGGCAGGAGCATCTAGATACAAAATCTCCAGTTTTTCAACTTTCAAACTTTGTGACCACACCCCAGAGTAATACATTTAACATCACCACTGGTACACACACACTCACAACATACTTACTCTTTTACTTCCTGGGAGGCACTCCCACGTTTTCTATCATGTATTATCCTATCTCTACCTGAACCCATTTCTTTTCTTTCTATTGCATTTTTTTTAAATGTTGCATGTAATTGCATGGCCCACCCATGGATCATGACCAGCATTTAAAAAGCAGAGCTCTTGGTAAGAATGGAGGTGACAGAAGGGTCATGCTGGGGATGATTGATGACAAAGCTCTTTTTTGTCCATCCTCTCTGCATTGCCCTAGTCTAGGTGCATGGGGCTGAGTGTTTCATGGCTTATTGGGAGACAGCAGCTCTCTCCACTCCTGAATTATTGCTTTTCATATAGGCTTCAGAGACTCAAGTTCATAAAGTCCCCTCAGCATCTCTATTGACTCCCAAAGATGTCCATTTGTTTATGTTTTCTTCAGCCCTGCCCTGTAATCTCTGAGGCTGTGTCTGGGACCTCTGAGGTCTAGCCCAGTGAGTAGTTTATCTAATGGTTGGGGGAGTCACTGGGGTAGAAGTATATGTCATCTAAGTATGAATGGGATCTAAATACAAGTGTCCACAAAAGTGACAGGACTACTAACTGTACTTCACTCTCAGTTTCCTACTTTTATATGTAATGAAAAAATAGTAATTCTTTCAAAAACTAAAGGAATATCAGCCAGGGTAATTAGAATTACTATTTTAAAATATTACTAAAATTTCATGTTTGCTTTAGAAACTATTGAAAATGTAAGAAAGCAAGAGTAATTTTTTTAACTTTTATTTTAAGTTCAGCGGTACAGGTGAAGGTCTGTTAATACGTAAACTTGTGTCATGGGGGTTTGTTGTACAGATTATTTCATTACCTAGGTATTAAGCCTAGTACCTATTAGTTATTTTTCCTGATCCTCTCCCTCCTGCCACTCTCCACCTTCCAATAAGCCACAGCGTGTGCTGTTCCTCTCTATGTGTTCTCATCATTTAGTTCCCACTTATAAGTGAGAACATGTGGCATTTGGTTTTCTGTTTCTGTGTTAGTTAAGCAAAAATAATTTTTAAAGTCCTCTCTAAATCTGCCACGTAAGGACTAAACACTATCGACATCTATCACATCAGATTTGTCCCTATGCTAACAAGTCATATGGATATTTTGAAAAACAGGATCCTACTATATGCATCAATTTTTCATTTAAAGATACATTGTGAACATCTTTATATATTCATAAAAATTGACTGAAATAACATTTTCCATGACTACGTGAGATCCTACTATATGGATGTGTCATTTCTTTAACCAGTCTTTTATTGTTATCTATATGGATTATTTCTTTTCTCTTTTCTTTCTTTCTTTTTTTTTTTTTTTTTGAGATGACTTCTCACCGTGTCGCCCAGGCTGGAGTGCAGTGGCGTGATCTCGGCTCACTGCAACCTCCACCTCCTGAGTTCAAGTGATTCTAATGCCTCAGCCTCCCAAGTAGCTGGAATTACAGGAATATGCCACCACACCCAGCTAATTTTTGTATTTTTAGTAGAGATGGGGTTTCACCATGTTGGCCAGGCTGGTCTCAAACTCTTGACCTCAGGTGATCCACCCGCCTTGGCCTCCCAACGTGCTGGGATTATAGGCGTGAGCCACCATGCCTGGCCTGGATTATTTCCATTTCTCACTATTACACACAAACTGTTATAAACATCCTTGTGTAGACATCTGTTCATACCTTTTAAATTATTTCCTTTTGATAAATTATTAGAATGGAATTGCTAGATTAGCATGAACACTGATGTTTAAGGCTCTTGATAATTATTTCCCAAATACTCTCCAGAAGGGGGTGTACCAATTTCAATGCTATCAGTAGTAAACAAAAGTGCTTGTTTCTTCATATTGTCACCAGCAATGCGTGTTGGTATGATTTGAATATCCCTTCCAAAACTCATTTTGAAATTCAATTGCCATTGTGATGGTATAAAGAGGTAGGGCCATTAAAAGGTTGTTAGGCCATGAGGGTTCTGCCCTCATGAATGAATTAATATCATAATGTGAGTGGGTTGTTATATAATCAAGTTTGGCCTTCTCTTACTTTCTTGCTCTCCCTTGCGCTTCCTTGCATTCCATATTCTTCCATGGAATGATGCAGCACAAAGGTCCTTGCCAAATGCTGGTGCCATGTTCTTGAGCTCTGCAGTCTCCAGAACTTTGAGCCAAATAAACTCTTTTTCTTTATAAAGCAACCTGTCTGTGGTATTCTGTTATAGCAACACAAATGGAACTAAGATATGAGTTCTCATTCTTTACAACTTTAGCCAATATAATTGGCAAAAAGGTAGGGGAGTCTATTCTCAATCAGATTTTAAGTCATTTCAGAATTTCTCCAAGATACCCCAAGTACCCCACTTTAGTACCTTCCTTTCAGCATATGTATTGTCAAAATGGCTTCCAAAAACTCTGTCCTGATTTATTCTCTTCCCAATTGTGTGTGTCTTCTTTTTTAAAATCCCTATCAACTCTGGGTATTAGTATTCATTTCCATTTTTGTCAGTCTGATAACTGGCCACTTTAGTTGAATACTTAGTGAAATTCTTTACTTGATATCAACAATGGATGAGAATTCTGAATGTTGCCACTTTGAACAGCCTGTGAGTGGCTCCTAACACTGTGACTAGTACTTCCTGTTGAGCCTTTTACATGCTCTCAGACTTCAGGATGCCAGGCATGGCAGAGGTCTTCAGGCACTGGTGGCTTCAGTTGTCCAGGGAGATTTGGCCCACAGTAACAGGTGACTGTGTTCTTTCACTCCTTTTAGCCCTTACCATGGGCACTTGTTATTAAAACTTTATTGGAATAGTCTCTGATCTGAGATGCTGAGATCCTGGGATAGGTAGGTTTTCTCCTGTTTGAAATGGATGGAAAGTGCCAAAAGGAGATGAGAACTTGACATGGGATTCTCTGGGGACCCCAAACTATAAGCAAAGGGCATCCTTGAGTCCCAAATGGGAAGGCCTAGGACTTAATTTTTCTGTAAGCCTCTCTTTGGATAGCTAAGTCTCAAATTATGATTCATACTTGTTCATTAGTCTTCTGGGGACTAGTGAGGAACTCAGTTACTATCTGTAGGGTTGTCTCTGTTAGCAACTGCTCTTCAAGTTTGAGCCAACTTTCCTGTCAACATTAAAATCCAGCTTTGTTACAATCCAGATACCTGATCTTAGAACTTTTGAATCAAAATCTCCAGGGTAGGATCCAGGATTGCAATTGTAAGCATTGCCTCAGGTAATTTGAAAGTGCTTTTAAATTTGAGTAAGTGCTCTCTTAGACTGCTCCCTAATCTTTATTGCGTGTCAAAGTCACCCTGGAATCAAGTTAAAATGCAGATTCTGATTTAGTAGGTCTGAGTGGGGTCAGTGATCCTCCATTTCTAATAAGTTCCCAGGTAATAACTATGCTGCTTGTCTGCAGACTACACTTTGAGTACCAAGGCTCCAATCCATGATCTTCTACTAACTAGTTGGGATTACTTAACTAGTTTTAGAGTGTGGGGAACAAAAGAGACCAGAGAATGCATTGCAGAAGGGAGACATTTCAACTGGGCTTGAGGATGAGTAGGAGCAGAGGAGGGATGGGGAATGGTGTTTCTGAGAGGCCACCTGGTCCTATCAAATTTAAAAATTTTAACTTACCCTCTCTTGGAGCTTCTGTGGGACTCAATGTTTTCTGTAACTCAAATCTTCAGGATCAAAAGCTTCAAATCATCTTGGCGAACCATGTCTTAAGCTGTATGTGGATCTGAAAGAGGAATCATTGTTTCTCTTTTGAAGGTTTTTGTTGTTTTTGTGATTTAGAGATACAGGCTGCCCTCAAAAGACACACAGGAAATTCGTTTAAAAGATTTTGAAAGTTTGATTTGAGAAGGAACGGAGAAAGCGGTGAGTTTTAATTTTTTAAATTGAGTTATAACACACATATAATGAAGTGCATCAACATTAACTGTACAGCTCAGTAAACTTTCATACATATGCACATCTGTATAATCACCACCAAAATCAAGATAAAGGAGGTTTCCAACATCCCAGAAGGTTCATTCAGTGCTTCCATCCAGTCAACACTCCCCCAAAGGAAACTACTATTTTGACATCTCAAATCATAGATTAGTTTCCCTGTTCTTGAATTTCATTAAGTGAAATGATACAGAATGTATTCTTCTATATGTGGCTTCATTTGGTCAGCATTAAAATTTTGAGATTCCTCTGGGCTGTTGCATGCAACCTACTTTCAAAGAGATTCTCCTAAGGCTGGATGCGGTGGCTCACGCCTGTAATCCCAGCACTTTGGGAGTCCAAGGCGGGTGGATCACCTGAGGTCAGGAGTTTGAGACCAGCCTGGTCAACATGGTGAAACCCCGTCTCTACTAAAAATACAAAAAAAAAAATTAGCCAGGCATGATGGCTGGTGCCTTGTAATCCCAGCTACTTGGGAGGCTGAGGCAGGAGAATCACTTGAACCTGGGAGGCAGAGTTTGCAGTGAGCCAAGATTACGCCATTGTACTCCAGCCTGGGTAACAAGAGCAAAACTCTTAAAAAAAAAAAAAAGAGAGAGAGAAAGAGAGACAGAGAGAGAGAGAGTCTCCTAAAATATTTGTAAACTTTGGTTTTGGGAAGATTGGAGAAAGACTGAATGGGTACAACCACAAAGGAAGTGAAATAGCTGATGGGAACATTCAGAAGTGAATGAGACAAGATTGTCAGATCTCTTGGAGCCTCTCTTGGGCTTCTCTTCCTCCCTTTCCTGGATTACACTTACTGTTATGACATAGGCCTGCCAGAGACCATAGCTAGGAGGCAAGGCCTTGGGCTAAGCAATCTCTAGCCCTACAACCCCCTTCATTCAGGCACAGATTTGAACAGAAGACTTTGAGTTCTGATTGAGAAGGCCTATGAATTATATTTTCCATCAGCCTCTCTTTGGACACTTGGTCTCAAGTTATAATTGACACTATTTCAGTAGGTTCCTATAGTTTTCTGTTTTGAGAGAGGCACTCTTGCAGGAATAACTGTAACACAAGAGGGTGTGAAAACCTTATAAAGTAAAAAAACAAGGGTGCTTCAGAAAGAGATTTGCGAGCAGAGTACACAGTGTAAGCAAAAATAGGATGAGGTGTGTGTGGCATTTTCAGAGAATGAGGAATCATCCAGCATGACTGGAGCATAAGAAGAAGGGGGTAAGAAAAAATAAATACAAATACAAATCAAAATGCCAGTGGATAAAGAAGAATGAGAAGGAGGTAAGGTGGGGCATGGATAGATGACGCAAGTAATAGAAAATAGATCTGAAAGGTAGGTTGTGGCCAGATTGAGGAGGCCTTAAATACTACTCTTAGGATCTTGAACTTTGTGGTAAAAGTAAAAACAGAACCACTGGATGTTTTGAGCAGAAATGGAAAATTGAGCAAGATGGTAGCTCTGAGGGCAACATGAAAAATTGATTCAAGGTGGCTGTAGAAGCTTCACTGGGACAAGTAGCATGACAAAGTAGTTAGCACATAGATTCTGGAGTCAGGAAAGCCTCAGTTCCAGTTCTGGTTAAAATTCTAGCCCTGCCATTTACCAAGTGTGTGGCCATATGTATGTTACCTAACCTCACTGAGCCTAAAGAATGAGGAAAACAATAACATCTACCTTTCAATGATATTGTGGGGATTAAAGGAGATCATGCAAATGAAGTACAAGGCACCTGGCCAGGTGCAGAGTAAGTGCTCAATAACTTGTATTGACTATTATAATTAACGGTATCAGCTGCTGTGACCTTTGGGGTGCTGAGGCCTCTGAGAAGGGTGCATTTGTACTAAGGAGGCTGATGCCTAAGTCCTTTTTGTGCTGGTTCTGAGACAGTTCTTTCTGCTTTGTAACCTGTTCTCTTTGGGGCCCTGGAATGTGTTTGCTGATGCAGAGAGGTCCCCTTTCTACCTGCTGGTTTGCCTGGCTTGTGATTCCCAGCTGTGTCCCAGAGAGCCCTGTGATTTAAGGTTGGACTTCAAGTATATCCTTACTTGGAATCCTTTGTCGGGTTTACTGTAGGAGTCCCATCCTAGGGGAGACCCAGAGTCCAGACAAAGAGCAGTGAGGTAGAGTGAAGATGCCTTAAAAACTCAACCCAGAAGCTCCCTGCAGCCTGCTCAATCAGTGAACTCCAGGAAGAATGTGGAGTTTCTCATTTAGCCAATGGGGCTTTTCATTATTGCATCCCAGGACGAATCTGGAGCCCTTTTTTCTCTTAAATGCCAATGACCTCTCAGGGACAGAGACTTTGTTACAGGTACTGAGAATTCCCCATCCCAGCTACTTAAGTGGTGAGCTTTTGACAGACACAAAATCCACTCTTATTCACCTGGACTAAATTGTACTCAACAGACAAAAATGGCAGCTCTGGGAAGCAGTGAGCTCTCCATTCCTGGAGGCGTTTAAACTAGACTATTGCTTGCTGGTGGTATATATGTGTTGTGGGGTGGTGGGGGCGGGGGTTGGTTAGAGTCAATTCCAGTGTTTTATAGGTTGTTGGACCAGATGACTCTCTAAAGTCTCATCTAGTTTTGAGGTTCTGTGATGTACTTAAGTTCACCTGTGGGCTTATTTGCCTACCCAGACAAATCAGCCAATCTTTGCTGCTATTCAGCTGACAACAAAAACTATCTTGTCATATCAGTTTTTCTGTAGATCCTGAACGCCTCTGGTTTAACAAGCTGTACTTCACCACTCAAATAGCAATGGTCCTTACAGAAAAATTGGTGAGGCAAGTCCAAATCTACCATTCACCCATTAACTCTGCCATGAGCTCCTTGTGGGGACAACACTCCTCCCCATAGGGAACAAGTCCAGAGAACCTACCACGGAGCTACTGCAGGGAGCTTTTCTATTGATGTCCACTTGCCACCTGAGCTCTGTGGACTGTTCTCACTCCCAAGAGGAAAAACTCATGGAGGGAATGAGAGGTGATGTAGGGAGGGGCACCATGACTTGGTAGTTATGAACTTGAGCTCTAGGGCCAGACTTCCTGCCTTTAAAGCCTAGCTCTCTTCTTGACTAGCTAAACAAGCTTAGGCAAATTATCTAACTTCTCAGGGCCTCAGTTTTTCCATGTAGAAAAGGGGCTAACATGGCCGGGCGCGGTGGCTCACGCCTGTAATCCCAGCACTTTGGGAGGCCGAGGCGGGTGGATCATGAGGTCAGGAGATCGAGACCATCCTGGCTAACAAGGTGAAAACCCGTCTCTACTAAAAATACAAAAAATTAGCCGGGCGCGGTGGCGGGCGCCTGTAGTCCCAGCTACTCGGGAGGCTGAGGCAGGAGAATGGCGTGAACCCGGGAAGCGGAGCTTGCAGTGAGCCGAGATTGCGCCACTGCAGTCCGCAGTCCGGCCTGGGCGACAGAGCGAGACTCCATCTCAAAAAAAAAAAAAAAAAAAAAAGAAAAGGGGCTAACATTTCACCTCCCTCATAGAGCAGATGTGAGACAAATAGTGTTTAAATATTTGTTGTTATTATTACTAAGTGAGATTTTATATTTATTTCATTCACTTGCATTCACTTAAGAAACAAATCCAAAGTTCTTAGTTTGTTTAATCTTCCTGAACCTCCTTCCTTCCCCCTTCCTTCCACAGCCATTGTCAGAGAAACAGCTGAAGAACCCTACATTGATTTGCTATAAGGCTTATGGCTGGCCTTTCCTTGAAGAAACTGCAATTTTTCTGGGGAAAAAAAATGTTAAGACAAAAGAATTAATTGCCAGTGATAGAATTCTTGGCACATACCAGAAGGTGGGGGACAAGTTTAGGATACAGAGGTGCCTGCCAACCAGAAGGAAGAAAGTTGCCTGACAAGATTGTTCATATGACAGCTTCAAGTCCCCCATTATGTTTCCTGGATATAGAGTCCCTCAGGTGTTGGAGAGAGTTTTACCTGAAGAGAAGTCTTAGAAAGCAGGGCTGCAGGCTGGGCATGGTGGCTCATGCCTGTAATACCAGCACTTTGAGAGGCCAAGGTGGGCAGATCACCTGAGGTCAGGACTTTGAGACCAGCCTGGCCAACATGGCAAAACCCCATCTCTACTAAAAATACAAAAATTTGCTGGGCATGGAGGCAGGCGCCTATAATCCCAGCTACTTGGGAGGCTGAGGCAGGAGAATAGCTTGAACCCAGGAGGCAGAGGTTGCAGTGAGCCAAGATCATGCCACTGCACTCCAGCCAGGATAAGAGTATCTGCCTAAAGTCAGACTGCCTGCATTTAGAGCCTGACACCTCCACATACTAGCTGTGTGAACTTGGGCAAGTCACTGTACCTCTCCAGGCCTCTGTTTCTTCATCTGCAAAATGGGGACCATAACAGAACTTCCTTCATAGTGTTGTGGAAATTAAATAGGTTAATCCATGTAAAACACTTTCAGAATAAACAGCACCAGCACATAGTAAATACTCAATAAATGTCATCTTAAATTGTAGCTCCCATAATTCCCACGTGTCACGGGAGGGACCCAGTGGGAGGTAATTGAATCATGGGGGTTGGTTTTTCCCTTGCTATTCTTTTGATAGTGAATAACTCTCACAAGATCTGATGGTTTTATAAAAGGCAGTTCACCTGCACATACTCTCTTACCTGCTACCATGTAAGATGTGCCTGTGCTCCTCCTTTGCCTTCAGCCATGATTGTGAGGCCTCCCCAGCCATGAGGAACTGTGAATCCATTAAAAGTCTTTTCTTTGTAAAGTACCCAGTATCAGGTATTTCTTCACAGCAGTATGAAAATGGACTTAAACACTTTCCTTTTGCTTATTATTCCCCCTTTCCTCCAGAGAGATAGCCTAGAAGTATTTATAGTATTTATAGAGTTCCTACTATGCACCTGCATTAGTTTGCCAGAGCTGCCATAGCAAAATACCACAGGCTGGTTGGCTTAAACAACAGACACTTGTTTTCTCACAGTTTTGGAGGCTTGAAGTCCAAGATCAAGGTGTCAGCAGGGTTGGTCTCTTCTGAGGCCACCTCTATTTAGCTTGCAGAAGGCTGCTCCTCACATGGCCATCCCTCTGTGCATGTGCATCCCTGTGTCTATTCCTTTTCTTAGAAGGACACCGGTCAGATTGAAATAGGGCCTCATCTTACCAGCCTTATTTTAACTTAAGCACTTCTTTAAAAACCTTATCTTCAAGTATGGTTACATCCTGACATACTAGGCATTGGAATTTCAAAATTCAAATATTAGGTGGACACAATTCAGCCCATTACAGTGCCCAACTCAATCCTCTGTATTGTGGGGGGATACAGAAGAGGCAAGGGTTACATTCTTGCCCCAGAGGGGTTACGATTCAGTTGTGGAAATGAAACTAAAATACAAACCAATCACTAAAGTTCCAAGCCAGTATGTCTTTAAGCACTAACTTCTGCTGTGGGAGCACATCAGGGAAGTGAATGAGGGATGAAGGCTGTGTGGCCAAGTCAGTTTACCTGTAGGAGATAGGGCTAGAATGTGGGATAAGAATTTACACAGGAAAAGGGAGAGGAAGGGCATTCCAGACAGCAAAACAGTATGATCTGAGGACTGAATTTTTATGTCTATGGGACAGAGAAAAGCTAGCTAGACTGCAGCTGATGCCACAATTCCTGATCTCCTGTTTTCATGCCTAATATATTCCTAAAAACGTATGTAGAACTTTGAATGTGTGAAAAACTATTTGACATGATATGAAGAAAGGATGGGGGTGTTCCCAGAAAACTAAAAATTTTCTTGAAAAGCCCAGATCAATCGGCAATGATACATTCACAGCATTTTGTACATGTTCTCTAATTGCATTCTTCTCCTTCACAATTGAGCCTCCAGTGGCCCATGTCCAAAAATGAGGTCCAAACACTAAGATTAATGAGTCCCTAATTTTGACCATGTAACGATTCCCATCTTTATCCTAATCATATTATATTTAAGAGACTTGAGCTTCTTTTCACTAGTTCCAACACTTTTATTATTCTGTTTACTTTCCATTCCCCCCCCCTTTTTTTTTTGACACAAATTCACCCAAGCTGGAGTGCAGTGGCTCAATTATAGCTCAGTGCAACCCTGATTCTCTGAGCTGAAGTGATCCTCTTGCCTCAGCCTCCCAAGTAGCTGGGAATGTATGCCTGGCTAATGTTTTTATTTTTAGTAGAGATGAGGTGTCACTATGTTGCCCAGGCTGGTCTTGAACTTCTGGGTTCAAGCAATCCTCCTGCCTTGGTCTCCCAAAGTGCTGGGATTACAGGTGTGAGTCACCACACCCGGCTCCATTCACGTTTACAAAGACTGAATGCAAAAAGAGAAATCACTTGAACCACTGTAACCAAAGAAGGTAATGTTGTTGAAACAGGTAGTATCCAAAAGTGACACCTCAAAATGCCCATTTAGTGACTATTCAGTAGACCACAGTAAGTGTAGTGATGGCAGGTTTAAGGGATCAATGTAGAATGTACAAAGCGCTGAATGTGTGAAGATGAGGAAGCACGCCTATGCCCCATAAGAGATAGAGATCACCAGAGATCTGGTGCCTTGGAAACCCATACTCTTCTCCCAAAAGTTACAATCTATTCCTGAGACTACAGGACAACACAGCCAGCCATTTTGAATAAAGCTTTACCAAGCAGGCCTAATATTTCATTTTGATTTTGAATGGATTTATGTAGCTTTAGGTGGTTGATCTCCTTTAGCAACTTAGTAGAAACCGCTTGAAGTCAGGATCTTAATTACAAACTGCCTCAGTTCAATAGGCACCCTAGCACTTTCTAACGAATATATTTTCCTCTTTGCCCTGTTTTAACTTTCTTTTTAAAAATATTTTATTTTTAATTGACAAATAATAATTGCATATATTTATGGGGTATGATGTGATGTTATTGTACCCCACATCGGGTACAATGAGATACATATATACATCCTGGAATGATCAAATCAGGCTAATTCACATATCTATCACCTCAAATATTTATCACTTCATTGTGGTGAGAACATTTAAAATCCTCTCTTTTAGCTATTTTAAAATGCATAATACATTCTTATTAACTATAGTCACTGTGCTGTGCAATAGATCACCAGAACTTATCTCTCCTATCTAACTGGAACTTTAGTCCACCTCACCCTCCCAGGCTCTGATAATCACCATTTTACTCTCTTTTTACTTTTTGAGATTCCACATATAAGTGAGGTCATACAATATGTGTCTCTCTGTGCCTGGCTTATTTCACTTAGCATAATGTCCTCTAGGTTCATCCATGTTGTAGCATGTGACAGAATTTCCTGTTTTTTATTTTATTTTATTTTATTTTTTATTATTATACTTTAAGTTCCAGGGTACATGTGCACAACATGCATGGTTGTTACATATGTATACATGTGCCTTGTTGGTGTGCTGCACCCATTAACTCGTCATTTACATTAGGTATATCTCTTAATGCTATCCCTTCCCCCTCCCCCCACCCCACAACAGGCCCCGCTGTGTGATGTTCCCAACCTGTGTCCAAGTGTTCTCATTGTTCAATTCCCACCTATGAGTGAGAACATGTGGTGTTTGGTTTTCTGTCCTTGCAATAGTTTGCTGAGAATGATGGTTTCCAGCTTCATCCATGTCCCTACAAAGGACATGAACTCATCCTTTTTTATGGCTGTATTCCATGGTGTATATATGCCACATTTTCTTAATCCATCTATCATTGATGGACATTTGGATTGGTTCCAAGTCTTTGCTATTGTGAATAGTGCCGCAATAAATATATGTGTGCATGTGTCTTAATAGTAGAAAGATTTATAATCCTTTGGGTATATACCCAGTAATGGGATGGCTGGGTCAAATGGTATTTCTAGTTCTAGATCCTTGAGGAATTGCCACACTGTCTTCCACAATGGTTGAACTAGTTTACACTGCCACCAACAGTGTAAAAGCATTCCTATTTCTCCACATCCTCTCCAGCACCTGTTGTTTCCTGCCTTTTTAATGATTGCCATTCTAACTGGTGTGAGATGGTATCTCATTGTGGTTTTGATTTGCATTTCTCTGATGACCAGTGATGATGAGCATTTTTTCATGTGTCTGTTGGCTGCATAAATGTCTTCTTTTGAGAAGTATCTGTTCATATCCTTTGCCTACTTTTTGATGGGGTTGTTTGATTTTTTCTTGTGAATTTGTTCAAGTTCTTTGTAGATTCTGGATATTAGCCCTTTGTCAGATGGGTAGATTGCAAAAATTTTTTCCCATTCTGTAGGTTGCCTGTTCACTCTGATGGTAGTTTCTTTTGCTGTGCAGAAGCTCTTTAGTTTAATTAGATCCCATTTGTCTATTTTGGTTTTTGTAGAATTTCCTGTCTTTTTTAAATGGTTGAGTAATATTCTATTGTATATATATATATATATGTATATATATACATATACATATACATATGTTATATATATAAATGTTATATATGTGTATATATATATATATAACATTTTCTTTATCCATTCAGCCATTGATGGACACTTAGATTGATTCCATATTTTGGCTATTGTGAATAATGCTGCAATGAACATGGGAGTGCTGATATCTATGAGAGGCTAATATTCTTTCCTTTGGATAAATATCCAGTACTGGGATTGCTGGACCATATGGTAGCGCTATTTTTAGTTTTTTGAAGAACCTCCATACTGTTTTCCAAAATAGCTGTACTGATTTACAATACTACCAACAGTGTGTGAGAGTTCTTTTTGTTCCATATGCTCACCAACACTTGTTATCTTTCATCTTTTTGATAACAGCCAATCTAACAGGTGTGAGGTGATATCTCATTGGGGTTTTAATTTGCATTTCTCTGATGATTAGTGATGTTGAGTATTTTTAAAACATCTGTTGCCAGTTTGTATGTCTTCTTCTTCTTTTTTTTTTTTTTTTTTTTGAGATAGAGTCTCACTCTATCGCCCAGGCTGGAGTGAAGTGGCATGATCTTGGCTCACTGCAACCTCTGCCCACTGGATTCAAGCAATTCTCCTGCCTCAGCCTCTTGAGTAGCTGGGACAGGTGCCCGCCACCATGCCCAGCTAATTTTTGTATTTTTAGTAGAGATAGGGTTTTGCCATATTGGCCAGGCTGGTCTCGAACTCCTGACCTCAAGTGATCCATCCACCTCGGCCTCCCAAAGTACTAGGATTACAGGCGTGAGCCACTGCACGTGGCCTGTATATCCTCTTTTGAGAAATGTCTATTCAAATTATTTGCCCATTATTTTTTGCGACAGCCTCTCATTCTGTCACCCAGGGTGGAGTGTGGTGGCACACTCTCAGCTCACTTCAACCTCCGCCTTCCATTGCCCATTTCTAATACGGTTATTTATTTTCTTGTTACTAAGTAGTTTGAGTTCTTTGTATATTTTGGATATTAGCCCCTTATCCATTGTATGATTTTAAAATATTTTCTTCCAATCTGCATATTGTCCCTACACTCTGATGATTGTTTCCTTTGTTGTGCAGAAGCTTTTTAGCTTGATGTAGTCCCATTTGTCTATTTTTGCTTTCGTTGTCTGTACTTTTGGGGTCATATCCAAGAAACCTCTGCCCAGACTAGTGTCATGGAGCTTTGCCACCTATGTTTTCTTCTAGTAATTTCATAGTTTCAAGTCTTACATTTAATTCTTCAATCCATTTTGAATTGATTTTTGTATTTGGTGTGAAATAAGGGTTCGATTTCATTCTTCTGTATATGGATATTCAGTTTTCCCAATACCATTTATTTAAGAGACTGTCTTTTCCCCATTGTATGTTCTTTGCACTTTGGCCAAAAATCAATTGACTGTAGATACACAGATTTATTTCGGGGCTCTCTATCTTATTCCATCGGTCAATGTGTCTATTTTTATGCCAATACCATGCTGTTTTGATTACCACTACTTTGCAATGTATTTTGAAATCCAGGCATGCAATTCTTCTATCTTTGTTCTTTTTAGTTAAGATTGCTTTGGCTATTCAGGAACTTTTATGGTACCATATTCATTTTAGGATTTTAAAAATTTTTTTCTATGAATGACATTGCATTGAAATTTTGATAGAGATCACTTTGGGTAGTGTGGATATTTTAATAATATTATTTCTCTGGAGAATAATTTTACACAAGATTTTGGAATAAAGATTAATACTGATTTAATTACCTTTTACCAAAGAAAATGGCATCCAAGCCTGCTTCCTTTCGCCTTGGCACACTTTTCTCTAAGTAACTGGTGATGAAACAGCCCATTTTTCACTTCCTCCTGCCCATCTCTCCCCTTTGCCTAAGCTGACTTGGGAGTTACTTAGGTCAATTTTTTTTTCTATTTTTCTTTTCTTTCTTTTTCTCTTTTTTTCTTTTTTTTTTTTTGATGGAGTCTCCCTCTGAAGTACAGTGTTGCGATCTCGGCTCACTGCCACCTCCACCTCCCGGGTTCAAGCTATCCTTCTACCTCAGCCTCCCAGGTAGCTGGGACTACAGGAGAATGCCACCATGCCCAGCTAGTTTTTGTATGTTTAGTAGAGACGGGGTTTCACCATGTTGGCCAGGCTAGTCTAGAACTCCTGGCCTCAAGTGATTCGTCTGCCTTGGCCTCCCAAAGTGCTGGGATTGCAGGCATGAACCTTTGGTCAATTTTCACATCTCTGATGCACAGAGCTAACCCAGAGCTTAAAGTGTGGCCAACTCAGGAACCATATAAGAATCGAATGGACAAACTTTACAAATTTTGGTTAAATTGATTTACCTTTGGCAAATTGCTGTATTTACCTCTTAGCAAATTACTACCAAAATTTAGAAATTATTTAGTTCAACATTCTACTTGTGGCGTAAATACTGTCTAGATTTTGCAGGAAAAGATGGTGATAGTAAGTGCTCCATATGTTGTGGGCTTTCAACTTTTTTCAAAGCACTCTCACATACTGAATCTCATTTTATCCTCATAGGAACTCTAGGAGGTAAAGTAAAACAAGAAGCATTATCTCCACTTTATAGCTGAGGAAACTTACCTACCATATATGGAACACACACACACACACACACACACACACAAACACACACACTGTTCAGGGTGAAGGCTGTGCTTGCCAGCACTTGGCCAGCTGTGCCCCAAAGTGCAGCTCAGCCACTGTTTGGCCCTAGCAGCCTTTAAGCAGCCATGTGTATCCTGGACTGCTGTCTAAGTCCCTGGCATAGCACCTAGCACAATGCTTGGCAAATGGGGATTAGTCAACAAATGTTTGTAGAATGATTGAATAAATGAACCAGTACAAAAAGATTTCATACCCACAATCAGTGCATATGAAAAATTTAAGATGATGAACAACTTTAGAATCTGAGAGTGTGAGAGGAGACAGAGACAAAGGATACAGAATTAAAACCAGGAGGTTGTTTAGGGAAAGGGGAATGATCAGTGTCTACTCCCTTAGTCCCTCATTTTAAAATATCACAAAATGGACAGAATCACTACTTGTCAACAACTAAGAGAAAATCATAACATATGAACCTCCAACAATGGCTAAAGAGGAAAAACAGGACCCAGTCACTCGTCTTTAAGTAGAACTCATGTTCACAAATACAGTCAAAGCACTTAGACTCCTTAGAGTTCTAGGTTTCATATGACACCAGAATTCTTTCTATTCCCCAGCAGGATATGGGGGAGGGAAGACAGGTAGATGCAAAGAAGAGGAACGTGCTGTGTAATTAAACTGGTAAATCGTTGTCTTTTGAGAAAAAATATGGCTTCTTGATATTTGATTTTGTAACTTCAATATCAGCACAAATGCCAGAGTCAGTCTGTGTATCGGGAAGGGCACGGCTTTCAAGGCTCAGGCGGCATATTAACCAACTCACAGGGGGTGGCCGTTTTACATATATTCTCTTCAAAGAAATACAGCATAGGCCGCCACCATTTTGCTGTGGTCCCTTTGCAGCAATAAAATGGTGGCATAAATGAAAACTTTCAGATCAAACACATATGAGCTGCCTGTCATCAGCTTTGGTTTCTTCCCAACTTGCATGTTGATATAGGATGTCTTGAGACCTCAAATAATTTTAAGGGGATTTTGCCTCCAATTGAGTCCTGTAATATTTAAAATGTTCCAACAGACATGGGCCTGTAATGCTCTTTCTTCCAAAACATTACATTCTCACCTCTTAATTGTAATTGCATTTGTAAAAAATACTGCAGAAAAAAAAGTGATAACGGAGGCTAATTTTTAACATGAACAAAAGATTTAAAAAAAAAATCTTTGAAGATGTCCTACAGTGAACCTCAGAACTAAGTCCTAAGCAATTATTTTGCTTATTTTCCAAGACCCTCTCCCCTTTAGTTGCAGGGGCCATGCTGCAAATACAATCCAAAACTAATGCTTTCTAATTTCCATTAGTGATTAATTTAAGCCACAGAATCCAGAGGGTGTGCTGTAAATGCACAGAAATCAGTTCTAAAGGTTTTGGCCTGCTGTTTTCTGCTGGATGATGGTGAATTCTGCAGATGTGGATTTTTTTCCTTAATGATGACATCATCACTTGAGAAGTGGTTTGCTAAGGAACAAACATTGCTGGCCATGGGAAGTTGTCTTTCCCTGTAGGAGTCTGAGCACATCTTTGTCATTATGGCTTCCAATTGTTGATCCAATGCTGCAAGGCATTCAGAAGGGATCTTGCTCCAAATGAATTTCAACTTTCTATTAGGCATATAGACTACCATTTAGATGTTCCTGGGTCTTTCTGATTTCCCACTTGTATTTCTCTCTGGTGTTCTTAATCTATAAACATCTAAATGACAGATTGTTTTAAATAGCAGCTCTGGTTTGTATTCAGTAGTTTCTTTTTTTTCTTTCTTCCTTCTGTCCTTCCTTTCTTTTTTATACATTATATACTTAAACAACCATCCACAATGCAGAAAACGAATTCAATGAACCTACAGCTGTGTTTATATCACTCGATGCCCTCCTGACCCTTTTCAAAATAGCAGGTACATTTTCACAAAGTTGTAATCACTGGACACATAATCGTTTGTGTTCTGCTTTTTTCAATTAACATGATTTCATGTAGACATTTCCACACATTGAAACGTACCACCTGCTCGATGCGCTAATGTCTGTGCAGTGCACCACATAGTTGATATGATATTCTTGGCTTAGCCAGTCTCCTTACTCTTGGGCACTTGGGTTGTTTCCAATTTTCTCCTATTATAAATGGCTTTGCCATAAATATCCTTACAAAATTACCTTTTGTTGTTTGGATTATTTCCTTGGGATATATTCCTATAAGTGAGATTACCAGGTCAAAGGGTAGGGATCATTTTAGGGCTCTTGTATAGACCTCCGTACCATTCAACAGTTCCTGCCTAAATCTTCGGTCCAGGAGACTGCCCCACAGTTCCAATTGAGTTGACCTGTTTTTATGCTTTTCATACCTGAAACACTGTTATTTATGGCTTTAGATAATTTTTTCACTATGATTTTTTACTTTCTTATCCAGAATTTAAAATACTAATACTAATAATTAGTGAGTATTAGGGAGATGACCAGATCTTTTTGAGAAAAAAAATTAAATACTCATTTGAAAATGCAGGATTTCCCTAATAATTAGTGAGTATTAGGGAGATGACCAGATCTTTTTGAGAAAAAAAATTAAATACTCATTTGAAAATGCAGGATTTCATTTGCACACTGTGGCTAGCCAGTGTGAGTCAACCAATAGCCTATGGTCACCACACCGGGGATTGAGTTCTGTCAGAGCCTCCTGTGGGCTTGTCTGGAACTGTCTCATTTAGTTTTCCTTTTTCGGTGAGAAATAAACTTTTATTCTATTTAGACTGATTTTTTTTGTACTGGTTCATTTATTCAATCATTCTACAAATATTTGTTGACTAATCCCCATTTGCCAAGCATTGTGCTAGGTGCTATGCCAGGGAGTTAGGCAGCAGCCCAGGATACACATGGCTGGTTAAAGGCTGCTAGGGCCAAACAGTGGCTGAGTTGCACTTTGGGGCACAGCTGGCCAAGTGCTGGCAAGCACAGCCTTCACCTCGAACAGTGCACCATTTATATCAAATTTTAAAATTGCAGACACAATTATTTACATGCTGAGTTCCATACCTTTGCAAAGGTTCAAGCTGTCAGCATAATATATCTCATTACAACTAGCACCGGGCATGGAAAAGATTAGTTTTCAAGGCTGTGAGTGCAAAACATCAATTAGTCATAGGAGAAAACAGTTAGCTGGCATGCATTCGAGATTTTGCACCTTTGGGAAGGAGAGGAAATGCATTTACTTAATCTTTTATAGCTGAATCAAATGAAAAAGGACACAACAAAACCATTCAATTTGGGTTAGTTGATTCTTTAATCAGCCAAATAATTCCATGCCTCTCAATTGACTGCAAATGCACACAGTGAACAGAGAACAGAGAGAGCCAGGAAAGTGGCCTTTCAATATGCCTTCAATATTCACTAGGAGCATTGCCACACTTGGGTAGGAGGCTACAGAAATCAATAGCAGCTTTCTCGAGCTTCAATCTTGAGAGCTGCAGCTGCCCTGAAAAAACTACCTTTCCTTATGTCACTTTTGATTTCTTTCCTCAAATAAGAGAAGGGCCAGATCCGACAAACATTGACTGAGCCATCACCAAATGTGGAGCCCTGTGGCATAGACTCAAAGGGTTGTTCTGCATAAAAAAGTTGATAAGGAGCTCTAACCTGATGTTCCTACTTGCTCCTGTAGAGGAGTGATCATATTGAGTGGTTTGTATTTTTGAGATAATCTGAAAAATGTGAATATGAACTGGGTATTGCATGATGACAAGGAATCATTGTTAATTTGATTAGCTATGAAAATGACGTCCAGCCTATCTAACAAAATATCTATATCTTCTTAAGATGTGTCTGAAGTACATAGGGTTGAAATGGCACAGCTCTGGCCTTTGCTTTAGTATGATGCAGTCTTAGGCAAGTGGAAAATTGTAGCAAATGAATAATTGAAAGAAGTATGGCAAAATCATAATTACTGTTCAAGCTATGTGATGGCTCCATGGGGCTTCACTATACTTTTTTCTCTATTTTTGTATATTTTAAAATTTTTTCCAATAAAAAGAGTGTGAAAAATGAGTGGCTTAATTTGAGCACAGGTATATTTTTTCTTGTTAGATTGGTAGGATTTTGGAGACAGCTCCTTTGAAAAGGCTAGTTTAAGAAATTAAGAACGGCATTGTTTAATGTTATACGACTTCACATTACTGTGTGCTTTAAGCAACAGTTCCCAAAGCTGAGCACTACAGCCAGCCCACTTAAATGCAGCCAGGCCAGGCACAATGGCTCACACCTATAGTCCCAGCCCTTTGGGAGACTGAGGTGGGAGGATCGTTTGAGGCCAGGAGTTTGAGACCAGCCTGGCCTAAACATAGCAAGAACCTGTCTCTAAAGAGAAAGAAAGAAAAGAAACATAGTCAAAACTGAGTGCAGTGGTGCATGCCTGTAGTCTCAACTACTTGGGAGGCTAAGGTGGGAAGATCGCTCAAGCCCAGGAGTTTGAGTCCAGCCTGAGCAACATAGTGAGATCCTCATCTTAAAAAAAGGTGCAGCCTTATTAGAGATATACAGATGCAAAAAATGTATAAATTGAAGTATGTCATTTCAATATTGAGGGGAGTGAAGTGGGGGCAGGAAATACCAAATCTTGCTAAATAACCAATTACACTGAGACTGGCAAGAGACAGAGACAGCTGTAGCTGTATCCTTACCTTTGCATACAATGATAGCACCATAGCAACTACTAAACCACAAGGTAATTAATCTGAAAGATACCTTTTTTAAACAAAAGTATATATGTAAGTATACTATGGCAGTTCTTCAGTTTGGCAAGAAACTGTCATAGGTGTGAAAAAGTTAAAACTTCTCCAGGCAACATGGAGTACATTACTTTGGTTCCTTATAAAACTCATTGTTTACTCTCAGATTTGGGAGAGGGTTTTTATTATTATTATTATTATTATTCCTTTCTGTAGATGACAGCATAGCTTCATTTTTACTGCTGGGACCCTCTGGAGTCTACAGATGGATTGTTAGGTGAGTTTGCTGGCACCTGAGTAACTAAGCCTGTGTCCTGTGGGAGCTTTTTTCTTTGAGATGATCCCTTCTGCAACTTCCCACAATACAATTTCCCTTCAACTGGAAAAGGTCTCCTCTGCATAAGAGACAGCGCCCCTGATTGACAAGGAGGGGTCCTGAATAATGGGCATCTAAAGTAGACATGCATCTGTAAGAAGAAAAAGTCACCATGCTGGGACCTGGGGTTGCACTGTAAACAATTGTTTACCTGCGCTACTGTACCTGTATCTGTGCTATTCTAGCAGGATATTCAAATGAAGTCTTTCCTTCACACACTACTAGGACTGTGCTGGAGGGGGAAAACCAAGCTAGTCTCTGGAACTATCCCTGATATTAAGGGCCATTTCTAAAATCACAAACTGAGAAGTCCCTGAGATACAGAATTTAGGAACTTTAAACACTTTTCTTCAGTGCATTAAGGAAAGCTTGTGTCTAAGTTTATATTTGAAAATGATCCTCAGGCTTTGAAAAATCATTATCTCCCTGCCAATTGATTAAAATGATTGATCTGGCATTGACTGCACTGAACAGAGATGTGGCCTGGCAGCTGCCTTTGGAGAGCAGCCAAATCTGCTGGGACCCAGCCACTTCAGGCACAGATGTGCTTGCCTTTCCTGAATGGAGGTCTTCCAGAAACATTGGCTGTGACGTCTGGCTATGTAAATTAAACCGTATTTCCCTCAACAACCTCTGTCATAAAGTTATAGCTGTTTTCATGAGGATTCTCTGGCTACTAAGAAGAAATACAAATCACATTTTAAAATGTGACAGAGTTTTTTTTTTCCCACAATATAAAAAGTGACAAGGCTTTCAAAAATCACATATTTCAAGTTAAAGCATTCTTTCATAGTAAACGATTAGAAATACTGCTCTGATTACATCTGAAGGAGAAGGCGCATCCTGTGTGTTGCCTCAGTTGTTAAATGTATTCCATTGCTCACCTTTCCCTATATAAATATTTTCTTTGAAAACTCAAAGCATTTAGCTGCCCCTTCTGTGAAAGGGTTTATCATATAGTAAATCTCTGAACTGTTTATTCATTTAATCATCCTGTTCAAGGCTGTCAGTAGTTGCAATGTTTTCTCAATGCCCTTTTAAGTTCAGTATGGAGAAAACATCTTATCTTTCTGCATAGTTGAGGCATTGGATGCTAGCTGAAAGATAATTACCATAAATTTTAACTTCTCTGGGTATATCCTACATAATGAGTTATAGATCCCACTTAAGTGGGATCCACCTGTATTTGGAAAGTATCAGTGAACATTCTTACAATTGAAGTTTTCTTACTATTACTTTTCCCTCTCATTTGGTCCCCATTCGTTGGGTATTATCATAGTAGTGGGCATGTTCATATAGTTATTTCTGAATAATAATGGAGTTTAAGGCTTTCAACACTTCTCCCAGGATAAAAACAAAGTGATATTTAAGTTGTATTTCATGAGAATAAACATGTGAATTTCTTCAGGGTTAGTTCCCCACCTGGAAGTTAAAATAATATACTATATCCCTCCGGAGGGTTTACACTAGCCTCCCTGATACTCTGCCTAAGATATATTTTTCTGGAAGTGTCCAACCCAGCTGAAAATAGCTTTAGTTGGTTACTTTATTTAGAAAAATAGTTAAAACTATATTTCAGCTAAAAAAAAAACCTAAACAAAATGGAAATTCAGGTACTATTGTAACATTACTCATTTCTCCAAAGGATGTGTTTTCTTGAGTGTCTTAGGGAGGCTAATCAGAAATACTCTACATCTATTTTTTAAATTTTTTTTCTGGAAAGTTAGAGCTCTCAAATATCATGAAATACAATTTCCCCTCAACTGGAAAAGGGCTCCTCTGCATAACAGATAGTGCCCCTGATTGACAAGGATGGGTCCTGACTAACGGGCATCTATGAAGTAGGCATGCATCACTAAGAAGAAAAATTCACCATCCTAGGTCCTGGGGTTGCACTGCAAACCATAGTTTGCTGGGCTACTTATGGAAATGAATCAATAAAAAATACAAATCTCAACCTAAATAAAATCTTAAAGAAAAATTGTAACAATGCAAATGGGATTCATTCACAGGAAACTTCTCTTTATTCTTAAAAGGTGACTTTCTTTTAAGTCACAATGTTTGAAAAGCCCAACATGAGTTTCTGTCTGTGTCTACATAATGCTAAGCATCTGGATTAAAATGGAAAAATATGTATTTCTCAGCACAACAAATATTTGCAAATATCCATAGCATTGACTGTTTCAGTCAATTGAGGTTATGTAGAAAGAGCAAATGTTACATGCACCGATATGCCAACTACTCACTAATAACCCAGATTTAATTTCCTCCCAAAGTATCATGATATTCATTAATTTGACAGTGTATCTATTGCTACTTCCAATGAAGACACATATACAAAAGACTCCTGGCTGCATTTTAAATGAAAACGTGCAACATATTAGGATCAATCATTTGTCTGATGTTGGTAAATTCATTGTTTTTTTTTTTTTCATTTCAAAAATTTTACTCTACTTATGGCATGGCCTTTCCCTGTTAGTCTGTAGGCGCATCATTAATAAATGCTTCTGCAAATATGATTATGCAAAGAACAAATGAATATTGATTAAACTGAATAATGCATTATTTTCTAGGATAAGTATATTAAATTAACTCACAGTGAACAAACAGCATGAATTAAACTAGTTAATTTTTTGAAGCTGTAACTAGCTTATTTTGCACTGCTATGAACATTCAGATCGAAATTTGAAACAGCACTGATTTTTCCTTTCTTCTTAATTATGATTTTTAAAATGTGTATAAGTAATAGTAGTTTCTTAAAGGAAATTTGGAAAATGCAGATCTGTAGAAAGAAGAGAACACTTATGGCCTCTTCATTCAGACACAACCTTTGTTAATATCTGTGCTTTCTAGTTTCATTGTCAATTGCATGTTTCAGTCTTTTAAAATGTTTACTTCTTTTCTGTATTATGATACAAACTTTAAAATTCGATCTTACTGTTTTTCTCTACCTTCTTGTGTTTACTTAGGTTACAGCTACTTATTACTGAACTAAATCAATCACATTAGAAAACAAATGAATTATTTCAAAGCTCCAAGTATTGGTTTTTAGGCTAGTCTTGTTTGAAACTATGCTTTTTCAGAGAATATAAGGAAGTTTCTAGAATTATTTGTTTGTAGCAGTAAGAAGTAAGATAACAATTGCTTGGGGATGGGGAGGGAGTCTGAATTGCCAGATGGTTTAGTTACAGGTAACAGTAGGTATTCCCTAACTGCTAACTACTAACATCATGTATCAGGTACTTGACATGTACCATACCTTTTTACCCTCGAACAATCCTGTGAAGTGGGTGACATGAGCATTTCGATTTTCAAGAGGGGAAACTGAGTCTCAGAGAGTTTAAGTGAGTTACTCGAGATCACACAACTAAGTGGCAATGTCAGGTTTTGGATTCAGGCAGTCTGACTCTTGAGAATGCATTCAAACCTATGCGATGCAGGTAGAAGGATGTGATGCCAAGAAGTATTTCCAATGCCCTGAGCACGTTCTGGCCAGTGCTTCCAACCTTTGGATACTAATAAATCCTAAAGCAGGAGACCACAGGAGGGACTTTGAAAGCATCATTATCTCCAAAGTCTATCTACCCCATTACTACTCCATGAGTTAATTATAAACTAGAATCAAATGCTACATTCTTCCTATATCCCAGTCTTGAGAGAAATCCTTTGTGTTAACTTGAGTCAACTTAAGAAGATCCAAGCTCCCCAGCCCACTCCATCACTTCACCTCACCCTTCCAACCCTCACTCTGAACTTGCAAGCATCACATTTCTCTGCCTTCTGTCAGGCTGATAGAAGTGTGGCCCAAGAATTGGGACTTGCAAACCCTGCCACTCGTCACTGATGGCGGTAAATGCTTACAGAGCAATTTGGAGTATCACGGTATAGAACAGGCTTAGAGGGCTCAGAAAGTTGTGATCTAAACAGATGTCTTTTTTTTATGGACCAAAGACACATTCTCTTTTATTTTTTCTTTTTATTTATTTATCTATTTATTCATTTATTTTTAGAGACAGGTTCTCACTCTGTCTCCCAGTCTGGAGTGCAGGCACAATCAAGGCTCACAACAGCCTTAACCTCCTAGGCTCAAGTGATCCTCCTGCCCCAGCCTCCCAAGTGGTTGGGACTACAGGGGCACGCCACCATGCCTGGCTAATTTTTTTCCCATTTTTTGTAGAAATGAGGTCTTGCTATGTTGCTCAGGTTGGTCTTGAACTCCTGGCCTCCAGCAATCCTCCCACCTCAACCTCCAAAGTGCTGGGATTACAGGCGTGAGCCACCACACCCAGTTGATCACATTCTCTTCTCTATCAGATATCCTGGATGACCTATATTGCAAGGATGGGATACAGTAAAGAAAGGATGAATCTTTGTCTCCTAGGAGAGGAAAACAAGCCACCTTCTGTTGGTATAAATGACCATGGTTTCAAATGGGCATAGCATTGAGAGTGGGAGGAAAGAAGTGGACAAGTTGTTCCTCCTGCCCAGCAACCTGACCACAGCACTGCAACATTCCCCCTGTGATGGTTACAACAGGTACATGGCTTCCTGGTCTCCTCTCTTGGCTCCTCCACCCCCGACTCATGCTGTACTCAGCAAAGTGCCCTTTCTCAAATATAAATCTGATCATGTCACTGTCCCACTTCAGACCAATCAATGCCACCCAAGTCCTTTACTCTAACCTACAAGGCCCTCCCGCTTTCTCACCTCTTTTACTCCAAGGCCTGCCACCCCAGGTCCTTGCACATGCTATCTCCTCCGCCAGACACACTCTCTCCTTCCTTTCTCTCCACTGCACTTGCTCCTTCTCTTTCAGTTCTCAATGTAAAGATCTCTTGTCCCAAGAAATCTTCTCCGACGTAGCCTCCTCACCACTGCTGATTAAATTAGATCCCCCAGTTGTACCTTCCCATAGCACCCTACCCTTCTCCTTCAAGGCGTTTATCCAATGTGTCGTCATTAAGTGTTAGATGTCTGTATTTCTTGCTAGACCATAAGTTCAAGGAGGGCACGGACCAGGTATGTATTCTTCATTACTGATTCTCTGGAGTCTAACCAGGGAAGGCACCGAGATAGAATGTATGATTAGAGGTTAGTTAAGCAATAAGGGCAATAAATGAAGGGGATGTCCTTCTGGGGGAAAGGACTGAATGAGCAAAGGCATGGAGCTGAGTCAGTGCAGCAATCTGCATGTAGCTCAATAGTATTAGAATTTAAACTATACAAGAGGGAGTGGAATCACCTGAGACCAGGGAAGGGGTGAAGGCCAGATAAGGACACAATCTGTGTGGGGGATAGTGAGCTGACATCTTTCACCAGAGGTGAAGACCCTTATCGAGAAAGCTGAAGGTAAGGCTGAAGAAGTAGTCTGGGGCCAGATGTGCACAGCTTTGAGTGTGCTACTGGCATATAATGGTGAGACAGGGAGCATCATTCATCCAGTCAACAGATAGTCGCTGAACATTTGTGGTGCACCAAGCACTGTGCTGAGCCCTGAGGATACCAGGGTGCCTTCAAGGATCTGATAATTCTGTGAGTTGTGTGCTTGCGTGTATGTTTCCAGGAAGATCAATAGTTTGTATCACATCCTCAAAAGGATTCAGGAAGAGGAACATCTGGAAACAGAATTTAGGGGGTGGGATCTACAGACTCTCCTCAAACACATCCACAAACCCCATTTAAGACTCTCTTTTGGAGATGTATGTTGCAACCATCAGCCACAGAACAGCTGGAATGAGGACAGGGACTGGGTCAATTTTTGTCCATCATTTCTTCCTCAGTGCCTAGAATAGAAATCTCAAACTTACCATGGTTTATAGCAAACTCATGGGTTTCCACACCACCGCCCCTACCCCTACCTCCTCAACCTACTTCTTCCCCAGTTTTCTCCTTCTCAGTAATGGCTCCACCACCCACGGTTCCTCACATCCTTGATCGCTCTCTTTGTACCACCCCCATATCCAATCCATCAGCAAACCCTGAATCTGCCTGCCCCATCCACCTTCAGTGCCACAGCTTTAGTCCCAGCCCCAGTCCTTTCGTGTCTGAACTCACTGCAATGGCTTCTTGACCAGTCTCCCTGCTTCTTGCCACTCTTGCTCTCTCTGGTCCATTCCTCACCTTTGTGACAGATCCTCTCATTTCCCACTAGCTCTCCATAATTTCCCAAGGCACTGAGAATCAAATCCAAACCTTCTACCCTGATCTATAATGCCCTCCACATCTGGTCCTTGCCAACCTCTTTGAACCTCATCTCCTTCCATGTTTTCCTCATCATTCAGGACCCTCCAGTCACAGGGTCCTTTGAGCATTTCCCCATCATGGGGAGTCCCATTCTGCCTTAGAGCTTGTGAACTTGCTGCTCCCTCTGCCTGGAAACTCTTCTTTCTAATCCATCAGGTGGTTGCAGCTCAATCTTCCCTTCTCAGAAAGTCTTTCCTCTTTTATTGTCTTTCCAGCACTTACCTCTATGGGAAATTAACTTGTTAATTAATTTCTTTGCAAGTTAATTTGTTTTAACCCTCTCTAGAATGTAAGCTCCCTGAGGGCAGGAATCTTGCTGCTGTTGTTGTTGTTGTTGTTAACCCTTGTATCCCCAGCCCCTAGAACAACGTATGGCATTTTATAGGTGTTGAAGAAATATTTGTTTATTGAATAAATATGTTTTGAGAATCGATTAGGATACTGAAAGGTAAATACCATTGACTGTGTTGAGCATGTCTTTGAACCTCTCTGGGCTTCAATTTCTTTATCTGCAAAATGAGGCTAATCATAATTGTTCTTCCCTATAGGCATGGCATGAGATTAAAGATAGATACCCATCCCACATGCTGCAATCTTGGAGAAAAGCAATCCTGAATAATAAATACAGAGAAGCTATCTCAGGCACTGGCTGTCATGGACACTTGGGCAGTCTCAAAAGGCAACCCAGGAAAATCAGAGTGGAGGACAAGCTGAAGGGCACACTCCACCTAAGGACACAAGAAGATCATGTTTCCTGAAGTCTGCTTTGCCAGTTACCCAGTTCTGCCAGGCAAGCCTCTTTTCTGCTAAGGGCCCTTTCCTAATTTCTCCCTCTAACTCTTTCTGCTGCCACCTCTACCATGAGTAGGTAACCAACTGGCTACTCTTTCCTAGGTCTTTCCTTTGAGCAGAGGGAAAAATAGCAACAGAAATATTTATATGATGATTTGTCGGTTTACATACAGTGTGATTTTACAACTATCATCTTATTTAACCATCCCAGTGACCTTTCGAGGCTGACTTATTCTCATTTTAAAGAAGAGGAAGCTGAGGCTCAGAGAGGTTGTGGGACATGCTCAAGGTCACACGGTGGAAAGTAGTCCAGCTGGAATCTACCAGGTCTGCCTGTGTGCTTTGCATAATGCAAAACTGAATTTCGTGAGTGCTCCAGTGTTGGGTTCTTGAGGTGAAATTCAGGAATATCATTTCCCTCTCCAGACCCCTTCCTTCTGAAGCTCCAGTGTGATAGGACAGCAGAGTGCTGGGGCCCTCACTTTAGTCTCTGGGAAGAACAACCCCATGGTGTTGGCCACAGCTAGCTTGAGGGCCCAAAGAGGTTAAGCTAGGAGCAGCTGTAAACTGATGCACTAGGAAATCCACAGCAGGCTCAAACAAATGTCTTTGGAGGCTCCTTAACATCTTTTAAATGCAATATGTCAGTATTTCTAGTAATTGTCCTTAAAGCCACACATTTTGTGATTTTGGCTTTTTGGCTAGCTGCCAAGGCCATGGCAATTATGGTCACCAACCTGAGATCTGGCCAGTAGCTGCCCTTAGAAAGTTGCACAGGCCTCTGCAAGCAGTATCAGCAGAGATAAATAAGCTTAGCAAAAAGTGTGTGTGTGTGTGTGTGTGTGTGTGTGTGTGTGTGTTTAAAATCTCCACTGTAGGACTCTTTTGAGCAGGAACAAGAGCTGCTTATGTCTCACCAGCTGTATAAGAGGAATCCCGTGACTACTTGAAGTAACTAGCACATTTTGATTCCTTCAGGTGTATTTGGCACACTTTCGAGATTGCTGGCTGGTTGTGAGAAACAGGGCATCGTAGATCAGTACTCTGCAATGGGAGCCTAGGGTGCTCTCCACTTAGCCTGCTTTTCAAGATTTAGTCACAGGATACTCCCTGAGATCAAGCTGCCATTCAGTCTCCATTGGTTGGACTGCATCCCTGACTCCTGGGACCACATATTTCCTGAGTCTCAAAGTTCTAGTGGCCCTCATTCTACCTGCTGTCTCATCATGAGGCCTCTGGGTTTGGGGAAAGCCTAAGTACCCTGTTTTCTGACAAGCTTCCCCTCACAGCTTCAAAGCCACTTCTTCTAGAAAGCCTTCAAAGTCTTGTTTGCCCTCTCTGACTTTCCTCCAGACAAGACGGAGGGTCCTTCTCTGTGCCTACTGAAGCCTATGTCTCTCCCAACAGGAATTGTCATTGTCTCATCATTTAATGATTTCTTGGCCTGAACATCGAGTTCTTTGAAGGCTGCTCTTCCTCTCCCTCCTACTTTCAGTGCCCAGCACAGACCCAATTGTCAGTAAATAATCATTTGCTAAAAGAATGAATGGACGAATGAATATAGGAATGCATAGTCATTGTGGAACATTTTGAAAGTAGGGAGAAATTCTGAGAATAGTTGGATGAGGGGCTGTATTTGTATTCCTTTAGCATTGATCACACTTTTAGAATTCTATTTATTTGTCTACGTTTTCCAATGAGGATTCGGAATTCTATAATCAAGAATCTTACTCGCCTTGTTCTGCATCATCTGGTGCTTAATAAATATTTGGTGAATGAATGAATTGGGAGGAAGGGGTTCCCAGGCACTGGTCTCTCAGGATCCCACACTCAGCAAAGGCCTGCCATTTATTGGACTTACATGTCAGACTTCCAGGATGAATTGCAAACTGTGCAACTCCAGAAGACTGTTCCTCAGGGGCTCAACTCCAAGCAGCTTGGACTCTCAGAAATTAACCTGGACCCTCTCACAGAAGAGTATGAAACCTCTTGCTACACTACATATGCCCCACTCCAAAGGAGCATTTGCTGGGAAACTGAACCCTAAGACCAAAAATCTTAGGTCTTATAGAAGCTAACATTGGAGGCAGGAGGAAGGGGGTTAAGGTATTTTTTTCCTTTCAATTTTATTTGGTCATTGAATTCAGTGTGTCTGAAGTCTAGTGACTTTTCACACCTAGAGTTCCACAATCTCTGTTTTGTATCCTGGAAGCTAGTTCAACCCTAGTTCCCATGAACAATTCAAGAAAACCTTACTCCGAGGACAGATTAAAGGAGAAGCTGGCTGTTTGCCCCAGAGAACAAATAAAATCAAGGAGAAACTGGAAAATCATTACTCAGTCAGGTCCCAGACTTTTGTATTTGTAAAGAGGTAAATTGGGGACAGGACTGCAAAGTGGTTAGTGGCACTAGCTTTGAAGTCCTACAGGCTGAGATCCTCCCTTTGTTATTTATGGGCTGTGTGTCCTTGGGCAAGTAAATAAACTTCTCAATGCCTTGGTTTCCTTATACGTAAATTGCAGATGATGAAAACACTTACTTCATAGAGTTGGGTTATTGATGAATTCAAATAATACATGTGTGATGGTTAATTTTGGTTGTCAACTGGATTAAGGGATACCTAGAGAACTGGTAAAGGATTACTTCTGAGTTTGTCTGTGAGAGTGTTTCCAGAGGAGATTGGCATGTGAATCAGTGAACTAAGTGGGGAAGATCTGCCATCAGTGTGAATGGGCACCATACAACCGGCTGGGTCCAGCCTCCCACTCTCCATGGAACAAAAAAGGAAAAAAAGGATTTCCTTTTTATTCTGGACCTGAGACACTCTCCTCCTCCTGCCTTTGGACACAAGAACTCCAAGCTGTCTGGCCTTAGGACTCTAGGGCTTATACTAGTGGCCTCCCAGTTTCTCAGGCCTTTGGCCTTGGATTGAGAGTTACAACACTGACTTCCTTGGTTCTGAGGTTTTTGGACTTGGACTGAGCCATGGTACGAGAATCTCAGGGTCTCCTGCTTGCAGACAACCTGTCGAGGGACTTTCCAGCTGTCATAATTGCGTGAGCCAATTATCCTAATAAATTCGTTCTCATATATCTCTTTCTGTCTGTCTGTCTGTCTATCTATCTATCTATTCTATCAATTATGTCTCTCTGGAGAACCTTGACTAATACAGATTTTGGTGCCAGGAGTGGTTCTAAAGGAACGGAATTTTAAGGATGAGTTTTCTTAATTCGTTTGGGGGAAAACCAGGGAATATAATGACATTGGTTGGTTGCTCCTAAGGTCGCCAGCGACCTTAGTGATGAAAGAAAAGGATAAACTCAGAGTTTCAAATTTCTGGCTTTAGCTTTGCATAAATAGTCTAAGAGCCTCTAAGTGTGCCCTGAGCCAGAATCTTCTCTGCTACAGCCACAGGGCTAAAATCACTGAAAATCAAGCCCAGGTCCTCATCACACAATTGGCTAAATTACAATGAAAGTTGAACTCTCAGCCTTGCAAGGTGTTTATTGTTTCTGCACAGCAAAAGAAACTACCATCAGAGTGAACACGCAACCTACAGAATGGGAGAAAATTTTTGCAATCTACCCATCTGACAAAGGGCTAATATCCAGAATCTACAAAGAACTTAAACAAATTTACAAGAAAAAATCAAACAACCCCATCATAAAGTGGGCAAAGGATATGAACAGACACTTCTCAAAAGAAGACATTTACACAGCCAACAGACACATGAAAAGGTGCTCATCATCGCTGGTCATCAGAGAAATGCAAATCAAAACCACAATGAGATACCATCTCACACCAGTTAGAATGGCAATCATTAAAAAGTCAGGAAACAACAGGTGCTGGAGAGGATGTGGAGAAATAGGAACACTTTTACACTGTTGGTGGGAATGTAAATTAGTTCAACCATTGTGGAAGACAGTGTGGCGATTTCCTCAGGGATCTAGAACCAGAAATACCATTTGAGCCAGCCATCCCATTACTGGGTATATACCCAAAGGATTATAAATCATGCTGCTATAAAGACACATGCACACGTATGTTTATTGCGGCACTATTCACAATAGCAAAGACTTGGAACCAACCCAAATGTCCATCAGGGATAGACTGGATTATCGGCCGGGTGAGGTGGCTCAAACCTGTAATCCCAGCACTTTGGGAGGCCTAGGCGGGTGGATCACAAGGTCAGGAGATTGAGACCATCCTGGCTAACACGGTGAAACCCTGTCTCTACTAAAAATACAAAAAATTAGCCGAGCGTGGTGGTGGGCACCTGTGGTTCCAGCTACTCGGGAGGCTGAGGCAGGAGAATGGCATGAACCCGGGAGGTGGAGCTTGCAGTGAGCCGAGATTGGGCCACTGCACTCCAGCCTGGGCAACGAAGCGACACTCCATCTCAAAAAAAAAAAAGATAGACTAGATTAAGAAAATATGGCACATATACACAACGGAATACTATGCAGCAATAAAAAAGGATGATTTCATGTCCCTTGTAGGGACATGGATAAAGCTGGAAACCATCATTCTGAGCCAACTATCACGAGGACAGAAAGCCAAACACCACAGTTTCTCACTCATAGGTGGGAATTGTACAATGAGAACACTTGGACACAGGGTGGGGAACATCACACACTGGGGCCTGTCGTGGGGTGGGGGGAGGGGGGAGGGATAGTATTAAGAGAAATACCTAATGTAAATGACGAGTTAATGGGTGCAGTACACCAACATGGCACATGTATACATATGTAACAAACTTGCATGTTGTGCACATGTACCCTAGAACTTAAAGTATAATTTAAAAAAAAAAGTGAGGACATTGGTCCGGAAAGAATGGCATCCTATAAGCTGGGATGGCAGAACGTATGGGAGGACCCTAATAAATCCCTTCATCTATATTTATATTTATCTATGTCTATATCTGTATCCTACTGGTTCTGTTTCTCTGGGGAACCCTGACTAATACAGCATGCAAAAAAATTAGTGCACAGTCTAAGTGCTCAATGAAGGTAGTTATTATTCTCTTTATATTACAATGAGGTAAAATTTGTGTAATGGGGTTCTGTGGCTTAGAGTGATTGACAAGATATCTGAGACTAGGTTAAGTTTTCAACCCCTGTCTGCTCCACATTCTGCTGAAGGGAGAAGTATCAGATTATGTGGGAGATTTGAGAATAACAGGGAAGAAAGGCTGGTAAAATCTTACAGAAACATAGGAATTCATAGGCACATACTTATATATGGAAATAAATGGGGAGAAGAAAAAGCTTTCTCTTACATAAAAAAGCAACTAATAAATGTTTTAGGGATGATTGAATTAGAAAATCACCATTTGGCAACCATCGTAGTAATAATTAATTCAGCCAAGAAACATCAATGGATGCTAAAATTAGTGGGTGAAAGTTTGATGAGAAATGGGATATTGACATAGTCTTGGGGTACCTCCCCACAGAATACTTATTAATTACAAAGGGAATAACTTTACAGTGGAGGAGCCTGGCAGATACTGCCACCTTAATGAAGTGATCAAAGTGAACATCATTAGTAATGGGACAAACTGAAATCATGTGCCACCTGATAGGATGCAATGAGAACACAGCATTGCTTCTGTGCTGTTACTGTAAAAGATGCATAACTTGAACCTAATCATGAGGAAACATCAGACAAACCTGAATTAAGGGGCCCTCAATATAAGAAATGGCCTGTACTCTTCAAAAAGTGTCAAGGTCATGTAAAACAAAGAAAGACTAAGGAACTGTTTCAGACTGAGGGAGCCTAAAGAGACATGGACATTAAATGCTACCTGTGATCCTGGATTGGATCTTTTCGCTATAAAGGACATTACTGGGACCTTTGGAGAAACTTGAATGAAGTTTGAGGGTTAGATATTAGTGATGTCCTTTTAATGATTGCAGGAGATACATGCCAAAGCTTTCAGGGGTGATGGGGCATCAGCTTGACAACTTACTATCAAATGATTAAAAAAAATTAATACTATTCTTGCAACTTTTTTGTGAGTTTGAAATTTTTTGAAGTACATAATTTTGCATTTCAAATGATGTTATTGAAACATACCCTTTATTTACAATTAATTGCCTGAGAGGTGGAGTTACTCATACTGAGTCTATGTGTTGGAAAGGCAGGGGAGAGAAGGTTCTAGGAACGAGGAAAGGTGTGCCCAAAGACAGCACTGAAAGCCCCGCACTTACCTACATAAATCTCACATCTATCTCATGAGTTAGGAGAAAACTGGGGCAGGCAAAAGGGTGAGACATTATTATCCCCATTGTATAGCTGAGCAAAGTAAGGCTACACAGAATAAAAAATGATATGAGAGCCAGAGGGCACCTCCCTATCCTTTGACAGATGAGGAAACTCATCCAGGAGCTGACAGGACTTGCCAGGTTCTCACAGTCAGAGCTGAACTGGAATCCAAAGGCCAGCACCACACTGCTCTCATTCAACTGTGTCTCATTAAAAATGTGTGTGTGGTTTACCCATGTAACAAACCTACACATTCTGCACATATATCCCAGAACTTAAATTTGGTTTAAAAATAAAATAAAATAAATGTATCTTTTCAACAAAAAAAGTGTGTGTGCGTGTGAATTATATATGTGTGTATGTGCTTATTTTATTTGTTCATAAAATAATTGTCTTACAACATTTAGTGACGGCAGTAGTTGGAATGAATAGAATTATCTGGACCAAAAATACAAGGGCAGGGATTTTGCTCACATTTACTTCCTCCTGTGTCTCCAGGGCTAGAAGAGTAGCTGGCATATGGTAGGCACTTCATGAAGGGTTGTCGAATGACTGAATGTTGTTCTAAACTTTTAGGAAAAAAAGATTTCATTCTCAGGAAAATTATTTGCCTTTTCCCCTCTAAAAATGCCTTAATGTTCTTTCCCCTCCAGGAGACGATACTTGGGACCCAAGCAAACCAAGCCTCAGGAGCCACTTCATGGGAAACTGCAAAAGCCTCTGCAAAGATGACAGGCATTCTGCCCAGAGGTCTACATCACAGTTGGTTCTTGAAACTTCCTTTTATATTTTCCTTAGCTCTTTCAATGGAGCTGGGTTTCCCACACGGGGAGTATCCTGTGGTGGCTAAATGTAGGGTAAGTGGAGCTAAATTGCTCATGTTTGTTTGAATTGTGGTTCTACCACTTACTGAATGTGTGATCTTGGGCAAGTTATTTAACCTCTCTGACTCTGTTTCCTCATCTGTAAAACAGAGATAATAAGAGTACCTATATCACAGGGTTGTTGTGATAATTAAGTTAGCATACACACAAAAACACAAATACCCAGACACAGACACACAGTTTCCAACTTAAGATGGTTCAACTTAGATTTTTTTGACTTTATGATGATGCGAAAGCCATATGCATTCAGTAGAAACAGTACTTTTTTTTTTTTTTTGACAAAGTCTTACTCTGTCACCCAGGCTGGAGTGCAGTGGCGTGATCTCAGCTCACTGCAACCTCCGCCTCCCGGGTTCAAGAGATTCTCCTGCCTCAGCCTCCCAAGTAGCTGGGATTACAGGCACATGCCACCATGCCCAGCTAATTTTTTTGTGTTTTTAGTAAATACAGGGTTTCATCATGTTGGCCAGGCTGGCATCGAACTGGTGATCCACCCGCCTCAGCGTCCCAAAGTGCTGGGATTACCACCGTGCCTGGCCAGAAACCATACTTTGAGTACCCATGCAGCCAGCCATTCTGCTTTTCAATGTCAGTACAGTGTTCAATAAATTCCATGAAATATTCAACATTTTATTATAAAATAGGCTTTGTGTTAGATGAGTTTGCCCAGCTGTAGGCTAATGTAAGTGTTCTGAGTACACCTAAGTTTGGCTTTCAGTAGGCTAGGTGTATTAAATGCGTTTTCTTTTTTTTGTTTGTTTTTTTGTTTTTTTGAGATGGAGTCTCGCTCTTCACCCAGGCTGGAGTTCAGTGGTGTGATCTCGGCTCACTGCAACCTCCATCTCCTGGGTTCAAGCAATTATCCTGCCTCATCCTCACCAGTAGCTGAGATTACAGGTGCATGCCACCATGCCTGGCTAACTTTTGTATTTTTAATAGAGATGGGGTTTCGCCGTGTTGGCCAGGCTGGTCTCGAACTCCTGACATCAAGTGATCCGCCTTCCTCGGCCTCCCAAAGTGCTGGGATTATAGGCATGAGCCACCGTACCTGGCCTTAAATTCATTTTCGACATACAATATTTTCAATTTATGATTGGTTAATCAATGGGTTTATGTAACACTGTCGTAAGTTGAAGAGCACCTGTAGTAAGAACTGTAAAAATGTTTGTAATTTTTCCCAGACACCTGGGAGCTTGTTAAAGCGCAGCCTTGGGAAAAATTCCCCTCTTGGTATTCTCTCAGCCTGCCCTCTGGCACATCCACCATAAATTTGTCCTGCCCGCCTGGTTTTTCAGGGGCTGTCTCAAAGGGAGAGACATTTGAACTGGGACCTGAAGAATGAGTAAAAGGTTACTAAATGGAAAAAGAAGGAATTGAAACACCTCTCAAAAAGTGGCCTAGGAGCCACAACCTCACAGACAACCTCTCCCCAGCCCCTGAGGGGCCACTGCTGGGCTGAAATTCATTCACCAAGAATGGGTTGTGCTGTTGTCATTTCTATTTGCGAGGTGCTGTGTTGTATTCTATGGCTGGCAGTTTGATGTGACTTAAAATAGCATTTTTTAAAATCTTCAGAAGCAGAAATAATGAAGTGACTCACAGAAACAGCATAGTATAGTACTCATGAGCATGGATTGCCTGGGTACAAATCCCAGCTTCACTGTTCCTAGCTGTGTAACCTTGGACAAGTTTCTTAACTTCTCTGTGCCTCAGTTTCTTCATCTCTAAAATGGGGGAAATGATCATGGTACCTGTCTTATGGGTGTACTAGGAAGAGTAGATGAGTTAATACTTTGTAAAATGCTTAGAACAGTGACTGGCACAGAATATGTGCTATATAAATGTCTGCTAAATAATACATAAGCGATTGAAATCCTCAATATTAAAACAGAATGATGGAAGGAACTGTTTATGCAAACAAAAATAATAGTGATTAATTAGTAATACCCTATAAATGAAACCTCAGATCTCTTTACTGTATTTTTCTCTCACAGTGCATAGACAGGGGTTGGGGGGGGAACCTCTCATTACCAATTAGAAATTATTTTTAAGTAAATTATCAGTCACATATTAGGGATCAAATCAGAGGGGGACAAGTATTTTTTGTTGACATTATTGCTTACAAATGTGAAAACTCATCTGTGCAAATAGGTTTTGGTGAATAATCAACTCATTTTTACCTCTTTGGAAGAAGTATTTTAGAAACCCTTCCAGTGAGTAGAGAAAAGCATTTTTAAAACCATGAAAAAATCAAAATGAAAGGAATGAAAAAAGCACTAAAGGTAAAATTTTTTTGTTACCACTATCAAGACCTTTAGGAGAAAGAAACATGTTTACCAGTAATGGCATGGCATGAAGAAACACCTGTTTTATTTGCTTATATACTCCCAAGGTGACACAACTGGGCCAAGACCCTGTGAATTCCAGCACACTCATGAGTTTGGTGGGAGCCTTTGGAAACCATTGGACAAAGCCCCAAGTTTTGATTTTTGCCCTCTCAAGTTGAGTCAGATTGGAGGTCACCATCTGAAGCACAGCAGGAAGGGTCAGAATGGATGAGCTGACTGGCAGCTTCTGCACAGCTTTTCCGGAACACTTGGTTGCCTGAGGAATTACATCCCGAGTAATTGACTGGGACAATTAGGCAGACTCTGAAAGTCAAGCTTGGAAGGCACATGCTGAAGTGCACCCACAAATGGGTAAGCTCCATTGTAGCCCTTTGCAGATGTCACTCAAATGCAAAGATCTTGGGAGAGTTTTCTTTCCAAAGCTGGCAGAGGTATCACTGGTATCGAGTGTTCTGCCCATAAAAATGATAAAGTGTCAGTTAATGTCAGTCCTTTGCTAAGAGCAACAGCTGGGGACTCTGTGCTGGCAGACGGGGGTGAATTGTATAATCAAGCAAAGCTTAACTCTCATGAGTATGACAATCTGCAGCTCTCAATAAGTTTGCTTGTAAGGAAGCATTCATCCTGCACTGGGACACCAACTTCCCCCTCCACAACCACGCACCCCCACAGAGACTCCACATAGCTTTACCATGCAAGGTATGTGTAACCAGCCTTCTACTTTATAGCAACATCTGTCTAACTAGGTGTTATTGTGCCAACAGTAAGAGTTGTGTTCCCGAACCAAGTTCACCAAATTACAAAGATAGAAGAATGGTAGTGCCAGTGGATGTTGATTCTTTAGTGCCTGTCATGTCTACTTCATAGGGTGTGAGCATTTCATAGGATAACGCATAAGGAGAGGCTGTCACCAGATATACATTGATATCCGAGTTTAAAGGATTTTGATATTGTTACTTGGTAGATTCTCAGCAGAACTCAATAAAGACTCTAATTTCTGAATATTTAAGACTCCCGAGGCTATAGTAAGTCTGTGTAATCTTTATAGCTCTAAATAATATTTTATTATAGCCACCTGAAAATTACCTTAGGATAGTAGATATTGCTTTCTTTTCTTTCCGTTTGCCATCACAAGTCTCGGAAGAATTGTCTCTATTTCTTGCCTGCATTTCTTTATACTTCCTCCCTAATCCCTTATGATTTGGTTCCTGCCTTCGCCATTCTTCTCAAAATACAGTGTGTTAGTTATCTATTGTTGCATAACAAATTACCCTGACACTTAGTGCCTGAAGACAACATACATTGTTATCTCACAGTTTCCATGAGTCAGGAAGCTGGATGTGGCATACCTGGGTCCTCTGGCTCAAGGTCTCTTACAGACTGCAATTTAAGATGTTGGCGGGGGTTGTAGTCTCTCAAAGCTTGACCGGGGAAGGATTCATTTCAAAGCTCAATCATGTAGTTGTTGGCAGGATTCAATTCTTCATAGGCAGTTGGACCAAAGGCCTCAGTTTCTTGCTGGTTGTTGGCCAGAAGCTTCCCCCAGTTCCTTGTCACATGGACCTTTCCACAGAGTGGCTTATAACATGGTAACTGGATTTATCAGAGCAAGCAAGCAAGAAGGCAAGAGAGAGTAAGCTGGAAGTTACCATCTAATAAACTTAACCTTAGACATTATATCCCATCGCTTTTGCTGTAATCTATTCACTAGAAGGTATTCTATTTGTTAGAAGCTAGTCACTAAGTCTAGCCCACACTAAAAAGGAGGGGGTGACTCAAGGGCATGAATACCTGGAGGTGGGTATCATTGGGGACCATGTTAGTTATAAATCTGTTTATCACATGCAGGTCACTTGAGGCTTCATTGCCAAGTCCAATGAACTTTAGTATATTTCATCCTTTCTGAACTTTCTAGGGCCTCTCATCTACACACTGTCTCCAGCTTGAAATGCTGTCTTCATTGTGACTGCACAGCACTTTATTTTACCATCTCTCTACCACTCCTTTCTTTTCTCCATCTCTCTCTCTCTCTCTCTCTCTCTCTCTCTCGTTTGAGACAGGGTCTTGCTCTGTCACCCAGGCTGGAGTGCAGTGGCACCATCATGACACACTGCAACCTCAACCTCCTGGGCTCAAGTGATCCTCCTGACTCAGCCTTTCAAGTAGCTGGGAACCCAGGCATGCTCCACCATGCCTGTCTAATTTAATTTTTTAAAATATATATAGACAGGGTTTTCCTATGGTGCCCAGGCTGGTCTCAAACTCCTGGACTCAAACAATCCTTCCACCTTGGCCTCCCAAAGTGCTGAGGTTACAGATACGAGCCACCATGCCCAGCCTCTTTTCTCTATTTCTGCTCCTCTTCCCCCTTTTGCCTACTGAATCTGCAGCCTAACTCAAAGTAGGCCCACTAATGAAAAACTGTAGGCTCATGGAATAAATACAAGTGGCCATCAAGGGCCACTTTATAACATCCATTCAGTTATCATTTCTATGGAATTAAGTCTGAATTTTTTTTTTTTTAGACAGGGTCTTGTTCTGTCATCCAGGCTGGAGTACAGTGGTGCAATCTTAGCTCACTGCAGCCTCTAATTCCTAAGCTTAAGGGATCCTCCCACCTCAGCTTCCCCATAGCTAGTACTATAGGTATGTGCCACCATGTCTAGCTTTTTTTTTTTTTTTTTTTTTTTTTGTAGAGATAGAGTCTTGCTATGTTGCCCAGGCTGGTCTCGAATTCCTGGCCCCAAGCAATTCTCCTGCTTCATCCTCCCAACGTGCTGGGATTACAGGCATGAACCACCATGACTGGCCAGTCTGAAATCTTAATCTGCAACTTTGGTGTCTCTTCTGAGCCCCACTTCTGTTTTTCTGACTGCTTTAACACTTAAAAGGATGATGTGCTGGGACCTCAAAAGCAGCATATATTTCCCCAATCATTCTCCTAACTTCATCAAACCCTGCTCCTCCCCTATTCCCAATTTTTGATATTACTACTTACCCAATCACCCAGACCTAAAACCTAAAACTATTATATTTGATTCCTCTTTTCCCCCTAGCTGTCACATCCAGTTATTACTATATCTTGTCTATTCTAATCCTGCATCATTTATCCCCTCTTCTCTGTTCCCACTGAGTACTGTAATGGCCTCATAATTAGTCTCTATCCTCTCTCATTTATCCTATACATTCCTTTCAAATAAATCTTCCCGAAGCACATCTCTGGTCATTCCATTTCTTGTTTAAATATCAATGGGGCAGGCATGGTTGTTCAAGCCTGTAAACCCAGCACTTTACGAGGCCAAGGTGGGAGGATCACTTGAGCTCAGGAGTTCGAGACCAGCCTGGGCAACAAAGCAAGACCCTGTCTCTACTAAAAAAAAAAAAAAATTTAATTAGCTGGGCATGGTGATGCATGCCTGTAGTCCCAAATACTCAGGAGGCTGAGGCATCAGGATTGCTGGAGCCCAGGAGATTGAGGCTGCAGTGAGCTATGATTGTGGCGCTGCACTCCAGCCTGAGTGACAGAGTGAGACCCTGTCTCAAAACAAACAAACAAAACCCAACAAATATCAATGGTTGTCCACTGATTACAGAATACAGTTCAAATTTCTTAGCCTGTTATTCAAGGCCTTCCACAATCATCTGGTCCCATTCTTGACCCCTACTCCTTTTATGCACTGTGTGCTCCAATCATGTGGAATCTCTTATCTGCTCTTCATACAGCTCATGATTTCCTGCTTTAGTGGCTTTGTTCTTGCTCATTTTCACTTCAGCCTGGAATTCTCTGTCCCCATTCTTAACCTTAGTTCTACATAGTCAACTCTTACCTATCTTCCATGGCCTGGCTCAAATTACATTGGCTCCACAGAGTGTCCACCTTCCTTCAAATCTGACTTGAAGGTAGTAGTTCCCTACTGTGAATTCCCAGACTCCTTTACTTCTCCATCTTACGGCACTTTATCTAGATATTTCTGTTCACACTAATCTCTTTCCTGCTAGACTGGGTACTTCTTTTTTTGACAGAGTCTCACTCTGTCGCCCAGGCTGGAGTGCAGTGGTGCGATCTCTGCTCACTGCAGCATGAGAATTGCTTCACCCTCCCCAGTAGCTGGGACTGCAGGTGCATGCCACCACACCCGACTAATTTTTGTGTTTTTGGTAGAGACGGGGTTTTACCATGTTGGCCAGGCTTATCTCAAACTCCTGACCTCAAGTGATCCACCTGCCTCTGCCTCCCAAAAGGCAACTGGGCACTTCTTGATAGTAGGGTATGTGCTTGATTCTTTTTTGTTGCTCTCTGCACACTATAGAACCTTACACATCCACATCATCAATAGATTTAAAATCTTTTTTTATCATTACTCCCCATGAAATAGGTGTGCCCATTTGCCTTATGGTCACAGAAAAAGAGGGACAGATTCAGTTAACACCCCGTGTTATTACTTTTTTTTTTTTTTTTTTTTTTTCTTTTGGAGATGGAGTCTCTCTTTGTCACCCACACTGGAGTGCAGTGGCGCGTTCTCAATTCACTGCAACCTCCGCCTCCCAGGCTCAGGTGATTCTCATGCCTCGGCGCCCCCAACCAGTAGCTGTGATTACAGGCATGTGCCACCATGCCTGGCTAATTTTTGTATTTTACAGGCGTGAAGGCTCATGCCTATAATCCCAGCAATTTGGGAGGCCAAGGCGAGCGAATCACCTGAGGTCAGAAGTTTGAGACCAGCCTGGCCAACATGGCTTAGAATCAAGTTGGAGATCCTAAACTTTAATATGTACTTCTTCCTAAAATGTATTTGCTTGAGAAAGTATCCATGGTGGAGGCAGCAAGCCAGTTTTACTTTTCTACCTCTCCTTTCACCACTGATCTCCTTGCACTTTACTAAAGAGAGGCAAACTCTCACCCACCCTGGCTCTCACTACAGCGCATTGCCCCCAGGAATGTAAGCACTTCTTGGAAAATAAACAAAGAGGCAATTTGAAATACTGTGCTAGTGTCAAAAAAGTGGATGACTCTAATTAAGACCAGGTAACAAATTTCTATGCAAGTAGGTGGCTTCCAATTCTTTGCTTTTAACAAAATTGAAGAAGGGCCTAGTTGTATTTATTGTGACCTGATTGATCATTACAAATATTTTTGATGGAACTCTTGTGCACTGCTGATGGGGAAGTAAAATGGTGCAGCCACTGTGGAAGACAGTATATCAGTTCCTCAAAAAGTTAAAAATAAAATTACTGTATGACACAGCAATTCCAATTCTGGGTACATATCCAAAAATTTCAAAACAAGATCTCGAAGAGATATTTGTACACCCATGTTCATAGCAACATTATTAACGACAGACAAAAGTCAGAAGCAACCCAAATATCCATCAATGGATAGACCTGATAAACAAAATGTGGTATAAGCATATAATGGAATATTATTCAGCCATAAAAAAGGCAATTCTGACACATGCTGCCATATGAATGAACCTTGAAGAGATTACTCTAAGTAAAATAAGCCAGTCACAAAAAAAAACAAATATCATATGATTCCTCTTCTATGAGGTATCTAGAGTAAACAAATTCATAGAGACAGAAAATAAAATGGCAGTTTCTAGGAGCTGAGCAGACAATGAGGAGTTAATGTTTAATGGGTATGGAGTTTCATTTGGGGAAGTTAAAAACGTTCTAGAGATAGATGATGGTAATGATTACATGACAGTATGAATGTGCTTAATGCCACAGAAATCTACACTTAAATGGTCAAAATGATAAATTTTGTGATGTATGTTTTACCACAGTAAAAAATATATTTCTTTTTTTATTTTTTATTTTTTTTGAGACAGAGTCTTGCTCTCTTGCCCAGACTGGGGTGCAGTGATGTGATCTCGGCTCACTGCAACCTCCACCTCCTGGGTTCAAGCAATTCTCCTGCCTCAACCTCCCAAGTAGCTGGGATTACAGACGTGCACTACCATGCCTGGCTAATTTTTTTGTATTTTTAGTAGACACAGGGTTTCACCATGTTGGCCAGACTCTTCTAGAACTCCTGACCTCATGATCCACCTGCCTCGAACTCCCAAAAAACATACATATATATATTTCTCAATGATAATAATTATGTGATTTTGGGAGCATGCAACATGAAAAGAGCTTTGAAAAACCAAGTGACATTGCTCTAACAAAGCTCTACTCCTCCTTCCAGTCCAATATACTTATTTAATGTGAATGAGATTTATTTGCATTTAGGATCTATACAAATGAAAAACAGAAATAAAATCAATGTTGAATCTTGTGTCATTCTAGCAGTAAGTAATAGTTATCTCAGGTACATGGACTAACTGAGCAGAAAAGCCTTATCCATTTCACTGGCATGTTTTCCCAACAAAAATCTTACTTTGGGGTCAGGCGCAGTGGCTCACATCTTCAATCCCAGTATGTTGAGAGGCCGAGGCAGGAGGATCACTTGAGCCCAGGAGTTCGAGACCAGCCTGGGCAACACAGTAAGATCTCATCTCTACAAAATATAAACAAAATTATGTGGGTGTGGTGGTGCATGCCTGTGGTTACAACTATTTGGGAGGCTGAGGTGGGAGGATTCCTTGAACCCAGGAAGTCAAGGCTACAAAGAGCTGTGCTTGCACCACTGCACTCCGGCCTGGGTGACAGAGTGAGATCCTATCTCAAAATAAAAGTCTTTCTTTTAAAATGTAATAGTTAGTTATCGAAATTTGTAATATATTTATATTTTCATAAATTGTGTAGTACTAATAATTTTAATAAAAACCAATTCAAATAAAATTTTGACACCAATAATTTTATGGATACTTACTTTTAAAAATGTTAAATTTTGATTTCTATACATATTTTTGTTGCTAGGTGGTATTATGGGTGATCAGTAAGAATTTCAAGCATAAAAATACATTACAGCAAAATCCTATAGAAGTAGAATGTGAATTTAAGGAGATAAAGGAACAGCGTAATAGTTTTGGCTGTTTAGAAAGAGCTTATATATGTATGTTTGGATTCCTTTAGATATGGAAAAGTTTTATTTTAAAATGGCAATATTTACGATATTTTGAAAATTACATCCTTCACAACTCTTTAAACTTACGAAGAAAAATATTTTAAATCAATGAAATTTAAAATCAATTAAAAATGTATAATGATTTTTTTAATTACTTTAGAGGGGCACTTGATCAAAAAAATTTGAATACCTCTGCTTTGGGTCCTTTCTTGACAATTTCTACTCGGTTACACTGAACGCTCCCAGTACAAGCTTGAGTTATTTTTCTCAGCTCACTCTATCCATGCAGAAACTGAGTACCAAGCACATCTCTTGATTTTAGATAGAAACTGCCATTCTCAGGGATACTCAGTGGAACTCCTGGATTCTGGGAGAAGTGGTTTTCAGCCAGGGACAATTTTGTTGCCCAGGGTCACATTTGACAATATCTGAAGACATTTTTCGTTGTCACAGTGGGAGGAGCTGCTATTAGCATCTAGTGGGTAGAGGCTGGGATCCCCTCAACTTTGTACAATTTACCTGACAACTTCCCATAACAAAAAAAAAAATCTGGCTCAAAATATCAATGGTGCCAAGGTTGAGAAAACCTGTAAGGTATGCATTCCCAAATGAATGAATAAATTAATGATGAAATGAATGAATGAACAAACAAATCAATGAATAAATGCTACCTAACTCAATTAGTCTTTAACCAGTACTGTGTGCCAGGTGCTCAGAATATGATGGTGAACTTGACATACCCAAGGCTGGCTTTAATGCAGCATACAGTTGAGTGCCAGCCCAACACAATGTCTTTTTAGGTCCAGAGCACCTTGCTAAAGTAACAAAGGCTGCCCCTCTATCCAGACCTACATTCCTTTTGCCTTTGGGGTGCTTTAAAAGCTCTCAAATTTCTAATTGCTTTGATTATGGGCTTTCATGTTCTTTGTTGGGCCACCTTCCTCAGGTAATCACCTGAAGGCTCTCATCTCTGGAATATTTTCTTCCTCTTATGTCAAACATCATCATGGCTCAACAGCATAACTCCTGAGCAACTGCATAGCCATCCTTCTGCTTCCCATCAGCCAGTGGAGAGCTGAGATCCACTGTGATCACCCCAGGAAAGGGCTGGCCCGAAACATCTCTTAAGAAGCAATGTGCACAGTATACAACCTCATTTACATAATTGATTCCTGGGTTTTTCATCTATGTTCATAGCAATGGCATTTGAAGATATATTTTCTTCTAAATAGTTGGCAAAGAAGGTTAGGTATTTGAAACAATGATAACTACAAGACAATCACTTCACAAAGGCCCTTAAGAGGTTGATGTTTCCTTTCAGGCCCCAGTCCCACCCTCAGTTCTTAGGCCTGAAGATTCTGTAGGAAAATCTCCATATCTGGGTGGCTACAGATCCAAAATATTCAATGATACAGCCTTTTTTCAACATCTACAAATACAATAACTAACATTTGAGTGCTTGTTATATCCTAGCCACAGTGCTAGGCTCTTTCCAAAACCAGTCTATTGTGAGTGTCATGGAAGAGTGATAGGCACAGGCCAATAAGATTCTCTTTCTGCAGGCTATACAAGTTCTCATGATCTTGGACTTTAAGGCTACCTAGTATGCCCATAAAACAAAAAGCTGTTAGGTCCCTGCCCCCACACACACTCTTTCTCTGAGACTGCTTCCCACCTATAGTCGTTGGTGAAGAGATGAGACTAAGCTGCCCAAGTGAACTCCTCCATTCTGCCCTGAGCTGATTGAACCCACCTAACACAAGCTGGAACAATCCAATCCTGTTCTTAGGAATATGGAATTGAGGCCCCCAAAAATGGTGCCATTTCGCTATGGGAAAAAGTTTTTTGAGGGTGGTCGTGATTCTTCATGGGCAAGAGGTTGAGTGAATTGAGAAAGCACGTCTGCAGTAAGAGAAAAGACTAGATCAGAGATGGCATGGAAGACAGACTGTGTGACCCTGTGTAGTATCACTTCCTGATGGCTTTTCAGCCCCTTCAAGACCTGGCTTACTTTGTTTACTATCCTTGGGTTCTATGATCATCTCCTGAGTCATTTATTTTCAATAAGTTCTCCTTTATTTGAGCTAGGTTGGATGAGTGTCTCTTCTTTGAAACCAGTGACTCATAATTAAAATAAATTTTTTTAAAATTCTATCAGGCAATTAAATACCTGACTAACTCTGGATTATCCTGGTCCATTGTGATTGATTCTGTGAAAACTTATGATGCTTATGGTTTGTGTCCTCCCAATAGTCAATTATCTACCTATCATCGTCATTCACCTAGTCCTTGAACTCTTACTGGGTGCCTACTATGTGCCCAATGCTCAGAGAATAGTATAAGGACAAAATCTGACCTCTGTGTTCAATAGGCTTACAAATCCTTTAGGAAATGTAAAGTACAAAGCAAAAAAAAAGTTAATATAGCAAAATGCACATAAAGCATGATATTACAGGGGAGAAAGCAATTAATACAATTAATTTTCACTGTAAAGACTGGAGAAGGTTTCATAAGAGGTGCCATCTAAGCTAAAGTTTGAAGGAAAAGTGGAATTTTGGCAAGCAAAGAAAGTAGGAAAGAACAGATTAGTAAACTATTGCCACAATCATGCTATGTAACAAACCACTCCAAAACTAAATGACTTTAAACAATAATTTATTCCTACTCATACGAACAATTATGGGTTGTCTGGGGATCCACTGATCTAAGCGGGGCTCTGCTGGGCTTGGCTTCAATCTTCCAGGGTGTGTGTGTATGTGTGTGTGTGTGTGTGTGTGTGTGTGTGTGTGTGTGTGTGTGTGTGATACAGCCAACTTTTCTCATGTTCCAAGAGGACTTATTTTGCTGTAGAACAGCTGCCCCAAGAAAACTCTTCTCACGGCCATGGCAGAAATGCAAGAGAACAAGTCCAACTATTCAAGCACATTCAAGCCCTTGCTTGCATCACATCTGCTAACGTCCTATTGGTCAAAGTAAGACATATAGTTGAGCCCAAAGTTGAAGGGTGAAATATATTCTGCCTCTAGCGGAACTGCAAAGTCGCATGGCAAAGGATGAGGATACAGGGAAGGTGAATAATTTGGAACAATGCACTACAGAAATTCCAGGCAGAGAGATCAAACGGATGATCAAAGGCATAGTCAGAGATATGGAAGCACATGGATTGTTTAGAGGAAGGTAACAAGGCTAAGAATTTAATTTAAGCCTTGAACACCATGCTAAAGATATGGGCATTAGTCTGCTGCTCCAGAGAGCCACTAAGGTTTACATGGTTGTATCTGGGTTTTAGAAATATTAAAAGCAAGGAGACAATTTAGGAGGCCAGTGTAACAGTCCAAAAATTGATGGAAGTGGAGTGGATATAAGATATGTTTGGGAGGACTTAGCATATGTCCACAAATTATATGATATTCCTTTTAAGAGGTAGAGCCTAATTCTCCTCTGAGTGTAGGCTGTACTCAATAACTCATTTCTATTGAATAGAATGTGGTAAAAGTGATGATGTGTAACTTCTGAGACTGGGTCATAAGAGGCATGCAGCTTCCTCCTTGCTGCCTCTTGGATCACCCACTCTGGGGAAAGCTAGGTGCCATGTCATGAAGTCACTCAAGCAACCCCATGGAGAGGTCCATGTAGTGAGGAATTAAGACATCTTACCTATAGCTGATGAGGAACTAAAGGCCCTGCTAATGGCTAAGTGGGCAATTTTGAATGATGATCCTGCAGGTCCAATCAAGCCTTCAGATGACTGAATCCTTAGCTGACATTTTGATGGCCACCTCATGAAACATTCTAAGTCAGAACCACCTAGCTAATCTGTTCTTAAATTCCTCACGCACAGAAACTGAGTGAGATAATAAATGCTTATTGTTTTCAGATGCTATATTTTGAGATATACACAGCAATAGATAAGTAGTACAGCTTGGATGTAGAAGGTGAGGAAAAAGAGTAAGTCAAGGATGACTCTCAAGTTTCTGGCTTGAGCCACTGGATGATGTGACTTATTGAAAAGAGAGAAGAGGAGGAAGGGCAAGTTTGAGGGACAGTGATGAGATGTAAGATGAAGAGGTTATTTTAGGACAGTGTTATAGACTGAATTGCACTGCCCAAAATTCATATGCTGAAGCCCTCAGAGAGGTAATTAAGGTTAAATTGTCTTAAGGATTGATACCTAATCTGATAGGCTTGGTGTCCTTATAAGAAGAAGAGACACCAGATCTCCCTTTCTCTTTGTCTCCATCTCTCTCTCCATGTGTGCACAAAGAGGCTATGTGAGGACACAGTGAGAAGGCAGCTGTCTGCAATCCAAGGAGAGAGCCTTCACCAGACACCAACCATGCTGTCACCTTGATCTTGAATTTCTAGTCCCCAAGACTGTGAGGAAATACATTTCTATTGTTTAAGCCACCCAGTCTGTGGTATTCTGTTACAACAGTCCTAGAAGACTAATACAGATTTTGGTACCAAAATTTGGGGTGCTAGTGAAAAATATGTAAAAATGGAGAAGTGGCTTTACAACTGGGTGATTGGCAGAGTCTGGAAAAGTTTTGATGTGCAGGCTAGAAAAATCCTAGATTTCCTGTTAGCAGAAATATAGATGTTAAAAATCTATGTGTATTACAAAAAATAAGAAAGCATGTTCTGGAGAGAAAACCAAGGGTATGGATGGACAATCACTCCATAAGGAGATTACACAAGGTACTAGTCAGTCATTTCAGCAGAAACCAAGAATAGAGATGGAAGTATAGTAGCAGAGACATCACCAGTTTGAACCGAAGACAATAGAGATGAGATGAAATAAATGAAGATCTTCAGACGTCTGCAGTTCTACAACTGGACAATACAGCTATTGAGCTGAAAGCATACCTTAACCTTCAAGAAAAAAAAAAAAAGAATAACCTTGAAGGCAATTTGAAGACAATCATGGCTGCTACTCCCACCACAGGCCCGGGGGCAAGGCTGTTTCCTCCTCCTCGGTTTCAGAGGGTGGGCCTACCTTCTGGGTTTCAGTGGGCCAATGCCTCAGGGATAGCGCCTCCACAAGGAGCTACATGAGTGGGAACACTGCAAAATACCATGTGAGTGGGGCCGCCACACAGAGCAAAGGGTCAGATCTGCTGGCTAGGGCCATCAGTGATGCTGCCACCCCAGTGGGCATGAAAGAGCATCCAAAGAGGATTATTCTCAAGCTTTAAGATCTAATGGAATTTGTTTTGCTAGGTTTGGGACTTGCCTAAGACCCATCATCCCTTTCTTCCCTCTGATTTCACTCTTTTGGAATAGGAATGTCTATTCTATGCATGTCCCACCATTATATTTTGGAAGCACATGACTTTCGTGATTTCACAGATTCATAGCTGGAGAAGAATTTTGCCTCAGAATAAATTATACCTTGAGTCACCGGTATCTGATTTAGGTGATGTTTAGATGAGGCTTTGGACTTAGAATTGATGCTGGAATGAGTTAAAACTTCTAAGAGTTTTGAGGAATGGGGTGAGTTTATTTTTCATGCCAGAAGGAAATTAATTCTGTGAGGACAGTGGTGGAATATTATGAACAAAATCTCTGCCCCAAAAGTTCATATGTTGAAGCCCTAACTCCCAATGCAACTGTATTTAAAGATAGGGCCTTTAGGGGGTTAATTAAGGTTAAATGAAATCATCTTGGTAGGGCCATAATTCTACATGACTGGTGTCCTTATAAGAAGAGACAGCAGATCTCTCTCTCTCTCTCTGCACATGCTTAGAGAAAAGGTCATGTGAGGACATAGGGAGAAGTTGGCCATCCACAGCCCAAGAAGAAAGCTCTCACCAGGTAACCTACCCTGCTAGCATTTTGATTTTGAACTTCCAGCCTCCAAAACTGTGAGGAAATAAATTTGTTTTGTTTAAGCCCCCCAGGCTGTGGTATTCTTTTATGGTAGCTCAAGCTGAGTAATACAGACAAGTTGAGTTTGAGACGGCAGGACATTTATCTTGTGAATATCTAGTGGGCAGCTTGAAATACACCTAGAGCTCAGAAGAGCGTTGTAACGATGCAAGTCACCTGATCATTGGCATTTGGAGCTAGATGAGACAGAGCAATCAGGGAGAAAGAGAATATGGAGAAAAAAAGAGAAGAGGGTCTTGGACAGAATTGAGTTAGAGGGAATGGCACATACAATTGGATGGTTCAATGAGGAAGATGGAGAGATGACTTTAAAGAGCTGTTAGAAAGGTGAAAGTGAACTACAGCAGAAGCAAGGGAGGTTGTTAAGCTAGAATAGTTGATGAACTCACCAAAAGCTCAGAAAATTCACATAAGAGGATCAAGATGAGGCCGTTAAACTTTCTAATATGGGGTTCATTGGTAACCTTTGCAAGCGATATATAGTTGGCTCTGAAAAGCTAACTTAGAGTGGGTTGTGTGGTAGCCAATGTGATAAGCCACTCAGATCTCCTTTCAATGAAAGATTTGTTGCTCCATTGCTGGGAGTGTTATGTACATATGGTCTTCAGCAACCAGCCCCTTCAGAGATTGCCTCAGCTGCAGAGAGTCATCTCACCCAATGTCACTTCCCTTTTCAGGGTAGCACCCATCTATTGACTGATCCCTGTCATTAGATGGGTGCTACCCTGAGAAAGGGAGTGACCTCTGGTGAGTATAAAGGTCTAGCCATTTTGGCCTAACTCGGATGCACTGGAAGCCTGTCTCACTCTGGAGATTCCTGTGAGGTTGACAGAGCAATCACAGGGCCTGTGTCACAGTGCATCTTCTCCTTCTGGCCAACCCTGCTTCCATAGGCATGCATCTCTAGAGAACTCATTAATTAATATCCTGCCTTCTAACTCTGTCTCAGAATCTGCTTCCCTGAGAACCCAACCTAAGACATGGAGTGAAGGAAAAAAGTAGAGATTACAAGTATAGACTACTCTTCCAAGGACTCAAGGAATCAAAGTAAGATGGGTCAGAAACCAAGGGCAAAAAATTCGGTCCTCTAAGCTTTCTCCCGTATCAGACACAAAATTGAACACACGCTAGGTGTTTTTACCTTGATTGTAGAACTCCAGGAGGAAAACAAAGTTAGTAACTAGGTGATTAGTTCTTCAGATTTTCAATAAAAATATGAGCCCAGAAAATCTTAGATTGATTTATATTGCCTCCTCCTAGCCCCCAGCCTACCAACACACACACGCGCGCACACACACACACAAACACCGCGTCACTGCATACCCCTAGAAATGACTCATGTCCTTTTAGTTTACCCCTGGTTGAGGTCAGACAGGAAAAATGATTACACTGCCTATTTCCCCTAACCAAGAAAATTCCAGTGAAAGGAAAAGGGAGAAGGATGTAGATGAATGGCCAGAAGCACTCTCAGTTGCTGATAACAGGAGCACCCTGTCAACTGGGGCCAAGCCAACCACTGAACTTCAGACTTGAGCTCCTTTAAACGTATTCTTCAGACGACAGGAACTCAGTCAAGTGGGAACAAACCCATGGTTCGGTTGAGATGTCTAGGAGAATCATGGGGCAGGTCCAGACAGAAGCTATACCATTCTCAGCTGCTCTCCAACATGACAGACCCCAAGCCTCCTCTCTGGAGAAAATGGGGCAGAAAAGAATGCTTAATGAGGTGAGTTGTGATCACTGAAGAGGGAGCTTCCCCACTAAGGCCCCAAACCTCAACTCAGAGGGCTCCCTTTTTCACGCAGTGCTCTCACTAGAAGTCAGTGGGGGCTCTATGCTTTGTGCAAGGGACATGCAGGGACGCAGGTGGGGAGCCTGGGTGTCACGATTACCCAGCACCAGAGCAGCATAATGCAGACACTGAGACATTTGGGGAGATGCAGATGCTGACTGAAATTTGTCTAAGCCCCAAATCAATGGCTCTGGAAAAACAATTAAAAGGAAGCATACAGGACAGAAAACAAGCAGTAGTTTACAGGACATTTTGCACTGCCCAGGTGAAATCATCCACCTTTAGAAGCTTATTAAATAAATGTTAACAAGGAAAGAACCAAGATATGAAAAGCTATAGGACTAGGGTACATTTTGTTTAAGACAATTCCCCCAAGAAATGTTAGGGAAAACAAAGGAGATGCTTCAAACTTTTTCCAAGTGTAAGATGCTCCATAAAATGTCTCTTATGCTAAGTGTTTTGTATTTGAGATTAGGAGGGTGCTATTTTGGAAAATATAGATGTGCAACAGGCAGAGAAAGGAATGAGAAAGAAGCCACAAAAGCAGTAGAAAAATAAACTGCAGCAACTGTAGGAATCAAAATGGACTTGACATTTCGTACCAGTACAACTGGAAAACTCTTGCTCAAATTCCTTAACAATTGCCTTTAAATTTAAAAGCTGCATTCTAACTTTTTAAAAATGTCAAGCCAAAAAAATGTCAAATCCAAGAAGCAGAAAGTACATGTTTGGCAGGCAATCACTCCTGTGCTCTAACCTCAGACCACTTAGTTTCCCCCACATTATTTTTCTTCAGGTTCAATAGCATTTTTTAAATCTAACAAGCAGAAGAAAATTGAAGATAGAAAAATGGATAGGAATATAAATGTGAACTTAGATTCTATCTCTACATATGTAAGAGGATGAGTGAGACAAATATACTCCAAGGAAATTCTTAAATTTCTGCTTCAAATCAACTCCTGCAAAATGTAGTGGCTTTCAACTGAACAATGTTAGTGTGTTTAGTATCACCTTAAAATGAAATGCTCAAATGAATGCAATGAGAGCAGATTTTAGCATGGAACCTGGTCACCCCAGAATCAAGATCCTCTTTTTTTTTTTTTTTTTTGATGGAGTCTCACTCTGTCACCCAGGCTGGAGTGCAGTGGCGTGATCTCAGCTCACTGCAACCTCTGCCTCCTGGGTTCAAGTGATTCTCCTGCCTCAGCCTCCCGAGTAGCTGGGACTATAGGCACGTGCCACCACACCTGGCTAATTTTTTGTATTTTTAGTAGAGATAGGGTTTCACCACGTTGGCCAGGATGGTCTCGATCTCCTGACCTCGTGATCCGCCCGCCTCAGCCTCCCAAAATGCTGTGATTACAGGCGTGAGCCACCGCGCCCGGCCTCTTTCTTTTTTCCTCTAGTAATCCACTGTTTTCTTTTCTACTCCAAACTAATGAAACAAGAAGTTATTCTGACCCCAATACCTTTCGAGTCTCATTGGTCATTATCAACATATAATAAGAATTGTCAATTCTTTGTCCACTAATTCAGCAAACTTTTATTGTGTGTTACTTCTCTGGTGGGGGTTGTGTTATGCCCTGGTTGTGCAGTAGTAACAAAGCATGTCCTTGCCTATAAGCTGGTCAGAGTTCAGATTGGAAGACCTTCAAATAGACAGGCAATTAAAATGTGGAGTAACAAGTGCTGTGGCCAGAGGTGTACAAGCTGCACAAGAGGGATGAGTGAGAAGGATGGGAAGCCATGGAAGGATGTCTGAGCTGCACCAAGGCTCAGCCTTTGCCATTTTTAATTGTAAGCTCTGCAACAGCAGGACTATATCATTTCATCAGTGTGTGCTCAGTACCTAGCACAATGCCTGGCATATAGTAGGCACTCAATAAACAATACTCAGGATGAAAGCCTTTCTTCGAAAAAATTGCAAGGAAAGAATCTGCTTGAACATTTCCCACTTTCCATTTTCATAGCAGAAAACATATCTGTAATGGATGTGTGCTAGGTAAATAAATGAATGGGAAAAAATGACAACAGTCATGCGCTGCATAACATTTATTCAGTGATGGGCTACATATCTGACAGTGGTCCCATAAGATTATAATGCCATATTTTTACTGTCCTTTTCTATGTTTCAATACACAAATATTTACCATTGTGTTATAATTACCTACAGTATTCAGGACAGTAACATGCTGTTGTTAACAAATGACCATGAGATCTACGGAGAAAGGAATAGGAGAAAACTTTATTTTCAGACAGACAATCTGCAGATCAGGAAATGTAGCCTCCAGGGAAATCAAAAGCACACACTCCAAAGGGGGAAGAGGGAAACTGGCATTTATGTCTTTCAGGTCTGCCTCACATGTATATTTAGCAGGTTTGGGGAAAATCTATGAATATTTATGAGGGAAGCCAAGCACGTGTGTAGTAGGCAAACATACATATACATTTTATGTTTATTTGGGGGGGTGGGGATGAGGATGTCAAAATGTGAATTACAGGGCATAAAAGAGGTTTTTTGCAGTCTCTGTTTGCCGGCTGAAATTGGCTTGAGGTCTGTGCTGTTTATCAGGAAAGAAGGTTTACAAGGTCAGTCTGCTGTCCAATCGGGGTTGCTGGCAGGCCCACAAAGCAGGGTCAGGCCAGCTGGCATCGGGCAGTCCACTAAGCATCAGTTGGGAAACTCCCAGTTATAGCTGTTTTGACAATTTCTTAAAGGGTGAGCTTCTGCTCAATTATAGGAGAAAAGATGTTATGGCAGTCAGTAATATAGGGGTATGTGACCAACCCCTCTCTCTGCTATGGCTGCTTGATTTCATCTTGGTGTGTCTCATTTTAGCCACAGGGAATCCATTTTGTCTGTCAGCCAGGGGTATATTTTAACACTGCACAGGTTAGTAGCCTAGGAGGAATAAGCTATATCACCTAGCTTAGGTGTGTAGTAGGCTATACCATCTAGGTTTGTGTACACACACCCTATGATGTTCATGCAATGAGAAAATCCACCTAATGATGCACTTCTCAGAACGTATCCCCATCATTAAATGACATATGACTGTATTTAGAGAAGAAGGAGTCAGTTCAGTTCCACAACTATCCTGAAGGACAGTTCAGTTCCAAAACTTTGAGTGCCAGCCATGTCCCAGACCTGGCACTGTGTGCTGGGGCTACAGAGGCGGCTTAGACACAGGCTCTGTCTTCAGGATGCTAATTGTTTTCTGGGGGTGGCAATGCAGGATGACAGAGAAGTGATGATTCTGTGTATTTAGGTCATTTGGGTATAAAAGGCATCTTTCCCCTCAGCAGGTAGAAGAGTGCATTAGAGAGGCAGATATGGCATGGCAAGATGTCCTTGGAGATTGTTCCAACTTCACAACAGTTTGAATGCATTCAGAGTAATCCTGCACATTAGAAGAAATACCAAGTTATCAAGAGGCCCAGCCTATGTGTAAATAAGCACTGGTATTTTAATTTGGGGGAAAAATCTGCTGACAATATATAATCAGATTTCAAAGGATGCAAACATCATGAAGAATCTTTGCTTTGGTTTGAAGTTTAAACATAACTAATGCTCAAGCAACCCATGAAAGGAATGGAGGCCCCAGAGTGGGGATGAGGGTGTTTCTAGAAATGGAGAGTAAGGGGAGAGAGGGAAGGTTTGCATATGTTGATGGGGTTCCAATTTTCACTATAGACCACTAGTTCTAAAGTGAGTTGTCTTAGTATGGCATCCATCATCATGAAAGAAAATGTAGAATTTAGAAAGTGTATAATCAGAACCTAGACAACAGATGAGCTAGGCAGAATGGCAAACTTTGAGGCCTATGGGATATGGGCCAAATTCAGCCTAGAAATGTGTTTTGTTTGGTCAGCACTGCAAAACAACAACGAAAAAACTAAAACAAACAAACAAACAAACAAAAAAAGGAAGACGAATTTGAATGCCTTAAGCTAAAACAAGCACTCTCTGGTTTGCCACACCTCCCACCATTCCTTATTGTCTTGCACTCATCTACTTTGCTCATGTTCTCTATTCTGTGCCTGGCCCCTGAGTGGGCATTTGGGTTTGTAACCCCTGAGCTAGTGACTTCTCATTCCCATTTAACAGCTGGAAGAGCAAATGCTTCAAATTGGCATTGCAGAACCCCTAATTTTAAGGGAAATTGTAAGAGTGACGGCAGACCAGCAAATGTTAGCAAGGGAAGCTGAAATTGTAATGGCTGCCTTGAACTGTGTGGGCTAGAATTTTGTCCTAGCTCACCACTACTCCAAATCTTGGGACTGCCATTTGCCATCTCTATTCCTTACCACTGCCATAGTATCCAAAGCAAAGGTGGACAAGAAGTCCTATTCCATCCAAAAGCTACTCTATAGTCACTTCAAGGATTGGAACGTATTTTTCCTTCTGCATTTTGTATCCCCAACAACTGGAGAAGAAGAGCAATGGAAAAGCAAGAGAAAAACAGTACTGGCATTTCTTGAGGGGCAGGGAAGAGAGGCATAGGCAAGAGCACAGAGTATAACAGATAAAGGTGAAGAGGAAAAGTAAATCAGGCAGAAGGGAGCCAAAAGAGAACTTGAGGCAGGCATGGTGGAGATTCTGAATAATGGAATATTAGCTCTTCTTAAAGGTTTATCTGCCCCTCTCTAGTCACTGACTCAGAGTACAAGCACTGGAAGGAGCCTAGATTAACTCTGTGGCCCAACCTCCTTACTCCACAGAGGAAGAAAAGAAAGTCAGAAGAGCAATGACTTGCTCAAGGTCACACAGCAAGTGAGTAATGTGCTCACCTGAATCTTGAAGTAAGGTGTCCTGTGATTTCCCAAGCTCTTTTCACTCACAACCATGCAATGGCAGGGTGGACCTACTTAGGAGCAGGGAGATTTCACCCTGGCTGTCTTCCAAAGTCAATGTATCCTAGGGTTAGAATGTTGGAGGGAACATTCATTCATTCAAGAGTAAGCAATGCTGGGGAGTGAAAAATGGCTTCCCTCCACCTTTCTAGGTTCCTTGGTTGGGTAACAAGTTAAATTGACACAAGACGGGTTAACAGAAGAAAAACCATATTTAATTCTGTATATATACACAAGAGTCTCACAAAAACATAAGACTTGAGGAAGGGTCAGATGATTGAAGGTAAAGAAAGGAATAGGGGTTTCTGGCTTCGGGGGGATGGTGACAACACAAGTTATGGGAGAGTGAGAGGAGGAAATGTATGGTAAATAAAGGTTGTCTTGTTACACAGATAAAAAGTCTCTTAGGTAATAAAAGTTGTCTCGGAGTAGCCCTCTGAAGAATAGGTCATTATCTGGGTTTGGTCTCCACCTCCAGTCTCCTCTCCTGTGATCCCAGTTAATCTTCCCTGGCTAATAAGATTCCAGGGGAGGGGATTCTTGACAATTGAGTTCCTTTTGGAGAATCCATTTATAGACAGATAAGGCTCAGACAAAACCTCTGCCTGTATCTGCTGTTTCCGAAGTGCCCTCAGTTCCAAGTAATGAACATACCAAATCATCATATTTTGGAGCCACATTTCCTGAACAGAGCACCTGCTTATAGGTCAGGTACTGTGCTTGACTCTGATTAGGCAAAGAGCAAGAAACCACAGTCTGTTCTAATGCTGGGCACAGAGTATGTGGTCAGAAACTGTTTCTCAACAGTCTAGGGCAGTGCTGCCCAATAAAAAAAGAATTTAAGCTACAAATATGAAAAAATAAAAATAAAAAAATAAAAAAATGAACTACATATATAATTTTCATTTTTATAGTAGACTCATTAAAAAGGGTAAAAAGAAACAGCTGAAATTAATTTTAATGATATATTATATTTAGTCCAGTATATCTAAAATGTTATCATTTCCACATGTAATCAATATAAAAGTTATTAATGAGATACCTTGCATTCTTTTTTTGTACCAAGTCTTGGAAATCCAGTATGTATTTCTCACTTACAGCATACCTCAGTTTGGATTAGCTACATTTCAATTGCTCAATAACCACATGTGGCTAGTGACCATGGTACTGGATCATGCAGGCTCAAGATGAATGACAGCACTTGCTCACAAATACCTAGCTTTGCGAACTGTCAGGCTAGTCTGTCTGCAGCTTCGTAAGCTATGAGCCCACAGCTTGGCCACATAAAGTTGGTGTCTTAGTCTCCGTTTTGTGCTGCTATAACAGAATACCTGAGACTGGATAATTTATAAAGAACAGGAATTTATTCTCTCACAGACACTGTGGCTGGGAAGTGCAAGATGAAGATGCTGGCAGATTAGGGCCTGATTTCTCTGCTTCCATGCTGGGTCCTTGAATGCTCCATCATCCAGATGGGATGAATGCCATGTCTTGACATGGCAAAAGGAGAGAATCCACCTCTGCAAGCCCCCTTTATGGTAGCATCAATCTATTTATGAGGGCAGAACCCTTATGACCTAAACACCTCTCAAAAGGTCCCACCTCCCAACACTGTTGCATTAGGGGTGATTAAGTTTCCAACACATGAATTTTAAGGGACACATTCAGACTATAGCAGCTGGGAAGTGAGGTGGAGGGGACAGAGGGAGGCAGGTTCCGAATACAGTAGACCTTAGGCCTTCGGGGATTTGATGATTTCATCTATTCACGCCATATCTTAAGCAGTTCAGCCAGTGAGCTAGTGCAGCATACATAACTGTACATGGCTTTGTTGTTGTCAATGTTAGAAGTTTCATGCCAATTAAAGAGTGGAATAATAAAATCAGTGGTGGCTGTACTCTCCATGGTAAACAGGTCTGTTTGTTATGTGATTTAGACAGCAACAAGAAACCTCAATTCAAGCAATTGCTTCAGGTGTTCAAATCAGTATAAAATTACTCATCAGAGGGGTTTTCCTCTGCTTTGGGTGGTGGCCGCTGCCAGACTTCAGCTTCCAGTCCGCGGAGGCCAAGGCAGCGTAGACAGAGGCCCTGGCACCCAGCGCCCCGCCGCCCGCAAGCCTCGCGCCTGTCCGCCGCGCCCCGAGCCCGCCGCTTCCGGTCTCAGCGCCTGCCGCAGCAGCTGCGGCCCAGCGAGCGGCCCAGATGCAGGCCATCAAGGGTGTGGTGGTGGGAGACGGAGCTGTAGGTAAAACTTGCCTACTGATCAGTTACACAACCAACGCATTTCCTGGAGAAGATATCCCTACTGCCTTTGACAATTATTCTGCCAATGTTATGGTAGATGGAAAACTGGTGAATCTGGGCTTATGGAATACAGCTGGACAAGAAGATTATGACAGATTACGCCCCCTATCCTATCCGCAAGCAGATGTGTTCTTAATTTGCTTTTCGCTTGTGAGTCCTGCATCATTTGAAAATGTCCTTGCAAAGTGGTATCCTGAGGTGCAGCACCACTGTCCCAACACTCCCATTATCCTAGTGGGAACTAAACTTGATCTTAGGGATGATAAAGACAGGATCCAGAAACTGAAGGAGAAGAAGCTAACTCCCATCACCTATCCGCAGGGTCTAGCCATGGCTAAGGAGATGGGTGCTGTAAAATACCTGGAGTGCTTGGCCCTCACAAGGCGAGGCCTCAAGACAGTGTTTGACGAAGCGATCCGAGCTGTCCTCTGCCCACCTCCCGTGAAGAAGAGGAAGAGAAAATGCCTGCAGTTGTAAATGTCTGAGCCCCTAGTTCTTGGTCCTGTCCCTTGGAACCTTTGTTCGCTTTGCTCAAAAAACGGTGGAGCCTTTGCACTCAATGCCAACTTTTTGTTACAGATTAATTTTTCCATAAATCCATTTTGAATCAATCAGTATCTTTTAGGTTTTGTTTGTTCTAAATGTAAGAGTTCAGACTCACATTCTATTAAAATTTAGCCCTAAAATGGAAAAAAAAAATTACTAATCAGAGGAAAACCAGAACTTTAATTTATTTCAAAAAGGCCTGAAGAGGCCGGGTCGGTGGCTCACGCCTGTAATCCAGCACTTTGGGAGGCCGAGGCCCACAGATTGCCTGAGCTCAGGAGTTCAAGACCAGCCTGGGCAAAAACGTGAAACTCCGTCTCAACTAAAATACAAAAAATTAGCCAGACGTGGCGGTGTGCGCCTGTACTCCCAGCTATTCAGGAGGTTGAGGCTGGAGAAGCGCTTGAACCCAGGAGGCAGAGGTTGCAGTGAGCCAAGATTGTGCCACTGCACTCCAGCTCAGGCAACAGAAAAAAAAAATCCTGAGGAACACAAATATGACAACAGAAATGAAAGTGGCAATCTTAAATCTGAGGGTTCCCAATGGTCTCCAGATCTAACCCAGGAGAATGTTAGGGGTCTACTAACATTAATATTCTGGCCTTATCTCAAGACCTCAGCCTCCCCAGTGTGAGCAATGCCTTGGTCTCTGGCTTTCTTCTCCTCAAGTATTTCTACTTACAACCTATTTGCTGCCAGTGTCCAGCCTGAGAGCATCTTGGCTTCTATCATTTTCACCATGCAATATCAAGTGTTATTCACAAAAGAGCTCATAGGCTGGATAATACAAAATGTTAGCATCACAAAGCAGTCAGAATTGCTTGCTATTTTCAAAACCCTGCCTGCATGTGACTCTTCTAGGAACTGTAGTTTGAGATTCTAGAATGTGAGGACAAATTCTAAGTGGGCTCAGATTTCATTTTGTTCCCAGAATCACGTACCATTAGACGGGACCTTAGAGATAATCTAGTTCCATTTCCACTCTTTTATATTATAAATGAAGAAACTGAAACTCAGAGAGGGGAATTGACTTGCCTAAGAACTGACAGAAAAGGTACTAGAACCAAAGGCTTTCAGTGTCATGTTCAGTGAATTTTATGGCATTCCTCTTGGTTCTAAGAAGGCCTATGTGTTTTAAGATATCACGGACAAACAGTGAACATCATGTCTCCATTCAGTGAATACTTTGACCTCAAACCAGTCAAATAAAGATTTTTTTTTAAATTATACTTTAAGTTCTGGGCTATATGTGCAGAACGTGCAGGTTTGTTAAGTAGGTATACACGTGCTGTGGTGGTTTGCTGCACCCATCAACTCGTTATCTATATTAGGTATCCCTCCCCTAGCCCTCCACCCCCCGACAGGCCCCAGTGTGTGATGTTCCCCTCCTTGCATCCATGTGTTTCATTGTTCAACTCCCACTTATTAGTGAGAACATGGGGTGTTTGGTTTTCTGTTCCTGTGTTAGTTTGCTGAGAATGATGGTTTCCAGCTTCATCCATGGCCCTACAAAGGACATGAACTCATCCTTTTTTATGGCTGCATAGTATTCCAAGGTGTATATGTGCCACATTTTCTTTATTCAGTCGATTGTTGATGGGCATTTGGGTTGGCTCCAAGTCTTTGCTATTGTGAATAGTGCTGCAATAAACATACATGTGCATGTGTCTTTATAGTAGAAAGATTTATAATCCTTTGGGTATATACCCAGTAATGGGATGGCTGGGTCAAATGGTATTTCTGGCTCTAGATCCTTGAGGAATTGCTACACTGTCTTCCACAATGGTTGAATTAATTTACACTGCCACCAACAGTGTAAAAGCATTCCTATTTCTCCACATCCTCTCCAGCATCTATTGTTTCCTGACTTTTTAATGATTGCCATTCTAACTGGTGTAAGATGGTATCTCATTGTGGTTTTGATTTGCATTTCTCTAATGACCAGTGATGATGAGCTCTTTTTCATATGTTTGTTGGCCACATAAATGTCTTCTTTTGAGAAGTATCTGTTTATATCATTCACCCACTTTTTGATGGGGTTGTTTGTTTTTTTCTTGTAAATTTGTTTAAGTTCCTTGTAGATTCTGGATATTAGTCCTTTGTCAGATGGATACATTGCAAAAATTTTCTCCCATTCTTTAGGTTGCCCATTCACTCTTACGATAGCATCTTTTGCTGTGCAGAAGCTCTTTAGTTGAATTAGATCCCATTTGTCAGTTTTGGCTTTTGTTGCCATTGCTTTGGGTTTTAGTCATGAAGTCTTTGCCCATGCCTATGTACTGAATGGTATTGCCTAGGTTTTCTTCTAGGGTTTTTAATGGATGTAGGTCTTACATTTAAGTCTTTAATCCATCTTGAGTTAATTTTTGTATAAGGTGTAAGGAAGGGGTCCAGTTTCAGTTTTCTGCACATGGCTAGCCAGTTTTCCCAACACCATTTATGGAATAGGGCATCCTTTCCCCATTGCTTGTTTGTGTCAGGTTTGTCAAAGATCAGATGGTTGTAGATATGTGGTGTTATTTCTGAGGCCTCTGTTCTGCTCCATTGGCCTATATATCTGTTTTGGTACCAGTACCATGCTGTTTTGGTTACTGTAGCCTTGTAGTATAGTTTGAAGTCAGGTAGCCTCCAGCTTTGTTCTTTTTGCTTAGGATTGTCTTGGCTATACGGGCTCTTTTTTGGTTCCATATGAAATTAAAAGTAGTTTTTTATAATTCTGTGAAGAAAGTCTCCCCCCCGCACCCCCCTTGTCCTCCTCCTCCTCCTCCTCCTCCTCCTCATCTTCCATTTCTTTCAGCTGGGCTCTCCTACTTGTGTTGCTCTGTTGCTCACGCTGGTCTCAAACTCCTGGCCTTGACACTTCTCCCGTCACATCTGCCATCTGGTTGTTGAAATGAGCATCTCTCGTAAAATGGAAAAGATGAAAGAAATAAACACGAAGACGGGAAAAAAAAAAAAAGTCAATGGTAGCTTGATGGGAATAGCGTTGAATCTATAAATTACTTTGGGCAGTACAGCCATTTTCACGATATTGATTCTTACTATTCATGAGCATGGAATGTTTTTCCATTTGTTTGTGTCCTCTCTTATTTCCTTGAGCAGTGGTTTGTAGTTCTCCTTGAAGAGGTCCTTCATATCCCTTGTAATTGTATTCCTAAGTGTTCTATTCTCTTTGTAGTGATTGTGAATGGGAGTTCACTCATGATTTGGCTCTCTGTTTCCCTAATATTGGTGTATAGGAATGCTTGTGATTTTTGCACATTGATTTTTTATCCTGAGACTTTGCTGAAGTTGCTTATCAGCTTAACGAGATTTTGGGCTGAGACAATTGGGTTTTCTTTTTCTTTCTTTCTTTTTTTTTTTCTTTTTTGAGACAGAGTTTCGCTCTGTCACCCAGACTGGAGTGCAATGGCGTGATCTCAGCTCACTGCAACCTCTGCCTCCCAGGTTCAAGTGATTCTCCTGCCTCAGCCTCCGGAGTAGCTGGGATTACAGGCATCCACCATCACACCCAGCTAATTTTCATATTTTTAGTAGAAATGGGGTTTCACCAGGTTGGCCAGGCTGGTCTTGAACTCATGACCTCAGATGATCCCCCCGCCTCTGCCTCCCAAAGTGCTGGGATTACAGGTGTGAGCCACCATGCCTGACCAATGATTGGGTTTTCTAAATATACAATCATGTCATCTGCAAACAGAGACAATTTGACTTCCTCTCTTCCTATTTGAATACCCTTTATTTCTTTCTCTTGTCTGATTGCCCTGGTCAGAACTTCCAATACTATGTTGAATAGGAGTGGTGAGAGAGGGCATCCTTTTCTTATGCCAGTTTTCAAAGGGAATGCTTCCAGCTTTCGCTCATTCAGTATATTGGCTGTGGGTTTGTCATAAATAGCTCTTATTATTTTGAGATACGTTCCATCAATACCTAGCTTATTGGGAGTTTTTAGCATGAAGGGGTGTTGAATTTTATCAAAGGCCTTTTCTGCATCTGTTGAGATAATCGTGTGGTTTTTGTCATTGGTTTTGTTTATGTAATGGATTACATTTATTGATTTGTGTATGTTGAACCAGCCTTGCATCCCAGGGTTGAAGCTGACTTGATTGTGGTGGATAAGCTTTTTGATGTGCTGCTGGATTCGGTTTGCCAGTATTTTATTGAGGATTTTTGCATGGATGTTCATCAACGATATTGGCCTGAAATTTTCTTTTTTTTGTTGTGTCTCTGCCAGGTTTTCATATCAGGATGATGCTGGCCTCATAAAATGAATTAGGGAGGAGTCCCTCTTTTTCTATTGTTTGAAATAGTTTCAGAAGGAATGGTATCTGGTAGAAGTCAGCTGTAAATCCATCTGGTCCTGGGCATTTTTTCGTTGGTAGGCTATTAATTACTGCCGCAATTTCAGAACTTGTTATCGGTCTATTCAGGGATTTGACTTCTTCCTGGTTTAGTCTTGGGAGGGTGTGTGTGTCCAGGAATTTATCCATTTCTTCTATATTTTCTAGTTTATTTGCATAGAGGTGTTTATAGTATTCTCTGATGGTAGTTTGTATTTCTGTGTGACCAGTGGTGATCTCCCCTTTATCATTTTTTATTGTGTCTCTTTGATTCTTCTCTCTTTTCTCCTTTATTAGTCTGGCTAGTGGTCTATCTATTTTGTTAATCTTCAAAAAATCAGCTCCTGGATTCATTGATTTTTTGAAAGGTTTTTCATCTCTTTATATCCTTCAGTTCTGCTCTGATCTTAGTTATTTCTTGTCTTCTGCTAGCTACTGAATTTGTTTCCTCTTGCTTCTCTAATTCTTTTAATTTTGATGTTGGAGTGTCGACTTTAGATCTTTCCTGCTTTCTCCTTTGGGCATTTAGTGCTATAAATTTCCCTCTAAACACTGCTTTAGCTGTGTCCCGGAGATTCTGGTACATTATATCTTTGTTCTCATTGGTTTCAAAGAACTTATTTATTTCTGCCTTAATTTTGTTATTTACCCAGTAGTCATTCAGGAGCAGGTTATTCAGTTTCCAGGTAGTTGTGCGGTTTTCTGTGCGTTACTTAATCCTGAGGTCTAATTTGATTGCACTGTGGTCTGAGAGACTGTTTGTTATGATTTCCATTCTTTTGCATTTGCTGAGGAGTGTTTTACTTCCAATTATGTGGTCAATTTTAGAATAAGTGCAATGAGGTGCTGAGAAGTATGTATATTCTGTGGATTTGGGGTGGAGAGTTCTGTAGATGTCTATTAGGTCCACTTGGTCCAGAGCTGAGTTCAAATCCTGAATATCCTTGTTAATTTTCTGCCTTGTTGATCTGTCTAATATTGACAGTGGGATGTTAAAGTCTCCCACTATTATTGTGTGGGAGTCTAAGTCTCTTTGTAGGTCTCTAAGGACTTGCTTTATGAATCTGGGTGCTCCTGTATTGGGTGCATATGTATTTCAGATAGTTAGCTCTTCTTGTTGCATTGATCCCTTTACCATGGTGTAATGCCCTTCTTTGTCTTTTTTGATCTTTATTGGTTTAAAGTCTGTTTTATCTGAGACTAGCATTGTAACCCCTGCTTTTTTTTTCTTTCCATTTGCTTGGTAAATATTGCTTCATCCCTTTATTTTGAGCCTACGTGTGTCTTTGCACATGAGATGGGTCTCCTGAATACAGCACACTGATGGGTCTTGACTCTTTATCCTATTTGCTAGTCTGTGTCTTTTAATTGGGGCATTTTGCCCATTTACATTTAAGATTAATATTGATATGTGTGAATTTGATCATGTCATTATGATGCTAGCTTGTTATTTTGCCCATTTGTTGATGCAGTTTCTTCATAGTGTCAATGGTCTTTACAATTAGGTATGTTTTTGCAGTAGCTGGTACTGGTTTTTCCTTTCCATATTTAGTACTTCCTTCAGGAGCTCTTGTAAGGCAGGCCTGGTGGTGAAAAAATCTCTCAGCATATGCTTGTCTGTAAAGGATTTTACTTCTCCTTTGCTTATGAATCTTAGTTTGGCTGGGTAGGAAATTATGGGTTGCAAATTCTTGTCTTTAAGAATGTTGAATATTGGCCCCCACTCTCTTCTGGGCTGTAGGGTTTCTGCAGAGAGATCTGTTCTTAGTCTGATGGGCTTCCCTTTGTGGGTAACCCAACCTGTCTCTCTGGCTGCCCTTAACATTTTTTACTTCATTTCAGCCTTGGTGAATCTGACGATTATGTGTCTTGGGGTTGCTCTTCCCAAGGAGTATCTTTGTGGTGTTCTCTGTATTTCCTGAATTTGAATGTTGGCCTGTCACTTTCAGGTACACCAATCAAATGTAGGTTTGGTCTTTTCACATAGTCCCATATTTCTTGGAGGCTTTATTTGTTCCTGTTCATTCTTTTTTCTCTAATCTTGTCTTCACACTTTATTTCATAAAATTGACCTTCAATCTCTGATATCCTTTCTTCTGCTTGATCAATTCAGCTATTGATACCTGTATATGCTTCAGGAAGTTCTTGCGCTGTGTTTTTCAGCTCCTCCAGGTCATTTATGTTCTTCTCTAAACTGGTTATTCTAGTTAGCAATTCCTCTAACTTTTTTTCAAGGTTCTTGGCTTCCTTGCATAGGGTTAGAACATGCTCCTTTAGCTCAGAGGAGTTTGTTATTACTCACCTTCTGAAGCCTACTTCTGTCAATTCATCAAACGAATTCTTTGTCCAGTTTTGTTCCCTTGCTGGTGAGGAGTGGTGATCCTTTGGAGAAGAGGCATTCTGGTTTTTGGAATTTTCACCCTTTTTCCACTGGTTTTTCCTCATCTTCATAGATTTATCTACCTTTGGTCTTTGATGTTGGCGACCTTCGGATGGGGTTTCTGTGTGGACGTTCTTATTGTTGATGTTGATGCTATGCCTTTCTGTTTGTTAGTTTTCCTTCTAACAGTCAGGCCCCTCTGCTGTAGGTCTGCTGGAGTTTGCTGGAGGTCTACTCCAGACCCTGTTTCCCTGGGTATCACCAGCAGAGGCTGCAGAACAGCAAAGACTGCTGCCCGTTCCTTCCTCTGGAAGCTTCATCCCAGAGGGGCATGCACCAGATGCCAGCATATGAGGTGTCCGTTGACCCCTGCTGGGAGGTGTCTCCCAGTCAGGAGGCACGGCGGTCAGGGACCCACTTGAGGAGGCAGTCTCTCCCTTAGCAGAGCTCAAAGGCTGTGCTGGGAGATCTGCTGCTCTCTTCAGAGTCAGCAGGCAGGAAGGTTTAAGTCTGCTGAAGCCGCACCCACAGCCACCCCTTCCCCCAGGTGCTCTGTCCCAAGGAGATGGGAGTTTTATCTATAAGCCCCTGACTGGGGCTGTTGCCTTTCTTTCAGAGATGCCCTGCCCAGAGAGGAGGATCTAGAGAGGCAGTCTGGCTACAGCGGCTTTGCCAAGCTGCGGTGGGCTCTGCCTGGTTCAAACTTCCTGGTAGCTTTGTTTACGCTGTGAGGGGAAAACCGCCTACTCAAGCCTCAGTAATTGCGGACGTCCCTCCCCCCACCACCAAGCTTGAGTGTCCCAGGTCCACTTCAGACTACTGTGCTGGCAGCGAGAATTTCAAGCCAGTGGATCTTAGCTTGCTGGGCTCTCTGGGGGTGGGATCTGCTGAGCTAGACCACTTGGCTCCCTGGTTTCAGCCCCCTTTCCAGGGGAGTAAATGGTTCTGTCTCGCTGGTGCTCCAGGCACCACTGAGGTATGAAAAAAAACTCCTGCAGCTAGTTCAGTGCCCAAATGGCTGCCCAGTTTTGTGCTTGAAACCCAGGGCACTGGTGGTGTAGGCACCCAAGGGAATCTCCTGGTCTGCATGTTGAAGACCGTGGGAAAAGCATAGTATCTGGACCGGAATGCACCCTTCCTCATGGCACTGTCCCTCATGGCTTCCCTTGACTATGGGGAGGGAGTTCCTAGACCCTTTGCACTTCCGGGGTGAGGTGATGCCCCATCCTGTCTTGGCTCACCCTCCATGGGTTGCACCCACTGTCTAACCAGTCCCAATAAGATGCGCTGGGTACCTTAGTTGGAAATGCAGAAATCGCCTGCCTTCTGTGTTGATCTCCCTGGGAGCTGCAGACCGGAGCTGCTCCTATTCGGCCATCTTGCCAGTCAGCCAAACCAAGATTTTTAAAGGCCCTTTTTTCCAGTCCTGAGACACTTTTATTTTGGGGGGACTCCATGGTTGTCAAACATATCAATATGTCCTCTCTTGAGAGTGTGTGTGAGCTGTCTTTGTGTTTACTTTCAAGAGAAAATGACTATTCTCATTTTCTAGATCTCCACTTGAGCCCTATTCCAATGTGATTATGCCCACCATTCTTGCCTGTACCTACCATTGTCACCTCCAAATCTGGAAATAGGGTTTGAGAGTGACGAGTGTGCCCTCTGCTGACTGGATGTCTGCTCTGCAGTCATGTCCAAACAACTCATACTTGCACATTTAGAGCCTCAGCTACCTGAGAGATACCTTACATGGAACCAAGGCAAGAACAAGAATTTATTTATCTCTTATAAAGACTCTTAAAATGTTATGGCAAATCAATGTCTTTGATACTTTGTATTAGTCCTTATAATGAGGAAAGAAGCTATTATTAAAGAAGTTTCCAAGTTCTGATTTTCTACATATTTTTTCAGAAAACTACATTTCTAACATTTACCATCCTCCCACTCTACATAAAAAGTTAAAACATATAAACAGTGCTTTAAAATGTGGACTATAACTCAGTACAATAACAAGCTTTTAAAATAGAACTTAAAAGGAGCCCCTTTTCTGAGAGCATGAAAAGTAATTGGAAATACATTTTGAGTGCTTCCTAGATCCCTAGCTCTCCTGGGGTGTGCTTTAGGATGTGTCACTTTTCTCACATGCCTCTTCCTACCCTCCCCCCACCAGAGCTGCCTTGGGAGCTGCAAGCCTCTCATTCTCAAGCCTTTTCAGCTGGAGGCCTGGCTGCACTCTCCCAGCATTGCTTTCTATCAGGGCCTCTCCTTTCCCACTCCCTTTCTCATATTCTCTCTCTCTTTCTTTCTTTCTCTTATTTCTTTCCTTCCTTCCTTCCTTTCTTTATTTCTCTTTTTTCTTTCTTTTTCTTTCTTCTTTCTCTTTCTTTTTTCTCTTTCTTTCCTTTCTTTCTTTCTCTTCCTTCCCTCCCTCCCTCCTTCCCTCCTCTTTCTTTCTTTCTTTTCCTTCCTTCTCTCCCTCCCTCCCTTCTTTCTTTCTTTCTCTCGTCTCTCTCTTTCTTTCCTTTCTTTCGCTTTCTCCCTCCCTTCCTTTTTTTATTCCTTTCCTCCTTCCTTGCTTTCTTTCTTCTTCTCTTTCTTTCTTTCTTTCCTTCCTTCCTTCCTTCTCACTCTTTTTCTCTTCCTTTCTTTCTTTTCCTTCCTTCCTTCTTTCTTGCTGTCTTTCTCTTCCTTCCTTCCTTTGTTCTTCCTTCCTTCCCTCCCTCCCTCCTTTGTTTCTCTCTTTCCTTTCTTTCTTTCTCCCTTCCTTCCTTTCTTTCTTCCTTCCCTCCCTCCTTCCTGTCTTTCTATTTCTTTCTTTCTTTTTCTTTCCCCTTTCTCTCTTTTCTTTCTTCTTTTTCTTTTTTTTCTTTCTTCACTGCCTGAGATCAAGAGAGGCACCTCTAAAGCTACATACAACCCCACAAAGACAGACCTTGGTGCTGACACTGGAATTTGTTTGCCACCTGCAGAGAAAAGTAGATACCACTAAGGAACAAACATCAACCCATTTGAAAGTCTCTAGGAGCTCAGTGTTAGAATTAAGGCATAGATCTAGTTGGGAATGGGGCTGGATGGGGGTTGGAATCTCATGATTCTCTGCACATTCTCTTCAACCACCTGGGAGAGTTGGCAAATCCACATTCCTGCTTGGGATTCTGACTCAAGTGTAACTGTAGTTTGATTCCTCATGAAGGACAGGAAATGTCCCAGAGAGATTTAGAGAGATAGGGAGGGAGATAGAGAGGGAACAGGAGATGATAGGGAGGGAGCAGGGGATAGAGATAGAGAGGGAGCAGGGGATGCCTCAGGATTAGGTTTGAGCAAGAGAAGAAACAAAGGAAACCTTCAGACCAAGAAGGTGAAATAAGCCCAGGAAGATCCAGGAGGAAGAAGGAACATGAGAGTAGCTCCAGAATGGTGAACAAAACCTGAGTTCTTATTCAACCTGAAACACAGGAGAATAAGGGCTTGCCCCAGTCACTGCTCCAACTTACACCTTTGTTACCAGGTGGCAAACAGCGGCCACCTTTAACTCCCAGCCAAGCAGCCTGTGGTCACTGCTTCTGAACCTACTGAGGAGCCGTCCAAAAACTGTGTTAGAAAGGACAACTGTTACGATTCATGTTGACAATATTTCAAGATATGGGGCCAGTTGCCAGGTACAAATCCAGATATGTTAAGGAATGGTAGAAAAACTTGAATCCAATGTCCAACCCAGATTTTTTTTTCCTATTTAATTAGAAGCTGGAAAAGACCATCAAGGGAAAGCTTAACATCATTGTCCTTGGTGAGAAAAACTTAGCCCTGGGTTGAAGAAAAGATTTTGCTGCGGGAGGTGGGAATGGGGTTGGGCGGGTGGGTGTGTGAGGTGAAGCTGAGAGTTGGTTGCTGCTGCTCGTTTCCGGAGGAGGTGGGAAGTATTCCAGCCACAGCTCAAGGCACTCCGGGGACAGTTAGAGGGGTAGCATTCCCCAACTCCCCACCCCCTCCCCCGCCCCCTCCCCCGCCCCGGGAGGACGCGCCGCTCGTAAACTTAGTGCTGTTGTTCCTTTGGGTAGAGGTTTCCTGGATTTGGCGACAATTGGCGACCTGAGGGTGGGGGGTGGGGCGCGGAGGTGTGGGCCCTGAGAGAGTGTGTGTGAGCAAACGTCCCAAGCTACTAAGAGGTGGGATTTGTCTTCTCAATTTGTGGAGATAGGCTTTAATTTTGCCCAGCGAAGTTACGCCAACCTGATCAGTTTTTAACAGATGTTCCTAAGGTGTCGCTGGGGAACTTCAGGTCCACTTTCTCCACAAATGACGTAGAGAGTGCCAGGCTCTATGAGAATCGCGAGCATTCAAAATCTCTGATTACTGCACTTGGGCTGGGCTTGGGTGAGGTTTCTTCGGTTGCATTCCCCCCACGGCCCCAGACCTGATCCACTGCTTCCCACCCCATCCCCTGGGCCAGGCAGGTGCCTGCGTGGTGCAAACCCCAACCCCAACAACCCCCTCCCCCGCTCTACCTGTACCCCTGCGTCCCCGGAACCCTGGACTGGTCCGCATACTGAGTGCGTTGCGCGGTCTCTGTTGATTTAATACAAGTGCACCGTGAACGCGGAAAAATAAATAGCAGGAAAGACTTTTCTCCGTAGTGAAAAGTCTTTTCGAATAAATAAAAAGAGGCTGAGTTTTCACTGTTGAATGTAAATTCCTTTGAAGTGGAACTAATCATTTCAAGGATAGTTCACGTTGTCCTAACAACGCGGGTGAATGGCAAGAGCCCTTCTTTTTGTTAAAGATATGTTTTCTTTCTTTCAGTCAAAACTGATGATGATAACCCTTTCACGCTCTGTCCTCCAGGATCGTAAATCTCCACTCCCAGCTACCTAAATCGCACTTTCAGAAGCCAAGCCCCAGCGGGTGACCGCTTCTCAGACGGGGACCGGAGCACACCAGCTTCCCTCGGCCTCCCCGGCCCCCACCCCTGGGCTCCCCGCGCCCGTCGGAACCTTTCAGGGCCCACCTCCAGACCGTAGGGGGCGCTGCGGCAGGGGGAGCGGGCCGCCTGGATTGGGGTTGCAGCTGATCCCTGGGGAAGGGGGAAGTCTTGGGGTGCGAAGGCTGCAACTTCAAACTAAGCGGGATGCCGCGAGCTCCATACCCTCTAAGGCCCCTGTCAATCTCCTGGCCCCAGGAATGTGGAAAGTGTTCACAAAGGCTGAGTGTCCCTCTCCCGCCTTTATCAGCAGCTGGTGCCCACTTATTGGGAAGAAAAGGTCATCCCGAAACAATCCCGGCTGGCCAAGCTCAGATTCTAACTTTTCTCTCCCAACGGGCGCCTCCCTCAACAATCCCGAAGATCCTTGTGGCCCATGCCCCGTGGCCTCCCTAGCCCGCGGCGCTGTAGCCCACCCCTTCCTCGACGCCCCGGGCCCTTGCGGCCGCCGTTTGTGATGAACAGGAGGGGAGGGCTCGGACTTGCGACCCAAGAAAGTGTACTTGTCACATGGAGCGGGAGAGAGTTGCTTCCAGTTCACCTACTCCAGGACCCAGAGGTGAGGGAAGGGGCCCAGACATCCATGAGACCTCTCTTGGGTCCCAGAAACGCTAACCCTGGGGTCAAGGACATCTAGCTGGGTTCCCCCGTGCTAGGGCGAGATGGCCTAGCCCTTCCTCGTTCTGGGTCCCGAAAAACATAGGAAAAGCCCGCATCAAAGCAAAAGGGGAAGTTCTTCGGGCCGAACAACGAATACGGCGGGCCATGAGCAGCGGCAAGGGTGGGCCAGCGCCGGACACGTTCTGATAGAGCGTGGTGTCGGAGCTCCCTGGAAGAAGCAGGCTGGGCACTTAGTGTCCAGTTTCCACCCAGAACAAGGTGGCATTCTGGCGGCCCGGCCCAGGCAGGCCCTGCTGGCTTCCCAGCCCCCCTCCCCCCGGGCTGGGGGTGGAGCGCTGTACAGTTGCAAATGTCGAAACGGAAAGCGAGGGGCTGGTCTCTTCGCCTTCATTCGCGCCTGCTTTTGCCTCTTGGGGAGATAATTTGGCCTCGGTCAGACCCCAGCGTTGACCATTTGCATTTGCCTGGGTGTTAAGCGTTTCGCCACATCCTCGGGTGAGGACCCGCCTTCGCGCTGCGGGCGGTCTCTTCAAGGCGCAGAGCGGGTGCGGCCTCCCAGAAGTGGGCTGAGAGGGTGGAGGGGGCATCCCTCCGGCCCCCGTCTCCCACGCACTCTGGCTTGTGGGTTCTGGCGGCGCCCGACACCCGAGTCAGCATGACCACCCTTGCACCGCTGTCTCCTGCGGGCACTTTGGGACCCAGATTAGGGGGACCCGCGACCCGGGAGGAAGAACTCAGGGAAAGTTCATCTGCAGGGCAACTCCGAGGAGCTTGGAGCCACTCGCTAGCTCAGCTAGGGCTCTGATTATTCAAAAGAGGTCTTCTTTCTTTAAAACAAAACGAAACAAAAATTTCAAACTCGAGCAGGAGACTGTGCTCCGCCAACTAGGAGATATGGGCGGGGCCCGGCGGCAGTTTCTGCCTTGTATCCCTATGCTCCGGGGGGAATATTTGGAGGGCTTTGGGGCAAACTGGGGACAGTTTTGCGGGAATCTGCCTTCTCCTTTCCGACGAGCCGTGCTTGTTGATGGCCCAGGGTAGCCAGGGCATTGTTGGCACGTTGCTGTCAAGGGTCCGATCTCAGTTTCCACATCTGTTAAGAGGGAGCAATAATACCTCCCACCGTTGCTTGGAGAAAGGGAACTGTTGTGAAGCACTGGGTCTGGCACACAGTAGGTGTTCAGAAAAGTCTTATTCCCTCTCTGTACCCTTCATGCACGCCCGGCCCTTTAACTCGCCGACGTGGCTGGCCAGAAAGGTTGAAAAGGAAAACCCCCGTGAGGCCGAAGGCGGCTTTATTGTCCGTATATTCTTGCTTGTGGGGTGAGCTCGGGACCCGAACCTTGGAGACCCTGGCCCGCACGCGGAGTGGCGTAGTGCTAGCTACCGCAGCCCTCTCCCCTGGCCTCAACTGGGACCTGGGCGCCGGGACTCAGGGGAGAGCCGCCTGGGGGCCCCTCCTAGCCTCTGGGCCTCTAGCCGGATAAAGAGGTTTAGAGGCCATCGTCGAGCACTTCAGGAAGCGAGGGAACAGGATCCGGAGGCAGCGCCCTGTGCAACTTTGGCAACTCGGAGGACGCGGGCGGCCCGCGCACTGACCCTCTCCTTGGCCCACGTTTGCCCCTGAATTGCGCTCAACCGACTGCCGGGGCCCGAGGCTGGGAGCGGCAGCCTGCGCCTCGTTTAGCCGGGCTGGCGGCTAGCGGCCGACGCCGACGGGAGGGAGGGACTATCTGGCTGCTCGTTCCCGCCACGGAGCTGCCTCTGTGGAGGTAACATCTGTGCCCACCCCCTCCCCCATCCCCTTCCTCCCTCCAAGCCACCTCTATTTTTTTTTTTTTAAAGAAAGAAAACGAAAAACCAACCTTCCTTTCCCTCCACAATAGAAGCACCAGGGGGCCTTTCACTTGGCCAATCTCAGGAGTTTCATATGAACTTCATTAAATCAATTACTCGGTGAACACATCACAATTTATTTGCAATTAGTATCAAAATGTCTTACTTTTCTTAATAGGTCGGAGCAGATGTAGCTACAGAAGGGACAACGCGTTTTCGTGAAATCTATCTCTTGCAACATATTAAATTTTCTGGTCAGAAGAGAAGGGGAAATTCAAAGGCAGTTTAGAGAAGTAAAAAAAAAAAAAACAAAAAACAAACAAAAAAAAACACGCTGGAGACAAATGCGATCCGTGCAGGTGTTGGAGCAGCTTGCGTTATAATTGTTATCTAGCGAAAAGGTTGTCTTTATTATCCGTAATGATCGAACAAAAGTCACCGTAATTAAACGTCTGGTTTTCTCCTATGACTGAGAGGTGCGTGTCTGAAAGGCGCCGGGTACAGCGAGGGACTTCAGAAATGGTTAACAAGACGCCCCGTTCTTTGAATAGTGGCTTTGTCTTAATGGGGGTGGGGGGGTGGGGAGAAGAGACAGAAAGAGAGAGAGAACAGTTATCTAATTTTCATTGCCCCAAACCAGAGATTTATTGATTGCGACAACAGTTTTATTGTACTCAGGGAGGGGGTTGCTGCAGGTTTATAGAAACTGATTTACTTTCGTTTGGATGTAAAATCATATGCAACAGTCTCCCGTTGGAAGGTTGGACCTCAGCTCCTGTTAATACCATTAGTGACACAGGATCGAATTTCAAATGAAGCCTGGTGACAATTACAGACGGAAACAGATGCCCTTGGAAATTTAGGTCAAGTGTTCAAGATTCTAGTTTCATGGTCAAGGTTGTCTTGGGGGAAACCTTGAGGAGAGGCTCATAAATCTTTCTTCCTCTCTGAATTGGGGATGAGCCTTCCAGGGGCGTGATTCGTGGAAGAGGGGGGCAGAAAATTTAATTAGAGGGTTCTCAGGTCACCGAAAAAAGAAGACATGCCGGAGTGTTGTAAAACTGGGCAAGTGTGCTGGGCTGGACTGCGTGTGTGTGTGTGTGTGTGTGTGTGTGTGTGTGTGTGTGTGTCAGAGGCGAGCTACTCCTGGGGGCACTGGGTGAAGAACTGCGCGGGCCAGAGCTGCAAAAACCTAGATTCCCGCGTCCCATTTAGTGCCCAGCAAGCATACACAGCCACTGTCCCTTAGCCTCTGAGCCTTATTTTTATTCATCGGCAAAATGGGAAACACGGCTCCGGCCTGGTCTTTCTGGAAGACTGGTGGCGAGGATTAAGTGTGATAACGAATTTGAGAGCGTCTAGGCTTTTAAGTAGAAGGTACCATTATGAGAGTGCACCTCCTCCCTTTGCGTTTTAATCCGTTGCCCCTCTGCTAAGTGACAAAGACAGGCTGTCTCTGCTCCTTCTCCATGCGGGAACCTTCTTTGAGAGCTGCCCGCTCTGGCTCTGGCAGCACCCGCGTCTTCCTTCGGGGTAGAAAATCATGTCTTTCCACCCGGCTGTCATCCCAACCGGCGTCTTTAAGCGTGGCAGTCTTCGGGGTTTATGTCCCTCTGGTGGGTGTTTTCCACTTGACAACTCTTTTAAAGACGTAAAACCATATTTTATTTACTGCCTACTATAAATTATTTACTAGCAGGCTGAGGTAATTCCATTAAAGCCACACGGTTTGTTTATACTAAATAGTTATCTGGGGACTCCTTGCTCTCCTTAGAGCTGCGAGGCTCCGGGAAGGTGGGGACCGTTCGCGCGCGCGAGATACCCACAGTAAGAACAGGGATCCATTGGTAAGGAAAACGGCTATATTTCTCTTGAGGATTAATTAGAAATTAAATACAATGTAACGATCGTCGTTTTTGTTTGGTGTGAGGTGCCACTCCCAGCTCCATTTCCTCACCTTCCGTCCTCGTCCCCCTCTCCCCGCCCCCCGCCCCCGGGCCCCCGCCCCCCGTCCTCCACCTCCGGTATGGACTGGCTCACACTTGGTAGCAAGATAACTTCTTTAAAGGAACTAACTCGACATTAGTTAGCATCAATCAGACTTGGGTGAGGAAGGAGGATTTAGCTGGAGGAGATATGCTTAGGGCCATTCCTGGGAGGGGGAGGGGAGGAGAAGTCCCGACCTCCTCGCTTGAGTTGCAGGGGGAGGAAAGCACTGCGGAACTTTGTCTCTGGTCCCCTCCCCCAACACGTGGATCCAGGCAAAAAGAGAGTAGAAAAAGACAGCCTGAGGGAAGGCACTAGGCCATATAGATTGGCTGTGCGTGTGCGTATTTGTGTGTGTGTTTGTGTGTGTGTGCGCGCCCGCGCGCGTTCGCGGGTGCCTGTATCTCCTTCGCAAAGATTTTAGCACTGGCCCACTGAGTTACTTCTTTCTACTTCTCTGACTCAGTGTGTGTTATGTGTATATAAAACAATTGATATCTGTCTCTCAACTTAGGGACCTCTCTCAAAACATCAAACAACTCAAGAGGTATACTGGCCTTTAGGAGAGGGGATGGGATTAGGCAACCCAACCATAAATGAAATTTTTGTCTGAACTCGCTGCCCTGAGTTATGTTGGCCTTGGAAGGGAGAAAGGATTTATCTATTTCTGTGAAAGTCTTCTTTAAAATGGGCTCTAGAGGAATGTAGTAATGGTGTGTTAGTTTCCCACCTGGTTTTGCAGATGGGATTTTAGAATGCTTGGGTTATCACCATAACACAGGGAGAGATAAACAAGACAACTGGACAAAAAGCCAGTTGTCTAAAGCAACTTGCAAGTGATAAACAAAAAGACCATTTGTTGTTTAATTTCTTTTTTTTTTTCCTTTCAGCTGAAATAGAGATGCAAGGTAGGAAAAAAATCACATTGGTCTCAGTGAGTGAAAGACCTACTGCTGAAAAAAAAAAAAAAAAGACCTACTGCTGTTCATTACAGAGCTTAAGGACTGGAATTGACCTAAACATTCCGAACACATCTTACATTCTCAGTAGTTAGGTTCACCAATAATTTAAAATCCAAGACATATTTTTGGATTATATTTCTCGGTAATTCGGTTACCTTTATTAAATTCTCTTTTATCAAAAAGGGGGAGAAAACTATAATATGTATTAACACCTTAAGTATGCAAACATGCATTAGGCATTTTGTGATAATGGAAATGCAGGTTAACCCTGTGAACACCAAGTCAAATGTACTATCTAACCACACATCTCATTAGCCCTATTTAGAGATCTTAAAAAAAAATTGGTGCAATTTACATAACAAAATTAACCATTTAGAAGTGGTATTTAGCGCATTCACAATGTTGTACAACTAGCACTACTACCTACTTACAAAACCTGTTCTTCAACCCCAAATAAAACCCTCTACACGATCAATTTTGTCACTCTCCATTCTTCCCTCCTCCTAGCCCCAGGCAAATCTTTTTATATTGGTGCTTTTATTTCTTAAAACAAGTATTTTCCTCAAGAGCAAAATTTCTGTATGCTACTATTTCCTTAAACCCTGTTTTATCACATTCTATTCTGTACATCTAGCTACAGATACAAAGAGAGAGGGGATAAACGACATAATCTGCTTATTTGTATTTGTTCTAGAAGCCAATAGGTTTCCAGACTGGTATTTGCAACATGGGTCTTTTTAATGAGCGGGTGGATCCCTGGGTAACACTTACAAATACTTTGCTAGACATTGTGGGAGGGACATGAGTTTGAGGCAACAGTTAATCTTGCTGTCATCAATAGCAAGTGGATTAGAGTGGTATTTTCTCTTTTGAAATGTAATTCATAAAGTTTAACAAAGCAATAGTTATAGTCAACCTTTTGGGAAAAAAAGAGTGCGAGGATGAGTTGTTGCAACCATTTGTTTCTGGCCATCCAAACTGTGCCCTGAATTCACGATTATGGAAAAACTTTGTGAATAGCTTAGAATTGTCAGAGTCCCATCTCCTTGCTCCAGTGTGTGCTGATGCATTCATTTATTTCACGCAGGCTCACCACAAAGACAAAGGGAAATATGACTGTGGCTTAAGAATTTTAATCAAAATTGAAGCTACCATTCATGTAACTAGGACCACAGTGTCTGAAGCAGTTGGAGAAGCCATTGCTGTAAGATGGCAACGAGAGGTCAGGATTGGCCCAGAGTCATGAGCTCAGACAGATTTTTGAACCCTGTCTACCACCCTGGATTAATGTGGAATTAAAGGAGTAAAGAATGTATTGGTGGGCAGAATCATGGGTGGTCAGTTCTGTAGTTCAACATTTTGCTTTATTCTATTTGGAGAATGAGAGCTTTCAGAGGAGCGAGCTGACTTTGACCCTCATTGATAATATCATTAAAAATATACAATACATTTAAAGTTTGGACTAGTGCATCATGAGGGGAAAACAAAAAGTGGTATTCAGAACTGTTCCATTTCTTCTGATACATTTTTACAAATGAAACATATTCTCCTCTTTGCCTTAACCATTCTTTCTACAGCAGAGTTGTTCAGCCTTGTCACTATGGACATTTTGGACTACGTATTTCTTTGTTGTGGCAAACTGACGTGTACATTCTAGGACGTGTAACAGCATTCCTGGCTTCTACCCACTCAGCAGATGTCTTTGAAAATTGCCAAATGTCTCCTCAGGGCCAAAATTGTTCATGGTTGAGAACCATGGTTCTACAGTGTTTGATTTTGATACAAATTATTTCTTTTTGGCTGAACTTTGTAAAACATATAATCTTATTATCAGCAAAGATCTCAGGGATTCATTATTCATCAAATAGGGAGGCTATTAAGAACAAAAACCTGGATTTAAATCCTATATACTAGCTCTGCGACCTCAGAAGAGTCATTTATCCTCCCTGAGCCTCAGTTTCCTTTTCTGTAAAAAGACCCTCAGAAGATCCACGTGAGGATTCAATTAGATAATGCATGCTTAGAGCTTAGCACAGTGTCTCTCACACAGTAGACAAGTGATAAGCGTGTGCTATGTTTAGTTACTAGATGCTTACTGTGTGCCAAGCAATGTGTGAAGCCCTCTTCTTCATTGTGGGATTCCTGTTCCATGGCCATGACAGATGGGAGCGGTAAGGGCTCAGCCTTCTTTATTAAAACAATCACCTGCAAAGCATGACGATTTTCCGAAGAAGCACCGCTAGGCTGTTGCCGTGCCCTCAGTCCTTGGTTCTTCCTCACTCTCCTGGGGGTCTCTTTCTTGGATATTGAATGCCACTCTCATGCTCCCCCTTCTAGTTCCTCTGACTCAGGACCAGTTAGGTACAAAAACCCCTTTCTGTGTTTTCCTTTGCACAGCTGGGAGAACTGACATTTTCCAAGAGAACTTTACTAATCACTAAGGGGAAATAAAAGGAAACAATTATAGAATAAACAAGCAGCATAAAAATAGATTTCTGAAACAGAAGTTTCTGATCTTTAAACACCAGTAAAGGTTGCAAAGAGCCTTACAAGGTTCCACTCCTCCTTCTAACTACGTCCTAATGCAGTCCCTGAGAAGACAGTACATTTATTCATTTATTTAACAAATTGTGAGTGTCATGAAGGCAATAAAACCAAGCATTGTAATAGAGTTGACTGGATCGGGATGGGAGGGTCGGGGTGGTTTTTGGCAAAAATGATATTTGCACTTAGGTCTTAAGAATGAGAAAGTGCTTGTCTAATGAAGACCTGGTGTGCGAACGTTCCAGGTAGAAGAAACAGCAAGTGGAAGTGCCCTGAGGCAGGGCTGAGCTGGGCATTATAATAACAATGCTCACTATATTCCAAGCACTATTTGAAGAACTTGCCATATACAAATTCACTTAATTGAGTTGGTATCTATGAGCTAGGTACTATTATTATTCTATTTTATTAATAGGGGACATTGAGGTACAGGAATCTTAAGTAAGTTGCCCAAGGTCACAGAGCTACTAAGTGGTCAAGCCAGAATTCAAGTCCAGGCAGTCTGGCTCCAGAATCTAGGCTCTTAGCACTACACTGCACCGCCTGGGGCTTGGAGAGAGTAAAGAGAAGTGTGGGGCAACAGGAGCCTGGGGAGGCAGATGGAGGCCAATCCATGTGAGGACTTTTTAGGCCTGGGAAGGAGTTTTTCTTTATCCTATGAGCAGTGAGTAGCCCCTAAACTATTTTTAGCAGAGACATGACATGATTTTGTTCACATTTTCACAAGCTCACTCTGGCTTCTTGTTGAGAATAGACTGTAAGGGTCAAGGGTAGAGTCGGCAAGACCAGTTAGTGGTTATTGCAGTCATCCAGGTGGGAGATAAGGAAGAACTGGACTAGGATGATGACAGTGGAGAGAAATGAAGGGATTCAGTAAATATGTGGGAGGTAGAGTTGGCAGGACCCTCTTAGTAAACCAGGTGAGGGAGGTTAGGTGGAAAAAAAAGAAAAAGAGTAACAAATCAAAGATTACTGATAGGTGTGGATTTGAGCAACCAGATGGATGGTGGTACCTAGGTTCTTTCTTGCCCTTTACTCATGTGGACTCTGGCTGCCATCTTGTCTTTCTGACTTCTAGGAACTGTTCAGCCTTTGAATTCTTCCTTCCTTTCAATTGTTCCTTCCCAGGACAAATGCCAATGCTATTTTTCAGAATGCTCAGAATACCCAGGTTCTCCCCATTCAATTCCAGTGTTTAATTTGAACAAATGCCTGGTTCAGAGCTAGGTTGCATGACAAACACCAGTGTTTAACACCCTTGAGACAGTCTTCCATTCACCCTCAAAGCATTCTGGGATAATTCCTTCAGGTAACTCCATTACCCATGTATAGGCAGTATGGCCTAAAGAATAAAAAGCACAGCATGGAGATTGGGGTCACAGGCTCTGGAGTCAGACACATATTCAAATCCCTGCACCACCACTGATTATCTGTATGACCTTAGACAATTTACTGAACCACTTGAAGCTTCAGTTTCCTCATCTGTAAAATGGTTATACTCTTTTTCATCGTTAAATGAAAGAACACATGTAAAGTGCTAATTAAGTACCCAGCACATCATGTCTATTAAAATTGATCATTATTACTATGAATTTTCACCCATTCGTTTTAGTTCTGGCCTGGAAGCAATAATAAATATGCTTCCTTTTCCTCAAGGTAGCATTTAGCATACGTGAAGAATGTTCACTTTTCTGAATCTGCCCTTCTGAAAATCATCTAATTCTTTGATTTGTTCTGGATCCCTCTACATCTTTAGCTTATTGAAAGTGTTTCCTTGCCCACTCTACTGCTGTCTCAGAACATGAGGCCTATTTTATCAGTTGAGCAATTCCAAAAGGCTATCAGATTTATGTCCAGCCCTTTATAATTTAGTAATTAGGCATGACAAGATATGGATAAAGCACTGACTTTGGAATTAGATCTAGATCTTCCTCCACTTTATGGCAGTATGTATAGGGAAAATCACTTAAACTCTCTGTGATCTGGTTTCCTTGTCTATAAAATGAGGATCCCACTACTACTGACTTCACAGGAATATAGTGAATTAAAAATGAGGTAATGTTAGTGAAAATACTTGATGAACTGTGGAAGAACTAAAGAAATATTGTTATTCCTTAAACCTGATATGACACTTAATGATCAGTTATTTTAATTTGCACAGAAAAACTGGAGCACCAAAATTCAATGGGGACAAATTGCACATGTCCAAATTTTAGTCTTATGTTACTGAAAGAAAAACTAGAAATGTATTGTGAGCCAAGACAACTGCATTGCAGGAAACTAGCTCAAATGTTTTGCTAATTCCCGGGGTATATTTGCTGTGGTTTCAAATGTTTATTACCTAGCCTAGAATTCAACCTTGACATGCAGAGTAGAAATGTCATACTCAAGTCTAGATGTATAAATTTAACTCACTTCTATAATATAGGTAAAATAAAAAGAACATGGAATGCTTTTGTGCCAGATATTATTATAAATCAAATATTTATCTTCAAAAATAGAAAATAAATAAAAGACTAATATGTCTATTATTCATAGAATTATAACAAAGCATTCTTGTTTAAATTAAAAATATATCTATGCTGTATGTGAATATTAAAAGGAACTATTATAATTACACTTTTTTCAGGTTGATTTAAAATTGTTAACTAAAAGAGATCTGTCAATCTCTTTTATAAAAGTCTTAAAATCTTAGAAATGTTAGAAGTTTGACATCATCAGAGTTGACAAAATGCCCTATCTGATTCCTACAAAAAAAATTCAACATTATTTGCATTTTTGAAGTGGCTCTAAAAGAATTTGTTTTTGTTTTTACTTTGAAAGTTATAGAAAATAAATGTGGCCAAGTATTAGCAACAAATGAATGTAGATGAAGGCTATATTCTGTTAAATTTTTCAAAATAAAAAGTTAGGGAAACCTAGAAATAACAGTTCTAATGAGCCATAAAATTTTCAATGCATATTAAAAAATTAAAAAGTTAATATATAAATAAATAAAAATGACTTGGCAAAATATAAATTAAATTTACTTTGAAATATGTGGATTCACAATTCACCTAAAATAATATTTGGAAAGATGCATTTTACATTTTATTAAACTACATTGTGTATTCCTTTTAAAAATATTTAATATGCTTCAACTTCTGCAGTCATTCCTTCTACAGATATTTATTGGGCACCTCCACCATGGCTAGATGCTATGTGAGATACAAAGATCTATAAGACACGGCCTGTGCCCTCAAGGAATTTACAAGCTAGAAGTAGTATCATATTCTTCAAAAAGCTTTGACAGTGTAAACAGAAACTATATGCTTATAAAAGAAAGCAAGCAAATCTACTCCAGAAGTCCATTTTGCAACATTACTACCCCATTGTGCACTTGAGTTCTTTCTCTAAAGCAGAGGCAATCCCTTAGCATAGCCCTTTCATCTTCGTTGTCTTTTTCTGCTTCCTCCTCTTTCTTTCTCCTTTTTCCTCCTCTTTTTTTGTTGTTCACATTACATTAAAAATATTTTTTCTCTTTCTTTCTTTTTCTTTCTTTCTCTCTCTCTTTCTTTCTACCTCCCTTCCTTCCTTCCTTCTTTCTTTCGTCCTTTCTTTCTTTCTTTCCCTTCTTTCTTTATTTCCTTTCTTTCTTTCCTTTCTTTCTTTTCTGAGACAAGGTCCCACTCCATCACCCAGGCTGAAGTGCGGTGGCTTGATCTTGACCTCTCAGGCTCAAGCGATCCTCCTGATTCAGCACCACCCCACCCCTCCCCCCACCCAGTAGCGGGATTACAGGTCTGTGCCCACCACACCTGGCTAATTTTTGTATTTTTAGTAGAGAGGGCTTTTGCCATGTTGGCCAGGCTGGTCTTGAACTCCTGGACTCAAGCGATCCGCCAACCTCAGCCTCCCAAAGTGCTGGGATTATAGGCGTGAGCCACCATGCCTGGCTACATCATTACATTTTTAATTCATATATTTAAAATGTTTGCAAAGAGTGCTTGATCCTTAACCTTATTTATGCATTTAAATGGTAGAAAGGATACAAGCAACAACTATAATTGTCCTAGGAATATTAGAAAAATTTTAAAATAAAGCAATAAAAGCAATATTAGCTTCACATGATTGATGCGTTTTTCACTAAATAGTGTTTTATAACTTTAGGTAAATTATTCCAATAATACCTTATAATATATTTTTAAATTTCTTAATAGAGAACTTCCTGTGTGAAAAGAACAATTCCTTTTTGTTCCTCATCCTTTGCTATCCTGTGTCTCTGCTTTCACTCTGTTGTATGGGGATACTGTCCTTTAAAACCCTGGAAATATGGAGTAAGATGTGTGACTTTTGCATATTGACAACAATTACAACACAATATTATTTCTTTCTTCTGCCTGCCTCTTTTCACTGATCTGGGGCCTATTTGATTGCAACGGAAACAAATTGATTTAATACCTGCTCTACGGTGTTTGCATTTAGCTATAGAATGATGCTCAATTTATTTCAGCAAAACATGGGGGTCTGTGAACAACAGGAACAAGAGGGGTGGGGAGGGGTTTAGTCTGATTACATGAGCTTCAAAACTGAGGGATTTTTTTAAGGGAGGAAGGGGGAAGGATAGAAATAAGAACAAGTTCTATAGAAAGAACTTGCTCTTTCCTCCAAGGAGGAAAAACGTGAACATTTCTCTGTATTTTATCCTGTGGTTGAAGATCACAGAATGTTGAAACTGAAAGGAACTTTAGACATCTTTCTCTCTCTCATCAAATCTCCAGTACCCCCTCTTCCATTTTTACTCTCACCTGATGACATTGTTTGTTATTTTCTTGAGACAATGGAAGTAAACAGAAGAGATTGTCAACAAGTTCCTAGTGCCTTATGTACACACCTACCTGCAGCTTCTGTACCACTATACTTGGCCTTCTCTCCAGTTGTTCTGAAAGAGCCATCCACACTTTTGGCTGAGGACAATGTCTCCTCATGTGCAATAGATTCTATTCTCCTTGCCTACTCAGAGACATGGCCCTAACAATTCTCCCCTCTTCCTTCTATATCGTCAAATTTTCTCTCTCTATCATTCTCATTAGCATACAATCGTGTTGTTGTTTCTCCCATCTTAAAAAATACACTCTTTCCCCTACCCTACTTCTGCTTTTAGATACTGCGCCACTTCTCCACTTCCTTCTCCAGCAAAATTCTTAAAAGAGTTGCCTGTAGTCAAGGACTCAAATTCTTCTCCTCTTATTCTGTTTTGTACCTGATTCACTGAGGCTTTTGTCCCTCCCCAGCCCCACCACCAAAACTGCTCTTATCAAGGTCACAAGTTAATTCTATTAGTGGGATTTTTGAATCATCATGTTGCTTGACTTATCAGCAGCATTTGACAGGCTTGACCACTTTTTTCTACCTTAATTTACTTCCTCCACTTGGCTTCCAGGACACTATTTGTAATAGTGTCTCCTATATCATTCCTACCATTGGTAATTTGTGTCTTCTTTTTTTGTTTTTAATCCCTGATCAATCTATTGTAGGAGAGGGAAAAATAGTTTATCTCCACCCTTTTAGGTTCTTTGGATGGGCTACAAATTAAATTGATGTGAGACAGATCAATAGGAGAAAAGGTATACAAATACATTATGTACATGGAGGCATCACATGAAAGAAATGTGAATACCCCCAAAAACAGTGAGATCTAGAAATATATACAGTCACACATTGCTTAAATACAGATTTGAGAAATGCATTGTTAGGCGATTTAATTTAAATGCAGTGGTGCGATCTCAGCTCACTGCAACTTCTGCCTTGTGGGTTCAAGAAATTCTCCTGATACAACCTCCTGAGTAGCTGGGATTACAGGCAGCTGCCACCACGCCCAGCTAATTTTTGTATTTTTAGTGGAGATGGGGTTTTGCCATATTGGCCAGACTGGTCTGGAACTCCCTTCCTCAGGTGATCTGCCTGCCTTGGCCTCCCAAAGTGCTGGGATTACAGGTGTGAGCCACTGCTCCCAGCCTCAGGTATTTCTTCATAGAAGTGTGAGAGCAGACTAATACAGGGTCAAAGATGAAATTACAAAGGAAATGGGAAAGTACTTTCAGATGAATGAGAAAACAACATACGCAAATTTATAGGATGTAGTTATAATCATAACACATATATTTACTTTTTTTTTTTGAGATGGAGTTTCACTCTTGTTGCCCAGGTTGGAGTGCAATAGCACCATCTCAGCTCACTGCAACCTCCGCCTCCCAGGCTCAAGCAATTCTCCTGCCTCAGCCTCCCGAGTAGCTGGAATTACAGGCATGCGCCACCACGCCCAGCTAATTTTTTGTATTTTTAGTAGAGACAGGGTTTCACTATGTTGGCCAGGCTGGTTTCGAACTCCGGACCTCGGGCAATCCACCTGCCTCGACCTCCCAAAGTGCTGGGATTACAGGAGTGAGCCACCGTGCCCAGCCACATATATTTACAAAAAGAATCTAAAATCAATAACCTAATAATGATCAACGTAACAATAAAAAAGTCTTAAATCCGTAACCTAAACTTTAAGAAACTAGAAATAAGAGCAAACTAAACCCAAGGCAAGCATAAGGAAGGCAATAATAAAGAAGAGAGTAGAAATATATGAAATAAAGAATAGAAAAACAATAGAGAAAATCAATGAAACAAAAATTTGGTTCTTTGAAAAGACCAACAAAACTGACAAACCTTTAGCAGTATTGACCAAGAAAAAAAGAGAAAAGACTCAAATTCCTAACATCAGGAATTAAATAGGATATATTACTACTAGCCTTATGAAATAAAAAATAATTATAAGGGAATAGTATGAACAATTGTATGCCAACACATCAGATAACCTACCATATGACCCAGTAATTCTACTCTTAGGTACATACCTAAGAGAATTGAAACAGATGTGGAAATAACCCAGAAGTCCATCCAACTAATGAATGAACAAATAAAATGTAGTATCTACATACAATGGAATATTATTTGCCCAATAAAGCAAATGAAGTGCTGATACATGCTACATCGGTGAACCTTGGAAACATTATGCTAGATGAAAAAATCCTGACACAAAAGGCCATGTATTATTTTATTTACGTAAATTGTCAAAAAAAAGGATAATCCATAAATACAGAAAGCAGATTAGAGGTTGCAAGGGGCTGGAAGTAGGAGACAATGGGGAGGGACTGCTAATAGGTATGGTGTTTCTTCGAGGGGACTATTAAAATGTTCTGCTATTAAATAGAGAGGATAATTGCACAGTTCTGTAAGTATAGTAAAAACCACTGAACTGTATTTCAAAATAGTGAATTTTATGTTATAGCAGTTATATCTTGAAAAATTTGTACATAAAACCATATAAAGCCAAACTGCCTGGATTTGAATTCCAGCTACTGACACTGTCATCTTACCTAGGTTATAAGGAAGTAACTGTGATAGGTTCAGTAGTTGATGTCAATTCTTTATTACACCAATAATATTATTATACATCCACTCCGTTGCCATTGCATTATGGTGAGCAGCTTATACTTTTTCACCTCTTGACGTTGGACCTGGTCATGTGACTTGCTTTATCCAATGGGATGTTAGAGGATATTATATCAGTAGATGTTTGGAATATACTTGGGCAGTTGAGCTTTCCCTCTTACAGTTTTGCCATTGCATGAGAAGAACACACCACTGATAGCTGTTGGCCCTTCATCCTGGGCCCTAAAATGAGACACCTGGAGCAGAGCTTCTTTATTATCTTCCAACTTGAAAGCAATAAATAGTGTTTATTACTGCATGCCACTAAAATCTGGTAGTTGGTTGTTATGTTGCCAAAGATGACAAACACAGGAACAAATAATAAAGGATTTTAGTGGTTTACACCACAAAAAATTTAATTATCAGTCATGTACTATCTGGGTCAACTAAAATTCTTCTTCATCTGTCTTCACTCTAGGATCCAACGTGAAGGAACAGCTCCTCTCACGAACACTGTTGGTCTCCTGGATGGAGAAGGAATGTGGTGAACCCTGAGCTGACTCTCAGGGCCTTTGTTCAGAACATTTTACTTCTGCTCATATGTCATAGGACAAAGCAAATTACATGGCTGAGCTGGATGCAAATGGGGAGGGGAAGAGGACTCTTCCCACAGGGAGGGGCATAAGTCACACAGCCAAGGCTGATGTCAACAGGGCAGGGATGTATAATCCTCCCACAGGGAGGAGTAGCTAATATTTTTAACAATATTATAATCCACCACAGTGACCTCGAGCATGTCACTTGACCTCTTTGTGCCTTGGTTTTCTCATTGTTAAAATGGAAATAATAATAGAACTTACCTCATAGGGTTGATATGAGGATTCAAACGACTTAATTCTAGTAGAGCATTTAAAATCCTGCCTAGTACATAATAAATGCTAGATAAGTGGTTGTTAAATAAAAATAAATAAAATGTTTGTCCATACAATTGTTTCCTCTTGCTATGGTGAAAATCGTGTATCCCATGCTTTATTATTACATGCCTAGAAATGAAGATACTTTGCCTACAGGCATTTAAAAACAAGACATTTCTATTTTTAAAAGCCTGTGGCTTTAAAATTAAGGTTTCCAAAGTTGTGTCATTGCTTAAACTTCTTGAAAGATGTCCCTATCATGGCTTGCAGTCTGATTAGTTCTTTCTGGAAAAGAGAAGAGATTCTGTTTGGTAGGAATAGGACAGCAGGTGGTGGTAGCATAAAACAGAAGAAAAGCTGCACTGTTGAAAAAGGATGGAAACCAAAAGGTCCAAAAACCTGCTCTCAGCTGTGATAGAAACAGCATCGCAGAAACCCAGTTATATGAACTGCTGTCTGAGTGGCCACCATATTTGGCGGGGGAAAAAAGGATTTCTATTCACATTATGCTTTTCTTTTTTTCCCTGCTATACTCTGAGTGCCCAGTTGTGTACTTTGACTGAAATACTTCTCACTCGGTATGCCTGTTAATCCCCTCTAGCAACATTGAACACCCACTTGGGATTCGCTAAAAGCACTGAAAGTTGTTTTGCTCAGTCATCTTGCTTCCTGAATTTAAAAAGGTAACAATTGATCCACACCTGAAAACAAATCAGAAAAAAAAAAAAAAATGTAGCTATAGACAAAAAACCTAGCCTGCTGCACACCTCTTCCAATCCCTACCAAAAGAACAACTACTTGTGTGAAGACTGGGAGAGAAAAGATCTGATTTTTTTTTCTTATAAACCCTGCCTTGCACAAAAGAGAACTTAATAAATGCATATGATATTAAACTTCTCATTAAATATCTTACATCTTTTATATGTATATCCTGGGATCTCTAAGGTGCTTTCCAGTCCTGGAGATTCTATACTGGATATAAATATTACATAAAGCCTCACTGCCCGAGTGAGGGCTCTCTAATTTCTCGCTGTCTCTAACCATTTATGCTGTACCGTCTTAAATTAGAATAAAGTCACCCATTTCACAGGTGGCTTAGCCAAAAAAGCTCATCTTATTTCCAGAAGTCTGTAAACTTGATTATAAACCACAGACCTCTTCAGCCCTGAGAGTTGATAGCAAGGCTACAGTAACTACCATGGCTTACATTCATCAATCATTTTTACCATGAACCAGGCACATGAATTATTTCATTTAACCTTCCCAATGAGTAAGAATTAATCATCGCTATTTCACATATGAAGAAATGCAGTAACCAAGAAGTAATATAAATTGCTCAAAGTTAGTATAAAGTGGTGATTGAGCACTTGGATTCTGAAATTAGACAGCTGGATTGTGGAGATTCATTTAATCATTTTTTAAAATACGATGAATTATTGCTAACTATAGTCACCCTATTGTGCTACAAAATACTAGATCTTATTCATTCCACATTGTTGCAAGCCCTTCCACCTCTGGCTGAGTTCCAGGAGATTTAAAGAGCTAGCACCTATAAAAACTTTTTTTTTGTAATAAAAAAATCATTATGACCTAGGGCTAGGTGAAGAGTTTTTAGACTTAACACTAAAAGTATGATCCCTAACTGAAAAGTTTGATATTTTTGACCTCATAAAAATAAAACACTTTTGCTACATTAAATATTCTATTAAGAACAAAAAAAGACAAGCTACATAGTGGGAGAAAATCTTTGCAAACCTGATAGTGGAAAAGGACTGGTACCTAGACTGCATAAAAAACTTATAAAGCCCAACAATGAGAAAACAACCCAATTAAAAAATAGGCAAAATATCTGAACGGATACCTGACTAAAGAAGACATGCTGATGGCAAATAAAGTGCATGAAAAGGCATTCAACATCATTAGCCATTAGGGAAATTCAAATTAAAACCACAATGAGATATCAATACACGCAAATCAAGAGGGCTAAAATAAAAACTTGTGGCAACAACAAATGCTGATGAGGATGCTGAGAAACTAGATCACTCATACATTATGTGTGGGAATGTAAAATCGTACAACTACTCTGGATAATCACTTGGCAGTTCCTTTTAAAATTTAAGTGGGCTTACCATATGACTCAGATATTGTACTTGCCAGTGAAAACTTGTTATCGTACAAATTTGTACACAGAAGTTCATAGATGCTGTATTTATAATAGCTCCAAACTGGAGATAACTATGACCTTAGATGGCTATATGGTTAAAGAAGCTGTGGTACATCCATCACATGGAATTACTGAACTATTAAAAGGAATGAACTATTGATTCAAGCAGCAACTTGAATGTATCTCCAGGGAATTATGCTGAGTGCAAAAAAGGTAATCTCAAAAGGGCACATACTATATGATTCAATTCATAAAACATTCTTGAAATAATAAAATTATAGACATGGGGAATGGATTAGTGGTTGCCAGGTGCTAGGGATGGTGGGAGAAATGATATGGGTGTGGTTATGAAGTAGTAGCAGGAGGGAGGCCTTTGTGGTAATGGAATAGCTCTGTGCCTTAATTGTGGTCATGCTTCTATGAATCTACACATCGTAAATGAAATATATATATACATCATTCAGTGTCAGCTTCTGGTTTTGATATTGTACTATAATTACATAAGATACAAAACATTGGGAGAAACTGGATGAAGGGAATACAGGCTCTTCCTGTACATTTTTTATAACTTCCTGTGAATCTACAATTACTTCAAAATAGAATGTTTTTAAAAAGTTTGTTAAATAAAATGTTGGAAGCGAAGCTGAAATTTGAATGTCAGTTTGTCTGAGTCTAAAGTTAAGCTGTATAATAATAGTGAGCATCTATTAAGTGATTAGGCTAGGTACTATTAAGTACCTTGCCAGACATCACACAGTTACAAAGTGACAGTGCAGGACTAGAAACCAAACCTGATTCCAAACATGTACTTTTAATCACCGGTGTGATTCTCTTTGAATTGCATGGGAGAGAGAGGATCATGGCAATGGTTGGAGGGGAAAGAATGGGAACATGAGAGAAACAAAAGGAAACAAAAGAAGGACAAAGTGGTGAATATAACTTACTATAGTCAAGGAAATAAAAATTGCATCCACAATAAGACATCATAACACAACCACCAGGTTGACAAAAACTAAAAAGTCTGATAATACCAACCATTGTCAAGCTGTGGAGTACTGAGAACTCTCACTATACCCTGAGGGTGGGAATGTAAATTGATATAGCCACTTTGGAAAATAGGCATTGGCTAGTTCAATTGAACATGTGCATACCCTACACATAGCAATTCCACTCCTAGGTATGAGAAACATGTGCACAAGGAGACATTTTAATAAAGCTTTGTTTATAATAGCAAAATACTATGACCAATATAATTGTCCAGCAGTAGTAGAATGGGTAGCTAAAATGTGGCATAGGAAATAAGAAGATAGAGGACTTGAACAACACTATAAACCAATAAGAACTAATGGAATTATATAGAACTATCTACTGAACAGCAGAATACATTCTTCTCAAGTGCACATGGAAAACTAGACCATATATTATGCCACAAAACAAGTCTCAACAAATTTTGAAAGATTGAAATAATTCAAAGTATATTTTCCAGCCACAATGGAAGGAGGCTGTAAATCAAAGACAGAAGGAAAAACTAGAACTTCACAAATATGTCGTGATTAAACAACCCACTCTCTAAAAAATGGTCGAAGAAGAAATTGCAAAAGAAATTATGGTGGCTCATGCCTGTAATCCCAGCCCTTTAAGAGGCCCAGGTGGGTAGTTCACTTGAGCACAGGAGTTGGAGATCAGCCTGGGCAACATGGCAAAACCCCCTCTCCACATAAAATACAAAAATTAGCAGGTCATGGTGGCACACACCTGTAGTCCCCAGTACTAGGGAGGCTGAATTGGAAGCATCACTTGAGACCAAGGAGGTCAAGGCTGCCCTGAACTGTGATTTTGCCACTGCACTCCAGCCTAGGTGACAGAGCAACACCCTGTCAAAAAAAAAAAAAAAAAAAAAGAAAGAAGAAGAAAGAAATTACCTAGAAACAAATAAATATGAAAACACAGCATACTAAAACTTATGGGAAAGTGAAAGCAGTGCTCAGAGGGAAATTTATGGCACAAACACCTACATTAAAAAAGAAGAAAGGTCTCAAATCAATAATCTAACTTTACATCTTGAACAACTAAAAACAGTAAACTATACCCAAAACTGGTAGAAGGATGGGAACAATAAAGATCAGACTAGAGATAATAAAATAGGGAAGAGAAAAGCAATAGAGAGAATCAAGGAAACCAGAAGTTGGCTTTATGAAAAGATCAACACAATTGACAAACTTGTTTTTTTTTTTTGAGACGGAGTCTCTCTTTATTGCCCAGGCTGGAGTGCAGTGGTGTGATCTCAGCTCACTGCAAGCTCTGCCTCCTGGGTTCACACCATTCTCCTGCCTCAGCCTCCTGAGTAGCTGGGACTACAGGCGCCCGCCACCACGCCCAGCCAATTTTTTGTATTAGTAGAGATGGGGTTTCACCGTGTTAGCCGGGATGGTCTCAATCTCCTGACCTCGTGATCCATCTGCCTCAGTCTCCCAAAGTGCTGGGATTACAGGCGTGAGCCACTGTGTCCAGCCCACAATTGACAAACTTTTGACTACATTGACAAAGACAAAAGGACAGAATGCACAAATAATTAAAATCAGAAATGAAAGTGGAAACATTCCTGCCAACCTTACAGAAACACAAGGGATTATAAGAGAATAATATAAATATTTGTATCCCCCAAAATTAGATAAACTAAATAAAACGGAAAATTTTCTAGAAACACACAAATTATCTGAACTGACACAAGAAGATACAGAAAATCTCAACAGACTATAACACATAAAGAGATCGAAACAGCATTCAAAAACCTGCCAACCATAAAAAGCCCAGGACCAGATGGCTTCACTGGTAAATTCTTCCAAACATTTTAAAAATTATTAACTCCAAGCCTTATTAAATTCTTTCAAAAAATAGAAGAGGAGAGAACACTTCCTAACTAATCCTATGAGGCCAACATTACCTTGACACCAAAGCCAGATAAATATCCCAACAACAACAACAAAATTACAGACAAATATCCCTTATGAATAGAGATACAAAAATCCTCAACGTAATATAGCAAAATGAACCTAACAGCACATTAAAAATATTATACAACACAACCATGTGGGATTTATCCCAACAATGCAAGTGTGGTTCAACATGATAAAATCAATCAATGTAACACATCACACTAATGGAATGGAAAAAAAAAACCCATAGGATTAACTTAATTCAAGCAGAACAGGCATTTGACAAAATCCCATACCCTTTCATGATAAGAACACTCAGAAAACTGCATAAAAGGGAGCTTTCTCATCAAGATGAATGGCATTTATAAAAAAACAAACAAAAAAGCCCACAGCTAACATCATACTCGATAGTGAAGGATTGAAAACTTTCCCCCTAAAATTAGGAATATAACAAGGATGCCCACTTTCACCACTGCTATTCCTCATTATACTGAAAGTTCTAGCCCCAGTAATTAGACAATGAAGATAAATAATAAAATATATTGAAACTGGAAAGAAAGAAGTAAATGTATCTTTATTTGCAGATGAAATGATACAAAATCTAGAAAATTCCAAACAATTCATAGGAAAGCTACTAGAGCTGATGAAAAAATTCAGCAAAGTTGCATGGTATGACATCAACACACAAATCAGTTGTGTTTTTGTACACCTGCAATGAACAATCTGAAAAGGAAGTTAAGAAAGCAATTTAATTTACAATAGTATGTAAAAAAATAAAATACGTATGAATAAATTTAAATAAGGAGATAAAATACTTGTATACAGAAAACCACAAAACATTGCTAAAGGAAATTTTAGAAGCTCTACATAAATGGAAAGACATCCAATGTTCATGGGTAGGAAAACTTAATATTGTTAAGATGTCAGTACAACTCAAACTAGCCTATAGATTGAACATAATCCTTGTCAAATATTCGAACACCTTCTTTTTTTTAACACCTTTAAAGCAATGGAGAAGCTGAGCTTCAAATTTATATATAACTGCAAGGGATCCCAAGTAGCCAAAACAATCTTGAAAAAGAAAGAAGTTGGAGGTCTCACACTTCCTGATTTCAAAACTTACTTCAAAGCTAAAGAATTTTTTTTTTTAAGTATGATGCTGGTGTAAGGATAGGCTAATATGGCAGAATTGAGAGTCCAGAAATAACCCCTTACCTCTATGGCCAATTGATTTTCCACACGGATTCCAAGTTCATTCCATGGGGAAAGAGCAACCTCTTCAACAAATAGTTCTAGGACAACTGGATATCCACAAGTACAAGAAAGAATTTTGATTCCTAACTCACATCATATACAAAATTAACTCAAAATGATAATGATTGACTCAAAAGATGAGGGCTAAACCATAAACTCAGAAAAAACTTGAGGCAGATATTCAGAACCTTGGATTTGGCAATGGATTCTCTGATATGACACTATGATTTCTGTTAAGGTGGATGGTGACTACGTGGATGTTTGATTTATATTATATTTGCACCCTTGTCACCAGAAGCATTGGTATCACTTGGGAGTTTGTTAGAAATGCAGAATGACAGGCTTTACCCCAGACTTGCATTTCAGTAGATCCCTGGGTGATTCCTGTGTGTTTTAAAGTTTGAGAAGCACTGGTGTGAACCATGCATGGGCTTTATGTACTTTTTCTAAAGGTGAAATATGTCTCATCGTTTTCAAAATAGTGTATTTCAGATTCCATTGGGCTATTGACCCAACAGTTGTCTAGCTCTGCTGTAACTAGAGTCATATACATATAATACTGATAATGCTAATAATTAACATCTATGTGCCAAACACACATATTGCTTTCTTGAATCTTAAAGCAGCCTCAAAGTAGGCTCCATTATTGCCTTCATTTTACAAATAAGTAACCTGAGATGCAGAGAGATCAGGCTGCCTGTCTGGGATCTGAGGAACTTCTCTTAATCTCCAAAACCGGCATTCTGAAGCTCTAGTGAATCGTTGGGTTGATGGCACAGGAGGAGGGGCTGTGAGAGGCTGCCCTGGACACCAAGGGTGAGGGCCACCAGAGCCGCGGTGGCGCCCCAGTAAACGGCCCCAGTGGCCGCCCTTGGACCTGCCACTGCCAGACCAGTTCTCCAGGCCGCGCTGCCAGTGTCCCTCCCTCTTTATGGTAGGTCCAGCCTGCTGCCCTCATTTGACTGCAAGGGATGTAGGGGCGGGTGTCTCAGTTATGGCCAGCTTGGCTTACCAGTGAGTTCCCCTACATCCTACCCCGCTTGGTTTGGAAGGACGCACACCTGTGAAAGTGACAAGGCGCCTTGGACTCGCCTGAGCCTGTCACCCGAAGTCACGGGCCCTCCACAGCACATGCCCACCTGGCCGGGCGGGTTGCGCCCTGGTCAAACTGGAGCGATTTGAAGGGGTAAACAAGGACTCGCAAAGGAACTCAACAGCGGTTGGTGAAAGGCGCAGGCCGAGGCTGGGCAGCTGGGCACGGGCCAAGAACCGGTGGGGGCTCCTTGCCCCACAGAAGAACTGATTCCTCCATCATCCAGAGTCAACTACCCCCATGCCTACCTTCATTTCTGGAACTTCCTGGGCTCAGCCACTACTTAATTAACAGAGATTTTTGTGCATCTTCTCTCCACCACACACACACACACACACACACACACACACACACACACACACTAAATAGATCTAAAATGCTGCATTTTTCTGATGTTTCTCGCCCTCCCCCCCATTCTTTCTTGTACAAACTCTGTCAAGGTGAATCACAATATAATAAAATGCATTTGGCATTTAAAGACGTTTCGAAAATTATCTTGGGTTTCCAATTAGTGCCCTTGGTTAACTGAAATATGTAGCATTATTTTCAAAGTGTAAAATTATTTCCAGTGAGATGGCAAGAAGACATGGTTCTTTTGTTTTGTTTCGTTTTGTTTGAGACGGAGTCTTGCTCTGTCGCCCAGGCTGGAGTGCAGTGGCGCGATCTCGGCTCACTGCAACCTTCACCTCCCGGGTTCAAGGGATTCTCCTGCTGCAGCCTCCCGAGTAGCTGGAACTACTGGCGCGTGCCACCATGCACAGCTACTTTTTGTATTTTTAGTAGAGACGGGGTTTCACCATGTTGGCCAGGATGGACTCGATCTCTTGACCTCGTGATCTGCCCACCTCGGCCTCCCAAAGTGCTGGGATTATAGGGGTGAGCCACCGTGCCCGGCCGGGAAGTGTTATTATTTTTCTAGTGATACATTATTTATTACACTTACAATGAAAGATGCATGATATTAACATTTAAAGTAGAAATAAAATGTCCTTTCTTCAAGATTTATAAATCCAGCTGTCTGTTTTCCATATTTGTGTATACCTATTAGTTTTAATTACACTAATAATTTCCCTGGGTTCTTAAATTTACATTAGCTTTTAAAGTATAGAGGAAACATTCCTCATATAATTTAATCATTTGTGCAAATGGCAGACAAGGAAGTTATTGGTTTGTATTGTAATTATTGTAGTTCATATTTTGAGCTCATTTGTACAATTGCTAAATTAATAATTATCATTTACGTAAGCAGATTAGGTCATCTGCACTCATTTGCAATTATAATTCAGAAATGATTAGATGTTCTTCAACTTTCCCAATTTCTTTAATGCCCTTATTAAAATCGTACATTAAAGAATTATCCAATTATGTCTATTATCATAAGTAAATTTGGCGTAGTACATATAATTACTCCCATGCTATTGCATGTAAATTTTCAATTAATCTATCTCTTTTCCAAAGTGTATGGTAAAACAAATTGATTGTCATAATGTTGTTTGCAGCATTTGCTTAAAAGCCATGCGTGTTGAGATTCACAAAGCCAAACCATTATGAGTAGTATAAAATAGTATATGAAATTATCCTATAAAACAGGTATCACACCAGGACTAACTTGAATGTTCCTGGATCTTTACCGTTTGAGGGAAGAGAACTTTTGACTTACTGCAAAGATTATTCAATACCATAGTATGCCAGGGAATATTTAAAATAGAATCAGTGCACAGTTGAAAAGATACTGACTTTTTTCAAATTATAAACATATTTATTGCACACCATTTGGGAAATACAGAAATGCATGAAGAAGGAAAAAATATTTTATATATAATGTCCCCAAACAGAGATAAGCTATAACATTTTGGTTTTTATCTTTGAAGTCTCTTACATGGATTTTTATGTATGTATCTATATGTGTGTGTAATATGCAGTAATAAAATTAGGGCTGTATTGTACATACTGTTCAAATTTTTGGTTTCTATGACTCCAATGAAAAGAACAATGTTGTCTTCCATTTTGCATTTGCCATGGAACTGACCTTCCTTTCTTTTAGAGACAGGGTCTGGCTCTGTCACCCACGCTGGAGTGCAGTGGCAAAATCACACCTCACTGCAGTCTCGAATTCCTGGGCTCAAGCAATCTTCCCACCTCAGCCTCCCAAGTGGCTAGGACTATAGACACGAGACACCGCGCCTGGCTAATTTTTATATTTTTGTAGAGATGGAGTCTTGCTATGTTGCCCAGGCTGATCTCAAACCCCTGGCCTCAAGTACTCCTCCCACCTTAGCTTCTCAAAGCACTGAAGTTACAGGTGTGGGCCACTGCACCCATCCCAGTGACTTATTTTTGTGTTTGTTATAAAAAATTCTGTAACTTGAAGAACGAAGTTATTTATAAGCAAAGGTATTTGAATCCTAACTCTCACACTTACTTGCTGGGTGACCTTAGACAAGATACTTAATCACTCTGTGCTTCAGTCTCCTCAGTAGTAAAATGGGGATAATGATAGTGTACTTACTTCAGAGAGTTGTTGTGAGGATCAAATGGATTAATTTATTATAAAGTTCATACAACAGTGCCTGACACATAGTAAGTTCTATGTAAGTATTTTTTTTCTTTTTTTTTTTTTGAAATGTAGTCTCGCTCTGTTGCCCAGGCTGGAGTGCAGTGGCCTAATTTCGGCTCACTGGGACCTCCACATCCCGAGTTCAAGCGATTCTCCCACTTCAGCCTCCTGAGTAGCTGGGATTACAAGCATGTGCCACCAAGCCTGGCTAATTTTTGTATTTTTAGTGGATGAGGTTTTGCCCTATTGGCCAGGCTGGTCTCAAACTCCTGACCTCAAGTGATCTGACTACCTCGGCCTCCCAAAGTGTTGGGATTACAGGCGTGAGCCACCACACTCAGCAATAAGTATTTTCTGTATTAATTATTTTACTAGCTTTATTAGCAGGTGTTATTTACTAGCTGATATTATTATTGTGTGAGAGTTGATCATTTTAGGTGGTACATGATGAACATTATGTCTACTCTGTATATACCACATGGGGACCAGTCCTGAGTATGGAGAATGGGTGGTGGAAAGGAGAGACAAATAGGAAACCAATTTAAAGGCAGTATAGAAAGATTAGGGATTAAAGGACACTTTTTTAGATTGAGAGGTATTAAGAATGGGCTTTTCCAGGGTGTTGGAACTACTCTTGTTTAATACCTTTATGAATGCTCTAAAAGTAAGAATACATATTTAATTTTCTGTTTTTACAAATAACACTACATTCTTCCAGTAATGGAAAGTCAAATTAATGCACATAAACCAGAGGGAGATCTTACTAGTTAGTGTACAAAAGCTAGAAAATATAAATGTTTTAAATAAACTTTATTGAGATATAATTAACATATAATAGACTTCACCCATTTTTAAAGAATACCGTTTGGTGAATTTTGATAACTATATTCACCCATGTAATACCATCAAAATCACCTTCACTCCAACCCCACTTCAAGACTCTGAGAACAATTGAATTTTCTGTCATTTACTTTTAGTTTTCATTTCTGGAATTTCATATACATGGAGTCATACATTATGTACTCTTTTGTGTATGGATTTCTTTCATTCAACATAATGTCTTTAAGATTCATCCATGTCGTAGCATGCATTCAGAGTTTATTCCTTTTCATTGGTGAATGACATGCCATTGTACTGAATATACCACAATTTCTTTTACCACCCACCTTTTGATGAACATATGAGGTATATTTCCAGTTTTGAGCAATATGTAAGTGGTTTGCTGAAGCTGGCTCATACCAGCATACAGGAGCTGATTGTGCACATCTCTTTTCAACTCCACCGTTCAGTGATGTCAAATTAGTAGCTTTAAATCAACCATAGTGGCAGTATTTACACCAAAGAAACTGGCAAATCAGGGCATTTTTAATGGGGGAGCCAGTTTACCAGTACTCCACTGGCTATTGTTAAAAAAGATGCTATGAAAATTTGTATAGGAGTTTTTGTGTGGACATAAGTTTTTATTTCTCTTGGGTAAATACCTAGAAGTAGGGTTTATATATCATACGTTAAGCAAATGTTTAATTTTAAAAGAAATTACCTAGAGGGGCAGAGTAAGATGGCCAAATAGAAGGCTCTACTTATTATCCTCCTGCAATCACACCAGTTTAACAACTATCTACACACAAAAATATCACCTTCATAAGAACCAAAAATCAGGTGAGCACTCGTAGTACTTGGTTTTAGTTTCATTTCACTGAAAGAGGCATTAAAGCGGGTAGGAAAGACAGTCTTGAATTGCAGATGCCACCCCACCCCTATCCCCCAGAAGTAGCCACATGGTACAGAGAAAGAATCTGTGCACTTGAGAGAGGGAGAGCACTGCAATTGTAAGACATTACATCGAACACACTGCTGCTCTGCCATAGCAGAAAGCAAAACCCAGCTGAACTCAGCTGACACCTGCCCCCAGAGGGAGAATTTAAACCAGCCCTATCCGGAGGGGAATCACCCATGCCAGCAGTTGGAACTTGAGTTCCTGCAAGCATCACTACCATGGGCTAAAGTGCTCTGGGACTCTAAATAAACTTGAAAGGCAGTCTAGGTCACAAGGACTGCAACTCCTCTAGTGCGGAACTGGGCTCAGAGACAGTGGACTGGGTGGGCACATGACCTACTGGGACATCAGCCAGGGCGGCTAAGGGAGTGCTTGCACCACCCCTCCCCAACCTCAGGCTGCACAGCCCACAACTCCAAAAAAGACCCCTTCCTTCCACTTGAGGAGAAGAGAGGGAAGGCTAAAGAGGACTTCGTCTTGCATCTTGAATACCGGCTTAGCCACAGCAGGATAGGGTACAGTTCAGCTGGGAGGCCCCCTTTTCAGGCCCTAGCTCCCGGAGGACATTTCTAGGCACACCCTGGGCCAGAAGGGAACCTGCTACCTTGAAAGGAAGAACCCAGTCCTGGCAGGACCCATTACCTGCTGACTAAATAGCCCTTGGGCCCTGAATAACCAGCAGCAATACCAAGGTAGAATGCTGTGGGCTTCAGGTGAGACTCAGTACTTTCCCAGCTGTGCTGGCTATGGAGAGAGACTCCTTTACTTGAGAAAAATGGAGGGAAAAGTAAAGAAGGCTTTGTCTTGCACCTTAGGTACCAGCTTAGTCACAGAGGAGTAGAATACCAAGCAGCTCCTGGGGTCTCTGATTCCAGGTCTTGACTATTGGACAGCATTTCTACACATACCCTGGGCCAGAGGGGTACCCACTGCCCTGAAAGGTGAGTATCAGGCCAGGCAGGAATCACCACAAGCTAACCTGAGAGCCCTTGAGCATTTTTGTTTTTGTTTTTGTTTTTGTTTTTGTTTTTTGAGACAGAGTCTCACTCTGTCGTCCAGGCTGGAGTGAAGTGGCACCATCTTGGCTCACTGCAACCTCCACCTCCCGGGTTCAAGCAGTTCTCCTGCCTCAGGCTACTGAGTAGCTGGGACTACAGGCACCTGTCACTACGCCCGGCTAATTTTTTTGTATTTTTAGTAGAGATGGGGTTTCACTGTGTTAGCCTGGGTGGTCTCGATCTCCTGACCGCATGATCTGCCCGCCTCAGCCTCCCAAAGTGCTAGGATTACAGGCATGAGCCACTGCACCCAGCCTAGAGCCCTTGAGCTTTAAGGGAACATTGGTGGTAGCCTGGCAGCACTCCCCATGGGCCTGTGGTGATGGTGGCCATGGGATAAGGCTCTTCTGTCTGTGGAAAGGAGAGGGAAGAGGAGGAAAGACTGCATCTTGTGGTTTCAGTGCCAGGTCAGCTGCAGTACAATAGAACACCAGGTAGACTTCTAAGGTTTGACTCTAGTTCCTGGATTCTGGACGGCACCTCTGGACACACCTGGGGCATGGGGGAACTTGCTACCCCGAAGGGAAGAACACAAGCCTGGCTGGCTTCACCACATGCTGCTTGTAGAGCCTTGAGTGAACATAGGCAGTAATCAGGGATTGGTTAACGTGGGCCTTGGGTGAGACCCAGTGCTGTGCTGGCTTCAGGTCTGACCCAGCATAGTCCCAGTGCTGGTGGCCACAGGGGTGCTTGTGTCACCTTGCCCCCAGCTCCAGGTGGCTCAGAACAGAGAGAGAAAAGGGAAGAAAACAAAAGTCTCTGCCAGGTAATCTAGAAAATTTTGGATCTTATCCAAGACCATCAAGGTGATAATTCTATGACTCTGCAAGAACTATAGCATTACTACACTTGGGGTGCCCCCAATAGATACAGCTTGGATCACAACACACAAGTCCTTTAGAATACCTGGAAAGCCTTCCCAAGAAGAACAGGAACAAACAAGCTCAAGCTGCAAAAACTATAATAAATGCCTAACTCATCAATGCCCAGAAATAGACTAACATCCACAAGGCCACCCAGGAAAACATGACCTCACCAAATAAACTAAATAAAGCACCAGATACCAATCCCGGAGAAACAGGGATATGTGACCTTTCAGACAGGGAATTTGAAATAGCTGTTATGAGGAAACTCAAATAAATTCAAGATAATACAGAGAAGGAATTCAGAATACTATCAAATGAATTTAACAAAGAGATCGAAATAATTTTTAAAAATCAAGCAGAAATTCTGGACCTGAAAAATGCAATTGACATACTGAAGAATGCATCAGAGTCTTTTAATAACAGAATTGATCAAGCAGAAGAAAGTATTAGTGAGCTTGAAGACAGGCTATTTGAAAATGCAGTCAGAGGAGACAAAAGAAAAAAGAATGAAAAACAATGGAGCACACCTACAGGATCTAGAAAATAGCTTCAAAAGGGCAAATCACTGGCCTTAAAGAGGAGGTAGATAACGAGATAGGGGTAGAAAGTTTATTCAAAGGGATAATAACAAAGAACTTCCAAAACCTAGAAAAAAATCAATATCAAAGTACAAAAGGGTTATAGAAGAGCAAGCAGACTAAACCCAAAAAAGACTAACTGAAGGCATTTAATAATCAAACTCCCAAAGGTAAAGGATACAGAAAGAATCCTAAAAGAAGCAAGAGAAAATAAGCAAATAACATACAATGGAGCTCCAATACATGTGGCAGCAGACTTTTCAGTGGAAATCTTACAGGCAAGGAGAGAATGGCATGACATATTAAAGTGCTGAAGGAAAAAAAATACTCTAAAATAGTATTTCCAGTGAAAATATCCTTCAAACATAAGGGAGAAAAAAAGACTTTCCCAGATAAACAAGCGCTGAGGGATTTCATTAATACCAGTCCTGTCCTACAAGAAATGCTAAAGGGAGTATTCAATCAGAAAGAAAAGGACATTAATGAGCAATAAGAAAACATCTGAAGGTACAAAACTCACTAGTAATAGTAAGTACACAGGGAAACACAGAATATGATAACACTGTAAGTGTGGTGTGTAAACTACTCTTATCCTAAGTAGAAAGATGAAACAATGAACCCATCAAAAACAGTAACTACAGCAAATTTTCAGAACATAGACAGTACGGTAAGATATAAATAGAAACAAAAAAAATTTAAAATGAGGGGATGAAGTTAAGGTGTAGACTTTTCATTAGTTTTCTTTTAGCTTGATTGTTTGTTTATTCAAACAGTGTTGCTATCAGCTTAAAATAATGGATTATAAGATATTTGCAAGCCTCATAGTAACCTCAAATCAAAAAACGTACAACAGATACACAAAAAGTAAAAAGCAAGAAATTAAATCATACCACCAGAGAAAATCACCTTCACTAAAAGGAAGACAGGAAAGAAGGAACGGAAGGAAAAAAAAAACAACAGAAAACAAATAACAAAATGGCAGGAGTAAGTCCTTACTTGTCAATAATGATATTGAATGTAAATTAAATAAACTCTTCAATCAAAAGAAGCAGAGTGACTGAATGGATAAAAAAGAGAGACCCAATGACCTGTTGCCTATAGGTGTTACCTGTCTTTATAGGTGTTTCACTTTTCCTGATACACATAGACTGAAAATAAAGGGATGGAAGAAGATATTCCATGCCAGTAGAAACCAAGAAAGAGCAGGAAGGAATAGCTACAATTATATCAGACAAAATAGATTTCAAGACAAAAACTATAAGAAGAGACAAAGAAGGTCACTTCTTTGTCTATATAGACACCCAAAACTGGAGCACCCAGATATATACAGCAAATATCAGAGATAAAGAGAGATGAACTCCAAGACAATAATAGCTGGAGACTTCAACACCCCACTTTTAGCATTGGACAGATCTTCCAGATAGAAAATCAACAAAGTAACATTGGATTTAATTTGTATTGTAAAACAAATGAACCTAATACATATTTACAGAATGTTTCATCCACCGGCTGCAGAATATACATTCTTTTCCTCAGCACATGGATCATTCACAAGGATAGACCATATGTTAGGTCGCAAAACAAGTCTTAAAACATTAAAAAAGTTAAAATAATACTTAAAATAATATTGTGTCTTCTCTGAACACAATGAAAGAAAACTAGAAATCAATAACCAGAAGAATGTTGGAAACTATACAAATACAAGGAAATTAAACAATGTGCTGCTGAATGACCAGTGGGTCAATGAAGAAATTAAGGGAATTGAAAAATTTCCTGAAACAAATGATAATGGAAACACAACATAACAAAACTTATGGAATATAGCAAAAGCAGTACTAAGAGGGAAGTTTATAGCTATAACTGCCCACAGCAAACAAGAAGACAAACTTCAAATAAACCACCTAATGATGCATCTTAAAGAAGTGGAAAAGCAAGAGCAAACCAAACCCAAAATTGGTAGAAGCAAACAAACAATAAAAATCAGAGTAGAAATAAATGAACTTGAGGAAAACAATACAAAAGATCAATGAAACAAAAGCTTGTTTCTTTGAAAAGATACATACAATTGACAAACCTCTAGCCAGACTAAGAATAAAAGAGAGAATACCCAAATAAATAAAATCAGAGATGACAAAGGAGACATTACAGCTGATACTTCAGAAATTCAAAGGATCATTATTGGCTACTATGAGCAAATATATGCCAACAAATTGTAAAATCTAGAGGAAATGGATAAATTCCTAGACACATACAACCTACCAAGATTGAACCACGAAAAATCCAAAACCTGAACAGACTAATAATAGTAATGAAAATAAAGCCACAATAAAAAGTCTCCCAGCAAAGAAAAACCTGGGATCCCATGGCTTGACTACTGAACTCTACCAAATATTTAAAGGAGAACTAATACCAATCCTTCTCAAACTATTCTGAAAAATAGAGAAAGAGGAAATACTTCCCAACTCATTCTACAAGGCCAGTATTACTGTTACTTAAACCAGACAAAGACACATCAAAAAAAGAAAAGTACAGACTGCTATCACCAATGAATATTGATGCAAAAAACATCAAGAAAATACTAACAAAACAAATTCAGGAACACATTAAAAAGATCATTCATCATGACCAAGTGGGATTTATCCCAGTGATGCAAGGGTGGCTCTACATACATAAATCAATTAATGTGATATATCATATCAAAAAAACAAAAGACAAAAACCATATGATTATTTCAATTGATGTTGAAAAAGCATTCTACAAAATTCAACATCCCTCATGGTAAAACTCCTCAGAAAAAAACGCATATAGAAAGAACATACTCAACAAAATAAAAGCTGTAAACGACAGACACATAACTAGTATCATACTGAATGGGGATAAACTAAAAGCCTTTCTCTTAAAATCAGGAACAAAACAAGGATACCCACTGTCACCACCGTTATTCAACATAGTACTAGAAGTCCTAGCTAGAGCAATCTGACAAGAGAAAGACATAAAGGGCATCCAAATTGGAAATGAAGAGGTCAAATTATCCTTGTTTGCAGATGATATAATCTTATATTTGGAAAAACCTAAAGACTCCACCAAAAAACTGTTGGAACCGATAAACAAATTCAGTGAACTTGCAGGATATAAAATCAGCATACAAAAATCAGTGGCATTTTCTATATGCCAACAGTGAACAATCTGAAAAATAAATCAAGTAATCCCATTTACAATATCTAAAAATAAAATAGAATACCTAAGAATTAACCAAATAGGTGAAAATTTTCCACTATTTCCAAATAGTGGAAAAATAAATCAAGTAATCCCATTTACAATATCTAAAAGTAAAATACAATACCTAAGAATTAACCAAATAGGTGGAAGATCTCTACAAGGAAAACTATAAACACTGATGCAAGAAATTGAAGAAAACACACAAAAAATGAAAATATATTCCACATTCATGGATTGGAAGAATCAATATTGTTAAAATGTCTATACTACCCAGAGCAATCTACAGATTTAAAGCAATTCCTATCAAACTACCAATGACATTCTTCACAGAAATAGAAAAAACAATCCTAAAATTTATAGGGAACCACAAAAGACTCAGAATACCCAAAGCTATACTAAGCAAAAAGAACAAAACTGTACGAATCACATTACCGGACTCTAAATTATACTACAGAGCTATAGTAACCAAAACAACATGGTGCTGGCATAAAAACAGACACAAAGATCAGCAGAACAGAATAGAGAATCCAGAGATAAATCCATGCATCTACCATGAACTTATTTTTTACAAAGTTGCTAAAAACATACATTGGGGAAAGGATGGTTTCTTCAATGTGCTGGAAAAACTGAATATCCATAAGCAAAAGAATGAAACTAGATGCCTATTTCTCACCATATACAAAACTCAAAGCAAAATGGACTGAAGATTTAAATCTAAGACCTCGAACTATGAAACTACTACAAGGGAACATTGGGGAAACTCTCCAGGACATTGGTTTGGGCAAAGATTTCTTGAGTAATATCCCAGAAGCACAGGCAACCAAAACAAAAATGGACGAATGGTATCACATCAAGTTAAAAAGCTTCTGCACAGCAAAATGATATGGTTTGGCTGTGTCCCCACCCAAATCTCATCTTGAATTCCCACGTGTTGTGGGAGGGACCTGGTGGGAGGTAACTGAATCATGGGGGCAGGTCTTTCCCATGTTGTTCTCAAGATAGTGAATAAGTCTCATGAGATCTGATGGCTTTATAAGGTGGAGTTTCACTGCACAAGCTTTTTGCCTGCTGCCATCCATGTAAGACGTGACTTGCTCCTCCTTGCCTTCTGCCATGATTGTAAGGCTTCCCCAGCCAAGTGGAACTGTAAGTCCATTAAACCACTTTTCCTGTATAAAGTATCCAGTCTCAGATATTTCTTTATCAGCAGTGTGAAAATGGACTAGCACAAAAAGAAACAACAAAGTGAAGAGACAACCCACAGAATGGGAGAAAATATTTGCAAACTAACCATGTGACAAGGGATTAACCATGTGACCAGAATATATAAGAAACTCAAACAACTCTGTAGGAAAAAATCTAATATGATTAAAAAATGGGCAAAAAATTTGAATAGACATTTCTCAAAAGAAAACATACAAAAGGCAAATGGGATATGAAAAGGTGCTGAACATCATTGATCATCAGATCAATGCAAATCAAACCTACAGTGAGATATCATCTCATTCAAGTTAAAATGGCTTTTATCTGAAAGACAGGCAACGACAAATGCTGGCAAGACTGTGGAGAAAAGGGAACCCTCATATACTGTAAAAAAGTTAATTAATACAATTACTATGGAGAACAGTTTGGAGGAACCTTAAAAAACTAAAAATAGAGTTTCCATGGGATCTGGCAATCCCACTCCTAGGTATATACCCGAAAGAAAGGAAATCAGTATATCAAAGAGATATCTGCACTCCCATGCTCATTGCAGCACTCATCACAGCAGCCAAGATTTGGAAGCAACCTAAGTGTCCATCAACAGATGAATGGAAAAAGAATGTGGTGCCTACATGCAATGGAGTACTTACTATTCAGCCACTGAAAAAATGAGATCCTGTCAGTTGCAACAACATGGATGAAACTGGTGGTCATTATGTTAAGTGAAATAAGTCAGACACAGAAAGACAACTCGGCATGTTCTTGCTTATTTGTGGGAGCTAAAAATTAAAACTATTGAATTCATGGAAATAGAGAGTAGAAGGATGGTTACCAGAGGCTGGGAAGGTTAGTGAGTGTTGGGGGTGGGGAAGTGGGGATGGTTAATGAATACAAAAAAATAGAAAGAATGAAGAAGACATAATATTTGATAGCACAACGTGGTGACTATAGTCAATAGTAATTTAATTGTATATTTTAAAATAAATAAAAATATAATTGGATTTTTTGCAACACAAAGGATAAATGCTTGAGGTAATAAATACCCCGTTGACCTTGATGTGATTATTAGGCTTTGCATGCCTGTATCAGTATATCTCATGTAACCGAGAAATGCATGAGAGTACACCTACTATGTACTCACAAAAATATAAATAAATAAATAAAAAGAGATTGCTGAAGAACTTTTCAAAGTGGTTGCAACATTTTACATTCCCAAAAACAATGTGTGAAAGTCAATTTGTTTCACAACCTCACCAGTACTTGATATGGTCAGTCTTTTAATTTTAGCCATTCTAGAGGTTGTGTAGTAGTATCTCAGTGTGGTTTTAACTTGCCTTTCTATAATGTTGAGCAGTCTTTCATTTGCTTAATGGCTATTGCTGTATCTCCATTTTGACTTTTAGTTCATGCTTTTTAGCCATTTGTTGGTGGGGAGGGTGTTTATCTTATTACTAAGCTTTAAGAATTCTTTATATATTCTTGATACAAGTCCTATGGCAGATATATATATTTCTCATATTTTCTTCCAGTGTATGGTTTGCCTTTCTATTTTCTTAACTGTGTCTTTCAAAGAGAATAAGTTTTTAATTATTATCAAGTTTATTTTATCAACTTTTTCTTTTACAGTTTATACATTTTTTGTGCTTTATAAGAAATATTTGCTTAATTCAATAATCCAGTTTTTTCCTATGTTTTCTTCTAGAAGTTTTGTGGTTTTACTTTTTATATTTAATTATGTGATGCATTTTAAGCTAATTTTTGGATATGGTATGAGATAAAGGTTGATGCTGAGTATTTCTGCATATGGATATCTGGTAGTTCCAGCATCATTTGTTGAAAACACTATCCTTTCCCCAGTTGAATTTCCAAGGCAGTTTTTTTGAAAATCGAGCAGGTAGTATGTATGGATTTATTTTTTGACTCTCTCTTCTATTCCATTCATCCAAATGCCCGCTCTTTTTGTTTTGCTTTGTTTGTTTGAGATGGAGTTTCACTCTTGTGGCCTAGGCTGGTGTGCAGTGGCTCCATCTCGGCTCACTGCAACCTCTGCCTCCCTGATTCAAGCAATTCTCATCCCTCAGCCTCCCAAGTAGCTGGGATTATAGGCACCCACCACCATGCCCAGCTAATTTGCCAGCTTTTAATTAATGTACATTTATAGTAAGTCTTGAAATCAGATAGTTTAAGTCCTCTTTTGTTTGTTTGCTTAAATTTTTAAATTATTTTGAAATGTCTATGTCTTTTTATTTCCCTATGTATTGCAGATTCAGCTTGTCAGTTTCTACAAAAAAGTCTACTGGAGTTTTTATTAGGATCGTATTGAATCTATAAATCGACTTTGGGAGAACTCTAAACTGATCAATTTTTATCAATTTAGAGGCATAGGCATGATATATCTCTCAATTTATATGGGTTTTCTTCCATTTCTATTGGCAATGTTTTACGGTTTCCTGTGTGCTGGTCTTGCTCATATTTTGTTAAACTTATTCCTAAGTATGCCATGTTTTTGGATAATGTTGAAATTGGATTATTTTAAAAATCCAATTTCCAAATTTTCATTTCAAAAATAAATTGTTTTTATATTGCCTTTCTAATCTGTTATCTTTCTAAATTCACTTATTATTTCTATTACCACTTTGTAAATGTTTCAGAATGTTCTAAAACATACACATCCATGTCATGTGTTAATAAAGCCAGTTTTACCTTCTCATTTTCAGTTTATATGCACTCCATTGCTTGCTTTGCAATGACTAGAATGTCCACTGCAGTGTTGAATAAAAATGGTGGGATCAGGGACAAGCGATTGCCATGTTCCTGATCTTAAAGGAAAAATATTCAGTCTTTTTATTAGTAAGCATATTTGCTATAGATTTTACATAAATGACTTTTATTAGTTTTAGTATGTTCTATTCTAGTTTGCTGGGAATTTTTATCATGAATGGATATTGAATTTTGTCAAATGCTTTTTCTCTATCTTTTGAGATGATTCTATGTTTTTCTTCTTTATTCTGTAAATATGGTGAATAATATTCATTAATTTGAATGTTAAATCAACCTTGCATTCCTGGGATAACCTACTTGGTCATGGTATATAACCTTTTCTATATGTTGCTAGATTCAGTTGCTCATATTATTATTATTATTATTTATATTTTAAGTTCTGGGGTACATGTGCAGAATGTGCAGGTTTGTTACATGGATATATATGTGCCGTGGTGGTTTGCTGCACCCATCAACCCGTCATCTACATTAGGCATTTCTCCTAATGCTATCCTCCCCTAGCCCCCGACCCCCCGACAGGCCCCGGTATGTGATGTTCCCCTCCCTATGTCCATGTATTCTCATTGTTCAACTCCCACTTATGAGTGAGAATATGTGGTGTTTGGTTTTCTGTTCTTGTGTTAGTTTGCTGAGAATGATGGTTTCCAGCTTCATCCACGTCCCTGCAAAGAACATGCACTCATCCTTTTTTATGGCTGCATAGTATTCCATGGTGTATATGTGCCACATTTTCTTTATCCAGTCTATCATTGATAGGCATTTGGGTTGGTTCCAAGTCTTTGCTATTGTGAACAGTGCTGCAATAAACATACGTGAGCATGTGTCTTTATAGTAGAATGATTTATAATCCTTTGGGTATATACACTCAGTAACGGGATTGCTGGGTCAAATGGTATTTCTGGTTCTAGATCCTTGAGGAATCACCACACTGTCTTCCACAATAGTTGAACTAATTGACACTCCCACCAACAGTGTAAAAGTGTTCCTATTTCTCCAAATCCCCTCCAGCATCTGTTGTTTCCTGACTTTTTAATGATTGCCATTCTAACTGGCGTGAGATGGTACCTCATTGTGGTTTTGATTTGCATTTCTCTAATGACCAGTGATGATGAGCTTTTTTTCATATGTTTGTTGGCTACATAGATGTCTTCTTTTGAGAAGTGTCTGTTCGTATCCTTTGCCCACTTTTTGATGGGGTTGTTATTTTTGTTCTTGTAAATTTGTTTAAATTCTTTGTAGATTTTTGATATTAGCCCTTTGTTAGATGGATAGAATTGACAGTGGGGTGTTAAAGTCTCATATTTTGAAGAATATTTGCATCTATGTTTATGAAACATATTAGTCAGCAACTTTGTTCTTGTAACAAACACAAAACATCTTACTATTTTCTAAGCCAGGGTCAGCAAACTGTGGCCTGTGTGCTAACTAGCCCACAGTCTGTTTTTATAAATATTAATAAAATTTTATTGGAACACAGCCACACTCATTTATTTAAGTATTCTTGTCTATGGCTGCTTTTACACTACAATGGTAGATTTGAACAGTTGTGGCAGAAACCATATGACCTGCAAAGCCTAAAATATTTACTATCAGGACCTTTAGAGAAAATTTTGCTGACTCCTGCTCCAAACTACGGTTTGTCTAGACATGAAATTCTGGGAACAAATTCAGCGATTATTCCATATGAAAGAAAGAGATGATTGAGAAAAATGGAAAAAATTCCAGAGGAAGGAACTAAAATGACTAAGATGTTTGGGTGTTTGGGGTACTGAGGGGAAGGGGAGTGCTAATAGCAACAGGAGGACAGACTTATAAGATTAGAATTTTTAATTCTGGAAAGAATAAAGACAAAAAGGACTTGTTTATTTATTTATTTTTATTTTTATTTTTTTTTGAGACGGAGTCTCATTCTGTGGCCAGGCTGGAGTGCAGTGGTACAATCTCAGCTCACTGCAACCTCTGCCTCCCGGGTTCAGGTGATTCTCCTGCCTTAGCCTCCCGAATAGCTGGGACTACTGGCGTGTACCCCCACGCCCAGCTAATTTTCAAATTTCTTTTTTTTTAGTAGAGACAGGGTTTCACCATGTTGGCCAAGATGGTCTCGATCTCTTGACCTTGTCGTTTGCCCGCCTCAGACTCCCAAAGTGCTGGGATTACAGGCGTGAGTCACTGCGCCTGGCCAAAAGAGACTTTTGATAACCAAAATGTATCTGATTTATGAATGCTTAACAGATAAGGTGAATTCCAATTTTTTGGAAGAGGCAGTCTGCCATGGGCTCTGAGCATTCCTATGCACCCTTGCTGAGACTGACATTCTGCAATGCCTTATTGTCCTCTCACGCTAAGCAGTTTCTGTAGCTACTCATGTAGGCAACTGAGTGGGTCGAGGCAATGTCAGAGTGACTACTACGGAACTACTCACTCTGTAGGTTTGGGGGACTGGTTTGTTTATTTCTTGCTACCAGGGCGCATAGCCTTTAACTCTTGGTCCCTCAGCCTAGGGCACAACTGGCTATGCACATAGCTACCATCTGGGCCCATTGCATGGTCCCATGGGACTTGGATTTAAAGGTGCTAGTGCTACATGTTGATGCTGCTGGTTTTCCTGTGCTGTGAGTAATCAACCTTCTTGCTGTGATCCATTGAGTCTCATTGTCTACATTTGGCACCTGTGACAAGACAAAGACAACCTGCTGCTTTAGTAATCTCCTTTGTAGTCTTGTTACTTCTTGACATCTTCTATGAGGTTGGGGTTCTTTCTTGACAAAACTTGTTTACTGAATTCCACAATGTTGGGCAGAAGGGTACCCCTGAGGTTTAAAATAAAGACGTTCTTGCTAACTAAAGTAAGTCTCACTCACTTTACAAAGCAGGAAGTAGAGTTTTTTGAAGTAATTAATTATTCAAGAATTGGCAAAAGTAAAACATAAAATTTTCTTCCCTGATACAGGAAGTTGACATAAGAATGATCAACATGACATTACACAGTTCTTAGTGACTCCTCAGTCTGAATAAAGGGTGAATCTGATCCAATGTTGTCATTCTAAGTGCAGTATTGTTTTTTTCTTTAATGCCTTGTACTCATCACCCTATAGACATTTCTGTAAGGTAGGTAAATTTAGTGTTCCTTCCTTAGTCTTCACTTGCATCATCTTGATTTGGCTGTGTTTGACTATTTGCAATGATGATCTATCTGAGTTCTTTACCAACTCCACTGAGTGTTCTCTTGGTGTCTCCTTCCAGGACTTCATTTTCTCCTTCCATCCTGATGTACCCTGCTCCTTTCGCTCAATTTCAGCTTTCATTTCACTTCCATTTATTCTTAAATAAATTTCCAGCCTAATCTTTTATATCACCAGCACGGCATCTACACTTTTGGTCCTCAGACATTTATGATCGACATTTAAAAAATGGAAATGATAATTTTCTTTAGCAATCCACTTCCTCATCTCTCTTATCTCATTTATCTGAATAGTCATACCATTTTTTCCACGTCCAATGGCTCCAAATCATGGAACTTTTAATAACTGTTCTGTATTCTTACCCAGTGTCCAAAGGGTCTCCAAGCCCTGTTTCATTTCTTGCAGATTTCCTTCTTCTATTTAGCTACACTGGCATCATTCTGGTTCAGCATGGCTTTGCCTCATACAGCCCATCAAGGCTCAGTTGAAGATCACTTCCCACCCACCGGCCACCATCACCATGATTAATGCCTTTCCTGCAGCTCACACTGATTCTATCAGGAAATAATCTGTGCTTCTTAATTCAGGACTTGATTGTATATAGTTTTGTGATGTCTAAACTACACATTGGTTGGTATCACTTCCTCTTTCCCCCAGTTAAAATCCTCAATGGTGACTTCCCATTGTACTTAGAATAAAATCTAGACTCTTTTCACGGTCTACAATGACTTATATGATATGGTCCCTCCCCACCTGTTCATTCTTAATCCTGAGCCTCTCTACCCATTGCTTACTACCCTGTAACCACATAAGCTTTCTCAATTCCTAGAATGTTACCAAACTCTCTCCTATCTCCACTCTGTGCCTGGATGTTCACTTCCAACCTCACCTCCAAATCTGTTCAACTACTACTCTTCCTTCAGGTTTCAGCTTAAGTTTCGCTGACTCAGGGGAGCTGACTCCAAAGTTTCTATCTAAATTAGCCTCATAATTAGCATTTTTCATAAAACTCCACTCTTTTCCTTCAAGCACTTATCAGAATTTATATATTTATTTGTGATGTTAAAAATGTTTGCTTTATAGACTGTAAAACCATGAAGGCAGAGACTGTGTCTGTCCCTTTCATTTCTGAATCCTTAACACTTAGTACAGAACCTGGCACATAGTAGGCATTCAAGGTAAATGCTTATTGAATGAGGGATCTGCAGTTGTAACAGAAAGTTCCTTATTTTCCTATATCCTTAATGAAAACCGAATCCTACTTATCCTAAGCCATGCAATCTCCAAGCCCTCTATGTACTGTAGACTAATCTTATTAACTTGTTTTGACTATAGGACTAGCACACACCTGCTCCTGGTTTTATTAGGTGAGATTATGCCAGTCTCTTGTATTAATTTCCTATAGTGTTTCTGAGAATTCCGCTGGAAATAGCCTTTGTATTTTCCTTTCATGTGCTTACTGGCTGATCCCCACTGTACTTCACTCTCAAAGCCCCATCCCTGCCACCCTTTTCCATGCCATTTTCAGAACTATGCTTTGACTTATGCTAGTCAAGTCATACTATAAATCTAAGGTGCCAATCCTTCTGAATAACATCGTATATTTTAGACCCAAGTATTCAAATTTATCTTTTTGGAAATTATATACTTCCCTTTTCAATAGAGGTAAAAAGTGTAGGCATCTTCAATTAGAGATGTGGGGAGATTATCCCCCACAAAAATCTTCTAATCCCTGCCTCAGGTGGAGTATGACTATGGGTTATGAGTTTTTTAGCAATATAGGACTGAGAAGGTAATTTTCCTGATTTATTAAAATTTCTGTCTTCAGTTCCAAGCCCTTTCTCACTTGCTTTGCCCTTATAGGTCTGCGCTTCCTTGTCCACTGGCAATACGTCTCATTTAAATGTACAACTTAACACAGTGGCTGAGATTTTAGATTCTAGAGCCACTGTCAGTGTTCGAATCCTTTATTTCATTATTATTAGTCATGTGACCTTGGGTAAACTACTTAACCTGGTTGTGTACTAGTTTCCTCATACATAAAATGCAGATAATAATAGTACCTACTTCATAAAGTTATACAAAGATATAGTGAATTTATATTTGAAGTGCTTTGAACAGGGCTTTGCACGTGGTATGTTATTTCATTTTTTTTTTTTTGGCTTTCATTTTGAATGAAGCTTTTCCTCAAAAGGAGAGTGTACACATTTGTGTGCATAAAAACTTGCCCTTTCATTTGTACCATTGGCCATTTTTTAATTTAGAAGGCATGAAATGACTGCAAGGAGGTGGGGTATCACTTAATGTAATAATCCATCCTATAAAAACATTTATTGACCCCCTCCTTGTCATTCTTCTTGTAGGGTAATATAAGAGAGTTATTGACTAATGTGAACCAAGGATGTACCCTTCTTGTCTCTGATGCTTTGAAGACACCCAGAGGCTTTTTGGACAGATTCAGGCATACACTGGTCCATGCATAATCTAGATTCAGGGCAGTAAGCCCAATTGTTCATATTCTGTTATCTAGGATGACCTATTATCCTGGTTTGCCCAAGATATTTACAGGTTTAACACTGAAAGTTCTGCTTTCCAGGAAACTCCTCAGTCCCAGGCAAACTAGGTTAGTTGGTCACTGTATTTGTTACTTTTACTTGCTCAGGTAGATCTCTTAGAACTTTTACCTTACACATGCATCTCTGATACAAAGCTATTGATCTTACTTGTGATCTAGGTGGTAAACTCAAAATTTGATATACCCTATTTTATGCCAGTTTGTGTAACTTTTGTTGTGCAACTTTCAAAATATTGTTCCTTTTAGAAATAGAAGTTATGCTGTGATGTTACTAGAGTTTAAATATTCTTATACTGGAGGGTATAGGAAGGGCTAATGGTTTAACTTTTTGTTAAAACTTTTGACTCCAACAAATGAGAACACACCAAAACCTCATTCTCTTTATTCTCCCTCCCATTACTTTTTTCTTACTGAGATATAATTCACATACCATAAAATTCACCTCTTTTAAAGGGTACAATTCAGTGGTTTTAGTATATTCAAAAGATTGTGCAACCACCACCATTATCTAATTCCAGAATATTTTGATAATCCTAAGAAGAAACCCTGTATTCTTTGTCAGTCTCAATTCCCCCATCCCCATACTCCAGGCCCTGAGAACCACTTATGTACTTTCTGTCTCTATCAGTTTGCCTACTCAGGATATTTTATATATATGGAATAATATAGTATATGGCCTTTTGTATCTGGTCTATTTCACTTAGCATAATGTTTACAAGGTTTATCCAACGTGTAGTATGTAACAATAATTTGTTCATTTTTATGACCAAATAGTATTCCATTGTATAAACACACTATATTTTGTTGACTTGTTCATCAGTTAATAGATATTTGAGCTGTTGCCACTTTTTGGCTATTATGAATAATGCTGCTATGAATATTTGAGTACAATTTTCCTGAGTGGAGATGTGTTTTCATTTTTCTATGCTTAACTTTTTGAAACACTGCAAACTGTTTTCCATAGCGACTGCTCCATTCTACATACCCACCAGCAGTGCATGAGGGTTCCGATTTCTCCAACGCTTATTATCTTACTTTTTGATTATACCTATTCTAGTGCACATGAAGCAGTATCTTATTGTCATTTTCATTTACTTTTCTCTCATGACTAATGATGCATAGCATCCTTTCATATGCCAGTTTCATATCTTCTTTGTAGAAATGTCTATTCAGAACCTTTGCCTAATTTTAATTGGGTTGTCTTTTTCTTACTGAGTTGTAATGGTTCTTTATATGCTAGGTACAAGTCCTTTAATATATACATAATTTGCAAATATTTTCTACCAAATTTTGGATTTATTTTACACTTTCTTAATAGTGCCCTTTAATACAAAAATTATTAGCTTTGATAGAGTCAAATTTATCCATTTTTCTTTTGCTGCTTGTGTTTTTGGTGTCATTTCTAAGAATCTGTTGCCAAATCCAAAATCACAAAAATTTACCCCTGTGTTTTTCTGAGGAGTTTTATATATAGGCTAAGAGTATTCACTTTGGGAGGCCGAGGCGGGCAGATCACAAGGTCAGGAGATCGAGACCATCCTGGCTAACATGGTGAAACCCCGTCTCTACTAAAAATACAAAAAATTAGCTGGGCGTGGTGGCGGGCGCCTGTAGTCCCAGCTACTAGGGAGGCTGAGGCAGGAGAATGGCATGAACCCGGGAGGCAGAACTTGCAGTGAGCCAAGATCTCGCCACTGGACTCCAGCCTGGGCGACAGAGCAAGACTCCATCTCAAAAAAAAAAAAGAGTATTTAGGTATTTGAGCCATTTTTGAGTAAATTTTTATATATAATGTGTAGTAAAAGTACAACTTCATTATTTTGCATATGACTATCCAATTGTCTTAGCACCATTCATCGGAAAGATCATTTTTTCCCCATTAAAAGGTCTTGGCACTCTTGTAAAAAATCAGTTGACTGTGGATACATGGTTTTATTCTAGACTTTCAATTATATTCCATTGCTCTATATTATATGCCTATCCATATTCCAGTTACCACATTGTCTTGATTACTGTTGCTTTAAGTTTCGAAATGGGAAAGTATGAGTCCTCCAACTTTGTTCTTCTTTTTCAAGATTGTTTTGGACTTTCTGGGTGCCTTGAATTTCCACATGAATTTTAGGATTGGATTGTCAATTTCTACAAAGAAGCCACTTAGCTTTCCGGTGGGGATTGCTTTGAGTCTGTAGATCAATTTAGGGAGTTGCGTTATATTAACAGTATTAATTTTTCCAATCAACGAAAATGGGATGCCTTTTCCTATATTTAGATATTCTCTAATTTCTGTCAACTATCTTTAGTTGTTTTCAGGTTGTAAGTTTTGCAATTATTTTGTTAAATATATCTCTAAATATTTTATTATTTTTAATGTTATTTCAAATGGAATTGTTTTCTTAATTTCATTTTCAGATTGTTTATTGCAGGCGTATGAAAACACAGTCATGTGCTGCATAACAATGTTTCAGTCAACAACAGACTGCATATTTGATGATGGTTTCATGAGATTATAATACCATATTTTTAATATATCTTTTCTATGGTTAGATATGTTTAAATACACAAATTCTTAGCATTGTGTTACAATTGCCTATAGTCTTCAGTGCAGTAACATGCTGTCCTAGGAGCAGCAGATTATACCATATATTCCAGATGTGTAGTAGGCTATACCATCTACGTAAGTACACTCTGTGATGTTTGCACAAGGACAAAACCACCTAAAGACATATTTCTCAGAACATATCCCCATTGTCAAGCAATGCATGATTGTACGACTGAATTTTTATATTTATCTTGTATCTTGCAATCTTGTGGAACTTATTTAGCCCTAATAGCTTTTTGGTGAATTCCTTAGGATTTTATATATACAAGATCATGTCATCTGCAAGTAAAAATAATTTTATTTATTGGTTTCAATTTTCTTGATATTATACATTTTTAAATTAATTTCTTAATGGTCTATCCGGGAGTTACAATTAACATCTTAACTCACAGCGATCTAGTTCAGATTGACACCAGTGTCAATAGTATGCAAAATATTTGCTCCTTTATAACTCCATTCTTTAGTGCTATTATTATCATGTAAATAACATATTTATACATTGTGTGCCCATCAACACAGATGTATAATTGTTGCTTTATGCAGTTGCCTTTAAAAATCACATATGAGAAGTAAAGATTTACAGACGAAAATATATTTAGGCAGGGCATGGTGGCATATTCCTGTTGTCCTAGCTACTCAGGAGGCTGAGGTGGGAGATCTCCTCACCCCAGGAGTTTGAGGCTGCAGTGAGCTATGATTGCACCACTACATTCCAGCCTGGACTGACAGACCCTGTCTCTAAATTAATGATAATAATATATATATATTTATTTATTCTCTCTTTTATATTTATCTATGTAGTTACCTTCGCCAGTGCTCTTTACTTCCTCATGTCGATTCAAGTTACTATCCTTTCATTTCAGCCTGAAGATATCCCTTCAGTATTTCTTGTAAGGAAGGTTTGCTACCATAAAATTCTGTCAGTTTTTATTTACTTAAGAATGTCTTAATTTCTACTTCAGTTTTGAAGGCTAGTTTTTGTGGATATAGAATTCTTCCAGCACTTCTGTAACTTTCACTGTATCATCCCACTGTCTCCTCACTTCCATGGCTTCTGATGAGAAATCAGCTCTTAATATTATGGATCCTTTTATATTATGAGCCATTTCCCTCATTGCTTTCAAGATTCTCTCTGTCTTTATCTTTTTGACATTTTGGTCATCATGTGTCTAGATGCGAATCTCTTTTGAGTTCATCAAGCTTCTTGGGTGTGTAAATTACTATTTTTCTTTAAATATGAATTTTCAGCCTTTATTTCTTTAAATACTCTTTTTGACTTTTCTCTTTCCTCTCCTTCTGGAAGTCCCATATAATAATATGCTTGATGGTGTCCCACAGGTAACTGAGGCTTTATTCATTTTCCTTTACTCCCCTTTCTTTCTGTTCCTTACATTGGATAACCTTATTTGCCTATATTAGTATGATTCTTTCTTTTGGCTGCTCAGATCTGCTGGTGGACTCCTTTAGGGAACTTTTCATTTCAGTTATTGTACTTTTCAACTCTGGAATTTCTATTTGGTTATCTTCTATAGTACCTATTTTGTTACTGGTATTTTCTATTTGGTGAGACATCATTGTTATGCTTTATTTCTTTATACCTGCTTTTATTTAGTTTTTTAAACATGTTTTAAATAGCTGATTTAAAGTCCTTGTCTAGTAAGTCCAATGAATTGGCTCCCTCAGGGACAATTTTTATTGATTGGCCTTTTCCTCCTTGTGTATGGGCCATGCTTTCTTGTCTTTTTGAATGCCTTTTTGTTTGTTTGTTAAAAACTGGACATTTTACATAATATTAGCTGGTAAGTCTGGATATCAGATTTCCTCTAATATTTTCCCCATAGGATTTCTTGTTGCTGCAGTTTGTTGTTTTTGATTTTGTGTGTGTGTGTGTGTGCGTGTGAGTGTGTGTGACATTTCTGAATGAATTCTGCAATGTCTGCATTCTTTGTTGCATGTGGTCACTGAAGTCACTGTGTGATTAGTGTAGTGGCCAACTAATGATTGGAGATTAGAAATTACAGAGCTAGAGATTACCTTAAATTCCTAGAATCAGTAAGTCTCTCAGTTTTGCCAAAGGGCTCTGTGCATGTTGAGGCTTATCTTCAACACTTGGCCAGGTGTAGATACCCTGGCTCTGCCTGGGCTCAAACTCATGGTCACTTATTGATAAGGAAAAAAATAACAACAAACATTCTATTATTGATTATTTTCTGGCATAGCTTATTTACTTGCTTTGTACCACAATGGAAAGATAGAAGTGGATTCATTAAATGTCCAAAATATTTTTTAAAATTATATTAGATTTCTAACGTGTTTTATTAACTGGAAAGTAATAAAAACTACACTTTAATGAATTTCTAATTTCCCCAACCCCTTTTGAGTAAATTTAATGCTTTAGGAGGAATAATTTATTATGATTTGCTGTTCTTAGAATTGAATGTTTACTCCTTTAACTGTACTAAGCTAACTTTTTGGTGTGTTTTAATTTTTTGCTCATTAAATACTATTTTTTCTAATATTACCTTAAGAAATGACCCAGAAATATAAATTAGTAAAGGATCACTTTGATTTTTACTGCCTATGATACTGTCAATATAAATTCTCTGATTTTGTTTTATTAAAGGTGAAGCAGGTTATGAAAAACCCATATATTTTTAAGCTACCATGGACTTAGTTGTAAAAGAAGCCTTTAAAATTTGGCAAACAAAACTGTTTGATAGTTGGAAACATTTTGAAGAAAAACTTTCTTTGGCTTAAAGCTGAGAAGTCATTTGAGTTAGTCTAGCATGCAAATTAATGTGCTTGAGTTTAGTGAAGGAAGCTATGGGAATGTCTCAAAGATTAGCAGTTAGGATTATAAGTGATAAGGAAGAACGGCAAAGTACAAAGAAAAAATGATTGAATTTAATAGTCCCCAGAGAACAATGTTCCAAATCTTGCTCAAAAATTTTCAGACTTCATTTTTTTTTTGTTACCATGGTCACTTAGGACTTTTGAAATATCAAATAAAACACGAATTGATCTTAGAAGAGTCATTCTAATTCAAGAGGAAGGTTTATAAGCAACAGTAAAATGCCGACTCTGGGAGAAGTCTACTTGTAGTGAAATACTTTATAAGAACAAGGCCTGCCACACAGTAGGCACAAAATCAATATTTGTTGAATACATTGAATGAATTATACTAACATTTATTATAATGAGAACACACTGAGCTGAGGTTAATTTTTTTATTGTGCATGGGAAAAATATTTGCTAAGCAAACATGCGTCCTTACCACAAAGAAATGTTAACCTCATTGATAGTGTAGGCTGACTCTGAGGTATAAAGAGAATTTTTTTTTTTGTATTTTCAATTTAGGTTTTCCTAAATAAATTTTGCAGGAAACTTGGAATCTTGAGCTAAGAGCCAACATTGGTAAGGTAATATACAAGTATATAGTCGGTGATAGAACCCTACGGAGATTTATCTGACTCTGGAGGTATATGTTTACATTTCAAGGACAAATGAAGTCAGGGACCTTGAAGACATTTCTAGGTCATAGAAGTTGGAGATATATCTTGGAAAGATGCATTTATATTAAACAAGTTTAGAGTAAGAACCCAGGATCCTTTCCATTTTTTCTTCAAAGAGCAAAAGTTTCATTCCTTCCTTTTGAGCAGAAAGGGGGAGACAGGTGCCTTTTCTCCTGTATATAAAGTAGAAAAAAATCTATTTGCCTCCGTTCCTTACCTGTAATACAGACTTTCTATGTGTAGAAGATTTGACTTGGCTTACGTTGTGTCACTGCAGAGGTGAGAATCAGGGTTTGGGAAAGCAAATTCATTATTTGCTTTTTAACAAGATAATAATAATCTCTCTCTGATCTAGAACACCTCATGTGTGTTTAGAATAAAATTAATAAAGATGAATATTAAAAACCCAACAAAGACCAATTGTTTTCAAGAACTGTTGTCACAGCAGCATTTGCATTCAAACAGGAATATGTGACTTTTTTAAAGCACTTACAGGATTCTCAAGTGCAACACTTGAAAGTAATAACATGGCAAGTTATTAAAAAAAAAACCTTCGTAAGTCTGAGTTCTCCCCAAATCTGGCTGACCATCTAATTAATAGAGCCAATTATAGGGGTCTTAGAAAAATCAAAGCTCATTTGAATTGTATTACTCTAAAGAGATAAGAGCTTTCTTTAAAAACCAGAACAAAAAGTACTAAAATCTTGGAGGACTGTATTTTGTTGTTAAGATGGTTCCATTTGTTTTTAACTTTTAAACAACATATTTTATCAACTGAGAGACAGGGTTTCCATGATGGAATAGCTACATATATTATTTCATTTCCTGTCCACAAACATTTGAAATAGTTTAGAAAACTTGCATAATTTTGTTCAATTTGCAGTAAATGAAAAAAACCTTTATGTTTAATTTTTTCATTACATTTGGATCAAAATGATAACAGAGTAGTCAGGGGATGTGATTCTGGAAATTAAGATGACTTATGGCAGCAGAAAATAACTGACCTACATTTTAATTTTGTTTTGCTCTCAATGGCTTCCAAGTTAGATGCAAGAATTGTATAGGAAAAGCCAAGGGCAAACATAAAAGGAAGACACATCAGTGCCCAGCTTCCTGGCTTCCATAAGGGTTCAGGCTCCTTGGAGTGGCCCCTTATGTCCCTGCCCAATTTCACACTTCTTACCTCATTCTATCTCTCCCCTTTTCCTGATAGACTATGCTTTAACATGTTGGTTAAAATTTTACAGACTTGCTAGACAGTGTCACATTTCCATGTCTTTGAACATATTGTTCCCCTCATTTAGAATGGTCTTCCCACCTTCTCCACCTTATCTTTCTGGCAAACTACAATTCATCTTTTAAGATTCTACTCAGACATGACTTCCTGCCTGTCAGGTCTTCTTGGATTTCATTTCCCCTAACATCTCCGTGATGCTTTCTGTTACTCGTACATACATCTGTTTTAGCGTGCATCACCCTATATTGTAAGTATCTGTCTACATTTCTGTATTCTACATTTCTGAATCTTTTTTATAATTTTAAGATTTTACTTATGAATTTATTTAGAGATAGGGTCTCACTCTGTCACCAAGGCTGGAGTACAGTGGAACAATCATATATCACTACAGCCTTAAACTCCTGAGCTCAAGTGATCCTCCTGCCTCAGCCTTTTGAATAGCTGGACTACAAATGCAAGCCACCATGATTGGCTAATTTTTGTATTTTTTGTGAAATGGGGTCTTGCTATATTGCTCAGGCTAGTCTTGAACTACTGGCCTCAAGCAATCTTCCCACCTCAGCCTCCATTCCTGTGTCTTATATCCCTTTGCTTAGCACAGTACCTGGTACATAGTAGCCATTCAATAAATGTTTGTTGAATGAATGAATGAGTGGATGCCTGGATGGACAAATGAATGGAGGGATATGATTGTATTTTCCTAGTTCTGTACCAGGACATAGAAAACAATAATTTAGAGTATTGAAAAGATAGCTTTGAGATTACCTGATCAGAAGATACAAATGTCTTCTCTATAGCATCCCTACCAGAGGCTCAGCCGGCTTGAATATCTCCAGGAAGCAGGCTCTACTTCCTGATTAAATGCATTCTATTATTGGATAGTTTTCACTTTTATAAGGTTTTGTTTATTTGTCCTGTTGATCTGAAATGTGCTTTTTTTTTGTAATTTCCATCTACTTTTAGATTTTTCCTATGCAGCAATACAAAACAGATGTACTCCCTTTTCCACTTTAAAACTTGTTAAGAATTAGCATGAATTAGCTTAGTCATCTTTTCTCCAGGCAAAACATACAGTTACTTCAACCCTTTCTTGTATGTCATGGTTTCTAGATCTCTTATCCTGGTCACCTTCTTGGTATATTTTCCCACCATTACTCCGAAAATACCTATATTTGAACATGATACTCCAGATGTGTTCTGACCTACGTCCAATAAGGTTACTACTTATTGCATATGTACACTATTAGCTTGATAAGTTAATCTCATACCATGTCATCTTCCCCATCACTCCTACCACTAGTTTACCTTTCTGGAGTTTTGTGGGGTTTTTTTTTTTTCAGTTTACAAGGAGTTTCATTTTTTTTCTTTGAGTTTAGAGGACGACCTGTCCCTATTATAAGCTCAATATGATGAGTGTGGGTTTATGGGCTGGTGAGCAAAAATACTTCACAAAAAAACGAATAAACAAACTGGTGCTACAAGATCAGGACAGCATTATTTTAATGCACAAATTGGATCTTCCAGGCAGGCTGACAATTACCTCCTGTGCTGTCACTAACTCAGTGTATATGATAGAAGATGTAGATGGGATAAAGAGGCAAAGCTTTTAGCAATGCTGTTACTTACAGATTCAGTCAAAAGAGACAACCCCACCTCACACCTCTACACATGGACATACAAGATGATTGCTGCAATCAGTTTTGCCAGAGTGCACTGGTAAATGATGTGATAGTGCTATCAAGGTCGGACGAAAGATGAGAAACAGTTGTATCTAAACTGGATCTGGCCTTTCTGTCCCAGGGAACATTAACATGAGCAAGCGACTTTTCATCAACAGATGAAAAGACAATTATCACACAGCTTGCTCTTTCAGGAGACACAGATTCAATAACACCCACCTAGGTGGGCAAAATGAAATATCCTAGCACCAGCCTCAGACCCCATCTTTTCATGTCAAGCTCTTACACAGTCTCACATGGCCATTTCGGCTTCAGCTTTGTTGACAAGGAAAAGACATAAAAATCTCATGCAAAGGAAGACTGGGACTACCTGTCTTGTATTCTCATACAGCACTTTTAATTAGTTAACCAGGATTAAAAAATAATTATCACAGCTCTATTTTCTATTCTATGCATATTGACTACTAAAGGTATATGTAGGAATTGTTACCCTGCATTCAGTACATACACACATACACAGAGGCTAAGCATTTTAAGAAAACAGTAATGAGTTTGTGCTGAGGATTTTGATAATTTTTCTTCTAGGAAGTTCCATAAGCTTGCCTCAATCTCTTGTCTCACACATGTAAGAAGATAAATGTCTCCCAAACTGCACGTTGGTCACTGAATCCTGGTAAAACATAACCAAAGTTCAAAGCATATTTCTACAATCTTACATTTGCAAACATTACAGAAAAAACCTTTAGATTTCTGACAAATGCAATAAATCCTTTACTCTTTTCATTCATATGGACTAAAGCACAAGCTTATGTGAGAATCAGTGGTCTCTGTCTTCTGATATTTCTTCTGTAAACATAAAGTATCAAATCTTTGCTTCTTTAGTCTTTGAGTTTCAGAAAGAAGAATTTTTATCAGAAACAATTCTATGAAATAAAGAAAAGAAGTTACTACTGGTGACCTTTCTTGTCAATCAACCTGTAGCAACTGTTTAACATGCTCTGGCTAGTTAATAAATGTTATATTAATCAAAATGGAGAAAAATTTTGACTTAAAATGATGCTAAAATGTTTACTGACCTTAAAGGTTCACAGAAACTTGGAATCAAAAGAGGTCATCATAATTCCTTTTAACCCAGAACACTAAGAATTGTTTGTATTTCTTGATCACTCTATGCCAGTCACTGTACTAACCATCCACATGTATTTTCTTATTTAATCTTCTGAAAACACAATCTCCACTCCATTTTTCAAGTGAGGAAACTGAGGCCCAGAGAGGTTAAGTGACTTTCTCAAATCCACACAACTGGTAGGTGGAAGCGCTGCCTCTTAACTTAACTTTTGTACTGCTTCCCTAATTCTAAAGAAGCAGAAACTGAGGTCCAGAAATGATAAGCCAAGTTTTAAGTTGTACAGCTACCTAGTGGCAGAGTCAGGGCTATAACCCTAGCTTCCTGACTCCTAATCCAGTGCCCTTTTTATGGCTTCCAGCCTCTAAGATCTTCAAGGAAATGAAATATGTTCCAGACAATTGAATCAAAGTTCTTTCTTCAACAAGACCTAGAAACAAAAGTCGAACCGGAAGTCATCTTGATTTTCTCTTTCAAAGCTTATTCATTAAAAAGAAAAAGAAAAAAAAGGAGAAAAGAAAATCTTCTGTCCCTTATAATAGCTCTTTCTGGGTACGCTGCTACATAATGGGCATATTCAGGCAAATGGAAGCAGATCGATAGTGGGGGCACGGAACAGCGTCTCTGCACAGAAAATGATTCAATAGACTTGCGTCCACTGGATGCTTTAGGCGCTGGTTACTTGCTACATCCATTACTGGGAAAAAGCTAAGTGGAGTTTTGAAATAATTTTCAATAAGCCCAGAAAAAATATCTTTACAAAACAAGAAAACGTGTTTGTGCTGCTGTTCTTGATGCTTGGATGTTGGTCCATATTTAAGTAAGGCAGAGTAAGGCTCTTTGGAATGGATTTGAATACAAGTTTCCTATAAGCCCGAAGGCAGTACTTGGTTGCTGGGTTTATCCAAGGTTGGTGCAGGTCACAAATAACAATCAATGAGCTAGGTTTCAGATTCATTATCCAATGGTTATTCATTGTCTCAGATTTGCCGTCCTGTTTGTCCCCTGGCCCCTGTTTTATAGTCTCTCATTGCCAAGCACAGATCATAGCATATGGGAGGTACTTGATAATTGTTTGCTGAGTCAATGACTGGTGGGTAGTTGGGTTCACACCACCAAGGTTTCAAGCACTGGACCCTTCCTTTTGGAAGAACTTAAGACACATTAAAAAGGACATAAAGAAGCTATATACTCTGTTATGAGGCTCTTTGAATGAAACAGGTTTGCAAGTGTTTTTTATTTGCTCTTTTCACTATTACTGGTTTTTTCTCTCCACACATTGGGCAACTGTGGCTCCAAGCAGATCTGTGGGTGATATGTTGTCCTTGGCTCCAGACACGAAATCCTTCCATTTCAACAATAATGTGTGGGATAATTAACCCTATGACGTGATATGGTGTTGGAAAACCTGTGGTGTGCATTTTGCCAGTTCACGATGTTATAGAAGTCCTCGGCCCCGCCCTCCCCCACCCCCGGGCCACACACACTGCCTAGTTATAGACCCAGCAAAGCCATAGGAAGTCCTAACCAAGGAAGGAAGCCTCTTCAACCAATACTAATCGGTCCTCACTCAAGGGCTGAAAGCAGTCAGGGAAAAGCTCATCTCCCGAGACAAATGGAAACAGTAAGTGAGCCCTTTGGCATCATCCATTCTTCACCTAGATGTCCTCTTGGTTCAGTCTTCCATGAAGACGTTTCCTGAGCATCATTTATAAACTTGAAAGCAAGGCAATTGATCAGGGGAGTCGTTCACATATTCCAAGAAGGAGAGCTGCATTTAAAATAACCTTCAAATCTACCTGTGCCTGCCCATTTCTCAGGGCTGTTTTGAGAAGAAAAACTCATTGATGAAATCTTAAAACAAGTAAATGTTACCATGGTTCCAAAGAGTTTGTATATTCCTTAAATGTTACTGCTTAGAGGCATAAAATTTTATATATATATATATATATGGAAACAAAACAAATAAATGTCAGAAGCATGGATTTGCCTGGATTACCTGTCACTCCTTTTCTCAGCCTCTTTAGACATTCACCCAGAAAGGCATGCTTTGAGGCTCTGCCCTTCAAACTCTATGCAAAAACTGAGAAAATCCATGAGACGTCAGGGCTGCTGCTTTAGGGATGAAGGGCTAGCTTGAAAAATGGAGTGAGTAGACTGAAAGACAGACAGACGGAGAGGGAAGAAGAGGCAATATTGGCTCTGCCGCTTTCCACTGTGTGATCTTAACAGGTCAACCAATTGCCCACTCTGAGCCTCAATGTCCTCATCTATAAAAAGGGCTTGGGATAGATGGTCTCTGAGGCCCTTTTGAGTGTCAACAGTTTATGATTCATCATCATTTCTGATTTCCTTATGAAAAAGCAAATGAAATAAAAATAGTCTTATTAGGCCAGGCATGGTGGCTCACGCCTGTAATGCCAGCATTTTGGGAGGCCAAAGCGGGTGGATCACCTGAGGTCAGGAGTTTGAGACCAGCCTGTCCAACATAGTGAAACCCCATCTCTACTAAAAGTACAAAATTAGCCAGGCGTGGTAGTGCATGCTTGTAATAGCTACTTAGGAGGCTGGGGCAGGAGAATCGCTTGAATCCGGGAGGCAGAGGTTGCAGTGAGCTGATATTGCGCTACTGCACTCCAGCTTGGGCAACAAGAGCAAAACTCCATCTCAAAATAAATAAATAAAAAAATTTTTTTAAAAGTCTTCTTGGTAGCAAGATAACCAATTTTCAGAGAGTTGGACATGAACCAGTACCATCATAAATTTCTGAGAAAAGCAGAATCTGTTTGTTTGACATTATAGCTATAAAAACATGAACTAATCAAAGTGTCATTTCCTCTCAGTAATTAAAGCCTTGGCAAGAAATCCAAATGCAGCCAAAATTTCCTGGCATCAGAGTGTGTGGGATGCAGTAGTGAAAAGAGGGCATAGTCAGTTTGGAGTTTAGAATTCAAATTATGGTTCCACCACATATTAGCTGTGTGACTTTGGGGAGGCTGCTGAATCTCTCCGGACTTCAGTTTATTCACCCATAAAATAATGTCTATTTCTCCAGATTGTTGAAAGAACCAAATTAGATAAGGTACCTCAATCCCCTGGCAAGTACCAGATGCTAAATAAATTAGTCCATTCCTCTTCCCACCCACTCCCCCAACACAATACTTGGAAAAGTCATTTCCTGCTCTTCAAAAATGTATAATTGAGTGATTGAATCAATAGGAATACACTTGAGAACCATTAGGTGACAGTGTCAGACAGCAGATGAGTAGTAAAAACCCAAAGGGGTCCTGAAAAGACTAATGTGGACGCAGAAGCTTCTTAGAGGAGGTAGGCTTTACTAGAACATATTTCATTTTTATCTTTGCATTTTAAAATAATGTATATATAATAGATTGTATGTAGAAAGATTTGTGTTCCAAGTGTATGGATGAAAAAATGGGTGCCAGAGAAGGTGAGTGACTTATTTGAAGTCATGCAGCTTATAATTAGAAGAGCTAGGACTTTAAACCAGGTTTTCTGGCTCCAGGTGTAGCACTTTTTCCAAAGCAAAGAGGCTGATCCTGGATGGGTAGAGAAGATTTGGTTAGAGAGGGGGAGTATGAGGCAGAAATTACAGCAGGAAAAAAGATACAATTGCAACAAGATCAGCCATCAGAGCAGAACTACCTCATCCTTTCAACACCAGTTCCACCAACCCAGATACACCTAATCTGCCTTCCTTCTTGTTGCAATAGGTAATATATTTTCTTTTACCCCAAAGAATAGATCCCATACCATCTCACCCCTTTTAAAAACTTCGCTCCCGCATTTTTCATATTTCTTGCCTCTCATCAGTTTCTCTCTATTCACAGAAAAACTTTTCAGAATAGTTGCCTGTAGTTGCTGTCTTCACTTTCTCACCACACTTCCTCTTGTCTCAGGCTCCCAGTTCCACCACTCAACTGAAATGGCTATTGTCAAAGGCTTACAATGACCTCTATCTTTGCCAAATCCTTTGGTCATTCTCAGTTCTTATCTTTATCTCTCAGCAGTATTTGGCATGATTGATTACTCCCCACTTCTGAAACCTTTTTCTTCTTTAGGCCCCCAAAACTTCACGTTCTCCTGGCTTCTCTTTTATTTGGCCACTTCTGTCCTTTTTGCTGACATCTCTTTTTCCTTTGCCTGATTTCTAAATTTTGGGGGACCAAGTCTCAATTCTTGGACACTATTATGGGCTGAATTGTGTTCTGCCAAATTCATATGTTGAAACCCTAACTCCAAGTACCTCCGAATGTGATTGTATTTATACACAGGGCTGTTAAAGAGGTGATTATGTTAAAATGAGGCCTTTAGAACAGGCCCTAATCCAATCTGACTGGTGTCCTTATAAGAAGAGGAAATGTGGGTGCACAGCGGGACACCAGGGTCACATGAACAGAGGAAAGACTATGTGAGGACACAGAGAGAAAGTGGGTATCTGCAAGGCAAGGAGAGTGGTCTCAGAAGAAACCAACTCTGTCAACACCTTGATCTTGGACTTCCACCCTCAAGAACTGTGAGAACATGAATTTCTGTTGTCTAAGCCCCCCAGTCTGTGGGATTTTGTTATAGCAGACCCAGCAGACTCACAGACCTCTTCTCTGTTTTTTCTATACTCACCGTTATTCTGATTTCATCTAGTCCCTTGACTCTAAATACCATCTATTTGCTGACAAGACCTAAATTTGTAACTCTAGCTGGACCATTTCTTACAGCCAACCACCTATTCCACATCTCTAGCTGGAGGTCTAATAGGCATATTTAACTTAATGTAGCAAAACAGTATTTTCTGACTCTAAGACCCATACCTCTAACCACTGTATTAAATTAGAGCTATTTCCTTGTACACTTCTATTAATGTGAGCTATGACTGCATTATTAGTTTTGCTTCAGTCTATTTGTTTTTGTTCTTATCGAAATACTGGTGACTCATACAATATTTGAGATATTTTCCACTTGGAGTGCCGTCAGGACAAATATTCCTCATGATGTAGTTTGACAATTGACTTTTTTTAAAACCCAAATTCAGTTCTTTCACTTTATCCTTGCAATTTCATCTTCTTGGTTTTGACTTGTCCTTTTAGCATATCAAGATTTTGAAACTTAGTTCTGTCATCCCTGTATTTACTTTCTCCACTATCTTTATTTCATTTACAAACTTGATGACTACTTTCATCTGTCATGTGAAAAAAAAGTTGAACAGTGCAAGATGAAGAAGACAGCTCTTTTGTATTTCCATAGAGAAGCCCCTCCAGGTTGTCAGCAATAACCTGGTATCAGCACCAATAATCTACACTCTGGTTGCAGCCACCCTACCAGTGGTAGGTGTAGCTAACTAAAATACCATGCAGCCCTTATATAATGATCTTGTTCTCTAGGATGTCAAACAAACCTCTGTCAAATGCCCTGCTAGAACACAAATATCACAGAATGATGGGAGAATTGTAGCAATGTGAATGGAAGAGAGATAAGATGTTTCAAAGGAACATGAATTTTATAGCATTTGGGTGTGAGGAGAGAAAACAGGCATTCAAGTCCAGTACGGTGGGTACGTCCTGACATCTTTTGGATTGCAAATGTAGGTTTTAATTTTTGGTTTATTCAATAATTTTTAAAAATTGATAGTTTGCTCAGTAACATGGATGACTCTCCACAGCATTTTGCTGAGTGAAAGAAACCTAACACAAATGAGTACATGCTGCCCAATTTTATGTATGCAAAATTCTAGAACATAAAAATTAATCTATGGTGGAAAAAAAATCAGATCAGATCAGTGGTTACTCTGGATGGAGAGAGGTAGGATTTGACTGGAAAGGGGCACAAAGAAACATTCCTCAAAAAGTAGTGGAAATGTTTTTACATCTTTATAAACATTTGGGTTATACATGTGCATACATTTGTCAAAATGCATCAAATGGTATATTTAATATTTTTGAATTGTATTGTTTGTGAAATTTACATCAGTGACAAGAACAAAATACTGTGAACAAATATACTTAACTCAAATGATACATGTGGTGAAGTGTTTAGTGGGGAGGATCCTGATGTCTGCAACTGACTTTGAAATGCATCTGAAAGATGGATTAAGGGATGGATATGTGATAAAGCAAGAACAGCAAAATGTTAACAGTAGAATCTAGGTGATGAGTATATGAGCAGTCAATATCAAAGTCTTTCAACTTTTCTGTATATGTTTGAAATGCTTTATGATAAAATGGAAATGAAACCAAGGTAGAAAATTTGGTAGGTTGTCTACATTTAAAAATTGGAAAATTTTCCATGAAAGTCTAGATATGTCTTCTCTTTAAAAGGTACAATATCTGGCAAGAAGTGTTTCTCTCATGGCTGGAGCTGAATGGTGCACTACAGAACCCAATATTCCTGTTGTTTCCTCAACAGGGACAGATTGCACTGTTATTTTTTTTTTAATTTGTTCTTCACATATTTACACTACCTGTCTGGAATCTTGTAAGCAGTTGAGTTTTTGACCCCTGTAGTATAGTTAAGTGCTCAGGCTTTGGTTTTACATGGATCTGGAATTATCACTGACAGTTTCTCTGAACCTCAGTGTCCTCTTCTGTAAAATAATTGGAATACCTATCTCATAGAACTGTTATAAAGACTAAATGAACCTAAAATAAAAGTTGGAAAGAAAAACAAAGATTGAATGAGATAATGTATAGTTTCTGATACAGAGTAAGTTCTCAATAAATGATAAGGCTCTTTCTTAAGGGTTTTAATCAAAATGTCAAGATCAGGAGAACAGCACAAACCTTGACAGAAATATGGAAATTGAGCCAGGATTGGGCAGAAGAGAGTAGTCTGGGGACAAGAGGCATCCAGTTTTAGGCACGTCAACTTGCCTAGAGATAATGGCTGGATATTTGAGTTGCATCATGTACTAGGCATCTGAAGACAGAAAAGTGACATTGACACCAGAAGTCAGGGCTGGAGATAGAGTTTAAAGAAGTCCTCTTTAAAGAGGTGATAGTTGGAACCATAAGAGTGGGTGAAAACTTTGAAACAGAATGTAAAGAGATGAACAGACAGATGTTCAAGGAGTGAACCTCAAGGACCATCCACACACAAGTTGAAGTAGGAAGAGAAAAAAGGGACAGAGAAACAGGAGTATGTCCTTAAAGCCAGGAGAAGAGAGTGTTTTAGAAGAGAGGGATTTGAATAATCAAAAGCTTGTGGAAGCATAATGTAGAAAAGTGTTCTCCATACACTTGTCAAATAGCAGAGAGACCACCATACCCAGACAAGGGATCTATGACAGCCTCTCCTTGACCTACTTGCTCCTTCTAGGTTGCAGGTTTAGGCAGGCCACAGTCTTTCATATGTAAAGCAAGTGTCATATGCTTTAGGGAACAGAAGTGTCATCTGGTTGCAATCATAATTCTGGTAGTCTACTAAGGTTGAAGCAATATAAGTTGGCATAAGAAAGAGAAATAAAATGTCTTCTTCATACCAGGCAATACCAGAACTTGGGGGAATTGGGAGGGGAGACAAGCTTTTAAACTTTCCACATTTCTTTGTGACTTGGTAGGAAACTGATTTTAAAATTAACATTATATTTGGCATTAATTTGCAAATCAGGAACACAAATGATATTTGGTTTGGGATGTGTGTGTGTGTGTGTGTGTGTGTGTGTGTGTATCCATAATTGAGTTACATTAGTTCTTTCAACATTCCATTGTAAATGAAAATGGTGTAATTCAAGGTAGCACTGGAAACCTATAATTATTTTAAAGCCTTTGGTTATACTCATATACTAATGTGATTATCTAGCTGTGTTGGGAAAGAATAGGATCCTCAGCTTAGCATTAAATTTTCTGTTTGACACTATTTGTACATTAATATCAAAGAAATGTATAGAAAATGTGTGCTTAATCTTAAAAAGAAGGTATAATATTAATTCCCCATGGTCATTATTTCTCAAGATTCATCTTAAATGTATTATTAGAAAATTTATTTCCAGAAGTTCATGAAATTGCTCTTGGGATTTCCTTTGTTCATAAGTTTGGTAAGCTACTGGTTTATCCGCTTAGTAAATAAAGCCTCAGGAAGGGTTTTGCAATTTTCATCTATTTCTGTTGTTACCATTTTCCACTAGGCTGCCTAGCTTGCTTCTTTAAGCCTAACTTAAACGTTCCAAATGTTAGCAGGTTTCATTAACAGCTTCCAAGTAACAAGATCTACAGAAATTTCAGAATTCACATATGGAATCAAATTCTTAAGACTCATCTACAGACCAAGCTACTCAACTTTTCCAAATGCCAGGCACAAGGTTCTGTTTACCCACTGATGAATTCCAGTCAATTATCCAGGTATCTTCAGTCTTCCTTTTAAAAGGTGGGCAAACACACCATAAGACAAAGAAAATTGGTGCCTGAATAATGTATTTACACTTTATTTCTCATGGATGCTATTTTAGCTTGAAAGTAACTGGTTGTATTTAAATAAATCAAAATTAACATTGCTACAAACAGTATGTGTTGGGAGAAACCAGAATTCTCTTTAAGCATGTTTCAAAATTATAAATTAGTAAATGATGGAGGATTACAGAAATTGATGAGACATCAAAAAACTTCATCACAAACTAGGCTTACACCACCAAAGTGTTTTGACATCAGCTGACATCCTTTTCATCTTGGATAGCAATAAAAATTGTTTAATTAGAATTGCATAGTTTACTTCAAATTTAAATGCAGTGAAGATCTTGTTGTATAGTAACTGGTGAAAGATTTTTTTACAACAAGGTAAACTGTAATCACCTTGTCTTAAAAAGGAGGCAATTTCAAGAGAGTCTTCTATCCTCAAATGAAAACATAAATTATTTTCTTTTGTATTTGAAGTCATTCTTATTTTAAATTTCATTTTTTATATGCTCTCTAACCTATTGTAGTTAGTTAAATCTTTCATGGAATTCTTTGTTTTCATGTACAGTCAACTCTTGATTATCTCAATTCAACAATACAATTGAACAAATATTTATTGAGCACTTGCTAATGGTGCAGCTAATCTAAAATAGCAGACCATTTTAAGAAATAATTCATATTTGATTTTATAATACATTATGATTTTATTATAAAAATACCTTGATTTGTATAGTACTTTATAATTTTCAGAGCACTTTCACATACATTATCTCATTTGATTTTATGCAGATTCACTTCCCTACTTAGGAGAGGCTGATTGGGCTTAGGCTGATTGATATTAATATTAATTTGCATTCACTAAGCACACACTGGCTGAACAGCAGGAGCAGGCGGCTGCTGGAGTGTGCTGGGGAGAAGGGGAAGCTTGTCTGCGATTACAGCTCTGAGGTGGACAATAGAGCTGATGCACATAATAGAGCAGTAATGACCACACATACACACTGGCATATATGTCTTAATTTATTTTTCCATTGCTATTAACTACTGACACAGGCATTTTGGAGGTTTAAAATGGATAGCTAATTATGATGGGCAAATAGGATGGCATAATAATTGTGTTTGGATGAGTCACTCTCTCGAGATCTAGTAGTGGAAACCTTTGTGACTATCAGTATTGACTCTGGAAAAAGAATTTAAATGGAAATGAGTAAAGTAACCACAGATAAGACTTCAGCATCAGCTCAGAAAGTGGAGGCTGATGGCAACAAATCCATTAGCAGAGGAGCATTAGATACTGATTTTAGCCACATAGGGAGCAGCTGCCATTTTATTTTGGAAGCACATTTAGACTTTAGATTCACAGAGAGAGCAATGAGGAGTGTAGAGAATAGAACCATCAGTTTTGGAGTTTGGGTTTGAATCTCAACCATTGTACTCGTCAACTCTGAACACCAGCTGTTCTGGCTTCAAAGGCAGTCTACACTTCATAATGTTGTTATGGGGATTCTAGGAGAGGATTCATGTAAAGATCTCAACACAGTACCTGGCACATAGTAAGCACTCAATATATGGCAGCCATTACTTGTAGTAGTTTTTAAAAATTACTATTACTGAGCCTAGGATGTTAAGGCTGCAGTGTGCTATGATTGCACCACTGCACTCCAACAGCCTGGGCAATAGAGTGAGACCTTGTCTCTCTAAAAATAAAAATATTATTAAATACTGATCACTTATCCTCCCTAGAAAAGCCACCCACCCACCCTTTGGGACCTAAAGCAGCTATTTAAAAAGAGAGTGGCTGTGGCAGGCATCATCAGTTGCTCTGGGCAGCAGGTGTAAGGTATAGGGGCAGGTAATTAGAGAAGAAGAAAGATCATATTCCTTTCCCTTATATACTGAGTGAACTTAGGACAGACAGGAGTTTGAGCAGATGGGCCAGCAGAAGCATTTAGGCAGAGGCAGGAAGCCAACCTCACTGCTTCCCATGGAATGATGAGATGCGCAGAAGGGGAGGAAAAGGCCATCATCTTCTCTTTATTGAGTGTGAGTCAAAAGGAAGCTTGCCATCATGACAGGTCTCCCCGAGTCTCACTTCTACTTGCCAGAGGCTGATCTTGGGTTTTCAACTCCAGCAGCACCAGAACGGCAGGAGAGGGCCAGAGGTGGTGTCTGGGCATGGAGAGAAGAGCACACAAGCAAGGATCAAAAGCAGCAAAGGAGTTGGCCTTGACTGCTCCAGGCCTCTGTCAGGAGAAGAACACAAACAGGGGAGGTGGAAGGAGAGATGCTCTCAGAAACAAGGAGTTTGTGAGAACTAAAGAAATGGTTTATGTAGCATTCATCCTGGATTAATGCAAAGTGATTGAAACAGAAAGGAAACATGATGGTTAGTTCCAATTTCTGCAGACAGAGAAATTACTGTTAGTCCGTTTGAGGCCACAGACCCTTTTGGAAATCCAATGAAAGCTATGTGTTCTCCCAGGAAAGAAGCAGATGTATACCTACCCACAAAAGGTTCCATATAATTTCAAGGGATTTATAGACCTCCTTAAACTCAGATTAAGAACCTCTGCTATCCAGGATGTAGGTTAGACTACAATTGATATCACAAAGATGAGTTGGGGATTCCAAATTTTAAGAGATAATAGAGTAGTTTTCCAGTGTTTACCTCAGTAGTTGTTTTCCTGTTTTATTGAGGTATAATTGACAAATATTGAGTGAAAGGAGCAGAAGCTAGTTAAACCTTCTTATCAGTATATGGGGCCCTGTCAATCTCAAGCAGCCATTTCATTACCAAACAACTCCTAGTTTCCAACAAAGGAACGATACCATCAGTAGTGCAATCCTCCTGGGTCCAAAGGGCTATTCTAATAAGGAAGAAGAAAGAAAGAAGGAAACTCCAGAAAAGTCTTCTCCCCTGTTGGGCAAGAGATGGTTTTAGAATTTCAGCTCGCGATCAGTCATTTAACTCTTTACGTCACTCTGTACTTTGCACTAACTAACAATAATTAGTATTGGGCCCCAGAGCTGCTGTTATTTTATGTACTACCTTTCCCTTCCTCGGACATGCTACCAGCACAGACCACGTAGGAAAGATGGAAGAGCACTAGTTAAGCACCTCAATAGGCACAAATCGAGTCACCATAATAAATAATGGAATATTTCTTGTTTGGACACTTTCAAGTTCCACAACTCCAGAAATAGCAATTTAAATGACTTAATTTTCTTCTCCATTGACTTTAATGAAGATCTCCTTAGATTCGGCCATCCAGCAAACCTAAACTCTCAAATAGTGCTGTGACTATTTGACTTGGGCCAGAAATATCTGAGAAGTGGACTCTGGTTATGCAACTGAAATACGAATTTGTATTAAATGCTCTCATGACAAAGCCCTGAAAGGTTAGGTGATGATTTTAAAAGTTAACACACTTCAACACAACTACAGTGGCATTTCAAATGTTGAAGCTGATGCACCTTAAGCCTTCAGATGCCTATACTTCTTTTAATTTTATTGTATTTTCCTTCAAGGACACCTTCAGTATCCAGCTATCATCCTGGAATGTTTGGATACTGGATCTTTTCCCTCTTTCTTTCTGCCCCTAGAGGCCAAGCAAAAACAAACTCAGTCTCTGAAGCCCAGGCTTCATGTCTGAGTGCCAGCACAGAGCTGGCTCTCAGGTCCCTCCCAGCCAAATGATCTTATTTTATGCTGGAGAACACCTAAGTGCAGAGATGGGAAACACTGACTTTCAGAAGTTTGGAAGCTGGACATGAAAGTGCAAGGCTAAAATAAAGGTAAAAGAGAGATGAAAGCGGGTGTCAGAAAGCACAGGGAACATAGAAGTGGAAGTTCTCAGCCCAGAATCTGAGCCTAATTTTAAGTTTAAGACTAGAATGTCAAGCTTTTTGGATTTAAAACATTGACAGCCTAACAATCCAAAAGTGCCTGGCATGGGCATGAGCGTTGCTATAAACATCTTCCTTTTTGCATTTTTCTGTGTTTTAAATGATAATGACTAGCAAAAATATGTTGTATATTAATTTAAATGTAATGACAATATTAGATTAACTATTGGTAAATCCTCTTTTAGTAAGTTAACAGTGAATTTTTATTCAACCACAAGTTTGTCTTGGGGCTAAACTAATATTGATCACACCCTGAAAATCTCCCTCACTTGCAGGCATTTTCAGTACATTAGGCCACCAGCTTCAATTCTTTTTCTTATTTATTTTTAATTGACAAATAATAATCATGTATATTTGCGGGTTACAGTGTGATGTTTTGATCTATGTAGGCATTATAGAAATATCTCACTTATATGTGAAGTCTAAAAAAAGGCCACCAGTTTCAAAATTAATTTCCCTGAATGGTGTCAACAAGAGTGACATAACTGTTAGCGTGGGGCAGCACTTCTCCAATCTGCAATATCAAGACAGATATCAGAAGAGCCCGCATGGCATGGCTGGATGGGAATTGTTGGGAACAGCCTGAGAAAAAGGGTAAGATCAAACATAGACTCCTGTACCTTCCCAGTCTCAAAATGTAACTCTCTTTTGTGCACTGACCTGATACCTCGACTCCTGGGAGTCTGTTAGCTTTTGGTTAGGCAATGCTTTTTGTACTTTTCTCTCTACTTATCTCATCAGAAGCACTTGTGTTGACACAGATTGTTTGATTTTTTAAAAAAAAGATAATACGATTGAATAGTGTGCATAATAGCTTATATTTACTTAGCCCTTTCCGTGAGTTAGACACCATTTTACATGCATTACCCACATCATCTCATTTGATCCTCACAATAATTCTAAAGTAAGTTGTGACCATCATTTACAGTTAAGAGGCTCTGAGGTTATCACCTGTCCAGGGTTACCCATTTAGTAAGCAACAGATCCAGCATGTGAATCTGGATCTAGCTGACCCCAAAACTCATGTGGCAGGTTCTTCTGTCTCCTGATCCATGATTTTATATATAAATGTTGATTTGATAGATTCATATCAGTTCTCAAGATAACAGAGCATTCACAATACTAGGAGGTCACTGGCCTGAGCATACGGTGATCCCAAGGGCTTAGAATTTCCATGCTGATCCTTGTTTTATATCATCTCATTGGTCCTTCCTTACATATTTATGTCCCTCAGCCTGATATGTTCTAATTTCTTCTTGCCCACAGACTTACGGTCCTTGTCCACAAACCTATGCCACTTGGACTGATATGCTCTAATTTAGGATCTGTAAAATCCAGTCTACCAGTCCTGATACTTGTCTTCCCTCGTGAGCTGGACAGTCAGCCTGTGGTGTGATGTGGGGAGAGGAAAGAGATAAGATGGGGCCCAGTCTTTGTCCTGGAAGAGTTCATGTTTGGTCTCATCTGGATTCAATGACAGCCCAATGAATTGACTGCAGAAGCCTGTTGCCAACACTGTGGTATAGCTGTACCAAGCAGGGGAGAGGGGAAGCATTGTGAAATCCATGCACTGTGGAGTCAGAGGCTCAGAGAGAGCTCACCCAATGGAAGGCACCAAATCCAACTCATCTACTCAAAAGCTTTTTTTTTAAGGTATAAAGATTTTGCTTTCTCCTTTTAGTCTCACAGACAATTTAAGCAGAGGAAAACCATCAAATAGGTCCTTTGCTAATTGTTATGTTTTAAGATGTGGAGATAAGCTTCTAGAGAAAGTGTGTGTCTTGAAAACTTGGTCACAAGTTGATTGTTCCCCCAAAATGTCTGTAGCTAATCAGAGAAATTCAAGTAGAGCCCTTGGCTGATTGATAGGCGTGACCAAGCAATTACCCACACTCTATAAAGCGGCCTCCATGCAACCACCCACATATTTGCTGATACCTGGGAGAAGCACAATATAGTTCAAGCTCTAGTGGAAGTGAGAGAAAGCTCTGAAAAGGCTGTTTTTTTCCACCCCTGAAATAATATATTGCCCATGACCATCATTTCTCAATCTCCCTAAAGAACCAGCCTTCAAAGATTTAAATAACTACAAGGGGATTTAGAAAGTCAGAGCAGAAAGAGCCACAGGCAAAGATTAGTGTCAGGAAGGCTGACAGGTAAATTGTCATTGTGGTGTGCTAGGTGGAGAGAAATGTGTGCAGCCCTTCACTAATTTCCCCTAACAACGGGCTGGCCCAACCCACATGATCCAACTCCATGGATTAGAAAGAAAGCAAAAATAATAATGAGTATAAACCAAGCTAACTACATCACCAAACATTATTATTTAACACTTAATGAGCACCCATGGTATGCTGGAAGCTGGTTTACCTCAACAATAGCAGCTTATTTTTATTCATAACATTTCATGGAAAGCAAGTAGCACAATATAGGAGTTCAAGTTCACTTCAGACTTCCAGTTCCTCAGTGGTGTGGAATAATGTTATTGGGGCTAGGCCAGATCTGTAAAGCCAATGAGAAATCATTTGTTTTGGCTGTTCTTTGCTCTGTTGGGACTGAAAAATAAAAGAGATAAAGAAAAAAGGAAGAGAAAAGAAGAAAGCCCGCCACAGAGGGAAGCAGAGCAGGGGAAAAGAAGACCAAATTCAGAAACAGGGAAAAACACCCCCATTTAAAAACAAAAAGGCAAATGCCTCAGTTCTGTGGGGAGAGATGTCCATTCAGCAGTCAGGCAGCAGCATCTGGACATGTTGTATCAGAACAAATATAAAACCTTTGTCCTGGATGGAGCAGTTCGGTCATTTCTGCCCTGGGGAAGTATGCTGCTCTCTCATTCCCACTCTTCCAAAACCCACACAGGGTCTGGCCTGCAATGGGAGTTCAGGGCATTGCTGTTTACATATCTCCTTGTTGGACTACATACAGACCCAAAATGTGTGCAGAATGAAAAAATAGGCCATAAGATTGCGTTTGGGATTTGATTTTAATAAGTATAAGAAGGAGCGGCAAGAAACCACTGAGTGGCAAGCCAACCTCAGAAAATGTAGAAAATATGAAAGTCACCTGTAATCCCTTCCAGGAATAACCACCTTTTATTTTATGTATATTATTTATTTTAGGATAGCCTTATTTTCCCTTGATTTTGGTGGTCCATTGGACTGTGTCTGTCTTTCCCCAATTTTCCCTTTCTGGTGGAGCAGCATGTTAAGACTCCACAGCAAAGCAGAGGGTAGGATTGTGGTTGTCAGAGGCTGGGGAGTGGGGAAAATGGGGGGACGTTGGTCAAAGGGTACAAACTTTCAGTTATGCAGGATGAACTATTTCTCAAGATCTAATGAACAGCAAGATGATAATAGTTAACAATATCATTGTAATTTGCTATGAGCATAGCTCCTAAATCTTACCACACATACACATACACATACACATACACATACACATACACATACCTACAATGGTAACTATGTAGAAGTGATGGATATGTTAATTAGCTTGATCTTGGCGATCATTTCACAGTATGTATATATACATACCAAAACATCAATCAGGTTGTACTCCTTAAATAGAAACAATTTGTATATGTAAATGATATTCCAATAGAGCTGTTTTAACAAAAACACTCCACAGCATTCAAGTAGCACCATTTGTCTAGCATCTCATAAAGCTTCTAGAATCTTTAAAGTGGGAAATAACTTAAATGGTCATGTTGTCCAACACTCTAATATTACAAATGAGGTGTCTGAGACCCAGAGCAGGGAAGTGATGTCTCAAGGCTGCACAACTACTAAGTAACAAAGCCAGAATTTGAGCCCAAGTTCAAAGTCAGACACTTAGCCATGACCCTGTGTATATGGAATAGGCCTCCTTCTCTTCTCAGAGGAAACAAGACCTATTTATTCAAAGACAATCTTCAATAATATACAGTAGCACATAAGTCAAATTGGGAGAAAGAAGGGTTAGTCAGGGAGAGCCTAAGCCTAGAAGATTGGGGATGGTTTTGCAGGTTCATTTAATAGGCAATATTTTCTGAGCCAGGTCCTGCAGGTCTGAAGCCACTAGGCAGAGGAAGGAAAACAGGCATTTCAGACAGGCAGGGAAGTAAGAGGAAATGCAGCACTGAATATGAGCTTGGGTTTCTCTGGTACAGAGTGGAAGTGGCCTAGGCTGAGAGCATAAATTGTTAAGCAAGCACATTTGTACACTCACTCTGCCACTGAAATCATTTTTATTGAGCAGCTATTACATATGAGGCACTGTCATGGGCAGTGCTGAACAAAATGACACATGGTTTCTGTCCTCATGGAGCTTACACTCCTCTGGGGAAGACAGACTTCAGTCAAGCGTTATATCACTGTAATAATGCACTGAGATCAGTGCTCTGAGAGGAAACAACACATGACTATGAGATCTGGTTAAGGCAAGAGGATCAGGGAAGGAAGCCTTCCATCAGGGAGTAATGCTTAAGCTGAGATCTGAGAATGAATAGGCCTTAACCAGGCAAAGGTGGAAGGGAAGAATATTGCTGAGAGAAGGCCCCATGGCCAGAAACAGCCTGGTGCATTTGAAGAATTGAAAAGAGACCAACAACGTTGTGATGCAGAGTAACAGGGAGAGAGATGCAAAATGAAGATGGAGAAGTAGCCAGGGGCCACATCAGAAGAGCAGGGCATACACAAACATTGCCTATTCATCCCCAGATTTGCAGTCAAAAGTTTTTTGTTTTGTTTTTTAGAGACAAATAAGAAGAAATTGAAGATGAGTTAAATACATTCTTTGGGCAAAACAAATGAGTCCTGAACAGAAGACAGCTCATAGACAGCTCATAGCTGTAACTTTGAGCCCTGAACATAAGAAAGCTCCTTGGTTTCTCATTGTCTCATAACAGGTTCATAGATCACTTGGAAAATCAGGCTGAGGCAAATTTAATCGAATATATTTCCTGCTGTCCTTGAAGCCATTGAGCAGCCCTGTTCTTGAAGGCCACAGTAGACCGAACCTGATTTTTAAGCCTTGATTCCAGTTTATTCTTCTGGTTTGCCTGCTGCTCAGGAGTCTCTCTTCCTATAGAATCTTCAATAAGGAAGTGAAGCACATCTCTATTGGAATTACCTTCTCTTCTAGCTCGGATTTCCTTGCTAGTACAGGTATCTTACCTCCTCTTTTAAGGGCAAGGAGGAACTGTAGAGGACCTTCAGCAGAGGGGATGGGGGTTGGGGGAACATGATCTGATTCACATTTTGAAAGGAGCATCCTGGAGGCTGTGGGCAGATAATGATATAAGCTAACGGCTATTGAGCTCTACTGTGTGCCAGGCACAGTGCAAAGCACTGGTCACACATCATCTTTAAACCCCACAACAACCTTAGGAGGTAAGCTGCAGTTATTCTTTCCATTTTGCTGAGGGGGCAATTCAGGTGTAGAGTGATGAAACCACACAGCTTATTAAATAGCAGAGCTGAGACTCGAATGCAGATCTCTTTGCTTTCAAAGCTTGTGCTCATAACAGTCATGTTCTCTGCCTACCTTTTTGTTTTTATTCGTGGCAAAAAGTACATGTAACATAATATTATCATGTTAACCATTCAGAAGTCTACAATTTAAATGAATACATTAAGTGAATACATTCAATGCATTTACTGTGTTGTGTAGCTGCTACCACTATCTCTTGCCAAAATGTTTTCATCATCCCCAACAAAAGCTCTGTGCCCATTAAACAATGGCTCCTCATTTCCTCTTCCTTTCAGCTTCTGGTAGTCCCTATTTTACTTTCTCATATGGCTACCTCATATAACTGGAATTACAAGATTTGTCCTTTGACATCTGGCTTATTTCCTTTTGCATATTGTTTCTAAGGTCCACTCATGTTGCAGTATATATCAAAATGTCATTCCTTTTATGACTGAATAATATTTCATTGTATGGATATACATATCTCATTTTGTTTACTCGTTCATCTGCTGATGGACACTTGAGTTGTTTCCACCTTTTGGCTGTTGTGAATAATGCTGCTATGAATATTGGGGTACAGATATGTATTTTATTCCTTGCTTTTGGATATATAGTTGTCCCTCGGTATCAGCAAAGGATTAATTCCAGGCCTCACAATGAATACAAAAATACACAGATGTTCAAGTTCTGTTGTCAGCCCCATGAAACCCACGGATAGGAAAATTCAGCCTTCCATATCTGAGGGTTCTGCATCCTGTGAATACCATAGTTGTGATCCATGGTTAGTTGAATTTGCAGATGTGGAGCCAACAGATACAGAGGGCCCACTTTATACATAGGAGTGGAAATGTTGGGTCACATAGTAGTTCCATGTTTAACCTTTTGAGAAACCATCAAAACTTTTTACACAATGGCTGCATCATTTTACATTTCCACCAGCAATGCACAAGAGTTCCAATTTCTTCACATCTTCACTAACACTTGTTATTTTCTGTGTTTTTGCTTATAGCCATCCTATTGGGTGTGTAATGGTATCTCATTGTGGTTTTGATTTGCATTTCCCTAAAGACTAATGATGAGCATCTTGCCGTGTGCTTACTGGTCATGTGTACATCTTCTTTGGAGACATGCCGATTCAAGTCCTTTGCTTATTTTTGAATTGGCCTGCTTACCCTTGATGCATAGTCTTTAAGGAAAAAGCCTGGGGAGCTTGGAGACGATGTTTATCAAAGGATAACCACAGATAAGAACGCCTGGTATGGACTGGGCTGACTTGTATATCCAGAGGACATTTTTCTTCCTGACATGATGTCCACAGTGAAGCACTTCTGCCCCCAGTGGCCTGTAATCTTATAGAGAAATTAGAAGGTCTTCTGCTCTTTGAGGGGAGAGAATCCTTATGACCTGTATTTTATGTCAGTTAGATTCTCTCTGACATGGCTGACAAATCTTTCTTGGAGAGCTGTTCCGGGCTTGGGTAGGTGCCCTTCCCAGCTTCCCATAGTCATCTATCTTACCTCAGTCCTAGCACCATGCTGCAATTGCCTGTTGATGCCTCTGGCTCCCAGCTTGACAGAAAAGCTCCTTGAGGTGAGGGACCATGCTCACTGTGTTATTCTCACTCCCAATAGTGCCTGTCCCATAGTAGGTGTTCAGTGAATATCTGTCCAGTAAATTTGTGTGTGTACATGCATGTGCAAATACACAAGTGCATGCACATGTAGAGGGTGGCAGTTGGTAAGAAGAGTCTAAAGGAAGGGCTCTGGGGGACCACAAATTGCTGGTATTTACATGTCACCTCCTAAGATGCTATGTGGAATAATAATGACAATAGCTATCATCTGCTGAGCACCCACTATGTGCCAGGCACTTTGCATTTGCATCATTTCCTTTAATTCTCATAAAAACCCTTTGAAATAGGCATCCCAATTTTATACATAAAGAAATAACTAGTCTCAGAGAGATTAGGTAACATATTCACAGTCAATTAGCTAATAAATCGCAAAGATAGGATTTTGACCAAAATCTGAGCTCGTAGCCACTATGCTGAAAAATGTCATGCTTACTTTAAGTTGGGCACATGTTGTCTTTTCATAGTCTCTCTGATACCTGTTCTAAATGTCCCTGTACTCCAGGCATATCCAGCAGAAGAGAGAAAATTGTAGTGCCCAGAAAGTTGGAGGCAGGAGCCAAGGAAGGACACAGGTACTCCTGCCTCTCTACTGAAGGGCTGTACCTCAGTATCACTGAGTATCACCTTAGCATCATGTTGAAGTCCCAACAGGACTTCCAAAGAGTTTTTGTTCTTGTGAGTCATATCTATTTCTATGTACCATATTATAAATTAAAACAGAACTGTAAAAATATTTATTAATTAATTACTTAACAAATATGGTACATGGCAATACATATGACCCCCAAAATATTTTGATGGAAAATAACTTTATTTTCCCAAACAAAAGAATATTCAGTGAGAAGAGTGGCATTGTGTAACATTTTTACAAATCTCTTTAATGTCTGTCTTAACAAAGGACAGCTGAATTCTCAGATAGGCTTCTGCATTCAGTCTGCTGCTATGTTGTTAGGGATGTGTTCTATGAAGAAAACCAGTCACAGACACACATGGAGTCAGAAAAAGAAAGCATCTCAGGAACACCCAAGGTTCCTCCAATCCTACTTTGAGAACCCATACTTTGAAAACCACTGTTCTAAAGTTTTCCTGCCAGCTGTAAACATTACATTAAGGGCACATCTGTGCCAAAGAAAAACAAAAATGTGCCAGGCTTTTTCAGAAGGAAAAACATTTCAGAGCTGTCAGGCCACCACAAAAAATAGAATTGGCCTAAAAGAATAGCCCTCTATGAAATGAATCAGTTCAGGAAGCTAAGGGCTTAAAATGGGCTAATTTAAGGATTGACAGATAGGCACATAATGCTGTTTAGGAGTTGGCAGCACACCAACTTCTCCCAGTGCCCAGCTGGAAAGGGCCCTCTTAAGCAGTCTTATTTTTATCTCAGGTGTTGAGAATGGCAGGGCCAATTAAACACCCACTCTAGTGTTCCAGGCTAACGCATTATGTTTCCATTCAAGCATTATTATTATTAAAGATAATTGTATGTGGAGGAGCAGAGCCCAAAAATGCCCATTAAGCCTCTCACACCTCTTGAAGAGAGAACAGGCGAATATATTTTGACAAGGAGAGAACCTTGCTGAGTTCTGGGCTTTTGAAATTTGGGGAGGGTTTGTGTTCATTTATGAGTTGGCAAATAATAGTCTCTGACTCCAAGGAGTAGGAGGAAGTTTTCTCAACATCGGTTACAAAGTAATGTTCAATCTGACCACCAAGAAAACCCAACACCTGGTTTAAGATTCTGCCATTTTGAAAAGTCAAGAGCGGGTGAGGAAACACTGTACTTCATGAAGGCCTAGGTTTTGGGGGAAGTTAGGGCCTCGCCCCAAACTGGGGAAACCCAAATCATCCATTTCTGAAGTAATTGTCAACTAATTACTGGAGATATGTTTTAAAAGCATAACATAAGCCCCCCCAAAAGCAAAAGCCCAAGTGGAAAGCAGCTTTGGGAGAGGAACAGGCTCTGTCTTACCAGCTATTTGAGAGGGAGAGGGGGCATCCTTATACCGGCACTAGCTGCCTTTCGCGCTTGGCAGTGCCTGTTTTCTTCTTTGGCAACATCCGGTCTCCTGCTGATGTCATCTCCAGGAATACCTGCTGACTTGCTGAGATCCAAAAAAGAAAAACAACGTGAAGTAAATTACATGTCCTTCTGCTCTCCTCCGGTTGCAAGGGCATTGTGCTGACAATGGAGGGAAATTATTAAGGGGAGATGTCAGCTATACAAATGTGCATCACATCTCTCCACCTCCTTCCCCTTCTTCTTGTCTCCCATCTTACCACACACACACTCAAACACACACACACACACACACACACACACGCAAGCATGCAGATACTTCCACACCAGGTGTTGTGAGATGCTATTTTGGAAGGTGGCAAAATTAGATAGTTGGGTAAACAAGAGCTCAGCTAGGACATTTTTGTGGCGAGACAAAATTTCATGTTTCATCTAAGCATCTGTAATTGAGAAGTTTATTGTCATTGCTGTTCAGGCTTTTTGGTTAGAAATGGTAGAAGGAAAGTTGGAAGAGTCTACTTGAGTGATTAGAGCAATCTGGAAACGCTAATGTATGTGTCTGAAATGGAGTAGTTCTCAGAGTGAGGACTATGGCATTTCTGGAACTACTGATATGCTCTGTGATATTTGTACTGCCCTGATTGGGCTGCAAAAGTGCTACCTGGATATATTCTCTCTGTCTCTCTCTGCCTGTGTATTCTCTGTCTCTGTCTCCTTTATTTTCTCCACCTGGGTTTCACTTCCTGCATCACTCCCACACACCCACATTTTAGCACCAGAGAGTTCTGCAGAGGGGAATATTCACCCACTCGTCTATCTACTTCTGTCTTTGGGTCTCCTGCATCTTAGCTACCACTCACCCTGGGAAATCTCTCACCCTTGTTAGTTCCCCTGGGGTTTGGAGTCCAGTTCTCTCAGCTGCTCTGACTCAGTTTCTCTTTACCTCTCCCCATCAGACTCAGTCACTCTCTGGCAGTCGCATTGCTGCTAACCCAGGCCCATTGAGATGGCCTGGGCCTCTGAGAACTTCTCCATTGGCCTGGCAGATTTTCCCAGATGCTCTAAGCCTGCAATGACTTCAGCTCATTGCTCCAGAGGTGTGAACAGGGCTCAAACTTCAAAACAGCTTCCTCAAGCAGCAAGGGCGTTCACAGAAGAAATTAATAGGTTGTTAAAGAGAGAAAGCAGGTTTTCTGGAGGCTGCATGGTGTAATAACCTTGGAATCTTCTAGACCTCCTAGTCCCTGCTCAGACACTTACTAGCAGTGTGATCTTGGCCATATTATTTAACCTATCTCAGGCTTCAGTTTCCTTAGTGTAAAATGGGGGAAACAGCGGCTCCTACCTCCCACAGTTGATGACAGGGTTAAATGAAATAATATGCTTTGAGTGCCAGGCACAGAACAAGTGCTGGAAAATATGCTAGTTTTCTTCTCCTTGTGGCTGAATGTCCCCAAGCGCTCTCCTATTTTCCACAATCTTTTTTTTTATGTGGAAGCAGTATCCCTCATTTTTAAAAATTCATTAACCATGTAACATGAGTTGACCTGCATATAATGAAAATATGCTCAAGAAATGTCCCCATTTTCTCATTCAATTTAAATAAAAGAAAACCCAAACCAATAAACAACAAAAATTCTGATGGGGCATGTATCACTCAACTTCAAGTACGCCAACACGTGTCAATTTTCGCATACATCCTATACTGATAGACAACCCTTGGCTCCAGAAGATTCTTCTGTGGTACAATTCTGTTTTATATATATAGAGAGAGAAAGTGAGGCTCAGAGACCTCTGTATATAACTTACTTTGAGTGTGGACCAAAGGTACAGCAGATGGTGGGATTCCAGCACTCAGAAATGGATGTTCCAGCTAGCAGAACATACTGCCCCCAGTGGACTATGAAGGTGTGATCTGTGTTGGGGAGGGGATTGAAGGGGAAGGAAGCAGGTTGGTGAAGTCAAAGGTCCTTCAGCAAATGAAAAGACAGAGACAAGACCAGAGCTCTCAAGATTTAAGCCCTTGCTATTAGATCTCAACCATTCCTCACACACTTTTTACAGGCTCTGCATTGTCTTAGGAGCTACCAGAGGTGATGACACAGCCAATAACCAAATCCCTGTGGCCATTCTTCATTTATCTGCTGACTACACTTCTAATCTTGTCTCCACCCCCTCAGCTGCAGTAGCTGCCTTATTTTCTTGCTCCTCTTTTGTTTCAGGCTTTCCCCTTCTCAAAGCCTCACAGAGTAACTGTAAAAAATAACCCAGAAAGTACCCACCTGACTAAGGGCCTGGAGTTAGATTCCCAGCTCCTGGTCTATAAGGTGAGTAGTCAGCACTTGACATTGTCTTTGTCACTGAGGCCTGGGGTGGGAGGAGAGAAAACTGGGTTCAGGTTGCTTTTGGGGCAAGAAATTAACAAGAATCAACTTAATGAGCAGAACCAATGGGAATGACTTGGAAGTCACTTGTTCAGAGTCCTCAAGAAGAATTGGTTTCAGTCAGGTGTGTATAATCCCAGAAGTATCCAGAGGCAGCATTTTGAGCATTGTAGTAAGGTAGAAGAGATTCTGAGAGAAAGTCAGGGCAACAGTCTTTTTAAAGTGCTAGAGGAAAAGTCAGGTGTCTGAGATGAATGGAAGGCTGAGGGGGGCTGCATGTGAGAAACCCATGCACATCAGTCTTCTTTCTCCAAGAATTCACCAGCTAATGACAATGTGGTATTAGCCTCAAATGTCTCATAATTAGGCACTAATTCCCAATGAAGCTGATATTATAGAATAGTAGCTCAAATCAGAGCTCAAGATGTCTCCATGTAAAGTAAAAGCTATTTAATACATTAAGGGGTCAGTCATCAGATAATGTCCACTTCCAATGAATTTGATTCCTGCAGCATTAGCCACATCAGTGAAAGATTTTACTTTGGAAATAATTCAATGATTTCTGCAGTCATGAACACACTAATGACTGCATTACTAATCAAGCACAATTCTTTTATCTCAAAAACACAAATATAAGTAAGGAATGCAATCAATGGATTCTATTATGTTTACTCTCTCAGAGTCCGAAAGATGATACTGATGCTAAACTACTCCCTAAATTTCTACACAGATTATTTTATTTAGCACACCTCTCCATAACTAGAAAAATTTTTGGAATAGCAATAATCCATGTTAACATAGGTTATAATCATCATTATCTATCATGAACATAATTCTTTGCCCATAAAACCATTTCATAATCTTTTCAGCAGTATTTCTAGAAATCACTCTGCTATGGACTGAATGATTGTGTCCCTGAAAAATTCATATGTTGAAACCTTAATCCCAAATGTCACTATATTGGAGATAAAATGTTTATGAAGGAATTGAGGTTAAATTAGGGGTGATAAGGGTATGGGCCTAATTCAATAAGACTGGTGTCCTTATAAGAAGAGGAAGAAATACCAGGAGATGTGTGCACACAAATGAAAGACCATATGAAGCTGGCCATCTGCAAGCCAAGAAGCAAGCCATCACCAGAAACTGACCATGCTGACGGCCCAGATCCTGAACTTCCAGCCTCCAGAACTGTGAGAAAACAAATTTCTGTTGTTTAAGCCATCCAGTTTGTAGTAGTCTGTTCTCACATTGCTATAAAGAACTACTTGAGACCAGGTAGTTTATGAAGAAAGGAGGTTTAATTGGCTCACAGTTCTACATGGCTGGGGAGACCTCAGGAAACTTACAATCTTGGCAGAAGGCTATGGGGAAGCAAGGCACATCTTCCCATGACAGAGCAGGAGAGTGAGAGAGAGCGAGTGGGGAAGTACCACTCACTTTCAAACAATCAGATTTATGAGAACTCACTCACTATCATGAAAATAGCAGAGGGGAAATCCACCCCCATGATCGAGTTACCTTCTACCAGGTCCTTCCCTCAACACTGGGGATTACAGTTCAACATGAGATTTGGATGAGGACACAGAGCAAAACCATATTCACGGTCTGTGCTATTTTGTTATGGCAGCCTGAACAGACTAATACAAGCTCCTAATGGGCATCAGTTGTATAATGTAAGAAAAGCTAAGGAGGGTCTTAGTAAGTTTTGCAAGGTCAAACCTTCTTAGCTAGGCACTCGAGGTTCTCTAAAATTTCACCTCAAACTTACTTTTCAACTTTTCTCCCCAAACAATATTCTCCAAATATTTTTCACATCCATTCCTTCATGACAGTTCTTAATACTACCAGAAACCTTGTTTATGCCCTAATCACCTCATGGCTGGGACTGTTGCCCAAATCTCTTCCATACCTCCAGTGTTTTTGCATTCCAAAGCCACCAAGCACTTACTGCTGAGGAGACTTTTTGAAACCACAATTTCATGTCTTTTGAGACTAAACTTTGCAAATCTACTCCTACATGTTCATTCTTTGTTGACCAGAGTTGGAGATCTTGAGCCTTTTTGATGTTGTTTCCCTATTCCACCTGCCAAGGGCACCTAACAACCTTGCACATTCTGTAGGAAACAAACATAGCAAGGCTCTGAAAGGTGGACAGAAGGTGGACCAACTATAAACCTCAGGAACCAAGGAATAACATAGTTGTGTGTGATCCCAGGTTTTTTATTTTTTTATTTGTGCCTTATGTATCCAGGAATGGGTTTCGGAGAAGCTGGCAACCCAGAAATGCCAATAGGCACAAACAATAAATGTCCCAAGAAAGCTTAAGCTCTCTAGCCAAAGGATCCGGGAAAAGGAGAGCCCAACAGGACAGAAACTTTTAGACAATAACAACTTCACTCCAGCCAAACATCACAGAAAAAACTGTGGACCTCCACCTGAGCAAAGGTCAAATGGGAAGCCTAGACTTCCACCTTCATCAGGCACCCCAACCCAGAGAAGGCCCAGTGGGGAGCTGAGATACCGCCACCCAGTGCTAATGAGACTACCCTCCATACTAATTCGTGATACAAACTCTCAGATAAATTTGACACGTGAAAGGTATGTAAAAGACCCAAATGAAATTTTTAGAAAAAAAAAAAAAAAAAAAAGAAGCCTAAGATGAAAAATGTGCTGGTGGTATTAATGGCATTAATGGAAGATTAGGTATTGGAAAAGAATTAGCAAACAGAAGGCCACAATAGAAACTATCCAAAATGAAACACCAGAGGAAAACATTAGTGAAAAAAGCATCATTAAGAGCTATGGGACAATTTCAAGCAACCTAATATTTGTGTAGAGTCCCTAGTGGAGGGGAGGGACAGAAAAAAAACTTGAAGAAAGAATGGCTGAAAATTTTCCAAATATGATAAAAACTATGAACCCACAGATCTCAGATGCTCAACAAACCCCAAGCAGAAAAAACGTAAATAACAATATATCAAGGAATACCATAATCAAATTGCTCAACAAAAATAAGCATTCCAGAAGATTTCTCATCAGAACGAGTGCAAGTGAAAAGACAGTGGAGCAACAACTTCAAAGTACAAAAAGTAAGAAAAAAAAACTATTGATCTAAATTCTGTAACTAGTGAAAATATCTTTCAAAAATGAAAGCAAAATAAAGATGTCTTAAAACATATAAAAGCTGGAAAAAAAATAGCACCAGAAGATATGCACTACAAAAAATGTTAAAGATAGTCCTCTGGCAGTACTTTGATACACTGGTTTCTCCATAGGGTGCTCACATGAAAGCTGGCCTCCCTCTTAGCAAATGAACTCTTTCAAAGGATAGAAAAGAAGGTTCTTGGTCATGAAATCCTTCCCTAAGCCAACATCTAAGAAGGGTTTTTCCAATGTTACCTTCTAGAATTTTTATAGTTTCAGGTCTTAGATTTAAGTTCTTGATCCATCTTGAGTTGATTTCTGTATAAGGTGAGAGATGAAGATCCAGTTTCACTCTCCTACATGTGGCTAGCCAATTATCCCAGCACCATTTGTTGAATAGGGTGTCCTTTCCCCACTTTATGTTTTTGTTTGCTTTCTCGAAGATCAGTTGGCTGTAGGTATTTGGGTTTATTTCTGGGTTCTCTATTCTGTTCCATTGGTCTGTGAGCCTATTTTTACACCAGTACCATGCTGTTTTGGTGACTATGGCCTTATAGCATAGTATGAAATCAGGTGGTGTGATGCCTCCAGGTTCATTCTTTTTGCTTAGTTTTGCTTTGGCTATGCAGACTCTTCTTTGGTTCCATATGAATTTTAGAATTGTTTTTTCTAATTCTGTGAAGAATGATGGTAGTATTTTGATAGGGATTGCATTGAATTTGTAGATTGTTTTTGGCAGTATGTTCATTTTCACAATGTTGACTCTACCCATCCATGAGCATGGGATGTGTTTCCATTTGTTTGTGTCATCTATGATTTCTTTCAGCAGTGTTTTTTAGTTTTTCTTGTAGAGGTCTTTCAACTCCTTGGTTAGGTATATTCCTAAGTAATTTATTTTATTTTATTTTATTTTATTTTGCAGCTATTGTAAAAGGAGTTGAGTTCTTGATTTGATTCTCTGCTTGGTCGCTGTTGGTGTATAGAAGAGCTATTGATTTGTATACATTCATCTTGCATCTGGAAACTTTGCTGAATTCTTTTATCAGTTCTAGGAGCTTTCTGAAGGAGTCTTTAGGGTTTTCAAGGTAAACGATCATATCATCAGCAAACAGTGACAGTTTGACTTCCTCTTTGCCGATTTGGATGCCCTTTATTTCTTTCTCTTGTCTGATTGCTCTGGCTAGGACTTCCAGTACTATGATGAAGAGGAATGGTGAGAGTGGGCATCCTTGTCTTGTTCTAATTCTCAGAGGGAATGCTTTCAACTTTTCCCCATTCAGGATTATGTTGGCTGCGGGTTTGTCATAGATGGCTTTTATTACTTTGAGGTATGTCCCTTGTATGCCAATTTTGCTGAGAGTTTTAATCATAAAGGGATGCTGGATTTTGTCGAATGTTTTTCTGCATCTATGGAGATGATTGACTGATTTATAGATAAATAGTTGGGACTTAATTAAACTAAAGACCTTTTGCATGCCAAAAGGAACAGTCAGCAGAGTAAACATACAACTCACAGAGTGGGAGAAAAATCTTCACAATCTATACATCTGACAAATAACTAATATCTAGAGTCTCCAATGAACTCAAACAAATCAGTAAGAAAAAAACCAAACAATCCCACCAAAAAGTGGGCTAAGGACATGAATACACAATTCTCAAAAGAAGATATACAAATGGCTAACAAACATATGGAAACATGCTCAACATCACTAATGATCAGGGAAATGCAAATAAAACCCACAATGTGATACCACCTTACTCCTGCAAGAATGTCCATAATCAAACATCAAAAAAACAGTAGATGCTGGCGTGGATGCAGCAATCAGGGAACACTTCTACACTGCCGGTGGGAATGTAAACTAGTACAGCCACTATGGAAAACAGCGTGGAGATTTCTTAAAGAACTAAAAGTAGAACTACCACTTGATCCAGCAATCCCACTACTGGATATCTATCCAGAGGAAAAGAAGTCATTATAAGAAAAAGATATTTGCACACACATGTTTATAGCAACACAATTCACAATTGCAATATTGTGGAAACAAACAACAAGTGGACAAAGAAACTGTGGTATATATAAATGAATACCACTCAGCCATGAAAATGAATGAATTAACAGCATTTGCAGCTAGTTGCATGAGATTGGAGAGTATTATTCTAAGTGAAGTAACTCAGGAAGGGAAAACCAAACATGGTATGTTCTCACTGATATGTGAGAGCTAAGCTATGAGGAAGCAAAGGCACCAGAAGGATACAATGGACTGTGGGGACTTGGGGGGACGTGTGAGAGGGGGGTGAGGGATAAAAGACTACAAATATAGCACAGTGTATACTGCTCGGGTGATGGGTGCACCAAAATCTCACAAATCACCAATAAAGAACTTACTCATGTAACCAAATACCACCTGTACTCCAATAACTTATGGAAAAATATTATATATTTTTTTAAATGAAAACAAAGTATAGAAGAGAAGGGAACACTTCCAAACTCATTCTAGGAGGCCGAGATTACCCTGATACTAAACCCTGATAAAGACATTACAAGAAAAACAACAACAAAAGAAAACAACAGACCAATATCCTCAGCTGGGTGTGTTGGCTCATGCCTTTGATCCCAGCACTTTGAGAGGTCATGGTGGGAGGCTCACTTGAGGCCAGCAGTTCCAGACCAGCCTGGGCAAAACAGCGAGACCCCGTCTCTACAAAAAACTTTAAAAGTTAAAAAAAAAAAAAATTAGCCAGGCATGATGACATGCACCTATGGTCCTAGCAACTTAGGAGGCTGTGGTGGGAGGATTGCTTGAGCCTGGGAGGTTGAGACTGCAGTGAGCCACAATTGCATCACTGTACTCCAGCCTGGGTAACACAGTGAGATCTTGTCTCTCTAAACAACAACAACGACAACAACAACAACAACAAAAATATCCTTCGGGAGTATAGATGGAAAAATTCCACACAAAATTTTAGAAATGAAACCCAACAGTATGTACATTATGACTAAGTGGGGCTTATCCTAGAATGCAAGTTTCATTTATTATTTAAAACTCAATCAGTACAATTCACCACATTAGCAACTTAAAAAAGATGCAAGTCATTTATCATATATGTGCTTGGCTAGTATTTACCCAGTCTGAGGCTTGCCTTTTTATTTTCATGTGTGTTTTTCAAAGAGCATAAGTGTTTAGTTTTGATGCAGTTAAATTTGTCAATTATTTTCTTTGATAGATCATGCTTTCGGTGTCATGTCTAAGAAAGCTTTGCTCAATCCAAGGTTGCAAAGGTTTTCTCCTATATTTTCTTTTATAAGTTTTATACTTTTAGGTTTTACATTTAGGTCTATGATCCGTTTTGAATTAATTTTTGTATGTAATGCAAGGCATGGATTGAAGTTCTTTTTTTGTATATGGATATCCAATTGTTCCACACCATTTATTAAAAAGATGAGCCTTTCTAAGTGAATTTAATTTGCACCTTTGTCAAAAATCAGTTGTCCATATTCGTATGCATCTATTTCTGAACTCTCTTTTCTGTTGTTTTGTCTATCTTGATGCCAATACCAAACTGAGCAGATTACTGACAAATTGAAATACTCCAATTTTGTTATTTTTCAAAGGTCTTTGTGGCTATTCTAATTTTTTTTAACTTTTATATTAAATGAAGAATCTGATGTGAATTTCAACAAAAGCCTGCTGGAGTTTTGACTGGGATGGTGTTGACTCTGTAGATCTTGTTGGCAGAATTTACATCTCAACAGTACTGTCTGGCAACTGATAAGATAATTATCTCCATTTATTTAGATTTTCTTTAATTTATCCCAGTAATGTCTCGTATTTTTTAGTATGTAGGTCTTGAATTTCTTTTGTAAACTGTGTTTCTCTATTAGTTCTAATGGTTTTAGTGGAATCCTTAGGATTTTCTATATGCAAGATCATGTCATCTGCAAATTGAGGTAGTTTTACTTCCTCCTCTCCAATCTGAGTGCCTTTTGTTTCTTTTTCTCACCTTATTTTAATGGTCAAAACCTCTAGTAAAATGTTGACTAGAAGTGTTGAGAGCAGATGTCCTTACCTTTTTCCTCAATCTTGGGGAAAACCTCTAGTCTTTCACCATTAAGTATGACTTTAGCTGTGGGCTTTTTGTAAATAACTTTTATCTGGTTGAGGAAGCTACCTTCTAGTCCTAGTTTGCTGAAAGTTTTTGCCCAAATGAACAAAGCCAGTGAGTGAGAGAGCCACGACTCATGTCTACATTGGCCAGTTCCAACAAAGTGTGCTTTTGAGACTAAGTGAGACAGTGTTTGCAAAGCACTGAGCACAGTGTCTGACCCAGAATCGGCTCTTAGCTTCCTTCCCTCCAAACCTCATGTGCTTGCTACTATACCCCACCGTTAATGAAGGGAAGGGATATAAGCCATTATTATCCTCTCTTTTCATATCTCTTAGTCTTAATCTCTTCAGCCACATCCTCAAATTTGAATCCCACCTGCCATATTTTATTTAACTGGTCCTATACCACCCACCCCAATAAGAAATATGATTTTTGCTTCCTTAGTACCTGTCAACCCTTAGAAGTGAAACTCCAGTTAGGTTACACATATAAACACCATCATTTATCAGAATATCCTCAGACTGTACCTTATTGATTAGAGTTTCCTATTTGGACCTTGATATTAAATATTCTAAAAAGAAAATATTCATTGATTCTACTCAAATCTATAGCCCCCATTTCAGTAAGAACCTTACCAGTACCAGAAATCCAATTCAAAATCACTTTTTGTTGGCTAGATCTGGGCGAACCTCATGGTAGAATTGTCATTGGGTTGGATCTTTGGAAAGGCAGAATTCACCAGGGAGACTGGGGAAAGGGAAGGCTTTAGAGGCAATCTGAGCAGAACAAGACAAAGAACCTGGAAAGCAGGAATGAATTTTGGGCAGGAAGAGTAGTCCCATTTGGCTGCAATTATAGGTGAAGAGAAAGAGGAGGTAGTAGCAGGAAAGAAGGTGGCAGTGGTAATGATGGTAGTGGTGATGGTGCTGGAGGAATTAGGAGAGCAAATGTTGAAAAACCAACCTGCAACCAGATTACAGGGAGGGTTTTTTTTCCTCCCTAGGTAATGGAAAAGCCATCAAGATTTATCAAAGTTTTCTAATGGAAAACTAGAATCTAAAATACTTCTCTAAATGGTGATCACATTATTATTAAGGATGATCATATCACATTTAGTGTAACCATGAGCAGATATCCTGTCTCTCACCTGGAGATGTGACATATATCTTTCACTTGGAGGACTACAGGGCATTTTCTTTAAAAAAAAAAAAAAATCAAGCTTACAGAGTGTTAAGAAGCCTAACGAATAATTATTACAAGGAACTGACACTAAGAGGATTTTTCTTTTTTATCTTTTTAATACATAATTTCCCCCACAGATTGAGCTTTTTCACTTTGGATGGGAGAATAGACTCTTTGATGACAGAGGAGGCAAGGTTAAAATGTAGGGTCCTTAGGCAGGGTGTACTTTCCATCAGTGCCCCTCTTCCAGTGCTCCTTATCACTGTGTTACCTCTCAAGGTTGTGGTCCTGGTGCCTTCTTTTCCTTCCCAAAACCCTTCTCCCAACTTTACTACATGTTATTAACTGCAAATGGTCTTTGCACAGCCTTCCACAAGCTGGCAGTATATTTCTACTTCAGAAATACCTTTTTGTATTATGAATCAATCTCGGCATGCAGCAGTGACGACAGTCATTGTCTCTGGATGGTGAGATTACAGATGACATTTTTTGTTGTTCTTTTTGCTTATCTGTACTGTCTGGCTTTGCTGTGGTGAATATGCATTACCAGTGAACGGAGACATAATAAAAGTAGAGCTAAAAAAGATTCAATTTCATTATAATGTCAAGTAAATAAGGCTGGATAAAAAATTGTATGAGCTATTTCACTATTTCTTAGTGAAATAGATAAATTATTAGGATAAGAAACTGGAAGGAAATATGCCAAAATGTTGATAGTTGTCTCTGAGATCAGAACTGTGTGTGCAGGGCCTAGGCTAGGGGCAGAAAGTGAGGCATTCGGGGTACAAAATTTAAGGAGGCCTTCACTCTCATAGTCATGCAAATGCAGGGTTAACATCTAAATTTTTTTTTTTTTTGATACAGGATCTCACTCTGTTGCCCAGGCTGGAGTGCAGTGACATGAACATGGTTCACCACAGCCTCAGACTCTCAGGCTCAAGCAATCCTCCTGACTCAGCCTTCTGAGTAGTTGGAACTACAGGCGTGCACCACCACATGCAGCTAATTTTTAAATTTTTAGAGATGGGGTCTTGCTATGTCACTCAGGCTCATCTCAAACTCCTGGGCTCAAGAATCCTCCTGCCTTGGCCTCCCAAAGTGCTGGCATTACAGGCATTAGCCACTGCACTCGGCCTAGGCTTGGCACCTGAGAGTGAGGGATCCTTACATTTTGCACCATAGGCACTTTGCTTGCCTTATCCTAGTCTGTACCCTGCCTGGGTGAGTGAGATGTGAAGAGGTTTGAACTCTTTAAACAAACCTTTTTCGAATGACTATTTGATTGTGTAAGGGAGAAATGTAATCATTATATTATCCATTTACCCCAATCTATCAGCAATCAGCTAGCTTCATGACTTCTTTCTCCAGTCATGTTCCTAAGTCTGCTTGCTTTTCAACTATTCTTTTTAACCAATACTCTGAACTCATTTGGTCCTTGGCAAATTTCTGACCATGGATCAAGCCATTCCACTGTTTACTCTGATCCTATATAATGACAACTTTCGGCCTCACTGGGATGTTGTCTCAGCACTGCCACGCAATCCTTTGTGACCCTTGTCAGCTCCCTCTTTCCTTCCCTATGTAAGTTATTTCAAACCTTCTCCTTTCTCCTTAAACTACTTCCTCCTGAAATTTTAGGAGCATCCTTTAGATGTGTGCATCCTTTAGATGTGCCAGGAGCTAGACTACAGTTTGTTAATGAGCAAATAGGAGGTGAGAAAGGAAAAAAAAATGCTTTCAAGGGTAGATAACTCCACAGAGACCTTGTCTGTGAAGAGGGGAAGAGGGATAGTGAAGGAGGCCATGTTCACTGCATGTGAACTCATAAAAAAAACTATTGTTTTTACTATAATTTATATGCCATTGACTGCCTATCTCTCTCACCTATCCCGACTTCACTCTTATGCTCAAGACCGCTCATTGGATATACCCATATGGATGTCCTACTGGCATTGCAAACTTCACATGTCTGAAACCACACTAATGGTTTTCCTTTAATCTTTCAATCAGTGCCCCTCTTCCAGTGCTCCTTAAAAAAAAAAACAAAAAAACAAACAAACAAAAAAAAACCTACCTCTTCACATCACCTCCCTCATTCTCAGAAAGTGACTTTACCTCCTCTGTCAGCCCAGGTCGTGGTAGGAATCAGATGCCACTTCCGAATTGGATAATTAAAATGAGTTTAATGGAGGGACCAGTTAACAAAGGTAGGAGCTGAGTTTTATGAAACTAACATGACATAGCCCAGGCGCTGGGGCCAGCAACAACGGAGAATGTTAAATCTCTAGGCTTGCAGGGCCTAGAAAGCAAGCAGTCACCAGAACTTGAACAGTGCAACTGTATAGAGAGGGCTACCTGACAGGCACTGTGGTCTTTAGTAGAGAGAAATAGTCAACCTGAAGCAGCCCGGTGAGGAGGGAACTAGGGGAATAAATGCCCAGTCCTCAGTTGCCTCACCCTCTCCCACCTCCTGCTGGACCTCCCACTTGCCAAATCCAACCTGAAGGTCCATACAGGTCAACCTCCCACTTACATAGCAGGATGGGGAAGAGTGGAGTGTAGATCAGCAGGAGTAGACATCTTAGTGCAGAGAAAACAGACCATTTGGTAGAATTTTCCTCCATTTCTACAATTTTGTCCTGAATATTTCTTCAGCCTTTCCTCTTTCTTTCCTATCTCAATGTAAATGGTGACCCTTGATCTCTATGGAGCCAGTACCATGCTCTGGCCATCTCTCTCCCTGACCTTCCTAGGACTCCTGGAGTCTTAGGGAAGCTAGAAAAAAGACTCATCCCACCTCTTACTTCTCTCTTCAAGCTTTCTTTCTCCAGATTTTCCTTCTAATTTAGTATTTCAAAATGCTTAGGTTTCTCTCATCTTAAAAGCAAGCATACAAAACAAAATAAAATACTTTCTCCCCTGACTCCATGGCCTCCTTCACTATCCCTCTTCCCCTCTTCACAGACAAGGTTTCAATGGAGTTATCTACCCTTGAAAGCATTTTTTTTCCTTTCTTACCTCCTATTTGCTCATTAACCAACTGTAGTCTGGCTCCTGACACATCTAAAGGATGCATAGTTTTGTCTTTACTCTACTTGGTCTCTGAAGCATTTGACACTGGAGAATTCCTCCTTCTGGAAACTCTCTTCAGCCTTGGTTTCCTATGGAAGGCAGGAAAGCATCGTAGTTAATAGCATGTCCTTCTGATTCAGAGAGACATAGAGTCAACCCAACTCTGTGCCCTGGAGCAAATTACTTAAACCTTCTGGGTATCTGTTTCCTGAAGCTTGAAACTGAGATAGTAATATTATCTACCCAAGGGGATGTTTGGAAATAAGATGATCTGTATATAGTGTTTAGCACAGTTTCTGACATACTGCAAGTATTCCATAAATGAGAGCCACATCTGTGTGTCCCTAGAATCATGAATTTTTACCCCTTCTTTTTAAAATCCACACTGCATGTGAACTCATAAAAAACTACTGTTTTCACTATAATTTATATGCCATTGACTGCCCATCTCTCTCACCTATCCCGACTTCACTCTTATGCTCAAGACTGCTTATTGGATATATCCACATGGATGTCCTACTGGCATTGCAAACTTCACATGTCTGAAACCACACTTATGGTTTTCCTTTAATCTTTCCATCAGTGCCCTTCTTCCAGTGCTCCTTATCTCAAGTGTTCTCAGTTGCACAAGCCTGAAAACGGGGCTCCATTCTTGATGGCCTCCTCTTCCTAACTACGCCCTCTCAATTCAATCAGTCCACCTCCTACTGTCTGTTCTCCTTCCTTGTACTTGGATTCCCCCACTTATCACTGCATTACTTCATACTCTCATTTCTCCTTACATGATCACTATAATTGTTTCCTAATGGTTACTAGTCTGCTGCACCACCAATGCGCCCCTCCCGCTTACCTGCCAGAGTGTTCTTTTGAAAATGTGACTCTGATAATGCCACTATGTCCCACGGTCTTCAAGGTAAAGTTTAAAATCCTTTGCCCAACTTATAAAGTTTGTCATCATCTGGCTCTTGTGTATTTGCTCATATCTCTCCAGGTTAATCTACCACTTCTTCCTTAATATCTCGTGTACACTCAAGCCATACCAACTATTTTCAGGTCCATCACCTCTCCATGCTCATTTAACAGTATTGCTGTCACTTTCTTTATCCTTGGAAGATCTTTTCTCCACCTGCCCCACTGCCTTGTCTTGCTTTTCCTGACTACGTCTTACGTGCTCTTCAAGGCTCAGCTTAAGCTTCACTGTTTCTTGAATGCTCTTCTTGACCCATCACAGCGCCTTCCATGCTGTATTGTAATCTTTGATTTGCTTCCATACTGTATATAAGGAGTCGGGAAACTCCGGCCCGCCTTCTGTTTTTTGTAAATAAAGTTGTATGGGAATACGACCATGCCCATTCACTTATATATTGTCTATGGCTGTTTTTGAATTTTAACCAGAGTTCAGTAGTTGTGATAGAGAACATATGGCCCACAAAGTCTAAAGTATTTACTCTCTGGCCCTTTGCAGAGAACATTTGCCAATCTCTGCTCTAGATCAGAGGTTCTCAACTCTGGCTACATAGTCAAACCACCCAAAAATATCTTGATGCTAGGTTACAGCACCACACCACCACAACCAAGATTCTGACTTAATTCATATGAATGCAGCATTGAGAGTTTTAAAAGTCCATTAGGTGAATCTCATGTGCAAGTCTGAGAACCACTGCTTTAGACGTAAATTTTGTGAGTTTTGGAACTGTGTTTTTGCCTTTCATCTCTCTATCCCTAGTTCTAGCATAACAAGGACCTCATGGTAGGTAGTTGACAAAGGATTGTTGCATGAATCATGAATAACAGTAAAAGTGATAATAGGCAACATTTACTGAGTATTTACTATGCTCCAGGATTCATGCCAAGTGCTTTACATATATTATCTCACTTAATCCTCACAATAATCCTGCAAGGTACACGCTATTATTGTCCCACATTTTACAGATGAGAAAATTGAGGTTCAAGGAGGTTGAGTGACTTATTTAAGGTCACACAACTAGGAAAGCACAGAGTCGTGGCTTGAAGTAAAACTCTATTGATTTTAGAACCTGCATTCTTTTTTTTCCATTTATCAAGTTTTCAACAACAACAGAACCTGCATTCTTAATCAAGCCAATCTACTCGGTCACTTGGAAGAGTCTCAAGGGATTCTTTAGAGAAGAAAGTATCTGGCCGGGAGTGGTGGCTCATGCCTATAATCCCAGCACTTTGGGAGGCCAAGGTGGGTGGATCACGAGGTCAGGAGATCGATACCATCCTGGCTAACACAGTGAAACCCCAGCTCTACTAAAAATACAAAAAATTACCTTGGCATGGTGGCAGGCACCTGTAGTCCCAGCTACTCAGGAGGCTGAGGCAGGAGAATGGTGTGAACGCCCAGGAGGCAGAGCTTGCAGTGAGCCAAGATTGCACCACTGCACTCCAGCCTGGGCGACAGAGCAAGACTCTGTCTCAAAAAAAAAAAAAAGAAAGAAAGAAAGAAAGAAAGAAAGAAAGAAAGAAAGAAAGAAAGAAAGAAAGAAAGAAAGAAAGAAAGAAAGAAAAAGAAAGAAACTATCTGTATCTGGTCACTCCCAGAGAGTTGATTTGTTGAGAATGAGAAAGTTGAGATTGTGGATAAGAGGGACATTCTTAAAAAAACAGGGATATGGTAAGATCATAACAATAACACAACCAATAATAGTAGTGACTCCCATTTCTTGAGCACTTGCCAGTGCCAGATTCTGGGTAATCATCTTAAATGCATGATCTCACTTAATCCTTACAATCTGGAAAAAAGTCCATTTGCAGGGCTGTGAGGCTTAGGTAGAATAGCCTAGTGAAGGATTTCAAGCACAGTGAGAAAGTGAGAAGAACCCTGTAAGCTTTAGGATATCGGGAAGCAAAAGAGGGTGTAGTACTATGCTAAAGGGACACATTATCTACGTGGAAATGTTCATTAGGGTCAGCTTGCCTATATAACAAAAACAGCTACTTCTATTACCAATTATTGAGTGTCTATTTTATCCCAGGCAATTAACATATATTATCTCAAGTAATCTTATAATGCCTGTAAAGTAAGTATTGTAATGCCCGGATTAAAAAACTGAGACTAAGAGATGGTAGAAAAGTTTTTCCAAGGTCATACAACTAGTGAGTGGCAGTACCTTGATTTATAGTTAGGTCTTTTTGACTCCAAAGCTCATGGTCTTTATTCACATTGTGAATGAATAAATCGGTTACATGTAACAGGATGTTACAACAAAACTAGTTTTATCTCAGTTGCAGCTGAAACCCCAAGACTAAGGAGATTCTTAAAAATTGGCTTTTGATTATTAATCTCTCCAACACTGAGGGTGTAAAAGAGGAATCCATGAAGCAGCCCACAGGGAAAGAGCCAGCTTGAAACACCTGCTAAATCCACAAAGTTCTTGTTCTTTTTCTTTTTTTTTTTTCTTTTTTTGAGACAGAGTCTCACTCTGCCCTCCAGGCTGGAGTGCAGTGGTGCCATCTTGGCTCACTGCAACTGCAACCTCTGCCTCCAGGATTCAAGCCATTCTTGTGTCTCAGCCTCCTAAGTAGCTGGAACTACAGGAGCACACCACCACTCCAGGCTAATTTAGTTTTTTCTATTTTTAGTAGAGACGGGGTTTTGCCATGTTGGGCAGGCTGGTCTCAAACTCCTGTCCTCAAGTCATTACAGGCATGAGCCACCACACCTGGCCTAATCCACAGAGTTCTGGTGCTGAATTACCACAGCCACGCTAGTCAGGCAAGGTCTTGCCCGTTACCTATTTTCTTCATCCCTGCTTTGCCACTGAGGAAGTCAGAAACCATAGTTAGCCAGGTTGGGAAGAGGAGTAGAAGTGCAAGGTATGGAACTTGAGAATGAGGTGACCACCATCCCCCCTTTCCCACTACAGTTCCTGGTTGGGGAAATGGAGAAACCTTCATTTCAAATGAAGATAGGGATTTTGACTCATAAGTGGACTAGACTCTTTACTGAAAATGACCCAAAGTGACAAGATAATGTTATATTATCTGAGCATAACCAGAAAAGTCACAGGTACTAGCCCTGGTTTGCATCCAGGGAAGGGATAAAGCATAGGTGACACCAAATAGGTTTGAATGACCAGTGGAGGAGTCCCACTTACTCACCGGTACAGACACAGACACACACATCCAGGTGGTAGAGTGTGAAGAACTCTAGAGGCAAAGGATGGGGATCACTGTCCAGATTTCAACACCTGGTAGCTGTGTGACTTTGGATAGGCCACTTAATCTTTCAGGGCTTCAAATTTCCTTATCTGAATCTGGAAGCTTTTACCTGTCTCACAAATGTATTAGGACATGGTAAGGTAACAAATATGAAAGAGTTTTGCTGTACATGTGTAAGAGATTGTTAACATGTAAAAATGTACAAAATTTGCAGAAGAATAAAATCTCAAATTGAGGGAAAAACCATTAAAGCTTATTTTAGGAGGGCCATATATATGTGTGTGTGTATATATGTTCACATATATATATATACACACTTCTATATATAACTAAATATATATATATAACTAAATATATATATAGAGAGAGAGAGAACTTTCTCTTCTCTCTCTCTCTCTATATATATATATAGATCTATTTGTCTATAAACATCTCTCTCTATATATACATGTATAACTAAGGAATGAAGTACAAATAAAGAAATCAGTAATACAATTCCGAGAAAGTTCATAAGAAAACTCCAGTTGGTTTTTTGTTGTTAGTTTTCAAAATCCAATTTCTTTTTACGGTTACATATAACCAGACAAGTTGTTTCCATGGCTTCGTGATTCCTCATGCTGTTTGATGTGATTCTAGAAGCAATGCTAGCATCTCTCTCCCCATTATACAACACAAAAAGATATGAACATTGAGTTGGTGTGTGTGTGTTTGTGTGTGTGTGCATGTGTGTGTGTGTGTGTGAGAGAGAGAGAGAGAGAGTTTGGAGCTGGACTTTATCAATAATTGAGTTTTTGACAACACTCCTGAAGCCTCTACCATTTGTTTTATGTGGCCTGGTGCTACAGTACTACTTCAGAAAACCATTTTCCAGGCTGTCAAAAAGAAAAGTTTTAACCTTTGGCTTTCAGAAATGACAAACTGTCCATTTCTTCCAGAGCTTCTTTCTTTCTTGAGGGACATTTTCCTCCAATACTGCAGAAAATCCCCTCTCACACCCCAATTCTGTTTCAGACCTAAATTGTGGCAATATTAAGACTATGAGGTCTCGTTACTAAAAATAAAGATGGGTGCAGCAAAATCATGAAACTCATGGCAAATGTTAAGTGGGGATTTAAGCTAATATTCACCTGCCAATTACTATATATCTGCTTCAAAAACAATTATCCATATACACAGCAGTAGAATCTTATTTTAAGAAGTCTGAAGAGATATCAGAACATCCAAATTGTGATGTTTTTTTCAACCCAGATGAAACATAAACACATATTAAATGTACTGTCTATTTTAAGAGAAGTGGGGGAATAACAGGTGTATTATTCAAAAAGGAATTGCCTTGCTAACCCCAAAGTAGAAACTTGTGGGGAGATATATGTGATGACTATGTTGTCTTTCTTCCATAGGTACTGTTGAAAGCATAATATGACATTCTTAATACAAATACATGTATCTTTTATAGTTTTATCTGTGCATATAAGGCCTTCCTCTGAAATTTCAGGGCTGTTGTGCGGCCAAAAGATAGGAGTGAAGTAGAGTGTTGTTATCTTTGTGAATTTCCCAAACTAGGCCAAACTAAGAGGAGAAGATGGTAGTTTTGCCAATACAGTGATTCATTCTATTTAAATGGACAAGATCTGAAACCTCCACAAACTACCTGGATGTACCTATCCTCTGAATTGACTTCACAGTAAGTTGAGCCTGAGGAGTTTCAGTGGAGAGCATTACAATACCTTTCATAGAGCGAGGGCACACCATGTATGAGACAATTAATCCTTCTAACCACTGTATGGGATGTGTTTTACACAGCAAGAAACAGACCGAGGTCAAGAATTGATGGGCAGAAGTTGTAGCAAGTGAACTTCTAATGTTCTCTGTCACTTTGTGATGTAGAGGTAGAAGTGGGTCCAACAGAGGAAGATCTAATGTTACAACTGAAAGTGACATCTCCGTTCTCTACACTTTACTTGTTCCTCTTGCAGCCTTTAACCGCATTTATCCCTAAGATGTAGCTAGTTTTACACATCTTTTGTCTTCTCTCCTAGACCATGCAAGAACTGTGTCTGATCCATCTCTGCAGCCAAAAATGTCTAGCACAGTGCTTGGCACTAGAATGGGCTCCAACAAATAATAGATGAATAAATAAACAAATGACATCTTGACATTAACCAGTTCTTAGAACCTGCTGGATGGGAGGCCTTACCAGAATAGCTTTATTTTCCTATGAGGGACTTTATATGCTGCGGAAGCACCTGGAAGGTCACTAGAATCATGATATTTTGTGACTACATCTTTAGTTTAAATTACAGTTGGTAATTCACAAAGCCAGTTCCATCCTACTTAGTTCATCTTCATTCCCTTTGGAGAATGAATGGAAAATAGCAGTATGTGCTAACCCTGATTAACTGGTAGTGGCTACCTTGAGCATATGGCCAGGAGGGTTCTGAGGGCAAATCTGGGTGAAAGACTGCTATGACAGATTGGTAATGCATTTAAGAATGCAGTAGGGAGAGTGTAGGTGACTGACATTTCCCATCTCCTTTATAGAGTTTGCCCTCAGAGCCTGTTATTTTCCTCCAGATAGGAAACCATTTACAAGATATAAGTCATAGTACACTGAAGAATCCAAAGTTTGTAAGTCTCTGTTTAACTTATTTCTCATGGACAATTGATGTTCACGATACTTTCCTTGTCTTAACCTGACATCAATGAGGCTCCAATGTGATAATGGATGTGAATAGGATTAGCAATGGTAAAAAATACTACATAGGCAGAAGGGACTCTTATTCCCTTACTTCTTTCTAGTGCAGTGGTTGTCCAAGTGCAGTCCCTGGACCAGAAGTATTAGTATAAACTGGAAACTTGTTAGAAATGCAAATCATCAGGCTGAATCCCAGATCCACAGAATCAGAAACCACTGCTCTAAACCTTTTGAATAACCCAGAATAATCCAGAGCTAAACACCTGCTCAGCCCTGGATTTTGCCTTTTCCCTAAAGGAAGGAGGTTCATTATTGCTAGGATCAGGTCCCAAAATATCCACCAGGACCAAGAGTCTTTCAGTCTTTTAAGAAGAGCTCATTCCTAAAACAAAACCAAAAACAATTTCTACAATTATTTTCCCAATCTACCCAACCAAAATATCACTAATCCACAGGAAAAAGCACCATATTTTATTATGGCTAACATGATATTTAATATGGAGTCTGTGTCTAAATGCAGCCCTTACACAGACCTACCTTTGATTTCACAGAATGATAATTATATCCCAATAACTGTCAAGTAAAGAGGGTCTTTGAAGTGTGGTTCTTACAGGAGTACTCATTCTCATCAGCAAAGCAGTACTATATAGATTATTCACAAAGACATGGGGAATAGTTTCATGATGATCATTATGCCAAGTTAGGCATTAAAATACTCTTGCTAAAAGAGAATTCTACTTGTGATATAAACAGCTAGCATTTATTATTACCTGCTAAACATGTGTTAAGGGCTTTATGTGAATTCTCTCTTTAAATCTCAATGATCATCCTTGAGGGAGGTACTACCATTTTCATCTCTATTTTCTTGCTGAAGAAACTGAGGCTCAGAGGGGCTAAAGAACTTGCTACCCCAAAATCAGACAGTGGAGCTTGAATATGTAACAGAATCTATCTTTCTGAAAGCCTAAGCTCTATTCCTTAACAACTCCACTATAGGAAATCTGATTCAGGTTATGTGGAGGACCTCATTTTTCTTCCCTAATTCAGGCAGGGCAAACAACCTATACACACACGAGAGAGGGAGAGAGAGAGAGAGAGAGAGAGACAGAGAGAGAGAGACAGAGAGACAGAGACAGAGAGCAAAGGTGGGGGAGAAAGGAAGAAAGGAAATTGCTTGACTTCCTGAGAAACCCGTTAGCATTTGCAAATAGACTTGCATAGGGCATGAGGAATTTTAATAATCCTTATTGTCTTCCTTCTATTTAATCTAACTCTGAGACAAGTTATTGGGGAAGGTTGTGGAATCTCTTTTTCCCTAATGATTATTAAACATTAAAGAGCTAATCTTACTGGGATGCATGAGTTCAATCTTCCCTTGGGTTTCATCTAAGTCTGAGAATTTGGATGAGTGAAAGAATTACCCATAGCCAAGTATTGGAAGAACGAACCATGTGGAATCTTCGTAATAAGAAAAAAATTATCTCCCCTCAATGAGCATACAATTTAGATGAAGAAAAGAGATAAACTAATTCATCATTTCTACCAGTGACAAACATTGATGGAATTTCTATTGTGTGTCAAGCACTGTGCTAGGAAATGTGGGAGACAAGGAAGCACAATTCTCAATAAAGATGCTTTCATAGGCCCATTTGAACATGGGGACATTTTGGTGCTGTTTTGTCAAAATGCCACTGTCGAAAGGGTGATGTCAGACTGTCCTGTGACCCTTTAAAATACGGTTTCTGTGCTCAAGGTGCTTAGAGTCACAGAAGAGTACGAGTGCCAATATGTTGGTGCTTTACATGCATTATCACTAATCTTCACCAAAACACTTCAGCATGAATGTCATTCGCTTTTTATAGAAAAGGAAATTAAGGCTGAGACAGTCACACATCAGGTGAGTGATTGTATTTGTCAGGGTTCTCCAAATAAATGGAATCAAGGAGGGGTGTGTTTGTGTGTGTGTGTGTGTGTGTGTGCATGCGCGTGCGTGTGTGCCAAATCCCATAATAAATCCTGTTATATGAGAGGATTTATTATGGGATTTGGCTCATATGATTATGGAGGCAGAGAAGTCCCATAATATGCTGCTGCTGTTATAAGTCCTGGAGTCCAAAGGCCTGAGAATCAGGAGCTCCTGTGCCTAAGGGCAAAAGAAGATAGATGACCCAGCTCAAGAGGAGAGAGTGAAGTCCCCTTTCCTCTGCCTTTTTGTTCTGTCTGGGCCCTGGAAAGATTGGATGATGCCCACCCACATTGGTGAGAGCAGATCTTCTTTATTCAGTCTACTGATTGAAATGCTAATCTCTTCTGGAAACACCCTCACAGACACACCCAGAAATAATGTTTTATAGGCTATCTGGGCATCTCTTAGCTCAGTCAAGCTGATACATAAAATCAACCACCATAGTAATCAAGCCAGTATTTGAATCCAAGTGAGTCTATTCCTTTGGGTCAAACCAAATGGAACGGTGGGAATGACAGCTAGATTGCAGTGGGTGGAGGAGTGATTTGTAAGCAAGGATACAGAGAAAGAGAACATAGGTGATTCTTTCCCAAACCTGGCTGTAAAGTTTTCGAGAGAAATGTCTCAGAAAATATAAGGATCAGGAGAAGTTTGTTGTTTTGGTTTGTTTTGTTTGGAGGTGGGAGTATTGAAGGAAAACGCAATGCCTACCCTCTAGGAATTTACAGAAAGAAACACGCCTCAAATTTTCCATACAGAAAACCACCCCTACGCCAGATGTCATTTGGAGCTGAAAGGCCACCTGTGGACGTTAATTGGTCCAATGATCTTCTTTGGTATTCAATAATCCAAAGAAGGAAGAGCCATCATCAGAAAATAATGAAGGGAACAGATATGGGAGACTGGAAACTGGAAAACTGTGCCTTCCAAATCTCTCCAACATGGTTGTGTAGCATTTACAGCTTACAATTCTCAAGGACTATCCTGACATTTACCTGTGGTAGGCAAGATCCTAAGTTGGCTTCCAAGATTTCTGCCCCCTGGGATACAAGCCCTGCATAAACCCCTTAAGTGTGAGTGGCACCTGTGTATGTAATGAGATATCACTCCTATGATTATGTTTCATTATATGGCATAGGGTGATTACCCTAAATAGACTGACCTAATCAAGTGAGCCTTTTAAAAGCAGAGTTTTCTCCAGTTGGTTGCAAAGAAGGGAGTCAGAAATTCAAAGTTTGGAAAGGATTTGGCACACCATTACTGCTTTGAAGATGGAGGGGACCACATGGCAAGCAACGTGGCAGCCCTCAGAGCCAAAGATAACCTCTGGTTTACAGCCAGCAAGAAAACAAGGACTTTAGCCCTACAATCTCAATGAACTGAATTCAACCAACATCCTGAGTGAGCTTGTAAACAAGTTTTCCTGGACCTTCCAGATGAGACATCAGCCTGACCAATACCTTGATTTCAACTTTGTGATACCCTGAGCAGAGAAGCCATTTGAGCCATATCCAACAGAACTGTGAGCTAATAAATAGGTGAGATTTTAAGTCTCCATGTTTGTAGTAATTTGTTATGCAGTAATAGAAAACTAATATACCACCTTTTCTGAGAAGCTTTCCCTAACTAACTTGCATAGCTATGGTCCTCTAAGAGCAGGGACCATGCCTTATACATCACCATGTCCCTCACCGTGCTTTGGTGCAGGGCTTGACACAATGAAAAACACTCAGTAGATGAAAGTTGACTGCTAGCAAAATCAGAGAGTAAACGTTCACTTTAAAAAGTAATTATTGCTGTATCAAATGACGGGAAAAGTGCTTCCCAGGAATGAATGATTGAGTGAATGAATTTAAGAGTACCTCTTGCACTTAAAGTGAGTGAATGTCTACACAGGTAGTCATGTAGTCATAATAATCCAACTGTTATGCAGAGTGAGGCAATCTGTAAGTATGCTGGCATTGCAGAGTCCAAACAGTACCCAAATCTGCAATGGCAGCTCCATGTTCTGTGCCACTTAGACCCACTTGGTTTACCTTGGGTGGTGGAATATTTGCATAATCCAGGCAAGCTTTTCTATAATAGATTCAGTCATTCCATTTCTTCATTGATTATCCTGAGGCATGCAGATTACCTGTATCTCTTTATCTTCCTCATCTGTCAACAATTACACAGAGGTGCCAGCCAATTTCACTTGCACTAAAATAAAATTTAAGGATATTCATAGAAAGTGGGAAATATAAATGTATAAATGCTGTGGGACAAATAGGGCTTTATGTTCTGCAGGGAACATATGTGATTCCTAATGATTTATTTTCTATATACATACATACACACCTAGCTGTACATGTGTGTGTGTGTGTATGTGTGTGCATGCGCGTGCACACACCTTATAGTTTACAAAGCTCTTCCACATCTATTGGGTCATTTGAGCCTCAGAACTCTTCTGAGGCAGACAGGGCAAAGATTCATATCTCCATTTGTAAATGAGGAAACTGAGGCTGAGCGAAATTATTTGCATAAGTTCACACAGAAAATCAGAATTGTTGAGAGGGCTAGATCCCCCATGTCTACTTACTGGGTTGCCTGTAGTAATTACTTAGGAGTTTTTTTTTGTTTTTTTTTTTTTGACACAGGGTCTCACTCTGTTGCCCAGACTGGAATGCAGTGGTGCAATCTCAGCTCACCACAACCTCTGCCTCCCAGGCTCAAGCAATCCCCTGCCTCAGCCCCCTGAGTAGCTGGGATTATAGTTGTGTGCCACTACTGCCTGGCTAGTTTTTGTATTTTTAGTAGAGATGGGATTTCACCATGTTGGCCAGGCTGGTCTCGAAATCCTGGCCGCAAATGATCCACCCGCCTTGGCCTCCCAAAGTGCTGGGATTACAGGTATGAGCCACCATGCTTGGCCACTTAGGAATACTTCTGATGAGCTTTTGATGTATACCCAGAAATGCTCTTGGGACTAACTTATAGTTAGTTTTTGGCTAACTGAAAGTCCATTAAAATGATTTTAAACTCAAATAACATCCTAATCAAAGATGTGAAAACTTGACTTCATCTGAGCTCATTCATTCGTTGGAAAAATATTTACTGAACATCTACAATGGCCACTGTTCTTGGTTCTAGAGGTACAGTGGTGAACTAGGCAGTCATGGTCCCTTCCTTATGAAGTTTATATGGCCCAGTCATTCACTGAGTTACATAGAAATACTGTCATTGACTCCAGTTAAAGAGCCCACACTCTTTCCTCCTTGATTCCCATAAGTAGAAGTAGTTTCCATCTGCTGAAAGGTAAATTACAATCTGATGAGAGCTGAGCAAATCTCCTTGGCAACTGTCCTCCAAGAGGCTCAGAGATCCTGGCTACTTCTCTAGTTCCAGGCCTCCATTTCAGAGATTTTAGCTTCCAGCCACATAGATGAAGAGGGCAAGAGGGGGGATTCCACCATTTTAAATTGCCTTGGACTGCAAATGACACATCACTTCAGCTCACATTCCCACTGGTAGGAACTTAGAGTAGCCCTCCAAGAGAGACTGGGAAATGGACTCTTCCTGGTGTGGGTGCTCAGGAAGGGGAAATATGGTGGTGAACATAGCATTGTCTTGGCCACATGACCAGTGAAAGAAAGTGAGTCTTCCATCCACTTTCCTTTATGGGCTGGTTTTAGTCAAAGCCCTTTTGCTACATGGTAAGCCCACTTAAGTTATCCCCAAGACAAGTGGAAAGAGTGTTGCAAGGGCATGCTTGGATTGGAACTAGCCTCAAAAGACGCTAAGAGTGGAGACAGCTACCTTCTCTGGGGCTTACTCAGGGGATGCTCTCTCTTCTCCTGGGTATGTCTACTTCATCCTGCATATTTGCTTCATTCACCTCTCTACAAATCTGATTTTGTGATAGTTCCACCTTGTACACAGCCTACCATACTAAATTTATAAGGGCATAAGTCTATTGGCTTAGCTCTTTTTTTCAGACCAGGTCATCCAAGCCACTTAGCTTCCTGGCTAGACTACATATGAGCCACCACTGGGCCAAGGACCCACCCATGATCACATAAGGTACAGCCAGGAGGCTGGGGCACATAATCTACTGACCATTCAACAAGGCTATGAGACAGGTAGTTTCTCTGGAAGCTTCTCCTGCTGTGATATGGCAAATAATGATTGGTATTTTTAGTATAATGATGTCTTTAGGACAATGGGTCTATCTGACTACAGGGTAGAAAGCTCCTCAGTGCCACAGCCATGCAAGGCCAGCAGACTGTCCCAGAATTAGCCTGTGGAAATACTGTGTATTATCTCATTCAGTCTCTAGTTCATCTTCCCTTTGACGTACCTTCCTATACTACTGAGATTGGAAAGCTAGAAAGTATATTTCCCAGTCTCTCTTGTAGCTGAAGATCTGGAAGCAAACTAGATGCACTTGCTTGGAGTTTTGAAGTCAGATGGAAAGTGTAGGCCATCTCTCTTTTCTTTTAGTTGTTTTCTGCTGGCAATCTAGGTCTTAGAGACATGAGATCTTTTTTTGCACTGGTGCCCCATGTCAATTCTCTAGCTTCCTGGATGTTGACAAGCAAGTTGTAGCAGAGACACTGGACAGAGTCTATGTCTCATTACCCAGTCATCATCTTTGTAGGGGCCAGGAGGTAGCTGGGGTAGGAATAGTGGCAATGGCAACTTCTTAATTCTGTCTTCCTGATTCCTGGATAACAGCAATTGCAATGCATTCTTAAATGTGGTGGTTCAGCCAAACATGGTGGCTTACATCTGTAATCCCAGTACTTTGTGAGGCAGAGGCAAGAAGATCTCTTGAGCCCAGGAATTAGAGACCATCCGGGGCAACACAGGGAGACTCCAACTCTATAAAAATGCAAAAATAAAAAAAATAGCTAGGCATGGTGGCATGTGCTTGTAGTTGTAGCTACTCAGGAGGCTGAGGTGGGAGAATTGCTTGAGCCTGGGATATCAAGGCTGCAGCAAACCATGATCACACCACTGTACTCCAGCCTGGGCAACAGAGTGAGACCCTGTCTCAAAAAAAAAAATTAGTGGTTCCATCAGTGGCCTTAAAGATAGTAGTTCTTCAAGAGGGTCATTCCTGTCATGTTCTAGGAGTCATTTTTTGATGTTCAGCATAGAGCCCACACCTTCTTCCCTTCAAATAAGTTCTCAGTATGGATTCTCTGTATTAAATAATTTCTGATTAGTATACCTTGAGTTGTTTCAGTATGTTGCCCTGAACCCTGACTGATATACCAACATATGTACTCCCTTGATAGGGACTGCAAAGAAGAGGAGACTAAAACCCAGAAGTCCATTCACAAACCCAGTTTTTCCATGTGAGATTCTGGTTAAAATCTGTAACAGGAAAATTCATCATTCCCACCCCCACCCTCAACCCACCCCTGATTTAACTCCATAAATGTAAACAGTTTTATTCATTGTCAAAGCAACTTTAAAGTATGCTACAACAAATTTCAAAGTAAATTTTAAAAAGTTGATTTTAGATTCAACTCAGCAAACAGTGATTGAGTGCCTCTTCTTTGCCAGGCATGGTAGTAGGGATGGACGATGCAAAGATAAGTAAAAATTGGTCTCTGTTCTCTGAGAGTGTACTGCCTCTGTGCTGGGGAGAATAAGTTCAATACAAGGCAACTTGTGATAAATAGCAAAGAAGAGTTCTAGTCAAAATGCAATGGGAACACAGAGGAGGAAGAAAGAGAAACTCTGCCTGGGGTGGAACAGAGAATGAGTCCTAGATGAAGTGTCAGCTAAGCTGGGTCTTGAAAGATGAGGGGGATTTTGTCAGGAGGAGCAACACTGGTTTCCCAAGAAATCCACTAAGTTCAATTTTCATTTTTTAAAAAAATCCATAGGAGTATATTTTTCACTACATCTTTTTTTACCCTGCTTTTACTTTTCAACAAAAAGTGCATGTGAGCCACTTCTATGTCTCGGGGCAAGCAGGGAGCAAAAAAATCATGGAGATGAATTGCATTGTGGAATTTGTGAGTAAGTGCTAGAAATTGGTCTCTGCTCTCTCAGAGAACAGAGACCTCTTCACACTGGGGAGGTAACTATTACAGCTAAGCACTTGCTGAAATTACTTTCTATCAGCAAGACAAGATGTAATCAAGTTAAACGATGCAGGCTTTGGGCAAAACAAAGAAAGAAACCATGTGTGGAAATTATTTTCTAGGGGCCTCACAGAAAATCAGGAGAAATTCCAGGAAGAGCAAGATGATATAGTTGCAGAGCATAGAGGGTCAGAGAACTTGAATTCTGTTCTTGACTCTGACACTAGTAGGGTCTGTGACTTTGACAAGCCACTTCTCGTTGCTAACATTTGATGATTTATTTATTTATTTGCCTTTGGACAACAGAATACAGAGCAAGTGCAGCCAGCAAACACCAGGCTAGATTCTAGAAGTCTAAAAACTGAGAAATGTGTATACGCCGATTCCAATCCTCACCATTCCTACTTTCTCTAAAACAAAAGTGGCCCAGAAATTCATTTTATGAAAACTTTTTCCCATTGAAAGCCTGGCCTGCTCTTTCCATCTCAGGTTGCCTCTGCGAAAGGAGCCGGGCCAGCGCCATCCTGAGCAGCCAGAAGCCTGTGATGGTGAAGAGGAAGCGGACCCACCCCACCAAGAGCTCCTGAGCCCCCTGCCCCCAAAGCAATAAAGTCAGCTGGCTTTCTCAAAAAAAAAAAAAAAAAAAAAGAAAGCCTGGCCTGGAGGATTCAGTATGTGGATTAACCCCTGTTAGAACCTGTTTGTCTGTGTAAGAAAGTCAAATTCTCCCTAACGTCATGTCTTCAGTTGTTAAATGGCAACAGAAACACAGCCATGGAAAATGGCATCAAAGGTGGGAAAACAGAGGTTCAGAGAAATACAGTGACTTACCTAAACTCAAACAGCTATTAAGTGTCAGGGCTGGTCCCAGAACCAAAGACTATCTCACTCTGAAGTCCAGGTTGTTAGCCACCACCCCAATAATATTGAAATAGCTAAAGCACTTATTACTGAATCTTTTTGACTTCTTATTGAGGTGTCACTAGTTAGCATTTCTTTTTTTTTACAGAACGTGAGTAAGGCTCATGAACTTTATATCAGTTTTCTACTACTGTGTAACAAGTTACCAGAAACTTAGTAGCTTAAAACAACATTAATTGCCTGGGCACAGTGGCTCCTGCCTGTAATATCAGCACTTTGGGAGGCTGAGGCAGGCACATCACTTGATGTGCCTGGCCAACATGGCGAAATCCTGTCTCTACTAACAATACAAAAATTAGCTGGGTGTGGTGGTGGGCACCTGTAATCCCAGTTACTGGGGAGGCTGAAGTGGGAGAATCCCTCGAGCCTGGGAGGCAGAGGTTGCAGTGTGCTGAGATTGCACAACTGCGCTCCAGCCTGGGCAACAGAGCAAGACTCCATCTCAAACACACACACACACACGCACACCATTAATTAATTATCTCACAGTTTTTATGGGTGAGAAATCTGAAAACAGTTATGGCTGAGTCCTCTGTTCAGGTTTCACAAGACTACAATCAAAATATTGGCCAGGGTGGGCTCCAAGGCTAGAAGTCTTCTTCCAAGCTCACGTGGTTGTTGGCAGAATTCATTTTCTTGCAGCAGTAGAAATCATGGAAGCTTCTTCTTCAAGGCTAGCAGGAGACAGAGTGACTTCTTCCAGTTTCTTCTTTTGGGGCAGGACTGGAGGGCTCATGTGCTTCGGTCAAGCCTACTCAAGATAATCTTCCTTTTGATTGATCCAAAGTTAACTGATTAGGGAATCTTACTTCTATAAAATACGACAACCTTTGCCATGCTCTATTGTTTAGATGCAAGTAACAAGTTCCTCCTACATGCAAGGAGAAGCGTTTATATAAGGGTGTTTCTACCACAGTGTAAGAATTATAGAGGTCATCTTAGAATTTTGCCTGTTATAAAGTTTAATCTACTTTTCCAATGGAAGTTTTCCATGTTTCTATCAGAGGCACCCAAATTATTTAATACCTCTGGAGCCATAATTTCAATTATTGTTTTGAACAACTGCTTAAAAACAATAGCTCTGCTTTTGAATAGTGGCCAGGGTAAGGAAGAGAGGAGGGACCCATCCAGCTACTGGGCACCTCACAGCCCTCTGGGAAGACCCATCTGGCAGGCCTCCACTCACTGCATTCTTTGACCTGGAAACTCAATCAAAGTTTGTTATGTTGACTTCAGGGGTTGTTTGGGAGTAGATAGTAAGAAATGATCCAAAATTCTTTAGAAAAAAATATGCAAAATGGTAAATATAAAAATAAGACACCATCCCTTTGAAGGCCTGTATGAGACATACATTCATTGCTTCTGTCAGACAATTTTCATGTTAGAAACCTTGTTTTATTCCTTAGTCATGAGTTTATCTTCTTTAAAGTAAGTAAGGTAAAATAATAAGACCCCTCTTGTTTGCATAATAAAAGCTATCATTTCATCTCTTGTTTGTGTGGGTGTGTGTGTGTGTGTTTTTGGTGAGGAGTAATGGGGTGACCCTCAGGCTTTTACTTATTCCTACATATTTTCTCCCTTTTTCCTCTCATTTTTTCTCTTATAAATTTCTCAGCCCTATATTATTTGATTGTCTCAAAGCAGGTGTGCAAAGGGAGCACTGTAGATGAATGTCTCAATTATCCAAAAGAACTACTATGTGCCAGGAAAATTTCCCAGGTATTTTAAAGACACTATATTATTTAGCTACTCAATCCACAAACAAAGAATCAGCAGGGGCACCAAGATGGGGGTTTCAGTGGTGATAAAAGAGTACAGACACAGCCAACCCCCCTCAAGTGGAGAACCAGAAAAGGAGGCTGTGTTCACAGTCACTCATATACATATTTTTTATTGACAGGTAAAAATTGTATATATTTACAGTGTACAAGATGATGTTTTCGATATATGTATATGTTGCAGAATGACTACATTAAACTACTTAACATATGCATTACCTCACATACTTATTTTTATTTTATGGTGAGAACACTTAAAAAGTACTCTTTTAGCAGTTTTTAAATATACAATATATTGTCATCAAATGTAGTCACCATGATATACAATAGATTTTCTGAACTTATTCCTCCTAACTGAAATTTTATGTCCTTTGACCAGCATCTCTCCACTTCCCACCACCCCCATCCCAGCGTCTGGCAGCCACCATTTTGCTCTCTGTTTCTATGAGTTCAACATTTTTACATTCCATGTATAAGGGAGATCACGTGGCATTTGTATTTCTGTGTCTGGCTTATTCAACCTAACGTAATGTCCTCCAGTTTCCTCCATGTTGTTGCATATGACAGTACTTGTTTCTTTTTTTAAGGCTGATTAGTATTCCATTGTATATCAATTACCCAGACCATCATCGAGGAGATTTTCCCCTATGTTTTCTTCTAGTAGTTTTACAGTTTCAAATCTTATGTTAAGTCTTTAATCCATTTTGATTTGATTTTATATATGATGTGATATGATTCTTCTAAATGTGGATATCCAGTTTCCCAGCACGATTTATTGAAGAGTCCACACTCTCTTTGTGTTCTTGTTTCATTCACTGTATGTTCTTCATGTCTTTGTCAACAATCAAGTGACTATAAGTATGTAGATTTATTACTGGGCTCTCTATTCTTTCCCATCTGTACATGTGTCTGTTTTTATGCCAATACCATGCTGTTTTGATTACTGTAGCTTTTAGTAGATTTTCAAACTAGATAGTATGATGCTCATCCACATATTTCTAACAGCAGCTTCTTCATTATTTCAGGGAATTCATATGTACTTGAAGGATGGACTAAGACATGTTACCAAAATTCCTAGGGGAAAGTTTATATACAGTATAATGCATCATAAAGGTAATTCCCAGTTGAACAAAAAATGAAAGCCTAGAAAGGTTATTATGATTATTAATAATCATATTCAACAACACATAATTTTTTTTTTTGAGATGGAGTTTCGCTCTTATCGCCCAGGCTGGAGTGCAATGGCACGGTCCTGGCTCACTGCAACCTCTGCCTCCCAGGGTCCATTGATTTTCCTGCCTCAGCCTCCCAAGGAAAAAAGAAGAAAGTAGGAGTTGAGTATAGGTAGGGAACGAGGTTGTCAGTGTAGTTTTTTGTTTTTTGTTTTTTCTGCTACTGAGTAGGCCAAGGAAGTTCCATGATGCAAGATGAAGAGGTAAAGTTTCACGGAATCATTGTCTCACTACAGTAGAAGTGCAAAGGGCCTGAGAGTCCAGGTGTCTAAGTCCTCACACTCGACAGATGAGGAAACAGAAGTACAAGCATAGCAACAGACTTGCTCAAGGTCATAGAGCAAATTAGGAGCAAAGTCGGATTTTGAACTATTAAATTGAGAGCTCGTGAAGGCAGAGAATTCATGTTCTTGCCTGTGGTCTCTATTGGGTCATATGTGGTGCTTTGAGTTGCACTGACTTCAGATGTCTTGGCTTAAAGACTCTCATGACTCCCTGTATCCCTCCCCTTCAAAGTTGCCTCTATGAACCACATGCATAAGTAATGACCAAGATTTAGCATATGCTGAAAATATGTGAGGGGGTGAAAGCAGCTGATGGTCTAGATACATAACCATGGTTTTTCACGGATTATTTTAAAGGAAAAATAGAGAAAAACGTATAGGAACAAAGTTGTGATACTCAACTGGAGGTGGTGCTGCTGGGAAGGGGCATACACCTTTAATGTAAAATGTTCCCAAGGCATGTTATTTTTCCAAATGTCCAAAGGTCATTCTGATTCACCAACCCTGTCACCAGCGTATTCAGAACCACTGCAATACAGTGTGAAAAGATAATCTTACAATCATGAGTCACTAGATTAAAAAAGAAAAGTCTGCTTTTGGTAAATACTTGAATAAGAGTAGCTATTTCAGAGCCATTGTTAAGTTTGTTTCCTTGGACAAAGAGAGCATTGGTAGATAAATGTCAAGAGTGCTGGCCTGAGCCCATGAGAGAATATTGAGCAAAAAGGTTTGTGAAATTAATTTAGCACTACATAGATTCTATTAAGGGGCTGTGTGATTCTAGAACAATATCATCTCCAGAGAAAACTGAATGCACAATTATGCACATATTTTTAAAGTGAAAGGTTCCACATTTCAATGGGAATGTGAAGTCAGGTACCAGGACTGCCAAAGAGTCTGCACTGTCACCTAAAAACTTTGCCACCTTTACAATGAGGCATGGCCCTCCTCATCTATGTTGGGGTAACTTAGACTGCAAAAGCCTTGAGGGAAGATATTACTTGCTTCAACTTTGGATCCCCATAATGGCAAGTAGATGGAACATAAGATATGTTTGCTAAATAAAGGATTCAATGGCTTCCCAAACTCCTTAAACTGGTTTCTTCTCTTGTAATTTAAAAAATCTACCCACTAGGGGAAGATTGATAGCTTAGGAGAATAGAAGGGCAGTTATGGATCATGGTATGCCTTGCATACCAAAGAGTTCGGATTTCTTTCTAGTTATAAAGAGAAACTGTTAAAGGGTTGAAAGTTTAAATGATCTGATTTATGTTTTCAAAAGCTCATTCTGTCTGCTGAGTGGGGAATGGACTGCAGGGAGCAAGAGTGGAAGCAAGGAGACCAGTGAAGAAGCTACTGCAGCCAGCGAGGTATGAGATAATGATGGCCATTATGAGGACGGATCATACTGAATGACTAAGAGAACAGGAGGGGATGAGGTAGGAGAGGAGGACAGAGACCAGGGCCTGTAGGGCCCTCTAGGCCACGGTAAAACTTTGGATTTTATTTTAAGCACAGCTAGAAGCTGCTAGATTGAGAACAAGGGGCAGACTTGCCCTGGTTTATGCTTTTGAAGATTCTTCTGGCTACCGTGTGGAGAATGGACTGTAGGGAAACAAGAGTGAATATGGGAAGAAAAGTGGAAAGAAATAATGAAGTGGAGATGAGTTGCTCACCGACTGAAAAAAGCAGCTGAAAAAAATTACAACTCTTTTTATGACATATGGATATATTGCAAGGTACATTTTCTCATTTCATTTGAACATAAAATGTTAATGGTTTAATAGGTGCTTTGTTGTACCAGCAATTGATGGACCTTGAAAAATGATAATTGGGGATGTTGCTACCAACTTGCATCATTCTGAGAGAGAAATTCCAGAATGCCATTCGAGCATATTCCCTCACAAAAACCTAGATCCAGAAAAATAACCTCGCTCATTTCCTATTCACATGCCCCCACTCCCTCCAAAAGATTGCAATACAGTTCATTTTCAGAACGCTTCTTTTTTGAGTTTATTGAGAAAACACCCATTTATTAATTAGACTAGCCTACATTTCCTTCCTCTGTGACCTGTTGAAGCCCAAGTGTTTCTATGTGTTTTAAGCATGTGGCTTTCCACCTACCTACTATTTTCCAGTGCGGTGGTTTGCAAATGGTAAACAGTGGGAGTCATGTGGAAGAGGGCTGCAGGATCCACAGGAGGGAAAGAGAAGGGCAGTTGCACAAGGGGCAGAGATGCATCCAGGCAGCTTGGGTGACAAGGGACACCCACACCCCCAAGACGCTAGCATGTCAAGACTTTCATTGACAATACTCCACAGCCTGCAAATATCAATAGGAGAGTGGAACTTGGATACTGGCTGTTCGGTGGAGTTTGAATAAGCAGCGTTGTCCCATTGGAAGTTAAGACAGAAGCGTTTCTAGAATCCTGGCCAGTGGGGCTGAAATGGCTGAAGCCAGGAGAAGTTTGATCCACTGTCTAGAAGAATCAGGGGCCGGGGGGAAGCAGGGTAGGTGAGGAAGTGGAAGGGATGTGCACCAAGAGTAGCTTCAGTAGCAGAGATGGGAATACAAGAGAGGATCATGAATGACCGGGGAGAAATTTCGGAGTTTGGAATCACGGAGGTGGTGAGAGCAGTTCTGAGAAAACTTTCATGTGGTGGCATAGTTGAAATGAGGGGAAGGTAACTGTCAATGAAAGTAAGAAGAAAGTCAAGGAATTCAGAAGCCCAAGTGTTTGTAGGGAAATCACAAAGACACACAGAAGTCCCCAAAGATTTTGGCAAAAGCCAAGGGCAGAAAGACTGTGAGCCAGAAGCCAAAGCCCTAGAGACTGCAGGCAGTGTGCATGCTCCAGAGGCTGCTGAAGGTGGCCAGAATTTTGGATGGCAGGGCACAGAGTTAAGCAAATCTCAGTATCAACGCAGTGCTAGCTCTATTCAATGGGAGTAAGAGACAAAATAGGACTCAAATTTGAGCCTTCTCTTTGTCTCTGGGAGATGTCTGTCTGAAGGGCCCATGGGGTGCTAGATAGGCAGGGTTGGAGCTACCCACTCACATGTCCCCAGCTCAGAAGCCAAGCCACTCTGAACCCTGGCTTTTACAGACCAAGATTCTGGGGGCACTTTCCCCTGACTGTGACACTCCCTTTGCTTCCCCAGAGTTGGAAGGTAGGACCAGGTGAACAGTTAGGGAAGCTTCCAGTTCCACAGCCAGGTCTGATTGGAGGATTTACTTTTGGCTTGCCAAGAAGCCTCTGTGTCCAAAAGAAGCACAGGGTAGTGGTTTTGTGTTAGAACTCTCAAATCAGGACATTTTGTGTTTGGATCTTAACTGTGTGGTGTAAGGCAAGTTAGCTTAATTCTCTGTGCCTCTGTCTATGAAATGGGGATCATAAATAGCATCTACCTCATGGGGTCTTTCACTTACTAAGAAAACATTTATTGAGTGCCTACTATGTACCAGGCATGGTGCTACATTTTGAGAATATGACAGAGAGCAAAGCAGACAAAACTCTTAACTTTCATAGACACAGATAAACAAGATAAATAAGCAAAATACACATATTATGTAGTGATAAATACTACATATTTATGGGAGAAGGCTAGAGTATTGTGGTGGTGATGAGTGATAACACTTTTAAATAGAGTAGTCAGGGAAAAGGAAGCCTTTACTGAAAAGATGATCTGAAGCACGGGAAGGATCAAGCCATGTGAAAGTCTGGGGAAAGAGCATTCCAGGAAGAGGAAACTGCAAGTGCAAAGGCTCTAGGGCAGAAACATGCTGGCAGGTATAAGAACAGCAAAGAACTCAGTGCTGCATGCTTTACACAGGGTCTGGCACTGAGGGGTCCCTCAGCAAAGTTGAGGTACGGCAGGGAATATACGTATTAGCAGAACTGCTTGTAGCTGCCTGACCTGGCTGCACAGATGAGATCCAGGCCCCTGGTAGAAGTCGGGTATAATTATCCCTTTTTCTGAGAAGGACAGAATCTGATGTGGGCAGTGAGAAGTAAAGGAATGACAGTGCCATTCTTACCTGGGAGCTGGCACCTGAACTGACAGCCCTCTCACATGCAAGCTTCACTGAGGAGGCCAGCAGGGACAAATGTAGGTAGACTTGGAGTGACCCTCTAGGCCATCTGGCACAGGGTGGGGTGGATGTTAGAGGTCTGGGGGTAACAGGTCAGTGTAATGTGGCCTTGTGGCCTCTCTTTTATCCATAGGGTAGGAAGGCTCAAGATCTTTCAGGTTACACATACAAACACACTATGACTCAGGCCCTGACTAATTGGAATTCTCATAACCCTACGAGGTAGAGGCAACCATTCTTCCCATTTTACGGAAGAGAAGTCAGTACTCTGCCTGAGATTAACCAGATAATGAGCAGTAGTGCTGGGATTTTAACCGCGGTCTGTCAGAGTGCTCACTTTTAACCACTGAGTACTGCTTACATGTTATGAATAACTCCTAGAAGGAGAAGCACCTGAGAGTTTTAAGGCACCTGAGTGGCTGGGAGACCTTGGGCAAGTTACTTCACTTCTGCTATCTGGGTTTCTTTCGGTCTTCCAGATCCACAAAGCTGGAGGACTACTGCAAGGAAATTCTCAGGATTGAATGCAGACAGACAATGGGGTTGCATAATGCAAAGATGAGCCTGGAGCCAGGGGCTAATGGTATGAAAACTCAGAATGCCAGGGCAGACCCTTTATGCTTGAAGACCCGTTTGCCAACTGCTGGGCTGCCAGCTGACCCTGCTGAGGTGATCATCCAAGTGCCCATGAATGTTTCCCATCTGCTTCTATAGGCAGAATAAGTGGGAAATAATTCCATCTTCTTGTAAAAAAAAAAAATGCCCATAAGTGCCTGCTTTGGGTCCACTCATGTAAATACGACAAACATGGTTACAAAAGGAACGATTAAAAATCTAGATAAAATACTTGATCAGTCAGTAACTGATCCTGAGGCTTGTAGCTCCTAGGAACTGCTGCCATTGTAGGAAATGTGAATGGAAGGGATGTAGAAGGTGGAACCACTAGTAGGGTACAAGAGGATGCAAAAGATGGAGGGGATGTATTGGTCAGAGTTCTCCAGAGAAAAAAACAATAGGAGAAATATATATATATATTACATATATTATATATTATATATTATATATAATAAATATATATATTATTATATAATTTATATAATATATAATATAATATATAATATATAATATATAATATATAATATATAATATAATATATAATATATAATATATAATATATAATATATAATAGAATATATAATACATAATAGAATATATAATATATATTATATATTATTTATTATATATTGTATACTATATTATATATATTATATGTAATATATAATATATAATATATTATATATATTATATGTAATATATAATATATAATATATTATACACATACATTTATATTATATACAATAATACATATATTATAAATTATATATTATAATACATATATTACATATTATATATTACATATTACATATACATTATATATAGTATATATAGTAATATATAATGTAATTATGTCTAATGTATACATGTAACAATAAATGTAATGTAATAATATAATGTAATAATATTATATTATATTATATATTATTAATATATAAAAATAATATATATTTATCATTATATATTATATAATATGATATATTATATAAATATAAAAATAATATATATTTATCATTATATATTATATAATATAATATATTATATAATATACTATATTATTATATAGTATATTATATAATATATTATATAATATAACATATATTATATATAACATATATTATATGTAACATATAATATATTATATATAACATATATTATATGTAATGTATAATATATTATATATAACATATATATGTAATGTATAATATATTATATATAACATATATTATATGTAACGTATAATATATTATATATAACATATATTATATGTAACATATAATGTATATAATATAATATATAAATAATATGTTATATATTATATATATTATATAATATAATATATAAATAATATATAATATATTATATAATATAATATATAAATAATATATAATATATTATATAATATAATATATAAATAATATATTATATATTATATAATATAATATATAAATAATATATAATATAATATAATATAATATAATATATAATAATATATTATATATTATATAATATAATATATATATGTATACACACATGCGTCTATAACCTCCTATTTGTTCTTACTTTATATGTGTATGTCTGTGTACATGTATATGCATACATATCCAGAGATTTATTATAAGGTATCAGTTTACAGGATTGTGCTGTCTGCAAGCTAGAGTCCAAGGAAAGCCAGTGGTATAGTTCAAAGGTTGAAAAGCCAGAGAGCCAATGGTGTAGGTTCCAGTCCAAGTCTGAAAGCCCAAGAATCAAGAACACTGAAGGCAGGAGAAGATCAGTGTCCTAGCTCAAGCAGTCAGGCAGAAAGAAAGAGAATCCTTTTGAACCGTTTTGTTCTATTTAGGTCCTCAATGGATTGGATGAGGCCCACCCAACATTGGGGAGGGAAATGGGCTTTACTCAGTCTATTGATTCAAACGGTAATCTTTTTCATAAACACATAGACACACTCAGAAATAATGTTTAACCAGATATCTGCACATCCTGTGTTCCAGTCAAGTTGATATATAAAATGAGCTATCATGGGGAATTTTGTAGCAAGAGTGTCTGGTGTGGGTACCTTTGTGCTGGACTGCTGAGTGGGGTCAGAGGTGAACTAACCACCATCAAGCCCTGCTCTAAGCACTCTCCAAACTGCCTCATTTGCTCCTTTCAACTGCCCCATGAAGTAGGTGCTATCTTTAGCCCATTTTCAGATGAGGAAATCAAGGCAGAACTATGTTAAATGGTTTGCATAAGGTCCTAGAGCTAGTAAGTGGCAGAACTGGGATTCAAACCCAGAGCTGACAAATGCCAGCCCTAGTGCTATTCGCCAAACCCTCCTTCCTGCCTTTCAAGGGCTGGGTTGGACTGCAGGGTTGCTGAAAACTCCATCTGAATCCCATAACCCATTCCTCTTAGTTCCTGGGGACACAAAGCTAACCTGGCTAGAAGGTGGAGCTCTAGGGTTGCCAAGGATATAGCAGGGAATCCTGACCTGAGACAATAGGGGAAGGGGTACTGAGTCCAAAAGAAAGACCGAGGCTGAAAACTGCTCAGGAGACATCAGAGCCAAAATGCCAGGAATGTGTCTAGAGGGTACAGAACCAGGAGATGGGATGTAACACAAGCTAGCTGGGAACCAGTATAGGTGGGGGAAGAGAGGGAGCTTCTTTAGCCCAGAACCCCTGCTTAGTGCTGGAGTGTTGTATGGAGTGTTGACTCTTCACCAAGTAGCACGCTAAGGGGTTTACAGTGTGACCTCGTTTCACCCTCTCAACAAGTCTGAAAGGTAAGCAAATCATTTCCCCACTTTTTCAGAGGGGAAACTGTGTCTCAGGGAAATTAAATGACTCAGCCAAGACCACACAGCAAGGAAGTGGTAGAGTTTAGAACCGATTCAGATCTGGCTGACCCCAGAGCCCAGGTTTCCACCAGCCAATTTTTTGATTGGTGTGTGACAAGTATACATTGGTGAGCAATCACCTTGAAGGCACAGAGATGGAGTGGCCAGACCTTTCCAGCCTTGCCAAGCAAGGATTTGATGCCTGTAATACCCACAGCAGACATATCAGGATTCTTTCATCATTTACCCAACATTTCTCCAGGCAACTAAGTTCTGTCTCCTGGGGGAAATTTTCTAATTTCTAATTCTAATTTATACTCAACCAAACTTTCAGAAAAATCTATACACTTTAGTTCTAATTTTTTTATAAGTTTGTAAGTATTGCCTGAAGGAATACAACAGAAATTTTATTTATTTATCTTCTGTATTAACTCATTTATGGCCTGTGGGAAGAGGTGTCACAAAAACCAAAGGAACTGAGCACTGTTGGCGAGATTTTACTTTTCAAATGCATTGACAATGGAAGGAAAAAGAATTATGTCAGAAGTTGTAAGGATAAATTAGGACAACAAGCACTTGGCCAAATACTAAATTCATCGTGAGACTAGGTTGCTTAGAAGTATGAGGTCTCAGAGATTGAGCCTGGACTCAAGTACAAGTCCTAGTTTTAACTTAGCACTGGTCTTGCTAGATGATCTTGGGACAATCGCCATGTTGGATGGGCTCCATTTGTCTCTCTAGATCTTCTTTCCACCCTTCTCCACCCTACATCCTTGTGTGCCCCAAGAGGCTGAGCTATGTGGACTCAATCACCTGGGCTCCCTAGTCCTCTGGTATCCAGTTGTGTTTAGTCAATGAGAAGCACTGGCAGAAGATTGAAGGGTAGAAGGAAAGAGAGGGTGGTGTATTGATTTTCCTGGATCCCTTACTGTCTAGGCCACAGGCTTCTTGGGCAGGAAGCCTGTAGGTTGCCAGTGCCTATATTGTTTTACCAAAAGCCACATCTCCTGTTGCAGTTCCTTCCCACAGCTACATCTTTCAGTGGGTTCCATATCTACTCCCTCCCCTTGCTCCTTTAGGCTAGGAGTGGTAATATCTCCCTGCTGCAACTAGCTCCAGTCTTTAACCATCCCTAATTGGTTTCCTTTACCCAACCAACAAACACCTTTGTAAGTAGTTTTTTCCTTAAACTCTCCTCAAATTACACCTTTGGGTAGGCCATCTCTTTCCTGCCTGTGCCTTGATGAATACACTCAATCCCTGTGGGTCTCAAAATCTCTGTTTGGGTAATGGTATTTTGTTCTTCACTCATCCCAGGGATATTCAATAACCTACCAAATACTGATGGAATGCCGATACGTGGCAGATGCTCAGAGGAGAAATGAGAAAGGTGATGATGCCCTTTGTCCTACTAATAGGAGATGGTATTTCTATCCCAGGAGAGGATAGGGCTTCATTCCATCCCACCCCACTCCAGCATTTCCAGAAGGGAGCTTGGAGCCAGAGGTGGGCTAGACTGACTTACCAAGGATCACCTGCCCTCCCAAGGTAGGGTTTCTGCCCAAGAAGCTTGGGTTCTGGGTTAGCAGGTTCAGGGAAGGGTGTAGAATAGAGTTGTTATGAAGGCTTGAGACAAACTTCTCTTCTGGGACCTTTGAGTGATAATAATAACTACAAGTAAAGGTAAAAAAAAGAAAGAAAGAAATCCATAAAACTGAAGCTATAGGTCCAGCACTTTTGCTTACCAGAAGAAATGTATCTAAAGGCCTAATATATGGCCTGTCATATAGTAAGCGTTCCACTAATGATAACAACAATAACAGCAATGATAAAATAGCTAACACTTATATGGTGATTACAACGTAGGAGACACTGTTTGAAAGACCTTTGCATGTATTAACCCTGTGAATCTTCACAACAACCTTACAAAGTAGGTCTTACATGCACGCGTATGTTCATTACAGCACTATTCACAATAATGAAGGCATGGAATCAACCTAAATGCCAATCAGTGGTAGACTGGATAAGGAATATGTAGTATATATACACCATGGAATACCATGCAGCCATAAAAAAGAATGAGATCACATCCTTTGCAGGAACAACAGATGGAGCTGGAGGCCATGATCCTTAGCAAACTAACACAGGAACAGAAAACCAAATACCACATGTTCTCAATTACATGTAGGAGCTAAATGATGAGAACACATGGACACATAGAAGGAACAACACACACTGGAGCCTACTGGAGTGTGCAGAGTGGGAGGAGGGAGAGGACCAGAAAACGTAACTATTGTGTACTATGCTTTGTACCTGGGTGATGAAATAATCTGTATGACAAACTCCCATGACACGAGTTTACCTATATAACAAACCTGCACATGTACCCCTGAACCTAAAATAAAAGTTTTCTTTTTTTTTTTTTTTAAGTGGACGTGTCAGTTCATTTTCATGCTGTTGATAGAGACATACTTTAGACTGGGAAATTTACAAAAGAAAAAGGTTTAACAGACTCACAGTTCCAAGTGGCTGGGGAGGCCTCACAATGATGGCAGAAGGTAAAAGGCACATCTCACATGGTGGCAGGCAAGAGAAGAGCTTGTGCAGGGAAACGCCCCTTTATAAAACAATCAGATCTCATGAGACTTATTCACTATCACAAGAATAGCATGGGAAAGATCCACCCCCATGATTCAATTATCTCCCACTGAATCCCTCCCACAACATGTGAGAATTATGGGAGCTACAATTCAAGATGAGATTTGGTTGGGGACACAGTCAAACCATATCAGTGAGTCTTATTATTAGCCCTATTGGATGGGCTAATATTGGATTGGCTACTCTTCATGAAAGCATGGAAACAAATTACCACAAACTTGTTGGCTTAAAACAAGAAAAAAATATTTCCTCCCAGTTCTGGAGGCCAGAAGTCCAAAATCATTATAACTGGATAGTAGTAAAGGTGTCAGCAGAGCCACAATCCCTTGGAGGGCTCTAGAGGAGAATCCATTCCTTGCTACTTTCATCTTCAGTGGCTCCCAGAATTCCTTAGCTTGAGGTTACATCACTCTAATCTGTGATTACTCCATGATCAAATTGTCTTCTCTTTTGTCTGTGTCCAATCTCCCCCTGCCTCTCTCTTACAAGGATATACACGCATGATTGCATTTAGGGCCAATCCAGGATAATCTCCCCATCTCAAGATCCTCAACTTAATTGCATCTACAAAATCCCTTTTTTAAGTATGCAGTAACATTTATAGGTCCAGGATTAAGACCTGGATATTTTGGGGGCCATGATTCAGCCCACCATGGAGAGGTTAAGTAACTTGCTCAAGATCACACAGATGCCTGTTATTTTTAACTATGTCTTACTATATGATTTGGGATAAATTACACAACCTGATCTGCGAAATGGTGGTGAAAATCCCTGCCCTGTGGTACACAAAGAAATAATTATTAAAAATCTTCAGGGAGAATGTGACGGTACAAAGAAAGGGCTTCTATTTGTTTTTCAATTTCGTGTCTACCCCAGGCCATAATAAGCATTCAAGACAAGTCTGTTGAAGGAACAAATAAATGCATTAATGATAGCACAATATGTTCACACTGAGCTTCTCAGTTTAAAAAGTCCTTTCTATCCATCATCTCATTTGACTTCTCAATTGGCCTGTGAGGTAGATAGTGTGGGCTCTATTATCCCAATTTTATCCAGGTGAAACAGGCTCAGGGAGGCTAACAGCAATAATAATATCGCTGATATTATGGCATGCCAGGTACTGGGCTAAGCCCTTGTTCGAGGTTGCACAGCTAGTAAGTTACATGAGGTAAATAGTAGAACTAAACAGGGAAAATACTGGGCCTCTCAGTGCTCAGGGCTCAGGCTGTGCAAGGGGTGATCAAAGGCCCTGGATTTTTTTCCTGGAGAAGTCTTGTGAACCAAATGTTTGTGTAATGTCAGGATATATGTATTCTGCTTTGGTGTTAGAAACTTTTGTGTTACAGGCACCTTGGTATAAATGCAGGTTCCATTGTTTGGCTTAAGCTGCTTACGCTCTCTGAATCTCAGTTTCTTCATCTATAAAATAAAGATGGCAATGGTTCCTACTTCAGAGAATTGTTGGCAGGATGAAACAAGGTAGCCTGTGTAGGCACTTAGTGCAGGGCCAGGTCATGGTGTAGGGTTCAGCCACTACTTTTGCTGTTGTTGCCACTGTTACTAACATTATTATTATGCATTGTACTATAGAGCCTTCTTGAATCTGAAGATTTCCACCACCTGAATGACCTTGGGTAAAAGAGGTAATTTTCCAGTCAAAACCCAAAAAGACCTGGTACTTGGTACCCAATCCTTTCTTTCTCTTTCAAGATTGGCTTTATGGCTGTTTATTTGAGCTATTTTCCCTAGGTTCCAGTGTCTTCAGAGGTGGGAAACGAAGTGGTGTCATACAGAGGTGCTTAAGTGCTGGGTGGACTCTCTCTTCTTCCTTTCTTTGGCCTTTTCCAGGCCCAACCCACTCTTGCTGCCCACCCAGTCCCCCATTTAGACATCATCCAGAGTAACACAGGGCCTGGGGCTATGCCTCCCTCTGGCAAAGAGTTGCCTTGGAAGCCTGGACCCCTGAAGAGAGATAAGTCATACTGATGTCTGTGTGCCTTCTGCCCGAGAACAGGCCTGCAGCCAGCCACTTCTACAGCACTTGGGTATTTGGCACGGTCACAGCACTTGGGGGCTGTATTAGTCTGTTCTTGCATTGCTATAAAGAACTACCTGAGACTGAGTACTTTATAAAGAAAAGAAGTTCAACTGGCTCACGGTTCCAAAGGCTGTACAAGAAGCATGGCTTGGGAGGCCTTGGGAAGCTTACGATCATGGGGGAAGGCAAAGGTGAAGCAGGCACATCCTACATGGCTGGAGCAGGAGGAATAGAGTGAAGGAGGAGGTGCTACACACTTTTAAACAACCAGACCTAGTGAGAACTCACTCACTATCACAAGAACAGCAAGGGGGAAATCTTCCCCCCATGATCCAATCACCTCGCACCAGGCCCCTGCTCCAACACTGGGGATTACAATTCAACACGAGATTTGGGTGGGGACACAAATCCAAACCATATCAGGGACCTTATTTATATCTTGCTTAGCACCCCTACCCCCAGCCCTGCTGTTTCACAGGAGATGAGGCCTCCACTGGGACAAGTGAGTCACCTTGCTCATTACCCTACATTGTCACCCAGCTGCCTTAGGACCCGACCAGCTGTATAATCTGGGAAGCTTTCCAATTTCATCTTTTAATAAAAGCCCAAACTGCAAATTCAAGGCTGGCTGCTGGGGGAAGGGGCTGCCTGTTCAAAGCTACCTTTGAAACCCATTCTGACTTCTTTGAAATCAAATATTTTGTATATTTTACATAAGTAACATTATCTATCAATATTAGTAATGACTATTTAAGACCTGCTATATAGAAAACACTGTAGTAAGCATATCCTGTATACATTATTTTGTTTAATATTCACATTGACCTTATAGGCCATTTTACATATGAGAAAACAGAGGCACGTCTCTAAGGCTTCACAGCTAGTAAAAGGCAGGGCCAGAATGCAAACGCAGTCCTGTGGGATACCAGAGCACACACTCTTGACGCTTCACTGCTGTTATCAGTTGAGATGACTGAGCCAGTCACTTTTTGTTCCTTTTTCTCATATGGCTTTTTAAAACCACTTCCAAAAGAACCCCAGTTTCCACCAGAATCAGACACTGCATCTCCTGGGACTCTGTAGCTCTCCCTTTTCACTCTTCCTTTCACCTTGCTTACAGATTTCCCTTCAAAGTCAGGGCCATGGCTTCAGTTGTGCAATCTATGACCTGCACAAGGCCACATGGCTGGAGAGCGAGGCAAAAGGGCCTGAAATGCATCCTGTGCCCTGCTGACCAAGCCACTTTCCCTCAAGATTGTGCCCAAATTGAGGGGCATCTTTTTCTAATTCACACAAAGGCACTGCATGGGCTAGGCTAGTTTCTGCTCAGATCAGAGTTGTGTCATAAGCAGTTTGCCACTGAACTTGCTGAGTTCTTTGTGTTTTTAGGAGTTGTAGGTCAATCTATGATAGTGTCGCATTCACCCATCCATCCATTCATTCATTTAAGAAGTATTAACTAAGCTCCTATATCTGCTACATATTGTGCAGGATGCTGGGAACATACGAGTGAATAAGACCCCCATGGAGTTTTCACTCTAGTGGAGGAGACAAAGAAAAAGTAAACAAAGCAATAAATACAATAATCACAAATTATAGTAAGTTGTGCAAAGGAGAAAAGTACAGAATCATGGGAGAGAAAAACAGGGAAGCTCTACTGCTAATTGTTTGGTCAGGGAAAGCCTCCCCAAAGGAAGAATATTTAAGCTGAGATTTAATGATAAGTAAGATATATCTAGGTGAAGAATAGAGAGAACAGTATTCTAACTAGAATTCACCATATGTACGAAGTAGGGTGACCAATTGTCCTGGTCTTCCCAGCACAAAGGGATTCCTGAGACATGGGACTTCTAGTGCTAACATAAGTAAAGTTCTAGGAAAGCTGTGATGAGCCAGTAACCTTAGTGTGAAGGCTCTGTGGTAGGAAAGAGCTTGATGTGTTCAAGCAATGGAAAACCAACAGCTGTTAGCTTAAGGTGCAATAGGGAAAAAGTACACATTGAGAGTAGTGGGCAGGCATGGGCCATATCATGCCAGGCCTGGGACACCATGGGAAGGAGCTTGGATTTTCTCCAAAGGAAAGCCACTAAAGGGTTTAAACAGTGGCATAACTTCATTTGAAGGGCATTTTTTAAGGGATCTGCTATGGGGAAAATGGATTATGGAAGGACAAGAATGGAATCAAGGGGGAATAGTTAGGAGATTACAACAGTGATTAGGTGAGATATGATGGTGGCTTGGATCAGGGTGATGTTGGTTGGAATGGTGAGAAGTAATGGGATTCAAGATACAGATTAAATAAAGCACCAGCTGGACTCACCTTTGCCCAATGCAAACAGCCTTTTCCCCATAGGCCTTTGTCAAAAACAATCAGCAGCAACTGCTTAACAAAACAGCTTCCTCAGGCAATGAACAAAGTTTGGGGTAAAAAAATAGAGTAGCTAAAAAGCTTAAATGGAAAACTTGAGAAATGAGATGTCTACAAGGGGCTTTGACATATTCCTGAGAATCTAGAAGGCCATACATATGTGTAGGACTGTGAAGATGCACAAAATTGTGCACATACTCAGGAAAGACCTGGGAAGGCCCTAATGTCTCACCTCTGGCTGAGCTTGAAGCTTTGTGTCAACAGGACGTGAAGAGTAAGACAGAGTTGACAGAGTGTTGAAGGCACGCACTGACATGTACACATAGCCCCCCAACAAAGACTGGGAGATGTGTTGTTTCTATACATTTAAAGCAATCTCTATCCAATCATTAGCTGACCACCAGGCTAACCAAAGAGAGACTTCAGTGGCCACACATGACAAATAATTAAAGACTTTAAATATTTGTTCAGAAAAGTCACTAAAAAACAAACAACAACCACCACAATAAAGAGCAACAAAAAACTCTAGCAAGGAGAGTTGATGGAAAACTGGAAGACTCCAGTGTTATAAGAAATCAGGAAAGACTTTCAAGAGAGAGGAAATGTTCAACTTCATTACATGTTGGCAAAAGGTCATGTAAGATGAGGACAGAGAAGTGACCATCAGATACTTAACATGGAGGGCATTAGTGATTTCAATAAGAGCAGTTTTAGTTAAGCAGTAGGATTTGAAGCCTGGTTAGTTTGGATTGGAGGAGATAAAGAGAGGTAGACAGGGAGTATAGACATAACACTTTCAGTTGTCTCTTTCGATAAAGACCTTCAGCCTATATCAGAGGTAGGTGAATAGTATGAAAAGACTGTTGGCTGTCTTTAGATCTTCTCTGACACACTCTTCACAATCTCCATTCCACTTGCTACATCAGACTCAGAAACTACCAGCTAGCTGGGTGGCCTTTGGTTCAGGTCCTTCACCTCTTTGCATCTTACTTAGTCATTTGTAAAATGATGGGTTGGAACCAGGTTAACACAGGACAAAGTAAATTTCATGAAATATTAATTACAACATTTGTTAATTTGGTCTAATCTGACTGGAGAACACACAGCTAAACAAAGTTAAATAGATAGTCTTTTGCAGGACTTATCAGAGCCTTTAATAGTCTAATGTAAATTTGGCATTCCTAAGAGTAGGATACAGTGTGTAGTATCTCTCTAATACATTTAAGCAAAGAACCCTTATTTCTTGGATGATCTATAAACAGCCTGTGAATATAGTATTCCAGAAACAAGTGTGGAGAAGCACTGGATCTCTAAGGGCTTTTATAGAGATCATCTCTTTTGACTCTTATACTAATGTAGGCACAATATAGTTATTAATTTATGCCCAAATCAGTCCAAAGTATAAAAATTGTTATAATAACAACAGTTGTTATTTTATGTGTGCTTAGTATGGATGAGTATTTTTGTGATATGCTTTACACGTATAATGAGGGAAAAAAGTCATCCTCCACACGATAAAATCAAAGAGATGGATGGCAACTTATTTAAAAACTTAATTAAATTCTTTTAGGAAGACATTTTCAAGCCTCAGCCAGACCCTCGCCTATTGAAAGAAAAACCCAGTGCTAAGCTTGGGGGTTAAGGGCTAAAGACAGCTGAATTGCTCTGTATTGTAAAGTGGAAAAAATGGGGTTCCTTTGTTTCCAAAAGAGAGGGAGCAGAGAAGAGGACTGAGAAAGGCAAATTGAACAACTTGGAGGCATGGCTAGAGGACTTTGAAGAACATTTTGCATTTTAAGCTGTTTTCCATGCTGCAACAACTTCCTCTACTTCCCCAAGCCTTCAATAAAGTATGCTATGCACATACAGGCACTGCGAATGGTTGCTTTTGTTAATATGTTGGGGGTAGTAGTGTTGTTGTTGCTGTTGTCAAAATCAAAGAAAGAGTTTGAATTTAAGTTTAGAGCTACAAAATTGTAAATGGTTGTACTATGAGAGGAAGAACTCACAGGTGGGAAAAAGCTAGAGACAGAGGTGACCATATAATTGAAAACCCTATAGAAATTTGCAGATATCTTGGGGAGGGGAAATAGGAGTTTGAGTCAATGTTATCTAGGTCTTAAAGGTAAAAAGACTTCAGCAGCTAGTATCTGGATTCCACGAGCAGGATCTCAGTCAATCCTCACAACAGTCCTGTAAGGAAGGTATTGTTATTTATTTCTACTTTTCACCTGAAGAAACTGAATCAACTCAGGCTTAGAGAGGACTTGTCCACAGTCACACATCCTGGCAGTGGCAGATTAGTTTGACTCAAAAGCTCTTGTACTTAACCCCTTTCCAAGCCACTCCCTGAAAATACTGCAGGTAGAGTGGGAATGGGCCTGTGGCAAGATTCCATTTCTGTTCTGATATTTTGTTCACGGACTAAGCCACAGACACCCAAACTGCCAATGGATTGATCCTCATGCAGGCAGCATAGGAGTGCTCAGGTTTCTGTGGAGACGCTGTGGGCATCACAGTGCCCACCATACATTGCCATACACTGAAGCCATTATCTTCTGCTCCTAAAAAGAAACCATGTCCCCTACCATGCCTGTCCAATTCTTATTCATTCTTCTAGACTGAGCCACATGTCAACTCCTGATGCCCCCCTACCAGACGAAATTATAGTATGTATCATGTGTCCTTCTCCCCTACTAGGTGAGACACTCCTCCAAGAGAAGGGATCCAGCATTAACCTCTGTATCTGCAGTGTCTTGCAAATGTGGAGCCCTTCCTGAGAAGTGATGACACCCACACCTACCCTCGCCTGGCCTCAGGCCTCACCTCTCCTGGACCCATTGCACTCCAATGACTGCTGGCAGAAGGGTGCACAGCCTGTTCACATCCTTTTTGCTTTCTGCAGACAGTCTTGGTGGGGCTGCAAGCAGGGTAGAGACAGAGAGCACACTGATTTCATTTCATTTTTAATCTGCAGGGGCCTAATTCTCTGAAATCAGCTCTTCAGCCTGAAAGGACAGCACTACCTCAAATAGAAAGTCAGCCTGGCAGAGCCAAGTGTCATTATATTAATATGCAAAGCTACCAGTCAGCTAATCTCCACAAACCATTTGTTTCTTTAATTGCCCTCTTAGGGCAAACGTGAAAAAAAAAATAGGGAAGATGAATAACAATTTTATTTAATTCACCCTTTTCATTCTCCCCAACTCCACTTACTGATGCAGTTGTGAAGCTGGCAATTTTCAGCTTAAACTGTGTAACCACCCCTCTCTCAGATTCCCCACCCCAGCCTCCCCGACCCACATCAGCATCTGTCTCTCTGTTTCACTGAGTTCTGTCCTTTGACCCCACTCAGAGCAATGTCTTAGGGCTTTGAGCCTCCAGAAGATCCCCAAAGGGGTAGAGGGCAATTACAAAATGGCAGCAGGGAACCCAGTTTGATTCCTGCATTCCCCATGGGACAGGAGAGCGTCAGATTCAGAGCACTGGTTCAGAAGTAGCAGGTTGCATTTGAATCCTGGCTCTACCACTTACTAGCTCTGTGGCCTTGGGCAGGTCACTTGACTTCTCTGGGCCTCAGGCATATCATCAGTACAAACGGGGAAGGTTAAATCCAGGGGCATAGTAGTACCTGGTGCATAGAGCTGCTGTGAGGATTGAATCAGACCATGCCCGAGCAAGTAAGCACACGAAATAAAGAGGGTGCCGCTCAGTTATGTTGGCTGCTACTGCAGCTGTGGTCTTTTTTCTTTTTATGGTTTTGTCAGGTAACTACAAACAGGGTTTTCCTTGTCACTCAATGCACAGCTGGACCACAGGAAGCAGGGCAGCTGATGGCGTTTCCCATGGCAATTTGGATTTTGGCTAAGAAGAAAGGAGGAATGAACATGGTGATTTCCATGAACCCACCCAGATCCTTATTATTCCCCATTTCCAGTTTCAGGAACTTCTCCACTCTGATCCCAGCCCTTACCTCTCAGCAGCTGATAATTTTCTAGCAGTCTGTTTGGATCTTAGAGTATCAAAGATCCTAACAAAAAGGTAAACACAACAGAAACCCCCAGAAAGGGCCAATCACTGGAGCACGATGTATCCCTACATGCACACTTGGAGGGTAGCGGAGACTTCATAATGGAGCCCCAGACCCACTAATGTGTTATGCCCTGAGCATCTTGTGCACATGTGCACAAACCAGGAGATTAACAACAGGGAAGGTCAATGGAGACCCTGGAGTCTAGGGTTATGCCTGAAACCATTCTATGGAGGTCTATGTAAGTGCCCTAAAGTTTCTTCTTAAGGTTTAAAAAAATTTCATCCTTAGGAACAGCCCTCTTCACGAGAATTGGCCACTGATGGACTCAACAGTTTCCTCAAGTGGGAATCAAGTGGAATTTGTAGTGCTCATTTCATCAGGGATGTTGTGAGGATTAAATGACACAAATTATGTTATCAATAAAGGTTGATTTCACACCCTTTCCCCCCATTCATCCCTAGAAAAGCCCTGAGTAAGATCTTAAAACAAGTCCCTACTTGTCTCCCCTGGAGTCAGCGGTCCTGAATTTGATTCCCAGGTCTGTAATTTATGAGTGGTGTAGCCATGAGCAGGTGGCTTATTCTTTTTCAGAGTCTCAGTTTCTGCGTCTGTAAATTTGAGCTAATGCCAACACTTATCTGTTAGGGATTTGAAAATTAAGCTAGATAATTTCCATAAAGAGCTCCACATAGTGTCTGCTCATGGTAAACACTCCATGAAAATTTTGTTTACAGTAAAATAACAGTCAACATCACCATTTGTTTTGTGTTCCTTGAAGATTACTTCTGGGATCCCCAAGCACATTTGCACTCCCTTTCAGCAACTTCCTGAGAACTTCCTAGGCCGGGTGCAGTGGCTCACGCCTGTAATCCCAGCACTTTGGGAGGCCGAAGCGGGCGGATCACGACGTCAGGAGATCGAGACAATCCTGGCTAACATGTTGAAACCCCGTCTCTACTAAAAATACAAAAAATTAGCCGGGTGTGGTGGCGGGAGCCTGTAGTTCCAGCTACTTGGGAGGCTGAGGCAGGAGAATGGTGTGAACCCGGGAGGCGGAGCTTGCAGTGAGCCGAGATTGTGCCACTGCACTCCAGCCTGGGTGACAGAGCTAGACTCTGTCTCAAGAAAAAAAAAAAGAATTCCCTATCATTCTTTTTATCTGTGCCACTGTGTCACTCTTACCAACTCCTAGGTGGAGACAAGAGAGTCCCTCTGTCACTGGGTCTCTCGGCTCTTCCTGCTCCAAGAGCCATGGTCAACACCAGTGTTTCGGCTGCATTTCAGATGCTGCCACAGATCTCTTTGCAATGTGGAATTCTAACCCAACCCTCCCACAAACAACTTCCCTAGGTTTCGTTATGGGTCCTCAGGGAATTGGCTTAATTACAATTTTTAATGACGCACATGTTCACACAACTTCTGTATTAGCTGCCATCTCTTCTAGTGCTCTTTAGTATGTAATAAACATTATTCTTCACTGAAGCTGAGATCCAGTTTCTCATCTTCAACACATTAGGATCATTTGCGAACCTCTGATTCCACTGACATAAGAAGGCTCAGCTGAGACCTTATAGTTGAGGACAGAATGTTCTCTACCCTGATTCCAAAAAAGGGAAGACACCCCCAAGCCCACGAACTCCAAAGAGGTAGCAAAGTGAGTCTTCTGAGAGACAACTTCAAATCCTGAAAGCTGTTTTCAGAAGAAGGGGATGGGGGCTTTGCTGTGCTACTCATAGGTACCTGTGATGTGTGAGTCTGGGAGAGATACACTTGCACTTAGAGTATGACATGTTCCATCTGGATGATTCAGCACCATCATTTATGCACACAGGGCGGTGATGATTGAATTCAGTCCCTGAATCAAAGATACTTGCCGGCTAGAAACTCAGATCATGAAGAATCCTCTAAGCCCATTAACAAAATATGAAAGGCCAAGAAAGCAGAGCTACTCATGTGACCCCTGCTGGACCACCAAACTTCTTGGTGCTTGGAGAGAGGCCCTGTTGGTGACAGTGTTGCATAAAGATGGAACTAGGACTTTTTTCAGGGCAAAATTCACACAAAATAGAATTAACAATTTTAAAGTGTACAGTTGAGTGGCATTTCGTACATTCACAATGGTGTACAATCATCACTTCTATATAGCCCCCAATTCATCACCCCCAAACAAAACCCTATATGCATTAAGTAGTCACATTCTATGCCCCTTCCCCTCCTATCCCTAGCTCCTGACAAACACTAATATGCTTTCCATCTCTACGGATTTGTCTATTTTGGATATTTCATTTAAATAGAATCATACAATGCACGACCTTTTATATCTGGCTTCTTTCATAATAGCATGTTTTTGAGGTTCATCCATGTTGTACCGTGTATCAATACATCATTCCTTTTATTCACTGAGTAACATTCCATTGGATGGATACAACACATTTTGTTATCTGTTCATCAGTTGATGGGCATTTGGATTGTTTCTACCTTTTGGCTATTGTGAATAGTGCTGCTATAAACATTTGTATACAGGTATGTTTGAATGCCTGTTTTCAATACCTTAGGGTCTACACCTAGAAGTGGAATTGCTGGGTCCTATAGTAATTCCATATTTAACTTTTTGAGGAACCACCAAACTGACCTCCATAGTGACTGCACCATTTGCATTCCCATCAGCAATGCATTGGGGTTCCATTTCCTCCACAACCTTGCCAACACTTGTTGTTTTCCTTTTTAAAAAATTATATCTACCCTAGAGGTTGTGAACTGCTGGTTTTGATTTACATTTTCTTTTTTTTTTTTCTTTCTTTCTTTTTTTTTTTTTTGAGGAGTCTCGCTCTGTCGCCCAGGCTGGAGTGCAGTGGCACAATCTCCGCTCACTGCAAGCTCCGCCTCCTGGGTTCATGCCATTCTCCTGCCTCAGCCTCCCGAGTAGCTGGGACTACAGGTGCCCACCACCACGCCCAGCTCATTTTTTTTGTATTTTTAGTAGAGACGGGGTTTTACCGTGTTAGCCAGGAGGGTCTTGATCTCCTGACCTCGTGATCTGCCTGTCTCGGCCTCCCAAAGCGCTGGGATTACAGGCGTGAGCCACCGTGCCCGGCCAATTTACATTTTCTTAATGACTAATGATGTTGTGTATTTCTCATACACTTGCTGACCATTTATATATCTTCTGCAGAAAAATGTCTGCTCAAGTTCTTTGTCCATTTTTATAGTGGTTTGCTCTTTATATATTCTAAATACTAGACTTATTAGATATAAAACTTACAAATATTTTATCTCATTCTGTAGGTTATCTTTTTACTCTTTTGTTAGTGTCCTTTGATGCAAAAAGTGTTTCATTTTGATAAAGCCCAACTTATCTGTTTTTTTCTTTCATTGCTTGTGCTTTTGCTGTCATATCTAAGAATCCACTGGGCAAATGAAAGTTATGAAGATTTACTCCTATGTTTTCTTGTAAGAGTTTTATAGTGTTAGCCCTTAAGTTTAGGTCTGTGATCCATTTTGACTAAACTTTTGTATATGCTGTGAGACAGAGGCCCAATTTCATTCTTTTGCATGTGGATCTTCAGTTGTCTCAGCACCACTGGTTGTGGAAACTTATTTCCCCCATTGTAAGACATTGGCACCCTTTTCAAAAACCAATTGACTGTAGATGAATGGGTTTATTTCTGGACTCTCAGTTATATTTTATTGATTTGTATGTCTATGCTTATGCCAGTCCCACATTGTCTTGAGTATTGTACCTTTGTAGTACATTTCAAAATTGGCGAGTGTGATTCTTTCAATTTTTTTCCAGAATTTTTCTTTGGTTATTCAGGGTTCCTTGCAATACCATATAAATTTTAGGATTAGCTTTTCTAGTTCTGTAAAAAAAAAAGGCTGTTAGGATTTTGATAGGGATTGCATTGTATCTGTTAATCACTTAGGCTAGTATTGCCATCTTAATATTAAGTCTTCCAATCCATGAACACAGAATATCCTTTCATTTATTTAGATTTTTAAAAATTTCTTTCAGGAAGCAGGATTTTGATGCTCAACTTTTCACAGGGACTGCTGTGAAGGTGTGTTGAGGCGAGCTGAAACAAAGTCAATTTAGTTGTGACTGGGACCTACTTTGATCAACACAGGCTGAGTATAGCACACACTGCCAACAGGAGTGAATAGGAATGAACTTCAGAATGTTGACGATATTGGCCATTTTCAAATAGAAAAAAAAAAAAGAAGCTTAGAATGGAAGGAGTGGGTGTCTGAGAAAGCATGGGTTTGGCATTTAACAAATGCCAGATGCCCCTTGTAGTCTGTTCCAGTGCGATGGCTCTCTGACTGGATTGTGGTCCACATAGGCTGGTCTCAGGTAAGATTCATGGTGAGAATATAAGTACATCTCTACATGGGAAATTTGAAACAGTATCCTAATTATAGCTAATAAACAAACTGGACACTGCCTAACAGAGGTCTAATGAAGAGTGAAACTGTTCTTCTCATTTATTCACTCCTGTGAGGTAATGGAGTGTGGCAAGCTAGATTTGGGTGTGGAGGCAAAATTATCCCCAGGGTCTTCTGTTCCCCCAACATGCCTCAGAAAAAGCATCTTCTGAACTATACATCCAAAAATCCAGACTTGAATCTCAGTTCTGCCACTTACCTTGCTGTGTGACCTTGGAGAAATTATTAAAATTCACCAAGATTATTTGTTCATCTATAAAATGAGAATTCTTATAATATCTGCATAATTCATAGGGATGTTGTGCAAACAAGAGGGGTAAAAAAGTACTTAGAAAACTGATAATAGCAATTCAAATGTCAGGTATCATTGCTGTCCCCACCTGGAGGTCCCGCCCTTTGGGGGAGGGCTTTCATCCCCAGGAAACACTGATAATGCTAAGCAGTGGACCTGTGCATACACAGAGCTCAGACTACAAGAATGAGACTAGAGAAAACTGAGAAAGAGAAATTTCTACTCTCTCTGAACCCCAAGGGAGGAGATAGTTGTATAAAAGAATGAATGAATGGGTGAATGAGTAAGGGCAAAAACAAAGTGAAAGGTTTAGTGTTTCGCTGCAAAGAGGACCAAGATACAGCAAGCACAGAAGTATGCATTGAGTGCCTATTGCATGCTAGGCACTGTTTGGAACTCTGGGGACTGTCTAGTGGGATGTATAAGGCTCCATTGGGTATGGGATAACGAGTCTGGTTTGAAGGTCAAAGGAGGAGGATACAAGATGACTAAGACTTGATCCATGTCCTTTAGGAGCTTCAACTGAGTAGGGGATATAGGATACGTATACATTAGGTTGATGCAAAACTAATTGTGGGTTTTGCCACTACTGTCAATGGCAAAAACCGCAATTACTTTTGCACCAACCTAATACAAATAACAGTGACACACAGCAGAAAGTTACATTTGAAAACAACCAAAATCCATTTGCTGGAATAACTTAGGAGCAGGAGACAATACACAGTTGTTTAGGAAGTATCCATGCAGATAAGTCAGTCTTCCCAACTCTTTTTGTTTCCTTGTTACGATAAGGCAGAGAGATAAGAAAGATTTGGGGGAGGATATTTGGTTTTGAGCCCATGGATGCCCCTAGCCCCCTAGCCAACGTTGGTGGTTATAAAGTGTGCTTACATTTCTGTAGGGTGGACCGTGCAGGGTGTCTCTTTAGAGGTGTCAGGTTGTATAACAGTCTTCATTCTAGATCTAGGCTGGCAGAGGTGTTGGGAGTAGGACAGCTTTTTCATTTGCTCTTACCCTTTCCACTGATAGCAAAATGCCACAGAAAAATCATGGTCTCTGTCTCTTACCACCTTTGTGATCCTGAACAAATGAAGTAACCTACCTGGGTCTCAATTTGCTCCTCTGCAAAATGGGGATGATAATAACAGCTACTTTGTAGGGTGGTTGTGAGAACAGCACAGTACATGGTACGTAACAATTGTTCAATAAATAGGGTAGCATTTACTGTAACTATTTCATGGTTGGTATTGTCATCCTGGGATCATAAAGAAAACCTGAATTTATTAATAAACTCTCCTGACAGCCAAATGAATTCCTAACAGAGCAGAAACTAGGTGTCCAGCAAAATTCGATCTGGACTATAATTTCTTAATTCTGCAGGGTTTCTGATCCTGAACCACTGGTCAAGGCCACAGAAATATTTGGGGGCAAGGGGCTACTTTTGGTAACTGTCTTCTGAGATTTTTCAATCTATCTTAGAATGAAAGAGGAAAGAAAGAGAACAAAGACATACATTTAGAAAAAGTAATCATTACCATTAATATTTCTACTGATTACTCTTATAATTAAAGTCAGAGGTCATCCTTTTCCAAATGTTTTTATTCCCATGTTTTTCTCTGGATGCTTTCACAGCCCATTAGGGTAGAGGAATTAGGGTATTACCATTTTCCCACAAGACACCAAGCAGAGTTCTGTTGGAAGTGCCAAGATCAAAATGTACTGTGGTCAGTCATGCCTCAGTACCTTTGTTCTTTCATTCATTCAACAAATATTTACTAAGTGAATATTGTGTGCAGACCACAGTTCTGACATTCTAGTTGGGAAGTGGGGTGGGTCAGGAGACAGAAAATAAACAAATAGCAATATAAATATATAATGTCAGATGGTAAAAATGCTATAAAGAAGAAGAGGCAGGTTAAGGGAAACATAGCATGATGGTGAAGAAGTCCCATTTTATTCAGGGGTGATCCAGCTGATGAGATGACATTTAAACCGAGACCTGAAGGAAATGAAGGGCCAAGCTATGTGGCTCCCTGAAGGAAGAGTCTTCCAGGCAGAAGTTGCTCTAAGTCACTCTTGAACAACCATTCTATTTCTGTGTTGGTCCAACTCCCAACCTTGTATGTTTCTTTCTCATTTCCTCTTTCACCATTTGCCCTTTTCACCAAATAAAAGGTTATGTTTCTCTTGATCCCTGGTGCTTGCTTCTGTATGTAATTTGCATTCATACCCTGGCTTCTCTCTTGCCACTCTGGGTAGCCCCTTCCCCTTACTTCACCAAGCCCCTTTCTTTGGGATCTAATCACCGCACTTGGCTGACACCCCCTCTCCCACATGGAAGATCTGACACCAGCACATCACTTTGTTTAGTTTGTTGAACTACTAAGTACATCAAAAGTTACTTAAAACCATAGGGACAAGGTTTAGCCTGTCCAGGAAAAAGAAAAAAAAAAAAACCCTAAGCAGTGCAGTAACATCATTTTGTGTGACATTCAAATGCTTGCCCTTGATGGAAACAGAAGGAAAAGACAAATACACGTATGGCATGGACAAGCAACAGGCTAGTTAGCAAGCTGACTGCATTTGGATGCTTAGGTACCTGTTCATAATAAGAAAAGCCAGAGAAGACAACTGTTACCAACCTCATTGCTGCCACACATAACACATAATAGTGATGACCTTTATGTGGCAGACTTGCATGGGAGTGCACAAAAGGCTGGGTGCGGTGGCTCAAGCCTGTAATCCCAGCACTTTGGGAGGCCAAGGCGGGCGGATCACGAGGTCAGCAGATCGAGACCATCCTGGCTAACACGGTGAAATCCCATCTCTACTAAAGATACAAAAAAAAAACAAAAAATTAGCCCGGCATGGTGGTGTGCGCCTGTATTCCTAGCTACTTGGGAGGCTGAGGCAGGAGAATGGCATGAACCCAGGAGGCGGAACTTACAGTGAGCCGAGATGCACCACTGCACTCCAGCCTGGGCAAACAGAGCGAGTCTCCGTCAAAAAAAAAAAAAAAAAAAAAGAGGGGAAGTAGTTGATAATCAGACATACTTTCTTTTTATCTTTTTTTCTGAGACTGAGTTTTGCTCTTGTTGCCCAGGCTGTTGTGCAATGGCGTGATCTCGGTTCACTGCAACCTCTATCTCCTGGGTTAAAGCGATTCCCCTGCCTCAGCCTCCCAAGTAGCTAGATTACAGGCATGTGCCTCCACACCCAGCTAATCTTGTATTTTTAGTACAGACAGGGGTTTCACCATGTTGGTCAGGCTGGTCTTGAATTCCTGACCTCAAGTCATCCACCCACCCTGGCCTCCCAAAGTGCTGGGATTACAGGTGTGAGCCACCACACCCAACCGATAATCAGACACACTTTCAACAAATATTTATCAAGTACCTACTATGGGCCAGGCACTATTTATTAGATTCTGGAAATAGAGCCATATAAAAGACAGAAAAAGTCCCTCACCTCTAGGACACTTCCTCCTAGCCACTAGCGTCTAGTGGAAGAGCCAAGGAATAAACACACCATAAAACTGATATATAAGATAATGTCAGATACCAATAGTTACAGTATTATGAACAAAATTTAAGAAGGTGAAAAGGTAGAGGTAGATGGGGCAGGGATACTCTCTTAGAATGGTCAGGAAAGGGCTCTCTAAAGTAGCGTCATTTGAGCAGATATGTGAGGGACAAGATGGAAAGCGTCATCCAAATGCTTAGCAGAAGAGCCTTCCAGACAGAGACAACCACAGCAAGTGCAAAAGTCCTGAGGTAGGAACAAACTTTGCATAAAGAAGCAAGATCAGTGGGCTGAGCCATAGTTCTCAGGGCATCATCAATGCCCCCTAGAGGTCATTTTGAAAATGTAACTGAGCACTTTTAGTTTTCTAATTGTTCCAATGATTGGAGGATACTACTTGGAGGGTGGGGAACAGGAAAGACCATACTTAATTTTTTTTTTTTTTTTGAGACAGAGTCTCGCTCTGTCACCCAGGCTGGAGTGCAGTGGCATAATCTCAGCTCATTGCAACCTCTGCCTCCTGGGTTCAAGCGATTCTCCTGCCTCAGGCTCCCAAGTAGCTGTGATTACAGGCATGCACCATCACACTCAGCTAATTTTTTTTTGTTTGTATTTTTAGTTGACATGGGGTTTCACCATGTTGGCCAGGCTGGTCTTGAACTCCTGACCTCAGGTGATCCACTGGCCTTGGCCTCCCAAAGTGCTGGAATTACAGGCCTGAGCCACTGCACCCGGCCCATACTTCATTTTGTTTGGGACTTTATCAAGAAAGGTTCACCAGGCAAGGGTGTGAAGAAAAGGGAACCCTTGTGCATTGTCGGTGAGAATGTAAATTAATGCAGCCATTATGAAAGACAGTATAGAGGTTTTCCAGAAAACCAAAAATAGAATATGATCCAGCAATCCAGCTTCTGGGTATATATCCAAAGGGTCGCTAAAACCCAAGCAGAAGAGTTTCAACATAAAGCCCTCACAACCTCTGCTTCCTGCACCTGTCACTGTGCTCCTAGCACATGGCTTATACATGGTAGGATGTTAAATGGATGAAGTAATATGTGGTAGACCTTAGAAAAGTTAATCTTTGTAGAAAGAATTCTAAATGCAATTATATTCAAGATTTACAGGACATTTCAGTATAGTCCTAAACTTGGTTGAAAACATGAAAACAAGAAAAGCAGTTACTATATGAAATTAAAAGAAAATTAGCCAGGCGTGGTGACACATGCCTGTAGTCCTAGCCAATCAGGAGGCTGAGGCAGGATAATCACTTGAGCCCAGGAGTTCAAGGTTGCAGTGAACTGTGATCATGCCACTGTACTCCAGCCTGGGTGACAGAACGAGACACTGTCTCTAAGGAAAAAAATAAAAGAGGCAATCAACTGTAGAAATGTACAAGAAACACATACTGCTTGGAGGCTAAAGGTGCTTTGCTACTTCTGCAAAGATTGCTGGTCTTTAAATGCCAGGGAAGAGTCGTCTGAGATAATCAAACACTTAGGAGTTCCACTTTACAATTCTTTCTTCTTATCAGATATTGACAAGGATTCTTTGCTTGACCAAACTATAGTTGGGTTCCTGAATATTGTCCTTGGCTCATCTGTGCACTTTCTGGTAAAATCCAGTTTTAGTAATGAACACTGATAAGGCAGTTTAGTAAGAATACCCCTCCCTCCCCGTTGATGTCTGATCACCCTCAATATCTGATTGGATTCCTCATCACCCACCATCACCCAGGGGATGTCTGATCACCCTGGCCTGTCTTCAGCAAATGTCCTGTTAGGTCTGTTCAGCCAGAAACCCCCTTCCCCGGATGTTGGTTTTTTGTTTGTTTGTTTTTGTAATTTTTTAATCCACTGACCCCCATCCTACTCTTTAACTACAAGTTTCCACTTACCCAGGCTATATTCAGAGTTGAGCCCAATTTCTCTCACCTACTGCAATAGCCCATTGCAGTGATCCCTATACCTATCATGGTGGTCCTAAAATAAAGTCTTCCTTACCATGCTTTAACAAATGTCATTGACTTCATTGATATATGAACTAAATACTAATAACAGAAATTGAATGTGAAACTCTATTGGACTTTAAGAAAAACTATTCTCAATGAAATTATGGTCAAAAGTAGATGTCTATTATTCTCCAGATTCATCAAAAGTATGAGAAGAAACTTGCTGGGACTAGATTATTTATATAAATATAGAGTAGCGCTGCTGCTATGAGCAAAGAACTGGGTCTCGCAGTCTCACTTTCCTGAGATAGCTCAAAATCTTACTCTATGAAGTTTGCTATCATTCCAGCAAGCACTTGAGCTGCAGGGGTCCTCTCAGCAACTGGACGTGCTTCTTTCAGACTGTGCATAGCAGCTCCTTACCTTAGGACTTAAAGACCCATTGAATGCTTTTTCGCATCACCTCCACGCTGGAACAAAGCCTGCTGAATGCATGTGTCCAGGCCTCTCCTACTGCTTTCACTCTTGGTACACTTTACCACTCCTCCCACCACCACTACCACCTAAGGGGACAGGAAAGGGAAAATGAAACCCTCCTGTATCACAATGGCCTCTGGACCATAACATTTCCCTCACTCCAGCATCATGATTCTGGAACCGTCTCCCCACATCACAGGTTCATCAGCCAGTGGAGAATAGGAGTGACTTGACTGCAAAGTAAGGAGCCTTTAGGATTCAAACCATATTCAGATGGAGCTAATTGTGGGTGCATAGCCTTGTAAGTGAAGCCAGCATGGCACAGAGAAACCATCCATTAGTCAGGCACTCCAGCTCTCTTTATTGCTTCTTCTCCTTAATCATAGCATAGAACCCACATTTGGGATTCCGTAATTCATTCTTATTGGCCCTGAATTATAGGTCCACCATGTTACAGATCAGAAGTGCTCTCATTCACGTATGTAACAAACTTTTTTTTTAATTTTGCCCATTATGTGCTAGACTCTAGGGATATAGCAGTGATGCAGACACACTTGTACTCACATAGAAGAGATAAGAAATGAACAAGTGTGATGAGTGCTGTCAAATGGCAGGAACACAGTGCCACGGGAGCCCACAGAGTGAGGATAACACCTTGCTTAGAGTTCAGAGAAAATTGCTGTGAGGGAACAAGGCTTAGGTTAGGCCCTTAAAGGTAAGTAGGATTCGGGCAGGTGAAGAGGTGGAGAACAATCACAACATGTTAGTATGTGAGGGGTAAAAACAGGTTGTAAAACATACTAATTCTAAATTTGTAAAGAACTCTCTCTATATATGGGCTTGGAGTAAAACATCCAGAAGGATGTACTTCAAATATCAATAGTGGTTATGTCTGAGTAGTAGTACTATGAGTTATTTTTAGTTTCTGCTTAATATTCTGTATTTCCTAAAATTCCTACTATCAGCATGTTTACATCCGTAGTCAGAAAGTAAAATTTGATCTTACGTAAAGCAAACCTGTCTCAGCCCCAGCCACTTCAGACCTGATCCAGTGACTGTGTCCTCCTCTGAATTACTTCCAAAGAGCTCTGCCCTGGGCCCCAGTGGCCAGCCAGAGAAATATCCCCTCACAACTGCTCCTCGATTTCAGGCCTTTGCCAGCTAACTTACCCCTGGTCAGTTAATGGAATCCTCTCCTGGGAGCCCCTACGTAGCTCCACATGCTACATCAATCATCCTGTCACCTCTCCAGTCTCCTTACATTTTCTGAGCCCCAGTTTCTTTCAACAGCTCTATTTTTCTTTCCTCCCCCTAGAATTGCCATCGGATTCTACCAGCAGGCTTGTCATGGAGACTGCCGGCAAAGTAATTCTTGAATGCTACAAATATTGTTAAAGTCTATTTTCCATTATGAGCTCTTCCAGTCCAACTGAAGGAGGCTACTCACAAGTCCATCCGTATATAATTTTGAAAGATTTTTCTCTATAATCTGTGGGTCACTAAGGGTATTCACTCATTTCCTCATTATCTCCTCCAGCTAATACTTCACTTCTGAGGCAGTAACAAATTTGAAGCCTCATCCTGGTTCTATGTGATGTCACAGCTACAGGCAAGAGTGATACCAACCTCAGGTTCCATAGGCAAACACATTGGCACGTGCAGAAGGTGGGGTACCCCTCCTCCATTTCCTTTTACAGGCTAGGAAAACCCACATTCAACAATTCCGCTTCTCTGGTTTCAAGCCTCACTGGTATGTCTGGGAAAGTTGCCTGGAGCCTGGAGGGTACAGGTAGCAGCAAGGTGGAGGCAACAACATTCCTCTTGTTGGCATATGTCCCTCCATATGCCCACTCCCTGGTGCCAATCCCTGGCACTTTCCAAACCCTGTGTTTGACAGCTGCGCAGCTGCTGAGCAATTAAGCCTAGTCATCTCAGAGAATTTGCAAAGGGGAAGAGAAAAATGCCCTCTGCTACTTCTCAGGCTGTGGTCTGAAAGGTTCTGTGGAATTATTTTATGGGAAGCCAGAAGGCAAGAAGGGACATAATATTAAGTGAGTTCTTCTAAAAACTGCTGTCAAAGAGTTTATCATAGAATCAAAGAGTCTTAAAGTTGGAAAACACTTTCATAAATATTTGCACCATGACTTATGATGCTAATTTGCTGTCTCTGAAAGATAGGAACAGAGTTATGGTCTGTTGGGCCCTCACTTGATAAATAGAAGGGTTTATCAGCCTTACAGCTAGACAGTAGGAAGCTACTTCAGAGGCCAAGAGATAGATAGCCATAATGATATCTACAAGCACAATGAACTGCAGCTAAGTCATCCAAGTCAAGGTTTGCCACCCTTCAGCTGGTTAGCATGGAGACACAATACCAGTTCTCAGTAGTGTTCAGCCCAATCGACCCCTCCCATTTTCCAAGACACTCCCCTCCCACTATGGTTTTGTCTAGTCTCAACTTCCTTCTCTTCTCCTGCATCCCCTGGGGATGAGGTGGAGAAAGAATTGGTATGAATAGATTTGCTCATTCAAAGAACTGATTGTTCCAACTGAAACCTCATAACTTTACACCAAGGTGTAACAACAATTCTGATTTCTGTTCATGGTTGGTGTTCTTGTTTCTTTTATGAAAAGGGAAATTGGAGCTGGGCATGGTGGTACATGCCTGTAATCCTGGAGCTTTGGGAGTCCAAGGCAGGAGGATTGCTTGAGCCCAGGAGTTTGAGACAAGCCTGTGCAACATAGTGAGACCTTCTCTCTAAAAACAAAACTTAGCTGGGTGTGGTGGCACATGCCTGTAGTCCCAGCTACTGGACAGGCTGAGGCAGGAGGATCATTTGAGCCCAGGAGTTCCAGGCTGCAATGAGCTATGATCACACCACTGCACTCCAACCTGGGAGACAGAGTGAGACCCTGTCTCTCTAAACAAAAAAGGGTGGGTGGGGGGTGAAATTTACCTCATATATCTGCTTCATGTTAAATGCTGCCTCTTAGAGTGGTAACATTTAAAATTTTATTTAGCACCTTTGGCCAAGGTACTTTAAATACTGGCTGATGCATCCAGCAGATTCCTTTTAGATCTGCTAAAAGCAATTAAAACCAAAATTGAAGAATGGACACCTAAGGGGGCTGGTTTGTGAACCTAGACCGGCTTTCCCAGTAAGTCTCAATATTTTGAAGTGGGAGGGGGGCAGTATTGGAGCACAAAGAAAGGATGGATTAGAATCTCTGAAGAAGGCAACAGAGATAATGTGTGGAATAAAATAACAATATTCCTATGATTTAAAAAATATCCGCTATGGAGTGTAAAGAGCTGAAAAATCTTCCTGACTGGCAAGAATGCACGGAAGACACAGTAAAAAATATTACAGTAGGACTGGGTAATAAAAAGGAAGTGAACATTGCCTAGCCTGGATTCACGCCCTTGATGCAAGGAGAACCAGGTGAGGGAACTGATGGGTCAGCACAAATGAACCATACACTGGAAACACTCTCCCAAATGCTGCCCTTTCTGATTGCTAGAACACCAGCAGGGCAAACTTCCAAGTCCAAGTGAGCCAATGGAACTATAGCTATACTGTGTCAGCCTTCAGGGCAAAGGCTGTCTTGTCCACAACTCTATCCCCAATGGCTGGAGTTCTGCCTAGCACATAATAGCTTCCCAATAAGTAAATGTTTCTTCTATAGATACATGGTAAAAAGAAATATATAAAATATTTATTTTATATAAATATCAATTTATATCTTGTATAAATACATGGTGAAAGAATATGACATAAACTGGATGTGTGGCAAATCCACTTTATATCATATTTTTCCCCTCTTGGGTCTCAATAAAACTCTTTTAAAGAGCAATAGAGATATAGCAAGAAAATGCGATCCATTTGTATTTGATCTACCCAAATAATACAAGTTTAGAACCAGTTTCACCTGAACAATGTCTTGAACAGTAATAGTATAGTAGATACTCAAGAAACATAAATATTTCTTGTATGGATAAATGCAGATGAGATGTCAAGAGAAATACGTACTGAGAAAATACCTTACAACTAGTAGACCCAAATCAACGTTTGATTGTCTGTCAAAAATGGAGTGGGTCAATTAAGAGAAATCAAGTCAATTGCAAACAATACTGAACCGCTTCCAACAAGAAAAGGTGGACTGCATGCCCAATGCTTACATAAAGTTGAGTATGCTCAGTACTTTTTCCTGTCTGTAATCCATCGAGAAACATTGCAAAATCATTTCAGGAGCCATATTATATCCAAAGAGTCAATGGGGGAAATAAATAGCTGTTGGGAGTGAAAGAAAAACATCAACATCTGTTTGTATTTTCATGCACAATAATACTATTTTCTCAGTATGAAGTCCAGTTTATATTACTTGCATTATCAGACCAACCAGACTTTTAAAGAAATAATCAGATGAAAGGTGATTTGTTTTCTTCCAACGTAGGTATTTACATATAACCATTTGCTCAATCTGAAGAGCTTCCTCATTTCTCCTTTGTACTGTGGGGCCATCTCAGAGATGGTTTGCATAAGTAATGCATTTATTTACTAATCTTCAAAGAGTCTCTATTTTTCCTGCCTTCCCACTGTAGTCATTAGGGGTCACAACCCTGCAGGAAATATGGGCTGCCATGGTAACACAAAATGTCTGCTGCTGGGCTTAGCGTAATTCCTCCCTAATAGAAAAACAACGAGCAGTAAATCCCATCTTTGATAAACTGGCTTATTGTTGTATGGATCCTCTACCTGGGAGGTGGAGATCCCCCAGAGCAGTTTTAAATGATACAAATGCAACCCATATCTGGATTGATTTTTCATTTTACAGAAGGAACTGGGTAAAATTGTACCAGACCAAGTCAAATTCCTTGTCACATTTAAAAATCATTGGTATTGCACTCAGTCAGTTATCTGTTGGGTTCATTTATCAGATGCTATGTGCCACTGTGCTAGGGTCTGGAAAAAGCAAGTCACTTCCCAAAATCACTTTTAATCCCCATAAAGAACTACAAATAAAGTGCACCAACTCCATAATTTTCAACTATTTATTAATGATAGCTATTTTATTAGTTTACAGTCTTGTGGATTGAAAGTGGGGTGAGCCTGCTTAGGGTTAAGGGATCAGAAATGAGGGAAGGATATTCTAATATTGACCTCAAAGAGAAATCATATACAACAACAAGAAAAGGCTCCCCTGCTTATATTTGAGAACAAAAAAATATAAAGTAAGAAAAGGCAGACCTACTACTCAATTATTTTGTTCTGAAAGGGGAATGCTAAAAAAATCCTTAAAGTAGCAATGATTATGTAAATAAAATTACATGGCAAATGTTAAAAATCACAATTCTTGTCAAAGTATATATGTTCATCAAAATGTATGCATTTGAGGACCAGTCACGTGATCATGCTCTTAGACAGTGACAGGAACAATCATTGAAGAGATGATGATTCTTTTCTCAAACAACCCTGTTTCGCTCTTAAATCTTGAAGACAGACTTGGAATCTGCTGTTTGCTTCTACTGCTTTTTATTACACCCAAAAACATGTACTCTACTCCACCACCCAGGCCACTGGCCTTACTGTTCTCTGAACACCATACTTGTCCTGTCTCTACATCACTGCACACACTACACCCGTTATCTGGAATGCCTTCCCCCTCCCTGTGTCACTAACCAGCCTCATCCAAGCTCGATGAATCCTCTGTGGCCGATTATCATACATTTGGGCATTTAATGACAGTCTGTCATATAGTTTGTTTGCCAATTATTTCTTACATACAAGAAGACTGTAAAGTTTCTCTGAGCAAGCGTCAAGAGTCTCCCTGTTGTTTCATTGGCTCCCACACTCTGATGAAGCAAGCTGCCATAATGGAGAGGCCCACGGGGCAAGGAACTAAGATTGGCCTCCAGCCAACAGCCAGCAAGGAACCGAGGCTCTCAGTTCAATAAGTCTCCAGAAACCAAATTCTGCCAAGAACCTCATGAGCAAGGGAGCAAATCCCTTCCCAGTCCAACCTTCAAATGAGATCCCAGCCCTGGTTCACACCTTGATTGCAACCTATGAAAGACCCTGAAGCAGAGGACCCAGCAAGCCATGCCTGAATTTCTGACCCATAAAAACTGTAAGATCACAAATGTGGTTGTATCTTAAGCTGCTAAGTTTTGGGATAATTTGCTATACAGCATCAGATAACTGCTACTATGAACCAAGCCACTAGCCTCATAGAAGGGCTCCATAAATACCTGTGGAATTAGAGTTATGTAAAAGTGAATTATACTTTTGGTATATTCTCCAGTGAGTTAAGTGTTTGGGGGAAATAGCATCATACTTCTCATTAAATGAAGGCCAGGAATGTTAAGTGGTTCTCTAGGTCAGCTACCAATTTCAGAATATGGAGAGTGAAGATCAGGGCACCTATTTCTCATTTACCCCTTCATGGTGTTTACAAAATATTAATAATATTTGTTGAGTTCACACAAGACTTTCTTACAATTGATCTCATGTGTGGACCCAGCTTACTCCCTCTGCTTTTGATAAGTCCCCAATGCCAGCAGAACTAAGTCAAATTTCTTGACCTGTTGTTCAAGCCCTTTCATAGCTGGACCCACACTCCCTCCAGCCTTGTCTCTCACCACATCTCCTTTTCAGCCCCATAGTAGCCAGAGTAAAAGCACAAATCTAACCATGTCCTTCCCATTCTCAAAACCCTCCAATGACTCTATTGCTCTTAGGACGAAGATCCTGCACAGCCTGACTCCTGCCCACAGCTGCAGCCTGATCTTGCACTACCCTTTCCTGAATGCTCTCCTCTCTAGTCACAATGGCCCACTTTCAATTCCTTGGACTGTGTTCTGTCTTGCCACAGCCTTTGAACTGCTGTCACCTTGTCACCTGGATAGCTCCTATTCATTCTTCAGCTCTCAGCATACCATCACTCCCTCAGGGAAGCATTGGCTGATTTTTCTGACCAGGTCAAGCACCACATTTTACACTCCCAAGGCACTGTGTATCTCTTCTTCCTAGGTCTTGTTACATTTATTTGTGTGGCTTATTAATGTTAGTCTCTCTCAATCACTGTAATGTCAGTTCCATAAGGTTAGGTTTTGTTCACTGCTGTATCCCCAGGCCCTGGCACATATTAGGCACCTTATCTCTCTCTCTCTCTCTCCCCGCATCTCTATCTATCTATCTCTATCTACATATATATTTTAAATAATTTATTATTTTGAATTGACAGATAACATTGTATGTATTTATCATGTACAACGTGATGTTTTAAAGTATATATACACTGAAAATTGACTAAATCTAGCTAATTATCATATGCATTACCTCACATAGTTATCATTTTTGTGGTGAGAACTGTTAACATCTACTCTGTTAGCATTTTTCAAAAATAAAATGTATCGTTATTAACTATACTCACTATGTTGTACAATAGAACTCTTGAATGTGTTTCTCCCATCTAACTAAAATTGTGTACCTTTTGACAAACATTTATCCAAAACCCCTCTACCCCGCTTCCCAGCCTCTGGTAACCATGATTCTACTCTCTACTTCTATGAGATCAACGTTTTAAGACTCCATATATTAGTGAGGTTATGAGGTACTTGTCTTTTTGTGTCTGGCTTATTTCACTTAGCATAATTTCCTCCAAGTTCATCCATGTTGTCACAAATTACAGGATTTCCTTCTTTTTTATGGCTTAATAGTATTCTGTTGTGTATCCATACATATTTTTGAAATAAATGTTGAACAGAAGTCACTTCTCTTTTTTAAACTTCAATTTTTCCCCCCATCTAGTGAGAGAAAATGTTCTATTATTTTCTCCAGTTCTATCTCATTTGTGATTCCAAGTTGGACAACATCCCCACCTTCCACACCCAATTCCTGAGGCAGCAACTTTTCTGGGCCACTTCACTCCATTCACTGAGACTCCTGAAATAAGGAGCAGATCCTTGGTCTATTTTTCTAGTTCCAGAAACTAAACATTAGAACTCAGAAGAAATAACAACAAGTACAAAAATGTTTCTCTTTTTGCAGTCAAAAGAAAATCCAAGAATTTTTAAAAAGATTCCATTTCCAAATTGATGAAAATATGTGAATCATTTGTTCATTTGGTTGTTTGTGTATTTAAATGCAATTTTGCCTTAGGAGCTGTCCAAAGCTTTCCTGGGGTTAAAAAGTACTTGTGAGTGCAGCCTCATGTTCTGATGGCTTTATCTCAATGGATACTCAGTAATGACATTTATAAATCTCTTCTGGAGGGCATCACTGAGAACAGAGCTTGAAATGAAAACAGAAATGCAGCTTTAGGTCATAAATTTCTATAATGTCATGTCTGGAAGCACCTAAGAGATAATGTGCTCCAACCCCCTCACTTTATAGATAGGAAAACTAAGGACTAGAAAAAGAAAATAACCTGCCCAAAGTCACAAAGCTAGTCAGTTCAGCTAGATTTCAGTGCAAAGGTGGGACTAAAAACCAAAATTCTTGACCCTCAATGTCATTCCTTGCTCTCTCTCTCTCTCTCTCCCTCTCCCTCTCATACTCTCGCTTTCTGTTTCCCTCTCTTTCCTTATAAAAAAGCTGATTATTTTATTCTGGATCTCTTTCCACCTCTCAAAAAGTATTTAGTTGTATGCCGTGCATTTAGGAAAGGTTTAATCAAATGAATGCTAAAAAGTAACAAAGAGCTAAGAACCAAATCTCTGACTATTATGGTGAGGAAATTCAAGTACAACGAACCCTTGACATTCAGGAAGGGCATACAGAAAACTTCACCTCCAACTCCTCTCCAATTCACAAATCCCACAATTACATAATCGGCATATAATTTCCTGCATAAAACTTCTATTTTCCTCCTAAGAACCATCACACTTTTGCAAAGCCAATTGTTCCATCACACCAGCCTTGAAGTGTGTGCAGTTCAAATTTATGCCTCAGCAAAATTACAAATTTCTACATGTCATGAGCCTTTAAGACCCACTCATACATAGTTGAAGTTGTGAATGTTATATCCAAAAATGTCCAGGGTCTACTGATTCTTTAAAGTGACAGCCCCACCAAATCTGGACAGGTATTTGAGTTACTGGATTTAATTCAAGGGAGAGACCACGTTATGCCAGTGTGAAATTTGGAAAACTACTGGTCATGAGTTACACGTGAAAGCGTAGAATATATTGGGTAGGTCTAGAAATGGAAGTGTAAAGAAAATCAAATCTATCTTGATCATGGAAGAACCTTCTCTCCTTGTCCTGGAAATGCTTCCCTTCCTGGGTACAAAGGCTCAATTCATAGCTGCAGGACAAAATAGACCCCAATGAATTGGGCATTTGTACCCAGCCCTGTGTCATGCTGTACTGTATTTACAACAAAATATCTCGACTTAGTCCTTGCTTTTTCAGAGTTTAAAGTTAAGGAGTCAAGTCAAATTCAGTAGAAATTGATAAATATCAGCGCAAGGGAAGAGAGGATATTTAACAACACTTAGTGGAAAAGAAAGGATTTGAGCAAGGGAGGATGAGGTGGGCTGAAAAGGACTTGGAAGAGTCTGTGGAAAAGCCTAGAAATGAACTAGGGTTTGCCTGTAGTCAACCTAACCATCAAAAAGAAACCCAAAGAGTCTTTTGCCTGTTTCGGGTTTTATTTTTTTAATCTCTTTGGAAGGGAAAATAATCCCTAATATCACCCAGCAAGGGAATTCATACATAGTGGAGGCTCAATAGACCCCTCTTTGGGGAAATATTCATTAAAGTATAACTTACATACAGAAATGTGCACAAATGATAAGTGTTCAGTTTGATGAATTTTCAAAAATTGAACACATTCTTGTAACCAGCACCCAGATCAAGAAACAGAACATGACCAATACTCCAGAGGCACCTTCACTTCCCCTTCCCACTCACTGCCTCCCCTGCCCCCCTACACTGCCCGCAGGTTAATCAGATTAATTTTGCCTGGTTTTGGACTTCATAGAAATGGCATCTTGTAAGATGCTCCTTTTTTGTGTCAGGCTTCTTTCACTCAACATTGTGTTTGGGAGATCTGTCCCTGTTATTGCCATGTGACCGTGTACATAGACCATTTGGGAAGCACAGTTTCATGGCGGTTGCATGTAGTTATCATGTGTCAGGAACACATGAAATCATCCACTCACTGCTCCAGGGAACAATCAGATGGAATATACAGCAGAGAAGAAATGAATGAAGCAAGGGGAAGAAGAGATAGACAGGGCTTCTATAGCCTGGTCCTCAAGGAAAATTGGCAATTAGGTGAAAGGTGAAGGGGATAAGAGGTCTGAGTGGCAGACCTGATTGAGATTAACATAAACCATTAGGTTAACCCAGAGACAAACAGGAGTGGCACTTGAAATTTACATAAATGCTATACCCAGCTGCAATCAAGTTTCTGTAGGAAGAAGAAAATTGACAAAAAAAAAAAAAAAAAAAAAACCTTGTAACCCAAACTGAGGAAAAACAATAGTGGCCATAAATTGTCTTTGTCTGGCAGAAAAGCTGAGGAGAGAAGGAAGATTTGGTAGAAAAGCTGAAGAGAGAAGGAAGATTTGAGGAAAGATTTTTGTCTAAGTTGGCACTGAGATAACCAATGGATCATGGAATTTAATGCCCTCCCCACCCCCAGTTTTGGGGAAGAATAATGTATGTACTCTGAGAGTATTCCTGCAAACCATTCCCTCCCCATAGGTTCCCCAGCCTTTCTGAGCAAGAGAACACAGTTTTCATTCAATAAACATTTATTTTCTGTGAGCCAAGCACTGGCCTTGATGTATGGTGCTGAACTGACTCGGTCTCTGTACTTACGGAGATTACAATCTGTCCAGGTGGGCAGCCAGTCAGTACCTAACATGGCAACAGCGACATGGCCCAGCCTTAAACCACAAAGCATCCCTCTGAAAGATTTCTATACCAGAATGAAAAGCTGCCCCTGTCATCCTCAGCACTCCTCTCCACTCCATCCCTATGCAGGGAATCCAGTCTAGGGTGAATGTTACACAGCCTTCAGATCATTCTGTGCAACCCATCTTGTGCCTTTTAGGAGAAAGGGACCATTTCCCAGGTCCTGCAGGAGGCCTGAGAGGAAGGAAACAAGTGCCAGGATGCTAAAACAGCTCTGTTTCTGGAAATCTCGTGGATGGGAAACCACCACAATTCCAGAGAGAGCTCCTCCAGGATGACTTTAATATCTTTTCCTGCCCCTCTGCCCCAGCATATATCAAAATCCTGGGGATACAGACTCTTATTCTTTCCTCTTGCTCCCTCTGCCTGGGCATAATGATATGATGTAACTGGGCATAAAGTCCATGCTCCATACTTGGGGAAAACTATAGCAAGTTGCTTGGGACTTAAAATCTAAGCCAAGGTTTAAAGAGTCTAGTTTAAAGGAGTTCTCAACTGTGTAGGCTGGAACTATTCCTGAAGATAAGTGGGACTGGTGGCCAACACTGTAGCAATAAGAGCTGCCTTTGTGTGTGTCATTTATACCTTGCATAATAGCACAATTATAAGATACTTACTATGGGCCAGACCCTGTTTAAAGGCTTTACCTGTATTAACCCACTTAGTCTTCACAGCAGCACCTATGAGGTAGGTGTTATTATTAACACCCCCAACACATACCCTATTTTATAGATGAGGCAATGAAAGCTCAAGTCTGACAACTGGTAAGTCAGGGAAGCTGTGATTCAAACTCAGGCTGTCTAATGCTGTAGTTTGGTCTCTAAGGGGTTCTCCATACTCTCTCTTATGTGCAGTGTCTTTTTAAATTTTTGCACCAGTCCTGTGGGGCAGAAGGTAACCCCTTTTACAGAAGAAAAGACTGTGGGTCAGGAGGCTTGATGAGGCCCCCAAAGCTAGCAAGTAGTGAGGCAGGATTTGATACTAAATCTGTTTCTCTGTAAAACCTCATTTTGAAGCCAGTAGAGCAACTTAAAGCCATTTGAAGCCAGTAGAGCAACTCAGAGGTTCCGAGATAAAGTAAGGGGGTTTGCTTGCCCTGACTTGAGTAAGGCTTCTAGCCTCAAGTTTTCACCACCTTCTCCCTCTTCACTCAAACGAGTGAGGTCAACATACTCTAAGACAAAGATGAGAGATGAAAACCGTAAACTAATTTCATGAGGCCATGGTTCCAATATTTTTATTTACCAAAGAAGAATATGGTACAATGGTTAAAAGCGTGGGCACAAGAGTGCAAGTAGCCTGGGTATGAATCTCCATTTCTATTACTTACTACCCATACGACCCTTGGGAAAGTCATTTTACCTCTCTAAGCCTCGGTGTTCTCATCTGTAAAATGAAGATATTAGTTCCTAGAACATACAGCTGTTAGGATAATTAAATAAGAATTAATGAAAGCCATTTATTGTAGTACCTGATTCAAGGCAAATGTCCAGTGAATGGCTGCTAGTATTAGTTTTAATTATCCTTTTTGCCACTTCTCTCATTTTCTTTTTCCAGGCAAGATATACTTGGCATCTGGACTGTACTCAAAGGCCTAGAGGTGCCAGTTTGCATTTGAAAGACATATAATTACAGAACTCATCAAGATGAGGACAGGGAGGCAAAATGCCCAGGCATACCAAAGCCACTTCCAATTGCAGCATATATTTTCTAAATCAAAAATTATTCTCGTATTGATTGGCTGGAAAACGAAGATTCTTTTTTAAACTCTAAAATAACTTTTATTCTTAAGAATGAAAATATGCTGAAGTTCTTTCCAGCTACTGAGGGAAAACTGTTTCCATGGTCTTCAAGGATGCTTAACAAAATGATAAATGACAAAGATTGCCCTTTTTCATTCCCAAGATAATCCCTTCCCAGAAAAACATTTATGTTGAGTGTTTGATGGCTTTATGGCTACAGAAAGAGTCCCACCTCTTTGCTGCCTTAAAGATAGTTAGCTAAAGTGGGAAGGAGGAGTCTAGGCAGGCCAGCTGTTGCTATAACCTACCACTCTGTTAGTTTCAGTAGCTGTAACCTGGAGCTATTTAGGCTTGTTTTGCAGCAATGAAGGGTGGTTTTATGCAGGCCTGCTTGTCTCTTGTCGCTCCTCTGGGGATAAGAGAGGTGGGTTATGGACTCACTGCTTCTGAAAGCCTCATATCTTTTTATAGCGCCAGCCAGAGAAGCCACTTCTTTTTCTTCCCGCCCTTTCGGATCAGAGTTGCAAGCACCACTTAGGCCTGAACTAGGAATCAAACGTTATTGCTGATAATAATAACTTTAAAATGCTATCTATTGTTCTGGGCACTGGGCAAAGCACTTTACCTGCATTTGCTCATTCAATGTTCACAATAATCATATGAGTTAGAGTCCTGTTCTGATTCTTCATTTTATAGATGAGGACACTGAAGCCTCATCTATAAAGTCCCTGTTCTGACTCTTCATTTCATAGATGAGGACACTGAGGCCTAGAGAAGATAAGTACCTTCTGAAATTCTCTGTAGTTTGAAGGGCAGAGCTACAGCTGGAACCCTGCTTATTTGACTAAAAGTAGAATGATGCTTCCTGTGGGGGAAAAAATAACTTTCTGGATTCTAGTGATTTCTGCAATTTTGGAAGGTAGTTAATTTGTGAATGTACCATAGCACTGAGTCACAATTCTCAGCATCTCTCAGCAGTTCCTACAGGAAACAGTTTGGAGAGGGAAGCTCCAAAAACCAAATGTGATGGAGAATAAAAATGCAATAGTTTCCTGACACTTTTTAAAAACAAAACAACATTTATACATACCATGTTTATGTTGTCTCAGCATTAAATGTACAAAAATATCCTATGATAATAAAAATAAATTATTAACAAAGCATAAGACCAGAAAGCACGTACATAATGACTATAGAATCACAAAAGTATTTCTGTGAAAGAAAAATGTTAAATGAAATTCAATGAAAAGAAGAAAACAGAACACTGAAATTTTTTTTGGAAATAAGCTACACTTGAAGAATTACTTTGCAAGCCCCTGAATTTCAAGTTCTAACAGCTGTCAGATAGCATTGTCATATTGTAGAGGAAAACGTACTCACTTTCTGCAGATGTGCGTATTTTTGGCACTTACTAGCTGAAAAATAACTTGTAAAGAATTAGGTAAAGGACAATATGAAAGGCCTCAGGACTCCGGAAGTACTCTCTCCTGGATTTCATTAAATCTAATGAGTTAGATAATTTTGGAGCCTTCAAATTTTGTGTGCAGTATTTTCTTAAAGAAACACCTATAGGATCACCAACAAGAGAAAAAAGAGCAATATTTTGTCTCCTCTGCACCTCCAAAAAAAGCCTTTAAAAATAGAATCAAGTTCTTTTCAAAAAGCATCTCTGCGGTGGCCATTTTATTTGCCGCCAAGTACTTGGCTTGGGCTCAGTTGAAAAGCCTAATATGCAGTCATGCTGAAGGTCTCTCGTCTTGAAATGAGAGCCTGACAAGGAAATCAAAGTATCCTTTATATCCCAAGTCAGTCTGAAAATGTCACAGCTCCCACAAGAACTCAAATTAACTTAGCACCCACTACATGCAAGACTCACCATCTAGATTCCGGGACAGGTACAAACATGATAAGGCTCAGTCCTTGCCCTCAAGGAGCTTTGTCATTCAATGAAGACACATGAAATTCACAAACGGGGAGTCAGATACGTTGGGGAAGTCTCTCTGGACCCCCATTCCACATCCACAATATGATATTGGGTAATATTCTCAAATTTTGCAAATGTGAGTAACCCAGAAATAATACAAAGAATAACTGCTGGAAAAGTTCAGAGGAGGCGAAAGGCTGCTGTAGATGAATATATCCTCCAAACTTCTCCATTCTCCCAAACACATACCTGGCATCCTTTGCTAAATTACTTCCAAAGGGAATAACTTGGAAAATTGAAAATGGCAGTTTTCAGGCCATAGTCACAAGGAAGCAGGCACCTCATATGAGTGCCCCATACTCTGAGAAATTTGTCCACCCTGGAGTAGTCATGTATCTACACAACTAGAAACATCTACACATATATTCAAAGCATCTGCTCAATGACACATTTTTCCCACAGTTGTTTAGCATCTTGTAGGTGCACATTTTTGATTTTCCATTCAGTTAGGAGTTAATAGGATTTGCAATTCTGAAGTCTAATGAAGTTGATTCCCAATTCATAGAACTTTCCTACAGATCAACATAGCACTAACTCTAATAATAAAGCAGTTGTCATGACCTCCTTACCCTAGAAATTTCCTGAGGGCACATTATGAGCTAGTCATTGTGCTATGATCTGGGGAGGCTCCAAAAAGGAATGATACTCTGGGCTTGCCCTTGGAGATTTTTGGCTGGCAAGGAAGACAGAGATTGGTAAACTTTTATTTATTTATTTATTTTTTTCTGTTTAAACTGGGATCTCATGCTCAAGAAAGGTTGATAGTCATTGTTTTCATGCCGGGGATTTTGAGCGCAAATGCTCAAAGGACCAAGCAAGTGACAAGGCAGGCCTGGCGGAGACTGTGACAAAGTGGAGAGAGTTTGCCCTGTGGGATGAGGGAGCCACGACTCAGTCTCAGTGAATGCTTGTCATGTAGAAATGATAATCCAGGGTTGCCAAAGCTTTTGATTCTCCCCAAAAATCCAGCAATCCTGATTTTTTTAATGCAAAATCTCTCTCAACTTTTAAATGTTAGCAACTAATCTAAAAAATATATTTTAACACTGTGCAAGGACCAAACAAGAATTATCTGTGAACCCACTGCAGAAGTGTGCAGGCTGTCAACTTATGATGACTGCTTTAACAGTGTCGTGCTGACTGGGTGTCCGTGACTAAGTGGCCACGTGACCTAGTGAAAGTTGACTTCTCTGAGCCTCAGTTTCTTCAACTGGAAAATGAGAATAAATGTCCACTTTCTCAGACTACGATAAGGAAACTAATGAAATTAAAAATGTGAAAATAAGAAAATATTTTTTAAAGTACAAAGTATGGAACTCCTGAGAAACACTAGCTTCAGTTGCTTAGTATAACCAGCTCATTCTAAATCAGAACAACAGTACCAATGGTTTAAAGCAAATCCTAAATGTCTCTTCATGTTTTTGTACGATGAGGTGGAGCATTTCTATATAGGGGAATTTATTTGCAAATGCACCTGATTCCATATAACATAGACACTGGGTTAATGGGTTTTGAGTAAATAGTAAAACTACATTCATATGCATCTAATTTGGCAATTATTTAAAATCATATTAAGCCCTGTCTGATGCAGAGGGCATAATTGGCCTTTCTCAGTACTACAGATTAGCACCTTTGTTCTCACTATTCAAACCAAGAGAACTGAATTTTAAAAATAGAGAGACCGGTATTGTCTCCACATCAGTTCAGGGAAATGTTTTAAATTGTGAGGTTTAGAACACCTCTTTAATTTAACTCTGGACATCTGTACTCCTAATCACATCACTAGAGCAACACTGAAAATTAATACTGCAATTTCTAATAAACAGTTGCATGAAGGCCAGTTAAGCTGGAAAGTCCATTGTGAATTTAGAGATTACAGCTCTGCTGAATGACTAGTCCTCAAGTTTTATCTCAGCTATTCTGTTTGTCTATTTAAGAGAGAGAGAGAGAGAGAGAGAGAGAGAGAGAGAGAGAGAGAGAGAAAACAAACATGTAACTCTATCTAGTTGTTCTAGGATCAAATTCTATTCTGTTGTTTTAGCTTACTGTCCCAAATACCAAAAACCAAACTTTTTGAAGGTGCTGCAGGAATCTAGTCAGGATGCCTATTTTCTATGTCTCTGAAATTATCTCTTTTTAGTCAGCTTCCTATGTAGAATGTCTGGTTTTACAATAACATAGTGTTTCATTTGAAAAGAAAATTTTGCTTTTTGATTACGTGCTTTGAAATCTCTTGTTGCTTTAATTTCATCAGATTTTCTATGCTTCTTGCATGTCTTTATAATCAAAGAGGCCAAAATGTTCCTTTCACTTATTCAGAGATGGAGCTGGATTATGGGAAAAAAAATAAATAAAACCTGTGACTGAAAACTCCCACAGACTGTGCCCTGTGTAGGCAAATCGATCTGTTAAAAAGAAATGACATATCTAATGTGAAACTCCTCTATACAGGGTTTTCAATGAACACATCATGCCAGGGAACAGATCAGGGACCCTTGCAGCTGTGATTTCGATTCTTTTTTTTTTTTTTTTTTTTTTAATCCGGAGATAGCTTCCCTAAAGGAGAATAGCCCCTTCGGAAACCCTTCTGTGTTTCAGGTTCTTTCATAAGCTCTACTTGGCCACTAATTTGCTTCCATGGAGAGGTGACTTGAAAACACCACAAAAGTAAGCCATTGAGCATGTGCATGGACGGACTTTTAAGCATGAGTAAATTGACTTTTTGAAAAAAAAAAAATTAAAGCCAGAAAGTCTTTGTGACCTATTGATGTGAAATCTTTTCATAAGAAATACCAGGCTAAACAACTAAAAAGCTTTAATCAAAATCTGATCTACTTATTATTTTGTCTGTTCTGACCTCAGATATCACCATATGAACATTTTCTTAAAATGGAACAATGTCTTAGATCCAAGTCAAGCCCTCCCAAAGCATAGATTGTGGCTGAAACAATACACTAATCATCAGCATCATGATTAATTGCGTGTTCAGATCTTGGCTATTCTGGTTTTCTGTTATTCCAAAAACGTATAACACCTGATTTTATCGGTCAGATCGACCCTTCATGAAAATGGCAGAACCTGAAGAGTACACAGAGAAATAAAACATCTATATGAATATCTATATATCTATACAATATTTTATATATATTATTTATAAAGCATTATCCTGAAAAAAAGAATTTTTCTTTTTCAGTGGCACTAAGGAACATCAATTCCTCAAAGCAGAAGCAATACAGTGCAATTATTATTATTAACTAAACAACTACTAATTTTAAAAAAAATAGAAAATATAATTTTGAAAATATCCAGTTATATGAAACAGACTTTACTGACCACATTTTAAATATTTCACAATCTCATCAAACATCCTTTACAATATATATGTTGGGGAGAACCACAAAAAGCAAAAGGCAACAGTAACTTTCCTTCCCTGTCTTTAATAGACATTTCAGTACATGTTAATCACCACAAATCACTACACTGTTGATAGTAAAAAGAAGATATGAAATTCAATAATCCTATTCTATTTTTATTTCAGATAAACAACAAAGTCACAAAAACTTCTCGATATTGCCATATTTTAAAATAAAATTACAGCTATCTGCCAGCACTACACATAACAATTTATTGTACCTGAATAATTACTTTGGTTGAATAAAGTCCATATGTTTCAAATAAACCTGAAAGACATTTGCTTTTTTAATCTAATTCTCCCCATTAAACAATATACTAATTAGTCACATATTTCATAAAAGTTACAGGGATGTAATAGCAGCTTGTAAATTGCCTTGCATTGCATAATATATGATTCCATAAATCATCACAAAGCATAAAACAATGGGCAAGACCTAAGGCTGGATAAAAATTAAACCATAAAACAAGATTTCAACTAAATTCATCATTTTATCATTTTTTAAGAAGCTATGACCAGCCATCAAAAAGTAAAAGGAGAAAATATTTTCCATGAAAAGACAGCCCATTTTGTTTAGATTGCAGCCATCTTTGGAAACGGTACAGATATACAGAGAAAACAGGATCATGCAGACACTGATTTCCATTTTTTAGAGGAATTATTAGCTAGTCAACCATTTAAGATTTGATTACATATAAAAGGTCTCTATTTCACATAAGGGAGGGAAAGGGGCAGGGTATCAGAATGATGAGAAAAACAACACAAATAGCACTTAGTCAATCACTAACGAAATTAGAAATTGAACTGGTTTTTACTCTTCATAGGTGACATTAAATCAGAAGAGTCATCTACTTGCATTGAATATATTTACAACCCCATTAAAAAGTATTTTGTCTCTATTTTCTTTCATTAAATTCCCTTTACTAGAATCATAGAAATTAGATAGTGTTAATCAAAACGTATAATTTGAAAATCTTTCCAGGAAATGCCATCTGTTCTCTTTATTTATTCCTTTTGAACTCTGGAAGCTACAGTATCTCTAAGTTAGGTGCTATTTGCCATAACCCACAGGTTCCCACTTTCTGCATCCTCTCTCAGAAAAGCAAATACAGAATGCTGATTTTTTTCATCTAGACACAGATACACATAGACAAATATTCTTACATTTACTGAGTGTCTTATACAACAAAGAAGAGACAAATTTATATTTTAAAAGACAGAATATACCAAAATTTTGATGAGAAATACTATGAATATTAATAGCACTCTCAGGAGACATATGTGATTTTTTCTTATATAATTTTTTGTCAAATATTTTTTAGCATTTATACCACCAACCCCAGAAATATTGCCCCATGCTAGTAGGAAATTACATTCTGATATCAAAACAGTCTTATCAAAATACTTGAAATCATCCAACTGACTTTTAAAACAACACGTTTTTAAAATCATGCACATAATAATTATACTAAAAACCTCTTCAAACTTCACTTAATTTAATTTTTAGCCTCCGAAACCATCATAACTTCCTTAATACCCTGGTGCCCCCTTTTGGTGTAGCTAGATCAAGCCTTTTTTTTTTTCCAATTAAAAAAAATCATACACACTGTATGTATTCACTCACAAGACATAGTGTTTAACTTGGAAAATGTCAATTCACACTACAGATGGTTCATGGTTATTAGAGCTTTTATTCTGCCTTTACTATTACCAGTTATTGATCTAAAACATGTGCAAACAAACAAAGCTAACTCTTTGAGTGGGAAAGGAAAAGTGTCCTTTCCCTTAGACAATTGGCATAGCACTACTCAGATTCCTTGAGTTCTCGTCCCACTCTTCATGGTAAATAAGTGACCCGTTACCTTTGCTACAGGACATTCAATGGCTCGCTGACGGCTGCATTCAGAAGATATTTTTTTGTCCTCGATACATTTATGCTGTATGTCTGTCTATCATCCTGAAGAAAGAAAGGCTGGTGAGCATGTATGGATCCCAACATCTATTGACAAACAACAAGCCCAAGGATGGAGACACAGTCTAGTAAACAAGCTTTGTCACAGGGGGAAATAAAAGTTAACATTTTAAAGAGTTTGACTGAAATTTAAGAAAAGGAAAAAAATTAAATATCCTTACAACTTTTCATATGTTAGAGCTGGTAATTATGCCTCAGAAATAAGTTCTTTCCACGTTCAACAGCACTGTGTGAAGAAGACGAGCTGATTTCCAGCAGGGATATTGAATCCTTCCATCTGAAGGACCAATCAAGTGTGAAGTACAGTATAGTTTTAGATTCAATTGAAAGGAAAAAGCTTGACTACTAGTTCATAGCATGACAACTTTCATGGATTAGTTCAGACCCTATTCTCCTCCCTGAAAGGGTATCACAGCATGAAGACAGTTTTCAATGCACTAAACTTTAATAGCTGAGTGGGGGAGCCAAAGCTTCCCTTTGGTCTCTATAGAAACAGTATAGCCAAAATTTGAGGCAAAATTAAGTTCTTTGGTCTTAGGTGCTGTACATCCCCTCAGAGGTTTCTTTTCACAAACAGACTTTGGCCCTTATCAAATGTACACTCTTTTGGGGACTACTGTAAAAGGGAAGAGGCAAAACCTACTCCATTATTTTCCCCTCTGAACTCCACACAGGCAGCCATTTCAATGAAATACCAGAGAGCCCGATATGTGGTGCCCAGTGTCAAAGGCAGGTGGAATCATCTCTTAGGAAAGACTGCTCTTTGTTGTGTTGGTGGTGGTTGTGGTTGTTGACAGAAAGCTCCTCCTTGCTTATCTCTGCAACCACTGCCCTGTGCCTGCAGCACTCAGGCCGGGCAGGCCCCTCCCTTCCCTCTTCTCCCTGGGCCTTCCCCACTCATCTCGGCCCTTGGGATTTTCCCACAGCAGCCTCCACAGCATTCCCTGAATTGTTCCCCCACCCCGACTCCCGCATCTCAACTGAGTACATTGTCAGAAGAAAGGGGTATTTTCACAACACCAGAGGGACGTTAAAGTTGGCACAAATCAAGCACTTCATTAGGAATTTAGTATGCTCGAATTTTCTTTGTCAGAATTCCTAGTCAAAGGCAGCAAGACCCTAAGACTTGAGGATTTTCTTCTAACAATGCAGTTTTACTCCCCACTCAGGTCAGCTGTGTCTGAACCAACCTAAAACATTCTTTTAGTTCTTTTCTTTTTCCTAGTTACAACTTCATCTCCAGGTTCAAGACCCCTTTACCAATAAGAAAATGCAGCTTCCTCATCTGCCTTAAGAAAGGACACTCCAAACTTGTGGTGGAGAAGCCTAGGATTTATTTCCTTGGAGTCATATAACCACCATAGTAGGACGGGGACCAAGGAGATGCTCTCACCCCTTGGTGGGGCTAATGGGTTCAGATATTGATGAGAACATTTCTAAAGAACATGAATTAGAGGATGTCAGAAGTAGCTTTCTTTAGAAAGTCCTCTCAACGGCATGAAAAAACTGGCTTGGAAATCTATCAAACCAGCTTGTAAGAGCTATTGGTGGATCCAGCCCTATAGTTGGGGTCTCCTTGTATAAAACTTCATATTCATATGATGCCAGCAATTGTACAATACAGATGTTATCTGGCATTTGGACTTCTAGAACCCTCAGGTTTATGGACCTAGAAACAGCTCGAAAACATTTTTTTATAGTGAAAGATCTGTCTATTGGTATCCAACATCAAACAACAAGGCCAAGACAGACAGCCTGCAGAATTACTTCAAGGGTAAGGTGACTACTTGGGTTGTCACCCAAAAGTAAAATGATACTATTAATAATAACTAATAAATGATACAAATAATAATAACTTACACTTGAAAGTCAAGAGGCACTGGTGAAGCAACAGAAGCGAGAAGAAACAAGAAATGGGTAGAGAGTCATTGGTGGCAGAAACAGCAGAGTTTAGAAGGAGGTATGGAGGGTCCACAGTCATGGTGGCAGGGACAGCAACAGCAGCCACAGAGGTGAGTAGAAACAATGCTCAAAAGTCTCTCAGGGCACCCCAATCAATTACATTTCCCAATCTGGAAAAGAGGGGACATTTACTACATATAGAGCAGTGACAAACTCATTCATGCTCTCCTTCATTCCATCCATGTATAGTTACATATATGAGGTACCATATTTATAAAAATACAGAAGCATATGGTATCTTGTAGAAATATTTTTTCCAACAACCATTTAAAAATTTAAAGTAAGTGTGTAAATCTCAAAGTACTTAGAGCATTCGCCAATCTAAAGAGGGTCATTCCACTGAAGTTGCTATATAGCTGAGATGTTCTTAGAATGTGTGTGATTTTTACTTTTATTGTATTGACTGAAATTATTCCCAATGCTTATTATTTTTAAATAGCCTAGCATTGAGTTATGTATACATTAGGCACTCCACATTGCTTGTTGAGTGGATAAATAAATCATGAAACTGTCAAGAGCAAAGAAGTAGAAGAAGTTTCCTTTGACCAGATTCTTTAAATACTTAATTATTACATGTACTTATTCATTCAACCAGCATTTATTTGTGTAACACATAGAATGGGTGTGTGTGTGTGCACGCATGACGCGGTGCCAGTGTAGACAAAAGTCAACAAAACCTGCTAGCATCCATCAATTTAATATCCATCTGTTAAGCATCCATCAGACTATCAAGTTAATATGAAAATACAAATGGCCAAGCAACACTTGTAAAAATATTCATCAAGAAATGACAATCAAAACAATGAGATACATATCGATAATTACCTGTAGTGGAGTTGGTGTAGGTAGTCAGCCTTTCAGTAGGAAATTTTGAAAGCTTAAAAGCACACATTTAACTCTTGGGCTCAGACATTGCATTTCTAAGAATGTATCCTAAGGTAATAATTAAAGATGTGCATAATGATTAAGCTACAAGGATTTCATTGTAAAATTATTTGTATTAATAAAGGACAAGACAACCTGAATCAGGGGCATGAATACATTATGCTGCAGTCATACAATGGGATATCAAGCAGCTATAGAAACCACCTTCTAGAAGAATACTAACACGAAGAGATGACCAGAAAATGTTAAGTGGAAAAATAACAAGTTTAAAAAATCTTTATTAATTTCAAGGATCACAGTAATTCATATTTATAGTAACTCTAACTAAACAAAATTGAAGGGAACTGTAATTGGAAGTCCACTGTGGTATCAGAAATAAGCACTGTTTTCAGTTTGTTATACATGTTTCCGGACTTATTTATTTTACGTATCCAAATGTAATCAATAAGTTGAACTGACAGAAGTCATGGAATGAAATCATAAACCACCTTCAATGGCGTCTTCCACTTTACCTGTCTCTTTTGTAACAAAACACAGTGTTAAATGGTTACTTTAACCCATTCCATGGAATAAAGCTTTCAACTAAAACCAGAGTTAGAGCTATTCTTCCTACCTGAGCTGCAACCTGCTACAGGTGAAGGGCCTACAGCTGTCAAATGGACCACAGTTGTTCTCTTTCCCTACTTTAGACTTTGAGCCATTCTCCCCATCTTACTAACTACAATTACTGACCCTGTTTAGAGTAATAGATAAAATATACAGGATGCCCAATTAAATTGGAATTTGGAGTAGGCAATGAATAAATTTTTGAACATGATTGGTCTCATATATTGCATGGTAGATAATGCTAAAATGGTCTCCACTGTTTATTTCAAATTCCAATTTAACTGAGAATCCTGTATTTTTGTCATTGTTGTTGTTATATCTGGCCACCCTAGTTCAGCAGCAAAGCAAAGGGAAGAAAAAGAGGTAAGGGAGATAGAAAAGTTATTTCTTGACTGATACTGTTGTAAGTTGGCTTTTCACAATCTGGGACCAGCAGGTATTTAAAGCTATGTCTTTTGTGAATGTTTTTGTAATTCCTTTTGAAACCTCCACAGTGCAGAAAGCCATTAACCTGAAGATCTCTCATGCATGTGTGGCTTTTGTCTGATCCCTGGGGTACACGTACATGTCCCTTGCTCTGACAGATTCTGGGAGAGCAGGCATATCTCAACACAGCACCAACATTTTTGCTCCTGCTCTTGGAGCACTGGCCAGCCTTTTACATTTTCCAGGTGAGAGTCAGACACCATGTGACCATATCTGTCCAACTGCAGAAGTCACATATCAAGCTAAGTGGTCCTTAAAATTCCTCTCTCCTGACTTGATGTAGAGGGAGAAGCACTCTGTACCCTTCCATCTTGGGAAGGAGGGCTCACAGAACAGCCCTCTTACTAGAAATATTCCTTACAAGTACCCCTAATATCCACCAACCAGAGCTTTTAAAACCCATACTGAGTGAAGGGCTTAAGAGTTTTGAAATCAGTTATTGGTTCGCTACTTTGAAATTCATACAGGGTGGCCTGTCTCACTAATTGCTTCAATATCTATGGTATCTTGATGCCTCAGTCAAAACTTTAACTTTTGTTACACTGACACTATTTATATTGTTTCTCTAGTCAATTCTCTCACATTCTCCACAATTGCAAACTTTCTTGACCATCTTCATACCTTTCATACCTTGCCCTACCATCACTGTCAATATTTATAATTTCCAGTGTCAGTGCTACTTGGCAAGTCCAGTGGTTGTTGAAGTGTGTTCTCTGGACCAGCAGCATCAGCATCAGCTGGGAGCTTGTCAGAAATGCAAATTCTCAGCTCATCCTAGACCTACAGAATCCGAGCCCCTGTGAGTGGGCCCCAGCACTCTATTTTAGCAAGCCCTCCAGGGGATTCTAATGCATGCTTACGTTTGAGAACCACACCAATGCTCTCACCTACTTTCCAAAGAAGTTAGTTCACATGTTTATCCTATTCATACTCCATTATCTTTCAGCCACCCCAACTTTCACTCCAAGCAAATGAACTCACTTTCAAATTCACATTAGAAATTGGAAAACTTCAGATTCCCTGACCTTCCTACTACCAAATCTACAGACTGACCTGTATGTAATTCTGCCCATCCGTCTATTAAAATGGAAGAGGATATCTCCTTTGTATGGCTAGTCCTGCAACCCAATCCCTGAGTCCCAGGCTTTCTAGCTTCTCAGGAACTTCACTTTAATGATTATTTACCCTCTCACTTAAATATATAATCTCCATAGGGTTTCAAAACTTCCATCTTAAAGATCTTCCCATTCAGATTCCCTTTGCAGCAATGACACCAGATCCGGTTTTCACTTCACAGTCAACATTTTCAAAGAAGCTAACTTGTTACTTTCATTTCCTCGTCTTTGCTAACTCCCCACTCTGGCATTTGCTCCCACAGCTCCATTGGAATGACTCTCATCAAGATTACCCTGACTTCCATGTTGCTAAGTTCCACTGGACACTTCATGGTTCCTACCCTGCTTGACTTTTAGTCCAATGTTGTCCAACAGATGTTTCTGCAATGATGGAAGTGGTGTGTATCTGTGCTGTCCAGTATGGTAGCCACCAGGCTTATGTGGTTATTGAGCACTTGAAATGTGGCCAGTGTGACTGAGGACTGAATTTTTAAACTTTATTGAATTTAAATTTCAATAGTCACATATAGCTAGTGTCTACCATACCAGCCAAGGCATCTCTAAGCTGTATGCCACTCCCTTCTTGAAACATTTTCTTTCCTTGGCTTTTATGTTGCCAACTCTCTCTCCATACCCCTTTAGGATTCCCTTTCAGCCTCCTTTGTTGGCTACTTCTTTGCTATTGGATGATTTAGGGTGCTACTACCATTGGTAAAATTTGAATATGGACTGTATATTAATCTTTTCACTTTCTACTCTAGGCTTTAATGATCACCTACAGAGAGAGAATTCACAAACTTGTATACCTGGGGAGAGTTTGTGCATGTGTCTTGAGCTGTGTCTATGTAGATAAAACATATCAACATTGACAAATGGAATTGCATTTTAAAAAGGTATAGACAAGCTAGCCCTCCTGATACTACCTTTCTGGAAAGGAATTTGGAAAGATCCATCAATTTTTACTCTCACTGGCAGACTAGGAGACAACCTACCTAATTACACCCTCACAAGCAATTTAATTCTGAATTGCCTCAAGTCTTTGCTCACTCACACTGATCTCACTTCCTGATACTTCAAGACAAGAGGAGAACACCTACTCTGAGCAGTGACCCCAGACCCCCTCCATGTTTTCATTTGACTCTTTCTCTTTCCTTCATAAACCTAGGTTTTCTGGCTTTCTAAGCCAGCTTTTTTCCTACAGTTCTTGCAAGCATAAAGTGAACTCTTATCCTGCATGTAGATTTATTCATGACTAACATTTTGCCACATCTGACACACCAGCACCTCATTTTCTCTCTCTTTCTACACACATGCAATATGCATATACATACACAAATGTGCACATATATTGTTATCATCATTATTGTTATTTTCGCTGGACTGTTTGGGAGTAAGTTCCAGATATTCTGAACTTTTGTGCTTAGATATTTTTCTGTGAATCTACTAGAAACACATACATTATCTTAGATAAATCTCATTAAATGATCAAATCTGGGAGAATTCACACTTATACAATATTATTATCTAATATACAGTCCATATTCAAATTTTACCAACGGTATCTATAGAAACTTCCTTTCAATACAAGATCGCACACTGTGTTTTGTTCTCATACCTCTCCTAAGTCAGCTGCTTTTGACCATTTGGGCTCTGCTACCCCATGAGACCTCTATTTCAAGAATGCTAAGACCATCTTTCCCAGCCCCACCTGTCTTAGACAAATTAGCCTGGTTATGACAGCCCCACGAACCATTCCATAAAGAGGGTCCAAGAATTATCCTTTCTCCCTCCCTCCTTCCCTCATTCCTTCTCTCCCTGTCGTCCCTCCTTCTTGTCTTTCTGTCTTTATTTTTAGCATTTTCTGGCACTATATGATGCTCAAGTTTCATCTTGTATTTTTTTCCCCAGTTCTAGAATCAGCTATTTTCCCAAAGGCTCCTTTTAGTGGAGAATGATATTTAGAAACCAATATTTGAACATCAATGGTGCTAGTTGCTATGGGGCTGTCAATTTATAGGCCCTTTCAGTGGACAGAGCAAGAAAATATATGTATATATAACAAAGTATCACACATATCTATATTTCTGTATTTCTCTTTCTGTATAAATAAATAATACATATGTGTATATAAATATGGGTTCATAATATTTCCAACTCTAATCTAGCATCACAGTGTTGATTTTGACATCCTTCCTTTGTTTATTTGTAACTTTTTTCCCCTGACAGTGAGAAATCTGACCCTCAATATCTGTTTAACTTATTTACTTTTCTGTTTAACCCTACAATACATGTTAAGTCACTTCAGAATTGTTAAGTTGTATCTCTATGAGAAACAAATTTAACAACCACAGCATAGTGTTTATGTACAATATGTACAACTCCTTTTGTCTTTAGCCTTACAGTATTCAGGGAAAGTACTGTTTTCCAAAGATATGTATGTGAGCTCCTTTTTTTCTTATCTCTTTCTGTGAGGTTATCTCTTATATTTGTAGCAAAGATAGGTTTGTTTGTCACCGTCTGCACAGTCTACACCCTGGGATCCTCTGAAATCCTGGTTGACTTTTTTAATTAATAAATTTTATTATTTTAGAGCAGTTTTGGGTACACAGCAAAATTGAGTGGAAAGTATACAGTTCTCATACACTCCCTGCCCCTACATATGCATAGCCTCCCCCATTATCAACATCCTCACCAGAGTGATACATCTTTTACAATTGAATACCTACATTGAAACATCATTATCACCCAAAGTATATAATTCACATTAAGGTTCTGCTGTTGGTCTTGAAGATTCATGGGTTTGGACATGTGTATAATAATATGTACTGACCACTGTCATTTCTCACAGAATAGTTTCACTGCCCTAAAAATCCTCTGTGTTCTCCCTATTCATCCTTCCCTCTCCTTTAACGCTCAATAACCACTGATCCTTTTATTATTCCTGTTGTTTTGCCTTTTCCAGATGGTCATGTAGTTGGAATTATACAAAATGTAGCCTTTTCAGATTGGGTTCTTTCACTTAGTGATTTGCATTAAAATTTCCTCCATGTCTTTTTCATGACTTGATAGCTCATTTCTTCTTAATGCTGAATAATATTCTATTGTCTGGATGTACCACAGTTTATTTATCCATTCACTTACTGAAAACCATCTTGATTGCTTCCAAGTTTTGACAAGTATGAATAAAGCTGCTATAAACATCTGTGGTGGAAGGTTTCGTGTGGACTTTAGCATTCAACTCATTTGGGTAAGTACCTAGGGGCAGGGTTGCTGGATTGTATAAGAATATGATTCGTTTTGTAAGAAACTGCCAAACTATCTTACAAAGTGGCTATAGCATTTTGCATTCCTACCACCGATAAGTAAGAGTCACTGTTGTTCCACATTCTCACCAGTATGTGGTATTGCCAGTGTTTTGGATTTTGGTTATTCAATGGTTAATTTTTTTTAAATGTGCACACACTAAAATTCTCTCTTTGTGATGTGCAGCTCCATGGATTTTGACAAAAACAGTGTTATTTATCTATCACTCTACTACCATAGGAAACAGTTCCATTAATGTAAAAATTCCCTACGGGGCCCCTTAATAGTCAATCCTTGTCCCCTGACAACCACCAATTTCTTTCCATTCCTACAGTTTTGCCATTTCCATAATATCGTATAAATGGAATGTTACAATATGCAGCCTTCTGAGTCTGGCTTCTTTCACTCAGCAAAATGCATTTAAGGCTCATCTATGTTGCTGCATAATGTGTGTGTGTGTGTGTGTGTGTGTGTGTGTGTGTGTGTGTGTGTATATATGGTATATATATATATATATATACCACATATATGGTGTGTATGTGTGTGTATATATATTTGTGTGTGTACATATGGTGTGTATATATACATCTTTGTATATATTTTGTATATATATTTAATATATTTTATAAATATGTATGGTTTTTTTAGGTATATATATTTTTCATATATTTTATAAATATATATGGTATATATTTTGTTTATATATTCTTTTATATTTTACAAGTATATACAATAATATATATTTATGGTATATATACATATATGTTTTATAAATATATATACCATAAATATATATTTATAGTTTATATATTTTATAAATATATATGGTATTTATAAAATATAAAAAATAAAAATATATATATATAAATATATATCTCTTGCTGGTTCTGGTTTTTGCTAGAATCTATATGTGTGTATATGTGTATATATATGTGTGTGTGTATACACACACACACATATAAAGACAGTCGGCCCTCCATACCCACAAGTTCTGTATCCATGAATTCAACCAAACACTGATCAAAAATATTTCTAAGAAAACAATGAAAAATGCAAAAACTTGAAAATACAAATTTTAAAAGATACAGTATAACAACTACTTACATAGCACTTGGATAGTATTAGGTAGTATAAGTAATCTAGAGATGATTTGAAGCATGCAGAAAGATGTTCATAGATTACATGCAAAAATACTAAGCCATTTTATATAATGAACTTCAGCATCTGCAGATTTAGGTATCTACAAGAGGTCCTGGAACTAATCACCCACAGATAAGATACCAAGGGATGACTGTATGTATTTCAAGGAATTGGCAGTTGTAGGGTCTGGCTGGGCAAGTCCAAAATTCATAGAGCAAGTCAGCAGGCTGGAAACTCTTAGACAGGAGTTGACATGCAGACCACAGGTGGAATTTCTTCTTTCTCAGGGAAACCAATTTTGCTGTTAAAACCTTTCAACTGATTGAATGAGGCCCACCCAGATTATAGAGGTTAATATTCTTTACTTAAAGTCAACTTATTATAGATATTAATCACATCTATGAAAGGCCTTCACAGAAACACCTAGATTAGTATTCAATTGAATATCTGGCTACTGAAGGCTAGCCAAGTTGACACATAAAACTAGTCATCACACGGTTTGTTTTTCTCATTCATCTGTTGAAGATTTCTCTTGGATCAGAATAGAATTCCCTTAGAATAGAGCAGATAAATACATTGTAGTATATTCATAGTTAAATACTGTAATAGCAATGAGAATCAATAAACTACAACTCTAACCAACAGCATGGATGAATCTGACAAAGAAAGAAGCCCTACACAACATAATTCATAGTATTAGTAGTTGATTTCACAAGGCTAAACTTATTTATACCATTAGAAATCAAGATAGCGATTACCCTTGAAGAAGCAGTGACTTGCAAGAGGGCAGAAGGAAACTTCACAGGTGCAGGGTTCCATTACTTGTCCCAGGTTCTGCTTACACAACTGTGTTCATTTTGTCATCATTCATTGGGTTATACACTTATGACTTGTGCACTTTTATGTATAGGTATTGTACTTTAATAAAAAATTCAAAAAAGTTCTGTTGAAGATCAGAGGATCTGGGTTCACATCTTGGCATTCCCACATACTCTCCTAGTTGTGTGATCTCAGGTAACTTACTTAACCTCTCCAATTTCAGTTTCCTCATGGATAAAATGGGATAACAACATTTTTTTTGGCAAGGGTGCTGTGAGGATTAAATTATATATGAGAAAAGGGGAGTTTAACTTCTAAAAAGTATTTAGTTATGGCAGTGTAGATCTGGATAGATTCCAGTGAGAAGAGAATGGATGTCGCATTTTTCTCTATAGAGCCCTGGCACAAGGACAAAGACAATAGCCAGAAAATAATATGACAAGTGGTTACAACCTCAAGCGAATATGATTGACGAAAAGAGTACAAATTAAATGCAAATGATTATGACTAAAATATAATTCGATATGGGGCAAACTGTAGCTGCTAGTGTACTTAGAATGTACTTTTCTGTACTTTAGCTAGATTTCCACATGAGGACAGCATATATTCAAACAATAATATAAGTCATTCTAGGCAAACCTCCCTTTTAGTTTTATAGCTCTTTCTTACCAAAGAAATATTAGAATCAGAAATCATAAAATATGTTGAAATTCTCTGAGACTGCTGAGACTGGACCTTAATAATTTTTAAAATCATGATGACCAAAAGAAGAGACAAACTGGCTGGAGTTGGAAGCAGTTTTCCTCTTGTTTCTCTATGAGTGGATGCACATTTCTTGTTTGGAGAAAATAGTCGGATTTTATGGTAGCAGACTTCCATGATGACTTCAATGATCCTTGCCTCCTGGTATTCATACCCTTCGGTAGTTTCCTCCTACACTGTACCAGGGTTGGTCATTGTGATTTATAAAATATGGCCGAAGTGATGATGCATCACTTCCAAAATACGGGCATAAAATACAGTGGCTTTTGTCTTGTGTTCTCTCTTTCTCTTGATATCTCTTGGATTGCTCACTCTAGGGGAAGCCAGTTGTCGTGTCAAGAGAACACCCAGACAGCATATAGCAAGGAATTTGCCAGTGAGGAACTAGCAACCACATGTGTAGGTTTAAAAGCAGATATTCCTCCAGTCAAGACTTCAGATGAGACTGCAGCCCCAGCTGAAAGCTTGGCTGCAACCTCATGAGAGACCATAAACCAGAGGGACCTACCTAAGCCACTCCTGGATCCCTGATGCACCAAATCTGTGAGATTATAAGTGTTGCTTGTTGTAAGCTGCTAAATTTGAGGGGTAATTTCTTTTGCAGAAATAGATAGGTAATACAAATGATTAATTTCTCTCTGGAAATATAAAGCCAGAATCCTATTTTGGAGGGGAGACATTTGGGACAATGTTGGGGGTTAAACAGTTTTGCATAGTAATGTAAAAAGTTAGTTTTTTATAGGTTTGTATCTCTTTAAGAATTCCAATGATATTCACATGAAAGTGAGAGGGGAAAGAGGTTCTCCTTTTCTCTGGTGTATAGGGGGAGGATATTGGGGCCTTCACTATAGTATATGGTCAAAGACATTCCCAGTGAAGACAAGTAGGCTGGCTCTACCTGATGGTGGAGCTAGTAGGGGCTAAGAGATAAAGCTAGTAGGATACCTCTTGAGTGGAAAGAGGAAGGGGACTGGACTCTAGAAGCCTGATTATCTAAAATAATGTTTAAAAAGTACTATAATTCCACCTTGTTTTTCCAAACCTTCCATAAAGAGAAGAGCCTGTGGTAATGATTAAATCCCAGAAGTATTGAGTATGGGAGCATGGCCAGTGTGACCTATGAGCACGGAAGTCTGAGGTGACTAGTAACAACTGGGATGTATTTGTCACTCTTCCCTGGGGATTCTAAAAAACACTAGTCCAGTAAATGACTAGACTATCTACAATCATGAAATATGCAAGCTCCAATTACAGTTGCTGGTTTTAAAGGGGAGGGTGAACTTTGAAGTCTGGAGGACTTGAAAAAATTGACTTTCAGTTCCTACTCTTGCTGGGCACATTTCATATCTTATTAATTCCTTATAACAAGCCATAAAGCCAGGTATTTTCCCCAATTTACAGATAAAAAAATTGAAGCTCAGTAAGAGTAAACAACCTAACTAAACTACAAAACTGGTAAGAATGTGGATCCAGGTCTGTTGGACTCCAAAGCCTGTAATATTTGTGTCAATCTACTGTCTTTTACATTAAAATGAGGAACTTTTGTATCAGAAAAAAATACCATGAATGAACAAACTTGGAAGGGAGATTTTTTTAATAGGAAAATTTTTGCCATCTACATGACAAATGATTAAAATATATAGCACATAAATAGCACCTGTAAGTCAAAATGAAAAAGAATTAACTACTCTAACAAGCAAAGTACAGAACACATAAGCCATTGTTCGGTCTATTCAGCACACTATATGATCATATAGGGATCTCTGAATTTGTATGTTATAATTGCATACAGGTAGTAGACCTTTTTTTTTTTTTTTTTTTTTTTTTTTTTTGCCTGCCTTTTATCCTTTCCTCTTTGTAGTAACAGGCCTTGGCTTTTCCATTAGGGAATTGCTCCTCCTCCATCCATCCTCTTTGTGGGACTGTCAATCATAGAGTCCATCCTCTGTTATACTGATTTTCTAGGAGTGAGCATATGATCCAGTTTGGACGAATCACAGCCCCTCTCCCAAAATTTTGAATGTTAAGTAGTGCTATGAAGATGGAAGTCAGTTGGTGCTATATCATTCTGACAGCAATGTCCTAAAGCAAGAGTCTGCAACTTTTTCTGTAAGAAGTCAGAGAGTAAATATTTTAAGCTTTGTGGGCCATACAGTGTCTGTTGCAACTATGAAAATTCTGTCATTGTATGATGAAAGCAGTCATAGAGTAAACAAGTGAGCATGATTGTGCTCCAATAAAACTTTATTTACAAAAACAGGTAGTAGACTGGATTTGGCATATAGACTATAGTTTGCCAACTCTTGCAATGGAGAAACAATCCACAGGCACAATGTTACTCGTATTCCCTAAGGGTGCTCATGTTATGGTCTTTCCTGAGACCTGGGTATTAAGCTTCTCCAATTCTGTGAGACACTCGGCACTCTTGCAGTAAATCCCTCTTTTTGTGGTTGTTAGCCAAAATTAGTTTCTGTTGCTTGCAGCTGAAGACAGCTAACTGCCACAATAGACACTTTTCAAAAGCAAACATAGTTTTTAAAAAAACCTAGAGTTTTGAAGGAGCACAAGGAACTTTACCTCAAAATAAGGCTTTCTGGTATAGTGAGTATTTTTAAGTAAAGGCCCTTAGAGATTAACAGTTGTTAGAAGAAATATTTTTTATTTATATAAAGACTGGATACAGCTACCAAGAAGAACAACTACTTTTTTCTGTTATCTCATTGTCTCTTGCAGAAAAATAAAGGCTAAGAATGTAACCACACCAGAACAGACCTATTTATAACATAGTGTCTGTCTCTCAGAGTCATTTAATTTTTAAAGAGAACTTTTATGTTAATCTGTTTTTTGATCTATTTCTCTGGTAATCACTACTGCCCCTAAAAAATTATATTCCCCATCTCCTTCTTCCCCTATGAAATAAGGATATATAAGTATTTAAGCCCCATTGAGATATGGGGCAATCACTCTGTGATTTTCGCTTGTGTACACATTAATACGTTTACATGCCTTTTCTCTAATTAATCTGGCTTTTGTCAGTTAATTTTTCAGTGAAACTTCAGAAGGCAAAGGGCAAGCTTTCCCCTCACCCCTACAGTTTTAAGAGTCCATTTGAAATATTTAAAATGGGTACTCATCAAAGTATTTTAAAATACACCAGGAAGACATCTTTCACTATCACACATGAGTCTAAATTACCTCCTTGTTGTACTCTCTCTAATGATTATTATCAAAAGGTAACCTGCCACTTTTTCAGAACAATTATAGGGTGTAGACCTTCATAAATACTTACCCACACAAATTCAAAACCTATATTAATTTTTTTAATATTTGTTAAAATTCAAAGCCTTTTCATTTTTATTAGTCTAGGTTTAAAATGCCACAAACCCTTAGTATCATTAAAACATTCAACATATGGATTTTTCTAACATTCTTACCACGAGGAAGAATCAATAAAACACCATTCAGACCTATACGGACCAGGAATATTTGGCTTACCAGCAATCAAAAGTATTTCAAAAGCAAGAGATGTTCATCAGGTTTGAGTGTTCACCTTCAAATTGTCCCAAAAGCTCGACCTGAAATGCCGCTGAGGATCCCTAAGATGCTGCTTCCTAGAACCACAGAAACTAATAATGGGGTTCACAAATTTGAAAAAGGGCACAATACTAATTAATAATAGTTGCCACTTGTTGAGTGTCTATAATGTGCAGGACACTTTACATATATTCTTTCTAACCCTTCCAACAGCCTTGCAAAGCAGATTTTTGTCATCATTTTATAGGTAAAGGAATGATCTCAGCTATATATACCTAGTGTGTTAAATTTAGGGTTTTCTTTGTTTTGTTTTGTTTTTTTGAGACAGAGTCTCACTCTGTCACACAGACTGCAGTGCATTGGCACAATCATGGCTCACTGCAGCCTCAACTTCCTGGGCTCCAGCGATCCTCCCACCTCAGCCTCCAGGGTAGCTGGAACTAAAGGCATACACCACCACACCCAGCTAATTTTTGTATTTTTTGTAGAGATGGGGTTTTGCCATTTTGCCCAGGCTGGTCTCAAACACCTGGGTTCAAGCAATTCGCCTGCCTCAGCCTCCCACAGTGCTGGGATTACAGGTGTGAGCCATCATGCCTGGCTTAAATTTTGGTTTTCAATAGTTCTTTTTGCCTCCAAAAACAATGCTCATTTCACTATTTCACAGTGAAAAGTCTCCCATGAGATCATTCTGTATTGCGGATGGGTAGAATAAGGCACTTTACTTTCTGCCTCTTGAATGATTCAGCAGGGAATGTCTAACATTCCTGTCATCTTCATCTATAGATTTGCAGGATATCAAGTTTTATTTTTTAGTGGACACTCTGGATTGACATTCTAGTACTGATTCTTTTTTGTTGTTGTTATTTCCAAACAGAACCCTGATTTTGATCAAGGATCCAACCCTCCCTCATGTAGCCACGTGATTCAGGGTTTCCTGAGTTCTGAGGCCATAAGTTCAAGAGGTATGCCTGATTGATCTAATGCAGTGACGTCCCCAGATCAGCAGCAGCAGCATCACCTGATAACATGCTAGTAATGTACATTCCTGGGCCACCGTGGACTTGCTGAACACAGGACTCTGTGGGAGCAGACTAGCACTTTGTATTTTAAAACAAGTTCTTCAAGTGATGCTAATGCATGCTAAAGCATGAGAACCATTGATCTAAGGGGACCATAATTCCTTGCTAGTGATTGGGTTAAGAATGGTCCTATGACCTGATTCTGGCCAATTATATTTGAAGTGAGAACTGCTATGTGGCTTCTGGGAAAAGTTTGCACATTCCTAAAAAACAGGCATATAAAAATATGGTCCCTGTACATCTTCTGGGTGTTATTACATCTATATCTGTTGCAGCCATCTTGCTGCAAACCTTAGAATAAAGCCTATTCTGAGAATGGCAGAGCAACAGTGATGAAAAATCCCAAGGTTTTCATGACATCACTGGAATTGCCAAATCAACAATCCTAACTCTAGTCTTCCTGTCTCGCGAGATAATATCTTTCAGTGGAAATAGATAACAATGAAGCAAGGACAAAACTAAGAAAAAGACAGGGTAGGGATGAGGTGGGTAGATGACATTTAAGGGGGAAAGAATACCAAAGCTCTGAATGTTTGCAGATTCAGCCGCTCAGATTCTCTATAGAGTCACAAGAAAGAGCTGATTACTGAATAATGACAACCATGTATGTTTAAGACTATACAGAAATACAATACAGAAGGGGAAAAGACCCCACCAGCTGCATCCTCACCCCAAGCCCCGATTCTCTCAGCTTTGGGAGGTGTCCCCAGTTTCATAGGCAACTAAGACCATCACTAAATATTACTTAGACCTGTGCCTCTCAGCTTTATTCTCACAAAATCAGTGATTATGTTAGATTGATGACACTGGGCATAGAGCACCTGTACAGGACAGAGTTCAAGCAAACCACTGTAGAGGCAACAAAAATCCCTGGATCCAGCGCTGTTGGCTGACTGGCAGTTAATGATGGTGTCTAGTCCAACGATCTGTGACTAGAATACTGAATAGTCAACAAAACAGACTACAGGGGCAATTATGCCAAAGCAGGAATAAACCAGTTGGGGATGCCCCTGCAAATACAGTAGCTATGTGAAGAGCAAGTTTGGATGTGTCATTAATGTATTTATTTTTATTACATCCAATACAAAGTTCCTTAAACCAGTGGTTCTGCTGGGACTGAATTTTAATAGTCAGCAGGCATTTACTTAAATGTCCACTCTGCTTACTGAAAAAGATAAAAGTTGGCAACAGGTTGGGCCTTAAGGCTGGCTGACGCCATTTCATCATAGCTTGGCAAGTCCATAAACTCTGGAAACATCTAACAATGGATTTGTGAATTCAACAGAGACAGATTTATAAGCTATAAAGTCAATGCATTGTCAAGGCAACTACTAATTTATTCAATAAACATTATTAGATGCAGAGACTCTTGTCTTCTTCCTGAATTTAAAGGGAATATTTCTAATGTTATCATTAAAATTGATGTTTGGGGTATTTGGGAGTAGATACTCCGTATGAAGTTAAAGAAGTTCCTTTCTATTCTTATTTACCAAAGTGCTGGTTTTTTCTAATCATGGAAAGGGGTCGAATTTTGTGAAATTTTTTTCTGCATCTATTAGGATGAGTTCTTTTCCTTTAGTCTGTTAATATAATGAATCAAATTAATAAATTTTTTAATGTTAAACTTTTTCTCTTTTTATGGCTTAAAGAAATGGGTCATGATACATTTTTCTTCTTATACCAGCTGGATTCAGTTTGCTGATAGCTCATTTTGTATTTGTATGCCAATGTTTGCAAATGAGATCAGCTTATAACTTCCTTTCTCATGCTGTTTATTTATTTATTTATTTATTTACTTATTTATTTTTCTTCAACTTTTATTTTAAGTTCTGGGGTACATGTGCAAGATGTGCAGTTTTGTTACATAGGTAAAGTGTGCCATGGTGGTTTGCTGCACAGATCAACCCATCACCTAGGTTATTAAGCCCAGCATCCATTAGCTATTCTTCCTGATGCTCTCCCTCCCCGGCAACAGACCCCAGTTTGAGTTCCCCCCAATATGTCCATGTGTTCTCATTGTTCAGCTCCCACTTATAAGTGAGACATGTGGTGTTTGGTTTTCTGTTCCTGCATTCGTTTGCTGAGGAAAATAGCTTCCAGCTCCATCCATATAGCTGCAAAGGACATGATCTCTTTCCTTTTCATGGCTGCACAGTATTCCGTCTTGTGTATGTACATTTTCTTTGTCCAATCAATCACTGATGGGCATTTGGGTTGATTCCATGTCTTTGCTATTATGAATAGTGCTGCAATGAATATACACATGCATGTATCTTTATAACAGAATGATTTATATTCCTTTGGGTACATAACCAGTAATGCGATTGCTGGGTCAAATGGTATTTCTGCCTCTAGGTCTTTGAGGGATCTCCACACTGTCTTCCACAATGGTTGAACTAATTTTCACTCCCACCAACAGTGTAAAAGTGTTCCTTTATTCTCCAGAACCTCACCAGGATCTGTTGTTTTTTGACTTTTTAGTAATCACTATTCTGACCGGCATGAGATGGTATCTCATTGTGTTTTTGATTTGCGTATCTGTAACAGTCAGTGATGTTGAGTTTTTTTCATATTTTTTTTGCCGCATGAATGTCTTCTTTTGAGAAGTGTCTGTTCATGTTCCCTAACTCCTTTCTCATGAGACACCTCACTCATACTGTTTTCACTCAGACAAGGAGAGCATGAGAAAGGAGTTAGGGAGTTTTTCTCCTTTTTCAATTTCCCAGGAAAGTGATTATATAAGATAAACATTGTCATTCCAGTAATTGTTTGCAGAAATCCTCTATGTAACTATCTGGTTCTGATGTTATCTTTGTAGAGAAAATTTTTGAACAATGATTTGTATTATTTAGAAGACACTTAAAGTTCTCTATTTATTCGTTGCTTTGGTAAGCTATGTTTTCCTAGGAATTTATCAGTTTTACGTATGGTTTCAAATGGATTAGCATAAAGTTGTTTATAATAACCTCTTACTGTTTAATTTCTGAAGTAACCATAGTTATTTTCACTTCTAGTCTTGTTTATTTGTGCTTTTTATATTTTCTCAATATTTATGTTGCCAGAAGTTTGTCTATTTTATTAGTCAAAAAAACACCTTTTATATTTAATGAGTATATCTTTAATTTCCATTTAATTAATTTATGTTTTTTATTAACTCTTACTCCTGCTACAACTTATTCATTTGTTCGTACTCCAATTTCTTAAATCGAATTCTTAGCCCATAAATTTTGTCTTTCTCCTTTTCTTATGTAAGCATTTAGGGTTATAAATTCCCCCTTTTAAGTACTTCTTTAGCTGCATCCCATAAGTTTTGATAGATAATATTTTCATTATGATTTAGCTCAATTTTCTATTACTGTTTTATCTTTGATTCATGGGAGTTTTCAAACATTCACAAAAGTAGAGAAAGCATGTAATAAACTGCCATGTACCCATCATCCAATATTATTATTGAGATAAAATTCATATGTTTAACTATTTTAAACTGTACAATTCAGTGGCATTTAGTACATGGACAATGTTATGTAATCATCACCTCCATTTAGTTCCTAAACATTTCCATCACTTCAAAAGGAAGTTCCATACAATTAACCAGTCACTCCACATTCATCTCTCTCTCCAGCCCCTGGTGATCAATATTTTTAAAATTGCTATTATGAACCCATGGGTTTTTATAAATTTTATGAGTTTCGATCCATTGCAGTCACTATTCCTGTAAATAATCCCTTATATGGTGAGCAAGAATCCAGTATTTTCAAGTTGTTTCCTGCATCCTTTTGGCATGACCCTTTTAATCTTTGATAGCTTACTTGCTTTATGACACAACAGGATCTACGAGGCTCATTTTTTACTCCAAACATAAAATGAGTTATTCCTCCAAGGAGCTCTTGATGCTTTCTAGCAGGAAAATTAGAGATGATACTATGGGTGCTAAGGGTGCTCATTGTCACTGGGATATCATTATTTCTAGGGCTTTTCAGTGAAAAAAGCTAGGAAATATGTATATCTCCATTAAGAAAAAATAAATCATAAAGTCTTATTATATTCCTAATTTATATATAAGATTGGGGGCTTTTAATTAATTCAATTGTATACTTTATCTCTCTTATCTTAAAAATCTTCGATCTTTATGCATTAACCCATTACATATTTGATAATTTTAAAATAACAATACTATTATTACTAACTACACTACTTAATGCAGCCTAATATTTCTCATGGCTCTTTTTGTTTATCAGATATATTCCTATATTCCACTAGGAATGTACAGTCTGAAGAGTGTGTTTTAATGTTACTTGGATTAAAACAGTTGAACTCATGGAGACAGAGAATAGAAGGATGGTTAGCAGAGGCTGGGAAGAGTAATGAGGGGTTGGGGGTATTGGGGGGAAGTGGGGATGGTTGATGGGTACAAAAATTAGAAAGAATGAATAAGACCTCATATTTGCTAGCACAACAGGTTGACTATAGTCAAAGATAATTTTAAGTGTACATATTAAAATAAAGAAATATAATTCAATTGTTTGTAACATTAAAGATAAATGCTTGAGGTGACAGATACCCCATTTACCCTGACGTGATTATTGCGCATTGCATGCCTGTATAAAAATATCTCAAGTAATTCATAAATATATATACCTACTATGTACCCACAAAAATTAAAAATTAATTAAGTCACTTGAAATAAATCATTTTCCCTATGCAATTATGATATATAGTTAGGATTCTCTTAAATTTTGATAGTCACAATTGATTTAATAGACTCTAAATCTGTTCAATATCTCTTCTCTGTTAAGAGAGAAGATCCTTAAAAAGGATCCTTAAAAAGATCCTTAAAAACGATCCTTAAAAAGGGTCTTAGAACATTTTAACCCCAGTCAATTTCCCATTGTAAATAATTTTGTTTCCATTTTGTTACATTCCCCAAATTAGTAATTATGATTACATTTTGCTGAATCAAAGGCATCATTGATTGTATCATGCACCATGATTTTACCTACTCCAAAGAAAAAAATGCTGCCAATTACATGACACATCAACACATAAGATGCATCCCAATTTCAGAAATGTTAAAAAGATTTAAGTATATCATGTAATCCATTAAATGTAATATTATTATTATTGCTGTTGATAGAGTCAATCCTTGTTTAGTTTTACCCAGCTGCTTACTATTTTCTTTGCTCTCAATTGCTAAATCTCCCTCCTTCCTTTTTAGATAAATTCTTTCTTCTGAAGTACCTCTTTGGTAGATTTTTAGGGAGAATCTATGAGTCATAAAAACTTAAAACCTATGCCTGGAAATACTTAAAATGTTTTATTTTAAATTTTATTTTATTTCAATTTCACTGAAAGTTTTGGATTTTTTACCATGTGCATATTGTATTTTAAAAGCAATTAAAAATATAAGAAAATAGAAACAAAATTTTTTGCTGAGGTATAACTTTCACACAGTAACCTGTACAAACATTACATGTACAGGTTGATTAATTTTTACATATGTATGTGCCTTTGTAATCACCATCCAGTTTCTGAAAATGTTTTGAAATGGTGTGGAATTCTAGTTTGAAGCCATTTTTTGCTGGCTATAGTGATATTTTTCCATTGTCTTGTGGTTTCAGTTGTTGTTGTTAAGTCTGCTATCCATCTAATTGCTATTCCTTAGAAAGTAATTTGTCTTTCTTCTTAGATCTATTTTAACATCACATAGTTTTTGGCATTTGGGATTTTATGAATTTGTATCCAAATGTGAATTTATTTTATTTTTCCTGACCAAGATTTGCTTTCTGAATCTGAAAATTCGTATTTTTCATCACATCTGAAAAACTGTCAGCAATTATCTCTTTAAATGTTGACTCTCTTTAATTTTCTATATGTGCTCCTTTTGGAGTTTCTATTTGATATATGTTGCACTTTCTTATTCTACCTTCCATGCCTCTTTAATATTAAACTTTTTGAGGTATAATTAACATAACTCAAATGCACTCATTTTAAGTGTGTAGTCTTATGAGCTATAACCAACATTTATACCAATATAATAATTATCATGGTCAGCATACAGATCATTTTCAAACCCCTAAAAAGTTCTCTTATGCTCCTTTCCAGACAGATCTGTCACACCCAGCCCTAGGCAACCACTGACATGCTTTCTATCATTATTGAGTAGTTTTGACATTTTTAGGATTTCATACAAATGGAATCACACAATATAATCTCTTTGTGTCTGGCTTCTTTCACTTAACATACAATGTTTTAGAGATTCATCCATGTTTTAGGGTATATTAGTAAACTGTTCCTTTTTATTGCTGAGTAGTATATCAGTATATGGATATCACACATTTTGTTTATCCATTCACCTGTTAGTGGACATTCAGGTTGTTTCCAATTTGGAGCTATTATGCATAAAACTGCTATGAACATCCATGTGTGGATCTATGTTTTTATTTCTCTTTATTTACCTAAGAGTGGGATAGCTAGAACACACAGTAAATATATATTTAACATTATAAGAAACCTGTCAACTCTTTTCCAAAGTTGTTGTACCATTTGGTATTTCCACCAGCAATGCATGAGAGTATTAATTGCTTCACATCCTTGCCAACACCTGGTATTATCAATCTTTTTAATTTTAGCCATCCTACTAGGTGTGTAGTGGTACATGATTGCCATTTTAATTTGTAGTTCCCTGACGACTAATGATGATAAACATCTCTGTGTGTGTCTACTGGCAATTTTTAGATCGTTTTTGTGGTGTTTCTTTTTAACTCTTTCGCCTATTCATTTAATTGGGTTTCTTGTCTTATTAATGAATTATGAGTTCACTATATATTCTGGACACAAGTCCTTTGTTAGATTTATGTATTGTAGATTTCTCTCCAATTCTGTCACTTCCATTTCGTTTTCTTAATATGTATTTCAGAAATCAGAAGTTTTAAATCTTGATGGAGTCAAATTTATTAAGCTTTTTCCTTATGATTTATGCTTTTTGTGTTCCATCTAAGAAAACTTTGCTTACATCAAAATAGTGAAGGTTTTCTCTTGTGCCTTCTTATAGGTTTTACAGTTTTAACTGTTACCTTTTGGTATGTAATGCACTTGAATTAATTTTTGTGTATGAAATGAGGTAAAGGTTAGGGATTTTTAAAAATATGGATATCTGGTTTTCCAGCACCATTTGTTGAAAATACTGTCCTTGCCCCAGTTGAAGTGTCTTGGCACCTTTGCAAAAGATAATTGACCATATATTTGTGGGGCTACCTGTGAACTCTATCATTTTCTATATGTCTATCTTTGTTCCAGCACCACACTTTTCTTAACTTTTAAGTTCAGGGGTGCGTGTGCAGGATTTGCAGATTTGCTACATAGGTAAACATGTGTCATGGGGGTTTGCTGTACATATTATTTCATCGCCCAGGTATTAAACCTAGTATCAGTTAGTTATTTTTCCTGATTCTCTCCCTCTTCCAACCCTCCACCCTCTGATAGGCCTCAGTGTATGTTGTTCCTCTCTATGTGTCCATGTGTTCTCATCATTTAGCTCCCACTTATAAGTGAAATCATGCAGTATTTGGTTTTCTGTTGCTTCGTTAGTTTGCTAAGGATAATGGCCTCCAGCTCCATCCATGTCCCTGCAAAGGACATGATCTTATTCTTTTTGGGTGCATAGTATTTCATAGTGTATATGTACCACATTTTTTTATCCAGTCTATCTTGATAGGCATTGGATTTGATTCCATGTCTTTGCTTTTGCATTACCACACTCTTTTATTACTATTGCTTTATAAAAAGTATTGAAATCCGATAATGTAAGTCGCTTAATTTTGTTCTTCTTTTTCAAGATTACTTTGACTATCCTAGGTTCTGTGCATTTTTTTATACCTTGTCAGATTCTCAATTTCCTCAAAAAATTATGCTGAGATTCTAACTGGATGTGTGCTGAATCTACAGATCATTTTGGGAAGAACTGATGTTCTAACAATAACACCCCTGAGTCTTCCAATCCATTTACTAAGTCTTCTTTAATTTCCCTCGACAATGTTTTACACTGCCTACTGTAAAAGTCTTGCACATGTGTTTAAATTATCTCTAAGTATTCCATGGTTTTTTTTGATGCTATTGAAAATGGTATTCTTTTAAATTTTATTTTCCAATTGTTTATAGCAAGTATATAGAAATTTATACATTGACGTTGTATCATTTGAACTTGCCAAATTCACTTATCAGTTCTAGTAGTTTTCTGATAGACTGTTTAGAATTTTCTCTGTATACATTCATGTCATCATGAATAGAGATGGTTTTATTTCTTCTATTCTAAGCTGTATGCATTTTCTTTTTTCACTTGACTGATTTTACCGGTTGGCAGCTCCAGTATAATGGTGAATAGAAGTAATAAGAGCAGACGTTCTTGCCTCATATTTTGTCTTGGGGGAAAGCATTCAGTCTTTCACCATTAAGTATGCTGTTACTTAAATGCTTTTCATAGATGCCCATTATCAGGTTGAGGAAGATTTCTTCTACTCCTAGCTTGCTCTAAGTTTTTATATTGAGTGAATTTTGAATTTTCCCAAATGCTTTTTCTGCATTGATTGAGATGGTCTTATGTTTTCATTATTTTATACTTTTAATATGATGAATATGATGAATTACACTGATTGATTTTCAAATGGTAAACCAGTCTTGCATTCTTCAGATAAACCTCACTTGGTCATGATGTAGCATCTTTTTTATATAGGTCATGATTGAACTTTAGATTTTATACTGAATGAAATGGGAGCCATTAGAAAGTTTCTGAGCAGAGGAATGATACAACATGGCATATTTAGTTGCATCCTTCTGGGGTTGCTGTATTGAGAAACTACAGTAGAGGCAATAGTGTAAGAGGGAAGACCAGGTAGGAAATTATGCCAGTAATCTAGGTGAGAGGTGATGGGTGAATTAAAACAGGGGTGTAGTAGTGGAGGTGATGATAAACGGTCACATTCTGAATATATTTTGATGGCAGAGCCAACAGACTTCTGCTGATGGATTGGATGTGCGGTTCTAAAAGATGAAAGGAATCAGAAATATTGCTAAGCTTTTAGACCTGAAAACTTTGAAAAGCAGATCATCATCCTCTAAAATGGGGAAAGACTGCAGGAGGAACAGGTTTAGGGATGTGGAAGATCAAGAGTTCAGTTTTGAATATCTTGAGTTTGAAATAAGCAACATACATCTAAATGGAAATGTTGGTTGGACGCGGTGGCTCATGCCTGTAATCCCAGAACTTTGGGAGGCAGAGGTGGGTGGATCATTTGAGGTCAGGAGTTTGAGACCAGCCTGGGCAACATGGTGAAACCTTGCCTCTACCGAAAACACAAAAATTAGCAGGGTGTGGTGGCACACGCCTGTAATCCCAGCTACTTGGGAGGCTGAGGCAGGAGAATCGCTTGAACCCAGGAGACAGAGGTTGCAGTGAGCTGAGATCATGCCACAACACTCCAGCCTGGGCAACAGAGCAAGATTCCGTCTCAAAAATAAATAAATAAATAAATAAATAAATAAATAAATAAATAAATAAATGGAACTGTCAAGTAGCACTTTGATATACAAGAATTAACTTCATGTGAGAGGCTGAAACTGGAGTTATAAGCTGTGCTTCAGTTTCCAAACACATATAATATGGAGGTTAATAGGATCTGCCTCACAGAGTTTTGCATTAAATGAGACTACACATGAAAATATTTGCCTGGCACATAAGAAGCATTCAGTAAATGGTAGACATTATAAAACTGGAAGGGGAGTTGAGGACAGACTTTGAAAGGTCTTGGATCCTTGTCTAAGGAACTGAAATTTGCTCTGAAAGCATCAATAAACCCATGAAGTTTGTTGAACAGGAAAGTGACATTATCAAAGTGGCACCAAACATCAAAACAGAGGTGTCAAGGGAAATAAGTATTGAGAATACTGCTTGATCTGATGGCAAAGTAGCCACTGGAAACCTTAGAAATTACTGTTTCAATAGTAAGGGACCACCATATCATAGTGCAAGGGGATTAACAAGTAACTTGTAGGTGAACAATTAGAAGTATAATAGCGAAAGGAGAGAAATAAGTAAGTAAAAGAAGCATCCAAGTCAAAAAAGATCTTTCTGGTTAAGATTCACACATTGGAAAATAAATACAAAAGCAACACAAAATAACTAAAGGGTGGGCGGGGCGGGGGACAATAAAATTGGAGGGAAAGGAGCAATCTATGTGTGTTTGAAGACATGGGGAGGAGTCCATGAAGATAAGATTTTGGAGAAAGAGAAGGTAAAGTAAAAAGCAAGGTTTTCAAGCAGATAGAATATGGACTCGAGAGTACAAATGGAGAGGTGATCTTTGAGGAGCTCAACTAATCTAATAGCTAATTTCCAAATTTTTGCTCTGGCAACAAGGCCCTTCAAAGCCCCAAGCTTACCTCATTATGCAATCAATGTACAACCTCTGCATGTTTTTGTCCCAGGAAAACTGGCTTCATTTCCACACACCGCCCATAGAGCCCTAAAACACTGTGGCCCGTGTTCTTGGGCCTACCTGTAATGATAACCCCAAACCACCTCCCTGCTTTTATGTGAATCGATCTCTTCCTCTAATGTTCATTTTCTCAAGGAAGCCTGCTATTACCATCCCACCCAACAGTATTCTGTCCCTCCTCTGACCTTCTTCGGCACTTGTCTATACTCCTCATTTGGTCTTTATGTGCTACCTTTTAATGTTATTTATCTTTAGTGTATATCTTCTTTCTCTCCAAGTGGATTATAAGCTCCTCAAAGGCCTGATTCATCTTCATATTTGCAGTAATGAGCACATAAGAAGCGTTCAATAACTGGCTGTTGATGATGATTACAAAAAAATTGAATTGAGGAATAATGTCATCAAGCTATGGCAGCCTGGTGAGTCACCCTTAACACTATAGAGAGACTTATCAAGGAAATAGAAGTACTCACATTAGCCTGACAAAACACTCTCCCTCAGTGTCATGCTAAAGCCACAGTACTTTTTTTCTCCATGTTGGTGCTCCCGTTTAGCTATTTGAACATATGGCATCCAAATGTATAACATGCTCTAACTTCTAAACCTTTAGTTCATTTAAGACTGTTTGCTTATTGATGAAATTTAGGGGCACATTATTCCCATGCAAATCACCCTTTGGGCAACATCAAGCTTGTCCAACCCACAGCCCATGGGCCACATGCAACCAAGGATGGCTTTTAATGTGGCCCAACACAAATTTGTAAACTTAAAACATTATGAGTTTTTTTGCAACTTTTTTGTTTAGCTCATCAGCTATAGTTAGTGTTAGTGTATTTTATGTGTGGCCCTGGACAATTCTTCTTCTTTCAATGAGGCCCAGGAAAGCCAAAAGATTGGACAGCCCTGGGCTACAAAATTTACTCCAAATAATTTACTCTACTTCATGACGAGTGGATCCAAGTTAACATCACAAGGGGCCTGCATCTCTGTTTATCGTTTATGTTTCAACTTTTCTGTAATTTCAAAGGCTCAGTTCTGGTCTACCTGGGTTAGTATTAATGTAATTATTAGGGCCAGAAAGCCCAGTAAGGGTTAGAACTAGAACCGATGGACCATCAGAGGTAATGATGAAGAGAGTGACACGATACAGGTGACTTTATAGTGATTTACATTGTCTAACTCATTATGATTTCTACCCTAGACTAAGGGCTGTCATAGGAAGACAGCTTCTGAACTCACTTCTAATGTTCAAATGGATTTTATGTTTGAAGAATCTGTCACCAAATGAGTCTGAGTGAGGCAGAGCTTGACTCTCACTACGGAAGTTAAAAATGCTTTTCCCAATACTTCCTGCAGCTAGGGTATGGGCCCATAACTGAAGGCATGGCTAATCAAAGGCATGGAACCTAGTGACAGACAGAAGCAGAGATGGGGCCAAACCATACTGGAGTCAACAGCATTGTCCAGCAACTAGAGCCAGCAGCCTGGAGTTGACGGCTCAATAGCATCTGTGCAGGAGTGTGCTCACTGTATAGGGTTTGTAACAAGTTTATGGCTGTGGCTCTGGCTGCAGAGTCACCCTTGTCCCTATTTTCTGAATCTGGTTCTCCTGCCTTTCCACCAATTCTGCACATGACGTACTCCCCCTGCCCATAGATTTTTGTACTGAAAAATGTCAAGTCTTCAGGAAGTGTGAAAGATTAGTAAATTCAAATCCTGTATACTTTTCACTTGGATTTACCAATTTCTTAATATCTTGCTACATTTGCTTTCTCTCTCTTTTATATATATATATATATATACACACACACACACATATATATTTACATATACATATATACACATATATGTATATTATATATCACATATATATTATATATTTGAAAACAACTTGAAGATGTCATGATATTTCAGCCCTAAATACTTGAGCACAGGCTGGGCACAGTGGCTTATGCCTGTAATCCCAGCAGTTTGGGAGGCCAAGGCGGGCAGTTCACTTGAGGTCAGGAGTTCAAGACCAGCCTGACTAACACGGTGAAACCCCAACTCTACTAAAAATGCAAAAATTAGCCAGGCGTGGTGGTGGGAGCCTGTAATCCCAGCTACTTGGGAGGCTGAGGCAGGAGAATTGCTTGAACCCAGGAGGCGGAGGTTGCAGTGAGCCGAGATAGCGCCATTGCACTCCAGCCTGGGCAACAAGAGGAAAAATAAATAAATACTTGAGCACATATCTCCTAAGAACAAGGACAATCTTCTACATAACCACAATACCATGATCAAACCCCAGAAATCTAGTAATCAGTCTGTAAAATCATCAAATTACAGTATATATGCAAGCTTCCCCAATTGTTCCCAAAATGCCTTCTATGTCTTCTTTCACCCAGCTTAGGTTCCGATCAAGATTTGTTGTCTTGATGGCATTTAACAACAATCTTTTCCCCCTTTCTGTTTTTCTTCATTAGAGACTTTTTTTTTTCAAGAGTTTAGGCCAGTTGTCTTGTAGAATAAAACATCCCATATTCTAGATGTCTCTAATTATATCCTTGTGATTAGATTTAGATAAAACACTCTAGGCAAACGTACTATATATGTGCTGTTGTGTAGTTGTTATTGTATCACATCAGGAGGCACTTAATGTCATGCTGGTGACACTAAGACTGATCACTTTTAAAGTGATGACTATCATAGCACCACACTGTAACATTACATTGTTCTCTTTGTAATTAGTAAGTAATTTATGGGTGATACCTTGACATCATACCTTGAACATTTGGAATACCTGGTTTCCCAAACTACCCTTCACTCAACTGTTTTAGCACCCACTGATGATCCTTGCTAGATTATTACATTGGAGATTGGAAAATTGTGAGCTTCTAATTCTCTCATTCTTCCTACATTTTATAATTAGTATTAATCTGAAAAAAAAAGAACTTTCCTCACACCCTTGCTCACCCCCTTTGGCCCTATCACTTCAAATTCATGGATTATTTTAATTAAATGTATTAAAATCCATTACCAAGATTATTATAATGTTAAAACTGTCTTGATTTTAACCAGTAGGAATCCCTCAAGACAACTCTTGTGTTCTCTGACTTAATCCCATTAGCATCTGAACACTTCCTTTCTTTCTGGCACAATAAGATGTTCCAGGATCATCTGGTACCTTCCCTGCCCCAGCCATGAAATCAGTCATTTCTCCAAGGGCTCTTTGTTCTATTCAGTGGAGAATTGCATTTAGAAACCAACATTTGAGCTCCAGGTATGTTCATTGATACTGGGATGTTATTACTTGTAAGTCCAGTGAGTGAACAGAGCTACGAAAAAATGTATATACATGTATAAAATAAATTCATACTGATATTTCTGATTCAAATTTAACATTACAGAACTTTCCCTTACTTTCTTTTACTTTGTACTTACATTTCTTCTACTGTGGAAGTCTTGGTTCCAGACAAAATTAATACATTTCCTTATTTGCTTTATCACACAGTATACATAAATACACAAATATAATGCACTATTCACAATACAATTAATAAAGTTTATTATGACTTTATGGCTCTTTTTGTCCTTAGAACACACAAGAGGCCTTCAAAAAGTTTGTGAAAATGTATATTATGAAAAACTATGCATGGATTTCAAATTTTTTTGCACCAAAATAGATTTGTCCTAACTTACTATGACATATCCGAACAGGATCTAGTGTGAGACACTAAGAAGGATAAGGCATCAGTTTGAAAAGATCCCCTCTCAGAGCAACAGGAATTCTGCTAAAATTGAAGTTAGGACAAACATCAAATTTATGGTGAAGCTTGGGTGGAAGAATGGTAAAACTGTTGATACTTTACAAGAAAACTTGTAGGGACAATGTCTTAAGGAAATCAGCAGAATAGGTAACCATCCACATCAACTCGTGAGGAAGAAATTAATCTTTTTTGTGCCCTAATTGAAGAGGACTGATGATTAACAGCATAAACAATAGCCAACACCATAGGCATCTCAAATGGCCTAGCTTACAAAATTATGACTGAAGAATTAAAGTTGGATGAAATTTCCACTCGAAAGGTGCCGAAACCATTGCACCCAGATTAGCTGCAGATGAGATTAGAGATTTTGATGGATATTTTAAATACGTAAGATTGAGATCCTGAAATATTTCCTTGAAGACTTGTAACAGGAGATGAAACATGGCTTTACCAATATGATCCTGAAGACAAAGCACAATCAAAGTAATGGCTACCAAGGGATGGAAGTGGTCCAGTCAAAGCAAAAGTGATCTGATCAAAAGCAAAGGTCATAGCAATGGTGTTTTGGAATGCTCAAGGCATTTTGCTTGTTAACTTTCTGGTGGACCAAAGAACAACAACATCTGCTTATTATGAGAGTGTTTTGAGAAAGTTAGCCAAAGTTTTAGCAGAAAAATTCCTGAGAAAGTTTCACCAGAGTCCTTCTTCACCACGACAATGCTCTTGATCATTCCTCTGATCGAGCAAGAGCAATTTTGTGATGGTTTTGATGGCAAATCATTTGGCATCCATCTTTTATAGTCCTGATTTGGCTCCTTCTGACTTATTTTTGTTTCCTAATCTTTAAAAATGTGTAAAAATCACCCATTTTTCTACAGTTAATAATGTAAAAGGCTATGTTGACATGATTAAATTCCAAGGCCCCTCAGTTCCTTAGGGATTGAATAAATGGCTGTTATCATCATTTACCAAAATATCTTTACCTTGATGGAACTTATGTTGAGAGATAAAGTTTACAATTTTATTGTTATATTTTAATTCCATTTTCCACAAAGTTTTTGAAGTCCCCTTGTATTCCAGCAATGATGTATATAGTCAGAGATATGTGTTCAAAATATTGAAAGAAATTTGAATTTTCTTTTCTCTGTCATTTGTTACAAATGTGATACTTAGGTTCATTTGTTTCTATTTGTATTAAGTTTTAATATTTGATTTTTCATTTTTTTAAACTTTAACAGTATGTAAAATATTTACATGTTTAAAAAGTCAAAACTCTCTTGTTTTTTTTCTGCCTCTTTTTACTTCAAAAGGAAAAAAGGGGAAAAAGTCAAAACTATCTAAAATGTTATCATCAGAGTAGTCATTATTCTATTCCTGTCCTATCTACTCAGTTTCTACTAACTCTCAATAGATTCTGTCTTAGCCTTTCTCCACTTGTTTTTGTAGGAAAAAGTAAACATACCAATTTACATCTATCTATCTATATGTCATAGATATGTGTGTGTTCTTCTTAGTTGTTATGCAAAAAGTAACATGCTAATATGCTACACTTTTCTCTTATCACTTAATAATATATCCCAGAAATGACACTGTTATCAGTTCATAGACTATGCCTCATTATTTTATACAACTGTTTGTACTCCATTGTCCTCCATATCTTAAAATTCTTCCTCTCTTCCATGGTACCTAGAACTATCTCAGGTTTATAGTAGATAAGTTATAAATATTTTGTGGTTGACCAAACAAAATAATAGTGGTCTAAATTGCAGCATAAACTACTATGGTTAGACTTCAGTAACAACATCCTACAGTAAGAATGACTAAGTTTCTTAAAAATCGCTTAGCTATAAAATTATTATGTGTCAATTAAAAATAAAAATAAGTAATATCAGGATTTTGATTTTTACAAAAAATAATGCTATGAGAGGTTGTAGAAAATCTTTCCCTAAAGGTCATAGGAATTAAAAAGGGGAAAACAGCAGTTTATATTAAGATATACTACTGGTCCAGCATCCATTCTAACAGACCTCAATACTCAGAAAATTGTAGAAGCTGAAATGAATTGGAATAAATACTATGGCAATATTAAAAGACTTTTTAAAATGCTATTATAGAGCTAAAATATTCACCCAGCTGAGAACACTTTCTTTGCAGTAACACTACTACCAAGATGTGATTTAGTAGTAAATTTCTTTAACATTTCAAAATCCTTTAATGATAGGTCATTTGTTGAGCTCCATTTTGTTCCTCCAATTGTAGACTTCAGCACAAACTGCCATTTTCTTTGCCTGTGGTTATCATGGAGTTTAATTTTTTTTTTTAATATAGAAAAGCATGTGTGTTCACTGGCAAAGGAATCTAGTTAACATCGAGATTTTAACATATGCCCTGATGCTAGGGCACTTTTTAACTATCCTCAAGAACATTGTTCAAATTTTTGTGCCTTGATTGAAGTGTGTGATTCTCTAACAATCCAGGATTACTACGAATACACTTTGCTTTTCAAAGTGTGGATGGGAAGATCCAGTTTAAAACTATGGTCTGGGACCAGCAACATCAGCATCGCCAAGGAGTTCATTAAAAATGCAGAATATCAGGGCCCATCCTAGACCTATTGAATCAGAACCTGTATGTTAACACAATTTCTCAGGTGATTCATGATGCACATTAGAGTTTGAGAAGCACTAATGTAACATTTATAAGAGAAAAGCAAACAGTTAAATAGGAATTGCCCGATAAATCAGCAACTGGGTGATGTTAATCACATTTCGGTTGTTACTGGAGGGGCTGCGGAAGAGATAATGATAGAGTGGAGTCACTGCATAAAATGAAGCGGGGAGAGTGGTAAAGAAAGATTATTGAGAGAGCACCCGAACCAAAAGTTTTGTTCTGCCAAAAAGCCAGAGAGGTTTGTAAAACTCTTCTCACTGCAACAAAAGGGAAGGGGAAAGCATAGAGAGATGAGAACGAGGTATAGATAGTATAACAGAGGATGAAAGATGTAAAAAAATTGGAACCTCAGTCCTGCTGGAGACTCATTGTAAATGGGATGCAAATCAGTGATTATGGAAGGTTTATGAATAAGGTCCCAGTTAAAAGCAGCCAGCAGTGCACGGCTCAGAGGCTCTGGCTTCTGGCACAGAAGAATCCTTTCCCTCTCCTTGATTTATTCTCCAGTGATTGTGAGTTTTCTGAAGATATACATATATCTGATGATAATGGAGATTCTGTGAGACTTTTCTCCTTCATATTTAATCTACAAATTCATTATGGATTTTCTTGATGAATTAAACCTCTTCCCATAACAATGTCTTAAGAGTGCCTGTGTGTATGTGAATGGGGGAGAAGGGTAGACAATCAAGTACCTATCCCTAGATCTAATAGGAAAAATGGATCAGTGAATAGGGTAAGACATTCCCAAAATTACCACAGGGATAGTTACATCCTTAAATTCAGAATTGGAAGGCAGCACTGAAATCCCTTGACATTCACCGATTGCATGTCTTTATTGAATTTTTTATTATCTTTTTTTCCCAGAGTGAAAAATTGCCAAAACCAGAACTGAAGCACCTATATTTGTTATGATTTTTACTCATCATCTACAAGGTTGAGGTTGCTGGTTGAGAGAGAGAGAGAGATATTAGATGATGCCAGAAAATATAATACTTCCTGAAAGAGAACCAGGCTGTGCAGATCCTGTTCTACCTCATAGCTGGAAAGAGATTGATTTTTTTTTTCAATTTTGCAATAATCTGTATTATTTGAGGCTTTTCCATCACTCTCTTCCTCTGCAGCCCCTTTCAAATCCTTGTTTAGAATCATGGGGAAGTGGGTAGGCAGGAAGGGAGGTACCTTTCACCTGATTTTTCAGTGACCCTATCAAAGAAAGAGAAGCCCAGAAGAAATGTGAAGGCCACTGTGCACATGAAACAGCACAGAGTGGACCCAGCTATTTCTTTTAATAAAGAAACAAGTAAATTAGTTTCACAGAGTAATACTAAAATTGGTTTCCTCACCACACAAAACCATGAAGATATTTATATATAATTTATCTTTCTAAGTTGTCATGTGGCAAAAGACCACTTGCTGTGCAGCAGGCTTCTCTTGCTACTTAGAGAGAATTACGTGATTAAATAGAGACCTGAAAAGTTTTGAACAAGCACTGAAGGAGAAAAGGTTTCCTCTTCAAGCCTTAATGAAGTGAGCTCATTCCTCCTCCAACATCAACTTAGCCTTGTGTAGTTTGTTTTCTCGCGGGTTAATCACTGACCAGAGCTGCAGTGCGGACCACCAGTTTCCAATAAACCATAAAAGGCCGATCAGCAGCCATTGTGCTTTTCTGTAGGGCTTAGCAGACAGCAGCTGAATAAACCTGTTCAAAGTCAGAACAGTCAAGCAGGAGCGCAGAGGCCCAACCAGTGCCTCTGGTGAATCCTGAAAAGCAAATTAATTTATTAGGACATAATTGATAGCATGTGCAAATACACTAGCCAGAGACTCCCCTGTGCTAATTTCAGCATAATTAAATATGGGGCAGTTAATGAATAGTGTTCTGGGAAAGCAACATTATGATAAATATCCAATTATTACTTTCTGTATCCCATACTTGCTATGTTACATGCAGGCCAATGCTTCTGCTTTCGAGGTTTAGAGAAAAATCCAGAGGGAAAGAAAAGACCTAACAAACTGTGATTCCTCTGAATTAAGTTTTAAATAAAGGCTGTGGCAAGTGAAATCCACCCAGAAAGAGAATTACTTGAATATGCACGGAAAGGAGGACATGAAATCTATCAATTATATTTTCATGTAAATGCACATGTTCTTTCTTCTTTGGAGAGTTTCACAATTTGGGAATTCAAAGCTTCTGTGCAAATGTTGTCTAAACAAGGCTTCCCTTTACAAAAAAAACTCCACCTGCCAAGGTAAAGACTGAACAGAGAGCTGCTCAAATACAGCAGAAGAAACCTACACCGTCGGCCAATATGCTGCTGGCTGTACAGAGTCCTCTGGCTGTGGTTCCCTTTTATTTCTGCCCTTTCCCTCAAAGTTGCATCAGAAATTACTGCCAAAAATAGTGCTCCCTGTGGGTCAGGACCTTAGATTCAGCAGTCTTTCCAGACTCACAACACAGTAACAACTCCATCGTGCCGTTTCTGATGTGTCCTTTGGCTACTGCCTCTACAGGTTAAGAAAACAAAACAAGCAGGAGAAAACAACAACAACAACATTTCCCAGTAAAAGTAAATAAATAACACCTCCCTAACCAGCTTGGCCAATAGAGCTTTTGAAGTCACAGCATCAGTATGCATAAGGAATGTCAAATGTCTAAATTGTGCCATATTTCTCCAAAGGATCTTTGAAGCAACCTTTGAAGATGGGAGAGAGATCGCCACATCCTCCCCTAATCCCTGAGGCTGATAGGTGAGAGAAAGGCGGACACTTTCATTTCCTACATTCATCAACAAGGATTTTCTTCTGAGCAGTCTCAGATCTGTGGAGACTTCATTGTCACTTGGAGTTATGTTTCTCTTCCCAAACGGGAGCCTCTTCTAACACATTTCAACTGCTTGTCGCCAATTGTGTTGTCAAAGAGCTGGGGCTTTCCAAATTATTTGCTGCTGGTTAGAATGGGACATGGTCCTAAAGGCAGAAGTAATAGGAGGCTTACCCCATCTGCTCTGGTCAGTTTCTTTTCCCCAGCTGGCATCAGGGTGTCATTTCTATTCTCCACACTCTTGGTGTTTCTGACAGCTAAAGCTGCCAGATAAATGATCATTCTAGATACATTTGTGATGCATGATATGCCATAGAAAACAACCAACATTAGAGTGACCCTTAGTTATCATTTTAGAAATTAGAAAATGAGAGCTCATGTGCGTATCTTTTATATCTTTTCTTTTAGGATCCTGATGGTCTCTCCATCAGCTTGAGGTTTTTTTGTGGTTGTTTATGCAGCTTTGAGCAACATAGGAGTTTAAATCAACAGTTGATATTTTCAAGTCCTGCCCTGTACAATCACCCTGTAGCAGAGGCCTGCCTGTACCATTTGGCCATCAGAAGACACACTACTGTGATAAACGTCCTTCCTAACTAAATGACACTTTGGAAAAGGTAAAACAATTTTAATCTGACTAGGAAGAATCTATGTACATTTTCCAAAGTAATCAAAGTCAAAAGTTTAAGGACATTTCAAAGGAAAAAAATAACCTAGGCATTAAGTGACTCTTCAAAAGAGACCTGGCCCACAGGGAAACTTTTCAACAGACAGCATGGACCTACTGACCTGGGAGGGAAAGAAGTGTCATCGGGGCAAAGCAGAGACTAAATCATGAGGAATGTCCAAGTCTCACCTGACTCCAGCTGAAGCCAACACTAGTGTGCAAATCTACAAAGGAACCACTGCAAATCATTGTCTGTGTCACATTATTAGGCAGCTTTCCAGTGGCTACTTTATTCTGGGCAGTCTTTCAATGCAGATAGATGCCTTAAACTTGGGTTTTGCACATAATTTGCTATTTTAGAGCAGTTTATTTCTCTCACCTGCACACCCCATGGGGACTCACTGATTGCTTTAATTCTAACATTTGGAGTGGAACCCATTCATGAAAATTTCTGGCTGTGTGATTCAAACGAAGGCTTCTCTTTCCTCTTTTTGTTCTCACAAGAAAATCAATTCACTTGAAGAGCCTCTTAATCCCATTTTTGCAATCAACAATTGCCACTTGTATATCGCTCTAATAGATTAAGAAGTGGGATGATGCGGTTGTCTGGTCTAATTCAACCCTATTCAGGTAGCTGCAGCCTGAGGCACTTTGTAGTGCCAAGTGCAGAGCTCGACAGGAAGACTTTTGCTATCATAATTTCCTGTGGAGCTATGCACTGCCCCCACTGTGGAGCCTGAATTACTTTGAATTAGGCCCGACAACCACAGAGAGTCGAAATCCAGCAAGCAACAATAACCAACTCTTTGAGCATGACTTGCATGGGTTATTTTTTTCTTTGCATTGGCAAAGAAAGGAGGAATTTCAAAATGCACATCTATTTAAATGACAGCAACCTGCCATAAATCAAGTGTGAAACAAAAGAGAAAACAGTCGAAGTGAGAGAGAAGTTGGAGTGGAGGAAAAATTAATCAAAACAGTTTTCAAAAACTTCATAGTTTGAGCCTGTGAAAATTTTCAGGCCTACACTATCACCATGACAACCTGTAGCAAGCCCATGTTGGATAACCACATCAGAAAGGGGCTGTTTTGTAAGGATGAAGCCCTCACATTTTCATCCTAAGTTCAAGTCTCACTTCTGAATGCCTTTTAAAAATCACAAAAATTAAAATGCAAATATTAAAAACTACAGGAGCTTCTTTGATGCTCTGGAAAAAGATAGATGCAGCCAGATCTTCTTGTGTGATTTTAAAATGGTCTTATCATGAAGTCCATACTAAACCCCATGCAGCTGTCACTTCAGGTAGGTGGTGTTTGAATCATAAAGCAACTGCTACGATGTATCAAGCCCAAGTGGGAAAGAAACAGCCATACATTAAATGATTAAGCAGATTCCAACAATTGTCAAAATTGGAAACATGTGGTTAAAATAGATTATTTCCGGAGATAGCAGTTAAACAAAATGTTCTAGGTAAGGAAACTGAGATCCCTGTTCTATTCACTGCAACTCCTTAATTATTACTGACATGGCCCAAAAAATGAATTAAATCTAAATAAATATAGGTTTCTCTTCTTAAGAGTTCCAATCCCTATTTCTACTATTTTACCTTTCTGTGTTCAGAAAATAAAGAGAACAAAGAGGGAGTCCCACTGATTCAAAACTAGCAGAACAGCCAAACAACAGAGCACAACTGTTCTCTCATGCATGACTGGGATTAGGATAAAAGCAGAAAAAGACTTCTGAGAAAAAGAAAACAACAAAAGAAACAGGAGTGCTGACAAAACTTTTTTTTCTTTCTATTGAGGCAAAAGAGAGGGAGAAAAAAGAGGACTGCTTTAAAAAAAGATAGAAGAAGAAAGATTAACAAACAGAAGTAAGGGCTTTCACCTCTTGTTTTACTTTTAGCCCAATCTGGTCAGAGAAACAAAACCCAGAAGTAAAGTAGATGATAACCTAAGACACTTTGGCAATTTTCACACTCAGAAAAGAAGCTCTATTGCTAGAAAATCTACTTTTATGTTATCAGTTCATTATTCTCTCAGATATCTAGGATGTGAGACAATGTCCCCTGACTGGAATTTTCCCCTGCACAGTTAGGACAGGATGCATGTGAATTCACACATTCTTCCACAGAGGGAAATCAGGGGAAGGCAGGGGAGCTTTTGCATTTGGAAATCGCATTCACAAATTAAACATAATTGTTTAAAAAAGAATGACCCTGAGGTCAACGCCACCAGTGTGGCATCACTGGACGGCTGGAGGGAGGGATTCAAAGCTCAGGCAACTGCAAACTTTGATTAAAGGCTCCTCATAAAGGCATGCAGATCAGTCATATTCTGCTGTGACTCCCCCCAGCCTTCTCTTCTAGAATGTTTTACAGATCCCATTAGGCTCTAATGATTAGTGGGTTACATAGAACATCTATTTTTACAAGTTTTGACCTATATCTCAAAGATTCTTACCACGCCTTAAAATAGGAATTAGATTCTTACTCAACTACTATTAAGTATCTTGATTTTTAAAAATTCTATCAGCTCCCATACTAGAATCTTGTTCGCCCAAAATATATTTCAACCATGAAACAGCCAACAGACATGATGCCTACTCCTGAGATCCTTAAATAAAGTACCCTCACAGAACCTGGAAATTGACTAGAAGAGTTTATGTTTAATAGAAGCTTCTATTGTCAGAAGAAACAGCTTTTATGTACATGACAGAACAAATATTGGTATGCCACAGTTGACAATACCAAATAACTTTTCGATGTCTAATACAGTATTTTCTCATACTTCGCCCCTCTAACTAATACATTCAACAAAAAATGCCTCACCAAATCTATAAACAGTTTAGGTGCTCAACACGTACTGTGTGTTAGGCATGTAGGTACTCTTTGATCTAATCCTCCCGATAACACTCTGAAGTCCACATCGGTATGCCCATTTTGCAGTATACCATGCCATGCTGCTTTCTGTCATTAGTTCATTCAACAAACACTGAGTTGGCATCTACTATGTTCTAGGTAGTGTAAGTTGTTAAGGATAAAATGATAACAATATAGACACAGTCTCCATCTCCTGAAACTTATAATCTAGTTAGGGAAACAGATATTAAACAAATGATAACATGCATAATTATTTAGTTACAGTTGTGCTAAGTGCTACAGAGAAAAAGCAGGGCACTGTGAGAGCCAAGTAGACCCAGACCTCTAATCTGGTCTAGGATGAAGAGAGGAGGTAAAAGGGGAGGAGCGGCAAGAGCTCTTCAGAAGAAGGAAAGACAAGTTTGAGTGAAAAGAATTGCGGCATATTTGAGAAACTACAAGGAGAATGGTGGGGCGGGAGTTTAGTGAAGTAGGCCAAGAGTGCTAGAAGATAGGCAGGATGGTGGTTGGTCATGCAGGGCCTAATTTTAGGTAATTTACAGATTTATCATTTTAGGTTCAATGTGGGGATTTGAAATGCCTTGAAGCAGGTGAGTGATGTGATTATATTGCTGGTGTTCACCCTGACTGCTGTTTGGAGAATGGAATGGAGCAGAGCAAGCAGGGCTGCCACGTGCGGTTTTGCAGGCTGCTCATGCACAAGGGGACTTTACTAAGGGGTAAGTGGAAGCTGTAGTCCAGCCTGAGCTCTTCTTATCTAGCCATTAGCCCAGGATTTGGGTTTTGTGTAATCAAAGGGGGTTCCTTTTTCTAACTAATACAAAGGCACAATGTAGGCTAGTAATGACTCTGGGAGTAAGACTAAAAGGAAGCAGATGAATGAGAAGGCTGTTGAAGTAGTCCAGGCGATAATAAAATAATTGCTTTGGGCTGGATTATCAGTGGAAGCTGTGCTAAAAGCATGAGGTTGAAACACTCATGAAGATCTGACATTTGCAAGATGCCAAAGCATTGCCCAACAAACTCCTGCTTGCAAGGCAGAAGTTGGATCTCTAATGGTGGGACAATCACACATGATGTACCTTCTGATGGGATGTAATATGAGCATACAATTTTACCTATGAGGATTGTAAGAGTTTGCTAGGGTTGCCATAACAAAATGCTACAGACTGAGTTTTTTTAACAACCAGAATTGATTTTCTCAAAGTTCTGGAGGCTACAAGTCCAAGATCAAGGTGTTGGTCGGGTTGATGTCTTCTGAGGCATCTCTCCTTGGCTCATGGACAGCTACCTTCTCACTGTGTCCTCACATGGTCTTTTCTCTCTGTGTGTGCATCCCTGTTGTCTCTCTATGTCCTAATCTTCTTTTCTCATAAGGATACCAGTCAGATTAGGATCTATCCTGAAAGCCTCGTTTTAACTTAATCACCTCTTTAAAGGCCCTATCTCCAAATACAATCACATCCCAAGTTACTAGGGTTAGGACTTCACCATAGGAATTTTGGGGAAATACAGTTCAGCCCATAACAAGGATTCTTGCCTAATATTTTAAGGCAGAAATTTTATTTTAAGGTTAAAAGTTTCAACCTTAATCCAGCTGATCCTTTTAGGTTCAACCTTAATCCAGCTGATCCTTTTAGATCTAACTTCCAGTTTGCAGAAAATGCCGATGCTAGAGAAACAAGTTTAACACCACCACAAGGCAGCAATCAGAAAGTGCAGAAAAGTGAGACATTCTTCAGGACAACTGACTAGCTCTTTTCAAAAACTTAATGTTAAAAACAAGTGGGGGTAATTTGGAGGCTAATGTTCTAGAGAGTAAAAGAAATTACAATACATAGTCCTTGATGGGCTCTTCCTGGTTTGATCACCTTTCAACAATGTTTTGAGGACAATTAGAGAAGCCTGAATATGAACTGAGCATTAGATATTATTAAGAAATTATTAGTCATTTGTTAGATGTAATAATACCATTGTGGTTATGTGGGAAAATAACTAATTCTTAGAAAGTCATATTGAGGCATTTATTTTGGTAATTTAATTTAAAAAAATGAAGTAAATAGTCAAAAAATTAAGAATGGTTAAATCTAGTAAGAGATACATGGGTGTTCATTACACTATTTTATCTTTCTGTGTGCTTTAAAGTTTTCATAAGAAAACATTAAACATGAGATTTGTCCTAAATGGAAAAAAAAATTTTAAGTACAGGTGAGAGATTGATGATGACTTGAGCTAGGGTGACAGTGGAGACAGGAAAAAGTGGATAAATTCAAGTGCTTAAATGAGTAAAGAAAATAAGGATATGCACAGTGCCTCACACCTGTAATCCCAGCATTTTGGGATGCCAAGGCAGGAGGATCACTTGAGGCCAGGAGTTCAAGACCAGCCTAGTCAACATAGCAAGACCCTGTCTCTACAAGAAAAACATAGCCAGACGTGGTGGCATGCACGTCTAGTCCTCAGCTACTTGGGAGGCTGAGGCAAGAGGATTGCTTGAGCCCAGGAGTTCAAGACCGTCCTGGGCAATAAAGCAAGACCCTGCCTTTTAAACAAGTTTTTAAAAGAAATATTTCAAATCAGCACATTCAAAAAGCATTCATGGAGTAACTGTCACATGTCAGGCACTCTGTTTGTCACTTTTCCACACATTATCTCATTAAATCCTCAAAACAACTAATCTAAGAGGTAGTAGTCCTTATTGTGTCAGAGACAATGGTGGCTAAGAGAGGCAAAGAAGAGGCTTTCCTAGGGCAAGAGCCAGCTGGTGGCCATAGCTGTAAGAAGCCTCTTCCTACCAAATTTGAACTACAGTAGAGAAACCCCAGGACTACTCATTTTAAAAAAAGATAACTTGTTTTGTCATTGATCACCCCCTAAGTTGCCCATTTTATAAAGTTTGGGTTTTCATACAGCAGGTTTCTTTTAAGAAACAGCCACTTATATTTTAGAAACCTTTCAGGGAAGAAATTGTCCCCGGAAATTGCTCCTTCCCACAAAAGCTACATGATTAAATAACCCAACACAACTCCTGTTCCTGGAAAATGGTGGTACCAGCAGTGCACAGATTACACATTCAGTAAATATATTTGAAAATTTCCCCTAGTTTTCCAAAATAATTAGCTGCTTAGTGTGTTATGATTTGTAGAATATTGACCTTTAAAAAGTGTATATAGCCACTTCATGGGTTACGTGTAAACTTTAAAAGGGCACCATTTTAGCAGCTTCATGAATCAGAATTCATGTAACACCATTAAATTCTCTAACCCTTTAAAAATGCCAGTTAATAATAAGCTTTAAGGAATGAGCAATTTTCCCTCCTTTAGGTAATCAAATAACAGTCGAAAGTAGAATCCTTGGGGTTCTGAGGAGAACAGCATTCACAGAGATGAACACTAGTGTGGATATAGTCTATCTCACTGATGTAGATTTTCTTAAATGGCTATTTTGGATTGCGTCAGTGATCCAGGATACTAGTTTTATCCATAGAGCATCACAAAGAAACAGAAAGGCATTTCGAAGACTAGAAGAACAAAAGCATACAACAGATCTAATGAGAACTGCCTGTGGGTAGAGCCCAACTTGCTTTCAACATTTTCAGAAATTTAGTGCTTCTTCATGTACTACAAAGATTTCTAATTTATTTAAACAACTCGAGGTTTGTTTGTTTGTTTGTTCCTAATACAGCGACCTCCATCATCACCAATATTTCTCTTTCCACCTTCCCTACAGCCTTCCTAGTCAACATGTGAGCATCTTTCAGAATGCTGGGAACACAGGCAGATTTACCTACCATGAAGCTAATGTAGCTTGAGTTTCAGGACCCATCACTGGGAAGGGCCCTAGCAATGTGTTCACATGGTCATGTGTCATTGTAAAATTTGTAAAAGTAAGATATTTTTGTATTATTTTACTTAGAGAGCCCCCTCCTTCTCCCAAAATTATAAATACTTTAGGCACCACACAATCTGGTTTCATCCCTGCTCAGGAAACTCTGCCAATAAACACCGATCTAGGTTACACAGATGCCTCATGCACTGAAGACCTTTTTAAAGTCAGCTAAACAGAGGTCAGGTCAAGCCATACATGACCTTCGTCAGAATTTAAATCTGCAATAGCTAGGCGCAGTGGCTCATGCCTGTAATCCCAGCACTTTAGGAGGCTGTGGCAAGATAATCACTTTAGGCCAGGAGTTAGAGACTAGCCTGGGCAACATAATGAGACCCTATCTCTACAAAAAAAAAAAAATTGTTTTTAATTAGTCACGGTGGCGCACACCTGTAGTCCCAGCTACTTGAGAGGCTGAAGTGGGAGGACTGCTTGAACCCAGGAGGTCAAGACTGCAGTGAGCCGTGATTGTGCCAATGCACTCCAACATGGGCAATAGAGCAGGATCCTGTCTCTAAAAAAATAATAATAATAAAACAAATCTGCAACAGAACCTTGGAAAATAATGTTCAGAAAATATAGTCTATAATGGATCCACATTTTCTTGAATGTTCTAATAGTCCCGCTGTGATTTGGATTTCAAAAGCCATATGTAACCTTGACTTCAAATAATGTTAAGTTCTTAAATTTCTTTTGGCATAAAATAGGATATTTTTCTCTAAGACTAAAAAATGTATCACCAGGATAGAGCACATTTTCCACCAGCCCATGGACTGGACTCCCTTCCCAGGAACAGGGTTATTTCCTGTGATGTACTCGGCACTGCTTTGCCCTGTCTGTGATGCTGGGATAGATAGGAGTAAGAGATGCAATTCCACAGCTGTTGAGCTTCTAGATCTCTAAACTTCTGTTTTGAAGCAAGCGACACTCTTTCCAGAAAAGAACTTGAGTAGTTCATGACATGAATTACAACTGAGATATGAGATTGAAAGGAAGACAGCCATTCTTTCTGCCCTGATTTTATCACCCTTCAAAAGGAGGAGGAATCAGGGACGCACCATCTGACATTCATTTGGATATATTCTGAGGCAAACTGTTCCAGGAGTTTTTCTATTTACCACCAGTTGCCACTTTGCAGAACGAACACACACACACACACACACACACAAATTCACAATTATTATTTTTCTGGCTATAAATATCAGATTAATGAAAGAAATTCAGGCTGGCTGCAGTGGCTCACTCCTGTAATCCCAGCACTTTGGGAGGCCGAGGTGGGCGGAACACCTGAAGTCAGGAGTTTGAGACTAGCCTGGCCAACATAGTGAAACCTCGTCTCTGTTAAAAGTACAAAAATTAGCCAGGCATGGTGGCACGCACTTGTAGTCCCAGCTACTCGGGAGGCTGAGGCAAGAGAATCTCTTGAACGAGGAGGTGGAGGTTGCAGTGAGCCGAGATTGTGCTACTGCACTCCAGCCTGGGCAACAGAGCAAGACTCCATCTCAAAAAATAAATAAACAAAATGAAATGAAGGAAATCCAGTGTCTATCATAGTATAAAGAAAGCATACAATGTTTATTGAAAGAAATGAGGGCTTGACAATTTGAGGCAATAGCTGTCTGAGAGTTCTTTTTATCAGCATATATTTTTCTTCACACACACACACACACATACACACACATCCTTCTCAGCTATCTATAGTTACAGCTCAGCCTTTAAGTGCCAACTGGCCAACTGGCCAACTGGCCTGGGCGCTGGGAATTCATACATCCCAGCTGTCCAGTTCAGATCCCAAGTCCTAGAACACTTCTGGCTGGGTGGCCCTTCTCTGAAATGCGTCCAAGATTCTTCCAGTTCTTAGCTACAGTCTGTGTCTCATGTATTATTTTGTAAGAGTTTTGAAATACAAAATAATGTCACAACAGACAAAAATATGTTATGAGTTCACCAAGCTTTAATGGAAATACTCTAAGCATGAAACAACACAAGCATGTCCAATTTCACAGTATGGCCTGTAAAATCTTGGCTTTCAGCATTTTTCCTACTCCTGAGGTGGTAGGAAAACGTTTTTCAAAAGACAGTGGAGAGACAGAAAAAAAGTCAGACAAATATATATCCCACCAATCACATTGTGATGACCAAAGCAAGGAGATGGAAGCAATCAACGTTTTCTTTTTTATGGGGGGACTGGGCTAGCCCATCTTCACTTTGCAGCAGTTCACTTTACTCTGATTTCTCTTCCAGGGTTCAACCAACTACACCCATGACATTTCTTACAGCATTTTAATAGCAAGCAGTGCATAAATTATGTCATTATGATAGTTTGCTTTAAATGTACTCTGGAACAACAGACTCTCTCTGGCTCCAGAGGCCAAATGACAGTTCTCTCTGAGTACTGTGCTAGGTACTGAATTTCTGTCATTTAGGATCTGATATTTACAACCAGAAAACAATATTTGTGTTTTGGGGGGAGGGGGCAGTGGTACAAAAGTGACAACTGGTGGCCAATGAGAAAACTTCTTTAGGAGAGGAAGGAACATCTTTTTAACATTGCCTTCTTACATTGATTTGCATATGCTTTAAAAAGCTTTAAGATGAACAGGTGTGTGACTTATAGTTGAACGAGAAATTCTGGTACATGACATTATTTATAGATTAAATTAGGCTGTTGCCCTTTAGATAATATTTTATTCATCCAGCAAATATTTATTGAACACTTACAATGAGCAAGGAGTTGTGCTAAGTACTGAAAATGTGGTGGTGGAGAAAGCATACTCCCTGCCCTCAGGGACTTCGAGTTTTAGAGAGATAGGCATATAAATAGGCCATGCTAATTCAGCACAACAGGTGGACAAAGGAGTGAAAGACCCGGGGCATTATGGGAGTACAGAAAGGTGCCTAATATGTCTCAAGTGGCCAGGAAGGGAAGAAGGGATATCTAAACTGAGATTTAAAAGATTATTAAGAGTCATCAGGCAAATAGGGGGGAGTAAGAGTGGAGAAAGGTTGTTTACTCAAAGGATGTGAAAAGACCCTGATAAGAAAGAGGGATGTTGTATGTACACATAAAACTGGAGAAGTTCGGGCATTTGGACTTTTTGTTCTGAGAACAGTGAGGAGTCATTGAATGGCTTTCAGCAGGGAAGAGATATTATCTAACTTGCATTTCAGAAGTATATTCTGGCTACACTTTGGAAGGTAGATTGATAGAGGACCAGAAGAGAGACAGAGTAATCAGCCAGAGGACTATTACCATAGTGCAGGTAAGCAATGAAGGTGGCCTAAACTAGAAGAGTGCCATTGGAGGATACAGAGAAGTATACAGATTGGAGAGATTATCTTAATCCATTCAGGCTGTTCTAACAAAATACCATAAGCTGAGCAGCTTAGAGATAACAGATATTTATTTCCCCAATTCTGGAGGCTGGGAAGTCCAAGATCAAGGTGCCAGCAGATTCAGTGTCTGGTGAGGGCCTGTTTTCTGGTTCATAGATGGCACCTTCTTGTCATGTCCTCACATGATGGAAAGGGCAAGGGATTTATCTCAGGCATCCTTGATAAGGGCACTAATCCCATTTTAATGAAGGCAGAGTCCTCATGACTTAATCACTTCCCAAAGGCCCCATCTCCTAATACCAGCCCTTTGATGATTAGGATTCAAAATATAAATTTTGGGGAACACAAACACTCAGACCATAGCAGAGAATATAAGGATGTAATGAATAACAATAGCTAGTGTTTGTTTTTTGTCAGGCTCTATGGCATGCGCTTCACGTGCTTTATCTCACCTGATCCACACAACCCCATAACATGGTCACTGCAGAGAAAACTGAGCCTCAAAGGGATTAAGTAACTTATCCAAGATCTCTCAACTAGCAGCAGGTGCTTGATCTTAACCACTATATTCTACTACCTCTTCAGGTAAAAATGTCAGGACCTGTTGAAGAGAGGATGAGGGAAGGGAAGAGGTACAATTCTGAACCAAGGTTTCTGATGTGGGCAATTATTAACACAGAAGTTTGAGGAAACCTTGGGGGAGTTGGGTGATGCATTCAATTTTGTACATGTTGAGTTGGATGTCTATCAGATATTCAGTGTAAATGACAGATAGGTATATATATACATACACACACACACACACACACACATATATATATATATGTCTGAACTCAATATATCTGATGAAGAAACAGATCTAAAGGAGAATTATTAGTCATAGGAGCAGGAGAGATTACCTTAAGAGAGTGTGTAGAATGAGAAGAGACCTAAACAGATTCCCAAGAAACACAAACATTTAGGGGGCAGCCAGAGGAAGAGGGCTATGCAAAGAGAAGAAAGAAGAGATGAAGAAAGAAACCCGGATAGGGTGGTTATCACAGAAGCCAAGCAAAATAGAATTTCCAAAAGCAAGTGGTCAGAGGCTGCAGAGAGGTATGGTAAGATATAGATTAAAAATGTCCACGGGGTTTACCAGCAATGAGGCTGCCCGTGACCTTGATGAGAGCATTTCCAGTGGAGTGCTCAAAGGTGAGGAAGAGGAGATCAAGGAGGAGACAACTCTCAAGAGGTTTGGTTGTGAATAGGGAGAAAGAGCTAAGGCAGTAGACAGAAGGGGACCTTGGGTCAATAAAATTTTCTTGTTGATTTGTTTATTTTTAAAGGCTTGAATGACTTGAACACGTTTTGATGCTGCTGATACAAAGCTAGTAGAAACAGACAGAAAGCACTTGTCATAGGTGAGTGAATAGAAGGTGAAGAAAATGGGGATCAGACAGATGAAGAAATTAACTTTAGAAGGGAGGAGAGACACTGCTCTACTATCACAGGAGGAAAGGAATAAATGATGGGGGAAACACAGGTGACTTAGTCAAAACATTTATTTCTCAAAGATCTGGAGGCTGGAAAGTCCAGGATCAAGGCTGACAGATTTGATATCTGGTGAGGGCTCACTTTCTGGTTGGCAAATGGCCATCTTCTCATTATGTCCTCATATGGCCTGTCCTTGGTGTGTACATGTGGAAAGAAAGAAAGACCTCATGTCTCTTCCTCTTCTTATAAAGGGACTAATCTCATCATGGGGGCTCCACCCTTATGACATCATCTAAACCTAATTAATTCCCAAAGGCCCCACCTCTAAATACCATCACACTGGGGATAGGGGCTTCAAAATATAAACTTTAGAAGCACAAAACATTCAGTCCCTAGTGTAGGGGAGGAAAAATATCTTTTTCTTCCCTATCCTAGGTTAATGGCCCCTATTACAAAAGACAGACTGAACAGAGAAAAGCATACATGTGTATTTAATATACATTTTATGTGACACAGGAGCTTTCCTAAGGAAATGAAGACCTGAAGGAACCATTAAACCTGTGTATTTTTTAGAAATGTGTGGATTTTTATGCTAGATTTGATGAAGAAGTGGATAATCATAGAGAAACAGAACTGAACAAAGTGGGTATAATCTAATAGTAATAAACTGGGGGACACTTAGCAAGTCCTGTTGGTTCAGATTCTTCTCTGCAACCTTCCATCTTCAGAGTTAAGAATATTCCTTTCCATGGGAGTAGGTAGCTGAAGTGATGTGCAAGTAAAGACCTCTGAAGTTTAAGAGGTCAAAGAACTGAGAGGTCAGAGTGGTGTTCTGCCTGTCCATGTCAATTATGACACCCCCTAGGGGAATGGCAGGATTTAGGATGAAAAAGAATTCTCTAATCCAGATACCAAAGTCTCTGCTGAATGAAGTGGAGAAGGCTGTGAGCATCAGGCAGCAGACAAAAGCAACACTTTTCTCACCTTCCAGAATGGTTTCTCATAGACAAGAATAATAGCTACTATTTATTGAGTTCTCCTGATGTGCCAGGCACCCTTTTCTAAGCATTTTACATATGTTGTCTCATTTCAACCTCACAACAACCTTATAAGGTAGGCCCTGGTATTATCTCCCCCATTTTACAGCTGAAAGAAGTAAAGCACAGAGATATGAAATCGCTTTTCTAGGATTACCCAGCTAGTACATGGCAGAGCCAGGACTTGAACTCAAGCAGTCTGGCTCCAGAGTCTGTGCAGATGATCATCATAATAATGTCAGAGCTACTGTTTATTGAGCACAGGTTATGTACCTCACATGTGCAATGTATACCACATACATTATCTCATTCAACCATGACAAGAGCACTACCCAATAGGTACTATTATTTCTCCCACATTACAAATGAGGAAAACGAAGCTCTGGATTAGAAAATGACTCCACCATACTACTTCCAATGACATATTTTCTTTCCTTTTCTTTTTTTTTTTTTTTTGAGACAGAGTCTCGCTGTCTCCCAAGCTGGAGTGCAGTGGCGCCATCTCGGCTCACTGCAAACTCCGCCTCCCGGGTTCAGCCATTCTCCTGCCTCAGCCTCCAGAGTAGCTAGGACTACAGGCGCCTGCCACCGCACCCGGCTAATTTTTTGTATTTTTAGTAGAGAGGGGGTTTCACCGCGTTAGCCAGGATGGTCTCCCTCTCCTGACCTCGTGACCCGCCCGCCTCAGCCTTCCAAAGTGCTGGGATTACAGGCGTGAGCCACCGCGCCCAGCCAATGACATATTTTCTATAGAAAAATTAGCCTTGATTTTCCCATTCTAATTTATATTACTTATTCCAGGAACGTAACATTCATCTAATTCAAGTACTTAGATACGTACATCTATAATCTAGATATTTCTTTCTTTTTTTTTTTTTGAGACGGAGTCTCACTCTGTCGCTAATGTAGATATTGCTAATTTGCCTTTCAAGTGGTGTTCTTTTAAGTGGCTGATCAGTAAAGAAAATTATGTTACCTGATTAAGAGAGCAAAAGAGAAGGAAATGGGCTTTAATGGTAGAACAGTGGCTAACAATAATGTTATAGTTGTATAGTACTTTTATGTTTTGCAAAGGACTTTAACATATACCATTTTATTTGATCCTCCCCAAAGAAGAGTTTCCTGAATGTGAAAGTTCTAAGACCTTAGAATACAATACCTTAGGAAAACCCCACCTTGCTTGCTGTTGTTGTTATTTTATAAAGTACAAACAACTATCATATCTGCAAGCGTGTAAAACAGTTCCCTCTGGAGACAGAGGAATAATCTAGTCTAGAGTAGACTCTAAATCATTTGATATCTTTAAAACTTTGCCAAAACACTGAATTCATAATCATATTCTAAGGCAGAGATTTCAAATCTTTTGAGTAACAGGGTACCCTATTTTCAACCCCGCTTACCCGAGTCCTAAAAGTATTATAGGCATGTTTTCTAAAACAGTAATTCAAACTCATTTTATTTTGAAAATGCTAAGGTCATTTAACATTACTGGAGCTGTCTAATGTGTCATAAAACAAGGGTTGAGACTTGTGCTGAAACCTAAATCCTATACCTAATAACATTATCAACAGACAATTGTGAGTAAAGACAGATTAAAATGAGAGCAAAATTAACTTATTCAACAATCGTTTACTAAGCACTTACTACACACAGGTCACTGTGCTAAGTAGTGAAGTCCTCATGGATTGCTGTGTTAATCAGGGTTGGTTAACTGCTGTGGCTCTAACAAATAATCCCCAAGTCGCAGTGACTTAATAGAGTAAAAGTTTCTCTTTTGTGCAAAGTCCAATTCAGATGTTCCTGGCAGCTCTCCTCCAAGTGGGGACTCAGGAATTTAGCCTCCATGCATCAGTTGGTTTCACCATCCTCTAGAGCCACTACACTAGCTACTTTACAAAGGAACTCATGGGATGTTTTGTGAGCCAGAACTGGAAGTGATACACAACACTTCCACCTACATTCCATAGAACAGAACTTAGTCACCTAGCCTCAACCTTACTGCAACGGAGGCTGGAAAATGTAATCTTCCTATGTGTCCAATAAAAGGAAATGAATTTGATGAACACCTAACCAGTCTCTGCCTCAATCACATAATCCATTGTTTCCCAAACTTTAATCATTCTAGAATCACCTTTGTGATATTTGCTATATGTAATAATCAGCTGTATTATTTAATTAGTATTTTCTAGAATTTGACTCACTTTTTATATTTGGATAATTTTTTAGAAGGAAACTTGGTCACTATAGTAAGTGGAAAGGCAGTATCTCTTCCTATAAATAGAACATAGTGATAAAAATAAATATGACCACAAAACAACATTAAGTTTTAGCCGGAGACCATTTTCTGCTGGAAGCACTGAGCTGAAGCTTGCTCTCACTTGCTAAAAAGGAAGATTAGCAAGTGTTAGAAAGACAGCAAGATGTTAACCACATGGGAGCACCTAACTGAAACCTACTTCTTATCAGAAAGATTGAAAGATAATTGAAACACTAAATTATTGGAATTAATGAATGTAATCTCAATATTTTGAATAATCCTTTTGCCTGGGAACTTTTTGTTATTTCCTTTTACTAATTACTTGTGTCACAGGACTTTTCCTTAGTACAGCTAAAAACGGGGTTCTTGTCTGTCCCAGGGCCACAAAAATTTAGACTCGCAGACGGTTTAAAGGGTGAGTGAAGCAGGGTTTTATTGGGTGAAAAGGAAAAAAGGGGAAACACGGATCCTCTGCAAAGCCAAAGCCCCTGCTAGAGTGCTTCCAGCCCAGCAGTTCGAATCCCAGATTCCACACAAGAAGAGGAAGGGCCAGGCTCCTCCCTGCTGCAAACATCGTGAACTTCCCGAGGCTCTACCTCAGTGGGCAGGCTGGTTGGTGTTTCTCCAGGGACCCCTCCCACCTGGCTGTCTCACTTGGTTGTTACATTATAAGATTTTTTACAGTTGCTTTTTCTACAAATAATAAAGCTGAAACCTAGAGAGGGTGAAGTAACTTAACCAAGGTCTCACACGTAATAACTGGCATGGCTCAAAGTACAACAAAAGCCTTCTAATGTTTGATTTATAAACATTTACGTTGATAAAATAAAAACTTCAGCCGAATTAAATTTAAAAGAGTTTAACTGAGCAATGAATGATTCGCAAATTGGGCAGCCCCGAGAATCACAGCAGACTCACAGAGACTCCAGGGGTGCCTCGTGGTCAGAACAAATTTATAGGCAAAAAAGGTAAAGTGACATACAGGAATTGGAAGTGAGGTACAGAAACAGTGAGATTGGTTACAGCTCAACATTTGCCTTATTTGAACGCAGTTTGAACATTCAGCAGTCTATGAGTAGTTGAAGTAAGACTCCTGGGATTGGCCAACACTCAGCCATTGTTACAGGGGCATACTATTAAGTTTGGTTTTCAATTTTGTCTGACTATTAAGCTAGGTTACAATTCATCCACAAGGACTCAAATATAGAAGTATGGAGTCCTTCTCAGGCCATATTTAGTTTGGTTTAACAATTCCCCCCTTTTGGTCATTTTCTCAATTTTGAGAGATTGACCAAAATCTCAGTCACTGGTGTTACTATCACTATGGTATATGTACTTATATGGTTTTGAAACCCACTGGAAAAGTAGAACAGTGCGTTTTGCAACGAGGGAATAAGGACTGAGTAGAGGATACCTCCTTATACTGGAACATGATGTTTACAGGAGAAAAAACCTGGTCCATTTTAGGATCTATGTGTTTTCTTAAAGCCTTAGCTTGATTATGTCACATTTAGCACAAGTGACTCCATTTTAGTTTGGTTTGGTTTGGTTTGTTAGGGCCTAGCACATAAGTTCAGTCCAAAATAATGGCCTCCTATAATTTTGTTTAAAAAAATTTCCTCTTTTTGTCCAGGTTCTCACATAGGTGAGAGTGTGACCAAAACTTAGGGCCTTAGTGCCACTCTCAGTTACCATCATTTTGGGTTTCTGGTCTCAGCACATCATTCATAGGTTATGTTGTTATCATGGTCACACATTTCTTTCAGCTTTTGTCATTCCAGTTGAAGAGAGACCATTTGACGTTTTAGAGATGGCTGCAGGAAAACATTTAACTCCTTTGAGATAATACAGCACACCAGGGAGACTATTATTATGACTATTCAGAGAATAATACCAAGAGTTTGGAGTATGCTCCTTACCCAGGTTCCCCATAAACCAAACCACCTAAAATTAAATAAGTAAAGAATGAGCTAGATGAAGAGTCTACTTGCTTGACTAAGTGGCCTTTTCATTAATCCTCTACAACTGAATTTTTATAATCTACATTTGATGTATTTTTCCATAGGCCACGAGTGTCAGCAGCTGCACATGTACTTTTCTGTTTAGCCAATTCTATTATTTAGCATAATTTTCACAAGAGAATTTAAAGTCTGTTGTGCAATGATAGCCTTTAAAGTAGAATTTTCTGTAAAGCCTATTGTGTGGGTGACATTTCTAATTATTGCCTCTTTTTTTCTAAATCATGGACAAAGGACATAACAAATGATGTCCTTTTAGAAGAGTGAAGGCCTCCTGGCAATGTTCTCTTTAATCCATGATGTGGGTTAAGAGGAGTTTTGACTGATTATGAGGCAACACATGTACCACCAAAGTTTCTCACCTACATTGGACCTTCATCTTTTATCTATTAAAGTATACGGTTATGCATGTAGAAGGCTGGCTGCAAAATCCCTCACAAATAAAAGTATATCCTGTAAGTGCAAGTAATAGATCCCCTTTTCATTTCTATTGTTCATACAGGCGTAAACAAGGAAAAAATGTTCAAATATAAGAGTCTAGTGATAGTAGAAGTCTTGATTGGTGATCTTGGGGAAAGCTGTTCACATCAAGGATGTTATCTTCTTCTGGGGATAAACTTTCCTGGTTAGTTTTACCTTAAGGGTTCCAGTGGGTGTACAGTTCCAGGAGTGTGGAGGGAGCCATCCCAGTTATGAGATTATGAACCCAAGGTTCAAGGCTCCAAAGTTTTGCTGTAATGTGGATGGCAAGTACGGTCTTTCTCTGATACTCTCAGAAGATCCAATCTTCGGGCTCTAGATTGTGAAGAGATTGTCCTCAGTGAACCATTAAAAAGCTTTATTTACCTGGTGAAAATACACTGTAGCATAATAATCTACTGTTATAACATCAGCCCTCTTGCATGGGAAAGCTTTTATACAACCAGAAAAATGAATTAAAAATGACAATTGAATGAAATCCTTTTATAAATGTTTAAATGGCCTATCAGGTAGCCAAATGTACCTGAAGCTTTGATTGTCTTCCCAGAAATATGGAACCAAACACTGGTTTTAAATTATTTCTGCAATTTATAAGTCACCACATCAATATATTTAATTTGGATTTTTTTTTTCTTGACGACTCATGTAATGCAGAACCTTTAATAACAAAAGCTTTAAGGACTCAGGAAAGACAGGGTGGCCATCCTGGTTATTCATGAGTCCATGCTTAACATTGGACTTATGTCCTTCTGCATTCCACTTGTTTCTCCAATTTAGGTGCATAGGACTGATAACTAATGGGTTAGCAGAGGTAATTTGACTTAGACCATGGAGTTCATTCAAATTGTGTACTTAAACAATTTTAGTATTGGCTGATTTAGCATGATAATCTAGAGCTTGATTTTGAAAGGTTTGTTAAATACCAAAGGTTTAAAACAGTGGATATTACAACATAAAATCTTAGGGTACCATAAATCATTTATTTAGCAAAATGATAACTCAAAAATTTTTTAAAGGAAAAAACCTTATTCTGATAGAGAGGAGACTCAGCTTTCCAAACAAGACCCAATGAAGATAGCATGAGGACAACTGACTCTGTCTCCTTTCCTTCCCTTCCCCATTGTGTCCTTTGTAGTTACTTAAAAGATAAACAAAAACCTTTGTCTTTTGATATTACACAAAATACTTTTTAAAAGAGAAAACCAAATTTTATGTTTCCATTAGTGTATTTTTGATGTTAAAGCTAGCTTTTAAATAACATTTTATAAACCTATTCAGTTTTAATTAGTTTGACCACAAGTTAAGATTTTTATAAACCTTTTATAACCCTTTAAATTTTTTTTTTCTCAGAGCAGAACAATGTTTTAATAAAACTCTGTTGAGCTTTTATTCCAATGTCCAATTTATGGAAAAAGCTGAATAATGCCATTTTCACTTTAGCCAATATGTCCACACATAGAATATTTTACAATTAATTTTTTATAAACCTTTCACAACTTGTTCAAATCTTTAGCTTTATTTAATTTAAAACAATCCTTTAACCCTCTAACCTAGGCAGAAATTTACATTCTATACCTTTTTATAATCTCTTATGAAAACACACTTTATTCTCCTTACATACCTTGTATGTAAACTTATTTTTTCAGTAGTCTCAACTACATATTACAGTGTTAATTCTTAGCAACTTTTACTTTTGGTGAAAACCTTGGTAAGTAAGGGATTTTAATTGTGTACTAGGTGTGGAACCTAGGACCTAGACAGAAATGCAGATAAGATCTGACTCTTTCCAGCATCTAACTCCGCGTGTACCGGGCCTTACCTAGTTGTAAAACAGACAAACTGTACAGTTAAGAGTCATAGTGGCACTTTAGGAAGCATTTAGGAGACCTAATTTTAAATTGTACAACATTTCTGGCAAAAATATCTTTTCATAAATTCTTTCACGACTTACACAGACCATGTACAACATGTTTAGACTTTCTGATTTGCCCTAAACACCCCTCTTTTTAAACACCCAGTTATTTTACTTTAGGACAGGAATTTACCATACAACATCCTTTCTTATATAAAATCTCTTTTCTTTATAACCTTCTTTGCATAGCTAGTGAGCATGGTTAATTCCATACATCCCCAGGCCTATTTAGAATGTAATGTCTCCAAAATAAATTGAAAAATTTTCAAAAGTCAAAGCAGTTATGACTTTAAAGCATTTTCAAACCTAATATCTGATCTGCATAATTTAGACAAAATGTCTTTATTTTATCAATAATCTTTAAAGCTGTTTTTATTTTGCTTTTAAAATACTTGATTTAAGCATTTGTTTTTGTTTAAGCCAATTAATTAGAGCTCTTTTATATAAACATTACACACAACACATATATAATTACACAGACAGACGGAAGATTACTACAGTAGTTGTAAGATTTTTCGTTTGCCAGTTTTTAAGTTTCTTAATTGGTTATTGGCTTTAGGGTGGAGCCCTTGGAAGAATAGGGCCAGGAAAGGAGTTTCTGGTGCCTCCTGTTTTTCCCAAGGTGTCCAGGCTGTTAGAGCTTGAATATCTGCTTTTAATTAAGCTGACTTTTAACCATAGCACTGTAATAAAGTCTTTTTAGTATTTTTTATTACCCAACCTTAGCCAGGCCAAGGGGCCGATATTTCTGGCCTTTGAACTTTACCAAAGGTAACCTCCTAGGTGCTCAGAGAAAAGAAAATTTAAGATAGTCCATGGAGGAGAAGAGGCTAAACAAGGTCATGCAGATATTAAACCAAAAGGGACTTACTGCCTAAGCAGGGAATTGAACCCAGACTGCCAGTGTGAAAAGGAGAAACCTTAGCTACTGAGCTACAGCAGAGGGTAATCTCCATTGCCCTCCCCAGAAGGAATCTACAGTCATTAATGTTGAGCTTGCAAAGGCTATTAACTACTCAAGATAATTTTTAGAGCTAACTATGACATAAACCCTAAAATTCCTGTTCTCTGGAAGGCAGAGACCAAGAGAAAGTATTGTCATATGGTTACAAGGTCAAGCTCCCAAGGACGTGAAACAAGATGGAGATAAACAGTAATTTTTTACCATCCATTCAACCATTTGCACAGAGAGAAAGAAGCAAGAAATCTGACTGGTAAGAAATTCTTCCCCTTTTGCCAGCATGCCAGGTTTCTGGGTTCCTTTCCCTGAGTGGCCCTAGTGACTCAGTTCTCTGCACCATTGCACTGGGACCAAGCTGTAGCATAAAGGAAAAGTATCTTTTTTTGCTCTGGCCAGAGTAAAATACATGTGACAAAACACAGACATTCTGATTAGCACCCAATATCAAACTGGCAAGGCTCAAACTTGCCCCTGGTTAGGCCCCATGATCGTTAATCCAACCTCCAACCAGGAGTTTCAACATGTGGTCTCTGGGCAAGATGGTCGCCCTGAGTAATAGAAAATATAAGACAGGAAAAGTAGAGAGAGAAAAGCATTGCCCATGGCAGGGTGGGGAAGGTGAGCTGCTCAGGGAGGCCAGAGAAAGACCCACCCATTGCAGCAACACTAAAAAGTTCAGGCGACTGCTTCTCGGTACAAAAGGGATCTTTTCCAGCAGTCCCATCAGCTCTCAAGTTTCCCCTTTTAGAGAGGAAAAAGCTCCCCATGTCTCACGATCTTGTATGTGCCTAATCCTGTCACCCACAGCCATCAGCAAAGAATGCAAGGCAGATTCTTCCAAAGAGAATAGCAGTTGACATGCTATAGTACTAAACCCATTCTTAGCCAAAAGGAACTTTACTGAGAGCCTTCATTTTTAAATGTACTTCAATGCGTTGTTGTTCATTCGGAATGTTCCACTATAAGTTATCTTTAGTAAGATTTTGCCATTTCTGTAAGATTTTGCTTCTTCCCGGGCCTAAAGTATAAACCAGAAGGAACTCAGTTTTCTAGAAATTAAGGATCTCATTTTACCTAAAATATTGGCTTTATGCTCAGGTTCTCTTGATTAACTTAGCCAATAATTTTTCCTACCTAAGTACACAAGAAACATGAAACAAAGTGGTATAACACAAAAATCCCTGTGAATTTTCAAAAGCCAAATTTTATACCCCCTGCAATATTACTGCTTACTACCAGCTCCTTTCTGACCCAGTCAGATGTAAGAGGCCTCTAACTGGATTCGAGCCAGTTAATTCCCAGATCAAATCCATTGCTGAACCCAGTCTAGTTTCTGTCATGACTCCAAACCCAGTTTGAATCAGAAATTTGCTCAAAGAAACTCAGAGAGCTCAAAACACAAATCCATGGAGCTCCGAAATCCAAAAGGGAGTATACCCACAATCCCCAGCATCTCTGAGAGATCAATGGACACAAGTGGGTCCTTCCATGTTCACTCAGCACTCCTGGGGGTGGCTAGAGCTCTACTTTGAATCCCACTTGTGACACCATCTGATAAAAGAAGAAAACCTTCAGCTGAATTAAATTTAACAGAGTTTAACTGAGCAATGAATGATTCGCGAATCGGGCAGCCCCCAGAATAACAGCAGATTCACAGAAACTCCAGGGTTGCTTCATGGTCAGAACAGAAGGGAAAGGAGAAGGCAAGAGATTACCTAAACATTCTCAGCAACTTTCATTTAGCTTTTATAAATCACACAAACACATTCTTTGTCAAAATACAGCAGTTCAACCATTCCTCACCTTTGCATTTTTTATCACTGCACTTACCATAGTGTATCAAAACCTGATTAAATATCTATTGCCTCTGTGAACCCCGAAAATCTGACACAGGTCTCAGTTAATTTATAAAGTTTATTTTGCCAATGTTGAGGATACGTACCAGTGATACAACCTCAGGAGGATCTGACGACATGTGTCGAAGGTGGTCAGAGCACAGTTGGGTTTTATACATTTTAAGGAAACATGAAACATCAATCAACATATGTAAGATGAACATTGGTTCTGTCTGGAAAGGTGGGACAACTGGAAGCAAAGGTGGACAGACTGGAAGTGGAGAGGGGGCTTCCAGGTTATAGGTAGGTAAGAGACAAATGGTTGCATTCTTCTGAGTTTCTGATAAGCTCCGCCAGAGGAGGCAATCAGATATGCATTTATCTCAGTGAGCAGAGGGGTGACTTTGGATAGAATGGGAGGCAGATTGGCCCAAGAAGTTTCCAGCTTGACTTTTCCCTTTAGCTTAGTGTTTTTGGGAGCCCTAAGATTTCTTTTCCTTTCACACCTCTGTTACAGGAAAGGGGTCCCGATCCAGACTCCAAGAGAGGGTTGTTGGATCTCACACAAGAAAGAGTTCAGGGTGAGTCCACAGTGCAAAGCAAAAGCAAGTATATTATGAAAGTAAAGGAATAAAGAATGGCTACTCCATAGACAGCAGCGCCGAGGGCTTCTGGTTGCCCATTTTTATGGTTATTTCTTGATGATATGCTAAACGAAAGGTGGATTATTCATGCCTCCTGCTTTTTAGACCATATAGGGTAACTTCCTGACCTTGCCATGGCAATTGTAAGCTGTCATGGAGCTGGTCAGAGTGTAGCAATGAGGACGACCATAGGTCACTCTCGTCACCATCTTGGTTTTGGTGGGTTTGGGTGGGCTTCTTTACTGCAACTGTTTTATCAGCAAGGTCTTTACAACCTATATTTTGTGCTGACCTTTAATCTCATCCTGTGACTTAGAATTCCTTAACCATCTGGGAATGCAGCCGAGTAGGTTTCAGCCTCATTTTACCCAGCTCCTATTCAAGATGGAGTTGCTCTTGTTCCAATGCCTCGACACCTCCATGAAACTGTAGCTTCTCAAGGTCAGGGACTGCTTGATTCATGTTTGACTGCACAAGCGTTTAGTATAGTGCCTAGAACATACCAAATGTTCTATGAATGGATTAATGAACAAATGAAGGACTTCTTTTCAACTAAACTGAGTTGTGACACTGTATTCAAAATGTGAATTCTCTCTCAATGAAACAAAATCATGCATTCAGAAAGATGAAAAATGAGGTGTGGTATTTGTAAGAGAAAGATATGTGCAAGTGTAATTGAAAGCTGATGTTTACATTTCGGATTTCCTCTCTTCTTGACAACCTGGTTACAGGCTTACTCACCTATTGTCCAAGGGAAGACATACCCGCAGGCAATTGCTATAGGTCCAGCTGTTGGAAGTACCATAAAGAACCTGGTGATTCTTTACTCCCAGCCTTCAGGGGATGAGAAAGAAGAGAGAGACAAGCTAGCCAACTGGACAGAGGTAAATGGATGAATGCTAACTAGGTCTCTCCACCCCCAGCCAGTGTCAAGTTGCCAGCTGTGCCTTTAATTTAGCCCTTTGTCTTCCCTAGAAAGACCAAAGCCATTGTGCTTCTTTAAAAAAAAAAACAAAAAAAGGCGCTTCTCTAGCATGCTGTTCAAAAGCAAGAGACGGAAATTACAGGGATTAGGAGAGACACTATTTATTAAAGAAATATAATATTCTCTTAATAAAATGAAGGGACATTATATGAGAAGTAAAACAATAAATGAGTAAATTTGATCATTTGACTGCATTTTATCTGCAGATTAAAATCCCAGTTCAAAGGACAATTGGGATACATTTTAAAGGTCAGGATCGTGTTCTCTTATTGATAAGCCTTAGTACCAACCATGGAGATCGCTTGGTGAAAGAGAAAGACTGAGCAAGATCTGAAGGAGAGCACGCCACGGAGCCAGACCCCAAGAGAAGCCATAAAAAATGATGTTTAGTTAAAGTTTTCATGTTTTCCTCTTAGCAGGAAAGAGACAGAGAGAGAGAGAGAGAGAGAGAGAGAGAAAGAGAATAAATTATTACTGGTTTACAGTTTGTTTTGAAAAAGAAGCAGGTTTAGCAAGTTTAAACATGAGAGACAATGCATGTAAAGCACTTAGCACAGTGCTTGAAACATAGCATGTGCTCAGTAGAGGTTAGCTATTTGTATTCGTAGTATTAACTATAAGAAAATATGAAAACAGCTGACTCTGACTTCAGCTGCAATCAAAGAAATGAGCACTGGGCTGAACATAGGCAGTTACAATTGTAGTCCTGGCTCTGCCACTGTTTGTGTGACCTTGAACAAATCACTTACTCTCTTGAGGACCCAGTTTCCCCAGAGCAAAAAGAGAGGAGCTGAACTAAATTAATATGTGAAGTGGATTAAAACTCAATAAGGTATAGAATAATCCTAACAAATTCATAGGACTAAACATCTTTAGTTGGCCTAGAAGTTCCACTTTTTTTCTGATATTAGTAAAGTTTTGAAAGCATATTCTATTTTTGTCACCTACTTTGTTTTCATTTGGGGTTACTTTATGCCCAGTGATAAAAACTGCAAAGGTGAGAAATGGTTAAGCTGCTGTATTTTGGAGAATGTATGTGTGTGATTTGTAAAAGCTAAATGAAAGTTGCTGAGAACTCCTGGATTCTATAAACACAAACAGCCTAAACAAATAAAAGATTATTAGTTCTTCTCCTCCTTTGGAAGCTGAAAGGCTGCTTTAAGAAGAGACTTGCATGCACTTGTCTGCTTCCTCAGAGCAGCCCTCACAGCATTCTTCAATCATTTTAAACAAAGGTAGGGCAAACTGTGAAAGCAGCAAGTGGAACAGTGGTGACAACAGAACTTGGGCTGCCATTCCATGCACAAATCACTCAGAGCCATCTAAATTCCAAACATTGGAAATAGAAACAATACTAATCAACCCTGAAGAATGTGGCTGATGGGCCTAAGATTTCCTTTCTCCAAAAAATAAATCGAAACCATTTGGATGGAGGTTTTGTGTGCATATAAAGCTCTGACATTATGATGTTTTTGTCTTAATATTGCTCTCCAAAGAGTTAATACAGTCCAAGCACGAAACACCAACCCCTGTGCATCCTGGACAAGAGGAGGGAGCTACATGGCTCTGTCCTGGCTCTGGCACTAATTTGTAGGCTCATCTTGGCCCTATTACTAAAGCTGTCTGTGGCAGTGTCCTAACTGGCAAATGGAAATGAAAGCTCCTCTGTCTAACTCCGAAGGGGATTGTGAGACTAAAATGAAGTCACATATGTGAAACTACTTTGAAGACCATAACTGTTACACAAATGGATTCTCTTTCCACATGTCTAGAATACACATGTATGGTTGATCCCGTCAGAAAAGTAAGGGAGCTTCCCTGAATGTAATTACTCATTATTCTTGAAATAGCATTTGGTGTACCACATCACTGCTTTCTCTTTATCATTGGTAATTAGGTGATCACAATTTCACATAAGCATTCAAAGTCATTTTTAAAAGTTTTACTGCTCAAAGATGAAAGCAAGATCATTGTCACTATGAGAAAAAATCATTTGTATCTCTGCATAAAAGCTGCTTTAAAATAATCATAAAAAGAAATGGACAATCTTTATTTCACAAAAGCAGCTGTAACACAAGCTGAAGTCTCATCAGGTAGTTAATGCACACTTTTAAGCAACTTAGGACACTCTATCCTTTATGGTAAATTTTTGTTCAGCCAATATTTTATTGACGGCCTAATGTATGCTAGACACTGATGGCACTTAGGACTCTATAATAATAAGAAATAATCCCTATCTTCAGAGGGGGAAGTCAGACTGCTACACAGGATAAGTCTAAGGCAGTGTGTGATTTAGGCTATAATAGACTTGTGAAGTGGAATTTGTCAGGGCTTCCAGGGAAGTAGGCTCTTGATTAGAGAGAGAGAGAGAGAGACCAGCATGGGGTTTTGCCCGCCTCCTGCTTCTGGACCTGGCTGGCTCAGGATGCAGGGGTTGGTGGAGTGGAGATAGAGCCATCATGCTTCTGCCTCAGAAACTCTTTGTCTGCAGTGGCAATATTTTGGAAGGCCAGCAGATAGGGATGTTACTCCATGAAAACAGAACGTGTCCTCTTCCACTGAGATAAAAGACTTCTCTCTCTTCAGAGCAGAAAGTTGGAAATTTTCTCAATGGAAGTCTGGGAAAAGAGAGTTTTGAGAATATCAGAAGGTAAAAAGTTTAGATAGCATTAAAGCATTTTAGGATTTTTCTCTTTTTTTAATTTTTTATTTGTTTTAATTGACAATAATTGTGTATATTTTATGGGGTACAATGTGATGTTTTGATCTATGTATACATTGTAGAAAGATTAAATCAAGCTGATTAACATATCCTTTAACTCACCAACTTAGCATTTTTTTAATGGTTAAGATGTTAAGAAGTCTATTTTTTTTAGCAATTTTGAAATATGCAATACAGTCGGCCCTTGACATCTATGAATTCCACATCCACAGATTCAACTAACTGATAATAAAAAATATTCAGAAAAAATAACAATACAACAATAAAAATAATACAAACCTTAAAAATGCAGTATATTTATATAACATTTACATTGTATTAGGTATTATAAGTAATCTAGAGATTATTTAAAGAATACAAGAGGATGTGCATAGGTAACATGCAAACACTATGCCACTTTATTCTTTATTTTTTATTTTGTATTATACTTTAAGTTCTAGGGTACATGTGCACAATGTGCAGGTTTGTTACATATGTATACATGTGCCATGTTGGTGTGCTGCACCCATTAACTCGTCATTTACATTAGGTATATCTCCTAATGCTCTCCCTCCCCCCTCCCCCCACCCCACAACAGGCCCTGGTGTGTGATGTCCCCCTTCCTGTGTCCAAGTGTTCTCATTGTTCAAGTCCCACCTATGAGTGAGAACATGCGGTGTTTGGTTTTTTGTTCTTGCGATAGTTTGCTGAGAATGATGGTTTCCAGCTTCATCCATGTCCCTACAAAGGACATGAACTCATCCTTTTTTATGGCTACATAGTATTCCATGGTGTATACATGCCACATTTTCTTAATCCAATCTATCATTGATGGACATTTGGGTTGGTTCCAAGTCTTTGCTATTGTGAATACTGCCACAATAAACATATGTGTGCATGTGTCTTTATAGCAGCATGATTTATAATCCTTTGGGTATATACCCAGTAATGGGATGGCTGGGTCAAATGGTATTTCTAGTTCTAGATCCTTGAGGAATTGCCACACTGTCTTCCACAATGGTTGAACTAGTTTACAGTCCCACCAACAGTGTAAAAGTGTTCCTATTTCTCCACATCCTCTCCAGCACCTGTTGTTTCCTAACTTTTTAATGATCGCCATTCTAACTGGTGTGCGATGGTATCTCATTGTGGTTTTGATTTGCATTTCTCTGATGGCCAGTGATGATGAGCATTTTTTCATGTGTCTGTTGGCTGCACTATGCCATTTTATATCAAGGACTTGAGCATTCATAGATTTTGGTATTCAGGAGAGTCCTGGAACCAATCCTCCAAGGACACTGAGAGACAACTACACATTATTATTAACTGTGGTCACCATGCAGTGCAATAGATTACTAAAACTTATTCCTCCAGTCTAACTGAAACTTTGTGTCCTTTGATCAACATCTTCCCTTTCCCTGTCTCTATACATCCCTCCCTCTGGTAACTACCTTGCTGTTCTGTTTCTATGAGTTCAACTTTTTTAGATTCCACATATAAGTGAGATCATGCAGTATTTGACTTTTTGTGCCTGGCTTATTTCACTTAGCATAGTACGGAGGGCCCTCAAAAAGCTAAAAATAGAATTACCTGATGATCCAGCAATCCCACTTCTGGGTATATAGCCAAAACAATTAAAACTGGTACATCAAAGAGCTATCTGCACTCCCATATTCATTGCAGCATTATTCACAGTAGCCAAGATATGGAATCAACCTAAGTGTCCATCAATGGATGAATGACTAAAGAGAATGATATAGATAGATGATAGATAGATAGATAGATAGATAGATAGATAGATAGATAGACAGACAGACATACTCTATAGCCTTAAAAAAGAAAATTCTGTCATTCACAACATGGATAGAACTGGATGATTAAAGCAGTTTCAAGAGTAAAGTTTAGCATAGTTTATCTGTTTCTTTAAAAAATCTATAGTCCATGATAAGTCGTAATAGTAGCTGAGATAGGACATTGTTTCTTGTTATTCATCCCTTTACTTATCTTTCCCCTCATCTATTTACTGAGTTCATCTTTCTCTCTTTAACTTCCTTAATTGTTCGTAGTTTAGAGTTGTAGTGTATTTTTCATTTGTTATATATACTGAATGGTTTTAGATTTCCTACTCTTTTGAAAATAGAATATCATTACTCATTCCAAATAATTACCTAGTTTATTTTTCTAACTGTTGTGAACATTTTTCTGAACATTGGTGCTCCTCAACAGAAAAAAAAAATGTTTTCAGCCCCATATTATAAAATATTGATTCTTAAATTTTATCCAGCACTGATAGGTTGGAACTGGAAACTGGGAAGCCACATTTTAAACACCAGTCCTTCAACACACACACACAAACACACACACATGCACAGTCTTTAAATAGGGCAACCAAGGGCATCACTTTGAGAAGACACATGCACACATATGTTTATTGCAGCAGTATTCACAATAACAAAGACTTGGAACCAACTCAAATGCCCATCAATGTTAGACTGGATAAAGAAAATGTGGCACATATACACCATGGAATACTATGCAGCCATAAAAAAGAATGAGTTCATGTCCTTTGCAAGGACATGGATGAAACTGGAAACCATCATTCTCAGCAAACTAACACAGGAACAAGAGCAAACACCGCATGTTTTCACTCATAAGCGGGAGTTGAACAATGAGAACATACAGGCACAGGAAGGGGAACATCACACACTGGGGCTTGTCGGTGGGTGGGGGCAAGGGGAGGGATAGCATTAGGGAAAATACCTAATGTAGATGACAGGTTGATGGGTGCAGCAAACCACCATGGCACACGTGTGCCATTGTAACAAACCTGCACGTTCTGCACATGTATCCCAGAACTTAAAATATAATAAAAAAGAGAAACACAACTATAAAACATTACTGCATCATATATCTAAATAAATTAAGTATTCACTGGGCCCTATATACTGTATGTAGGTCCACTCTCTGATTTCCAAAAATTGCTTACCCTGGCAACACTCCAGACAACAATGACGTTCAACCAAGACTTAGAACAACTGCCTCCTACTTTTGACTATCTTCCAACCCTAGTGAACTGGCCTGGACAACCTTGTATGTAGAGCTCTAAAAAATATTCTCTACTTTTCCTTTTCCGAAGGCAAATCCCTAGGAATCATAAAGACCCATTTCCTCACATGCCAATTAGTTTTTCTTATTTTCTCTCCTTTCCCCAGCATCCCTTAAAAAGGTGGTTCTCAATCCTGGGTGTATGTCAAAATCACCTGAAAGAGCTTGCTAAAAATACAGATGTCTCCAGGTACAAATGCAGACCTGGTACCCGGGGTGTCCTCCAAGAAAATTCAGAGTCACAGGTCCAGGGGCATCAGTTTTTTTCTTTTTTTGGAGGCAGAGTCTCATTCTGTTGCCCAGACTGAAGTGCAGTGGTAAGATCACGGCTCACTACAGCCTCGACCTCCTGGGCTCAAGCAATCCTCCTACCTCAGCTTCTCGAGTAGCTGGGACCACAGGTGTGTGTCACTACACCAAGATAATTTTTCTATTTTTAAATTTTTTTTTTAGAGACGGGGTTTTGCCATGTTGCCCAGGCTGATCTCAAACTCCTTGGCTCAAGCAGTCTGCTCACCTTGGCCTCCCAAAGTGCTGGGATTACAGGCATGAGCCACCACGCCCAGCCCTAGCATCCATATTTCTAACAAGCCCTTCCAGGTGATTCTGAGACACCTAGGATTAAGATCTACATTCTATAATCTTAATTGAAAATTGTACAGAGGTATTTGCAGAGCAATATAGTAGAAGCAAGGGAGTGAAACTTAAAAGAGGATATTCAATCTGGGTCATTAAAAAATAATAACTGTGATAAACATACAAGTTATAAATTATACACTCTCAGTTATAAGTAGAAGCTAAACAATGGATACACATGGACATAAAAATGGAAATGATAGATAACGGGGACTCCAAAAGGGGAGAGGAGAGGAGAAGGGAAAGTGTTGAAAAATTACCTATTGGGTTCTATGTTCACTATTTGGGTGACAATAGAAGCCAAAACCTCAGGATTATGCAATGTATAGTCATGTAACAAACCTGCACATGTACCCCTTGATTCTAAAATAAAATAATAAAAACTGAAGCAACTAATTTAAAATCTTAGAAGAACAATATTTCTTCTCATAATAACTATGGTGAGGTTGAGGTAAATTGCCATAATCCAGCACTGTTCAAGTCAAACTGTTCAAAAAACTTTGAGGGGTAAAGGTAAATCTTACCAATCTCTGGGCTGCCTTAGTGACTTTTTTGGTACATCACAGTCCTGTTAAAGGCCAGCTGGAATGATGTGTTCAGGGCTGATATGGTTTGGCTGTGTCCCCACCCAAATCTCATCTCGAATTGTAATCCAAATTGTAATACCCACATGTCAAGGGAGGGACCTGGTGGAAGGTGACTGGATCATGGAGGTGGTTTTCCCCATGCTATTCCCCTGATAGTGAGTGAGTTCTCATGAGATCTGGCTGTTTGATAAGTATCTGGCACTTCCCCTGCTCTCTCTCTCCTGCTGCCATGTAAGATGTGCCTTGCTTCCCCTTTGTCTTCCAACATGATTGCAAGTTTCCTGAGGCCTCCCAGCCATGCAGAACTGTGAGTCAATTAAACCTTCTTTGTTTATATATTACCCAGCCTCAGGTAGTATCTTTACAGCAGTGTGAGAATGGACTAATACAGAGAATTGGTACCAGTAGTGGGGTACTGCTATAGAGATAACCTGAAAATGTGGAAGTGACTTTGGAACTGGGTAACAGGCAGAGGTTGGAACAGTTCAGATGGCTCAGAAGAAAAGAGAAAGATGTGGGAAAGTTTGGAACTTCCTAGAAACTTGTTGAATGGTTTTGACCAAAATGCTGATAGTGATGTGGACAAGGAGGCCCAGGCCAAGATGGTCTCAGATGGAGATGAAGCAGAAATTTGCATAAGTAACAAGGAGCTGAATGTTAATTGCCAAGACAATGGGGAAAATGTCTCCAAGGCGTGTCAGATGTCTTCACAGCATCCCCTCTCATCACAGGCCCAGACACCTATGAGGAAGAATGGTTTTGTGGGCCAGGCCCAGGGCCTTGCTGCTTTGGGCAGTCTTGGGACTTGGTGCTCTGCATCCCAGTCGTGGCTAAAAGGGGCCAAGGTACAGCTTGAACCTTGGGTTCAGAGGGTGCAAGCCCCAAGCCTTGGCAGCTTCCATGTGGTGTTGAGCCTGTGGGTGCACAGAAGTCAAGAATTGAGGTTTGGGGACCTCTGCCTAGATTTCAGAGGATGTATGGAAATGCCTGGATATCCAGACAGAGGCTTGCTGCAGGAGCAGGGCACTCATGGAGAACCTCACTAGGGCAATGTGGAAGGGAAATGTGGGGTGGGCACCCCTACATAGAGTCCCCACTGTAGCACTACCTGGTGGAGCTGTGAGAAGAGGACCACCATCCTCCATACCCCAGCTTGCACTGACTGACAGCTTGCACCATGAGACTGGAAAAGTTGCAAACACTCAATGTCAGCCCATGAAAGCAGCCGGGAGGGATGCTGTACCCTACAAAGCCACAAGGACAGAGCTGCTCAAGGCCTTGGAAGCCCACCCCTTGCATCAGTGTGCCCTGAATGTGAGACATGGAGTCAATGGAGATCATTTTGGAGCTTTAAGGTATAATGACTGCCCTGCTGGATTTTGGACTTGCATGGGGCCTATGACCCCTTTGTTTTGGCCAATTTTTACCATTTGGCATGGGACAATTTACTCAATGCCCGAACTCCCATTGTATCTTGGAAGTAACTAACTTGTTTTTGATTTTACAGGCTCCTAGGCCTAAGGGTCTTGCCTTGCCTCAGATGAGACTTTGGACTTGGACTTTTGAGTTAATGCTGGAATGAGTTCAGACTTTGGGGGATTGTTGAGAAGGCATGATTGGTTTGAAATGTGAAAAGGACATGAGATTTGGGAGGGGCCAGGGGAGGAATGATACGATTTGGCTGTGTCCCCACCCAAGTCTCATCTCAAATTGTAAATCTGAATTGTAATCCCCACATGTCAAGGGAGGGAACTGATAGGAGGTGACTGGATCATGGGGGTGATTTCACCCACGCTATTCTCATAATAGTGGGCTCATGAGATTCAGTTGTTTGATAAATGTCTGACAATTCCCCTGCTCTCTCTCTCTCCTGCTGCCATATAAGATGTACCTTGCTTCCCCTTTGCCTTCTGCCATGGTTGTAAGTTTCCTGAGGCCTCCCAGCCACGTGAAACTGTGAGTCAATTAAACCTCCTTTGTTTATAAATTACTCAGTTTCATGTAGTATCTTTATAGCAGTGTGAGAACGGACTGATACACGGGCTACAGTTATGGGGCCAAACCACCCAGTGAGAAAACACTAAAAGGACAAAATATAGTGCCTCCAAAGTGGCAGCTGAACCCTCATAAGTTATCTACCAGGCTTTTTACCTTCTAGTAACAAGAAAACCTGAAAGAAGGAACTGCCTCCCTGGCAGGATGGGCATGAAGTCAACTCTGATTCTGATTTAGTTAAAATGAGAAGACCTGGATTGCTAGCTTTTGAAAGGCTCTATACATGCATTATAGCTTTTAATTAATAAACAGTTTTGCATGGAAAGGGAGGAAAAGAGTTTTGTTTGCTTTAGGGGGTAGGGAAATTTGGGGGGTCTTTCATGGGGCCTGGGAGGAGGATATGGCTGAATGGATGTTAGGGAATAGCAGGGATATTGGTGAGGTGGGAACCTTCCTGATCATGTTCATTTATGATTGGTTTTAAGCACTAAGCATAGCTAAACCAAGGAAATTTTCTGGCTTTAAGAAAATCATTTCCATTCTCCAAATATGATGGCCATACTGTAGGCCTTATAAAATTTTGACAGCAAGATTATAAGGACTTTTTCTCAGAAAATCAACTATAGTCTATTTTTAGCATGGACAATCTAGTAATTAAACAAATATTGATTGGGAGGAAAAAAGATCTATATCCTAAACCCTTAGGTTGTAAGACCTTCTCTCTTCCAATCAAAGATCACCTTTCCCCAACATGTGCCTGTAACAGAGAGCGTGCAAGATGTCTGCCACTCTTCTCAAACCCAGGTGAGACTAATTGCTCAGACTTTCTGCCTTTTCCTGCTTCTGGACAGTTGTTGTGGTGATCCCAAAGGAGGTGGGACTTTCAGAAGCCTAGAAAGATCAACTTATCCCCCCCAAGTACTTAGTTGGTGCCTATCCTGTGTTGGGAAAGGAGTGATGAACAAAACAGGTAAGGCACCTGACCTCACAGAGCTCACAGTCTAGCTGCAATAAAATAAATAAATAAGGAAGTTTCAAATTATTAGAAGTGCTATGAAGGAAATAAAATTGGGCTACGGGAGAGATCCAGGAGGAAGGGAAGTTTGCTTTTAATAGATAGAGGGATAAGGATGGCTTCTGATGCAGGAAGCGGGGTATGTTTAAGGAAATGTCAGAAGCTGGGTGTTGCTGGAGTGAAGTGACAAGAGGAGAGTGGTACATGATGAATTTGCAGAGGTCCTAGTAAAGAGTTTGGGTTTCATTTTAGATGCAAAGGGAAACATTTGGAGAGTTTAAATGGGACAGCCACATGATCTGAATCATAGTTTTTAAGATGAACTTTTTATTTAGGGCTAATTTTAGGTTTACAGAAAAGTTTAAAGATAGTACAGAGGGTTTCTGTACACTTTCACCAAGTTCCCACCATTGCTAGCATCTTAATATACCATGGTACATGAATACGAACTAAACTCAACACTTTATTTGAATTTCACCAGTTTTTCCATTAATCTCCTTTTTCTGTTCCAGGATCGAATCCCAGCTACCACATTGCATTTAGTCATCAAATCACCCTAGTTTTCTCTGGTCTCTGATAGTTCCTCAGTCTTTTGTTTTTCATGTCCCTGACAGTTTTGAAGAGTCTGGTCAGTGACCCTGTAAAAAATTTCCCAATCTGGGGTTTGTCTGATGTTTTCCCCTCATGATTAGACTCAGATTAGGGGTGTTTTGGAAGACTGCCCAAGAGGTGATTTGTCCTTCTTATCATATCATATCAGGGGTTCATGATAGGTAGCCACATGCCATTACTGGAGATGTTAACCTTCATCACTTAGTTCAGGTAGCGCTTGCCTGGTTTCTCCACTATAAATTTACTCTTTCCTTCTTCATATTTTATGCTTTAGAAGCAGGGCACTAAGTTTACCCTACCTTCAAGGAGATGGGGGAAAGGGAACTAAGCTGCATCTCCTGGAAAGGGGAATAGCCACATCTATTATTTGGAATTCTCCTGTAAGGAAGATTTGCCCATCATTCCTCATTTATCTCTTTATTCAAACATTTATTTATATTAGTACAAACTCATGGATATTGATATCATACTTTGTGTAATAATCCAAATACTACATTATTTATTTTATTGTTCAATTTGTTCTAGTTTTGGCTGGTGGGAGCTCTTTCTGGTTGGCTCCTACATTCCTTTGATATACCCCTATCCTTTTGTTTTTGAGCACTATCTTACTCTCTGCCACTACAAGATGCTGTATGCTCACCTTGTGTTTTTCCTTCCCCAGTCCTAGAATCAGCCATTTCTCTAAGGACCCTGGCTCCTTTTGTTGGAGAATGATATTACAGACCAAGATTTGTGTGCTAAGTGTTCTAATTGCCAGCAAGGTGTCATTGCCTCTAGGCCCTCTCAGCTAACACAGCTAGGAAATACATGATTTGTGTGAACTAACCCACATGTGTATACATATCTATAAATATTTATATGTCTATCCATCTGTATCTATATTAAACTAAACATGAGTTTGTACTAAAACACTGCCACAGGGCTCACTGAGTCACATTTTTAAAAGATCACTCCAAAAATATTTTATAAAACAACAGCAAAAAGGGATAACTAACTGTTCCAAGAGTGGAGGCAGTGAGACAAGTTTAGGCTGTTGTCATCTAGGCAAGGGATGATATAGGTTTGAATTAGGATGGCAACAAACAACAAGGAGGAGATGGAGCTGATTCCAGACAGACTTTGAAGATAGAGCTGGCAGGATTTGATGGTAGTTTGGATATGAATTAGGGGTAGGAGAATGAGGGAAATAGAAAGATCAAGGGCAACTCACGGATTGGAGGTCTGAAGGAAACGTATGCACTGTGATGCCATTTGCTGAGATGGGAAAGACTAAGGAAGGTGCAGCTTTGGAGGGGAGGATACCAAAGTCAAAAAATTCTGTTTTTATCTTTTTAAGTTTGAGATGCTTTTTAGACAAGTTGACATGTCAAATGAGCAGGTACACCAAGGAGTGTGGAGCTCCTGCAAGGAGTCTGGACTAGAGATATAAATTATGGTGTTATCAGCATACAGATGGTAATTGAAGCCAGGGGGCTAGATGGGATAACCCAGGGAGAAGGCAAGAGTGATGACAGAGAAAAAAAAGGATCAGCACTAAGTCCCAAGACACTTCAGCAGTTAGAGGTTGAGCAGAGGAGGAGCCAGCAGGGGTGATTTCATTTCTCCACTAGAGTTCAACAGTCACAGTGGTTTTTATCTGAGACCTCCGCATCACACATTTCCTCACTGCTCATGATGTTCCACTGACAATCAGAAGAATTTCCATTTTTGCATTAATTTCGTTTTGTTACTGCTTCAGGGAGGCAACTGTAGATGATTCAACTTTTATTAAATCAACTCTTTTGGATTGATGGGTGTTCTCTTCTTCTGAAATACAATGTTCTGCTTCATTTTCATGATGCTCCAATTGAAAACTCATTCCTGCCTCTGTCCTCATTTCCCTCCCTGGGTCCGAGAACATCCTTCTGAAGAGACAGAGAGAAGTGAGCTAGTTTTGGGGTTAGGGAGTGGAGGAGCACTAGAGTACCTTCCATACCTAGCTGAAAAGGACCTGTAGAGCATCTGCGGACACATTTATGATCAGGGACTTCTCTCCCTTCCTAACCAAAATAGGAAACCAAGTCTCAGATAAACATGTCAGATCCCCAAGTCTTGCTCATTTCTCCAGTTCTGTCTGCATTTCCCCCATCTCTACCCTGAGCCAGGCTCCTACCAGCCCCACAAGGTAACGGGGAGTATAGTGTAATGGCTTAAGAGCATGGATCTTGGGCCAGATATCCCTGGGCTTAAATTTTACCTGTACCACCTAGTAGCTGTGTAACCTTGGAAAGTTAACTTCTTTGGGCCTTAATTTTTTCACTTGTAAAATGGAAATAATAACTGTGTCAGTTTCATAGGATTGTTGTGAGAATTTAATGAGGTAATGTATATAACATAAAGTGCTTAAACATTATCAGATTCATAGTAAATGCTATATAAGTGTTAACTACTGGGCTGGGCATGGTGACTCACACCTATAATCAGAGCACTTTGGTAGGCTGAGGCAAGTGGATCACTTGAGTCCAGGAGTTCAAGACCAGTCTGGCCAACATGGCAAAACCCCTTCTCTACTAAAATTACAAAAAAAAAAAAAAAGTTAGCCGGGTGTGGTGGCGCATACCTGTTACTCAGCTACTCAGGACGCTGAATCTCAGCTACTCAGGAGTATACCAGCTACTCAGGAGGCTGAGACAGGAGAATCGCTTGAACCCAGGAGGTGGAGGTTGCAGAGAGCCGAGATCACACCACTGCACTCCAGCCTGGGTGACAGAGAGAGACTTTATCTCAAAAAAAGAGTGTTAACTATTATTCCTGCAACTGACTAGCATACCAGGGGATCCACCTGCCTCCAGCCTTACTGTGCCCTCTCTCAAGTACATTCTGCTGCTGGACAATTTCTTTCTTTTTTTTCTATTCCTTTAACTGATTTTTTTTATCAACTATCACAAGCTAGGAACTGTCCTAGATACTGAAAATATAGCAGTGAACAAGATTCACGATGTCCTTGATTTCCTGGAGCTACATTCAAACAAGAGGAAACAGACAATAAACAAAGTAATTTCAAGAAATATTGTACCTGCTTTGGCAGTGCTATGAAGAAGATACAGGATTAAAATGTGATAGAGTGAGATTCTTCCTGTGAATGATCAGGAAAAGCGTTTCTGAGGTGGTGACTTTTCATCAGCCAGTCATAGGGTGCTCTTTATAAAAAGCACAGGCACAGCAATTGTAAAAACCCTGAGGGGAAGAGGAACTTGGCATGCTGAAAGAACTCTCAGAAAATCAGTGAGACTGAATCATAGTGCAAATAGAGGCATGTGGCAGAGATTGAGAGTGTTCAACACTACCTGTGTCCGCCTCCTCTTACTGGACATCCAGCCAAATTCCATTTCCCAGACATCCTTGCCATTACACGTGGTCATATGACTGACTTATGGCCAATGGAATGTAGGTACGGCAAAATACACCACTCCCAGGACTGGCCTATAAAACCCTCTGACATGTGATTCTCTCTTCTTTCATCTGCTTATTGGCTACAAAAGAATCAATAGATAATTCCAAACCCCTTGAGATTTCTTTTTTTTCTTTTTGAGACAGAGTCTCACTCTTGTTGCCCAGGCTATAGTGCAGTGGCTTGATCTCGACTCACTGCAACCTCTGCCTCCAGGGTTCAAGTGATTCTCCTGCCTCAGCCTCCTGAATAGCTGGGATTACAGGTGCACACCACCACGCCTCACTAATTTTTATATTTTTAGTAGAGACAGAATTTCACCATGTTGCCCAGTCTGGCCTCGAATCCTGACCTCAGGTGATCCACCTGCTTCGGCCTCCCAAATTGCTGGGATTACAGGCATGAGCCACCATGTCCAGTCCCCCTTGAGTTTTCAAAGCCACAAGACAAAAGGCATCTGGTCCCTGGGTATGTGGGGTAGAGCCATCAATGGAGAATTTTGGAGAGATCCTTTTAGCAGCTAGTATTATTTACCTCAATACCAGGAGTGTGGTGCAAGATGAGGTCAGAGAGAAGGAAAGGGCCAATTCTTCCTAACACAACCTTTTTACCATCTATCCTGCTGCCTATTACCCAGAGTCCGCAGCGCAGCCCCAACTATGAGGTCTACCTGGTCATCTTCACACTACCTACCCCACCATCATGTCTCCTTGATCCAGATCTTGTGCTGCAGTCAGGTGGTCTTCTCATTGTCTTGTGCCTTGCAATTTAGCCAACACTACCAAGCTCTAAGCACCCACAATTTCAAAGCCACCACATCCTCTGAATGCCACTGGGCTCCTTAGCTTTTCACTTCACTCTTCATAAGTTGTTGTTTCACACAAGGTAGTTTCTTTCATTTACAGGCTCGGTGATGAAGTGGAGAAGCCAGTTCATAGCTTCTTCTGGATCCCTCACAATGCCTGACAGAAATGTGCAGCACACAGAAGGTATTCAACAAATGCTTGATTGCCAACATTGAGTTCATTTGAGATAACTTCTCACCTGCTCCACTTGTAGATGCAAGTGGCAATTTTGAAAACCACTAAGCCATGTTTCTGTGACTGTGCAGTTTGCATAGAGGAGCTACAACAAATGTTCCTACCATGGCATTGACTCCCTGCTCAGAGAAGTGGCTTGTGCTTACTTGATAAGCTTCCCCTAGAAGCTTCAAAATGGAGCCTCTGTCATTACCGTGACAACCGAAGCCTCCAGCTCATTTATAGCAAACCTCAGAAAACAAACATTGCAGATACCCCACCTCTAAGACATCTTAAAAGCTGGCTGTCTTGGCTCCCAGCTCTGCATCTGGTATAGTACCAGCTCTCCATAACTTTTATCTTGTTTGAACTCCCATATGCACCCTTCCAAATTGGGCAGCTTGAGTCCTGAACCTCTAGGCTAAATTAGGAGTTTTGCTCCAATCCAGTTTATCAAAACCCAGTCTCTTCCGAACACACTCAGAGTTCTCAGCCATGGAGCCTAATCAGGCCTTAAACAGTAAAAGCATGACTCAGGGAAAAGTGCAAGATTTCTCCAGAATCAGCCCCACCCTGATAATTATCCATATAACTAAGTGATCAGGAAAGCATCCAAAAAATATCAATTTACCTCAATTTGGCTTCCAAGGCAAGTGGCCCTCAACTCCAGGAACAGAGAGACTTTGGGGTTAGCATTCATTAAGGTAAGAGGAGGAGTGGGCTAAGGAGACACATTCCACCTGCTTTTTCCTTGAACCCTGCCATTAACCTTCCTCTCAGAGGGGCAGGAGCAGCAGCCAGGGCTGCAGCTCCAAATCAATGCATTCATCACAGATGGTGCTGTTAGTGTGGAGACTGTGGGCTCCAGTAAATCACAGATCGGGGTTGACTGTTTGCTAAGAAGACATTCCTCACCCTGAAGTTTGGGCTCAAGCCCAGAATGAAATTACTCACCTCTCCCTTCCGCCTCTCTTCCCCTTTCCCTCTGTTCTTCCCATGTGTTGGCTTTTTGTGGTTGCCTACTATTTGGATTTTTCCCAGCCCCCTCACCCTTTTATAACCACAATAACTAACCCCCTGATGGGAGACAGTTGGCATTTGTAAGCCTCAACTCAGGTACTGTGCCTAACCCTTTGAGATATATTATATACTTATATATAAACATGTATATATGTGTATCTACATATACATGTATGTGTGTGTATATATAAATAATATTACATATAATCTCTTTTATTCTCTTTTGCCAACTCTATGAGGTAGTGGTTATTCCTTTTACTTCCAACATGAGGAAACCAAGGATCAGAGAGAAGGAAACCCTAGTCCAAGGTCACATGGTGGAGCTAAGATTTAGATCCAGATTTGGTTGGCTTTAAGGCTCTTGTTCTCTGCACAATGACTATATCATGTTCCAAAGACATCACATGCAAACAGTAACGTTGCTGAAAGCTGCCCTGTTCCAGAGCTTCCATCAATATCAAAAGGAGAGGTTATTTCTACAATGTACCTGTAAGATCTTCCCCTGGGGAAAGAAATAGCAGGTGCCTGTGAAAAGCTACTTTTGCCAATGTTCAGCTAAGACCAAGGCTCAGCAAAATGATTCCAGAATATGACTGTGCAGAGTCAATTGAGACTTCTGTTGCCAGAGAAACAGAAGGTACCCAGGAACAGGGTATTCAAGATAGCATAGTGGACGAGTGTGCAGTCCAGGCTCAGGGATCAGATTGCCTCTCTTCTCAACATCTGCACCATTCAGTAGATATGGGAGGTTAGATGAGTTACTGAAGCTCAGATGCCCTCATCCGTATACACACACACATAAATATACACATATATATGCCAGGCACTGTTCTAACTACTTACATGTGTTGTCATTTACTCCTCACATCAACCCTATAAAGTAGATTACTTTTATAATCTCCATTTTAGAGGTGGAAAAACAGAGGTACCAAGAACTTAGGTAAATTGCCCAGTCACACATCTGGTAGATGGCAAATCAGGTTCAAAGGTGGGTAATCCTACTCCAGACCCTGTGCTTCCCACCATTACCGTCATTACAGGAACACTAATACTACCTATATCATAGGATTATTATGAAGGTTGTGCTAGCTGCTGCATTTAAAATGCCTAACAGTGCCTGGCGCAAAGTAAGCTCTCAAAAAATGTCAGCTATTATTACTACTAAGGAAAACTAGAAGTTCTCATTTTTTTTGGCAAATGGAATAGTTTGGATAGCCATCTGGGTTTGGACAAAAGGCAAGCCTGGGTGTTGTAAAAAATCCAAGCCATACGCATTACTGCAGCCAATCTGATCATGGTTCTGTGCTCCCTTTTTAGCCTGAGCATTTATTTTCCTGCCCTTCTGGTTAGGGTGGCAAAATGTATTGTACTCCCATTTCATGAGCTTTTGCTGCAAAAAGATAATGGAGTGGAAAGACATGAGACACTCTTATGGCAATTTGTATTTCTCCTCCACAGCACTGAACACACTTGTAGTTATTATTTATGTAATTACACATTTATTGCCCTCTTTCTCCCCTAGACCAGACAGTAAACTCCTTGAGGGCAAGAACTGTGTGTGCTTTTCCACCACTATGTCTCCAGCTCCTGGCACAGAACTTGGCATGAGGTGTGCATTCAGTGGATGTTTGTGGAATGGATGAATGAATGATGCTGCTGCCCTAGGTCTGTAGAGCGAGTTGCAGGTCCTCTCCGGATGAGGGGAATGCCAGAAAAGGTGCAATTCCTACGTACAGCCAAAAGGTGGCAGAGTGACTCTGCAAACAGTCACTTCCAGCCTCCAGAGAGGAGAAAATGACAGTCTGGGATCTGAGTGGTCTTGTCAGAAACTGCAAGACTCAGAATGACCTCTGTAGCCCCCATGTTGTTTAGCCAAGGGCACTGCACATCGTACATGCTCAAAAATACTTGCTAAAACATACAACTCTTCCTTCAGTGAGGATTTTTATTCATTTATCTTTCTTGAATAAGAGCTGCCTTTCAACAAATATTTAGTGAGTGCTTGCTATGTAGGCACTGAGGCGACAGTGATGAACGAGGTGGATCTAGCTGTTGCCCTCGTTGAGCTTATATCTAGCAGGGAGGAGATGGTTAATGAGACAAATAAGTACCAAATGCTATGGGGAGAGGTCCTCTCCTGGTCCAGGAGAGTCGAGAGAGCTTTTTGGAAGTGTCATTAAAGCTGAGAAGTAATTATATATTTACACATCCATGTGAGTCACCAACCCATTAAGTAAGAGACAATTCCTTGGTTACATAAACTATTCCAAGGCAGAGTGAATGTCAGACATACAAAAGTTTAGGACATTCCACCATTGGCCTTTTTCAATATTACGAACTAGACAAAATGTAACTATTTTTAACAGAAGACATTTGTTGAAAAGGAATTACAAATACAGGTCAAGTCCCAAGATGCACACGGACTTCCCTGAATTCTTGACTAGTATTTCTTATATGTGTCCAAGGCTTTTCATTTCCTACAGTGTTAGCTTACTTGATTCCTACTACAGATCTGTGAGTTATGAAAAGCAAACCGCACCAGCCCCATTTTATAGGGTCTAGCATTTCACAGGATGAAATGGAAGCTCAGAGAAGTTATGTGACTTGCTCAAATCCCCATTGCACTGAGAGGCAGAGTCAGTACCATAACCTGGTCCACTGACTCCCAGTCTGTTACACTCAGCTGTCTGTTTATTGCACATAAAGTGGACACCGCTGTAGGTTCCTTACACTGGGATGAGACCTGCATTTATGTTTCCTCTATTCCCTATGCTCTGGTACAGTTTATGTAAGAAAGGAATTAAATGTTTTCTAAATTTCTCCTATGGTAATAGATCTATTCAGACTTTAAAGCATTCCTGGAGTAAACTTTGGAAATCTATTTTTTTTTCTAGAAACTCATCCCTAGATTGTAAAATTTATAGGCACAAAGTGGTAAAGAGTAGTCTTGAAAAAATAATTTTGTAACAGTTTTCCACATTTGCTTCACGTCTTTATAAATATATACATATACTGTGTTTTTCCTAAACCATGTAACCAGTTGTTAATGACCCTTCAAGGCTAAGTACCTCAGCATATGTCTACTAAAAATAAAGATTTTTCTTACATAGTAACAAGAAAATGATCAAATTTGGGACCTTTACCATCAATCAAATACTATTACCTAATGCATATCCCAAATTCTAATTTCACCAATTATTCAGATTAAGTTCTTTGCAGCATTTTCATTTTCTAATCTAGGCTCCAAGTTAGGGTCATGCATTGCATTTAGTTTTCCTATCTCTTTCTTCATCTTTATCCCAGCCTTTCTTTATCTTTCATCACATTGCCATTTTTGAAGAGAACAAATCAGTTACATTGTAGAATGACCATCAGCTTGGCTTTGTGTGATGTTTCCTTATGATCATATTCAGATGCTGCATTGTGGGCAGGAATAACAGAAGTGATGCTTTGCCCTTCTCAGTGCACCACAGCAGAAGGCACATGATGTCAGGTTGTCCCATTTTTTGTGGATGTTTGCTTTAATCACTTGGTTAAGGTAGTATCTACCAGGCTTCTCCACCATGAATAGGCCCTTTTCCCCTTTGTGATTTATAGTAAGTAATCTGTGGGAAATACCTTTGATTCTTTTCAATACTCTTGTACTCAATAGTTTTGGTGTCTTGCCCAAATCAAGTATTATTACGTTAATTGCAAAATATTGGCTTCAAACTCTATCATCCCACTACATTTATTAGTGAGCATTCTATTATTATAAAAAATAGTTTTGGCTGCTCCTTCCTTTTTTAATGTATTGATTTGGTTTTTTTTCTGACTTTGGTTTTCAGTATCAGTTTGGACCCATAAATTTGATTTATGAAAAACTAAAGTTTTCAATATCACAAAAACTGTCTGACGTGTAAATGTTTTACCTTTATGATTTCATTTTGATGGTAAAATTGTCCCCAATCCAGCTGTAGAAACCCTTCAAGCTGGCTCCTATGTCCTTTAGGCATGTCCCATCAGTGTTGAATCACTGCCTTTCCTTTTAGCACAAGATATTCCCAGTTTATCTTATATTTCCCTTGGCCTAGCCCTAGAACCAGCTATTTCTCCAAAAGGCTCTGGTTTCTTTTATTGGAGAATGGTATTTAGAAAACAAGATCTTAGCACTAGCTGTGCTCATTGGTTTGGGGATGTTAACACTTCTAGACCTTTTAAGTGAACAGAGTTAAGGATGAGCTCATACTGATATCTCTAATTCCAATCAAGCACCATAGGATTCTTCCTCTTCTCCCATGCCAATGATGTACCTTCTCCCACCGTGAGAACCCTGGCTTGCAACAACATTAATGTAATATAATCACTCATTTCCCCAATCCTATAAGCATACACAAAATAGTTTCAGCGTTGCTATACTGACACCACTACTAACAACAAATCTAATAAGAATCTTTCAATATTTATTTATTTTTATCTTTAAATTGAGAGTATATGATTAAAAATTACCTGATTAATTTTTGTTTATTTCTGGGTTGGTTATGTTATCACTTTGACATATAATTAATGTGTCTCCATTTGTATTCAATTTTAGGGGTTTCCTCAAACTTACTGATTTGATTTCACTTTTTGAATATGGAAAATGCAAACATGACTTCAAGTCACAACTATACATATAGGTATATTCTGGTCTCTGAAAATGCTTTAGTTTTTTCATATCTATTATGTCCTCTTTATTCCAAAGTTTGCTTATTTGAATCTTTTTTTTCTTAATTAGATTTGCCAAAGCTTTTCTTTTTAATTGTGTTGTTTGTTTGTTTGTTTGTTTTTTAAGGTAAGGTCTTGCTCTGTCGCCCAGGCTGGAGTGCAGTGGTGCAATAATGGCTCACTGCAGCCTTGAACTCCAGGTCTCAAGCCATCCTCCCATCTCAGTATCTCCCCCCAGTAGCTGGGACTACAGGTGCACACCACCACACCTGGCTAATTTTTGTCTTTTTTGTAGAGACAGGGTTTCATCATGTTGCCCAGGCTGGTCTTGAACTCCTAGGCTTAAGTGATCTGCCTGCCTCAGCCTCCCAAAGTGCTGGGATTATAGGTGTGATCCACCACACCTGGCCTGTGTTGGTCTTTATAATGAATTAACTTTAAGTTTTATTGGTCAGCCCTACTTTTGCTTATTTTCCATTTTAATAATGCTTATATCATTATGAATTCCTTCCATCTACATTTCTTGGGTGTATTTTACCATTATTCTCCTAACATCTTGAGTTGGATACTTATTCCATTAATTTTCAGGACGTTTTTTATAAGCACATAAAGCTTTCATTTTCTTCTGTACTGTTTTAGCCACCCAGCAAAGATTTTAATGTATAGTTCCTTTATTTTCATTCCATTCCAAATAGCATTTCTCTTGTATTTTTCCCAAGTCTTAGCCATCAAACTTTCTTTATCATTTTATTTTAGGTATGTGTCACTTACAAACAGCACATGTTAAATATTTGAACACAATCTGAAAATAATAGTGGAATTTAATTTGTTCACATTTATTGGAATTATTGATATATTTGAACTTATCCTTCCCATCTTTTGTTATTCCTTATCATGCTTTTTTAAAACCGTTTTTTTTTTTTTATCACAAGAGCCAATTGTTAGCATCTCTTTTCAACTCTGTGTTCAGTGAAATCATGCTGGTAGCTTGATGTCAGCCATGTTGGGGGTGATTTTCATGATACAAATCAGAGCTTTTCCCCCCAGAGTTGGTTGTTAAACATTTACCAACACACCACTTGTTTCTTTTATGTTATGTCTTTCTCTTTATTATATTACTTTTTAGTTTTAGTATGCCCTTGAGTATTTTAGAGCGGGTCCATGAATACTAAAATTTATTAATATGTGTTTGCCCTCATCCTTGAATATCAGTTTGCCTAAGAACAGGATTTATGGAAGAGACTGCTAATTGCTTATTCCAAGTCCAGTTTTCCCTTTTTCCTAAAGAACTAAACCTCAATTTTTAGCAGAGTACACTACTGCCTTGAATAAACATAATACTTTTTAGTCTTTCTTTGGACAAGTGTGGCCACCTGATCAAGTTCTAGCCAATTAAGTTAAAATAAATACTATGTAGGAGTTCTAGGAAGCCTCCTTAAGGAGAACTGACAAAACTGGGAGAGGTGTCCATTTTACTCTTCCTCTCACTTCCTTTATTTGACTACTTGGAACTTGGATAAGATGACTGGAGCCCCAGGAGCTACCTTGAGCTGTGAGGTAACTGAGGATGGAAGTCATATCTTGAAAATGGTTGCAACAGAAAGATAAAAGAGCCTGAGCACTGATAACTTCATGAAGCTGGGTTGATTCTCCATGCCTCAATTTTTCTCTGATACTTTACATCTCTTTGTCTTTTGGTTTAATATTTTGGGAAATTTCCTCTACCTAAGTTTCCAATAACTAATTCCTTCTTTAGCCACACCCATTCTATCATTCAACCATTGTGCTGAATTTTTAATTTTAGTAGTCAGATTTTTAATATCCAAAGACACTTTCCTATTATCTGATTGTGGATTCAATATTGTTACAGGTTCTTAAGTCTTTCTCTTACCCAACTCTGCTCCAGATAGATATTTAAGTCACATTACTAGACAGAACCAAAAACTAGAGTACCAAGTGATATATTTTTAATTCTGTATTTCACCTTCCAAATTATTATCTGGTGCTCCACCTGTGACTTCTTTGGGGATAGAGACAATAGAAGTTGTGGAGTAAATACTTCAGGTTAAATTCACTGGTAAAGAATTTTATTGAAGAATAAATTAATAGAAAAGATACCTAAATATCCATTAATCTCTCCCCAAATCACTTTAAATTTTGGGTATAATAATGTGAGCTGATAAACAGTTGCCATCTAATAAAAACCAAAGGGCCAGATATTCAAATTTATGGTTTTGTGGGACTTATGGCCTCTGTTGCAATTACTGACATTGTAGTGTGAAGGCAGCCATAGACTATTTGTACATAAATGGATGTGATTGTATTCCAATAAAACTTTACTTATGGACACTAAAAGTTGAATTTCATGTAATTTTCAAGTGCCATGAAATATTATTATTCCTTTCATTTGTTTCAATCACTTAAAAACATAAAAAAGTCATTCCTGCTTGTTGCCCATTCAAAATTAGGGAGTGAGCTGGACTTGTCTTGCAGACCATCGTTTGATGACTTCTTTTCTAGCTATTACCATTAATGCTTGTTTTGGTCAAACAAACCCAATAGCATTTATAGCCCTTTTTTACTTGACCTGAATTTCATCACCAACTAATGGATATTTGGGAAAGAATCCTAGGTGTATCCTTTCTGTTATTTCTTTCCTACTCAGTCTCATTTTGGCCCTAGCATTATTGCTTTATTTTGTTTCTCTTTTTCCTCATGATTTCATATTTAACCCAACAACAATGTAAGGTCTACACACACACACATACACATACACACACACACAAGGGGAGGGGGGAGTTAAAAGAAAAAGATAACCATCTTTCCTTATTACTATGAGAAATTGAAGTGTCTGAGTCTGTTAACTTTTTGAATTTTGATGCTTCAGATAATGAATAAAGCCAGTCTGTTTACAAGGAAAGAAGCCAAGATGTCTTAATCACAGTACTCTGGACATTAGGCCCCAAAGGATCAAAATATTCATTAATGCGGATTATAACAATTGGTGGGACTTAGCTAGTTCTCACGTTCTGTTTCAAACCAGGAACACTTCTTTTCAGAACGTGGATCTAGACATTTGTGGACTGAGAATTCTAATCCATCACTGCACTGATTATCTTATCTGCCTGGGCTTTACTTCTCTGAAGTTAAGCCAGCAAGACATCTTGCTGCCCTAGCCAGTGTTCTTGAGGAAATGAGGAAAAGGCATGGGAACTTCACCAAAATAGTTGCCAAAGCACATTGTTCCTTTGAGCTTCATATCATATTTGCATAAGAATAAATAATGTGATGCCAGCAGTTTTTTGTTGTTTAAAGTACAGGGCATTTGCAAAGGGTTAAGCCTCACTGTCTTTTTGACACATTCTTAGTAGAATAGAATTAAGGTAAATCTGTGGGGAAAGCAGACACAGTTGCTTCAGGCTGGGCTACATTACTGGGGTCATCATGAGTGCCAGTGTCTGGTCCTCAGCTTAACAAATTCAGAAATTAATTTTTATGGCATTCACGCAGAGGTGATCAGGCTTCAGGGGACTGACTCATGCTAACCAAATTTACAGGAGACCAACTGATTAAATGGGAAGCCAATTGATTAATTTACACTGGGAAATGGAACTGCCAGCTAGCCAGCACATTCTCTGCCAGAAGAAAAGATAAGTTGGAAAACCAAATTAAAGTCCAAAGGTTGTTTGGAGAGTGCAGAAATCAGGACTAGAGTTGTTAAATGGCTTCAAAGGATAGTTGCCCAGCTATGGCAGTCTGATGAGTCCTGCTTCTCTGCTGCAGTGACGGACCTTCTTCGCAGATCCCAGGACTTACGTTGGCTGATCAGGGTTCCCTCTCTTGGCCACTGCTAGAGACACACTGACTATGTGTTACTCTGCAGCTCTCCTTTTTCAAATCTCTAAGAAAACTGTACGATGTGAAGCATAGCCTAAGACACACAGGTAATATTCCCCTGCCACCACCCAAAGAACCCAATATTTTTATATCAATGTCCCCTTCTCTTTGCCTAAACTGTTTTCCCTATAATCTTAGTCTAGTCTCTGAAAATTTCTTTCTCTTTCTTGCTCTAACTGAAATTCAGTTCTCCTCTAGGAACAATACCCTTTCCCTTGTTGCTTTCTTAAGTGGTGGCTGTTAAACCCTCATACTGCTAGATTTGAAAGTGGGGTAGGTGGCCTTTTTTTTCCATTGCCATTTCCAGGCCATTCTTCTTTTCTCCACTAAAACACCCTCGTTTTGATCTCATGCCATCAGACCAGACCACTTACTAGTCCCTCCTTTTTGCAGTCATCCACAGACCCCTGATCTCCTGAGTATTTTAGCTCTTGGCATGCTTTCACTTTCTCCAACACTACATCTGCCTTAATTCTTGGTGATTTCAATAGTACACATAGAGAATCCTACCTGTGCCCTGGACTTTCAGTTCCTTGACCTCTTTTCCTTGAGCGACATTGTCTGTTCCCCACTCCCCAACGTCAGCTGCTCACTCCCATGGCCATATCCTAGACCTGATCATTACCAGTAACTGCATTCCTTCCTTTATCTGAATTGTATGCATCCCACTATCCCACCACCACTTCTTATTTTTCCACTGACTCCCTCTACTGCCCTATCTTCAGCAATCCTTCAATCTCATCAGGACCTTTAATTCATTGAGCCTATCACCTTTTCACTTTCTTCATTTCACTTTCTTCATTACACAGCTTCGCTTCCATGACCCATCATTATAATTTCTCTCTTGTGTATACCAATGACTCCCTTGCCCCTTGCCTTGTTTCATCATACCCCTCTGGCAACGTCTCCACTCTACTTTAATCAAATTTTCTGCCTCCTCTGAACCTGCACCTGTGCAGCTAAATGTGCCTGGGGAAAACACACTATGTGCCTACTGGTCTCACTTTAAATTCATGACCACTATCCTCAATTGGTCCCTTAATGGTATTCAGTAATTTTATTACATTTACTAATTCATTTATTCTCTCACTCTTCTAAACAAATAGTACCTTACCTTCTTCCTCAACCTCCAGCACCTCTCTCATCTTCATTCTTATCAGATGACCTTGTTTATTTATCTGGAAAGTAGAAGCAATCAGCTGAGAAGTTGTTGCCCATACTCCCATCAGCAGCTGACCTCCATCTGTGTGCACACACTGGCCTCCCTCCTGTTACCATAGATGAGCGGTCTGTGCCCCTAACTAAGGCCAATTCTTGACTTGTGCACTCAAACCCATCCCATTTTACCAACTTCAGAACAGTTTTCCAGCAATTCTCTTGTCTGTCTTCTATATCATCAATTTTTCCATCTTTACTGGATAATTCCATCTGCATACAAACATGCTGTTATTTCTCCCATTTTAAATTATGCTTTTAATCTTGGATTGCCCTCCAATTACTACTCATTTCTCTTTCTTTTTATAAAAAAACTCCACAAAGGTATTGCCCATAATCATCTTCAATTCCTCTCCACCAAGTCTTTCTTAAATTCATCTTAATCAGGCATCCTCCTCCACCATTTCCCTGAAATTGCCCTTGTCAAGATCACCAATGACCTCCACCTTGCTGATTCCAATAGTCGCTTCTCAATCTTCATTGTACTTGACTCAGCAGTAGCATTTGACACTGTATTATCACTTCTTCCTTCTGGAAATACTTGCTTCAATCGGCCTCCAGGATTCCACTCTCTCCTGGTCCTCTTTCACCTCACTGGCCTCTCCTTCTCAGTCTCCACTGCTTCTTCATCCTCACCTCCCTCATCTTCTAATCAGTATCCACTGCTTCTTCATCCTCACCTCCCTCATCTTTTAATATATTTTAATTCCCTGGGGCTCACTTCTGGGTCCTTTATTCTCTCTCTACATCCACTTACTTAGTGATCTCATCCAGTCTTGTGGCTTTTAAATACCACAGACAACTCCTAAGGTTATATCTCCAGCCCAGATCCCTTCCCTGAACTTCACACTCATATATCCAACTGCCTACTTTAGAGGTCAACTGGCATATATATTTGACATGTCAAGATTGACATGTACAAAACCCATCTTATGGTATAGCTCCTCTACCCATGCCCACTGTTAAAACCTGTTCCTCCTGTGGTCTCACCATGTCAGTAAGTGGCATCTCCATCCTTCTGGTTACTCAGGCCCAAAACCTTGATATAACTTTTGATACCTTTCTCTCTTACATACTTCACAGCTAATTTATCAGTGAGTTCTGTTAAGTTTCTTCCAAAATACAACTAGAATCTAACCCCTTCCCACTGCCTTCCCTACTACCACCTTAGTTGACACCACTATCATCTTTTGCCTGGATTATTGCAATAGCCTCCCAACAGGTTTCCCTGAAACACTTGCCCCATTACTGTTTATTTTGAACAAAGCATCCAGAATTGATTTTCTTAAAATGCAAAATAAGATCATGTCACACTTCTGCTCAAAACTTTCCAATAACTTCCCATCTGCGTCAAGTCAAAACCAAAGTCATTGCAGTGACTTGTAAGGCTCTATATAATTGGACACCACCTTTCATTACCTCTCTAACTTCATTCACTGTGTTCCACCAGCCTTGGCCTCTTTGTTCTTTCTCCAACCTATCACGGAGTCTTAGGGGATTTGTCCCAGCTGTGTTCTCTGCCTAGAGTGATCTTCCCCCAGATAGCTGTGGCTCACTTCCTCATCTGTTTCAGGCTTTGGATCCGTGACTACACTATTTTAAATTGCTCCACACACACCCAGCATTCTCTGTCTCTCTCCGTTTTATTTTTCTTTATTTTATTTAACTGCTTTATTTATCTTCATTTCATTTATCCCCATGATACAAACTGTATATTCAACTTACTTGTCTTGTTTATTGTCGGTTCCCTTCACAACCCCATTCTTTTCCCCCCAATAAAATGTAACTACTTGGGGGCAGGGATGTTTGTCTCTTTCATTCACTTCTGTATCCTCAGGGCCTAGAAGAACAATTGTATCACAGTAGGTGCTTAATAAATATATTTAAGGGAGGAAAGGGGAATAAAGAATGTTTAAGTACAAAGTACGTTTTTTCTATTTTGTCTCTATGGGATATTTTAAGATGAATTAAATCAGTTGCTTGGAATTAGGAATATACTTTGTCATAGAAGTAATAAGATTGCTATTAATAGTAATAACTCTATAAATACAATGTGGTATCCTGGATTGGATCCTGGAACACAGAAACAACATCAGTAGAAAAACTGACAAAATCCTAATAAAGTCTGCGGTTTGGTTAATAGTAATATATCAGTGTTAGTTTCTTAATTGTGACAAATGTACCATGGTAATAAGATGCCAACATTAGGAGAAAATGGGTAAGGGACATATGGGAGCTCTCTGTATTACCTTCACAGATTTTCTCCAAATTGAAAATTGTTCAAAAATTTTAAAAAGTTTAGTGTATGTGTGTATAGAGGGGTGGTGGTGGGCAGAATAATGACCCTCCAAAGGTGTCTACATTCTTTTCCAAGTCATTGTAGAAGCCCCCTCCCTCTGCAAATAGGTGCAAAAATGTCTACCTTCTCATCCTCAGAACCTGTGAATATGTTAGGTTACATGGAAAGGGGGAATTATGTTGCAGATGGAATTAAGGTTGCTTATAAACTGGTCTTTAAATGGGGGGATTATCCTGGATTATCTAGGTAGATCCAGTGTAATCATGAGGGTCCTTAAAAGTGGAAGAGGGAGGCAGAAAAAAGTCAAAGGGAGATGTGGCTATGAAAGATGGCCAAAAAGATGCAACCTTGCTAGCTTTGAAGACAGTGAAAAGTGCTAAGGAATGCAAGAAGCCTTCAGAAGCTGAAAAATGCAAAGAAACAGATTTGCCTTAAAGCCTCAAAAATGGAACACAACTGTGTCAACATCTTGATTTTTAGTCCTGTGAGGCCCAGGTTGGACTTCCACAGAATTGTAAGAGAATAAATTTGTGTTCTTTTTAGACACTAAGTTTGAGGTAATTTGTTATGGCAGAAATAGGAAGCTAAATATATATGATTTCTAATCATTATCACAACCCAGAAAGATAGGTCTAATCTCCATTTTATAGAAGTGAATACTGAGCTTCACAGAAATGAAGGTTGCACAGCAATTAAGTGATAGAGGTATGACCTAACCCGTGTTCTCACTCCTAAATTTAGGTTCTATTACTGACATGCTGTCTCCCTGGTTAGGATCGAAGACATAGCCCACAAAACCCTATGTAACCCGTAATATGCCCAAAATACCTTAGGTTTGCAAGTTTTGAAAAATGAGTTTTGAAAAACAAAAGTGACCGTGGAGCCACTTTTATATTATACAACAAAAAGTGTATTTCAAAATGGCATATTTAAATACCTTAAAAGTACATATGCACCACTTCTCTATGGTGTTCTAATACTAGTAAACAACGTGCTGTATATACTTGTGTAAGTGTTGTTTGTTTATCTTCAAGACTGCTACTTAAGGTAAATCAGATTTAATTAAGAAAAATAAGCAGGTAGACATAGACTTCTGTGGAGATGCTAAAGGTGACTTTAGGTCGTTTTCCAGGCCTTTAGAGATCGAGGGCAGTCTTGGGGTTTTTTTTAATGTCTAATTTTACTTCAAAGCTTATGGATACAGATGCATCACTGGCACTGCTCTTACTGAGCCTTGATCAGGATTTTTTTCAGCTCACAAAAGAACATTGCTTTCACTCAGAAACAACAAAAAAAATTGTCCCAAGCCTCAAAGCAAAATTTCTTAATCCATTATGTTTACTCTCTTCCTCCTAGTTTCTGGGTTTCTCGGTGTGTCTTTGTCTTGGGCTCTGTGTTTTTCTTTCTCCACTTAGGATCTGGGAATATATGTGTTTAGAGTTGACAAAGTCTTTTCTTCTCCATTAACTCGGCTTGATTTTGCTACTCTCAAAAACACTTTGAGGTAGGTCAGGCAGGTATTACTATTCACATTTTACAGACAAGGAAACCAGAACTCAGAGAGATTGAGCTAGGACACAAATCCAAGAGAGTCTCAGTCAAAGTCGAGTGCTATTTCCACCACATCCTGCAACTTCATCCCCAAAGATGGAGCCACATTCCTTGGAACCTAGGATGGAAAAGAACTGAAATGAAGATGTTGACCACAAAGGGGGAAATTTAGAGGAAGGGAAAGTCAGGAGAACAATGCTGCTTTTCTTCCTATAGAGAGGGAGGGGAAAAAAGGCAATGTTTATGGGGCCTGGAGATGAGTGTATAGGTCAATCATCTATGCTACCGATGGATGGCCAATGAGGAAGAGGGATGCCAAACGGCATAGGAAGGAAAGGAGACTCACAGGTTGTAGCATCATAGGAGAAACTGGAAGAAATATTTATGATTTGGGAGCTTGAAAACGGGGGCTGGACTGTCTGAGGAAATCCTGAAGCACAAACTACATGTAAGCTATGTAAATTTTAGATTTGACTCGAAATCATCTCCCCTTGTTTCACTTTCTAGTCCATCCTTGCTCCCAGTTATAGGCCAATACCATTTCCCTTGGGCATTGGGGAAGCAAGAGCCTTTAAATCTGAACTCCACATTCATCCCTCAGTCCCAGCAACCCAAAGCCTGACTCAGAGGTGCCTCTGGATTAGGCTTCTTGTGCTGTCGGAATACAGCACTGTTTACCTTTAAGGTCTCATCTTTTCTGAGATGCTTAGAGATACATGCCTCAAATTTACTATATTTTCTTCCCTTCTCTACTATCTCCCCACCAACACATACCATTATCCCCAACAAATCGTCTTCCTAACACAATTTAGTCATCAGTTTTACTGGTAGCAAGAAGCTCATACATTTTTAGACCATATTGTATTTTCCAAACAAACATCAACATATCGTTAATTTAATTATATGTTAGTAACTTTTGCCTATTCAGCTGAGGCCTCCTTTCCATCTACAGTAGAACTTAAGAAGGGATTCTGGCCTCGGGATCATGGTATAATGTTTACTCTTACCTTTACAAAATCTTGTCAGAGAAAGAAATGAGATAATCCTTATCCAAAGCATTTATCACAGTGCTTGGTGATTATTATTATTATTAATATTTCTGTAATTTCATGTCATCATGCCTAAATTCATAGATTCATGTAGGGTGCTTTCTTCATGATGATATGTATAAATACCTAAAACTCAAAAGATGGATTACTTCTCATAAGATTTCCTATAAACACTGTAACCCCATCCTGGTATTAAGGTTCTCCTTAGTCCAATTCCAGCATTTTCTCCTCTCTTCTGGATATCCTGTTCTTGTCCCTTTTGTCCTAAGCATTCTTTGTTGTATATTTTAGGCCCCATCTAAATTGAGGACCTTCAGCCCTTTTCATATCATCTACACATTTAGAATTGTATTTGTCAAATAATTCATTACTTTTGTTTCAAAATTAAATATAATATGTGAATTCCAAGTATCATATAGAACCACTTCAGATATCTGGAGATTAGGCTTCCAGCAGCTTTAACTGCTGGAACATGGCTGTATAACCCAGAAAGAAATGAGAAAGCCTATGAGCATTGAGTGCCATAGCCATCTAAAGCTTCTTTCCAGCCTGTGGATGAGAATGTGTATCAACTATAAATATCGACTTCTCAATTGTGATGGTCAGTTTTATGTGTCAACATGGCTAGGCTACCATTCCTATTTTTATTCCATAAAACACTAATCTAGCTGTTTCTGTGAAGGTCTATTGTAGATGTGATTAACATCTACAGTCATTTGACTTTAAGTAAAGGACACTATCTTTGATCATGTGGGTGGGTCATATCCAATCAGCTGAAGAAGCCTTAATAGCAAAACTAAGGTTTCTCTGAGGAAGAAGAAATTCTGTCTATTGACCACAGGGGCAGTTTCTGCCCCAGAATGTTTAGTCTGCTCCTCCTGATGGCTTACCCTACAAATTTCAGACTTTCCCAGTCAACCTCCACAATTATGTAAGCAGACTCACATATATATACACTTCATTCAAAAATACATTTAAAAGGAGACAAGAAGGGGGATGCTTGAGGCTGACACACTGACAAGTAAAGTTAGCAGGAAGAGAGAAGCCAGTATCACCAAATCATCATAAAAAGGTTAACTTTTGTTCAGTGTAGTAAAGACATAAATATGGAATATAGTGGTTAAAGGAGCAAGTTTAAATTATCGGGAAAATTAGCACTCTAATTTCCAAATATATTGTAATTCTAAAGATTTGTAAGTTTGCTTTCAAAATTCTATTTGTGTTCACTTGCAAAACTATGCCTTAAATGAAGGTCCAAGTTAGAAACTTAGGGAATCATTCCAGACTTTATAAGCTATCTTATTCTTTATTCTAAGAAAAAGGATATGTATGTCATTGAAGAATTTCATGCAATAGGGTGCCATGATGTGATGTGTATATCAGAGCAATCACTCTTCCTATGGGGTGGAGATCAAACTAGAAGGAGAGAAAAAATGGGAGTAAAGAGGCCAATTAAGAAAGCTGCAATTGTCTAAGCCAGGTGAGAACTGATTTTGTCTGAGACTAGAGTTGTGGCAGTGGCAATAGGGAGAAGTGTGCAGATATGGCTATATTTTGCAGGTGGAAGTGATGGTAGGGACTTCCTAAGAGACTAGATATGAGGGTGAAGAAGTGGGATGTGTCAAAGATGAGTGCCACGTTTCTGGCTAATGGAACAAGATAGATGAAAGTGTCATCGGCTGAGATGGAGAACACTGGAAGAAGGCCAGGCTTGGTTGAAGGCGATGGTGGAAAGAAAGAAGAGCATGAGTTCTTTTTAAGAGCTGTTTCATTTGTAATTTCTGGGAGCCATCCAACAGGAGCTATCAAGCTGGCAGCTAGATGTATAGGTCTGGATCTCAGAGAAGAGTTCCAATCTGAAGATACAAACATGTGAGTCATCTGCCTATGGGAGGTGGTAGTTGAAGCAGAGGCTGAAAATGAAATCACCTAAGGAGAAAGTGTAGAGTAAGAAAAGGCGAATATCCAAGGATTGAACACTGGAGGAGCTGCAATATTTAATGGCTGGATACATGTACCTGCTTGTAATATAAGCTCAATAAACGTTTAGTGAATTAACTTATAAAAAAAGTTCTAATGCACCTGTTGTTGTTGACTGGGCCCATAAAGATCCCAAGCACAGATCTTTAAACATTGCAGTGGATTCCTGAAATACCCTTCATCCTGTTGGCATTAATCCAGGCTTCCCCACAGAGAGCTGGGAGATTGCTGCCAAGTGATACTGAGTTTCATTCAAGCCAGATCTCTTTCTTTTTTGCTTACTCGTCCAGCCCAAGATGCAATCCATGCCAGCTAGTTCACTCATGCACTTTCTTTATACTCTTCCAAACTATACCCTGTATCAATAAAATTATATAGCTAGATTTTTTTTATATTGGGATTTAAAATAACATTAATTTTTAAAAATGTACATTTTATAAAATGCACATTGGCATTCTATAAAACCACTTTGACTATAGTCCTATGACATAATCAAACATTTATTTAATGCCTATTCTGTCCAGCCCTGTAGGAAATGGGAGAGAACCAAAAGACATAATCTCTACCCTTAAGGGACTTTCAGTGTATTTAGAGAGGCAAGCCTAACACCCATGACACAAGTAAGGAAAAGATCATATTAATCAAGTGTATATTGCACAGCATAGGCACTAAGGTCTATTAGAGTTCAAAGCAAGGAGCTCCAATTTACATTCACAGAATAAGGCATCAGAGCGATTTGATGAAGTTGCTCTGCTCTCACATCACCACTATTCTTGCTCCTAGGAGGAACTGGACAGAAACCATATGTGACATACAGATCTCTAGGGGAGAATGTTGCGCAACCACCTGCAGAAACCAATTCAATCTCACATAATAGAATCTGAACCTCTTTTAAATGATTTAGGCCACTTGAGAGTTTTAGAAGTCAGTTCCCAAATTAATTTAGCATTTGTCTTCCAGACAGGCTATTACAGTTAACAATAAACTCCCGTTAAAGGAATTCAGATGAATGTGGCCGAGGAAAGGAGTTCCTCATTTCTCATCCCACTTGACTTTTCTTCAGCATTTGACACTGTTGACCAGGGCCATTCCTGCTCCACGTCCTCCACAGCTTCACATATTTCTGGGTCTCTTCCTGCTTTTCTGACTACTCAGTCTTGAGCCCAGTGTCTAGCACATAGCAGGCACTCAATAAACATTTTAAAATCATAGAAAGTTTCTTTTTAGTCTCTTCTCTACTGACTCCTCATTTTCACCTAATACTTAAACGTAGACATCCCCTACACACAGAAGTTTCCATCTCTTGCCATTTTCTTCTATACCATCCCTACTCCTCATGAGTGATACCACCCACATCTATGGCTTTAGCTGCCACTTGCACACTGAAGACATCCAAATGCATATCTCCATCTGTTCTTTAATTCCCAGATTTTCAACTGCCTACAGGACCTCTCTTAAGTGTGTTGCAGGCAATTCAAAGTCAATATGTCCAAAAGTGAACTAATTATCGTTCTCTTTAAAGTTATACTCATTCCCTTATTAGGAATGTAGGTTTACAGTTCCACCATCCCTTCGGTCACCAGGGCTAAAATCTTTCAAAGCATTTTCAAACCCTCCCATTTCTGCACCCCTTCTGATGTCCGATCAGTTGTCTGGTCCTATCAGTTACCCCTCCATGTTCTCTCTGGCATCTGTCCTTTTGTCCCCATCCTCGCTGCCACTGCACTTCCATTGTTTATTGTCTTCATTCTTGTCACCACCACCTCACTAACATTCCCTACTACAACTCGCCAATTTATTTTTTAGCCTGCTATCAAAATGTAACTCAAGTCATATATTTCTCCTTTTCTAGAAATCATTCTTTATTTTTTTAAATAATTTTTTGGCTTATAAAGTTTCTTCATACACTCTGTATCAGTGGAGAACACTTTCTGGCTTCAGGTAACAGAACGTCCAGCAGCAATGACTCATACAAATAGAAGGCTATTTTTCTTACATAAGTCCGGAGGTAGGTGGTTGCTGGCATTCATTCATTGTGGCCATCAAGAGACCAGACCATCTTACAGTCTCCGCACTGCCACCCACCCTTAATGTGTTGGCTTCTCACCTTCATTGTTGCCAGTAATTCAGCTGCAAGATGGTTATTAGAGCCCCAGGTATCATGTCTGCATTCAAGGCAGGAACTAGGGAAAAGCAGAAAGCATTAGCAATGCCTGTATCTTTTCTTCAGGAAAGAAAAACTCTGCTAGAAGCCCCTTAGCAGTCTTTTGTTTATGTATCATTAGCCATAATTATGTCACTGTCATGTGGCCACCTTGAGCTCCAAAGGAAGCTGAGCAGGTATTTGGGTTTTCAAGCATAGCATCTTTTTTTTTTTACCCTATCTTGATAGTTGCTTTCTTTCCTATTTGCCCCCTTAAATCATAAGCTTCTTGGGGGCTTCTGACTCTTGGTTATATCTGCACCCCTGTCCCCAGCACCTGATACAGCACAAGGCACAAAGAACATGGCCAGCAATATTTTCTTTGTAACAATTTTGTTGAGATGTAATTCACATACCATATAATTCACCCGTTAATTGTAATGGTTTTTAGTAGATTCACAGAATTGTTCAGCAATCATCACAATCAGTTTTGGAATATTTTCATTACCTCAAAAATGAACTCCATACTCTTTAGCTATCACCCCATAATTACCCGCCCACTTCCCTAAGCCTTAGCAACCATTAATTTACTTTCTCTCTATAAATTTGCCTGTTTTGGACATTTCATAGAGATAGAATATGTGGTCTTTTGTGTCTGGCTTTTAACTTAGCACAATGTTTTCAAGGTTTATCCATGTTGTAGCATTTTTCAAAAGAAGACGTACATGTGGCCAAGAAGCATATGAAAAAATGTTCAACATCACTGATCATTGGAGAAATGCAAGTCAAAAATCACAATGAGATAACATCTCATACTGGTCAGAATGGCTATTATTAAAAATTCAAAAAGATAACAGATGCTGGCAAGGTTGCAGAGAAAAGGAAATGCTTACACACTACTGGTGGGAATGTAAATTAATTCAGACACTGTAAGTAGCAGTTGGAAATTTCTGGATAGCAGAAAACTAGATAGCAGTTTGGATATTTTTCAAAGTACTTACAACAGAACTATCATTCGACCCAACGATCCCATTACTGGGTATATACCGAGCAGGTTATAAATTATTCTACCATAAAGACACATGCATACATTATGTTAATCACAGCACTATTCACAATAGCAAAGACATGGAATCAACATAAATGCCCATCAACAGTGGATTGGATAAAGAAAATTTGGCACATATACACCATGGAATACTATGCAGCTATAAAAAAGAATGAGGTCATATCCTTTGCAGCAACATGGATGGAGCTGGAGGCCATTACACTAAGTGAACTAATGCAGGAACAGAAAACCAAATACCTCATGTTCTCACTTACAAGTGAGAGCTAAACAGTGAGTGCATGTGGATACAAAAAAGGGAACAGCAGACACCAGGGCCTCCTTGAAGATAGAGTGCGAGGAGGGTGAGAATTGGAAAACTACCTATGAAGTACCATACTTATTACCTGGCAATGAAATAATCTGTACATTAAACCCATGTGACATGTAATTTTCCTACATAACAAACCTGCACAGGTACCCTGAACTAAAAGTTTTTTTTAAGTAATATGAATCAGTACTTTATTCCTTTTTATGGCCAAATAATATTCCATTGTGTGAACATGCCATATTATTTTATCCATTTATCAGTAGATGAACACTTGGATTGTTTCCAACTTTTGCTTGTTGTATATAATGCTGCTCTGAACAGTGGTGTACAAATATTTGTTTGAGTCCTGCTTTGAATTGCTTTGGGTATATTCCCAGAAGTAGAATTATTGGGTTATCTTATAACTCTGTGTTTAACTATTTAAGGAACTGCCAGCCTGCTTTCCACAGTAGCAGCACAATTTTACATTCTCACCAAAAATATATGGGGTTTTCAATTGCTCCACACCCCTGCTAACACTTGTTATTGTCTGATCTTGTGGTTATAGCTATCCTAATGGATGTGAAGTGGTGTATCACTATGGTTTTGATTTTCTTTTCCCTGATGACTAATGATGCTGAGCATCATTTCATGTTCTTGTTAGCCATTTGTTTATCTTCTTTGAGAAAATGTCTATTCAAATTATTTGTACATTTTAAAATTGTTGTTTGTCTTTCTATTATTGAGTTGTAAGAGTTCTTATATATTCTAGATACAATTTCCTTATCAGATATATGATTTGCAAATATTGATCAACAAGCATTTTTCAGTAAAGGAATTCTAAAACTTCTATTTAAAATTTCAGATGTTTCTTGCAAAAGCTAACAGATACATTCCAGCAAAGTTTGTTTAAAAGCGATCATCAAAAAAAACTCAGTTTCTTGATAACTTCTATTATCTAATTGGAGCCAGATCTCCAGGGGAAAATTTTAATTGAATGTAAGACAAACACAGTCCAAAATGCAGCAAATCTTCTAAACAGGCCTATTTACAGTCTGATAAAATACAGCAGAATATTAACAACAAAACCTCAAAATATCAGTTACCCCAAATTTGTCCCAAAACAAAAGTAGGAAAATATAAATAGAAGCAAACATCTGGCCATGGACTTGTGAGCTCCTCCTGACTTGTGAGCCCCTCCTACAGTGTTTCCATTCTAGGAACAGTCAGCCTTACAGTCCTAGCAGTTTGGCAAAGTTTTTCATCAGCCTCAAGGCACCTAAAGAGTTTTAATTTTTCATCTAACACTTTGAATCCTAACACTTTCTTCTATTTTCTACATCACTGATTGGCCTCTTTCCAGACATATCTGGCTAATAACATCTGGTTATTTTGGCAACTCCATTGAAGGGAAGAAGGTAGCAGCACATAAAACCAAACCCTGTAATCCCCAGGCCATCCATGTCCAGCTTTGGGGGAGTGACCCTATATCTGTTTGCATAGCAGCAGGTGAGGGTCCCAAGATTGCAAGAAAGCTAGGAGATTGCACCTGAATGGGTTGTTGTAGTGCCAGTTTAAAATTTAATTGATAAATGATATCCTTTCTTAGTTAATGTGTTTTACATATAAAACCTGTTGTCGTTATGTTTCTAGGATGGTAGCTGCTTGCTTCAATCAGTAGGGGGATTCCAGTACTCCAGGTCACTGCAACAGCAAGGATCAGACAGCAGGCTTAATTCAATGCATTTGGAAGACTTCCTGTCTTACAGGAAATGTGTGACTGGTGTGTTCCTTTAAGCTGGTAGTCCTCTTCTGGCAGCATGGAAAGAAGCCAGAATAGTCATAAGAACTAGGTTGCAGTCCTAGCTCAGTGTTAACTCAGTCCTAGTTGTGTTACTACTGGCAAGGCTCTATGCCTCTGTTTTCATATCTTTAAAATGGGAATGATGATTATACCTGCATCAAATTAAATCCCAGCACTTTGGGAGGTTGAGGCGGGCAGATCGCCTGAGGTCAGGAGTTCAAGACCAGCCTGGCCAACATAATGAAACCCCATCTCTACTAAAAATACAAAAATTAGCCAGTTATGGTGGCGCATGCCTGTAGTCCGAGCCACTCGGGAGGCTGAGGCAGGAGAATTGCTTGAACCCAGGAGGCAGAGGCTGCAGTGATCCGAGATCAAGCCAGTGCACTACAGCCTGGGTGACAGAGTGAGACTCCATCTCAAAAAGAAAAAAAAAAAAGAAAGAAAGAAAGAAAAAAGAAAAGAAAAAGAAATCCTGAACTCCTATCTGTGTTTAGAAAGCTAACCCTAGTAGTAGTGTGGGGATGAGCTGAGGAAAGCAGAGACAAAGAACAGCTAAAACAGGTAGGAAGCTATTTGTTGATATCACACAAAGTTAAGACAGTGGTAGTTACTGTGGAGAGAAGACAAATTTGGGCAATGTTTAGAAGGAATAGAGAAGACAATGTTTGATTCAATGTTGGGGTAGGGGAAAGAGGGGAGTAAAGGATTCTGACTTAGACAATTGGGCTAATTGTGGGATCATTAACAGGAAAGGGAATACAAGAGGCTTAAGAAAATGTAATGTTGTTTGGGACATGTTGAGTTTGAGGTGCCCACAGCCCATCTTTGTAGCAAAGCCTAGTAAATCTTTAGAAGTAGGAATGTATAGCTTGAAGAGAGGGAGTGAAAAGTCTGAATTGGATTTAATCTTGGGCAAGTAGAATGGTAACTGAAACCACAATACTTCAGTATTGGGATAGCTCAGTGAGAAAGCACACAGTAAGAAAAGAGTGCCAAGAGTGAGCCCTCAAGAACAAGAGTTTCCAAGGGGCATGGGAGAAAGAATGCACAAAGGAGACTGGCAAAGAGTGATGCAGAAGAATGTTCCAGAGCTGAGTTTCATGAAGCCAGGGTGCAGCTCAAAAGAACTAAATGCTACTGAGAGTTTGGATTTGATGAGAACAAAGAAAAGACCACTGGAGTTAGCAGTTAAATAGGATTTGGTCATGGCCAGGTCAAGACAATTTCAGGCAATGTGGAAAGAATCTGAAAAGCAACTGGGAGGCAATTATGAAGATACAGCAATGACAAGATACTCTCTGTAAGCTAGATGAAAGGACAGAGCAAAGAGGTGGTTGTAAATAAAATGAGTTCAAATGAGATAATATATGTGAAAGCTCTGTTAAAAATGCACAGGACAGTTATTGTTCTGTTAAGCATAACAGAATAATACCCTTTTGGCTATTCTCCAAAAGAGTAAAACAAAAAACATAAAAAAACCCTCCCACCAGCAAGTGGATGAGTCATGAGGTAAAGGAAATAGAGTTCCTTTTATCATTTCTGTTTTTCATGGAAATGACAGCACTGTCCATTTATCTATGTTTTGAAGAATCTCATTAAGAAATTACTCTCTCAGGTTGATTTGGTAGCTTCCTTTGATATCCAGAATGGTAGAGAGTAGCAAAACATTGCATTAAGCAAAGGTCATGAGCTTGCCGCCATCTTTTAAGCTACGAGATTGAGGCTGTACGTATAGAAAGACCAATCAAGAGGCTTGATGATTTTGTGCACTGAATTCATCCAGATTTGGTATTGTGTTGACCTACCCTGCGTTTCTCAGTCAACCACAAGGCCCCTTCATCAAATCGTACATCATACACACTTTAGCAGCAAGAGAGAGCTGCTACAACCCAGCCTGAGAGTTCTCAGGAACAACACTGAGAGAGATGGAGGAGAGACTCATCATGCATAAAATTATCAGGCTATGGGTAAGTGGAAATTTTCACAGAGTGGAAATTGACACTGATTTTCTGGTATTTCAGTGTTCTCTGAAATAACGGAGAGAAATCACTGTGATGACAATAATAATGTATTTTACAACTGACAAAGCACTTCCACATCCATTATGTCATTTGATCCTAACAAACCTGCAAGGTATAATGTGCAGTGATTATAGTCCCCTTTTGCAGTTGCAGAAACTAAAGCTCAGGGGTTAAGTGACTCCTTGTCATGGCACAGACAATAGGTAGCAGAGCCAGGGATCCACTCCAGGTCTCCTGACTTGGAATCCAGCACTCTTTCTGCTAACTACACAGCCAGTATAAACAAACAAGGGCCAAATGGTTCTATGGTCCCAGTGGCACCACAGGTACGGCACCTAGAAAGCAGAAACAGGTGCTCAAAGATATTTTGGGGCCTATCTGTAATGCTAAGAGTTAACTTTTTCTTCCTGAGCTGCAAATCACTTACTTAAATTTTTGGTACATTATGTAAAGATTCTTGTTTGAGTAAGACAGACAGTCTTGCCCATGCTGTGTCCATGTCTGATTTTCTGAACAATGCTCCTCACTTTGTTAAATCCTCCTAGATTTCTTACTCATCTACCCCCCACATTCAGCTGAGAAAAGCCACCACACCTGTGAATCTCACATTCTGAAATTTGAATCACAATTTGAATTTATTTCCATGTCTATTATTACTGTCGAGATACACGATGAGGAAAAATGGACACATTAGAGAAATGAATTCAGCATAATGAAGGTCATTTTCAATTGTGACTGCCCATTGTACACCTCTTTGGCTAGCATTACAGACAGATGCCATGCAATAGACTTTTTTTTCCTGATATTGAGTGAGCTTCTTGGCAGACTAAGGCAGCTCATTAGTAATCTTGGATCTCTTTCCATATTTGTGATTCAACTCTAGATGTTAAATAGTAGGTGATCTGGGCTTTATGCCATAAAAATCTACAATGACATTTCCATACAAACCCCAATGATTGAGAGGGGAGTTCTGTTTCTTGAGACCCAAATTTGTTTTACCTTAAATTAGCAACCCTAGTTCAGGGTTAGCCAGGCTAAGAAGAGAAAAGGAATACGGGAGGCAGAACAGGAAACATTCAGAGGAGGAAGAGAGGGAGCTCAATCTCAATTCTACTTTAAGAGGAGCCATTGCAAAGAACATTTTTAAAATGACCCAAGATAAGGTACAGAGTAGCAGGAGGATGTTCATAGAAAGGTCTAGTGTTTTGGGAGTGTGCACAGTAACAGTAATCAATTTTATTTTGGTTAATTTGTTTCCTAAGTTTCTTTTTTAAATAACCTCAGTTTTTATTCTCCAAGAGTTGATGAAGCAAAATTGAAGACTCATGAGGTGGCTCTTCCTCTGTCAACTGGTCTCCCTACTTCCAGTCTTTTTCCCCATGGAATTCATCATGCACATTCCCACCAGCAGTCTCTTTAGGAACAAGTCTAACCATAGGTCTCTGCTTAACTGCTTCAATATTCACACCACCCACTTCCAGACTTTAGCCTCTCGCCACACCTAATTATAAACCGTTCTGAAAATATACTATTCCTCAGTGAGTGGTACATCTATGAATGTGTACTTTGAATGTGCTCATAACAGAAAATCAACTTGGGGTGGTTTCAACAAAAAAAGAGAAATTGCTGAAAGGGGCTTGGAAAAAGCTGAGGGAAGACAGGGATGCAGCTGGACCTCCAGATCAGCTGAACCCAGGGAAACACCATCTCTTTGCCACCGCCACTCCTGTCCTTTCTCTTACCACAACTTCTGCCTTTGCTTCTGCGTTATTCTCTTTCACTGCATTTTGGAATCCTTTGTGTGGCAGAAAACATGACCAGCGACACCTCCTGACCAGTGACACCTATTAAGTTTTACTTGTTACTATGTCTACCCACAGACCCACACTGAACCTATCAATTCTAGTTTCAAATGCCCTGGGGAAGAATTCTATATTCCTAGGTAAGGTGAGAGACTTTGCTAGAATCATGTGGATAGGGAGAGAGGGGACAGTAACCAGGAAAAGGGAGCATTGCTGTACAGATATGCCATAAACGCTCATAACCTTGTATTTGCTTCTGTGCCTTCCCCTCATCTCTGCTTGTTGTGGTTGTTCTACTTTGGCCCATATTCTCCTCTCATTTCTATAAACTTCTGTAGAACTTATTATCAACCGTCTAGTCCTTGGTTATAACACCACTTTCTCTGTTGCTTATTTCATGGGTTTATCACTTTGTATGTTCAATGACTTTGAAAGTGGTTTGGGGGACAGGAACCATCTTGTACTTCTTTAGAATCCCCCACACTATTTCTAGAACTGTCCTAATACATAGTAAGAGCTCATATGCTAGCTGAGTTCAATCAAACATTTATTAGGTTTCCATGTTAGAGAAGCTTGGATCCCGAAAAGAAATAATTCATCTACCCATTCCCAGCTCCAGCTACTGAATGGAGAAAATGACATTATATTTCATTCCATCCATCCATCCATCCATCCATCCATTCATCCATTCGTTGAAAAACATTTAATGAATTATTATTCTATGCCTGTCACCATGTCAAGTGCTGAGGATACAGAGGTTAATTCGATAAGGTATCTTCCCTGGAGGGCACAATCTAGCTGGCGAACAGACAGACATGGAAACAAATAAATTATCACCACACCATATAATGAGTGTTGTAAAGAGTACAGAGTGCTGAAGGAGCCCAGAGAAGGTGATTATAGGTGGGTCTCCAGTATCGGCATTAGAACTCCTAGGAACTAACTCTATATCTGATTGATCGTAGCCTATATAAGAGCATCTTTGACAATTTCCTTACAAGCTTATGAGACTTTGAAATGAGTGAAAGAAACCAAGAGAAATAATTTTCTCTTTTCAGAATTCTTTACTCAGGAGTGGGATTCAGTGTCCTGACTTCCTTCCTGTCAGCTCCTTGTGGGTACTCCCACCTCCCGCTTGCCTCACCAGCTGTCTGTTGCCTCCTGAGCAATCACAAGAGGTGACATGACCACTTCTCTTCCTTGTACAATCCTGTTTTATGGAGCAGGATAGCCAGGAAATTGGTCAGTCAACTGAAAGAATGTTAGAACTGGGGCCCTTCTGCCAAATTCTTCCTCTTTTGATGATCTTCTGTTTTAAATATTACTGGCTATTGTTTTGAATAATGCGTTGTGACCTGGAATATTTCCTCTGCAAAACTACTTTGCAGAAGCTAAAACTGCACCCTGATATGCAGGTGGGATTTGCCCGATATGTCATATAGATTTTGCTTCACAGCTATTGTAAGGAACTTGAAGGAAGATGTGTGTACAGTTAGACAGTTTAGGGTATTGCCGCTTTTTCCGTGGTCTTGATTTATAACAAGTAGTTTTATAAATTTCAGTTTGCCTCAGCCTCTCACTGTGGAAACCTGTTTAACAGCCACTAAAAATGCGGGGAACTACCCTTCAATGGTTCCAAATGTCATGGGAGAGCAACCAGCTCAGCAATGGAGGAAGAAGAAAGGAAAATCAAGTGACATTGATCACAGTTCCAAAGAAACAAGGAGGGTTTTATCTAACCATTTGGCATTTTTAGAAATGTATTTTCTCATCACACACATTGCTTCAGAATCCAACCACATCTTCACCATGCCAACCTCCCACACAGCTGTTTTTGGGAACTGGACAAGTAAATCACACTAATGATGTAAACATCTGCAATCTTAACTCTCAATGGGCATGAAACCGCTTTCAGGGAATCTCTTGATGTTGAACCTGGGGCATCCCCACTCCACCAAAGATACTGGGAGAGGTACTACCACTTGTGCTAGAGCAAGCAAGGCAAGGATTGGCCCCATCACATTTGAAGAAGGCTGCCTAGGGCACTGCACCTGGTCATCAACATTCTAGTAGTGAGAACTAAATGTGTGAATTCAACAGTCTTTAGGTTTACCCTGGGTGTCTTCTTGTCAGTATACATATAAAATACCCTTGTAATTAGCCATTTGTATTAGTCAGGGTTCTCTAGAGGGACAGAACTAATGAAAAAAAAATACACACACACACACACACACACACACACACACACACATATTCCTTTTTTGAAGCAAATCTTGACAACTTAGTTTGTTCTTGTTCCAGGATCCTTCTGGTCTTCCCAACTTCTGATACATGTAATGTATCCCTCATTTTCTTTCAAGGATTAGTGTTCACCTTGCTTTGGTATACATCTTACATTCAATAAATTCTACAAAAGCATTCAGGCTACTATTGGAGACAGGGAATTGGAAATCCTGATTCACCTGGTCCAACAAGCTCTATATGAATAAATGTTATTCTTATCAACTCATATGATATTCTCCTCTCTTTTTTATTACAAAATTTTCCAATATATATAAAATTAGACAGAATGGTATAATGAACCCCTATGTGCCTATCACGCAGCTTTAATCATTATCAATTGGAAAATCTCGTTTTGTCTATACTTTACATATTATTTTGAAGCAAATCCTATATATCATTTAATTTCATCCATAAATATTTCAGGATATGAATTTATTTTTAAACAAAATCACATTGCCATTATCACACACACAAAATTAAATAAAATATCCTCCTATTCTTCAGAACACTGTTAACACAAGTTTAGCGGAAAGCTCAGCTTAGGACCTGAATGAGAAAACCATGAGAGGACTGTTTGTGAGTATCCGTGAGTCTCCCTGGGGACTTCTGTGTCTAGACTTGATGAATCTAGGGGCTTGGGTGCCACACTGGGTGGATGGAGGCACCAGCTAAGGACATTTAGATTATCCCTATTAATTCAGTCCCATGACTTCCCACACACTGGAGAGGCCTGGAAAAATTAAAGCTAAATCAGGATATAAAATGGGATGACTTTAAGAGAAATTGGATTGCACATGGAAGCCAAAATCCCCTTCATCACCCTGACTCTGTACATGACCTCTGGTTACTAGGGAAGCAGGAGTCTTCTTGTGCTGGGCTCCCTGTGGTCCCTGGCATGTGTCTTGCTGCCATCTCTCCCATCTTGCTAAGCTTTCCAGCCATGTGTACCTAGCCTAAATCTACTGGGACCCACATTAGTGAGATCCACCACCTCAGGAACAAGCTCACCGTTTCCCCCTCAATTACCAAATACCTGTCAGTTTGCCTATAAAATAACCATTTGCTTTAATGGAGAGACAAGAGCAGAAAAACTATCCTTTCCTCTCTGGTTTCCTATTTAAGGGAAACAGTCTCCCTACTGCTACCAGAAGCCATCAACAGGAGCCTCTTTCCCAGTTGCAGACCCGTACTCACATGCCCCCTAGTGGCTGACCCAGTTAGGCCCCCTCTCACTGGGTTCTATCACCTGTTCATTAAAAGCTTTTCATTTACCCCACCATCACAGAGAATTCTTCCTTTACTCCATTTTCTCTAGAGTGGATTAAACCCCCATAATACTTGAGCTAACTTCTATCAGTATTTATAACATTGTATGCCATTGTCTCATTCCTCTAACTGTGCATTCCTCTGGGGCCAAAAACCTGGTCTTATTCATTTACATAAAATATGGAGCCCAGGGCAGCACTTGGTACACTGTAAATATACAACAAGTATTATGTGAATTAATGATTCAAGTAAACATTAATTACTGGGAAACATTCCTGACTTCTCTTTCTCAATTGTAGCCTCAGCTTTGGGTTCATAGGCTCTCCCAACATATGCCTATAACCCTCTAGAGAAGCAACACCCACACATGCATGGGCATGCACACACACACATGCACACACACATACCCTTTAGCTGTCTTTGACTATGATGAAGCATCCATAGTAAGAATTTCATGAATATTCTATTTTATTTAGTGTGTGTTATACCTGAGCATATCTATTACATTAATCAAGTGGTATTCTTTGCCCATGCACCATGTCTTATTGAACATTCTTGGCAAAGAGTTATACTGAGAAGTTTAATTCACAGCAAGCAATATTTAACAACATTTGTTCAGTAGTTGGTATATGAAGCTGGCAAGCTCCCCATCACCCCCATGCTGCCAAATTTCTGTTCTTATGAGCCAAGAGTCTTTCCACTTTGGCTTTATTGCCTCTGCTGCCTGCCCTCCTGACTTTCCCACTTCAAAACTTCAATAGACCGTCTCTTTGTGGGATCTGGAGGCCACATAGAGGTCACCTACTGTTCCAGCTGTGAGTCAGCCTGCCTCACTAACTCCAAACCTCCCATTACTAAGTTCATTTTGTCGGGGGCAAAGGCTCTCCCCACCAACCCCCACCCCCCAACTCTCAAATGTTCCTTTTCCTCCAAACTCCTTCATTTCTCTTTTTTGCTTTTCTGCTAAGAAAAGAGTAATTTCCAGCCTCAAGAGGGAGCCTTTCCCCTCCAATCAATGGATAAACACCCACATGCACACACTAAATCTCCTTGACTGCCATGAGCTTGACTGCCATGAGCTTGACTGCCATGAGATGCCCTGAGCTTGCCGGATGTTCTCCATTTATGATCAAGTCATATGCAGACATGCCTATCAACTCATAAAACCTCAAAGCTGGAGGAAAACCTAATAGTTCTATGGTCCCATTCCCCTTGCAATGTTCACATTCCCTTGATTTGCAATGGAGTGAGAAGTGCAGCTAGAAGAAAATCTAGCCACCACAGGATTTGACTCAGTCATTGTTCTCCAGGCTTAGCAATTTATTGCACAGGTTATCCTGTTGTCAAATCAAAAGGCAGAGCAAATGTCCCCTTGCTCATGGGCTTCAGGGCTTAGACTAAATCACCAAAAATAGTGATTTTAGAAACTGAGTAGAGGTTGCAACCATGTGTGTATGCATTTTCCAGCATGATACCTCCTAGACCTTGTGTTCAGTTGCCATATGTGGGGAGGGCAGCCATGGCCAATAGCCCAGACTTCTTTGAAGGTGGAGGGATGAAAGGTATCTGGCCAGAAAAGTCTTTCTTAAACTCACTTCTCAGGCTCCTCTTTTATCTCACTTTGGTGCCTTGACCTTACCAGCTACTCACATCTACATCTTGTCTTGAATCCCAGATTCTCCCAGAGGACATTGGTCAGGGTTGATAGTCTCCTCATGGGGCACACATGATTTTAGTCTCAACATGATTTCAATTTAGAGAGCACCTTGGTCACTCAACCTGAGAGCTTGTTCTTGCTGCATATAATCTCTCCTTTAGCCAAGACTTGATAACACTCTACTCTTTTGGGGTCATCATTCAAGTGCTCAGACATGAATCCATGGGAGGTGCAATATAGACTTCTCTGATTTGATACAGAAGATTTAGATTCAATTAAAATTTCATCCATTCATGTGGACACACACTTCATACTGACACTTCTAAAATGCTTCTGGTTTCCATCTTTTCCTTCATTCAGTTCCATATTCCAACAGGAGCCCTGTATGCTTCATACAAAATAAGACCCTAGATAACTTGGAAATTTTAGACCAAAAGCTTTAAAAGATGCATGTTTATTGACTCAGTGATCAACTTTTTAAAACGATCTAAAAGAAAACAACTTTGTACAAAGATCTAGCTACAAATGCATGTTCGTCGAATCAGCATTTATTAGAGCAAACAATGGAGAGGAACCTATATGCCCAGCAACAAGGATAATTAAAATTTTTTAGCTCCATGAGATATAATACTAGACAGTCATTAAAACAAAACTATGGATTTATATTTATTGTAGTCAGAGATGTTGTGGCTACATTGTTCATTGAAAACACCAGATTTCAAAGCAGCAGATATTTATGCTACCATTCAAAAATATATGCGTGTGAATACATGTATAGAAAGATATCTGGGCCAGGCACGGTGGCTCACGCCTGTAATCCCAGAACTCTGGGAGGCCGAGGCAGGCGGGTCACTTGAGGCCAGGAGTTCAAGACTAGCCTAGGCAACATGATGAAACCCCGTCTCCAACAAAAAATACAAAAATTAGCAGGGCACGGTGGCATATACCTGTAGTCTCAGCTACTTAGGAAGCTAAGGCAGGAGAATCGCTTGAACCCGGGAGGTGGAGGCTGCAGTGAGCTGAGATCGCACCATTGCACTCCAGCCTGGGTGACAGAGCGAGACTCCGTCAAAAAAAAAGAAAATGAAAGAAGGAAAGAGAGAGAGAGAGAGGAAGGAAGGAAGGAAGGGAGAGAGGGAGGGAGGGAGGGAGGGAGGAAGGAAGAAAGGAAGGCAATAAATCTGGAATGTTAGGCACCAAGATATTAATGGTGGTTATTTCTGGGAGGTAGCACAATGAGTAATTTTAATTTTTTTGTTTTCCTTCTCTGTATTTCCTAACTTTACTACATGAAACTTATATTACTTTTTAATTTATATAAAAAAAGAACTCTAAAGATTTACAATCCATATCAGAAAGAGGCTAGGGTGGAAGAAGCAGATTCAGCCACACAGTGGCCTGCCAGCAGCAGCCACTGCACCAGAACTGCTTGCACACCAAACTACACAAACTACACAAAACTTAGTGGCTTAAATAACATGATCATTTGTTTTTTATGTTTCTGGAATTTGGGCAAGGCTTGGCAGAGATGGCCTGTCACTGCTCGTGTTGCGCCAGCTGAGGCAGCCCAACCGGGACTGGAGGATCTGCTTTCAAGGTGATATATTCACAAGTCTGGCAAATTAGTAGTAGCTGCCATCTGGGAGCTCAGCTGGGGCTGTTGGCCAGAGGTCTTGATGCTTTTCATTGTGGGCATTTCCACATGCCTTTTGGGGGCTTCTTTACAGCAGAGTAGTTTGGTTCTAGGAAAACCAGGTGGAAACTGTAAGGCTTCTTATAACACAGCCACAAAAGTCCCAAAATGTCAGTTCTACCATATTCTATTTGTCAAGTAAGTCACTAAGGCCAGCCTAGATTCAAGGAGAGAGGAATTAGACCCTGTTTTTTGACAGGACAAATAGCACAAAATAGTTGGCCATTTTTCACTCCACCACACATGGGAACAGAAGAAGCTCTTCTACTTAACGAAGGTCCCAGCTGTTTTGATTTTCCATGACTCTCCCCTGGGGTATTATGCTGTTATCAATATAACCATTATCTAAATAAAGAAGCAGCTGTTTATGAGAGAATTTTTGGAGAAAAAGAGACCATGCTTAGTAAAAAATTGTTAGAGTTTCTTCATTTCTTAATTTTTCATTTTAAAAATTTGTAACCCCAGAGCAGCAACCCCCACTATGTCTTTCTACTATCTATCTTTTTAAAACAGGGGCATAAATAGCACAATTTTACTCCAATGATTGTATGTCATAAGACTTTGAATGTGTCCTAATTTTTCCAACCTCTTGGCCTTTGTTCTTTCTATCCCTCTATCCTCACTTCCAATAATGCTTTTCCCTTTGTTGATGTCCTTCCTGCTCATTCTTCAAAGCCCTACCTGAGTCCTGCCTCCCTGAGACGGAATTCTCCTGTCCATCACTCTATGTATCTGTTTTAGCAGTTATCACAGTCCACCTTTCTAACACAGGGCCTCACCCATAGTAGATGTGCAGCAACTATTCACTTAATGGATGAATAAATGAGTGCTAGAGTTGCCTGCCTGGCTGGCTGTCTTACTTACCAAACTGGTAGTCCCTTTCAGGCAGGCTTCACATTATAGTAATATCTATAGTATCAGTCTATCCTACAACTAATAAAGAGCTTTGAATTCTTCCTTTCTTAGTTTCTTTTCCTTCCTTCCTTCCTTACATAATTATATATTGATGCCCTACTATGTGCCAAGCATTATGATAGGCCCTGTCCTCATGGAGCTTACATTCTTCTAGAAGAAACACACAAATAAATAAAGTAATTATAAACTGTGATATGTGCTACAAAAAAAAAGGATAGTGTGACATTTAACTAAGACCTAACGAATGACCAGGAGCTAGCCATGAGAAGAATATGGACTTCATAAAGATATGCTTAAGTGAATCCATTGCTATGGGTGAATGATAATCCAGGCTTGCCCTTGATAACTACCTTTCCTGATCTTCCAACTTTCTCTATTCCAGTTTATTAGTCAGCTGTTTTTCAAAAACAAAGATTTAAAATAACTATGTTTACATAAAATTATATGATGCACAGTATTTGCTTCAAAATAATCTCAAGGAGAATAAGTAAATTATAGGTGAAACAAAATTGGTTATGAATTGATAATTGTTGAAGCTGGATTATGGGTATATGGAGGCTCATGATACTATTCAATATAATTTTGTACATTTTGGAGACTTTCTACTATAAGAGTTTTAAAATAATCATGTTTCCTTAGATAGTCCTTCCATATTTTCCCTAGGATTCTCAGCTATCAGTTGTGTACAAGAGAGGGGAAGGGCTATAATAGATTATGGAGGAGGCAGGAAGGTAGTTTAGAATTATGGTTAGGAATGTCTCTCTCTTAAGATGGTTCTTGATAAATGTGCAGAGACTAGTAGCTCTCCTGAGCTGCTATAGTATCAGAATCTCTAATTTTGATCTGAGTACCTGGCCAGTTAGAATAAAAGCTGCGTTTCCCAGCTTACCATGCAGCAACTTAAGGCTATATGATAAATTTCTGCTCCACTGGACGTAAACAGAAGTGATTTTTGTAATTTCCAGTTTATGCCCTTGAAGGGAAGGTGCACCTCTTCCTTTCTTTTGCCCCTTCTGTCTGGTAGAAATAGAGACAAAGTTATGAGCATGATAATAACATCCTGGGAAAGCTACACAAAAAGAAGTAAAAAGCCTGGATCCGGGACAGAACCACAGAGCAAGGCCAACAAAACAGCACAGAACTTTATGTGTAAGAGAACTAAACTTCTCTCCCTTTTAAGCCCATTTTATTTTGGGATGGCTTACATTCAGCCAAACCTATACTCAATGAATGCAATAAGTTAGATTGCAAAGGAAGTAGGACTTGGAAATCTTCATGCAAAATGTATGCTTTTAGAGAAAGCTGCCTCTGGATCAGAAAATCCCAATGCAAATCAATCAGAATGTCTCCTAAAGAAAAACAAACAGCCTACAAACATGCTGTCAAAAGCAAAGACTACAAATACCAAATTAATTAAGAGTGCCAACATACAGGCTTAACCCACTATAGAACAAAGTCCGTATTGTCGGCATATCATAGATTTGGAAAGTATATCAGCAACAAGTACGACAAATGAGTTCATGACATCATTTGTAAGGAGTGCTTGAAATTTGAACAAAAAAGGCAAACAATTCAATAAAACATGGGCAAAAGACATGAATAGTCAATTTAAGAAGAGCAAATACAAAGGGCCAGAAAACAATATAAAAAGATGCTTAAATTCAATAGTACTCAGAGAAATGAAAAATAATGTAACACAGGAATAACACATTATATCCATCAGACTGGAAACAATTTAAACTATGGTAACAATGATTCTTATAAATGTGTCAAAATAAAAACAATTACAGCCTTTTGATAAACAATTTAGAAGTAACTATAAAATTAAAACTACGTGTGCCCTTCTACTCAGCAATTCCACTTCTAGAAAAGATAATGTAAATATAAAAGCACCAATACATAATGATATACATACAAGGATATTTATTGCAATATTGTTTAGTGGCAATTTTTGACAAATTAATGCCTATCAATAGAGAAATGATAGAATTAATTTGGGTACATCTACATTTACATCATAACATATTATGCATACATCAAAAAAGAGAAAGTGTGTGTGTGTGTGTGTGTGTTTGTGTGTGTGTGAGAGAGAGAGAGAGAGAGAGAGAGAGAGAAGAAAATAAGAGCTATACCAGTTGACTTGGAGAGGGTTCCACAGGATATTGAAAAGTAAGAAAAGCAAGATGCAGAACTATATGTATGTGACTTCATTTTCCAAAAATAATCACCAAAAAACTGTGCATGAGATTGTGTGTATGATTATATGGGCATGGGAAAAAGTATGAAAAGATATACAGTAGAATTTTTGAAAATAAACTTTTTATTTTAGAATATATCTATAGATTTGTAGAACAGTTGCAAAAATAGTGCAGAGAAGTTCCACACCCAAATCTTGTTTTCCAGATTAACTACTTACATTAGTATGACACCTTTGTTACAATTAATTAAAAATATTGACACACTGTCATTAACTAAAGTCTATAGTTTCATCAGACATCCTTAGATTTTTACCTAATGTCCTTTTTTTGTTTTAGGATCCCACACAGAATACTGCATTCCATTTAGTTTTCATGTTTCCTTAGACTTCTCTTGGCTGTGACAGTTTCTCAAACTTTGCTTGTTTTTGAAGACCTTGACAGTTTCTAGGAACTGGTCATATTTGTTTAGAATGTACTTCTACTGGGATTCACCTGCTGTTTTTATCATAATTAGACTACAGTTATGGGTTTTGGGGAGGAAGACCATAGAGATAAATTGCCATTCTCATCACATCATATCAAGGGCACATGCTATCAGCATGACTTATCACTGTTGATACTGACCTTGATTACCTGGATGAGGTAGTATTTGTCAGGTTCCCCCATTTTAAAGTTACACTTTTCCCCCATTTTCCATACTATACTCTTTGGAAGGAAGTTACTATGTGCAGCCCACACTTATGGAGTGGGAAGTTATGCTCCACCTCTTCGAGGCATAATATCTACATAAATTATTTGGAATTATTCTATAGGACATTTAGCTCTTTTCCCCATTTGTTTCTTTACCCAGTTGTTTATTTACTAATATGGATTCATGGATATTTATACTTATTATAAGCCAGTACTACTTTTTTTATTTTATTGCCCAAATTATTCCATGCTTTGGCCATTGGGAGCTCTTTTGGTGGACTCCAGAGTCTCTTTGACATACTCTCATCCTTGTGGATCTACTTTTTTTTTTTTTTTATCTTTGAACACTTCTTTACTTCCCGACACCATAAGATATTCCAAGGTCTTCTTATGTATATCTTGCCCTAGTCCTAGAATCAGCCACTTCTCTTAGGAGCCTGTTTTCTTTTCCTTTTTTTTTTTTTTTTTTGACAGAGTCTTGCTTTCTTGCCAGGCTGGGGTGCAGTAGTGCAATCTTGGCTCACTGCAACCTCCACCCCCCTGGTTCAAGCGATTCTCCTGCCTCAGCCTTCTGAGTAGCTGGGATTACAGGTGTGCACAACCACACCCAGCTAATTTTTGTATTTTTAGTAGAGACAGGGTTTCACCATGTTGGCCAGGATGGTCTTGATCTCTTGACCTTGTGATCTGCTCACCTCAGAGGATCAATCTCCTGACCAGAAGCCATGGCATCTGGCCCCTGTTTTTTTTTTGTTTGTTTATTTTTTTTTTTAAATTGGAAATTAGTGCTAGAAACCAAGATCTGGGCACTAGTTGTATTCATTCCTACTGGAATGTTGTTGCCTGTAGGCCCTATCAGCTGACAGAGGGAAAAATATATATGTGTGTATACTAACTCATGTATATATACATACATATAAATATTTCTATATGCAACCATCTGTATCCATATCAAGCTAAACATGAGTTTATATCGATGTCTCCAACTCTAATTCTCACCATATAAATTATTCTAGCTTCCTCCCCTTGCTTATCTGTAAACTCCCACTCCAAAAAGGGAGAAATCTGGTTCCCACCATCTGACATTCATTTACTTAGCTGCTCCATTCCAGTATACATCAGTAGCAGCATCAGAATTGTTAACTTGTACCTCCAAGTGAAGCAACTCTGTCAACTAGAGTACAATGCTTATGTGCAGTTCCTTTCATCTTTAGTTTTACTGATTCCACTTATTAGCAAAGTTATTTAGGTGAACACCTTTTTCCTTAGCCTCCTTAAGTGAGGTTGTTTCGCATATTTACAATACAGTTAGATTGTTACCCTGGGATTTCTCCAACCTCTTAAATTACTTTTTAAATTTTTTGGATACATTAAGGTTCATGCACTGTAAAGTTCAATGGGTTTTGGCAAACACATAGTGTCATGCACTCACAATTACAGTATAATACAGAATAGTTTCGCTGCCCTAAAACATCCTATGTGTTTTACCCATTCCACCTTTCCTCTACTTTTCCCGTACCTCCAGCAACCACTGGCGTTTACTGTCTCTATAATTCTCCTTTTCCAGATTGTTTTATAATTGTAATCACACAGTATGTAGCCTTTTCAGACTGGCTTCTGTTCTTTAGGAATAGCATTTAATATTCATCCATGCCATTTTATGTCTTGGTAGCTTATTTCTTTTTATTACTGAATAATACTCTGTTGTAGAATATACTACAATTTACTTATCTGTTCACCTATCGAAGGACATCCTGGTAGCTTCCAAGTTTTGGTTCTTGTGAATAAAGCTGCTATAAACATAGGTAAGCAGGTTTTCATGTGGACATAAGCTTTTTAAACAGTTAGGTAAGTTTTTAGAAGCATGATTTCTGGAGTTAGGTAGGTACTTCGAGGCATGGTTGCTGGACTGTATGGTAAGACTGTGTTTAAATTCGTAAGGAACTGTCGAACTGCCTTCCAAAGTGGTTGTAGCATTTTCATTCCCAATAACAATGAGTGACTTAGCAACGAGTTCTTTTTTTTTTTTTTTTTTTTTTGAGACGGAGTCTCGCTCTGTCGCCCAGGCTAGAGTGCAGTGGCGCAATCTCGGCTCACTGCCAGTTCCACCTCCCGGGCTCACGCCATTCTCCTGCCTCAGCCTCCCGAGTAGCTGGGACTACAGGCGCCCGCCACCACGCCCGGCTAATTTTTTGTATTTTTAGTAGAGACGGGGTTTCATCATTTTAGCCAGGATGGTCTCGATCTCCTGACCTCGTGATCCGCCCACCTCGGCCTCCCAAAGTGCTAGGATTACAGGCGTGAGCCACCACGCCCGGCCAGCAATGAGTTCTTATTGTTTTGCATCCTCACCAGGATTTGGTATTGTCAGTGTTTTGGATTTTAGCCATTTTTAATGGATATGGAGTAGTATCCCATTGTTGTTTTAATTTGCAATTCCCTAATGACAAATAATTGTGAGCATCTTCTCATATGCTTATTTATATATCTTCTTTGATGTTGTGTCTCTTCAGATGTTTTGTCCATTTTTAAATTGGATTGTTTGTTTTCTTATTGTCGAATTTTAAGGGATTTTTGTATATTTTAGATAGGTCTTTATGACATGTGTGTTTTGCAAATATTTTCTCCCCTTCTGTGACTTGTCTTTTTATTCTCTTAACAAAGTCTTTTTACAGAGCAGAAGTTGTAAGTTTTAAGAAAATAATAAAAGTTACATAATGTTTCTTTCATGGATCATGCTTTTAGTGTTGTATCTAAAAACTTATCAAGTGCGAGGTCACCTATATATTTTTCCTATAGTTTTTTATAAAATGTTACAATTTGAATTTTACACTTAGGTCTATGATCCATCTTTGTTAAAGATGTAAGATCTGTGTCTAAGTTCTTTTTTCAACATATGAACATACAATTATTCCATTACCATTTATTGAAAAAACTATTCTTTCTCCATTGAATTGCCTTCATTAATTTATCAAAGATCAGTTGACTGTATTTTTTTGAGCCTACTCTGGGCTCTGTTTTCTGTTTCCCTGATATCTTTGTCTATTCTTTCCCCCATACTATGCCGTCTTGATTACTGTAGCATTATGGTAATTCTTAAAATCAGGTAGTATGAGTCTTCTAACTTTGTTTTTCTTCTTCACATTGTGTTGGCTTCAGTATTGTGTGTCTTTTGCCTTCCCATATGAACTTCAAAAACAGTTTGTTGATATCTAAAAAGTAGTTTGCTGGGATTTTGCTTGGCATTGTGTTGAAGCTATAGATTAGGTTGGGAAGAATTAATATCTTAACAATAGTGATGCATGAACGTGTAATATCTCTCCATTGTTTAATTTTTAATTTTTTCTCAGAATTTTGTAGTTTCCATATGTAGGTTCTATTTATTAAATTCATAGCTAAACATTTCTCTTGGGGGTACTATTGTAAATGGCGTTGCACTTTTAATTTCTTTTCTTTCTTTCTTTCTTTTTTTTTTTGTCTCACTGTCACCTAGGCTGGAGTGCAGTGGCACGATCTCAGCTCACTGCAACCTCCGCCTCCTGAGTTCAAGCAATTCTCCTGCCTCAGCCTCCCAAATAGCTGGGATTACAGGCACCCACCACCACGCCCAGCTAATTTTTGTATTTTTAGTAGAGACAGGGTTTCACCGTGTTGACCAGGCTGATCTCGATCTCCTGACCTCAGATGATCCACCTGCCTCAACCTCCCAAAGTGCTGGGATTACAGGCGTGAGCCACCGCGTCGGGCCCATTCTTTTAATTTCAAATTCTAATTGCTCATTCCTGATATATAGGGATTCAATCGGTTTTTGTATATTAACCTTGATATCATTGTTTATTACTTCCAGGAGTTTTGTTTGTTTGTTTGTTTGTTTTGTTTTTGTTTTTGTTTTTTTGTAGTTTTTTGGGATTTTTCTCCCTAGACAATCACGTCATCTGTGAAGAAAGACAGTTATATTTCTTCCTTCCCTATAGGTATAACTTTTATTTCATTTTCTTATCTTACTACACTAGCTAGGATTTCTAGTATGACATTGAATAGGAGTGGTGAGAGAAAACATCCTTGCCTTGTTTCTGATCTTAGGAGAATAGAATCCAACCATTAAGTATGCTAGCTATAAGTTTTTTGTAGACGTTCTTCTTGAAGTTGAGGAAGTTCCCTCTCCTTTCCTAGTTTTTGTTAAGTTTTCATATGCATGAGTGTTGGCACAGTAGGTTCTCAAACTGAGTTGCTTATGTGGGGTGGGAATGGAAGATGTTAATACAGGTGGAGAGGAAAAGTGTGGAATGGGAAATATAAACATAAAAAAACTGCACAAAATTGTGTACTTAAAAATAATCCATATGAATATGATTCAATTTATGTAAAAATCACTCACATATACACACAAACATAAGTGCATCACTGTCACAGAGAGTGCTAGCTATTTTTTCACTAGAGTTCATTCACCCCTTCTTCCTGGACGTACAGATGAATTGCATTTCCCAGCCACACCTGCAGTTGTGTGTGGCCATGTAACAACTCTAGCCAATAGATGTGAACAGAAATGGCTCATAAAACCTCTGTCTATGTACTCCTCTATGTTATTTCCTGGGTGCAGACAATAACAAGGTCCTAAGCTATGTATCAGTCTTGAGATGGAAGAAACCTGGATCCCTGAATGACCTTGTGGAAGGTAGCAACCCCATCAAACTAAACACTTGTCCAGGACAGTTACATGATCAAAAAATAAATTTATATGGTCTTGAGTCACTGTCTCTTAGGGTCTGTGTGTTACAGTAGGTAAACCTACTCTAAATTGCATATATATAGTGTGTGTGTGTGTGTGTGTGTGTGTGTGTGTGTGTGTGTGTGTCAGTTAGGGGGAAGGAGAAGACAGAGAAAAAAATTCATGAAAGAATTATAACCAAACTGTTAATGGTGACATTGCATATGTGTTTGCTTTCTGAATTTTATTTTACAATGGCATAAATAGCTAAAAATAAGAACAAATTACATTGTGCTGGATGTTTTCTCTCTACTCCTCCAGATTTACTTTCCACTCTTCACCCTTCTCCATCCTGCTCTGTGCCTAGGAAGACTAACCTGTATGGATTGTCTTTGCCTTCTGGATTCTGGTTAAGTTTGAGCCAGTGGGCAAGGGGCAGCAGCAGGAAGTCAGAGAGTGTGAGGAGAATAAGATTGATGTATTTATTCCTCCAGCTCCATTCCATCCCAGGTCACCTGTGTTGCTGTATCCTTCTGTAGCTCTTGTCCTTCAGCTCTTTCATACAACTGGTTCCAGTAACTGCCTCCTCCTTATGACAATCATGCTGCTCATTAAGCTTCCCCACAGCTATCCCCCATCTGCTAAACTTCATTTGAAAATTTTTATGTGTTCTTTCAAGTTTCTTTGAAAACCAACAGGTTGGTAACAATTTTAGTTATTTTTACAACTGTAAAGCTGTCAATAGTAACTCCATAACTGTATTCAAGACATGTGTCCACATAAGAAATTCCCTAGATATGAAGTCAAACCATAGAGCCTGGATTTCCATCTCAGGTAAACCTGAGTACTGTTATAGACATTGACCTCTGTATATCTACAATGCACCCCAGTGAGTGACCTCTGCTGGCAGACTGAGAGCCCTTGGATTTGCATTTATATTGCCCATTTGATATCGCCTCAATCTCATTGGGGTATTTTGACAGAATTGAAATAAAAACACAACTCATCAAATTTCAATAGTTCTGTTTTCCTTTGCCCTATTGCATGGCAATTGTCTGGCTTCCCATCCCCCAGTTGTGTATAAGTGTTGGGAGCCTCTTGCATATAAGACCAAGGGAGAAAAGTGTACTTTTGTTTATGGAAATGAAAAACCCAATCTCTTATGGCCCTGCCTCCAACAAGGCCTCAGCAATGTCAACACAGGCCACATTTAAATGGCCCCCTGAGGTTCCTGCTATTGTGATTATTAAATCAATTACTCCTATTATTAGATTGCATGGCAGAATATAGACAAAAATGTTTCTTGGCCAATGAAAATATCTTATAAATGATTGCAATAGTCCTCAGAGCTTGTATGAGCCTGAAGGAAAATACTGGGTCATTACCTGAAAGATAAATTTTAAAAATTCTAACCTGATTGTCTCTTTAAGTTACATGAAAATGTAGCATTGAGAGAAAAAGAGAAAGACAGAGAGAGAAAGCACTTGTATGTGACTGAAAATTACAAGCTTCCCCAACATTTGAAATGGGTTGTGTTCCAAAGGGCCATTTATAAGTCAGCTATTTGGATTTAGAATGGGTTTGTCCACAAAATAAGCTCCATAGCTGAGGGGAGTCTTAGGCTACCCCTGAAAAGCCTACTGTCCCGCATTCAGGAGCTATCTTCATGAACCCAAGGCCTGGGTATAAGGGTATAAGGGAAAGGACTCACATTCTTCTGGAGGGAAGAGGAAGAAGAGTGAATTTGCAATGGTAAAGAACTGGACTTTGAAGTCAGACAGATCTGGGTTTACATCTGGACCTTTTAATCTATTATCTATGAGAACGTAGGGAAGTCACCTAAATTCTATGCCCCAGTTGCTTCCTCTGTGAAATGAGAATTACAATTCCTATTCCACAGAGTCATTATAGAGTTTAGTGAGATAACATACCTGAAGTGCCTGGCACTTGATAGAAAATAAAGGATAATTACTATTCTTAGGAACAGAACGGGTCTCAATCAAGACTTAAAAATCATTAGTGTTTACCTTTAATATCCTTCTATCTGCTTTTCTTCACCTAGCATTTTCTTCCTGTTGCCTAGCTCCCTGAGTCCCTACAGCCTTTACCTCTGCTCTAAATTACCCACTGGGACACCACTAAACTGTCCTCCCTGGGTTGGTGCTCTGTGCTACAAGAATGCATGCAGTTCTTCATCTCTGCTGTTTCATGATAAGTCCTATTCAATGTGGCTTAGAAAATCGGTGTCCCCTTAAACATCTGAAAAATGTCTAATTTTTCAAAAGAATCCTAGTTAATCTAAATGATACTCTAATTTATGAAACTTCAAGCAGCATGACAAAAAATGCTGGACAGTACCATAGGAGATATTTGGGGAGCCCAGATATCCCAAGGGAATGACAGCATCTGCTTATGAGGAACTTTTTTAAAACACAATTTTGGACTTCTGCCTCCAGGAAGATGGAGTAGATATACTTTTCCCTATTTCAACTACTAAGTACAATTGAAACATTGGACACCTGGGGATTATATGTAAAACAACAGTAAGAGGACTCTGAAACATGTAGAAAAGAAACCAGATTGCTTAGGGACATTGAGTCCCAAGGAAAGACATGGTAGTAAGTTCCCTGGGTTTCTTTTTGCCTCATATATCCCAGACATGGAGCTGAAAATAAATGGTAACTTCGAAAGACTGATAGAAGCAGACAGAAAAAGAAGACAAAACACAAGCTTGCTCTCTCTAGCCAAAAGAGCAGGAAAGGGGCAGCCTGGCAAAAAAGAAAAAAAATGAGAGAATAACCACTCTACTGCAGCTAAATGTTACATAAAAATTTGTTGTTCCACCACCAGCCACACCAGTAAGTGCCAAATAGGGAGCCTAGACTTCCATTCTTACAAGGCAAAAACAAGGCACCGCAGTACCCTGTAAGAGTATTATCAACTAAGGTCAAGTAGGGAGCCAGAACTTTAATCTGCTGGCCAGTAATGATCCCCCATCCCCACAGTGTCATTGGAAACCACATCAAGGCCTGTACTTCCACCTCCACGTGGAATTTATGGGAAGTCCCTCCCATTCCTTGCCAGTCAGTGTAAGAAGGGACCTAGTGGAGACTCAAGACCTTCACCACTGTCCAGTGGTTACAAGGCCACCCCCACCACAGTGTCAGTGGAGACTATGTGAGAAGCCAGAACTCCTTCCTCGACCTAACAGCAAATAAACAGCCTACCCCTCATGTGTCAATGAAGGCTTAGTGGGTACCCTGAACTTCTACCTCCACCTGGCGGTAATGAGGCAATGTTCTCACCTTTCCCTGCCAGAGCAGTGTCAGAAAATATCAACTAAAACAGACGATTTAAAGAAAATCCACAACCTCATAATATAAACATGACCAATTTTCAATTTAAAAAATCACTGGTCATGACAAGAATCAGGAAGATCTCAAACTGTATAAAAAGACAATCAATACATGCCAATACCAGAATGACAGAGATGTTAGAATTATCTGATGAAGATTTTAAAGAAACCATCATCTAAAATGTTTAAAGGAGCAATTGCAAACACTCTTGAAAAAAAAACATACAAAACACGGGAAGCCTCAGAAAAGAATCAGAAGTCTTAGCAAAGACATCAAAGATATTAAGCAGAACCAAATGGAAATTTTGGAAGAGAAAAATATAATAACAAAAATAAAAAGCTCAGTGCATAGGCTTAATAGCAAAATGGAGGGGAGGAAAGAATCCATGAACTTGAAGACAGAACAATAGAAATTACTCAACCTACACAACAGAGAAAAACTAAACGAAAAAGAATAAACAGAACCTCAGGGACCTATGGGACTATACCACAATAGCTGACATTCATGTCATCAGAGTCCCAGAAGGGGAATATTAAGAGGGCAAGGCTAAATAAGTACTCCAAGAAATAATGGCTGAAAACTTTCCAAATTTGGGAATAGACATAAACCTGCAGATTAAAGAAGCTGAGAAAACCCCAAACAAAATGGACCCAAAGAAATCCATACCAAGACATTTCATAATTAAACACCTGAAAAATAAAGACAAAGAAAAAAATATCTTGAAAGCAGCCAGAGAAAAATGACACCAAACCTATAGGGGAAAAACAATTAAAATGACAATGGACTTCTCATAAGAAGCCATGGAAGCCAGACAGAAGTGGCACAACATTTTTTAAGTACAGAAATAACTGTAAAACCATAATCTTATACCTAGAGAAAATATTCTTCTGGAATAGAGGGGAAATCAAGACTTTTTCCGACAAAGAAAAGCTGAGAGTATATTTCACCAGCAGATCTACCTTAAAAGAATGGCTAAAGGAAGTTTTCTGAACAAAAAGGAAATGACAAAAAAGGAACCTTGGAATATCAGGAAGGAAGGAAGAACACAGGAAGCAAAAATATAGGTGAAAACAAAGCCTTTCCTTTTCTTGATTTTTCTAAATTATGTTGATTGTTGAAGCAAAAATTATGGCAACGTCTTATGTGATTCTAAATGTAGGTAGAGAAAATATTTAAGACAATTATATTATAAATGGGAGAGGGCAAACGGATGTAAAGGAAGATACAGTATCTATACTTCACTCTAATTGGTAAATGATGATATCAATGATGCAATAAGTTATGTGTATATATAATGTAATATCTAGAGCAACCCCTAAAAAAAGCTGTACAAATGGATACACTCAAAGACACTATAGATAAATCAGAATGGAATTCGAAAACGTGTCCAAGTTACAAATAGGAAAGCAGGGAAAGGGAAACATAAATGAAATGAAGAAAGAACAAACAGAAAACAAAAATAAAACAGCAGACTTAAGCCCTAACATATCACTAATTACATTAAACATATATGGTCTACATATGCCAACTAAAAGATAGATTCACAGTGTATTAATTAAACCATGACCTAAATATATGCTGTCTATAAGAAATTCACTCAAATATAATAATATAGGCAGGTTGAAAGCAAAATGATAAAAAAGATATATCATGCAAAAGAGAGTAGAAGTGGCTTTATTAATATCAGATAAAGTAGACTTTACAGAAAAGTAAATTACCAGAGACCAAAAGGGTATTATATAACAAAAAACTATCAATCCACAAAGAGGACACAGCAATCCTAAATGTATACATAGAACAACAGAGCTGCAAAATACACAGGCCAAAACTGATAGAACTAAAAAGATAAATAGACCACTATACAATTATAATTAGAGAAAATGATACCCCCTGACACCAATTGATAGAACTGGACAAAAAAAGGCAGCAAGAATATTTGAAAAAAATAGTAACACTATCAACCAACAGTATCTAATCAACATTTGTAGAACACCCTACTTAACAACAGCAGAACATACATTCTTTTCAAATATCTATGGAAAAAATGTCAATCTAGATCATATCCTGGGACATAAAGTAAGCCTCAACAAATTTAAAATAATTGAAATAATGCAGATTGTGTTGTCCAAAAAGAATGGAATCAAACTACAAATCAATAACAGAAGAATAACAGTAAAATCTCCAAATGGTTGGAATCCAAAGAACTAAATAACCCACGGGACAAATTCCTTTTAGAAACTGATTGCATTTATTGATTTCCTCCCGGGTTAAAAAAAAAATCTCTTTACACATAAAACTTAGTGTACAATTTAAAGCAGTTAGCCAGACCACAGTTTGCTCATTTTGGTAAACAGATGAGCCCACTTAAAATCAACAGCAAAATAGAGTAAAGGGGAACTCTAAGCAGACATAAATTATTGTGGATACTATCAGGTCCATTTCCTATAAATGAGGAATTTGCTGTTGAACTCATGATAGGCAGTGTCGTATTGTATAGCCTTTGGGCATGCAGTTTCCAGAATCTGACAGACCTAAGTTCTGCCACTTCCCATCATAATAAAACTGGGCCATCTACTTAAATTCTCACTCTCAGTTTTCATGTCTATAATATGGACATAGAAAAACTATCTACTTCCTGGGGCTCTTTTGAGGGTTACAAGAAATAAAACATGAAAAGTGTAGTGTATGTGCTGATTAATCACATTCCCGTTAAGTCAGAAAAATAAATCTGTGCCTGATTACACACAGGAAATCAGGGAAAATAGGGCTCGGTGGCTCACGCCTGTAATCCCAGCACTTTGGGAAGCCGAGGCGGGCAAATCACTTGTGGTCCGGAGTTCAAGACTAGCTGGCCAACATGGCAAAACCCCGTCTCTATTAAAAATATAAAAATTAGCTGGGCATGGTGGCTCATGCCTGTAATCCCAGCTATTCAGGAAGCTGAGTAAGGCAGAAGAATCGCTTGAATATAGGAGGTGGAGGTTGCAGTCAGCCGAGTTCGTGCCACTGCATTCCAGCCTGGGTGACAGAGAATCTGTCTTGAAACAACAACAACAACAAAAAGAATGTAGGGAAAATAACCATTCTAAACACTAAACTTTTATCAATAACCTGTCAATAATTTACTCAAGGCTGGGTGCGGTGGCTCACACCTGTAATCCCAGCACTTTGGGAGGCCAAGGCAGGCGGATCACTTGAGGTCAGGAGTTCAAGACCAGCCTGGCCAACATGGTGAAACCCTGTCTCAACTAAAAATGCAAAAATTAGTGTGGCATGGGACACATGCCTGTAGTCCCAGCTACTCGAGAGGCTGAGGCAGGAGAATTGCTTGAAGCCAGCAGGCAGAGGTTGCAGTGACATGAGATCACACCACTGCACTCCAGCCTGGGCAACAGAGCAAGACTCCATCTCAAAAAATAAAATCATCATCATCATCACCATCATCTACTTGAGCAAAAAATCTCTTCATGTATGTCACACTTGATATTTTCACAATAAAGGAAAACTCCTTTACAAAGTTGTTGGTTTTTAGCAGACTGGATCACCTACTTAACTGATAAAAGACTGCAATACGGCATATCATAAGCATTTCCATATATCAGAGGTTTCAAAGCCTGTTTCAAATAAAACAAGTAATTTCAGTTACTTCTGAAGTTTTCAATTTATATATTTAATAATTAATCCTCTTAAAATCTTAATGTAGGGCTCTACATTTAATACAACTGACTACAGTGGAATTTTCCCAGTGGCAAAATTCCGCTTGCTAGCCTTGTTCTGTGTTCTAACACACCTACAGAGTATTAAAGCCTCTGGGACTAGCCGTTTTCAAGTATGTCATTTAAAACACCGAATCCCAAGATTGATACCTGTGGCCACCTTGCAGGACCACTGCTCATACTCTAGATGTATTCCTCTGGCAGCCATGGAGGGAAGGGGTGTTGCTGGGATCTCCCTTCAGGAAAGCAATGGCTGGTCCTGCAAGGGGTACAGTTAGCAGAGAGCATCTTGCTGCTGTGGTGCTATAGGGATCCACTGCAGCACTGAGCTGAGGCCATGCCTTTCCCAGCCTGCCCATGGCCAGTGACAGAGAATGGCAGGGTGTTAGGACCCTGGCCAGCTCTGCCCAGCGTGGCCCACCTCTATGGGAAATCTTGGTGCCAGATTGGTGCCAGTTGGGCTGGCCAAGATTTTCTCCAAACTAATCAGTGTCTGAGCTTCTTCACACCCAATCCTCCTTTGTTCCCCTCTCCTCTCACAGGTGCTAGGCCAGCTTTGTGGCCTGGAGGCTCTCCCTGCCTACTCCAGGTCCCTCTCCCCTTTATCTTTCATGGGCATTACATGAATAAGTATCTTGCCTTTCAAACTCTATCTTAGCTTCCCAGAGGATCCAAACTGACACACAAATCTGAACTGTGTTTCTTAGCAAAGGACTCCTGGAGACTCCCAGAAATAATTAGACGTGGAACTTTGCAAGCTGTGGATATCCTGAAATAGCCATTCAGCTTAAGAGCTAACAAGAATGGGTTACAGAAGTTCTAGGCAATTGGGAAGGGGAAGACTTATAACCCTGAAAATTGGTCATGTACAAGGGGCATTCAGTACCTTGGTCTTTCCCTTCTAGCTTTTTCCCCTTTAGATGCAGGTGCTGAAGGTGCTGCATTCCAAATTGCCATTGGACAGAGTTCACCAAACACAACAGTTAATTAATCAGTCTCATTTAGCAGGGAGGGAGTTCCTATTTCTGTTGAATAGCTGATAAGTTTAACTGTTTAATAGTCATTTAAAAATCAGCAGTCATTCCCCACCCCCAAATATTTTGCTTGTCAGGCTGAATGACGAGGGTGTTGTGGATGAGGGGGAGATGAATATAGCATGTTGTAATTAGTGCATAAGTTAAGGATTTGTTTAATTGTGTTCTATTCCAAGAAGATGTCTGAGAGATATTCTGAATTAAATCCAAAAGCTGTTTCCACTACTTACTAAGTTAGCCTTTCTTCCTGGCAGAACCCCCTGAGTTCATGTGTATTAATTAAAACCCAGTCCTAATTGCTCCCTAGTCAGCTCTAAATCTTAAGAAGCTTAGCTGTTAAGTGCTTAAATTGTGTTTGCTCACAGAAAATGGAATTTCTTTAATGATTTGCTATAAATGTCTCCATATTGTTATTATAGTGATTTTACTCATAGTAAGTTTCAGAGACTGGGGGAAAAAGAGCATTCGCATTAGGATTTGCTCATTTAAAAATTAGGTAGGTTCAGCTGCCTCTGGATCATTCCTCAAATGCCAATTTATAGCATCTGCCAGTGAAGGAATTTTGAAATCCATGCATATCAGAGAGTTTCACTCTAACAGACATGGTGTAGACCCAACACTCCTTTCTGGATCCAGAGCCTTTCTTCCAAAGATGGTGGTAGGGTTGGGCAGGGGTTGGGGACAGAAAAGAACCTCATTTCTCTCACTAAGCTCTTGGATCAAGTTAGGTGCACGGCACTCTGTGCTTCCCCAGTCCTAACCCTCACCACAGCCTCCTTGGCACTACTCATTTATCTGTGTTTTCCTCAACTAGTTCCTAAAATCCATGATGGCAGGGACATTCTCTGTCTTGCTCCTTATAGCATGTCCAACAGCACAGAATCTGACACTGTTTTGACAGCCAGACTCCTGCATTCCTCACCCTTCAACCACCCACACCTTGACTTTTTAGGAAGGCTCTCTCACCTGGAAGCCTTCCCTCTTCATGGACCAATGGCCCTGAACAGACACTCCACTTTCTTGAGCTATTTTTAATTGACCTGCCCCTCTATAGCTCTAAAGCATAATAATAATAATAATAATACAGTAAAAGCAGCCAGTATTTATTGAGTCATTTCATTCTGCAGGCCAGGCATGTTACATGCATTATATCCTTCAATACTCAAAAACCTATGGAATCTATAATAGAAAATTCCTTTTTTTCACATGAGGAAATGGAGACTCTGAAGTGGGGATGAGGAGGTAAGGGGATAAAGATCTAGAAGTGGCATTGGGAAGCAAGGAGTGGGCCATCTTCCCCAATGTGTAGTCATCACAACACCAAGGAGCCACCACTCTCTCAGGTCCCACCTCTTATGCTGGGGCAAAGAGGAATCTCCCTGTCTGGTTTCTCCATCACTCTCACCCTTCTCAAGCCCATAAAATCTGGTTTCTCTCCCGAGCACTCCATGGAAACTGCTTGGAGGTCTCCAGTGGCCTGCTCCTGGCCAAATCCAAAGGTCACTTCTGCATTTTCCTCCGTTGACTGTGGAGCTACTTGCTATTTGCCTACACCTACCTTGCCTTTCATCACCTGCCAATTCTCCCAGTGTCTTCCTACCCTCTTGGACCGTTTGTTTTCACTTTTTTTTTTTCTAAGACAGAGTCTTGCTCTGTTGCCCAGGCTGGAGTACAGTGGCATGATCTCGGCTCACTGCAACCTCTGTCTCCCAGGTTCAAGCAATTCTCATGCCTCAGCCTCCCGAGTAGCTGGGACTACAAGCACGCACCACCACGCCCAGCTAATTTTTTGTATTTTTAGTAGAGACAGGTTTCACCATATTGGCCAGGCTGATCTCGAATTCCTGACCTCAGGTGATCTGCCTGCCTCGGCCTCCCACCAGGTGCTGAGATTACAGGCGTGAGCCACCATGCCCAGCCCCATGTTTTCACCTTGACTGATTTCTAAACTTAATATCTGTCTTATTCTGTAGTTACCTCCTTCCCGTCCTCCCACCAAACAAAAATAATTTGCATTTTTGCAGATAAGGAAACTGAAATTCAGAGAGGCTTAGAACCTGACCAAATTCACAATGCCAAGGAGAGGCGGGATTAATACTAACACCTTGGTCCTTACTCTTTATTTATTTTATTTTATTTTTGGTAGAGACAGAGTCTCACTATGTGGCCCATGCTGGTCTCTCTAACTCCTGGCCTGAAGCCATCCTCCTGCCTCAGCTTCCCAAAGTGCTGGGATTACAGGTGTGAGCAACCACACCTAGCTGGTCTTACTCTTAATTACTACTGTGCCTCTGACAACTTTCTTCTCACCCCAACTCTGCTCCCCTACTCTCCCCTTTGGTTTTCAATAAGATGTAGTGGATAGAGACAGCTCCAAGATGTTTGATAGGTTGTGTGTCTATTTAATATGACCCCAGAATTCCTAATTATCCGTAGGGACAAAGGCTATGTTTCTTCATACTGTCTTTGTTTTCAGTTCTCCAATTCTGGGAGCATCGTGGTTTGGGGACACTGGAGCCCAATTTCCAGTCAGCATGAATTGAAGGACCACACAGTTTTATATAAAACAACACCTCAAAACTGAAGGAATGAACCCAGCAATGTAAATGTTTGCAAAAATATCAAGGTGAAGGTGCCAAGAGCTGATTGTCAGAATGTGCATTGTCTCCTTGGAGACCCCCAGAGTGAGTGACAGCACTAAGGAAGCAGCGTGGGCAATTGAGATGCACGATGAATGTACTGAGCATTACAGATTCTCTGACAATTTGTAATAGATGTGAAAGAGTAAGGCACTCCTGGCTGCTATTGTTTTCGCTCTCTCCTAGAAGCCTTCAGAGGGTCAGGAAAGGCTCTAGAAAGGTCGTGGTATATGGAAGAGCACAGAACTAAAGGAAGACCTGACTTCTGATCTTATTTCTACTTTTCATTAACTGTAGGAGATGTGACCATCACCAACATTTTGACCTCCTTGAGTCTTAGTTTTTTTCATCTTTCAATTGGGATTGCAATTCCTGCCCTAAATGGTCACTGTTGTTATTAATATATACATCCCCCAATAGCACCTACCTTAATGCTGGGCATATAAGAAGTCTGTGTTGGATTGGCTTTCAGCTCAGATGGCAGATTCTCATCCATCAGTAAAATTATAATGGGGTTGAATGATTGAAAAATATAAGTCATCAGAAATAGAGTGTTGAATTTAACCAATTAGGTCACATAGGCAAGCTAGAAATTAACATTTATGGAGTACATACCTGTGCCAAACAGTGTGAAATCATGCTGAACAAAGACTGAGTCCCAGCTTTTAAGAGGCTGAGCAATAACTGTGGAGTTAAAATATGTGCACTTGAAACAAGCTGAGAACAATGATTATTAATGACAACAATTACTAATGCCCTTTATTTGGGATTTACTATTTGCCAGGCACTGTGCTAAGCACCCTACATCTTGGACCTCTTTAGACCATCACCACCACTCTCTGAGAGGCATATCTCTATTATGTTAATAATTAGAACATTAAGGAAGTTTCTTAAGCTCAACCAACCTGAAAGATTCACAGCTAAGACAAGGACTCAAATTCATCTGCTGTACATAATATCAAAAACTGCTCCAATTGAAACTGAGTGAAGGATAGTGAGAGTTGGTTGGAATTAATCAGAGAAAAATTCTTAGATGAAGAAATCTTGAGACAATGTTGTAAGGAAAGTAAAATACCAGACATGGTATAGAAGGGTTAAAAAAAAGGATAAGGTGTTCTGAGTAGAAGGAATGCCTAGGTGAAGGGATAGAAGAGGAAATTCACATTTTCTGTACAGGGAAAGGAAAGCAGTGGGTTTGCTAGAGTAACTGTGGACTGAACTGTTGGTGAAGGACGAAGGAGTTTTCTGAGGATACTTGGGCTGTCTTCTAGAAAGCTTTGAATGCCCTATAGTTTGCCACAATGAGATTTAGTCTTTGTTCATACCATCACCTTTTCTTGGAATGTTCTCCTTTAACCTTGCCCAGTAAACCTTCAAGTCTCATCTCAGGCATCACCTCATTTCAGAAAGCCTCTCCTAATTTATTCTTCCATAAAAGTCACTTAAGCCACCTCATCTGGATTTCCACAGTCCCCTGTGGATGCCTCTAACTTACCACATCAGAGCACCTTGAGAGCAGAGTCTGTCATTTACCTTTGCACACTCAGCACCTAGCCCCATGCCTGGCACATAGTCAACACTCCATGAAAATCTTGTGACTTAATGTATTCTAAGTACCAAGTATGTCCATGATCTAGTCATTCTGAGCATATCCAAAGTTATTCAATATTACTCCTGTTCTCAATAGGCCCCAAAGTTAACATTGAATATATGGCAAAAGCATTCAGAATACGAAATGGAAGGTTAAGGGGCTTCAGGAAAAAGTAAGAGAAGAAGGGAGGGGGATGGGAAAGAGACAAGACATAGAAAGAGACATAGAAACTTCTGTAGGACCTTCAGGGGAAAGGCCAGATGTAGGTGTAAAAGAATAGATAGGCTTTGGACATGTCAAGATGTAGGGAAAGGGAAGTCTGGGAACAGGGAACAGCATGAGTTAAGGTACAAAGGTGAGAATATACACAGCATGTATGGGGGCAGCAAATTTTATGAAAGCAAATGTTCATTAAGAAAGCTGAAAACAGGCCGGCCTCGGTGGCTCACGCCTGTAATCCCAGCACTTTGGGAGGCCGAGGCGGGCGGATCACGAGGTCAGGAGATCGAGACCATCCCGGCTAAAACGGTGAAACCCCGTCTCTACTAAAAATACAAAAAATTAGCCGGGCGTAGTGGCGGGCGCCTGTAGTCCCAGCTACTTGGGAGGCTGAGGCAGGAGAATGGCGTGAACCCGGGAGGCGGAGCTTGCAGTGAGCCGAGATGGCGCCACTGCACTACAGCCTGGGCGACAGAGCGAGACTCCGTCTCAAAAAAAAAAAAAAAAAAAAAAAAAAAAAAAGCTGAAAACAACCTGCTTAATAGCCTTTTAGTAGATTAACAATAGTTGAATTAAGCATGCAGAATAATAGAAACCTTTAGTTTATGAATTTTCATAAATTTAGTAAATTCATAGAAAAAATCTCTGGGCAGAGCAAAAATCCATCAACTTTATCCATTCTCAACAAATGGCATTAGGGATTGCTTGCACTGTGTGGTGTTGGAATTAGTGGGGAATAGGACTTTAGATACAGTCAGCTGAAAGTTAATCTGTCTGTAATCAGAGGTGCTTCTTTGTGCTTTATTAGGCAGCAGGCAAACGAAGCACCAGACATAGCCCTTTTGGTTCTGATGTACAGATTAACCCTTAGGCTGCTTTGTTTTCTTCAAAAACGTATTTCAAAGATGAAAAGTTATCAGCCCCTCCTAAGTATTTACCAAGGGGAAATGAACAACTATGTCCATACAAAGACTTTCACATGATTGTTCATAGCCAGTTTTGTAACATTTATCTCAAATAAATATTTGAATACTTATTTCAACCCAAATATCCAACAGTAGATGGTAGAGTCATACAATGGAATACTATTCCACTATAAAAAAGAAATGAACTATGATACATGCAATAGCATTGATGGCTCTCCAGAGAAACACACTCAGTGAAAAAAGCAAGAAACAAAAGGCTACATACAGTATGATTCCATTTATGAGGAATCCTCAACAGGCAAAACTGTAGTGACAAAGTAGATCCGTGATTGCCCAGGGCCAGGGACTGGGGAGAGGGAATCTACCACAAAGGAGTTAACAGGAATTATTTAGAAGCATAGAAATATTCTTTATCTTCACTGTGATGATGGGGACATGACTGTATTCAATTGTCAAAATTCATTAAATGATTCACCTAAAATAAGTAAATGTTATTGTATGTAAATTATGCCTAAAAATTATTTTTAAAGTAAATGGCTACCACTTTTTAAAAGAAAAAAACTTTTATTCAAGATGATATTTCTTTATTTTAATTGATAAACTTTATTTTTATATTGGCTTTAGGTACAAGGCCAAAGTGAGTGGAAAATACAGAGTTCCCATATACCTACCATCTCTACACACACACACACACACACACACACACACAATCTCGCTGGTACTATCAACATCCTGAGTCACAGTAGCACATTTCTTACAATAGATAAATCTATACATCATTATCACCTAAAGTACATAGTTTACATTAGGTTTCACTCTTGAAGTTGTACATTCTACAGGTTTGGACAAATGCATAACGACATGTGCCCAATACAGAACAGTTTCACTGCCCTAAAAATCATCTGTGCTCAGTGTCCTCATCCCTCTCTCCCCCTTAACATCTGGTAACCACGGATCCCTTTATTACCTCCATACTTTTCTCTTTTTCAGAATGTCATGTAATTGGCATCATACAGTATGTAGCCTTTCCAGATTGGCTTCTTTCTCTTAGTAATATGCATTTAAGTTTCTTCCATGTCTTTTCATGGCTTGGCAGCTCATTTCTTTTTAGTGCTGAATAATATTCCATTGTCTAGATGTACCACAGTTTATTCACTCACCTACAGAAGGACATCTTGGTTGCTTCCAAGTTGTGGCAATTATGGATAAATCTCCTATAAACATTGTGTGCAGGTTTTTGTGTGGACATAAGCTTTCAATTCATTTGAATAAATACCAAAGAGCATGATTACTGGATCCTGTGGTAAGAGTATGTTCAGTTTTGTAAAAAAACTGCCAAAGTGTCCTCCAAAGTGGCTCTACCATTTTGCATTTCCACCAGCTATAAATGAGAGTTCCTTTTGCTCCACGTCCTTGCCAGTATTTGGTATTGTTAGTGTTTTAGATTTTGTCCATTTTTTTTTATATACTTTAAGTTCTAGGGTACATGTGCACAACGTGCAAGTTTGTTACATATGTATACATGTGCCATATTGGTGTGCTGCAACCATTAAATCATCATTTACATTAGGTATATCTCCTAATGCTATCCCTCCCCCTCCCCCCACCCCACGACAGGCCCCAGTGTGTGATGTTCCCCTTCCTGTGTCCAAGTGTTCTCATTGCTCAATTCCCACCTATGAGTGAGAACATGCGGTGTTTGGTTTTCTGTCCTTGTGATAGTTTGCTGAGAATGATGGTTTCCAGCTTCATCCATGTGCCCTACAAAGGACATGAACTCATCATTTTTTATGGCTGCATAGTATTCCATGGTGTATATGTGCCACGTTTTCTTTTTTTATTATTATACTTTAAGTTTTAGGGTACATGTGCACAATGTGCAGGTTTGTTACATATGTATACATGTGCCATGTTGGTGTGCTGCACCCATTAACTCGTCATTTAACATTAGATATATCTCCTAATGCTATCCCTCCCCCCTCCCCCAACCCCACAACAGGCCCCAGTGTGTGATGTTCCCCTTCCTGTGATATGTGCCACATTTTCTTAATCCAGTCTATCATTGATGGACATTTGGGTTGGTTCCAAGTCTTTGCTATTGTGAATAGTGCCGCAATAAACATACGTGTGCATGTGTCTTTGGTATTGAGTGGTATCTCGTTGTTGTTTTAATTTACAATTCCGTAAACACATACGATGTTGGACATTGTTTCATTTGCATAATTGCCATGTGTATATTTTCTTTGGTGACATGTCTGCTCAAGTTTTTTTTTTTGCCCATTTTTAATTGGGTTGTTTGTTGTCTAACTGTTGAGTTTTAAGGACTCTTTTTTTTTTTTTTTTTTTTTTTTTGAGACGGAGTCTCGCTCTGTCGCCCAGGCTGGAGTGCAGTGGCGCGATCTCGGCTCACTGCAAGCTCCGCCTCCCAGGTTCACGCCATTCTCCTGCCTCAGCCTCCCAAGTAGCTGGGACTACAGGCGCCCGCCACCACGCCCGGCTAATTTTTTGTATTTTTAGTAGAGACGGGGTTTCACCGTGTTAGCCAGGATGGTCTCCATCTCCTGACCTCGTGATCCGCCCGCCTCGGCCTCCCAAAGTGGTGGGATTACAGGCGTGAGCCACCGCGCCCGGCCTTAAGGACTCTTTTTAAGGACTCTTGTGTAACAGTCCTTTATCACTTGTGTCTTTTGCAAATATCTGCCAGTCTGTGGTTTGTCTGCTCATTCTCTTGACCTTGTCTTTTGTAGAGCAGAAGTGTTCATTTTAATGATATCTAGCTTATCAACTATTTATTTCATGGATTGTGCCTTTGGTGTTGTATCTAAAACGTCATCACCATACCTAAAGTCAATTTGGTTTTTTCCTATGATATCTTCTAGGAGCTTCACAGTTTTGCATTTTACATTTAGATTCATAATCTATTTTTAGTTAATTCTCATGAAGGGTATAAAGTCTGTGTCTATGTTCATTTTTCTGCATGTGCATGTCCAGTTGTTCCAGCACCATTGTTGAAAAAACTGTATTTGCTTTATTGCATTGCCTTTGCTCCTTTGTTAAAGATAAGTTGACTATATGTATGAGTCTATTTCTGGCCTCTCTATTATATTCCACTGATCTATTTGTCTATTCCTTTACCAGTACTACACTGTCTTGATTACTGTAGCTTTATAGTAAATCTTGAAGTAGGGTGGTGTCAGTCCCTTAATTTTGTTCTTATCTTTCAATATTCAGAGGGCTGTTCTGGGTGTTTTGCCTCTCTAAATAAATGTTAAAATCAGTTTATTGATAACCACAAAATTGGACTTGCTAGGATTCTGATGGGAATTGCATTGACTCTTTAGCTCAAGATCAGAAGAACTGATATCTTCATAATATTGAGTCTTCCTATCTATGAGCATAGAATATCCCTTTATTTATTTCACTCTTTGATATTTTTCATTAGAGTTTTGTAGTTTTCCTAATATAGATCTTGTACATATTTTGTTGGATTTATACCTAAATATTTCATATTAGGAGTGCTAATGTGAATGCTAATGTGTTTTTAATTTCAAATTCCACTTGCTCTGATATATGGGAAAGCAATTGATTTTTGTATATTAACCTTGTGTCCCACAATTTTGCCATAATTGCTTATTAGTTCCAGTAATTTTTTGGTCAGTTATTTTGGATTTTCTACATAGACAATTACGTCATCCGCAAACAAAAGATAGTTTGAGTTCTTCCCTCCTAGTCTGTATACCTGTTATTTCCTTTTATTGTTTTATGGCATTAGCTGGGACTTCCAGTGCAATGTTGAAAAGAAGTGGTGAGAGAGAACATCCTAACCTTGTTTCTGATCTTAGTGGGACAGCTTTGAGTTTCTTACCATTAAGTATGATGTTAGCTCTGAGAGTTTTGCAGATGTTCTTTATCAAGTTGAAGAAGCTCTTCTCTATTCCTTGTTTGCTGAGAGTTTTATCATGAATAGGTGTTGGATTTTGTTAAATGCTTTTTCTGCATCTATTAATATGATCAGGTGATTTTTTTTCTTCTTTAGCCTGTTGATATAATAGATTACATTAATTGATTTTCAAATGTTAAACCAATCTTGCATACCTGGGATAAATCTCACTTGGTTGTAGGGTATAATTCTTTTTATACATTCTTGGATTTGATTTGTTAATATTTTATTGAGGATGTTTACGTCTATGCTCACGAGAGATATTGGTCTGTTATTTTCTTTTCTTGTAACATCTTTGTCAGGTTCAGTGTTAGCATAACGCTGACATCACAGAATGAGTTAGGAAGAATTCCCTTGGCTTCTATCTTCTAGAAGAGATTGTAGAGAATTGATATAATTTCACACTTAAATGTTTGGTATAATTTATCAGTGAACCCAGCTGGAGCTGGTACATTTTGTTTTCAAAGGTGTTAAGTATTGATTCTATTTATTTTATAGATATAGGCCTATTCAGATTGCCTATTTCTACTTGTATGAGTTTTGGCAGATTATGTCTTTTAAAGAATTCATGCATTTCACCTAGGTTATCAAATTTGTGGGCACAGAGTTGTTCACAATATTCCATTGTTATCTTTCAATGTCCATAGAAACTGTGCTGATATTTTCACTTTCATTTTTGATACAAACAAACTTCATTTTATTGTGATTCTCTTTATTGTGTTTCACAGATACTATGCTTTTTTACAAATTGAAGGTTTGTATTAACCCTGCATTGAGAAAGTCTATCAGTGACATTTTCCCAATAGCATATGCTCACTTCATGTATCTGTGTCACATATTGGTAATTCTCACATTATTTCAAATTTTTTCATTATTATTCTATCTGTTAATGATGATTTGTGATCAGTGGTCTTTGAGGTTGTTATTGTAATTGTTTTGGGGCTCCATGAACTGCATCCATATAAGTTGGTAAACTTAATTGTTAAATATTGTGTGTGTTCTGACTGCTCCACTGACTGGCTATTCTCCCATCTCTCTCCCTCTCCTCAGTTCTCCCTATTCCCTGAGACACAATAATATTGAATTGGGTCAGTTAATATCCTTATAATGGCCTCTACGTGTTCCAATGAAAGGAAGACTCACACATTTCTCACTTTAAATCAAAAGCTAGAAATGATTAAGGTTAGTGAGGAAAGCATGTCAAAATCCAAAATAGGTCAAAAGCTAAGCCTCTTTTGCCAAATAGTTAGCCAACTTATAAATGCAAAGGAAAAGTTCTTGAAGGAAGTTAGAAGTGCTACTCGAGGGAATGCACAAATGGTAAGAAAGTTTAAAAAAGCCTTATTGCTGATATGGGGAAAATTTTAGTGGTCTGGATAGAAGATCAAACCAGCCACAAAATTCCCTTAAGCCAAAGTCTGAACCAGAGTAAGGCCCTAACTCTCTTCAATTCTATTAAGGCTGAGAGAGGTTAGGAAGCTGCAAAATAAATGTATGAAGCTGGAAGAGGTTGGTTCATGAGGCTTAAGGAAAGAAGCTATCTCAATAACATAAAAGTGCAAAGTGAAGAAGCAGGTGCCGATGTGGAAGGTGCAGCAGGTTATCCAGAAGATCTAGCTAAGAACATTGATAAAGATGGCTACATTTCATCAACAGATTTTCAACGTAGATAAAACGGACTTATATTGGAAGTAGACGCCATCTAGGGCTTTCATAGCTAGACAGAAGTCACTATCTGGCTTCAAAGCTTCAAAGGACAGGCTTGACTCACTCACTGAGGGATAATGCAGCTGATGACTTCAAGTTGAAGCCAATACTGATTTTTTGTTTTTTTATTATACTTTAAGTTCTGGAATACATGTGCAGGACTTGAAGGTTTGTTACATAGGCATACATGAGCCATGGTGGCTTACTGCACCCATCAACCCGTCATCTACATTAGGTATTTCTCCTAATGCTATCCCTCCCTTAGCCCACACCCCCTGACAGGCCCCAGTGTGAGATGTTCCCCTCCTCGTGTCCATGTGTTCTCACTGTTCAACTCCCACTTATGAGTGAAAACATGCGGTGTTTGGTTTTCTGTTCCTGTGTTAGTTTGCTGAGAATTATGGTTTCCAGCTTCATCCATGTCCCTGCAAAGGACATGAACTCATCCTTTTTTATGGCTGCATAGGATTCCATGGTGTGTATGTGCCACATTTTCTTTATCCAGTCTATCAATGGTGAGCATTTGGGTTGGTTCCAAGTCTTTGCTATTGTGAATAGTGCTACAATAAACATATGCGTGCATGTGTCTTTATAGTAGAATGATTTGTAATCCTTTGGGTATATACCCAGCAATGGGATTGCTGAGTCAAATGGTATTTCTGATCCTAGATCCTTGAGGAATCGAAACACTGTCTTCCACAATGGTTCAACTAATTTACACTCCCATCAACAGTGTAAAAGTGTTCCTATTTCTCCACATACTCTCCAGTGTCTGTTGTTTCCTGACTTTTTAATGATCACCATTCTAACTGGCATGGGATGGTATCTCATTGTGGCTTTGATTTGCATTTCTCTAACGACCAGTGATGATGAGATTTTTTTCATATGTTTGTTGGCCGCATAAATGTCTTCTTTTCAGAAGTGTCTATTCATATTCTTCACTCACTTTTGGATGGGATTGTTTGTTTTTTCTTGTAAATTTGTTTAAGTTCCTTGCAGATTCTGGATATCAGCCCTTTGTCAGATGGATAGATTACAAAAATTTTCTCCCATTCTGAAGGTTGCCTGTTCACTCTGATGATAGCTTCTTTTGCAGTGCAGAGGCTCTTTAGTTTAATTAGATCCCATTTGTCAATTTTGGCTTTTGTTGCCATTGCTTTTGGTGTTTCAGTCACAAATCTTTGCCCATGCCTATGTCCTGAATGGTATTGCCTAGGTTTTCTTCTAGGGTTTTTATGGTTTTAGGTCTTACGTTTAAGTCTTCAATACATCTTGAGTTAATTTTTGTATAAGGTGTAAGGAAGGGGTCCAGTTTCAGTTTTCTGCATATGGCTAGCCAGTTTTCCCAACACCATTTATTAAATAGGGAATCCTTTCACCATTTCTTGTTTTTGTCAGGTTTGTCAAAGATCAGATGGTTGTAGATGTGTGATGTTGTTTCTGAGGCCTCTGTTCTGTTCTATTGGTCTATATATCTGCTTTGGTACCAATACCATGCTGTTTTGGTTACCGTAGCCTTGTAGTATAGATTGAAGTCAGGTAGTGTGATGCCTCCAACTTTGTTCTTCTTACCCAGGATTGTCTTGGCTATGCGGGCTCTTTTTTGGTTCCATATGAAGTTTAAAGTACTTTTTTCCAATTCTGTGAAGAAAGTCAGTGGTAGCTTGATGGGGATGGCTTTGATTCTATAAATTGCTTTGGGAAGTATGGCCATTTTCATAATATTGATTTTTTCTATCCATGAACATGGAATATTTTTCCATTTGTTTGTGTCCTCTCTTATTTCCTTGAGCAGTGGTTTGTAGTTCTCCTTGAAGAGGTCCTTCACATCCCTTGCAAGTTGTATTCCTAGGTATTTTATTTTCTTTATAGCAATTGTGAATGGGAGTTCACTCAGGATTTGGCTGTTTGTCTATTATTGTTGTATAGGAATACTTGTGATTTTTTCACATTGATTTTTTATCCTGAGACTGCTGAAGTTGCTTATCAGCTTAAGGACATTTGGGGCTGAGATGATGGGGTTTTCTAAATATACAATCATGTCATCTGCAAACAGAGACAATTTGACTTCCTCTCTTCCTATTTGAATACCTTTATTTCTTTCTCTTGCCTGATTTCCCTGGCCAGAACTTCCAATACTATGTTGAATAGAAGTGGTGAGAGAGGGCATCCTTGCTTTGTGTCGGTTTTCAAAGGGAGTGCTTCCAGGTTTTGCCCATTCAGTATCATATTGGCTGTGGGTTTGTCATAAATTGCTCTTACTATTTTGAGATACGTTTCATTAATACCTAGTTTATTGAGTGTTCTTAGAATGAAAGGATGTTGAATTTTGTCAAAGGTCTTTTCTGCATCTATTGTGGTTTTTGTCATTGGTTCTGTTTACGTGAAGAATTACATTTTTTGATTTGTGTATGTTGAACCAGCCTTGCATCCCAGGGATGAAGCCAAATTGATCATGGTGGATAAGCTTTTTGATGTGCTGCTGGATTCGGTTTGCCAGTATTTTATTGAGGATTTTTGCATCAGTGTTCATCAGGGATATTGGCCACAAATTTTCTTTTTTTGTTGTGTCTCTCCCAGGTTTTGGTATCAGGATGATGCTGGCCTCATAAAATGAGTTAGTGAGGATTCCCTCTTTTTCTATTGCTTGGAATAGTTTCAGAAGGAATGGTACCAGATCCTCTTTGTACCTCTGGTAGAACTGGGCTGTGAATCCGACTGGTCCTGGGCTTTTTTTTTTTTTTTTTTTTTTTTTTTTTTTTTTTTTTTTGGTTGGTAGGCTATTAATTACTGCCTCAATTTCAGAACTTGTGATTGATCTATTCAGGGATTCAACTTCTTCCTGGTTTAGGGCAGGGTGTTTGTGTCCAGGAATTTATCCATTTCTTCTAGATTTTCAAGTTTATTTGTGTAGGGGAGTTTATAGTATTCTCTGATGGTAGTTTGTATTTCTGTGGGATCAGTGGTGATATCCCCTTTATCATTTTTTATTCTGTCTATTTGATTATTCTCTATTTTCTTCTTTATTAGCGTGGCTAGCAGTCTATTTTGTTTATCTTTTCAAAAAACCAGCTCCTGGATTCACTGATTTTTTGAAGGTGTTTTCATGTCTCTATCTCCTTCAGTTCTGCTCTAACCTTAGTTATTTCTTGTCTTCTGCCAGCTTTTAAATTTGTTTGCTCTTGCTTCTCTAGTTCTTTTAATTGTGATGTTAGAGTGTTGATTTTAGATCTTTCCCGCTTTCTCCTCTGGGCATTTAGTGCTATAAATTTCCCTCTAAGCACTGCTTTAGCTGTGTCCCAGAGATTCTGGTACATTGTGTCTTTGTTTTCATTGATTTCAAAGAACTTATTTATTTCTGCCTTAATTTCATTTGTTACCCAGTAGTCATTCAGGAGCAGGTTGTTGTTTCCATGTAGTTGTGCAGTTTGGGGTGAGTTTCTTAATCCTGAGTTCTAATTTGATTGCACTGTGGTCTGAGAGACTGTTTGTTATGATTTCCATTCTTTTGCATTTGCTGAGGAGTGTTTTACTTACAATTACATGGTCAATTTTAGAATAAGTGTGACACGGTGCTGAGAAGAATGTATATTCTGCTGATTTAGGGTGGAGAGTTCTGTAAATGTCTATTAGATCAGCTTGGTCCAGAGCTGAGTTCAAGTCCTGAATATCCTTGTTAATTTTCTGTCTTGTTGATCTGTCTAATATTAACAGGGGGGTGTTGAAGTCTCCCACTGTTGTTGTGTGGGAGTCTAAGTCTCTTTGTAGGTCTCTAAGAACTTGCTTTATGAATCTGGGTGCTCCTGCATTGGGTGCATATTTATTTAGGATAGCTAGCTCTTCTTGTTGCAATGATCCCTTTACCATTATGTAATGCCCTTCTTTGTCTTTTTTTAACTTTGTTGGTTTAAAGTCTGTTTTATCAGAGACTAGTATTTGAACCCCTTAAACCCCTGCTTTTTTTTTTCTTTCCATTTGCTTGGTAAATCTTCCTCTATCCCTTTATTTTGAGCCTATGTGGGTCTTTGCACATGAGATGGGTCTCCTGAATATAGCATACCGATTGGTCCTGACTCTTTATCCAATTTGCCATTCTGTTTCTTTTAATTGGAGCATTTAGCCTGTTTACATTTAAGGTTAATATTGTTGTTTGTGAATTGAATTTGATCCTGTCATTATGATACTAGCTGGTTTTTTTGCCCGTTTGTTGATGCAGTTTCTTCATAGTGTTGATGGTCTTTACATTTTGATATGTTTTTGCAGTGGCTGGTACTGGTTTTTCCTTTCCATATTTAGTGCTTCCTTCAGGAGCTCTTGTAAAGTAGGCCTGGTGGTGACAAAATCCCTCAGCATTTGCTTGTCTGTAAAGGATTTTATTTCTCCTTCACTTATGAAGCTTAGTTTGGCTGGATATGAAATTCTGGGTTGAGAAATCTTTTCTTTAAGCATGTTGAATATTGGCCCCCACTCTCTTCTGGCTTGTAGGGTTTCTGCAGAGAGATCCGCTGTTAGTCTGATGAGCTTTCCTTTGTGGGTAACCCGATCTTTCTCTCTGCCTGCCCTTAACATTTTTTCCTTCATTTCAACCTTGGTGAATCTGTCGATTATGTGTCTTGGGATTGCTCTTCTCAAGGAATATCTTTGTGGTGTTCTCTGTATTTCCTGAATTTTAATTTTGGCATGCCTTGCTGGGTTGGGGAAGTTCTCATGGATAATATCCTGAAGAGTGTTTTCAAGTTTGGTTCTATGCTCCCCATCACTTTCAGGTACACCAATCAAACGTAGGTTTGGTCTTTTCACATAGTCCCATATTTCTTGGAGGCTTTGTTTGTTCCTTTTCATTCTTTTTTCTCTAATCTTGTCTTCACACTTTATTTCATTAAGTTGATCTTCAATCTCTGATATCCTTTCTTCTGCTTGAGTGATTTGGCGATTGATACTTGTGTATGCTTCATGAAGTTCTCATGCTGTGTTTTTCAGCTCCATCAGGTCATTTATGTTCTTCTCTAAACTGGTTATTCTAGTTAGCAGTTCCTGCAACCTTTTCTCAAGGTTCTTAGCTTCTTTGCATTGGGTTAGAACATGCTCCTTTAGCTCAGAGGAGTTTGTTATTACCCACCTTCTGAAGCCCACTTCTGTCAGTTCGTCAAACTCATTCTCTATCCAGTTTTGTTCCCTTGCTGGCAAGGAGTTGTGATCCCTTGGAGGAGAAGAGGCATACTGGTTTTTGGAATTTTCAGCCTTTTGCACTGGTTTTTCCTCATCTTTGTAGATTCATCTACCTTTGGTCTTTGATGTTGGTGACCTTCAGATGGGGTTTTTGTGTGAACATCCTGTTTTTTGATGTTGACGTTATTGCTTTTCGTTTGTTAGTTTTCCTTCTAACAGTCAGGCCCCTCTTCTGCAGGTCTGCTGGAGTTTGCTGGAGGTCCACTCCAGACCCTGTTTGCCTGAGTATCACCAGCAGAGGCTGCGGAACAGCAAAGATTGCTGCCTGCTCCTTCCTCTGGAAGCCTCGCCCAGAGGGTCACCCACAAGATGCCAGCCAAAACTCTCCTGTATGAGGTGTCTGTCAACCCCTGCTGGGAGGTGTCTCCCACTCAGGAGGATGGGAGTCAGGGACCCACTTGAGGAGGCAGTCTGTCCCTTAGCAGAACTTGAATGCTGTGCTGGGAAATCTGCTGCTCTCTTCAGAGCCAGCAGGCAGGAACGTTTAAGTCCGCTGAAGCTGCATCCACAGCCACTCCTTCCCCCAGGTGCTCTGTCCCAGGGAGATGGGAGTTTAAATATAAAGACACTTTAAATATAAAGACACTTTAGATATAAAGACACATATAGATTAAAAGTAAATAAAGATAAACTATGATAACACTAATCAAAACAAAGTGGAAGACACTTTAAATATAAAGACACTTTAGATATAAAGACACATATAGATTAAAAGTAAATAAAGATAAACTATGATAACACTAATCAAAACAAAGTGGAAGATACTTTGGACCTCGGAGAAAGGACCTGATGGGAGATAATTTGATCATGGGGACAGCTTCCTCTATGCTATTCTTGTAATAGTGAGTTCTCACAAGAACTGATGGTTTAAAAGTGTGCAGCAGTCCCCCCACCTCCCTACTGCCAATGTAAGACGTGTCTTGCTTCCCTGTCACCTTCCACATGATTGTAAGTTTCCTGAGGCATCCCCAGCCATGTGGAACTGTGAGTCAATTAAACCTCTTTTCTTTGTAAATTCCCCAGTCTCAAGTAGTTCTTTAGAGCAGTGCAAAAATGGACTAAAACACACAACATCCACTATGGAGCCCTGAGATCAAGGAATAATTTTGACTTTCAGGTCTTAGTAGTTAGCAAATACATTTCATAAGGCTATAGCTATCACAGACACTGACTTTTCTGATGGATCTGGGCAAAATAAATTGAAAGCCTTCTGGAAAGGATTTACCATTTAGATGCCATTAACAACATTCATGATTCTTGAATGGAGGTCAAATATGTGGAGGTCAAATATGGTGGAGGTCAAAATATCAACATTAACAAGAGTTTGGAAGAAGCTGATTCCAACCCTTATGGATGACTTTGAAGGGTTCAAGCCTTCAGTGGTGGAAACAGCAGCAGATGTGGTAGAAAGTGTAAGAGAACTAGAATTAGAAGGGGAGCCTAATTGCTACAATCTCATGATAAAACTTTTATGAATGGGGAGTTGCTTCTTATGAATGAGCAAAGGAAGTGGTTTCTTGAGAAGGGATCTACTCCTAGTGAAGATGCTATGAACATTGTTGAAATGACAACAAAGTATTTAGAATATTACATAATGATGGTGCTGTTGAGTTCAACTTTGTCCTTACTAATTTTCTGCCTGCTGGATCTGTTCATTTCTGATAAAGAGGTGCTGGTCTCCAACAATAACACTGAATTCATGTATTTCTCCTTATAATTCTATCAGGTTTTGCTTCATGTATTTTGATTCTCTATTGTTAGGTGTATACACATTAGGGATTACTGTGTCTTCCTTGAGTATTAACCTCTTTATCATTATGCATTGCCCCTCTTTATCCCTGATAACTTTCCTTGCCCTGAAGTCTGCTCTGTTTGAAATTAATATAGTGTATTCGACTTTGTTTTGATTAGTGTTATCATAGTTTATTTGCTTTTAATCTATATGTGTTTTTATATTTTTTTCTTTTTTTATTACACTTTAAGTTTTAGGGTACATGTACACAATGTGCAGGTTTGTTACATATGTATACATGTGCCATGTTGGTGTGCTGCACCCATTAACTCGTCATTTAACATTAGGTATATCTCCTAATGCTATCCCTCCCCCTTCCATCCACCCCACAACAGGCCCCGGTGTGTGATGTTCCCCTTCCTGTGTCCATGTGTTCTCATTGTTCAATTCCCACCTATGAGTGAGAACTTGCAGTGTTTGGTTTTTTGTCCTTGTGATAGTTTGCTAAGAATGATGGTTTCCAGCTTCATCCATGTCCCTACAAAGGACATGAACTCATCCTTTTTTATGGCTGCATAGGATTCCATGGTGTATATGTGCCACATTTTCTTAATCCAGTCTATCATTGTTGGACATTTGGGTTGGTTCCAAGTCTTTGCTGTTGTGAATAGTGCCACAATAAACATACGTGTGCATGTGTCTTTATAGCAGCATGTTTTATAATCCTTTGGGTATATACCCAGTAATGGGATGGCTGGGTCAAATGGTATTTCTAGTTCTAGATCCTTGAGGAATCACCACACTGACTTCCACAATGGTTGAACTGGTTTACAGTCCCACCAACAGTGTAAAAATGTTCCTATTTCTCCACATCCTCTCCAGCACCTGTTGTTTCCTGACTTTTTAATGATCGCTATTCTAACTGGTGTGGGATGATATCTCATTGTGGTTTTGATTTGCATTTCTCTGATGGCCAGCGATGATGAGTATTTTTTCATGTCTTTTGGCTGCATAAATGTCTTCTTTTAAGAGGTGTCTGTTCATATCCTTCAGCCGCTTGTCTTGATGGGGTTGTTTGTTTTTTTCTTGTAAATTTGTTTGAGTTCATTGTAGATTCTGGATATTAGCCCTTTGTCAGATGAGTAGATTGCAAAAGTTTTCTCCCATTCTGTAGGTTGCTTGTTCACTCTGATGGTGGTTTCTTTTGCTGTGCAGAAGCTCTTTAGTTTAATTAGATCCCATTTGTCAATTTTGGCTTTTGTTGCCATTGCTTTTGGTGTTTTAGACATGAAGTCCTTGCCCATGCCTATGTCCTGAATGGTATTGCCTAGATTTTCTTCTAGGGTTTTTATGGTTTTAGGTCTTACATTTAAGTCTTTAATCCATCTTGAATTAATTTTTGTATAAGGTGTAAGGAAGGGATCCAGTTTCAGCTTTCTACATGTGGCTAGCCAGTTTTCCCAGCACCATTTATTAAATAGGGAATCCTTTCCCCATTGCTTGTTTTTGTCAGGTTTGTCAAAGATCAGATGGTTGTAGATATACGGCATTATTTCTGAGGGCTCTGTTCTGTTCCATTAGTCTACATCCCTGTTTTGGTACCAGTACCATGCTGTTTTGGTTACTGTAGCCTTGTAGTATAGTTTGAAGTCAGGTAGCATGATGCCTCCAGCTTTGTTCTTTTGGCTTAGGATTGACTTGGCGATGTGCGCTCTTTTTTGGTTCCATATGAACTTTAAAGTAGTTTTTTCCAATTCTGTGAAGAAAGTCATTGGTAGCTTGATGAGGATGGCATTGAATCTATAAATTACTTTGGGCAGTATGGCCATTTTCACGATATTGATTCTTCCTATCCATGAACATGGAATGTTCTTCCATTTCTTTGTATCCTCTTTTATTTCATTGAGCAGCAATTTGTAGTTCTTGAAGAGGTCCTTCACATCCCTTGTAAGTTGGATTCCTAGGTATTTTATTCTCTTTGAAGCAATTGTGAATGGGAGCTCACTCATGATTTGGCTCTCTGCTTGTCTGTTATTGGTGTATAAGAATGCTTGTGATTTCTGCACATTGATTTTGTATCCTGAGACTTTGCTGAAGTTGCCTATCAGCTTAAGGAGATTTTGGACTGAGACGATGGGGTTTTCTAGATGCACAATCATGTCATCTGCAAACAGGGACAATTTGACTTCCTCTTTTCCTAATTGAATACCCTTTATTTCCTTCTCCTGCCTGATTGCCCTGGCCAAAACTTCCAACACTATGTTGAATAGGAGTGGTGAGAGAGGGCATCCCTGTCTTGTGCCAGTTTTTGCCCATTCAGTTTGATATTGACTGTGGGTTTGTCATAGATAGCTCTTATGATTTTGAGATACATCCCATCAATACCTAATTTATTGAGAGTTTTAGCATGAAGGGTTGTTGAATTTTGTCAAAGGCCTTTTCTGCATCTATTGAGATAATCATGTGGTTTTTGTCGTTGGTTCTGTTTATATGCTGGATTACGTTTATTGATTTGCATATGTTGAACCAGCCTTGCATTCCAGGGATGAAGCCCACTTGATCATGGTGGATAAGCTTTTTGATGTGCTGCTGGATTCGGTTTGCCAGTATTTTATCGAGGATTTTTGCATTGATGTTCATCAGGGATATTGGTCTAAAATTCTCTTTTTTTGTTGTGTCTCTGCCAGGCTTTGGTATCAGGATGATGCTGGCCTCATAAAATGAGTTAGGGAGGATTCCCTCTTTTTCTATTGATTGGAAGAGTTTCAGAAGGAATGGTACCAGCTCCTCCTTGTACTTCTGGTAGAATTTGGCTGTGAATCCGTCTTGTCCTGGACTTTTTTTGTTGGTAAGCTATTAATTATTGCCTCAATTTCAGAGCCTGTTATTGGTCTATTCAGAGATTCAACTTCTTCCTGGTTTAGTCTTGGGAGGGTGTATGTGTCAAGGAATTTATCCATTTCTTCTAGATTTTCTAGTTTATTTGCATAGAGGTGTTTATAGTATTCTCTGATGGTAGTTTGTATTTCTGTGGGATCAGTGGCAATATCCCCTTTATCATTTTTTATTGCATCTATTTGATTCTTCTCTCTTTTCTTCTTTATTAGTCTTGCTAGCGGTCTATCAATTTTGTTGATCTTTTCAAAAAACCAGCTCCTGGATTCACTGATTTTTTGAAGAGTTTTTTTGTGTCTCTATCTCCTTCAGTTCTGCTCTGATCTTAGTTATTTCTTGCCTTCTGCTAGCTTTTGAATGTGTTTGCTCTTGCTTCTCTAGTTCTTTTAATTGTGATGTTAGGGTGTCAGTTTTAGATCTTTCCTGCTTTCTCTTGTGGGCATTTAGTGCTATAAATTTCCCTCTACACACTGCTTTGAATGTGTCCCAGAGATTCTGGTATGTGGTGTCTTTGTTCTCATTGGTTTCAAAGAACATCTTTATTTCTGCCTTTATTTCATTATGTACCCAGTAGTCATTCAGGAACAGGTTGTTCAGTTTCCATGTAGTTGAGCAGTTTTGAGTGGGTTTCTTAATTCTGAGTTCTAGTTTGATTACACTGTAGTCTGAGAGACAATTTGTTATAATTTCTGTTCTTTTCCATTTGCTGAGGGGTGATGTACTTCCAACTATGTGGTCAATTTTGGAATAGGTGTGGTGTGGTGCTGAGAAGAATGTATATTCTGTTGATTTGGGGTGGAGAGTTCTGTAGATGTCTATTAGGTCCGCTTGGTGCAGAGCTGAGTTCAATTCCTGGATATTCTTGTTAACTTTCTGTCTCGTTGATCTGTCTAATGTTGACAGTATGGTGTTAAAGTCTTCCTTTATTATTGTGTGGGAGTCTAAGTCTCTTTGTAGGTCTCTAATGATTTGCTTTATGAATCTGGGTGCTCCTGTATTGGGTGCATATATATTTAAGATAGTTAGCTCTTCTTGTTGAATTGATCCCTTTACCATTATGTAATGGCCTTCTTTGTCTCTTTTGATATTTGCTGGTTTAAAGTCTGTTTTATCAGAGACTAGGATTGCAACCCCTGCCTTTTTTTGTTTTCCATTTGCTTGGTAGATCTTCCTCCGTCCTTTTATTTTGAGCCTATATGTGTCTCTGCATGTGAGATGGGTTTCCTGAATACAGCACACTGATGGGTCTTGACTCTTTATCCAATTTTCCAGTCTGTGTCTTTTAATTGGAGCATTTAGCCCATTTACATTTAAGGTTAATATTGTTATGTGTGAATTTGATCCTGTCTTTATGATGTTAGGTGGTTATTTTGCTTGTTAGTTGATGCAGTTTCTTCCTAGCCTCAATGGTCTCTACAATTTGGCATGTTTTTGCAGTGGCTGGTACCGGTTTTTCCTTTCCATGTTTAATGCTTCCTTCAGGAGCTCTTTTAGGGCAGGTCTGGTGGTGACAAAATCTCTCAGCATTTGCTTGTCTGTAAAGTATTTTATTTCTCCTTCTCTTATGAAGCTTAGTTTGGCTGGATATGAAATTCTGGGTTGAAAATTCTTTTCTTTAAGAATGTTGAATATTGGCCCCCACTCTCTTCTGGCTTGTAGAGTTTCTGCTGAGAGATGAGCTGTTAGTCTGATGGGCTTCCCTTTTTGGGTAACCCGACCTTTCTCTCTGGCTGCCCTTAACACTTTTTCCTTCATTTCAACTTTGGTGAATTTGACAATTATGTGTCTTGGAGTTGCTCTTCTCGAGGAGTATCTTTGTGGCATTCTCTGTATTTCCTGAATTTGAATCTTGGCCTGCCTTGCTAGATTGGGGAAATTCTCCTGGATAATATCCTGCAGAGTGTTTTCCAACTTGGTTCCATTCTACCCGTCACTTTCAGGTACACCAATCAGAGATAGATTTGGTCTTTTCACACAGTCCCATATTTCTTGGAGGCTTTGTTCGTTTCTTTTTATTCTTTTTTCTTTAAACTTCTCTTCTCGCTCCATTTCATTCATTTGATCTTCTGTCACTGATAACCTTTCTTCCAGTTGATCGCATCGGCTACGGAGGCTTCTGCATTCGTCACGTAGTTCTCATGCCATGGTTTTCAGCTCCATCAGGTCCTTAAAGGACTTCTCTGCATTGGTTATTCTAGTTAGCCATTCGTCTAATTTTTTTTCAAGGTTTTTAACTTCTTTGCCATGGGTTCGAACTTCCTCCTTTAGCTCGGAGTAGTTTGATCATCTGAAGCCTTCTTCTCTCAACTCGTCAAAGTCATTCTCCGTCCAGCTTTGTTCCGTTGCTGGTGAGGAGCTGCGTTCCTTTGGAGGAGGAGAGGCGCTCTGATTTTTAGAGTTTCCAGTTTTTCTACTCTGTTTTTTCCCCATCTTTGTGGTTTTATCTACCTTTGGTCTTTGATGATGGTGACGTACAGATGGGGTTTTGGTGTGGATGTCCTTTCTGTTTGTTCGTTTTCCTTCTAACAGTCAGGACCCTCAGCTACAGGTCTGTTGGAGTTTGCTGGACGTCCACTCCAGACCCTGTTTGCCTGGGTATCAGCAGCAGAGGCTGCAGAACAGGGGATATTGGTGAACAGCAAGTGTTGCTGCCTGATTGTTCCTCTGGAAGTTTTGTCTCAGAGTAGTACCCAGCCATGTGAGGTGTCAGTCTGACCCTACTGCGGGGTGCCTCCCAGTTAGGCTACTCGGGAGTCAGGGACCCACTTGAGGAGGCAATCTGTCTGTTCTCAGATCTCCAGCTGCGTGCTGGGAGAACCACTACTCTCTTCCAAGCTTTCAGACAGGGACATTTAAGTCTGCAGAAGTTTCTGCTGCCTTTTGTTTGGCTATGCCCTGCCCCCAGAGGTGGAGTCTACAGAGGCAGACAGGCAGGCCTCCTTGAGTTGCAGTGGGCTCCACCCAGTTCAAGCTTCCCAGCCGGTTTGTTTACCTACTCAAGCCTCGGCAATGGCGGGCGCCCCTCCCCCAGCCTCGCTGGTGCCTTGTGGTTTGATCTCAGAGTGCTGTGCTAGCAATGATCGAGGCTCCGTGGGCATAGGACCCTCTGAGCCAGGCACAGGATATAATCTCCTGGTGTGCTGTTTGCTAAGACTGTTGGAAAAGTGCAGTATTAGGGTGGGAGTGACCCGATTTTCCAGGTGCCATCTGTCACCCCTTTCTTTGACTAGGAAAGGGAATTCCCTGACCTCTTATGCTTCCCGGGTGAGGCGATGCCTCGCCCTGCTTCGGCTCACGCTTGGTGCGCTGCACCCACTGTCCTGCACCCGCTTTCCGACACTCCCCAGTGAGATGAACCCAGTACCTCAGTTGGAAATGCAGAAATCACCCATCTTCTGCATCGCTCACGCTGGGAGCTGTAGACTGGAGCTGTTGCTATTCGGCCGTCTTGGCTCCACCCTCCTGTTTTTATATTTTAAGTGGTTTTTTTGTAGACAACACATAGATTTTTTTAATCCACTCTGACAAACTCTTTTATTTGTATACATTTATGGCGTACAAGTGCAATTTTGTTACATGCATAGATTGCTTATTGGTGAAGTTAGAGTTTACAGGGTATCCATCACCCAAATAATGTATATTGTACTCATTAAATAATTTCTCATCACCCACCCACCTCTCACCCCCTCACCTTTCCAAATCTCCATTGTCTGTCATTCCACATGCTACATCCATGTGTATATATTATTTAGCTCCCACTTATAAGTGAGAACATGTGGTATTTGTCTTTCTGTGAAATCCGTCATTTATTTATTTATTTAAGACAATGTGTTGGTCCATCACCTAGGCTGGAGTGCAGTGTCAAATCACAGATCATTGCAGCCTTAACCTTCTGGGCTCAAGTGATCCTCTTGCCTCAGCCTCCTGAGTAGTTGGGACTATAGGCATGCACCACCACACCTGGCTAATTTTAAAATGTTTTGTAGAAATGGAGGTCTTACTATATTGCCCAGGTTTGTCTTGAACTCCTGGCCTCAAAAGACCCTCCTGCCTTGGCCTACCAAAGTGCTAGGATCACAGGTATCAGCCATTGCAGCTGACCAGAAATCTGTTTTAATTGGTGTATTTAGACCATTGACATTTAAAGTGATTATTGATATAGTTGGATTATTATAATATTTACCATATTTACTATAGTTTTCTACTTCTTGCCTTTGTTTATTTTTCCTATTTTTGTCTTTCATACTTTTCCTGCCTCTTGTGGTTTTAATTGAGCATTTTATATCATTCCACTTTCTCTCCCTTCTTAACATATGTTTTATAATTTTTAAACTATTTTTGGTGGTTACCCTAGAATTTGCAATATATATTTGCAGCTAATCCAAATCCATTTTCAAATAACAGCATACCACTTTATAGTATCTGTCACCCAAATGGGTATCATGGATATGGCAAGTACCTTACAATAACAAAATGTTTTTAACTATCCCCTCCTGTACCTTGTTTCATTGCTGTCATTCATTTCCCTTACATATAAACATACCTAGCAAATGCACACACACACACACACACACACACACACACACACAACCAAATACATTGTTGCTATTATTATGTTGAATAAACTGTTGTCAGATCAACTAAGAATAAGAAAAATAAAACATTTTATTTTACTTTCACTTATTCCTTCTCTGATGCTCTTCATTTCTTTATATTGACCTGCATTTCTGATCTATATCATTTTGCATCTCTCCAAATAACTTTTAACATTTCTTGCAAGACAGGTCTACTGACATAAATTCCCTCAATTTTTATTTTTCTGAGAAAGTATTTATTCTCCACTTTTGAAGGATACTTTGGTAAGGCAAATAATTCTAGGTTGGTGAGTCTTTTTTTCTCAACACTTTAAATGTTTAATTTTATTTTACCTTGTTCTTGCTTCACTGGTTTCTGAGGAAAAGCCAGATGTAATTATTATCTTTGCTTCTCTAGAGATAAGGTGGTTTCTCTGGCTTCATTCAAGATTTTTGTTTTATCTTTGATTTTCTGCAATTTGAAAACGATATGCCTAGGTGTAGACTTGTTTTATTTTGTTTTGTTTAGTCATTACTGCTTCTAACATTTCTTCTGTTCCTTTGTCTTTTTCTTCTCATTCTGGTATTCTATTATGAATATTATACCTTTTGTAATTGTCTCACATTTTTTAGATATTTGTACTCTTTTTTTCCCAGTCATTGTTCTGTTTTGGAAGTTTCTATTACCACGTCCTCAAGTGCAAATTCTTTCCTCACTGTGTCCAGTCTAGTGATGATCCCATCAAAGGCATTCTTTATTTCTGTTACAATGCTTTTGACCTTGAGTATTTTTAAATTTCTTCTTAGAATTTCTAGCTCTCTGCTTACATTATCCATCTGTTCTTTCATGTTGTCTAATTTTTTAAATTCCTGATCTGATAATTCCAACATTCTAGCCATATCTGACCCTGGTTCTGATGTTGGTTCAATCTCTTCAAACTGTGGTTTTGTTTTTGTTTTTGTTTTTGTTTTTGTTTTTGTTTTTGTTTTGCCTTTGAGTATGCCTTGTAATTTTTTGGTGAAAGGTGGACGTGATGTACTGGCTAAAAGCAACAGCAGTAAACAGGCCTTTAGTAATGTGGTGTTAAGGTGCGGGAGGAGAGAAAGCATTCTATAATCCTATGATTAGGTCTCAGTCTTTTGGTGTGCCTGTGCCCCTGGACTGTGAACTTCACCACTGTTTTTCAGTCATGCCTCCCCCCTCCACCATCCCCCAGCAACTCTTAGGCGGGGAAAGATGGCTGGAGGGGTCTGGAGTCGGGTATTTCTTTTTTCTCATGAGGAAAGCTACAGGGAGCTGGAGCTGGAGCTGGTTATTTCCCTTCCCCCAGGTGGGTTAGGCTTTGATATAACCCCAGCAGTTTAGATTGGTAAAAATAGTTTCTTCTGAGGGCTGGACTTGTGAAGAACAGAATGCTCTGCTGTATCTCAAAATGGTTTCTTTCCCCCTAACGCCTGCTGGAAGAACAAGGAGATTTTTCTCCAATATTCACTGTGAGGACATGTAGAACTCTTGGAGGTAAAATTTACAAAATATAGGTCTCCCTATGACTTGATCCCCCTGGAGTTTTTAACTCTGAGAGTTGTCCACACTGAGCCTCCAACAATTTTTCAATTACGATTAAGGCTTTCCTACCCCAGAACTAGTTTATGGGGAGATTTCTCCTTTGGGATTTCTGCTCTGGTAAGTTATGATTCTCTGTATCTGCTTGTCTGTTCTACTTTTGTGGCAGTGGTTGGCCCTAAGACCTCACTTCTCTGATGGATCTAAGAAGATGTATTGATTTTTCAGTTTTTTCAGTTTTCTACTTGTTGTTTGGATGGAGTGGTGACTTCTAAGCCATTGTTACTTATTTTTCTTACCTAGTATACCTTCTTTATCAACTCAGTCACTGTTTCCTATAGTAAAGTTATAAATAGTTTGTTTGCTTTTTAAAGGAAAAGTGATACACAACAATAAAGATGAAAATCACACTCAATTCTTTAGATGATGTTTTATTTCCATGAACATATTTTCCTGTAAATTTATACTAAGTAAATAATGATGGCATTAACTGGCATTCTTGGTATGCTTTTGATCTTCTTTTTCCAAAAGCGACTGCCAAGATAACTTCTTAACAAAAATCACTTAACCACTAAGTGACTCTATTTCATATATAATGATAGCTTATTTAGATATTGCTTTTCATTCTATTTTCTTCTCTATTCTATTGCCATTAACAATAATGAGATTTCCATACTTTCTCTGAAAAATATATAATAGATTCTCTGAGCAATTGTTTTCCCACTGAATCTTATTGTAGAAAATGGAACATGTCTTCAGAATCATGTTTAATGGCTCTAGCCTTACCCAAAGCCCTCAAGCTTAAGATTCACATCTTATTTGAGTTTTATTTATGGCCTTTATCATACTGTACTGTAATTCACAGTTCACATGTCTGTCTCCAGGCTAGACTTGGAGATCCTTAAGGGCAAAAGCTATGTCTTATTCATCTCTGTATCCTCCATACCCTACACTATGCCTGGCACAGAGTTGGCACCCAGGAAATATTTGTTGAACTGTGGTGTACTTCCTCTTATCCTTGACTCACCCTTTGCCAAATATTCAGTCATGCACTCACTCACCGAACACACATACATTGCAGGAATGCTCTCCTCTTAAGAATTAAAGGTAAAATTTTCAAATATATTTTCTATGTAAACTTATCAAAGAAAGATTTTCATTACACATCATTTTTTCAATAAAAAAGTTTTATTGAGGACCTCTCATGTGCCAGGCACAATGCTAGACACCGGGACAACAGTGATAAACAAGATAGATGAGGTCTTTTTATAGTGAAAGAGAGACATCAAACAGTTAATCACAGCAACATGTGTTGCATCATAGTACAATTACATTGTTTCAAAATCGCCCTTCCTTGTCTATCTACCCCTGGCCTGCTATATACTTGAAGTGGAGAACCCTGTTTAACTGCTTTGCTGAGTCTTGCCTGTGCTGTCTCCCAGCCACCTATCATAGTGCCTGACATATGGTAAGAGCTCAACAAATGTTAAATGAATGAATTAAAGAATGAATGACCAAATGAATAAAGATGATGAGTGTTTACTCATGTTTACACATAATCATGTGGTAAGATTAACTAGGCAATCTTCATACCTCCTACTGAAAAGGTCTTCTTTTATTTACAAACAACAGATACAATTTAAGGAATCATAGCTTATGGAATGTAAGCACACCCCATGCCCACCAAATTATTCTCCCTCCCAGCAGAATGATCAGTTTAGATAAGAAGTTTATTTTTTTAATTTTAATTTTTAATTTTGTGGGTGTGTAAATTTATGGAGTACATGAGATGTTTTGATACAGGACTGCAATGCATAACAATCGCGTCCCATAAAATGGGGTATCCATCCTCTCAAGTATTTATAATTTGTGTTACAAACAATTCAATTACACTCTTTTAGTTATTTTTAAATGTACAATTAATTTATTATTGACTATAGTCACCCTGTTCCTCTACCAGATACTAGATCTTATTCATTCGTCCTATTTTTTTGTACCCATTAACCATCCCCACTTCACCTTAACCTTCCCACTAACCTTCCCAGCCTCTGGTAACCATCCTTCTACTCTCTATTTCCATGAGTTCAATTGTTTTGATTTTTAGAACCTACAAATAAGTGAGAACATGCCATGTTTGTCTTTCTGGGCCTTTCACTTGCAGCAATATGAACGAAACTGGAGGTCATTATGCTAAGTGAAATATATACCATTTATTAAGCATGGATCAGTCTGTGCTAAGAGGTTTACATAGATTAGCACATTAAGCATTTATAACATCAATTTGATGTGGTATAATAATCACCCCAATTTTTTTCCAACTCAATTGAGGTATAATTGACAAATAAAAATGGTATAGATTCAAGGTATACAACATGATTTAATATATGTATATATTGTATAATGACTATCCCAATCAAACTAACACATCATTCACCACAGTTGCCACTGTGTGTGTGTATTAAAAACATTTAAGATCTGCTCTCTTACCAAATTTCAAGCAAACAATATAGTATTATTAACTACAATGATTGTGCTGTACATCAGATCCCCAGAACCCTCAGTTTCTTCATGTTTAAAATGGATGTGAATAATTAATACATATATGTCTGTATATGTATATATATATACACATATACACACATAAAACGTAATACATATATATATACATATACACACATAAAACTTAATACATATATATATATATATACATATACACACATAAAACGTAATATTATTTTAAAATGAAGAAACTGAGGCCCAAGTAACTTAGGTGATTTTTCCATGATCACACAACTAGTAAAAGTGTAAGTGGAAATCGAACTCATATCTGTTTGTCTCTAAAGTAGAACCCTAAAATTCGATGATAGATGCCCAATATATCAATGGTTCTCAGTGTAGGGAAAGGAAATCCAAATCTTCAGAGGGTCATAGGGAGTGTGAAAGAAGTATACTTACTGGGTAAAGATGCTGGTTGACAGCACGTTATCTATCTCCTTTCCCTTCCAAGTGCTCCCAAAATGACAGCAAATGAATTTTTAAAAGGCATAAACATATAAGGACCCAAAAGATTAGGATAGAAGACATCAGTGGGTGAAAAATTTCAACAATTTTTGGAAGTAGAACAAAGAGAAGAATGCTACAACTTTAAATGCCTGCAGAGGAGGATGCAGAACATAGCCAGTTGATTTGCTCTTTAAGACCTGAGAGGCACCAATAAGGCAGGTCCGAAGTACAGAGCTGAAAATAGGACATTGTTTGAATATCTGTACATGAACTAAATACTCTCTGAGGTTCCCACCTTCATAGTAAGCATCCAGGCAAGAAACGAGGTTTTATTTCTGGAAACATTAAATGAAGTTTATATTAAATGAAGATGTCTAGGGTTTAAAAGACACGAGCTATGCTGGTGAGCAGGGGGTAAGTCTTATAGCCTAAAACAGGGAGATGTCTTGAACACTTGCTCCTGAACCTGTGAGGCTGAGCCCACCCCCACTTCCAAGTTCTCCCTTGCTAGGTTTAAAATTGACAGGAGCCAAGCTTATATTCCAACATGCTCCAAGATAGGGAAGAATTATTGTTGAAAAAAATGACCTATCTGAGCAAAAAAGATTTCTACATAGGAGATTTAAGTCCCAATGGAAAAGTCTGGCTCCTTGCCTAACCACTCTTCATTGTAGACTACCAGTCAACAATCTTCAACCACAGACAGGCTTTCAATAAATGTTTCTGTGCCTCACTTTTAAATACATACAGACTGCCAAGGTTCATGAGATATTTGAATCCTACCATTTATCATCACCTCCATTTCCGCCACCCTCACCTAGGCCACCTTTATCTCTCACCTGGATTGTTGCAATAGTCTCCTAACTTGTTTCCCATCTTCTACCCTCACCCTCTTACAGCCTATTCTCAGTAGAATCATCAATTAGACTTTTAAGACATACCCAAAAGATGTCACTCTTCTTTATAAAAAGCCTCCAATGGTTTCCTGCCTTGATCAAAATAAAAGCCAAAGTCCATTGCCAGGCGCACAAAGGCCTTTCCTTTCCAAATCCACTTCTTACTGCTCTTTCCTTTGCTAAGTCTCCTGGCTATTCAATTATATCAAATATCTTTTCATGTCAGTGCCTTTGTACTGCATCTCTCTCTTGCTCTGCATCTCTCTCTTGCTCTGGATAGTTTGCCTTATTTTTCTTCACAGCACTCAGCAGACATCATCTAACATTATATTATTACCATTCCTCTAGAATGTAAACTCTGTGTCAGTATGGTCTTTGTTTTAATTTTGTTCACATGAAGTACCTGGCACATTTTAGACACTCAATATTTGTTGAATGAATGAATAAATTTGAGAAAGACCTCCAAAATTAAACAAGCAAACAAACCAAACAGAAATAAGAGAACCCAAACTTAGAAAGAATAAATATATTCTTTATAATATAAATAAATAAATAAGGGAACCCAAACTTAGAAAGAATAAAATATGCAGGAAAAAATCTGTTTTATGAAAATCTCCCAAGTGACATCAGTAGGAATGGTGGAATAAAGATATCCAAAAATTCTTTTCCCCATAGAAGCAATGAGAACACTGGAAAATAATTTGTCAGAACCAACATTTTAAGAACTCTGGAAATTAACCAAGGGACTTCAGAAATCTGGGGAGTATTTATTCAAGAAAAATGGCTGAGTTTCTGTAAAAGAGTGAGCTTTGAGGCATTTTAACTGAACTTATTCCCATACCACTCTCCTCAGCTTAAGAATAGCCTTGAAATCCAATATCCTTGCAATCACACTGAAAACCGTCAGCCCAGAAACCACTAGAGGGAGAAGAATTAGGTTGGATATGCTTGTGTGTGAGTGTGTGTGTGTGTGTGTGTGTGTGTGTGTGTGTGTAAAGGTGGAGTATCCTTTATCCAAAATGCTTGGAAGCAGAAGTGTTTGGGATTTGGGATATTTTCAGATTTGGGAATATTTGCATTATACTTATTGGTTGAACATTCTTAATCCCAAAATCCAAAATCCAAGATAGTCCAATGAGCATTTCCTTTGAGCATCATGTCAGTGCTCAAAAAGTTTTTGATTTTGGAGCATTTGCTTTAGGGACACTCAACACACACACACACACACACACACACATTCTGTGTGTGTGTGTGTGTGTGCACGCGTGTGTGTGTATAACCTTGCCCATGAGATGAAATGGGACTATTTTTTGCAGCAAGTTGTAGAAAACCTGATTATAGTGAGTGTATCAGTTTTTAAAAGGCAAAGTGCAAAATTGTGTTTAAATTATGTGACTATTTCAGTAAGCTCAAAAAGAATAACAAATATACTTACATATATAGTTACATATACAAAGAATATCTCTAGATGGATACACAAGGGTAGCAGGGGTAATATTTGTTACCTCAAAAAAAAAAGAAACATATAGTTCAAACATATAGAACACACAGAACAAAATGCAGAGTCCAGAAATAGACTCACACAAATATGACAAATTAATTTTGGGCCCCAGAAAAACTAAATGGCGAAAGGAACCGTATGCATGCATTTGCAAAAAAAAATTAACCTACATCTGAAGCTCACACCTTATACAACAATTAACTCAAAATAGATCATAAACCTAAATATGAAACATAAAGCTATAAAAACTTTTAAAATAAAACATAGGAGAAGTCTTTGTGACCTTGGGTTTAGCAATTAGTTTTAAAATACAACAGCAAAAGCATTATCAATACAAGAAAAAAATAATAAATAGGACTTCATTAAAATTATAAACTTTTCCTCTGCAAAAGATACCATTAAGAGACTGAAAACACAAGTCACAGACTGGGAGAAAATATTTGAAAACCACACATCTGACAAATAAATTGTTTCTAGAATATACAATAAACTCTTAAAACTCAACAATAATAAAATTAATAAGATAATAAGGTTTTTTAAATGGGCAAAATACTTGAATAGACATTTCACCAAAAATTATTTAGAGATGTCTATAAGCACATTAAAAACATGCTCAACATCATTAGTCATTGGAGCTATGAAAATGTATACCATAATGAGATATCACAACACACCTATTTGAATGCCTAAAGTTGATAATGTTGACAATACCTGGTGAGGAGGCAGAGCAACTGGAATTCTTATATATTGCTGATGAGAACGCAAAATGGCACATATCCTTTGCAAATTAGTTTGTCAGTTTCTTACAAAGTTAAACATACACTGACTATATGGCCCAGCAATCCCACCTCTAGCTATTTACTCAGGTGAAATAAAAATTTGTGTTCACCCAGAAAAATATTTGTTGAATGAATGGATTAATGAGTGAATAGTAATAATGAATGGATCTATCATAATGTAAAATGACTAGATAATGTCTAAAATTGCTGAAACAAAAAACAATAATATAACATTATTTTACGAATCAGGAAGTAACTACCACAAGGAATATTTAAAAGAATAAAAAGATATAGACTCTTAAGGACAGGACAGAATTGCGGGATTGGTTAAAAGGGACTGCTGTTATTCTTATACAACAATAAGAGACAAACAGAGAGCCAAATCATGAGTGAACTCCCATTCACAATTGCTTCAAAGAGAATAAAATACCTAGAAATCCAACTTACAAGGGACGTAAAGGACCTCTTCAAGGAGAACTACAAACCACTGCTCAATGAAATAAAAGAGAATACAAAGAAATGGAAGAACATTCGATGCTCATGGGTAGGAAGAATCAGTATCATGAAAATGGCCATACTGCCCAAGGTAATTTATAGATTCAATGCCATCCCCATCAAGCTACCAATGACTTTCTTCACAGAATTGGAAAAAACTACTTTAAAGTTCATATGGAACCAAAAAAGAGCCCACATCTCCGAGTCAATCCTAAGCCAAAAGAACAAAGCTGGAGGCATCACGCTACCTGACTTCAAACTATACTACAAGGCTACCGTAACCAAAACAGCATGGTACTGGTACCAAAACAGAGATATAGATCAATGGAACAGAACAGAGCCCTCAGAAATAATGCCGCATATCTACAACTATCTGATCTTTGACAAACGTGAGAAAAAAGAAGCAATGGGGAAAGGATTCCCTATTTAATAAATGGTGCTGGGAAAACTGGCTAGCCATATGTAGAAAGCTGAAACTGGATCCCTTCCTTACACCTTATACAAAAATTAATTCAAGATGGATTAAAGACTGAAACGTAAGACCTAAAACCATAAAAACCCTAGAAGAAAACCTAGGCATTACCACTCAGGACGTAGGCATGGACAAGAACTTCATGTCTAAAATACCAAAAGCAATGGCAACAAAAGCCAAAATTGACAAATGGGATCTAATTAAACTAAAGAGCTTCTGCACAGCAAAACAAACCACCATCAGAGTGAACAAGCAACCTACAGAATGGGAGAAAACTTTTGCAATCTACTCATCTGACAAAGGGCTAATATCCAGAATCTACAATGAACTCAAACAAATTTACAAGAAAAAAACAAACAACCCCATCAAAAAGTGGGCAAAGGACATGAACAGACACTTCTCAAAAGAAGACATTTATGCAGCCAAAAAACACATGAAAAAATGCTCACCATCAGAGAAATGCAAATCAAAACCACAATGAGATATCATCTCACACCAGTTAGAATGGCAATCATTAAAAAGTCAGGAAACAACAGGTGCTGGAGAGGATGTGGAGAAATAGGAACACTTTTACACTGTTGGTGGGACTGTAAACTAGTTCAACCATTGTGGAAGTCAGTGTGGCGATTCCTCAGGGATCTAGAACTAGAAATACCATTTGACCCAGCCATCCCATTACTAGGTATATACCCAAAGGACTATAAATCATGCTGCTATAAAGACACATGCACACGTATGTTTATTGCGGCACTATTCACAATAGCAAAGACTTGGAACCAACCCCAATGTCCAACAATGATAGACTGGATTAAGAAAATGTGGCACATATACACCATGGAATACTATGCAGCCATAAAAAATGATGAGTTCATGTCCTTTGTAGGGACATGGATGAAATTGGAAATCATCATTCTCAGTAAACTATCGCAAGGACAAAAAACCAAACACCGCATGTTCTCACTCATAGGTGGGAATTGAACAATGAAAACACATGGACACAGGAAGGGGAACATCACACTCTGGGGACAGTTGTGGGGTGGGGGGAGTGGGGAGGGATAGCATTAGGAGATATACCTAATGCTAAATGACGAGTTAATGGGTGCACCATACCAGCATGGCACATGTATACATATGTAACTAACCTGCACATTGTGCACATGTACCCTAAAACTTAAAGTATAATAATAATAAAATTTAAAAAAAAGAGACTGCTGTTTTTCATTAACGCTTTCCATACTATTGATTCTGTTAACAATGTGAATATATTACCTTCTTAAAAATTTAAAAACGAAAGTCATGCTGTGTGAAGTTCTATGAACTTCTACAAGGGGCAAAACTAATCTATGGTTGCATGCTACTTAATCTCAAGTGCTTCAGAAAAAAAAAATTATTTTTATTTAAAAAAAATTTAGAAGCATGAGTCTCACTATGTTGCTCAGGCTAGTCTCAAAGTCCTGGACTCAAGCAACCCTCCCACCTCAGCCTCCTGCATAGCTGGGATTACAGGTGCATGCCATCACTCCAGGTTAAAAAAAATCTATATACATAGAAAGAAAGCAAATGCCAAATCAAATTAGTTAAATGTTAATGAGAGGTGGATCTGGGTGAAGAGTATCTAGGTGGTCTTTGTAGTATTATTTTTCTTGCAACTTTTCTTTAAGTTTGAAATTATTTCCAAATAAAAGTTATTAAAATAACTATGGTAGAAAAATCAGAACCATGGTTTCCTGTGGAGGGTGAAGGCAGAGATTGACTTGGTAGAAAAATCAGAACCATGGTTTCCTGTGGAGGGTGAAGGCAGAGATTGACTTGGAAGGAGCGTGGGGGTGCTTTCTGGGCTATTGGAAATGTTCTGTATCTTGATAGGGGCTAGGATTATATGGTATGTGCATTTATCAGACCTTATAGAATGGTACTCATAAGATCACTGCATTTCATTGTATGTGAATTTTACTTCAATTAAAAAATAACAAATATTGAACTTAATGATATTCATACTGAAGGGTTTAGAGGTAAAGTATATTAATGTCTGCAACTTGCTGTCCAATGCAACAGAAAAAAAAATAAGATGGATGGATAAATGAGAACAGACATAGATAGATGGACAGATGGATAATGAAGCAAAAATAGCAAAATGTTAATTATAAAATCCAATGGTACCATGTGGTTGTTCATTGCAAATTTCTTTCAACTTTGCTGGATGTTTGAAAATTTTCATAAGAAAGCGTTAGGAAAAAAGCAAAGGATGAAAAAGCAGTATGAAGGGAGGCAAAGGATTTTAAAGTTTATCAAAAAGGAGTAAGTCCATAAAAAGATTGCAAAACATCAATATGGGTAAGGAAACCGATGATGGCCCAGGTCTGGAACCAAGGTCTGTGTACTCTGCAGCAGCAAAGCCATCTCAACAGCCAGCTCCCCTGCCCTGCAGGGGATCCAGTACCACAGCCACGTGACCAGTTCTGTCCTCTGTCTATCCCAGCACCTTGTACCAGTGGACACTTAGGACCTTTGGATAAGGATGGGGCCCCCATTTCCTTCATCATATGTGATCAAATTTTTACTCAAAGAATTTTGTAGAGTTATTAAGTTCTGGTCTTCATTTGTCAACTGAGAATTTTTAATTTCCCTTGGGACATTTTTGAGCATGGAAGTTTCATCTAAGCCTTTTGATTGTCTAAGAGGCACTACTTTCTCATCTTTGTTGAGTCAAATACAAATATTGTGGCCTGGACCAGACTGCACATTTTAAAACGCAAATAACCCCAATGTTCATCAACAGGAGAATGAATGAGTAATTGTGGTGCAATCATACAAGGGAATACTATGAGGCAAGTATAATTAATATACTGTGTCTCTAGCATAACAAAATGGAATAAATATCAAAAACATACTAGACAGAAAAAGAAAGCTGCAGAAGAATATGGTATAATGCCATTTATAACAACAATACCATGCATTGTTTGAGGATACACACCTATGTATCAAATATATGAAATTATAAAAACTAAATTCAAAATAATGGTTCCTTCTTGAGAGAGAGGGGGGCTACTGAAGTAGCTTGTATAATTTTTGTTTTAGTGATAAAGTCTAAAAAGATAGAGTTCTGTTTCTGATCATTAAAGATGAGTTAATTCAGACCTGCCTTTCTGCTAAAGAAAACTGAGAAAAGACACTATTTTTAAAAGAACACATTTCTATAATTATCAAAGAAATAATGAAAGAGTGGAGAATTACCAAGGCTGGAAACAGAGCTGAATCAGGAAACCAAGAGAGGTATTTGATCCACTTTTGTCCATGGGGCTTTCACCAATATAGAAGTGACTGAGAGGCTGAGCAACATTTTTGACAGCATTGGAGAGAAAAAATGTGGAATACAGGCTAATAAAAAATGTGGAATACAGGGTAATAAAAAAATGTGGAATACAGTGTCTGCAAAGGTTGGGAGCCCTAAAAACCACCCATCATCTAGGGTTGGGACCTGAAAAGATGAGATAACAGGCAGCATGAAGTGGAAATAAACCATACCTCACGTGGATTCTATCCCTACTTAGGATCATCTGAGTGGTCCCAAAGATCTCAAGCCCTGAAACCAGAGCAAGGTAGCTAAACTTAAGCCCTGACATCACTAAACTGTTGAGTTAATCCATTCTGGGACAGCCCTACCTCTGATATTCTCATGTGAAATAATAAATGTTGTTATGTTTCAAACCACTTTTAGTTAAGTTTTCTGTTGCTTGAAGCCTGAAGCATCCTAACTGATACAGTGAGCAATCACAGACATGGTCTCTTTCTCACAGAGCTCACAGCCAGGAAACTGAGGAGAAAGAGCTATTGTACTAATTTGCTAGGGCTGCCATAACTAAATGCCACAAACTGGGTGGCTTAAACAATGGGAATTTGTCGTTTCACAGTTCTGGAGGCTAGAAGTCTGAAACCAAGGTGTCGGCAGAGTTGATTCCTTCTGAGAGTTCTGAGGAAGACTGCTCCGTATCTCTCTCCTAGCCTCTGGTGATGGCCAGCAATCCTTGGTATTCCTCAGCTTGCAGCTTCATCATTCCAATTTCTGCCTTCATCTTCACATGGTATTCTCCTTGTGCGTGTGTGGGCGTGTGTGTGCATCCACAAACCCAAATTTCCCTTTTTTAAAATTTTATATTAAGTTCCGGGACACAAGTGCAGAACATGTAGGTTTGTGACATAGGTATATGTGTGCCATGGTGGTTTGCTGCACCTATCAACCCGTCATCTAGGTTTTAAGCCCTGCATTCATTAGCTATCTGTCCTAATGCTCTTCCTCCCCTCGCCCCCCAGCCCCCAACTCGCCCCGGTGTATGTTGTTTCCCTCCCTTTGTCCATGTGTTTTCATTGTTCAATTCCCACTTATGAGTGAGAACATGCAGTGTTTGGTTTTCTTTTCCTGTTTTAGTTTGCTGAGGATGATGGCTTCCAGCTTCATCCATGTCCCTGAAAAGGACATGACCTCATTCCTTTTTATGGCTGCATAGTATTCCATGGTGTATATGTACCACATTTTTTTTATCCATTGATGGACACCAAATTTCCCTTTTTTATAACAACACCAATCATATTGGATTAGGGCCCAGACTACTGCCTTCATCTTTTTTTTCCTTCAACTTTTATTTTAAGTTCCAGAGTATATGTGCAAGATATGCAGGTCTGTTACACAGGTAAGCATGAGCCATGGTGGTTTGCTGCATCGATCAATTCATCACCTTGGTATTAAGCCCAACATCCATTAGCTATTCTTCCTGATGCTCTCCCTTCCCCTACCCCCACTCTCTAACAGGCCCCAGTGTGTGTTTCTCCTCTCCCTGTGTCCATGTGTTCTCATAGTTCAGCTCCCACTTAAAAGTGAGAACATGCAGTGTTTTGGTTTACTGTTCCTGCATTAGTTTGCTGAAGATAATGGCTTCCAGCTCCATCCATGTCCCTGCAAAGGACATGATCTTGTTCCTTTTTATGGCTGCATAGTATTCCATGGTGTATATGTACCACATTTTCTTTATCCAGCCTACCACTGATGGGCATTTGGGTTGAATCCATGTCTTTGCTATTGTGCATATTACTGCAACAAACATACACATGCATGCATCTTTGTAATAGAATAATTTATACTCCTTTGGGTATATACCTAGTAGTGGAATTGCTGGGTTAAATTTCTGCTTCTAGGTCTTTGAGGGATTCACAATTCCTCACAATCCGTCTTCCACATGGTTGAATTAATTTATACTCCTACCAACAGTATAAAAGTGTTCCTTTTTCTCTGCAACCTCAGAAGTATCAGTTGTTTTTTGACTTTGTAATAATTGCCATTGTGACTGGCATGAGATGGTATCTTATTGTGGTTTAGATTTGCATTTCTCTAATGATCAGTGATGTTCAGCTTTTTTTCATATGTTTGTTGGCTGCATAAATGTCATCTTTTGAGAAGTGTGCTGACACCATCTTAACTTGATTATCCCTACATAAAGACCATATCTCCAAATAGAGTCACATTCTGAAGTACTGGGGGTTAGGATTTCAACATATGAATTCCAGTTCAACTCATAACAGCCATAGGCTTCATTTTGTCCCTAAGAGAGAAAACTCTATGCCTACATGTATAAGAGGAGCTCCCCTGGAAGCCACTTTACATATTTTTACTACATCATTCTTTTAACAGATATAAGGCCCTCCTAAAGTATTTGAAACAGTTTGCTGTCAGAATCATAATCAAAGCCTGGTGCTAATGTCTTGTGCTCAAAACCCTCCAAGGTTTCCCACTGCCTCACTCGTCTGAGTATGCCATTCAGGGTCCTCCACACAGTGGCCCCAGCCTGAATTTCTAGCCTCACATTCCATCCTTTTCTTTAACCCATTCTAATTGGATATTCCATTGTTTCCCTCACCCACAGACCCTACATTTTTATTCAGTATTTTAATATGTTCCCTCATCCTGGAATACCCTCCAATAGCCTCTTCACTTCCGCCTATGAAGTTCCCAAGATTCTGAGATGGAAATGAGAGTGAAGATCATTTATAAGGGAATGCTGTCAGGATCAACCTGTGGAATGGAAGGAAATGAAGTCAGAGTGAGCAGAGGGAAAATCTGGGCCATAGTGTGATCACACAATGCCACAGCTAAGCCCACAAAAAGATAAAAACCCAGGATGGCCCTTCGCAGCTGTCTCCAGTGAAAACAAGAGGACCAGGCCTTTATACTCCTGTGGCAAACAGACTCTAAGATGCTCCCTGAGTCATCCCTGCCTCCTAGTGCATGTACTGAACCTGGTAACTTGCTCCTAATCAACAGAATACAGCAAAGGAAATAGGATGTCAGCTTTATGATTATATTATGCCGTATAAGACTGTCTTGCTACCAAAGTCATTCTAGAGACTCTACTTGTTGGATTGATAAGATATCCAAGTTGAGAAAGCCCATGTGGTATGGGACTGTCCGATGGCCTCCAGGAGCAAAGGGCAGCCTCCAACCAATAATCAGCAAGAAGCCAGAAGCCAGCGGCCTCATCCCTACAACAGTAAGGACATGAATTCTGCCAACAACCTGAGTTTAGAAGTGAATTCTGCCCCAGACAGGCCTCCAGATGACAATGTGTCCTGGCTGATACCTTGAAAGCCTTGTAAGACCCTATACAGATAACTCAGTAAAGCTATGTCCAGACTCCTGACCCACAGAAACTGTGAGATAATAAATATGTGTTGTTTTCAGCCATTAACTGTGTGATAATTTATTATGGATCAATTGATAACTCATACAACCCCCATTTTGAACAGTCACTGGATGCAAACTTTCTGCAGGACAGGGACGTTGCTATGGACAAGGTCCCCACTTTGGCAGAAATAGTTCCTATAAAGGGCTGACAGCTGAAGACTGGCAACCCACAGAACCCAAGGAGCTGGGTGAACAAATCTTTTGGACCTGACGGAATTGAAGGAGTGCAGCGCAGAATCGACAGCAATCCTACTCATCCTTCAAATCTCTTTCAGTGCTTTCATGGGGCTGCCATAACAAATTACCATAGACTTGGTGACTTAAAACAACAGAACTTCTTTCTATCACAGTTATAAAGACCAGAAGTTTGAAATCAAGGTGTCAGCAAAGCCATACTCACTGTGGCTGCCTAGCATTCTTCGTCTTTCCTTGGTTTGTGGCTTCATTACCCCAATCTCTGCCTCCATTTCCACATTGCTTGTCCTCCCTGTCTCTGTCTTTTCCCCTTCTGTCTCATCTGTGATCACCACAGCCAGGTATGACTTCTCTATCCTTGAAAATTCTAGAATCTTCGGTTGGCATCTCCTCTACAGCATTTTCCTTAGAGCATTTTTTACTATAGTCTTAACTTTGTTTATCCTCACCCTTACCATTGGGTTCTAAGCTACAGGGAGGTGGTATGTGTTTCATGTTCAAATTCCAACTCTGTCACTTACTACTAGTGTGTGTGACTTTGGGCAAGCTCACTGATTCATTCATTTAACACATATGTATTGAGTGCTTGCTCTGTTCTAGACATTGTACTAGGTGCTAGGGATACATCAGTGAACAAAGTCCCTTGTGGGTCTTACATTCTAAGAAAAAGGCAATAAACAAGATAAAAGTGTAAACTATATTTTATGTATTTACATATTTTATGTTAGAGAGTAATAAAGGATCTGGAAGAAACTGAAGCGGGAAGGGGGCTTAGGGAGTATGGAGTAGGGTGTAACTTCAAAAAAGTTGTCAAAGAAGACCTTAGTGAGAGGGTGAAAATTGAGTAGAAATATTAAGGTAAGTAGTTATCAAGGGGAAAGTCATCCCAAGCTGACCAAACAGCATATACAAAGGCCCTGAAGTGGGATCGTGCTTGGAGCATTCAAGTATGTCCAGAGGGAAAACAAGTGAGGGGGAGGGTAAGTGAAAGAAAGTAGGAGAAGAAGTCAGAGTGATAAGGGGCACAGTCCAGACCATGAGGGCCTTGTGGGGCATGATGAAGAGTTTGACTTTGGACATGGTAAGGAGATGAGGAGCCACTAGAGGATTGTGGGTACAGAAATGACAGGATCTCACTTACATTTGAACAGGATCACACTAGCTTCCGAGTGGAGAAAAAACTGCAGGGAGGTATGGTAGGCAGCATTCTAATATTAATTCTTTTTTATTTTATGGGCAGCATTCTAAATATGGATCCCCCACCACGCCCCCCCCAAATTTTTGTTTCCTGTTTATTCAACTAAATGCTGATCTGGGTACAGCTCTGAAGAGATTTTACAGAAATAATGAAAATTCCAAGTCAGTTGACCTTAAAGGTATGGAGATGACTTGGTTGGGCCTGACCCAATCAAGTGAGCCCTTCAAAAGTAGAGGGTTAAGATTTCATGACTAAAAGACCAAAAGCAATGGCAACGAAAGCCAAAATAGACAAACATGATTCTAATTAAACTAAAGAGCTTCTGCACAGCAAAAGAAACTATCATCAGAGTGAACAAGCAACCTACAGAATGGGAGAAAACTTTTGCAATCTATCCATCTGACAAAGGGCTAATGTCCAGAATCTACAAATAACTTAAACAAATTTACAAGAAAAAATGAACAACCCCATCAAAAAGTGGGTGAAGGATATGAACAGACACTTCTCAAAAGAAGACATTTATGCAGCCAACAGACATATTAAAAAAAAGCTCATCATCACTGATCATCAGAGAAATGCAAATCAAAACCACAATGAGATATCATCTCACACCAGTTAGAATGGCGATCATTAAAAAGTCAGGAAACAACAGGTGCTGGAGAGAATGTGGAGAAATAGGAACACTTTTACACTGTTGGTGGGACTGTAAACTAGTTCAACCATTGTGGAAGTCAGTGTGGCGATTCCTCAGGGATCTAGAACTAGAAACACCATTTGACCCAGCCATCCCATTACTGGATATATACCCAAAGGATTATAAATTATTCTACTATAAAGATACATGCACACATATGTTTATTGCAGCACTGTTCACAATAGCAAAGACTTGGAACCAACCCAAATGCCCATCAATGATAGACTGGATAAAGAAAATATGGCACATACACACCGTGGACTACTATGCAGTCATAAAAAGGATGAGTTCATGTCCTTTGCAGGGACATGGATGAAGCTGGAAACCATCATTCTCAGCAAACTATCAGAAGAACAGAAAACCGAACACTGCATGCTCTCACTCATAAGTGGGAATTGAACAATGAGAACACATGGACACAGGAAGGTGAACATCACACACCAGGGCCTGTCAGGGGGTCGGGGGCTCGGGGAAGGATAGCATTAGGAGAAATACCTAATGTAGATGATGGGTTGATGGGTGCAGCAAACCACCATGGCACGTGTATACCTATATAACAAACACTTTCTGCACATGTACCCCAGAACTTAAAGTATAATTTATTAATAATAATAAAAGCAGAGGGTTTCTCCAGCTGGTAGCAGAAGAGGGAGTTAGATGGATCTGTAGCACAAGGGGACTTTGGTATGCTATTGCTGGCTTTGAAGATGGAGAGGACTGCTTGAGAAGAAACGTGTGTAGCCTGTAGCATTCCAGAGTGACCCCCCCGCAGCCAGCAGCCAGCAAGAAAACAGGCCTCAGACTTACAGCCATGAGTATCTGGATTCTGCCTACAGCCCAGATGAGCTTGGAAGTGGATTCTGACCCCAAAGCTTTCAAGTAAGAGTCCAGCCTGGCTGACACTTTGACTTCAGCCTTGTGAAACCCTAAGCAGAGAACCCATCTGAGCCCTCTGGACTTCTGATTTACAAAACTGCAAGATAATACATGAGTGTTTTAAGTTGCTGAGTTTGTGGCAATTTATTACACAGCAATAACTGTCAAGAAAGAAGCTGAGAGGCTTGTTAAGAAACTACAGTAGTCATTCAGGCAATAGAAGACAGTGGCTCAGGCCAAAATGGTAGCCTTGAAGATGAAGAGTAGTCAGATTCCAGGTATACTTAAAAGATGTGAGATATACTTTTAAAAAAGTATATTTAAAAAGTATATTTTATACTTATTTTTTAGGTATATTTTAAAAATATACTTTAAAAAAGTGAGATATACTTAAAAAATGTTTTTAGCCTAAGAAGAGGAAGAATGAAGTTTCCATCAGCTCAGACTGGGAAGACAAGGGAAGGAGCACTTTTTAAGGAGGGGGAAGATCAGGATCTCTATTTAGAACCTGTAAAGTCTGAGATGCCTATTAAAAATATACATGGTATCTAAAGCCACAAAACTAAATGAGATCATGAGGTGAGTGAGTATAGACCAAGAAGAGAGCCAAATACTAAGCCCCGGGGTGCTGCAGAGTTAGGTGGTGAGGAAGATGTGCCAGCAAAGGTGAATGAGAAGCAGGAGCAGTTACTTAATTTCTCTGAGCCTCAGTTTTATCATCTGTATAATGTATAAACAAATAGCACCTACCTATACAGTCATTAAATTAAGTAAGTGGTTTTAAGTGCTTAGCACAGTGTCTGAGGCATAGGATGTATTCACTAAATGTTAGCTATTATTCAAGAGGGTAGACACCATCCCTCACTCATCTCTTTATCATTGTCACCTCTACCACCCTGCCTCTTTCCCACCAGCTTGCCAGCACCAAGTGCAGGGCTTTACGCACAATCATCACTAGATTAACATCTATTGAAGCGAATCTAATTCTCCATCTTAGTGTTCTAAAGCGCAGATTACGTTTTCAAGCTGGGCAAAATGAGCAAATCCTTTTGGCCTTTTGCAACTCATGATTTAAGGAGCCAAGAACAAGGAGAAGGAATGTCAGGAAGCAAACTCCGTCATTTTGGCAAGTAGCTCCTGTTGCTAAGGCACAGCCATGTTGAAGACTCCACACACGTGCTTTTCTCCCTAGATTTCCATTATGATGCAGTCATAAGTAGAAACAACATAATAACAGAGAGAAATCCAATTTTGTTGACAAGACAAGGCCACAGATATTTAGTTTTCAAATGAAGTATTCCTGTAGGGTTTATTCGTTTTCTGTTTGGAGTCATTTCTTCAGGCCCTTGAGATATTTATAAGCTCCTAACTGAAAAATACTGCCCATGGCAGGTCATAATTCTTTGACATGTGCCTTGTAGTTTCAAACAGTGACCTGAACAGTGGCTACTGGGAATACTTGTGCTTTTTCTTCCTAACTTCTCCTTTGAGACATATTTACTGAAATGCTTTATTGCCTCTGCTTTGAGAATAATTTAAAACTGCAGTTAAGCCTGTAGCAGTTAAGTAAAAGCATGCATCATTTGGATTGAATTTGTTGAGAAAGAATCAACTGTTCACTATCTGCCATGAAATTTTGAAAATTCGAGTCAATTAGCTCCTTGAAAGGAAAAACTATTCTAATTTACTCAGCAACATAGAAATGCATTCAAAAGTGCTATTCAAAGCTTCAACTTTTGCCATCTGTGTTTTAAGGTGACTAATCAATATCAGCAAAATGTGTGAATTTAATTAATTGTATCAAAACAAAAGCATTTCCAAAGTGCTCAAATCCATATGAGACCAATATGTTGACTTGTTGATGCGAATTTAATTAGTGTCTTCGAGCATAACTCCAAAAGGCCCTTTTATCTTATCACTTGTATATAAACCATTAGCACATAGTACTTGGTTTGAAATGTTTTGCTACATAATCCAAACTGTTGTCCTACCCTGGGAGAGTCTCTAATAAGCCCGATATGTTTCCACAGAGAAACTTTTGTATCCACATCAAGTAAATTTAGGCTCAACTGTTTCACAGAAAGTAACTTAAAACCAGCCTTTGAACACACAGAATAGAAGTGATTTAGTGCTTGTTCTGCCTTTCCATCACTTTCCAACATGAACAAAAGGAAAGAAATCAGATTGTGCTGGCCTAACCAGTCTCAGGAAGTATCCCAGCAAACGACTAAACTGAGTCTCAGAGCCCCACATTGCAGGGAGCGACAATGACTACAGAAGGCCATTTGTTGGGCAATATTGACTTGACAGCTTTAGGCTAAGAAATATTGCTCTGGGTGCCCCAGGAACAATTTCTCAGTAATAAGTGCATCTATCTCCCAGCTATGCCTTTTCCCTGCCTCTCCCCCAAAAAAGTTCTTAAAAGTAAAAATCATTTCAATATGGCTTTTAAGTGACTATTGTTTTGCTGTGTAGTTATAAAATTCAAGGAGGTACAATAATAAGCTAGTCTTGCGGGCTAGCCAGAGACTGTAGGCAAATAGCACATGACAACGGGGAGCAGATTCTCATGTGAGACTGAACTGGGTTCAAATCTCAGCTTTGCCCTTATTTACTTTGTGACCTTGCACATGTCAGTTACATTTCTGCACCTCAGCTTATTCATCTGTAGAGTGGGGTTAATAGTAATACTCTCTTGCATTAGTCTGCTAGGATTGCTATAACAAAGCACCACAAACTTGGAGAAAGGTTACTTAAACAACAGAAAAGTATCATCTCACAATTCTGGGGGCTAAAAGGCTGAGATCACAGTGTCTGCAGAGTTGGTTTCTCCTAGGGGCTGTGAGAGAAGGATCTCTTCCGGACCTTTTCCCTTGGCTTGTAGATGGCTGTCCTCATGTTCACATGATGTTCTCCCCACACACATGCCTGTATCCAAATTTCCCCTTTTTATAAGGACACACCTTAATCATCTCGTTTTACCTTTATTACCTCTCTAAAGGCCACATAAGATCACATCCTGAGGGACTACGGGTTAAGACTGCAACATATCAACTGGGGAGGGTCACACAATTCAGCCCATAACATGCTTCAAGTGGGTGCTGTAAGGATGTGATAAGATAATATATGTAAATTTCTTAGCTTAGTGTTTTGCTCACATAAGCACTCAACAAAAGGTAGCTAATATCAGGCACTGTGAATGTCCATACATATAGACTTTATGGGCTTAAATAATTTTTGGTACAGATGAAATCAAGCCTGTCCACATTATTCCTGGAGTCAATCTCCCTCAACAAGTAGAGAAAAGGTGAGAAAAGCTAAATCATTATAAAGAAGAAACAAGGGGACCAAACTAGGGCATGGAGATACTGCAAAAATAGAATTGTATTTAGATAGTAGGAAATTGTAAAAATTCCTCATCTCCCAGCGAGACTGTAGGAATCAATTGTCAGCTCATCAAGCAACCTTGGGAGGGAGTGAAATACACTGAAGACAACTTCAGTTCAGAAAAAGGCAAGCGTTTTAAATAGTGAGCTAACCAAAACACCAGAATGACAGTACTAGAGCCTTTAATCCTATGGACTATCTTTGGGAGGATTAGGGTCTAAGTGCAATGTGAAACATTCCCTACAGCTAGAGGAACAACTGGCTCTGCAATCGCACGTTTATCAGGTCATTTGTTTCAATAAACACAGACGTGCCCTCAATGTGCCTTCAGAAGTCAAAAAAGGAGTCAGGAAAGATCTCAGAACTCAGAGAAAACAGCGCAACAGACTCACATGAAGTATCTGCTTCATGAGTATGAATAATAGCCTTATACTTTTTGTTTTCAGAAATAATTTTTTTACCAACTTAAACCCTCTCTTTTAATATCTTCCAAGTTAAATTCTCAAAGGCCGCAAAAATATTTTTAAATAATATATGTATTCATAAAAAAAGACATATGGCCCAATCATAAAGAAATTCTGTGAGCTGGGCATGGTAGCCAGGACCTGTAGTCCCAGGACTTTGGAAGGTTGAGGTGGGAGCATCACTTGAGCCCAGGAGCTTAAGGCTGCCGTGAGCTATGGTAGTGCCACTGCACTGCAGCCTCCTGGCAGAGCAAGACCCCATCTTTAAAAAAAAGAAAAAGAGAAGTCGGGAAGGAAGGAAGGAAGGAGAGAAAGAGAGAGAGAGAGAGAAAGAAAGAAAGAGGAAAGAGAGAGAAAGAAATAGAAAGAGAGAGAGAGAAAGAAAGAGAGACAGACAGAAAGAAAAGAGAAAGAGAGACAGAGAGAAAGAAAAGAGAGAAAGAAAGAGAGACAGAGAAAGAGAAAGAAAGAAAAAGAAAGAAATAAAGAAAGAAAGAAAGAAAGAAAGAAAGAAAGAAAGAAAGAAAAAGAGAAAGAAAGAAAGGAGTTAGATGGCATTTCTCATATATTTGCTTATATACACACACTTAGGCAGAGAAAAGGGGTCCAAGGAGACAGGGAGAAAAGGGTCAAGAACACAGTCAATTCTAATTCAGAAAGAACTCAGAAAGAATATAAATTTCTGTGCAGAAAGAAAACAAAATTGGGTGCCAAGAGACTTGGCTTGTAGACCTTGACCTGTCACAAACTTACTGTAACTTTGTACAAATCATTTCTTCTCTGAACATTCATAAAATGAAGCCTGGATGATTGCTAAACTTTTCATATTTTTTTGATAATTAGCTCTTTTATGCAATAAAGTAATAAATAATATACTCTAATGAGTATTGGTTGTAGGAACTGCAGGACTCACAGTCTAAGTACATTTTTCTGTAACCTATATGCACTACCAAAATCCACTGAAATTTATTTCAAGTTTCAGAAAGGTATTCCCTCTTGAAAACCTTTGCCAGCTGCCATTTTCTTTCACATGGTAGACTCCTCATTTCCTCCCTGTGTCCTACTTTAGTAAATGGCACCACCTTCCACCTAAGTCTTTACTCCAGAAACCTGGGAGATATCCTTTATTTCTCCCTCTTCTACAACACAGCAAATCTATCCATTTCCAATTCCCACCAATTCAATTTCCTAAATATGTCTCAGATCCATCTACTCCTGTCAACTCTACTGCCACTAATCGAATCCAAGTCACATCATCTGGACTTTGGCAAAAGGCTTCATCAGTCTCCCCACTTCTACCCGTGCCCACCCTTCCCTGGTCCAGATTCCACATAATAGCTCAAGGGATCTTTTAAAAATGTAAATCAAATCATATTTGGTCCCTGCCTAAAACCCTCCAGTGATTTCCCATTGTACTCAGAAGAAAACCCAAAGACTGTAACTCTGACCTCTTTTTCCTTAATTGCCTGGGCCCCCATCACTTCTTACCTGGACCTGCTTCCCCACCTCTCCAATCCCTGCCTCATAATCCATTCCTATACAGAGCCAATGATCTCTTCTAAATATGCAATGAGTTTGTCAACTCCATGATTAAAATCCTTTAATGTCTCCCTATTAAATACTGGATTAAGTCCCGAATACTTAGCCTGGCTTGTGAGGACCTTTCATTTTCTGCCCTCCCACCCTCACAGCAACCATGCCACTTAGTTCATCGGCCTCACATTTGAACACTTCCCTCCACCCTTTCTTTGTGCCATCTCCACCAAACTGCTTTTTTTCTTTCAAAAAAGATTTTACTATGGAAAATTTCAGGCATATGCAAAAGTGAAAAGCATACTAAAATTAATCTCCCTATACTTATCATCCTGCTGCTTCAAAATTATCCAATTCCTGTCATTCTTGTTTTATCTATTTCCTCTCCTCCCCATTCCACACACTTTGGTTTTTCTGGAGCATTTTAAAGCAAACCTCAGGTATCATATAAATTTACCTGTAAATCCTCAAGTGGGCCATTTTCACAGAGGAAGACTCATCAACCTGCTTGCTGTTTTCCAAACATCTCATTCTCTCCTGTGCCTTTTCACAGTCTATTCCTTCCACCAAGTGTGGGCTTGGTTCCCTCACTTCTCTGCCTGACGAACTCCTAGGTACCCTCCAAAGCCCATCCTAAATGTTACCCTCTCTGTGAAACCTTCTCAGGTTCCTCTCTGTTGTGCTCCCACAGCACTTTGTACATATCTTACATATTTATTTATAAAATAGAAACATAATAGAATATATAAATGTAGTTCATATGATATTAATATATCATACAATATTATTGTGTATTTTATATTTCATTGAAATATTATGTAGAGTATGGTGTCGAGTCTATTGTATTCAAATTATGTGTTTGTGTGCCTGTCTCTCCTGCTAAAGGAGCTGTTTGAGGCAGAAAATGTTTCTACCTTTTCACAGCTTGAGCCCACTGCCCAATGCATATTTATACACCTAGCACTTAGCACAGTCTTTGCCACATGGTGTCTAACTTGCAAATATTTGTTGAATTAACACATTAACTAAGTGTGATATCAAAAAAGAGTATAGAATTTGCAGTCGAACATACCTGGATTTAAGTCCCAGTTCTAGCAGTTATTTACAAGCTATTTTATCTGGTAAGCCTCACTTTCCTCATCTGGCCATTGGAATAGGAACACCTACCTCCTTGGATTGTTGTGAGGATCAAATAAGACAGTAAATATAAAGGTAATCACTAAATACAAAAATCTTTCTATATGGAAGGCTTTGCTATGAACATCAACAAATATACAGTAGGACCTAAGGTATAAGGAGTGCTTAGCACAATGCCTAGCACATAGGAAGCATTCTGTGATGGTAAGCCGCCGTTATTTACATTTGAAGACTAGTCTGCTGACAGTCATCCTGCTTGTGCATACAGCTCTGAGCATGAAAAGTGATTGATGGATGACCAAACAGTCCTGTCCACACAGCAGATGCTCATCATCAGTTGGCTAGATGGCTCTGTGACTCTGCTGCTCACAGACTCTGCTGTTAGATCTGCCCAGCTGCTCTGCCTTCCTACTGCAGATTATCAACCATCTGAAACATTCCACATGGCTAGATGCCAGGGTCCAAGAGAGCTTTAAAGCTCATCCAAGATGATGGTCAAGGCTGCAGGTCCCATACATCCCAAACTGCCTGGGATAGTCTCAGGTTAGGTTTGTGGCCCAGCATAATTATCAACAGGGTCCTCTTTCACTTTCAAAAGGGTCATGGTTTGGACAATAAATTATGTGGTCATCCTAGTCAAGGTTATACTTGCTACTTAAGTTATATGTTTTCAAAGGGGAGAAAAAAAATCCTAAGTGAAGGTCTTACTAGGGCGTTTTCAACAGTAGTTTCTCTTTTTTGGCACAAGCTATCCCCTTTTTTGTGGCTCCACATGGCACATGGAAGCAGATCATTAGGGAAATTAAGAGTGGTACTAGGAGCCTGTCCCACAGCCCCCGGGTTCATTTACATCAGGAACTAGTCTACATCGGCATCGGGTCCTGTAACAGCATAAGCAGGATGTCTTCCTGGAGCTAGAGGGCATTCTTCTTGAGGCTCTACCTCCTGTACTCTTTCTGTCCACAGGCCACATTGCATGACAGTGCCTGAAGCCACACCAGGGCAGATGGTCCCCAATCCCCAGGCCTCTCCTGGACTGCCGTCTGAAGAAGATAATTTTATTCTATAGCCACTGCCCCCAGCTACTGGGCAGCTTTCAGACAAGTCTCCAATCACTCCTAGCTAACCCTGGGATTTGTAGGGGCAGAGATGAGAACCAAGGGCCAAAAACCACATTGGCTGATTTAACTGTCTCTACTTAACCTCCTCTTAACATGGCTGAGCCTGGCTTTGGCAATAGTTTGATATGATCCATTAAAAGGCCTTCTGTCAGACTAGACCACTGATATTTACATCTGTGGGTTTAGTCCCTATTAAATCTGTTTGATCATTGTGTATTGTAGGCAGAACCTCAGTGTCAGCTGTCCCCAGAGAGAAGAAGCATCACTGTGTTTCATGATGGAGCCATCATGAACCGTGCTTGATTTATATCCATTCTGTGCCCAGCAAAACAAAGGAGTCAAGGAGTTAAATGCCATGCCTCTGGTTCTCTAGTTCCCAAATTTCTGCTGGGAAAAGCAGAGCAAAAACACATGGTAGAATAATTTACCCAGATGAGGGAAAGACTGCACCTATTCATTAAATCTATGTATCACCTATACTGGACACTAAGTGTGCAGCGGTAACAAAGATGCACACCATCCCTGCTTTCATGGGACTTACAGGCAAGGGGGGAAAATAGACATCAAAACTATCATTTAAAAATGCACTAAATGATTAGAAGAATAACTAAAGAAGTGCATAAAAGAAGGGCTTAACATGGCCTGGGATGGTAAGGGGGAATTCAGGGACTGACTTTTGGAGGAAGTGGCAGTTGACCTGAGACTTGAATGATGACTAGAAATTAGCAATGTAGGAATCAACAAATATTATTCACTCAGCGAAACATTCATACATTGAGTGGGTATTTGTTGAGTGCTAACTATGGTACCAGGCTCTGTGTTGAGTGCCAAGGAAACCGTGTTGAACAAGACAGATTGTGTCCCTGCCTTCACGTAGCTTATAGTCTAGCAGAGTTCCCAGGATATTGAAGACCAGGGAGTTTTCAGACTCTCTGAGCATTTTTGTTCCCTCCCATTTTTTCCGGATAGAAAAGTGCAGAAAGGTGACCCTAAAGTTCAAGGAAACTGGTCTCAAAGCTTCTGGAACAACCCCATTCTGAGGCTGTGAGGCCAATGAGTTTGCCAAACTCACTTACTTCTTTTTGAGCCTGGAGTTTAGGTGGCAAGGAAGGCTCAGTTTTAGGTGGTTTGGACTCTGAGTCGGGAATCCCTGATCCCCTCTACGCGTACAGACACACCCTGGTTTCTGTTTCTCAGTGATTTGCAAAGTACCTCCCTGGCTCCCAGCTTCCTGAGGCTGGCATAATTACTTTGTTAAGACCTCATTTCTTTATCTATATACCCTTTAGAGATGGGCCTTTCTTTCAAAATACTCTCTATACTCTGAAGCAGATAAATTAAGTAGAAATCATTCCCAGTACCCAATAATTATTTACTTTACAAAAGGTTTTATACTGCAGAGAGGTTTTCAGTCTAGGGCATTTTCCCCAATATTTTATTATTAAAATGATAAAACCTTATAATTGATATTTTTGATAAAAATATCAATAATACTGAAATACTTATCATATCAAAAATACCAAAAATTATAAAAGAATTGTGTAATAACACACACATATACCCATAACCTATATTCCACAATTAACACTCTGCTATATTAACTTTATCACACATCTATCCATCCATTAATCTATCTATCTTACTTATGGAAGTATTTCCAAGTAAATTGCAAACATCAGTACACTTCACCCCAAAACACTACAGCACGCATTTTGAACTAGAGTTCAAAATTTTTTATCCATCTTAAGTGTATCATTCAATGAATTTTGACAAATGCATAAACCAGTATAACCCAAACTTTACCAAGGTATAGAACATTTTTATCACCCTAGCAAGGTTCCTTATGCCACCCTCTCATCTAGTAACCCCTACCCACCCACCAGTGGTAACCACTGTTACATTTTTTCACCATATATGAGTTTTGTTTATTCTAGAACATCTTGTAAATGGAATCGTAGTCTGTAATCAATTATGTCTTTCTACTTTCACTCAACATGTTTTTTAGACTCATCCATACTATTGCATGTATCAGTAGTTCACTCATTTTTATTACTGAGCAGTTTACCATTGTATGGAATGTATAACTCGTCTTCCATAAATTTTGGAAATCCCATTGCCCTCCCAAGATTTCTGTGAATTCCCTGGAAAGAAGAGCCAAGTGCCAGTAGAAGAGAACAGAATTTAGATGTCAGGGGCAATAAATGTATTTAATCCTGGGGCTATGTCAGAAAATAGGTTGGAATAGCTCAGAGACCAGGAGGGTACAGCAGGAAGACCAGTGAGGGCCCAGAAGAATCAGAAACTGGAAAATATGTGAGAGTAAGGCAGGACTTTGAGGGTCAATCTTGGGATTGCTCAATTCCAACAGTGTTTTCCCTTTGCCCCCTAGCTGAAAACTCCTGCCAGGCCAAGGCAGGTAGGGTAGGTTCTGATTAGACTCAGCCATAGCGGGAAATAAGATAATAGGGAGGGCCTGATTTGGTTAGAGTGGCCAGGGAGGACCTCTGAGGAAGCAATATGTAGACTGAGACCTAAAGAATAAGAAGGAGCCTGTCATGAAAAGAAAAGAAAAGAAAAAAAAAAAACAGAAGAGAGCATTCTGGAAAAATTGCTAGGGCAAAGACTTCAAGATGAAAAATAGGTTAAGGAAATGACGGAAAGCCAGAGTGGCTGGAGTGCAGGGAATGATAGGGAAGGCAAGGCTGAAAACAGTGGACAGATCACGAGGTCCTAGTAGGCCATAGAAGTTTTGTCTCTATCCTCATAACAAGACTCCTTAGAGGATTCTAAGGACTTTCATCTGTGTTTCTAAAAGGCCACAGTGGCCACACAATGGAAAAGGGTTTGGAGAAGGGCAAGGGCAGAAGCAGGAATTCCAGTTAGGAAGCGATTGCAGTTGTCCAAGTGAGAGATGTTTCGATTGTGGTAGTAATTGAGGAAGCAGAAATAAAGCATAAAGATAAATTTAAGAAGTAAAACTGACAGCACTTAATGATGGATATATATCTGTGAGTGTGTGTTGTGTCTAGAAAAATGTCTTGGAAAATAGCCACCAAAATCTGAACAGAGACTATCTCTGGATAGGGAGTGTATTATTAATACATTGTATTTTCTTCCTTTTGACTGTGTTTTCTAAAATTTCCACAATGGACATGGACTACTTTTGTAATTAAAAAAGGAATAAAGTTATTATATGTTTAAAATTCCTAAGGAAGATGACGTTGACCTTAACCATTGACACAAGGGTGTTCTTTGATATGCTGATCCCCTCAAGAGGCCCTCCACTCCCCAGAGAGAAAACCCCCTGGGAAACTGCCTTCAGGACCTGCAGCCCAACCCTGCAACCTTCTTGATGGCTTCACGTCTTCATCTTTTGAGAAAGGGCATAAGGTTTCATGCAACCTTCTTGATGGCTTCACGTCTTCATCTTTTGAGAAAGGGCATAGGGTTTTGGAAACAGTCATAAGCTATTTGGAACCAGATCTGTTGGAGCCTGCCTGGGGTGGGGGTGGGAGTAGGAATAGGGTTGGGGTGGAAGGCTGAATGATACTATGTTAGTTAAGGCAAGCACCACCTGTGACTCCAAAGTAGTAAGCCGTGGTTGTCTTTTTTGGTTGGTATATTGGCTCTGAAGGGAAAAGGGATATTCCAAGGAAGCCTGTTTCCAGGTGGCTTTTGAGGAATGGGAGCATCCTTAGAGGTAACCTATACAGCCTCCCAAGTTTAAAAGTCAAAATCAAGCTCATGACCTTACAGTCATTCTTTACATATTATAGGCAAACTCTCCTTTCAGAACAGCAATGAGAAATTCCTCCATCTCATCCCATTCCTTTAACCAACAGCCTGGGTTTTAGGCATTGTCCCCACATGGCACTAGTTTAATGTCAGAGACGATATTCAGAAATGTTATTAAGTACATGAATCAGAAACAAAAGAGAGAGGCCTCTTCTGGGAAAGCAGAAGACCGAAAAGTTGCCAGCACAGAAGGCCACAGCTATATTCCATGATCAAAGGATAATGGAGAAAAGTGATTGAAAAAAAAAGATTACAAAATATGAGTTTGGGCTCTTTTCCAGTTCCCTTGCTGATAACCCAAATGCTGATACCAGCCAATCAGATGTGATTTTCAATCACAGGCAGCAGCTGTTTTGGTTCTAAAAGAAAAATAATGAGTCACCTAACTTTTTTACCAATTTACGTTAAATTTTCTAAAACTTACCTCTTGTCAGTGATACATTAGATGACTCTTAGTATTTTATGGTGACGCATAAAAATAATATAATTGTGGATGTGCCATTTGCAGAACAAAGTCAGTATCTTGGGGAAAATTGCTATTGTAATTGGCTTCAATAACTATCCTGGGTTTAAGGACCCGAAATGTGTGATTGTCATGCAGAAAAACTAAACGAAGTTACAATAAGGACTTCAGTGCTAAAGTACATAACTTTCCCCAGGATCTTAGTGTCTGAGTGCTCTCCATTGGCTCTAGGCCTAGAAAGGGAAGAAAGTCACTGGTCTGCCTGACCCTCTTAATCTCTGCTTGAAAACTAGAGTTAGGATGCTGCCGAGCACTAACCTAAGACCATGGCTATCCCAAAGCACTGCAGAACTCCAGAACAGTGAAAAGATAAAACCTCACTTGTTTTGCCAAGCATTTGAACAGATTTTTGAATGTGACTCTTTATTACTTACTTGTTTAAATGGAAGAGAGATTTCTAATGCCTTATACTCTTCAGAGGAAAAGGTAAGCTCTCATGGTCTGCTTCCAGACACATCTTCCAAAACTGCAGGACTGATCATGATACTCACCTGTCAAAACACCTCTTGGTGCTCTCAGCCCACCCCACACTGCCTTCCAAATAAAATACATGAGCCTGTCAGCCAAAGCCCTCTAACTTCCTGGTTCCCAATCAACATTTCCAACTGTATTTCCCAATACAAAACACCCCTTTCACATACACTACACTCAAGGTAAATTTAAGTAATTCCTATTCCTCTAACGTGCTCCAGGCTTTCCTGCCTTATTCTCTATATCAATGTTTTCTCCAGGCCTTCTCTGTTTTGTTAAGTCCAATGGTGAATTTTCAATCCTCATCTTACTGAACATCTCAACAGCATTTAATCCCGTGACTGCTCCCTCTTTTTTGAAATTCTCTCTCCCCTTGGCTCCTGGGACACCTCACTCCCCAGAGTTTTCTCCTACCTGTGTGGCTTCCCTTTCTTCTTTATCAGGATCATTCTCCTACTCTTCACAACTTGTTGATATGGGAGTGACTGAGGACTGAGTTGAGTCCTAGGCCCCTCTTCTCTTTTCTATATTTTTTCCTTAGGTAATCTCATGTAGCCCCATGATTTGTATTTTTTTAAAAAAAAAAAAAAGAAGGAAAGAAAAGAGAACCTCTTTACAAAGGTGGTTCTCAAATTTATATCTCGAGCTCCAAACTCTATCCTAGCTCCAGACTTATGTATCCAACTGCCTACTTGTCTTCTCCACTTGAATCTTAAATTAAACAGAGGATCAATCTCCCTCTCCCCCTCCACACAGTATATCAATAAATTTGCCTCTCCCTCAATCTTCCCCATCTCAATGAATGACAATCCTAAGACAGAAGAGCTAAGGCAGAAACCTAGATCTCATTTTTGTGTTCCCCTTTCCCCACATTCCATAGATCCAGCCACTAAGGGAGAGATGCAAATTTTATGAAAGGATGAATGGCAAGTTCTGATTTACACTTGTGGAGTCTGGGGTGCCTGTTGGTCACCCAGGTGGAAATGTCAAATAGACAGTTGGACTTATGTACGTGTATCTCAGGAATGAGGTCTGGGCCAGGGATTTGGGAGTCATCTCAAATTCAAAGAACAGGGAGACGAATGACAGGAAGGCGTCTTAAGGGCCAAATCATTAGTTTGGGTGATTGAGTGGATGGTGATATCATTCACTGTGACATAGAACACCAGAGACAGAATAATTTTCAAGAAAGGTGATGGGGGTCAGGTGCGGTGGCTCATGCCTGTAATCCCAGAACTTTGGGAGGCCAAGGCAGGTGGGTCACTTGAGGTCAGGAGTTCAAGACCTGCCTGGCCAACATGGTGAAACTTCATCTCTACTAAAAAAAAACACACACACACACAAAAAATTAGCCAGGCATGGTGGTGTGTTCCTGTAATCACAGCTACTCAGGAGGCTGAGGCAAGAGAATCATTTGAACCCAGGAGACAGAGGTTGCAGTGAGCCAAGATTGCACCATTGCACTCCAACCTGGGTGACAGAGCGAGACTCCATTTCAAAAAAAAAAAAAAAAAAAAAAAAAAAAAAAAAAAAAGGTGATGGGCTTGGTCTTAGATCTGTTGGGTTTGAGATGCCCATAAGTGACCCAGATGGAAATGTTAAATAGGCAATTGCCTATGTAGTTTTGGAGCTCAGGAGAAGACCATGGCTGAGGATAAAGCCTAAGGCAACATTCACATTTAAGCCATGAAAGAAGGAAAGGGGGCCCACTAAGAAGTCTGCAAAGGAAGAACAAGAGAGGCCCAAGGAGACCCACCTCATGCTGCCAGCATACAAGAGACACCACATCAAAATATCAGAAATATAGCAGCATTCCACTCCCAGGTCCTGGTTTTCTCCCAACTTTAAACCTTCCGTTACAGTTTGGAAACTTGTAGATGCTGAATGCCAGAGCTGGATCAGAACTTAGAGATAATCAAATTCATAGTATGGAAGTGAAGTGCACAAACACTATAGCAAGAATGCCTGTTTGTCCTTAAACAGGAAATTGTCCCTCAGATTACTCATCTGTAAAATGGGTATAGCCCATTCTTCATAGGGCTGTAATGGGGATTAAACAAGCTAATATTTGTAAAGCACTTTGAGCAGTGTCTGGCACATAAGTGAACAGGATATAAATGCTTATTAAAATAAATAAAATACAATAGAATCAGCAGAAGAGATTCTGGTTTAATTGATATGAGCTGGAGCCAGGCATCAGTGTTTATTTAAAACTCCTTAGGTTATAATGTGCAGCCAGGGTTAAGACTCAATGATCTAGTCCAATGCTTCTTAAATTTTAATGTGTATAAATTCACATGGGATCTTGTTAACATACAAATTCTGATTCAGTAGAGTTGGGGCAGAGGCAGCATTTTTAACAAGCAACCCAGTGACATAGATGCTGCTGTTCCATGGACCACACATTGAGTAGCAAGGATCTGATGCAATTTCCTTTAATTTCCAATTAAGGTTAATGACTTGCCTGACATCATACAGCTTGTTAGCAGCAGAACTGATTCAAGATTCTGGCATATCTTTCTATTCTCTTTTATTTTTTAGCTCCATCTTTACTACTACCTCACACCAAACACAAAAGGTGCCCTTGATATTCAAGAGCAGCATCTCTCCATCTTTTTTCTTCACAGTGATTCTCCTGCCTTATGGGACATATCCATGCATGAAAAAGGCATAGGCAAAACTGTAGTCCCTGCTGTTTCCACATCTCTAGTCATACCTCCTCACTGTCGGCCATTTCAGGAAACAGGTTCAGGTGCGATTGAATGAGGGCAACATCAATAGAGGGTCAACTCTGAATGTGCTTAAACTTCTTGAGTCACTGAAACTTTGGTCCATTACTAGTAACATGACCACCCAAGCCCTCACCATCAGTCTTGTGGTACACATCAAGCACAAGGATAGTGCTATCTTAGAGCTTTGTTTTTAACAGGATTCCATAGCTGGGTGGTCGTTCAAGCCTGTAATCCCAAGGCTTTGGGAGGCCAAAATGGGAGGATCACTTAAGCTCAGAAGTTCGAGACCAGCCTGGGCAACATCGGGAGACCTCTTCTCTACAAAAAAATAAAAAATAAAAATTAGCTGGGCATGGTGGCATGCACCTGTAGTTCCAGGTACACTGGAGGCTGAGGCAAGAAGGTGACTTGAGCCCAGGAGATTGAGGCTTCAGTGAACTATGATGGCACCACTGCATTCCAGCCTGGGTGACACTGCAAGACCCTGTCTATAATAAATAGATAGATAAACAAATAAATAAATAAATAAATAAATAGGATTTCTCATGGTGACTCCTTTTTTTAAAGCGAATCATCTTAACAAGGGAAAAAAATTGTCCTCTTAGATAGAACATCTGTGGGCATGTGGACTTTTATAGCTCAGGGTTACTTGAAATGGGCTGTGCCAATGGTGTTTGGTGGCCATAGATTATAAGGAATCTGGGTGGCTGTGTGAGCCCCAAGGCCTGGCGAGGTGGGGGAGGGGAGTTTTACTCTTTGCTGCTAGCAGCCTCTGGAAGACACAGCTCCACCAGATTCTTCCCCCTCCCCAGCAGCCACATCCCTGGCTTTCCCAGAGGTCTTTCTCCCATCAGCTGCTCCACCTGCTACTCAACTCATTTAAATGTCAAACCAGCTTCACCAATTAGCACCGGCCCAACCATCCAGAGCCTGAAAAGGAATGAGATGTAAATGCAAAAGTCAGGATGAAGAAGCCCCTATAAAATGCCTCCCCTGAACAATGTGCAGGTTTATTACATATGTGTACATGTGCCATGTTGGTGTGCTGCACCCACTAACTCGTCATTTATGTGCACACCAACATGGCACATGTATACATACGTAACAAACCTGTACATTGTGCACATGTACCCTAGAACTTAAAGTATAATAATAAAAAAAACAATAAAAAAAATGCCTCCGCTGGCCCGCTCTTGTGTTTCTTCAACGTAGAAAGGCTTTTTCATAAGATGCTGTGGGAGCAGGGAGGGTGACACATGAGCAACAGAAAGCAAATAGGGCCAAGTAAGACCTTAGTGATCTTTTCAGGTTCTCTTTGCAAAGCTGTATTGAATTTTCTCTGGAAACCTTATGACATTCAACAGGGGAAATAAAAGTACTGCTGTGAAGTGTTCACATGGGGATTGTTAATAAGCAGTACATTCAACTGTTTGTATGGATTAATCAGACTCATTACAAGAGAAATGTTGATAATTGTGTCCAAATGTGCTTAGGTTTTATGACAGATACAAGAGTCACCTGGGACTTTCCTGAGATGGCCATATGCACCCCGATTTGGACTGCAGATGATATTTAAGTATCAGGCACTAGGATCAAATGGCTGCTTTATGACAGACAACAGTCTACACTTTCTTAAGTTTTTCAACTGAGTCAAACTGGTAATGCCATATCAAGGCAGCAAAATGATAGTTGTAATTAGCACTACTATTTTGGACCTCAGTTCCTCAAAGTTACCTCAAGAGAAATGGTCCTCACTTCTGTTTGCCCTCCATCTTAAAGTGTAGAAGCACGCACTCCCAGCTCCCAGGCCTGCTGCCACCAATTCTTGTCACTAGCAATGATGCTCAAGAAAGAAGAAATGTCCCAGGGAAAAATCAGGCAGCAAAAGTCAGACTGAATAATTCAGGGCTGGAAGACCCAGAGTCAAGTCCATGATCTGCCACTAATTCACCTGGTAACCCCTCTGGCACTCTCTCAGCCTCAGTTTTCTCATCAGTAAAATGCAGGGAGTAAATGAGGTCAGCTCAGACATGACATCCAGATCCTACCTGCTAGTGTTTCTCCAGATCCAGTTTACTTTCTCTTAACTGTCATTGCACCACCACTGAAGCACATGTGCCTAATATATTTGTGCTCAGATTCCTGCTTCCCACTAAAGGGCCAAAGTCTCCAAAACTGGAGGAAGGATGCTGTTGATCATCCGTAGATTTGTTTCAGCCTTTGCAGACCAATTCCCCAAGGTCTCCAGAATTTCTATTCTAAACATGTTTGTAAGGCAGAACTTTCACAAGTCTACAGTGAGCAGGTTTTAGTACTTAACATATGGATTAGGAATTTGAGTCAGAGAAAAATCTCAAGACATCAGGTCCAACAGAGCAGACAGATCTGTGTTTGCATCCAAACTCCACCCCATCCTAACTGTGTGACCCTGAGCACATTACATAACCCCCCAGAGTCCCAGTTTCCTCACCTGTAAAATGGGGATGCTATTAATAGTACCTACCCCACTGAGTTCTGCTGAAGATTAAAAGAGACAAGATATATGCCCTTCCCAAAGCACGGTGAACATTCACTAAAGGGCAGGTCTGATGATCAAGCTTTTCATTGCCCTCCTGCACATGCAACAGTTGGAGGAGCAGATGTCTTCCTGTCTGCTTGAAGTTCTTACACACCCATATATCTCTCATAGGTCCTCAAACAGAAATGCTGGCAGTGCTGCTGGATGCAGGTGGAGAATGAATGGGACAAACCCACATGAAGAAAGAAAAAGAAAGGCAGGACCAAGAAAAAAGAAAGAAGGCAAGGGACATTTCATAGGATTTTAGGTGATACTTTGTCTACTTATGGCTTTTGAATCCCTTGTTTTGAGGTTGTGGTTGTGACTATGACTGTGGTTGTTTCGAAGATGGAACTTTTTTCCCTTTTGCCCAGAAACTAGCTGGGAAATTCCCTATGGGTGGGGCAGAAGAACAATTAGGTTCATTCCTTTATGGCACCTGTTGGATTAAAGTTCAAATTATTTAGTCCAAGCAACATGGAAGCCCGAAAACTTCTGGAGAAAGTTCTGCTGGCTCCCTCCTTCATTTTAGGGCCCTAAACTGAACTTAGCAGAATACATTACTTGGAAGTGTGCTATTTTGCTCTCTCACCCATCAAATTCAAACTCAAGATCATCTAAGCCTTTCTTAGATGCCTAAGATGAGAGTCATTCCCTCTCTTCCTTCACTGGCCCAACGAAATTTTCTTTCCAATCTTTTGTTGGAACTTCTGAGAAATGACAATGCAGAATATTGGTGCCGAGAAGCATTTTGCTCTGCAATTGTTTTCATTTTTCCTTTTAGAAGCAATAGCAATTGAAGAAAAATGAAGTTGGATTATCTTAAGATAGGAAAAAAAATGTATGACCAAATAAAAAAAAATCACAAAATGTTCTTCTTTGCACTGAGAAAAACAAATCTTTTACTTCTCTCTTGGGGTCCAAAAGCCCTCATACAGCATATGGTGTCTGGGCACTTCATAAATATTGTTTAATGGGATGGTGATGATGATGATGATGATGATGATGATGATAATTTTAATGGTAAGAACAAATGCCTCCCCACCATGCACATGTCTTAGCTTTCTTTTCTGTAACAGAACTAGTGTTTTTCCTTCCCATCTTTCCCTATAGATCACCTTTTCTAGGGAATATCAAAGAAGGGTTCAGAGCAGGGGATTCAAGTCCTGACCCTGCAACTTACCTGCTGTGTGTCATCAGACAAGTTATTTAGACTCTGTGTACTTCAGTTTCTTCGTCTTGAAATACATTTCTTCCCCAGTTTTGCTGTGCTGATTAGAGTGATGTAACATGGGCTAAGAACCTGACATACAGAAGTTGCTCGAGAGCTGCTTGCATGACAACCCTTTACTGTAAGGACCGTGACAAATGTTTGACACCAAAGACACTCCATCGACCCCTACTTATTCAGGGAAACAGTCAGAAAATCCTCTACCCTTAACATTGAATACTTTTTTTTCTCTTTTGAAATGTCACCAAACTGCTTGTTTGCCCCCTTGCAGCCAACCAAGGACTGCCAAATATACCTGAAGACCGTTTACAAAGTCTCCCCTCATTCTAAAATTCCCATTCTAATAAAATGTTTGCCAATCAGAGGCTTTCTCAGTATCTCCTCTTTTATATTCTAGAACTTACTGTCCTTTCTAACACTTTTGTACCCCCACTAAAACGAAAATGATGGCCACAAGTTTATGAATAAACAGCCTTTGTCAAATTTTCTCAGATTTTTTTTTTTACAAGCTCAGGAAAAAGTAGCTATGTTGATTCATAGTTCTAAACCCCTCCCAGTTGCCAAATGTTTTATATCGAACGCTCAATAGGGCCTTGCACATAGAAGGCACACGATCCATATTCATGAAATAGTTAATTGTATGTTAATAATTATTCTATCCAGTATTTGTTAAGCCTTCTATGTCACTAACCAGTGTGCTAGAGGTTTTCATACACAATCCCTCTTTTTATTATATTATTGACAAGCTAAATCTTATACAGTTTGAAAACCTGTTCATTATTTTTTAGAGGTTGTGTTAACAGAAAGAAAGGGGGGGGCTCTTGTGTCTATGAAAACTGAGATTTGGAGAAAATCCCAAGCCCAAGACATTTTTGACTTATACTTCAGCTACGGGTTTTCGTCAGCACGCAGGAATCAGGACAAATTAAATAATGTTCTTCTCTCTTCTCTCATTTTGCTAATTCATGAAGTGCACTCTCCCTAATTGCCTTCAGAATCTTTTCAAATGTTATGCTGTGTGGGAATGTAAGGTAGGGTCAGTGGAGGAAAGATCCCTTTAAAATGAGATGTATCCAATGTTCATTGATAGATGAATGGATAGATGAAATGTAAAATATCTATATAATAGAATCTTACTCAGCCTTCAGAAGAAAAGAAATTCTGCATTATGCTAAGTAAAAGAAGCCAGTCACAAAAAGACAAATACTGTATGATTCCACTTACATGAGATAACTAGAGTAGTCAAATTCATAGAGACTGAGGGAAGGGGGGAATAAGAGTTGGTATTTCAAGGGTCTAAAGTTCAGTTTGGGAAGCTGAAAAAGTTCTGGAGATCTGTCGTACAAAAATGTGAATATACTTAACATTACTGGACTACATACTAAAAAATAGGATGGTAAGTTTCATGTTATGTGCTTTTTATCACAATAAAGGAATGGAAGATGAAGATTCCATAGTGGTCAGAGAGCCTTGGTGGAGTGGAATAAATCCAACAGGCACAGGCATCTCCCATGGTGCCTTTCCTTTCAAATGAAGGCCTGTATTCAACAGACATACCTCTCTTCCATTAGCATGACTTCTGGATCTTCTTAATTTATGATCCTGCTAGTGAGCTTTACTTCAGGGTAGGAGGCTAAGGAGGCAGAAGTGTATGAGACAAGAATTTTCCCACCAGTTGTCTTCCAATTGATACTGAGAAATTTTCTACTCCCGCTAAAGAACAGCAAGGAGAAATTTGCAGCTGCTCATCTCAACCATATCTCTTATTACCAGGAGCTCTCTCAAAGTCACTCCACGTGAACTTTTGCCTAAGTTTGTGCATCAACTAAGTCACTTTCTGCAAATGAAACATATTCATAACACATTTTTTAAACCCCAGAGCCTACTTTTAAATATCCTCATTACTGTAAAACTCATCAGTTTAAAAAAAGGGACTCCAAGGCAAAAGTGACCTAACAGCACAAAATTGATGGGCACAGAGTGACTTGGAGAGAAAAAAAAATCTCAGCTCCAGTTAAAATTTCACCTTGTTGATCCTGGGTTTTTCGTTTGTTTATTTGTTTTTGTGTGGTGATTTCTGACCAGTCTGGTATGTTTTAATTTATTATAGTGTTCATATAAACAAGGCAGTTAATTGTCCAAATGTTTTAAATATTTCCAGCCTAATTGAGGGGAATATCAATATGGTTTTTTGACCCCTAACCATTTACATAATAAACTCTAAACAAATCTCTCATTACCAACTTCCCTAAAAAACAAACATTACCTGCTAAAAATGGAAATCCCACAAACAGACGGAGATGGGCAGTCCCAAATCACCTTCATTCTGTCCTCATAGTTTCGTCTGCCCAAGACCTTGCCTCTCCCTCCTCCACTCCCACATCCCCTGCCTGAAGCAGTGCCATCCTATCAGTGGATGCTTACAAAATAGTCCTCTAATCATTTCTTGACCATTGGATGTTTGCTTAATAGTAGTAATAGCAGCAGCAGTGATGATGATGATGATGATGATGATGATGATGATGATGACGATGATGATAGCTACAATTAGTTGAGTCCTTAATATGTGCCAGGCATGGCACTACATTTTTTTATGTACATGGTCTCCTTCAATACTCATAAAAAGTACTATATTGTGAAGTAGGTATTACTGTTACCTCACTTTACAGATAAAGAAAATTAGCTCAAAACTCAACAGAACTAGTAAGTGAAACTAGGTCTGTCTGATCCTTTCTGCTTTCCCACATCACCCCTAAGAATTGTGTTTTCAGGCTGGATGTGGTGGCTCACGCCTGTAATTCCAACACTTTGGGAGGCTGAGGTGGGAAGATTGCTTGAAACCAAGAGTTTGAAGCCAGCCTTACCAAAGTAATGAGACACAGTCCATACAAAAAATTTAAAAATTAGCCAGGTGTGGTGGCAGAGCCTATGGTAGCTAATAGGGAGGCCTGAGTGGGAGAATCACTTGAGCCTGGGAAATGGAGGCTGCAGTGAGCCATGATCATGCCACTGCATTCCAGCCTGGGTGACATAAGAGAGACCCTGTCTCAGGAAAAAAAAAAAAAAAAAAAACGGAGCTCGAGCCAAGATGGCTGAATAGGAACAGCTCTGGTCTACAGCTCCCAGCGTGAGCGACGCAGAAGACGGGTGATTTCTGCATTTCCATCTGAGGTACCGGGTTCATCTCACTAGGGAGTGCCAGACAGTGGGTGCAGGACAGTGGGTGCAGCGCACCATGCGCGAGCCAAAGCATGGCGAGGCATTGCCTCACTCGGGAAGTGCAAGGGGTCAGGGAGTTCCCTTTCCTAGTCAAAGAAAGGGGTGACAGAGGGCACCTGGAAAATCGGGTCACTCCCACCCCAATACTGCACTTTTCCAACAGTCTTAGCAAACAGCACACCAGGAGATTATATCCCGCACATGGCTCGGAGGGTCCTACGCCCACAGAGTCTCGCTGATTGCTAGCACAGCAGTCTGAGATCAAACTGCAAGGCGGCAGCGAGGCTAGGGGAGGGGCGCCCGCCATTGCCCAGGCTTGCTTAGGTAAACAAAGCAGCGGGGAAGCTCGAACTGGGTGGAGTCCACCACAGCTCAAGGAGGCCTGCCTGCCTCTGTAGGCTCCACGTCTGGGGGCAGGGCACAGACAAACAAGAAGACAGCAGTAACCTCTGCAGACTTAAATGTCCCTGTCTGACAGCTTTGAGGAGAGCAGTGGTTCTCCCAGCATGCAGCTAGAGATCTGAGAACGGGCAGACTGCCTCCTCAAGTGGGTCCCTGAACCCTGACCCACGAGCAACCTAACTGGGAGGCACCCCCCAGTAGGGGCAGACTGACACCTCACACGGCCGGGTACTCCTCTGAGACAAAACTTCCAGAGGAACGATCAGACAGCAGCATCCGCGGTTCACGAAAATCTGGTCTTCTGCAGTCACTGCTGCTGGTACCCAGGCAAACAGGGTCTGGAGTGGACCTCTAGCAAACTCCAACAGACCTGCAGCTGAGGGTCCTGTCTGTTAGAAGGAAAACTAACAAACAGAAAGGACATCCACACCAAAAACCCATCTGTACATCACCATCATCAAAGACCAAAAGTAGATAAAACCACTAAGATGGGGAAAAAACAGAGCAGAAAAACTGGAAACTCAAAAGCAGAGCGCCTCTCCTCCTCCAAAGGACTGCAGCTCCTCACTAGCAATGGAACAAAGCTGGATGGAGAATGACTTTGACGAGTTGAGAGAAGAAGGCTTCAGATGATCAAACTACTCTGAGCTACAGGAGGAAATTCAAACCAAACGCAAAGAAGTTGAAAATTTGAAAAAAATTTAGACGAATGTATAACTAGAATAACCAATACAGAGAAGTGCTTAAAGGAGCTGATGGAGCTGAAAGCCAAGGCTCGAGAACTACGTGAAGAATGTAGAAGCCTCAGGAGCCAGTGCGATCAACTGGAAGAAAGGATATCAGTGATGGAAGATCAAATGAATGAAATGAAGCAAGAAGGGAAGTTTAGAGAAAAAAGAATAAAAAGAAACGAACAAAGCCTACAAGAAATATGGGACTATGTGAAAAAAACAAATCTACATCTGATTGGTGTACCTGAAAGTGACGGGGAGAATGGAACCAAGTTGGAAAACACTCTGCAGGATATTATCTGGGAGAACTTCCCCAATCTAGCAAGGCAGGCCAAAATTCAGATTCAGGAAATACAGAGAACACCTCAAAGATACTCCTTGAGAAGAGCAACTCCAAGACACATAATTGTCAGATTCACCAAAGTTGAAATGAAGGAAAAAATGTTAAGGGAAGTCAGAGAGAAAAATTGGGTTACCCACAAAGGGAAGCCCATCACACTAACAGTGGATCTCTCCGCAGAAACTCCACAAGCCAGAAGAAGGGGCCCAATATTCAACATTCTTAAAGAAAAGAATTTTCAACCCAGAATTTCATATCCAGCCAAACTAAGCTTCATAAGTGAAGGAGAAATAAAATCCTTTACAGACAAGCAAATGCTGAGAGATTTTGTCACCACCAGACCTGCCCTAAAAGAGCTCCTGAAGGAAGCACTAAACATGGAAAGGAACAACCATTACTAGCCACTGCAAAATCATGCCAAATTGTAAAGACCATCGAGACTAGGAAGAAACTGCATCAACTAACAAGCAAAATAACCAGTTAACATCATAATGACAGGATCAAATTCACACATAACAATATTAACTTTAAATGTAAATGGACTAAGTGCTCCAATTAAAAGACACAGGCTGGCAAATTGGATAAAGAGTCAAGACCCATCAGTGTGCTGTATTCAGGAAAACCATCTCATGTGCAGAGACACCCATAGGCTCAAAATAAAAGGATGGAGGAAGATCTACCAAGCAAATGGAAAACAAAAAAAGGCAGGGGTTGCAAACCTAGTCTCTGATAAAACAGATTTTAAACCAACAAAGATCAAAAGAGACAAAGAAGGCCATTACATAATGGTAAAGGGATCAATTCGACAAGAAGAGCTAACTATCTTAAATATATATGCACCCAATACAGGAGCACCCAGATTCATAAAGCAAGTCCTGAGTGACCTACAAAGAGACTTAGACTCCCACACAATAATAATAGGAGACTTTAACACCCCACTGTCAACATTAGACAGATCAACGAGACAGAAAGTTAACAAGGATATCCAGGAATTGAACTCAGCTCTGCACCAAGCAGACCTAATAGACATCTACAGAACTCTCCACCCCAAATCAACAGAATATACATTTTTTTTCAGCACCACGCCACGCCTATTCCAAAATTGACCACATAGTTGGAAGTAAAGCTCTCCTCAGCAAATGTAAAAGATCAGAAATTATAACAAACTGTCTCTCAGACTACAGTGCAATCAAACTAGAACTCAGGATTAAGAAACTCCCTCAAAACCGCTCAACTCCATGGAAACTGAACAACCTGCTCCTGAATGACTACTGGGTACATAACAAAATGAAGGCAGAAATAAAGATGTTCTTTGAAACCAACGAGAACAAAGACACAACATACCAGAATCTCTGGGACACATTCAAAGCAGTGCGTAGAGGGAAATTTATAGCACTAAATGCCCACAAGAGAAAGCAGGAAAGATCCAAAATTGACACCCTAACATCACAATTAAAAGAACTAGAAAAACAAGAGCAAACACATTCAAAAGCTAGCAGAAAGCAAGAAATAACTAAGATCAGAGCAGAACTGAAGGAAATAGAGACATAAAAAACCCTTCAAAAAATTAATGAATCCAGGAGCTGGTTTTCTGAAAGGATCAACAAAATTGATAGACTGCTAGCAAGACTAATAAAGAAGAAAAGAGAGAAGAATCAAATAGATGCAATAAAAAATGATAAAGGGGATATCACCACCGATCCCACAGAAATACAAACTACCATCAGAGAATACTACAAACACCTCTATGCAAATAAACTAGAAAATCTAGAAGAAATGGATAAATTCCTCAACACATACACTCTCCCAAGACTAAACCAGGAAGAAGTTGACTCTCAGAATAGATCAATAACAGGAGCTGAAATTGTGGCAATAATCAATAGCTTAGCAACCAAAAAGAGTCCAGGACCAGATGGATTCACAGCCGAATTCTACCAGAGGTACAAGGAGGAACTGGTACCATTCCTTCTGAAACTATTCCAATCAATAGAAAAAGAGGAAATCCTCCCTAACTCATTTTGTGAGGCCAGCATCATCCTGATACCAAAGCCGGGCAGAGACACAACAAAAAAGAGAATTTTAGACCAATATCCTTGATGAACGTTGATGCAAAAATCCTCAGTAAAATACTGGCAAACCGAATCCAGCAGCACATCAAAAAGCTTATCCACCATGATCAAGTGGGCTTCATCCCTGGGATGCAAGGCTGGTTCAATATATGCAAATCAATAAATGTAATCCAGCATATAAAGAGAACCAAAAACAAAAACCACATGATTATCTCAATAGATGCAGAAAAGGCCTTTGACAAAATTCAACAACCCTTCATGCTAAAATCTCTCAAAAAATTAGGTATTGATGGGACGTATCTCAAAATAATAAGAGCTATCTATGACAAACCCACAGCCAATATCATACTGAATGGGCAAAAACTGGAAGCATTCCCTTTGAAAACCGGCACAAGACAGGGATGCCCTCTCTCACCACTCCTGTTCAACATAGTGTTGGAAGTTCTGGCCAGGGCAATTAGGCAGGAGAAGGAAATAAAGGGTATTCAATTAGGAAAAGAGGAAGTCAACTTGTCCCTGTTTGCAGACGACATGATTGTATACCTAGAAAACCCCATTGTCTCAGCCCAAAATCTCCTTAAGCTGATAAGCAACTTCAGCCAAGTCTCAGGATACAAAATCAATGTACAAAAGTCACAAGCATTCTTATACACCAATAACAGACAAACAGAGAGCCAAATCATGAGTGAACTCCCATTCACAATTGCTTCAAAGAGAATAAAATACCTAGGAATCCAACTTACAAGGGACGTAAAGGACCTCTTCAAGGAGAACTACAAACCACTGCTCAATGAAATAAAAGAGGATACAAACAAATGGAAGAACATTCCATGCTCATGGGTAGGAAGAATCAATATCGTGAAAATGGCCATACTGCCCAAGGTAATTTATAGATTCAATGCCATCCTCATCAAGCTACCAATGACTTTCTTCACAGAATTGGAAAAAACTAATTTAAAGTTCATATGGAACCAAAAAAGAGCCCGCATCACCAAGTCAATCCTAAGCCAAAAGAACAAAGCTGGAGGCATCACACTACCTGACTTCAAACTATACTACAAGGCTACAGTAACCAAAACAGCATGGTACTGGTACCAAAACAGAGATATAGATCAATGGAACACAACAGAGCCCTCAGAAATAACGCCGCATATCTACAACTATCTGATCTTTGACAAACGTGAGAAAAACAAGAAATGGGGAAAGGATTCCCTATTTAATAAATGGTGCTGGGAAAACTGGCTAGCCATATGTAGAAAGCTGAAACTGGGTCCCTTCCTTACACCTTATACAAAAATTAATTCAAGATGGATTAAAGGCTTAAAGTTGGACCTAAAACCATAAAAACCCTAGAAGAAAACCTAGGCATTACCATTCAGGACATAGGCATGGGCAAGGACTTCATGTCTAAAACACCAAAAGCAATGGCAACAAAAGCCAAAATTGACAAATGGGATCTCATTAAACTAAAGAGCTTCTGCACAGCAAAAGAAACTACCATCAGAGTGAACAGGCAACCTACAAAATGGGAGAAAATTTTCTCAACCTACTCATCTGACAAAGGGCTAATATCCAGAATCTACAATGAACTCAAACAAATTTACAAGAAAAAAACAAACAACTCCATCAAAAAGTGGGCAAAGAACATGAACAGACACTTCTCAAAAGAAGACATTTATGCAGCCAAAAACACATGAAAAAATGCTCACCATCACTGGCCATCAGAGAAATGCAAATCAAAACCACTATGAGATACCATCTCACACCAGTTAGAATGGCAATCACTAAAAAGTCAGGAAACAACAGGTGCTGGAGAGGATGTGGAGAAATAGGAACACTTTTACACTGTTGGTGGGACTGTAAACTAGTTCAACCATCGTGGAAGTCAGTGTGGCGATTCCTCAGGGATCTAGAACTAGAAATACCATTTGACCCAGCCATCCCATTACTGGGTATATACCCAAAGGACTATAAATCATGCTGCTAAAAAGACACATGCACACGTATGTTTATTGCAGCACTATTCACAATAGCAAAGACTTGGAACCAACCCAAATGTCCAACAATGATAGACTGGATTAAGAAAATGTGGCACATATACACCATGGAATACTATGCAGCCATAAAAAATGATGAGTTCATGTCCTTTGTAGGAACATGGATGAAATTGGAAATCATCATTCTCAGTAAACTATCGCAAGAACAAAAAACCAAACACCGCGTATTCTCACTCATAGGTGGGAATTGAACAATGAGAACACATGAACACAGGAAGGGGAACATCACACTCTGGGGACTGTTTTGGGGTGGGGGAAGGGGGGAGGGATAGCTTTAGGAGATATACCTAATGCTAAATGATGAGTTAATGGGTGCAGCACACCAGCATGGCACATGTATACATATGTAACTAACCTGCACAATGTGCACATGTACCCTAAAACTTAAAGTATAATAATAATAAAACAAAATTTAAAAAAACAAGAATTGTGTTTTCAGAATGGGCAAATATTATAAAGAGCTCCAGGTGTTATATCCCACATTCATATAACAGATGAATACAAAGTCAAATATGGTTTCTGTTTTTCAACCAACCACCAAAACCAAGTGAATGATACCACTCTGAGTTGTACCCATGGGAGGATATACACTGATTTCAAGGACATAAACAGTGCTCCAAACTTTCTGCTGCACTTTTTGTCACAATGTCCTCCAAAACTCACTTTTAAGCCACACAAGAAAGTCCTTCCCAGAGAGACACAGCTCCTTTCTAAATCCAAAACATTCATCACCGAGCATGATTACCCACCTTATCCACCAGTGTGGGCCCTGATGACTTCTAGCTGTTTGTTCAAATATAGCCTATTCTGAGGACAAAGATTTGTCACCACTGAGGAGATTCAAAGGAATGTGCGACAGACTCTGAAGGCAATTTGACAATTGGGTTTCTTCCTCCTTTTCAACATTTAGCATTTGGTTTGCCCTTTCAAAATTTTGTGGTGAACAGGCAATGAGAAATCAGGTTTCTTTCTGAATTGAAAAACTTTTCCCTGAAAAATTCCTCAAAGTGTAATGATAAGTTCCAGAAAGTGTGCACTCTCCAAGAGACATTCATAGACCCTGGAAGGGCTATAAGTGGAAACCAGTTGCTATTTGGCCTTTGATTTGGAGTGGCCAGAATCCAGCTGGCTTCCTGGGGGTTATTCACAGTGAAACAGGAAAAAACTACTTCTCACTGCAACTCTCCTTCACTTTTTACTCCAGTAACAAGTTAATTTATGGTATACAACTCTATTCATAATCTGTCTGATGTATGTCTGTGAGAGGAGAGAACAAGCTCCTTTGCTAGGTGGCCTCTTGGAGACAAATGGGCACTGGCAAACCGATTGCCAGTTGGCCGTCCTTGCCACCACCTTTAAATACATCTTTCAAGCTGTCTCTCCTGCCCCTACTGATAAAATATTCTAGCATATTTATTGCCCAGGAAGTAGTCATCTCAACATAAGCTTGATGTACCAAACCACATTGCTAAGTAAGATATATGTTTCATGGATCAATTACCTTCATGCAAATAGCATATTACTTTAATTTAACACTCTCATTAAGTCTCGAGCTTTTTGCATTTGAGTGCGACAAAGGACACAAGGAAGAATTGTTTTTTGGTGCTGGGCATATTATGCCAACCTAACATCCCCGGGCCAAACAATGAGACTTTCTGGATGTGGGAGTTGCAAAAAAAACAAAAAGAAAAAAAAGGCAGGGAGGGACTTCAAAATAGCCTGAGCAAGCAATGGCCAACCAACCTATGGCTAACCTTTGAGCAAGTGTGGAAGAAAACCAAAAGCCATTCTGAATGGGATTGATGCCATAATTAAACGTCATGTCATATCCCTTGGATTACATATTGCCTTTGAAATTCTGGGAGCACTGTAATCAACAAGCAATGGAGAAAAAGGGTTTCATGATCTTTTTTCTCCAGTAAAGCAAACAGTGGATTGAACCATTTGTCAGAGGCACTAGTGATGTCTAGCATTTGCCTGTAGATTCTATTGAAAATCTCACTCTGAATAATCCAGGAAACAATATTTTTGGCAATTTACTGGGGGGCTTACTGAACTCTTGAACTTTTCTACCACCTTTCTCTTCTCACTTTTCATTCCCAGCCTCCCACGTTTCTCTCTATCTCTGATAGCCAACTGAATTAACTCTTATAGACCTCAAGAAGTTGGTCTAAGATGCTACTCTGTGTTAATATGCAGTCTTTTGTGTCTGTCTTAAACCTGTGTTTAACTTTGTAAGGTAACAAATTCAAGTGAAACCCAGCTGAGACACCCAACTGAGGATCTGGTGTGAAAAGCACATTATCAACTAAATGTGTCTATAATATTCTCGTTAGTGAGTAAAATTCACATCCCTATATGAACTGGAAATGCTCAATTTCTTCCCCAGGGTTTTCCCTCTTGCTAGGCTGCCTTCAGCAGAGTTAAGGCACAGTAAAACATCTCTTGTTTCTGTGTGTGAGTATGCAAGCCTCTAAGAGCTCTTTAGTCATTCTCCTCCTCAGTCTGGCTTTTAATATTCCTCAAGGGAGAGAAATTTGTTTCACATGTAACCTGAGAACATGACAATGTCCAAATCATTTTATATGCCAGTGAAATGTTGTAATAAGCACTGTTAGAAAGTTACCAAGGTCCATAAACGTCACCCATGCTTGCTGCACATTTGCTCTATTTCCATGATCCATCTGCATGAAGAAAAGTTTTAGAATAGGTGCAGTGGCTCAAGCTTGTAATCCCAGTGCTTTAGGAGGCCAAATCAGGAGGATCATTTGAGCCCAGGAGTTCAAGACCAGCCTGGGCAACATAGTAAGACCTTGCCTCTGAAAAAAAAAAAAAAAATTAGTTGAGCATGGTGGTGCATGCCTGTGGCCCCAGCTATTCAGGAGCCTGAGGTGGGAGGATCACTTGAGTCTGCAAGGTCAAGACTGCAGTGAGCCGTGATTGCACTGCTGCACTCTAGCCTGGGTGACAGAATGAGACCCTGTGTCAAAAACAAGCAAAAAAAGAATGAAAGAAAAGTTTTAGCAATATTAATGTGGCATTATAACTCTGAATGCATTCGGTTTTCTTTGTTTATAAATAGAAACAGGAAGACCTAGGTTATAAGGCTGAATGCCTGGCTGTGGAAGCAGGTCCTTCTTTTTCTGCCATGTTATTTTCTTCCCATAAAGACCGTTGGTTCTTGGGAAATTTGCTTCTTGGTGAGCCACATGAAAACTCAAATTGATAATGAGGAATTTGCATTTTCACTAGCTCACGGGAGACTGTCAGCCAGAGAGAGAACATTCCCAGTTTGCCATTTTTCAGGCCAGCATGTGGTCTGCCACTAGTGAATCACAGATCATGAGTACAATTCCTCTCAACAGCTGCATTTGCTGCAGTGGAAGTTTGTGGAAACACCACATTTGGCAAAGAGTAATTCTACATAAAGTTCCCTGGTACTGAGACCAGATTTTTTTTCCCTGCACCTCTCTTCAAAATGTCTCATATTAGTTTAGAAAATCAAGTAGTGAAACAGCTTCTAATGGCATTCCCATAACCTGTCAGCAGCCCCAAAGTCAAGTTATAAGAGCCACTCGCAGAGCCCTTGTAGACTTGTTTAGAGAATTCCTTTCCTTTGTACTACAGCAGAGACCTAATAATACCCATTTAGGTAAAATGCTTCACCAGTTCAATATCCTGCCTGGATATTGCTGCAAATTCTCCCTGCGCCATTCTTTAGGAGGAGTAAGAAATTTATAAATATCAATTGGTAACCATTTAAAGCATGCATTGATGAAAGACTTTGTGAGTAATGGTTATGGGTACAGCCCTGGGAGGGTTGCTGAATACACACTTTGACTTGATGAAGTTTTTATGATTCTGAGACAAGCCAGAAATCTATTCCCAGCCCGGAACCATTGAAAAGATGTGAGTACATCTTCAGTAAAGTCAATATAAAGTGAATATAGTCTCGCTTTTTCAGTTGTTGCTAAGAGATTTCTCAGCCTGATGACATTCCTAATACTACTATTCATTGTCAGTTTAGAAATGTACTCGGCAAACATTTCTCCCTTTATTTGCACAGAAGGCATCCAACTACTTATTGATGATAAAACTCACTGGTCAAAGGAAGTGCTCTATTTGGCTTTTTTTCTTCTCCCATTTTTGGGACTGTGTCAAATGCCACATGGACCAGCATTAGCAGCTGTCTACAACTATAATCATTTTTCTCTAATAATACCTGCATCTACTCTTAGAGAAGAGGGGGCTGAGCAGGGAGGCAGGCAGGGAGAAGGAGAGGAGGAATGGAGTGACTTACATTATCACTACATTGTAGTGATAGTGTAAAAATGGAGAGCTTAGTGAAGCCCCTTGGAATAATGGTAATAGTGCTTACTCAACTCCTAGTATTGACCCACATGTCAAAACCAAGAAAAATTAATTATTTCCTCTGTTCTTTAGGAAAATATGTATTATTTTAAGTACTGAGATAGGTTTTCCACAGCCTGTAATATAGCTGAAATTGGCTTGTTCTGCACACTAGACCCCAGGACTCCTGTCATTGCCACGTCACTTGGGTTTAAGTCCTAGTTCTTCTCCTTTCTAGCTGTCCAATCCTGAGGAAAGTCATTTCACGTCTCTGAACTGTTTTCTATCAGGAGAATGTAGAAAATCACAGCACCTACTGCACAGGGCTGTTGTGACAATCAAAATCGTGATGAGAGGATAGGACACCGTAAAGTGCTCTATGCTGCATGCAGACACTAAAGCAGCCTATAAATGTAAAGTGGCATTATCTACAATGCAGTGGTAACCTCGGTTCATGTGGCTGCTGAGAGAAGCTGCAAGATCCCAAAGTGCTTTTTGAATCAACAAAGGCACATTCGATTGTATGGAATATAATTTTGCCATAAGAAATTTTCTGTGTTCTTGTGCCTTTATGCATGTGCCATCCATTCATGTGGCACATATCTATTAAGCAAAGCAGTTGGTTAACCAGAAACCCCACCTCCCAATCGGTCTGGGTAGAAGAGTTAACCAACTCTTTTTGACGCAGAGCTGGGTGCACCCCCTCATCTTGGTGCCTCTCTTACCCTTCCCAGGCATCAGACACCTCCTGTTTTAACATGCAGGCTTCTGCAAGTAGCTCTGGCTTCCCAGGAGGAAATTGCATCTTTACCAACATGCACAAGAGAGATGGAGTGAAATCTATGTGTGGTGTGACCCCTTTACTACATGCAAATAACCAACTGGCAGCTACTTGGCTATTGGCCACTCAAATCCTAGAGACCATCTGGCAATGAGATTGCATTTACCCCTCCTGGGGCTTACAGATATATACTGGACAGCAATTAGCTCAATCCATGGCTATACAATTTCACTCCAGCTATCCTCCACAAAAATATTTATGCCTAATTCCAGCATGAATAACCAACTAACAACCCATTGTCATTGGTTGGTCACATAAGTACTGTGTATGAGACAAGCATTTCACAGATATGATACCGGGTGTATTTGTATTATATTCTTGTGAAGTACTTTGCCTCACATTATTCTACGTTTCTTCTGACAATAATCCTGAGGAGAGGGCTAGGCATAGATAGGTGCTACCCTCCACACTTTCTAAATGATGAGATTAAGACATAGGATGTTACATGACTTCCTTCAAGTAATACAGCTGGTTAATGAGAGGCCCAAGCCTCAAACCCAGGCTTCCTGACTCCCCGTGCTTTCTCTAGATGCTGATTTGTAAACATTTATTATATGGCTTAATAAGAAAATAAGTTGGAGTCAATGTAAGTGATGAGAAACAGAGAGGAGCTATCAGAACAGCCACATCACGACTATGATCTTTGTTGGCTCATCAACATGCAGCACTTCCAAGGCAAGCTCTTTGATTTTTTCAATGCAAACCCTGACTGCCTGCTTCAAGAAAGGAGAAGCACCCTATGTTAACAGGCACATTTCTTTGCATTCATCAAAAAATGCTGGCTGTAACGCAGCATCTTTTTCTCCCCAGAAACCCAGCTTCTGCTGACTCCTATCTGAAATTCACCAGCCTAACTTCCAGAATCATATTGTGTAATCCCTACAATTTTACTGTGACATCATTAATTCCTCGGCTTCTTGGCTTCTCTTTAGGAACAAGCAGGAGAAAAATCACACTGCGACAAGAACATCTTGGATCATTCATTAGCAGTCATGGCAGGAAAAAAATCTCAAAGAAAAACAGGGCTGTCCTTAAACAGGTTGCATTTTCTTCACTTTCCCCTGGACTGGATCTCTGCTGAGCCTACGAAAAAAGAAAAAAAGAAAAAAAAAGCTATTTTTGTTGTTTTTACAAACAGTAGTCCCCCCTTATCTGTGATTTTCCTTTCCACAGTTTCAGTTACTCGCAACCATGGTCTGAAAATATATACAATAAGATATTTTGAGAGAGAAAGGGAGCTCAAACACATTTGCATAACTTTTATCACAGTATATTGTTATACTTGTTCCATTGTATTATTATTGTTGTTAGTCTCTTATTCTGCCTAATTTATAAGTTTAAATTTATCAATAGATATGTCTGTATAGGGAAAAACATAATATATACATGGTTTGATGCTATCTGTGGTTTCAGGCATCCACTGGGGGTCTTGAAACAGATCCACTGTGGATAAGGGGGGACTAATATAATGAGCATGCCTGTGGGACTGCAAACTTTCGCACTGGAGAAAAGTTGCAAAGAAAACAGAGTCATGCTATTAAGCCACAAACATTGGAAGTCATTTTCATACTCCCCAGCTCTACTAATTACCAAAAATAATTATGCAACAGTAAGAGCTTTCTCCCTCATTGTGTCTGGGCTGATCATAATAGACCATCCTCAGGCAAATTTGAAGGCCAACAACTGCTTTGTTCCAAGTGGGAGACAACAGTAAACTGGGAGGAGGAGAGCATAGGGGCAGAGCCAAGAACTGGAGCAATTTAGGTTCACTCAGAAACTTCTCACATCAGAAATAGAATCAATTTCCTAATGGTTCTTCTTGCATGTTAAGTGCAAAGCAATAACAGCTCTTGTGTACCCCAATTGACTCTTAGGCTCTCCCTGAGCTGGAATAGGTAACTCTTTGGTCAGGTAGATAAAGGTGATTTTCTTGCCAGAGAGAGGCCACTCACTTTGGTGGCAGTTCCCCACGAGGAATCCCAGAAGTCGGTTGCAACCAATGAATCCAAGCTGCTGCTCTCAGGGAGGGGCTTACCTAGACTTTACCATGCCCAACTCACTGCAATTGCTCATGGCGGGTCTCATCCTGGTACCTATATCCCATCCGCTGTTTGCTCCTTTACAATTGTTACAGGTAAAATTTATAGAGAAATGCACAAATCTTAAGTGCAACATTCAGTAAGTTTTGACAAACGCATATACTGGGATAGCCCAAACTCCTATCAAGATATAGAACATTTCAATCACCGCAGAAATTTCCCTCATGCCCCATTATGGTGAGGACAAACATACTCAGAGGCAACCACTGGTCTGATTGTTTGCAACGTGGTCTATTTCAACTGCTAAGGCAATTGGAAGCCTTTGTCAGGCAGTGCCATGATCACCTTAGTGATTCAGAATGGGAATTGTGGTGGTTTTAAAATATGGCTGCAAATTCTTTAACACACTTCCCGTTGAAAGGTGGAGTCTATGTCCCCTCCTGCTGAATCTGTGTGTCATGACTGCTTTGACCAGTAAAGTACAAAGGAAGTGATGCTATGTGATTTCCAAGACTTCACATAGAAGGCCTTTCAGTTTCCACTATGTTCATTTAAATATTCATTATTGGACACTGGCCAGCATGTAAGAAGTCTGATTACCCTGAGGATACCAAGCTGTGAGGAAGCCCAAGCCACATGGAGAGGCCACATATACAGATTTATCTATTCAGTTGTTCATTCCCTTGTATTGCCGAGTAGAATGCCAATACATGACTGTACCACAGTTTGTTTATCCCTTCACCAGTGCACAGACATTTAGGTTGTTCCCATTTGGAGGTTATGACAAATAGAGCTGCTATGAGCATGCTGTTACAAGTGTTTGTGTGGATGTATGCTTTCATTTCTTTTCTGTTGGGTAAATGCCCAAAAACAGCATTGCTGGGATAGAGGGTAAAGTATGCATAGTTAAATATAAAACTGCTAGAATTTTTTTCAAAGTGGTTGTACCATTTTACGCTCCCACCAACAGTGTATAAATATTCCAATTGTGCCACACCTTTGTCAACACCTGGTATTGTCACTCTTTTTATTTTTGCCATTTCAGTGGTTGTGTAGTAGTATCTAGAGGTTTTGATTTGTATTTTCCTAATAACTAATGATGTTGAGCACTTTTTCATGTGTTTATTAGCCATTTATTATATCACTCTTGGGAAGTGTCTGTTCAAATCACTTTCCCGTTTTAAATTGGATTACTTGTCTTTTTATTATTGAGTTATAAGCATTCTCTATACATTATAGATATAAATCTTTTGTTTTATGTGTTGTAAATATTTTCTCTCAGTCTGTGGCTTACTTATCCATTTTCTGAAGGGTGTCACTTGGTGAGAAGAAATTACAAATTTTGATAAAATCTAGTTTATCATTTTTTTCTTTTATAATCTTTGTTTTCTGTGTCCTAAGGACACAGAATCCATTTTTAAGCTCACCTCTTTAGCTGGTCTCAAATCTAGCCCCTCTTCTCCTCTCTTTCCCTTTTGCAAATGACCAACTCCAAGCCACCATCATCTTTTGTCAGGACCACTGTGAGAGCTCCTTAGAGATCCAAAATAGAACTCACAATATCCAACCCTCCGCCCCTGTCCCTACCTGTCCCTCCCTCACTCTTCCCCACCTCTTTAAAAGCACTGCCATATAACTGGTCACTCAAGACAAAACCTAGAAGTCATCCTGGGCTTCTCTCTCCCTCACTCCCTACGTTCAGCTCATCACTAAGTCCTTTGGACTGTACCTCTTACCTATCTCTCAAATGCATGGGCATTTCTTCATCTCCTCTTCCACAACCTTAGCTCAGGCCACCCTGACTACGGCAGCAACTTATAATTTTTTTTTTTTTCCTGAGATGGAGTCTCACTCTCTCACCCAGGCTGCAGTGCAGTGGCACAATCTAGGCTCACTGCAACCTCGGCCTCCCGTATTCAAGCAATTCTCCTGCCTCAGCCTCCCAAGTAGCTGGGATTACAGGTGCCAACCAACTCGCCCAGCTAATTTTTGTATTTTCAGTAGAGAAGGGGTTTCACCATGTTGGCCAGGCTGGTTTCAAACTCCTGACCTCAAGTGATCCACCCACCTCAGCCTCCCAAACTGCTGGAACTACAAGTGTGAGCCACCACGTCCGGCCTACAGCAGCAACTCTTAACTACTCTCTCCAATTCCACTCTTGCTCCTTCCAAGCCATTCTCCATTGAGAAGCAAGAATGATTTTTCCATTTATCTACTCCTGCCTAACAAAGCACCCCAAAACACATAGCAGTGTAAAACGACCACCATATTTTGTGCCCCGAGAGTCCAGGGGTCAGGAGTTTGGAAAAAGCACAGCAGGGAAGGCTTTTCTCTTCTCCTTGATGTCTGAGGCCTCAGCTGAGAAGAGATGAACAGCTAAGGACTCAAATTATCTGGAGGCTTCTTCACTCATAGGTCTGGCTCCTGGCCTGAGATCACTTAAAAACTGGGTTCAGCTGGGACTGTCTGCCAGAGTGCCTATATGTGGCCTCTCCATGTGGCTCGGGCTTCCTTACAGCTTGGTATCTCGGAGTAACCAGACTTCTTACATGCTGGTTCAGTTTCCAAGAATGAATATTTAAATGAACATAGTGGAAACTGAATGGCCTTCTATGTGTAGTTTTGGAAATCACATAGCATCACTTCCCTCATACTTTACTGGTCAAAGCAGTCATGACACACAGATTCAGCAGAAGGGGACATAGATCCCACCTCTCAATGGGAAGTGTGTCAAAGAATTTGCAGCCATATTTTAAAACCACCACAGTTCCCATTCTGAATCACTAAGGAGATCATGGCACTGCCTGACAAAGCCTTCCACTTGCCTTACCAGTGACTCTCAAGTGAACATAGTCCCATCTTAATGGTGGCTCAGGATCTTCTGAGGAGCAGTCCAGCCTTCCAGAAGTTTATGTTCTTCAAAGTTCATGAGTTTATCCAACCAGGTAATTTTTATTCATGAGCACCAGAGAACATTAAAATAAAGTCATTTAAGACCTTAAAAGGATTTCTTTATGAAGGTTAAGCAGTAGGAAGAGGGAATGGCCTAACGAAGATGATGGAAAACTTTCTGAAAAGCAATTTAGCTCTCTGCATCATAAGCTTTTGACCTACCAATGCCTCTTTTAGAGTTCAATCTGGTAGGAACTGGGGGAATCCAGAAAAAAATTATGTACAGTAATTTTCATTTATAATGCTAAAAAATGGACAACTGAAATGTCCAACAATTAGGGACTGGACGAGTACTATAAGGGAATACTATACAGTCAATGAAAGTGGTTATTTTTAAGACATTTAATGACATGGGGAAATGCTCATTTAAGTTGGTAAAGCAAAACTCAGAAGTACATATGCAGTATGCATATTTTTGTTCTTTATTGCTGTATACACAGTGCCTAGAACAGTCCCTGGCAAATAATAATGCCTGGCTTAATAATCACTAAATATATTATATATATGTATATAAAATATCTGGTTATATATAATATATAACATGTATATATAATTTAACATTTATACTAATTGAATAACTAAAATGATTGAGTGCTCACAATGTGTCAAGCTTTATGCTAAAGCTATATATGGTGTAACATAACATTTAATCTCATAATCGTTGTGAGACAGTTACTGACATCATCCCAATTTTTTCGTTTTGTAGAGATGGAGACTCATTCTGTCATCCAGGCTAGAGTGCGGTGGTATGGCCATAGCTCACTGCAGCCTCAAATTCCTGAGCTCAAGTGATCCTCCCACCTCAGCCTTCTGTGTAGCTGGGATTACAGACACAAGCCACCATGACCAGCCACCCTCAATTTTTCCAGATGAGGAAATTGAAAATCTGAAAGGATAAATGATTTTGCTTAAGGGCACATAGTTACTAAATGCCAGAACCAGGATTCAAACCCAGGGAGCCTGACTCCAGAGGCCAAGCTCTTTAACAATATAGTATTACTTTATGCACAGTTTTGAACATGTAAGGAACAAAGACTGGGAGGAAAAACACCAGTGTGTTACCAGGGCCTTATCTCTAAGTGGTAGGATATGAGGGAACTGGTATTTTCTTCTTTTGCTCTTCTTTATTTTCCAAATCCTTTACAATAATTATGTGTTTCTTTTGTATTCAAATTTGTAAAATAATTTTGCTTTTAACCAACCAAAGATTTTGGAGTTCTCAGTAATCATCCCCAGTCCTTGGGTGCTCTCCACTTGGAACAGATTCACCCCCTCTGCAGTCCTAACCTGACAATATGCTCTGCTTCTCCCTCAGCAAACCTACCTTGACTGCAAGCTGCCAGTGTAAACAGCACTTCTGGCTGATGTTTGAGTTAACTGTGTCCCTTTGCAGCTTTCCTGCCTAGTCTCTGCTCTAAGTACCCTGTTCTGCCTTTACCACCTAGGTGCTCTGCCTCCTGGCAAATCATATTCCTCATGCTCTATCCTCATCTTTCATTCTCTCAGGGCCTATAGGCTCAGGATGATGTCATAGCAACACCCGGTGCAATAGTTAGAGTATGAGAAGGGAGTCTGTGTACAGAGTCCTTGCAGCGCACGGTATTCAGGGACAAGCCACGACAGCTTTCTCTTTCCTCTGACTTCTTCACATCTCTCTTCAATTACAGACCCCAAGCTAATCACACTACTCTAATAAGGCCCTGATCAATGCTAAAGGTTATTTTATGATTCCTGTAGGTTGTATTTCTGTTATTATTACACATCACAGCATTGCATTAGCTTTCAAAAAACAATCAGCATTGATTTGCTGACTCACTCTATGGCCTCCTATGATGCCTAGATCTTTCCATTATGCTTGCATCTCTAGGCAAAGAGAGAATTGATTTCCTCTCTAGTCCTTTGTAAGAGGTTCCTGTTCACTAGCCACTCCCAATCTTCCCTCCAGCCTCAGTACTACAATTGGAGAAGTATGGAAAGCAACAAAACCCTGAGTCCATTTATCAAACCCCCAAACCACAAGAAAACAAAGCAAAACAAAAGCATCATAAGTAAACTAAAGGCTCTGGCCTACTTTCCACCAGATCTCTCCAACTTTTGTTTTAAAAACTTGGGTAGCCAAAAGTACCGTTTATTTTATAGGTTGTAAACTAACGGAGTAGGATAGTCAAGAGTTTAAGCTATGGAGTCAGGGAGATCTGGATTCAAAATCCAACTCTATAGCCCCATAGCCAAGTCACTTTTTCTCTTAAGCTCTCAGTTTTGCCACATGCAAAATGGGAGTAATTATAGTAAGCTAGTTCTGCTAAACTGTGACATATGTGTTCCTAAAAATTTCCACACTGTGCAGAATTGTGCATTAAAAGTCAGAGGGCTTATGGGGAAAAAAATGGCTTTAGAGGTACAACACTCAAAAACTTCATCAAAACATTTCAAAAGATAAGAACCTAATGAAAACAGCATCACAGTTTTGCAGACGAATACCACAATAAATGTGGAACTTTAAAAAGACCTGAAGTTTGCTTGTGGAAGTGACTCTTGGAAGAGTCACAGTTTGTGAGTTCTTGTGAAGTGGTGAAAGGATGGTGATCTGAAATCAAATAGAAGTTTTAACAGCAGATGTGGCCCAGTGTGGCTCATCCCACACATCTTGGTGAACTGAGGTAGCTGGTAAATGTTGGATGTGTGTGTATGTGTGTGTGTGTGTATGCACGCAGGAATGCCCATGATTTGTGTTTTCCTGTGTGGTTCAATTCAGCTGGGTACAGGTTCTTGTGTTCACTTAGTGTTTTTTGTGGAAGAAATTGCCCATAAGCAAACAAAAAGTTCATGTTATGCCCAAATTGTTCCCTAATATTGTCAATCACATAAAGCAAATTCACATTTTTCAAAACAAGAGTTATAGCAGAACTAACTGTACCAACCTTCCAGGCTAGAGAAAATTACATGAAATAATGCCTTGGATAATGCTTTTAGCAAAAGGCCTGGCGCACAGTAAGCTCTCAATAAATGATAGCTGCAGGTATCAAAAGCAGCAGTAGAATGTTCAAACATATGGAACCCTCCAGTGCCTGCAGGTGGAACCTGGAACTGCCTTGATATGAGTTTTCCTTCACACATCTGATGAGAGGCAATGGAAGCCCTGTAAAGGTCAGCTCTGTTAGGAGTCACCTCTCTTCACACCCCGCCTGCCAATCAAGTGCCTGTGACATTTGCAACGAATTCTATGACTCTCTCCTTACGGCCCTAGTGTGCCAGACAGTGGCTAGGCAGTGTAGGACCTACAAGAGGAGTCAAGGGCTCAGCTTATTCTCTAATGATTGGTGAGAAGGATAAGGCATGATCAAGACCAGAGTGGGCTGGCTGGAGGGTCTCCAATAAACAATAGAGAGATACTGTAGGTTCTGGAGCAGGGCATTGACAGGATTAAAGCCATGTTTCACAGCAGATGTCAGCAAGCATTTTCTGTTAAAGGCCAGATAGTAAGTTTTTAGGCTTTGTAAGCCATCTGATCTCTGTCAAAAGCAATCAAATGTGCCATTGTAATGTGAAACCAGCAACACATACATCAGTGAATATGGCTGTTATCCAGTAAAACTTCATTTACAACACAGACAGTGGGCAGGTGTGCAGGCTGTAGTTTGCCAACCTTTGTTTTAGCAATCCTGTCTAATAGAAATAGAATTTGTGCCACAAATGCAAGCCACATAATTAATTATAAACTTTTCTAGTAGCCACACTTTAAAAAGTCAAAAGAGGCCTAGTGCAGTAGCTCATGCCTGGAATTCCAACACTTTGGGAGGCCAAGGCAGGCGGATCACCTGAGATCAGGAGCTCAAAACCAGCCTCACCAACATGGTGAAATCCTGTCTCTACTAAAAATACAAAAATTAGCCAGGTGTGGTGGCGGGTGCCTGTAGTCCCAATCACTCGGGAGGCTGAGGCAGGAGAATTGCTTGAACCCGGGAGGTGAAAGTTGCCGTGAGCCGAGATCATGCCACTGCACTCCAGCCTGGGTGACAAAGTGAGACTTTGTTTCAAAAAATAAATAAATAAATAAAGTAGTCAAAAGAAAGAGGTGAAATTAATTTTAACAATATATTATATTTAAACCAATGTAGTTCACCGTTGAACAATGAATGCGGTGCTTAGGGGAACTGACCCTAACCACATATAACTTTTGACTCTTCCAGAACATTACTAATAGCATACTTTTGATTGGAAGGCTTACCAATAACATTGACAGTCGATTAACACATATTTTGTATGTTATATGTATTATATGCTATATTCTTACAATAAAGTAAGCTAGAGAAAAGAAAAATTATGAATACAATCATTAAGAAAAAGAAAGTATACTTACTATTCCCTAAGTGGAAATGGATCATCATAAAGGTCTTCATCCTTATTGTCTTCACATTGAGTAGGCTGAGGAGGAGGAGAAAGAAGAGGGGTTGGTTTTGTCTCATAGGTGGCAGAGATGGAAGAAAATCTATGTATAAGTGGACCTGTGCAGTTCAAATCAGTATTGTTCAAAGGTTAACTGTACACCCAAAATGTTATCATTTCAATGTGTAATGAACAAAAAATTATTAATAAGATGTTTTACGTTTTTTATCATACTAGGTCTTCAAAATCTGTTATGAATTGAATTGTGTCACCCCAGTAGATGTTGAAGTCTTAACCTCTAGTACCTGTGAATGGAACTTATTTGGAAATAGGATCTTTGCAGATGATCAAGATGAGATCATTAGGGTGGGCCCTAATCTGACATGTGTCCTTATAAAAAGGGGAAATTTGGACACAGATACAGACATGCACACGGGGAGAATACCATGTGAAAATGAAAGCGGAGATTAGTGTAATGTTTCTACAAGCCAAAGAATGCCAAAGATTGCCAGCAAACCACCAGAAGCTACAAGAGAAGCATTAAACAGATTCTCCCTCACACCCCTCAGATGGAACCAATCCTGTCAACTCCTTGACCTTGGACTTCTAAGCCTGCAGGGCTGTGAGACAATACATTTCTCCTGTTTTAAGTCACTCAGTGTGTGGTACTTTGTTATGGCAACTCTAACAAATTAATACAAAATCTAAGTCTGTGTATTGTACACTGCCAGCACAACTTAATTCATCCTAACCACATTATAAGTGCTCAACGCCATCCATGGCTAGCAGTCACCAGATTGGACAATGATGTAGCTTGAGAAAGCAATTTGGTTACCCCAAAAGTGGTGATTAGCATGAGAAGAGAAAGGAGACAGAGATATGGGGAGCTTAGGTTTAAGTGTAGACAAAGAACTTTTTTAAAGCCTTAACCTTCCTTGAAAACGTATTAAATGTGATGATGCTAGGAGTTTACTTTCTCTCATCTCTTTGGGAGCACTCAGGAAGTGACCATGGCACCAGCAAAGAATGCTCTATTTTCTTTGGCCAAAATTATCTCATCCCAGAGCTCTGTTTTTGCTTCAGTGGTATGTGATCATTTTTGTATCCCAACTGATTTCCTCTGGACTCAATATGTGATATTTTTCCCTTGAAGTAATTTGGCAGTTTCATCATTTTATTCATCTTACATTCCCCATTAACTGTACTAGCGCATGTAATATATCACCCAAAGTGACAGGGAGATTGTAACAAGAAGTCCAGCTCCATCTTTTATATTTAACCGCTGACAGCTTTTGAACTCCCCACTCCCCTTTTCCACTTTTGCCCCACATCTAGACAAGTCAGTAAGAAAGCCCAAACACTCCCTCCCTTTTCCTTTGTGCCAGTGAGGAAGCTCAAACCAAAAAAAAAAAAAAAAAACAAACAAAAAAAAAACAACTCTGGCCCACATGCACAGAACTTCCCTCCTACTCCACTCCTAACCACACTAAAAACCAGAGCCTCTTTTACTTCAGCCCAATGGACAGGCTTGAGTGCTTTCCCTAATCTCTCCAGAAAACCTCATGATGTGAATAATAAACCTTTTCATACCCTCGTGGTACATGTGTGGCATCATCAGTCTCAAGATCTAAACTCTTGGGTAGGGGTAAGGGACTTGGCCTTCCCCTCTGAGAAGAAACCTCAAGACCATTGGTGCTGAGAGCTGGATGGTCTAAGAGATGACTATTGCCTCCTGGAGGGCTTTCTTCTCTTGATTTCAGTTTACTAACTGGCTCTGCAGCCTGCTGGCAAGCATGCACTCAGAGCTGCTGCCTGAGTGTGCTCTTTGAGCTGCACTCCTGCCTGCTAGTAAGTTTGTGTTAGAGTTGTTGCCCTAAGTCAGAAGTTTTGCATTTAGGGACAAGAGTACAGGATTGCAGCCCTCCTTAAAATGGCCCCAGTTTTGGTATCCCAGCCCAAACCTATCTGTTTCAGATTGAATCATGTGCCTCAATTTCAGCATGAACTGGGACTGATGCTAGACTCAGAGAGATGACTCTTACTCTGTGTCTATTGGTTGTGCATTTCAGCCATGCATTGGTCTCATTCTATAGAGTGTTCAAGAAAAAGATTGATACCATGTGCAATATGCAGGCCCATCAGGTGGTCATGGGTGATTGCTGGTGTGAGGAAGAAAATAGGCCGTCACTATGTCAAGTGCTGAGGTCACATTCTTAAAAGAAGTTGGCTCATTAGGACCCTAAGTGCTTCTAGTGCAAAAAAGATCCTGATCCTCAGAATTATGAGGAGAAACACCCATGACACCCCCGTGACAGAAACCCTTATGAAAAGCACTCTAAATGTTTTTCCCCTACCCCTCTTAAAGAGCCAGAGGACACCATCACCCTATTGGATAATTGTAAAATGGACCAATGAAGACTCTAGGTCCTATTGAGAGCCACAGCTGATCAACATGCCAAGGAGTTAATTCAAACTTGACTTAAGTTTAGTGTACCTTGACCCAGTGAAATAATAATTGCCATATTAAAGGCCCCTAACCCTGATGATACTGATTTGGGACTCTCTGGAGGAAGAAATTTATAAACATGATCAGAGACAACCCCTTTCCCCCCATAAGGTATATCTGGTAACCACCAAAACAATAACAACAACAAAACAAAAAATTAATACAAGGTGAGGAAAGAGTAGCTGAAGCAGAGGTCTGAAATTTGACCAAATTGTATATCCAAAATTTACTAAAATAATTTATGCAACAGAAAAATGAAAGAGTGCTGATTGGCTTTTGCACCTGACATAGATTCTAAATTAACTTTAACATCTGCTGAAATGCATTAACTGGCAAACTTTCATGGCCTTAATTGATACTAGGGCTCAAATCACAGTTATACATGGAGGTCCACTAAATGTAAATGTGGGATCTTCTATTCACTTACGGAAGTTACCAGATATAAAAATAGAAAACAAACAAGTATGTTTCACCTTAACCATCAAGAACTACTGCCTTAACTAAATTGCCCATGGTCATAGTGCCCATTGCCCTACATAGCTGGACCCTCTCAGCACCCACATCATTAAATGAAGCCCAACATCTTTCAGACATTTTTGGTCCTAGAGGTAACATATTCTTTGTTTACAATTTTTGCTTAAGCTCACTTACACAATTTTTGCTTAAGTTCAGCCCATCTTGTATGGGACCTCCTGCTACAAAAGGCTCCAGAATCTGTCTAAACTGCAATGGCAGTTCTATTAGTGCCCTCCAAAGAGTTCTTCACTGTAGAGGTTTTAGCAACCTCTTGTGTCTTGTGGAGTCTCTGGACCACCTATGATGACCATAAGTTGTCTGTGGGTTATTGATGTGAAAGAAAAACCTACTCTCCTCAGCCCCACACTACATACCATTAGAGCAGCAACTGCTGGCTGCATACTATGCTGTTTTGGAGACGGAGACTCTGACAGGGGGCTCTCTGCACCCAGCTGCCCATTATGCTTTTGATCATGAAGGCCACACCCCTCCTTATTGAAATGAAAATGATACTTACATGATGGAGCCAAACCTGGACCCTCTGGCATATTCCACTGAAAGGAAGGGGTGGCCTCTCCTGTTCCCAGTCCTTTAAGAGATGCAAAGGAGATTACCCATGTCTCAGATGCAATGACCACATGGGGAGCCCCTTGGGATCAACTGGATGATAAGAAAAGGGAGTCTGTACACCTTACACATGGCAGTGTTGCTGGAGAGCTGCTGCTGTCTATCTCCTACCCTGGATGTCCCTGATCAAGGATGTTACCAACAATCCGGCCATCTGGTCTAACCAATGGCACCTACGATCCCTTATCCAAGGTTTCCCCCTTTAAGGCAAAGAATTCTGGAAATTTATTCCCTCACAAATAACCAAAATACAAATCAAGCACATATTTAACACCATAATACAAGGCCTCACCAAGGAACTAATTATCCTCTTCAGAGTTCCAGACATCATTGACAGTGACCAAGGCACTCATTTCACTTCTCAGAATCCACAATGCTGGTATCTTAAACAAGATATTCAAAGAAACATTCACCTCCCTTACTGGTCTCAGGCTGCAGGCCTCATAGAGCACCATAATGGCTTACTTAAACAAGTTCAAATTCAATTAAATAAAACGTAGCACAATTCAGTCATCAGTGAAACATCAGAGGTGAATTGCAACAGAGTCTCACTTCGATTTTGGTGTTTGACTGCCAACAGCTTTCAATCCCAACTATCCCCTTTCCCTTTTTCCCCATATTTAAGCAAGCCCATAAGAAAGTCTAGGTAATACTTCCTTTGGAGCCCATGGGGAAGTTCAAACCATGCAAACTTCAGCCCATGCATGTGAACTCTCACCCCAACCCCGTGCCCTAACTACAATAAAATCAAAGCCACTAGCCCCTTCCTTCACTCAGCCTTTGGTGTCTGCTTTTGGACCTGTTTGGGGGGCCTGCCCTGCCCTCCCAAGAAAGTCTCATGATGCAAGTATGCCTTTTCATACTTCTTGGTGCATGTGTGACATCAGCAGCCTCAACTTCCAAACCAGTTAGGGGTAAAGGGTTGATCCCACCCTCCTTAAGGCAACCACTAGACAGACATTCTAATTAATAAGCATTATAAAGCTTATTAATCATGTTTCTAATGAAAGCTAACCCCACCTCCAGCAGAAATTGACTTTTAGTTACAAAGGGGATTTTCTCAATTGTATTTGTGAAGGAAGAAGACATTTTAGAAGCTTACATAACATGTCACATAGCTCCCCCACTCCCACTTAGCTGCAGATTAATTTCCCCTTAAATGTATTCGCAAAAGCTGACTTTTCCAGTCAGGCAGAAAAGAATACAAGATTCAAAGTCGTCATCTGTGCAGAAATCCTGATAAAGACTTTAAAGAACTGCAATGTCACAGCTCCCCTCAGATTGTTAATCCTTGAAAAGGGGAGTCTACGTTGTCCAAGCAAGCTTTGTTAATGCTATAACCATCACACATTTGACCAACAACAACAACAAAAAAGCAGCAGCATTAAGATTGAAGTTCTAAGTAGGTTTTATAGAACAGAAGGCTCTGTAAGACGTTGTATAGTGAAAATGATACTGACAAATGCCATAGCAACCAAAACTGCTTGTTGCCTTGTGAAAATTAAAATCTTCCTGATAGTCAGGCATTCGATGTGTGCCCATAAATGAGCATGTGAATAAAAAGGCTCCCTTGGAATAAAAATCCATTCCATCATTGCTAACACTGTTCAGGAAAGGGGAAACTTTGATTCTAAAAATCTCTTTTTCTCAGACCAATCCTGCACAGAAGATATCAATTTTGGCTTTCACTGAAAACAGTAAGAAGAAATCTGTATTTATGCGAAAATGTGAAGCAGAAAGATGCCTCCAGAAGCATCCACTTAACTGCCTGCCCATCAGCGGGGTTGTGCTCCCAGGCAAGGCTCTTTAGAAATACTGTGTTTCCACAGAATGGGATTTCATTTCCTCCCTTTGCTGAACACTGATCACAGCCCTCACTCACAGAGTTCTTTCTGAGTCTAACTTCCATTCTTCTTGCTTCTTCTGTCAGTGCTTCTCATTCTTTTGGAGATTGTTTTCCTTACACCCAACTGGTAGATTTGATGATGGTTCAGCATCCTGTCAGTTTTGGGATAAGTCCTCAGCTCTTTAATCCAGCCTGGTCCATAGGTTAACAAACTCAGAAACATTCCTATTCAATCGCCATGCTCACCCTAGCACTAGTCCTCTTGAACATGAATCCTCCTCTCTCTCTTTCCTAGGAGTTGCTGCACTTCACTATTCTCATGAAAAAAGAATTCTAGTGGACAGGTGTTTTCTCCTTCTACTGTGCCCCCACCCCCACCTCAAATCAACAGGTTCTCAGGATCCACAATCTCACCAAAAGCAGAATGAACAACAACTTAAACTCTTCTTATGAGCTTCCCACTTGATGAACCTCTCTGATCCTCACTCAGCCCTGTAGGTGGTTGTTGTCCATTTCCACATGAGGAAACTGAGGCTCTGAGTCAGAGGGAAACCACTCAAAGTACTAGTACTTCGGAGAAGGAAGAGTCCAAACTTTAACTCCTAGTTGCCAAATGTGCCCCAGGGGCCTCAGGCTAGCCCAACTCCCCACCCACCATCCAGCCTGGAGATCTACGTCAGTCCTTCCCTCCCAACTTGAAAAGTGCTGGTGACACCAATGAGAATACCCAGTAGCCCTTTCTGGGAGTCCAGCCTACCAACCCAACTGAAGAACGCCTCATACAGAAAACAAACAAACTAACCATGCCGAGGTACGCCCCTCAGGCCCTCTGCCTAATTCTCTCAGGGGTCTTGCCTACTTCCCTGTAAGCCAAAGATATATGAGTCTCTGCTAAGTCGTGAGCAGTGGGAATCTTCTTTGATATTTGGCCTACTCTTCCCTCCCAATTCTTCTACTTGCAAGGAAGTTGCACAGTTGCAGAGAGGAGCAAGCATTTGAAAACTGACAGAAGAAATCAAGTTTGAACCTTGGATTTTGTACATGTCGGACAATAGAATTTAACATATAGAGAATATGTGCAGTTCGCTGCATAGCCCAGGGGTTAGAACACTGGCCTTTTAAAATGTAGAGGATGTAAGAGGAGAAAAAGAAAAAGAAGAAAAACACGCATTTAAGAAGACCCATACAATATGAGTGCTGCTGTAAGCTTTGGATTGTTTGAAGGTGGCATGCAATATTTTTTGCAATTGTATTTCTCTTATCATTTTCTCTCTCCAGCCTCTTACAAATCTCCCTTTCACAGAAAAGACTTTTAGTGATGGGTACTGAATTGGAATGTTCTACTTGTGATGAACCTGTCCTACCGAGTTTACATAAAAGGAGAGGGGAGAAGGAAAAAAAAATCAAATAAGAGAAGATAATGCCATAATTCAAGCAATAATAATTCTTCTTACTTTGTACTTTAAAACATTTTAACATTGGAAGGGATGAATACATGTTCTCGCAGCCTCTGCTATTCAATAGTAAAATTCATTAGGTGGCAACAGAGAGAAACCTTGGTGTCATTAAGAACACAGAGAAGGGGGGAAATGAAGGCCAGTGTTACAAGCCCCATGGCCAAATTCAGAAATGAATGATAATTAAATTGCCTTTCAAAGTGCGCTCGCGAGCCAGACACACGTTTTGAATCCCATCCACATTTGCAGAGGGAAGAGGTAGACAACGCCTGGAATGTTGTCTTTCAGAAGTATTAATGAGCACTATAAATTTCATCCACGTATTAATGATAATTCAGTCCTCATTAAGCGCCCGTGCTGATAGCAACCCACATTTCGGCACAGCAGGCCCTGGCAAATTTATTTTCCCTTTGTTAAATCCAGTTTACTCTACCAGTTTGCCAAGCAATAGACAGAAGCTGCGAGGGTGGTAGAAATCGATGTCTAAGTCTGACCAAACACCGGGTTTTCTAAAACGACAGCGCCTGCGCGCGAGCGGCACGCGGGCATCTTCCTGGCATCCGAGGAGATGGGGCTGCGCCTGGGGCCACCGGGTTACGTTTAGTGAGGAGTAGACTGCCCCTTTCTCCTCTCAGTGCTTCTCCAAACAAAAATGGTAGCGAAGGCAGCAGATGACAGTCGCGAGGGCGCTGCGAGATGGGGACTCGCACCTCGAGTTGAGTTAGGGGTGTGGGTGACCCCTGCTGAATCCTATCGCAGGCGCTGTTCTCTGGAGGAGACGGCGCCTTCGGGGGCAGGTGCCGCAAAGTCAAGAACCGACAGAGCCCCCCGGTTTTAGTAAACTTTTAGCTAAATAAATAAATAAACAAACAAGAAGCGGTCTCGGATCTGCGTCTTATGGGTCTGTGGGGGATGGTCAGGACACCCAGGAATGAAGATTGGGGTATGCGGCCGTGCCGAGGGATCTTCACAAACACCCTTGGTGGGGCGGGGAGAGCTGGGGCCGCGGGCACCCGCGCAGTGACAGCTCCTGGGCACTAGAGGGCGCCGTGCGCGCAGTTTGCCTTCGCCGCGAGCAGGGAAAGGGCGGGGTTAGGGGCCTCCCAGAGGGTGGGAGTAAGAGCGAGTCTACAAGCCCACTCCAACCTCCGCTAGTCGCCCGCACCGCCCGCGGGCCACCCCTGGGCGGCCCACGGGGAGGGGCTTGCACTTCTCGGGAACATCCGACCACATAATATCTGACGACAACTCAGCAAAACGCAAATGAAGGAGGGGGAAGCATCCATAACACCTACGGCAACTCAACCAAATGTCATTTTTAAACTGCTGAGGATGAGCAATTGCCGTCAGACCCCATCGTGCGGCACCTCACAATCACCCAGAGCTGGCGATGTCCGGAGGTATGCCCGCCTGGAAGATACTGAGGTCCCATACACCGCAGGGGGCTACCTGTATGGGACGCCACGGAACTGCACCATCATCATCACAATAGTACCTACTACTTGCCATCCGCTGCTGTGAGCACTTTCACACCAATCATTTGATCCTTAAAACAATGAGGTACTCTAGTTAGCCCCACTAGATAGTTCCCATGAGTTACTCTTGTTAGCCCCACTTTCCCCACTTACAGAAGGGGAAATTAAGGCTCAGAGGGGTTGTAGAACCTCTCAAGTTCACACGGAACCCATGTTCTTTTTACTTCCCAGCACTGCCTCACTGATGGGAAGCACAGCTGTCCACATGGTTGCTTATACACTTCTTCAAACCAGCAGGAAATATGGGAGCTAAAAATATGCATATGAGTTCATGAAAATAAAGCTGGCTCTAATCGGTGTTCACCTTGGAAACGTCCCCCCGCCCCCCAACCTTTCTCTGGTGTGCTTTGAATGCTGTATCTCAGGCTGGTTGAGGGAAGGAAGCCTTCTGCACTTGAGTTAGGAATTGATTGCACACACCAGGAGCTGCAGCGGCCCCAGACACCCAAAGCCTTTTCTTTCGGACTCGGGCATGGGCTTTCGCCAGGATTTGCAAGATCTGCTTTCTGTGCACAGAGGAACGAAAAGTGTCCAGTTGGCCCCGAGGTGTTACCAAGCACACTGGTACGAACTGCTGATGCTAGGGTCTTAGCTCCTCCCAGAAGTTCTCAGCCCACATCAGCTTCTTCTACCTCTGACCTCCCCCCAGCATTTGATGTATGAACCACCTTATAGCAACTTGCTTGCTTCCATCTCCTGTTCTCTGATTCTCTCCTGTGTGTCTGTCTCCCCAGTGGGCTGATGAGAACCACAGGAGCAGAAACCATGTCAGCATTGGGCACATAGCAGCTCTCAGAGAGTTGTGAAATTGAATTATGCTGCGTCTCTACTTAGAACATCTACCACTTTCCACCAAGTAAAAAAGATAGCCTTGTTTGCTTTTTTTCTGGTTTTTGAGCTTGTTTACTTCAAACAGTGAGGTCTGCTGACAGGTATAGTTTATAAAAAGACCACTGAATTTGTGAAAATGTGAATCATTTCCTTTGCACAGCGCAATGTTCATTTCATCCTCTCTTCATTTGCATCCCTGTTTCATCTCTCTTTTGCACCCGTGTTTTGATAACAGGTACTCACCTATGCTATAGGAAGCCAAATACAAAGTAATGGGGTTTGTTGTTTGTTTGCTTTTTTGTTTGTTTGTTTGTTTCTTGAGACGGACTCTCACTCTATCGCCCAGGCTAGAGTGCAGTGGCGTGATCTCGGCTCATCGCAACCTCTGCCGCCTGGGTTCAAGCGATTCTCCTGCCTCAGCCTCCCGAGTAGCTGAGATTATAGGCGCCTGCCACAGCGCCTGGCTAATTTTTGTATTTTTAGTAGAAACGGGGTTTCACCATCTTGGCCAGGCTGGTCTTGAACTCCTGACTTCGTGATCCACCTGCCTCGGCCTCCCAAAGTGCTGGGATTACAGGCGTGAGCCACCACGCCCGGCCAATACAAAGTAATGTTAAAAGGAAACACTGTCATCCAGCAGATTCCCATCTTCTCCATCAGTTGCTAGAATGTGCTTAGCCTGTTCTGTAGCAATCAGACCTGCTGGGCTAGATACCCCCCAACTCCCGCATAATGCAGTACCCAAACTGGCTGTTACTGGTAAGAAATGGAAAGATGGGTAATGAATGAGGGGGAGTAAGGGAGGATTAATGAGGAAACAAGAAGATAAAAGGCACAGTGTGGAGGGGATGATGTGGAGAAGAGACATTGGAAAGTCAGAAAGCAACAAGGCGTATGGATTTTACGGGATCCAATAACTGAGGAGACTGAGGGAAGTTATAGTAGTATGGATATAAGAAGTTGAGTATGGAGCTGTGTGCAGTGGCTCACGCCTGTAATCCCAGCACTTTGGTAGGCTGAGGCTGGTGGATCACTTGAGGTTGGGAGTTCGAGACTAGCCTGGCCAAAATGGTGAATCCCCATCTCTACTAAAAAAAAAAAAAAAAAAAAAAAAAATAGTGGGGCATTGTAGTGCATGCCTGTAATCCCCGTTACTCCAGAGGCTGAGGCAGGAGAATCACTTGAACCCAGGAGGCGGAGGTTGCAGTGAGCTGAGATTGCGCCACTGCACTCCAGCATGGGTGACAGAGCGAAACTCCATCTAAAAAAAATAAAAAATAAAAAAGAAGAAGTTCGGTACGAATATTACAGAACCCAAGAACTGGAGGGGCGGGACTCCTTGCTAGACCATGCTTACCACCCAAGTAGCTCCATCCAAAACACACACATATGCACAGATGTCATGATGATGGAGTTTCCAGATCCTCCCACCAGTCCAGAGTTTCCAGATCCTCCCCTCTGCACCCCTCACCAGCACCCCGAACCAATGCTGAGCTGCTACCTCGGCTTAAACATGAGTTCCTCAGGCTAGTTAGGTCCTTTGGATTGAAAGGGACAGAAAGTCTCATTCAGGCTGCATTCAGAAAGGGTCCACCTCGTGAATGAAAGAATCTAGTCAATGATGCCCAGTAGCTGCTAACATCACAAAAAGAGAGATGACCAGACATCATGCATCTCATGATGACACCGTTGCACATATCACCATTTCTGAAGGAGTCTTGCCAGAAGGCAAATGTGAATCTCATCAAGCCTTAACCCAACTACCAATTTACAGGAAATACAACTGACAGAGGAACACAGTAAAAGACATCACAGACATGCAATTAGCAAGATCCAGAATATGGGAAACTCTACAGAACAAATGGTCTCATTTCTTCAACAAATAGATTGGATAAAGAGAGAGAGAGAGATGGAGGAAGGGGAACATATAGATAAAAAATGCTTAAAATACATATCAACCAATCACAATATGTAGAGCTTATTTCGATCCTGGTTCTAACCAACTGTAAAACAAAAAATCCTACAGCATTTAAGAGATAATTGGAAATTTTAACATTCATTGGATTGTTTATGACATTAAAGATTTATTATTAATTATTTCACATGTGATAATGGTGTTGTGTTTGGCTTTTTAAAAGACTGCTGTGTTTAATGTAAAGGTACATACTGCAGTATTCACAGATGAAATGATATGATATCTGGGGTTTGCTTCAAACTGCTCTAGAAGTGAATATTTATAATAACATTGTTCATAATAGCCAAAAAGTAGAAACAACATAAATGTTCATCAACTGGTGAATGGATAGACAAAATGTGGTATATCCATACAATGAATTATTCAGCCATAAAAAAGAATGAAGCGTTGATAAATTCTATAATGTAGATGTACCTCAAAAACATTATGCTAAGTGTAAGAAGCTAGATGCACAAGATTACATGTTGTATTATTCCATTTCATGTAAAATGCCCAGAAAAGGTAAATCTGTAGAGACAGAGAGCAGATATGTGGTTGCCAGGGTCTCAGGATGGGAATGGGAGTGAAGGAAAATGGACACAGGGAATCTTTTCAACACGATAAAAATATTCTAAAACCGAATTGTGGTGATATTTGTGCAGCTCTGTAAAGTTACTAAAAGACATTGAGTTTTACACTTAGAAGGGGTGAATTTTATAGTATGCAAATTATGTCTCAATAAAGCTGTTTTGCTTTTAGTGCTCCAGAGGATAGGAGGAGTGGGTGGGAATTAAATGAAACGAGATTGCCCATGAGTCAGTAATCACTTAAGCTGGGTGATAAGAACATGGGGTTTGTTAAGCTATTGTCTTTAATTTTGCGTATGCTTGAAAATTTCAACAATAAAAAATAAAAATTAAAAACTGAGATGAGGGGCTTGGAAGTTGAAAGTCGTCAGGAACTAAGTCTTCTCTGGAGGCCTGCTTCTCTGTTTCTCCCCCTCATGTGCCTCTCATGATATCTCTACATCTCCTGCCCATTGCCTTCCCACAACCAACTGACCAAGCCTCTTGGCATTCTCTAGCCCAAATGCCAAGGCCACTGTTAGGCAAAACCCTTGGTGCCAGCCTAGGTAGGAACCAGATGTCCATTTCTGATCCAAACAGCCCACACCAAAATCAAAAACAAAACTCACAAACAATGATGTGACCCCAGTTTCCTGAGTAGATAGCTATGGAATTGGCTATTTCATCTAAAACCAAAAGTTAAGCACAGCAGACATTAGTATGCCCCATATAGCCCCTATTCCTACCATCCCTACCATCCATGGATCATAAAATGAGCCATATCATTTCTGGAAATGCCTCTGCTGGACATGGCTCCAGCAGTTGAATCTGAGACTGAGAGCATCACCTGCGAAACAAGAGCGAACAAAAGTGATGGAAAGTGTCCCCAGCCAGTATTGGATAGCAAAGATGCTAAGAGAGGTCTAAGAAGAAAGAAAGGAAGAAAAAAAAAACTTCTAGGCTGAGCATGGTGGCTCACACCTGCAATCCTAGCACTTTGAGAGGCCAAGGCGGGAGGACTGCTTGAGGCCAGGAGTTCAAGACCAACCTGACCAACATAGCGAGATCCCATCTCATAAAAAGAAAAAAAAAACCATATAATTTTTTAAAAAACAAAAACTTCAAAAGGAGCAGACCTGAGTCTGCCTACTTGTGGAGTGGCAAGTAAGTGATAGTGAGTGGATCATTAGCAGCAGTTCACCCCCGCCACCTCCGAAGTGATTGATATTAAACCGTTCCTGGGGTTATTTCCCCACGAGCGCATCCACAGCCACCCACAGAAACAGCATGTTGCCCTAGGCAAGGAAAGAGCTACATCTGAGCAAAGAAAGCTATTCAGCCTCCAAGCCCCATTGGTGTGTCCCACCTGAATACATGACTGGAAAAGTAGGACTCCTCCTGTCACAATTACACTACAGCTGTCACTCCTGCTCTTGGGATGGGCCAATACCAAGAGTAAATTCATGATGCCAAGTAGATGCCCAAGGCTGACACAATTAATTTCAATTAGCTGACCCCCCTCTTCCTCTGCCTACTGTCTCCAAAGGAGCTTTTCTCTAATGGTACCAGACTAGCCAAAGCTCTTTCACAAGCTCCATGTCTTAGATCGTCACTCTCCATAATTGTTCAAGGTGGTGTGTCCATCCAGCAGTCAACTCAGCTTAGCCTTTAGAAAGGACATTCTGTTGCAAAATGGACCAAGCCCAGTTATATTAAAGATGATCTGCCTACACCACACAACACCTCAGTGCTTTTTGCCCACTCCTTCAAATTTCCACTCTCTGGATCCCAACATCCCTCTCACATTTCTCCCACAGCTCCATGGCACCCACAGGAAATCATGACATCTCCATCAAGAAATAAGATACCAGGGCAAGAGAGGTTCCCCCTAAGAACATTCCCTCTCCTCTATTATTTATTTTTTCTTAGGCTCACTTCTTTTGTAGGCCACTGGCTTTCTAAGTCTATTCATTTCACCCTTATTCAGACTGCCACTTTGCATTTCAACATACTTCCCCCTCAAATAAGCATTTATCTTACTGTTCACTTGGCTGTTTTTAAATAGATTTTGGGGGTTATAATAGAAAGCAGTGGAATCTCCTTCCAATTTGCCAATGACAGAAGCACTTGCCAGCCATTCCATGTCCACCAGGAATCCTTCCACCAGAGAAAGCTCCTTGGCCTGAGAGGCTGTGAGAATCTGCTCGTTTGGCCCTCATTCCCTCTCCTTTTTAATTGTTGGTATGGCTTAGTATAACTTTTCAGCTATAGAATTAGTGTCCAAAAGCCAATGGCTCCTTCCAGAAACAATCAAGGCTCTGGATCAATTCTGGTGGTTTGTTGATCAACCACACTTGTTCTAGTCCATGAAGTCAGAGTATAACCAAGCTGCTGGGGAGGCCACTGAGATCAGCACAGGCTAGGAGCCATCTTCTAGAGCAAGGGTTTCTAACCAGCGTCCCTGGACTCCAGACTCTATGGATTGCCTTCATAGGTCCATGAACCCCTTGCAATTGAGTGTGTGTGTGTGTGTGTGTGCATCCGCATGCACGTATGCTATGCCCACTTTTCTATAGTTAGAGTTCCTAGCTTGTATCATCTTCCCAAAAAAGTCCCTAATCCAAACATAAACTAAAAAGGCAAAAATCACTATTCTCAAGAAACTCTAAGCTTGGTCAGCAGTGCTTCCCAGCGCATTGTGGAAAAAGTTAGAGAGCCAGAGTACAGGGCTGGCGTGGTGGAACTGGGAACTTTAGGACCCTTTTCTCCACAGCCAGATAGTCCCAGGCACCAACCCAGATATGAATCCAGAGCTCAGGTTTCAGATACTGGAGGGGTTCAAAAATGTTGCCGAGGGCTGAGTCAATCTGAATCTAACTCCTTACTTATGGGCAATAATGAACATTAACAAGGCGGTGATGCACACCGAACCACTGAGACCACATTTCTACATCCCCATCCCTCCCGTAAGCCAGATCCTTCATTAAAATGAGGAAACTGAATTGAATCCAGAGAAGGAAAAGGACCTACCTTCTATCGTACAGACTGAATGTTTGTGTTTCCCCGAAGTTCATGTGTTGAAATCCTAATCCCCAATGTGATGGTATGAGAAGGTCATTAGGAGGTCATTTGGAGGTCATTAGATCATGAGGGTTAGGCCCTCATGAATAGGTTTAGTGTTCTTATAAAAGAGACCCCAGAAAGCTCTCTATCTCTCTTCCCACCATGTAAGGATACAAAAAGAAGACAGAGGTCTGCAACCCAGAAGAGAATCCTCCCCAGAGCTCTGCCATGCTGGCACTGGGATCTCAGACTTCTAGCCTCCAGAACTGTGAGAGATGGATTTCTGTTGCTTATAAGTCTCCCAGTCTATGGTGCTTTTCAATAGTAGCCTAAACTGACTAAGGCAGTGACTGAGACAGGCTAAAAGCCAGATTCTCGAACACCATAGATGATCTCAAAGCACCCACTGGCTTTATCCATCCTCTTCCTGGGCTCCTATGGAATATGGAGGCCTATGATCAGTACTCATCAGGTTAATTGTGAATAAAGTCCTCAAAAATGCTGATCCCAGCACAACCAGGGCCAGCAACCCAGTGGGAAAGGGAAAGCCAAAGAAATCCACCACATGCTTATTTACTTCATTCTAGCAAATAGAACCTTGACCAAATGTAAACATTAGGAAAGAATTTGAAAGAAAGAGTTAAACAAACGAGTCAATAACCACAAGAGGCCTGTAGACAGTTTTAAAAAAACATCTTATAGACAATCCAGGGTATGCCGAGAGTCCAAAATCCCAGAAACGTGGAAACAATCATGTTTGAGCAACTAAATAGCCAAGTGAGACAGATGAGCAGTGTGAAAGGAGCTCAAGCAGAGGGAACATAGACACTCCCCACAAATAGAAAGTCAGAGGCAAACTAAAAATCAGGGAACACCAATGGAACTGGAGAAGAACCAGGCAAGGTACCTGAAAGCCAAAGCTTAGAGCCCATTGAGGTAGTCTAGGGAGAATGCCAGCAAGACAATCCATCAGTGGGAAAAATCAACAGCTGGGAAAGCGGCTCTGCTTGGCAGGCCAGGAAGTGAATGGATACCAAACTGGATATCACTGGGATGTCCATTTCTCACAGCTCATTGAAATTGTCCATGCACTGAACCAGATAGGGGCAAATGCTGTGGATGTCCAAGGCCTAAAGAATAGCCTAAATATGCACCCTTCACTAAGACTGAGGGCTAAAATATTCTCATGAAACTAGGTCAATAGATACAGCTTGTCCTTACCGAGGGCCCACATGACAAAGACTGGAACCTTGCCAATATGAGTTCCATTCATAAGATAGGTTTCTAAAGAGACTCTAGGGTACATGCTTGCAAACACGTGATTTTTGTAACAAAAGATGGGCTCAATGACCACTTGGACAACATTTTACACAAGTGGTAGTCATGCATGACCTATCTATCAAAAAGTTTTAAATGGTGAAAACACACATAAATAAAAAAGGGACCATGAAAACATAGTGCCAAATCACTATGGGATTGAGGTGTGGTTGTATCATGAATAAGCAACAGGCATAGGGACAGGGAACAGAGGAATAAACCTGATCTTCTCTAGGGAGAGAAGTGTAGACACTATGGCCTCCCATCAAAGACTGGTGGAGAGATATGTCTTATTTGACTTACTCAAAAATTATGTGGAAGAGAATAAGTCTAGTAAAAACTTCAGGTTTCCAGGCAACACCCAACCTTTCTGGGTAGTAGCATGTTAAGCTCTTTAGATTAAACTGCAGGAAGATGCTGAGAAGCTGTGTGAGTGGGCTGGAAAGTAGCAGGTGAGCATCAGTGTAGGCAAGTGTAACATAACGCACTGAGAAAAAGAATCCCATTAACCATTCAAAATAACACACCAAGCAATCAAGCCTCCTTTGTACAAATCCTCAGGACATCTGCATCAAAAAATGAAAGGGCAAATTTTGCTATTAGATCAACTGAGTAATATAGAGGTCATCCAGCTCAGACTCCTCCCTTGAGAGATGAGGATATGAAGATCTAGAGCCAGAACCAGGATTAGAACCCAGGCCAGAACACTTTGTTCAAGACCACAGTCCCTGGATGAGATTATCAGCCTTTAAGCATCAGCAGACAGACCAAGGGTCTTGGAAACAGTGGACGTAATGGAGGGATCATGGGTTGCCATGTCAGATATATTCAAATCCCAGCTCCTTTTCTAGCTATGTACAAGTTAAGCAAGTGTCTTCACCTCTGAGTCTCAGTTGCGTCAACTGTAAGATGGGAATCAGGACACACACTTTGCGAGGTTGCTATGAGGATGAGAAATATTTTTAAAGTGCTCTACCAAAGGATCTGAATAGATATTTCTCCAGAGAAGATGCACAAATGGCAACACACACATGAAAAAATGCTTGACATCATTGGTCAGTATGGAAATGAAAATCAAAACCACAATATGACTCCACTACACATCCATTAGGATGGCTATAATATTAAAAAGTGGAAACCAACAAGTGTTGGTGAGGCTGTGGAGAAGTTGGAACCCCCATACATTGCAGGTGGGCATATAAAATGTGGGAAACAATTTGGCAGATCCTCAATCAGTTAAACAGAATCACCATATGAGCAAGCAATTCCACTCTTAGGCATATACTCAGAAGAATTGAAAACAGGTGTTCAAGCAAAAATTCATATATGAATGTTCAAAGCAGCACCATTCGCAATAGCCAAAAGGTAGAAACATCCCAAATGTTCATCAATTGATGAATACATAAGCAAAAGGAGGCATATCTGTACAATGAGGCCAGGCGCGGTGGCTCAGGCCTATAATCCTAGCATTTTGGGAGGCTGAGGCAGGCAGATCGATTTGAGCTCAGAAGTTCGAGACTGGCCTGGGGAATCATAGCGAAATCCCGTCTCTACAAAAAAAAAAAAAAAACAAAAAAAAAAAATTAGCCGGGCATGGCAGCACACACCTATAATCCCAGCTACTCAGGAAGCTGAGGTAGGAGGATCTTTTGAACCCAGGAGACGGTGCTTGTGGTGAGCTGAGACCGCACCACTGCACTCCAGCCTGGGCGACAGTGAGACACTGTCTCAAAAAAATAAAAAATAGAGTAATAAAGTAAGGAATAAGGGACCACATGCTGTGTGGTTCCATTTCTATAAAATGGCCAGAAAAAGAAAATCCATGGAGACAGAAAGGATAAGTGATTGCTGGGGGCTGATGGGTGTGGGATGATAGGGGACCATTAGCTGAAGGGTAAGGAGTTTCTTTTTGAGATTGTGAAAATGTTCTAAAATTGACTTTAGTGATGATTCCACCTATCTGTAATTATACTAAAGTCAGTTGAATTGTACAGTTTAAAGGGATGAATTGTATGGCATGTGGATGATGTCTCAATACTGTATATAAACAAAAATAAAGTGCTCTACAGACAGCGATGTGTTGGTAAATGTTTAACATCTGACTCTCAGATGACAAAAAGTCCTGACTTGTAGTGTTGGATGCTTTTCATGGTGAAAATATTCCCATGGCCAATGTCAAGCAACCAATGTGCTATTGGTGAACGTGGAGCTGGGAAGAAATATGTAGAAGCTCACTGTTGTAGATTATTTGCACCACAAGATCACACATAGTAATAAAAGGCGATAAAAATATTAAGAAGTGATATGTTTTGAGTATTTATTACCTTCTTTTAATGTAATTTATTTAACTACAATTTTATATCATTCACATTTTAACAATTGCTTGCAAAATTCCTGAAAATGTAACAATCAGCTCTCACCAACTGGTATGGACCGTCTCCAGGCACAATGCTGCTGTGACCACAGACCAGTCTTTCTGAAGAATTTCACATGAGTATCTTCTAGAAAAGTGCAAAAACTTATATATGAATGTTCAAAGCAGCACTATTCACAATTCACCCTTTGCATTCCTCTGAGCAAAAACTCAAAACTTATGTGGCCATTCTAGTTTGGCTTAGACAGATTGATTTTTCCACCTCTAATGCTAATATCTGAGCATGGCAGAAATATTTGCCTAAATGTGGAAACATAATCCTATTTTCCGTAGTCTCCATTTTGAGGCATTTTGGCAAGATCTCTACAGCCAACAAACAATACCAACAGTTCAAGCAAAGCACCTGAGCACACTTGATGAATCACCTTTCTCTGGTTAACTCACTGGCTCCAGGGCACTCTCCTGATTCGTAACTGCCATCAATCTCAGTTCTTGTACTGTTTTATGAAGTCAAACTTCCGAACATCCTAACTCAATGACAAACAATATATAAATGAGCCTTCTAAAACCCTGTAGTCCCTGATATTTAACACAGAGCCATGGGAGGTTTGCAGTGTTTGATACTTTGAATAATTAATACTGATTAGCAATATGTCAGTTCTAACCATCCAATCCCTCCATTCAAGAAATATATGTTGTAGAACAAGGTAGGCCATTCCAATGCTCCCAGCACCTGATACCACACCAAAGTTATGTTGTGAAATTCTTGAGCCTCTGGGCAACTAGATGGGAGAAGATCAAGCATAGTTCTGAGATGAGCGCGTTTAAGGCTTTCTTGCCATGGACCTGGAGGTGACAGTAAGCAAAGCAGCTACAAAGAGTGGGCTCTGAAGTCAACCACACACTATTGGGGTGGCTTTGAGCAAATTATTTAGCTTATCTAACCAAAGTTTTCTCATCTATAAAATAAGGAATATTAACATTAACCACCTCTCAAAATTGTTGGAGAATGAGATGAGACAAGGAGTATAAAATTCCTTTCCAGGGATACATTTAAAAATACAACAAATTTGGCTGGGCGCGGTGGCTCATGCCAGTAATCCCAGCACTTTGGGAGGCCAAGGCGGGCAGATCACCTGAGGTCAGGAGTTCGAGACCAGTCTGGTCAACATGGCGAAACGCTGTCTCTACTAAAAATACAAAAAATTAGCTGGGCGTGATGGTGGGCACCTGTAATCCCACCTACTCGGGTGGCTGAGGCAGGAGAATCGCTTGAACCTAGGAGGTGGAGGTTGTAGTGAGCCGAGATCGTGCCATTGCACTCCAGCCTGGGCAGCAAGAGCAAAACTTTTTCTCGAAAATAAATAAATAAATAAATAAATAAATAAATAAATAAATAAATAAATTCCCTACGATAGGAAAGCAAAATAGAGTAGCGGCTAAGCATCCAAACTTTAAAGTCAATGTCAGTCCTAACTTCAAAATCTAGCCTTCTGTGTTCCTGAGTGGCTCTATGTAAACCATTACTCCATTCTGATCCTTGGTTCCCCATTCATAAAACAAGGCTAACGATGAGAGCATCTATCTCACAGCAGTCATTAAATGAGCAGGGAGAGGTCAGGTACTAGGTGAAGGGTAAATATTGAGTAACTGGGAGCTATTATCTGCCATGAGGTAATGACCAAAATTTTGCAAGTACTTGAGATGAGCTCACATTGCGTTCCCATCACAGAATGAAAATGGAAAAAGGATGCTGATTACTACAACACAATAGTACTGTGCTGGAACGCAGAGTAGACTGATGAGAGCCAAGACAGATGTGATCGGTGGCCTATGGTCCTCTCACGGAAAAGCCAGTGTTCTAATACCAGGAACAGGATCCTGGACATGTAAATCATTGGCTTTGGGATTTTTTTTTCCCCCAGTGATTATTTTCTTACAGTTTTATTTGGGTTTAAGAAAAGTAGATAAAACTGCACACATCTAAAGAGTGCAGTTTGATGAGTTTTGAAATAGGTATAAACCAAAAAAGCCATCATCCCAATCAAGATAATGAACACTTTTATCACCCCAAGAAGATTCTTTATGACCCTCTGTAATTTATCTTCCTCCCGCTCTCTTTTCGCTCATCTCAAGGCAACTACTGATTTGCCTTATGTCACATTAGATTAGTTTGAATTTCTGTAATTTTACATAAATGGAATCATACAGTATGTACTCTTTTTTGTCTAGTTTCTCTCATTCTGCATAATTATTTTGAGATTCATCCTTCTTGTGTACATCAATAACTTATTGTCTTTTTTGGCTGAATATTATCCCAATGTATGGATATTCCATTCACTTGTCGATGGACATTAGGCTGATTTCTAGTTTTTATCTGTTACAAATGAAAGTGTTATAAACATTCATGTACATCTTCACATGGACAGAGTCATATGGTAGGTAGATGATTACCACTTTTTAAAACTGGCCAAACTTTTTTAGTGTGGTTATACTATTTTCCATTTCAAAAATCAGTGTATGAGAGTTATAGTTTCTCCAAATCCTTGCCAAAAATATAGTGAGGATTTACAAAGAAACTACAAGCATTACGATGTGGCCTGGCATGGTTTTCTTCATATTTCTTTTGCTTGAGTTTTGTTGAGGTTTTTGAATTTGTGGGTTTATATTCCCATTACATTTGGAAATGTTTCAGTCATTGTTTCCTCAAATAATGTTTCTGCCTCCCTACTTATTTCTGGGACTCCAATTAACATATATTAGGATACTTCAAGTTATCCCACAGCTCACTGTTGCTCTTCTTATTTACTTCTATCTTTGTTCTTTCTGTTTCATTTTGCACAGTTTCTATTACTGTGTCTTCAAGTTCACTAATCTCTTCTGCAGTGTCTAGCATGCTAATAATGTCATTCAGTGTATTTTCTATACCAAACGTATTTTTTTACCTCTAGAAGTAAGATTTGAGTCTGTTTTATATTTTTATATTTTCCATGTCTCGCTTTTACATGCCCATACTTTCCTCTACATTCTTGAACATATGAATTATATTTTAAAAGCCATTTTAATATCCATGTTTACTAATTCTATCATCTGGGTCTGTTTCTATTTAAAAATTTCTCTTCTCATTAGGAGTATATTTTCTTACCTTGCATGCCTTATAATCTTTTATTGGATTTCACATTTTGCAAATTTTAGCTTATTGGGTGCTCCTTTAAATATTATTGTATTCCTTTACTTATTGTTGAATCTTGCTCTCGGTGCAGTAAAGCCACTTGCAAACAGTTTGATATTTTCAAAACTTGTTTTTAAGCTTTCTTTTTTTTATTATACTTTAAGTTTTAGGGTACATGTGCACAACGTGCAGGTTTGTTACATATGTATACATGTGCCATGTTGGTGTGCTGCACCCATTAACTCGTCATTTAACATTAGGTATATCTCCTAATGCTATCCCTCCCCCCTCCCCCCACCCCACAACAGGAAGGGGAACATCACACACCGGGGCCTGTTTTTAAGCTTTCATATGTGGGATCAGAGCATACTTGACACTAAGGCTAGTTTGGCTCCACTACTGAGGCAATCCTCCTCTGAGCACTTAGTCTGATGCACTGTATCTTATGAAGTCTCTTCTCTCTGACTACTGGGAAACTGAGCTATTCCCAGTCTTGTGTGAGCTCTACAAATCACTCCTCCTACTCCTTTTGAGTGGTTCTATCCCAACCTTGCATACTTTACATGCATGTGCTGATCAGTATTCAGCCTTGAGGGAAATCTTTTACAGAGTTCCGGAGTACTCTTTCTGTGCAGTGCCCCTCTGGCACCTTGCTCTGCAAATTCTGCCCACCCTCACCTCCTTGAATTCTGAACTTTGTCTCCTAAATTTAGGCGGACTTCCAGGCTCAGCCTGGATTCTTTCTTCCTGCACAGAGGACTGGAAATTCTCTCTAGGTAGTAAACGGAGGCAATTGTAGGGCTCACCTCATTTGTTTCTCTTTTCTTGAAGATCACTGTGCTGTACTGTCTATTTTCCAATGTCTAACAACTATTATTTTATGTATGTTGTCCACTTTTTTAGTTGTTTAAGATAAAAGGGTAAATCCTGTCTCTTATTCTTTCATGGCCAGAAGCAGAGTCCAGCTTTCAATTTTTTTAATATTTGGGTCAGATTAGTTTTGGGTTTTTAAAAATAACACTCAGATAGAAAGTAGATGGCATCAAAGGTCATAGACTGACAGGATCCTTAGAGACTACCTAACATCCAACCCCTAGCCCCACCACACACACACACATTCATTTGGTGGATTACAGAAGTGAGATCAGAGAGAGGAAGGGGATCTTCCCAAAGTTACATGCAAGTTAGCCACAGAATTAGGGCTAGAATTCAAGTCTTCTGCTCTCTAGTTTTAATCCATCAAGTTATTTTCTGCTGATTTTCTCTTCCAAATTAGTTTATTTGGATAGACATAGCTTTGAAATCCAGAACTTCTGTACTGCCCAAACCCACAGAATGTGCAATATTAGCTCACACCCAGGTGGTACTTGATTTTGTTTCAGTTTTGCAAACACAGCTTCTAGGAGTTGGCCTGAAGTGAATTCCAGAGTAACACATAACACTGAAAAATGTAAAACACCCCCATGGGTAGGCACTCCAGAACAAAACCATATATTTTTCCCCATCGACTTATTATGAACTCGCTAAGCAAAAAGGAGTGTGACTTAGAACTTAGATTGACTGATTTAGTCTTTTTACCACCTATGGGAACCATGTGTCTGTCCTACAAAAAGAAACCATTACCACTGCAAATGCACTTGTCTTTTCACAATTCTAGCAACTCCTAGTCCCCTTTCACCTAGATTCAAAAATTTTATCTGAGCTGGGTCTGGGAGCCCTTCTGTCTTGTCTCTGCACTCTTCCTTGATGTAGCCTAGGAAATGCCCCTGCTTTGGAGTTAGAGTAGGCTTTAACTCTCAGCTCCAAAACTTATTTGCTGTGTGACCTTGGATAAGTTACTTAACCCCTCTGTAAAGACAGGGATGATACTGTCTTACATTGATTCTAAAGCACATTTTTTTTCACATTCTAGCATCTTTGAAATCAAGATGTATCTTGTTAGCCATGGTATGATGGTTAAATGTTCAGCATTTTTCCATTTCCTAGTGGTATGTACTGTGTCATGCTTTCAGAAAATACGGTATTGTTTCCTAACTTGCAGAGCTTCCTCAAGGATTTAATACAAGACAGCAAGCATAAAGTAGGCACTCAAGGACTCTTGCACCGTTTATTACTAGAATGAATGACTAGAACTAATACTTGGCTGAGTCTTGGGTTTCCCAACTTCCCTCATCTAGCTATTGGTACAGCAATTGGGGCAATTAGTCTGACAAGGTGAACAAGCCTGAGGCCGGCACACTACTGACCAGTGTTGCAACGTGTGATTGTCAATGGGACCTTGGGCCCTTTCTTGTTGGTAGCTTCTTGCCCTCTAGTCCTGGTCCATTAATATCATCAGCTTGATCGTGCCTCTGCTGCTACTGAATTATGAAGGTAGGGAAAAGGACTAGGTGACTTCTTAAGCCATCATCCCAAAGTCTCCCTGTTTCATCCCAAAGACTCTCCCCAGAATGTAATGAGGCTTGTCAGTTGAAGGGCTCCTTCAAGGCTATCAGAATCAGAGCCTGCAGGGCTGGAAGCCAAATCCACATTCCCCAAAGCTCCACCACATACTTCCAGTTGGGGAACTGATATTTGGATGTCTTTGAAATCCAAGAATACCTACTCTGCTCACATCTGGAGGGAAAGAGAAGACACCGGAGGATTAACCACCCTCAAACATCTCCCTATACAGAAAAATAGCTGGTATTTATTTCCTAGCACTTCTCTGGCTTTTTTCCTATCTCCGGCTGGCAGGCTTGTCTCAGTTGCAGAGGCCTCATCCCACCCAACCCCTTCCACTCCCTATTATCCCCCTTCGTGCCCAAAAGTGCAGCTGCAGACTCCATGAGCCCATCCCTCTGAGGCACCAATCTTTAACATGTGTCTAGAGGGTCCCCTGCTGGAACCTAGCAGTCTCGGGCATGGTCACAACCACAATAAAAATAGGAAAGGTCAAGAAAGACTGGCCTTTGTCTCTGGCCACTTCTAGCAGCTTCACTGCCTCCCAAGTGATTGTAAAATCATTGAGTCTGAACAAACTACCGCTTGACAGTGCATGCCACCCAGGATTCTGTACCATGGCCAGCACGAAGCTAGGAATTAATAATAACTGTGAGTGATTATCACGGAAACTGTCTCTAGGAAAAATGACCAGGTTTTTACCATTCAACCTTGGGGAGATAAAATCAGGCATAGCAGAAAAAGGACAAATGATCTAAGAGCAAATGCAGGACTCCAGATCCAAAGAGCATTCTTGAGGCCCGATTATACACCTGTCTCATCTCCCTGTCTCAGAGGCAGGTGACGAGAAGGGGAGGAGGTATCTCCATCCAGCCCATCAACCAACTCCAAACCCTGTGCTCATTCTAGACCCTCCCCAACACCTCCTTGCCCTTATTCCCTGTCAATTTGCCTCTCTGTAGGTCTCTGCTTGCCCCGCTCTGTTGGACCTGTCAAGACCCTCTTTGTCTCCTGCCACAGCCTCCCTTCAGCTTTCTCCATCCAACACCAGCCCTGATTTTAGAATATCGCCCTACCTAAAACCCACCAATGAACAAGAATGGCAAATTATTTACCCTTGTGAAGGCTGGGTAATAGGAACATGGAGGATTATTTTATTATTCTCATTACGTTTGTGTATGCTTGAAGTCTTTCATAATAAAACGACTCTCCGACGACCTCCAGGGATCTCAGGGTAAAGTCCGAAGTCTGCAGACTGGCATTCAAGACCCCTCAGGATTTGTCTCTACCCAGTTTAACCAGCTAACCTCCTGGCACTCACCATGCTGCAGCCTGTTTTCCCAGCCTTTGGAACTCAAGTCTCTCTTGCAGCCCTAGTTTTACCCCATGCATCTTCTTTTTACAGAACACATTTCCCCTTGTGCCCTGCCTAGAAAACACCTCCTAATCCCTTGGAAATCTAATGCAAATGATCCCTGGTCTGGGTCACCTTCCCTACCTTCTGGGGGCAGGGAAGAGGGGGCCTCCTCAGTCCTGATATACAACAAATACCCAGTATGTGTTTAGGAGAGACCAGAATGTCTTGGCTAATAGAACGTGTGCAATATTTACTTGAACTTAGGCAAGTAGGGTAATCTTTCTTGGCTTCTGCTTCTGTCTCTATAAAATGAAGATAATAGCGGTACTTATCTCACAAGGCTGGGGTAAAGATTCAGCGGTATTCTCTGTGTAAACAGTTTAACACAGTACCTGGCAGAGAGAGGGGGAGAAAGAGGGAGAGAGGGAGAGATGCTGACTGACTTACAGACAGACATACTTCAATCAAAGAATATAGTGGGTAATTATGTGGCTTGTCTTAAATGAAATGCTTCCAAATCCCACAGGGAAAGCACTGCCGCTTAGCTCTTCCTGGGAGCTAGAGAAATTCGTGGAAAATCGTTGACATTAAAGTCACGATTCCTTTCTCGGGCTCAGGGGCTATTCATACTTTGGAGGGTTTTCAGAAGTCGAGGGGAGTCCCGGGCCCTCCTATTTGGAAGAATCGGAAGGATAGTGCAGGGTCTGTGCCTGGGAGCTGGCCCGAAATCAGGGGGCTAGGAAGGCACGGGGTTTGCACGAAAATCAGCCCCGGTGACAATCCCCAGTCTGTGAGCTCTCGGTGGACTCGGGGCCCCAGGGGTGGGAACCCGGAGTGAGAAAATCTGAGTGGGGTCTGGTGCACGGCCCCCCACCTGCCAGCCCCGCTCCCTGGGCTGCGGCGGCCTCGTGCGTCACGGGCGCAGGCGGGGGCCGAGGGGAGGGCGGCACCGCAAGGTGAGGGCACCGCGCTGCCTTAAGACGCCGCGCGCCCCCGCTGCCTCTCAGAGCTTGCAGCGCGGCGCGCTGGCCGGACGTGCGGGCACAGACGCTGTGCCCCGCTCCTGCCGCGCCCGCAGCGCCCGCTGCCCCGTGCCAGCTCGCAGCCGCCCGAGCCCCGAGAGGCGGCCGGGACGAGCGCGAGGAGCCCCGAAGGACCTGCACGCGGCGCCCGCGACGCCACGTCTGCAGCAGCAACAGGTAAGCAGCCCGGCCCTACTCCGGGCTCCGTGGCCCCCAGCACCCGGCAGGGCCCCGAGCCTGGGAGCCCACGACGCCCCCTCTGAAGCGTCCCGACGGCTGCTGAGCTACCAGGCGCGGTGGCCCGCGGTGCGGCCCCTTCTCGCCTTTCCCTAGCCATCCTCCCGCCCTCGCGTTTTCTCTCTCACTTTTTCTCGTGCGTTCTTTTCCCCCTTCCTCTCCATTCTCTCGTTTTTTCCTCATCCTTTCCCTCTTCCTCTGCTTGTTCTCTTTTCTTATTATTTTTTGCTTTTTCTGTCTGCGTCTCTCCCAGTCTGTCTTGCTCTCTCATTCTCTCTCACTCTCACGCTCCCATTTCTTCTTTTTTCTTTCTTTCTCCCTCTCTGTTGCTCACATTCTCTCTGTCTCTCTGTATGTATCTCATTCTTTCGCTGTCTCTCATTTCCTTTTTGTCTCTCTGCCTCTCAGTCTCTCTCGCCCTGCCTTTCTGACTCTCTCCACCACCCTGCACCCCTGCCTCTTTTGCCTTTCTCCCCAGCTCCTTTCCCACTCCCCTCGGCTGTCACCGACACCAAGCAGATCCGGAGAAAGCAAAGAGGATGCCAAATTGGGAATGGGGATGGGGCTGTGGAGGGTGAGGGTAGGGGAGCTCAATAGGCATCCTCTCTGCATTTTCCAGTCTCCATTGCACTGCTGATAAACTAAGGGTTTTTTAACCAAAGCCCGCGGTGGCCGGGGCGGCAGGTGGTTTCCACGGCAAAATAAAGTCCACAGGGAGACAGAGATCCAAAGAGACAGAGATCCAGCCAGAGAAAAACCAAGGTGAGGGGCCATGGGAAAAAGATGTAGAGAAATAGAGATGCGCACACACTCAAAGATACAAAGCAAGTGTTTAGCCAGAGTCCTGGGGTGACAGGAAAGTGAAGGACAGAGAAACCAACGAGAGAGTGCACACACTAAAGAGATAGCTTGAGAGACAGGTGAGACAAGCAGTAGAGTGTTAGAGATCAATGGAGAGAGAGGCAGAGTAATGCAGAGAGAACTTAGGCAGGGAGAGACAGAAACCACACGGAGAGACACAGAGACAAGAGGGTCCGAGAAAGACAGAGCAAGCGCACACGTGCCAGTGAGAGACAGAAGGAGACACCCAGAGAACCCGAGGGAGACGCAGAAACAAGAGAGTTGGAGAGACACGGAGACGGGCAGAGACACAGCGAACGACATTGAACAGGTGCGCTAGGGACCCACAAAGATGAACTGCTGGGGAAATAGACTGAGAGAGAAATGGAGAGACAAGAGAGCACTAGGGAAAGACGGAGACACACATGAACTAGCGAGCGACACAGTGACAGGCAGAGACACAGAGAGACAGAATGGATCAGAAAGAGACTGAGGGAGAGACGGGCAAGACTGTGAGAAAGATAGGGAGCGAGAGCGCAAGCCCTGCAGAGAAAGTGCGCTAGCGAAAGAGACACACACAGAGAGACTGAGTGACAAACAGAGTGGAAGAGATAAATGAGAGTAACAGGAAAGAGACAGCGTGCACGTGCTATCGAGAGACGGAGAAACAGAGACAGACATAAGTGAGAGACAAGGATGAGAAAGAATCAGGAAACGGTGAGACACATACAGACACACAACCCGAGAGATAAAGAAAAAAAGTGCGCTAGCGAGAGACACTGGAGAAGAGACAGAAACTGACGGTCGTAAACAGACAGAAACAGAGAGCGCACGCGCATGCGCTAGCGCTAGCGACCAAAACTCCCCGGAGCCAGAGACAGTGTGAGAGACAAGCAGAGAAAGCGCACGCACGCACGCGCCAGCAGGAGAAACAGATGAGAGGAAATCAGAGCCCTGGAGAGAGACAGGCAGACAGATCTGGAGAGTCCGGAAAGGAGCCATAGAAGCTGCCCGCACTGGGGATGGAGCCGTGCGGAAACCCGGGGTAGGGGGTCCTGCAGCGTCCTTGCTGGGCGCGGAGGCTTCTCCCCTTGACGGGTGACTAACTCTGCCTGCGTGTTTCTTTTGTCACCAGCATAGGCACTGAGTGCGGTCTGTGCACCCCTTTGCCACCCACCGGTGCCGGCACTGAGCCTGCAACCTGTCTCACGCCCTCTGGCTGTTGCCATGACGTCCACCTGCACCAACAGCACGCGCGAGAGTAACAGCAGCCACACGTGCATGCCCCTCTCCAAAATGCCCATCAGCCTGGCCCACGGCATCATCCGCTCAACCGTGCTGGTTATCTTCCTCGCCGCCTCTTTCGTCGGCAACATAGTGCTGGCGCTAGTGTTGCAGCGCAAGCCGCAGCTGCTGCAGGTGACCAACCGTTTTATCTTTAACCTCCTCGTCACCGACCTGCTGCAGATTTCGCTCGTGGCCCCCTGGGTGGTGGCCACCTCTGTGCCTCTCTTCTGGCCCCTCAACAGCCACTTCTGCACGGCCCTGGTTAGCCTCACCCACCTGTTCGCCTTCGCCAGCGTCAACACCATTGTCGTGGTGTCAGTGGATCGCTACTTGTCCATCATCCACCCTCTCTCCTACCCGTCCAAGATGACCCAGCGCCGCGGTTACCTGCTCCTCTATGGCACCTGGATTGTGGCCATCCTGCAGAGCACTCCTCCACTCTACGGCTGGGGCCAGGCTGCCTTTGATGAGCGCAATGCTCTCTGCTCCATGATCTGGGGGGCCAGCCCCAGCTACACTATTCTCAGCGTGGTGTCCTTCATCGTCATTCCACTGATTGTCATGATTGCCTGCTACTCCGTGGTGTTCTGTGCAGCCCGGAGGCAGCATGCTCTGCTGTACAATGTCAAGAGACACAGCTTGGAAGTGCGAGTCAAGGACTGTGTGGAGAATGAGGATGAAGAGGGAGCAGAGAAGAAGGAGGAGTTCCAGGATGAGAGTGAGTTTCGCCGCCAGCATGAAGGTGAGGTCAAGGCCAAGGAGGGCAGAATGGAAGCCAAGGACGGCAGCCTGAAGGCCAAGGAAGGAAGCACGGGGACCAGTGAGAGTAGTGTAGAGGCCAGGGGCAGCGAGGAGGTCAGAGAGAGCAGCACGGTGGCCAGCGACGGCAGCATGGAGGGTAAGGAAGGCAGCACCAAAGTTGAGGAGAACAGCATGAAGGCAGACAAGGGTCGCACAGAGGTCAACCAGTGCAGCATTGACTTGGGTGAAGATGACATGGAGTTTGGTGAAGACGACATCAATTTCAGTGAGGATGACGTCGAGGCAGTGAACATCCCGGAGAGCCTCCCACCCAGTCGTCGTAACAGCAACAGCAACCCTCCTCTGCCCAGGTGCTACCAGTGCAAAGCTGCTAAAGTGATCTTCATCATCATTTTCTCCTATGTGCTATCCCTGGGGCCCTACTGCTTTTTAGCAGTCCTGGCCGTGTGGGTGGATGTCGAAACCCAGGTACCCCAGTGGGTGATCACCATAATCATCTGGCTTTTCTTCCTGCAGTGCTGCATCCACCCCTATGTCTATGGCTACATGCACAAGACCATTAAGAAGGAAATCCAGGACATGCTGAAGAAGTTCTTCTGCAAGGAAAAGCCCCCGAAAGAAGATAGCCACCCAGACCTGCCCGGAACAGAGGGTGGGACTGAAGGCAAGATTGTCCCTTCCTACGATTCTGCTACTTTTCCTTGAAGTTAGTTCTAAGGCAAACCTTGAACTGTCCATAACACGAGAAACAAGAGGAGATTTCTTTTCAATGGACCCACAATTCATTAATGCCAAACCATACCATTTCAGGCAAAGGTGTTGCACACACATGCTCTTCACCACAAGGTAGATAAATATATAGAAGAGGCAGGAACTGGGGTCTTTCCGTAAAAGCATGGACTTGAGGATTCTGACTGAAATTTTCCCCCCAAAGATTATTAGGCTCTACATTTCTTAAAGCAACAAGGGCTATCCATTTTGGACTTGTAGTTGGTATTCTATCTTTTCCAGAGCTACAACATGCCAACTTTAGCTCTGAAGGAAAGGGAAGATGATGCTTGTGAACTTAAGGACTTTTCGGCCCTCGGGTCGGGAGCTCATGGGCCAGAGCTACAGCTTGTGTTCAACTGAAAGAAAGGCAATGGACCAAATCATTCATGGAGCCCAAGAAACAGAACCTAATGGACTGATCAACATATGAGCCAAATTCTGAACTGAACAGCCCCACAGTCGGGTGCAAAGACTGTTACACAAACTAAAACAAAGGGCCTCCTACAGTTAGAATCTCAAGAAGGTTTCTAGATCCCCTAAAGGGATCCAGAAAAGTAGAAGGACATGTATGAAATGGGAAGCTAGTCCAAGGGAAAAGATTGAGAAATAACACACATCTGGAGAGCTAAACAGTTGACTTTTTTTCCTATAAAATCTTGGGTTTATGCATGGGCTGGAACTGAGGTCATTAAGTGTAAATTGTCAATTGACACAAATATTTTCTGTCTCCTGTTTGAATAATAGTGGGGCAGAAATCATGCCACTATTTTACAACTTCCCTTATGTGACTGAATTGAGATGCTGGTGGGAATTCTTCAGATCTCTGCCAACACTTCTGTTTTCTTTTGGTTTGTTTTTGTCAAATAAGCCTTTTTTAGTCAAACAGTATTTACAGAAAAAAAGAAATTCAACTAGAAGTGGCCTAAGTCCTACAAAATTCATGATGTCACTGAGGAATAATTTGTTCATCAGAAATATATTTTGTGTCCATGAGATCATAGACAATAAATGTGATCTCCACATGGGGAGCAAGGAAGGCAGAATGAACATTTTTCTTCCTCCAGGCACACCCATGTGTCTTTTCCACCTGTGGCTCTCTTTAAAGCTTTTAAGCTCTCTGCAGATGTGAAAGAGAAATATCAGAGAGTCAGAAATGACAAAGAGGATGATTTCACAATACCTAGAAAACATGTAACCTATTCCAAACAGTCCTAAAATCAGAGCATTCAGATCAGACATATCCTAATTAATGCTGTTGAAATAAATCACGTTGGGAAAACTTTAACAATATCTAAATTATCCCTAGGGTCAATTCACAGGAACATTCCTCAAATCCCAAACCGCAAAATAACTTTGGGCAGGGATATACATATACATTTCTGAGGGCATGGGCCGTATGTATGTGACCAAGTAACATGGAACCAAAAAAACAGTCAAGCCAGTGTTTTTGATCCTCCTACAGAACAAGTTAAAGCAACTCCAGAGTCAACCAACTGTTCATGCAGAAATCCACTGTCAATATGGGTGGAGGGAGTGTTTGGTTGAAAATGGTTAATCAGGTAGTTGTATGATGTAAGATGACCATCTTCAGAGTTTAGCCTCATTCTTGTGTGATTGTCATGCCTTTATTAGAACTCAAGTTTCATTTAAATAAATGCCCAGCTCATTTATTTTTTTTTATCTCTTCCTCCTCACAGATTTCAACATGAACTTCTCAAGGGGTAAACAGCAATGTATTTGGACTGTGAATAACTCTGCATGGGAATTTGGGATTGCCATGTTCAGAATTTAGGAAAGTAGAGGGAATAGAACCAAATAATATAGAGCTGACCCATCCAATAAAAATACCATGATAACCTTATTAATTCCAACTCCATTAATTTGGAACTTGTAGTTATTCAGACAAGGCATGGGGGCTAAAGTTTACCCTTACACTATCATTTATTTTTCTACCAAAATGCATAAAGTGAATTAACAGTCATAAATTTGTTCTACCAATTTATTGCCAAACTCTTGAACTGACCTTTCCTTAAAGGATATCTGGGTGAAGAAATGGCCTATGTGATCAATCCTCCTACAGGGGAGGGGCAGTGCCTTCAGGTCTGTTCAAATTGTCAAAGGAGTTCAAGGTAGCTATAGCCTATCCTTTGAGTAGAAATGCTTACTTGGGTAGGAAACAGGATTTCAAACATAAATGTCTCCAAACATTGTGTTAAAACTGAACTTCTTGTTTTATTTTTAAAGCTCACCCCCTTCAAAGTGTATCAGAGAAAATTGTTTGCCAAAATCTCAAATCAAAATGGAACCAGAACCTGTACAAGTATGGTAAGTCCATTTAACAGCACACACAACATTCTCAAGGGCACTGAGATTCCCTTTCCTTTTTGAAGTTCCTCTTTTCCCTATTTTAGTCATTGTCCATTATTTTGGTAAATTGGATTCCTCAAAAGTGAAGACCTTTTGAAACTATGAGCCTGGAAAAGAGGACCTTTTAATTAAGAGCATTCTGCTTTGATGACATTTTCTTCTAAATGAACAATAAGGCCTATGGTTAGCTTGGAGATAGCAAGTACTCGAAATTTTTTGCTATTTTGAATAAAGCACTATCAACTTAATGAGGTTTTACTGCACATACTGTTTTGTCATTTGAAAATCTGAAAGCACACAAAAAAAGTCATCATTAGCCTCACAGATCCTCATGTGCAATAGCTTTCCCTGAATGTTTTTAAAGGATGTATTCTTTTGCCAAGGCCACTTCATATGTGCAGTAAAAAAAAAAAAAAAAATCCCATTAAAGTACAGGGGCCAGACAAACCAGACTATGAAATGATGTGATTTTAAATTTAATGATTTTCCTTATTTACGAATAATAGAGCATCTAGTTTGCCAAGAAGTCGCAGGTGCTTTGACTAACACACCAATTTCCACAAGCTTGGGAAGGCAGTAATAAGGAGCAAGCCCTGGGCTTCTGTGACTTCTGTGATGCTAGGGTCCCACTTCTCTGAGACACCACAAGTACCAGCTGCTTGGAAGGCCTCTGCACTTCCAGCTCCCTGCCTACCTCTTGCCATCAGCCCACTGCCTTCACCTGCCTCACTCCCTCTCCCTCTGCTGCACTGGCCCTTCAGGAATAGTCCATGCTTGAAGCTCTGCGTGTTCACCTACTCCCCATCCATCCCTTCCCAACCCAGAGCTGACAGATTCACAGGGACCTGGGGGCCTATGGAAGCAGGGAAGGAGAGAAGTGAGCCATAGGAGCAATGAAAGGTATTTTTCTGTCTCCTACCCAACTCCAATCCAATTTAGAGATGACGGGATACCTACTTCAAATTCAACAGGTAAGGAAAAGTGCCAGTTATTATTTAGTAGAAGGTAGGCACCTAATTTTTTACCAAAAAAGCACTCGATATTACACATCATTGGGGGAATAGTCAATACTGTAGATACTGTCCAATTATTTCAGCAAAAATAGAACACTAAAAAATGTTTCACCTACAGAATTATAAGATGCCTAACATTGCCTTATTTTATATATAATTAGCCAATTAAGCTAGGTAAAGTTACTTCAAGAAGATTTTTTCATACTACCTGAAGAATAATTTACATGATTAAACTAGGCTTACTTAGACTTTGCCAAAAAAGCTTTTAAAAGTGTCTGAAACACATCATTTGGAAGAAAAAAAATACGCATCATCTGGTAATTTGGACTCTCAAGATAAAACTCTCATGGGTTGTTGGGATAAAACAATGAGCAACAATTTAAACTACTGGACTGTATTTTTCTCTCATAACCACCCTGCCCAATATTTTGAGGAAAAAAATAACGTGTTTTCCCCTCATAATGTCTTTTCTGTTGTATTCCTCTTTAAGAAAGACCTCACGCTGTCAGGAGAGGTTTCTCTAAGCAAAATGCCGTTTCCTTCTAGACCAGACAAAAGATTACAGGAACAGTTAGCTGTTAGCCAGTGGCCAAGATAAGGAGAGAAAATCTGGCCACTCAATGGCTTTTAACCCTCTCCCTCCTTATCTCTTCCTCTTACTTTCCATGGGCTGGACTAGTGCTCTCGGCCCCTCAAAGCCCCTCTAAGCTAAGGCATGAGGAGACAGAAGCAATGAGCTGGAAACAGCAAATGCGATAGTCTAAAATCCAAAAAGAAGAGAAATCCTTGTCATAAATTCTTTCCAATTACTTAGCAATGATCTCTTCCTCTACGTCAAATGCCCAGCTTGCTTACAGCAGTCTTTTGCCCTAAGCAACAAAACTGGCTAGAGGAAGAAACAGTGAAGCTAAAATCCACTGAACCTGGCCACAGATTGCCAGGTCACTGACAAGTTCACTGCTCTTTGGTAAATAGAATAAGAATCCTCAAGGTAAACGAAGGTTGCTAATAGGTGTCAAGTGTTTCCATCATTGCCTCCCAAAGCCTCCATATCTCAGAGTACACACACCAAGGGAAAACCACAGTGACTTAGACACTCAGCAGGAGGTTTACTATGTCTGAGGAATAATTATTCTATCTGTCTTGTTCTAAAATGTAGAGAAAAACAAGATTGGTTTTAGTTTGATGTTTCAAACGTGAGTGGATTTTCCCCCCTCTTCATCTGTGCTACAACTTTAATGTTAAAAGTTTGGTATTTTCATCTTTAGTGATGTAGTATTTTTTGTAGTAATTCTCCTAAATGTAAACTATAACTGTATATAAAATGTAAGTGTTCTTGGAGATACGGTGCTAGATATTAGATTGTGTTTGTAGATAGTGTTGTCCTCAAAGGTAGTATGTACTTGTAAAGTTAGTTAATAAAATGCATGCCAAATTCTATGTGTGACCTACAACTTAGTCAGTTTCTGATGTAGAACATGGTACATTTGTTTTTTAAATTTATTTTTGAAGTATATACTACAGGATATGTAAAATAGTGCCAAGGTGGGGTTGCAGGAAGTGTTGCCTTTCATTCCTTAAATCCCTAATATGATATATGACAGGTGAGGACTTATTCTGGTACAATTGGTCATTAGTGTGAACTAATCATCGTGGCTGAAGTCCTTGCTGACAGTTTTCCACAACACACTTGGCACTGGTGTGCCTGTTTTCTATTCACTGAATATATAGAATGCAAACTCAAAGAAGACCATCCTTCTCCATTAAAAAGGAAGGACTCCAGGATAGGCAAGTAGAGTCCAGTTAGCAGGACGAAAAGAATACTGCACCCTGAAGACCCAACCAACACCTGACCGTGAACTGACAGGTTTCGCGCTTGGCAGATCCATAATGTGACCATCCATGCCCTCCTAAAGCAGTAGCAAAACCCAGAAAAAGGCTGCTCTGTTTTTCCCCCTTTGGTTGGTTGTCTGAGAGACAAGATAGAGACAGCATGGATGGCTAACTAGATAGAGAGGTAGTGGGACTCCTCTATGGGGTCACAGCTACGGTGTTTGATAGTTACAGTACTGTATCAATGGAATTTGTGTCAGACAAGAAAAGAAAACTATAAGATGATTTTGTTATATTTTCAGAACAAAATATTACAACTAAAAAACTATATATACCCTCATTAAATTGTTTTTAAAACTGCCTTTAATACCAAATTTTGTGAGCTGCTTTGAAACTGAAAACAGAAAAATGTATTTAATCAATAAATAGTTCTCTTTAATATTTTAACGTTTGAATTTAAAAGTTTCATTTTTCTTTAAAAACAGTAAGAATTTGTAATTGAAAAGTGCCTTCTCAAAGGATTGTCAAACTACAGTCCTGAGGCCAAGTTCCCATTGGCACGACTTACCTTCAGGTGCACAAAACAGGTAGGCTTTATCTTCCTCCCCTCAACAAGAAGAGAATCCCACTCACACCCCAATCAAATTCATAAATCAACACTATTACATGGGCCAGCAGTCCCAGAGATTCTGCCCAAGGCCAAGGTTTCACATATTGGTTGGCTTTAATTGGATCCTTTCTAAAATGGTTACAATGCCTTTTTTTTTCTTTTGCTGGAAAGGAATAACGGACTCCTGCTTGGGAAATGCGGAGAAATTGATGTTTGTGATTTAACTAAGTATTATTAAGTGATGTTTGTGTTTCTTAAATAGGTGCTGTTATTCTATCCTTGGTATATTCCTCTTAAATATTCTAAATAAAGTCAAATTTTATGTGTGTATCTGGTTTTTATGCCAAGATCCTTGAGGAAACAGTGAGGGAGACAGATACCTTGGTCTCCATCCCTTCTCTTTTGCTTGAGTGGAGGAGACAGGGGATGAACAACTAACTGCATTACAAAGTAGAATGAAATATATGGGCTCCAATATTTCATATTCCAGTATTCTAATATAAGGAATATGCAAGGGATGGAGAGGGGTCAGCAGGAAGGGCTTGCTGGAAGAGTATAAGCCTGGTCTTCTATGAATGAAAAGGATTTCAAAAGGAGGGAGGGGGTGGGCAGAGAGAAAATCTGGGGCCAGATGGTTTGTGGAACTCTCAAATGCCCAACTTTATTCTAAAGACAATGAAGTCTAGGGGCAAGGGATGGGGGGAGGACAGTGAGTAGCCTTTGTCTTTAGGAAACAGTACTGCCTAGCACCCAGGTCACCGCCACTGGGCTCCAGCCCCTGCTGCCCTACCACTCTAGCCCAGGCCACTTCCCTCCACGCAACTCAGCCCAGCCTGGCCTAGTTTCCACACACACCTTGGTTCAGCCCCAACTCACCAGGGTTTATAGAACAGGAGGGCAAGAGCACGTTCCCTCAAGCCCTCCTTTCAGAAAATGGTTATACCTCTATTGCAACCATTACATGTGAAACTACTGTACACAGATGAGATAGGCAAATATGTCTAAAACCTAAGAGCCCCTAGTTCCTATTGAGTCGAAGTACTTGACCTACTAGTAGCTCCTCTTCTGATACTCATTGGTAGCAGAGGAACTGCATGCCTCCTGCCTCCAAAGCGGTATTCGTGGGCCCACACTGGGAGGCTCAGGGAGCTATTCAGCCCCATTGCAATCAAAGTAAAGTGCTCTTCTCCATTTTTCACTCCAAAATCAAGCTAAATGCTGACTATTTCAGGATGTTCAAAGATGGCTGCCATGAGACCTGCAGGTGGCTGCCTTCACTTTAATCTATGAACGCCATCTAGGCAATGACATTTTCCAGCTGCAGAAATAAATGTGCCTTTCTAGCAAACTACTACCATCAATGCAAATAAGTGGGCTTGGGAGCTCAGATAAAACAATCAAGCAGCCAACCTGGTGGGAAAAGAGGTCCCTGAAGCTCAATATACCACTACTTAGTTCAGAGTATTTAGAGGAGAATAGAATTGGCTCCAATGGGCCTCATAACCGCAGTTTCTCCTGTCAAGCAGGGCTAAGGGCTCAGCCCTAGGTTATGAGACTGACTGGGAGAGAGTTGAGAGGAGGTGAAAAATTCCACTGTCAAGAAACCTTCTGTAGCCTTCTCTAGCCACTCCCTCCCCCACCAGGCTGCTCTAGGCCCCAGGCCCATTTGCCACCAGTCGTAGCCCTGACCCTTCCAATACAGACACATTACTGGCTAGTGAATTATTTTCTTCTTCCATGAGGTAACTAGTCAACTCCTTCTCCTCCTTTCACTCTATTTCAGAATGCAACTCTCTGACCCTATCCCTCCTCATTCCAATCTCCCATCCAGGGGCAACATAAACCCTTTGATCCCTGCACACACAAACAAGTACTCCTCAGCTTAAGGATGGCTTTGAGAATATTCCTTAATTGAAGGGTATGTGTAGACACTTTTCAAACATTTTCCTAAATGAGACCCATATTTATCAATACAATTTGATGTAGAAAATGTATGATTTTCATGACTGCTCTCCCAAAACTACAAGCTAGTAGAATACTTGCAATACAAATTCCCAGCATTTTGGGAGATGTGATACCTGACTATTGTTTAGGCAAAGCAAATAAACCCGAGAAAATTGACTCCAAAGATTTATTACTTAAACACAGCTAAGTCAAACTTGAACATTCTCAGCCCCCCTCCAAGGAACAGCAAACAGAAATAGACCACCAACAACTAGAAATGTGCAGATTTCACTGAGGAATAAGAGCATTATCTGGCATTTCATAAACTCTATGTGCTAAACCAATATGCATTTTTAAATGATCACTCAGATACAAAGGTGTAATACAGTTTGTATAATCAACTCCCATTAGAAAAATACACATTTTACATAAAATTTATTTGACAATAGTTCTGATGGAATTAGATGCTCTGAGCAATATGAAGGAGAAAAAGGAAAAGAAAATTTCATCTGAAAAACCAGTATGGTACTCAACTTTAATTTTTTAAAGAAATGTGCCTCCCTTGCTCTAATTGCTTTAATTTAAATCTTTTTAAGGTAGCTTTTCAGGAAAATATGATATAGAATAAATCTGTTTCCCAATCTGTTTTCTTCCATACAATCAGTATTTTGTGTCATACAAACTGAGGCCAGACAATGAGATTTTACATTTTTATATATATGCTTAAAATTATGTAATTAGGGGCACACACATATATATCTCAATTGATGTTCATATAGATATACAGATATTCAAGGGCAAGGGAGATGTGCTTGGAATCCTTTGGGGAAATACTTTACTCCACCTTCAGCACACTGTAGATTTTAGCAATTAACCAGAAACAGGAAAAAAATCCAACTGTCTCTGAAACAAAATGAAAAAGATCTTTGTTAGCCAGACGTCATAGCAAATGAAAGTAGCTTTCTCAAAAACACAAAGCATGTCAGTTTTGAGGTGGGCTACTGATTCTCCCAACTCTCAAGATTTGTACATTTATCAAATAAAAACCAACAGGTTCTCTTGCTGAGCAAACAGGATGAGCAACAGGGCCAGAGGCAGTCATCTGCAAACGGGTGTGAGAATCCATCTGATTGAATTCTGCAGGTCTCTAACCAAAGCAAGAAAACAAAATTAGTAGCTTAACTTCTCCATTTCAAAAAGAATAAAAGAGGTCCAAGCCTAGTTTCTGATACAAAAAAACTTCTTATAACTTGCTTCAATTTAGAAAATGTAAATAACCCTTATCACTACCCATAGCCAAAGGGGGTAATAATCTTGTTTATTTGCATATCCAGAGCATATATTAGTTTTATAAATCAAAGTTTTGTATCATTAAACTTTAACAATTTTATTAAACTTTTTTTTTTGAGACAGTCTTACTCTGTCGCCCAGGCTGGAGTCCAGTGGCATAATCTCAACTCACTGAAACCTCCACCTCCAGGGTTCAAGCGATTCTCCTGCCTCAGCCTCCCGAGTAGCTGAGATTACAGGAGCCTGCCACCATGCCCAGCTAGTTTTTGTATTTTTTGTAGGGTTTCATCATGTTGGTCAGGCTGGTCTCAAACTCCTGACCTCAAGTGATCTGCCCGCCTCAGCCTCCCCAAGTGCTGGGAATACAGGCATAAGCCACTGTGCCTGGCCTTAAACTTTATTTAAACTCTAAAACCATCTTGGAGTCAGGTGCACTGGCACGTGCCTGTGGTCCCAGCTGAGGAGGCTGCGACGGGAGATCGCTTGAGCCCACGAATTCAAATGCAGCCTGGGCAACATAGCGAGCCCCATCTCAATAAATAAGTGAATAAAGAAATAAATGAGAAAAACATCTCATTTGGAAGGATTTATCCTAAAGAAATGGCCCCATATTCAAAAAATTACATGCAAAATGGTGATAATACTATGATTTATAAAAATTATATATATATAAAGAAAATTAAAAACAAACCAAATGCGACCAAAATAGGCAATTAGCTAAATTATGTCCCGAGTGCTCAATGAAATAATACAAAAATGACCAATGTAAAGACTATGTAGCAGCATAAGGCAATCTTTATAATATGGTATCAGGTGATAAAAGGCCTTAAATGATTCCCAGGTATCATACCAGTGTGAACATAATATAAGCATAAATATGTGGACCAGATAGAGCAGAGCATACATAAAAGAAGGCACCTTTATATTTCAGGATGATATAATTATGAGCAAATTTTTCTTTAATACATGATTTCATTGACATTCATATTATTAAAAACTTTTCAGATGATATTATGGTTCAATGACTTAATCAAAGAAAATTCCAGATTCTATAGTCTAATGGTGCACCCCAGGACAATTCATCTAGGAAAACATCTTACTCAATAAGGAGATGGCAGAAAGTTTTAGGCAGCAGTTGGTACCTTTTTCCTTGCCAGACTCCAAACTTAGGATAACTTTCCATCCAATATATCATACCACTTCCTTCTACTCTTCAGTGCTCATCAGGAATCAGTATGGTATAGTGATTAAGACCATGGGTATAGAGTAACACAGATCTACTCTATTGGTTTACTAGATGTCTGATCTTGGGCAAGTAACAATCTTGCCAAGCCTCTGTTTTCTCAGCTGGAAAATGGGGATGATAATACCTATTCTTACTCTAAGCTTCCTTCTCTGAATCCAACTTCAAAGGTTCAGGAGATGGCAGGTGTATAGCTAACACATGTCTCAGAATCAAAAACATCTCTGATTTTGATTTGCTGCCTATTCTCCCCATAAACCATTGAAATGTTTATGAATTCTCAACTTTTTGATGCTTTACCTAAAATACACAATTGTCTCCTACCTAAAACACAAAAATCCATCAACCCTCACACTATTTTGGTAGTCAGCTGAGCTAAACAATCTGGACTTTGGAGTCAAGCAGACACTTAGCTATATGATGTAGAACAAGCTACCTACCTCCTCTGTTTCTCAAATGTGAAAAGGAATTCCACTTATGCAACTAAGGCTTTTCCTGAGAGAAAAAGGACAAGATATATTAGAGTGCCTGTCAGAGTAGGCACTCAAGAAATGATAGCTATTATTAATGTTCTGATGTGGGGCTTGAAATTTATGATCACATGGGGTTTATCTGATTGGTGTGATAATTCTCAACATTGGCCACACATTGAAATCACCTGGGGAGATTTAAATACTACCACCTGGGTGACACCCCCAGAGATTCTGATTTAATTGATCTGGGATGCAGCCTGAGAGTCAAGATTTCAAAAAGCTCCCCTCTCAGCTAGTCTGCCCCTCCCTCCCTTCCTTCCTTCCGTCTTCCACTGAACCAAAGGGCCACTGAACCACACAAGTTAAAAGCAACTTAAAGGATCTGGAGAGATTAATTTTTTTTCTACAGCTGAATTGCTTGCATCACAATTTAAGAGTAGAAAACAGCAGATAAAACAAAAACGGGGAGAATTATCACCCTGATATCTTTGCTTACTTTTGCTTCAGGTCAGAGAAAGCACTAAACCAATATTAAAAATGCCCTAGCTTCTTTCTTTCTTTAAGATGGAGTCTCCCTCTTTCGCCAGGCTGGAGTGCAGTGACATGATCTCAGCTCACTGCAACCTCCGCCTCCCGGGTTCAAGTGATTCTCCTACCTCAGCCTCCTGAGTAGCTGGGACTACAGGCACGTGCCACCACACCCGGCTAATTTTTGTATTTTTAGTAGAGACGGGGTTTCACCCTGTTGGCCAGGATGGTCTCGATCTCCTGACCTCGTGATCCACCCGCCTCGACCTCCCAAAGTGCTGGGATTACAGGCGTGAGCCACTGCACCCGGCCGCCCTAGCTTCTTTCTAAGCTTCAGAACCTTTCATAATGATACAGAACCAAAAGACAATCCAACCACAGGATCCTGAATGAGGCAGTCCAAGAAAAGCAGAGAAACCCATTTTTCCCCTTTCCCTTCCCTAATTGCAATTCTACAATGAAAATAATTCAGTCTGATCCTGGGATAGGTATCCAACGTACATTTCTTCTAAGGGTTTCCCAATGTGGTCATATAACTACACTAAAAAAAGAAAAAGAAACTAGTTAAATAAAACATTTTGAAAGTCTACTACTTTCTATTCAACATAAACAAATCTTTTGGTGGGGGTGTGGTGGTGCACACCCGTAGTGCTAGCTACTAGGGAGGCTGGGGCCAGCCTGGGCAACATAGTGAGATCTCATCTCAAAAAAAATTTCTAAAGAGTCTTTCCACAGCCACCATGGAGACTAAATTCCAAGAACTTGCAGCAGTGAATAAGACATGCAGGAAAAAGATTGTCCATAAAGCTGGAATTTCAGCCACTGTGCAAAATAATAAAGGGAAAGCTTATTTGGGGATAAGGGTCTTGGGGGCCTTGACTCCCTTTAGCCACATTTCATTTTGCGTTCACTAAGCACTTTCTCTGGGCCTGGCACTTGCCAGGTAGTGTGAGGGATAGAAAAGGGGTTCTTGTAGAAAATAATCTCAGTTGGTGGCTGTGCTACACATCACTATTGATGTAGAGGTCAAAGTCGGAGACCTGGAAATCACCCTTAACTCCTCCCTCTTTTGCACCCACATCTTGTCAGTTACCAAGTCCTGCAAATTGCAACTCCTTAATAGCTTTTGAATCCCTCTCCTCCATATCCGTCTATCTCCACAGCCATGGGATATTAAGCCACTCCCTCTTCATCTCTCACTTAACCGTTTGTTGACTTCTCTCCCTACCTCCAGTCTTCCTCTCAAATCCATTCTCTACTCTGTCAATGTGATTGTGATATTTCCAAGCCACAAAATTTGATTGTCATGCCCTTAAAAACCTGGCCGGGCATGGTGGCACAAGCCTGTAATCCTAGCGCTTGGGGAGGCCAAGGCGGGCGAATCACCTGAGGTCGGGAGTTCGAGACCAGTCTGGCCAATATGGTGAAACCTTGTCTCTACTAAAAATACAAAAAAATTAGCTGGGCATGGTGGCAAGCGCCTATAGTCCCAGCTACTTGGGAGGCTGAGGTAGGAGAATCGCTTGAGCCCGGGAGGTGGAGGTTGCAGTGAGCCGAGATCATGCCACTGCACTCCAGCCTGGGTGACAGAGCCAGACTCTGTCTCAAAAAAAAAAAAAAAACACTTCCCCATAGCAAAAGTACTCAAGCCCTGGAGTGTATTAGGAACTGGTTAAGCCATTAGAAATACAGATCAACAGGGATTCTGACCCATAGGCTCTTGGATAGTCCCTGGACATCAGATTTATTGGTTTTAGTTGATGTTAAATAATTGCCGCAAGTGAATCTGATGCACGTCCAAGCTTTATCTGGCAAAAATTCCAACTCCTGGCCAGGTGTGGTGACTCCTGCCTATAATCCCAGTGCTTTGTGAAGCTGAGGTGGGAGGATTACTTGAGGCCAGAAGTTTGAGACCAGCCTGAGCAACATAGTAAGACCCTGTCTCTACAAAAAAAAAAAAAAATTAATTAGCTGGGCATGGTGGTACATGCCTGTAGTCTTAGCTACTCTGGAGGCGGAGGTGGGAGGATCGCTTGAGCCCAGGAGTTCAAGGTTACAGTGAGCTATGATGGCACCCCTGCACTCGAGCCTGGGTGACAGAGTGAGACCCTGTCTCTAAAAAATAAAATAAGTAATTACAACTCCTTAGTGTTGGCACACAAGGCCCCCCAGGGTCAGGTCATGACCTACTCCTTCAGGCCTTGTTCCTGCCAGTTTACACCTTAAAATTTTAAACTCCAGCAACCCCAAGTTATCTAGAGATATTTATATGCCATGCCTTGCTCAGTTGTCAACTTTACCTTCTACTTTTAAGATTCAGTCTTCCCTCAAAACATAAGACACATCTCTATCACTTTCTAGAGAAAAGTCTTTCCTTCCCTCTTTCACTCTCCCCAAGTGAGCTAAGTGCCCTCCTCTGTGCTTTCACAAAACCCTGGGCTTCAATGTATCAGGTTCTGCACTGCCATGCATGGAGATGACCCATTTAAGGGTCTTCTCTCTTAAGACTATAGCCTTCAGGCTAGGAATTAAGTCTTTAATCTTATGCCCCCAGTGCTTAGCATAGTGTTGGGCACATTGTAGGTGGACAATGCATATTTGTTAAACTGAAGTATTTAAATTAACTGCTTAGCAATGTAAGCTCCATGAGGATCAGGATTTTTATCCCTTTATAGTTTTGCTCACCACTAAAACCCCAGTACCTACAGCAGAGCCTGGCACACAGTTGACGTTCAATATGTACTTACTGAATGAATGAATGGTGGGACTTTGGAGCAGGCATCATAGAGTAAAGTTCTATAAAGCTGGGTTCAGACACATTTGAGGATTGGAGACTACTATTCCAGAGAGAGGAATAAAGTTCCCATAAAGGCCTAAAAAAACACTCAAAGCCCTGGCAGTTTTAAGGAACAGTAAGAACCATGACAGAGGGATTGCAGCATTAAAAGTGTAAGATAGACAATTAAGGGAGCACTAAAGAGGGCATATATGCCTCTCTACTCCTTGGCACTTGGGAGGCTGCAGTGGGAGGATTATCTGAGCCCAGGAGCTCGAGGCTGCAGTGAGCTATGATAGCACCACTGCATTCCAGCATGGGTGACAGAGTGAGATCCTCTTTTTTTTTTTTTTTTTTTTTTTTTTTTTTGAGAGAAGTTTCGCTCTTGTCCCCCAGGTTCGAGTGCAATGGCTTGATCTCAGCTCACTGCAACCTCTGCCTCCCAGGTTCAAACAATTCTCCTGCCTCTTCCTCCCATGTAGCTGGGATTAAGGCGCCTGCCACCACACCTGGCTAATTTTTGTATTTTTTAGTAGAGACGGGGTTTCACCATGTTGGCCAGGCTGGTCTCGAACTCCTGACCTCAGGCGATCCGCCTCGGCCTCCCAAAGTGCTGGGATTACAGGCGTGAGTCGCCGTGCCTGGCCTAATTTTTTTTTTTTTTTATAGGAGAAAACACTGCAAGAGTAGATAAGGGGGCCAGATATTGCATGCCAAGTTAAGAAGTTTGGATTTGACCATGTGGGCAACTGGGAGCCAGTGAAGATACATAAGCCAGAGAATAAGACAATCAAATTTGTATTTCAAGAAGATGATGATAATAATTGGCTTTTACTAAATTATATGCCTGTCTCTGAGTTACAGGCTTCACATGTGTGATGACATTCAGTTGTGCTTTTCTGAGGCAGGTACTATTATTTTCCGCATTCCACAAGGAAATGGAGGCTCAAAGAGGTGAAGTGACTTGCCTTATAATACATACCCAATAAATAGCAGATAGGAGTCAAAGCCGATTCTGCCCTTGATTGTTCTAGGAAAGATATCAATATGGGCTGACGTGACCAGAAACCACTTTGTGCAGAAAGACCTCAAAAAACAAGCAGCAGTTAGACAGGAAAAGGTAGAGAGACCAACCCAGTCATGAGATGCCAGAGGACGTGAAATGCACAACACAAGAATGCCAGAGAATGCAGCTTCTGATTACCTCTGGGGGAATAGAACACCTCTTTAAGAGGAGACTTTCTGTTGAAACTTTTTAGTATGATACTCAAAACTCGAAGAATACTGAACACCACAAGGCCCATAGTTAGTCTATAACTACTTGCACTGAGTAAAAGAACAGGACCCAGAAGTTTTCTGTATCCTTGAGAATAGGGATGACTGTGTCCTGTTCTCCTACAGAACCTACCACTTTCTTCGGTCCATAAATGTAAACTGAGATCAAAATAAACTGGAATTAAGAACGTAATGGAATTATTCCAGAGGTTACACTAGCCTTGACTCCCTGTATCCCAGAATCATGTAGTAAAACAGAAAGGATGTTTTTTTTAAAGAAGGGTTGAAGGGGCATGGGAAAGACCAGAGATATTCTATTGTCATCCTTTATTCCTGAGGGTGATATTGTATTGCTTTACATGCACCAGTCTTAGTTCCCCCAGTTAAGAGCAGTCCACTTGGTCAAATAGAGGACTACAGAGCAGATTTTGGAGGCACCCTTTAGTTGTTGGTTTGGCTCTAGCTCGAGAAAGTGCCTCTTGAGGAGGACATAGAGAGTTGTACTTTGAAAGAATGAGCTTTGAGGTCAGACAAACCTAGGTTTGAATGAATCATGGCTCTACCACTTACTGGCTGAGTGACTGTGAACAAGTCAATCTCTCTGGGCTTCAGTTGGCAATTGTAAAAATTAAGTGAGATAAATGTGTGCAAATAGCTGGCACATAATCAACTCAATAAAAATAGTATTATATCTTAATGTTTCCTTATTCTCAATTAATATGTTACCAAGCCCATAGAAGATGCTTAATAAATACTTACTGGTTGGTTAACAATCAGCATTAATACATTTTTATCTCTTTTTGATCTTTCAGCCTTTAAAACTGAAGATTTTAATAAGGTAGAGCTAGCAACAACTTGGTATAATAAAACACAAAAGGCCCCTTATAGCTAACATTTGTGTGTTAAGATAATTGGACATTTCCTTCAGTATATTTCATCTTGTTCTGTGTGAAAACATGAAATCTTCTTTAATTTAGTGATAAAATATTACACAGTAGACTGTCCCAAAATATACTGAACTTCATTAGCTTCTTTTAATGAATAAAAATATATTCAAAGCACAGACAGTGAGAAAGCCAACAGAAAAGCACTCTTCATTTGGCTAATACTTCTGGGTCTTAAAATCTCTTTGTAACACACTGGCTTCAGTCACTGCCCAGTGATTGGTGGTACAGGGTCTCAGACTCTCGACATAATCTCTCAAAATGATCAAAAATGTATTCTGAAAATAGCATTAACTCCCAAGTAAATGTAAGGTTCAAAAATGGCTCACTCTAGACCAGGATTTCTTGACAGCAGCACTATTGACGTTTTAGGCCAGATAATTCTTTGTTGTGGAAGCTGTCCGGCACACTGTGGGATATTTGGTGGTGTCCCTGATGTCTATTCACTACATGTCATTAGTATCCTCCCAGTCATGACAATCAAAAATGTCTCTATACAGTGCTAAATGTTCCCTGGGGTAGTGGGCAAATTGCCGCAGTTGAGAACCACTGCTCTAGAATAAGAGACTGCAGCTAAATGCAAACATTTTTAACTCCTTCCCTAAAATACAGATCATTGTATAAAATATTTAATTTACTACCCAATGGCAATGGCAGCCAATTTTTTTTTTTTTTTGAGACAGAGTCTCGCTCTGTCACCCAGGCTGCAGTGCAGTGGCACAATCTCAGCTCACTGCAACCTCCGTCTCCCAGGTTCAAGCGATTCTGTCTCAGCCTCCCAAGTAGCTGGGACTACAGGTGTGTGCCACCACACCCAGCTAATTTTTGTATTTTTAGTAGAGACAGGGTTTTGCCATGCTGGCCAGGCTAGTCTTGAACTCCTGGCCTCAAGTCTTGAACACCTTGGCCTCTCAAAGTGCTGGGACTACAGGTGTGAGCCACCACACCCAGCCCAAAGTTTGTAATTAACTACAAATTCCATTATTATAGTACTAGACAGCTTTGAGGCTTTAAGACAAGGAAACCCAAGTGTTAGATCTTAATTGATTATTTTGATCTTAAGTCCATTATATCAAAATAGAAATATATTATTTTAATTCACTTTAAGATTTTAACTCATTTGTTGATATCTAAAACAAAATCCTGAATCAAATAAAAAATCACTATCCTCCAATCCAAGCACTTTGGGAGGCTGAGGAGGGCAGATCACCTGAGGTCAGGAGTTCAAGACCAGCCTAGCCAACATGGTTGAAACCCCGTCTCTACTAAAAATACAAGAAATAGCCAGGCATGGTGGTGGGCGCCTGCAATCCCAGCTACTCTGGAGGCTGAGCCAGGAGAATCACTTGAACCTGGGAGGCAGAGGTTGCAGTGAGCCGAGATCGTGCCACTGCACTCCAGCCTGGGTGATAGAGTGAGACGCCGTGAAAAGAAAGAAAGAAGAGAGAAAGGAGAGAGAGAGAGAGAGAGAAAGGGGGGGGGAGAGAGAGAGAGAGGGAGAGAGAGAGAGAGAAAGAAAGAAAAGGAAGAAAGAAAAGGAAGGAAGGAAGAAAAGGAAGGAAGGAAGGAAAAGAAAGAGGGAAGGAAAGGAAAGGGAAAGGAAAGAAAGAAAGAAAGAAAGAAAGAAAGAAAGAAAGAAAGAAAGAAAGAAAGAAAGAAAGAAAGAAAGAAAGAAAGAAAACTAATTAGGATTTGGGGCAAGTCATCCAACCTTAATTGAAATTCATTTGCATTTATCTATAAAAATATAAAATTTCACTCCTGGTACCCTTTCTTGGTATGCTGTGGTTTATCCTCCCTATTCCTGTCCCTTGAGTCATATTTCGACTTTTCATTACACATCTGTAAGTGTGCTACCAAATAAAAATTGGGTAGAGGAACACCAGCCAGAATATGTATCACTTCCTTTTGCTCCAAAACCAAGAGGAAGAAAACAATGGGGTGCCATTTGAGACATGCTGCATGAACAAAAAAGAAAACTGCTTTTTCTTTCTTTTTAAAAATAATACCCAATGCCAGGCAAGGTCACAGCAGAAAGGCATTAAAAAAAAATTCATGTTTTTTTGACCCTGTCATCCCACTTCACAGACTATCTTAAGGAAATAATCCAAAATGGGGGAGAAAAACAAGTTCAATAGTGAAGAAATGGTTCAGCAAAGTAATCTGCCCAATATGCAGCCATAAACATGATAAATATGAAGGGTATATTGCAACATGGAAAAGTACTTACTATATAAACAAAGTGTCTTCCTACAGTCACAATACTCAATATTGAAAGGTGACAGATATCAATAGCACAGTGCAGTGGCTCACGCCTGTAATCCCAGCACTTTGGGAGGCCGAGGTGGGCAGATGACCTGATGTCAGGAGTTCAAGACCAGCCTGGCCAAAATGGTGAAACCCTGTCTCTACTAAACATAGGAAAATTAGCTGAGGCATGTTGGCGGGCGCCTGTAATCCTGGCTACTCGGGAGGCTGAGGCAGGAGACTCACTGGAACCCAGGAGGCAGAGGCTGCAGTGAGCCAAGATCATGCCACTGCACTCCAACCTGGGCGACAGAGCAAGATTCTGTCTCAAAAAAAAAGAAAGAAAGGTGACAGCTATTAAGTCCTGTACTTCTGCTGTGATGCTATGGATGAATTCAAGCACCAAAGGGGAATGTGGTGACCACAACGAAGAGCTTCGAATGAATGCATAATTATTCTAAATAAGTTTGAATCAATAAGCATGAATAAGTGTGAAGTTCCTCAGCATGTTTTAAATGAGTAAGTATTGCTAATTTTAAAAATGTCCACAGGAAGAAAGGGTAATCACAAATTAATAATTGTACTTTTATGTACATCTATATTCTCAAGCCTAATTATTTAATTAAGGACTTCTTCCTCACAAGTGAAACATGAAAATAGGTAATAAGCCTTGCTTCCTGCTACGAACCTCAACATATAATGATAAAATATAAAGAAATGCCATTTAAGAGTCTGTAAGAAGACAGCTTCTTAAAGGACAGTTCTAGAAAACAGATGTCAAAATCACAGTTCTTTATTTTGTGTGTGTGATATGAACGGTACCCAGAATTTACTTTGGAGGTTTCTCATACCCATGATTTAATTTTAAAACTGATGGGCAAAAATGATCCCATGATGTTATCTCCTCTCTTCCATACTCTATGAAGTCAAGAAGAATATGGGCTTAGCACTCTGAAGGACACAAAATAGGCATACAGTGTAGTCCCTGCTCTCAAGGAGATGCCGATCTAGTTGGGGAAACATGCTAAAAAAGTCAGGAAATGCCGGGCGCGGTGGCTCACGCCTGTAATCCCAGCACTTTGGGAGGCCGAGGCGGGTGGATCAGGAGGTCAGTAGATCGAGCCTATCCTGGCTAACACAGTGAAACCCCGTCTCTACTAAATTTGCAAAAAATTAGCCAGGCGTAGTGGTGGGCGCCTGTAGTCCCAGCTACACAGGAGGCTGAAGCAGGAGAATGGCGTGAACCAGGGAGGCGCAGCTTGCAGTGAGCCGAGATCGTGCCACTGCACTCCAGCCCGGGCGACAGAGCGAGACTCCATCTCCAAAAAAAAAAAAAAAAAAGGGCAGGACACAAGCTTGAACTTAGTGAGTAGTTCATCTTTCAGAGGCTTAGAAAACACACTGAATAACGGGCAAGACCACATTATGGAAGCTCCCAACACCAAGGTGAGCTTAGACCTTGACGGAGGAAGAAATATGATGCTATTACAATTTTTGAATAGGGAAAATGGCATTATCGCCCTGTTTTATTTTCATTTTATTTTTGAGGCAGGGTCTTGCTCTGTCACCCAGGCTGGAGTGCAGTGGCACCATCTTGGCTCACTACAGCCTTGATCTCCTGGGCTCAAATGATCCAACCACTTCCTGAGTAGCTGAGACCACAGGCACACACCACCATTCCTGGTTATGTTTTTTAATATATTTTTTGTAGATACAAGGTTTCATCATGTTGCCCAAGCTGGTTTCAAACCCCTAGGCTTAAGTGATCTGCCTGCCTTGGCCTCCCAAAGTGCCGGGGCTATAGAAATGAGCCACTGTGCCCGGCCTATTACACTGTTTAAACCCTTCAACTTCCCATCACTCCCACAATAAAACAAATTCCTTAATATCATTTACAAGATCCTCATAAGATCTGTTTCTTTCCTTTCCTTCCTGCCTGCTTCCCTCCCACCCTTTCTCTTCTCTTCTTTGAGACAGGGTCTCACTCTATCATCCAGGCTGGAGTGCAGCGGTTCAGTGATCATGGCTCACTGCAGCCTCAACCTCCCCGGTCTCAGGTGATCCTCCAAACTCAGCCTCCCAAGCAGCTGGACTACAAGCATGTGCCACCACACCCAGCTAATTTTTTGTAGAGACACGGTCTCACCATGTTGCCCAGACTGGTCTCAAACTCCGGGGTGCAAGGGACCCTCTCACCTTGGCCTCCCAAAGTGCTGGGATTATAGGCATAAGCCACTGCACCCGTCCTATTCCATACATTTCTAACTTCACTATTGCCACCTCCCTCCCTTGCCATGCTGGACTTTTCTGTGTTCTTTGAAGATGTCAAACTACTTCCCACTAAGGACTTCCAAACATGCTGCCACCTCTGCTTGGAACACTTGACCATCCACCTCTTCTTCAACATCACTTATTTCACAAAGCTCACCAAACCCACAATTTTTCTTTAATATGTCTCCCTTCCACTAGAAGGGTCCATAAAAACAGGGAACCTTATCTGTCTTCTTCACCACTGTGTTCCCAACACCTACACAGTGTCCAGCACAGTGTAAGCATTCTGTAAATATGAGTTGACCTGTTAAAAGTAATCTTGGAGCCAGGCGCGGTGGCTCACACCTGTAATCCCAGCACTTTGGGAGGCTGAGGCGGGTGGATCACGAGGTCAGGAGATCGAGACCATCCTGGCCAACATGGTGAAACCCCGTCTCTACTAAAAATACAAAAATTAGCTGGGTGTGGGGGTGTGTGCCTGTAGTCCCAGCTACTCAGGAAGCTGACGCAGGAGAGTCGCTTGAACCTGGGAGGTGGAGGTTGCAGTGAGCCAAGATCATGCCACTGCATTCCAGCCTGGGTGACAGAGCAAGATTCCATCTCTCAAAAAAAAAAAAAGTAATCTTGGACTGAATTGCACTATTTTTTTCCTTTTTTTTTTAAATTATACTTTAAGTTCTGGGATACATGTGCAGAACGTGCAGGTTTATTACATAGGTATACATGTGCCATGGTGGTTTGCTGCACCCATCAACCTGTCATCTACATTAGGTATTTCTCCTAATGCTATCCCGCCCCTTTGCCCTTCGCCCCACAACAGGCCCCAGTGTGTGATGTTCCCCTCCTTGTGCCCATATGTTCTCATTGTTCAACTCCCACTTATGAATGAGAACATGCAGTGTTTGGTTTTCTGTTCCTGTGTTAGTTTGCTGAGAAGGATGATTTCCAGCTTCATCCATGTCCCTGCAAAGAACATTAATTCATCCTTTTTTATGGTTGCATAGTATTCCATGGTATATATGTGCCACATCTTCTTTATCCAGTCTAACACTGATTGGCATTTGGATTGGTTCCAAGTCTTTGCTATTGTGAATAGTGCTGAAATTAACATACGTGTGCATGTGTCTTTATAGTAGAATGATTTATAATCCTTTGGGTATATATCCAGTAATGGGATTGCTGAGTCAAATGGTATTTCTGGTTCTAGATCCTTGAGGAATTGCCACATTGTCTTCCACAATGGTTGAAATAATTTACACTCCACCAATGGTGTAAAAGCATTCCTATTTCTCCACATCCTCTCCAGCAACTGTTGTTTCCTGACTTTTTAATGATCACCATTCTAACTGGTGTGAGATGGTACCTCATTGTGGTTTTGATTTGCATTTCTCCAATAACTAGTGATGATGAGCTTTTCTTCATAGTTTGTTGGCCACATGTCTTCTTTTGAAGTGTCTGTTCATATACTTCGCCCACTTTTTGATGGAGTTGTTTGTTTTCTTCTTGTAAATTTAAGTTCCTTGTAGATTCTGGATATTAGACCTTTGTCAGATGGATTGATTGCAAAAATTTTCTCCCATTCTGTAGGTTGCCTGTTCACTCTGATGATAGTTTCTTTTGCTGTGCAGAAGCTCTTTAGCTTAATTAGATCCCATTTGTCAATTTTGGCTTTTGTTGCAATTGCGTTTGGTGTTTTAGTCATGAAGTCTTTGCCCATGCCTATGTCCTGAATGGTATTGCCTAAGTTTTCTTCTAAGGTTTTTATGGTTTTAGGTCTTACGTTTAAATCTTATACCATTTTGAGTTAATTTTTGTATAAGGTGTAAAGAGGAGTCCAGTTTCAGTTTTCTACATACGGCTAGCCAGTTTTCCCAACACCATTTATTAAATAGGGAATCCTTTCCCCATTGCTTTTGTCAGGTTTGTCAAAGATCAGATGGTTGTAGATGTGTGGTGTTATTTCTGAGGCCTCTGTTCTGTTCTGTTGGTCTATATGTCTAGTTTGGTACCAGTACCATGCTGTTTTGGTTACTGCAGCCTTGTAATATAGTTTGAAGTCAGGCAGTGTGATGCCTCCAGCTTAGTTATTTTTGCTTAGAATTGCCTTGGTTATACGGGCTCATTTTTGGTTCCATATGAAATTTAAAGTAGTTTTTTCTAATTCTGTGAAGAAAATCAATGGTAGCTCTTCATGATAGGAATAGCATTGAATCCATAAATTACTTTGGGCAGTATGGCCATTTTCACGATATTGACCCTTCCTATCTATGAGCATGGAATGTTTTTCTATTTGTTTGTGTCTTCTCTTATTTCCTTGAGCAGTGGTTTGTAGTTCTCCTTGAAGAGGTCCTTCACATCCCTTGTAAGTTGGATTCCTAGGTATTCTATTCTCTTTGTGGCAGTTGTGAATGGGAGTTCACTTGTGATTTGGCTGTTTTTGCTGTATAGGAATGCTTGTGATTTTTGCACATTGATTTTGTATCCCGAGACTTTGCTGAAGTTGCTTAACAGCTTAAGGAGTTTTTGGGCTGAGACGATGGGGTTTTCTAAATATACAATCATGTCATCTGCAAAGAGAGACAATTTGACTTCCTCTCTTCCTATTTAAATACGCTTTATTTCTTTCTCTTGCTTGATGGCCCTGGCCAAAACTTCCAATACTATGTTGAATAGGAGAGGTGAGACAGGGCATCCTTGCCTTGTCTCAGTTTTCAAACGGAATGTTACCAGCATTGGCTGTGGATTTGTCATAAATAGCTCTTAATATTTTGAGATACATCCCATCAATACCTAGTTTATTGAGTGTTTTTAGCATGAAGGGGTGCTGAATTTTGTCGAAGGCCTTTTCTGCATCTATTGAGATAATCATGTGGTTTTTGTCATTGGTTCTGTTTATGTGATGGATTGCGTTTATTGATTTGCCTATGTTGAACCAGACTTGCATCCCTGGTATGAAGCCAACTTGATCGTGGTGGATAAGCTTTTTAATGTGCTGCTGGATTCGGTTTGCCAGTATTTTACTGAGGATTTTTGCATCGATGTTCATCAGGAATATTGGCCTGAAATTCTTTTTGTTGTGTCTCTGCCAGGTTATGGTATCAGGATGATGCTGGCCTCATAAAATGAGTTAGGGAGGAGTGCCTCTTTCTCTATTGTTTGGAATAGTTTCAGGAGGAATGGTACCAGTTCCTCTTTGTACCTCTGGTAGAATTTGGCTGTGAATCCGTCTGGTCCTGGGCTTTTTTTGGTTGGTAGGCTATTAATTACTGCCTCAATTTCAGAACTTGTTACTGGCTTATTCAGGGATTTGACTTCTTCCTGGTTTAGTCTTGGGAGGGTGTGTGTGTCCAGGAATGTATCCATTTCTTCTAGATTTTCTAGTTTATTTTAGTAGAGGTGTTTATAGTATTCTCTGATGGTAGTTTTTATTTCTGTGGGATCAGTGGTGATCTCCCATTTAACATTTTTTATTGTGTCTATTTCATTCTTCTCCCTTTTTTATTATTCTGGCTAGTGGTCTGTCTATTCTCTTAATCTTTTCAAAAAACCAGATCCTGGATTCATTGACTTTTTTGGAAGGGTTTTTCGTGTGTCTCTCTCCTTCAGTTCTGCTCTGATCTTAGTTATTTCTTGCCTTCTGCTAGCTTTTGAATTTGTTTGCTCTTGCTTCTCTAGTTCTTTTAATTGTGATGTTAGGGTGTCGTTGATCTTTCCTGCTTTCTCTTGTGGGCATTTAGTGCTAAAAATTTCCCTCTAAACACTGCTTTAGCTGTGTCCCAGAGATTCTGGTACATTGTGTCTTTGTTCTTATTGGTTTCAAATAACTTAAAGAACTCCAGAGACTAGAGTTCAGCAAACCAAGTAAGAGGCTATTGCAATGATCCAAGGACAAAGAAATAAAGGCCTGGATAAAGACTGTAGGAGTATGAAAAAAAGGAATAAATGGCAACAAGAGGTTTCTAAGAAGAATAAATAGGGAAGTTATGATTGATTACTATCAATCATGGAAGGTGATATGGTTTGGTTGTGTCCTACCCAAATCTCACCTTGAATTGTAGTTCCCATAATTCCCATGTGTCATGGGAGGGACTCAGTGGGAGGTAATTGAATCATGGTGGTGGTTACCTCCATGCTGTTCTCCTGATAGTGAGTTCTCATGAGATCTGATGGTTTTATAAGGGGCTTTTCTCCCACTTCACTCTGCACTTCTCCTTGCTGCTGCCATGTGAAGAACGTGTTTGCTTCCCTTTCCACCATGATTGTACATTTCATGAGGCCTCCCCAGCCATGCAGAGCTGAGTCAATTAAACCTCTTTCCTTTATAAATTACCCAGTCTCGTGTATGTCTGTATCAGCAGCGTGAGAATGGGCTAATACAGAAGGGCTATGTTAAGAATTTATTCAAAATAGGTCAAGGAGATCAGAGATTAGTGATGATAGTCAAAGAGAGAAAGAAATTAAGATAAGTCAGTTTGTAGAGAAGGAAGTGCTAACTTCATTTTGGGAGCATGGTGAGTTTGCAGTACCAGTGGGACATGGAAATGTTCAGAATTCAGCCAGATAGAGACTATGGTTAGAAATACAGGTTGGGGAGCAGTCAGCATTGAGGAGATAAGTGAAGCCATGGGACTGAATCAGCTCTAAAAGGGAGAGTATAGAAAGGAAGTAATGAAATACTGATAAAAGCTAGAGTTAAGTGACAGGAAGAGGAGGGAAAACAAGAAAAGACACAGAGTGGTACAAGAATCATCCAAACGATGTTAAAATGACTTCACAAAATAGATGTTGAGTGGTATTAACTAAAGAAATCAAAGAAGGCAAAGACTAGGAAAAGTCATTTAATTTGGTAAGAGATCACCCTTTGAGAGGCAGTGTTCAATGTGGTGTGGTGACAGAATCTAGAATGCAGATGCTGGAGCCAAGAACAGAAAAAGATTTTTGTAGACAATGTGACCATTCAAGAGTACATCTGTTTTAAAAGAAGCTGTTGTAATATAAGACTCCCAGAAAAAGGCAACCTGAGTCAAAGTGTTAGATAATGAGGAAAACGTAAGTCTGAAATTGTGCTGCATACATCCAACCTGCATACTACACAAATATAAAAGCTAGTTACTCACTGGGCAAGGTAGGAGGAGGATCCAAAACAAAAGACACTACACATCTACACACAGTGATGTGGAGGGCTCTCGCAAGCAATATAAAGGGCAAGAAACCAGCCACGAAAGAAATCAGACAGAAAAGAGTATTATTATGTGGTGTTCGTAAATCTATTTACATACAACTCAAAGATGGGCCAAATTAATCTATTCTGTTACGGGCTGAGGTGACCAGCCTCTTTCTGCACTTTGTGCAGAAAGACCTCAAAAAACAGGCAGCAGCAGTTCACGCCACATTGAACACTGCCTCTCAAAGGGTGATTCTTGCAAAATTGAATGGCCTTTCCCTGGTCTTCACCCTCTTTTGCATCTTTAACACCATTCCATACCTATTCTGTGAAATCATTTCAACATCATTTGGATGATTCCCCTTGTACCATTCTGTGCTTTTTCTTGCTTTCCCTCCTCTTCCTGTCACTTAACTCTAGTTTTTATCAGCGTATCAATCTTTCCTTCCTACACTCTCCCTTTTAGAGCCAAGTCAAGATAGTGGGTGCCCTGTGGAAAGCAAGTGGAAGTAAGTCCAACAGTGGCTTCAGGGCTGATAATCATGTACTGGTTATTGGTGGGGGTGCTAGTTACAAAGGTGTGTTCACTTTGTGATAACTCATCAAGCTGTACACTTATGATACATGCGCATTTCCGTCCACATGCTTCAATTAAAAGTTGTTTTTTTTTTTAAAGCATAAGGAGCCTACTCCTTGGACTAGAATGGTGAGAAGCTCTTAGGCCTTCAGTTTTAAATAGAACTGCTGGTGGCTGAGAGATTAGAGTGGGACTACATGGTCTCTTCTTTACTGAGCAGTTGAGACCAGTAGTACATAAGAGGTCATATATATTTTAGATATTACATAGAAAAAGGAACCACCACCAAGATGCCGGGTTTCTCAGATAATGTTTACATTTGTCTGAATGTCTTGATTTTTAACAAATGTCCATTGTTTATTTTTATATATTTGTTGAACCTGAGAGTTAAAATCAGAGAAAATCCTTGAACTTTCCAATCTGACCTATGCAAGTGATATGACTTGAGTTAAAGCCAGAACTTGACATGACACAGACAGAAATGCTACTTTGCTTGAGTTCAGAAGGTCCCAGAGCTCTCCAACTTCATTATTTCTCCAAGTGGAGCATTTTATAAAACATTCCATTTTTTTCCACCTGCTTCAAGCATCAATCTAGACAGAAGTTCCCATCACATATGAATCCAAGTAACAACCCCAAACGAATAATCCTGAGAAGTATACATCTTGTCCTTCATATATAATTGCTTATATGATGACATATTTAATTAATCTAATTTACTAATTTGAAAGTTATTCAAGTAGGTTATTTTTTATGCTTGGAGGCTGTTCAAAGGTGATTACACATAACCCTTTCTGTGCTTTGGAACATATCCCTGTTTTAAAACATTCACAAGGGACAGTCTTGTAGCTAAGTACATAAGGTCCCCCCAGGTCCCTCAGCTTTGCAATCTTTTATCTGCAATGCATAAAAATGAACATGATGACTTTGTTCCCTTTTCCTTCCACTAATTGTTAATTGATGTTTATTACATTATGGCTATCTCCAAGACTCTTAAGAGAGTCTGAAATATACTGAGTAATTCTGTAGTTACCTATGAAAAGGAAGAAAATCAACACAATGATCATCATGTACCCAAAGTACAAAATAGAGCTCGCAATTTCTGTGATTTGAAGTTTGGCAGAGAAGTAATGAACTGCATACGTAAAAAGATAAACAGCTATAAAGCTTCTGGTTAAAAATCGCCACCACCAATGATAATCCTGTAAAAAGAAGTAGAAAAAAATGACTTTTCAGATGAAATTTTAACCATAAATGGGTTAGCAGTTATAACAAGAACACAAGATAAGCTCCATAAAATAATGGATTAAAAGGAATAAAAGAGAACCTTTTATAAGAAATTTAATAAAATATGTAATGTATGTCCTGCTTGGGGTATCCTAACAATTGTCAACTCTTTGTTTCCAGGGATACCACATGTGCCCTCTGGGATTGGGACTTTTAATGTGTGCAGGCTATCATAACATTGCCTCAGCCCTGGAAGGCATTCAGTTCAGCTTCTACATACTGGCCAGAATTGTGCTATGCCTATTGATGCCTCAGGCTAGCCTTTTTTTTTAAAGGGGGATAATATAGAAATTTAGGCTAGACCTTGTGGTTAATAAGATTTGCTTTAACTGGCTCAGTTCAGGACCCATGGATGGCATGACTAAGGTCAATACTGCAGGTTGGTCTCACCCTGTTCCATGGACTCCTACTGATGATAATATTATTGCAAAGACACTGTGGCCAAGGACCATCAGGAAAGACAGTGCAGAAAAGAATTAACATAGCAGATCTGAGGCTACTATCTTTAGAAAGCCTGCTTGCGAGCTCTAGCTCTCGCTCTCCCTCTCCCTCTCCCTCTCCCTTTCCCTCTCCCTCTCTTTCCACGGTCTCCCACTGATGCCGAGCCGAAGCTGGACTGTACTGCTGCCATCTCGGCTCACTGCAGCCTCCCTGCCTGATTCTCCTGCCTCAGCCTGCCGAGTGCCTGCGATTGCAGGCGCGCGCCACCACGCCTGACTGGTTTTCGTATTTTTTTGGTGGAGACGGGGTTTCGCTGTGTTGGCCGGGCTGGTCTCCAGCTCCGAACTGCGAGTGATCCACCAGCCTCGGCCTCCCGAGGTGCCGGGATTGCAGACGGAGTCTGGTTCACTCAGTGCTCAATGGTGCCCAGGCTGGAGTGCAGTGGCGTGATCTCGGCTCGCTACAACCTCCACCTCCCAGCCGCCTGCCTTGGCCTCCCAAAGTGCCAAGATTGCAGCCTCTGCCCGGCCGCCACCCCGTCTGGGAAGTGAGGAGCGTCTCTGCCTGGCCGCCCATCGTCTGGGACGTGAGGAGCCCCTCTGCCTGGCTACCCAGTCTGGAAAGTGAGGAGCGTCTCTGCCCGGCCACCATCCCATCTAGGAAGTGAGGAGCGCCTCTTCCCAGCCGCCATCCCATCTAGGAAGTGAGGAGCGTCTCTGCCCGGCCGCCCATCGTCTAAGATGTGGGGAGCGCCTCTGCCCCGCCGCCCCGTCTGGGATGTGAGGAGCGCCTCTACCCGGCCGCGACCCCGTCTGGGAAGTGAGGAGCGTCTCTGCCCAGCCGCCCCATCTGAGAAGTGAGGAGACCCTCCACCTGGCAACTGCCCCATATGAGAAGTGAGGAGCCCCTCCGTCCGGCAGCCACCCCGTCTGGGAAGTGAGGAGCGTCTCTGCCCGGCAGCCACCCCATCCGGGAGGGAGGTGGGGGGTCAGCCCCCCGCCAGGCCAGCCGCCCCGTCCGGGAGGGAGGTGGGGGTGTCAGCCCCCCGCCCGGCCAGCCGCCCCGTCCGGGAGGGAGGTGGGGGGGTCAGCCCCCCGCCCGGCCAGCCGCCCCGTCCGGGAGGGAGGTGGGGGGGTCAGCCCCCCGCCCGGCCAGCCGCACCGTCCGGGAGGGAGGTGGGGGGGGGTCAGTCCCCCCCCCGGCCAGCCGCCCCGTCCGGGAGGAAGGTGGGGGGGTCAGCCCCCTGCCCGGCCAGCCGCCCCGTCCGGGAGGGAGGTGGGGGGGGTCAGTCCCCCCCCCGGCCAGCCGCCCCATCCGGGAGGAAGGTGGGGGGGTCAGCCCCCCACCCGGCCAGCCGCCCCGTCCGGGAGGGAGGTGGGGGGGTCAGCCCCCCGCCCAGCCAGCCGCCCCGTTCGGGAGGTTAGGAGCGCCTCTGCCCGGCAGCCCCTACTGGGAAGTGAGGAGCCCCTCTGCCCGGCCAGCCGCCCCGTCCGGGAGGGAGGTGGGGGGGGTCAGCCCCCTGCCCGGCCAGCCGCCCCGTCCGGGAGGTGAGGGGCGCCTCTGCCCGGCCGCCCCTACTGGGAAGTGAGGATCCCCTCTGCCCGGCCAGCCGCCCCGTCCGGGAAGGAGGTGGGGGGGTCAGCCCCCCGCCCGGCCAGCCGCCCCGTCCGGGAGGGAGGTGGGGGGGTCAGCCCCCCGCCCGGCCAGCCACCCCGTTCGGGAGGTTAGGGGCGCCTCTGCCCGGCAGCCCCTACTGGGAAGTGAGGAGCCCCTCTGCCCGGCCAGCCGCCCCGTCCGGGAGGGAGGTGGGGGGGTCAGCCCCCTGCCCGGCCAGCTGCCCCGTCCGGGAGGTGAGGGGCGCCTCTGCCCGGCCGCCCCTACTGGGAAGTGAGGAGCCCCTCTGCCCAGCCACCACCCCGTCTGGGAGGTGTACCCAACAGCTCATTGAGAACTGGCCATGATGACAATGGCGGTTTTGTGGAATAGAAAGGGGGGAAAGGCGGGGAAAGGATTGAGAAATCGGATGGTTGCCATGTCTGTGTAGAAAGAGGTAGACACGGGAGACTTTTCATTTTGTTCTGTACTAAGAAAAATTCTTCTGCCTTGTGATCCTGTTGATCGGTGACCCTAACCCCAACCCTGTGCTCTCTGAAACATGTGCTGTGTCCACTCAGGGTTAAATGGATTAAGGGTGGTGCAAGATGTGCTTTGTTAAACAGATGCTTGAAGGCAGCGTGCTCGTTAAGAGTCATCACCACTCCCTAATCTCAACTACCCAGGGACACAAACACTGCGGAAGGCCGCAGGGTCCTCTGCATAGGAAAACCAGAGACCTTTGTTCACTTGTTTATCTGCTGACCCTCCCTCCACTATTGTCCTATGACCCTGCCAAATCCCCCTCTGTGAGAAACACCCAAGAATGATCAATTAAAAAAAAAAAAAAAAAAAAAAGCCTGCTTGCCAGGTTGGCCCTTGGTTTGCATCTGGGAATTTGGCATTTAGTCATTTCCTGACTGATGTAGACTGGTTTGCTATGCCTAGACTGTACAGACAATGTGATTTATGGTCGATACTTGCTTTCCTTTGGGGAGTCCGGAATTTTGTAGTTGCTAGGCAGAGGGTGCCTATGTGACTACTCCCCATAAAAACCTTGGATGCTGAAATCTCTAACGGGCTTCCCTGGGCAGAACATTGCATATTTATTACTGCATTTCTCACTGCTGGAGAAAGAAGCATACTCAGTGTGCTCTCTAATGGGAGGGAACAACATAGGAAGGCTGCGCCTGGATTTCTCCAGGCTCCACCTGTCTTTTTCCCTCACTGATCCTGTGGGCATCCTTTCTGTAGCCTACCCATGTATGCATCTGTATGCCCAGTCCCACGAGTCCTTCTAGTGAGTCACCAAACATGTGGGTAGTCTTCAGGACCCCCTAAAACATTTTCTTAGGAATAAAAACATATCCATTATATGCTTATTGTTGTATGCCTCATTAATGATTGCTGCAGATTCTCTAAGGCAAAATGTACCATACTAATAATGACCAGCTGATATGATTTGGCTGTGTCCCCACTGAAATCTCAACTTGAATTGTATCTCCCAGTTGTGGGAGGGACCCAGGGGGAGGTAATTGAATCATGGCAGCCTGTTTTTCCCATGCTATTCTCGTGATAGTGAATAAGTCTCATGAGATCTGATGGGTTTATCAGGGGTTTCTGCTTTTGCTTCCTCCTCATTCTTCTCTTGCTGCTATGTAAGAAGTGCCTTTCGCCTCCCGCCGTGATTCTGAGGCCTCCCCAGCCATGCGGAACTGTAAGTCCACTTAAACCTCTTTTTGTTCCCAGTTTTGGGTATGTCTTTATCAGCAGTGTGAAAATGAACTAATACACCAGCTAAGTATAAATATACTACATAAGTATATTTAAGTATATATATAGTTATATTTTGTACCTCTATACCAATAGCACAAGAAGAAAATGTCTAAGAAAACATGTATATAAGAATCATTCCCTGAACCCTCTATTGTCTGTTATCTTTGAAGAGTCATATTTAACTACCAAAATAAAACGGATTTAGGGGATTTAAGAGAACAATGTACACTACCAGCTCAGTTATCCAGAATGATATCGGGGGAAAATGGGACTGGGGTAAAAAGAACTATTGTGTCTGTGGTAACCAAAAGGCAATAAAATGAAAGAAGAGAAAGGACCTTTAGCCACTATCTCAAACCAACAAACCAGAATGCTGGCTTAAGCTGCAAAGAAAAAATTTAATTGTTAAAAAGAAAACATCAGCCGGGCGTGGTGGCTCATGCCCGTAATCTCAGCTGTTTGGGAAGCCAAGGAGAGTGGATCACTTGAGCCCAGGAGTTCAAGACCAGGCTGGGCAACATGGCAAAACCTCGTCTCTACTAAAAACACAAAAATTAGCTGTGTGTGGTGGTGGTCACCTGTAATCCCAGCTACTACAGCTACTAGAGAGGCTGAGGCATGAGAATCGCTTGAACCCAGGAGGCAGAGATTGCAATAAGCCGAGATTGCACCACTGCACTCCAGCCTGGGCGACAGAGTGAAACCCTGTCTCAAAAAAAGAAAAGGAAATATCATTGAACTTGATAAATATTAAATCAGTCCCTTATATTTTTCTGTTAACTGAATATCATGCAGCAATTACAATAACCAGCCAAAGAGAAATAACTTTCTATTTAAATTTTCCATCAAAGCAGCCTTAACTTGACAGCCACATCAAAGTCAAAATGTGTTAATAGGAAAACACAATATAAAACTGATCCCAAGTTGTAGAAACATGCAGTTATCATTTATTTCAATTCTTTTCTAAACACAGACTTCCAATTCCAATAATGCAAGTATAGCAAATGCATTAGTTTCTTATGGCTTTACCTCAGCACATAAATGAAAATAATACAGCAAAACTGTAACTTCTGAGCAAGTAATCACAAGAATTATAAAGACTAAGAAAAGGAAGCCAAACATGTAGTACAGCTAATGAGACCTGAAAATAAAAATAAGAGGTTTAAATAAACTTTAACTTAACAGTACACACAGAAAGATCAATCCAAATCTATACAATAGACAGTCATACACTTCTCTAAACCTTTTTTTTTCTTTTTTTCCCCTAAACATTCAACTCTGTATTCCAAATCTCCACTTATCCTTTAAGTACCAAAAAATAGTCCCTTACCTATGCAGTTTCAGAGTTTGGCCGTATCTTCTCTAGTCAGAACCAGTGCTGCTACTTACCCATGTTTCTCTGGTCATATAAGTTAGTTCTCACTTGAGACTCATCAATATCACCATAATTTTCTCCATACATATTTAAAAACATTCTCTTTAGAAATTGAAGGCTGCAAATGCCATAAATACCAACAACGACATCATAAAACAGAAAACCAGATTCAAATACCACTTTTGCCTTAGAAAGCCTGTTGACATTCACCTTTTCCAAATATGTCTTTATAGCACAGCACACATAATTCTATTAAATATACTTTCAAATGTGCCTTTTAAAAAAATCTGTGTGTGGATTACATCTAGGTGAAACTTTGAAAGAATGCAGTTAACTCTCTTGGTTATTATAGACCTGAGCTAAGTTGGGATGATCAATGCCCATTCCAATTAATTAACTAATACTTTAGAGACAGGGTCTCACTCCATCACCCAGGCTAGAGTGCGGTGGTGCAATCACAGCTCACTGCAGTCTCAACCTCCTGAGTTCAAGTGATCCTCCTGCCTTAGCCTCTCAAGTAGCTGGAACTTACAGGCTACCATGCTTGGCTAATTTTTTAGCCAAGCACGTGCCACCATGCTTGGCTAATTTTTTATTTTATTTTATTTCATTTGTAGAGACAGGATCTTGCTATGTTGCCCAAGGCTGGCCTTGAACTCCTGGCCTCAAGTGATTCCCCCTGCCTCAGACTCCCAAAATGCTGGGATTAAAGGCATGAGCCACCACACCCAGCCACAACATCCATTTTAAAAAGCCTTTTGGAAATAAAAAGAAATTGATGAACCGATCAATACGCCACCTAAAAATGTCATGTAAAATATATACCTGAGTATGAGAGTGAGGGATGAGTATTGAGAAGCATCTCCCTAGATAATAAATTTATACAAAGTTGTATGCAACAAATACATTGCTTCAAGACCAGCCTGGCCAACATGTTGAAACCCTGTCTCTACCGAAAATACAAAAATTAGCTGGGCATAGTGGTGCACGCCTGTAGTCCCAGCTACTCAAGAGGCTGAGACACGAGAATTGCTTGAACCTGGGAGGCAGGTGGAGGTTGCAGTGAACCGACATCGCACCACTGCACTCCAGCCTGGGTGACAGAGTGAGACCCTGTCTCAAAAAAATAAAAAACAAAAGTAAAATAAAAAACAAGCACATTGCTTTTCACTGAAATGAAAGTTAATTGTCTGAAAAACCTTTCAGTTTCCATTTTAAAACTACTTTCCCATCAAGAACATCTGGAAAATATGGTTAGTATCATCTACTTTGCAGCTTGTTTTTTTTTTTGTTTTGTTTTGTTTGTTTGTTTTTTGAGATGGAGTCTCACTCTGTCGCCCAAGCTGGAGTGCAGTGGCACGATCTCAGCTCACTGCAACCTCCACCTCCCGGGTTCAAGTGATTCTCATGCCTCAGCCTGTCTAGTAGCTGGGATTACAGACAGTCACCACCACGTCCGGCTAATTTTTGTATTTTTAGTAGAGATGGGGTTTCACCATGTTGGCCAGGCTGGTCTCGAACGCCCCACCTCAAGTGATCCACCTGCTTCAGCCTCCCAAAGTGCTGGAATTATAGGTGTGAACCACTGCGCCCAGCCAAAAAAGTAAATCTTTATAAATATTTCCATCAAAACGTGCCTTTTAAAAATTGTGAATTCAACAGGGTGACTACAGTCAATAATAATTTAATTGTACATTTTAAAATAACTAAAAGAGTATAATTGTATTGTTTGAAACACAAAGGATAAATGCTTGAGGGGATGGATACCTCGTTCTCCATAGATGTGATTATTATGCACTGCATGCCTGTATCAAAACATCTCATGTACCCCATAAATATATACACCTACTGTGTACCCACAAAAATTAAAAATAAATATTTTTAAAGTCATGAATTAAGTCTCGGTTCTCTAGGAAATTCTTCTAGGTCAGATTGTTATTTACTGGATAAAGGGAGGTAAATGAAGTATTATCATATCAGAATTTAACCTCCTTAAACTATAGGAATGTTAATTTACTAAAAACTAACACTTTTAAGATTATGAAGATGTAATACTCACCAAATACTGTTCAGAATGAAAAAGAGTTGAATAAAAATACAGCCGAAGGGGAAAATGCCACCAATTATGATGCCAAGAAGTGGTTTTGTAAAGAAGTTCTATGGAGGAATCTGACAGGGGATCTGGTTTGTCTGAACTGGACAACTAATCTGCTCGGAAATAAATGAAGTGAGAATCAGAATGAAATGAAACTGAAAAACATCTATACAGATATTATCACAAAACAGAATCTTGAATCTGAAGAGGGCATGGAATATTTACAGGAGCATTTTTCTCAAAGGCAGCTTTGAGAAAACAACAATAGTATAAAGAAAATAACAAAAAGCAGTCATGTGGGCAGGGGCTAGGCCAGTGCTGTGCAATGGAAGTATAATGCAAGCCACATGTGTAGTTCTAAATTTTTTAGTAGCCCCCCTTAAAAAAGTAAAAAGAAACAGATGGAATTAATTTTAACATCATATTTTATTTATTCTAACATGTCCAAATATTATGATTTATACTTGTGTTAATATAAAATTATTGAGCAAATATTTTACGTTATCTTTGTCGTTGTTCTAAGTGTTCAAAATCTGGTGTGTATTTTCCACATAGAGCCCATCTCAATTCCGACAGCCACATTTCAGGTGCTCAACAGCCACATGCGACCAGTGGCACCATACTAAGTGACACACAGCTAAACAATCAATGAGGATATTTATCCTTTTTTATAATTTCCAAGGGAGAGACTGGAAAGATTTACCAGTGACTATTCTAATGCAAAATAATCTAAAATGTCCAAAAGTTCTCTCTTAGAATTTGTCTAAGAATGTGTCAATAGTTTTCAGAAAATTTTCTTTTTGCTGCTCTCTGTGGAACTCCACCTCCCATTTTGTCTTTTCCAACATTTCCTCTGCAATCTCATGCTATATCCTTGAAGAGTTTTTTGGCTGTGTGGCCTCATTGAGACTTTTTGGTATCCTATACCTTTCTCCGATATGTGGAATAGGCTAACTTCAAATCTGTAAACCGAATAGCCCCATTCCTTGGACTACATCTTGACTTCCTTATCCCACTGTATAACCCTATTAGTTTCCTGAGTTGGCTGATGTCAGCCTTTCTACAATATGTCCTTTTAATTTGGTTCATCAGAGGTAAAAGGCAGTATAAACAATTGATAATGTAGGAAATGCATTAATGTCTTTGAAAGTGTTACTGTCCTTTACTTAATTTTTTAAAGTATCTTTTATTCCAAAATGATTATTCTCTGTAGTTTTCTCCAGTGGGACTTTTTGTATTTCATGTGTAATATATACACTGAGGTATTATTTCAGTCATCGCTCAGTGGCCAAAAGCAGTATTTTAAGAGTTTACCTTTTCTTTATTTCCAAAATATGCACCAAAAAATGTTAGTGGTACTAAAATTCTAAACCAAATTGTAAGGATATCTAGCAGAGTAGCAAAGGAGACGGCAGCTGATGACCCTTCCATCCAGAGAATTTTCATCATAATAAAGAGATCAGCAAAGACAATTCTGAAGGGAGAAAAAAGTCATTAGGAAACAAGGGGTAGGGAGAGATTTGTTAAAGGCCACAAAATTACAGCTAGATAAGAAAAGTAAGTTCTAGCATTCTATAATGCTGTAGGGTGACAACAATTAATAATAATATGTCATATAGTCTCAAATAGCTAGCTAGGAGGAGGATATTCAATGTTCCCAACACAAAGAAATAATAAATTTTGAGATGATGGATATGTTAATTACCCTGATTTGATCACTATACATTATATGCATTGAAATATCACTATGTACCCCAAGAATATGTACAAATATTATATGTCCATTAAATTTTTAAATTTTTAATTTAAAAATGTGTACAACAAAAGAAAACAATATACTTTCAGGAAAATGTTATAAACGTAACTTTTTTTGAGATAATAGCTTGCCCTGTCACCCAGGCTGGAGTGCAGCAGCACAATCATCGCTTACATGTAGCTTCAACCTCCTGGACTCAAGCAACCATCCCACTAAAGCCTCCTGAGCAGCTAGGACTACAGGTGTGTGCCACCAGGACTGGCTAACCTTTTTTGTAGAGAGGAAGTCTCACTACCTTGCCCAAGTTGTTCTCAAATTCCTGGGCTCAAGTGATCCTCCCATCTCAGCCTCTCAAAGCACTGGAGTGGTGGGCAAGAGCCATCACACCTATGAATATCCAGATATTCTTTTCATAAGAAGGATATAATAAATGACAATGTTAAATCCTAGAAGAATATTAAATCACAATGTGTATACCCAGTCATTGAGCTATGGCTTAAACTTAATACCATATAAGAAAGAAGATGGAAGTTTCTTATAGGATGTAATTTCCACAGCCTACTCATCCTTGCACCTTCAAAGTCTAGCAGAAGGTAAATAAGGTGTGAGTAATAGACCATGGAAAAAACTCTATATGCTATATAGTGAACACAATCAAGAAATAGCATATATGGAAAATAGATTTTCAAATCCTAGGCTGAAAGGGGCCATAAGATGCCTTCAAGTTAGACAGGTATTCACTTAAGGAGTTTTAAATTGGTTGCTCAAAATCAACAGGCCAACTTCTAAGTCTACTGGATACATCACCAGGCAAGCCGAGCTGCTGTGCCCCTACTTATTTGGTACACCAGACAAGTTTGACCAAAGCTACAAGTGGAGATGGGTATGGATATGGATATGAGTGTTTCGGAAAGCCTAAAAAATAAGGTTGAAACAGTAGACAGAGGCTAGACTGTGGAAGACTTTGATTTTCTCCTTTTGGCATTAAGAAGCAACAGAAGAGTCTTTTACAATCAAAACTCTGATACACAGTGCAGTTGTTTGGGAAGAAGAATCCACAACATTGTGGAAAACAGACCTAAGGGACGAGATGATAGAGGAAAGGAGCCCAGATAGGAAGTGGTAAGAAGCTGTATAATGTGGTGATGGTTAAAATGAAAAGAGATGGATATAAAAGACATGAAGAGTTAAGAATACCCATGAAACAAATGTGCACGTGTACCCCTGAATGTAAAATAAAATAATTTAAAAAAACAAAAAAAGAATTAAGAGACTTGTGGTTAAAGATGGCAGATAATTTAACTCACACGTTTAGCTCTGCTCCTTCCTCAAAACCCTGATAAAATTACAGTAAGGGAATTATAAAATGGCATAAACACACAAGGTAGGAGAATAGGGAGAGAAGATACTAGCAACAAATGTTGGAAACTAGATATAGCAGCTGAACAAATAGTAACTGAATCACCAGAACTGAGAAACCTGCATCCCAAGTCATCAGTAGGGAAAGCTGAAACGCAAATCCACTTATACCACAGAATTCCAAAAGGGCTCAGGAACTTGTAGTACCAGGTACCCCTGCAAGTAGGCATGAAAGAGAGGTAATAACCAGGAGGACTGCTTGAAAGTCAGCCTAGGAAGCTGACTTGCAGATTCCTTGCCCTATTCTGCAGGGCCAAATAACTTCCCTTCCCCAACACCAGCAGAATACTGGAGGTCTGTTCTCTTGGGGAAGATCCCTGAAGCTTAGAAGGAAACTTTTAAAAAGAAAATCTATCATTGACATCCTCGGAAAGATTAGAGGAGATATTGCGACCATAAAACAAGAAACAGAAATTTTAAAGTCTATTGAGAAAACAAAAGAGCCTCTTGGGAATTAAAAATATGACAAGAGGAATTAAAACCTCAATAAAAGGGTTGGAAGATAGAGATGATAAACTGTCTTAGAAAGCAGCATTTAAAAAAATTGAAAACAGGCAAAAAATTATAGGAAAATTAGATGAACAACCCAGACATCCGAAAAACAGGAGTTATGGAAGGGGACAGAGTTCCTTATTAATGTCTTTTAGGGATATTAAGTACTTTGCTCAAGGTCAAACCACTAAAAGAGGAAGAGCTGGGATTCTAAGTCAGGTGTGTCTGATTTTTTAAGTGCAAGTTTTTTCTCGTTACACTATGCTATAATAAAGCCTCTATGATGAGGCCTCTATGATGATAACTCTAGAATGTTAATATGTGTGCAACAAATCTGTAACTGTCCTCCAACTTCATGTTTTTACATTCTAAATATTTCTTCCTGGGTGCAGTAGCTCATGCCTATAATCCTAGCACTTTGGGAAGCCAACGTGGGCAGATCACATGAGGCCAGGAGTTCAAGACCAGCCTGACCAACATGGCAAAACCCAATCTCTACTAAACTACAAAAATTAGCCAGGAGTGGTGGTACATACCTGTAATCCCAGCTACTCGGGAGGCTGAGACTAGAGAATCACTTGAACCCAGGAGACGGAGGTTGCAGTGAGCAAAGATCACGCCACTGCACTCCAGCTTGGGCAACATAGACTCTGTCTCAAAAACAAATAAATAAATAAGCCTCTATGATGAGAAAATTATCCCTGAACCCACTCCACAAATTACATCTGTCTTCTCCCCTCCTGGACATTTTGTCAGAGACCAGAGAGAGAGACTGTATTAATAGCCACTCTACGATATTACCAGTTTAGGCTTTGAGGTCTACTGTTCAGGGAATCTCTGGTTAGCTCTTTCGTTGTAAGTTCTCCCAAGGTCCATTCCAAGTCTATCATTTTAATTATGCCATCATATTTGTCATCTCTTCTCAATTTTTTATTTACAATCATTGTTTTGGATGGTTTTTCATCTCTCATTACAAGTGATTTGGCCTTTACTCAATCAACTTCAGTCATTTGTTCTTTCATTTTACTATTTCTACAATGTTTACATTGTAAATTGTGTTTACAATTTCTTCTGTCTACTAACAACTTTTTCAGTAGGTATAGCTATTCTGCTCTCCAAAGGCTCATACTTTGCTCCTGTTGATGTAGCTTCAAGCTCTTTCAAACAAAACAAAACCTCCACCTTATGTCTCATCAGTTTCTGGCATCTTAATAAGGAAGCCTGGTTTTCCATGATTTAACTCCACTTCTCAAAATGTTTTTAATACCTTTCTGCTCTAATGAATTTGTTTAGCCACAATATTCCTCTGCCAAATTTCCTAGCTTTTGAGAGATTCGTTTCAGCTGTTATCATTCCTTGGCCAGAAAAATTACTTCTCACTTGACAAATCATAACCTCCCTTTTTATATATAAACTCAATTAACCCGTCTCAACAATTTCCCTTTTGAAAGTACACTCTAGAATGTTAATATGTGTTTAACAAATCTGTAACTGTCCTCCAAGTTCATGTTTTCACATTCTAAATATTTCTTCCTATGTCAATCTCTAATTATTTCTAGACCTTTTCACAGAATCTTAAACAGCAAAACTAGAAGGAAACTTAATAGGTCACCTGAGTTCATCTCCGACCTGAAACATTTATTCACACATTTATCAAACATTTATTGAGTACCAGTGTGTTAGGCCCTGGTGTCCAAAGATAAATAAAACAAAAATCTTAGCTCTGAAAAAAGCTCAATCTAGTGGGAGACAGATATAAACAAATAAATTACAATACAACATGGGAAGTGCTATGGCAGAATGATGAACACAGAGCAGTAAGAACCCAGAAGAAAAGAGTGACCAAAAATGCTTTGTAACTCACAAAACAATTTCACAATCCATTAGTTCATTTACTTCTCTAAACACCTCTGTGACATAGGCATTACATGCAAGGAAATGGGCAATCAGAAATGTTATAGGACATTCCCCAAAGTCACTCGCCTAATATTGAGTGCTGAAATTCAAACTTTCTTCTTTCTATTTTAAAGTTTCGATGCATACCCATCAAACTCTGCTGCCTCTTCCCTTCCCTACCTACCGCTTTGGGGGTTACATGGAGGAAAACTACATTGTTTAATAAACTTTACTGTCTTCACATTCTTTTAGGGAATATATATGTTCATTAGTCTAATCGCTTCTCCATCTATAAGCTGGTGCAAAAGTAATTGCAATTTTGTAGCTGAAAGGAATTGCAAAAACCACAATTACTTTTGCACCAACCTAATGAATCCAAATCCATTTATATGCTGTGAGGCACTGAAATTCTCTTTCAATCTACCACATTTTGAGAAATAAGAATCCCAGTATCTTATGACTCTCTCTCCTATTCACCTGAGAAAGTCCATAAACCACTTAAGGGAAGTACATCCTTTGTATCATTCTTGGTTTATCGCTTTAAAATTGCATTCAGATCTACTAACAGAACTAGAAAACTCAATCTGTTTTGAATTTTTAAATTATTCACATTATTCAGTGATACAGTAAACATTTACTGAGCACTTACTCCATTATAAGGCACTGAGTTACACACTGTGAAAAATACTGAGGTGAAGAAGACATAGTATTCGCCCTCGTGAGTTTTAAAATCTAGAATGGGAGACAAGACATATTACAAATAACTACAATCTAAGGAAGACTGTGATAAGTGTTGTAATAGTGATAATAGACACTGTACAAGTTAAGAGCATGGAAGTGGTGGTATTTGAGAATGAAAAAAACTGTCATAGGGAAATTCGAAAGAAGAAATTACAAATAGGCCAGGCACCATGGCTCACGCCTGTAATCCCAGCACTTTGGGAGGCCAAGGCGGGTGGATGACTTGAGGTCAGGAGTTTGAGACCAGCCTGGCCAACATGGTGAAACGTCTGTACTAAAAATACAAAAATTAGCAGGGCATGGTGGCAAACGCCTGTAATCCCAGCTACTCGGAATACTGAGGCATGAGAATCACTTGAACCCAGGAGCCGGAGGTTGCAGTGAGCTGAGATCACACCATTGCACTCCAGCCTGGGCAACAGAGTGAGACTCTGTCAAAAAACAAACAAACAAACAAACAAAAAAAACGAAATTACAAATAGATGGAACATCATGAGCAAAGGCACGATGGTAAAAGAAAATAGTAACTAATAACCACAGCTACCATTTATGGAGTACTTATTCTGTGTTAGGCACTGTTCTAAATGCTTTACATACATTATCCCACTTAATCCTTGCAGCAACCATACAAGGTAAATAATATCATTATTTCCATACTGCAGATGAAGAAATCTAAGTTTAGAGAAGTTAAAGAACTTGCCCAAAGTTCCATGATTAGTAAACATTATTTGTTTGAAACTCCTTTGCTGCCTATCTAATTTAAAAGACAATTGCATAATGCAATAATTATGCATCCATATTGATGGGCATATGAAGTATAAAGGTATAGTTTGTATGACAATGACAGCACAAAGGAGGGGGAGGGAAAGGAGCTGTAGAGGAGCAAAGCTTTTGTGTAATATTGAAATCAAGTTGGTATTAATATGAGCTACATTGTTATAAATTAAGATATTAGCAATCCATAAAACAACCATTAAGAAAATAACTAAAAAAAAAAGTAAAAGAAATGACAAGGGAATAAGAATGGTACACTAGAAAATACCTACTTAACACAAAAGAAGGCAGTAATGAAGGAACAAAGGAACAGAAAAGACATAAAATACATAGAAAAAATAGCAAAATGACAGATGCAAATTCTACTTTATCAATAACTACATTAAACGTAAATTGATGAAAATTAAAAAGAAGAGATTGGAAAAAGTGTTCAAAAAATTATCCAAATATATGATGTCTACAAGAGGTATAATTTTGATTCAAAGGCACAAATTAAGTTGAAAGTAAAAGTATAAAATGTGTATGTGTGTGTGTGTGTGTGTAGCAAACAGTAACCAAAAGAGAGCTGGGGTAGCTACACTTCTATCATGTAAAATAGACGTAAAGACAAAAAGTGTTATGAGACATAAAGGACATTCTGTGACAATATAAAAGTCAATACATCAAGAATAAATAGCAATTTATAAACATATGTGTACCTAACCACAGAGCCCCCAAATTATATGAAGCAAAAACTGACAGAATTGAAGGAAGAAATAGACAACTCTACAATAATAGTTGGCGACTTCAGTACCCCACTTTCAATAATGGATACAACAACTAGAAAGAAGATCAACAAGAGAATGAAAGACTTGAACAACACTATAAACCTACTAGATCTAACAGACATCTACAGAACACTCCATCCAACAAGAGCAGAATATACATTCTGCTCAAGTATATATGGAACATTCTCCAGGGTAGACCACGTGTTGGGCCATAAAAAAGTCTCAATAAATTGAAAAGAACTGAAATCATACAAAGTATAATGTCATTGAAATAAATTAAACAAGGCCAAACAAGTGGAAAGATATCCTGTGTGCACGAACTAGAAGACTTAATATTGCTAAGATGGCAATATTCTCCAAATTAATCCACAGATTCCATGCAATACCTATCAAAGTCACAGCTGGCTTTTTTGTTTTATTCTGTTTGGATTTTATTTTTTTGAAATGGGGTCTTGCTGTTTTGCCCAGGCTGGCCTTAAACTTCCTGGGCTCAAGGGATTCTCCTGCCTCAGCCTTCTGTGTAGCTGGGACTACAGGCACATACCACTGCACCCAGCTTACAGTTGACTTTCTGAAGAAATTGAGAAGTTCTTTCTAAAATACATATGAAAATGCAAAAGTCTAGCCAAAACAATCTTGAAAAAGAAGAATGTTGGAGAACTCACACTTCCTAATTTGAAAATTTAATACAAAGCCACAGTAATCAAGATGTTGTGGTACTGGCATAAGGATTATCATGTAAGGATAGACCAATAAAATAGGATTGAGAGTCCAGAAAGAAACCCATAGATTTATGACCATTTGATTTTCACCAAGGAACTCCAGACAATTAAATAGGGGAAGAACAGTCTTTTCAGCGGATGGTGTCAAGACAAACTGGATATCCACATGCAAAGAATGAAATTAGACTCATCTTGTGCCATATACAAAAGTTAACCTGAAATGGATCTAAGACTTAAATTTAAGACATAAAAATATAAAACTGTAAAACAGAAATAAATTTTAGTGACGTTAGATTAGGCAATGGTTTCTTAAATGTGACATGAAATCCACAAGCAACCAATGACAGACTTTGTCAAAATTTAAATTTTGTGCTTCAAAGAATTCAATCAAGAAACTGAGAAGACAGTCCATGGGATAGAAGAAAACATTTGCAAGTCACATACCTGATAAGGATTTAGTATCCAGAATGTATTTTAAAAACTCTTAAAACGCAACAATAAAAAGAAAAATAATCCAGTTTTTAAATGGGGATTTTAATAGACATACTTCCAAAGAAGACATGCAAATGGTCAATAAGCACATGAAAAGATGCTCAATATCATTAGTCATCAGGGAAATGCAAATTAAAACTATAAAATAGGCGGTGCACCCTGGGATAGGGAGCGATCTCCAAGCGAGGCGGCAAGATGGACTCAGGATTCTTCCACCGATCAAGTGCAGAACAGTATAATCGGTTCAGCAACAAACAGAAGAAACTACTGAAGCAGCTGAAATTTGCAGAATGCCTAGAAAAAAAGGTGGACACGAGCAAAGTAAATTTGGAAGTTATAAAGCCTTGGATAACAAAAAGAGTAACAAAAATCCTTGGGTTTGAAGATGATGTTGTGATTGAGTTTATATTCAACCAGCTGTAAGTGAAGAATCCAGACTCCAAAATGATGCAAATCAACCTGAATGGATTTTCGAATGGAAAAAATGCTCGAGAATTTACGGGAGAACTATGGCCCCTGCTGCTAAGTGCACAAGAAAACATCTCGGGAATCTCTTCTGCTTTCCTAGAACTGAAGAAAGAAGAAATAAAACAAAGACAGATTGAATAAGAAAAATTGGCGTCTATGAAAAAGCAAGATGAAGACAAAGATAAAAGGCATAAGTTAGAAAAAGAAAGCAGCAGAGAAAAAAGGGAGAGGTCTCGTAGCCCAAGAAGACACAAATCTTCTTCCCCTAAAAGACAATCTTCCCCTGTTAGAAGAGAGAAAGCACAGTCATTCTCGATCTCCCCAACAAAGAACCAAGGGCCAGAGTCCTTTTCCTGCTCCAGAAAAGAAGGAAAAAACTCCAGAGCTCCCAGAACCTTCAGTGAAAGTAAAAGAACCTTCAGTACAACAGGCCACTTCTACTAGTGACATTCTGAAAGTTTCCAAACCTGAACCTGTACCAGAGCCTAAAGAACCTTCTCCGGAAAAAAATTCCAAAAAAGAAAAGCAGAAGAAGACCCGACCACGATCTCAGTCACACTCCAAATCAAAATCTCAGATGCGGTCCCCACTGTCCTTCTCACACTCCACCTAGACAGCGCCATAGATCCCAATCAAGATCGTATTCACCTAGAAGGTGGCCAAGCCCAAGGCGGCAGCCATCTCCTCGAAGAAGAACCCCACCAAGAAGAATGCCTCCTCCACCAAGGCATAGAAGGAGTAGATCTCCAGTAAGATGAAGAAGACGTTCATCAGCATCCTTGTCTGGGAATAGCTCATCATCCTCTTCATCTCATTCCCGGTCACCACCAAAGAAGCCTCCCAAGAGGACATCCAGCCCCCCTCAAAAAACTCGTAAGTTATCTCCTTCAACAAGTCCTCCAAGGCGAAGGTACAGGCCATCTCCTCCTGCAACTCCACCACCCAAAACTCAGCATTCCCCAACACCCCAGCAGTCAAACTGTACAAGAAAAAATCATGTTTCCGTGTCTCCAGGGAGAACTTCAGGTAGTAACAAAACATAAAGGTACTGAGAAAAGGGAGTGCCGTTCACCAGCACCAAAGCCTAGAAAAGTAGTTGTCTGAATCAGAAGAAGATAAACATGGTAAAATGGCTGCAGCAGATTCTGTGCAGCAGAGACACCAATACAGACAACTAAACCAGCAGTCTTCATCTGACTCTGGCTCCTCCTCCTCTTCAGAAGATGAACGACCCATGAGATCCCATGTGAAGAATGGTGAGGTTGGCAGGCGGCGGAGACATTCCCCTTCCCGGAGTGCCTCTCCATCACCACAAAAGCGCCAAAAAGAGACTTACCCTCGTGGTAGACAGAGGAGAACTCCATCCCCACCACCCACCAGAAGGCGATGGTCTCTTTCTCCTGCCCCTCCTCCTCGAGGGCACAGTTCTCCCACACCACCACCACGAAAAAGAACTCCTTCTCCTCCCTCACATCGGTGCTCACCTTCTCCTAGAAGATACTCTCCTCCAATACAGAGGAGATACTCTCCTTCTCCACCTCCAAAGAGAAGAATGGCTTCTTCTCCTCCCCTTCCTGAACAAAGAGCATTACCATCTCCACCACCCAAGCATTGGGTCTCCCATTCTCCACCTCCCAAACAAAGAAGCTCCTCAGTCACCAAGAGACGTTCACCTTCATTATCATCCAAGCATAGGAAAGGGTCTTCCCCAAGCCGCTCTACCCACGAGGCCCGATCACCACAACCAAACAAATGACATTCACCCTCACCACGGCCTCGAGCTCCTCAGACCTCAAGTCCTCCACTTGTTTGAAGAGCAGGGTCGTCATCACCCCAAAGAAGGCAGTCCCTGTCTCCAAATACTAGGCCCTTTAGGGGAGTCTCCAGGACTCTGGAACCTAAAAAAACAAAAAAGGCTGCTTCACCAAGCCCACAGTCTATAATGAGGGTCTCATCATCCTGATCTGTCTCCAGGTCTCCAGAGCCAGCAGCTTAAAAGCCCCCAGCACCTCCATCCCCCATCCAGTCTCAGTCACCATCTACAAACTGGACACCAGCTGTACCAGTCAAAAAGGCCAAAAGCCCAACACCAAGAGCATCACCGCCAAGAAAGCCAGATCAAGAAGGAGGTGGGAAAAAAAAGAAGAAAAAGGACAAGAGGGGGGTGGTTCCAAGATGGCCAAATAAGAACAGCTCCAGTCTACAGCTCCCAGCGTGAGCGACACAGAAGACGGGTGATTTCTGCATTTCCAACTGAGGTACCAGGTTCCTCTCACTGCGGATTGTCAGACAGTGGGTGCAGGATAGTGGGTGCAGTGCACCGAGTGTGAGCCGAAGCAGGGCAAGGCATCGCCTCATCCGGGAAGCACAAGGGGTCAGGGAATTTCCTTTCCTAGCCAAGGGAAGGGGGGACAAGTGGCACCTGGAAAATCGGGTCACTCCCACCCTAATACTGCACTTTTCTGACAGTCTTAGCAAACGGCACACCAGGAAATTATATCCCGCACCTGGCTCGGAGGGTCCTACGTCCATGGAGCCTCACTCATTGCTAGCACAGCAGTCTGAGATCGAACTGCAATGCGGCAGCAACGCTGGGGGAGGGGTACCCGCCATTACTGAGGCTTGAGTAGGTAAACAAAGCGGCCAGGAAGCTCGAACTCAGTGGAGCCTACCACAGCTCAAGGAGGCCTGCCTGCCTCTGTAGACTCCACCTCTGGGGGCAGGGCATAGCCAAACAAAAGGCAGCAGAAACCTCTGAAGGCTTAAATGTCCCTGTCTGACAGCTTGGAAGAGAGTAGTGGTTCTCCCGGCATGCAGCTGGAGATCTGAGAATGGACAGACTGCCTCCTCAAGTGGGTCCCTGACCCCCCAGTAGCCTAACTGGGAGGCACCCCCCAGTAGGGGCAGATTGACACCTCACACAGTCGGGTACCCCTCTGAGACAAAACTTCCAGAGGAACGATCAGGCAGCAACATTTGCTGTTCAGCAATATTCGCTGTTCTGCAGCCTCCGCTGCTGATACCCAGGCAAACAGGGTCTGGAGTAGACCTCCAGCAAACTCCAACAGACCTGCAGCTGAGGACCCTGACTGTTAGAAGGAAAACTAACAAACAGAAAGGACATCCTCACCAAAACCCCATCTGTACGTCACCATCATCAAAGACCAAAGGTAGATAAAAACCACAAAGATGGGGAAAAAACAGAGCAGAAAAACTGAAAATTCTAAAAATCAGAGCACCTCTCCTCCTCCAAAGGAATACAGCTCCTCACCAGCAACGGAACAAAGGTGGAAAGAGAATGACTTCGGCAAGTTGAGAGAAGAAGGCTACAGATGATCAAACTTCTTTGAGCTAAAGGAGGAAGTTCAAACCCATGGCAAAGAAGTTAAAAATCTTAAAAAAAGACTAGACGAATGGCTAACTAGAATAACCAATTCAGAGAAGTCCTTAAAGGACCAGATGGAGCTGAAAACCAGGGCACAAGAGCTACGTGACAAAGGCACATGCCTCAGTAGTCGATTCAATCAACTGGAAGAAAGGGTATCAGTGATGGAAGATCAAATGAATGAAATGAAGAGAGAAGAGAAATTTAGAGAAAAAAGAATAAAAAGAAACAAAGAAAGCCTCCAAGAAATATGGGACTCTGTGAAAAGACCAAATCTACATCTGATTGGTGTACCTGAAAGTGACGGGGAGAATGGAACCAAGTTGGAAAACACTCTGCAGGATATTATACAGGAGAACTTTCCCAACCTAGCAAGGCAGGCAAACATTCAAATTCAGGAAATACAGAGAACACCACAAAGATACTCCTCGAGAAGAGCAACTCCAAGACACATGATTGTCAAATTCACCAAAGTTGAAATGAAGGAAAAAATGTTAACGGCAGCCAGAGAGAAAGGTCAGGTTACCCACAAAGGGAAGCCCATCAGACTAACAGAGCATCTCTCGGCAGAAACTCTACAAGCCAGAAGAGAGTGGGGGTCAATATTCAACATTCTTAAAGAAAAGAATCTTCAACCCAGAATTTCATATCCAGCCAAACTAAGATTCATAAGAGAAGGAGAAATAAAATACTTTACAGACAAGCAAATGATGAGGGATTTTGTGACCACCAGGCCTGCCGTAAAAGAGCTTCTGAAGGATGCATTAAACATGGAAAGGAACAACCAGTACCAGCCACTGCAAAATCATGCCAAATTGTAAAGAGCATCGAGGCTAGGAAGAAACTGCATCAACTAACGAGCAAAATAACCAGCTAACATCATAATGACAGGATCAAATTCACCCATAACAATATTAACCTTAAATGTAAATGGGCTAAATGCCCCAATTAAAAGACACAGACTGGCAAATTGGATAAAGAGTCAAGACCCATCAGTGTGCTGTATCCAGGAAACCCATCTCACGTGCAGAGACACATATAGGCTCAACATAAAGGGATGGAGGAAGGTCAAGCAAATGGAAAATTAAAAAAGGCAGGGGTTGCAATCCTAGTCTCTGATAAAACAGACGTTAAACCAACAAAGATCAAAAGAGACAAAGAAGGCCATTACATAATGGTAAAGGGATCAATTTGACAAGAAGAGCTAACTATCTTAAATATATATGCACCCAATACAGGAGCACCCAGATTCATAAAGCAAGTCCTCAGAGACCTACAAAGAGACTTAAACTCCTACACAATAATAATGGGAGACTTTAACACCCCACTGTCAACATTAGACAGATCAATGAGACAGAAAGTTAACAAGGATACCCAGGAATTGAACTCAGCTCTGCACCAAGCAGACCTAATAGACATATACAGAACTCTCCACCCCAAATCAACAGAATATACATTCTTCCCAGCACCACATCACACTTACTCCAAAACTGACCACATAGTTGGAAAGCACTCCTCAGCAAATGTAAAAGAACAGAAATTATAACAAACTGTCTCTCAGACTACAGTGCAATCAAACTAGAACTCAGGATTAAGAAACTCACTCAAAACCACACAACTACATGGAAACTGAACAACCTGCTCCTGAAAGACTACTGGGTACATAATGAAATGAAGGCAGAAATAAAGATGTTCTTTGAAACCAACAAGAACAAAGACACAACATACCAGAACCCCTGGGACACATTTAAAGCAGTGTGTAGAGGGACATTTGTAGCACTAAATGCCCACAAGAGAAAGCAGGAAAGATCTAAAATTGACACCCTAACATCACAATTAAAAGAACTAGAGAAGCAAGAGCAAACACATTCAAAAGCCAGCAGAAGGCAAGAAATAACTAAGATCACAGCAGAACTGAAGGAGATAGAGACACAAAAAACCCTTCAAAAAATCAATGAATCCAGGAGCTGGTTTTTTGAAAAGATCAACAAAATTGATAGACCGCTAGCAAGACTAACAAATAAGAAAAGAGAGAAGAATCAAATAGATGCAATAAAAAATGATAAAGGGGATATTACCACTGATCCCACAGAAATACAAACTACCATCAGAGAATACTATAAACACCTCTATGCAAATAAACTAGAAAAACTAGAAGAAATGGATAAATTCTTTGACACATACACTCTCCCAAGACTAAACCAGGAAGAAGTTGAATCTCTGAATAGACCAATAACAGGCTCTGAAATTGAGGCAATAATTAATAGATTACCAACCAAAAAAAGTCCAGGACCAGACAGATTCACAGCCGAATTCTACCAGAGGTACAGAGGTACAAGGAGGAGCTGGTACCATTCCTTCTGAAACTATTCCAATCAATAGAAAAAGAGGGAATCCTCCCCTAACTCATTTTATGAGGCCAGCATCATCCTGATACCAAAGCCTGGCAGAGACACAACAAAAAAAGAGAATTTTAGACCAATATCCCTGATGAACATTGATGCAAAAATCCTCAATACTGGCAAACCGAATCCAGCAGCACATCAAAAAGCTTATCCACCATGATCAAGTGGGCTTCACCCCTGGAATGCAAGGCTGGTTCAACATATGCAAATCAATAAACGTAATCCAGCATATAAACAGAACCAACGACAAAAACCACATGATTATCTCAGTAGATGCAGAAAAGGCCTTTGAAAAATTCAACAACCCTTCATGCTAAAAACTCTCAATAAATTAGGTATTGATGGGACGTATCTCAAAATAATAAGACCTATCTATGACATACCCACAGCCAATATCATACTGAATGGGCAAAAACTGGAAGCATTCCCTTTGAAAACTGGCAGAAGACAGGGATGCCCTCTCTCACCATTCCTATTCAACATAGTGTTGGAAGTTCTGGCCGGGGCAATCAGGCAGGAGAAAGAAATAAAGGGTATTCAATTAGGAAAAGAGGAAGTCAAATTGTCCCTCTTTGCAGATGACATGATTGTATATCTAGAAAACCCCATTATCTCAGCCCAAAATTTCCTTAAACTGATAAGCAACTTCAGCAAAGTCTCAGGATACAAAATCAATGTGCAAAAATCACAAGCATTCTTATACACCAATAACAGACAGAGAGCCAAATCATGAGTGAACTCCCATTCACAATTGCTTCAAAGAGAATAAAATACCTAGGAATCCAACTTACAAGGGATGTGAAGGACTTCTTCAAGGAGAACTACAAACCACTGCTCAATGAAATAAAACAGGATACAAACAAATGGAAGAACATTCCATGCTCATGGATAGGAAGAATCAATATCGTGAAAATGGCCATACCGCCCAAGGTAATTTATAGATTCAATGCCATCCCCATCAAGCTACCAATGACTTTCTTCACAGAATTGGAAAAAACTACTTTAAAGTTCATATGGAACCAAAAAAGAGCCCACATTGCCAAGTCAGTCCTAAGCCAAAAGGACAAAGTTGGAGGCATCACGCTACCTGACTTCAAACTATACTACAAGGATACAGTAACCAAAACAGCATGGTACTGGTACCAAAACAGAGATATAGACCAATGGAACAGAACAGAGACCTCAGAAATAAAACCACACATCTACAACTATCTGATCTTTGACAAACCTGACAAAAATAAGAAATGGGGAAAAGATTCCCTATTTAATAAATGGTGCTGGGAAAACTGGCTAGCCATATGTAGAAAGCTGAAACTGGATCCCTTCCTTACACCTTATACAAAAATTAATTCAAGATGGATTAAACACTTAAATGTTAGACCTAAAACCATAAAAACCCTAGAAGAAAACCTAGGCAATACCATTCAGGACATAGGCATGGGCAAGGACTTCATGTCTAAAACACCAAAAGCAATGGCAACAAAAGCCAAAATTGACAAATGGGATCTAATTCAACTAAAGAGCTTCTGCACAGCAAAAGAAACTACCATCAGTGTGACAGGCAACCTACAGAATGGGAGAAAATTTTTGCAATCTATTCGTCTGACAGAGGGCTAATAGCCAGAATCTACAAAGAATTCAAACAAATTTCAAAAAAAAAAAAAAAAAAAAAAACAACCCCATCAACAAGTGGGCGAAGGATATGAACAGACACTTCTCAAAAGAAGACATTTATGCAGCCAACAGACACATGAAAAAATGCTCATCACCACTGGCCATCAGAGAAATGCAAATCAAAACCACAATGAGATACCATCTCACACCAGTTAGAATGGCAATCATTAAAAAGTCAGGAAACAACAGGTGCTGGAGAGGATGTGGAGAAATAGGAACACTTTTACACTGTTGGTGGGACTATAAACTAGTTCAACCATTGTGGAAGACAGTGTGGCGATTCCTCAGGGATCTAGAAATACCATTTGACCCAGCCATCCCATTACTGGGTATATACCCAAAGGATTATATATCATGCTGCTATAAAAACACATGCACACGTATGTTTATTGCAGCACTATTCACAATAGCAAAAACCTGGAACCAACCCAAATGTCCAACAGTGATAGGCTAGATTAAGAAAATGTGGCACATATACACCATGGAATACTATGCAGCCATAAAAAATGATGAGTTCATGTCCTTTGCAGGGACATGGATGAAGCTGGAAACCATAATTCTCAGCAAACTATCGCAAGGACAAAAAACCAAACACCGCATGTTCTCACTCATAGGTGGGAATTGAACAATGAGAACACTTGGACACAGGGTGGGGAACATCACACACCAGGGCCTGTTGTGGGGTGGGGGGAGGGGGGAGGGATAGCATTAGGAGATATACCTAATGTAAATGACGAGTTAATGGGTGCAGCACACCAACATGGCACATGTATACATATGTAACAAATCTGCACGTTGTGCACATGTACCCTAGAACTTAAATAATTAAAAAAAAAAAACTCCGACATCAAGCAGTTTAGCTCTTCCCAACACAGCTCAGCTGTTGAAATTTCATGGAAGAAATTGTTTTTATCGGTCTAAATTTTGTGTCACTTATATAGAAAAAATGGTAATAAAATTGCATCATATATTTAAAAAAAAAAGGACAAGAAACACCAAAAGGATAAGCACAAGCAGCACAAAAAACACAAGGAAAAGGCTGTGGCTGCAGCCACTGCGACCCCTGCAGCCACTGCAGCTGCCACAACCACATTATCACAGGAAGAACCAGTGGCAGCGCCAGAGCCGAAGGAGGATACTGAAAGTGAAGCTGAAGATAACCTTCATGACTTAGAAAAGCACCTGCGTTGGCCAGGCACGGTGGCTCATGCCTGTAATCCCAGTACTTTGGGAGGCCGAGGCGGGTGGATCACGAGGTCAGGAGATCGACACCATCCTGGCTAACACAGTGAAGCCCCATCTCTACTAAAAATACAAAAAAATTAGCCAGGCGTGGTGGCGGGCACCTGTAGTCCCAGCTACTTGGGAGGCTGAGGCAGGAGAATGGTGTGAATCCAGGAGGCGGAGGTTGCAGTAAGCTGAGATCGCGCCACTGCCCTCCAGCCTGGGCAAGAGTGAGACTCCGTCTCCGAAAAATAAAAATAAAAAAGAAAAGCACCTGTGTGAAAAGGTCCTGAGATCAATGAGGAAGGCCCAAGTGTCCCCACAGTCAGGCGGAAATGTTTGTTGTGATGTAAATTTTATTTGGTTTGTAGGCAGTTCAATTTCAAAATTGCTAAAATGTGTTTGAGCTTTAGACTCTAACATTTGTTGTAATAATTGCTAGGTTGAAGTTCACCATGTAAAAACAAGGGGCATGGATTTACATTGCAAAAGTTGTCCACACTGTATTAGCAACATTCTTTCATTGACAGTTGACATAATTCATTCAGAGTGAAATATTTTAAGCCAAAAAAAATCCCCTTTTTAAAAAGGGAGGTTTAAATACTATTAGCATTTTTATGGTTCCTTTAAATGCCCTGGCTATTCCCAGAGGGTTTTTTTTTTGTTTGGTTTGGTTTTGGTTTTCTGTTTTTCTTTTTCTTTACATTTTTTTCATTTGAGTCTTAGCACCCGTTTAAGTTATGCTTCTGACCTTGTATGGTCTGTAAGCTTGCCCAGAAATAAGACCACCATTTTGAACTACCATAAAAGTATAAATGAGTATTTCAATGCCATAATCTTTCCTGTTGCCTGTGGAGTCTCTGCTGAGATGAATCAGGATTCGAGCTCTAGGATGAGACAGAAAATGAAAGCATGCTGTTTGCCAGGACACTGTGGATTTATATTGATGTGTATCTAGTTGATTTGGAACACTGGACTCTCATTTTATTCTTCTGGTTTTCTGTTTTTGTTTTATCTTTTGTAAAGGCAATGAGCTAGTCCCAGGAAGGATCCTTCAGTTACATACAATTTTGTTTAATGAAATGTCATGGCTCTGTTCATATTTTTCTCTTGTTCTTCCAATCGGTATATACAACTTTCAGAGCTCTTGTATTTGGAAGGCTGGAAGGGTCCAGACTTTGGAATAGTGTCTTGGTTTCACTGTTTTTGTTTTGATGTTTTTTCGTTTTTTTTTTTTAAACTAAAGCTATATAAAGCTTGTGGATTAAACAGAATAAATTTCTAAATTTTTTAAAAAACTAAAATAACACTTCACACCCACTAGGTGGCTATAATAAAAAAAAGAAAGAAATAAAAGAAAGGATAGTAACAAGTGTTGGTGAGGGTACGAAGAAACTGGAACCCTAATACATTACTGATAGGGATGTAAATGGTGCAGCCAGGTTTGAAAACAGGCTGACAGTTTCTCAAAATAATAAACATAAAGCTACCATATGACCCAGTGATTTCACTCATAGGTATACATACAGTAGAACTGAAAGCATATATTCACTCAAAACATTGTACAAAAATGTTTATAGGCTGGGCGCGGTGGCTCACTCCTGTAACACCAGCACTTTGAGAGGACAAGGTGGGCAGATCACAAGGTCAGGAGTTTGAGACCAGCCTGGCCAACACAGTGAACCCTGTCTCTACTAAAAATACAAAAATTAGCCAGACATGATGGCATGTGCCTATAGTCCCAGCTATTCAGGAGGCTGAGGCAGGAGAATCACTTGAACCCAGGAGGCAGAGGTTGCACCACAGCACTCCAGCCTAGGCAACAGAGCGAGATTCCGTCTCAAAAAAAAAAATGTTTATAGCAGTATAATTCAAAATATCCAAAAGGTAAAAATAGCCCAGATGTCCATCAAACAAAAGGTGGTACATCCAAACAAAGGAATATTATTCAATCATAAAAAGGAATGAAGTACTGATACATGCTACAATATGAATGAACTTTGAAAACATTACCTAAGTGAAAGAAGTCAGACACAAAATATCACATGCTTCATGATTCATTTATATTAAGTGCCCAGAATAGGCAAGTCCATAGAGATAGAAAATAGATTAGTAAATTCACAGCCAAGGGGATGGGAAAACGGGGAGTGTCTGCTAATAAGAACAGGGTTTCTTTTTTTATTTTTATTTAAAGTTCCAGGGTATATGTGCAGGTTTGTTACATAAGTAAACATGTGCCATGGTGGTTTGATGCACCTATCAGCCCATCACCTAGGTATTAAACCCAGCATGCATTAGCTATTTTTCCTAATGCTCTCCCTCCCCCAACCCCATCCCCCAACAGGCCCAAGTGTGTGTTGTTCCTTTTCCTGTGTCCATGTGTTCTCATGAACAGGGTTTCTTTTGAGGGTCATGAAATGTTCTGGAATTAGGATACTGGTGACAGTTTCATAACTTTGTGACTATACTGAAAACCAGTGAATTGTAGGCTTTTCAAGGGTGAATTTTATGGTATGTGAATGATATATAAATGTTTTAGAAGAATAAAGAGTAAGGGTAAAACTAAGAATGAATACGGTTTTTAGCCTACGTGACCAAAACAGTGGTGATAATATAAACAAAAACAAGAACTTCATGTGAGAGAACTTGTTTGACAAATAGAAATAAATAAATTCAGTTATAAAGACATAGTACTTGAAACTGATTATGAAAATGGATGCCATCACTCAAGGAGAGAGAATGCAGAAATCAAGAAAAAGAGGAAGAGGAGAGAGGAAGAAGGTGGAGGAAGAGAAGGAGAAAGAGAGGGAGAGGAAGGAAAGAAGAACCCACAGGTGAGGATATAACTAGGAAGAAGGTTCACATTTGATAGGAGGATGACAGAAGGGAGTTAAGAGAAGGAAAAAAGAGGTGAAAGAACTAGAAGCCTACAATGACAAGAATAGTGAAAGAGAAGAACTTTTCATAAAGATAAGTGTAGCTGGCCAGGCACGGTGGCTCACGCCTATAATCCCAGCACTTTGGGAAGCCGAGGCAGGCAGATCACCTGAGGTCAGGAGTTCAAGACCAGCCTGATCAACATGGTGAAACCTCATCTCTACTAAAAATACAAAATTAGCCGGGCGTGGTGGCGCATGCCTGTAATCCCAGCTACTCGGGAGACTGAGGCAGGAGAATCTCTTGAACCTGAGAGGCGGAGATTGCAGTGAACCAAAATCCCACCATTGCACTCCAGCCTGGGCAACAAGAGCAAAACTCCATCTCAAAAGAAAAAAAAATGAGTGTAACTAATAGTCTGTCAAGTGTTACAGACTGATCAAGGAGACTAGGAATGAATGCAATGAATTTGACAAGAAGAAAGGTCATCTGTCAACTTTCAGGAATGCTTTTCAAAAGAGAGATCCAAACTGCCAGTATTAAGAGGAATGGGTCATAAAAATAAAGAGAGATGATTAGAAAGGAAGAGATATGGGACAGGAACATGAAAGGATGTAGAAGGACAATAGCAAATAAACTGAAGTGCACAAAACCTGACACAAAAAGACACTTGTCCACGCATAATCTATAATTAATGTAAAATACAAACAACCTAAATTTTCTAACAATGCATAAAAAATAAATGATTGCACAAATATAGAAGCATTGTCTGGTATCATGATTAAGAGAATAGACACTCAAGCCAGACTGCTTAAATTTGAATTCTTATTTATTTATTTGAGACAAGGTCTCACTCTTACGCACAGGCTGGAGTGCAGTGGCGCAGTCTCAGCTCACTGCAACCTCCCCATCCTGTGCTCAAGCGACTGTCTTGCCTCAGCCTCTCAAGTAGCTGAGACTATAGGCGCATGCCACCACACTCGGCTAATTTTTTTGTATTTTTTGTAAAAACAGGGTTTTGCCACGTTGCCCAGGCTGGTTTGAAACTTCTGGGCTCAATCCCTGATCCACCCACCTCGGCCTACCAAACTGCTGGGATTACAGGTGTGAGCCACCACGCCCAGCCGAATCTGAATTCTGACTCTACCACTTACTAGCTGAATGACCATGGGCAAGTTACTATACTACTCTGTGCCTTATTTCCTCATCTGCAAAATGGGATAACAACAATAATATCTACCTCATAGTGTTGATGGGAAGATTAAATATGTTAGTATTTGCATAGCATTTGGAACAATATCTGACATATAGTTAAGTACTATATAAGGGTGAATTATTATCATCAATACAAGAGAATACCTGTGGTTGTTAAAAATGGCATCAGAGAATTTCCAATGATTACCTAAAATATTGAGACTTAACATTTAACGACACATTAAGTGAATAAAGCTGGAAAAAAATGTATACATTATGTGGCATCATAATTTACACGCACAGAAAAAAAGACTGGAAACATAACAGAAGGTCAACACCAGTTCAGTCAAAAAGATGGGACTGTAGGGGATTATTATTTTAATCTTTATGCTCTTTCTGCATCTCTAAATGTTCTATCACAACAATTTATTATTATAGGTGGAAAAAATAAACATGAAAATAGAGAATTCTAGGCTAACATGGCTGACTGAATACACATATCTTTAATCTTTCTTCTGAAACCACAGGAAAATTATAAAAAGTGTTTTTTTAAACAATCTTCAGACAGGGAGAACAGGAGAGCAGATAGCAGGAAACAATAAAAGGAAGCCAGAAACTATTGCAGGCAGTGGAGAAAGCTGAGAGCCAACCCAATTTATACTACAGAATCCACAAAAAGCTCAGAAACTGGCAGCAACAGGTAATCTGTGAGTTAAGTGTGGTGGGGTGACTAATGGAAGAGAATTTTGTGAAAGCTTTTTGAGAAGTAGATATATCCATCATCTCCCTCACTCTAACTATAGCATATATCTGGAGGTTTATTCTCCAGGTTGGAGAACATCAGACATGATTAAGGGCTTGGGTATATATGCAGCTACATGGCACATGTCAAGACACTTGGCTCCTTTCCCCTAGACACCTCCCAGAATGCTGACAGCCAGACATTAACCCTTCAGCCAGGAGATCAGAATTTCCAGGTTTTCTCTGGGAAAAGTTACTATCTCAAGGCTTAAACCCTAAAGATATTGACAGAAGAGGGTCCACTAAAAACAGTACACCTAGATCAGCAAACAGTGAAGCGCCAATTCTATAAGCTTCCCTACACACTCATAACATTCATTTAGTATTTTCATTTAGTATTTTATTCTCACACTTTTCATCATATGCGTACATATAACCAGCCATTGCCAGACCTTTGAGGAAATCCTGTAGCATGAAAGATAGAAATGAAAACAAAAAGGGAAAGTCAGTCTGAAGAAAATGATACTATTCATTGAGAAAAAATACTTATCATTAGTAACCCAAGAGAGGTATAATATGATACTACACTCATGGAACACTGACAAGATGCTTTTTTAAAGGAACATTAAGAAAACAAGGCCAGGCGCAGTGGCTCATGCCTGTAATCCCAGCACTTTGGGAGGCCGAGGTGGGCAGATCACTGGAGGCCAAGAGTTCGAGATCAGCCTGGGCAACATAGTGAGACCCTGTCTCTATTAAAAATACAAAAAACTTAGCCAGGCATGGTGGCACAAGCCTGTAATCCCAGCTACTCCGGAGACTGAGGCACAAGAATAGCTTCAACCTGGAAGGTGGAGGTTTCAGTGAGCACAAATCACAACACTGCACTCCAGCCTGGTTGATGGGGCCAGACTCTCAAAAAAAAAAAGAAAAAGAAGAAAGAAAGAAAGAGAGAGAGGAAGGAAGGAAGGAAGGAAGGAAGGAAGGAAGGAAGGAAGGAAGGAAGGAGGGAAGGAGGGAAGGAGGGAAGGAAGGAGATTAAAAAAGAGCTCTAGGGAGCTAAAATCTAATGGCAATAATGACAAAAATCAATATAAAAATTCAAAATCTATAAAGTAGAGCAGAAATACAGAGATAAAAATTACAAGAGGAAAAAAATGAGAAATTTAGAGGACAGGTCAGGTGTCCTCAACAAATACAGATGTTCCTTAATTTACAACTGTGTTACATCCCAGTAAACCCACTGTAAGTTGAAAATATCGTAAGTTGAAAATGCATCTAATACACCTAACCTATCAAACATCATAGCTTTGACTAGCATGGGCATTTTGTAGACATGATGGGATGCAAAAACAAAAAACACAACATCCAAAAATGTTAGCAACACAGTTCACTGTAGAGTGTCTGTTGCTTGCCCTCATGTTGTGTGGCAGACTGGAAGCCGCAGCTCGCTGCTATTGCCCAGCATTACAAGAGAATATCATACAGCTTATTGCTAGCCCAGGAAAAGATCAAAATTCAAAACTCAAAGTACAATTTCTACTGTAAGCATATTGCTTTCACAATTTCTACTGTAAGCATATTACTTTCACAGCATCATAATATCGAAAAATCATAAGTCAAACCATCATAAGTCAGGGACTATGTGCATTAGCAAACCGAATCTAGCCATATATAAAAAGAATAAAAACCATGACAAGGCTACTCAGAGCATTTTACTTGTATTTGTATTATATTACATACCTTCAAGTACCACTTCTTGTAATATTAACTTTAGAGTTTTCTTGAAAATTTAATGATAACAAGCATTGAAATTAATCCTGGGAAGGCACAACTGGTCAAAAATAGAAATCAAATCAATGTAATTCACCATATTAATAAACTAAAAAAAAGAAAACCATATGATCATCTCAATAAATGCAGAAAAAGCATCTGACAAAATCCAAAATCTATTACTGATAAAAAGTTCTCAGCAAAGGAAGAATAGAAAGAAACATCCTCAACCTGACAGAGTTCATATATGAAAAACCCTCAGCTAACATACTTAGTCGTAAAAGACTAGATGCTTTCCCTCTGAGATCAGGAACAAGGCAAAGATATCCATTCTTACCACTTTTCAATATAATACTGGAGGTCTACCCAGTGCTATATGGCAACATCAACAAAGGCATCCAGCTTGGAAAGGATGAAATACAACTGTCTCCATTCACAGCTGACATAATTACATACACAGAAAATCACAAAGACTCTACAATAAAGCTCCTAGAACAAATCAGTGAGTTTAGCAAGGTGAGAAGATACAAGGGCAATATGTTGAAATCAATTATATTTCTATATGCCTGCAATGAATAACTGGAATTCATTTTGTAAAATACCACTTATAGCACCAAAAAAACAAAAGAATGAAAAGGAAGAAAAAAATATGTGGGTATTAATCTAACAAAATATGTGCTGGAGCTACAAAACACTGATGAAAGACACTAAAGAGGACCTAATTAAATGGAGAGAAATACTGTACTCATTGATTGGAAGACTTCATATTATGAAGCTATCAATAGTCCACAAATTGATCTATAGATTCAATGCAATCATAATCAAAATCCCAGCAGAACTTTTTGTACATATTAATAAGCTGATGCTAAAATTTATATGGAAAGGAAAATAAACAAGAATAGCCAAAACAATCTTAAAGAAAAATCAACAAAGTTAGAGGACTCACACCACCTAATTTCAAATTTTGTTACAAAAATTTAGTAATCAGTCTGGGCGCAGTGGCTCACACCTGTAATCCCAGCACTTTGGGAGGCCGAGGCGGGCGGATCACTTGAGGTCAGGAGTTTGAGACCAGTTTGGACAACATGGTGAAATCTTGCCTCTACTAAAAATACAAAAATTAGCCAGGTGTAGTAGTGGGCACCTGTAATCCCAGCTACTCGGGAGGCTGAGGCAGGAGAATCGCTTGAATCCGGGAGGTGGAGGTTGCAGTGAGCTGAGATCATGGCACTGCACTCCAGCCTGGGTGACAGAGTGAGACTCTGTCTCAAAAAAAAAAAAAAAAATTCAGCAATCAAGACAGTCTGATATTTGTGAGCTGATAGACACATAGATCAATGTAACAGAACAGAGTGCAGAAACTGGCCAAACATACATGGGCAATTGATTTTGACAATGTTGCCAAGGTAATTCAATGGAAAAAGAACAGTCTTTTCTACAATTAGTACTGAAACCACAGGGCACCCATAAACAAAATTAAAAAAAACTTTGAGCCACAACTCACATATATCCAATAATTAAGTCAAAATGGATCAGAGGCCTAGACATAAAACATAAAACTATGCATCTTTTACAAGAAAACAGAAGAAAATTTTGTGATCTTGGATTAGGCAGCGTTCTTAAATACAATACAGAAAGCATACCCATAAATGAAAAAAATTGATAAACAGGACTCATCCAAATCAAATCCTTTCATTCTGCAAAAGACCCTGTTAAGATATTAAGAAGATAAGCACTGAGAAAATATTTTAAATCACATATCTCACAAAGGACTTTTGTCTAGAATATATAAAGAACTCTCAAAACTCAATAAGAAAACAAACTACCCAATTAAAAAACAAGCAAAAGATTTGAACAGACACTTCACCAAAGAAGAGACATGGATAGCAAATAAAAACATGCAAAGATGTTAAGCATCATTAGTCATTACAGAAATACAAATTCAAACCACAATGAAATACCAGTACACACTTATTTGAATGAGTAAAAGAGAAAGCTGACAATACGAAGTGCTGACAATGATGTGAACAAAACTAGCATTCTCATACATTGCTGGTAGAAATGTAAAACGGTAACAACCACTTTGAAAAACAATCGGACAGTTTGTTTCTTTTTTTTTTTTTTTTTTAGATAGAGTTTTGCTCTTATCACAGTGGCACGATCTCAGTTCACTGCAACCTCTGCCTCTTGGATTCAAGCGATTCTCCTGCCACAGCCTCCCGAGTAGCTGGGATTACAGGCACAAGTCATCACGCCCAGCTAGTTTTTGTATTTTTAGTAGAGACAGGGTTTCACCATGTTGGCCAGGCTGGTCTGGAACTCCTGACCTCAGGTGATCCACCCTCCTCGGCCTCCCAAAGTGCTGGGATTACAGGCATGAGCCACCACACTCGGCCTAGGCAATTTCTTATAAAGTCAAACATACTTTTCATATGACCTAGCAATTCCACTAAGTATTTGCCCAAGAGAAATGAAAACTTACGTTCACATAACAACCTGTTTTATGAATGTTTGACAGCAGTTATGGCATAGCCATCAAAAACCATCAAAAACTGAAAATAACCATCAAAAACTGCTTATTTATTCATAACCATCAAAAACTGGAAATAACCTAAATGTTCTTCATCTGGTGAATACATAAACTGTGGCACATCCCATACAATGGAATACTACTCAGTAATTAAAAATTAAGAAGTGAAATAAACCAGATCCAAAGGGCTCTATTTGACTCACTCTATGGCTTATTTATATGACATACTAAAAAAGGCAAAACTCCAGGGGTCGAGAACAGACTCATAGCAGCCAGGGTTTCAGGTTGGGGAAGGGGTTGACTACAAAGGGATAGCACGAGGGAAGTTTTAGACTGATGGAATCTTTCAGCATCTGGATTGTGGTAGTGCTTCCACGACTCTACGCATTTGTCAAAACTCAAAGCATCGTACACCAAAAAGAATGAATTTTTGAAATAAATATATATTTAAATAGCATGTCTGCGTGTGGTTCTTTGCATTATGTGATAACTGCAACATTATCTCAAGAATAAAATATATAATCATTTTTAAATTTACAAAAAAATGTCTAGAAAGCGTAAGTGGTGGGCCCAAGGGGTAGAAAGGGAAGAGCCGAATATATTTATAAGCAGAAAAAAGGGGCCTCAGTGGAGAGATAAAGTAGATATGCAAGAAAGGAGCAGTAATGAATTGAACAAGACTGTGAAAGAAATGGAAGGGAACAGAATCAAGCACAGAAGCAGCCAAGTTCTAAGTATCTTTCAAATCATAAATTAAGCATCATTACCTCCAGAAAGCCTTCCCAGGAGCCCCAAAGTGGAAACTACCTTTTCCTCCCCTGAAACTCTACATCATTTTAAACATACTGTCTGATAACTCTTCCTAATTACTATGAAATAAAATTATTACTATTTTACATGTCTTATCTCCTGTTCCTGCCCCAACAACCCACTAGATTATGAATTATTTGAAAGCAAAGTTTCAGGAGCAATTTATACTTCTTTCCTCCACAGTGCTTTGCATTGTGCTTTAAATATAGTAAAAATAAAAACAAAACAAAACCGCAAAACCCACAATAAGGATGTTGAATAAATAATGCAGAGAGTAGTAGATGGTTTACTGATTGATTCTTGCATGTGATATTCTTTGTATTACAATCCAGTATAATGACTTTCGCACAATGGCACTTTTGTTGTCAAACGTATTCAGTTATGGATTCATCTGAGTCTTGAATTTGAAGCAATAAACGTTTGAAAAAATGTCAAGGACATCAGTTACTTACATAAATATATTAAAAAGTTCACCTCGGCTGGGCGCAGTGGCTCACGCCTGTAATCCCAGCACTTTGGGAGGCCAAGGTGGGTGGATCACCTGAGGTCAGGAGTTCAAGACCAGCCTGGCCAACATGGCTAAACCCTGCCTCTACTAAAAACACAAAAATTAGCCAGGCGTGGTGGCACATGCCTGTAATCCCAGCTACTCGGGAGGCTGAGGCAGAAGAATCACTTGAACCTGGGAGGCGGATGTTGCAGTTAGCCGAGATTGCGACATTGCACTCCAGCCTGGGCGACAGAACAAGACTCCGTCTCAAAAAAAAAAAAAAAAAAAAAAATCACCTCAGGAAAGACGACCCATTCTAATTCCCTTCAAAAGTTATAGAAAAAGCAGATGGCTCTACAAGATTGGGGGTGGTGGGTGCATTAGGCTCATTTTAAGTAAGTCAGAAGTATAATTTTAAAAAAAAGGCTGGGCGCGGTGGCTCACACCTGTAATCCCAACACTTTGAGACGCTGAGGCAGGTGGATCACGAGGTCAGGAGATCGAGACCACCCTGGCTAACACGGTGAAACCCCGTCTCTACTGAAAATACAAAAAAAAAAAAATAGCTGGGCGTGGTGGTGGGTGCCTGTAGTCCCAGCTACTCGGGAGGCTGAGGCAGGAGAATGGCATCAACCCAGGAGGTGGAGCTTGCAGTGAGCCAAGATTGTGCCACTGCACTCCAGCCTGGGCGACAGAGCGAGACACCATCTAAAAAAAAAAAAAAAAATTCTGGCCAGGCATGGTGGTGTCATGTCTGTAATCCCAATATTTTGGAAGGCCAAGGCAGGAGGAGCACTTGAGGCCAGGAGTTCAAGACCAGCCTGGACAACACTGCAAGACTCTTTCTCCACAAAAACTTAAAAAATTAGCCAGGCAAGGTGGTACACACCTGTAGTCTCAGCTATTTGGAAGGCTGAGATGGGAAGACCGCTTGAGCCCAGGAGGTCGAGGCTGCAATGAGCCATGGTTGGGCCACTGCTCTTCAGCCTGGGTGACAGTGAGACCCTGTCTCAAAAAAAATAAAAATTTTGAGGTACATGTATTTAATGTGCAAGTTTGTAATGTTCAATTCTATCAATGGCCTGTTTTTTTCTTTCTGTACATATGCTTACTCATCTTTCAATGATCTTATTTCCATGGAGTTTAGGGATAAATAAGCCACATGTAGATAAAATATTATCAGTCTACTGAATATATCACTGAATTGCATCATTGATGGCATTATACTCAGTTACAAAGGATTATGAATTCATCTACTCTCATTTTGTCACTAATCAGTACATCATGTCCATGTAACTGAATTTACTCTGTAAAATTTTTAGTGTAGGGCCTCTTTTCCTATTATGATACACTTCCATCATTAAGGACGTGGAAATTTTGTTACAAATAGTAAGTTAAGTACCACATAACAATTAAGATATAATTCATTACTACTTCCTTAAAAACAAAACAAAAAGACTGTCCTTCAGAACATATCAAGGAGACAATTTTTTTCTTTCTATGAGTGAATGAAACATGCTATGGAATGAATTGTGCACATCCCAGCCCCGCACCAATTCATATGTTGAAGCCCTAACCTCCAATGTGATTATACTTGGAGATGGGGCTTTTCAGACCTCAGTAGGTCCCTATGATGGGATAGTGCCCTTATAAGTAGAGACAGCTCTATCTCTATCTCTCTTCTCTCTCTCTCTCTCTCTCCCTCTCTCTCTCTGTCTCTCTCTCTCTCTCCCCCCACCCTGCCATGTGAGGACACAGGGATAAAGGCAGCCATCTGCAAGCCAGGAAGAGAGCTCTGACCAGAAACCAACTATGCCAGCATCCTGTTTTTAAGCCACTCCGTCTACGGTGTTTTGTTATGGCAATCCAAGTTGACTAAGACAAAAACATATCAAGGAATTTGGAGACAAAACCCTAAGCAATTCAGCACTTTATCAGTCAAGTATTGCAGGAAGAGGAATGGATAGGATGCAGGAGAGGGGACACTGAGTTATATACAGCCTGGCCCTTTTACTGACTTCAAGTGAGACCCAGAACAAGTTGTTCTTTAGTTCGTAGTTTGGCTACAGATTCTGCATCTATATAATTATGACACTAGATAAGCTACTCTCACAGCCACTGCACAGCATCACTCCCACCCTCACTTTGACTATGACTGTACCTTGAAACTGCAGTCACTAACGACGCTGCAGTAACTAGGTGAGACAGGAAGAAATAATCACTGAAGGCAGCAACAAGGAGAGTAACAAAATGTCGTGCATAAATTGCAAGTCTAGCATGACAGAATGCAAAATGTATAACTGAGATAAACATTTATGAAATCTGCTTCAAAAACAAAGATCAAAATTGAATACTGGCCGGGAGTGGTGGCTCATGTCTGTAAATCCCAGCATTTTGGGAGGCCGAGGCAGGTGAATCACCTGAGGTCAGGAGTTCGAGATCAGCCTGGCCAACATGGCGAAACCGCATCTCTACTGAAAATACAAAAGTTAGTTGGGCATGGTAGTGTGCACCTGTAGTCCCAGCTACTAGGGAGGCTGAGGTGGGAGGACCACTTGAGACTGGGAGGCAGAGGTTGCAGTGAACCGAGATTGTGCCACTGCACTCCAGCCTGGGTGACAGAGTGAGACCCTGTCTCAAAAAAAAAAAAAAATTGAATACTGCACCACCATCGCCATCTCTTTGTACTAAAGCTTAAGATGTACAAAAAAATAAAAAGAATGCAGATACAACAGAAAGGGAATGCTGCGACTACACAAAGCACAATGGTCATTCATGTCCTTCCTACTTTTTGTTATAGTATACAATGATTTTTTTTTTTCCAAGATGAAGTGTAAGGAAGCATATAATTGCATAGGGAAAAGAGAACGTGAGATACTAACCCCGGACATAATAGTGCTGTCAGCAAGGCATTTGTCTTCCACTTAGCACCTCTAAATGCTAAGGAAGTAAAAAACTGAATAGTTACTTTAGCAACTTGATTTAGTCAACTTTACAAATACTTTAGAGTAATCAAGGCACAATTAAATTTTCATAAGTCGGCTAAAATTCCCCCATGCAATTTTTTTTATTTTTTACTTCACAGCCTTTTAATTTCTACATTTCACGCAACAACTTCCTGGAATAATAACAGTTGTAATGCTTACTCTTATACATTATAGCAGACACATATCTGGCAGGGGTTCCCAGAAGGACCCATAACACAATGGCACAGGTCATTAAAGCTCCTCCATTGGCAGGAGAAGGAAAACCAAGGCAGGCCAGACCTAAAGGCACAAAAATGAAATAGAAAACCAGCAACAATAATAGTCTCAAAAGTACATAGGACTTTATAAGAAATTAAGCACAACCTTATTAAGACATTATATGAAACGGCACACAAGTAAATTATCTAATGGGAGTACTACAAGCAAGGGATGCTATAAGCAAATGTTATTTGCTTGGCTAAGTACTTGACACTTTTTCTTAATGAAAAAGTCTGATTTTCCATTCAAGGTAAGTGGAAGTAAGTTTTCATAAGTTGAATTAGCCTTAATTTCACTGTCTAAATCAAAATTACACAAAATATCTCCCCCTTTCCCACTTCAGTAGTCACTCCAAAAACAGCACTTCTTTTTTTCCCAAAGAAATTTCCTTCTGTTTCCTTTTATTCAAGCTCAGGAATGAAAAAAAAATCAAAGTGAGAATTGGTCTCAGGAAAATATAACCCTAAAAGCTGATTTTTGAAATTATCATTGACATCTGAAACATCTAATGAGCCATTTTTTACAGCAGCTTTGTTTACGAAAATCACTACTCTGGCTATCAAAAACTGACAAGCTCCATTTTTAGTTTATAAATGAAGGCACTAGGGTTCATCAGCTGTTGTGAGCCCACTACCGATGCCATTCCATTTATACACTTAAAGACCAGCACTTAGGCTTGCTGTAGCATTTCAAAATGTTAGCTTTCAAATCATGAACTCCCTTAGCCCACTTAAAATATGATTCTACTCATGTACTGATTTTAAGAATGCGTTTATTTTGCAAAGCAAGGAATATACATATTGGAGTTTACAATAAACTATTCAGAACTAAAGAAGCTATGGAAGGTGCTTGATATAGGAAGATACTTAGACTAATATCCTTAATTTGAGAAGACAGAAATGTAAACATTATAAAACACAGATTTCCATTAACTTTAGGGTATAATTTTCCAAGTCCCTTTGTACAAAGGACTCAAAGTTTAACATATGCCGGCAGCTTACTATGAATGTTTAAGACATATCTGAGTGTACTCATTTAAAGTAATAAAGGTAACAAACAAAATTTGTGTTCCTTGACCCAGGAAGGCTGACAGCAACATTGCGTTCTTTGGGGGCCTGAAAACAACTGCATGAATCATCTTCCAGCCAAACTCCTGCTGGGCATCCTCCCACACATAAGAAAGTCTCTAACAAACATACAAGCTACTATGACAGAAAGTTACAAGAGCTCTGAAAGTTAGTTGAAACAGAATTTTCCTTTAAAGGCAGACTAACTGGAAACCAATGGCTCATTATGAATTTAGCAGGTCTCTGAAAGGTACATGATCCTGCCACACAAATGAATCACTCCCTTCCTCGAAGTTTTGCATCCGAGGGAGTGTGTTAATTACATAAAACACACAACTGATTTACTTCTCATGAAGAAAGCAAAATGATTTAACCTACATAAGGAACTTGACCAATGTTATAGCAATTAAAAATTGACCAATACACAAGTGGTCACAAGAGTCAAAACAGTATAAACAGTATAACCTAAATTACAGTATTTTGCAATGTTTGATATTGTTATCTCATACTTCTAATCAATGAAAATCTTTAATAATGATATTTTGAGAGTTCAGAAACACATAAAAAAGGATATAACCAAAAAGTTGATGACAAACAACTCTCTAATAAACCTCCCTGTTCTTTTAAAAAAATTTACTCAACTCTGTACTTTCTGATTTGGTATAACATACAAAATCACTAGGCATAAAAAATGTGTTGTATTCAAGGTGCAATACTCTAAGTAGAAATATAACATTGATGAAAACTGGGCAGAATAGGCACTTAAGTATTTGTTGAATCTAACATATGCATTTTTTACTTATGGGAGAATTCATCTTATTATATCTGATAATATCTTTATGGAGAATCCTTAATATGATAGCCACCGTTCCAGATAAGAAAAGAATAACAACAAAGGAATTCACAATACTAGAAAATTTAAGAAAGAAAAAAAGAGAAGTTAAATCTCAAAACTTCCTAATTGAGCACTGAAAAAAATGCACGTACATATAAAAGAAAGACATTCAAATTATCATTATGTAAATCAGTTTTCTAACGTTAAATTTAGATCAATGACAATGCATCAATATATTAAGTGAACTTAAAGTTATGTTACAAAAGAGTATTACAAATAAAGTAATAGAAGCAACACTATTCTTAAGGTTATTTTTAGAAAACTTTAAGAGTACCTTCTCAAAGAGAAATAAGTAAATAAGATCTGTCACACAAACTTAGTTTGGGAGCATGGAACTGACAACCTAAGTTCAGGAGACACAGGTTGAACTAATGGCTGACTGGCTTCTTAGCCAATGGATCAAGGCCATAGTCTTTAACTCTATTACTCTATGAGCTTCAGGGCAAAGATCCCAAGGACCACTTATCTACCAGCTCTTACTTACTGTTTCTAAATCTAAAACTTAAAAACTATCCCCAAATCAAAGCCAATGCCTTCTGCCATCCCACCTCCCCAACCAAACCCATACACACACACAAAGTTTCACCAGAATCTATGAAAAGTCCAGCACTGTTTTAGTGAGACGCCAATAAGGCTACTGATGTCTAAATGTCTGTTAAATGTTGTAAGTAAATTAAGTCATGACAGAAACTAAAATACAGTACATTTTGTTGTTACATTAATACTACCAGAATTAGCCCTCATAATCTATCTAGAGGTCCTTCACTTTCACAACCCCTTTGGAGAAACCATTTAAATAAATTGTATCTGAGGAGACTTCTGGGGCGTGACAAAATGGGATTGGAACTGTTGCCCAAACAGAAGCCTCTCTGGAAAAGCTACCATAGGAAGAAGCAAGAGGACAAGGAGCAGGAGGAGGAGGAGGAATAATAGGAACAAGGAAAGGAGAGAAAGGGTATTTTCATTTTAAAGTCAATGGGAGCATAAGGAGAATCATCACTCCAGAAGACCATACTCCTAGTATCACACCATTCCTTACTTTCACTTTTTTAATTTTTAATTTTTATTTTATTTTTAGAGACAGGGTCTCTCCATGTTGCCCAGGCTGGTCTTGAACTACTGCCCTTAAGTGATCCTCCCACTTCGGCCTCCCAAAGCCCTGGGATTACAGGTGCAAGCCACCACACTGGGCCCTTACTTTCATTTTTACTTTTGTAATCTCCTTTGACCCATGATTGCTTTATTACAGGATATAAAGACAACAAGGAATAAAATACAATATGGACTAATTCACTTCTTTTTGACCAGCTTCTCTGTTCAGTCTCCTAAGTTACTAACTTCACATCCTACTCCCACTCTCAGCACTTTATCACAGCCCCAATCATTAGTTATGTTCTCAGTTGGTCCATCTCTCACTGAGTCCATCCCCATGTGAAACCACTCTTTCCATAGTCACAGACTTCTAACTCTGTGGTTTCATCCTGTTGAAGATTCCCAAGGAATCAAGTCCTTTCAGTCTGGGTCCACTAGCATGTCCTCTGCCTTATTCACTGTTGAGCTCAAAGCCTACCATAGCATCACGATAGGGACTAAAAAGAGTAAATGGTCCTTCACTGGCAGACATTATCTCCATACGATCCTCTCCTCTATATGACCTGCCTTGATTACACAGCCACTTCAAGTTGTGGGTTTGTCACACGAAATCCTTTCACCCTTTTCTCACCGCTTCCCAGATTTTTATGACATCCTTACCTTCCTCTACCCCAGCTGGTTACTATTTTTCCTAACTCTCTACTGTGCCTGAACTTTTTGAACCCACAAACAGAAGTTTCCATTCCATTTTATTTTTCATCTCTTGCACAGTGTCAACTTCCACAGTCATATCTCACTGACTCTCCACCCCAATATTCATTCCATGCAGACGTAGTATCTCCATGACATTTCGGATTGCTCTTTCCCTTCAGCATAAACACTAACATATTTAAAACACATTTATCTTTTTTTCATTGTGTATGTGGGGAGTGGAAGGGAGAAGAGGAGAGAGGAAACTACAGTCACAGAGAAGGAAAAAGATGTAACCCAAGATCATCTGTGATAACAAAATATGTTAATTTAAATATATATATATTTACATTTCTACCTCAAAACTACTTACTTTTTACTTCATGAAGTGCTTACCTAAACCACTGAATATTAGCATGAGGCACAGACTCCAAAATCTAATCCCACCTAGAAGCCCACTTGACAGTTTTGTTTTCCTAAAACAGGAATATAAAATCATATGACCAAATGTTAGTTGAGTTTTTGCTGGTTATAAATCCTGAAACCAATGGAAAAACGATTCTGCATGTACTTTCTCCATTTCTTTACTTTTAACTTCATGGAATTATATGATCTACTTTGACATTTTTTAATTTTCTTTTTTCTTTTTTGTTTTCATTTTTGTTTTTGTTTTGAGATGGAGTCTCACTCTGTCACTCAGGCAGGAGTGCAGTGACACGATCTCAGCTCACTGCAGCCTCCACCTCCCAGGTTCAAGCGATTCTCCTGCTTCAGCCTTCTGAGTAGCTGGGATTACAGACATGAGCCACACCCAGCTAATTTTTGTATTTTTAGTAGAAATGGGGGTCTCGCCATGTTGGCCAGGTTGGTCTCGAACTCCCGACCTCAGGTGATCCACCCGCCTCGGCCTCCCTAAGTGCTGGGATTACAGGTATGAGCCACCGCGCCCAGCCTTCTTATTTTAATTTCCTAATATTCTACCTCATTTAAAAGAGACTAGGAGAAAATAATTTTAGCTTGCTGCTATTCACCAATAATAGCATCTCTTTGCTACTACTTTTCTGTAACCGTAAATCCACCCCATACTTCATTTCATTTTGTCCCTTTTGTCCTGATCATATTTCCATCTGCAAAGGTCCACAAAAGTATATATAATGAGAGTCACTGTAGCTTTGTCTGTAAATTTAAAAACCTAGAAACAACCAAATATGCCCATCACAATGAGAATAAACTATGGTAATCCATGCAAATAATATGCAACCATTAAAAAGAATGATGTGCATCTATAAGTGACAATATCTCTATGAAACAGCATTAAGTGAAAAAGAAAGGTGAAAAGTATGTGTGGCAAGATTCCACTTTTTCCCAAGAACGTGATATACATATCTTGTAGGTAACAAATATTTTTCTGGAAGGATAAATAAGAAAAAATAATGCTTATACTGTTAGATGGAGAGAGTAGGAATTGGAGGGTAAAGGAAGGGAGAGATTTACTTATACCTTTTCTATTTGGTTTGAAGTCTTCACCATATACAAATATACAAATTTTATTGATATTACTTAAATTCAACTAAAAGACAACTTGCTTCACTGCAACCCACCAACTCCACCCTCTGCAAATAGGTTTGTTATTAGAGTATTTTGTTTGATTATAAAACCTTGTTCAACTACTTAACCCATCATTTGTTTTTTGTTGTTGTTTTTTGGTTTTGGGTTTTTTTTGTTTTTGTTTTTGTTTTTGAGACAGAGTCTTGCTCTGTCGCCCAGGCTGGAATGCAGTGGCATGATCACGGCTCACTGCAAGCTCGACTTCCCTGGCTCAAGTGATCCTCCCACCTCAGCCTCTCAAGTAGCTGGGACCGCAGGTGTGCGCCACAATGCCCAGCTAATTTTTTAGTTTTTCGTAGAGATGAGATCTCACTGTGTTGCCATGGCTGGTCTTAAATTCCTGGGTGCAAGCAATTTGTCTACCTTAGCCTCCCAAAGTGCTGGGATTACAGGCACAAGTTATCACGCCCTGCCCATTTCTTATATTTTACATTTTTTGTATGTTAAGTATTTTGGTGGTGACTGCCTGTTGTCCTAGACACCCAGGAAGCTGAGGTGGGAGGATCACCTGAACCAGGGAGTTTGTGGCTGCAATGAGCTGTGACTGTGCCACTGAACTCCAGCCTGGGCAACAGAGTGAGACCCTGTTTCAAGAAAAAAAAAAAAAAAGATTTTCTTTTATGTTGTAGTTTTCAGTACTGAATAAAACATAAGAAAACACAATTATGAATGAAGTTGTTTCTGCTGATGTGTGATCAAATTCAACTTGTCAAGAGCTTTAAGATATTGCCAATATATTATGATCTTAAATGATAATCCCCGGCCAGACACGGTGGCTCATGCCTGTAATCCCAGCACTTTGGGAGGCAGAGGCGGGCAGATCACCTGAGGTCAGGAGCTCAAGACCAGCCTGACCAACATGGAGAAACCCCGTCTCTACTAAAAATACAAAATTAGCCAGGCGTGGTGGCACATGCCTGTAATCCCAGCTACTCGGGAGGCTCAGGCAGGAGAATAGCTTGAACCCAGGAGGCAGAGGTTGCAGTGAGCCGAGATTGCGCCATTGCACTCTAGCTTGGGCAACAAGAGCGAAACTCCATCTCCGAAACAAAAATTATAACCCCCAATAAATACTTAAGCCATTACTGCAGTGTTATTACCCCTCAAGTCTATGGCATGATCTTAGCAAAAGAAAAATACAGGCACAGATTGGCCAAGCTATGCTTGAAATATCTTTGGATTTTTTTTTATGAAGTTTGGGGCATATGAAGAAAGTCACTATATGTTGTTTTTTTAAAAAATAAAAACCCAAATGAAAGATTTTAATTAAAATGAGTTTTATATGAAGGAAAAATAAGCCAGGAAAAAAAGATAAAAGAAACAAAAATTTGGGAAAAAATTATTACGAATGTTTTTATCTTTTTATTCTTTTTTGTGATAGCGTCTTGGCTCTGTCACCCAGGCTGGAGTGCAGCAGCTTGACTTCCCCTGGCTCAAGCGGTCCTCCCACCTCAGCCTCCCAAGTAGCTGGGACTACAGCCATGTACCACCACTACTCTTAGATAATTTTTATGTTGCCAGCGCTGGTCTTGAACTCTTGGCTCAAGCCATCCTCCCACCTCAGCCTCCCAAAGTGCTGGGATTACAGGTGGGAGCCATTGCACCCAGCCTAAAAAATAAAAAATAAAAACATAAAAAAAAAAGCTTTTTTAAAATGGGCTTTAATCCTACAATAGATTTGAGGTAAATCCTGATGACCACATGACCATCATTAACATTACCAGTGACGGGACAGGTTAGCATCATGTGCCTCCTCATGTATTCCTACCAAGAATGCAGGCATCTGATCATGAGGAAACATCCTTAAGACTCAAGATGACAGTCATCATACAGAATGTAATGTCTGTACCCTTTAAAAATTTCAAGGGTATGAAAGACTAACGAACTTAGTCTAGATCGCAGGAGACCAAAACCATAATCCTGGATAGGACTGTGAACCAGAAAGGGAAAGAGTGACACTGTTGACCACCTGGTAAAATCTGCATGGATGGATATGGATTGGACAGTATTGATTCCTGATTCAGAGGGTTGTATGCTGGTAGGAGAGTGACCTCGTTTTGAGGAAGTACCCTCTGGAGTGTTTAGGGGTGATTAGACAACCTCTAGCTCTCAAAAGATTCAAAGACTAATGATAATGACACCCACCCAGAAGAATGAACAATGAAGCAAATGAGGTACAGTGTTAACAGTAGGGATATCTGGCTAAAGGGACTACTGGAATTCTTTGTACTATTCTGGCAATTCTTCTGTAAGTCTGAAACTGTTTCAAAATAAATTATTTAAAAAAAAAACCTATAAGAAAATCATAATTTATAGAACTGATAAATCAAAAGGTAAATACTTCATGAACGAACTTAGCCTTCTATTAAAATATTGTTGCATTTTTCTAGGAACTCCTTTAAAAAAATTTTTTGCAACAGTAAAATGTAAGTTATGTTGTGAAAATTTGAATTACATGCACCTCTTTATCAGCCTATCCATTGGTTTAACTGAGTTAATGCGTATCAAGTCATTAAAAAAAAAAAAAAAAAGAGCAGTACTTTCAAACACGCGCTATGAAGTTTGGATTTTAAGTACAAAGAGAGCCAGGGCAATCTGCAATTGCTATACGGTCATTTTTTGCACCAAACATTGCCATCTACTGGAAATAACAGACCACAACACATATTACTTTTCCCTAGGAAAGTAAAAAATTATTTAAAAATCCTAAGGCATATTTGAGAACAAAATGACAAATGCAAAAAGATAACTAAGTGGTAGAAACTATTTTTAACCCACTTAAAAATGAATGAATTATGCTGCATTCTTTACATTCTAGAGTTTCAAAATCTTTTATAAGACAGCAATTCTCATAATATCATATGAGGTAAACAGGTCTCTAACGTTGGTAATAATGGAGGCGCAAGCAGCAAATGTAGAAACATACAAGACTTCTTGATCCATACAAGACTTCTTGATCCATGACACAGTACCCTATGATAGGTCTCATTCAATAAAAATTCATGAAGGGGCCGGACGCAGTGGCTCACGCCTGTAGTCCCAGCACTTTTGGAGGCCGAGGCGGGTGGACCGCTCAAGTTCAGGAGTTTGAGACCAGCTGGGAAACATGGCGAAACCCCGTTTCTACAAAAAATACAAAAATTAGCGGGGCATGGTGGCGCGCGCCTGTGCTCCCAGCTACTTGAGGGGCCGAGGTGGGAGGATGGCGTGAACCTGGGAGGTCGAAGCTACAGTGAGCCCAGATCGCACCACTGCATTCCAGCCTGGGCGATAGAGTGAGACCCCGTCTAAAAAAATAAATAAATAAAAATGTAAATTTAAAAAAATCATGCAGGGACTCAAAAAAGAATCAAGCCGGCCGGCAATTCGATCTTCTAGTCCACTTGTTCTCAACAAGAGGAGCAGCACCCTCTAGGGGGCACAATCAGAATGTGCAGCGACGCTGCTGGTATTAACAGAGATGTCCTGCAAGGCACAGGGAGACCCACACAATGGAGAACTGAGAACTGTACAGTGTCTTACAACTCTTTCAAATGCCCCACTCAACTTTCATGTGGGTGCAAAACTGCTTATGATTACCTGAGCCTAGATTCTAACTCAGCCACACCTTTATTTTATTTTGAGACAAGGCCTCTGTCTGTTGCCCAGGCTGGAGTGCAGTGGTGCAATCACTGCTCACTGCAGCCTCGACCTTCCAAGCTCAAACGATCCTCAAACCTCAGCCTCCTCAGTAGCTGGGACCACAGGTGTGCCACCACGCCTGGCCTTTTTTTTTTTTATATAGACAGGGTGTCACTCTGTTACCCAGGCTGGTCTTGAACTCCTGGGCTCAAGTAATCCTCCCACCTCAGCCTCCCAAAGTGCTGGGATTATAGGCGTGAGCCACTGCACCCAGCCCTAACTCCCAACTCCCTTTTACAGATAAAGTATTTTTTCACGGTTTCAATATTCGCTGATATTTTTTCCCAAGAACACAACTACTATGTCAGTTGAAGGAAAATGGTACGTTTGGCTTGGAATTTTGCCAAAATTAATCATTTCAGAAAATCATGGCATCATTTAGAGTTATGTGGTATTAGAGCCACCAGTGCATACTATTTTTATATGCATGTGTTGCCACATTTACAATAATTATACCCATGGGTGCAAGCATCTGACAACGACTGAAATATATACCTAAATACATATTTTATTAAAAGTTACCTCCCTTTTGTTTCTCCTTTATATTGTAGTTAGGAAGTTATATTGATGTTTATTGAAACTATGTATATAGACAAGTTTCATTATCTCTTACCTATTAGCATCATTTTAAAATAGTAAAAGGAGAGTTATAAACTACTTGTTAAACGAGGACATTGGCCAAGCGCAGTGGCTTACGCCTGTAATCCCACCACTTTGGAGGCCGAGGAGGGTGGATCACGAGGTCAGGAGTTTGAGACCAGCCTGGCCAACATAGTAAACCCCATCTCTACTAAAAATACAAAAAAATTTGCCGGGCATGGTGGCAGGCGCCTGTAATCCCAGCTACTTGGGAGGCTGAGGCAAGAAGAATCACTTGAACCTGGGAGGCGGAGGTTGCAGTGAGCAGAGATCGCACCACTGCACTCCAATCCAGGTGACAGGTGACAGTGCGAGACTCTATCTCAAAAAAAAAAAAAAAAGAGGACATCACTGTGAAAGAAGACATCACTGTGATTTGGGTTGAGAATTACCAATCGAGTTCAACTCCCTCAATTTATTATGGTGAAACTGAGATCCAGAGGGGAAATTTTGGAATTCTCAATTCAGTTAATGGTCCATGCTTCCTGAAAATCAAAGCAATACCATATATATACATATATATACACACACATATATATACATATATACACATATATATACACATATACACATATATACACATATATATACATATATACACACATATATACATATATACACACATATATATGTACATATATGTACACATATACACACGTATATATGTACATATATATGTACACATATATGTGTGTATATATGTGTATATATATATATATACACACACACTTTTTTTTTTTTTTTTGAAACAGAGTCTCAGTCTGTCACCCGGGCTGGAGTGCAGTAGCGCAATCTTGGCTCACTGCAACCTCCACCTCCTGGGTTCAAGAGATTCTCCACCCTCAGCCTCCTGAGTAGCTGGGATTACAGGACCCCACCACCATGCTGGGCTAATTTTTGTATTTTTAGTAGAGATGGGGTTTTGCCATGTTGTACAGGCTGGTCTTGAACTCCTGACCTCAGGTGACCGTATCTGGACACAATGCTTTAAATTTAGCTAGGGTCCCAGGCTAGCCAACAAATGGAGCTTATGTAACTCAAATATATAGCTAACATTAATGTGATTACAACAAAACCAAAAAGCCTTTGTTTGGTGATATAAAAACAGTACATTTTTGGCCAGGCGCAGTGGCTCATGCCTGTAATCCCAGCACTCTGGGAGGCCCAGGCAGGTGGATCACCTGAGGTCAGGAGTTCAAAACCAGCCTGGCCAACATGGTGAAACCCCGCCTGTACTAAAAATACAAAATTAGCCAGGCATGGTGGCGCATGCCTGTAATCCCAGCTATTCGGGAGGCTGAGGCAGGAGAATCGCTTGAACCCATGAGGCAGAGGATGCAGTGAGCCAAGATTGTGCCATTGCACTCCAGCCTCGGCAACAAGAGCAAAACTCTGTCTCCAAAAAAAAAAAAAAAAGACAGTACATTTTTAAAGCAAAGTATTATGAATAGAAACACTTTATCATGGCATTCAATAATTCATAATAGGCATTCAATGTCCATAATTCATAACAGGCATTCATAAATTCATAATAGGCACTCGGTTCATAATAGGCACTCAAGAAACATATAAATTGATAAACAAAAGGTCTTCACTCAAATGTTAATCTTTATGACTCATCCCTCCTGAACAAATGTATTATAAATGCCAAATTTTACACTGGTTTGGGAACCTGTATTATTTTCTGAAAACATTAAAGTGCATTTTCATGACAGTTAATTAAAAAAATAGGGCCGGGCGTGGTCGCTCACACCTGTAATCCCAACACTTTGGGAGGCCAAGATGGGTGGATCACTTGAGGTCAGGAGTTCGAGACCAGCCTGGGATAGTGAAACCCCGTCTCTACTAAAAATACGAAAATTAGCTGGGTGTGGCAGACAGCACCTATAATCCCAGCTACTCGGGAGGCTGAGGCAGGAGAATTGCTTGAACCCGGGAGGCGGAGGTTGCAGTGAGCCAAGATCAAACCACTGCACTCCAGCCTGGGCAACACAGGGAGACTCCATCTCAAAGAAAAAAAAAAAACATGCCAGGTGCAGTGGTTCACACCTATAATCTCAGCACTTTGGGAGGCCAAGGCAGGTGGATCACTTGAGGTCAGGAGTTCGAGACCATCATGGCCAACATGGTGAAACTCCGTCTCTACTAAAAATACAAAAATTAGCCAGGCATGGTGGCCCGTGCCTGTAGTCCCAAGTACTCGGGTGGCTAGGGCACAAGAATCACTTGAACCCGGGAGGCGGAGGTTGCAGCGAGCTGAGATCGTGCCACTGCACTCCAGTCTGGGTGACAGAGCAAGACACCGTCTCAGAAAAGAAAAAAAAAAAAAAAAAAAAAAAACCTTTTCAAACTAAAAATTATTATATTGCCTTTGAACTTCTCTGTGTCTAGGCTTGATCAGGGGCTCAGACCCACAAGCTCAGCTGATGATTATAGGCTCTGGGTTCAAACAGCAGTTTGCAGGTGGCTGCAGCAAGGTGGTAAGACAAGTACAGGAGAATGGAGATCATGATCCAGGTGACTGAGGAGCCACAACTGTTGCATGGCTCTGACATCTGTAAGTGCTTCATCATGTGCACAGAGTTTAACTTCCTGTCCATGTTCCCCAACCCCAACCCTGTGTCAGGATTGCATCTCCCCTCTCCACTGGCCACATGAATGTCTGTGTGCCATAGCCGGGCATGGTGGTACATGCCTATAATCCCAGCTACTTGGGAGGCTGAGGCACCAGAATCACTTGAACCCGCGATGCGGAGGCTGCAGTGAGCCAAGATCACACCACTGCACTCCAGTCTAGGCGACAGAGTGAGACTCTGTCTCAAAAAAAATAAAATAAAAACACGTCTTTGTGCACCAGAAGCACATCTAAGTGTATTTCTCCCAGTCAAGGGCCTAGAATAAAACACAGTCTGGTGAAATTTTCTGTATTGGAAATGAGAAGCAGCGAAAGGGGGGAAAAAAACATGCAGAAGCACAGAGGAAAGGGAACAGATGCTACACATGAGGTGGTTTAGATCCGTGCCAATATGGCAGCCACTGGTCCTATGTGGCTCTTCAGCACTTGAAACGTGTCTGGTCCTAAGGGGATGAGCTGTAAGTGTAAAATACACACCAGATAAGATATTTCTGTGCTCCAAAAGTGCTGTATAAACACTGTACTCCAGTGAATGAATATGTTTCTCACAAGGATATGTGTTAGCAGTTCTGTAACTGCATATATGCTAGGGTTGAATAAGTAAGTCAGTGCATCATAGATGATGAGAGCCAGGTTTCTCACTTTCAGGTAAAGAAATTACAGCTAAGGCCGGGCGCGGTGGCTCACGCCTGTAATCCCAGCACTTTGGGAGGCCGAGGCGGGCGGATCACGAGGTCAGGAGATCGAGACCATCCCAGCTAAAACGGTGAAACCCCGTCTCTACTAAAAATACAAAAAATTAGCCGGGCGTAGTGGCGGGCGCCTGTAGTCCCAGCTACTTGGGAGGCTGAGGCAGGAGAATGGCGTGAACCCGGGAGGCAGAGCTTGCAGTGAGCCGAGATCCCGCCACTGCACTCCAGCCTGGGCGACAGAGCGAGACTCCGTCTCAAAAAAAAAAAAAAAAAAAAAAAAAAAAAGAAATTACAGCTAAACCAGGGGGAAAAGGCTAGAAGAAATGCTGTGGTGCTGGATGAGGGTCTGAGATATCATATGAACTCATGTTTATTTACTTATTCGCTTTTATATTTTTCCATTAGCAGTTAGCAAGTAGTCTGTAGGGTGATACTACAGGCTGTAGGGTGTACAGTCTATAGAGTGATACCTTGCCACTGTAAGAATAACCAGTTTCCCCAACACTCATTCACCTACAATTTTAACATTCATTGATCATATTGACCTGAATCAATATTTAATTGGAGGTTGAAGAACTAGTGATTTTCAAATTCTATCATTCCCACTGAAACAATTCAATAAGTGATGACTAGCTACTCAGTTAGTTGACAAAATCCTTCATAGCCCGTAATGCAGGTTAAGTTCTTTTTTTTTTTTTTTTTTTTTTGAGACGGAGTCTCGCTCTGTCGCCCAGGCCGGACTGCGGACTGCAGTGGCGCAATCTCGGCTCACTGCAAGCTCCGCTTCCCGGGTTCACGCCATTCTCCTGCCTCAGCCTCCCGAGTAGCTGGGACTACAGGCGCCCGCCACCGCGCCCGGCTAATTTTTTGTATTTTTAGTAGAGACGGGGTTTCACCTTGTTAGCCAGGATGGTCTCGATCTCCTGACCTCATGATCCACCCGCCTCGGCCTCCCAAAGTGCTGGGATTACAGGCGTGAGCCACCGCGCCCGGCCAGTTCTTTTATACTTACAGTTACCAAGATACGAAGCTTTGCTTCTCATTTGTACACTGAAAGTTTGAGGTATGTTGCAGGTTCTGTAGGATTTTGTGAGCTACTCTAAGACACAACCACCATGGGTACCTGGGGTAGCCAAAATGGCATCCACAGTGGGATCTAAATGCTACCCTAACCTAAGAGAGTACTCCAGGCAGGGCACAGTGGCTCACACCTGTAATCCCAACACTCTGGGAAACTGGGGTAGGTGGGTCACTTTAGACCAGGAGTTTGAGACCAGCCTAGCCAAAATGGCAAAACCCCATCTCTACTAAAAATACGGGGGGGAGGGGGGGGAAGCCAGGTGATCCCAACTACTTGGGAGGCTGAGGTGGGTGGATCACCAGAGGTCAGGAGCTTGAGACCAGCCTGGTCAACACAATGAAACCCCATCTCTACTAAAAATACAAAAATTAGCCAGGCATGTTGGATCACGCCTGTAATCCTAGCCAGCTACTCGGGAGGCTGAGGCAGGAGAATCGCTGGAACCCAGGAGGCAGAGGTTGCAACCAGGCGAGATCCCACCACTGTGCTCCAGCCGTGGGCAAGAGAGCGATACTCTGTCAAAAAAAAAAAAAGGAAGAGAAGGAAAGGAAGGAAAGGAAGGAAAGGAACTCCAGAGTCGAACACGTTTGTAAAATGCTAACTTAGGCTCAGTCAAGACATTTCTTTACTATGAATGAGATTAGGAGACTTTTAAACACTTTACTAATGTGTTTTGTAAAGCTGAGAAAGGAGGCAGTAGAAAGTAACATTTTTCAAACTTATTTGACTAGACTAGTGTTCCACACAATGCACTTTGGGAAATGTTGATATGCACCATTATAATTGTTTTTTTTTATTAAAAAAAAAAAAGCATTTTTCCGGCCTGCATAGTTCACCCACCTCCCTTTCTGCCTCTGCTGCCGCCACAGTGCCCATAAAGAAGCTTATGGCAAAGGAGGGTTTAAAAAAAAAAAAAAAAGCAGGTTCTCAAGTTCACTCTTGATTGCACCCACTCTGTAGAAGATGGAATCATGATACTGCCAATTTTGTGCAATTTTTACAGGAAAGGATCAAAGTGAGCAGAAAAGCTGAGAGTCTCGGTGGAGGGGGTATGACCATCAAAATAAGCAAGAGCAAGATTACTGTGACTTCTGAGGTGCTTTTTACCAAAAGATATTTTAAATATCTCACCAAAAAATATCTGAAGAAGAAATCACCTACTTGATTAGTTGCACATAGTTGCTAACAGCAGAGAGTCAGGAATTACATTACTCCCAAATTAACCAGGATGCAGAAGAGGAGGAAGATGAGGATTAAAATTCACTTATCTGGAATATTTTATGACTTCTTGAATAAAACTTGGGAATCAAAAACAAAAATAAAGCATTTTTCAACCCAAGACAAGAAAATAAAGAAAGAGCACTATTAGAGATATATGTCATTACTCTTCCTTGCACCCTCCCCCTAACTAGAACAGCCACGTTTTGGCACTCAGATAGAGAATATCGTAGCTTAGTATGTTCTCACTGCATAATCATCTCTCTGCATGCATGAGCTAATGTTGTATGAGACATTTATAAATCAACTGCTCCCTAGGTCTTGGAGAACCTATATTGGAGAGAAGGAGGAATAGGAAACATTAAATGTGTACTACTTGCTAGGCACTGTGCTAAATATTTCATGTTAGCTCACTTCACCCTGACAGCAATCAAATGGGGTTAATATTTTATCTCCATTTTACAAATTCGGAAATAACAGGCGCAAAGTAACCTAACCAAGTTCATACAGCAGTAAATGGCAGAGCCAAGATTCTAATTCAACTGTGTCTGGTTCTTTCCAGTGTAACACCTCTGGAAGCCAAGGGCCTTCTAGGTACACTAAATAAGTTTCAATGGGAAAAGAAAATTCCCTCTTCTGGAATTGCTTCCAGAATTAGACTTGACTGTTGAGGAACAAGGGGTTGAGACCTAACCTGAAATAAGGGGATTTTCCAAAATTTTCCCATTTGGTATGGCTTTATTTTTATTTTTAGAGACGGAGTCTCGCTCTGTTGCCCAGGCTGGAGTGCAGTGGTACGATCTTGGCTCACTACAACCTCCACCTCCCGGATTCAAGCGATTCTCCTGCCTCAGCCTCCCAAGTAGCTGGGATTACAGGCATGCACCACTATGCCCGACTAATTTTTGTATTTTTAGTAGAGACGGGGTTTCGCCATGTTGGCCTGGCTGGTCTTGAACTCCTGACCTCAGGTGATCTGCCTGCCTCAGCCTCCCAAAGTGCTAGGATTACAAGCGTCAGCCACCACGCCCGGCCTGGTATGGCTTTTTTTGATGGCTACAGTTGCTTCCTGACAGACCACTAGCACCATATTATGTAGGTTCCTGATATGAATCCGAACTTCAATTTAGATGTGTTTTCCTGTGGTTTTTACTATAAGAATAAAAGTCCTTACATTTAAATGTTTAATAACTGATTGATAACTGACAAAAATGTATAAGGACCTCAGCTTTCAATCAACTTATGATAATAGCTTAGACTTTGAATAGTATTCTATTCTCAGTAGCTGAAGAAAGGTTTATTAAATGTCTTCAGAGTACATTTCACTTTTTTTGTTTTTTTTTTTTTTGAGACAGTATCACTCTGTCACCCAGGCTGGAGTACAATGGCGTGATTTCGGCTCACTGCAACCTCTGTCTCCCAGGTTGAAGCGATTCTCCTGCCTCAACCTCCCAAGTAGCTGGGACTACAGGCACTTGCCACCATGCCTGGCTAATTATTGTATGTTAAGTAGAGATGGGGTTTCACCATGTTGGTCAGGCTGGTCTCGAACGCCTGACCTCAGGTGATCCGCCCGTCTCTGCCTCCCAAAGTGCTGGGATTACAGGTACGAGCCACAATGCCCGGCCCCTTCAGAGTGCATTTCATTCCTTTCCTCAGATTACACTTCTGTATTTCATCCAAAGATTAGAAGACTGGACTATACTTATTGGACTAGTAAATTGCCTGTTTTCACCAATCGTACTTTGGGTAAACTACAGGATGTAGGATCAAGTAATCCTGACCTCTAGCTAGATGATTCAAGGCACACACACACATTTCTAACATAAATGGTTCTCATTTTCTTTACAGTGACTCTGAGGCAGAAAATATAATAGACCCTTAAGAAAGAAAGCCAGAATGGTATAGTAGAAAAACTGAGTTTGGGGGCCAGACAGACATGGTTTTGAATATCACTTGCACCACCTGCTAGCTGTGAACCTGAGAAAATTACTTGAGCTTGCTGGGCTTCAGTAGCCTCATTTATAAAATGGAGATAACCACTAAAGGTGATACATAGGGACAAAAGCGAGGTATTCCTAATGTGGAATTGCTTTCAGAATGAGATTAGGAAGAATCATTTTATAATGGCTGTCAGGCCATCTACAGAAATGACACAAACCAAGCACAATTTGTAAATTTTCGAGATTTGAGACCTAGCCCCAAATACAGTAATTAGGGTTTGGTCTCAGGAAAGAATATCTGAAGCTATAAAAAATAAGCCTTAGATGAAACTGAGTGTAACAAAACCTGGATCAAAAATATGATATCCAGCTGGGCACAGCGGCTCACGCCTGTAATCCCAGCACTTTGGGAGGCCGAGACGGGCGGATCCTCTAAAGTCAGGAGTTTGAGACCAGCCTGGCCAGCATGGTGAAACCCCATCTCTACTAAAAAAAAAAATACAAAAATTAGCCAGGCATGGGGGCAGGTGCCTGTAATCCCAGCTACTTGGGAAGCTGAGGCAGGATAATCATTTGAACCCGGAAGGCAGAGTTGCACTGAGCTGAGATCATGCCATTGCACTCCAGCCTGGGCAACAGAGTGAGACTCCATCTCAAAAAAAAAATAAATATATATATATATATACACACACACACACACACACACACACACACGTATACAAATATATATATATGATACACAGTCTAAAAAAGACTAAAAATGGAAATACATAGATCTACATAGTCATAAAGGGTTTTCCCTATTAAAAGAATAGCCTGAAATCAGTCCTTTGGTGAAGCACCACTAATACAGTCCGGAGCTAAGAGTCACTGACCCATGAACACAAACATCTGGTCCAGGGGCAAGTAAAGCACTAGAGTGTCATGAATATCTTTTAAATGGCTTTGTTTTTCATATTTCATATCATTCTTTTTCAATATACTAAGTAACCCATCCTGTAATCTTAACTGCATGTCTAGAGAATTAGATGAAGCAAAAATCATATTTATAAGCACTCAAAGATTTGAGGGCCTACTGTGTATAAAGCAGCATGCTTAGAAATGAAAGATACCAAAAATATAATCTACATGACCTTTTTGTCTGAAAAAAACTTTAAAAATAGAAGATGGAAACAAACTAGAGAAGTTTGAAATCAGAGAGGAGTGATGCAGCTAGCAAATGCCTGGTCAGGGATGTGGAGACTTACTACTCAAAATGTAAAGAGGAATAAAGGAAAAATAGGAGAAAAATAAAAAGGAGAAACAGTGATGCTTCCCTTTTGATTTACTTACTCAGCATACAATTTATCCCTTGGCTTCTGTGTAATGAATAATAGGTAATCTTTATGGAATTGTCTATACATGTGTATGCATAATAAAACCATTCACTCACAGTTGGGAAAAATTACTGATGTGCATCTCTTTCTATTCATTTTTGTAACCCTAGTGCCTGGTACATAATATGCCCTTTTAAGTGTTTCTAGAATGAATAAATTCTATTTAAAGCTGAAAAACTTTTTATTTTATTGTTTTATTTTATTTTAAGACAGAGTCTCTTATTTTGAGATGGAGTCTCACTCTTTCACCCAGGCTGGAGTGCAGTGGCGTGATCTCGGCTCACTGCAACTTCCACCTCCCAGGTTCAAGCGATTCCCATGCCTCAGCCTCCCGAGTAGCTGGGATTACAGGCATCCACCACCACGCCTGACTAATTTTTGTATTTTTAGTAGAGATAGGGCTTCACCATGTTGGCCAGGCTGGTCTGGAACTCCTGACCTCAGGTGATCCGCCCACCTCAGCCTCCCAAAGTCCTGGGATTATGGGCATGAGCCACAGTGCCCGGCCCAGAACACATTTTAAAACAACTATAAATTTTTAAAGTTATGATTTTTTTGTTTTTTATTGTTTGTTTTTAATTCTCTTTAGCTTTATAACCATGAAAAAAAATGATTCTTAAGGCTACAGATCAAAATGTAACACTAAAGAGAACAATTAAATTACTGCGTGATAATCCACATTAAGGTTTACTGTGTAAGTACGAACCCAGTACAGAAAAATCTTCATTTGATATGAGAAAGACTATGCAGCAAAGATCATGTTAAGAGCTCTCACCGAAGTAGAAGCACTATTTTATTATAAACCTCTGGCCTTATATATGGGCTGCACAAGGCTTTATAGGCCAGTTTCAGAACTTTGGCTTTTACTCTAAGTAAGATGAGAAGTCAATGGAAGATTCTAAGCAGAGGATTGAAAAGAGCTGACATTTCCAAAGAAATGCTCTGAATACTGTATTGAGAACAGACCCCTAGAAAATAAGGGTAGCAGCAGGGAGACTGGCTAGGTTTTTGCAATAGTCCAAGTGAGGTAAAATGATATCTTGGACCAGATGATAGTGGTAGAGGAGTTGAGAAGTGGTGGATTCTGAAATATTTCAAAGGGAGAGAGCCACATGGTCTGTCAAAGGATTGGACTGAATAGGGGGTATGAGTGAAGAGTGAAAAAGAGGAATTAAGGGTGATGCCATGATTTGTGGCCTGAGCAACTGCAAAGATGGAGTTGCCACTTACTGAGATGGGAAAAACAACAGGGGAAGCACATCCAAGTGGTCATGTCCTAGCCAAGCGCTGTGGCTCATGCCTGTAGTCCCAACACTTTGAGAGGCCAAGGCGGGCAGATCATTTGAGGTCAGGAGTTCAGAACCAGCCTGGCCAACATGCTGAAACCCCGTCTCTACTAAGAATACAAAAATTAGCCAGGTATGGTGGTGCGCACCTGTAATCCTAGCTACTCAGGAGGTTGAGGTAGGAGAATCGCTTGGGCCTGAGGCAGGAGAATTACTTGAGCCCAGGAGGCAGAAGCTGCAATGAGCAGAGATCACGCCACTGCACTCCAGCCTGGTCAACAGAGCAAGACTCTGTCTAAAAAAAAAAAAAGACAAACAAACAAACAAAAAAAAACAAGCAGACATGTCAAATAGACAGATAAATATACAAGTCTAGAGATCTAACAGTCATCATGGTAACACCATGAGACAGGTAAGACTACCAAAGTATGAGTATAACTAAAGAAGATAAAAAGTTCAAAGACTGAGTTGAGTCTGAGGGCTCTCCCACATTAGGAGTTTACAAAAATGAGGAGGAGATTAAGAAGTGACCAGTAAGAAGTGACCAGTGAGACAGGAAACCAGGAAAGCTTGGTAACCTAAAACTCAAATGAAGCAAGTATTTTAAGAATAAGACGTCGGGTGTAGCGGCTCACACTTGTAATCCCCGCACTTTGGGAGGCCGAGGTGGAAAGATCAGTTGAGGCCAGGAGTTCAAGACCAGCCAGGGCAACATAGCGAGACCCCATCTCTACAAATAAAAATAAAAATACAGCCAGACATGGTGGTGCATGCCTGTAGTCCCTGCTACTCAGGAGGCTGAGGTGGGAGGATCACTTGAGCCCAGGAGTTCAAGGCTACAGTGACCTATGATGGCACCACTGCACTCCATCCTAGGTGACAGAGTGAGACCCTGTCTCTTAAAAAAAAAGAAAGAAAAGAAAAAGAGATGATTAACTATGGTAAAAGTCAGGGAAATTATTAGCCAGCCACAGTGCCTAAAATAAAACACAAGACTGTAGACCTAGCAAACAGCTAGGTCTAACTCACTTCCATGGCCTTGGGCAGCTTGTTTAATTCTGAAAAAGATAAATTATAACACAGTCCTTGCCCTCGGGGGGCCTATATAAATGACCTTTACAGCGATTAGATAAAAGTTTGATTGTATGTACACATAAACTATTTCTGTAGGCAGTGTAGAATAAATACAACTGTAGAAGATTATTTTCTTGGCTTTTTTCCTCTGAGTATGAGAATATGAGATGTGACTACAAAGCATTAAGCTTGATTTTCACATAGCTGGTGAGATTAGCTTCCTGTATGATCACACTTTGTTTACTACCTTTTTAACCAAATCCATTCAAATATGAGCAAGCAGCCTGAGTCAGACCTCACAGTCCATCACCTTAATTCTGTTTCCAAATATCAGAAGTGACATAAAAAAGCATGAGTGATTGTCCTTGACATTGGTAAGGCATTTCCTGGCATCTCTTAGAAGCTATGTTTACTCCTGTTATTTATAAATATGCCCTAAACCTTTTAATTCCTCTTTTATTTCTCGTTGGCAACACCTTGTAGAGATAAATAAGCTGCAATTTTTTTTTAATTTTTTTTTTTTGAGACAGAGTCTCACTCTGTTGCACAAGCTGGAGTGCAGTGGCTTAATCTCAGCTCACTGCAACCTCTGCCTCCCACGTTCAAGCGATTGGCATGAATCCTGCCTCAGCCTCCCGAGTAGCTAGGACTACAGGCGCACGGCCACCATGCCCAGCTGATTTTTTTATTTTTAGTAGAGACGGGGTTTCATCATGTTGGCCAGGCTGGTCTCAAACTCCTGACCTCAGGTGATCCGCCCGCCTCGGACTCCCAAAGTGCTGGGATTACAGGTGTGAGCCACCACGCCCGGCAAAATGTTTTCTAATTTAAATTGGAGCTATCTGTGTAGTGGTTTCTCTACAGTTGTACATAAATGTTTTTGCTATAAAATGAGCTATGTATAAAATACTACTCTATACCATAATAAAGATAGTAATACGTTGAAAAACAAAAAAAATCAAAGTTCATACAAATCACTCAGGGGTCTTGCTACAATGCAGATTGATTCATTAGATCCTAAATGAGGCCTGAGATTCTGTATGTCAGGTGATATCAATGCTGCTGATCTCAGAACACACTTCAAGAACTATTCCTCCAGGCCAGGCGCGGTGGCTTACACCTGTAATCCAATAACTTTGGAAGGCCGAGGCGGGTGGATCACCTGAGGTCAGGAGTTCGAGACCAGCCTGACCAATATGACGAAACCCTGTCTCTACCAAAAATACAAAAATTAGCCGGGCGTGTTGGCACATGCTTGTAATCCTAGCTACTTGGGAGGCTGAGACAGAATCGCTTGAACCTGGGAGGCAGAGGTTGCGGTGAGCCAAGATCACACTGTTACACTCCAGCCTGGGCAACAAGAGCAAAACTCCGTCTAAAAAAAAAAAAAACTTTGCTCCAGTTCAAAAGAACTCTTCGGCTGTTCTTTTTCGGTGGGAGTGGTTAAAGAAGAGTCAACAACTATTTTTCCATGGGGATTTGAGGACAGTTTTGCAGTAAGAGTTGTTACGGATTGTATTGTGTCCCCTAAAGAGATGTTGAAGGTTTAATTTCCAGTACCTATGAATGTGACCTTATTTGGAAATAGGGTATTTGTAGATACAATCGTGTTAAGATGAAGCTGTTAGGGTTGGTCCTAATCCAATATCGTTGTTGCCTTTCTAAGAAGAGAAAAAGACCATGTGAAAATAGAGACATAAGGCCGGGTGTGGTGGCTTACATCTTTAATCCTAGCACTTTGAAAGGCCAAGGCGGGTGGATCACTTGAGGTAAGGAGTTCGACACCAGCCTGGCCAACATGGTAAAACCTCGTCTCTACTAAAAATACAATAATTAGCCAGGTGTGGTATCGGGCACCTATAATCCCAGCTACTCAGGAGGCTGAGGCAGGAGAATCACTTGAACCTGGGGTACGGAGGTTGCAGTGAGCCGAGATCACACCACTTCACTCCAGCCTGGGCAAAAGAATGAAACTCTATCTAAAAAAAAAAAAAGAAAAGAAAATAAGAGACATACAGTGCCTACATGACAACAGAGGCAGAGTTTGGAATGATGCAGCTGCAAGCTGAGGAACACCAAGGATTGCTGGCCATCACCAGAAGCTAGAAGGAGGCATTGAACAGTCTCCCTCAGAGCTCTCAGAAGGAATCAACCCTGCCAACACCTTGGTTTCAGACTTCTAGCCTCCAGAACTGCAAAGTGACAAATTCCCATTGTTTTTTGTTGTTTTGTTTTTTGTTTGTCTTTTGAGACGGAGTCTCGCTCTGTCGCCCAGACTGGAGTGCAGCGGCGTGATCTCGGCTCACTGCAACCTCTGCCTCCCGGGTTCAAGCGATTCTTCTGCCTCAGGCTCCCAAGTAGCTAGAACTACGGGCGCGTGCCACCACACCCAGCTATTTTTTGTATTTTCAGTAGAGACGGGGTTTCACCATATTGGCCAGGCTGGTCTTGAACTCCTGACCTCGTGATCCGCCCGCCTCGGCCTCCCATAGTGCTGAAATTACAGGTGTGAGCCACCGTGCCCGGCCTTAAATTCCCATTGTTTAAGCCACCCAGTTTGTGGTATTTTGTTCTGGCAGCCCTAGCAAAATAATTAATACCAGGGTTAAAAATACAAGCATTGGCTGGACGCAGTGGCTTATGTCTGTAATTCCAACACTTTGGGAAGCTGAGGAGGGAGAACTGCTTGAGCCCAGGAGTCCAAGACCAGCCTGGGCAACACAGCGAGACCCCATCTCCACAAAAAAATTAAAAATTAGCCAGGTGTGGTGATGCACACCTGTAGCCCCAGCTACTTGGGGGGATGAGGTAGGAGGATTGCTTAGAGCCAGGAGATAGAGGCTGCGGTGAGCTGTGATCATGCCACACTGCACTCCAGCCTGGGTGACACAGTGAGACTGTCTCACTCTCTCTCTCTCTCTCTCTCTCTCTCTCTCTCTCTCTCTCTCTCTCTCTCTCTGTGTGTGTGTGTGTGTGTGTGTGTGTGTGTGTGTGTATATATATATATATATATATATGCTTTGCAATCAGTGAGCTATTTACTAGCTATATGACCATAGACACATCAAGTCTCAGTTTCTTCATTTATTTATTTTTATTTTTATTTTTTTATTTATTTTTATTTTTTTGAGACAGAGTCTCGCTGTCTCCCAGGCTGGAGTGCAGTGGCGTGATCTCAGCTCACTGCAAGCTCCGCCTCCTGGGTTCACACCATTCTCCTGCCTCAGCCTCCCGAGTAGCTGGGACTACAGGCACCTGCCACCACGCCCAGCTAATTTTTTGTATTTTTAGTAGAGACGGGGTTTCACCGCGTTAGCCAGGATGGTCTTGATCTCCTCACCTCGTGATCTGCCCGTCTCGGCCTCCCAAAGTGCCAGGATTACAGGCGTGAGCCACCGCGCCCAGCAGTTTCTTCATTTTAAGAAGAGGGACAATATATATAATTGCTCACAGGATTGCTGAGACAATTAGAATAATGCATGTAAAGTACTTAGTAGAATGCTTGGTATAGGAAACCTTCAATACATGTTAACTAATATGTCACCCAGGCCTTCAATCCTTAGAAAATGAGTACAGCTGAGTGCGGTGGCTCATGCCTGTAATCCCAGCACTTTGGGAGACCGAGGAGTTCGAGACCAGCAAAACACTGTCTCTACTAAAAAATAAAAATAATAATAATAATACGAAAATTCGCTGGGTGCAGTGGCTCATGCCTGTAATCCCAGCACTTTGGGAGACCGAGGTGGGCAGATCACTTGAGGTCAGGCGTTCAAGACCAGTCTGGCCAACATGGTGAAACCCCTTCTCTACTAAAAATATAAAAATGAGCTGGGCGCAGTGGCACGTGCCTGTAGTCCCAGCTACTCGGGAGGCTGAAGCTGGAGAATTTCTTGAACCCAGGAGGCGGAGGTTTCAGTGAGCCGAGATCGTGCCACTGCCCTCCAGCCTGGGCAACAAAAGACGACTCCATCTCAAAAAAAAAAAAAAAGTACAAACGAGCCTTGACAATTACCACATTAAGTAATCTACAATATATACAGCTCTTGAGATTAAGAATTATGGCTCTGCAAATCTCAGAATTTAGGGTGATGGCCCTGAAGGAATTTTGGAGATCATTTAATACAGTAATGATGAAGAAGGGAAGAGTGATCATGTGAGAGTGTGCCCCAATCAGCTTGAGGTGGGAAGTAAATACTCCTCACTAAAGCACTATGTGTAACTGCTAAAAACTAGAAACAACCAACAATCTCTATCAATCCAGTTAAATAAATTATAGTAAAACCACACAGAGAAATAAAATACAGCTAGTAGATTTGCATACGCTAGTAAGAAAGTATATCCATACTACTAGAGAGAAAAAGCACAGCATAGTGGTTAGGGATGTAGATCCATAGTCAACCTACATATATTCGGCTGGGCAGTGGCTCACAGCTGTAATCCCAGCACTTTGGGAGGCCGAGGGGGGCAGATCACACGAGGTCAGGAGTTTGAGACCAGCCTGGCCAACATGGCAAAACCTTCTCTCCAATAAAAATATAAAAAGTAGTCGGGCGTGGTGGCATGCACCTGTAATCCCAGCTACTCAGAAGGCTGAGACAGGAGAATTGCTTAAACCTAGGAAGCAGAGGTTGCAGTGAGCCGAGATCGCGCCACTGCACTCCAACCTGGGTGACAGAGCAAGACTCCGTCTCAATTTTTAAAAAAAAAGCCAGGTGTGGTGGCTCACGCCCATAATCCCAGCATGTTAGGAGGCTGAGGCGGGCGGATCACAAGGTCAGGAGTTTGAGACAAGCCTGGCCAATATTGTGAAACCCTATCTCTACTAAAAATACAAAATAATAAGCCAAGCATGGTGGCACATGCCTGTAATCCTAGCTACTCGGGAGGCTGAGGCAGAAGAATTGCTTGAACCCGGGAGGCAGAGGTTGCAGTGAGTGAGATCATGCCACTGCACTCCAGCCTGGGTGACAAGAGTGAGACTAGGTCTCAAAAAAAAAAAAACAAGAAAAAAATAAAACTACCTATATTCAAAGCTCAGATATGTTCTGTACTAGCTTGTGTGATCTTTGCCATGTTGTAACCTCTTAGTGTATCAGTTTCTGTACCTGTAATGTAAAGATGGTAACAGTACCCACAGGATGCTGTGAGGATTAAATCAACTCAGGCAAAGTATATCAACCACTGCTCGGCATAAACTAAGTACTCAATGTAATAGGTAAAGGTCCTTCAGTATCTGGATCCCACCTATCTCTCCAGACTCATCACACGCGACAGCCTCTACTTCTAACCTGCTAAATTACTAAAGAGAATTCTGTACTGTGTTCTCACAGCACTCAGCTCATATCTCTATTGTCACTTACATCAAATTGTAGTTGGTGTATTTACACATTTATATCCCCTAGTAAATTGTGTTCCCCAGTACATCACAAAATTAAGAACTCTGTCTGGGTCATTCTAAGGAAGGAGACCACTACTACTCCTGCTGCCCTCCTCCCCCTACCTTGCCTAGTTCACAAGACAGGAGAAAAGACAAAGCAAAAAGTTGGAAAGAAACAAAAGTAAGATAAATAGCCAGACAACCTTGGCACCACTACCCGGCCCTAGGAGTTAAAAAAGTAATAATAACAACATCAACCCCTGACCTAAACTACTTGTGTTATCTGTAAATTCCAGACATTGTATGAAAAAGTATTGCAAAACTTTCTGTTCTGTTAGCTGATGCATGTATCCCCCAGTCACGTTCCCCACACTTGCTCAATTTATCATGACCTTTTCATGTGGACCTCTTAAGAGTTGTAAGCCTTTAAAAAGGCCAAGAATTTCTTTTTCAGGGAGCTTGGCTCTTAAGACACAAGTCTGCTGATGCTCCTGGCTGAATAAACCTCTTCCTTCTTTAATCTGATGTCTGAGGAGTTTTGTCTGCAGCTTGTCCTGCTACATTTCTTGGTTCCCTGACCGGGAAGCGAGGTGATTAATGGACGGTCGACACAGCCCCTTAGGCAGCTTATGCCTGCCCTGTAGAGCATCCCTGTGGGGGACTCCGGCCAGCTTGAGCAATGTAGATCCTGATGAGCGCTCCCAGGCAGGCATTTGCCCCGGTACAACGCCTCATCAGAGCGGTGCATGGCAAGCCCACATGAAGGACCAATGCAGTGGCTGAACACTGGGAAGGAACTGGCACTTTAAGTCTGGACATCTGAAACTTGGTAAGACTGGTCTTTGGAACTTGCCCACTCCATTTGAGTGGAAGCATGGCATGATCACCCACGGCGTGCCTGTACCGGCACTTTGGGTTTTGTTTTTGACTTGACTTGCATTGCTTGATAATTTGGTTTTAGTTTTGATTTTGACTTGACTTGAATTGCTTGATAAACAGGCATGCCTTTATTGGCACTTTGGTTTTGGTTCTGATTTTGACTTGGCTTAAATTGCTTGACGAACAGAGGTGCCTTTAACGACACTTTGGTTTTAGTTTTGATTTTGATTTAGTGTGAAATAGACGAGTGAGTGACCTTTTACCCTTTCCTTCTTGTAGTGTGAATGTTGTTTTGTCTCGAGAGAAAAATAGGTCAGACACAAAGTAAGCCCACTCTGCTAGAAACTGTGTTAAAAAAAATTCCAAGAAAAGAAAAATAAAAGGAAAGTAATCATCAAAACTTACTCTATTAAAATGCATGTTACAAAACCTTAAGAAAGGTTTTGCAGGGGATTATAGAGTTAAGTTAACCCCCCAGAGGTTAAGAACTCTGGGTGAATTAGAATTGCCCTCTTTTGGTGTTGGATGGCCCACCAAAGGAACTACAGACAGGGAACAATTGGCCATGTATTTAAGGTGGTGACAGGGGTCGGAGGACAGCCAGTGTACCTGTAGCAATTCCTTTATATTGACTCATGGTTAAATATAATATAGACAAAACTGGCATAAATTTAGCCCTGTTTAACAGCTTATTGCAAAAAAGCCAAAAGTAAAAGTAAGAGCAGCTTCGCCAGCAGACACAGAGTTAAAAAGGGAGTCCCAGAAACAGCAAGAGAAGCCAGTTTTGCAGAAGCCGCCAGAGATAAACAGAAATTCTTTCTCCATATGTCCTAGCCTACCCCCCTTTACCGAGGCCAACAGCCCCCTCAGAAACCAGATTCAGGAGCTAACACACCCCAGGTCTCACCTCGAAGGGGAGAATCGGAACCTCGAGAGGCCAAGGAAGGAAGTCAAGATAGTCAAGTGGGCCATCTCAGATCTGGTCTTGCTCGAGCTATGCAAATGCCTCTCAGGGAGAGGTGAGGACCTGTCTATTTATAATGACCAGGCCCACATCCGGGGGGACAACAGACTTTCATCTATCAGCCCTTTTCAACCATTGATCTACTAAACTGGAAACACCCTGAACCCGCCACCTTGCTCCTGGCAACTAGAGCCCTGTCGAGCATAACTGTGTAGAGGTGTTGGACTCAAGTTTACTCTAGCAGACCTGACCTCCAGGACCAGCCTTGGGCATCAGTAGGCTGGGAGCTATACGTGGATGGGAACAGCTTCATCAACCCACAAGGAGACAGATGTGCAGGATACATGGTGATAACCCTGGACATTGTCGCTAAGCTGAGCTCATTCCTTTAATTCAGGCCTTAGAACTCAGTGAAGGTAAGACTGTAAACATTTACACTGACTCTCGGTATGCCTGTTTAACCCTCCAAGTGCATGGATAATTAAATAAAGAAAAGGGCCTGTTAAACTCTAGGAAAAATAGGAAAAAGACCCAGAGAATGCAACTCAGCTTCAGCGTTTGCAGAGATACTGAGAAGCACTTCTGCAGAGGCAAACAGTTGGTAGAAAAAAAGCAATTAATATAAAAAAGATTTCAGAAGTGCTTCAAGGAGCTGACAAGAGCCTAAGTCAGTTTTATAAGAGACTCTATAAAGCATTCTGGCTTTACACCCCATTTAACCCTGAGGCTGCTGAAAAATCAGTATATAGTGAATACCTCATTTGTAAAGCAAGCCCAGAATAACATCAAGCAGAAGCTGCAGGCATGAATACCACCCAGTCTATAAAAGTGGCCACCAAGGTGTATGTTAACTGGGACCAAGGAACAAAAAGGGAAAGAGCAAAAGCAACAATCGAAGCAGCTAGGCACGCCAAGGATTAAGTCCCTCTCCCCAGCCTGGCTCTATCTAAAAAAAGAAGGAGCCAGGGACTGGCGCCGGGAAAAGACCAAAAGAAAAAGAAAGACTAAGACTAAGTGTGAAAAAGAGAATCAGAAGTAAACAAGAGAGACAGACAGCAGTGCGCGGGGGCAGGGCCCGTGCTGTTGCCTGGCCCTGCCAGCTGGCCGTAGGAGCAGGAGAACTCAGGAAGGAAAAAAATAAATAAATTAAAGACTTAAAAAAGCCAATCTGTTAGCAACAGCTCTTATAAAAAGAGAGATTAGCAATGTGAGAGGACGTGGATGCGGACATAGACGTGGAAGAAGTCACGTTAGGCAAGGATTCAAGAGCCGGACAAGGCTAGAGAGGGATTAATGTACGAGATGCAAAAAGAAAGGACACTAGAAGGGTGAATGTTCAGAAGGCAATAAAGGAAATGGCCAAGGCGGCAAGACAAAGAGGCCATCGGCCAAGGGCTGCCGCACCTTGGAGGAACCAAATACTGATCTGATCAGGCTGGCAGGAGCTGAAGAATGTAAAGACTAGGGCAGACTAGGCACCTTCTCTTTAGGCTCCCAGGAGCCCATGGTCACATTAGAAGTTAAAAGCAGCAGGATTCTGCCGTATTTGGACTCCAATTTCTCACTGATGGCTAAGCCACTAGATAGAGTTATAAAGGGGGGGAAGAAAAAGAACCCCTCCAAGAAACTTAAACAGGAGAAAGAGCCATACCTTGTGAAAACTTGCTTATAGACTTTACAGAACTGACCCATGCTGGAGGCTATCGGTACATGCTAGTGCTTGTTTGCACCTTTTCAGGGTAAGTTAAAGTTTTCCCCACCAGGACAGAAAAAGTACAAAAAGTAACTAAAGTACTGTTTAAAAGACATTATCCCCAGGTTTAGACTGCCTCTAACTTTAAAGTCAGACAATAGGCCAGCATTTGTAGCTGAACTAGTGCAAGATTTAACAAGACTGTTAAAATGGAAGTTACACACAGCCTATTGGCCGCAAAGTTCAAGATAAGGTGGAATGCATGAACTGGACACTTGAGCAGCTACTGAAAAAATATTGCCAGGAAATACATTTAAGATAAAATCAGGTTTTTGCCTATGGTCCTCCTCCGAGTCAGGTGCACCCCCACCAAACAAACTAGGTATTTGTTCTGTAAGATTTTGTTCGGTCAGCCACCCCCAAATTACAGGTCAAATTAGAGGTGACCTCCAGGAACTAAAGGAATTAACCTTAAGAAAGCAAATGCAGTTTTTAGAAATAGCCATACAAAGTGTTCATAATTAAATACATACAAATGCCTATAAGCCTGACACCGCTTTAAATCTAGTGACTCTGTTTAAAGTAAAAAAGTAAAATCTAATTTTTCTAGGACCCATATAGGATGGGCCCTATACTGTAATCTTGTCTACTCCTACTGCTGTTAGAAGTTGCAGGTGTTGTGTCTCAGATCCATCCCAGTCAGCTAACACTGGCAGCTCAGGACAAGCAGACCAGCCAGCAGGACACAGATCATCCAACCCGGCTGATCCTGAGATGAGACCAAGCTGCTGCTGAGGACGATAGCCCTGCTCTGGTCACTCCAGAGGCTGACCAGTCTATGCATGGCTGAAGCTTGAAACAAGCCCTGCTCTAGTCACACTGGCAGCTGACTAGTCTACTCACAGCCAAAGCTTAAGGACTTACCAAGCCAAGTGATGTAGTTAAAAATCTTAAGACTAGTAGTTTTCCTGTAATACTACCTGTTTTCCTATTGTTCTGTCTCTGTATTCAACCTTTTTCCCAGGTAAGGACCTCTTTTGTCTTTGCTGGATATGAATATGCTGTACATTGTTTTGTTGTTGTTACCCCCCATAACCATGCTAGAAGAAACACCTATATAAGGTATCCCCACTGTACACATACTACTTAGTCAGGAAACCCAGGCCCATCCCACCCAGCAACAATTCCGAGTCTTTAAGTCATTCTTTCAACATATAAACCAGAAGTTTACCAGAGCATCCTCCTTTAGCAAAAAAAAAAAAAAAAAAAAAAAAAAAACACCTATTTGCTCAGCTGGCTGAAAACATTGCCGGCAGCCTAGACGTTTCCTCATGTTATGTTTATAAAAAGGCTAACATAAGAGACCAATGGCCTTGAGAAGCAAAAGAGTTAATGCCTCAAGATAACTTTACTTTAACTAACTCTTTCCCCAAACAGACGCCACAATTTCAAGCATCTGGCTCTTAAAAACTTCCATTATTAAGAAATACTGTGTTACTCGCTACGAAAAAGCTTTTAAAACCCAGTAAAAGAACTAACCTGCTTAGGACATGACAAAGTTGGTACATTTGCCTGTACAGGTTTAACACAGGTTTGATCCTAGGTCTATATTTAGAAAATAGTTTCTAGCTGTAAGCGAATTTAAAACCCTCATTGTAAGTGTATTACTAGTAATAGAAACTTGCTTGCTGCTCCCCTGTGTATTACGCTTGCTCCTTCAAATGATAAAAGGTTTTGTAGCTACCATGGTTTGTCAAAAAACTTCAGCACAAGTGTATTACATAAAACACTATCACTCTGTCTCGCAAAGAGACTCAAAGTAAAAATAAAAGTGAGAACTCCACTAATTAGTGAAATTCTCAAAGAGGGGGATAAGGAAGGAGACCACTACTATTCCTGCTGCCCTCCTCCCCCCACCTTGCCTAGTTCACAAAACAGGAGAAAAGAGAGAAAGCAAAAAGTTGGAAAGAAACAAAAGATAAACAGCCAGACAACCTTGGCACCACCACCGCGGCCCTAGAAGTTAAAAAAGTAATAATAATAACAATCCCTGACCTAAACTACTTGTGTTATCTGTAAATTCCAGACATTGTATGAAAAAGCATTGCAAAACTTTCTGTTCTGTTAGCTGATGCATGTAGCCCCCAGTCACGTTCCCCATGCTTGCCCAATTTATCATGACCTTTTCACGTGGACCCCTTAGAGTTGTGTAAGCCTTTAAAAAGGCCAAGAATTTCTTTTTCAGGGAGCTCAGCTCTTAAGATGCAAATCTGCCGACACTCCCAGCCGAATAAACCTCTTCCTTCTTTAATCTGGTGTCTGAGGAGTTTTGTCTGCAGCTCTTCATGCTACAAGTCATTCATTCACTCACTTTTACTCATTCTATATTTATATATATATTTATATATTTTTTAATATATTTATATTTATAGATTTATATTTATATACATATATACACACACACATATACACACACACACACACCCCTATATATATATACATATATACACGTTTTTTTTTTTAGATGGAGTTTCACTCTTGTCGCCCAGGCTGGAGTGCAATGGTGTGATCTTGGCTCACTGCAACCTCTGCCTCCCAGGTTCAAGCAATTCTCCTGGCTCAACCTCCCAAGTAGCTGGGATTACAGGTGCCTGCCACCATGCCCAGCTAATTTTTGTAGTTTTAGTAGAGACAGGGTTTCACTATGCTGGCCAGGCTGGTCTCAAACTCCTGACCTCAGGCAATCCGCCTGCCTCGGCCTCCCAAAGTGCTGGGATTACAGGTGTGGGCCACCACACCCAGCCTAATTTTTGTATTTTTAGTAGAGATGGGGTTTCACCACATTGGCCAGGCTGGTCTCGAACTCCTGACCTCAGGTGATCCACCCACCATGGCCTCCCAAAGTGCTGGGATTACAGGCGTGAACCACTGCACCCAGCCCAACAAATATTTTTGATCTACCATACACGTCAGGCACTTCTTAACTGTATCCTCAAAGCTGAGACCCTGTAGGTACTCAAAAAATACAAGACATAGTTTGCTATAGTAGAAAGCAAACAGAACCAGGCGTGGTGGTACACGCCTGTAGTCCCAGCTACTCAGGAGGCTGAGATGGGAGGATCATTTAAGCCCAGGAGGAGGTTGCAGTGAACCGAGATCCCACCACTGCACTCCAGCCTGGGTGACAGGGTGAGACCCTGTCTTGAGAAAAGTAAGTGAAAGAAAAGAAAGAAAAGAAAAAAGAAAAGAGGCCGGGCACAGTGGCTCACGCCTGTAATCCCAGCACTTTTGGAGGCTGAGGCAGGCGGATCATGAGGTCAGGAGATCGAGACCATCCTGGCTAACACGGTGAAACCCCGTCTCTACCAAAAATACAAAAAAATCAGCCAGGCATGGTGGCAGGCACCTGTAGTCCCAGCTACTCAGGAGGCTGAGGCAGGAGAATGGCATGAACCCGGGAGGCGGAGCTTGCAGTGAGCCGAGATCCGGCCACTGCACTCCAGCCTGGGCGACAGAGCGAGACTCCGTCAAAAAGAAAAGAAAGCGAAATCCGGATAGAAAAACATTGGACTGGGCCAGGCGTGGTGGCTCAGCACTTTGGGAGGCCAAGGCCCAGGAGTTCGACACCAGTCTGAGTATCATGGCAAAACCCTGTCTCTACAAAAAAATAGAAAACTTAGCTGGGCATGGTAGTGCGTGCCCGTGGTCCTAGCTGTTCGGGAGGCTGAGGTGGGAGGATCACCTGAGCCCAGGAGGTGGAGGCTGCAGTGAGCCATGATTGCACCACTGCACTATAGCCTGGGTGACAGAGTGAGATCCTGTATCAAACAAAAACAAAATATTGGGCTGGAATTGAAAAGTTGCCACATGCAATCTTTTGTATGTCAATTAATCTTTCTCGACCTTACGTTTTTTTTGGCTGTATGATATGAGAAGACCCAACACAGCTCCTAGTACAGAATAAGAGAGTAAATAAATGTTAATTTCCTTCCTCCTATAGTAGGTGTGTGCTTTAAAATTTAACTAGATTTCCAATTTCAATCTTATTTGGGCCAAATCTCCTGCTGAAAACTACAAGTGCTAAATAAAATGCAGCACATATCTCCCTAAAAGCAACATCAGCTGACAAGAAAATAAGGAACTACCATGCAAATTTCTAAAGGAAAGCAGACCAGTGAGGTAAGCTTGGTAGGGAGCACTGATGCTGCTATTGCCCTGAGGATAACTGCTGATCAGGACAAACGTGGACCTCAGTTTTGGTGGCCTCATGGGTTGAGGAGGAAAGAACTCAGGGCCCAGGGCCCTCCCAGATGAAAAGGCTAGTATGAGACCCTCTGTACGTGAAGCTGAGACCACCCACCTCCCCCAAAAGGCCACACCCTCAAGGTAAAGGTGAGCCAGAAGTAAACCTGCTCCATGCCTCCAACAAACTTAGGAAGACTGCCCTGATACTAAACAAACAAGGGGGTGGCCGGGAACAGGTGGAGGAATAAAACTGGCCTTGAAAAATTTTCGCCAGGCCAGGTGCTGTGGCTCATACCTGTAATCCTAGCACTTTGGGAGGTCGAGGCAGGTAGATCACTTGAGGTCAGGAGTTCGAGACCAGCCCGGCCAACATGGTGAAACCCCATCACTAAAATTAGCCAGGCGTGGTGGCGTGTGCCTGTAGTCCCAGCTACTTGGGAGGGTGATGCAAGAGAATCAATGGAACCTAGGAGGCAGAAGTCGCAGTGAGCGAAGATCACCCCACTGCACTCCAGCCTGGGTGACAGAGAGTCTGTCTCAAAAAAAAAAAAAAAAGAAAAGTTTTGGCCAGAGACCGCCTGTAACAAATTTACAGGCTGGATTCATATCACCTAGGTAGCCCAGGAATTTCAAGTTGTGAATTTGTTTTAAGATGGTCCCAGACTGGTAATCCCCAAAGACACTTTGGAGAAGTCAACGAAAGTCCTCTCTGGAGCAATGTACTTTGACCCTACAACTTAAAGAAACCCCACAAATGATTTTCAAGGACAATGAGTATGTACTCAAAATAATGAGGCACAAAAGGAAAAATGACATCATGAGCAAGAACTAGAAAAAACCTGCAAAGATTTCAGATACAGCAATTATCAGAGGCAGATTTTAAATGAACTAAAGTTAATATATTTAAAAGAAATAAAAAAGCAAGTGTGAAAATATATGCATGAAAAAGAAAACAAGGGCCAGTTGCAGTGGCTCACACCTGTAATCCCAGCACTTTGGGAGGCCGAGGTGGGTGGATCACTTGAGGTCAGGAGTTCGAGACCAGCCTGGTCAACATGGTAAAACCCCCGTCTCTACTAAAATACAAAAATTAGCTGGCCGTGGTGGTGGGCACCTGTAGTCTCAGCTACTCAGGAGGCTGAGGCAGGAGAATCGCTTGAACCTAGGAGGTGGAGGTTGCAGTGAGCCAGGATGGCACCACTGCACTCCAGCCCAGGCGACAGAGCAAGACTCTGTCTCAAAAAAAAACAAAAGCAGAAAATAAGAAACAGGTGAAGAGAGAATTTACAGACTGGATGATAGGCCAGGAAAACATAACACAAAGAAAAAAAAGGAAAACATAGAAGAGAAGTTATATATGGGGCAGAAAATAAGGAGCATTTAACATAGCTTTAAATGGAGTCTCAAAAGGAAAGAAGAAAATATCTGGCAATGGCTGAGAATTCCAGAACTGATAGAAGACAGTAATAAAGGAAACCCAAGGAATTACAAACAGGATTAAAAGCAAAAAAGAAAACAAATCCATAACTAAACACATAATGAAACTGCATGAGACCATCTAAAGAAAGAGGTTCCTAAAAAGTGTGGATATAGGCTGGGCACAATGACTCACACCTGTAATCCCAGCACTTTGAGAGGCCAAGGCAGGTGGATTATCTGAGGTCAGGAGTTTGAAACCAGCCTGGCCAACATGGTGAAACCCCATCTCTACTAAAAATACAAAATTAGCTGGGCATGGTGGCGCATGCCTGTAATCCCAGCTACTTGAGAGGCTGAGGCAGGAGAATCACTTGAATCCAGAGGTGGAGGTTGCAGTGAGCCAAGATTGTGCCACTGCACTCCAGCCTGGGCAACAAAGCGAGACTCTGTCAAAAAATAATAGTAAAATTAAAAAATAAATAAAAAGTGTAGACATAGGCTGAGTGTGGTGGCTCACGCCTGTAATCCCAGCACTTTGGGAGGCCGAGGCGGGTGGATCAAAAGGTCAGGAGTTCGAGACCAGCCTGACCAATATGGTGAAACCTCGTTTCTACTAAAAAAACAAAAATTAGCCAGGTGTGATGGCGCATGCCTGTAATTCCAGCTACTTGGGAGGCTGAGGCAGGAGAATTGCTTGTACACAGGAGGCAGAGGTTGCAGTGAGCCAAGATCATGGCATTGCACTCCAACCTAGGTGACAGAGCAAGACTCGGTCTCAAAAACAAACAAACAATATGTTGTACACAAGAGACATATCTAAAACAAAGAGATTCTGAAAACTTAAAAATAGAAGGATAAGCAAAGTTATACCAAGCAAATGCATACAAAAAGAAAGCAAGGCCGGACACGGTGGCTCACGCCTATAATCCCAACACTTTGGGAGGCAGAGGCAGGCAGATCACCTGAGGTCAAGAGTTCAAGACCAACCTGACCAACGTGGACAAACCCGTCTCTACTAAAAATACAAAATAAGCCAAGCATGGTGGCACATGTCTGTAATTCCAGCTACTCAAGAGGCTGATGCCGGAGAATCGCTTGAACCCAGGAGGTGGAGGTTGCGGTGAGCCAAGATTGCGCCACTGCACTCCAGCCTGGGCAACAAGAGTGAAACTCTGTCTCAAAAAAAAAAAAAAAAAAAAAAGGTGGCCTGATTCAGTCATTCCACAATGCAAGCATATATCAAAACAGCATGTTGTACACCGTAAATATAAACACTTTGTCAACTTTAAAAGTAAAAATTAAAATTAAAAATAAAACAGGCCGGGAACAGTAGTTCACGCCAGTAATCCCAGCACTTTGGGAGGCCAAGGCAGGTGGATGACCTGAGGTCGGGAGCTCGAGATCAGCCTGGCCAACATGGCGAAACCCCATCTCTACCAAAAATACAAAAATTAGCCATGCATGGTGGCAGGTGCCTGTAGTCCCAGCTACTCTGGAGGCAGAGTCAGGAGAATCACTTGAACCTGGGAGGCAGAGGTTGCAGTGAGCTGAGATTGTGCCAATGCACTCCAGCCTGGGCGACAAGAGCGAAATTCCATCTCAATAAATAAATAAATAAATAAATAAAAATATGTTTCTTAAAAAAGAAAATAAGGAGGTGGGACTTCCTTCTTGGCCCAAGACATGGTAGAATAACAAAGACCAGATTTACCCTCCTACTTACACAACTTTAAAAATGAGTAAAATATGTAAAGCAACAGTTTCCAAACATTGGACAAGAAATATAAGAGTGATCACCTAGGGAAGGGGAACAAATAAGATAAGCCCTACTATTGCCTCCAGCTTACTTCCTAGATAAAATTTCCAGGCTGTGACACAGGGAAAAGGTATCCATGCACAGCCCTGCAGTCTCCTAGGGTTGAGAAAACAAAGTTCAAAGTCCAGGGAGGCCAAAGGCACTAGAATTCATGGAGCAGAGGACCAGAGAGAACAGAGCTGCACACAGATAAGTTTCTGGAAATATGTAGAGTTTTCCTTATCTGGTCCGTACATGCGTGTAAGGTGTGTCTGTTATTGATATATTGCCTCTCAGCTCCAAATTCATGAGTTTTGCCCCCCATGAAAATAATTCAGACCCTTTAAATAGTTTACCTCTACAAACTGGCACTAAAGCAGGTTTGTCAGTAGAGGGCGCTGGAGAGACATCGCAAGGGAAAGGGTTTATTTCCTGGTTGATCTTGGCTCACTCCACAGGCTTCTGTTTTCTTTCAGCATGCTGCAGCCCCTAATGAATGAATGAACCCAGGTATCACAACAAAAAAGAGAGACAAAAAAAATCATGTGCCTCCTGATGAAAGAACACAACTGCCACCTCACCTTCTCAAAGAAGCCAAACCTGAATCTGATCAAGCCACTGGATCCAGCTGCCAATTTGCAGGAAATATAGGACACAGGAACATGCACAATGGATTGGATTGAATGATACAGGGATGGACAGATATGTGATAAATCAAATAGAGCAAAATGGTAATTGCAGAATATAAATGTTGGATAGATGAGTGTCCACTATATAATTCTATTTTTTTTTTTTTTTTTTTTGAGACAGGGTATCACTCTATCACCCAGACTGGGGTGCAGTTGTGCTATCACAGCTCACTGTAGCCTCAGCCTCCTGGGCTCAAGCGATCCTCCCACCTCAGCCTCCTGAGTAGCTGGGACTACGGATGCATGCCACCATGCACCAATTTTTAAAAACTTTTTGGAGAGATGGGGTCTTGCAATATTGCCCTGGCTGATCTCCAACTCCTGGGCACAAACGATCCTCCCACCTTAGCCTCCCAAAGTGCTGCGATTATAGGCGTGAGCCACTGCGCCTGGCCCACCCAAGTTTTCTGTTTGAAAATGCTCATAGTAAAATGTTGACAAAAGACATATAAAAAGTCAAGTTTAAACTATACTGTGGCTAGGCGTGGTGGCTCACACCTGTATTCCCAGCACTTTGAGAGGCCAAGGTGGGCAGATCATCTGAGGTCAGGAGTTCAAGAGCAGCCTGGCCAACCTGGTAAAACTCCATCTCTACTAAAAATATGAAAATCAGCCAGGCACGGTGGTGTGCGCCTGTAATCCCAGCTATTTGGGAGTCTGAGGCAGGAGAATCACTTGAACCCAGAAGGTGGAAGTTGCATGAACCGAGATCGCGCCACTGCACTCCAGCCTGGGCAACAGAGCAAGACTCCATCTCAAATATAAAAATAAAATATAGTGTCTAGGGAAGTATATTTAGGTGGTGAAACTACAAAAGAAACTCAAGGAAGTGATTAGTATAAAAGTTACAATAGTGGTTACTTTGGGAGAAAGCAGCATGTTGTAAATGGGCAGGGACACATGGAATCCTTCTGAGGTACCTGGCCAAATTCTATTCTTGGCCCTGTTGTGGTTTACGAAGGTGTCCCCCTTGTAATTATTCATTAAATGCTATTTCTGTTCTCTGTGGCTTTCTGTCTGTATTTTACAACAAAAGGGTTGTTTTTTTAAAAGTCCGTATCCTTTGACCCAGCAACCACTTTAGGATAATTATTAATTACTAATTACCCTAAAGTAATTATCAGTAGAGAATCGTTTAAGCCCAGGAGTTGGAGACCAGCCTGAACAACGTTGTAAGACCCCACCTCTACAAAGTCCGTATCCTTTGACCCAGCAAATAATTAGTAATTATCCTAAATAATTAAGACTACATAGATGGCTGTACAACAATAGCTGTCATTTATTGAGTGCCTACTATGTATTAAACACTGCTCTAGCACTTTACAAGTATTATCCTATTTATCCTTGTAACAACCCTGTGTATTACAGTACACACGATTCTTTTTTAGAGACGGAGTCTCACTCTGTTGCCAGGCTAGAATGCAGTGGCGCAATCTTGGCTCACTGCAACTTTGGAGGCCTCAGCCTCCCGAGTAGCTGGGACTACAGGCACGCACCACCACGCCCAGCTAATTTTTATAGTATACGCTATGATTATTTCCATTTTACAGATGAGACTAAAGAGGTGAAAGAACACTGATTATTTCCATTTTACAGATGAGACTAAAGAGGTGAAAGAATGTTGACCACATCATTATTAATAAAAAATATGGGTCAGGCACAGTGGCTCACGCCTACAATCTCAGCACTTAGGGAGGCCGAAGCAGGTGGATCACTTGAAGTCGGAAGTTCGAGACCAGCCTGGCCAACATGGCAAAATCCTGTCTCTACTAAAGATACAAAAATTAGCCGGGTGTGGTGGCACATGCCTGTAATCCCAGCTACTTGGTAGGCTGAGGCACGAGAATCACTTGAACCCCGGAGGCAGAGGTTGCAAGTGAGCCAAGATCACACCACTCGCATTCCAGCCTGGGCAACAGAACAAGACTCTGTCTCCAAAAAAATAAATAAATAACAAATATAGATATAGATATAAAATATGTATTATATATATATGAACATGGAAAGAAGTCCATCATAAACTTCTCAGTAAAGACATAAAAGATCACATACATACATATATAAAATCTCACATGAAGTTATACACAGTATACATAAAAAAAATTTATTAAAATTGGAGAGGATTACGAGGAGACTCTTGGAACTCTATACCAAATAAAGAGTTTTGTAGGAGGTTTTCACAAGCCTATACTACTTTTGTAATTGTAAAAACCATAATGTTTCATAATAAGGAGGTGTGAGGTGGGGGTCTCAAAGATCCAGAGACCTACCTGGATCTCTGGCATGGTAGTGTGTCCAGAAATGGTGGGTTCTTGGTCTCACTGACTTCAAGAATGAAACCGCGGACCCTCGCGGTGACCGTTACAGTTCTTACAGGCGGTGTGTCTGGAGTTTGTTTCTTCTAGACGTTCGGATGTGTCCGGAGTTTTTTCCTTCTGGTGGGTTCATGGTCTCGCTGGATCAGGAATGAAGCTGCAGACCTTCGCGGTGAGTGTCACAGATCTTAAGGCGGTGTGTCTGGAGTCGTTCATTCCTCCCGGTGGGTTCCTGGTCTCACTGGCTTCCAGAGTAAAGCTTCAGACCTTCACGGTGAGTGTTACAGCTCATAAAGGCAGTGTGGACCCAAAGAAAGCAACAGGAAGATTTATTGCAAAGAGCAAAAGAACAAAGCGTCCACATCATGGAAGACAACCGAAGCGCCTTGCCACTGCTGGGTCCGGCAGCCTGCTTTTATTCCCTTATCTGGCCCCACCCACATCCTGCTGATTGGTCCATTTTACTGAGAGCTGATTGGTCTGTTTTACAGAGCGCTGATTGGTCCGTTTTGACAGGGTGTTGATTGGTGCATCTATAATCCCTGAGGTAGACTCAAAAGTTCTCCACGTCCCCACTAGATTAGCTAGATACGGAGTGTCGATTGGTGCATTCACAAACCCTGAGCTAGACACGGGGTGCTGATTGGTGTGTTTAAAAACCTTGAGCTAGATACAGAGTGCCAATTGGTGTATTTACAATCCCTTAGCTAGACATAAAGGTTCTCCAAGTCCCCACCAGAGTAGCTAGATACAGAGTGTCCATTGGTGCATTCACAAACCCTGAGCTAGACACAGGGTGCTGATTGGTGTGTTTAACAAACCTTGAGCTAGATACAGAGTGCCAATTGGTGTATTTACAATCCCTTAGCTAGACATAAAGGTTCTCCAAGTCCTCGCCAGACTCAGGAGCCCAGCTGGCTTCACCCCGTGGATCCTGCACCGGGGCCGCAGGTGGAGCTGCCTGCCAGTCCCACGCCATGCACTCGCACTCCTCAGCCCTTGGGTGGTCGATGGGACTGGGTGCCATGGAGCAGGGGGCGGCGCTCGTCGGGGAGGCTCCGGCAGTGCAGGAGCCCATGGCGGGGGGAGGCTCAGGCATGGCGGGCTGCAGGTCCCGAGCCCTGCCCCACAGGGAGGCAGCTAAGGCCCGGCGAGAAGTCAAGCACAGCAGCTGCTGGCCCAGGTGCTAAGCCCCTCACTGCCCCGGGCCGGCGGAGCCAGCTGGCCGCTCTGAGTGTGCAGCCCACCGAGCCCACGCCCACCCGGAAGTCACACTGCTGCTGTTCCTGCCCGCGCCTCTCCTCCACACCTCCCCGCAAGCTGAGGGAGCCAGCTCCTGCCTCAGCCAGCGCAGGAAGGGGCTCCCACAGTGCAGCAGCGGGTTGAAGGGCTCCTCAAGTGCCGCCAAAGTGGGAGCCCAGGCAGAGGAAGCGCTGAGAGCGAGGGAGGGCTGTGAGGGCTGCCAGCACACTGTCACCTCTCAGTAGGCTGAATAGAACAAAAGTAGGTGCCATGGCCGTGGGCCTAAAACATCATCATCTTAGCATCTCAAATCCCCAGAAACACTTCCATCTCCTCAGCCAATAGATATGAGGAGTAACTTTTTTAAAAGTGACAGGAGAGGCCGGGTGCGGTGGCTCACGCCTGTAATCCCAGCACTTTGGGAGGCCGAGGCGGGCGGATCACGAGGTCAGGAGATCAAGATCATCCTGGCTAACACAGTGAAACCCCGTCTCTACTACAAATACAAAAAATTAGCTGGGCATGGTGGCGGGCGCCTGTAGTCCCAGCTACTAGGGAGGCTGAGGTAGGAGAATGGCATGAACCCGGGAGGCAGAGCTTGCAGTGAGCTGAGATCATGCCACTGCATCCAGCCTGGGCAACAGTGCGAGACTCCATCAAAAAAAAAAAAAAAAAGTGACAGGAGTAATTGAAACTTTTGCACTGATCATCTCCTGGGGATGAAGCTATTTATGTTGGCATGAATTTTGAAAAAACTACCTCTAATACAGTGCTAAAACAAGAATGCAGAAACAGCAAATCAAAGTAGATGTACAAACTGAAATTGTATTGCCACAATTCCATAAGCTAAAGTGGTACATGATCAATATAGAAAAATAAGCAGAAGGTCGGGTGCGGTGCCTCACGCCTGTATTCCCAGCATTTTGGGAGGCCAAAGCAGGCAGATCACTCGAGGTCAGGAGTTTAAGACCAGCCTAGCCAACATGGTGTAACCACATCTCTACTAAAAAAATACAAAAATTAACCGGGGCTAGGTGGTGCGTGCCTGTAATCCCAGCTACGCCTGAGGAAGCCTGAGGCAGGAAAATTGCCTGAACCCTGGAGGCAGAGGCTGCAGTGAGCCAAGATCACACCACTGCCCTCCAGCCTGGGTGACAGAGTGAGGTTCCCTCTCAAACAAAAAACAAAAAGAAAAACAAGCAGAGGTTTCACTTAACCATAGTTATTGTTCTATACACACTGTCTTACTAACACAACATAGTCAGCTGAGGGTCACAGTGGGACTCCACCAACTGAGCCTTGCCAAGAGCTCTCTCATCTAAACACACTCACAGGATGTGCATATTGGCAAGCCTTTGCAGGTTATCTGGAGAATGAATTCCTAGCAGTGGAATTACCAGGTCAAATATATGTATCTTTTTTTATTTTGTTATATATATATACATATATATATATTATTGTTGTGTGTTATTTCATAAGTTTTGCTATTACTACGCATTATCACACATTTCTTCTATTTTACTAGCTACAGCCAAGTGTCCTCCAGCAAGACTTTATCAATTTACTATAATAGTGTGTTTACCTACATCTTAGCCAGCACTAGGCATCACCCTTTAATATGCTTGTAGATCCAACAGATGAACAATATTGCTTTTCGGCTGGGCGCAGTGGCTCACGCCTGTAATCCCAGCACTTTAGGAGGCTGAGGCGAGTGGATCATGAGGTCAGGAGTTCGAGACCAGCCTGACCAAGATAGCGAAACCCCGTCTCTACTAAAAATACAAAAATTAGCCGTGCACGGTGGCAGGTGCCTGTAATCTCAGCTACTTGGGAGGCTGAGGCAGGAGAATCACTTGAACCCGGGCAGCAGAGGTTGCAGTGAGCCAAGATCGAGCCACTGCACTCCAGCCTTGGCGACAAAGTAAGACTCAGTCTCAGAAAAAAAAAAAAAAATGCTTTTCAGTGTTGTCTTAATTTGTATCTCTTTAATTATGGCTGCAGTTGAGTATAGGTTCATGTTCTTTGTCCATTTGCATTTATTTTTCTGTAAAGCAGACTGTAGCCTTTGCCCATTTTTCTTTTGGTCTGTTTGCCTTTTCCTGATTGGTTTGCATATGGGCTCTGGATGAAAGAAATCAATCTTTCATCACCCCCAAATCACAAATAGTTTTTCTTGGTATATCAGTTGCATTTTGACTTTGCTATTTATTTTATTTGCCATGTAGAAGGATTTTTTGTTTTTATTTTTACATAGTCAGATTCATCCGTCATTTCCTTTATAGTTTCTGGAGCTTATACAGTACCTTGCCTCCTCATTCCATGTTTTCTTCTATCTTCCTAATGTTTAAAGTTTTAATTCCCTTGTAGTTCATTTGGGTATAAGGACTGAAGTATAGACCAAGATCATTTTATTCCTGTCCTGAAACAGTTGTCAGTCCCCACATCATTTATTGAACTGTCTTCGCTAATTTGAAACACCACCTTTGGTGGGGCACGGTGGCTCACGCCTGTAATCTTAGCACTTTGGGAGGCCAAGACGGGTGGATCACCTGAGGTCAGGAGTTTGAGACCAGCCTGGCCAACATGGTGAAACCCCGTCTCTGCTAAAAATACAAAAATTAGCCGGGCATGGTGGTGGGCGCCTATAATCCCAGCTATTCGGGAGGCTGAAGCAGGAGAATTGCTTGAACCTGGGGGACGGAGGTTGCAGTAAGCCAAGATCGCACCACTTCACTCCAGCCTGGGTGAAGACTGAAACTCCATAACTCCATCTCAAAAAAAAACACAGGGCGCCGTGGTTCATGCCTGTAATCCCAGCACGTTGGGAGGCTGAGGCGGGGAGATCACAAGGTCAGGAGATCGAGACCATCCTGGCTAACACAGTGAAACCCCGTCTCTACTACAAATACAAAAAAAAATTAGCCGGGCATGGTGGTAGGTGCCTGTAGTCCCAGCTACTCGGGAGGCTGAGGCAGAAGAATGGCGTGAATCCAGGAGGCGGAGGGCGGAGGTTGCAGTGAGCCGAGATCGTGTGCCACTGCACTCTAGCCTGGTCGACAGAGCGAGACTCGGTCTCAAAAAAAAGAAGAAAAGAAAGAAACACCACCTTTATGATAAACTGAAATTCCCATAAATAACTTCCATAAATATTTATGTCTCTTTCTGGACTCTATTCTAGCCCATTGTTCTCTGCTACTATATTTATCTAATAGTTCTTCAAATAAATTATCAAAACTTGACTTTTAGTGTGTTAGACCAAAAAAGGAGTTTTTTAACTTTTTTTTTTTTTTTTTTTTTTTTTTTGAAACAGAGTCTCACTCAATCACCCAGGCTGGAGTGCAATGGCGTGATCTTGGCTCACTGCAACCTCTGTCTCCAGGGTTCAAGTGATTCTCCTGCCTCAGCCTCCCAAGAAGTTGAGATCATCATCTCACTTCATGTAGCCTCTGGAAAATTCCACCGTACACTCATGAAAGAATGAGAGTGAAGAAGGCAAGTAACAGCTTAGTACTACTATGAAAATAGTTTGGACCTTGCAGACTCCCTGAAAAGTTCTCAGAGGCCCCCAGACCACACTTTGAAAATAATTGGTATAATTATTCCCACTGATATGATCAATGGCACTATAAACAACTTCTTATTATTTTTTTTTTTTTTTGAGATGGATTCTTGCTCTGTCGCCCAGGCTGGAGTGCAGTGGAGCAATCTCAGCTCACTGCAACTTCCACCTCCCAGATTCAAGTGATTCTCCTGCCTCAACCTCCCGAATAGCTGGGATTACAGGCGCCCAACACTACGCCTGGCTAATTTTTTTGTATTTTTAGTAGAGATCGGTTTCGCCATGTTGGCCAGGCTGGTCTTGAACCCCTGACCTCAGGCGATCCGCCCACCTTGGCCTCACAAAGTGCTGGCATGAGCCACCATGCCCAGCCTATAAACTTTTCTGAAACTTGCCTGAAACTTTCATTTTTCAACGAAAAGGAGCCTATGTGTCAGGGTGAAGGGAGGAGGACATCAGTATCTATCTAAAATAAATATCTTTAAAATAAAAATAGGCTGGGAGCAGTGGTGCACACCTGTAATCCCAGCACTTTGGGAGGCTGAGGCGGGCAGATCACTTGAGTCCAGGAGTTCGAGACCAACCTGGGCAACATGGCAAAACCCTATCTCTACAAAAACTACAAAGATTAGCCTGACGTGGTGGCACACGCCTGTAGTCCCAGCTACTCAGGAGGCTGAGGAAGGAGGATGGCTTGAGCCCTGGAGGTCGAGGTTGCAGTGAGCCGTGATCATGCCACTGCACTCAGCCTGGGTGACAAAGTGAGAAAGAAGAAGAAGGAGGAGGAGGAGAAGGAGAAGAGGAGGGGGAAGAGGAAGAAGAGGTAGAGGAGGTAGAGGAGGAAGAGGAGGAAGAGGAAGAAGAGGAAGAGGAAGAATAAGAAGGAGGAAGAGGAGAAGGAGGAGGAGGAGAAGGAGAAGAGGAAGGGGAAGAGGAAGAAGAGGAAGAGGAGGAAGAGGAAGAAGAGGAAGAGGAGGAAGAGGAAGAGGAGGAAGAGGAAGAATAAGAAGAAGGAGGAGGGGGAGGAGGAGGAGGAGAAGGAGAGGAGGAAGAGGAAATTCACAAGAAAGAGTATCACTATATAAAAGAAATAGCAAAAAGTAGCTGCTGGTTTTATTTAAGCTTTGTTGTTGTTTTTTTTTAGACAGAGTCTCACTCTGTCGCCACGCCTGGACTGCAGTGGCGCAGTCTGGGCTTACTGCAACCTCCACCTCCTGGGTTCAAGTGATTCCCGTGCCTCAGCCTCCCGAGTAGCTGGTACTACAGGCATGCACCACCACGCCCGGCTAATTTTTTTTTTTTTTTTTTTTTTTTTGTATTTTAGTAGAAACAGGATTTCACCATGTTAGCCAGGATGATCTCGAACTCCTGACCTTGTGATCCACCTGCCCTGGCCTCCCAAAGTTGTGATTACAGGCGTGAGCCACTGCACCCGGCCTTATTTAAGCTTTTACTTAACCTTGGTAATTTTATGTTGACAACCTACAAATGTTGGTAAAGTTATTGCTACTCCTGCCAACTGGGGGTTTTTCATCCTATTGGTCCCTTTCTTCTTCCCAGACTTGATCTTGAAAGATGTCGTCGTTAAATGTTCCCTAAGAACCCACTTTCATATATGGTCTCAAACACAGACCATATTAATGAACATTTCTCCTGTTCATTAACTCCTTTCTTCTGCCAGTTTACCCTTGCTTTCAAAGAACTATCAATTAAGCAGTTGTTTGTTGCTTCTCTTCCCATTTTCTTTACTTCTTTATCTCACTGCTTCCCATTGTGAAAAATACATAGCACTGAAGATATACAAGATGATTTTAGGTAGTAGATGGAAAAACAATTTTACCTTTTACATATTTACTTGAAATTAGATGAATAAAAAAGATAAGTAGTAGAGTAAATCTATAATTAGGGTATTATAGTTTCCTTTCTAAATACAGCATGGATTTTTTTTTTTTTTTGAGTAAGGGTCTCCCTCTGTTGACCAGGCTGGGGTGCAGTGGTGCAATCTGGGCTCACTGCAACCTCTGCCTCCCAGGTTCAAGCAATTCTCCTGCCTCAGCCTCCCAAGTAGCTGGGACTACAGGTGAGTGCCACCATGCCTGGCTCATTTTTTTGTATTTTTAGTAGAGACAGAGTTTTGCCATGCTGGCCAGGCTGGTCTCAAATTCTTGGCCTCAAGTGATCCACCCGCCTCAGCCTCCCAAAGTGCTGGGATTACAGGCATGAGCCGCTGCACCTGGCCTTAAATAACGGATTTTTTTAAAGTAGATAAATAATAATACAGGTGCTTGACATATAGCAAAAATTACCAAGGTGGTATGTGAAATGACTGAAATATAAGAAACACTGCCAGGTGCAGTGGCTCACGCCTGTAATCCCAGCACTTTGGGAGGCCGAGGCGGGTGGATCACTTGAGACCAGGAGTTCAAGACCAGCCTGGCCAACATGGTAAAACTCCATCTGTACTAAAAAAAAAAATACAAAAATTAGCCGGGTGTAGTGGCAGACACCTATAATCCCAGCTACTCAGAAGGCTGAGGCACGAGAATCACTTGAACCCGGGAGGTGGTGGTTGCAGTGAGCCAAGATGGTGCCACTTTACGCTAGCCTGGGTGACAGAGAGAAACCCTATATCCAAAAAATAATAATAAAATAAAATATAAAAAATAAAGAATACTTTTTTGGCAGGGTGTGGTGACTCACTTTGGGAGTCCAAGGTGGAAGCACTGCTTGAGGCCAGGAGTTCAAGACCAGCCTGGGCAACATAGCTAGACCCTGTCTCTACAAAAAGAAAATAAAAATAATAAAAAAAAAATAAGGTGACAGCAAAAAAGAAAAAACAAAGGCTGGGCACGGTGGCTAACACTTGTAATCCCAGCACTTTGGAAGGCTGAGGCGGGCGGATTACGAGGTCAGGAGTTCAAGACCAGCCTGGGCAACACAGTGAAACCCCGTCTCTACTAAAAATACAAAAATTAGCTGGGCGTGGTGGCGGGTGCCTGTAATCCCAGCTACTCAGGAGGCTGAGGCAGGAGAATTGTTTGAACCTGGGTGGTGGAGATTTCGAGTGTGCTAGATCACGCCACTGCACTCCAGCCTGAGCAACAGAGCTAGACTCTGTCTCAAGAAAAAAAAAAAAAAAAGACAAAAAAGAAAATCAAAACTTAACCAGGCATGGTGGCACATGCCTGTAGTCCTAGCTACTCAGGAGGCTAAGAGGATCAATTGAGCCCAGGAGTTTGAGGATGCAGTGAGCTATGATTACATCACTTTGCTCCAGCCTGGGCCACAGAACAATACCCTGTCTCAAAACAAACAAACAAAAAACTTCTGAAAGGAATTGAAAAATTAATTGAGTCATGTTAATTTTTTTTTTTTTTTCTGAGACAGCGTCTCACTCTTTCACCCAGGCTGGAGTGCAGTGGTGCAATCTCGGCTCACTGCAACCTCCGCCTCCCAGGTTCAAGCAATTCTCATGTGCCTCAGCTTCCCAAGTAGCTGGGATTACAGGTGCCTGCCATCATGCTCGGCTAATTTTTGTATTTTTAGTAGAGATGGGTTTTCGCCACGCTGGCCAGGCTGGTATCAAACTCCTGAGCTCAAGCAATCTGTCCACCTTGGCCTCCCAAAGTGCTGAGGTGGCACGCCACCTCACCCAGCCAAGTCATGTTATTTCAGATGCCAAACCTACCAATGATGCTAGTAATTCAGTCGTATTACTTTCTTCAAAAAAAGCCAGCTTGTCCATTTGGTCTCGATCGTAAGATTTTACACAAATTTTTACACATTTCTGTTTTGTTAAAACTGTTAAGAAAAAAATTGAAAATATTAAGAGATTTGGCTAAAGTTTATAATTCAAATGTCATGAAATAAGCAATTTATCTTACAGGTAAAACTTCTTCAAAGACTTCAGTATGCCATTATTCTCTACATTTTCCTCTTCTACATTTTCATTCCTAACTGAAATGATTACAACTAGACACACACACAATGCTGTCATCACTGAAGAGAAGAATTTGTCTTCTTCAGTAACATACAAAGTGGGATATGAAATAAGCAATTTGTCTTCTTCAATAACATACAAGGTGGGATATGAAATAAGCAATTTATCTTACAGGTAAAACTTCTTCAAAGACTTCAGTATGCCATTATTCTCTACATTTTCCTCTTCTACTTTTCATTTGTAACTGAAATGATTACAACTAGACACACACACAATGCTGTCATCACTGAAGAGAAGAATTTGTCTTCTTCAATAACATACAAGGTGGGATATGAAATCCACCCTAGCTTCCTAAGAACTACCCTGATATACAATCCTTCACTTAAAAGTGACAATAAAATTGATGGTAGTGGTGGTTGTACAACTCTGTGAATATACTAAAAAACACTAAATTAGACACTTTAAGTGGGTGAATTATATGGTACGTGATTTTTCTCTGAATAACACTGTTACCAAAAGAATGTGATCATAAAATATTTGATACTTTTAATACAAAATTTCTTATTTACAAGGTCTAGCTATGGAGGATTATCAAGGTAAAGTGCCAGTGGTTTTTTTACTTTTTGTTTTTTGTTTTTGAGACGGAGTTTCATTCTTGTTGCCCAGACTGCAGTGCAATGGCACCACCTCGGCTCACTACAACCACCGCCTCCCAGGTTCAAGCAATTCTCCTGCATCAGCCTCCCGAGTAGCTGGGATTACAGGCATGCACCACCATGCCCGGCTAATTTTGTATTTTTAGTAGAGACAGGGTTTCTCCATGTTGGTCAGGCTGTTCTTGAACTCCCAGCCTCAGGTGATCCGCCTGCCTCGGCATCCCAAAATGCTGGGATTACAGGCATGAGCCACCGCACCTGGCCCAGTGTTATTATTATTATTATTATTATTTTCTTCCAGAGCCTTCAGATGAAATGTGCCAATGTTATGAATCAGGAAATAATGAGCATGAGTAAACAATGAAAAACAGAGTCATATTTTAGCACCTACTGTCCTGAAATAATACAAATATGAACCAAAAAAGAATCTTATTGGCAGCAGAGTTGTACTACACTGCCAAGTTTCTTCAGTCCAAGGGATAGCATTTCTTGATAAGGTACACTTTCCTGTTAGAACAATGGCACTCCACAAAGGTATTGCATGCAAATTTAATCATCAAAAAGCTAATGCCTGACACACAAACCAATGTAACAGTACAACAGAAAACTCAGAAATACAGCCATACAACTATGCCCAAGTGATTTTTTACAAAGGTGAAAAAGTTGCCAGGCTCGGTGACTCACACCTGTAATCCCAGCACTTTGGGAGGCCGAGGCAGGTGGATTACTTCAGGTCAGGAATTTGAGACCAGACTGGCCCCGTCTCTACTAAAACTACAAAAATTAGCTGGGCGTGGTCCCAGCTACACAGAAGGCTGAGGCAGGGCCAGGTGAGGTGGCTCACACCTGTAATCCTAGCATTTTGGGAGGCCAAGGTGGGCGGATCACATGAGGTCAGGAGTTCGAAACCAGCCTGGCCAACATGTTGGAACCATGTAGAAAGATGGAACCATGTAGTAGAGATGGAACCCCATCTCTACTAAAAATACAAAAAAAAATTAGCCGGGCATGGTGGCGGATGCCTGTAATCCCAGCTACTTGGGAGACTGAGGCAGAAGAATTGCTTGAACTCGAGATCACACCACTGCACTCCAGCGTGGGCAACAGAGCAAGACTCCATCTCAAAAAAAAAAAGAAGAAGAAGAAGAAGGCTGAGGCAGAAGAATCGCTTGAGCTCAGGAGGTGGAGGCTGCAGTGAGCCAAGATGGTGCCACTGCACTCCAGCCTGGGGGACAGAGCAAGCCTCTGCCAAAAAAAATTTGAAAAGGTGCAAAAGCAATTTCACGGAGGAAGGATAGATAGTCTTTTCAAGAAACCATGCTAAAGAAATTAGATATCTATAGGCAAAAAAAAAAGTTAATCTCAACCTTTCACATCTTCCAACAACAAAAAACCCAAAATGTATCACAGACTTAAATGTGTGAACCCCAAATACCGGAAACAGGTCTCATTCAGTATAGAAAGTTTATGTTGCCAGGTGCAGTGGTTCACACCTGCAATCCTAGCACTTTGGGAGGCCGAGGTGGGTGGATTACCTAAGGTCAGGAGTTCGACCAGCCTAGCCAGCATGGTGAAACCCCATCTCTACTAAAAATACAACAACAACAAAAAAAAATTAGCTGGGCGTGGTGACGGGTGCCTATAATCCCAGCTACTCGGGAGCCTGAGGCAGGAAAATCACTTGAACCCAGGAGGTGGAGGTTGCAGTGAGCCGAAATCGTGCCACTGCACTCCAGCCTGGGAGACAGAGTGAGACTTCATCTCAAAAAAAAGAAAGAAGGAAGGAAAGAAAGGAAGGGAGGAAGGGAGGGAGGGAAAAAGAAAGGAAGGAAAGGGAAGGAAAGAGAAAGAAAGAGAAAGCAAGAAAAGAAAGAAAGAAAAGAAAGAAAGAGAAAGGAAGGAAGAGAAAGAAAGAGAAAGAAAAAGAGAGAGAGAGGGAGGGAGGGAGGAAGGAAGGAAAGAAGAGGGGAAGCCGAAGGGGAAAGGGAAAGGAAAGGAAAGGTTCCAGATGTTACTAATCATGTTTCTTTGTTAGGGAGCCTGCTGAAATAAAGAATAAAGAGCAAGGAGTAGATATAAACAGTCAGAGAAAAGGCAAATAAAAAATATAAAAAGGATGCTATTTCTTACATGTGTTTGGCAAGAGGTTTGCTCAAAACACTGCTATCAATATTTCTCACAGGGAAAGGCAAGCTCCAGGTTTGAAAAGTAAACATGCTGCACCTAGAACTAGCCTTTAAAAACTCCTAGAACCTTAAAGTTGGCTAAGTCTATAGTCAGATGGCACCAGCACCATTCTCAACTTTGTGTGCATTTGTGATGCCTTCTACCAGAATACCCCCCTACACCCTAGATTAGGCAACTAGAGATCAGAACATAAGTCTTATTTATTAATACTTTTTGAATTGATTACTTGCAAGAAAAATTCCTTTTGAGTCAGCTTACAATGAAAACAACGAGGCTACTAAGGAAGGGAGCCAAGAAATTACTGGTGGTTGAGGGACACGCTGAAGAGGAATTGTGCCAGGAATCCCTGGCTAAAGAAAAGTAATAATGATGACAGTTACCATTTATTGAAAGCTTACTATGTGCAAGGTGCCGTCGTAAGTGCTTTTCATGTACTATCTCATTTTATTCTCACAAATCTCTAGAAGTAAATAACACTATGTTTGCAGAGAAAGGACCCAGGAGACCCAAGTGGATTAACAAGAATTAGGGGGGTAAGAGTGTGAGACCATATGAGTGAGGGGTAACACAGCATGGTGGGGATGTATTTAAGAAAGACCACAATGAGTGTATGTGTCCAGAATGGAAGATTGTGTAAGAACACGAGGGAAAGGGTGGAGGGAAGGGAAGGGTTACAGATGCTGAGAGGGAACCGAAGGCGTTGGGGAGGAGGGGAGGAGTTAGTTGAGGCAGGAGAGAAGCCAAAAGGGAGGTGGAGGAGCAGCCAATAGGGAGGGAAGTGGGAAGGACTTAGAGGAAGGAGGAGGAGCAGTAAAAAGGAAAACAGAAGAGCAGAGGGGAAGAGACTAGAAAAAGCAGCAGTGAGGAGGAAGGTAAAGGAGAAGAGAGGGAGGGGTAGGGAGAGGAGCCGAGAGGGAGGGGAAAGAGAAGGAGATGGGAGAGGGCGTAGCATCCAGGAGAAAGGAGGAGGGGGAGGAGCCGAGAGAGCACTGGCAGAACAAAAAGAGACTGGGTAAGGAGTCGATAAGGGGGGGAAGGGGAGGAGCCAAGATAAGAAGGTGGGGCCGAAACAGTAGGCGTTGGAGCCGAGAGGGAGAAGGAAGAAGACGAGATGAGAGGGAAGGGAGGGAGCAGAAAAAGAAGAGGAAGGGGAGGAACTGTGAGGAAGGAGGAGATACTGAGAGGGCGGGAAAGATCCGCGAAGTGGGAGACTCCGAGATTGAAAGCCCCTGAGACATACCCACAGGGAAGGCAATGGCATTCCGGGTCCAAGTCCATGAGCTCTCGGCCCTGGTCGTCCCCTATCGGCCCTATACCCCTACCCGAAGCCTTCCCCTCACATCTCTCTCACTCCCTCCAATCCTCACCTGACAAAATGCGATTTCTCGCTCCGCCTGGCAGAAGTTGACCGCGGCTAACCTGGGAAGGTAGAAAGCCGTGCAGCGGGCGGCCCTGAAGCCTCAGGAGCAGCCCCAGCCTCAGCAGCCACCTCAGCCCGGAGAGGGCGGGCCACTGGCGCTCGAGGTTGGTTCCCACGCGGAAACCACGAGTACTCATTTCGGGAGCCGGCTCAGGCACTCGGGAACACACACATGAAATCGGCACCCGTGGAGGAAATAAGCGGAAATGACAAGAGCCTCGGACAGGGAACAGCCGAGGCCGGCTAGTGGCACTATAACTCCCAGGACGGCCACTTAGTCGGGATAGAACATGGTTCGCAACCCGGTTGCTAGGGCGCCAGTAGGCGGGCATCGTGAGCTGTCGCGGTGCGCATGCGTGGGGATCCCCGCCGAGCCGAGCCGCCCCGCCCCGCCCCGCCATCCCCAGACTTCCCCGCCTCGCCCTTTCCCGTGGCTCTGGCGGTGCCTTGCGCTCTGCCTCGCTTGCAGCCACGCTAGGCCCTGCACAGGTTGGGGGGGGCGAAGGGAGGCTGTCCTAGAAGTTTCATCATAGCAGGGGCTCGCCTCCTCCCGAGGTTGCCTTTCTTAGTCCCAAACTAGCAGTGTTACCGCCCCTGCCATCTTCATTTCTGGCTGCAGGAATTAGGGGGTGTGGCATTCTAGGGCCGCACGGTCCAGTGCGGTGCCTATGAGGCACTTAAAATGCAGCTTTTCCGAGTTTGATGTTCTGTAAGTGTAAAATGCACTCCAGCTACCAAAGACAAAAAGAAAGTAAAACATTTCGACCTGCGCGGTGGCTCAGGCCTGTAACCCCAGTACTTTGGGAGGCCGAGGTGGGTGGATCACCAGAGGTCAGGAGTTCGAGCCCAGCCTGACCAATATGGTGAAACCCCGTCTCTACTAAAAATACAAAAATTAGCGGGCGTAGTGGCGTGCGCCTGTAGTCCCAGCTACTCGGGAGGCTGAGACAGAAGAATTGCTTGAACCTGGGAGGTGGAGGTTGCAGTGAGCCGAGATCACACCACTGCACTCCAGTCTGGGCACCAGAGCGAGACTCCGTCAAAAAAAAAAAAAAAAAGCGTGAGGGGGGCCGGGCGCGGTGGCTCACTCCTGTAATCCCAGCACTTTGGGAGGCCCAGGCGGTCGGGTCACGAGGTCAGGAGATCGAGACCAGCCTGACCAACATGGTGAAACCCCATCTCTACTTAAAAATGCAAAAATTAGCCGGACGTGGTGGCGGGCGCCTGTAATCCCAGGTACTCAGGAGGCTGAGGCAGAAGAATCGCTTGAACCCGGGAGGCGGAGGTTACAGTGAGCCGAGATCGTGCCACTGCACTCCAGCCTGGGCAACAAGCGAGACTCCGTCTCAAAAAAAAAAAAAAAAGAAAAAGAAAACATTTCTAATTACTGCATGGGTGATTGAAATCATAATATTTGGGGTCCACTGCGTTGAATAAAACATTACTAAAACCAATTTAACTTGCTTCTTTTAATTTTTTTAATGTGGCTACTTGGAAATGTAAAATTACATAGTATGTGACCTGCATTATATTTCTATTGGATAACGCTAGTCTTGGAAGGAGGATGGAAGGGCAAAAGACTAAAGAAAAGGGAGGTGGAGGTGGAGTCCTGCTCTATGCTATTGGAAGAAAGTCTTCTTTCTCTTAGCGGCGGGGACCTTATTTTACGACCTCTGTTAAGAATCCTGTCTTACCTTTTTCTCCTTGTGGTGTACTATAATGCAAAGTGCTTGCATGTGGACCAAGAGAGTATTGTAGGTATGATAGGACACAGATAGTAGAAGAGCTTGTTATTTTTCCTTCTTGTGTTTCAAGAGCTTTGGAGAACAAGAGGTCACTTGTTTACGCTGAGTCGTGTGCGCCTTGCCAAGTGCCTTTCTGTCCAAGTTCCCTCGCTCCTAGAGGTCTGTGTCTCCTGGTGATTGGCAGGCGGCGATTCAAGACAACAAAGGCATCGTGCTGGCGGTGAGCCGAGGCGTGTAGAAATATATCAAGTTAACTCTTGGACTAGAGATGTTGAAAAAGTTGTAGGAGAAATGAAAGGAAATATGCGAATGATGAGAAATAAGGGAATTGTGAGAGTGAAAAGGTTGAACTTGATCAAAAGGAGTGGAGAAGCCCATGTCAAGATTTGCAGGGCAGAATAGCATGATTGCCAGGGCACATCCTTTGTGAAGAGGAATGGGAAATTGGAGCTAGCAAGCGTGAGAGCGGTCACGGTTGGAAGTAACCAGAGCTTGGATAAAAATTCTGTGCTTTACCGCTGCATTAGTATGGCTCTCTGGTCTGCCTTTGGTTGAAAACGTGTATAATAAAAAAAACAGGACAGCCTCCCAGGCCTAGTCCTGGAGCTTGGATACCAGCTCCTCCAGGTGCCAAGGAAGCAAACCTTAGGAGGGCCCGCCGCTCCACAAGAAGGTGTGAGCTTTACATCCCTGCCTCCCAGGTCACCTCCAGGACGTAGGCCCCGACCCTGGTCAGACTCTAACAGTGACATTGAGGTCTTCCTTTAAGGCTCCCTGCAGGGACGGCGTATGCCTATGTCAACCTCAAGAAGTGAAGCATCACCAAAGTCTACAAGACGCAGCTCTCCTGATGCCACCAGTGTGTTGTTGTCGCCAGCTCCAGCCACCTGCTGGGCACCAAGCCAGTCCTGGAGATAAGCTGAGACTGTGCACCATCCACGTAAACAGCACACCCACCACGGGCTACTCAGCTGATGTGGGCAACACGACTACCTTCCAGAAGCCTATTAACCCATTCCAGCATATTCTGTATATTTTGGAGGCTCTAGGAGTTGGTCAGCCGGCCCATCCAAACCATGTTCATCTTTTGCTTCCTTACAACCCTGCAACATGTATGAGGACCCAGAGCAGCAAAAGCATCCACCAGGCAGGCCTGGTTTTCTCCAACAACAAAGCCTGTGAGACGGCAAGGACAGGTACTAGCCTCCCCGCCTGCCACCTCTGGCCAGCCCTGTACACTTTCTCATGTTGTATGCAAACAGGAACAGCTGTATTTCTTTCTTTCCAACATGTATGCCTTTTGTTTCTTTTTCTTGCCTTGTTGGTAGGATTTCCAATATGATGTTAAGTAGAAGTGGTGAGTGTGGAGTTTTTGGGAGAAAACCATTTCAGTCTTTCACCATTAAGTGAGATTAACAGATTTTTATAGATGCCCTTTATTGGGTGAAGGAAGTTGCCTTCTGAGTTCGCTGGAAGTGTTCATCATATTGAATTTTATCAAATTTTTTGCACCAATTGCTATGATCTTCTTTTTTTCTGAAGACTATTAATGTGATGGATTACGCTGATTTTTTTGTTTGTTTGTTTGAGACAGAGTTTTGCTCTGTGGCCCAGGCTGGAGTGCAGTGGCGCGATCTCGGCTCACTGCAACCTCTGCCTCCTGGGTTCAAGCAATTCTCCTTCCTCAGCCCCGTTAGTAGCTGGGATTACAGGTATGCACCACGATGCCCGGCTAATTTTTTGTATGTTTAGTAGAGATGGGGTTTCACCATATTGGTCAAGCAGTCTTGAACCCCTGGCCTCAAGTGATCCACCCGCCTCGGCCTCCCAAAGTGCTGGGATTACAGGCATGAGCCACTGCACTCAGCCTACCTTGATTTTCAAGTACCGAATCAGCCTTGTGTCTCTAGAATAAACCCTACTTGGTTGGTTGTTGTGTTAAAAATAAAAATGAAAAAGTGGCCGGGCGCGGTGGCTCACGCCTGTAATCCCAGCACTTTCGGAGGCCGAGGCGGGTGGATCACCTGAGGTCGGGAGTTCGAGACCAGCCTGACCAACATGGAGAAACCCCATCTCTACTAAAAATACAAAATTAGCCGAGTGTGGTGGTGCAGACACTTAGGGTTCTGGAGCAAGGCCATGCCATCTAGAAGCAGAAAGCTATATACCATTTGAAAGCAGCTCCTGGTTTGCTCCGGACCCTGGAAGAGATTGACCAGTTGCTCTTCAGATTTTTTTTTTTTGAACCGGAGTCTCGCTCTGTCGCCCAGGCTGGAGTGCAATGGTGTGATCTCGGCTCACTGCAACCTCTGCCTCTTGGGTTCCAGTGATTCTCCTGCCTCAGCCTCCTGAGTAGCTGGGATTACAGGCATGGGCCACCACACCCAGGTAATTTTTAGTAGAGACAGGGTTTCGCCATGTTGACCAGGCTGGTCTCGAACTCCTGACCTCAGGTGATCCACCTGCGTCAGCCTCCCAAAGTGCTGGGATTACAGGTGTGAGCCACTGTGCCCGACCAAATAAAATTTTTTAAAATGAGAGTAAGTGTAGATGACAAAGATAATAATGCCCTCTCCCTCTTGTTATGTAGCGGTAGAAATTACAAAGTTCTTTCCTAGTCATTTTATGTGATCCTCCTAGTGTTCGTATCAGGTAGGCAGGTTAGTTATTGATCTCTTTGTTTTATGTGAGATAATTGAAGAGAAGTTAATTTGCTTGTCCAACGTCACATAGCTAATAGATGACCAAGCTGAGGTTAGAAAGCAGGTCTTCTGGCTGGGTGCGGTGGCTCACGCCTGTAATCCCAGAACTTTGGGAGGCGGAGGTGGACAGATCACGAGGTCAGGAGTTCAAGACCAGCCTGGGCAAGATGGTGAAACCCCGTCTCTACTAAAAATACAAAAATTAGTTGGGCGTGGTGGTGCACGCCTGTAATCCCAGCTACTCAGGAGGCTGAGGCAGGAGAATTGCTTGAACCCGAGAGGTGGAGGTTGCAGTGAGCCGAGATCACAGGATTGCACCTCAGCTCTGGGCAACAGAGCAAGACTCCGTCTCCGAGAAAAAAAAGAAAGAAAGCCGGTCTTCTTATATCTAATACAGTTCTTGAATGTAATTGTGCCCGGAGTTGGTTCTTTCTCGTGGGTTTGTGGTCTCGCTGACTTCAAGATTGAATCCGCGGACCTTCCCAGTGAGTGTTACAGCTTTTTTTTTTTTTTTAAGAGACGGAGCCTTGCTCTGTCGCCCAGGCTGGAGTGCAGTGGCACGATCTCGGCTCACTGCAAGCTCCGCCTCCCAGGTTCACGCCATCAGCTTCACAAGTAGCTGCAACTATAAGTGCTCGCCACCATGCCAGGCTAATTTTTTTGTATATTTAGTAGAGATGGGGTTTTCACCGTGTTAGCCAGGATAGTGTCGATCTCCTGACCTGGTGATCTGCCCACCTCGGCCTCCCAAAGTGCTAGGATTACAGGCGTGAGCCACGGCACCCGGCCGTGTTACAGCTCTTAAAAGTGGCACGGACCCAAACAGTGAGCAGCAGCAAGATTTTCTGTGAAGAGCAAAACCTGAGCAGGTTGCCACTGCTGGCTAGGACAGCCAGTTTTTATTCCCTTATTTGTCCCTGCCCATGTCCTGCTGATTGGTCCATTTTACAGAGTGCTGATTGGTCCATTTTACAGAGTGCTGATTGGTCCATTTTACAGAGCGCTGATTGGTCCATTTTACAAACCTCTAGGTAGCTACGGAGTGCTGATTGGTGCGTTTTTACAGAGCACTGATTGGTGAATTTTACAAACCTCTAGCCAGCTACAGAGTGCTGATTGGTGCATTTTACAATCCCCTTGTAAGACAGAAAAGTTCTCCAAGTCCCTACTCGACCCAGGAAGTCCAGCTGGCTTCACCTTTCAATAATGATATTAAAAGGAAGTATAAAGTATTTGTTAATTTTTAAAACTCCTTTTATGAGGTAATATAGCTGTTAATCTTCCAGCTATGTTCATTAAAAATGTTTCAGAAACAAAAGATTGAGTGAAGGCTGGGTGCAGTGGCTCATGCCTGTAATCCCAGCACTTTGGGAGGCTGAGGCAGGCAGATCACTTGAGATCAGGAGTTTGAGACCAGCCTGACCAACATGGTGAAACCTCATCTCTACTAAAAACGCAAAAATTAGCTGGGCATGGGGGCGCACGCTTGTAATCCCAGCTACTAGGGAGGCTGAGGCAGGAGAATCACTTGAACTCAGGAGGTGGAGGTTGCAGTGAGCCAAGATCATGCTGCTGGACTCCAGCCTGGGCAACAGAGCGAGATTCAGTCTCAAAAAAAAAAAAAATTGGGTGGACCATATGAATGTCAAGTTAGGCATTAAGCTTTGAGAATACTGCCTAGAGAGAGTTAACTGGAAAATCTGTGATAGGTGGTGTCACTCAAACAATTTCGCAAAAGAGAGAAAAGCAAATTATGGCACTTTACAAACCAGGTGCTTCAGGCCACATTAAAGAAAATTTCTAAATCAGACTATTGGCCAGGTGCGGTGGCTCACGCTTGTTATCCCAGCACTTTGGGAGGCCGAGGCAGGCGGATCACCTAAGGTCAAGAGTTTGAGAGCAGCCTAGCCAACGTGGCAAAACCCTGTCTCTACTAAAAAATACAAAAATTAGCTGGGCATGGTGGCATGCGCCTGTAATCCCAGCTACTCGGGAAGCTGAAGCAGGAGAATCGCTTGAACCCAGGAGGCAGAGGTTGCAGTGAACTGAGAGAGCGCCACTGCGCTCCAGCCTGGGCAACAGAGCTAAACTCTGTCTTAAAAAAAAAAAAAAAAAAAAAAAAAAAACACTATTACAGGGCTGGGTGCAGTGGCTCACGCCTGTAATCACAGCACTGTGGGAGGCTGAGGCAGGCGAATCATTTGAGGTTAGGAGTTTAAGACCAGCCTGACCAACATGGTGAAACCCCGTCTCTATGAAAAATTAGCCGGTCACGGTGGCAGGGGCCTGTAGTCCTAGTTACTTGGGAGGCTGAGGCAGGAGAATCACTTGAACCTGGGAGGTGGAGATTGCAGTGAGCCAAGATCACGCCACTGCACTCCAGCCTGGGTGATAGAGACTCTGTCTCAAAAACAAACAAACAAACAAAAAGCCAGATTATTACAACTACTAGGTCTTTAATAATTTTTTCAAGTTTCTAATCATTTACAGTTAAAGTTATCCCAGCTGCAGTTTCCATCCTCTTTCCAGTTCACTTCAATATGTACATACCCAAATTAAGTAGTGAACAAAGGAATACTGTGATCCAGTGGAATCATGTTCTATTTAAGCCATGTTTCTAGATCAGTTTATTGGAACCTCCAAAAGGGAACTAATGTCCATGGTAGGCCAAGCATGCCAGCTCCAGAGGCCACATCTTACCTTTCATGCTGTGTGCTGACAGGACCAAACTAGCCTACCCCTTGGGTTTCCTGCCTTGACTCACTTTTTTCCTCCCAATTTCCCCCAATCTAAATATGCTTCTCCCAAATTGATAGTGCAAATCTGATCATGTCTCACTGCTCTTTAAAATCCTTCACTGGACAGACAACTCAATGCAATGTGGGATCCTGAATTGGATCCTAAACAGAAAAAGGACATTAGTGGGAAACTGGTGACACCTGAATAAAGTCTGCAGTTTAGTTTAATAGTATTGTGCCAATATTTATTTCTTTGTCGCCCAGGCTGGAGTGCAGTGCCGTGATCTCGGCTCACTGCAACCTCCACCTCCCAGTTTCAAGTAATTCTCCTGCCTCAGCTTCCAAAGTAGCTGGGACTACAGGTGTGCGCCACCACACTCAGCTAATTTTTGTACCTTTAGTAGACACGGGTTTCCACTATGTGTTGGCCAGGCTGGTCTCAAAATCCTGACCTCAGGTGATACGCCCGCCTCTGCCTCCCAAAGTGCTGGGATTACTGGTGTGAGCCACCGTGCCCGGCCTATTTATTTATTTTTTATGTGATAATTACCTTTTTAAAAAATTGTTGGACGGGCATGGTGTCCCAGCTACTCGGTAGGCTGAGGCAGGAGAATCGGTTGAATCCAGGAGGCAGAGGTTGCAGTGAGCCGAGATCGCGCCACTGCACTCCAGCCTGGGTGACAGAGCAAGACTCTGTCTCAAAAAAAAAAAAAAAAAATTAAAAAAAAAAGAACTAATAAATGAGCAAAGCAAGTGCAGAATATAAGATCAATATATAAAACAGAGCACACAAAAGAAAAAAGCATAAACTAATGTCTCTCATACATGTAGACACAAAAATCCTTAATAAAATATAAGTTAATCAGGCCAGGCAAGGTGGCTCATGTCTATAATCCCAGCACTTTGGGAGGCCGAGGCAGGCGAATCGCTTAAGGCCAGGAGTTCAGGACCAGCCTGGCCAACATGGCAAAACCCTACCTCTACTAAAAATACAAACATTAGCCAGGCATGGTGGCGTGCTTTTGTAATCCCAGCTACTCAGGAGGCTGAGGCAGGAGAATCACTTGAACCCGGGAGGCAGAGGTTGCAGTGAGCCAAGATTTTGCCACTGCACTCCAGCCTGGGTGACAGAGCAAGACTACATCTCAAAAATGCAAAAAAAAAAAAGGCTGGGTGCGGTGGCTCATGCCTGTAATCCCAGCACTTTGGGAAGCCGAGGCAGGTGGATCACTTGAGGTAAGGAGTTCGAGACCAGCCTGGCCAACGTGGTGAAACCCCATCTCTACTAAAAATACAAATATTAGCCAGGCGTGGTGGCGGGCAACTGTAATCCCAGCTACTCAGGAGGCGGAGGCAGGAGAATTGCTTGAACCTGGGAGGTAGAGGTTGCAGTGAGCCAAGATCACACCACTGCACTCCAGCCTGGGCGACACAGTAAGACCTCATATCAAAAAAAAAAGACAATGCGGTACTGGCATAAGAATAGACATATAGATCAGAATTAAGAGTCCAGAAATAAATCCTTGTATTTAAAGTCAGTTGTTTTTTGACAAGAGTGCTAAGGCAATTCACTGGGAAAAGGATAGTTTACAAATGGTGCTGCAGAAAGATGCAACATGCAAAAAGATGAGCTGGACCCTCTTCACATTATGAAGAAGTTTACTCAAAATATATCATGGACTTGGCCAGGCACAGTGGCTCATGCCTGTAATCCCAGCACTTTGGGAGGCCAAGACAGGCAGATCGCGTGAGGTCAGGAGTTTGAGACCAGCCTGGTGAAAATGGTGAAACCCTGTCTCTACTAAAAATACCACAATTAGCCAAGTGTGGTGGTAGGCGCCTGTAATCCCAGCTACGCTGGAGGCTGAGGCAGGAGAATAGCTTGAACCCAGGAGGCGGGGGTTGCAGTGAGCCGAGATCATGCCACTGCACTACAGCCTGGGCGACAGAGTGAGACTCTGTCTCAAAAAACAAAACAAACTAACAAAAAACTAGACTTAATTTTTAGAGTTAAAACAATGAAACTTTTAAAAGAAAACATAGGGGAAAATCTTTGAGACCTTGGCTTAGGCAAACATCTCATGGATACAACTCTATAGGCATGTTCCATAAAAGAAAAAATATGGTAAATTTGACCTTACAAAAATTCAAAATGTTTGCACTCCAAAAGACATCATTAAGAAAATTAGGTCCGGGCACGGTGGCTCAGGCCTGTAATCCCTACACTTTGGCAGGCCGAGGCGGGTGGATCACCTGAGGTCAGGAGTTTGAGACCAGCCTGGCCAACATGATGAAACTCAGTGTCTACTAAAAATACAAAAAATTAACCAGGCATGGTGGCAGGCGTTTGTAATCCCAGCCACTCGGGAGGCTGAAGCAGGAGAATCGCTTTAACCCAGGAGGCGGAGGTTGCAGTGAGCCAAGATCGAGCCACTGCACTCCAGCCTGGGTGACAAGAGCGAAACTCTGTCTCAAAAAAAAAAAAAGAAAGGAAATCTAGGCCAGGCGCGGTGGCTCACGCCTGTAATCCTAGCACTTTGGGAGGCCAAGGCGGGCGGATCACGAGGTCAGGAGATCGAGACCATCCTGGCTAACACGGTGAAACCCCCGTCTCTACTGAAAATACAAAAAATTAGCCAGGCGTGGGGGTGGGCGCCTGTAGTCCCAGCTACTCGGGAGGCTGAGGCAGGAGAATACCGTGAACCCAGGAGGCAGAGCGTGCAGTGAGTCGAGATCGCGCCACTGCACTCCAGCCTGGGTAACACAGCGAGACTCCATTTCAAAAAATAATAATAATAATAAGGAAAATAAGAAAAAAAAAACCTCACAGACTTGGAGGAAATATTTGCAAAAGACATATCAGATAAAGGACTTGTAACCTGAATGTATGAAGAACTCTTACAACTCAATAATAAAACAATTCAATGAAAACTGGCCAAAATATATGAACAGACATTTCATCAAAGAGGACATATAAATGAAAAGCACATGAACAGGTGGTCGACATCATTTATCAGTACAGAAATGCAAATTGAAAGCACATTGAGATACTATTCCATAACCACAAGAATTGCTATAAAAATTAAGACAAGCAATAATAAATGTTGGCTAGGATGTAGAGAAATTGCAACATTCTTACATTGCTTGTGGGCTTGTATAATGGTGCAGCTGCTTTGTAAAACATTTTGGCAGCTCCTCAAAATGACAAACATAAACCTTCCATACAAGCAAGCAATTTCACTTCTGGGTACAAACCTAAGAGAAATAATGACAGGTGTCCACAACAATATTTTTATGCAAATATTCATAGCATTTGCATTATTTATAATAAAGCATTATTCATAATAGCCAAAAGCTGTAAAACAAAAACTTAAATGTCAATTGATTGATGAATGGATAGTCAATATATAGCGTATTGTTGGAGTGATCAGACCCAACACCAGGTTGTGGGGGTGACGAAGTCTGGCGGAGTCAAAGGAATGAGAAAAAGACAGTTTGAGAGATAAAGTGGGACTGTGGGGCCATTGCAAGCGTGGAGGCTGCGAAGGCCCTGAGCTCTGGGAGCCCACGCTATTTATTGTTGCTCAAACAAAGGAACAGGTGGTGAGGATGTGGGGGTTGAAAGGAAACAGTGTATCAAGTGAATGAGAAACATATGGCTGCTTGAGATAATGGGAGTACTAGAAGCAAGGAGCCAGCAAGTCTAGCAGACATGCAAGCCCTGCCTCAGTTTCTCTCCCAACACTCAGCTTTTCTCCCAATAGCGTATCCATAAAATGGAATACTATTTGGCAGTAAAAAGGAATGAGCTACTGACACATGCTACAGTATGGAGAATTCTCAACAACACACTAAGCGCAAAAAGCCAGACACACAGCTGGGCGCGATGGCTCACACCTGTAATCCCAGCATTTTGGGAGGCCAAGGCAGGTGGATCACCTGAGATCAGGAGTTCGAAACCAGCCTGGCAAACATGGCAAAGCCCTGTCTCTACCAAAAATACAAAAATTAGACGGGCATGCTGGCATGTGCCTGCAATCCCAGCTACTTGGGAGGCTGAGGCAGAAGAATCACTTGAACCCGAGAGGCGAAGGTTGTAGTGAGCCTTGATCGCAGCACTGCACTCCAGCCTGGGAGACAGAGCAAGATTCTCAAAAATTAAAAAAAAAAAATTAAAAAAAAAATTTTAAAAAGCCAGATACACAAGAGACCACATATTGTATAATTTAAAATAAAAAATGTCCAGCCGGGTGTGGTGGCTCATGCCTGTAATCCCAGCAATTTGGGAGGCCAAGGAGGGTGGATCACCTGAGGTCAGGAGTTCTAGACCAGCCTGGCCAACCTGGTGAAACCCCGTGTCTACTAAAAATACAACAAAATTAGCTGGGCATGGTGGTAGGCTCCTGTAATCCCAGCTACTTGGGAGGATGAGGCAGGAGAATTGCTTGAACCTGGGAGGCAGAGGTTGCAGTGAGCTGAGATCGTGCCGTCGCACTCCAGCCTGGGCAACAAGAGGGAAACTCTGCCTCAAAAAAAAATAATAAAAATAAAAATAAAAATGTGCAAAAGCATGTGTGGTGGTGCATACCTATAGTTCCAGCTACTCAGCAGGCTGAGGTAGGAAGATCCCTTGAGCCCAGGAGTTAGAGGCCAGCCTGGGCAAAATTGCAAGACCCTGTCTCAATAAAATAAAATAAAATGTCCAGTAAAGGTAAATTTATAGACAGAAAGTAGATTGGCAGTTGCCTGGCACTGGAGTTGGGGACAGGGTTAACTGAAAATGGGCATGAGGGATCACTTATTAGGTTAGTGCAAAAATAATTGCAGTTGTTGCCATTACTTTCTTTTTTGAGATGGAGACTTGCTCTGTTGCAGAGGCTGGAGTGCAGTGGCACCATCTCAGCTCACTGCAACCTCTCCCTCCAGGGTTGAAGCAATTCTCATGCCTCAGCCTCCCAAGTAGCTGGTATTATAGGCATGTGTCACCACAGCCAGCTAATTTTTGTATTTTTAGTAGAGACGGGGTTTTACCATGTTGGTCAGGCTGGTCTCAAACTCCTGACCTGAAGTCATCCACCCACCTTGGCCTCTCGAAGTACCAGGATTAGAGGCATGAGCCACCAACCTCTGCCTCCAAGGTTTAAGCAATTCTCCCACCTCAGCCTCCAGAGTAGCTGGGATCACGGGCATGTGCCACCATGCCCGGCTGATTTTTGTATTTTTAGTAGAGATGAGGTTTCACCATGTTGGCCGGGCTGGTCTCAAATTCCTGACCTCAGGTGATCCACCCACCCTGGCCTTCTAAAGTGCTGGGATTACAGACATGAGGCACCGTGCCTGGCCCGCAGTTACTTTTGCACCCCTAATAACTGGGGGCTACAAATGTCTTAGAACTGATTTTTCATGATGACTGTGCCACTTAGTAAAGTTGCTGAAGATCATTGAATTGTACACCTAAGATGGGTGAGTTTTATATGTAAAATATACTTTAATAAAGGCAATTTTAAAAACAAAGAATTGACTCAATGGTAGGGGCAGTAATCCAGATTTCAAAGAATAAGTGAAATTATTAGGTTAGGGGACCAGTTGGGTTAGGGGGGAAGTGTTTTAGGCAAGGAAACAAGTGCATCAGCAGAAGTCAGACTACTATTGTCTTGTTGGCCCTATAAAAAAAAAAAAAAAAAAAAAAGAAAGGCTTTTTCCTAAACACATTGGAAAGTCACTGGAGAATTATAACTATGTGAGTGTACGTGCATGTTGTGGAGGAGGGCCAGTAACATTATCAGCTCCTCTGACTACTTCATGAAGATGTGATAACAGAGGGGCCAAACCAGATGTGGAAGAACCAGCAGAAAGGCTATTTGTAGTTACTTCATGGTATGCACTCAAATGTGTCACTCTGCCCCAAAATTTATATATTGAAGTCCAAACCCCCAGAACCTCAGAATGTGACTCTATTTGGAGACAGTCTTTGAAGAGGTAATTAGGTTAAAATGAGGTCATGAGAGTGGGTGGCCGTAATCCGGTAGGACCAGTCCTTTTTCCTTTCTTTTTTCTTTTTTTTTTTTTGAGACAGGGTCTCTGTTACCCAGGCTGGAGTGCAGTGGCAGGATCAGGGCTCTCTGCAGCCTCAACCTCCTTGGCTCAAGCAATCCTCCCACCTCAGCCTCTCAAGTAACTGGGACCACAGGCACGTGCCACCACGCCTGGCTAATTTTCTTATGATAAATTGTTTTTTAATTTGGTGATGTGAACGTCATTGGTGACATGAAAGAGAGCTATTTGCGAGAAGTGATCAGAATAAAAGCCAAATTGGAGCAGGTTGAGAATTGAGTGAGAGGTGATAAAATGGAGTTAGTTGGTATAGACAACCCTTTCTTTCATTAGCTTTGTTTTTAATAACATAAGTACTACATATACTATATATATGTATATATATTCTTCTTTTTAAAAATTGAAACAGGCGAGGGGGTGCGATGGCTCATGCCTGTAATCCCAACATTTGAGGAGGCTAAGATGGGAAGATCACTTGAGGACAGGAGTTCGAGATCAACCTGAGCACCATAGCGAGACCCTGTCTCTACAAACAAAAACAAAAACAAATAGCTGGGCATGGTGGCATGACAGAGCAAGACCCTGCCTCAAAAATAAATTAATTAATAAAATAAAATTAAAAATTGATATATTACAGAGAAGACTAAAATCCCCTTTAACCACTGCCACCAATCTAGTCTTCTCCCCCACCTTTCAGAGGTAATCCTTGTTATTTGTTTGGTGTGTGTCCTTCCTGTTTTTTTCTAAGTAGTAATATATTATCATCATATATAATATAATTTTACATATACTTATATATATGTTTTACATATACATATTATGTATAGTATAACATGATGTATAGAATAAACTACTGCATTATTTTAACAGATACTTGATATTATATATTATGAGTATATCATAATTTATTTGGCCATTCCTCTACTGATGGTCATTTCAGTTGTTTTCATTTTTTCCCCAGTCACTAACAATTCTGCAAAAAAAAAAAAAAAAGCCTCATACATGCTCCCCTGGGCCTGTATGATGGTTCTTCTCTAGGGTAGACAACAAAAAGGGTATGCTTATTTAAAACTCTAATGGACAGACCGGGCATGGTGGTTCATGCCTGTAATCCTAGCACTTTGGGAGGTGGGCGGATCACTTGAGGTCACAAGTTCAAGACCAGCCTGACCAACATGGTGAAACCCTGTCTCTACTAAAAATGAAAAATTAGCCGGGCGTGGTGGCACATGCCTGTAATCCCAGTTACTCCGAAGGCTGAGGCAGGAGAATCATTTGAACCCGGGAGATGGAGGCTGCAGTGAGCCAAGATCGCGCCATTGCACTCCAGCCTGGGCAACAAGAGGGAAACTCCATCTCAAAAAAAAAAAAAAAAAAATTTCTAATAGACAGCTAGGTGCAGTGGAGCACATCTTTAGTCCCAGCTACTCAGGAGGTTGAGGCAGATGGATTGCTTGAGCCCAGGAGTTTCAAGCAGCCTGGGCAACTTAGTGGGACCCTGTATCTAAAAAATAAATAAAATAAAATAAAAATTTAATAGACACTATTTGCACTTTTTATGTTTTATTGATTGATTGATTGATTGATTGTTGATTGAAATGGAGTTTCACTCTGTCACCCAGGCTGGAGTGCAGTGGTGCGATCTCAGCTCACTGCAACCTCTACCTCTGCCTCCCGGGTTCAAGCCATTCTTGTGGGTCAGCCTCCCGAGTAGCTGGGACTACAGGTGCACGCCACCACACCTGGCCAATTTTTGTATTTTTTTTAGTAGAGATGGGGTTTCACCATGTTGACCAGGCTGGTCTTGAACTTGTGACCTCAAGTGATCCGCCCACCTCAGCCTCCCAAAGTGCTGGGATCACAGGCGTGAACCACCATGCCCGTCCTAGTATTGTTATTTATAAGCAAAATGTTTTATAGCAGATCTCTAGAACTTACTCATCTTGCATAATTGAAATTTAATGCACATTGATTAGCAACTACACATTTCCTCCCCTCCCTAGTCCCTGGCAACCAGCATTCTATTCTTTGCTTTTATGAGTTTGACTATTTTAGCTACTTCATACAAGTGGAATCATGTAGTATTTGTCCTTCTGTGACTGGCTTATGTCACTTAGCATAATGTCAATTCACCCATGCTGTCATATACTGCAGGATTTCCTTTATTTTTTATGCTGACGACTCTTTTAAGATGTTTGGCTGTGGAGGAGAGGAAAACTATCATGAGGTAACTAGAAGGACATGAACCATTAAGAGAGGAGTTTTTGTATATGAGAAAGGTTTGAGCATGTTTATGTATACAAGAAAGTTCCAGTTGAGAAGGAGTGGTTGAATACACAGGAGGGAAAAAAAGAACAATTAATGATATAAAATTCTTAAGAAGACACGGCCAGGCGTGGTGGCTCACGCCTGTAATCCCAGCACTTTGGGAGGCCGAGGTGGGTGGAGTTCAAGACCAGCCTGGCCAACATGGTGAAATCTCATCTTTACAAAAATACAAAAATTAGCCGGGCATGATGGTGGGTGGTTGTAATCACAGCTACTCAGGAGACTGAGGCGAGAGAATTGCTTGAACCCAGGAGGCAGAGGTTGCAGTGAGCCGAGATCAAACCATTGCACTCCAGTCAGGGCGACAGAGTGAGACTCCCTCTTAAAAAAAAAAAAAAAAAGGCAGAGAGAACATTATCTGAAGCACAAGTAGAAGGGTAGGCCTTAGATGAAAGGAGGTATTATTTTTTTCTGTTGCAGTGGTTCTCTAACCTGAGTGCACCAGAATTTTCCTGGAGGGATTGTTAAAGCATAGAATGCTGCCCCTTCCTTCACCCTACCCCATAATTTGTGATTCTGTAGGTTGGGGATGAGGCTGCAAATCTGCATTTCTAACTACTTCCCAGGCGGTGTTGATGCTGCTATTCTGGGGGAACTAACAACACTTTGGGAATCACTATTCTGTGTAGCAGGAGAAAAAGAAGATAGGATGGGTACAGAACTGGGTAGATATATATGTTTGGTAACCAGAAGATAAGGGAGTTCCTATCAGATGGCTTCTTTTTTCTCTGTAAAATAGGAGTTTGGGTCAAATATTAAAAGTGTGAGTGCAGGGGGGACTTGGTGCTGGAGTAGAAGGTTACAGAAGAATGGAATAGGTTTAACAAAAATGATTGCAGAAGGTAGGAGAGTGAATTGACCAAAGATGTAAAGTAGAATTGTTAGGTGATATATGGATCTGTCATTTGACATCTGTGATCATGAATTTTATAATAGACTCAATCTACTCCATTGAAAATCTGTGACTTTTTCCAGTTGATGTAGACAATGAATTAGTGGCTTCCACCAAGACTGAGGTTTTGTCACCCTAGTATCTCAAAAAAACATCCAATAGCTCATGCCAAAACCTGGAATCACCTTTGGTTCTGCCCCCATTCCCCACAGTCAATCCACTATCATTTTTTATTAATATTTAAATAAGATGGGGTCTTGCTATGTTGCCCAGGCTAGTGTTGAACTCCTGGGCTCAAACAATCCTCCCGCCTTGGCCTCCCAAAGTGATGGGTACAGGCATGAGCCACCACACCCAGCCATCCACTATCATTATTGATAGCTAACAATTAATATAGTGCTTCTGTGCTCTAGGAATGGTTCTAAATGCTTTGTGAATATTACTCCTCACACTTCCTATAAATATGACTATCCCCATTTTGTAAATGAGGAGACTGAGGCAGAGAGAGATTATGGATTTGCCCAAATTCACACAGCTAGGAAGTGGCAGAGCTGCGCTTCAAGCCAGGCAGTTATCACCAGAGTCCATGTTCTTAGCTAGGCTAGTGTGCATTGTTTCAACTTCCTAAATATATTTCTGATCTATCTACTTCTCTCCATCTCCATGACCACTAACCTAGTCTGAGTCACATCATCTCTCACTCAAACTACTGCCTTTAACTCCTAAGTGGTTTTCCAGCTTCCACACTTGGCCCCTTGTAACTCATTCTCCACACAGCTGCCAGAGTGGTCTTTCAAAAACATAAATCAGGCTGGGTGCGGTGGCTGGCGCCTGTAATCCCAGCACTTTGGGAGGTCGAAGTGGACGGATCACCTGAGGTCAGTAGTTCTAGACCAGCCTGGCCAACATGGTGAAACCCCGTCTCTACTAAAAATACAAAAATTAGCTGGGCATGGTGGCATGCGCCTGTAATCTCATCTACTGGGGAGGCTGAGGCAGGAGAATCACTTGAGCCCAGGGGGCGGAGGTTGCAGTGAACTGAGATAGCGCCATTGCACTCCAGCCTGGGCGACAGAGCGAGACTTCGTCTCAAAACAAAAACAAAAAACCTACAAATCAGCTCAAATTATTTTCCTGGATTAAAGTCCTTCAACGGCTTCTCATTCTTAGCCCAAACTCCCAGCCATGATTTACAAGGTTCTGGATGATCTGACACTTTCCTAACCCTCCAGCTTAATCATTTATCACTGTTATTCCTTGATTACTGTTTTCCAGCCATAGTGGCTTCATTTCAGTTCTTCAAATACATGAAATTATTTTCCTCAACAGAGCCTTTGCATATGCTGTTGTTATTGTCTACACTGTTCTTTCTACAGTTCTTCTCATGGGTGGTTGTTTCTCATCCTTGAACTCTCAGCTTCCATGAAACTTCTTTAGAGAGCTTTTCTCTGACTATTCGAAGTAGATTTCCTCCCCTTGCACATACATACTTTTTATTCTGTATTACTGCAACTTGTTTTTTTATAGCAGCTTTCACTTTTTGTTTGTTTTTTTGTTTATTTTCTCACTGCCCCCCACCCCCATCCTCACTAGACTGGAAGCTTCATGAGAGCAGGGGGCCAAATCTGTTGTATTCATTCACCATTGTATACCAGCCCTATACGATAGTGTCTAACGCATATTTGGTACGCAATAAATATTCATCAAGGGAATTAGTGAATGAATTTAAGGCAGCCAAGTGATAATGTCAAGTGGGAAGTTGGATATGCAAGTTGGGGAGCTCAAGACTAAGATTTGGCATAGAAATATAAATCTGAGAGTCTTAGGAATATTTATTGTAATTAACACCCTGGGAATGGATGAAATTGCCTAAGGAGTAAGGACAGAATGAAAAGACAAGAGGGTCTAGCGACAAAGCTGGAGAAACTTTAACATTTAAAGATCCACTACAGAAGAATGAACCATCAAAGTAGTTTGAGAATGAATGAATGCTTTTATTGTCAAATGAGTCAGTCTTTTCTTTCATGCCATCTGGATTTTATGTAAGGAAATCCTTTTGGTTCTACCTTCAAAATATATTCAGAAGCCAATTACTTCTTACCACCTCCACTGCTACCACTTTGATCCAAGGCACTATTTATAAAAGTCTCCTAACTGGTCTCCCTGCTTTCACCCTTGCTCCCTACAGTGTATTCTCAACACAGCAGCCAACGTGATCCTGTTGCAATGTAAGTAAGATACATCACTCCTGTGCTCTAAGCCCTCCAGTGACTTCCCATTTCACACACAGTAAAAGCCAAAGTCTACCATGGCCTACATGAACCTACATGATTTGACTCCTCTGCTACTTATCAACCTCATCTCCTACTACTACTCTTGTATTCTCCCACTCAGTTTTAGCCATACTGACCTCCTTACTGTTCTTAGAACATGGTAGGTATATTTCAGTCTTCCCAGCATGCTCTTCTCCTGGATATCTACGTGTTTACTTCCTCCTTTGTGTTTGCTTCAACGTCACCTCTCTTAAGCATGTGTGACTTTTTTGGTTTTTTTTTGAGATGAAGTCTCGCTCTGTCGCCCAGGCTGGGGTGCAGTGGCGCGATCTCAGCTCACTGCAACCTCTGCCTCCTGGGTTCAAGAAATTCTCCTGCCTCAGCCTCCTGAGTAGCTGGGACTACAGGCACGTGCCACCACACCTGGCAATTTTTTTTTTTTTTTTTTTTTGTATTTTAGTAGAGACGGGGTTTTCACCGTGTTAGCCAGGATGGTCCTGATCTCCTGACCTCATGATCAGCCCACCTTGGCCTCCCAAAGTGCTGGGATCAGAGGTGTGAGCCACCGCGCCCGGCCTTGTGTGTGGGTTTTTTGAGACAGAGTCTCTCTCTGTCGCCCAGACTGGAGTGCAGTGGTGCGATCTCAGCTCACTGGAGCCTCTGCCTCCCAGGTTCAAGCGATTCTCCTACCTCAGTCTCCCAAGTAGCTGGGATTACAGGCGGTCACCACCACGCCCGGCTAATTTTTGTATTTTTAGTAGAGACGGGGTTTTGCCATGTTAGCCAGGCTGGTCTCAAACTCCTGGCCTCAAGTGATCCGCCCACCTCAGCCTCCCAAAGTGCTGGGATTATAAGCGTGAGCCACTGCATCCAGCCCAATGTCACCTTCTTAGTGAGGCCAACTGTTTCAGATTTGTACTCTTCCACTTGTACTTCTTACTGCCCTGCACCCCACCCCGCCCCCCGACACCGCTATGCTCTATTTCTTTCATAGCACTTTCCACATTCAAACATACTTCTAATTTACTTATTTATTTGGCTTGCTGTTTATATTCTATATCCTCTCTCAGTCCGTTCAGGCTGCTATAACGAATTACCATAGACTGGGTCAATAAAAAGTTACTTCTTGGCTGGGCACGGTGGCTCACGCCTGTAATCCCAGCACTTTGGGAGGCCAAGGCAGGCGGATCAGCTGAGGTCTGGAGTTCGAGACCAGCCTGACCAACATGGAGAAACCTCCGTCTCTACTAAAAATACAAAATCAGCTGGGCATGCTGGCACATGTTTGTAATCCCAGCTACTCGGGAGGCTGAGGCAGGAGAATCGCTTGAACCCGGGAGGCGGAGGTTGCAGTGAGCCGAGATGGCACCACTGCACTCCAGCCTGGGCAACAAGAGCGAAACTCCATCTCAAAAAAAAAAAAAAATTACTTCTCACATTTCTGGAGGCTAGAAGCCCAAGATCGGAATGCCAGCATGGCTGGGTTCTGGTGAGGACCCTCTTCTGGGTTGCTTTAGGAAAAGAGCCTGTTGCATGGCAAGAGTGATGCCATCTTGGAAGTGAAACCGCCATGTGACTGATATGTTGTTGTTGTTTTTTTAATGACTTGATGTTTGACTCCTGCATACCAAAGTGTTGTTCTGCAGCAAGGTCTTAGAACAATGCCTGAAGCATAAATAACTCCTCATAAAGACACTTATCTAATTTCCCCAGCGGTGATGAGTTTTGGCAAGACAGTCTGAGATGTAACCAGTTGCACCTGCTTTACCCTAAAAGCTTGCTTAATAAGAATATTTTCTGGAGGGCGGGTGCACCGATCCACCATCTCGTGGCTGCCATAAGCATTGCTTTTCTTTGTAAGTCCCTATTAAATATTTTCTTTCTTTGTTTCTTTTTTTTGGAGACGGATTCTCACTTTGTCGCCCAGGCTGGAGTGCAGTGGCATGATCCTGGCTCACTGCAACCTCCACCTCCCAGGTTCAAGCGATTCTCCCACCTCAGCCTCCTGAGTAACTGGGATTACAGGCACACACCACCATGCCCAGCTAATTTTGTATTTTTAGTAGAGACAGGGTTTCATCATGTTAGCCAGGCTGGTCTCGAACTCCCAACGTGAGATAATCTGCCTGCCTCGGCTTCCCAAAGTGCTAGGATTACAGGTGTGAGCCACCACACCCGTCCTAAATATTTTCTTTCTGAGAAACTGGATTTGCCATTTCTTTCTTTCTTTTTTTTTTTTTTTTTTGAGATGGAGTTTCACTCTGTCGCCCAAGCTGGAGTGCAGTGGCGCGATCTCAGCTCACTGCAAGCTCTGCCTCCTGGGTTCACGCCATTCTCCTGCCTCAGCCTCCTGAGTAGCTGGGACTACTGGCGCCCGCCACCACACCTGGCTAGCTTTTTTGTATTTTTAGTAGAGACAGGGTTTCACCGTGTTAGCCAGGATGGTCTCGAACTCCTGACCTCATGATCCGCCTGCCTTGGCCTCCCAAAGTGCTGGGATTACAGGCGTGAGTCACCGCGCCTGGCCTGGATTTGCCATTTCTTTGGCCTCTCGCTTCGCTCAGGTTTTGGGGGTAGGTTTGTATATACCTGTTCGCCAAGGAACAGTTGCTGACTGCTGACTTCTCCGTGTGTACTTACTAGGAGAAAGAGGTGAGGGTCACTCTGTGGTCTTTTACATAAAGGCACTAATCCCATTCATGATGGCTCCACCTGCCTTCCTGACCTAATCACTTCCCAAAGGCCCCACCTCCTAATACCATCACCTTGGAGGTTAGGAGTTCAATATATGAATTTTAGCTGTGTATAGTGATCAGTGCCTGTAGTCCCAGCTATTCCAGAGGCTGAGGCAGGAAGATCTCTTGAGCCCAGAAGTTGGAGGCCGCAGTGAGCTAGGATCACACCACCGCACTCCAGCCTGGGTGACAGAGTGAGACCCAGTCTCTTAGAAGAAAAAAAAAAAAAAAGGAAGAAGAGGCTGGGCGCGGTAGCTCATGCCTGTAATCCCAGCACTTTGGGAGGCTGAGGTGGGCGGATCACCTGAGGACAGGAGTTCGAGAGACCAGCCTGGCCAGTATGGTGAAACCCCATCTCTACTAAAAATACAAAAAATCACTGGGTGTGGTGGTTCAATCCCAGCTACTCGGGAGGCTGAGGCAGGAGATTCGCTTAAAGCCGGGAGGCAGAGGTTGCAGTGAGCCAAGATCACACCATTGCACTTCAGCCTGAATGACAGACCGAGACTCCGTCTCAAAAAAACAAAAAACAAAAACAATATATTAATTTGGGGAGCATACAAACATTTAAACCATAGCACCCCTTCAATAAAATGTTTGCACCAGGCGAGCAGGGATTGTTGTCTTTTTGTTCACTGATGTATTCCCAGCACCTAAAACAGTGCTGGCACATAGTAGGCATTGAAAAAATATGTGCTAAAAGAATGAATAAATGTATAAATCGTCTTCATGACAAGATTATAAAAGCATCTACCCATTTTTTTCTAGTCTTCAATGGTTTTATTGTTTACATTTAAATCTTTGAGCTGAAATTTATTTTGGAGTAAAAAGTGTGGCATGGATCCAGATATTTTCCCTTCAAATGGCTCTCTAATTGTCTTGACACAATTTATTAAACAATTCATCGCACCCCCTCCCCATCAAATGTTTCTTCTTTTTTTTTTATTTTTATTTTTATTTTTTATTTTTGAGATGGTGTTTTGCTCTTGTTGCCCAGGCTGGAGTGCAGTGGCGCGATCTTGGCTCACCACAACCTCTGCCTCCCGGGTTCAAGCGATTCTCCTGCCTCAGCCTCCTGAGTAGCTGGGATTTCAGGCATGCGCCGCCATGCCCGGCTAATTTTGTATTTTTAGTAGAGATGGGGTTTCTCCATGTTGGTCAGGCTGGTCTTGAACTCCCGACCTCAGGTGATCTGCCCGCCTCGGCCTCCCAAAGTGCTGGGATTACAGGCGTGAGCCACCACACCTGGTCTTTTTTTCAGACAGAGTCTTGCCCTGTCACCCAGGCTGGAGTGCAGTGGCACGATCTCGGCTGACTGCAACCTCTGCCTCCTAGGTTCAAGCGATTCTCATGCCTCAGCCTCCCAAGTAGCTGAGACTACAGGCGCGTGCCACCACCCCCCACTAATTTTTGTATTTTTAGTAGAGAGGGGATTTCACCATATTGGCCAGGCTGGTCTCAAACTACTGACCTCAAGCAATCCACCTGCCTTGCCCTCCCAAAGTGCTGGGATTACGGGCATGAGCCACCATGCCTGGCCCAAATGTTTCTTAAGGCATACTTTGGTTCCTTTTAATTGGATATGAAGTTTGGTTAAAATGCATCATCTCCTTCATTGTGGAGAAAGATACAGTAGAATTTTATCTTTATTTAGTCAGTTCCAAGATAGATACCAGAGCCATATGTTGGTTAAAAAGTTTTTATTTCTTGCTCTTTGTAGCTAAGCTAAGTAGGCTATCTTCTGGATGGTGGCTACTTAAAGTGGTTTGGAAAGTTTCCCAATTTTTAATCACATCTACTTCTTCCTTCCCTTCTTCCTTCCTGCTTTGCACAAGATTACAGACTTTTTTTTTTTTTAACATGTGGCAGGGTTATCTTTCTGTAGTTTGGAGAACAAGCATAACTGGAAACAGAGTGACATTACGAATGCCCTTCCTGTAAAAATGCAAGCCTGACAGGAGAACTTCAGTTTACTCATCCCAGAGTGATTCCTAGTTTGATGTTTGATGACTGAAAGGTTATTTCTTTTTTCTTTTTTTCTTTTCTTTTCTTTTTTTTTGAGATAGTCTCGCTCTGTGGCCCAGGCTGTAGTGCAGTGGTGTGATCTCGGCTCACTGCAAGCTCCACCTCCTGGGTTCACGCCATTCTCCTGCCTCAGCCTCCTGAGTAGCTGGGACTACAGGCACCCGCCACCACGCCCAGCTAATTTTTTGTATTTTTAGTAGAGACAGGGTTTCACCGTGTTAGCCAGGATGGTCTCGATCTCCTGACCTCGTGATCTGCCCACCTCAGCCTCCCAAAGTGCTGGAATTACAGGCATGAGCCACTGTGCCCGGCCTGAAAGGTTATTTCTTAAATTTAATTGGTTGCAACTTTTAAAAGTATGGGTTTGTTTATTGTTTTTCCTTTTTTAATATAAAATATGAGCCCCTTGAAATTAAATCAGGATTTAAGACAAGGCCACCAGTATTTATTACATAATTCCAGCCAAGTGTGGTGGCTCACGGCTGTAATCCCAGCACTTTGGGAGGCCGAGGCAGGTGAATCACCTGAGGTCAGGAGTTCGAGACCAGAAACCCCATCTCTACTAAAAATACAAAAAAATTAGCCAGACGTGGTGGTGCACACCTGTAATCCCAACTACTCAGGAGGCTGAGGCAGGAGAATCGCTTGAACCCAGGAAGTGGGGATTGCAGTGAGCTGAGATTGCACCACTGCACTTCAGCCTGGGCGACAGGGTGAGACTCCATCTCAAAAATAAAATAAAATTAAATTAAATTAAAATAAAATACAATAAAATAAAATAAAAACTTCCTATGCACCCATCTCATGCTAAGTGCCATGAAGAATAAGAAGAGCTTGCAAGTCAATTCAGCCATTTATTTAGCACTGATTATATTCCAAGATTACCTAGTAGTGAAGTAATATCGTTTGACTCAGTGTATCCGTCGATCACTGAGATGGCATCTGAAGACAAAATAATAAGGCAAAGGGAAAATTATAGCAAAGAGAAAAACGCAACTACATTTAATGACAATATAAAAGAGTAAATAGAAAGAGGCAAAGAGAAAAATCTAGAAGATCCATGAGGAGGAGGGATGGGATTCGGAAATTACTTTTGGGCAGTGTGAGACCTGCTTATCCAACTGCCTGTTGGCCAGAGTCCCTCACACTCAGCACGCCCACGTCCCCCCTCTCCTGCATTACATCAGCAATACCCTTCTGATTTGTCTCCCTGCTTCCTGTCTCTCCCTCCCCCAATACAGTCTCCAGACTGCAACCACAGTAATCTCATTAAGATGAAATCTGATTACCTTACTCCACCTCTTAAAAAGGCTCCCCTCTCGGCCAGGCTCAGTGGCTCACGCCTGTAATCCCAGCACTTTGGGAGGCCGAGGTGGGTGGATCACCTGAGGTCAGGAGTTCGAGACCAGCCTGGCCAACATGGCGAAACCCCGTCTCTACTAAAAGTACAAAAATTAGCCTGGCATGGTGGTGGACACCTGTAATCCCAGCTACTTGGGAGGCTGAGACAGGAGAATCGCTTGAACCCGGGGGGCGGAGGTTGCAGTGAGCTGGGATTGCGCCACTTCACTCCAGCCTGGTCGAAAGAGCGAAACACCGTCTCAAAAAAAAAAAAAAGGCTCCCCTCTCCATTGCCCTCTAGATCTAGTCAGTAGCACTCTGCTTCCCCCACAAGCTGCTTCTTTTTCCTCTCTGTCCTGGACGATATGGCCAACTGATCCCCTCCTACAATTCCTTTAACTTAGCCATCCCCACCCCACCCACTCGCTTTTGGTCCTTGGGAATTGTGTTTGCATCCAACACCGCCAGCATGCTACTTCTCCTCCCCCACATTCCTGGGTGTGAACTGCAGAGGCCAAAGTGAGCTGGTCTACGGGGATGCACATTTCCTTTTTGAGACCCAGGAGGACAGGGTTATCTATTGTCGAGCCTGCCCCATTTTGCCCTAGACTAGAGGAGACCTGATTTACACTCAGAGCCTAGAGGAGAGTCCTGTAGTCTCTCTTTGGATTTGAGACAGAGAAAGAGAGTGCCTGCTTCCACAGGGTGAGGGATTTCTCCTGGCTACCTCTGGGAGTACAAGTTCTGCTTGCTGAGCCTGGTATTTAAGCCATTTTTGCCAGTTCCCAAATGACTCCAGAGTCTATAATTTACAGAACTCATTCAAAAGGCAAATGGACATGAGTTTTGCCTTACTTTTTATTATTTGGCTGGGGGAAAAAAAACAAGAACAAATATTCTTGTCCTACTGGGCATTACTCCCCCTATTAATGTTAATAATTCAGAGCTGGTTTCGAAGCTCCTTGGGGGCTTTTACCCGTGACCTGAATATTATTTACTACAACCTGCCTGGCATATACCAAAATTCACCATGGGCAGGTAATTGTAACTATGAAGAAGAAAAGGCCCGGCACGGTGGCTCAGGCCTGTAATCTCAGCACTTTGGGAGGGCGAGGCGGGCGTATCACCTGAGGTCAGGAGTTTGAGACCAGCCTGGCCAACATGGTGAAACTCTGTCTCTACTAAAAATACAAAATTAGCCGGGCATGGTGGCGTATGCCTGTAATCCCAGCTACTCAGGAGGCGGAGACGGGAGAATCGCTTGAACCCGGGAGGCAGAGGTTGCAGTGACCCAAGATCGCACCAGTGCACTCTAGCCTGGGCAATGAGAGCGAACCTCTTTCTCAAAAAAACAAAAAAACAAACAAAAAAAAAAGGAGAAGAAGAAGAAGAAAAGTGAAAATTGTCCATAAATTCTACCACTCCAAGATAAACTGGTAACATTTTGGCATATTTCCTCCCAGTTATTTTGTCTCCATATGTATTTTTTTAATAGCTCATATTATGTGATCTTGGGCCTTCTTTTCCCACTGTACTCTCTTGTTTGGTGGTTTCATTCATTCTGATGGCTTTTATTACATCTCTGAGATGATAATTTAGCACAGATCTATGCTCTGAGCTTCAGATTTTTCTGCCCCTATATCCCAAACTTGCTCCTCTGAAACCATTTTGGTAAATGACTGTTACCATCTGTCCCACTAATACCAGATACTTGGAGTCATCCATAATGATTTTCTTTTTCCGCAATTCTTCCCCACCCCTTTCCCATCTGTCTTAGTCCATTCCTGCTACTATAACAAAATACCATAAACTGGCTGGCTTATAAACAACAGAAATTTATTTCTCACATTTTTGTAGGCTGGGAAGTCCAAGATAAAGACGCCAGCATATTCAGTGTCTGGTGAGGGCCCACCACCACCAGTTTTCTGGTTCATATAAGTGGCACCTCACTGTGTTCTCACATGGTGGACAGGGGCCTCTTTTATAAAAGTGTTAATCCCATTCATGAGGACCCTACCCTTTTGTGACCTAATCTTCTCCCCAAATCCCCGCCTCCTAATGCCATCACCTTGGGTATTAGGATTTCAACATATGAATTTGGGGGAGGACACAAACATTTAGACCATAGCACCATTAAACACGATACCTATCATATTCATCTAACAATTGTTCTTTCCTCCCCGTGTCCACTGCCGCCACCCTGATTCAAGCCACCATCCTCTCTTTCTGGTCTGCTCCCACAGCCCTATTAGTGTCCTTTTTCCCACACTTACCCCCTACAGTCATTTAATGGGCTCAAAGGTCCTGCCAATCTTGGCTCCCTCATTTCATGCCCCTCATATTCTTGTCACCTGGCCCTCTTTCTGTCCCTTGATATATGCCAAGCTCTTCCTCTCTACTTTGTGTTTACTATTCTCTTCTTTTCCTGAAGGTTTTTCCCTCAGCTGTTCCCATAGCTAGTTTCTTTTCTTCCTTCAGCTCTGATCTCCAAAGTCACCTCTTCACATAGACCTTCCCTGATGTTTTAATCAAATTTGTTCTCCCTAATATTGTCCATCAAAGCAACTAGTTTATTTCCTCCCTGGCATTAATCACAACATGCCATTCTTTTGTTAATTGTATTCAATTTCTTTAAGAAAAAAATTAAAAAATTTTTTGGTTTCCCCCCTCAACAAGTAGGATGGGCAGATGAAATATAGAATGCTCAGTTAAATTTGAATTTCCGATAAACAGCGAATTTTTAAAATATGAGATTTGGGACATACTATACTAAAAAAAGTATTCGTTATCTGAAATTTAAACTTAACTGGGCGTCCCTTTTTTTTTTTTTAGACGAAGTCTCGCTCTGTTGCCAGGCTGGAGTGCAGTGGTATGATCTTGGCTCACTGCAACCGCCGCCTCCTGGGTTCAAGCAATTCTCCTGCCTCAGCCTCCCGAGTAGCTGGGACTACAGGCACACGCCGCCACGCCCGGCTAATTTTTTTATTTTTTATTTTTATTTTAGTAGAGACGGGGTTTCACCATGTTGCCCAGGCTGGTCTCAAACCCCTGAGCTCAGGCAATCTGCCCGCCTCGGCCTCCCAAAGTGCTAGGATTACAGGCATGAGCCACCGCGCCCCGGCCGCGTCCCATATTTTTATTTAAAATTTTTTAACAGCTTCGCAGAATAAATTAGCGTCCCGCATTTTCTTTTTTATTTTGAGACGGAGTCTCGCTCTGTCGCCTGCCCAGGCTGGAGTGCGGTGGCGCAGTCTTGGCTCACTGCAACCTCCGCCTCCCGGATTCTCCTGCCTCAGCCTCCCGAGTAGCTGGGACTACAGGCGCGTGCCACCACGCCTGGGTAATTTTTTGTATTTTTAAAAAGAGACGGGGTTTCACCGTGTTAGCCAGGATGGTCTCCATCTCCTGACTTCGTGATCCACCGACCTTGGCCTCCCAAAGTGCTGGGATTACAGGCGTGAGCCACTGCACCCGGCCTGGTATTTTCATTTATTAAATCCGGCATCCTTACCCACAGGCCTGACTCTTGTCTTTTCCCTGGAGTTGTATTTTCCTGGCCTAGCCCAGAGCCCACCATTTACAAGGTGCTCAGTAATTGTTCTATATGAATGTACTATCTGCATGCTGTTTTGTACGTTTTTTACTCATCTGAAATTTACATGTATTTATCAGAAATTCCCACACTCACTAAAAACACTTGTTAAAGACAATTTTTGAAAATATATTATATTGCCAAAACTTCTTTGTTTTCCGTTTCTGCAAAATTGGTATAGTAGGAGTATCTACCCTCATCACATTTTGACAATTAGAAGAGTTAATGGAAAAGTAAAAGTAAAGTTTTGCACCGTGCCCGGCCCACTAGGACGCTCAATAAACTTCAGTTCTTTATTAAAGGAAGCCTGTGCACCATTTTAGCGTAAAGCAAAAAAAGCGCGTTTGTAAAGAACGGGTGGGGGTAGAGAAAACGGTTAGAAAGGTCTGTCGACCCAACACCGAGGGCCCGGGAAAAAGGGAGGAGAGAAGGGTGAATGACAGAGGAGCCAGCCAATGGGGAGACTGGGAACTACTTCCCCCCTCCCTTTGCGTTTCAAATTCTAAGCTCCGTTTCCATCCGGGTCCTTCAGCCTCGTTCCCGGGCAGTATAAAGTTTGCTGTCTCCTTTGTTCGCCCTCGTTGCGCAGTAGTGCTAGCGGCTTCGCGGTTCGGTCCTCGCACCCGGCAGCCGCCACTGGTGCTGAGCTGCTAGGAAGCCCCTATCGCCGAGCTCGTTGGAGCTTGAACCCATTGTCACCCCTCCGGTACGTGTCTCCTTTCCTCAGTCCGTTTTTCGTGACACTCTCCCCGTGTTAGGACTGGGGATTATATCTCCCTGGAGATGGGGGTGGCGGGCGCCATTTTAAGAACCCAAAGGTTCCGACCTATTTAAATAAAGCTGAGGGGGTCGAGGGAAAACAAATGAGGGGGCCCGTTTGGTTGTATGCTTCTCGAGAAAGTTTGGCTGCCATCTGCGGGAGTTGGTAGCGGAGGTCGGGGCTTTGTAGGCTGGAGCGGGGCGAGGAGCGACCGCACCACGGCGATACCTGCATTGGTATGGCGCTGGCGCTAATGATGGGCATGTGGACTTCCATGCGGGCTGCGGGCTTCGTATTCATTGGCGGCCCCGGAGAAGAAGCCCTCTGAATGTTCCCAGCCAATGTTGGTGGTAAAAGTTAGTCCCCTGACCAGTGTCGGTGGTTCTGGGTTGAATCCAAGTGTCGCCATTTTGTCTTTTACACGCGGTTTTTAATGACGAGTTTTAATTAGGTTCCGCTGCAGTCACGGAGTGTCGAGTGTTAGTGTGTGCGTCCGCGTTCCGTTACTTAATAGCAAACGATGTTGACGATTTGTTTTTATCTTTTTGGCCGGATAGTAGAATTTTCGGTAGGGCGGGGGCCGGTGAAGAAGAGGGGCGGCATAACTTGGCTTAAACTTCACATTTCTCCTTGGATTTAGTAGGGAATCCTAATGAGGAAAAGAGGAGTCGTTGGAAGAGGGCTTGGTGTTAAGGTCCTGTGTCTAGCCTGTGACCTTGGGAGTCTTTTAAAACCATCGTTAGGAAGGGTGTGATGAGTAATTGAATCTTTCAAAGGCAAGAGGACTGGAACTAAAAGTTGCTTTTTCAAATGTTAAGCAGCTGTTGCTTAAGAACAGCTAAGGGTGATCAAGGGTAGTGGTAAAAGTTAAGTTGGCCCTTTTAACCAGTTTTATGTAAATTGCAGTGTTACTAAACTACTTAGTTCAAATTGCTTCCTACTGTGGCTGAGGCTTAGCTCGTTATCGTTTTCTTTAGTTATTAAGGAACAATGGTTTTAGTGGAAAATATGAGAAATGTGCGAAAGTAAAAGTGTCCAATAAACTTGAGGAACTTTTTGCAGTGAGGTAATACTATTCCTTTTCAACAGACTCACCGGCCCAAAAAAAAAAAAACATGGTTGAAGCAGATCGCCCAGGAAAGCTCTTCATTGGTGGGCTTAATACGGAAACAAATGAGAAAGCTCTTGAAGCAGTATTTGGCAAATATGGACGAATAGTGGAAGGTGAGTTGTCTGGCAGTACAGGCTGGGCTATTATAATTAAAATATAAGCTATGATGAATTTGATTGCATTGATCGTCTGACATGATAATGTATTTTTGTCCTCTAAGAAGTTCTGAGCTTTCTGTTTACACATTTACTTTGGTTATTTCATTTGACCTAGGGTAACACTTTATTTTTCTGAAAACTACTTTTTAGTACTCTTGATGAAAGACCGTGAAACCAACAAATCAAGAGGATTTGCTTTTGTCACCTTTGAAAGCCCAGCAGACGCTAAGGATGCAGCCAGAGACATGAATGGAAAGGTGAGATTGTCTACACGATGGATGATAACCTGTTACTAGTGCATAAAATAACATGTAGTTGTCCAAGTCTGGTCTAGGACAGCTTTTGAGTTTTCGTTGTTTTTCAGTATATACCTGTCTGGGATCCACTCATCCTGTTTGTGATCCTGTTCCAAAGAGTATTCTGTAATTGCAGAACCAAATCTAGTAGTGAGTTATATCTTATGCTCGTAACATTCTCTCAGTTCAGAATAATTATGGCATTACATGGTACTTTTTTTTTTTTTTTTTTGATAGTCTCCCTCCGTTGCCTAGCCTGGAGTGCAATGGTGCAGTGCCCACTGCAGCCTGTCTCCCGAGTTCTAAGCGATTTTTCTGCCTCAGCCCCCCCCCCCCCCCCCAGTAGCTGGGATTACAGGCATGCGCGACCACGCCCGGCTAACTTTGTATTTTTAGTAGAGACAGGGTTTCACCATGTTGGCCAGGCTGGTCTCAAACTCCTGACTTCAGGTGATCCAGCTGCCTCCGCCTCCCAAAGTACTGGGATTACAGGTGTGAGACACTGCGAGCCACTGCGCCCAGCCAACATGATACATTTTATCTTGAGATCCATAAGCCATATTTTGATAACTTGGCTTTTGGTTTTGGCTACTAGTTTTGATAACAAGCTGATACCTACTTGGCCTTGTTTTAAATTTTACCATACAATAATGCAGTGGGTTCACCTTATGTTTCAATCCAGATCATCAGTATCGGTTTTAAGTATTAAGAATTTTAAGCGGAAAAGCCCCATTTATGTAAACTGACTATATTTGCAGTGTTTTTTCTTAGACTAATGAGCAACACTTACCCATAACTGCATTTTGAAGGACCAGTTAGTGTCTTAGTGCATAGTAGATGTGCAAATTATTTTTAAATCTTGATTTAATTTAATCGTATCTTTTTTTTTAGTCATTAGATGGAAAAGCCATCAAGGTGGAACAAGCCACCAAACCATCATTTGAAAGTGGTAGACGTGGACCGCCTCCACCTCCAAGAAGTAGAGGCCCTCCAAGAGGTCTTAGAGGTGGAAGAGGAGGAAGTGGAGGAACCAGGGGACCTCCCTCACGGGGAGGACACATGGGTAATAACTTGCGTGGACCTCGGGTTTGGTGTATAAGTTAGGGACTGCAAGCTCACACCAAGTGGATGCTTTGGTTAAGTCCTTGAGGAAAGGTGCCAACTTTTGAAATTGACAACACTTGTTCATCTACCAAAGTGATTGCCAATTGAAAGCATGGGAAGCATGTTTTAGATTATGGTGTTAAACCGTGGACAGTGTTACTTCTTGTCCAAGTAGTTCACTCTGTAGGAAAGGCATTTAAAAATTGATAGGCCAGGGTGTTGGACATGAAAATGAAATCATTTTTATTTTTTAAAGTTAGCTGGGCGTGGTGGCAGGTGCCTGTAATCCCAGCTACTACGGAGGCTGAGGCAGAAGAATCACTTGAACTTGGGAGGCAGAGGTTGCAGTGAGTTGAGATCGTGCCACTGTACTCCAGCCTGGGGGAACAGCGAGACTCCCTCTCAAAAAAAAAAAAAAAAAGTTTTTTAAGACTACCTTCAGTTCTTATTTCCCCAGTTTCTATGACTGCAGTGCATGCTCCATCAAGTACAAGTGAAACTAGACTACCCAAATCAATAATGGTTTTTTTTTGGGGGGGGGGGGGTAGAGTTTAGCACTTGTTGCCCAGGCTGAAGTGCAGTGGCACGATCTTGGCTCACCACAACCTCTGCCTTCCAGGTTCAGGCGATTGTCCTGCCTCAGCCTCCCAAGTAGCTGGGATTACGGGCATGCACCACCACACCTGGATTTTTGTATTTTTAGTAGAGACAGGATTTTACCGTGTTAGACTGGTCTTGAACTCCTGACCTCAGGTGATCCGCCCGCCTTGGCCTCCCAAAGTGCTGGGATTACAGGCGTGAGCCATTGTGCCCGGCCCAATAATGGTCATATTCTTGATGAAGCAAAGAAAACTTTTATAGTGGCCGAGCCTGGTGGCTCACACCTGCAATCCCAGCACTTTGGGAGGCTGAGGCAGGCGGATCACAAGGTCAGGAGTTCGAGACCAGCCTGGCCAGCATGGTGAAATCCTGTCTCTACTTAAAAAAAACCACCAAAAATTAGCTGGGTGTGGTGGCGCACACCTGTAATCCCAGCTACTCGGGAGGCTGAGGCAGGAGAATTGCTTGAACCCAGGAGGCAGAGGTTGCAGTGAGCCGAGATGAAGCCACTGCACTCCAGCCTGGGCGACAGTGAGACTCTCAAAAAAAAAAAAAAACTTTTATATCTTTCTTGATTCTTGTGAGTAGTAATATTTTTCTTTTCTATTTTTGATGCAGATGACGGTGGATATTCCATGAATTTTAACATGAGTTCTTCCAGGGGACCACTCCCAGTAAAAAGAGGACCACCACCAAGAAGTGGGGGTCCTCCTCCTAAGAGATCTGCACCTTCAGGACCAGTTCGCAGTAGCAGTGGAATGGGAGGAAGAGGTAAATGTTCCATGTATGATGATTTATGCTACTACCGTAACACAAAGAATTGAGAGGTGAATGATGCTTAAAATTTTAATTGGCCAGGCGTGGTGGCTCACGCCCGTAATCCTAGCACTTTGGGAGGCCGCGGCAGACGGATCACGGTGTCAAGAGATCAAGACCATCCTGGCCAATGTGGTGAAACCCCGTCTCTACTAAAAAATACAAAAATTAGCTGAGTGTAGGGCGGGTTCCTGTAATCCCCGCTACTTGGGAGGCCGAGGCAGGAGAATTGTTTGAACCTGGGAGGCAGAGGTTGCAGGGAACCGAGATCATGCCACTGTCCTCCAGCGTGGCAACAGAGTGAGATTCTGTCTCCAAAAAAAAAAAAAAAACAAAAAAAAAAAACTTTATTCATGGAGTCTGGGTGCGGTGGCTCACGCCTGTAATCTTGACACTTTGGGAGGCTGAGGTGGGCAGATCATGAGGCCCGGAGTTCGAGGCCAGTCTGGCCAACGTGGTGAAACCCTGTCTCTACTAAAGATACAAAAGTTAGCTGGGCGTGGTGGTGGGCACCTGTAATCCCAGCTACTCGGGAGGCTGAGGCAGGAGAATCACTTGAACCCAGAAGGCAGAGGTTGCAGTGAGCCAAGATTGCGCGACTGCACTCCAGCCTGGGTGACAGAGCGAGACTCCCATCTCAAAAAAAAAAAACAAAACTTTTAGTCATGTGTTCTAGGTGATTAGATAAATGGAATTAGCACTGAAAAAAATTTAAAATATGAATGGGAAATTGTAGAAAATAAAATTAGGTGATCTAGCCTCCGTAATGTCATCTTTGAAGTCAGTCTCATTATTTTTCATAGCCTGAATGTAAGTTCACGTTTTAACTTTTTTCTCTGGCTATGTTTAAAAAAATGATATTTTTCCTTAAGCTCCTGTATCACGTGGAAGAGATAGTTATGGAGGTCCACCTCGAAGGGAACCGCTGCCCTCTCGTAGAGATGTTTATTTGTCCCCAAGAGATGATGGGTATTCTACTAAAGACAGGTAATAGAAAAGTGCAGCTTTTTAAATTAATAATTAAGGTTGAAGGAAAGCTTATCAAAAGCATAAACCAAAACTTTTGCTTTGTAGCTATTCAAGCAGAGATTACCCAAGTTCTCGTGATACTAGAGATTATGCACCACCACCACGAGATTATACTTACCGTGATTATGGTCATTCCAGTTCACGTGATGACTATCCATCAAGAGGATATAGGTAAGTGACTTTGCTTCTGTGGCTTACATGTAAGAAAAGTTGCAATGAAAGTTGATTCTCTGGGACTTAAAGGTTTCTCTTTAATTTAGCGATAGAGATGGATATGGTCGTGATCGTGACTATTCAGATCATCCAAGTGGAGGTTCCTACAGAGATTCATATGAGAGTTATGGTAAGATACTGGTTAAGGGTCTTTAGTATCACCAGCTTGAGTTTTTAGGTTCGTGAGCCAGTTTATTAGGCTGTGTGGTGCTTGCTTTTAAAGGGATGTTTGCTTGCTTTTAAAGGGGTAACTTTATCAGCTGGGCTTTTCCTAGTTTTGTGAGGGGCTTTTTTTGTTTTTCTAAGTTTCTTTTGAGGCTGTTTGCTTGCTTTGGAGGGGATTTTGCTTGCTTAAATTGGCAGCCTTATGTGTTTTCCCCCAACAGTGAAAATACAATTTAAAAATTTTATTAACAAGATCAAATATTTACCATTGCAATATGAAGGCAAGTTCTACAGTTCAAAATTGCAACTTATCACTGGAAAGTGGCTGAGTGTCTACTATAAAATAACAAGCTCTCTGGAATATCCTCTTGAAATACACACCGTCTTCAGTCTTTTCAAACAAACATTAAAATGAATCCAATTCCATATCTCAGCAGATGAGCAAATCCCTGTTATGGCCAGCAATGGCAGAGTTTAAAACCTCCCACCCAGTTGAGAAAGTAAACTTTTAATACAAGAATTCTGTAAATTCAGATTTAAAATGTTGTATATATACAATTTATAGTGTTGCCATATTACCTGACCATTGACCCTGCAGGTAACTCACGTAGTGCTCCACCTACACGAGGGCCCCCGCCATCTTATGGTGGAAGCAGTCGCTATGATGATTACAGCAGCTCACGTGACGGATATGGTGGAAGTCGAGACAGTTACTCAAGCAGCCGAAGTGATCTCTACTCAAGTGGTCGTGATCGGGTTGGCAGACAAGAAAGAGGGCTTCCCCCTTCTATGGAAAGGGGGTACCCTCCTCCACGTGATTCCTACAGCAGTTCAAGCCGCGGAGCACCAAGAGGTGGTGGCCGTGGAGGAAGCCGATCTGATAGAGGGGGAGGCAGAAGCAGATACTAGAAACAAACAAAACTTTGGACCAAAATCCCAGTTCAAAGAAACAAAAAGTGGAAACTATTCTATCATAACTACCCAAGGACTACTAAAAGGAAAAATTGTGTTACTTTTTTTAAATTCCCTGTTAAGTTCCCCTCCATAATTTTTATGTTCTTGTGAGGAAAAAAGTAAAACATGTTTAATTTTATTTGACTTTCGCATTGCTTTTCAACAAGCAAATGTTAAATGTGTTAAGACTTGTACTAGTGTTGTAACTTTCCAAGTAAAAGTATCCCCTAAAGGCCACTTCCTATCTGATTTTTCCCAGCAAATGAGGCAGGCAATTCTAAGATCTTCCACAAAACATCTAGCCATCTAAAATGGAGAGATGAATCATTCTACCTATACAAACAAGCTAGCTATTAGAGGGTGGTTGGGGTATGCTACTCATAAGATTTCAGGGTGTCTTCCAACTGAAATCTCAATGTTCTCAGTACGAAAAACCTGAAATCACATGCCTATGTAAGGAAAGTGCTATTCACCCAGTAAACCCAAAAAAGCAAATGGATAATGCTGGCCATTTTGCCTTTCTGACATTTCCTTGGGAATCTGCAAGAACCTCCCCTTTCCCTTCCCCCAATAAGACCATTTAAGTGTGTGTTAAACAACTACAGAATACTAAATAAAAAGTTTGGCCAAAACCAACCATGAAGCTGCAAAGGTGCTTGCTCTTACTGTTTCAAATTTTTGCAACTCTGTAGTGTCTCACTTTTAAAGGAACAGCTTGATTGCAAAGGAGAAAATAGATAAGCAATGAAGTTATCTCCAACTTCCTAAAGGCTTATGACTTCTAAAAAGTGAATCTATCAGCATTCCACATCAGATTTAAAGCATCAAATGCCTGTGAAACAGCAAAGATGGTAAGCAAAGCAAACTAGTTTTTCCGTCTAAGTCGAAATTGAACACTTACCTTCCTCATAGTACAGTGAAACATACTGTACCTCAAGGCAATGGAAATGCCTTCTAGATTAAAAAAAACTTTTGGAAAAAAGAAATATTCAATAGCGTATTAGAAGTCCTCCAAATTCAACACTTGGATTTTTTTTTTTTTTTTTTAAAGCATGTGTGACACTTAAAGGCTTTATTAATAGAGCTGTTGTTTACCAATGGCGATCTGGGGCTTGGGAGGGGGTATTTTTTTCAAAGTCCATTTTTGATGAAGACCTTTAAACATGCTTCGTATGTTTTTAACATTTTTTTCAAATTAGTCTTTTAGTCAATATAGGAAATGGCTTAAGTTTGGGGTCCCCCTTTTTACCCCTGTAAGCCATTGCAAACTTGACATTTAGTTGGATGCCTGACTTGTTTTTAGTTCTATGAAACTACACTGTATGGAGAAAATCTATTGCAAGTGGTCTTTAAAAAGCAAAACCTGAGGCAGCATGACCCAGGTCCAGCCATGAAGTTGAAAAAGATGCTCTTGAATATAGTAAACTTGAAGACCTCCAACTAAAAATCCTTATACTGCACTTATTCCTTCAAATAAGTTTTGTTCGTTCAACTTATGGATTTAACGTGGCAGTGCACCATTGGAACAGAATGACAATCCATAAGCCATGCAACTTAACAATTTAAGCCATTCCAGTCCATCCCGAGCCAGTGAATCTTCCACCACTTAAGACAAATAGTAGAACATGAAATATATTAAGCTGCAAGTCTGAACTTGCCTTTTCTTTCTGGAAAAGAGGGCAGTAATAGGCAAGTTTTAAAAGAATTTCCTTAAGAGAGATAACTAGTTTTCATTTATTTAACTTTTGCAGGTTGGTGATTTTGCTCATTATGGTCGTGGAGTGCTGATTGATTCACAGTAGATAAAGCTGGCAGTAAGAAATGCTAAGGTAAGTGTTGAAAGCAATGGCCTTTGAAGGTTTAAATGTTGTGTAACTACCATTTAGTTTAGCTGTGACATTGGCAAGTTATTGTGGTCCTCACTTCATCTGTAAAAGAAAACGCTGCTTGGAATTGATGAAGTTAAGTGCTTTAATGTGTAGTGCCTGACACATTCATTGTGAATTTAGAGTGAGGTTACATTTCCGTGAGTCTGGCTCATTCATGAGATTATTCTTAGCTATTTTTGAACCCATAAAGCTTGCTTATAGCTCTTCATATGCAAGCATTCTCAACAAGGAAGTACACACGTAAGAAGTTTGCTCAGCTGGGCACCATGGCTCGTGCCTTTAATCCCAGGACTTTGGGAGGCCAAGGCGGGCAGACCATGAGGTCAGGAGTTCGAGACCAGTCTGGCAAACATGGTGAAACCTCATCTGTACTAGAAAAAAAAAAAAAAAAAAAAACACCGGGCGTGGTGGTGTGCGCCTGTAATCCCAGCTACTGGGGAGGCTGAGGCAGAATTGCTTGAACCCAGGAGGCAGAGGTTGCAGTGAGCCGAGATCACGCCATTGCACTCCAGCCTGGGCAACAGCAAGACCCTGTCTCAAGAAGAGGAAAAAAAAAATTTGCTCAGTGCATTTTGTAAAAGGATATACTTTCGTTGTTACTAGTTAGTGCTTGCTCATTTGCATAGCTACAATACAAATTGACTAAATGTGGAGTTAATGATGCAACTGTGGCTGCAAGCTCCCTGTTTAACATAATTTTATTGACATTGACATAATGACGACATAGTATGTAATTTCAATATTACCTTTTTTTTTTTTTTTTTGAGACGGAGTCTTGCTCTGTTGCCCAGGCTGGAGTGCAGTGGCGCGATCTCGGCTCACTGCAAGCTCTGCCTCCCGGGTTCACGCCATTCTCCTGTGCCTCAGCCTCCCCCAGTAGCTGGGACTACAGGTGCACACTGCCACGCCCGGCTGATTTTTTGTATTTTTAGTAGAGATGGGGTTTTACTGTGTTAGGATGGTCTCGATCTCCTGACCTTGTGATCTGCCTGCCTCGCCTCCCAAAGTGCTGGGATTATAGGCATGAGCCACCGCACCTGGCCGCCTATGGTTGATTTTTTAAGCTTGCGTGGTTTTTTTTTTTTCTTCTCTTCTGAGACAGTTTTGCACTTGTTGCCCAGGCTAGAGTGCAATGGTGTGATCTCAGCTCACTGCAACCTCTGCTTCCCAGGTTCAAGTGATTTTCCTGCCTCAGCTTTCCAAGTAGCTGGGATTACAGGTGCCTGCCACTATGTCGGTTATTATTATTATTATTATTTGTATTTTTAGTAGACAGGGTTTCACTGTTGGCCAGGCTGGTCTTGAACCCCTAACCTCAGGTGATCCGCCCGCCTCGACCTCCCAATGTGCTGAGATTATAGACGTGAGCCACTGCATGCGGCTTTCTTTTTTTTTCTTTTTTTCTTTTTCTTTTTTTTTTTTTGAGATGGCTTCTCAACTCACTGCCTCTCAGGTTCAAGCGATTCTCCTGCCTCAGACTCCCCAAGTAGCTGGGACTACGGGTGTGCACCACCGTGCCCGGCTAATCTTTGTACTTTTTGTAGAGACAGGGTTTCACTGTGTTGGCCAGGCTGGTCTCAAACTCCTGACCTTGAGTGATCTGCCTGTCTCGGCCTCCCAGTGTTGGGATTACAAGCGTGAGCCACTGCGCCTGCTTGCTTTTTAAAGCAGTTACTTTTATTTTCAGCTAAAGCAACAAAAAAGTATATATTTAAATGATAGTTTGGGGGGAAGTACTTTACAGTAAAACAAATACTATGTAACAGGATCCCATGTTTTTCATTTTACAGAGTTGTTGAAGCAGAAGGCGGCTGATTGTCAATAAGTCACTACAGTTGCATAAGCAGTGCTGTCAGAATTGGTTTGGTGCAGGCAATAGATTTTGCCTTCAGGGGTTCCTGTGGATCTGAGGAAGGCATCAGTGTTGATTAACACTCATAACTAGGGAGTGACTGGTAGTTACTTAAAGCAAGTAATTGACCAAATGGAAAAGGGGAAGTAATTAAGGAAATTGGTAAGTGGAGGTAGTCAGGAAGTTCTTGTGGTTCTTCACATAGATTTTACAGCTTTGGCTTTCATTTTGTTTAGCTAAAGTCATGGGGACAACTCTTCAATTTAGAACTTAAGTTGAATTATAAAAATGATGGATATAAGTGGTAGCTGTATCTAGTGAAGTGTCTGTCAGTAAGTGAAACATTTTTTGGTGGTGGCTTATCCACAAACAGTTTAGTTGTAGAATAAAACTTATGAGTGACATCTGGAAAGTAACCATGCTAAGATGGCAAGCACACTGGAAACAATTAGGCCACTTGGCTTTCTTTTGCTGTATTGTTTTATAAGCCTACTTTACCTCCCAGTCTTGGAAACAAGTTTTAGTTTTTTATTGGTTTGGAGACTAGAGCCAATAGTATAATGTTCTCAAAGGAAACAGACTTGAGTTGTTGGATTAGAGGAACTAACCCAACTTATATGATTTTTTTTTTGTTTTTGTCGTGTAGTTATGGCACTGTCTTATTTGGAACATTTGCAACTAGGGATAATACAACATTTTTAACTCTCATTTGACAACCTACTACTAATCACAGACCACAAGGGTAATGACCAAATTTATGTGGTTTTTGCACTCCATAGTTGTCTTAGCCCAATCTTTCTATACTCTTACGATTACTTGGGTTAACGCTTCTGTGAGGACCTTCTGGCTCTTGAGATACCCTAAATATTTAAGATATTTAGATATCTTGAAGATAGTATAGGATATAGAGATTGTACCAAATAGGAATATAAGGAGTATGTTAAAATGACCAGATACCTGTTTGATAGTTTACTGACCTAGCAGATGTGTGGAAAAGGAATCAGATCTTGATTCTTCTGGGTTTATACTGGTTGTAAAACAGAATGATACAGAAAATGTTTTCCTTGTTTAACTGGTAGTTGAACATAGAACTTGGGTATTATAGATCACTTTTCACTTTTTGGAATGTTTTGTATTGAAACTTAATAAAACTTTAACATGGCATCTTTTTTTGTGGCAAGGGGCTCTTCTTTACTTAGAAATTAGGGGTTTATGTTTTTAAATGTTTTTCCCATGTCCCCCTCCCCCAAACACTACCTCTGTTGCATTGATGGCACTTAATCAGTTTTGCATGGGAATGTCCAGAGTCATTGAGGCTGTTTTTGTGACTAGGCCTCCTTTATTGAGAGTGAGCTTCAGGGGGAATGTAGATGACTTCATTCAGTCCTCACCCTAAAAGTTAAATGGAAGCACAATCACACACCTAAGAAGCAGAGGCTAAATAAACCAGGAGTCAACTGTAGTGCTTTTATGTAATTCCTGCTTACCTCTTGGGGAAAAACAGGTCAGCAACAACTCAGTTGTGGCTGTGGATTCCAAATACTTTGGGTCAAGCAATGCATGTGATAATATGCTTCTGAATTTGCAGTTTTCAGTTTCTCTGCTTTACCTAGTGTCCTGTATATATCTGACTAGTTGATGTTCGTTTGTGTCTAAAACTGGGCATTGCATTTGGGTTATGTAGTCAGTTGAACAGAACTCAGCACATGGAGAAAGAATGCAGCTAAGCATTAAGATGGCAGAGAAAGCCCTAAGTATTGTCATTCTGTAAATAATCTCAGCTCTACACCTGTTTTTTTGGGGGGGTTTATTAATGAGATGGAGTCTCACCATGTCCCCCAGGCTGGAGTGCAGTGGCACCATCTCGGATCGCTGCAACCTCCGCCTCCCGGGTTCAAACGATTGTCCTACCTCAGCCTCCCAAGTAGCTGGGATTACGGGCGTGCGCCACCACACCCAGCTAATTTTTGTGTTTTAGTAGAGATGGGGTTGTCATCATGTTGGCCAGCCTGGTCTTGAACCTCCTGAACTCAAGTGATCTGCCCACCTTGGCCTCCCAAAGTGCTGGGATTACAGGTGTGAGCTACAACGCGCAGCCAGTTCTATACCTATTGTTCCAGGAAAACATCTCTCTACTCATCCCGTCAATACTTTATGTTGCACATGTCAGTATACTTCCTGAAAAGTAACTTGAACTTTTGTATCAATTAGTTCAACTTTAATCAATTTTTAAGATAACATTTAAATCTGAAATACTCAAGTATTAAGGGTACTGTTTTATGAACTGAGAAATGTATACTCTATCAATGATGGATAATTACCATCATCTCAAAGTACTTGAGTTTTAGCCGTGTATACATCAGTAGTTCCATGTTGCCGAGTATGGTATGCTTTCCCATTCATGGAAACCTGGGCCTTTTCTGGTTTTTGGCTTTCATGCATAAAGTTGCTATAAATGTTCTCACAGTAGCTTTTGTTTTTGTAATTACTGAGATGAAAACGGGTGTGGAATTGCTGAATCAGGATAGATGTACATTTTTTGAGAGATGGCTAGGCATTTTTTCCAAAGTAATACTGTGGAAACACTTAGCCAATGATGTGTGAGTTATTCCATGCCTTGTCAGTATCTGGTGTTAACAGTTTAGCCCTTATGGTGAATTTGTGGCTTATCCTCTCAGCAATGAGTAGTACTTGAAAAAAAGTATGGTGAAATGCACTGATCTCATGTACAGTTTGATCAGTCTTGAGAAACGCTTAGCACATCAAGACACAGAACTTAGCTCCGGAAAGTTGTGTGTGCCCCTTCTCAGTCAATAGACCACCTCCCAACACCAGCAACAAACACTGACCTGATTTCCATCATAAGATATTTTTTGCAAATTTTGATTATGTAAATTCTGTTGATGTAGTTTATGTCTAGCTGCTTACAGAATGTTTTCAGATTCATCCACATAGTTGCATGTATATTCCTTTTATTGCAGAGTAGAGTTGCAGTGCATGAAGTAACTATTGATGGACATCTGGGCTAGTTCCAATTTTTGGCTATTACAAATACTGCTATGAGTATTCTTGTACGAGTCTTGGACGTAACAGTTTATTTTTGGTAAATGTCGAGTGGAATTCATGAAGTGACAGGGTAGATAATACAGTAAATCTTAACATTGTTGAAGATTTCTTGAAGGGTTCTTGGAAACTTTTATAATGAAACCAGCTTTACCGTAGGCTAATTGACAAAAAATTTAAGTTCCTGCAACATATTTGTAGTTAAAAGTGTCAAACTTTTTTTGAGACATTGTACTCTGTTGCCCAGGCTGGAGTGTAGTGCTATTATGACTCACTGCAGCCTTGACCTCCTGGACTCAAGCAATCCTCCCACCTCAGCCTCCCAAGTAGCTGGGACTACAGGCGTGTGCTAGCATGCCTGGCGTTTTTTTTTTTTTTTTTTTTTTAAAGAGACGGCGGGGGTCTCCCTTTGTTGCCCAGGCTGGGCTTGAATTTCGCAATCCTTCCTCCGCCTCCCAAAGTTCTGAGATTACAGGTGTGAGCCACTGCGCCTGGTGCCAAATAAAAGCCAAAACACATCTAATACTAAACATTGAAATAAACGTGAGCTGTGCATACGTTTAAGAAAAGTTGAAAAGCTATATAGTTCTTTACCCAGTTACTTAAGAAGAGTTGAAAAGCTATCTAGTTATTTACCCAGTTATTTCAGTTCAGAGTCTCAGGAAACTAGAACCTGTCTAGCCAGCTCAAGGCCAAGGTGGGAACCGATCTTGGCCAGGAGACCATCCCATTGCAGGACATGCTCACACCCACATTCACTCAGATCGGAACCATTCAGACTTGCAAGTTTACCTTTGGGATATGGGAGGAAACAGGAGTACCCAGAGAGAAAGCCAATGCAGACACGGGAAGGATGTGTTAACTCCGCACAGTGGTCCCAGCCAGGAGTTGATTTTTTTTTTTTCCTCAACAAAATGATGTTCACTAAAATGACGTTTTTAAAAGATCTGCTGTATGTTTAATTTTTAAGAAACTACCAGAGTTTTCCCAGAGTGGTTGTACCATTTTATGCCCTCAGTAGCAATTTTTTTTTTTTTTTTTTTTGAGACGGCCTCTCTGTCGCCTAGGCTGGAGTGCAGTGGCATGATCTTGGCTCACTGCAACCTCTGCCTCCTGGGTTCAAACGATTCTCCTGCCTCAGTCTCCCAAGTAGCTGGGATTACAGGCACCCACCACCACACCCAGCTAATTTTTGTATTTTTAGTAGAGACGAGGTTTCGCCATGTTGGCCAGGTTGGTCTCAAACTGACAGGTGATACACCCTCCTTGGCCTCCCAAGTGCTAGGATTACAGGCATGAGCCACCGTGCCCGGCCTCATTAGCAATTTATGAGAATTCTGGTTCCTCCACAACATCCTTAACAACATGTGCTGCTATTGATCAGTTTCATTTTAACCATTCTGGTGGGTGGGGTAGTATTGATTTTAATTCACATTTCCCTGATGACTAATGATGCTGAGCACTTTTTTAAAAAGGCTTTATTTGGGGATAATTTTAAATTCTCAGAAGTTGCAAAGTAGAGAGTTCTCATACGCATTACCCAATTTCCCCTAATTTTAATATCTTACATTATTATGGTATTTGTCAACTAAGAGATTAACATTGGTATATTACCATTAACTAAACTCCAGACTAGGTTGGGTGTGATGTCTCATGTTTGTCATCCCAGCATTTTGGGACGCCAAGGTAGACCACTTGAGCCCAGGTGACCAGCCTGGAGAACATAGCAAGACCCACCTCTACAAAAGAATACAAAAATTAGCTGGGTGTGGTGTCAGGAGGCTGAGATGGGAGGATGGCCTGAGCATAGGAAGTTGAGGCTGCAGTGAGCCGTGATGGCACCACTGCACTCCAGCTTGGGTGACAGTGAGACCATGTCTCAAAAAAGACTTTAGATTTCACATATTTTCTACTGTCTTCTCTCCATTGCAGGATCTACTCCAGTATCTCACATTGCACTTCATACTGGGAGTTTTGTGTTTTTTTTTTCTGAAACGGGGTCTCGCTCTGTCACCCAGGCTGGAGTGCAGTGGCGCAATCTCGGCTCACTGCAAACTTCACCTCCTGGGTTCAAGCAGTTCTGCTGCAGCCTCCCGAGTAGCTGGGATTACAGGCGTCCACCACTATGCTGGACTAATTTAATTTAATTACTTTATTTATTTAGAGACTGAGTCTCGCTCTGTCGCCTAGGCTGGAGTGCAGTGGCACGATCTCCGCTCACTGCAAGCTCCGCCTCCTGGGTTCACGCCGTTCTCCTGCCTCAGCCTCCTGAGTAGCTGGGACTACAGGCGCCCGCCACAACGCTCGGCTAATTTTTTGTATTTTTAGTAGAGATGGGGTTTCACCATGTTAGCCAGGATGGTCTTGATCTCCTGACCTTGTGATCCACCCACCTTGGCCTCCCAAAGTGCTGGGATTATAGGCGTGAGCCCCCGTGCCCAGTCCATATGCCGGGCTAATTTTTGTATTTTTGCTTTTTTTTTTTTTTTTTTTTTTTTTGAGATGGAGTCTTGTTCTGTCGTCCAGGCTGGAGTGCAGTGGCATGCTGTCAGCTCACTGCAACCTCTGCCTCCTGGGTTCAAGGGATTCTCCTGTCTCAGCCTACTGAGTAGCTGGGATTACAGGTATGCGCCACCACGCTCAGCTAATTTTTGTATTTTTAGTAGAGATGGGGTTTCACCATGTTGGTCAGCATGGCCTTGAACTCCTGACCTTGTGATCCACCCACCTCGGCCTCCCAAAGTGCTGGGATTACAGGCGTGAGCCACCTCGCCCGGCAATTTTTGTATTTTTAGTAGAGATGGGATTTCGCCATGTTGGCCAGGCTGATGGGCAGTTTCTCACGTGCTTAATTAGCCGTGTGTATAACTACTTTCACAAAGTGTCTAAGACTTTTGTCTGTCTTAAAAATTGGGTTGCCTGCTTTTTAAATGTTACAGAATTTATTTATTTGTTCTGGATACAAATTGTCAGATATGTTACGAATATCTTCTCCCAGTCTGCCTTGCCTATTTTTTATTTTTTTCAATGAGCAAATGAAATCTAATTTAACAAAAATGGTTCTTGGTTTCTGTGACCTAACAAAATTGCCTACTGCCTGGTCATAAATATTTTTTCCTGTCTTCTAGAAGTTTTGTAAGTTTTTTTGTGACTGGGTCTCAAAACCTCATGACAAGGTTTCACCATGTTGCTCAGGCTGGCCTTCAACTCCTGAGCTCAAGGGATCCACGTGCCTAGGCCTCCCAAAGTGCTAAGATTACATACATGAGACACCATGCCTGGACAAGTTTTGTGGTTTTAACTTTTATATTATGTCTGTAATCCATTTTGAATTTTTTTGGGTATGAGGTAGGTGTTGAAATTGATTTTTTCAAATACAGATAGGCCTTTGAGCATCTTTTTTTGAAAAGACTAGCCTCCAGTACTTCAGTATCTTAATAGGAAACATACATACCTGGGTCCGTTACTGTACTTAAAAAAATTGATCGGTAATGTCTATGTCTATCCTTACCTTGATTACTGTAGGGTGTTTTTTTTTTTTAGACACAGTTTTGCTCTTGTCACCCCAGGCTGGAGTGCAATGGCATGATCTCGGCTCACTGCAACCTCCATCTCCCTGATTCAAGTGATTCTCCTGCCTCAGCCTCCCGAGTAGCTGGGATTACAGGCACCCACCACCACGCCTGGCTACTTTTTGTATTTTTAGTAGAGATGGAGTTTCATCATGTTGGCCAGGCTGGTCTCAAACTCCTGACCTCAGGTGATCCACCAGCCTTGGCTTCCTAAAGTACTGGGATTACAGGCGTGAGCCACTGTGCCTGGCCTGATTACTGTAGTTTTATAGTAAGCTCTCTAAGGATACTAATTTTTTAAAGTCCTAAAGTTTTCTTCCTGCAGAGTGGATTTTTTTCCTTTGAAGTTACTATTGCTGTTTTTTTCTACTTCAAACTTCTTACTAGGGGCTTTCCTCAAATAATTGGAAAGTTTTGGCTCTGTGTTCATGATTATAAGAAGAGAGGGGATTAACATGTTTGTAATCTCTGAGGGCTTTTTTACTGTGCTTCACTGTGGGTGCTGTTTGTTGGTGAACCCCTGTGCTATGGTTTGAATGTTCCCTCCGAAACCCATGTTGAAACTTTTTTTTTTGAGATGGAGTTTCACTCTTGTGGCCCAGGCTGGAGTGCAATGGCGCTATCTTGGCTCACTGCAACCTCCGCCTCCCAGCTTCAAGCAATTCTCCTGCTGCAGCCTCCCAAGTAGCTGGGATTATAGATGGGTGCCACCACGCCCAGCTAATTTTTATATTTTTAGTAGAGACGGGGTTTCACCATGTTGGCCAGGCTGATCTCGAACTCCTGACCTCAAGTTATCTGCCTGCCTCGGCCACCCAAAGTGCTGGGATTATAGGCATGAGCCACTGTGCCCCTCCCATGTTGAAACTCAATTCTCAGTGATTCGTGGATTAATGGGTTAATGGATTATCATGGGACTGGGACTGGTGGCTTCATGAGAAGAGGAAGAGACCAGAGCTAGCACGCTCAGCTTCTTCACCATGTGATACCCTGCACTGCTTTGGGACTCTGCAGCGTCCCCACCAGCAAGGAGGCTCTCACCAGATGTGGCCTCTTGACCTTGGACTTCTCAGCAAGCAGAACTGAAAGAAATCAATTCTTTATAAATTACCCAGTCACAGGTACTTAGTTATAACAACAGAAAACAGAATAAGATACCCTGATGTCAATTTCTTCAGGGGTTTTTTTTTTTTTGGAAAGAATTCCTCAAGGAACATATGGCCAAATCCTTGCCTTGAAAGTATAAGTTGTATTGACTAGCTGAAGGTGTAGTTTTCAGGGTGGCCTGTGTGCCTGCACATGTAATATGCCCCCCCATCCAACTGGGCTCCAGTGCTGCCTAAATGGAACCCACCTCCAGCTGGCTTGGCGCAGATGTTCTTTGTCTTGCTGTGGTGATGAGGTGGGAGATGATCTTTCTGGTGCAATGTTGGAGGAGAAAGGGCACAATGACACATTTCACCCCTAGCTTCTCCTCTGTCCATGGAGCCCCCTCTTCCTCCGTTTTAGGCTACCCTTCCCTGACTTCCATTCCTACCCCAAACTCACCCTCTCCCTCCTCTAGGTGTTTCTCTGTTCTATCTAGACTGAGTTCAAATCCCAGTTTCAGCATTACCAGGTGTGTGACCTTGGGCAAGTTGCTTAACCTCACTAGTTTTCTCATCTATAAAATGGGAATAATAATTATCTCATAGCATTGGCTGCTAAGATAAATGAGTTAATAGTTCCTGGCATATGGTAAATGCTGCATAAGTGTTAGATTTTATTATTTTCATCAATTTTCTTCTTGTGTGTCATCTTTAGGGGTGGAATGAGGGGAAGGAACCAGCACTTTGTTAGATCAGCATTTTGTCAAGGACAAGATAAGCTGAGTTTCTTCGTCTCCTGAGCTCGTCATACTCCTCAAGTATTTTGGTGTATTCTGATTAGTACACACAGAGCCCTCCTCATTTTGTTTTTACTTTACTTCCCCATTCCCACTCCCATACATTCATTCACCTACCACTGGCAATCACGTTAATGCATTTAATGTATGTCCTTTTTTTTTTGAGACTAAGTCTTGCTCTTGTTGCCCAGGCTGTAGTGCAGTGGCACGATCTGGTTCACTACAACCTCCGTCTCCAAGGTTCAAGCAATTCTCCTGCCTCAGCCTCGCAAGTAGATAGGATTACAGGCGCCCGCCACCATGCCCGGCTAATTTTTGTATTTTTAGCACAGACGGGGTTTCACCATGTTGGCCAGGCTGGTCTTGAACTCCTTACCACAAGCGATCCGCCCGCCTCAGCCTCCCAAAGTGCTGAGATTACAGGTGTGAACCACTGCACCCTGCCAGGAAACTTTTAATACTGTTTCTTTTTCCCATTTAGAGGCAAAGTTACCAGCTGAAAGTGAGGAGGAGTGAAAAGTAGAGGTTTGAGGAGAGATAATAAATGAGAGTCATTTGAAAAGTTGGAAAGTGAACAAACTGGAGAAGTATTTGGTATTTTTGAGTCCCATTTGAGATTTGTATCATAAATTTATAGAGAAACCAGTTAAGCATGCTTATGTATTTTTCTCTAGCAGTACTTACAGCTTGAATGCAGGTGTTGATCCCACAAAGCAAGTATACAATAAGGGAGAAGTAAATGCTCGAAGGTAAATTGATGTACCATGAGAAGGTAGAATGGATATGGGACAGTAAAATCAACAATAACTATGCACTACACTATGCTGTCCACATACTACCCCAGTTCCTTATTCTCCTTTGTGGCCAAATGTCTTAAAAGAGTCACTTATGCCTGCTATCTGTAATTCCTCTTCCCACATTCTGTTTAATTCATTTCAGTTAAGTTTTCACTCTCATCATTCCACTGAAACTGCTCTTGTCAAGGTCACCGGTGACCTGCACATTGTTAGATTCAATCCAAATTTTCCTCTTCCATATTCGATTCCATTAGTCACTTTTTCCCTGATAGAATATCTTTATTTGAATTTTATGATACTACACTTTCTTTTCTTTTCTTTTGAGATGGAGTCTTAACTATTTCCCAGGCTGGAGTGCAGTGGCATGATCTCGGCTCACTGCAACCTCCGCCTACCGGGTTCAAGTGATTCTCCTGCCTGAGCCTCCCAAGTAGCTGGGACTACAGGCGCCCGCCACTACCCCTAGCTAATGTTTTGTAATTTTGGTAGAGAAGCGGTTTTGTCACGTTGGCCAGGCTGGTCTCGACCTCCCAACCTCAGGTGATCCAGTAACCTCGGCCTCCCAGCGTGCTGGGATTATAGGCGAGAGACACCGTGCCCAGCCCACTTTCTTTTTCCTTTACCCCACTGATCACTCCTAGTCTCTTACTGATCCTCTTGCCTAACCTCCATTTTTTTTTTTTTCTTTGAGACAGAGTCTCACTCTGTCACCCAGGCAGGAGTGCAGTGGTGTGATCTCTGCTCACAGCAACCTTTGCCTCCCGGGCTCAAGTGATTCTCCTGCCTCAGCCTCCTGAGTAGCTGGTATTACAGGCGCTCACCACCACACTTGGCTAATTTTTCTAGTTTTAGTAGAGACAGGGTTTCACCATGTTGGCCAGGCTGGTTTTGATTTCCTGACTTCAAATGATCTGCCTGTCTCAGCCTCCCAAAGAGCTGGGATTATAGGCGTGAGCCGCCGCGACCTGCCGGGGTACTTATTTTTAAATACCCATTGTTTCTTTTTGTCTTCTCTTGATAGAATATAATCTCCATAAGATGAGGGATCTTTGCCTGTTTTGTTTATTCCTGTCTCCCCAAAGCCTGAAGTTCAACAAGTATGTGTTAAATGAATATGCTTCACTTTTCATAGTTGTTTTTCCAAAAATATCTCTAACACACTTGAACTGTTTTGCATACATCTACAAGTGTACTGCTTTATGGCCACCCCAAAGAAAGGCAACCTAAAGTTTTATGAATAGTTGCATTCAACTCCAAGTGCAGAATGTCTGCAGTCTTATCTCTAAGTTTTCTAATACATAAACTGAAAATGTTAAAATGTATCCCTAAACATTCTATATAAAATATTGGGAGAAGAGAAAACAAGAGTATGATATAGTAAAAGGAGAAATTCAGGTAGAGACTATAACACTTGCTTAGGTAACTGGTCACAAGGCAATAACTGGTAATTAAAATATTCTTCCTAAAATATCCATTTGTATTTTTTTTTTTTTACCTTAGTTAATGGTGACATTTTACTTGGTTTACTAAACCTTCAATCCTGAGGGTTCTAAGCCTGTGTGATACTCTTTCTTTAGCTTTTATGTTTTTTTTTTTTCTTTTTGAGACGGAGTCTCCCTCTGTCCCTCAGGGCAGAGTGCAGTGGTGCGATCTCGGCTCACTGCAACCTCCGCCTCCAAGGGTCAAGTGATTCTCCTCCCTTAGCCTCCTGAATAGATGGGATTACAGGCATCCACCACCATGCCCGGCTAATTTTTGTATTTTTAGTACAGACAGGGTTTCACCATATTGGCCAGGCTGGTCTCTAACTCCTGACCTCAGGTGATCCAGCTGCCTTGGCCTCCCAAAGTGTTGTGATTACAGGCATGATCCATGTGCCAGGCCCAGATTTTGTTCTGTGTACTTTTCATTAACATATTTGTTCCTCATTGCTGGGCGCGGTGGCTCACACCTGTGATCCCACCACTTTGGGAGGCCAAGGCTGACGGATCACTGGAGGTCAGGTGTTCAAGACCAGCCTGGCCAACATGGCCAGACCCTGTCTCTACTAAAATAAAAGTATAAAAATTAGCCGGGCGTGGTGGCGGGCGCCTCTCATCCCAGCTACTCAAGGAGGCTGAGGCACAAGAATCGCTTGAACCCCGGAGGTGGAGGTTGCAGTGTGCTGAGATCGCGCCATTGCACTGCAGCCTGGGCGACAAGAGCAAGCCTCTGTCTCAAATAAAAAAAAAAAAAAAAAAAAAAAAAAAAAAAAAGTTTGCTCCTCACAAGAACCTTTAAGGTAAATACTATTATTTTTCTCATTGAAGTTATAAGGAAATTCAGTTACATAAATAAATTACCCAAGTTACATACCTATATACTGATAGATTTCAAGTCATGTTCCAGAAATCATGTTTCTAACTAGTATGCTACACTGCCTGTCATGTATATTAATCCATGTAATACTTTATGAATCATTAAATTTGAGATGACTACTTGTCATCCAAACAAATGTCACATGTAGAACTAGGTGTTAGTAATGAGGTTGCTGGAGTTGTATGGGTTGGAGGTAAATTTGGGAGTCATGAGCATGTAGATGGCACTATAAGGTATCAATATTGAAGTGGATGAGATCATTCAGGAAGAGTGTAACTAGAGAAGTCCAAGGACTGAATCCTGGCATGCTCCAACATTTTAGAGGCCAAGGAGGTGAGAATGTAGCAAGAAATCTGAAAAGGAGTGGGCTCAGAGGTAGGAGGAAAATCAGGATAGTGTGGTTTCTAGGAAGCCAAGAGAAAGTTGCAAGAATGACTGTGTTGAATGCTGCTCAGAGATGAAGGAAAAGGAGTGAGCATTCGACACAACATGCTACATGCGTTGGGCATACTAACATGCAGTTAAGCCATTTCAGGGGGATGGAGGGCGCACAACCTTATTTGAAGTGGGTTGAGGAGAGAATGGCACAGAAACAAGGAAAGACAAGAACTAGAGTGAGCTATTTCGAGAAATGTTGCTGTGGTGAAGGACAGAGAAAAGCAGGAGGATGTGGGGTTAAGGGAGGTATTTTTAATAAATGGGAGATACTAGAATATAGGTTTTTGGGACTGTTCCAGTAAAGGGGCAGAAATTGACACGAGAATGAGGGGATGACTGGATTACTGAAGTCTTAGGATGAGGGAGAATGGAATCCAAAAAGTCACGGGACGTTAAGAGCAGAAGTATTTCATCCACCACACTATGAGGGAAGGCAGGCAAAGAATGAAGGTGGACAAGCAGAGATTAGTAGATTAGGTTGTGGGACAATAAGGACACTTATTTATGAGATGGATCTCCCTCTGTTGCCTAGGCTGGAGTGGAGTGGCGTGGTCTCAGCTCACTGCATCCTCTTTCTCCCAGGTTCAAGTGATTTTCCTGCCTCAGTCTCCTGAGTAGCTGGGATTACAGGCGCCTGCTACCACGCCCGGCTAATTTTTGTATTTTTCGTAGAGTCTTGGTTTCACCATGTTGGCCAGGCTGGTCTTAAACTCCTGACCTCAAGTGATCCACCCCCCTCGGCCTCCCAAAGTGCTGAGATTACAGGCGTGAACCACTGCACCCTGCCAGGAAACTTTTAATATTGTTTCTTTTTTCTAGTTTAGAGGCAAAGTTATCAGCTGAAAGTGAGGAGGAGTGAGAAATGGAGGTTTGAGGAGAGATAATAAATGAGACAGTCATTTGAAAAGTTGGAAAGCAAGCAAACTAGAGAAATATTTGATAGTTTTGAGTCCCATTTCACATTCGTATCATGAATTTATAGAGAAACCTGTCAAGCATGCTTATATATTTTTCTCTAGCAACACTTACAGTTTGAGTGCAGGTGTTGGTCCCACAAAGCAAATATACAATGAGAGAGAAGTAAATGCTCGAAGGTAAATTGATGTACCATGAGAAGGTAGAATGGATATGGGACAGTAAAATCAACAGTAATGGCCATGCCCAGTGGCTCATGCCTGTAATCCCAGCACTTTGGGAGGCCAAGTCAGGTGGATCACCTGAGATCAGGAGTTTGAGACCAGCCTGGCCAACGTGGTGAAACCCTGTCTCTATCAAAAATACAAAAATTAGCCAGGCATGGTGGTGGGTGCCTGTAATCCCAGCTACTCAGGAGGCTGAGGCAGGAGAATTGCTTCAGCCCGGGAGGCGGATGTTGCAGTGAACCAAGATTGCACCCTTGTACTCCGGCTTGGGCGACAGAGCCAGACTCTGTCTCGAAAAAAAAAAAATAGTAACTATGCTCTACACTACGCAGTCCACTTACTATCCCAGTTCCTTATTCTCCTTTGCTGCAAAATGTCTTGAAAGAGTTATTTATGCCTGCTGTCTGCAGTTCCTCTTCCCACATTCTGTTTAATTCATTTCAGTCAAGGTTTCACTCTCAGTATTTTACTGAAACTGCTCTTGTCAAGGTCACCAGTGACCTGCACATTGTTAGATTCACTCCAGGTTTTCCTCTTACCTCCATATTTGACTCCATTGATTACTCCTTCCCTGATAATAATTTCTTTATGTTAATTTTAGGATACTACACTTCCTTTTTGTTTTACCCCACTGATCACTACCTCCATTCTCTTGCTGATCTTCTTCCGTGCCTTTTTTTTTTTCTTTTTCTTCTTTTTGAGAAGGGGGTCTCACTGTCACCCTGGCAGGAGTGCAGTGGTGTGATCTCTGCTCATTGCAACCTCCGCCTCCTGGGCTCAAGTGATTCTCATGACTCAGCCCCCTGAGTGGCTGGGATTATAGGTGTGTGCCACCACGGCCGACTAATTTTTGTATTTTTAGTACAGATGCAGTTTCACCATGTTGGCCAGGCTGGTTTTGAATTCCTGATCTCAAATGATGTGCTCATCTGGGCCTCCCAATGTGCTGGGGTTACAGGCGTGAGCCACCACACCTGGTCAACGTACCAATTTTTTTTTTTTTTTTTTTTTTTTGGAGATGGAGTCTCGCTCTGTTGCCCAGTGGCACGATCTCAGCTCACTGCAAGCTCCGCCTCCCGGGTTCACGCCATTCTGCCTCAGCCTCCTGAGTAGCTGGGACTACAGGTGCCTGCCACCACGCCTAGCTAATTTTTTGTATTTCTAGTAAAGGCGGGGTTTCACTGTGTTAGCCAGGATGGTCTCGATCTCCTGACCTCGTGATCCGCCTGCCTCGGCCTCCCAAAGTGCTGGGATTACAGGCATGAGTCACTGTGCCCGGCCTAATGTACCAATTTTAAAAAACCCATTGTTTCTTTTTGTCTTCCCTTGATAGAATATAATCTTCCTAAGACGAGGGGTCTTTGCCTGTTTTGTTTATTCCTGCATCCCCAAAGCCTGAGATGATGTCTAGAACATAGTAGGAGTTCAACAAATATGTGTTAAATGAATGAATATGCTTCACTTCTCATAGTTGTTCTTCCAAAAATATCTCTGCCTAACACTAACTATTTTGCATACATCTTCAAGTGTGCTGCTTTATGGCTACCCCAAAGAAAGACAACCAAAAAAGTTTTGTGAATAGTTGCATTCAACTCTTAAGTACAGAATGTCTGGAATCTAATCTCCAAATTTTCTAATACATAAACTGAAAATGTTAAAATGTATCCGTAAACATTCTATATAAAATATTGGGAGAAGAGAAAACAAGAGTATGATACAGTAAAAGGAGAAATTCAGGTAGAGACTATAACTCTTGTTTAGGTAACTGGTCACAAGCAATAATTGGTAATTATAATATTCTTCCTAAAATATCCATTTTGTTATTTTTTTTCTACCTCAGTCAATGGTGGCATTTTACTTGGTTTACTTAACCTTCAATTCTGAGGGGTCTAAGCCTGTATGATGTTGTAATAATCTTCCTTTAGCTTTTATTGTTTTTTGAGACAGCATCTTACTCTGTCGCCCAGGCTGGAGTGCAGTGGTGCGATCTTGGCTCACTGCAATTTCCGCCTACTGGGTTCAAGTGATTCTCCTGCCTCAGCCTCCCGAAGATCTGGGATTTCAGGTGCCCGCCACCATGCCCAGCAAATTTTTTGTATTTTTAGTAGAGACGGGGTTTCACCATGTTGGCCAGGCTGGTCTTGAACTCCTGACCTCAGGTGATCTACCCATCTCTGCCTCTCAAAGTGCTGGGATTGCAGGCGTGAGCTGCAGCGTCAGGCCCAGACTCTGTTCTAAGTACTTTTCATTAACATATTTGCTCCTCACAGGAACTCATCAGGTAAATACTATTATTTTCCTCATTGAATGCGTGAGGAAATTGTTACATAGATAAATAATGCAAGGTCACATACCTATATACTGATAGACTTAGATTTCAAGTCGTGTTGTTCCAGAAATCATGTTTCTAACTAGTATGCTACACTGCCTGTCATGTATGTTAATACATGTAATACTTTATGAATCATTTAAGGTGACTTTTAGTCATCCACACAGAAATGTCACATGTAGAATTAGGTGTAAGTAATGAGGTTGCTGGAGTTGTATGGGTTGGAGGTAAATTTGGGAGTCATAAGCATGTGGATGGCACTATAAGGTATGAATATCGAAGTGGATGAGATCACTCAGGAAGAGTGTAACTAGAGAAGTCCAAGGACTGAATGCTGGCATGCTCTAACGTTTTAGAGGCCCACGAGGTGAGAATGTAGCATGAAATCTAAAAAGGAATGGGCTCAGAGGTAGGAGGAAAATCAGGATAGTGTGGTTTCTAGGAAGCCAAGAGAAAGTTGCAAGAATGACTGTTGAATGCTGCTCAGAGGTGAAGAAAAAGGAGTGAGCATTCGACACAACATGCTACATGCGTTGGGCATACTAACACACAGTTAACAAAAGCCATTTCAGGGGGATGGAAGGCGCACAACCCTATTTGAAGTGGGTTGAGGAGAGAATGGCACAGAAGGAAAGACAAGAACTAGAGTGAGCTATTTCGAGAAATGTTGCTGTGGTGAAGGACAGAAGAGTAGGAGGATGTGGGGTCAAGGGAGGTATTTTTTTAAAATGGGAGATACTAGAATGTCTTATTTATTTATTTATTTTGAGATGGAGTTTCGCTCTTGTTGCCCAGGCTGGAGTGCAATGGCGTGATCTCGGCTCACTGCAATCTCTGCCTCCCGGGTTCAAGTGATTCTCCTACCTCAGCCTCCCGTAGCTGGGATTACAGGTGCACGCCACCACGCCCAGCTAATTTTGTATTTTTAGTATAGCCAGTGTTTCTCCGTGTTGATCAGGCTGGTCTCGAACTCGTGACCTCATGTGATCTGCCCACCTCGGCCTCCCAAAGTGCAGGGATTACAGGCATGAGCCACCGCGCCCGGCACTAGAATATAGGTTTGTGGGACTGTTCCAGTAAAGGGGGAGAAATTGACACATGAGAATGAGGGGATGACAGTATTAATGAAGTCTTTGGATAAGGGAAGATGGAAGCCAAAAAAGTCACAGGGCGACGTTAAGAGCAGAAGTATTTCATCCACCACACTATAAGGGAAGGAAGGCAAAGAATGAGGGTGGACAAGCAGGAGATTAGTAGATTAGGTTATGGGAAAATAAGGAAATTTACTTACTTATTTATGTATTTATTTATTAATGAGATGGATCACCTTCTGTTCCCCAGGCTGGAGTGCAGTGTGCGATCTCGGCTCACTGCAATGTCTGTCTCTCGGGTTCAAGGGATTCTCCTGCCTCAGCCTCCCGAGTGGATGGGATTACAGGCGCCTGCCACCACGCTTAGCAAATTTTTGTATTTTTAGTAGAGACAGGGTTTCACCATGTTGGCCAGGCTGGTCTTGAACTCCTGACCTCGTGTGATCCGCCTGCCTTGGCCTCCCAAAGTGCTGAGATTACAGGCGTGAGCCACTGCACCCTGCCAGGAAACTTTTAATATTGTATCTTTTTTCTAGTTATTTAGAGGCAATGTTATCTGCTGAAAGTGAGGAGGAGTGAGAAGTGGAGGTTTGAGGAGAGATAATAAATGAGACAGTCATCTGAAAAGTTGGAAAGTGAACAAACTAGAGAAGTATTTGGTAGTTTTGAGTCCCATTTGAGATTTGTATCATGAATTTATAGAGAAACCAGTTAAGCATGCTTACATATTTTTCTCTAGCAACACTTACAGCTTGAGTGCAGGTCGTGGTCCCACAAAGCAAGTATACAATGAGGGAGAAGTAACTCCTGGAAGACAAGTTGATGTACCATGAGAAGGTAGAATGGATATGGGACAGTAAAATCAACAATAACTATGCACTACACTATGCTGTCCACATACTACCCCAGTTCCTTATTCTTTGTGGCCAAATGTCTTAAAAGAGTCACTTATGCCTGCTGTCTGCAATTCCTCCTCCCACATTCTGTTTAATTCATTTCAGTCAAGTTTTCACTCTCATCATTCCACCGAAACTGCTCTTGTCAAGGTCACCAGTCACCTGCGCATTGTTAGATTCAATCCAAATTTTCCTCTTCCATATTTGACTCCATTAGTCACTCCTTCCCTGATAGTATCCTAATTTTAGGATACTTCACTTTTTCTTTTACTCCATTGATCACTACTTCAGTCGTTTGCTGATCCTCTTCCCTAACCTTTTTTTTTTTTTTTTTTTTTGAGACGGAGTTTCGCTCTTATTGCCCAGGCTGGAGTGCAATGGCACGATCTCAGCTCACCACAACCTCCGCCTCCCGGGTTCAAGCAATGCTCCCACCTCAGCCTCCCAAGTAGCTGAGATTACAGGTGCACACCACCACGCCCAGCTAATTTTTGTATTTTTAGTAGAGACAGGGTTTCACCATGTTGGTCAGGCTAGTCTTGAACTCCTGATCTCGTGATCTGCCTGCCTTGGCCTCCCAAAGTGCTGGGATTACAGGCATGAGCTGCCATGCCCGGCCTTTTTTTTTTTTTTTGATACAGGGTCTCACTGTGTCACCCAGGCTGGAGTGCAGTGGTATGATCTCTGCTCACTGCAACCTCCGCCTCCTGGGCTTGAGGGATTCTCTTCCCTCAGCCTCCTGAGTAGCTGGGATTACAGGTGCCCACCACCATGGCTGGCCAATTTTTGTATTTTTAGTAGAGATGGGGTTTCATCATGTTGTCCAGGCTGGTTTCGAACTCCTGGCTTCAAATGATCTGCCCAACTCGGCCTCCCAAACTGTTGTGATTATGGGCGTGAGCCACTGTGCCGGGCTGACTTACCAATTTTTAAAAACCCATTCTTTTTGTCTTCTCTTGATAGAATTATAATCTCCATAAGATCAGGGATCTTTGCCTGTTTTGTTTATTCCTGTATCCCCAAAGCCTGAGATGATGCCTAGAACATAGTAGTAGTTCAGCAAGTATGTGTTAATTGAATGAATATGCTTCACTTCTCATTTGCTCTTCTAAAAATACCACTGTCTAACATACTTTAACTATTTGGCATACATCTTCAAGTGTACTGCTTTATGGCTACCCCAAAGAAAGACAACCTAAAGTTTTGTGAATAGTTTTATTCAACTCCAAGTGCAGAATGTCTGCAATCTTATTTTTCCAATACATAAACTGAAAATGTTAAAATGTATCCCTAAACATTCTATATAAAATATTGGGAGAAGAGAAAACAAGAGTATGATACAGTAAAAGGAGAAATTCAGGTAGAGACTATGACTCTTGCTTAGGTAACTGGTCACAAGGCAATAATTGGTAATCATAATATTCTTCCTAAAATATCCATTTTGTGTGTGTGTGTATATATATATATATATATATATATATATATATATATATATATTTTTTTTTACCTCAGTTAATGGTGGTATTTTACTTGGTTTACTAAACCTTCAATCCTGAGGGGTCTAAGCCTGTGTGATGTTGTAATAATCTTCCTTTAGCTTTTAAAAAACATTTTGGCTGGGTGTGATGGCTCACACCCATAATCTCAGCACTTTGGGAGGCCAGTCTCAGCACTTTGGGAGGATAGCTTGAGGCCTAGGCAACATAGTGAGACCCTGTTTCTATGAAAAATAAAATTAGCTGGTCGTGATGGCACTTGCCTATAGTCCTAGCTACTCAGGAGACTGAGGCCGGAGGATTGCTTGAGCCTATTAAGCCTGCAGTAAGCTGTGATCACACCACTGTACTCCAGCCTGGGTGACAGAGCGAGACCCTGTCTCATAAAACAAATAAATAAAACCATTTTTATTCCACCACAAAAATGAGCATGAAAAAGATTTTAAAAATTGAACTGTAACACACAGAAAAGTAAACAAAGCAACTTCCATTTCTGGAAATGATGGGATAATCGATACTGCACCTACTCTCTCCCCATAAACAACTGTAAAACTAACCAACATATAATGAGGCAACTATTTTGAGACATTGCACAATAAGTACTCTAGGAGAACAATCCTTGAGAAACGAAAGCCACACGAGGAGAGCCCCATGTTCACTCAGTTCTCTGACTAGGGGCAGTTTTCGGATTGTAGCACAGGAAGGTGAAGTTCAAACACGGCACATTGTTCTCACTGGACAAAGGAAGCAAAGATCACAGTTTGGGTTTTGAAGAGGAAGGACATAGACAGTGTCCCCCGGATGTTGGTGTGGGTGTTCCCTGTGGGTCTTTTTAAAAGTTTTTATTTTATTTTTGACATGGAGTCTCACTCTGTTGTCCAGGCTGGAGTGCAGTGTTGTGATCTCGGCTCATTGCAACCTCCGCCTCCCAGGTTCAAGTGATTCTCCTGCCTCAGCCTTTCAAGTAGCTGGGACTACAGGCGTCCGCCACCATGCCCAGCTAATTTTTGTATTTTTAGTAGAGATGGGGTTTTGCCATGTTGGCCAGGCTGGTCTTGAATTCCTGACCTCAGGTGATCCACCCACCTCGGCCTCCCAAAGTATCGAGATTACAGGCATGAGCCACCATGCCCGGCCCCTGTGGGTCTTTTCAGAAAATTTAAATTTGTGAGAGAAAAACATCTGAACATCAGGTACAGTCTGATCTACAAAGATTCAACAGTATGTCACTGCCCAGGTGTGGTAGCTCACATCTGTACTACCAGCACTTTGGGAGGCCAAGGCAGAAGGATCACTTGAGGCCAAGAGTTTGAGACCAGCCCTTGAAACATAGTGAGATCCCATCTCTACAAAAAATTTAAAAATTAGCTGGTGTGGAGGTACATGCCTGTAGTTCCAGCTACTTGGGAGGCTGAGGTGGGAGGATTGCCTGAGCCTGGGAGTTCGAGGCTGCAGTGAGTGTGGTTGTGGCTCTGCACTCCAGCCTGGGTGACAGAGGGAGACCCTGTCTCAAAAACAAAAAACCCGAAAAAATAAAAAAACAAAACCCACCACCACAACAGACAGACCCCCAAAACAAAAAAAACCTGTCATAACTCATTCCTGGACTACTCTTATGTAGTTTGCAGGAGAAATTCCAGGTGGAGCATCAGCTGAACATTTATCTAAATTCATAAAGTCATGTAAACTGAGTATTACACAATACATCATGACTACAAACTACAAAATAGGCAATTTAGGCCCCTTTTTATTTATTCATTTATTTATTTATTTTGAGACGGAATTTTGCTCTTGTCACCCAGACTAGAATGCAATGGCACAATCTCAGCTCACTGCAACCTCCACCTCCCGGGTTCAAGCCATTCTCCTGCCTCAGCCTCCTGAATAGCTGGGATTACGGGCGTCTGCCACCATGCCCGGCTAATTTTTTTGTATTTTTAGTAGAGACAGGGTTTCACCATGTTGGCCAGACTGGTCTCGAACTTCTGACCTCAGGTGATCCACCTGCCTCAGCCTCCCAATATGCTGAGATTACAGATGTGAGCCACTGTGCCCGGCCAGGCTCCTTTTTAAAAATGAAAAAAAATTTCTATTACAGGCTTATTTTGAGCATTTTCAGTTAGATGATAGCTTTATTTTTACTCGCAATTGATAGCAACAGAATACCTTCTCAAGTATCTATAGGCAAAATATGTTACTTGTGTGATGTTTGCATCCTGAAGTATACTTCGACATATGTGAGTTCACATGAGATAATGAAACCACTGTGACAAGATCCTGGCTGATGATCAAGACTTGGATACTTTTCATATTTAAAACATTTACAGTAGGGAGCCGGGCGTGGTGGCTCACGCCTGTAGTCCCAGCACTTTGGGAGGCCGAGGCGGGCGGATCACAAGGTCAGGAGATCAAGACCATCCTGGCTAATACGGTGAAACCCCGTCTCTACTAAAAATACAAAAATTAGCTGGGTGTGGTGGCGGGTTCCTGTAGCCCAGCTACTCGGGAGGCTGAGGCAGGAGAATGGCGTGAACCCAGGAGGCGGAGCTTGCAGTAAGCTGAGATTGCACCACTGCACTCCAGCCTGGGCGACAGAGCGAGACTCCGTCTCAAAAAAAAAAAAAAAAAAATTTACATCAGGGAAAAAAGCAAGAACATACAGAGAAGCAACACCATTTCTTTTCTTTCTTTTTTTTTTTTTTCCAGATGGAGTTTCACTCTTGTTGCCCAGGCTGGAGTGCAATGGCGTGACCTCGGCTGGCTGCAACCTTCACCTCCCGGGTTCAAGCGATTCTCCTGCCTCAGCCTCCCGAGTAGCTGGGATTACAGGTGTGCGCTACCGTGCCCGGCTAATTTTTTGTATTTTTAGTAGAGATGGGGTTTCACCATATTGGTCAGGCTGGTCTCAAACTCCTGACCTCAGGTTATCCACCCACCTCGGCCTCCCAAAGTGCTGGGATTACAGGCATGAGCCACCGCGCCCGGCCGGACACCATTCTTTTTCAATGAAACAGTCTAATTCCAGAGAATGAGACTTCCAGTTTGAATGCAAAGTGTGTGGTCCCAAAGTTGAATTCTTTTGAACCCAAGTACATGCCTGCGGTTGGGAGGAACACTTAAAGATGAAGCAAGTTCGGAGGAAAGTGTTAACTGAACTACAGAGATGGTCACTGATAAAACAAGTTCTTAGAAGTTCTCAGACACACCCAGAGGTGAAGGGCAGCCAAAACTATCAACACAATGGAAAAATGAGCTCACCCAACTGCACACACAGAGCTTCTAGAAGGGTTAACAGCTCTTGCCATAGGTTCCTGGTTGTAGTTTACAATATCTGCCTTTACCACCCTCTGTGACTGTTCTATTTCTGCTTTGTTTAATTTGATTCCAAGGATTTCAGCAACAACTTTTTGAAAACACAGGAAGACAGAGTCTCTTGCCTTGGCTGAAACAAAGTGGCTATTAAAACCATTTTCCTGGCAAAACCGTAAGTGTTTTTCAGGTTTTACTGTTTGATTATGCTCCAAATCAATTTTATTGCCCACTAAGGTAACCAGCGGCTGAGTTTCTGACTCTTCACTCACTTTCTTCACTAATCTTCTAAAAATTCTCAAAGCTTTGATAACTTGTAATACCATATACCAAGATGATTTCCTGTGCTCCATAGATGGATCTGTCCAACATTTTGCTTCTTATTGTCCGGCCTCCTGTATCCCAAACTAGAGAGTAACATTCAAGTTTCCTGGCAATGTTATCCTTCTCAAAAGAAATCCAGTCCTATAGTTTGTACTGGTTCCTGAAAGTTTTTTGAGCAAAATCTGTAGCTAAGGAGGTCTTCCGGGAGGTGCTGTTCCCTAGCACGATGATTTTCAGTGCTGGTCCTGGCTCTCTTCCTTAGAGTCCTACATGATGTCCCAGGAACCATGCCTGCCCCGCTCCCCCGGGTGGAGGGAGGAGGGGAAGGAGAAGGTCTCCAGGGGTGAGGGAGGAAGAAGGGAGGGTAGTGGGGACAGTACCTCACTTGTCTGCTCGATGTCAGCAGTGGCTGGAGAATCTCTCGCCAGGTGCCATCTTGCCAATCTCTTCTCCCTCTGCCCTCTGTGGGTCTTTTGTTGAGGGCTGGGCTGTACATGCATAGTATGAGATTCTGTGAGGCCTAGAAAAGAGCAGCTGCTATGGGGTTGAAAGAAGAATGGAGAAGGCCGGGTGCAGTGGCTCATGCCTGTAATCCCAGCATTTTGGGAGGCCGAGGTGGGTGGATCAGTTGAAGTCAGGAGTTTGAGACCAGCCTGGCCAACATGGTGAAACCCCATCTCTACTGAAAATACAGAAATTAGCTGGGTATGGTGGCACATGCCTGTAGTACAAGCTACTTGAGAGGCTGAGGCAGGAGAATGGTTTGAACCTGGGAGGTAGAGGTTGCAGTGAGCCAACATTGCGTTATTGCACTCCAGCCTGGGTGACAGAGCAAGACTCTGTCTCAAAAAAAAAAAAAAAAAAAAAAAAAGAATGGAGATACTAGAGGTTGCACAGTGCTGAGAAATATGAGGTTCTGACCTAGCCAGAGTGGAGAGAACTTTTTAACATCATAGGCATTCAATTGAAAAACCACACCTTAGGGGAAAGAACCACCTCCTAGAGTAAAGACTACTCTAGGCAGGGTGTGGTGGCTCACACCTGTAATCCCAGAACTTTGGGAGGCCAAGGTGGGCGAATCACGAGGTCAGGAGTTTGAGACTGGCCTGGCCAATATGGTGAAACCCCGTCTCTACCAAAAATATAAAAATTAGCTGGGTGTGGTGGCAGGTGCCTGTAGTCCCAGCTACTCAGGAGGCTGAGGTGGGAGAATGGCTTGAACCTGGGAGGCAGAGGTTGCAGTGAGCCGAGATCACGCCACTGCACTCCAGCCTGGGTGACAGAGTGAGACTCCATCTCAAGAAAAAAAAGAAAAAAAAGATGAGAAGAGAACAGATGGAAAATTAGAGAAGGGGAGGCCAATGAAAGGTAGAGAAAGGAAAGAAAGGGAAGAGGTGCACAGAAAAAAAAAGGTGGGGCTGGGCGTGGTGGCTCCCACCTGTAATCCCAGCACTTTGGGAGGCCGAGGTGGGCGGATCATGAGGTCAGGAGATCGAGACCATCCTGGCTAACATGGTGAAACCCCGTCTCTACGAAAAATACAAAAAAATTAGCCGGGTGTGGTGGTGGGCACCTGTAGTCCCAGCTACTAGGGAGGCTGAGGCAGGAGAATGGCGTGAACCTGGGAGGCAGAGCATGCAGTGAGCTGAGATCACGCCACTGAATAGAGCCCCAGAGACCTGTGGGACAATAACAAAAGAAGTAAATAACACATATCGCAAGAGTTACAGAATAAGAAGTGAGAGAAAATGTGGGGTTGAAAATATATTGGATGAAGTAAGGCTGAAATTTTCCTAAATTTTGTGAAAGGTATAAACTTACAGATTCAAGAAGTTGCGAATGAATGCCAAAGAGGATAAACTCAAAGAAATACATGCTAAGATACTTTTTTTTTCTTTTTTTTAGAGGAGTCTCACTCTGTCGCCCAGGCTGGAGTGCAGTGGCGTAATCTCGCCTCACTGCAACCTCCGCCTCCCGGTTTCAAGTGATTCTCCTGCCTCAGCCTCCCGAGTAGCTGGGATTACAGGCACCTACCATCACACCCAGCTAATTTTTGTATTTTTAGTAGAGATGGGGATTCACCGTGCTGGCCAGGCTGGTCTTGAACTCCTGACCTCAGGTAATCCCCCCGCCTCGGCCTCCCAAAGTGCTGGGATTACAGGCATGAGCCACCGTGCCTGACCTGCTAAGACACATCTTAATGAAACTTTTGAAAACTAAAAGGAAAAGTCTTGAAAGTGGCTACAGAGAAATGATGTGTTGTATATAGGGGAACACCAATTTGAATGGCAGCAAATTTTTCACCTGAAACAATGGAGGTCAGAAGGCAGTGGCACAATATTTTTCAAGTTATCTCAAGAAGATAACTATCAATTACAAATTCTATCTCTGGTGACGATATCCTTGAGGAATGAAGGAGAAATAAAGACATTTTTACACAAAGAAAACAGAGAATTTGATGCTAGCAGACCTACTCTCAAAGAATGGCTGATGGAAGTTCTCCAAACAAAGGAAATTATAACAGAAGACATGGAACTTCAAAAAGAAAAAAGAACAATGGAATAGGTAAAAGTAGGAATAAGAATAATAGACTATCTTCAACAGTTTTAGAAATATGTGGTGGTTGAACCAAAGTCTTATCATCTGATATGGTACTCAGTGTTTGTAGAGGAAATGTACATTGTCACTACATACACTTTGCATATAATTATATTTTTAAATAGATGTAATACATAAATATGTTTTAGGAGTGGGGAGGGTAAAGAGACCTAAATGGAAGCAAAGTTTCTGCACTTCATTCAAAATATAAATTGTATAAATTGTTGATATCACTAGACTGTGACTAGTTATATATTTATATTGTGATAGAGTGACCACTAAGCCTATACAAAGTGATATGTTCAAAAATACTATAGCTAATTCAAGATATAATTCTACAGAATGTTTAAGAAACTCACATGAGGCCGGGCGCGGTGGCTCACGCTTGTAATCCCAGCACTTTGGGAGGCTGAGGCGGGCGAATCACCGGAGGTCAGGAGTTCGAGACCAGCCTGGCCAGTATGGTGAAACCCCATCTGTACTAAAACTACAAAAATTAGCCGGGCATGGTAGCTCATGCCTGTAATCCCAGCTACTCGGGAGGCTGAGGCAGGAGATTCAGTTGAACCTGGGAGGTGGAGGTTGCAGTGAGCCGAGATGGCGCCATTGCACTCCAGTCTGGGCAACACAGCAAGACTCTGTCTCAAAAAAAAAAAAAAAAAAACATGAAAGAAAGTAAAGAAAAACAGGAATGAGAAACTGAGAAACAGAAGGGACAGAAAAAAAATAAATGGCAAACATAAGCCCTAACACATCAATAATTATTATGAATTTTAATGATCTGAATACACTAATTGTAATACAAATTGGAAGAGTAGATACAGAATGTAATCCAACTATGTGCTATGTACAGTAAGCTGACTTCAAAACATGGTTGACATAGGTAAGTTGAAAGTAAAAGGATAGAAAAAGATGTGTCATAGAAGTATTAATATACTAATGAAATAATCAGGAGTGTATTAATATCAGATGCAGTAGACTTCAAAGCAAAGAAAATTACTAGGGATAAAGAGGGGCATTATTTATTGATGAAAGGATCAATCTAAAGAAGACATAATGATCCTTACTTTTGTATGCACCAAACAACAAAGCTTAAGCTACATAAATAAAAACTGATAGAATTAAGAAGAAATTTAAAAATCCATAATTGTAGATGGGATTTCAGTATCCACACCCAGTATTGACAGACTACTGTAAATATAATCAGCAAAGATATAGAAGAACTGAAGAATGTCATCAACTAAGAGGATCCAATTGACATTTATAGAACACTTTACCCAACAACAGAATACACGTTACTTTCAAGTGTCCATAAACTATTCACCAAGATAGAACCATATCCTGGGTCATAAAACTCAATTAAAGAAAAATTCAACTCAGAGCATATTCATTTTCTGTTGCTGCTATAACAAATTACCACATATTTAGTGGTTTAGATAATTACAAATATCTTACATTTCTGTAAGTCAGGTGTCTGACATGGGTCTCAGGTTAAAATCAAGGCACCAGAAGAGCTGCATTCCTTTCTTTTTTTTTTTGAGATGGAGTTTTGCTCTTCTTGCCCAGACTGGACTGCAATGGTGCGATCTCGGCTCACCACAACCTCTGCCTCCCGGGTTCAAGCGATTCTCCTGCCTCAGCCTCCGGAGTAGCTGGGATTATGGGCATGCCCCACCATGCCCAGCTAATTTTGTATTTTTAGTAGAGATGGGGTTTCTCCATGTTGGTCAGGCTGGTCTCGAACTCCTAACCTCAGGTGATCCACCTGCCTCAGTCTCCAAAGTTCTGGGATTACAGGCATGAGCTACTGTGCCTGGCCGGCTGCATTCCTTTCTATAGGTTCTAAGGGAGAATCCATTTCCTTACTCAGTTGTTGACATACTTCAATTCCTTGTGGTTGTAGGAATGAAGTCCATATTTACTTGTAGACTATAAACTGAAGATGTTCCCAGCTTTTAGAGGCTAACAGATTCCTTGGCTTGTGTCTCGCTTCCTTCATCTTCAAAGTCAGCAATGGCAGATTAAATCCTTGTCATGCTGCAACTCTTTTTTTTGCTTCCCTCTTCCACTTTTTTTTTTTTTAGACCCAGTTTCGCTCCTGTTGCCCAGGCTGGGGTGCAGTGGCGTGATCTTGGCTCATTGCAACTTCCACCTCCCGGGTTCAAGCGATTCTCCTGTCTCAGCCTCCCAAGTAGCTCTGATTACAGGCATGCGCCACCACGCCCTGCTAATTTTGTATTTTTAGTAGAGATGGGGTTTCGCCATGTTGCTCAGGCTGGTCTCGAACTCCTGACCTCAGGTAATCCACCCACCTTGGCCTCCCAAAGTGCTGGGATTACAGGCGTGAGCCACCTTGCCTGGCACCTCTTCCACTTTTATGATTAGATTGGGCCCATGTGGATAAACCAGGGCAATCTCCTATTTTTAGTAAACTGATTAGCATCTTTAATTTCATCTGCAATCTTAATTCCTCTTTGCCATGTATCATAAGATATATACAGGTTCCAAAGATTAAGATGTAGACATCTTTGGGTGGCCATTATTCTGCCTACCACACACAATATGTCCTCTGACTGTAATGGAACCAAACTGGAAATCAGTAATAGAAATACATACCACCACGCCTGGCTAATTTTATTTTTGTAGAGATGGGGTCTCGCTGCTCAGGCCAGTCTGGAGCTCCTGGGCTTATGTGATCCTCTTGCCTTGGCATCCCAAAGTGGTGGGATTATAGGCATGAACCACTGCACCCGGCTTAATTTACGTTTTATAGTGTGCAATTCAATGTTTTGGGTTTTTTTTTCTTTTTAAAGCATATTTACAGAGTTGTGCAACCGTCACCACTATCTAACTTAAGAATATTTTAGCCAGGCATGGTAGGTAGCACGTGCCTGTAGTCCATGCTACTTGGGAGGCTGAGGCAAGAGGATTGCTCGAGCCCAGGAGGTTAAGGCTGCAGTGAGCTATGATCACACCCACTGTACGTCAGTCTGCTTGACAGAGTGAGACCTTGTTTCAAAAAAAAAAAATAAAATTTCTATCACCCTAAAAAGAAACCCCATACTTACTCTTAGTCACTTGCTATTCCTTTTTGTCCCTGGGCCCGGAAATAACTACGTTCTGTTTCTATGAATTTTCCTATTCTGTACTTGCATATAAATTGAATCATACAATATTTAGTCTTTCATGACTGGCTTCTTAGAATGTTTTTGAAGTTCATGCACATTGAGGTACACATCAGTACTTCATCTCTTGGTCAAATAATATTACATTGTATGAATGTATCACATTTGCTTTGTCCATTCATCAGTTGATAGATATTTGGGAGTTACACTTTTTGTCTATGATGAATAATGCTGCTGTGAACATTCCTGAGCAGGTTTTGGTAAGAACCCCTGTGTTTTCAGTTCTTCGGGGTATATACCTCAGAGTAGAATTGCTGGGTCCTAAGGTAACTAACTCATTGTTTACCATTTTGAGGAAATACAAAACTATTTTCCAAAGTGGCTATACCATTTTACAATTTCATGAAAGAGAAATTTATAATACTAAATGATGCTTATATTAGAAAAAAGGAAAGATCTCAAATTAATAATCTAAATTAATAATCTAAGTTCCTGATTCAAGCAACTAGAAAAAGAAAAGCAAATGAAACCAAAGGACTGGACGCAATGGCTTATGCCTGTAATCCCAGCACTTGGGGAGGCTGAGGCAGGAGGATTGCTTGATCCCAGGAGTTCAAGACCAGCCCAGACAACTAGTGGGACCCTATCTCTACTAAAAAAAAAGTTAAAAAATAAACCAAAGAAAGCAGAAGAAACAGTGCAAGAAGAGAAATCACTGAGGCCGAGCGTGGTGGCTCATGCCTGTAATCCCAGCACTTTGGGAGGCCGAGGTGGGAGGATCACTTGAGGTCGGGAGTTTGAGACTAGCCTGGCCTACATGGTGAAACACTGTCTCTACTAAAAATACAAAAATTAGCTGGGCGTGGTGGCACATGCCTGTAATCCCAGCTATTTGGGAGGCCGAGGCAGGAGAATAGCTCGAACCCGGGAGCCGGAGATTGCAGTGAGCCGAGATTGAGCCACTGCATTCCAGCCTGGGCCACAGAGTGAGACTCCATCTCAAAAAAAAAAAAAAAGATCACTTGAAAACAGGAAAACAATAGAGAAACCAATAAAACAAAAATTTGTTCTTCTAAAATGTGGTACATATACACAATGAAATTCATCCATAAATAAAGAAGAAAATCTTGTCATTTGTAACAGCATGGATGGAGCTGGAAGATATTATGTTAAGCAAGATAAGCCAGGTACAGAAAGACAAATATTGCATGTTATTACTCATATTTGAGAGCTAAAAAAAAAACATTGAACTCATGAAGATAGAGAGTAGAATGATGGTTACCAGAGGCTGGGAAGAGTAGTGGGAAGAGAGGATAAAAAGTGATGGTTAATGGTAGAAATACAGTTAGATACAAGGAATAAGATCTAATGTTCACTAGCATGATAGGGCAACTATAGTTATCTCTAATTTATTGTATATTTTGAAATAACTGAAAGAGTGGAATTTGGAATGTTCAAAGGCTTGAGCTGATGGATACCTCAATTACCCTGATATGATTATCATACATTGTACACATATCAAAATATCACATGTATCCAATAAATAAGTACAACTATTATGTATCAATAACAAAATTAAAAATGTTAAAATCTATGTTGCAAAAAACCTGGTTATTCTTTTTTTTTTTTTTTTTTTTTTTTTTTTTTTTGAGACAGAGTCTTGCTCTGTCATCAAGCTGGAGTGCAGTGGTGCGATCTCGGCTCACTACAACCTCTGCCTCCCTAAAACTAGTTATTCTTAAAAAATGAAAATAAAATTGATAAACCTGTAGCAAGACTGACAAAGATAAAAAGAGAGACAACGTAAGTACCACTATCAGGATTCAAACAGTGATATCACTACAGAGTCTATAGTTGTTAAAAAAATGAAAAAGAAAATATTAGGACCAACTTGACACTCATAAACTTGACAACTTAGAAGAAACTGGTCAGTTTTTCCAAAACCATGCAGATACCCAAACTAAATCAAGATAAAACAAATTGAGCCAGGCGCAGTGGCTCATGCCTGTAATTCCAACACTTTGGGAGGCTGAGGGGAGGTTCACTTGAGCACAGTAGTTTGAAAACAACAACGGCTGGGCGCGGTGGCTCGTGCCTGTAATCCCAGCACTTTGGAAGGCTGAGGCGGGCAGATCACCTGAGGTCGGGAGTTCGAGACCATCCATGACCAACATGGAGAAACCCCATCTCTACCTACCTAAAATACAAAATTAGCCGGGCGTGGTGGTGCATGCCTGTAATCCCAGCTACTCGGGAGGCTGAGGCAGGAGAATCGCTTGAACCCGGGAGGCAGAGGTTGCAGTGAGCCGAGATGGCGCCATTGCACTCCAGCCTGGGCAACAAGAGTGAAACTCCATCTCAAAAAAAAAGCAACAACAACAACAAAAAACCCCCAAATCATCAGAATAGTCCTTTAACCATTAAAGAAAATGAATTCATAACTAAAAGGCTTCTAAAAAAGAAATCTCCGTGCTTATATCACTTTGTTCACTGAAGAATCATCCCAAACATTTAAAGAATTAACATCAGTATTACACAATCTCCCCCCAGAAATAGAAGAGGATGGAACACTTCCTAGCTCATTTTATGAGGCCACTATTACTGTGATCCCAAAACTGAAGAGAGCACAAAAGCAAAAACTATAAACTAATGTCTCTCATAATAAATGTGGAAACAAAAATCCTTAATAAAATATTAGCAAATCAGGCTGGGCCCAGTGGCTCACACCTGTAACCCCAGCACTTTGGGAGGCCAAGGCAGCCAAATTGCTTGAGGCTGGGAGTTCGAGACCAGCCTGGCCAACATGGGGAAACTCTGTCTCTACTAAAAATACAAAAGTTAGCTGGGAGTGGTGGTGCACGCCTGTAATCCCAGCTACTTAGTAGGCTGAGGCAGGAGAATTCGCTTAAACCTGGGAGGTGGAGGTTACAGTGAGCCGTGATCATGCCACTGTACTCCAGCCTGGGTGACAAAGCCAGACTGTCTCAAATATATATATATGTGTTTGTGTGTGTGTGTGTGTGTATCTCAAATGCAGCAACACACAAATTATATACCACAACTGTGATGATTGATTTTGGGTGTCGACTGGTTAAGGAATTCTGGAAAACTGGTAAATAATTCATTATTCTTAATGTTTCATTAAGCACCGAGCCCATCCCTCTTCTGCTTAAAGGGAAACTCAGGTAGTTTGGCATTTGATTAGAATGATTTGGCTGCTCCAGGTGTGTCTGTGACGGTGTTTCCAGAGGAGATTGGCATTTGAGTTGGTGAACTGAATGGACAAGATTTGCCCTCATGTTGGTGAGCACCGTTCAATCAGCTGTGAGCCTGGGTGTAACACAAGGTTGGGGGAAGAAAAAAATTCTTGCTCTTTCTTCTGGAGCCAGGTCACCCTTCTTCTCCTGCCCTTAGATTTAAGAAATCCAGTTGTTTCTCTGGCCTTTGGGACTCACACCAGCAGCCACCTGGGCTCTGGGGCCTTGAGCCTCAGGCTGAGCATTACACCATCAGCTTCCCTGGGTTGGAGGTCTTTGAACTGGAACTGAGCCATGCCACTGGCTTTCCTGGTTCTCAGACTTACAGATGGCCTATTGTAGGACTTCTCAGCTTCCATAATTGAGTGAGCCAATTCCCCTAATAAATCCCTTCTCATATATCTCTTTCTATGTATATTCCATTGGTTCTTTCTGGGGAACCTTGACTAAAACAGGTTAAGAGATTTAAACCAGTAATGCAAGACTGGCTCAATATTCAAAGATCAATTAATGTAGTCCACCATATCAATAGACTAAGGAAGAAAATAGGCTGGATGCGATGGCTTACACCTGTAATCCCAGCACTTTGGGAGGCCGAGGTGGGCAGATCATTTGAGGTCAGGAGTTTGAGACCAGCCTGGCCAACATGGTGAAACCCTGTCTCTACCAAAAACACAAAAATTAGCCGGGCATGGTGGCACACACCTATAGTCCCAGCTACTTGGGAGGCTGACATGGGAGGATCGCTTGAGCCTAGGAGGCGGAGGTTGCAGTGAGCCAAGATTGCGCCACTGCACTCCAACCTGGGCGACAGTGAGACCCTGTTCCCCAAGCCCTCCCATCAGCCCCCCACCAAAAAGAAAATAATATTATATTGATTGATGCAGAAAGCATATACAAGATTATTCAAAATTTTTCATGAAAAGGAACAGTCTCTAAAATACTTAAAACAAACTTGAGAAAGAATAAAGTAGGAGAAATTACTCTACTTGATGTTAAAGGCTAATACATAAATCCTATAATCTGGACAATGTGGTATTGGTTGAGGGGTAGCCAGCCATAAAGATTAACAGGACAGAATAGACAACCCAGAAATAGACCCACACAAATATGCCTAAGACATTTGTTGTTTTTTGTTTTTGAGGCAGAGTTTCGCTCTTGTTGCCTAGGATGGAGCGCAATGGCATGATCTTGGCTCACTGCAACCTCCGCCTCCCGGGTTCAAGTGATTCTTCTGCCTCAGCCTCCCGAGTAGCTGGGACTACAGGCATGCACCACCACACCTGGCTTGTTTTTTAGTAGAGATGGGGTTTTGCCATGTGGGCCAGGCTGGTCTTGGACTCCTGACCTCAAGGGATCCGCCTGCCTCAGCCTCCCAAAGTGCTGGGATTACAGACATGAGCCACCACGCCTAGCTGCCTAAAAGATTTTTGACAATGGCATAAAAGTAACTCAAGGGAGGAAGAATAGCATTTTTAACAAACAGTGCTAGAACAATTGGACATCTAGGTTAAAAATAAAAAAAGCTAATCTTAACCTAAACCTCATGACTTATACAAAATTAATTCCAAATGGATCTCATATTTAAATATTAAGTGTAAAATTATAAAACTTTTGGGAAAAAAAGTATGACAAAATCTGTTGGACCTAAAGACAGGTGAAGAGTTTTTGGATTTGACACCAAAGTGCAATCCACAAAGGAAACAAAATGGATAAATTGAACTTCATCAAAATAAAAAAATTTTGATCTGCAAAAGACCTTGTTAAGAGAATAAAAAGACTAGGCCAAGACTGAGAAAATATTTGCAAACCACATATCTGACAAAAGCCCTGGATCTATAATATATAAAGAGCTCTCAAAATTCAACAGTTAAAAAAACAAGCATTTCAATTAGAAATTGAGCTAAAGAGGGCCGGGTGTGGTGGCTCACACCTGTAATCCCAGTACTTTGGGAGGCCGAGGTGGGTGAATCACCTGAGGTCAGGAGTTCGAGACCAGTCTGGCCAACATGGTGAAACCCTGTCTCTATTAAAAATACAAAAATCAGCCGGACGTGGTGGCAGGTACCCGTAATCTCAGCTACTCGGGAGGCTGAGGCAGGAGAATCGCTTGAACCTGGGAGGTGGAGGTTGCAGTGAGCCGAGATCTTGCCACTGCATTCCAGCCTGGGTGACAGAGCGAGACTTGGTCTCAAAAAAAAAAAAAAAAGAAAAGAAATTGAGCTAAAGATATGAACAGACATTCACTGAAAAGGACAACGGATGGTAAGTAAGCACATAATAAGATGGCCAACATCATTAGCCATTACAGAAATGAAAATTAAAACTGTAGTGAGATATCGCTATATAACTATCAGGTTGGCTAACATTAAAAAAAATAGTGACAACCTGTATTATTCCATTCTCACACTGCTATAAAGATACTGTCTGAGACTGGGTAATTTATAAAGGAAAGGGGTTTAGTTGACTCACAGTTCTGCATGGCTCCGGAGTCCGCAGGAAACTTACAATCATGGTGTAAGGGGAAGCAGGCACATTTTACGTGGTGGCAGGTGAGACAGTATGTGAGAAGGAACTGTCAAACACTTATAAAACCATCAGATCTCATGAGAACTCACTCACTATTGTGAGAACAGCATGGGGGAAATACCCCCATGATCCAATCACCTCCCACCAGGTCCCTCCCTCAACACGTGGGGATTATGTAGATTACAATTCGAGATGAGATTTGGGTGAGACACAGAGCCAAACCATATCAACACCATATGCTGGTAAGGACTTACCAAGCTGGATCACTCATACATTGCTGGTAACAATGTAAAAGTGGTATAGCCACTCTGGAGAATATTTTTGTAGTTTCTTAAAAAATTATACCTCACTTACTGTATGATACGGCAAGTGCACTCTTGGGCACTTATCCTAGAGAAATGAAAACTTAGGTTCATAAACCTGTATGTGAATGTTGAAAGCAGCTTCCTTCCTTCCTTCCTTCCTTCCTCCCTCCCTCCCTCAAGCAGCTTCCTTCCTTCCTTCCTTCCTTCCTTCCTTCCTTCCTTCCTTGTTTCCTTCCTTCCTCCTTCCCTCCCTCCCTCCCTCCCTTCCTTGACAGAGCGTAGCTCTGTCACCCAGGAGGCTGGAGTGCAGTGGCGTGATCTTGACTCACTGCAACCTCTGCTGCCACCACCCCTGGCTAATTTTTGTATTTTTTGTAGAGACAGGGTTTTGCCATATTGGCCAGGCTGGTCTCACTCCTGACCTCAAATCGATCTGCCCACCTTGGCTTTCAAAAGTGCTGGGAGTACAGGCATGAGCCTCTGTGTCTGGCTGAAAGCAGCTTTCTTTATACTAGCCCAAACTGCAAATAACCCCAACATACTTCAATGGGTGAATGGTTAAACAAAATGTGCTATATCCATATCATGAAATACTACACAGCAAAAAAGAATGTACTATCAATACATGCAAATACCTAGATAAATCTCCAGAGAATTATGCTGAGTGAAAAAGTCAACCTCAAAAGGTTGCATAATGTATGATTTCATTTAAATAACATTCTTAAAATAACAAGATTATAGAGATGGGGAACAGATCAATAGTTGCCAAGGAGTGGGGCATGGAGGGGCTGAATGTGGCTATAGAGACTGAATGAAGGAGCATTATCATGATGGAACAATTCTACATTTTGATTGTGGTGATGATTCCATGAATCTACACATGTAAGAAACATGTAGATTAACACCTGGCCTCTCATCAGAAACAATGGATGCCAGCAGGCAGTAAGATGATATATTCCAAGTGCTTAAAGAAAAATCTTTCAAGCAGGAATCTATATGCAGCAAAAGTATTCTTCAAAACTGAAGGCAAAATAAATTCCCAAACGAATGATAAAATATATTGCTAGCATAACTGCCTTACAAGAAATTAGAAGAATAAACCCAAAAGAAATGCCAAAAGAAGTTCTTTAGGGAGAAAATAATGAACACTAGAGATTAAATCTAATCCACAGAAACAAATGAAAAGCACAAGTAAAAGTAATTATGTAGGCAATTATAAACCGTGTAAGGTGTATGTATCTCCACACACACACACACACACGGAGTTTTCTAAAAGTTCATGGAATTGCAATATTATGAAAAAACTATACATGGATTCCAAAAATTTTAGCATCCAAATAAACTTGCACTAACTTGTTATAACATACCTTAACAACCTCTAGTTTGAGGTATGAAAAGGATAAGACATCAGTTTGGAAATAGCCTCTATCAGAGCAACATGACTTCTGCCAAATTTGAAGTTAGAACAAACATTATGGTGAAGCTTGGGTGGAAGAATGGTGAAATCATTGATGCATTATGAAAAGTTTGTGGGGACAAAGCTCCAAAGAAATCAGCAGTTTACAAATGGATAACTCATTTCCTTTTTATTTTTTGAGACAGGGTCTTGCTCTGTCACCTAGACTGGAGTACAGTGGCATGTTCATGGCTCACTGAAGCCTCAACCTCCCAGGCTCAAGTGATCCTCCTACCTCAGCCTCCCTATTAGCTGGGACTACAGGTGTGCACCACTATGCCCAGCTAATTTTTGTATTTTTTGTAGAGATAGAGTTTCACCATAATGCCCAGGCTGGTCTTGAACTTCTGCAAGTGATCTGCCCGCCTCGGCCTGCCAAAGTGTTGGGATTGCAGGCGTCAGCCACTGTGCCCAGCACGGATAACTCATTTTAAGAAGGGATGAGACAATGTTGAAGATGAAGCCCACAGTGGCAGACCATCCACATCAGTTTGTGAGGAGAAAAGTTGCTCCTTCAGTTGGTGCTCTTTCAATTAAGGCATGAGTTCATCTTGCTCATGCCCTAATTGAAGGAGTACCTAATAATCACCAATGATCAGCGACAGAACCAATAGCCAACATCATAGACCCTTCAGTTGGTTCCGCTCACCCAATTCTGACTGAAAAACTAAAGTTGAGCAAATTTTCTACTTGATGGGTGCCAATACCATTGTAGCCAGATCAGCTTCAGACAAGAACAGAGCTTTCAAAGGAAATCTTAAATAAGCGGGATCAAGATTTTGAAGCACTTCTTTGAAGACTTGTAACAGGATATGAAACGTTGCCTTACCAGTACAATCCTGAAGGCAAAGCACAAAGCAATGGCTACCAACAGTTGGAGTGGTTCAGTCAAAGCAAAAGCACAGTAGTCAAGAACAAAGGTCATGGCAACAGTGTTTACAGATGCTCAAGGCATTTTGCTTGTTGACTTTCTGGAAGGCCAAAGAACAATAAAATTTGCTTATTATGAGAATGTCTTGAGAATGTTAGCCGAAGTTTTAGCAGAAAAACACCTGGGAAAGCTTCACCAGAGAGTCCTTCTTTACAATAACAATGTTCCTGCTCATCATTGTCATCAAATAAGGGCAATTTCGTGAGAATTTTGACGAAAAATAATTAGGCATCTGCCTTATAGTCCTGATTTGGTTCCTTCTGACTTCTTTTTGTTTCCTAATCTTAAGAATCTGTAAAGGGCACCCATTTTTCTTCAGCTAGTAATATAAAAAAGACAACATAGACATGCTTAAATTCCCAGAACCCTCAGTTCTTTAGGGATGGACTAAATGACTGGTATCATCCCTTACCAAAGTGTCTTGAACTTGATGGAGCTTATGTTGAGAAATAAAGTTTATATTTACTTTTTTTTTTTTTTTTTGAGATGGAGTTTTGCTCTTACTGCCCAGGCTGGAGTGCAATGGCATGATCTCGGCTCACTGCAACCTCCGCCTCCCGGGTTCAAGCGATTCTCCTGCCTCAGCCTCCCAAGTAGCTGGGATTACAGGTACCCGCCACCACACCCAGCTAATTTTTACATTTTTAGTAGAGACGGAGTTTCACCATGTTGGCCAGGTTGGTTTCGAACTCCTGACCTCAGGTGATGCATCTGCCTCGGCCTCCCACACTGCTGGGATTACAGGCATGAGCCTCCATGCCTGACCTTACATTTTTGTTTTTAATTCCATTTTTCCCACAAACTTTTTGAAGTTCCTTATATGTGTATGTGTACAATTAATCTTTTCTTCTCTTAATATGTTTAAAATGATTCCATAAAACTGCAATTATAAAATCATATTCTTAGACTTTTAACATATAAAGATGTGATATATGCGATTTTTAAAATTTTTTAATTTTTTACTTTTTGAGACAGAGTCTCACTCTGTTGCCCAGGCTGGAGTGCAGTGGCACAATCTCAGCTGACTGCAACCTCTGCCTCCCGAGTTCAAGCAATCCTCCTGCCTCAGCCTCCTGAATAGCTGAGTAGCTGGGATTACAGGTGTGCACCATCACGCCCGGCTGATTTTTGTATTTTTAGTAGAGGTGGGTTTCATCATGTTAGTCAGGCTGGTCTCAAACTCCTGACCTCAAGTGATCCACCTGCCTCGGCTTCCCAAAATACTGGGATTACATGGGTGAGCCACCGCGCCCAGCCAAGATGTGATATATATGATGATAATAGCATAAAGAAGGAGATAGGGATGAAACTACATTACAGTAAGTAAATGACACCAAAAAGAATTTGAAACTACAGAAAAAATTGAAGAGTACCACAAATGGTAAATATGTACGTTAGTACAAAAGAATTGAGCAACCACTAAAAAAACAAACCCTCAAAATAGAGAAATCATTCAACAAAGGAATTAAAAAGGTACAGTAGAAAATATATGTTTAATACAAAAGAAGAAAGTAAAAGAGGAACAAATGAACATAAAAGATGAGACATATAGAAACAATTATCAAAATGGCCAACATAAATCCAATCATACCAATAATAAATGTGAATGGATTAAACAACTGAATCAAAGGAAGATATTGTCAGAGTGGGAAAAATATCCCAAGATCCAACTATATGCTGTCTACATGAGATGTACTTTAATTTCAAAGACACAAGTAGGTTGAAATTAAGAGGATGAAAAACGATGGCCGGGCATGTTGGCTCATACTTGTAATCCCAGCACTTTGGGAGGCTGAGGAAGGCAGATCACTTGAGGTCAGGAGTTCGAGCCTAGCCTGACCAGCATGGTGAAACCCTGTCTAAAAATACAAAAATTAGCCAGGTGTGGTGGCAGGTGCCTGTAATACCAGCTACTCAGGAGGCTGAGGCAGGAGAATCACTTGAACCCAGGAGGCAGAACTTGCAGTGAGCCAAGATCACGCTCTTGCACTCCAGCCTGGGCGACAGAGTGAGACTCTGTCTCAAAAAAACAAACAAACAACTAAAAACAAGAAAAAAGATGTACCATGCAAACAGTAAACATAAGACTACTGGTATGGTTATATTAATATCAGATAAAGTAGACTCTAATACACAAGGAAATGTAACTAGAGAGAAATTAAAACATTATATAATGACTAAAGGTCAATTCATTAGAGACATGAATTATAACGATAATTATAAACATGTACACATACTCACCACAGGGCCCCAAAATACAAGAAGAAAAATAGAATTGAAGACAGAAATGAAACAGTTCAAGACTTCATTATTGCTCTCAGTAATGGATAGAACAAACATTCTGAAGACTTGAGCAATGCTATAAACTGACATTTTGTTTTTGTTTTGTTTGTTTTTTTTTCAGAGTCTCACTTTGTCACCTAGGCTGGAGTGTAGTGGCACAATCTCAGCTCACTGCAACCTCCACTTCCCGAGCTCAAGCGATTCTCGTGTTTTAGCCACCCGAGTAGCTGAGACTACAGGTGTGCACCACCGTGCCTGGCTAATTTTTGTATTTTTAGTAGAGATGGGGTTTAACCATGTTGGCCAGGCTGGTCTTGAACTCCTGACTGCAAGTGATCCACCCTCCTCGGCCTCACAAAGTGCTGGGATTATAGACATGAGCCACCACGCCTGGCCAGTATTATATTAAATGTCCAGAACAGACAAATGTGTATAGATAGAAAATAGATTAGTTGTTCCTTAGGCTTAAGGGAGTGGAGATTAACTGCAAATGAACATTAGGGATCTCCTCTGGTTGATGGAAACTTTGTGGTAGATTGTGGTGATGGTTGTACATACAACCCTGGAAATTTACTAAAAATTGTTGATTTGAGCAATTACACCAGTGAATTTTAAGGTATGTAAATTATGCCTCAAGAAAGCTGTTTTTAAAACATTGAACATGAAAATATGATCAATATCATTAGTTATGGAAATGCAAATTAAAACTACAATGAGATATCATTGCATACCCACTAGAATTGCAGAAATAAAAAAGCACACAGTAAAGAATTGTTGACAAAGATACAGAGAAATGGTAATCCTCATAAATTCCTGATGGGCACGTACATGGTATACTCACTTTGGAAAACAGTTTGGCAATTTCTTAAAAAGTTAAATATAAATTTACCATATGACCCAGTAATTCCTCTTCAAGGTGTATACCCAAAGGGAATGAAAGCACTTGTACACACAAAGACTAGTGCAAGAATTTTCAGAGCAGAATTATTCATGATAGCCAAAAAGTGGAAACAACCCAAATGTCCGTCAACTAAGGGCTGGATAAACAAAATGTGGTATATTCAAACAATGAAATATTATTCAGCCATAACAAGCAAGGAAGTGCTGATACATGCTCCAACCTAGATGGACCTTGAAAACATTAAGTGAAAGAAGCCAGTCACAAAATTCTACAAATGGTATGATTCCATAGAGACAAGAAAGTAGTTGCTTGGTCCTCATGATGGAGAAAAGGAGTAACAATAAATGGGATCTTATTGGGGTTATAAAAATATTCTAAAGTGGATTTATGATGATAGTTACACAACCTGGTAAATTTACTAAAAATCAGTGAATTGTACACTTGAAATGGGTGCATTATATGATATGTAAAATATGTATAAAGACAGTTGAAAAGAAAAAAAAACTACTGTTAAATGTTAGGAGGTTGTACTGATTACTGTTGTTCTGCCCAGATCCTCTCAGATTCCTTTAACAATTTCTTGAACTCCTTCCCTGGCTTTTGTGTTTATTTACTTCCTTTTCTTTTTAGACAAAGTCTTGCTTTGTCACCCAGGCTGGAGTGCCGTGACACAATCTCGGCTCACTGCAACCTCTGCCTTCCGGATTTAAGTGATTCTCCTGCCTCAGCCTCTCAAGTAGCTGGGATTACAGGCACACGCCACCACGCCTGCCTAATTATTGTATTTTTAGTAGAGACAGGGTTTCACTCTGTGTTGGCCAGGCTGGTCTCAAACTCCTGACCTCAGGTGATCTGGCTGCCTCAGCCTCTCAAAGCACTGGGATTACAGGCATGAGCCCCCACGCCCGGCTGTGTATATTTACTTCTAAAGGCCTGTACCTTTGCCTCTCTGGCTCTCTTGGAAGCCTGTTTTAAGGAGCTGCTTTGCTTGTATGTGCAGAGAACTGACAATGCCTGAGAATTTACATTCATATTTTTGCAACCCCACCCCTTTCCACTTGCAAGTTCTGGATAGTCTTTACCAAATGAAGGTTATTGAGGGAAAGTATGAAAGTTTAATTCCTCTGTCTTGAGTAGGGACAAACCCTGTGACATAATTTACACTTGGCATTCTCCTGTGGGATCATGTGGAAGCAACCCTCCATAGGATGTTGCCTGAAATTACACATTTGCTTAGCTACTTCCGCTTTCCTGTCCTGCTTCCTCCATTTCCTTATTGAGGTCTCCTGGGAGCACTTCCTTAAATTAACTGCATGTACTTGAATCCTCATCTCAGAGCCTGCTTCTGGGGAGCCAACCCAAGACAAGGGGGATTACTTATTCCTAATTTACCCAGTTTTCAGGTGAAGGGACACATATTCAGGTAACACTCCAGGCTTTTCTATGCCCTTCGCTGCTCCTCATGGGAGGAGGAGTGACATGCTAAATTGTGATTTGGGACTAAGAATTTGGCATCTGTGACTTATCCCCTTTCTTTGGGGTATTCCTGCCTGCAGGGAGCATGTGCTATGGTCAGTAGGCTTAAGGAAAATGGCTCTGCCTTTGCATGAAAGGCCCAGAAGCAGAGCCTGAGGCAGGCATTTAGGTGTATGTGATTTATTGAGGGAGGGCTCTTTAGGAAAAACCTGTAAAAGAATGAGAGTAGGAAGATACAGGGGAGGAATGTGTGTGGTCATGGCCTGTAACATGTCAGGAGTTGTTTCATGCAGCAATGAGGAACTTGAGGAGTTTTTCCATTAGGAGGCAAGGGAGTTAGGCCTATCAGTCAGTCATTGGTCATTATTGGCGGTGGTGGTGAGGGGTGGGGGTGGGAGGTGTTTGGATTTCCCAGTTGTCTTCAGAAGAGGTGGCTCCCCTTAGCAAAGGGTAATTATTTGGACATGTTTAAAGGTGTAAACTGTTAGCCACAGCACTCAATGTAGCTGGGGGATGGATGCATCAGTTAATGAAGGTGATCAATGAAAGGCACCAACAGTGTCTACTATAGTTCATTCCTTGGACCAATCAGATCCACTTGCTACTTCCTATTAAATTCATTCTATTTGGGCATGGTTTTTCCAGGATTCTAGTTGGTGGGAATTCCTTTGGGAAACTTGCAAGAGGAGATTTAAACAAACCACAGCCTTGACTGCTCTGATTGGTCCTGAGACTTTAACTGATATTCTTTTTTCCTTCTTTCATCACCCATTCTAGATTTCCCTAACTTGTTTGGTTCTTCTGCTGGTTTAGGTGGCTTTCCTGATGGGGTGACCTATACCCTCATTGCCGTGGGTCTGAGCCCATTTTCATGCCCTTATCAAGTCTGTGGTTGCTTCACTTGCCCATTCATGGCTAAAACTGGGCATTACAGTAGCAAGAGATGCCCCAATTGGTCACATGAATGCCAAACATACTCTTCCCTGCTCATATTATATAGCAGCAACTTTACGTCCTCATGATAATCTAGGGCCAATTCCCACTGTCAGTATGGTAACTCTTTTTCATACCTGTTGATCTATTGGCAGAAGGAGCCCAAGTGACCAGCCAATACGTGTAGCTTTAGGTGTAGTTGGACTCTTGCTACGTCTCTTTGTGGAAGTGATCCCCATCTGGGAACTGGATCTTCTAGATGCATAGATCCTAAGGTTGTAGAGACAGGAAGCATAAATCCTCAAGTAGTTCATTAGGAGTGATGGTGAGAGGGTCACTCTTACTTCCATGTCTTGGTTCTTACACCCATGTATTTTTACCTGTTGGGGCCAGAGCACTATATAATGATCTCTGAGTTAGAGGTAGAGTCAGTGAGCTTTTTCTATAAAGGGCCAGACAGTAAATATTTTAGACTTTGCAGTCCATATGGTCTCTGTTGCTACTACTCAACTCTGATGTTATAACATGAAAGCAGCCAAAGACAGTATGTAAACAAATGAGCATGGCCATGTTCCAATAAAGTCATATTTATCAAAACAGGCAGTGGGCTGGATTTGGCACGTTGTCCATAATTTGCTGATCCCTGGTTTAGAGTACAGATGCTCCTCAACTTTGTTAGTCAAAAATGCATTAAATACACCTAGCCTAGTGAACATTATCGCTTAGCCTAGCCTATCTTAAACATGCTCAGAACACTTATATTAGCTTACAGTTGTGCAAACTCATCTGGCAACATTGTACACTGTAGAGGATTGGTTGTTTACCCTCGTGATTGCCTGGCTGAGTGGGAGCTGCAGCTTGCTGCCCCTGCCCAACATCACAAGAGAGTATCATATTACATATCACTTCCCCAGGAAAAGATCAAAATTTAATATTCAAAGTGTAGTTTCTACTGAATGTGTATCACTTTTGCACCATTATAAAGTCAAAAAATTCTAAGTGGAGCCATCATAAGTCAGGGACTGTCTGCATATACTGCATCTTGAAGGATAGTGCCCCATCCTCACGGGGATTGTTTCAAAGCTGGTGCTTCATCTGTGCCTTTAAAGTGCCTTTTTTTTTTTGAGACAGAGTTTTGCTCTTGTAGCCCAGGCTGGAGTTTAATGGCACAATCTTGGCTCACTGCAACCTCTGCCTCTCGGGTTCAAGAGATTCTCCTGCCTCAACTTCCTGAGTAGCTGGGATTACAGACGCCCGCCACCATGCCCGGCTAATTTTTATATTTTTAGTGGAGACAGGGTTTCACCATGTTGGCCAGGCTGGTCTCGAACTCCTGACCTCACGTGATCCGCCGGCCTCAGCCTCCCAAAGTGCTGGGATTGATTACAGGTGTGAGCCACTGCAACCAGCCCTAAAGTGCCCTTCTATCACTCTATTACACCAGCAGCCTCTGAATGGTGCACAATGTTGTAGGGCCAATGAATTTCATTGTTGTGTGTTCACTGCTGCATCACAGTTTTCATAAAGTGGATCTCTTGGTCTGAGGTGACATTAGGAGAGATCCTATGTTGGTAGATCAGATACATCATGATCTCAGGTAGTGGTGCTGACTGAGTCCTTGCAGGCAGTGAAGGCAAAATTTGTATGTAGCATATGTGTCAATCTCTGTCATAATGAACCACTGACCTTTTTAGAGGGAAGGGGTTGAATGTAATCATTTTGACCCCACATGACTGGTTGATATCCTCAAGGGATGGTGCCATATTGGGGACTTGGTGTGGTTTTTGTTGCTAGAAAATTAGACATTCAGCCACAGCCATCTCTACATTAGTCTTGGTGAGAGGAAGCCAATGTTGTTGGGCATGCATAACTTCCGTCTTTGCCACTGTGGCTACTCTATTGTGCAAGCACTGGGATGGCAGAGGACAGACTGGCTGACATCTACTGGCCAGATCATCCTGTCCTCTTGGTCATTTAGTGCTTCTTCTGCAGCAAATGCATTCTGATTAATGTTAAAATGAAGAGACAAAACCCTTCACACTTTGTACCCATTCCCATAGTTCCACCCATATGCGTTTTCCCCAGACCTCCTTGATCCCAATCTTTCCATCTTTCCCTTCCAATCCCCTGACCAACCAGCCAAGCCATTCACTGTTTCCCATGAATCAATATATATATATTATAAGTTTGGGCCACTTCTTCCACACAAAGTGGATGACCAAGTGTACCACCAAAAGCTCTGCTGACTGTCTTTCAGAGTCACCCTTGAGTGGGGTTGTAGGGCAGTAGCTACATATTTTCAGCTGGTACACAAATACTGAGCCGATCTATCAATGAGCTAAATTTGAGATTTTTCCTTCTATGCCAGCTGATCATAAGGAATACTTCCCCTTCCATGTGCCCATTGGTGTCAGTTAAGGAAGAAGCACCAGTGCATCAGTTGTGGATGACATAGGTGTCTGGACCACCTGTTTCTGTAGCTTACTTGGGTCTTTTGGCCTGCTAGCACCCAATCCTGCTGGATGTACCACTTTATCTTACAATAAATTGCTGCTGGGGCCTGCCCAACCTTATGATGGGGTGGGTCTGACAGACCCAAGCTCATGATAAGCAATACTGGGAACACGGTTACTTGATATCCAAAGGGCAAGTACTCAAAAAAAAAAAAAAAGAATCTGGGCCAGGTGCGGTGGCTCACGCCTGCAACCCCAGCACTTTGGGAGGCTGAGGTGGGTGTATCACCTGAGGTCAGGAGTTCGAGAACAGCCTGGCCAACATGGCAAAACCCCGTCTCTACTAAAAATACAAAAATTAGCTGGGTGTGGTGGCCCATGCCTGTAATCCCAGCTACTGGGGAGGCTGAAGCAGGAGAATCACTGGAACCCGGGAGGCGGAGGTTGCAGTGAGCTGAGATCGCACCATTGCACTTCAGCCTGGGTGACAGAGTGAGACTCAGGTTCAAAAAAAAAAAAAAGTCTGAAGAGCAAGTGCTCAATCTCTACCAGGGCCCAGGAGCATACCAGGAGCTCCTTTCAAATGGTATATAGCTTTCTGCTTCTAGATGGCATGGCCTTGCTCCAGAACCTTAAGGGTCTGCACCGCACGGTTCCTATTTGGGCTTCTTAGGGAGTCCACATTTTTCTTCTACCACAGATACGTCTCATATCAAGGAATCTTTTGGAGCGTATAACCCAAGTGGTGCGATTGCATTTACTGCAGCTTGGACTTGCTACAGAGGCCTTTCTTGTCCAGGGCTCCACTCACAACTAGTAGCCTTCTATGTCACTCAATAAATGGGTTATTACAGTACTTCTAAGTGTAGAACATATTGCTTCCCTACCCAGAGTCCCACCTTTGGACTCTTTCTTAAAGGTGGGAGGTTAAAGGTGCAATAATTTGTCCATCACTTTGGAGTGAATGTCCCAGCATTCCCTAGACCCTAGACCACTGGATCCCTAAAAACTTCACTCATGTAGCTCATCCCTGAATCTTTGCAGTGTTTATCTTTTACTTTCTAGAATGTACATCTTATTAGGACACCCAGGGTACTTCTGCTTCTTGCTCATCAGGTCCGGTTAACATGATACCATCAATAGAGTGGACTGATATGATGTTCTATAAAGTATTTAGTTGCTTCAGGTCCCGTTAAGTTATAAGAGAGAGCAGGAAAAATAACAGCCTTGGGGTAAGACTGGGAATATATACTTCTGTCTGTTCATGTGAATAGAACCAGTTTCTGATTTTCCTTCCTGACACGTATGAAAGAAATGTATTGGTCCAAATCAATAGCCATATACCATCTACCAGAGGTGTGTTAATTTGCTTTAGTTAAGATACTACATCAAGTTCAGTAGATACAATTGGGACTATTATGTTTACTGGGCAGGTGGCAGACTGATATATATATATATATATTTTTGAGACAGAGTCTTGCTCTGTTGCCCAGGCTGGAGTGCAGCGGTGTGATCTTGGCTCACTGCAACCTCCACCTCCCGAGTTCAAGTGATTCTCCTGCCTCAGCCTCCTGACTAGCTGGAACTACAGGCATGCACCACCATGCCTGGCTAATTTTTGTATTTTTAGTAGAGGCAGGATTTCATTATGTTGGCCAGACTGGTTTCAAACTCCTGGCCTCAAGTGATTGGCCCACCTTGGGCTCCCAAAATGCTGGGATTACAGGTGTGAGCCACCGTGCCCGGCCCCCAGACTGATTAATTAAAGAAAGATATGACGAGGACCATGCCTCCTGCATTATTTAATATTTTGAGGGTGACACTAATCTTTGCTATTTCTCCCTTCCCCCAGATGTAATATTGGTTTTTATTTACTGTTTTGGCCATTGAAAGGTTTTTCTTTGGGGGTGGTGGTGACTTTCAGGGGCTTTCATAGGCCTTTTCCTATTACAGTAGCTCTCACTCTATAGAGCAAAGAACTGAGGTAAGGATTCTGCTAACTGCTAATGTATTCATTCCGATGATTCATTTGGGAGTCATGGAGATGACTGTTGGACTCATTGTGAGACAAACCTGGGCCAATATCCCAATTATTTCCTGACCCCCATAAGCCTCTCCCTAACAAGTGGGCCACAGTAACACTTTGGCTCCTGGGTATCAGTGTCTATTTATTTCCTGGGTCCAGTAGACTTGAGAGAGTCTCTGTATTCCCCTTTCCCCAGCTATCTGAGTAAATGGTCATAGACACTTTTGGAGAAGGCCTGGAGAATGCTACTAAATATACTTACCATGTTGTTATAGGGCCCTTTCTCATGGGAACCTGACCTCTTTTTCATTTTATGGGCTTGGGGTCTGAGAACTAGCTTAGGTCTGGAAGTTAGAAAAGGAGCTGTGACTTTCCATTGGGGCAACTGACTTCAGACTTCTGCTTATCTATATATTTATATATAGTAATACCCTTGCTGGCTGTTTTTCTGAATTGCCCCTAGGAACACAATGTTCTATGGGCCATCTCATTAAATCCCTGTGAGTCAGGAGGCATCCCTTGGTGTCATTCCAACCTTGCTGCCTATACTTATAACCAATTCACTTTTGACGGTTAAGTGTTGTCACCTAGTTTCCCCTATTTCAGAATCCTATCACCTCTATTAGCACTAGGGAGCCCAGTTCTGTATGAGCATCTCCTATCATCAGCCCTGGTTTACAGAGGACAGCTACTACTATGGAGCTTTTCTTTTTTTTTTTCTTTTTTTCTTCTTTTTGTAGAGATGGGATCTCCCTATGTTTCCCAGGCTGGTCTTGAACTCCTGGGCTCAAAGGATCCACCCATCTTGGCCTCTCAAAATGCTGGGATTAAAGCATGAGTCACCATGCCCAGCTGACCATGAAGCTTTTATTTATTTATTTATTATTTATTTATTTATTTATGACGGCGTCTCACTGTTGGCCAGGCTGGAGTGCAGTGGTGCAATCTCAGCTCCCTGCAACCTCTGCCTCCCAGATTCAAGTGATTCTCGTGCCTCAGCCTCACAAGTAGCTGGGACTATAGGCATGTGCCACCATGCCCGGCTAATTTTTGTATTTGTTGTAGAGACAGGGTTTCACCATGTTGGCCAGGCTGGTCTCGAACTCCTGACTTCAAATAATCTGCCCTCCTTGGCCTTCCAAAGTGCTGGGATTACAGGCGTGAGCCACCACGCCCAGCTGAAGCTTTTCAATAATGCTGGTGTCCCTTCACTATCACATTCCTTATTGTTTTGGTAAGTGAACTATACTCTGGGCCCCTCCAATGAACATAGTCAACTGGTCGGTCTTCTTCTCTCATGTAATAAATCCATCCTAACATGTTCACTTCTCTAAGCTTTTTGATCTATTCCTCTATAGTCTACCACTAAGTTCTAGTATTGCTGCTTCATTTAGTGTGGACCACTGCTTTATTCTACCTTCCTAAAACCATTTCAAAACTGGCCTCTGGGGTACTTGCCAGTGTGCTGAATCCTGTGTCACAGGAGAGTACCTCCATATTAACACACTTTTCTCTATTCAGTTTTGTAATCTGTCCTGTAGATCCAGCATCCTCAGATATACTCTTCCAGTTTTTGCTGGTAAACGTAAGCCAAGTTCTGCAGCTCCTTTTGTGTATATAATGACTCTCTCTTTGTGTATAATTCCTCTCCTCCCTCAGCAGATCAAGCACTTCTCCCGTTATCCCATGTTGAAATTTGACCATAGTTATTGTTCTAATTGCTGGGAAGGGAGGGGGGCAGATCCTGAGATGGGTAGGCATTGTCCCAGACAATGCCTCATTTGAGTTCCTTTCATGATCTTCAATTGGGGCAGGGTGCGGTGGGGGACTGCTGTCCTCTAAAAGGAGGATTGCAGCACTTCTGCATGTCCAGAAGTTTCTGGAGGATCTTGGGGTTCAAGGTTCCCAAATGCATCTACTCAGTAATCTCTCTTCCAAGTCTTGGGGTCCCACTCTTTACTGGGACCCTGGTTTTGGTGTAGGAGACTCACTGGAACTGAGGAATTCAACCTTCTCTGAATTTTAGCTTCTCTTATGATTTGCTCCTGAGCCTGGTGATATGGTTTGTATTTGTGTCCCCAACCAAATCTCACATTCAATTGTTATCCCCAATGTTGGAGATGGGGCCCTGTGGCAGGGGACTAGATTATCGAGTTAAATTTCTCATGAATAGTTTAGTACCATCCCCTTGGTACTGTTCTCACAATAGCGAGTGAGTGCTCTCAAGATCTGGTCATTTAAAAGTGTGGCATCTCACATGTACACACAAACATATACCATATATAGCAACATTTGCAGTCCAAAAGAAATATAAAGAACAGTAGAGATGCAATGTTAAATCATAACTGCATAAAATTAACTGTAGTATATACTGTACTACTGTAACAATTTTGTAGCCACCTCCTGTTGCTATTGTTGTGAGCCCAGGTGTTGTGGGCATCTGCTTAGAACTGCATGGGACACTAATCATCTCTGCATGAGTAGTTTGTCTCTCCAGTAAATTGCATATCACAATAAAAAGTGATCTCTTGCAATTTTCATGTGTTTTTCATTGTGTTCAGTGCAATACCATCAACCTTGAATAACACCGTGGGACCTATGGTGGGACAAACCTTGAATAACGCCATGGGATGAAGTGCCACTAGTGATGCTGGAAGTGCTCCTAAGAAGCAGATAAAAATCATGACATTAGAAGAAAAAAGGTGAATTGCTTGATATGTACCATAGATCGAGATTTGCACCCGTGGTTGCCCACCATTTCTTTTTCTTTTTCTTTTTTGAGACAGAGACTCGCTCTGTCGCCCAGGCTGGAGTGCAGTGGCGCAATCTCGGCTCACTGAAAGCTCCGCCTCCCGGGTTCATGCCATTCTCCTGCTTCAGCCTCCCAAGTAGCTGGGACAACAGGTGCCCACCACCGCGCCTGGCTAATTTTTTGTGTTTTTAGTAGAGATGGTGTTTCACCGTGTTAGCCAGGATGGTCTCGATCTCCTGACCTCATGATCTGCCTGCCTTGGCCTCCCAAAGTGCTGGGATTACAGGTGTGAGCCACCACGCCCGACATTTGGTTGCCCACCATTTCAAGATAAATGAATCCAGTGTAAGGACTATTATGAAAAAGAAAAGGAAATTAAATTAATGAAGTTGTTGCTGCAGCTGTGCCAGTAGGTATGAAAACCTTGAACATTTTGCAAAATACCTTTTTATGTTGTATTGAAAATGCAGCTTTTGGCCAGGTGCAGTGGCTCACACCTATAATCCCAGCACTTTGGGAGGCTGAGGCGGGTGGATCACTTGAGGTCAGGAGTTTCAGACCAGCCTGGCCAACATGGCGAAACCCTGTCTTTACTAAAAATACAAAAATCAGCTACGCGTGATGGTGCATGCCTGTAATCCCAGTTAGTCAGGAGGCTGAAGTTGAACTTGGGAGGTGGAGGTTGCAGTGAGCCAAGATCTCGTCACTGCATTCCAGCCTGGGTGACAGAGCGAGACTCCGTCTCATAAAAAAAAAAAAAAAAAAATTGCCAAGATAGGCCAGGCACGGTGGCTCATGCCTGTAATCCCAGCATTTTGGGAGGCTGAGGCAGGCGGATCACTTGAGGCCAGGAGTTTGAGACCAGCCTGGCCAGCATGGTGAAACCCCATCTCTACTACAGATACAAAAATTAGCTGGGCCTGGTGGTGTATGCCTGTAATCCCAGCTACTCAGGAGGCTGAGACAGGAGAATTGCTTGAACCCGGGAGGTGGTTGCAGTGAGCTGACATCACGCCACTGCACTCCAGCTTGGGCGACAGAGCAAGACTGCATCTCAAAAAAAAAAAAAAAGTCAAGATAACAGGAGAAGCAGCTTCTGCTGATCAAGAGGCAGCAGACAAGTTTCTAGATGTCATTAAGACAATCATCGTGGAGAAAAGATATCTGCCTGAACAGGTTTTAATGCAGATTAAAGTGCCCTATTCTGGAAAAGAATGCCAGAAAGGACATTTGTTAGTAAGGAAGAGAAGCAAGCACCAAGATTTTTAGCAGGAAGGGACAGGCTAATTCTACTGTTTTGTGCAAATGCAGTTGGTTTTATGATAAGAACTACTCTTATCTATAAAACAGCTAACCCCTGAGCCTTGAAGAGAAAACATAAACACCAGCTGCCAGTCTTCCGGTTGTATAACTAGAAGGCTTGGACAACAAGAACCCTGATTCTGGATTGGTTCCATAGATGCTCTGTCCCTGAAGTCAGGAAGTACCTTGCCAGTAAGGGACTGCCTTTTATTGAATGATGCCCCTGGCCATCCAGATCCCTATGAGTTCAACACCAAAGGCTTTGAATTGGTCTCCTTGTTCTCAAACACAATGTCTCTAATCCAGCCTCTAGATCAGGTAGCCATAAGGACCTTTAAGGCTCATTACACATGGTACACTGTGGAAAAGATTGTCAGTGCTATGGAAGAGAACTCTGATAGACAGAACATCATGAAAGTCTGGAAGGATTACATCATTGAAGAAGCCATCGTTGTTATGGAAAAAGCCATGAAAACCATCAAGCCCAAAACAATAAATTCCTGCTGGAGAAAACTGTGTCCAGGTGTGTATGACTTCACAGGATTTACAACAGAGCCAATCAAGGAAATCATGAAAGAGATTGTGGAGGTGGAAAAAAAAGGTGGTGGTGGGTGGGGGGAAGGGTTTCAAGATATGGATCTTGGAGAAATTAAAGAGCTGATCAGCACCACACCAGAGGAATGAACAGAAGACAACCTGATAGAGATGAGCGTTTCTGAACCTGTGCCAGACAATGAAGAAGAAGATGTAGAAGAAGCGGTGCGAGAAAACACATTGACATTAGGCAATTTAGCAGAAGGGTTCTGATTATTCAAGATTGCTCTTGATTTCTTTTATGACATGTACCCTTCTACGATGCATGCACTGAAACTAAAGCAAACTGTGGAAGAATTGGTACTGTATAGGCACATTTTTAGAGAAATTAAATAGCAAAAAAGACAGAAATTACCACGTATTTAATCTCCATAAAGTTACACTAAGTGTGCCTGTGTCTCCTGACTACCCTTCCACCTCTTCCACCTCAGCCACCCCGAGACAGCAAGACCAACCTCTCCTCTTCAGCCTACTCAACCTGAAGACGAGGACAAAGACTTTTATTTTATTTCATTTATTTATTTATTTTTGAGATGGAGTCTCGATCCTGTTGCACAGGCTGGAGTGCAGAGGCACGATCTCGGCTTACTGTAACCTCCACCTCCTGGTTCAAGCGATTCTCTTTCCTCAGCCTCCCAAGTAGCTGGGATTACGGGCACGCTCCACTACGCCCAGCTAATTTTTGTATTTTTAGTAGAGACGGGTTTTCGCCATGTTGGCCAGGCTAGTTTTGAACTCCTGACCTCAGGTGATCCACCTGCCTCGGCCTCCCAAAGTGCTAGGATTACAGGCATGAGCCACCGTGCCTGGCCAAAGACTTTTATGATGATCCACTTAATCAATAGCAAATACATTTTTTATCATGATTTTCTTCATAACATTTTCTTTTCTCCAGCTTGCTTTGTTGTAAGAATATAGTATATAATACATTTAACATACAAAATATGTGTTAATCGACTGAGTTATCAGTAAGGCTTCTGGTCAACAGTAGGCTATTAGTGATTACGTTTTTGAAGAGTCAAAAGTTATATGCAGATTTTCAACTGCACAGGGAGCGCCTCTAGCCCCCACATTGTTCAAGGGTCAACTATATTTTCTTCATATATGTATATATATTTCATTGAAACTTCAATGAAGACTTTTGAAGACTACATAGACCTTTTATCAGCTTCATGACCCAGAAATGTCTTTCTCAAGGACCTGGGAGCCATTTTTTAAAAATGTAAACATCAAATGAGGTAGCACCCCATCTCCCAGTTTTTGTGGGAGTGTAGAAACCTAACTTTGGTGGGCACCTTGCTCCAAATTGCAAAACTATTTCCTGTTATAAAGATATGATAATTTTTTTCCTCTAGATAAAACCAATTAACTAGCACGGATGGTCACCTCAATTACTAGGTAAAGTTTGGGTGAAATATGTGTGACAAAATATGCTGCCAAGTCTTCTTACTTGAGGACTAGTCATTATTTATTTACTCGAAAACATGTAAATAATGGTATCTGCTTGGCTATATTAGGGGGTGAGATTCCTTTCTGTTTTTGCAATCTCTTAGTGAGTTACTTGGAATGTGCATCATGCTCTGATTTAATGCTGACTCAATAATAAAACGTTCTTTCTCTACTACCATTGTGGAGAGGAATTCTGGGTTAGGAGAAGATTTTGTTTTTAATTATATTTCCCCAACAATTTTGGTGATGAGAACATGGAAATATATGGTAGCTCCTGACATGAGCAGACAACTGACAGTCTGTAACCATAAAACAATCAGGTAGGAGACTCGGAATTATAAAAAGTCTTCCCTCTAGCGCTCTCTTTTTTGGGACTACTACCTAGAGAATCCAACCTGTCCAAATTCAATATGTTACTATTAAATAAACATGGGTAATGTAGACTCTAAAATTCAATCAGGGTCATCATATGGTTGGAAAATATGGGAAGACAGGAATGTTGCCTTCAAGTCTCTCTCTCAAATAGTTAATATCTCTCTGTCACATTTGTGATGGTTATGCACATGAGAATCCAGTTCTGTAGTGGTGGGAGGATGGGTCTTTTGATTTGGATAGATTAACACATCCTTGGAGGGGTTTCATCCTGAATGAATGAGTTCCTGGTATTATGGGATAAATATTGTTCTAAGAGGAGAGTTAAAAATGATTTAGGGCTGGTCAAAGTACGGTGGTGTTTACAACTAATTGATCACAACTGGTTATTTCTTTGTGTCTTCTCCACTCCCACTGTTTTACTTGAGTAGCTTAAAAGATTCAGATAGGCTGGACATGGTGGCTCACGCCTGTAATCCCAGCACTTTGTGAGGCCCAGGCAGGCAGTTCACCTGAGGGTGGGAGTTCGAGACCAGCCTGACCAACATGGAGAAACCCCATCTCTACTAAAAATACAAAATTAGCCAGGCGTGGTGGCGCAGGCCTGTAGCTCGTGGTGAGCTGAGATAGCGCCATTGCACTCCAGCCTGGGCAACAAGAGCGAAACTCCATCCAAAAAAAAAAAAAAAAGATTTGGATAGCCAGATGAAAAGAAAAAAGAGGGGAAATGCAAAAATTAAAGGCACTTTCTCTTTCATGGAAACCTTCTCCTCCTTTCTCTGCTGTTCCTGCTCCCTCTGCTTCCCCTGCATGTCCTTATGCTTCTTTGCTTCTAACTGACTGTAGTGGCTCCCAGGCAAGGGGGAGGTGATGATCTTTTAGAGAGGTGGCTCCCTTCATGAATAGATTTCCCTGTAAAGGGAGATGAAGGTACAACTTTCTACCGCTACCTGCTGTATTTGAGGATACAAGTTTGTGTGCCTGGTGGCCTAGCTCTAAGTCTACTTTATGTTTTAGACCAGATTCCACCTCCAGGAGGTCTTATCATCTACACACCACACAACACACAACTAGAAAGGCAGAAATAATAAAGAGACAGGATCATGGGATGATTGAGAACTTGGATAAAAGACTGTGCTTTGGTTTGAATGTGTCCTCCAAATTTCATGTGTTGGAAACTTAATCCCCAAATTCATATTTGATAGTATTTGGAGGTGGGGCCTTTGGGAGGTAGTTAGGATTAGATAATTTCGTTAGGGTGGGGCCCCCATGATGGGACGGGTGGCTTTATAAGAAGAGGAAGAGAGACCTGAACTGACATGCTCTTACTCTCTTGCCATGTGATACCTTCTAGCACGTTATGTCACAGCAAGAAGGCCCTCACCAGATGCTGGCACCTTGATATTGTACTTCCCAGCCTCCAGAAATAAACCTCTGTTCTTTATAGATTACTCAGTCTGTGGTATTCAATTATAGCAACAAAAAATTGGCTAAGACAGACTGTGTTCCCATGAGGCAACAGAATGGAGAGTAGCTGCACTTGTCACTTGGAAAAAGACAGGCAACCAAGGTATTAAACTTATGAATGTCAAAACTGGAACTGAAGTGTTGTGTAATTTACATTTTTATTGTCTCAATGTGAGGAAAACCAGACCTTCCTATTTGGATAGCCAGCAAAACTGATGCCATTGAGTAGCTACCCAGGACTCTTGGGTGGTTCAGATCCTTTTCTCACTCATTTAAAGGCTTCTCTTCCCTGTGCCCCAGAAATTTGCAGTACTACTATGCAGCATGTTTTCAGTTTACAGCTCCATGTGTGGAGATGTGCACCAGCTACTGCATGGAATTTTGCAATGAGCAGACTTTGATCCTTTGATGGAGCAAGGATGTTAGTGTCCAGAAGATTACCACATCAGGGGTATGGTGGTCAAGAGAAGCTGACTATCCACCATCCCTCACAAATATGGATAATCTGAGGATAGAGGTTCCTTGAAACCTTTCTTGTAAAGAGAAACTGGAAGATATTGCAGCTGTTTACTCATAAGACAGGTGAGTACCTCATTGATTTCCATCAGTGACTTGTTCAGACATTCTAAAAGTTTATTGGCATGGATCCAAGGTCATATAAAAATTGCCCTCTGGCTCTAACCACCTTTATTTTAGCTCTCTCACTGACTATCCAAACCCAAGTTAAGGAAAAGGTAGTAGGATGGCAAAGGCAAACTATTACCCAAATCTTAGCAGCAGCTACTCAGTTTTGGGATAATCTAAGAACAAAAAAAGAAAAGAAGAGATTAAAGTTTGCTGTGTTCTCTGCTTAGTTAGAACTCTTTACTGAAGGGAATAATCCTACAATGACCAATCCAGAAGGGGAAGAAAGAAAGATGGGAGGCTGTATGTTGTTATTGCAATAAGCCAGGGTGTTGGAAGAGGGATTGCAGAAGGACACTCTGGATGATGCAGAGACTGCAAAGATAAGAGAATTAGGAGAGCCTAGAACAAAACTTTCAGCTAGGAAATACTTGTCAAGTGGTTCAAAATTGACAAATTGAGGGAATCACAAAGGTGAGAACTAGTGGACTGTAATGTGTCAGTAACTTTTCCCATCTGGTGACAGGTTAATTCAGGTTATGGATATTTTGGGTCAGCCTTCTACTTGTCCCCTTTCCTCTGTAATTCCCATAGAGATAGGTCCTTTGACTGAGGAACATGTGTTCTTCATTTCTCCTGAATCTCCTATAAACCTACTGGTGAGAGACCTGCTGTGCAACTTAATAGCTACTATATTCTGTACTGTGGATGAAGTGTCTGTGGAGCCTTTTGGGAAAAGGCACCTGATTTGGATACTATATACTTCTGAAAGAAAAGAGGTATGGCAGAGAGTGGCAGTCTCATACTGTGCTGGAAAAGTCCCCACAAGCTCAAACAAGTCACTTAAATGTGAAGTAAAAAACTATAAATCTTTTAGAATAAAACATAGGAGAAAATATTCATGACCTTGGGTTAGGCAAAGATTCTTAGATACAACACCAAAAGCATGACCCATAATAGAAAAAAATGAATAAACTGAACTTCATAAAAAATGAAAAAAATTTGCATTTCAAATTATTCCATTGAGGAAATGAGAAGACAAGCCACAGACTGGGAGAAAATATTTGCAAATCATATATCTGATAAAGGACTTGTATCCAGAATACATTGAGAACTCTTACAACTCAATCATAGTAATGATAATAATAATCAGACAACTGAATTTAAAAGTAAGCAAAAGACTTAAAGGAGCATTTAATCAAAGGGAATGACAATACCGGATTAATTTGAGATATAGAAAATAGCTTACCAAAAAGATGAGCCATGGCCATGTGTCAACAATATCCTTTTTTGAGAGCTCAATTAAACATAATAAAACCAGTTATAAAAGAATTAGAAAAACATGTAATCCCCATGCTTTGGAAGGCCAAGTTAGGAGGATCAGTTGAGGTTAGGAGTTTGAGACCAGTCTGGGCAACATAGTGAGACCTCATCTCTACAAAAAATTAAACAAAAATTAGCTGGCTGTGATGGCAGGTGCCTGTGGTCCTAGCTACTTGGGAGGCTGAGATGGGAGGATCACCTGAATCCTGGAGTTTGAGGTTACAGTGAGCCGTGACCACACCACTGCACTCAAGCCTGGGTAACAGAGTGAGACCCTGTCTCTTAAAAAAAAAAAAAAAACCAAAAAAAAAAAAAAAAGAAAGAAAAAGGATAATTAAAAAGGGGCACTTACCCTGTAGTAATCCCACATTTCCAGTAAAGAAGAAAGGTAAATTTCATAAAGATGGGTAAGCTCTATATAGATTTGTACTGATTTTAGAGAAGTAAATTAATTTGTTGTGCCATTAACACCTGTAGTTCCTAATCCTGCAACTATTCTGATCTCAGTATAATTGTCTGAAAAAAATTTTTTTGTTGTTCTATGTTCTATGTTCTGCCCTCCCTTCCTCTCTCCCTTCCTCCCTCCCTCCCTCATTCCCTTCCTCCCTTCCTCTCTTCCTCCCTTCCTCCCTTCTTCCCTTCTTTCCTTCCTTCCCTCCTTTCCTCCTTCCCTTTTTTCCTTCCTTATTTTTTTCCTTCCCCCTCTTTCTTTTCTTATAAGTGGACAAGTCTAAATTCTTACTTGCTCATAAAGGAGTCTGATACTTATAGCAGACAATTCCTCAAGGGTTTTGAGACTCCCCTAATGTTTTCTCTAGTCATTTACAGAAACACTTAGATAAATTTGTTTCACCAGAAGGATCTATAATTTTTCAAAATATAGATGATTTTGCTGGTAGCCTCAGAAACTAAAGAGCAATGCAAAACTAACACTTTGGCTTTGTTACAATTCTTTGCTTCACAAGGGCATAAGGCCTCACTAGATAAATTGCAACATTGCTTTTCTGAGTAAACTATTTAAGGCATCTGTGTTCAGCTGTGGGCCTTAGAGTGGTATAATCTAGGGGTCATCTCATTTTGCAGATCTAACAGCCAAATGTAGTGCTATGGTTAGAATGTTTATGTCCCATTCTCTCCCAAATTCGTATGTTGAACTCTAATCTCCAATGTGATGGTATTAGAAATGGGGCCTTTGGAGGTGATTAGGGTGTTGCCCTAATGAATGGGATGAATGCCATTATAAAAGAGGCCTCAGAGAGCTTCCTGGCTCCTTCCACCATGTGAGGATGCAACCAGAAGGCACCATCTATGAGGAAGTGAATCCTTACCAGACACTGAATTTGCCAGCATCTTGATCTTGTACTTTCTAGCCTCCCAAAAAGTGATTAATAAATGCCTGTTGTTTGTAAGCTACCCAGTTTATGGCATTTTGTTATAACAGCCCAAATGGACTTAGACACAGTTTTGGTACTAATGCAGTACCAAAGAGAGTAGATTCCAGGTTTTGCAGAGTGGGCAAAACCTCTGATGGAGCAACTACATGATAATCCTTCAGATCTTCTCGTTTGGTCCCTAGAATCTGAAGAGACTTTTGAACAAGGGAAATTGGGGATAGCCTCTCTCTTAGCTTTGAAATGTCCAAAGTTTGAAAAATCTGACGTGATTTATGTAATATTCCTGTTCAAAATGATGATATAATAATGTTTATCAATTGGTAATGTAGTATGGCTAAAAGTGGCCACTCAAAAAGCTTCCTAGCTGCAGTGACTTATCATGCAGCTTCGGAAGCTTATGCTTTATCTGCAATTAAGTCTGCATAAGCAGATGAGTTAATACCAGTTAGTAGAACTGCAATTCTTAGTTCTGGACTAAAAATAAACATAAAAATATATACATAATAAATATATGTTTGATGTCTGTCATGCAACAGAGAACTTTTTTTAAACAGAGGATTTTTGACTTCAATAACAACTAAAAAAATCACATGGAAAGTTGATAGCTGATTTGTTAGGGACTTTACACCTGCTTTCTCAGATACCAGTAATTCATTTTGCTGATAGAGCTGTAAAAGCTGCTTTTATTTATTATTTATTTTTATTTTTTAGATGAAGTCTCTCTGTGTCACCCAGGCTAGAGTGCAATGACACGATCTTGGCTCACTGCAACCTCCGCCTCCTGGGTTCAAGCGATTCTTCTGCCTCAGCCTTCCGAGTAGCTGGGACTACAGGCATGTGCCATCACACCCAGCTAATTTTTGTATTTTTAGTAGAGACAGGGTTTCGCCATGTTGGCCAGGCTGGTCTCGAACTCCTGACCTCAGGTGATCCGCCTGTCTCAGCCTCCCAAAGTGCTGGGATTATAGACGTGAGCCACTGTGCCCTGCCAAAAGCTGCTTCTAAAACATGGCTGGCTCCAAACTTAGAAGCTCTGTTTTTAATACAACAAGAAGCTTTTGTTCATTTTTTAAAATGTGCTTCACAAAAATAAATGAGCAAATGAATTGAAAAAGGAGCTAAAAGAAATTTGATTGGACTGTGGGAATTACCCAACAGTAATTCCTATACTTCAGTCCCAATTTGCTTGGTTAGTGGTGGTGTGTCATTGACAAAATTATCTGAACAAAAGAGGAATTTTAAAGGCATTAGACCCCTACTAGGCCTACCAAAAAGATAAAATTATTCACAACATATTAAAGAGTTATGCTATGTAATGTATGCTATTGATGTGCTATTCTTTACGGGCCACTCCAAATATAAGCACAGGAAGTTCTGTCTAACCAGCTTTACCAGGAACGTGGTGGCAGTTAGATTTCGGTAAGAGATATTGTCTAGTTGTGGTATGTGTGACATTTGGATGGCCTGAAATCTTTCTGTCTTCAAAAGCTGATCTTCAGTTAAGCAAGATGAATAAACTCTAAAGGTCTACCATACAACATTGTGCCTATAACCAGTAATACTATATTGTACTCTCAAAAATTTGTTAAGAGGGTAGATCTCTTGTTAAATGTTCTTACCACAATCAAATAAAATTTAAAAAGCTGATGTTTGGAACAGAAAACCAAACACCGCATGTTCTCACTCATAAGTGGGAGTTGAACAGTGAGAACACATGGACACAGGGAGGGGAACATCACACAGTGGGATCTGTTGGGGGGTGGGGGGCAAGGGGAGAGAGAGCAATTAGGACAAATACCTAATGCATTCAGGGCTTAAAACCTAGATGATGGGTTGATAGGTGCAGCAAACCACCATGGCACGTGTACACCTATGTAACAAACCTGCACGTCCTGCATATGTATCCCAGAACTTAAAATAAAATAAAAATAAAAATAAAAAGCTGTTGTTCAGACAGTGGTAAAGGTTCTCTTAAAACTCACAATTTCCACTTCTGGGATACCAGAGCACATTGACTAGGACAGAGGAAGTCATTTTACTTCTACTGTTGCCCAGGAATTATGCCAAATGTGTGCAGATTCCTATAAGCCTCAGTCCTTTGGACAAGTAGAGTGAATAAATCAAACTCTAAAAAGCTATTTGGCCAAGATTTAGTAATCTAACATGTTAAAATGGCTTAGAGCTTTGCCACTAACCTTATCAAAAATTAGAGTGACCCCTGCAAGCAAGCATAGTATCTCTCCCTTTGAACTTATGGTTGGCAGGCCTATGAACTTGGGTCTGAGACCATGTTCTGTTCCCAATTTAACTGAATCCTGTCATAATCATGTTCAATAGTTAAAAGGCCTTCTCTTTTCCCTAGAAACCCTGAGACTTACAGTCATAAGGACTTGCCTGAGTCAGTCTGCCACCCTTATAGGATAGGAGACTTCATCCACATAAAGGTATTTCAAAGGAAAGACAGGTTGTCACTCTATTGGGAGAGACCCTTTCAGGTGCTGCTGATCACTCATACTGCTATCAAAGTGAAGGAGAACCATAGCTGGATTCATGCTTTCTATGTGAAACCAGCACTGCAGGAGGACTAGACAGTTGTTCCCACAAAGAACTTCACTAGAGTAATGGATATTGGTACTGAACTCAACTGAAAAGAGGTATTCTTTATTTTTAAAAAAATTTTTTTGAGACTTGGTATCACTCTGTCCCCCAGACTGGAGTGTTGGAGTGCAATAGCGTGATCTCGGTCACTGCAACCTCTGCCTCCCAGATTCTAATGATTCTCTTGCCTCAAAAAGATGTGTTCTAAAAAATTGATTGCTATTCTCATAGTACTACTCAGACAGAGGTTATTTGAATCACCACAATAAAGAATCACATTTATTGGAAAGCAAACATTATTACACCAAATTTCTGCATTCCCAGTAATGGTTCCTCCAAACACGTATTTCCAATGAGCTCTAAATTGTACTCCCATTGTGGATATGCTCTGGATTACTGGCCGAGTACAAGTGAGATCATCCTCATTAGTAATTTTTGATAATAACAAAGTTAAAGTAATTAGTATGCATCCAGGTACTCAAGTTCTAACTTTAACACAAAAATGTTTTATCAACTGGCTTGATTGAAAGAATGACATAGAAAAGAAAAATATCTAATTAACAGATGAACAGAAATCTGGTACCTACAGATTACTAGCAACTACAAAAGACAGATATAGTGTCACTACTAACATTGGGAGGCAGGTTTTCTCCAGTATGGGTGGATAAACAAAGGTGGATGCCTGTTATTTATAGAGATTTAGCTGACTGCTTTAATTATATAACTATTTAGACCAATGGAAAAAATGGCCCATAAGATGGATTTTTCCTTAAGGCTTAAAACACTAAAGTTGGCTGGACATGGTGGCTCACACCTGTAATGCCAGCCCTTTGGGAGGCCAAGGCAGGTGGATCGCTTGAGCCCAGGAGTTTAAGACCAGCCTGGGCAACACAGCGAGGCCTCATCCCTACAAAAATACAAAAATTAGCTGGGTGTGGTGGTGTGTGCCTATAGTCCCAGCTACTTGGGAGGTTGAGGTGGGAGAATTGCTTGAATCCAGGAGTTTGAGGTTTCAGTGAGCTATGATCATGCCACTGCACTCCAGCCTGGGCGACAGAGTGAGAACTTGTCTCAAAAAAAAAAGACAAAACAAACAAACAAAAAAACACGAACAAAAAACCAAAAACCAAACACAAAGCAAATTAAAGTTGTGCACATTAAACACTAGAAGTTCAATCCGTACTCTAAAATCAGTGCCTCGTAAGACTTTTAACTAGATGATGGCCATGGATTTCTTTCTACTTCTCATCTTAAAATTATTTAGGAAATGGAGCAATCACTGAACAGCCTAAATTACCATGTAAATGTGATGTTACTCATGTAATTGATGGAAACTCAGGAGAAATTTATTGGGGCATCAAAGAAAAACTGTTAATTAAAATTTGAAATTAGCAGGGTCCTGAGTTAAGCTACTCTATAGGCCTGGATTGGGCAAGACTTCATGAGGAACTACAAAATAATGCTCCATAGTTAATCATTTGAAAGTACAAGCAATAAAGACATCACAACACTTTATAAAATTAATGTATGACTAAAACATTTTTTCATTGCTAATCAAGACTCTGGGCTTCTGCCATCTTTTCAGCCTCAGCTGGATAAGCACAGAGACACTTCTGGAAGGAACGTAATGGTGGCTGCCCAAGGAGAGCCCCAAGTCCAGTTCAAATTGGTATTGGTTGGTGATGGTGGTACTGGAAAAACTGCATTCATGAAATGTCATCTGACCAGTGAATTTGAGAAGTGTGTAGCCACCTTAGGTGTTGAGGTTTATCACCTTGTGTTCCACACCAACAGAGGATCTATTAAGTTCACTATATGAGATACAGCTGGCCAGGAGAAATTTGGTATACTGAGAAATGGCTATTATATTCAAGCCCAGTGTGCCGTTATAATGTTTGATGTAACATCTTGAGTTATTTACAAGAATGTGCCTAACTGGCATAGAGATCTGGTATGAATATGTGAAAACATCCTCATGTTGTATGGCAACAAAATGGATATTAAGTATGGGAAAGTGAAGGAAAAATCTACTGTCTTCTACTGAAAGAAGAATCTTCAGTATTATGACATTTCTGCCATAAATGCCAAAAAGTAACTACAACTTTGAAAAGCCCTTCCTCTGGCTTGCTAGACAGCTCATTGGAGACCGTAACTTGGAATTTGTTGCCATGCCTGCTCTTGCCTCACCAGAGATTGTCATGGACCCAAATTTGGCAGTTTAGTATGAGCATGATTTAGAGGTTGCTTAGACAACTGCTCTCCCAGATGAGGATGATGACCTGTGAGAATGAAGCTGGAGCCCAGTGTCAAAAGTCTAGTTTTATAGGCAGCTGTTCTGTGATGTCAAGTGGTGCACTGTGTGTGCCACTTTATTATCTAGCTAAGGGCAACATGTGCTCCATCTGTGGGATGCTGAAGGAGATGAATGGGCTTTGGAGTGAATGTGACAGTTTAAAAAATACCTTCATTGTTTGGACCTGCATATTTAGCTGTTTGGGAATGCAATTGATTTCTTCTTGAGTTTCAAATGTAAGACTGCTACTGTCACATCACAATATTCAGTTGTGCCTAACTGGCATAGAGATTTGGTATGAGTATGTGAAACATCCTTATGTTGTTCAGTGGGGAAATTTTGTTACTATCATTGCCATTCCTTTTTGTTTAGAATCAGAATAAAAGTGTATTTCAAATATCTTTTAAAACTCAGATTTAACTATTCAGCATTAGTATAATATATTCAAAGGTTATTTCCCCAAGGCAGATAAAAATTTCTAAAAAATTCACTTTCTACAAATTTAGTAATTCTGATGTTCTATCATGCTTCTAATAATTGTTTTGCTTTGTATTTTACTACAGATTTGCTGATTTTAGATGGCTACAACTGCCCAGAGAAAGGGAAAAAAACCACAATAAAGATAACTAAAAAAATGTTCACGTTACTATTTTATAGTAACACAGGCAGGAGATTGTAAGGACAGATACAAATTAACAATAAGAGGCTTAATTACTCCCATTGAAAATAAGGTATGAGATTTCTCTCCCCTCCTTTTTTTCCAGAACATTTACTTGAGAAAACTTATAATTGTAAGTACTTTCTCCTCTCTTTTAAATGTACATAAATCCTTTTGCAGACTAAGTAGGTCTTTTGCCATCTTTGTGACCCACAAATGTCTTTCTCAAGAATGGACCTAAGAGTCATCTCTTTGAAATGTAGACATCAAGGGAGAAAGCACCCTCATTTCCCAGTTCCTGTGGGAGGGTAGCAGCCTAACTTTGGTCGCCATCTTACTCCAAGTGTCAGAATCACCTCCTGTCGTAAAGATATGAGAAGTTTATTTTTCCCCTGGATAAAGCCAATTAGCTAACACAATGGTAATGGTAACTTGGTGTCTTAGTCTGTGCTGTTATAATGAAATACCACAGACTAGGTAATTTATAAACAACAGAGATTTATTTCTCATGGTTCCAGAATCTGGAAAATCCAAGATCAAGGAATGGACAGGTTTGGTGTCTGGTTGTTACTGGAAATGAGTCCCGATCCAGACCCCAAGAGAGGGTTCTTGGATCTCGTGCAAGAAAGAATTTGAGGCAAGTCCATAGGGCAAAGTGAAAGTAAGTTTATGAAGAAAGTAAAGGAATAAAAGAATGGCTACTTCATAGGCAGGGCAGCCCCGAGGGCACTGCCCATTTTTATGGTTATTTCTTGATTATATGCTAAACAAGGGGGTAAATTATTCATGCCTCCCGTTTTTAGACCATAGAGGGTAACTTCCCGATGTTGCTTTGGCATTTGTAAACTGTCATGGTGTTGGTGGGTGTGTAGCAGTGAGGATGACCGGAGGTCAGTTTCATTGCCATCTTGGTTGTGGTGGGTTTTAGCCAGCTTCTTTACTGCAGACTGTTTTATCAAGAAGGTCTTTATGACCTGTATCTTGTGCCAACCTCTTATCTCATCCTGTGACTAAGAATGCCTTAACCTCTTGGGAATGCAGCCCAGTAGGTCTCAGCCTTATTTTACCCTGCTCCTATTCAAGATGGAGTTGCTCTGGTTCAAACGCCTCTGACATGGTGAGGGCTTGATCTCTGCTTCCAAGATGGCACCTAGTTACTTTATCCTCTGTCTTAATTTTAGCCCAGAAAGACCCATGTTGGACTTCTACAGAACTGTAAGATAATACATGTGTTTTTTTTTAAGTCACTAAGATTGTAGCAATTTGTTACTGCATCAATAGAAAACTAATAGAACAAGGTATTTCCCAACAGCTGAGTGCAAGTTTATGGAGAAGGTAGCATTTATAAGCTGTTAGCAGCAGCACTCCCAGAAATTGGAGGATGGGTGCACTCGTCATTAAAGGGTTGGCAGTGTTCACTTTAGTAAATCTGCCTAATTCTGGGATGCAATTTAAGGAAGCCTACTGTTTGTGATTTTGGTTGCTTTTTTGTTTGTTTGTTTTGGTTCTTTTTAGAGAGCTATTCCTTACCTCAAGGTAAAAAACATATTCTCTTACATGTTCTTTAAATACAATTTTAATTGGGTTTTATACATATAAATATTTAATCCATCCCTTCTGAAATTTGTGTGTGTGTGTGGTAGGAAGTAGAAATTTACCTTTTTCCAGATAGATAGCAAATTGTCTCAGTCTCATTTATTGAGGAGTCAGTCTTCTTTCCCTATTGATTTGAAATATTATAACCCAAATTTCCACAAATGCATGGGTTAGTTTCTGGGCACTAGTGATTTGCTCACCTAATCCCAAATCAGCACCACACTTATTTAATTATTATAGCTTTACAGTATGACTTCATATCTTATGAGTAAAATTTGTTCTCTTAAAAAATTGTCTTGGCTATATGAGGGTATTGGTGATGTTGACTCCATCTCTTATTTAAATATATATATGTAAATATATATGTAAACGGCTTTATTGAGATATAATTTACACATCATACAATTAACCCACTTAAAGTGTACAATTCAGATTTTTAGTATACTCACAGACATGTGCCAGCATCACTGCAATCAACTTTAGAAACCCTTTACCAAATAACATCCTATGAAGAAACCCTGAAAGAAATCCCTCATTCTCCCCTCCCCCTGAGCCCCTGGCAACCACTAATGTACTTTCTATCTGTATGGATTTGCCTGTTCCAGATAATAAATAAAAATGGAGTCATACAGTGTGTGATCTTTTGTGTCTGTCTGTTTAACATAATGCTTTAAAGATTCATTCATGATGTAGCCTGTATTGGTAACTTCATTCGTTTTTATGACTAAGTAATATTCCATTATAATGATAGTGACTGGAGGCAGCCAAATGCCTAGGCAGATAGGGGCGGGTCCCTGGTGAAACCCCACCTTCAAACCCAAAACAACCTGAAACCCGGGGCCCAGAGTGAGAACTTCTATTCCTGTTTGCCTGCTCTCTCCTGATTGGTTCTTTCTGAATAATGCCTTTTAACCAATTGAATGTTGCCTTTTCCAATACTACCTATGGCCCGCTCTGCCCACATCCTGTACCTATAAAGACCCCAGACTCAGTCAGTAGAGAGAGAGAGATGGCCTGACTTCAGGGAAGAGACCTCCTGACTTCGGGGAAGATGACCTGCCCTTCCCATTCCCTTTCCAGCTCTCCTCTCTGCTGAGAGCTATTTTAATTGCTCAGTAAAATTCTCTACTTTCACCATCCTTCAGTTGTCAGAATGACCTCAGACGTGCACCACCACACCTGGCTATTTTTTTGTATTTTTAATAGAGACATGGTTTCACTATGTTGGTCAGGCTGGTCTCGAACTCCTGACCTCAAGTGATCCGCCCTTCTCAGCCTCCCAAAGTGCTGGGATTACAGGTGTCAGCCACCGTGCCCAGCTGACATTTGATTTTTGACAAAAGTACCAGAACGATTCAATGAGAAAAGATAGCCTTTTCAACAAATGGCAATGGAACAATTGAAGATCCATATACAAAAAAGGAACCTCAAACTAAACTTCACATCTTATGCAAAAATTGATTCAAAATGTATCACTGACCTAAATGTAAAACATAAAAAGCATAGGAGAGAATTCTTAGGATTTAGGACAAGGCAGTTTTAGACTAGACACCAAACATATGGTCAATAAAAGGAAAAATTGACAAATTGGACCTCATAAAAGTTAAAAACTTCCTCAGCAAAAGCCTGTGTGGAGAGGATGAAAAGACAAGCTACAGACTGGCAGACTGGGAGAAAATATTTGCAAACCCCATATCTGACAAAGGACTAGTATCAAAATTGCATGAAGAACTTTCAAAACTCAACAGTAAGAAAACAATCCAATTAGAAAATGAGCAAAATATATAAACAGACATTTTACTGAAGAGGATATCCAGATGTCAAATAAGCACAAGAAAAGATGTTCAATATCATTAGCCATCAGGTAAATGGAAGTTAGAATTATAATGAGATATCACACATGTATCAAAATGGCTTAAGTAAAAAATAGAACACCAAATGCTGGCCAGAATTTGGAAAAACTGATCACTTGTATGTTGTTGATGGGAATGTAAAATTATACAGTCACATTGGAAATAAATTTGACGGTTTCTTACAAACCTAAACATGCAGCTATCACACAGCCTACCAATTTCACATTTGGGCATTTATCTCAGAGAAAGAGAAACTTATGCTTACACAAAAACCCACACACAAATGTTTGTACCTACTTATTCATAATAACCAAAAGCTGAAAGCAACCCATATATCCTTTCATGGGCGAATAATTCAATCAACTGTGGTACATCCATATGATGCAATACTACTAACCAATAAAAATGAGTGAACTATTGACACATGCCTTTTCAACAATCCTGTGACCTCAATATCCAGTTAATGAACTTGCTTTGTAATTAACCATCCAGAGTCATCTCCTCTTGTTTGCAGCTAAGAAAACTGATTGATACAAAGAGAAATAAATGTAAGAGGAAACTACAAGAAACGAGAAGTAGAAGTCAGTGAATGCCTTGTTAAGGTTTATAGTTGCCTAAATAGCCAAAGCCAAAAAATGATACCATAGATAATACTAACAGTCAGGTGACAGGCTGAGAGAAGATCTTTTCAATGTATAAAATTGGCAAAAACTAATATTCAAAATTTTAAAGGAATTCTTTGAAAACTACCTGAAAAGACTGGCAACACCATAGAAAAATGGGCAAAAGGCCAGGCGCAGTGGCTCATGCCTATAATCTCAGCATTTTGGGAGTCTGAGGCGGGTGGATCGCTTGAGATCAGGAGTTTGAGACCAGCCTGGCCAACATGGCAAAAACTCGTCTCTACTAAAAATACAAAAATTAGCTGGGTGTGGTGGTGGGTGCTTGTAATCCCAGCTACTCAGGAGCTGAGACCAGGAGAATCGCGTGAACCTGGGAGGCAGAGGTTACAGTGAGCTGAGATCATGCCACTGCACTCCAGCCTGTGTCACAGAGCGAGACTTTGTCCCAATAAAAAGAAAGAAAAATGGGCAAAGCACTTGAATAAGCAAATCACATAAGGGGAAACCAAAATGACTAAACATGTACGAAGAGATGCTCTACCTCACAAGTAATCAGACAAACGCAAATGAAAACAACAATGAGATATAAGTCTGGACCCATCACATTGTCAAAAGTAAGTTCAATGATCAAGTGGTTGTGAAAATATGATAGGATGAGAGCAAATCCTTGGATTCTGCTAGTGTGAGGTTAAACCTGTGCAGCCATTCTGATGAGCAATCTGGCAGTGCCTAGTGAAATTAAGAATGTGTGCAACCCAAAGCAATTCGACAGGGGAAAGGAAAGTCATTTCAATGGAGGGTAGTTGAAAAACTGAATATTTATATGGAAGTTAAAATACTAGATCTTTAACCTCCCTACTCAATACAATACACAAAATAAATTTGAGAGGGATTACACACTTAAAGGTAAAAACGAAAGTTATAATGCTCTGGAAGAAAACAGGAGAAAAAACAGGAGAATTTCCCTTCCTTCCTTCCTTCCTTCCTTTCTTTCTTTTTTTTTTTTTTCTTGAGACAGAGTCTCACTCTGTTGCCCAGGCTGGAGTGCAGTGGCAAGATCTCGGCTCACTGCAACCTCCACCTACTGGGTTTAAGCGATGCTCCTGCCTCAGCCTCCCACATAGCTGGGATTACAGGTACGTGCCACCACACCTGGCTAATTTTTATATTTTGGATAGAGACGAGGTTTCACCATGTTGGCCAGACTGTTCTCGAACTCCAGACCTCAAGTGATCCACCCAGCTCGGCCTCCCAAAGTGTTGGGATTACAGGCGTGAGCCACCGCACAAGGCCGAAAACAGAAGAATTTCTGTGTGACCTTGAAATAGTCAATGACTACTTAGGACACACAATATACTAATTGCAGAGAAAAATAATTGATAAATTGGACTTCATCAAAATGGAAAAACGAATGCTCATCAAAAGATACCTTAAATAAGCAAGCCAAACACTGGGAGAAATATATATTTTTTAATTTTTGTTTTTAATTTTTGTGGGTACATAGTTGGTATATATGTGGGTTACCTGAGATTTTGATACAGGCATGCAGCACATATTAATCACATCAGGGTAAACAGGGTATTCATCACCTCAAATATTTATCATTTGTGTTTCAAATAATCCAATTATACTTTTTAAGTTATTATTTTGAGGCAGGATCTCACTCTGTCACCCAGGCTGGAGTGCAGTGGTGTGATCATGGTTCACGGCAGCCTTGACCTCCTGGGCCCAAGCGATCCTCCCACCTCAGCCTCTCAAGTAGCTGAGACTGCGGTTGTGTGCTACTACGCCTAGCTAAATTTTATTTTTGTAAAGACAGGGTCTCCCTATGCCCAGACTGGTCTTGAACTCCTGGGCTCAAGCAATCCTCCCACCTTGGCCTCCCAACGTGCTGAGATTACAGGCATAACCCACTGCACCCAGCCTCTTTTAGTTATTTTAAAGTGAACTATTAAATTATTTTTTACTATAGTCATTCTGTTGTGCTAGCAAATACTAGGTCTTATTCATTCTTTCAAACTATTTTTTTGTACTCATTAACCATCTCCCCTTCCCCCTCCAACTCCTGTCCTAGCCTTTGGTAACTATCCTTCTACTCTCTATCTCCATGAGTTCAATTATCTTAATATTTAGCTCACTGGGAGAAATATCTACACTACATGCACCTGACAAAAGTTTTGTATTCAAAATGCATGAAGAACTCCTATAACTCAATAATATAAACAGAAACCAACTTTTAAAAAAGGGCAAAGCATTTAAACACATTTCTGAAAGAAGATATGTGAGTGGCCAATAAACACATGAAAAGGTGCTCGATGTTGTTAGCCAACAGAGAGATTAAAATTAAAACTATGAAATATCACTACACACAAGAATAGCTAAAATCAAAAAGAATGATAACACCAAATGTTGGCAAAGATGTAAAACAACTGAAATTTTCATATATGCCAATAGGAGTATAAAATGATATAATCACTTTGGAAAACTGCTTGACAGTTTCTTAAAAAGTTAAACATGTACATATTTTACAGCACAGCAATCCTACTTCTAGGTATGTATTCCATAGAAATGAAAGCTTAAGTTTACAAAAAGTCTTGTATAAGGACAATCATAGCAGCTTTATTCATAAGGGCCCCAAGCTAGAAACAGAGCAGATTTCCCTCACCAGAAGAACAGATAAACTATGGTATATTCATACAATCAAATACTATTCACTGATAAAAATGAATTAACTACTGATGTATGCAACATGGATGAATTTCAAAAATATGTTGAATGAAAGAAGTCAGGTAAAAAATACATACTATAAATTCCCATTTATCTGATGTTATGGAATAGGAAAGACTAATCTATCGTGATAGAAATCAGATCAGTGGTTACTTCAGTGGGGAGGACATGGGATTAACTGGGACAGGGCATGAAGGAACTCTCTGGGGTGATGGAAAAGTTCATATCTTGATTTGAGTTACCTGAGTGAGTGCATTTGTAAAAACTGGTTGAACTGTACTTTCAGATCTGTGAATTTTGCTATATGTAAATTATATTTCATTTTTTTCAAATACAAATATAAAACCTACTGTTAGAAAACACCTCAACCTCACAGTAGTGGTTACCTGAATAAAGGAAGAAAGTAGAAGGAGCTAAAGTGAATGCCTTACGTGTACTCATAACTTGAAATGAAGAGAGAGAGAGTGTGTGTGAAAGGGAAAACGAACGCATGTCCCATGAACTTACTCTAGTATTCCTTCTAATTTTTTTTTTTTTTTTTTGAGACAGAGTCTTTGTATGTCGTCCAGGCTGGAGTGCAGTGGCGTGATCTCAGCTTACTGCAACCTCTGCCTCCTAAGCTCAAGCAATCCTTCCACCACAGTCTCCCAAGTAGCTGGGACCACAGGCGCATGCCACCATGCTTGACTAATTTTTGTATTTTTTGTAGAGATGGGTTTTTACCATGTTGCCCAGGCTGATCTTGAACTCCTGAGCTCAAGCGATCTGCTCACCTCAGCCCCACAAAATGCTGGGATTACACGCCTGAGCCACCGCACCTGGCCCCTCCTACCTGCTTTGTCATTCCATCTCATTCTGCTCTCTGGCTCATTTTACTCAAGCTTCCCACTGAATGTTGATGTTCATCATCATTTTAGCTTTTATTTTTTGTCATCTGAAAATACCAATGTTGCTTAAAGTGGATCATAATCTCTTGGGCTGCTTGCTAAAAATGCAGATTGTACCTACCTCATAGGACTACTTGGGCAACTGCATGAGATAATGGTTATATGATGCTTAAAATGGTGCCTATGACAAAGTAAGGACTCCTCCAAAAATTCTGTATTATTATTATTAGTTATTGTTGTTGTATTATTGAAACAGAATATTGGAAGTTGGTGGTGGATAATTTTCTTTTTTTTATTTTACCTTAAGTTCTGGGATACCTATGCAGAACATGCAGGTTTGTTATGTAGGTATGTGTGCCATGGTGGTTTGCTGTACCTATCAATCCATCATCTAGGTTTTAAGCCCTGCATGCATTAGGTATTTGTCCTAATGCTCACCCTCCCCTTGCCTCCCACCCCCAGAGAATTTTCATTTTTATTAAAATCTTCAGGTGATTCTGATGCATATTAAGTTTTGGAACCACAGAAGAACACACTCCCTAAGGAATTTCATTCATATACATGACCTCAACTACTACTTGTATGGAAATGACTCACGGAACACATTTCCAGATATTTCTCCTGAGTACCAGATTCTAATGTATCCAGTTTCTTCTGGATACCTCCATTTGATAGCCCATAGATACCCTACAATTGACAGATTTGAAAACATACTCAGAGTCTTTCCGTGGACCCCTTTCCCTTCTTTCCCAGGCCTACTGAATGGTAGTTGTGCATTTCATTCAGCTGAACCAGAAAGTAAAGAATCATCTAGACTCTTCCTTCTCTCTTCCCATTCAACATCCGTTTGCTGACAACATTCACTTTCTTTGATACCCATTTCCTGTCAAGCCTACCCCCTTTATCAGTCTGGGTTTTTGTTTCCTCATTTGCATCTCACGGCTGCAGCCCAGGTCCTCTTTTCCCTTGCCTGGATTGTGGCAATGGCAGTCAAATTGGTCTTCCTCTTCCCAGAATATCACCAATTCTAGGAGTGCATGAATTAAAGCTATATATCCTATGAGTCTCAAAGTACTTCATTCTTGCGCAAACACCATGGCATTTCTTTTCCCTGCTTACAAAAGTAACACTTTCTTATGACAAGCAATAGGCAACAAAGAAAGATATAAAGAATAGAATAATAACATGTGTAACAAACCTGCATGTTGTGCACATGTACCCTAGAACCTTAAGTATAATAAAAAAGTTTTATGTGTGTGTGTGTGTGTGTGTGTGTGTGTGTGTGTGTATATGTATGTATAAAGAATAGAATAATACAGTTAGCTGGGCATGGTGGCACACACCTGCAATCCCGGCTACTTGGGAGGTGGAGGCTGGAGAATTACTGGAACCCAGGAGGTGGAGGTTGCAGTGAGCCAAGATCATGCCACTGCAATCCAGTCTAGGTGACAGAGTGAGACCCTGTTTCAAATAAACAAACAAACAAAACACAACAACAACAAAATAGAATAATGAGCAATCATAATACCACCACACAGAGATGAGTATTACTAACATTTTGTTTGTATTTATTTATTTATTTTAGAGACATACTCCCACTGTTGTTTTCCAAGCTGGAGTGCAGTAGCACAATCATAGCTCACTGCAGTGTTTTTATTTTTTATTTTTTTTTTGAGATGGAGTCTCACTGTGCCACCCAGGCTACAGTGCAGTGGTGTGATCTTGGCTCACTGCAACCTCCGCCTCCCAGGTTCAAGAGAATCTCCTGCCTCAGCCTCCTGAGTAGCTGGGATTACAGGTGTACACCATCATGCCCGGCTAATTTTTTTTGTAATTTTAGTACAGATGGGTTTCACCATGTTGGCCAGGATGGTCTCGATCTCCTGACCTCGTGATCCACCCACCTCAGCCTCCCAAAGTGCTGGGATTACAGGCGTGAGCCACTGTGCCTGGCTTTTATTTTTTTATTAAAGGATAACTTGCATACTGTAAATCCTAATGAATTTTTACATATAAATAGACTTGTGTACTCATCACCCAGAATACTGCCATCAACACAGACAGTGCCCTCGTGCCCCTCCACAGTCTATACCATTCACCAGAAAGAACCACTATTCTGATTTGTATCATTGTAGATTAGTTTTACCAGTTTTTGAACTTTATCTGCATGGAATTATACAGTATTTACTCTTTTATGTCTGTCCTCTTTTGTTCAAAGTTACATCCATGAGATTAATCCATGTTGTTGGGCATATCAGTAGTTCATAACTGTTAACATTTTGATGTATGTCTTTTCAGAAGTTTTTCTATACACACTCAGACACTAAAATAGTGTCTATGTTATGACCTTTTTCTCCTTTTCATGTCATACAGGAATGTATCATCTTACAATTGTTTTGTTCTGGTTAAAAAGGCAATACATTCTTACTGTATAAAATGAAATGCTATGGAAATACATAATTTAAAAAGAAAAAGTCTCCCACAATTTCCCAATACACCCACAATAGCACTAACATAGAGGAGGTCATGGACATTTTGACTGGCATTTATCATTCATTCAACAAGCTTTTATTGAATGCCTTTTATGTGCTAGGCATTTTTTTGACACTGAGGGTATAGCAGTAAACAAAACAAAACCTTAGCTATCATGAAACTTACTTTATAGTGGGAGCTACTAACAAATAAACAATTAAATATGTAATGTAATATCAGGTTAGTGATAAATGCTATAATGATAAGTAAAAAAAAGAGAAAGAGTGATGGTGGATTTTCAATAGTATGGTCAAAAAGAAGGCTTTTGGAAGAAATAATATTTTATGAACAGAAAGAAAAGCAAGTGCAGGCCAGGTGTGGTGGCTGGCGCCTGTAATCCCAGCTCTTTGGGAGGCCGAGGCGGGCAGATTACCTGAGGTTGGGAGTTCGAGACCAGTCTGGCCAACATGGTGAAATCCTGTCTCTACTAAAAATACAAAAAAATTAGCTGGGCATGGTGGTTATAACCTGTAATCCCAGCTACTCGGGAGGCTGAGGCAGAATTGCTTGAGCCCGGGAGGCAGAGGTTGTAGTGAGCCGAAATTGTGCCACTGCACTCCACACTCCAGCCTAGGCGACAGAGCAAGACTCTGTCTAAAAAAAAAAAAAAAAAGAAAGAAAGTGCAAAGGCCCTGAGGTTGGGACCTGCACGCATGCAAGGAGGCCAGTGGGTCTGGAACAGACCAACCAAAGAGAAGTGTAGTAGAAAATAGGGTTTGACATTCTGGACATAGGAAGAGGCAAAGATTTCATGACAAAGATACCAAAAGCAATTGCAACAAAGCAAAAACTGACAAATGGGATCTAATTAAACTAAAGAGCTTCTGCACAGCAAAAGGAACTATCAACAGAGTAAACAGACAACCTACAGAATGGGAGAAAATTTTTGCAAACTATGCATCTGTCAAAGGTCTAATATCCAGCATCTATAAAAAATTTAAACAAATTTACAAGGAAAAAACGACCTCATTTAAAAGTGGGCAAAGTACATGAACAGACACTTTTCAAAAGAAGACATACATGCAGCCAAGAAACACATGAAAAAATCTTCAACATCACTGATGATTAGGGAAATGCAAATGAACACCACAATGAGATATCATCTCACACCAGTCAGAATGGCTATTATTAAAAAGCCAAAAATAGCAGATGCTGATGAGGTTGCAGAGAAAAGGGAGTGCTTATACACTGTTGGTGGGAGTGTAAATTAGTTCAGCCATTATGGAAAGCAGTGTGATAATTCCTCAAAGAGCTAAAAACAGAACTACCATTCGACCCAGCAAACCCATTACTGATATATACCCGAAGGAAGAGAAATCATTCTGTCATACAGACACATGCCCGTGTATGTTCATTGTAGCACTGTTCACAATAGCAAAGACATGGAATCAACCTAAAAGTCTATGAATGACAGATTGGATAAAGAAAATGTGGTACATAGACACCATGGAATACTATGCAGCCATAAAAAGGAACAAGATCATGTCCTTTGCAGGAACATGGATGGAGCTGGATGCCATCATCTTATGAAACTAATGCAGAAACAGAAAACCAATACTGCATGTTTACACTTATAAGTGGTCGCTAAATGGTGAGAACACATGGAGACATAGAGGGGAACAACAGATACTGGGAGGCCTAGTGGAGGATGGAGAGCAGGAGGAGGGAGAGGATCAGAAAAAAATAACTAATAGGCACTAAGCTTAATATCAGGGTGATGAAATAATCTGTACAACAAACCGCCATGACACGAGCTTTCCTATATAACAAACCTGTACATGTACCCTTGAACTTAAAATAAAGGTTAAAAAAAAAGAAAATAAAGCTTGAAAGTAGGCAAGGGTCAGATATTGTAGGGCCTAGTAGTCAGATTATCTAAGTCCTTTGAATTTTATTCTAACTATGATGGAAAGCCATTGGAGAGTTGAGAGCAGGTGAAGGAGATTATCTCATTTGTGTTTTAAAAGAATTACTCTGGCTCCTTTGTAGAGAATAGACTGCATAAAGGAAAGAATAGAAGTGGATACCCCAGGTGAGGAGCTATTGGCAGTGATCCCGGTGAGAGACAATGTGGCTTAGGCCAGGGTAGCAGCAGGGGAGGAGGTGAGAGGAGCATTGGTTCTGGACTTGTGTAGAACTGACAGGACTTGTTGGTTGCCCTTATACAAAATGTAAGAGAAGGAGAGGAAGTAAAGCACAACTCCAAGGTTTTTAGACTTGATGATTTCAGTATTCACATAGATCAATCAAACCTCCTTGCCTCTCAGTTCCTTTAGGAAGAACTGGCTTGATGCGTGCATTGGGAGAAAAGATTAGGTGCCCAATTTGGGTCATACTGAGTTTGAGATTAGATCATCCAAATGGAGATAGTGAGTAGGCAATGGAAATATGAGTCTAGAGTTCAAAGTAGAGGTCAGGGCTGGGGATTTACTGCCATGAAGCTGGATGAAATCACCTAGGGAGTGAATGCAGATAGAAAAGTGAAGCTGCCCAGGGCCTGAGTCCTAAAGCACTCCCATATTTCATAACCTGAAAGATGAGGAGAAACTGGCAAAAGAGACAAACAGAAACCAAGGAGGCCAAAGGAAAACTGTGTGGAGTCATGGAAGCCAAATGAAAAATCTGTTTCAAACAGAGCCACTGCTAGGCCATATTATTCCTGTGTGAAAATAAAACAATACAAACAAAAAGCCCTATTTCTTCCTCAAGTAGAAGAAAACAATTAATATTCTATTTATTTTCCAATAAGAATGGTTACAAAACCCATATACTCATTTTGAATAAATTGTACAAATCAAATATTGAACACAAAGGTATAGACAATCCCAAAATTTAATCACAATTAGGAACTCAAAGCCACCAGGATATAATAATTTATTATAAAATAGTTTCACATTTTGCTTTTATCAAAACAAAATTCTTTACGGCAGTTTCAATGCTTGCTTGCTTGCTTGTCACTATATATGACAGTCTTTTAACATTGTACATATTAAGTAGTTCTTAATAAATTTTAATTTTGGGAAGATACATTCTTTAATGGTGGCCATTGTTGACAAAATTAATATGTCCTGAGAGCTCATGAGCTATTTGCAAATGTACCTGATAAATTATTGCTGCAAATACGTTGCAGCACTTCAACAAGAATCTTAATAGTTTTTTTTATTTTTTATTTTTTGAGACAGAGTCTTGCCGTGTCACCAGGCTGGAGTGCAGTGGCACGAACAGGGCTCACCGCAGCCTCGACCTCCTGGGCTCAAGCAATCCTCCCACCCCAGCCCCCCAAGTAGCTGAGACCACAGGAATGTGCCATCACGTCTGGCTAATTTTTAAATTTTTTGTTTGTAGAGGCAGGGTCTCCCTATGTTGCCCAGGCTTGTGTCAAACTCCTGGGTTTAAGTTAGCCTCCTGCCTCGGCCTCCCAAAGTGCTGGGATTACAGGCATAAGCCACGTCTGGCCTAGACTCTCACTAGATTTTAGTAATCAACTTTTTAGTTCCAGATTTTAGTTCCTCACACATTAAAAATCATCAATATCACACTCCATATATATTTTCATCAGTCATTTCAGTTGTAAAATTTTTGTAGATGTATTTGTTAATTTTATTATTAGTTTATATTATTATTTTATAATACTTAAGTTATATATGTTTTTTAGAACACTGTAAAGGCAATTATACTTGGCTGAATAATGGTCCCCCAAAGATATCAGTTCCTAATTCCTGGAACCTATAAATGTAACTTTATTTGGAAAGCAGATTTTTTTGCAGATGTAATTAAGTTGAGGATTTTTTTTTTTCCGAGAGAGGGTCTTGCTCTGTTGCCCAGGCTGGAGTGCAGTGGCACAATCTTGGCTCACTGCAACCTCCACCTCCTGGGCTCAGGTGATTCTCCCACCTCAACCTCCCGAGTAGCTGGGACCACAGGTGCCTGACACCTTGCCTGGCTAATTTTTTGTATTTTTGGTAGAGACGGGGTTTCACCATGTTGCCCAGGCTGGTTTTGAAATGCTGGGCTCAAGCAGTCTCCCTGCCTTCACCTCCCAAAGTGCTAGGATTACAAGCATGAAGCACCATGCCCAGCCCAAGTTGAGGATCTTGAGCTTAGGAGGTTATCCTGGATTGTCCAAGTGGGACATAATGCCATCACAAGTGTCTTTATAGGAAAGAGGCAGGGGGGAGACTACAGACACACAGAGGAGGTACTGTGAAGACAGACAGATTGTGGCTGCAAGCCGAGGAATGCCAGCAGCCACCAGAAGCTGGAAGAAGCAAGGAATGGATTCTCTCCTGAAATCTCTAAAGGAAGCATGGCCCTACTGACAGCTTGATTTCAGACTTCTGGCTTCCAGGAGACTGTGAGCAAATACATTTCTGTTGTTTTAAGCCACTAAATTTGTGGTAACTTGTTATAGCAGCCATAGGAAATGAATACAGCCATTATAATCTTTATTATAAATTTTTCCTTTAAATATGATATTTTATTTACTCATCTATTTCAATTTGAAAGCACGTACTGTTTATTAACTGACCAGATTAGAAAAATAATCACAGTAGACACCTTAGTTCATTCTTCTAAGAAGGCTGTTGATCTGGTCCTCCCTGTTGCCAGCATCTCCACCTTCTACAAAATGGGTGGTCTTTTTCTTCATCCCACCTCTTGGAGAGGATAATTTGAAGGGCCACATGAAGTTATTTGTTTCTTTGAAGTGTTTTCCAACAGTATAGATCTCATTAACAAGATCCTCCCTGCAGATGATACTGTATTTACCAAGAGATCAAGCAATCAAAGTGTTATCTCTCAAGGCAACTCACTTCTCATTGATTTTGCCATAACCACGCTTGTAGATTAGCTCATTTACTGACTTCAGCTTTGGGTACCCCCATGCAATATATGGTTTTACAATCATCAGCATGTTAATTGAATCCTTGTTGAGCTTTGCAAAGGTTCCATTGAAGATTTGACGAAGGCGAAGAAGCTGCAACACCTTTCGGACCTTTGGGCTCAGAGCATTGCTACCTCTGATCCTGATGACAAATGCCAATTTGGGTTTGTGGGTACATAGAAAGTTGCCAGCTTTTCTTGCCATCCTAGCTATTTTACTCTCAGCTCTGTACATTTGTCTATATTCCTTGTGATAGTGCTTCATTTTTTTCCTACAAAAGCTTCCTCCTTGCCTTTCAAAGCATCTTTTGGGCAAACTTCTCTCTCGGGCTCTGCGAAATTCCTCCACTTTTTCTTAAGGGTTTCTGGAACAGCAGGAAACTTCTTCTCTTTGACACCCTGTATGGTTTCAGCCAGAAAAGAGCTAAATATGATATTTTATACAATGATTTTTTTTTCTTTTGAGACAGAGCCTTGCTCTGCAACCTCTGCCTCAGCCTCCCGAGTAGCTGGGATTACAGGCGTGGGCCACCATGCCCAGATAAGTTTTGTATTTCTAATAGAGACGGAGTTTCACCATGTTGGCCAGTCTGGTCTCGAACTCCTGACCTCAGGTGATCTGCCTGCCTTGGCCTCCCAAAGTGCTGGGATTACAGGCGTGAGACACCGCGACTGGCCAAAATGCCCATTGACCCCGACGTGATAGGAACGATTTTTTTCTTTTTCCAACTTTTATTTTGATAATAGGTTCAGGAGTGCATGGGTAGGTTTGTTACATGGGTAAATTGCATGTCACAGGGGTTTGGTATACAGATTATTGCCCCAGGTAATGAAGATAGTACCCAACAGAATACCATTCTCAACATAGGCCCTGGGAAAAATTTCATGGTGAAGACTTCAAAAGTAATTGCAACAAAAACAAAAATTCATAAGTGAGATCTAATTAAACTAAAGAACCTCTGCACAGCAAAAGAAACTATCAACAGGGTAAACAGACAACCTACAGAATGGGAGAACATATTTGCAAACTATGCACCTGTCAAAAGTCTAATATCCAGAATTTATAAGGAATTTATATAATATTTTAAAAAGTTGAATTTGAAATTGATCATAGATTGGCTCTGTGGGGTTATATAGATCATATATGGGCTCAGATATACAGTTGAAATGAATTGTATTTTGCCTTTTTCTAGTGTTTCTATACTGGAGAAGTTGGTGTCAATTTTAAGAGACCATACAATTCGTTTAGCATTATTAATAAATTTTTCTTAAATAGTACTGTTCAGTTTTTGTCAAATAATTTCTAACTTCTTTCAATGCTTTAAGGAGAACCTGTACTTGGATGACAAATAGCCTTTTCAATTGTTATGACATGCCAAAAACAGCTCCTGATACTCACCAAACTCGCTTTTCCTCAAAGAACTGAGAAAACAGGATGTTGAATTGGTCGTGTATGGTCATATTGAAATCACCAATCTGAAATCCCTGAGTTCTTAAACTTAGAGTCTTTGAATTGTAAAAAAAAAAAAAAAATCACAGATATTAAGATATCTGTGATCGTGAATAGCACTGCTTTGTAAGGCTCTTGTGCAATGGACAACCTGAACCTCTTTTCTGCACAGAAAAGCGCATTACATACAGTGTGAGAGAACATGGATATTTAATGACATTTATTATGCATATTAGAATGGCATCAGTGAGGGGAATAGTGTTTGTGAATGAAGGAAAAAAATGGGAGGAGAGTTTTTATATGTATGATAAACTGAGTAGTATGATCAATTTAACCGTCTGCATCTGAAGTTGAGGAAACATTTAATGAATATTCAGTAAAAAGAGCTGCGTGTCTAGTCCTTTTGTTTTTTGAGACAGGGTCTCACTCTGTCGCCTGGACTGGTTTTGACTTACTGCAACTTCCGCCTCCCGGGGTCAAGAGATTCTCCTGCCTCAGCCTCCCCAGTAGCTGGGATTACGGGCGTGAGCCGCTGTGCCTGACCATCGTGTTTTTTTAAATAAGTACAATTAAGCATCTATTTTTACAAAGGGGATCAGACCATATGTGCTATTTTGCAATTTGCTTTTTAAACTTAGCATATTTTGGATATCTTTCCATGTCAGTACATGATTTATATCATTCTTTCTAGAAGCTGCTTAAGTATTTGATTTGATAGGTGCATTATAATTTAAGTCAATGCTCCATTGATATTTGATTTAAAAAAAAGAGTATTTTGCGTATTTATTATTTTATGGCAGAATGCCCAACATAGAGCAATATTGCAAGTATTCAACTGTGCAAAAATAGTATGTGGTGGTTTAGTACAAATGGGACTGCTTTAAAAAAATACTGAAACAAAACTTGATGGTACTATAAGAAACATTTAAACTAAGTGGTTTCTAGATCTGCTTAGCTTGAGATCTGTCCTCTGTAGACCTATAATGATGGTTGCTACTTCCGACCATGATCAATATACAGAATAATCAGTTCCAATGATCAAATGTGGTCACAGCGGGTCTCCTTCTCAGTATCTTTCTACAGACATGTCTACAGACATGATCTGGCCTGGATAAAAAGACAATGGAAATTTCTCAGTGGTTGAAAATAATAAGTATGGTACATATTCTCATGATTCTCTTGGTTCTCATTTCTAGTTAGATTGCACTTAGATGGTTTCTTCAGTTTGTCATACAGAATGAGCATTCCACCAATGCCCCTGAGAACATTGGACTATGCATCTTTGTTAAAGGCTTTTCCACATTCATCTTTAAAATCTTCACCCCACAATATATGAAGTTTCCGTTATATGTGATGTCAGTTCTTTGTGACCAGACTGCATCATCACCTACCCCATCGCAGTATGGAGTAGGGAAGAGAACACACTGGCCATCCAATTTAGTGATTTTACACACAGTCTTCTATGCCTTTGAATTTTTTTCCCTTGACAGGTTTCCCAATATTCGTTGCCCAGTGGGTTCTTGCAAAACCTAAGGAGTAGAAAAAGCTGAAAATGACTCCTGATGTACCACCAGAGGCCAGATTGTCAGCAAAATACCTCCAGAACCCAAGCTGCCCCTCCAGAAGAAGAGTATTCACTTCTCCTTGGGAAAACAGACTATATAATCCTCTATGCCTTTGTACTGTTTGTCAGAGGCAATATTTTTACACACACACTGTACCTCTGGCATTGTGAGACCCCTGGGGATCTTTCATTTCAAGAATATTACATAAATGAAGTCATACAGCATATAACTTTTTGAGACTGGCTTTTTTTACTCAGCATAATTCCCTTGTGATCCATCTGAGTTGTTGCATATATCAATAGTTTATTCCTTTTTAGTCCTGAGTAGTATGCCGTGATATGCATGTACCACAGTTTGTTTAACCATTTAACTATTGAAAAACTATTGTACATTATTTAAAGTGTACAATTCAATGGCTTTACGTATATTCATAGAATTGTCCAACCATCACCAAATCAATTTTAGAACATTCTTGTTATTGCTCCCCTTCCCCCTTAAAACCCTCATACCCATGAGTGATAACTTATCATTTCCTCTCAACACTCACCCCAGCCCTAGGCAACTGCTGTTCTACTTTATGTCTTTAGGGGTTTGTCTATTCTGAATATTTCGTATAAGTGAAATCATACAATATATTGTCTTTTGTGTCTGGCTTCCTTCATGTAGCATAATGTTTTCAAGGTTCGTTCAAGATGTAGCATGTATCAGTACTTCATTAATTTTTTATGACTAATATTCCATTATAACATTTTATTTATCAATTTATCAGGTGATGGACATTCGAGTTGTTTTCAATTTTTGCTATTATGAATAATGCTGCTGTGAGTACTTGTATATAAGTTTTTGCGTGGATATATGTTTTCATTTCCCTTGGAGTGGAATAACTGGGCCATATGGTAACTATGTTTAACATTTTGAGGAACTGCAAAACTGTTTTCCACAGCAGCCCCATCACTTTACACTCTCACTAGCATTGTATGAGGATTTCAGTTTCTCCACATTCTTGCCAACACTAGTTATTGTCTGTCTTTTTTATTATTGCCATCCTAATGGGTATGAAATGGAATCCCATTGTGGTTTTGATTTGCATTTCTCTGATTGCTAATGATGTTGAGCATCTTTCCACATGCTTATTGGCCATTTGTACCTCTTCTTTGTAGAAATGTTTACTCAGGCCGAGGCGGGCGGATCACAAGGTCAGGAGATCAAGACTATCCTGGCTAACATGGTGAAACTCCATCTCTACTAAAAATACAAAAAAAAAAAAAAAATTAGCCGGGTGTGGTGGTGGGTGCCTGTAGTCCCAGCTACTCGGGAGGCTGAGGCAGGAGAATGGAGGTGGAGCTTGCAGTGAGCAGAGATAGCGCCACTGCACTCCAGCCTGGGAGACAGAGTGAGACTCCGTCTCAGAAAAAAAAAAAAAAAACCAAGAATTGTCTACTCAATTTTTATCCATTATACTTATTTGTCTTTTTATTATTTAGTTATGAGTTCGTTATATATTCTAGATACAATTTCCTTATCAGATATTTGATTTGCAAATATTTTCCTCCCATTCTGTGAGTTGTCTTTTCGCTTTCTTGATGGTGTCCTTTTGATATGGTTTGGCTGTGTCCCCACCCAAATCTCATCTTGAATTGTAGTTCTCATAATCCCCACATATCATGGGAGGGACCTGGTGGGAGGTAACTGAATCATGGGGTCGGTTACTCCCGTGCTGTGTTCTCGTGATAGTGAGTGAGTTCTCAAGAGATCTGATGGTTTTATAAGGGGCTTTTCACCCTTTTGTTTGGCACTTCTCCTTGCTGCCACCATATGAAGAAGGACATGTTCGCTTCCCCTTCTGCCACGATTGTCAGTTTCCTGAGGCCTCCCCAACCATGCTGAACTGTGAGGCAATTAAACCTTTCCTTTATAAGTTACTCAGTGTTGGATATGTCTTTATTAGCAGCATGAGAATGGATTAATACACCTTTGAAGCACAAAAATTTTAATTTTAGTGAAGACCAATTTATCAATTTTTTTCCTTCTGTTGCTTGTTTTGTTGGTGTTATATCTAAGAAACCATTGCCTAAGCCAAGTTTACATAAATAGTCATTCTGAACTATGAGGTGACAAGCTAATTATGGCAGGAGAGTAGAATCCTGGGTCTCTGATGATTACGAAGCTGCATATTAGGCTTGGAAACCCAAATTCTACATTTATTTTACGCAACAGTGAGATAAAGTATTTTATTTTTAAAAATCAAGACCCTCTGTTCTTTAAAATACACATAAAATGAAAAACAAAGATATAAGAAGATATTTGCAAACACACATAAATGACATAAATTTCGTATCTATAATATATAACAAACTTTCACAAACCAATAACAAAAAGACAAACAACCCAATAGAAAAATGGGCAGTAGGAAGGAGTATCTCACAGAAGAGGAAACATATATGGCCAATAAGCATATTAAATGCTCAACCTCATTAGTAATCATAGAAATATAAATTTCATACCCATGAAATAACAAAATTTTAAGTCTGAAATATCAAGTCTTACCTATGACATGGAGCAATGGAAAATCATACCCTGCTTGTGGGAATGTAAATTTGTATAATCATTTTAGAAAAAAAAAGATTTGCAGATACCTATGAGGTCAAGGAATTGTAGTGGGAGTAACAAGCAAGCTGGAAAGATGGTAGGTTGTTTAGAAAATATAATGTTGGGTCGGGCACAGTGGCTCATGCCTGTGATCCCAGCACTTTGGGAGGCTGAGTCGGGTGGATCACAAAGTCAGGAGTTCGAGACCAGCTTGACCAACACGGTGAAACCCCGTCTCTACCAAAAAGGCAAAAAAAATTGGCCAGGCCTGGTGGTGCGCGCCTGTGGTCCCAGCTGCTCAGGAGGCTGGGGCAGGAGAATCGCTTGAACCTGGGAGGTGGAGGTTGCAGTGAGCCAAGATGGCGCCACTGCACTCCAGCCTGGGTGACAGAGCGAGACTCTGTCTCGAAAAAAAAAAAAAAAAAAAAAACTAATGTTGGAATTCATGACTTAGGAGACAGAGAAATTTGTGTGATAAAAAAGTACAAGGTGTAACCTTCCAAGAGGTTAGCTAAAGTGGAGAGGAAGTATACATTTAAGATAACAAGGTGTATCAGTTGGTGTCCAATCAGAACATAGACACTACATAGTATTTTTTTTTTTTTCTTGAGATGGAGTCTGGCTCTTGTCGCCCAGGCTGGAGTGCAATGGCACGATCTCAGCTCACTGCAAACTCTGACTCCCAGGTTCAAGCGATTCTCCTGCCTCAGCCTCCAGAGTAGCTGGGATTACAGATGCCCGCCACCATGCCTGGCTAATTTTTGTATTTTTATTAGAGACTGGGTTTCACCATGTTGGCCAGACTGGTCTCAAACTCCTGACCTCAGGTGATTTGCCCACCTTGGCCTCCCAAAGTACTGGGATTACAGGTGTGAACCACCGTGCCCAGCCTACTACATAGTAATTTTAACAAGAAGAGTTTAACATAAAGAATTAACAATAACAGGGGATTGGAGTGTTGAAGAATTGGTTAGTAATAAATAAAGGAAACTCTAAAAAGTATGGGATAGCAGATATAAATAGCAGACAATATAAAAATAATATGTAATGGCCGATACCTCTAGAGCTGTGATAACCCTCCTCTCCACCCACGGTCGAGATCCAGGCCTTATTGGAGAAGTTGCTCTGGTGCTGAGTTGGTGGAACTTGTTGGATGTACATTCTCTGGAACTTGCTGAAATATACCCCTCTACGGTGCTGGTTCACATGGAAGGTGTCTGTCTCATCAGAGATTCTTTGCTGCCTAAACACTCAAGGGTAGTGCCTGGGGAGGTTGCTACCTACTGTTTGTTGGGAAAACCAGTGCTGCAGAAGGTGGGCAATAGGAAAGCTGGGAGCTCAGCAGGAGCTTGTGGAGTGAGCGCACAGAAAACAGGAAGTAAAACCCCTTCTTCCTGCAATGTCTCTCCACCACTGCCTACTGATAAAACTTTGTATCATGCCAGCTGGCAAAGTCAGAAATATTTCAAGGTCCCAGGTCCATTTCACAGAATAGGCATAAAGGGGAAATGAGAGGTAATAAATTGATTACAGGTTGAGAAGTTCAAGGAACTGAGAGGTCTTGATGTTGGATTGTTGTTCTTGTGGATATTGAAATGACCCAAGTGTTGGCAGAAATTAGAGTGGTGTAGAAGGTTAGAGACCAATAAACTCATTTCTCTAAGTGTGACCTTGGTCTATCTGCATCAGAATCAAGTGGGATACTTTGATAACACAAATTCCTTTTTCCCACTGCAGATCTTCTGAACTGGAGTATCTGGGAAGAGAGCTCCCAAATATTCTTTTTTAGTAAGTGCCTTAGTAGATTTGAAATGAAAGAGAATCGGTTAGTAACATTTTAAACACACAAAACTAAATAGTAAAACAGGTACCAGTGTACCCAGCATTCAGTCTTAACAAATGTTCACATTTGCCTTATTTCCTGAAGATCTTTTGATTTTTCATGAAATGTTACCTATTTTAGCTTAAGTTCCACTCTCACCTTCCTTTCTCCTTTATGCCTCACAGGAGATGATCATATGAACATTGTTTTTTGTCAATTCCTGCTTTAGGCAATAGAGAGCCTTTGAGGGTTTTTGAACAGGGGTATTAACACTAGAGGTGTTTTTGGAAAATCAACCCAAATGTGCCCTGTTAGAGAGTTCATTAGGATGAGAGGATGGAGGTGGAAAGCCCTTGAAGAGGCAGGTTCAGTGGCCCAGAGGGTGTGGTACTGAGGATCTGAGGTAGGGTGAGAGATCTTTGCTTTTTTTTCTCATGCTCTTGTGTGAAGCCTGCTCTTTGTGTTGCTGTGACCCCCAGTCTTTGAATTCCCCCTCTTCCCCTATTCCCTCAGTTCATCAGCTCCTTTCTAGCTTCATTTGAGTCCCTAACCAGCCTGGGTTTCATGGGTACCCATTTCACCTATATGCTTGCCACTGCCCTGGAATTCCTTGCTTTGTTGACATTTTACCACACCAACTGTAACTTCCAATCTTTATACAAATAGAACTGGTTCTTTTGCCTTGAGGCAGTGGCCTTGCCATTCTGATATACTTTATTACTCATAGTAATATTTGCTATAGTGAGTGTCCAAAATGAGGCAGAGTTTTATCCAGATGACCTTGGTGAACTCAAGACTGTTTTGGAGGAGGCTGGGTTCACAAAACTTACTCAGGCTTTGTTCTTCATCAGAAGATGTAAGTGATACCTCAATAATACTGCCAGATTTTGTTTGTCTGTAGAGTAAAATTTTGATGAGCAGTTGTGAAAACTGTTCAGATGACATATAAAAATGTGTTTAAGTTCGTCAGATTTGGGAATTTTATTTATCAACAAATGTATTCTGTTTTTATTTCCATTACATAGATTTGGCCATGGGTCAACGTCAATGAAAACTTTTGATTGATTATACTTATTTTGCTTAAGTCACAAGTACATCAAGCAAACCTTGTTATAGAACTATGGACAGACACAATAACATGAATGAGTATGAAAATGATGATGTTGAGTTAAGAAGCCAGAAAAAAGATAGTACCATACTGTGTACTTCCATTTATATAAGATTCTTGAAAATGCAAACTAATCTATAGACACTGAAAATAGATTGGTGGTTGCCTGGCATTTGGAGGCAAAGAGGAAAGAAAGAATTGAAAGGGCACGAGGACAATTTTGGGGGTGATGGAAAGGCTTATCTGGATTGCATTTGTGTGATTGTATCAAAGATGTATGTATATGTCAAAATTCATTAAATCATATATATGCAGTTCCTTATGTGTCAATTACAGCTTAATAAAATGGTAAAAATCATTAACAAGAAAAAATGTTTGTTTTAAGCCATTTAAACCAACCAACAAACAAAAAATCCTTGCTATAATCAGTTACTGTCTATATCAGGGACACCATCTGAATACATTCATTTATTCATTCAGCATTTTTTAACATCTACTGTGTATACCTGGCAGTCTGCTGGTAACACAGTGTTAAATAAAAAAAAACAAGACCCCGAGTTTAGGAAGTTTACATTCTTGTGGAGGAGTCAGATCATCAGATCAACAAGTGATAATAGTAAAGTGTGACAAGTGTCCTGACAGAGCAAGAAAGGGCAGCTTTGAAAATGTTTAGTAGGGTTATCTAAGCTGATTCTTTGGTAGTAGATGCCTGAAGCTGTGTTGAAAAGAATTCTGAGGCTTAGTAGGAAAGAGCTATACATGATCTGATGTCTCCCATGCACGAGGAGAGGTAATCATGGTAAGTGCCACACATTTGCCAACATAGGGTTATACTATTAAAGTTGGCCTTATCATAAATTTCCCAATAGTATGCCTATTTCAAGTGGTTCTGAAAATGTTTGAGAATGATGAAGATCTCTTGTTATAGACAGTTTTTTTTTCAGAGCAGTATTTTAAGTGCAAAGTGTTTTTTTGTTGTTGTTGTTGTTGGGAAAATAAGAATCTTCCATATTGTAGTGTAGACAGAGGACAAGTGCTCTTTTGTTCTCAAACATTCTATTTTTTCAAGTGTATTTTACCCACTTATGTGACTGAGTCTGAGCCTTTGCTAAGGGTACTGCAGCTGGATTATGTAGTGGAACCAGGTCCAGAAAAAGAATTGCTAAAGAATGCAAGTAAACAGGATGTCAGATGTTATCCTTAGCCTATTTCCCTAAACATAGCTTTTTGGCTGCAAAGTAAAATGCCATTCTTCTAGCTTCTGCTTATACACAGTGATGGCTGACAGCAGGCATAATCTTCGTTTGCTTGGCACGTTGTCACCATGCAACTCAACGTGTTTTGCAAGGAATGATCGTGACACACCATCTCTGGGAGATACTATGAGGACATCCGGCTATTTCTTGGAAGAATTTTCTGTCTACCTTCTTTGAGCCCTGTTGTGCCAGCACATCTCCCCATGAGGCTCAGATCTGTCTGACCTAAGAGCCAGTTGGCATCGTCCTCCTAACAGAAGCCAGATTTTCACTGGGGCTAGACTATTTATTGACAGTGTTTTCCCAGACTGGCCCATGAGTGTCTCATTTCCAAGGTCCCCTGAAGTGCTGGCTCACCTCTGTTTCCCAAAGCACTTGCTTGCTTGTCTCTCCTCCCTCCCCAGCATCCTTTTCACTTTCTTCCCTTATAACTTCTTGCACTCTGTGTGCGTGTGTGTGTATGCGTGTGTGCATGTGCGTTTCTTCTTTTTTTTTATCCTAACGAATTTGTTTTGCAGGTTTTGAAAAGGAAAAACCAGCGTTATCCAGGATTGTTAAATTAATTCTTATCTGTTTCCACATCTTGGACCGTGATCTCTGTGGTTTTAAAATCCCATATTTTGAGTGGGTTCCGCTGTTGTTTAAGAAAAGTTGCTTTAAACCTTTGCTCTGCAAGCACCCGAAGAGAACTCATAAAAAGGAAGACAACAGCAGATGCAATCGCGGATGTGGCTTAGTCCTTGCAGCTGCCCCAGAGTGCTGTTTGGAGTGTACCGTCCTCAGTAATGAATCCAGAAGAACAAATCGTGACATGGCTTATATCTTTGGGAGTTTTAGAGTCCCCTAAAAAGACCATCTGTGATCCGGAGGAGTTTTTAAAGTCCTCGCTGAAAAATGGGGTAGTTCTGTGCAAACTGATCAACAGACTCATGCCTGGCTCTGTGGAAAAGGTAAGGGAAATTTGCAGTCTCTTTGGGATTGCTTATCACCAGAGAGCAGCAATCATGTAACTCTTGAGATTTTTCTATTTCCCAGGCCATGGGAATCTCCTACTTTAATATTTTTCTAAGAGTTAGACATTCTTTCTTACTGTTTTTGTAGTTTGAAAATGTAAGAAAATGAAACGTTATTCTTTAGTAATTGGCCCCCAAATTGTAGTATAGGGAAAACCTGTGACACCACTGGCAACAAGGGACAAGGAGAACACTCATATCACAAGCTTGCTCTATCATGGAGATGCATGTTACATCTCCTTGTGTACCGAGGACATGTTTTGAACTTGGGGTACTTATGAGTCTGTGGAAAAATAGAATGATTTATAACAGATCTTGGTGGTGTTTATTGGCAGTTTGATTAAAATCAGTGTAGATTTCCTTTTAGAAAAATCCATTGAAGGAGAGACTATATAGCAACTAGGAAAAAAATAATTCAAAATGTCACATAAAGTTTGTAAAAGCAATAGAAACCAGATATATGTTTCGAATGCAATGTGCGTTCAAAGTGAAACTAACTTTACTCTCTTTAAAACAATTCAAGATTTTTAATAGCTGGAAATCCACGATCACGAGAATAGATAATTTCTAAAGTAGGCACTTTAAGTAAGCTTAAAGGTACAATTTTACATTTACTTTCTTAAGGTCATCATGGACTGTGAGCATAGCACTTTTGCCTTCATGAGCCAGTTTGTATTTTTATTGAGCAAATAAATTTACTTATAATTTCTTAAACTTGAGAAAGAGTGATTAAATAGTGATAAAATGTAAAGAAGTGTGGTCAAATGTAGAGGGGAAATAGAATTTTATTAAATTATCAGGGGGAAGGAGGAGAGAGAGGTACCAGGGATTGCTTCCTTTCTTGAAAGCAAGAACTAAGCTCAAAAAACTGTCTTGGTCTCCCTAATTTGCCATCAGCACACTGGAACAGAAGGCATGAGAGAAAGCTTGTAAGTAGACATGGCTTGCCACTAAAGGTTTGGTGACATTTGAAACAAAGATCGACCGTTTAGATTTTTGCATCACTTCCTTCAGTGGTTATTTCTCTTCCTGGATTGACAGCAGTGTTGCCCCACACCTTAAGAGGCCTGCTTTCTCTAGTTATCAGCAAATGATGAGTATACTTTGCTTGGCATGGGATGACAATCTCCAAGTGACATTTCACTGTGTTCCTCTAGTTTTGTCTGGATCCCCAAACTGAAGCTGACTGCATCAACAACATCAATGACTTCCTGAAAGGATGTGCAACCCTCCAAGTGGAAGTAAGCCTACCCCGGGTGCCTTCCCTGTTGTCATCGTTTTTTTGCTCTGCTAATCAAGATTGGTAGTAAGAGTACTTGTTTATTTTCACTGTCATTGGCCACTGAGTTAAACAGAGGTAGCAGACTGGTGGTCCCCAGTAATGGATTGCTAGTCTGTCTTTTCCAGAAACCAGTTCCAAGCAAAACAAAACAAAATAAAAACTCACACAATAATGCCTTTTATATACAGCATCCAAGCCCTGTAAACAGGCTTCCAGTGACAGAGCTTGTGTGGGTGTGTTCTCCTACTAAGGGGAACCAAAAGTGGGCCACTGACTGTTGGAGAGGGTCACTGTAATCCTCCCAAGTTGAGAAAAGAGGAAAGGCCATTGTTACTCCTTCCCATTAACACTTTAGAACAGAGGCCTTGAAAAGCTGAGAGAACTTGGCTTTGAGGTAGAAATTGTATAGTAAATTTTGTGGCATTATTTTATATTATATGGATCCCTACAGTGTGTATAGGAAGTGTTACTGAAAGGGAGGTGATACTTCCACACGAGCATCAAGTTGCTTAACTTCTCTGTGCTTCAGTATTTTTATCTGTAAAACGGACATGCTAATAGCCAACTCATGGGATTGCTTTAAGAATCAAATAAGGCCGGGCATGATGGCTCATGCCTTTAATCCTAGGCCAAGGCAGAAGGATTGCTATAGCCCAGGAGTTCGAGACCAGCCTGGACAGTATGGTGAAATGGTGACTCTACAAAAAATACAAAAATTAGGCAGGCGTGGTGGCTTGTGCCTGTAGTCCCAGCTACTCGGGAGGCTGAGGTGGGAGGATCGCTTGAACCCAAGAGGTGGTGGAGGTTGCAGTGAGCTGTGATTGCACCACTGCACTCCAGCCTGAATGACAGAAAGAGACCTTGTCTCGAAAAAAAAAAAAAGAATCAAATAAGATACTGCATAATAATTTAGGGCCAAGAGCTCCAACCTTGTAAGATCTATGAGATAATTTATGTAGAGTCCTTAGCATAGGGCCTGGGACAGAAGAAGTACTCTATATTAATAGACTAGTATTAGTCATATTATCCGTGGACAAATAGTTGTGGTTTAAGCATGGACTGTGGTGCTAAACTTTTTGGGTTCAAATCTCAGTTCTCTCTTACTAGCAGCTTTGTGACCTTGGGCATGTTACTTAACTATGACTCTAGGCCTCAGTCTTCCTACCTACAAAATGGGAATAATAGTGGCACCGAATTCATAGGACTCGTGTGACCTTTTTAAAAAATATTATTTCAATAGTTTGGGAGGAACAGGTAGGTGGTGTTTGGTTACATGGATAAGTTATTCAGTGGTGATTTCTGAGATTTTGGTGCATCCATCACTTGAGCAGTGTACACTGTACCCAATGTAGAGTCTTTTATCCCTCACCCTACTCCCACCCTTCCCCCTGAGTCCCCAGAGCCCATTACATCATTCCTATGCCTTTGCATCCTCATAGCTTAGCTCCCCCTTATAAGTGAGAACATATGATGTTTGGTTTTCCATTCCTGAGTTACTTCCCTTAGAATAATGGTCTCCACCTCCACCCAGGTTGTCGTGAATGCCATTATTTTGTTCCTTCTTATGGCTGAGTAGTATTCCATGGTGTGTGTGTGTGTGTGTGTGTGTGTATGTATACATATTATATATATGTATATTACATTTTCTTTATCCACTCTTTGGCTGATGGGCATTTAGGCTGGGTCCATAACTTTGCAATTGCAAATTGTGCTACTATAAATATGTGTGTGCAAGTGTCCTTTTCATATAGTGACTTCTTTTCCTCTGGGTAGATACTCAGTAGTAGGATTACTGGATCAAATGGTAGTTCTACTTTTACTTCTTTAAGGAATCTCCATACTTAAGGTTTTCCATAGTGGTTGTACTAGTTTACATTCCCACCAGCAGTGTAGAAGTGTTTCCTTTTCACCACATTCATGCCAACATCTAATATTTTTTGTTTTTTTTTTAATTGTGGCCATTTCTGCAGGAGTGAGGTGATATCTCATTGTGGTTTGATTTGCATTTCCAGTGCTTAGTGATGTTGAGCATTTTTTCATATGTTTCTTGGCCATTTGTATATGTTCTTTGAGAATTGTCTATTCATGTCCTTAGCCCACTTTTTGATGGGATTATTTGTTTTTTGTTTTTGTTTTGTTTTGTTTTTTGAGACTGAGTCTCACTCTGTTGCCCAAGCTGGAATGCAGTGGTGTGATCTTGGCTCACTGCAACCTCTACCTCCCTGGTTCCAGCGATTCTCCTGCCTCAGCCTCCTGAGTAGCTGGGAATACAGGCGCCCGCCACCATGCCTGGCTAATTTTTGTGTTGTTAGTAGAGACAGGGTTTCACTATGTTGGCCAGGCTGGTCTCAAACTCCTGACCTCAGGTGATCCGCCCGCCTGGGTCTCCCAAAGTGCTGGGATTACAGGCGTGAGCCACCGCACCCGGCCTATTTGTTTATTTTTATTTCTACTTTATTTATTTATTTATTTATTTATTTATTTATTTATTTATCTATTTATTTATTTTTGCTGATTTGTTTGAGTTCCTTGTCGATTCTGGATATTAGACCTTTGTCAGATGCATAGTTTGGGAATATTTTCTCCCACATTGTGAGTTGTCTGTTTACTCTGCTGATTATTTATTTTGCTGTGCAGAAATTTTTTAGTTTAATTAGGTCCCATCTATTTATCTTTGTTTTTGTTGCCTTTGTTTTTGAGTTCTTGGTCATGAACTCTTTGCCAAAGCCAATACCTAGAAGAGTTTTTCCAATGTTGTCTTCTAGAATTTTTATGATTTCAGGTCTTAGATTTAAGTCCTTGGTCCATCTTGAGTTGATTTTTGTAGAGAGGTGAGAGATGAGAGATGCGGTGAGAGATGAGGATCCAGGTTCATTCTCCTACATGTGGCTTGCCAAATATCCCAGCACCATTTGTTGAATAGGGTGTCCTTTCCCCAGTTTATGTTTTTGTTTGCTTTGTCAAAGACCAGTTGGCTGTAAGTATTGGGCTTTATTTCTGGGTTCTCTATTCTGTGTCATTGGTTTATGTGCCTATTTTTATACCACTACCATGCTATTTTGGTAACTACAGGCTTGTAGTATAGTTTGAAGTCGGGTAATGTGATGCCTCTAGATTTGTTCTTTTTGTTTAATCTTGCTTTGGCTATGTGTGTTCTTTTTGGGTTTCATATGAATTTTAGGATTGTTTTTTCTAGTTCTGTCAAGAATTATTATGGTATTTTGATGGGAATTGCGTTGAATTTGTAGATTGTTTTTAGCAGTATGGTCTTTTTCACAATATTGATTCTACCCATCCATGAGCATGGGATGTGTTTCCATTTGTTTGTGTCATCTATGATTTCTTTCAGCAGTGTTTTGTAGTTTTCCTTGTAGAGATCTTTCACCTCCTGGGTTAGGTATATGCCTAAGTATATTATTTTTTTTGCAGCTGTTGTAAAAGGGGTTGAGTTCTTGATTTGATTCTCAGCTTGGTTGCTGTTGGTGTATAGTAGTGTTACTGACATATTGATTTTGTATCCTGAACTTTACTGAATTCATTTTTCAGATCTAGGAGCTTTTTGGATGAGTCTTTAGGGTTTTCTAGGTATACAATCATATCATCAGCAAACAGTGAGAGTTTGACTTCCTCTTTACCGATTTGGATGCCCCTTATTTCTTTCTTTTGTCTGATTGCTCTGGCTAGGACTTCCAGGACTATGTTGAACAGAAATGGTGAAAGGGGGCATCCTTGTCCAGTTCCAGTTCTCAGGAAGAATGTTTTCATCTTTTCCCTGTTCAATATAATGTTGGCTGTGGGTTTGTCATAGATGGCTTTTATTACCTTAAGGTATGTCCCTTCCATGCTGATTTTGTGGAGGGTTTTAATCATAAAGGGATGCTGGATTTTGTCAAATGCTTTTTCTGCATCTATTGAGATGATCATGTGATTTTTGTTTTTAATTCTGTTTATGTGGTGTATCACATTTATTGACTTGCATGTGTTAAACCAAACCTGCATCCCTGGTATGAAACCCATTTGATCATGGTGTATTATCTTTTTGATATGGTATTGGATTCAGTTACCTAGTATTTTGTTGAGAATTTTTGCATCTATGTTCATCAGGGGTACTGGTCTGTAGTTTTCTTTTTTTGTCATGTCTGTTTCTGGTTTTGGTTTGAGGGTAATACTGGCTTCATAGAATGATTTAGGGAGGATTATCTCTCTCTGTCTTTTGGGATAGTTTTAGAAGGATTGGTACCAATTTTTCTTTGAATGTCTGATAGAATCATGTGACATTTCAAGGAATTCATATATGTAAAGGCCCCAGAAGAGTGCCCGGAATGTAGTAAGTATTCTCTGCATGGTAGATATTATTATTAGCAATGCTGGTAGCTTTGCCCCAGATAAACTTTGCTTCCTTCACCATTTTTCCTAAAGTTAGCCCTAGGACCAGGTTATATCTGTTTCAGAATATTTTATTCCATTTTCCCCTATTGCCTAATTTGCACTCTCTCTCTCAATCTCTGTTTCTTTCTCTCTCTCTATTTATGTGTGGGTCTGTGTGTGTGACTTTTGAGGTAGGTGTGATGGGTGACCACTTTATATCCCTTGTAGAATAATGTCTACTATGGAATTTTCTTTTTTTTTTCTATTATGGTCCAGACTCTTCAGGAAATTTTAAATTTTTCTTTAATAAATACTATGATATTTTCTTTTTTATTCCTTTTTTTTTTTTTTTTTGAGACAGAGTTTTGCTCTGTCACCCAGTCTGGAGTGCAGTGGTGTCATCTCTGCTCACTGCAACCTCTGCCTCCTGGGCTCAAGCAATTCTCATGCCTCAGCCTCTCAAGTAGCTGGGATTACAGGCACGCGCCACCACGCCCGGCTAATTTTTGTATTTTTAGTAGAGACGGAGTTTCACCATGTTGGCCAGGCTGATCTCAAGCTCCTGACCTCAAGTGATCTGCCCACCTTGGCATCCCAAAATGCTGGGATTACAGGCATGAGCCACCACGCCTGGCCAATACTATGGTATTTTTTTTTTTCAAATAAAAACATGGTGAAGTTGCCAATGATTTCTGCATTCTAAAGCTGCCAGAAGGTTTACTTAGCTTCTTTGCAGTTCTAAGAATACTGGATGATACAGAAACACCTTCCAGGTTAGGCATTGTTCAGGATTTTTCTGATAACTAATGCTTACTCCTTTAAGCACCAATGCTTAAAATATTCTTCCACTTTGGATAGAAATATTTATTGTTTAAAAAAATTATGTTTATTACTTTTATTTTTTTATGGGACACTTCACAAATTTTTGTGTTATTCTCGTACAGGGGCCATATGAATATTCTCTGTATCGTTCCAATTTTAGTATATGGGCTGCTGAAGTGAGCACAAGATAGAAATATTTCTAAAATGTATGTCTTAATTTTCTCTCTTCTTAAATAAAAGGCACTGGAAACACTTTTATCTCTTTTTGGTAATTCATGCTGACCTGGGCATTATATGAATATTGTAATGAGGCAATATCTGACATCGTGGTTAAGCACATGCCTTCTCTAGTTTGGCAGACCTAGATTAGAATCTTGGCTTGGTCAATTACTGGCTGCATAACTCTGGGACAGTTACTTGACCTCTCTATGCTCCTTTTTCCTCATCTGTATAATGGAGACATTAATAGTATCTGCTGTATATGATTGTTTTAAGGATCAAATGAGATAATACATCCAAGGCACTTAATATAGCACTGCACATAAGGCATACACAATAGCTGTTTTCTGTGGTGTTATTACTCGGTAATGTTCTCTGCATTGTTGTGTGCAAAATTATTCTTGTAAGGTATATATAGGAGCCATATTGAGGCACTCCTAGAACCCAGAAAGAAGACTAATAAAATCAATACATAAGGAATGAGACCGAAAGCTGAGCTGGGGAGCACGAAGCAGCCAAGAAGACTCATCATCTTGTCTGAAGCTTCCAGGTAGCTGGAAGACAGACTTAAACATAAATATTTGCAAATGTCCCTGGATAGAGTCTCTCTCGGGCCCAAAGTGCCTGGCACAGTGCCTGGCATAGGACATACCTAATAGATTTTTGTTGACCCTATAAAACTGTAGATGTACAAAAAGCAAGAAGAGCAGGGCTTGACTGTTGCTTAGAACACAATATTATTTATCTAAAGAAAGCATACCGGCTTGAAATTGTCAGCTTGGAAATGCAGAAAAATGGAGCCGCAGATGCAGCACCGTACCGACAAATTGAGTACTGGGCTCTGGGGCATGGTGACGACATTAAAAAAGCTGTTGCCTTCTGGTCCTCTGGGTGGCCAGTCGGCTTCTCCAAGTAACCCCCATCTGTGTGTTCTCATATGGCTACAATGTCTTAGGGTCTTTAGAGGATCACACATTTAGTAACTGATCAGGAAAGTCTGCTGAGACATCTGGGAACAAAGTGCTCTCGGAAGCACCCCACCACCTTCTTGATAGTGTCCTTTGTAACACAATTTTTTTTGTTGTTGTTGTCTGTTTGTTTGAGACGGAGTCTTGCTCTGTCTCCCAGGCTGGAGTGCAGTGGCACAATCTTGGCTCACGGCAACTTTGGCCTCTTGGGTTCAAGTGATTCTCATGCCTCAGCCTCCCAAGTAGCTGGGATTACAGGTGCCTGCCACTATGCCTGGCTAATTTTTGTATTTTTAAGTAGAGACGGGGTTTTGCCATATTGTCCAGCCTCTCCTGGCCTCAAGTGATCCACCTGCCTCAGCCTCCCAAAAGGCTGGGATTACAGGCGTAAGCCACTGTGCCTGGCCCACAAAAATTTATTAATTAGACATTTTTGTTTTTTACTTTCAATTTTTGTGGGTACATAGCAGGTGTATATATTTGTGGGGTACATGAAATGTTGTGATACAGGCATGCAATGTGTAATAATCCCATCATGGAGAGTGGGGTATCCATACCCTCAAGCATTTATCCTTTGTGTTACAAACAATTCAATTACACTCTTTAAGTTATTTTAATAAGTACAATTATTATTGACTATAGTCACCCTGTTGTGCTATCAAATGGGCCTTATTCATTCTTTCAATTTTTTTTGTACCCATTAACCATTCCTGCCTCCTTCCCCAATATACTTCTCAGCCTCTGGTAACCTGTCTTCTACTCTCTATGCCCATTAGTTCAATTGTTTTTATTTTTAGATCCCACAAATAAGTGAGGACATGTGATGTTTGTCTTTCTGTACCTGGCTTATTTCACTTAACATAATGATCTCTAGTTCCATCCATGTTGTTGCAAATGACTGATTCTCATTCTTCTTTATGGCTGAATAGTACTCCATTGTGTATACATACCACATTTTCTTTATCCATTCATTTGTTGGTGGACAGTTAGGTTGCTTCCAAATCTTAGCTATTTGTGAACAGTACTGCAACAAACATAGGAGCGCCGTTATCTCTTCCATATACTGATTTCCTTTCTTTTGGGTAACATACCCAGCAGTGGGATTGCTGGATCATATGGTAGCTCAATTTTCAGTTTTTCGAGGCACCTCCAAACTGTCCATAATGGTTGTATTAATTTACGTTCCCACCAGCAGTGTATGAGGGTTCCCTTTTCTCCACATCCTCTCCAGCATTTGTTATTGCCTGTCCAAAAGTTTTTAATTTTGATGAAGTCAAATTCATCTCTTTTGTTGCTTGTGCTTTTGGTGTCATATCTAAGAAACTCATAATCAAATGTCTTGAAGAATTTTTTTCCTGTTTTCTCCTAAGAATAATATAGTTTTACTTCTTACATTAAGGTCTTTGATCTATTTTGAGTTAATTTTTGTATATGGTAGGAGGTACGGGTCCAAATTCATTCTTTTGCATATGCACATCCAGTTGTTTCAGTAACATTTGTTGAAAAGACAACATTAGCCAATTCCTCCATTGAACTGATTAATGTAGCTACGTAGTAAGTTTTAAAAGCGGGTCCTTCAACTTTGTTCTTCATTTTCAAAATCACTTTGGCCATTCTGGATCCCTCGCATGTCCATATGAATTTTAGGATCAGCTTGTCAATTTCTACAAAAAAGGCCAGCTGAGATTTTGATAGTGATTGTGTTCAATCTATAGATTGCTTTGGAGAGTGTTGCCATCTTAATAATATTAAATGTTTGAATCCATGAACATGGGATGTATTTCCACTTATTTGTCTTATGGGATGTATTTCCACTTATTTGTCTTTAGTTTCATTCAGCAATATTATGTACTTTTCAGTGTACATGTCTTATACCTGCTTGGTTCAATTTATTCCAAAGGATTTTATTATTTTTGGTGTTATAAAAAAATAGGATTGTTTTCTTGATTTGGTATTTAAATTGTTCACTGCAAGTGTATAGAAATATAATTATTTTTTTGAGACAAGGTCTTACTCTGTTGCCCAGGCTGGAGTGCAGTGGTGTGATTACAGCTCACTGCAGTCTCAAACTCCTGGGCTCAGGTGATTGTCCTACCTCAGCCACCTGAGTAGCTGTGACCACAGGTGTGGAGCACCATGCTTGGCTAATTTTTGTATTTTTTATAGATACAGGGTTTCACAATGTAGCCCAGGCTGGTCTCGAGCTCCTGAGCTCAAGTGATCCACCTGTCTTTGGCCTCCCAAAGTGCTGGGATTACAGGTGTGAGCCACGGTGCCTGCCCTATTGATTTTTTAATATTCATCTTGTATTCTTCACTTCCAAGAACTTATTCATTAGTTTGAATAGTTTTTTAGTGGATTCCCATATGGTTTTCTTATACAAGAGTATGCCATTGGTGAATAGAGATAGTTTTACTTCTTCCTTTACAATCTGGATGCCTTTTATTTCATTTTCTTCCCTAATTTTTCTGGCTGGAACCTCTGGTACAATGTTTAATAGAAGTGATGAGAGCAGACAGTCTTTCACCATTGAGTACGATGTTAGATGTGGGTTTTTGGTAAATGGCCTTTATCAGATTGAGGTTTCTTTATATTCTGAGTTTGTTATAAGTGTTTTGTTTTGTTTTTTATCATGAAAAGAGTTGGATTTTGTCAAATGCTTTTTCTACGTCTGTTAAAATGATCACTGGTTTTTGTTTGTTATTATATTTGTATGCTGTATTACATCAATTGATTTTCATATATTAAATCAATCTTGCATTCCTGGGATAAAACCCAGTAGATCATGTTATATATGCACATAGAAATTTGTGCACATCAGTGATTATTCTTGAAGGATCTTTCTTCACAGAAATGGGATTACTGTGTAAAATTGTGATAGATAATGTCAAATTGCCCTTCAAAAATGTTATACCAAGTTACACTCTCAGCAATAGTGTAAACAGTGTCTTCTTCCTGTCCCTGGCAACACTGGATATTATTTGTCTTTAATGTTTGCTAAACTGATGGATGAAAATGGCATTTCATTTATTGCTGTAATTTGTATTTCATGATTACTAATGAGTTTGGACATCCTCTTATCCCTTTATAGTCTATTTGTATTTCCTTTTTGTGAACCAAATATATCTTTCTTACTTTCTTACAGAATGGAGAAGGCAGGGAAAATACTCAGGTCCCAAGTGAAGTTTCCAGAATATATGGAAGAATCCTCCTGTCTAGGTAGAGGGTCACTGATGTCTCTCAACAACACAAGTTCTAGCAATGGCAGTTTTATTTTTGTGTTGCCCCTGAAGTTGCTGAGAGTTGGGGACACCTACAATTCTTCCGATCAGTCAAGAATGGCCTGGGTAGTACCTCTTTGATTGCATTGTCCTGGCTACAACTACATGACCGACTGGTCTCTGAAAGCTCTAAACCTATGGTTTTCCTGTTAGCCAACCCTTTCCTCTGCCTTATCCCCAGAAGGTAATCTGCCTTTGTCCTCTTCCACCATTACTACCAACCCATTGCCAGGGACACCCTACCATCTCCTATTCTGCTCCTGAGCCAAGTTTATTATTTATTTATTTATTTTTATTTATTTTTGAGATGGAGTCTCGCTCTGTCACCCAGCTGGAGTGCAGTGGCGTGATCTAGGCTCACTGCAGCCTCCACCTCCCGGGTTAAAGTGATTCTTGTGCCTCAGCCTCCCAAGTAGCTGGGATTACAGGTGCCCGCCATCATGCCCCGCAAATTTTTGTATTTTTAGTAGAGACAGGGTTTCGCCCTGTTGGCCAGGCTGGTCTCGAATTCCTGACCTCAAGTGATCCACCTGCATCTGCCTCCCAAAGTGCTGGGATTATAGGCAGGAGCCACCGCACCCAGCCCCAAGTTTATTTTTTTTTAAAGATATTTTATTCTGGAAGGATTTCACTGAATGTATATGAGATTCAATTAGTACTTATTTCACTTTCTTTCTTCCTCCTTCCCTCTCTTCCTCCTCTCTTTCCCCCTCTCTTACTCTCTCTCCCTCTCTTTCTCCCCCTCTCTCTTTCTTTCTTTCCAGTACCAGCTGGTAGCAGTATGTTTTTTTCTCTGCCCCCACCCCCTCATTCCCTCCTGTCTCCCTGAGTCACTCCATCTGCCTTGTCACCGGAACAGCAGGGGTGCCCTCCCCAAAGTGAGGCTTGTGGGATGGACGATTTGCCATTTCCCAGGGGCTGCTCTGCAGGGAAGCAGTTCTGAAAGTAAGGCAGCTCTACTAATGATCATGAGTCAAGACTAAATATCTAGCAGCGCGGTGCCTCCTGGGAGGAGTTAGGCACAAGGCCCGGCCTAACCACTACAATTACCAGTAGTTGTAACGGGTATCAGCAGATCTTGCTTCAAGCCCTGACCCTGCCACTTGTGTGAAGTCAGGATCTCCTTTCCCAGGCCTCAGTTGAGTCATCTGTAAAATGAGGAGACTAGAGTAGGGGTTGGGTAATGTCTAATGGTTGTAATGTCTGTTTTTAACTTGCCCATTTCCATCAGTTTCCGCTAGGCAAAGCTTTGCATATTTAGCTGCTCAGTTGGAACTAGTAGGAAGACCAAAGAGGATTTTGGCAAGTTCTTTTCTTCTGTTGTGCAAATCTGACATGCTTAATGGAATTTCCAAGAGTTACATTAAATGTCACCCATGAGTCTGGCTATCCTAATGTTTTACAGATTGCATCGTATTTCTGTAAAAATTAGACATTGAATAAGATTTTAAATATTTCCCATCTATCATGAACATTTTCGTTCTCTCTCAAAGAGACTATTTGATTTGGGGCCTGTTATCAGAGAGGCCGGGAAGGGCATCTAGGATAGTTGGAGGAAGGGTGGTATGTGAAGGGCCTCTGGAGAGCCAACGCTTCTCGGGTGTCTCAGCGGCTCACCATAGAGTTTGGGGGTTCTGAGTTGCATCTGGGGGTGAGGGAGGAAGCAGGCCACCAGAAAGGGCTAGTCCATGAGTCCGGGAATCCCGCCCGAAGCTCTGGCAGTGACCCGCAACATGCCAGGCACCGGCAGCCCTCGGGTAGGGGCTGAAGCGGGCGGCAGCAGCATGCGCAGTGTGGCCGCCGCGGGTACACCGCGGCTTTTGCTGCTGCCACAGCTACCAGGGCTGCTGCTGCTGCTGCTGCTGCTGCTGCTGCTCTGCCTGCGCCGCTGTCACTTCCAGTTCCTACTTCTGCGATCCAGGTCCGGGTCACTGCTTACCCGCTGCTGGCCCAGTGCCTCCAGGCCGCTTTCCCTCCGCTGCTCGGCTCCGGCTGCGGGCAGGAGGGGACCGGCGCGGGTAGCTGAGCGTGGTCTGGAGAAGCTTCGCGGGCTGGCTCCCCCGGCAGTCGCTCCCCTCCACTCGCCACCCCGCGCACCCTCGCCCGGCTCGCAGCCAGCGCACCCAGCGGGGCGCGCCTCCGGCACCCCCAGTTCGGCCCCGCGATCCTCCGCCCGCCGAGCGGCACGGCTATGGCAACAAGAACTTGAGGACAAGACTCTGACTTCCCTTTAGATTAAAAAACAATCCCTGGGCTGGAGAGGTTGCGGGCGCGGCACAGAGTTTGGAGACGGGCGCCCCCTCCTCGCCCGCGTCCAGGCGCAAAGTTGCAGCCGCCCCTCCCCGCTGGGGCGAGCCTAGCCCAGCTCTCCAGTTTCGCCCTGGTGGCGGCCGCGCTCAGGGCAGGGTCCCAGCTCCGGCTGGGTTGATCTGTTCCCGCAGCCTTGGCACAGGCTTGCCCGCCCGCTCGCCGGCCCCGTGACTCGGGAGGGCGAACGGCTTCCAGGAGGCGGCGGCGGCGCGGCTGGAGTGAGGGAGCAGCTGGAGGACAGGCGGGCAGCGGCCGAGCCAGGTGACCTGCCTGGGGGCAAAAGGGTCAGGGGAAGGGGAGCGCGCGAGGGCCCGGGGGTGGGTGCCGAAGGACCCCCTTTGGAGAGGAACCGCCCTTCTTCCCCACTGCCGTGGCTCGCAGCCCCAGCTGCGGGGTCCGTTCTCTGCCAGGGCCTCACAGTTCGCTGAGATCCAGGGTGCCGGGAAGGGGGAGATGAGGGCCAAGGACGCAGAGCGAGGACGCGCCAAACTTAGGGGCGAGTTGTCCAGCTCTGGCCGCAAGGTTTGCATCCGACTGGATTCTTTCCTTCCCCCAGAACCAGAGCAGGAGTCAACAGTACCATTTTTAATACTACTGTGATGCCCTCCCAACCCCGAGCATCCATACATTTGGAGATGTTTTCTGCATTAAGTACAGAGATCTGTCGCAGGAATGGTTTGTAGATGGAAAAGACCTGTATTCTACAAGGTGTTCCAAAGTGCCTGTAGTTAATTACAAGTTTTCATTTTCCAGTCATTTAGGAACCCAACAGGTATTTGAGCTATTTCGTTTCTTAGCTCTGCAGCGGAGAGCCCTCAAGTTTATCTCTGCCTCTTCAAAGGTCTTATATTTTCATTTTTGATTTGTTATTGTTTTTGGATAGAGGGGTAACTCACATGATATTTTTCCCTTTTCTTAATGTGTAGTGGGAGTAAAAATACAGTAAATGAATATATTTTCCTCTGCAATTATGTATATTTTGGTCAATAAAAACTTTGCATAACCCCCCCCCAAAAAAAACCTCACAAAATAGGATAAATTTCAGTTTATGCTCTGTAAAGTATTAATAATTTTAAAGGCAAGATTCAAAGGTTCAAACTGTTTTTTTTTAAACTTATATTTGCCTGGAAAACTCATAGTGTCCTTGGACTTCCTATCTTAATTTTGACATTGACCATGGTAAGAGGATCTCTGATGACATCATTTGCTCCAGCCACAGTCTGGAATTCTGTGACTGAGAGCACCTCTCTCCAAAATGTAAGGCCTGGGCCTGCCCTTGTGCTTCAGCTGAGGCATTTCCAAGGATTTCTCTTCAGCAAAGTATTATGCTACATGCCAGGCAATGCTGCAGTCCCTTCTTACATAATAAGCCAGCTTCAGGCTGGTGTACTCTTTGGGTGTGCTTAGAGCAGTTAAAACAAGGGAGTGTTCTGTCTTAGTCTGGGTGCTGTGCAGATGATTGGAGTTTTGAACAAAGTAAATTTCCAGCTACTATTCTCATATTGCATTTCTTTGGTGCTTAATTTTTTGAATGCCTTCTAGTTATCTGAAACTCCCCGTGCCCTTGTAAAGGATGTAGGAGAGATGGCATTACTTTCACTTGACAAAGAAACAGAAAAGTTTAGTTAATCGAAGTCATACAGCTTATCACTGGTAGGATCAAAACTCTAACCTGGACCTCCTGCTTTCAGCCTAGGTTTTTTCTTTGTTCGTTTATTTTTACTAAAATGTGACATTTTATACAAAAGTGTTTTATGTGGCACATTTTATGGATGGTATGTCTTCCAAGCTACTAATTTTTTCTATTCTTTTTGCCTACTCACATCTCAGCCTTGTCTTTGCTTGTGCAGGGCTGGCGCTGTTCTTAGGGGTAAGGACAGGAGGAGAGTTTTTCAAAGGATGGTCTGTGGTTTCTATTTACCTACAGTCTGCCTCTTCTCTACTCACATTCAGGGAGAGCAGGTGCTGAATAGAGTGAGTAGCCAGGGCCCAGAAATTTCTGATATTCATTTGACATCATTAGTCCAAGTATAACATTACTTCAATCTTTACAAAGAAACTCATTCAGGAGAGGAAATTGAAGAGTATGAGTTTTGTTCTTTTATAGCAATCTGTTTATCACTGTGCTTAGGACCGTAGATGCAAAGGAGGAAAAGGAGTTGAGTATCTACCATTTCTCAGGCACCTCCTATGTTCCAGGCACTATGCTAGGTGCTTTAAATCTATTATCATATTTAGCCCTTGCAACACTCCTGGGAGGTAGGTGGCATTGTACTCATTATACCCTGGTGGAAACCAAGGTTTGGAGATGATCCAGACTGATGCCTCACACTGCCAGTGCAAAGAAGAACCGGAATGTAATCACTGATGTACCTGACTCCAGAACTCATTCCCTTTGCCTTGTGCTAGGCTGCTGTTGCCCCCAAAGCTATTGATAAATACAGGAACACCTAGCTCCTTTGTTTTCAGACATGGCTGTACATTGGAGTCACTTGGGATACTTTTTAAAAATACAAATTTTGGGGTCTTATAACCCAGAGATTTTGAGTTAATTGGTCCGCAATGAGGCCCAGCCACTGGTATTCCTTTTTTAAAAAAATGCTTAAATCAACTTTATATTTACATTCGGGAAATTGCACAAATCCTAAGTATATAGTTTGGTGAATCTTCGCAAACTGACACACTCATACAGTCTGCACCCTTATTAAGAAACAGAACAGGATTGGTGCCCAGAAGCTATCCTCGTGCCCCTTCCCAGTCACTATGCCTCACCAAGGGGCACTACTATCATGACTATCCACCACTATCGTAGTAGATACCCTGCCTTCCCACCTGTTTTGGTACTCTATATGAGCGGACTCATACAGTATGTACTTGTTTGTATGAGGTTTCTTTCACTCAGCATAATATTTGTACAAGTCACCCGTGTTGTTGCAGGTAGTAGTGGTTCACTTTTTTTCTTGCTGTATAATATTTCATTGTATGGATATACCATGTTTTGTTTTTCTATTCACTTGTTGATGGACATCTACATTGTTTCCAGTTTTTGTTTGCTGTGAACAATGCTGCTATGAAGATCCTCGTGAGTGTCTCCTGGAGAATATATACACCCATTTCTGTTGGGTTTATGCATTACAGTGTCACTGCTACGTCATAGGGTCTGCATGTGTTCAGCTTTAGTAGGTACTGTCCAGCCATTTCCCAAATCAGACAAGCCTTGTGATTTTTTTTTTTTTGAAAGCTCTGCAAGTGATTCTAATGTGTATCCAGAGTTGAGAACCATTTCCCTGGTTTATCCAGCGTTCAGCAACCTAGTGACCTCAACTGTCTGCCACTAAGCTGAGAACCATACAGAAGGAGATACCAACTTTCTTCTCAGCCTGGAATCTTCTGGACAGTCTTCTCAGCAAAATTGGGCAGCTTACACTTATTTTCCCATAATCCCTTGTGCCAAGCTACCTTTATACTGCTCGTCCACCCTTGCTTTGTTTTTTTTTGTGAACACATCTGCTAGTCTCAGAACTTTTCAAAGGTAGGAACTGGAGCCTGATCTTCTTTATTTTATTTCTTTATTTATTTTGAGACAGAGTCTCGCTCTGTTGCCCAGGCTGGAGTGCAGTGGTGCGATCTCTGCTCACTGCAACCTCTGCCTCCTAGGTACAAGCGATTCTCTTGCCTCAGCTTCCTGAGTAGCTGGGATTACAGGCACATACCACCACGCCCGGCTAATTTTTGTATTTTTCATAGAGATGGGGTTTCACCATATTGGCCAGGCTGGTCTTGAACTCCTGACCTCAAGTGATCCACCCGACTTGGCTTCCCAAACTGCTAGGATTACAGGCGTAAGCCACCGTGCCCGGCCGTGATCATCTTTATAACCCTAGCGCCCAGTACAGGACATGGCACAGAGCAAGTGCTTAGGAAGGGTTTGTTAGATGAAAGATTGATAGAATGACTGAGTACTCAGAGAAGATCTGGGCTGCAAAGGAGACATCCCATCTTTGCACTAAGAATTATGTACTTTATTCATAGGACACTGCCTCAGGCCCTTGCTCAAAGCCTAATTGCTTTTACTTATCTCAGCATGTTAGCATTATGGGTAATCTGGTTGCTCACCCTGAAACTGATTAGAAATAGCAGATTAAATGAGATGAGGTAAGGTATGTGAAAGCACATTGTAAACTGGAAAATAGCATCTAAATAGAAAGTTGTGATAAAGGGAAATGAGGGGCTGCCCTAGATTAGATACACTGGCAATGGCAGAAACTCTATATATCTATGTACAACGTGGAATAACTGAAATCAAAAGCATGTCAGCAAAGGAGACAGAAAAACTATAAAAAGCAGACCCCCAAACACATAACTCTCTGGGGACTTTTGATGTGGTGTCAGGCATGCTGTGTGGTCTAGTCGCTAGAATATGTTCCTTTTCCTGCCTTGGTCTGGGTTTGATTCCTGGTTAGGGCAGCCTTTTTTTTCTTGAGAAGTTGTATACCAGTGCAGGGACTATGAGCTTGAGCTTTGGACATGGACTGACCTGGTTGGCCACTTATTAGGTATATGCTAACCTCCTAGGAGGTAGTAGTAATACCACTTATTAAGTATATGCTTCTGGCTGGGCACAGTGGCTCACGCCTATAATCCTAGCACTTTGGGAGGCTGAGGCAGGCGGATCACTTGAGGTCAGGAGTTCAAGACCAGCCTGACCAACATGATGAAACCCCATCTCTACTAAAAATACAAAAATTAGCCAGGCATCGTGGCACAAGCCTGTAATTGCTGCTACTTGGGAGGCTGAGGCAGGAGAATCGCTTGAACCTGGGAGGTGGAGGTTGCAGTGAGCCAAGATTGTGCCACTGCACTGGAGCCTGGACGACAGAGAGAGACTCTGGTTAAAAAAAGAAAAAAAGTATATGCCTCTTCCTAGGGTTAAATGAAAGAAAGCAAGTAAAGCACTTAGCACCGTCCTTGGCACTGAGTGAACTCTCAATAAAAGCTAGTTCCTAATTGGAATTTTAATATATCCCAGTAGATCAGTGTTCTGGGATATATTAGATAAAAAACATTGCATTATTTTTAAAAAAGTTCACTTAGTTCAGTTATGGTAAGCTAACTCTGTTTAAGAGGTGAGTCATTGATTTTTAGAAAGATTTCCTTTTGAAAATTTAACATTTAAAAAAATTGGAAGGGCAGGCTGGCATGGTGGCATACGCCTGTAATCCCAGCACTTTGGGAGGCCGAGGCGGGAGGATCACCTGAGGTCAGGAGTTCAAGACCAGCCTGGCCAACATGGTGAAACCCCATCTCCACAAAAGTACCAAAATTAGCTGAGCATGATGGCGGGTGCCTGTAATCCCAGCTACTCAGGAGGCTGAGGTGGGAGAATCGCTTGAACCCGGGAGGCGGAGGTTGCAGTGAGCTGAGATGCTGAGATCATGCCATTGCACTCCAGCCTAGGCGACAACAGCGAAACTCCGTTTCAAAAAAAAAAAGAAAAAAAATGGAAGGGTAAACTGTGGGCTTTCCAAGGGTTCTGAGGTTTTACTAGTTACATTTGCAATTGAGACAGGGCTAAAACTTGAAATAGGAAAAAAAAATCCAGCCATTTTCTCTCTCAGTACTATGCTCTATTCGGCAGAGACCACTTGTTTTTGGCAAAATGTTTTTAAAAATAAAGTCAAAGGTAAAATCCTCACATATTTTCTAATACTTAACACATCTCTAGAAGGCAAAACAAAGTTGAATATTTCTGGGCGTCTTAGATGAATAGTGATGTCATACTTGGCCTCTGTTCTCCATGCTTAACAGCAGAAATTAATCCTTCAACATTATTAGCATCTTTCACTCACTATTAAAGTGCTTTCGTTTCTGAGTTTGTCTCTGTGCTTTTCATCATAGAAAATAATTCAAATTTAGATTACAGTGTGTTGAAATATGTTTAAAATAATTTAGATATTATATTTAATTGGTTTTTTATATTTTATTTGGAAGGCTACATAAAGACAGTTTAAATTTCCGTGATATTGCAGCCCAGTGATATCCATGGAACAGAGATTGGAACTTTTAACTACAGTTTCAGACAATATATGTGCAATCTGAAGAGTTTTAGGAACTCCTTGTAAGAGTTCTTGTTCTTTCCCTAGCTTATTGTCTTGCTGTTGTTCTCAATGCTTAGCATGGTCAATTTTTAACTGCTGAAAACAATTTGTGTATGGTTTCCTTTATAACAGCTCAGGACTAGAAATATATTTGGGGATCCAGTTGTAAAGAGGAACTGGAGAAGACAAAGCAACTGAATTCTTCAGAGACTATGAATTATTCAGTTGTTAACCACAGTAACTTCTTGAGCTACCATTTTGTGTTCTAATAATAGAAACAGTTTGGATGGATTCCTCTGGGTATTGAAAAATCAGATCTTTTCATTCTTTTCTAGTCTATGCATAAACTAGAAGAATGTGAGAAAAGACTATTTTCAGTTGCTCATGTTTACCTGGATGAACTAGTTTAATTTTTGTCTTTTAAAACAGACATATTTATTTTAAAATTAAAATAGCTTGAAATTTTAAAATACACCCCAAAGCAAGATGATCGTTTAAGTTAAGTTAAACAATACAATGAATGGTCTTTTATTTTTGGTGATGATTGCCAAAAACCTCTTGCCTTCAGGAAATAAGCAATAAACCTGATGAATTTGGCATAGTTGAGGGGGAAAATAAAAATCAATGGCTTCTATTTAAAAAACACAGTATGTAATATCTAAAAAAGAAAGGCATTGTTTCTGAATTGGGGTGAATGTACCAAACATATACCAAAAGGAAGGCATTTTGTTAGAAAATTTGATTAATTATTAGAATCTTCCTGACTGGAGATGTAAATTATCTTGTTTTAAATCTAACTCACTCTAATTTGGTTTTAATGTTGACTGTAATCCAGGCTGTTTCTGGGGACAACAGAACACAATATACCTCTTTATTCAAACCACACAATCTTGGCCAGCTATTCCCTACTCCAGCCCCATTCTAACTTGGTCTTATTGTTATCATTGAGGTGGCCCTCAAGGATCAGTCTGAGAGGTGATGTGATGTTGCCAGCACAGCATAAGGTATGCAGAGCGATTGGTGATGACATTTGGGGTTAGTACCAAGAGGAAATGCAGAGTTGGTCCTTTGAATTGCAAATGAGGAAGTGTGAAGGCACTTGCCAGTTTCTTAGGGCCCTCCCTTTACCAGTTTTTTAGAGGGGGTTGTTTATGTCCACTTAGTCCAGAAGCTACTCTGTATCTGCATTTCAACATGGGCAATGGCACTTCCTCTGCTGTCAGCTGGAAGAAAGACCTATGACACTAGATATCTGTCCGATTAGCTCCAGGCTTTGTCATACCCTGGCAAACTGGGCCTTATCACACAAAGAGATGTATGGGCTTAGAGATGTGGATCATCCAAAACAGCATGTAGTCACGTATCATTTCTATTGGACTTCTGGCAGAAGATTTACCTTCCTAATTAAGTTCTACTTAGGCAAATCTGGTAAAATCCAAGCTTTATACTTTCTTGGGGACTTGAATATTATTCCAGAGATCAGACATGTCAATTGAGTGAGTGAATAGGGCAACAGGGAAAAGAAGGAATTAAATTAAGGTGAGATAAAATGCAGCAGTTTGCAAAGCAGCAAGTGAAACTATTATTAAGGACTTGTCTCACCCTCAACAATAACAAAGATGTTTCCCTACTTCTTGGAAGCATGGACATTATTTTAAGAGGCTTTTTTTTTTTTTTTTGACAGAGTCCTGCTGTTTTGCCCAGGCTGGAGTGCAGTGGTGCGATTTTGGCTCACTGTAACCTCCGCCTCTTTGGTTCAAGCGATTCTCCTGCCTCAGCCTCCCAAGTAGCTGGGATTACAGTCATGTGCCACTATGTCCGGCTAATTTTTTGTATTTTTAGTTTCACTATGTCGCTCAGGCTGGTCTTGAACTCTTGATCTCAAGTGATCCGCCCCCCTCGGCCTCCCAAAGTGCTGGGATTACAGGTGTGAGCCACCGCGCCAGCCTTAAGAGGCATCTTTAAGGTGTCAAACTCTTAACATCATTTATGAAAAGCCCTGCCTGTGAAGCAGGCCTGAACACTAATTTGTATGTTCTTCATGAGGAGGTCTCCAGCAAAAGAGAGGTATGTACTAATAATTTCTGAGAAATGTATGCAGATCAGGAGACTGCAGTCTTTCACTAACAAAAGAAGTTTAACAACTTTTTTGTGAGAATATACATTGTGATAGTGGAAATAAGCGTTTACACTGTTTGTATAACCACTTTGCATTCTCTGAAGAAGGATTGGTATTTGGGAGTGTGTTGTGTATTGGGGCAAATCTTGATTTGAGATTAAAAAATCACCTTCAAGTAGAGACAACAGAATAGAAAATGGTTTTAGGGCTAATGTACCTGTGGGTGACTTCATTTGCCAGATTTTATATAGGGTTCTTTTTATTTCTCATCTTAAAACAAATTTATGTATTACTGCCTGGCATAGACACCAGGTGTTCAACAAATATTTGTTGAATGGATAATGAATGGGTATTTGAATGGAAATGAACTTCTAAAATTTCATTTTAGATAGCTTGTGTATTTAAGAGTCTACATGTAGATGGTCAGGAGTTGACTTTTATTCATAAAAATGACTCTTTAATGGGTAAAAATGAGGACAGAAAGAAAGCTGGGTTTCCCCTAAGATAACATTACTTTATGCCAAGCTAGGGTACTTGTTTCAAGTTTTTTAAAAATTAAAAAAAAGAAAATTAAAGGTGTGAGATACTAGCTCCTGTGATGTCATATGGAAGCCTTTTTCTACTTTTCCAGTCTCTAGGCTACTTCTTATTTCTTCTATTACCGAAACTCTCTTGCTTTCACTGGGCTTTCAAGGTGTGAGCTCTTCATGTGAGGATTCTCTGACTGTGATTTTCTCCAAAGTGATCTCAGGCAGTAACTTCATTTCTTTTCGGTGAGGTAAATGCTTTGTCAGCATTTTAAAATCATATTCTTAAAAAAAAAATAATTTATTTTTGGCCGGGCGCAGTGGCTCACGCCTGTTAATCCCAGCACTTTCGGAGGCCGAGGCGGGCGGATCACGAGGTCAGGAGATCCAGACCATCCTGGCTAACACGGTGAGACCTCGTCTCTACTAAAAATACAAAAAAATTAGCCGGGCGTGGTGGCACGTGCCTGTAGTCCCAGCTACTCAGGAGGCTGAGGCAGGAGAATGGCGTGAACCCAGGAGGCGGAGCTTGTAGTGAGCCGAGATGGCGCCACTGCACTCCAGCCTGGGCGACAGAGCGAGACTCCGTCCCAAAAAAAAAAAAAAAAAAAAAAAAAAAAAAAAAAAAAGAATTTATTTTTAGCAGGTGATGGAAAATATATGAGCCTTGATTTATCAAATTCTACTTTAAAAAATTTGCCTTTTCCTCCTCTCTTTCCTTCTCGGAAAGGCATGCCCAAAGGGCAGGTGCTTCTGGTGGAAGACATACCTGTTTGAATTTTAGACTGGGAGAGAAAACTGACACTTAGCAAGAACTTGTCCAATGTCTGTAAAGTGAGCACCATGCCTGGCACTGTGGGCTCCTGCCTATTGGACAGAGGCAGCATGTATGTGTGAAAGAGTGGAATTTAACAGCATTTAGCAGTGTATGGTTAGGTGTCCAAGTTAGTGGTTCCAGAATCTAGAGCCTAAATGCAAGAGGAATTCAGAAATAGGGAAGCCTGTTGTGTACTGAGGCGTAGTGTTTGGGGAAAACACCATGGAAGGGAGTGATTTGGATTGGGCCCTGAAGGATAGCTAGCATTCAGATGATTGAGGGAACTTTCTGAAGGAGAAGTATAAATGTCAGAGAGAGGCACAGTGAAGAAAGAAGATTCTGGAGCATATAAGGAGATGATGGTGAGAAACGATGGGCCTGCTAAGGTCTACCTTAGAGATGCTTGAGAAGAAATTATTTTAAATTTATTTATTATTACTATTTTTTGAGATGGCATCTTGCTCTGTCATCCAGGCTAGAGTGCGACAGGCTAGAGCGTGACAGGCTAGATTGCCGAGGCTAGTGGCGCGATCTCAACTCACTGCAACCTCCGCCTCCTGGTTTCAAGCGATTGTCCTGCCTCAGCCTCCCCACTAGCTGGGATTACAGGCGTGTGCCACCACATCTGGTTAATTTTTGTATTTTTAGTAGAGACGGCCATGTTGGCCAGGCTGGCCTTAAACTCCTGACCTCAAGTGATTAGCCCACCTCAGCCTCCCAAAGTGCTGGGACTACAGACATGAACCACTGCGCCTGGCCTTGAGAAGTAATTTGAATGCTAGTCTGAAGAGGGTGGACTTGATCTTGGGTTATATTAGGCTTTTTATTGGATGCCTTTGCTGTGTTTTGAGAGACATGAGTGCTAACTAAAAGCACCATTTCTGATGTCTGTGAGATCTGAGCTCCTGAATGCCCACCTAACAGTGTTTGGATTGTTTCCTAAGTGCAAATCCTGTTTGGAGTAAGTTGGAGCAGGATTCACTAATTAATTTATGTCTGTTAGGCATTGATGAGTGTCTCTGAAAATGACATACTTTTCAAAAAGTGAATCACACAGATATATAAATGGGAAGAGCCAAAAGTCTTTGCCAAATGAATGGCTGAAGGTAATCTCTAAGTAAAGAGAGAAAATAATAATAACTTTGGCACAGCATCCTTTCCTCCAAGTTTAGCAGGTGTTAGGAGGATTTTGGGCATGTGAATTGTAGTCTTTCCAATTACACGTTACCCCTTCTTGCTGCTGGTGAGTTGCTTTGCCGTGTCCCATTGTGCTCTGGCTGTGAGTTGGAGCTAGTTTTAGAGCATAGGCATGAACAGGGGAGGGTGGCTTGTAGTGTTTGCCATTTATTCAGTTTTACAACAAAAACGGTTGAAAATATAACCAATTCCAGAAAAAGCAGTAAAATCCCACAGTTCTTTGCAACTTCTCTTCTCTATGATAATGAGGTCATGGTGCTTTGTGATGGCATTTAGAGGAACCTCTATTACCTGGGACAGGCAAGCAGTTGCAGATGTTGCCCACACTCAGCACACAACTTAAAAAATTAACAACCGTAGAGTCTGAAGCACCTTTGGTCACCTCGTGGTCACAGAGCTTAATTTTGCTGATGAGCACAGGTACATCTAATTTTAGATGTTACATGTTTCCTGGAAAATTGCGTGGAGATTGTTTTTTTTCTTTCCTAAGTGATATCTCTTTCTGAGTTTATTATACTTTCTGCAATACTTTTTCTTCAAGTATGATTAATCATCTATTGATGAGAACAGCTAAACTCTCATTAATTAACCAAATATCTATTGAGTGCCTACTGCGTGACAGGCACTCTTCTAGACACTGAGGATCCAGAAGTGAAAAAAAAATTGACATCATGGGGCTTACGTTCTAGGCATAATTTACCTTTATAAGTCTCTCTGACAGAGCATCCTGTCAATCAACCAATGAATGGTTATTTATCAAGTATTTCGTGTATGTTGAATATTGGGGCCAGGTCTGTGGGGGAATGCGGACTTCAAAGAGCCTACCTTTTAATAGGAAATTCAGGACTAATCTCAGTACCTGCATAATGAATAAAGAATATTGGGCTGATAGACCACTGACAGCTTAAATTTACAACATCTCTACAGACTATAAAGCTGTAGCTGTTTGGAAAAAAGAAACATGAAGGTAGGTCAGTGAGGACATTATGGATAGCAACAGGTGATACTTGGAAGGGCTGCTGCTGAAGGCGACTAGCAGTGGCTCTTTTGTTTCATGGCCCTCGTTTCTCCCTAGTCTTTGTGTGGGGCTATTTACCACCAGTCTCTGCTGTAAATTCTGGTAGGCTCTGGGGCTCCTACCCTAAATCTTAGTAGCTGCTAGGAAAGCAGGGACCAAGGGAGCCTTCTCTCCATAGGTGAGGCTCCTCTCTAACTGCCTGGATTGTTAAACAGGCACGGAGGAGCTGCTGACTACTGAAATTTCTGAGGGTATTCTCACGGACTTCATATATTTACCTTGATTCTCTCATCACTAAGAGTTCTAAAATAAATAGTACCCTGAATGTCTAGGGCATTTGTTCATCTTTTATATGAAGGGACAAGGAAAAAGCATAAAGGATGTTGGACATTGATTTGGGAACACATGTCTGGCCACTCTTCAATGTAAAAACAAATTATTTTCCAAAAGTTCATTTTTAAGTGATTATTAGGGACACAGAAAACATTTTCCCATAGAAACAAGGCTCAACACGGTGATTATGTTTTCTGGCTGGCCCACAACAGCCTGTTGAATACTTAATGTGGCTGAACTATAGAACTCACAGAGGCTAAGTGGCAGGTGTGATGCTGTTTCTGGGAAAATGTGTTCCGCATTCCAATTTGGAACACTAGGGAGTCAGTCCCTGTTTCTAAAGGGGTGGGAGTGGGGGCATTGGGGAAGACACCCTCATGTCTGGCACACAGATGCTCCAGCAGCTGAGAGATCACCCATCCACCCCACACCGCAAAACTGGCAACCAGTGTGCTTTTGCAAAGGCTCTGGTGACAGGAGCACAGGAGGAGGGGTGGGAGCCCGCCAAGCCACAATGGCTGGCTGACTGTGAGGCAGCTGAGTCTAGGCCTCCTGCTTCCTGTCCTTGGCTTGGCAAGGGCTATTGACAAGAGATATTTCATTTTTCCCTTTCCTTCATGCCTACTCTCTTTTTGGTGAGATTATTCAAAACCAGTTGTTCCTTCTTCTTTTTTCTTTTTCTTTTCTTTTCTTTCGTTGTTTTTTTTTTTTTTGAGGCGGGGTTTCGCTGTTGCCCAGGCTGGAGTGCAGTGGTGCAATCTCAGCTCGCTGCAACCTCCGCCTCCCAGATTCAAGCCATTCTTCTACCTCAGCCTCCTGAGTAGCTGGGATTACAGGTGCCCACCACTGCACCTGGCTAATTTTTGTATTTTTAGAAGAGATGGGTTTCACTATGCTGGCCAGTCTGGTCTCGAACTCCTGGACTCAAGTGATCCACCTACCTCGGCCTCCCAAGGTGCTGGGATTACAGGTGTGAGCCATTGTGCCCAGCCATCAGTTGTTCTCTTTTGCTCTCCCTTTATTTAATCCTGTGACTGGCCCCACTAAGATGCCTATATTGTTCTTCATTCATTCCCCTCTTACCTGAACACTTAATACTCAACTAAAGTCTCTGTTATAGAGAAAGGGGTTCTCCCCTATAGGAGTGCTAACAAGGAAGAATGGGAGTCCTATGGTGATGCTGAGGTAGCCGTCAGGGAATGAGATTTGTGACTTAATGAAGAGTGAGGGAGAAAGCTCAGATCTTGGCTTCTGTCATAGGAGCTCCATGGAGCTGAACTTCCTGGCTCTAGATTCTATGAGGTTCGAGTAATCTAGGAGTCCATATTAGTTATGTAAAGTGACTTTATAGAAATCCACAGAGCCAAAAAGAAAACATAGAGAGTTAAAGCTGTCCATGATCACAGTCCAAATGCCACGATGCAGTGGCAGCAAGATAAAGCCAGAATTTATAAATAGGTCATTTAAAAATGACATTTTGAAAAATCAGCTTGTAAACAGGTTGTAAGCATGTTAGGCTGCAATACCCTAGACTCTCTTTGCTCTGATTCTGTAGTACTCAACACATTTCTCATTATAATTTAGCTCACCAGAGAGATTTCTCTATTGGGAGAGAGTGCCCTGGCCAGAAAATGGGAGTATTTAATCTTCTTAGTGCTTCATTTATTTTTAGTAAAAATTAAGAAATTGGCCTTTTGGTTTATGCATTGGCCTTTTATGAGCTTGGCTAGTGTGAGTCCATTCTCAAGAGCCTTGAGAACTGAAGACCTGATTCTGGGCCTTGGGGACCCAGCCAAGATGCTGCCTTTAAAAGCTCCTATTTAGATGATGGACCACAAGACCTCTCACTGAGCTCCTTTGCTCAAAGACACTTTCCAGATGGGAAATGGAGCCTCATAAAGGTAGTGTTGCTTTCCTAAGGTCCTCACAACTGCTCAATAGTGACAAAGCTGAGATTGGAGTCAAAGTCTTCTGACTCTCACATCAGTGCTCTTTCCAATACACTGTATGTTGTTTCAGCTACAGGCACAAATTAGATCTTGGAGAGAAAGGGAGGAAATAAAAGTTGAGAGCAAGATTTGCTCCCTTAAGTTTGGTCCATATCAAATAGGAACAGCTATTATTTAAAACCAGGCAGAGTAGAAATGCCATCCACTATATTCTAGTAAGTGGAATACCAGTGGGTAATGAATCCAATTTCTGAGCTAAGAGCATTATTTGTTGCTGACTTTGTGACTGCTTTTAGTAGGAGCTATGTGCACACATCCCAGATCACGTTCACAGGGCCAGGAGCGGTACCACCCAGTGAAATATGACTAAGCAGCTCAGATTTGCTTGCTCTGTTGCACTATGTAATGACATTTCCACCAAAGTTCAGGGGTTAACAGAGGCAGTGTGCTCAGCTGTGAGAATTAAAGAATGTGATTCAAGATGAGCTAAGTTAATTTAAGATTTTGTTCAATAAGAGCAATAAGAACAAGGAAGAGCTGGAATGTTCCTAAATATTTGGAATCTTTTTTAAAAAACAGGCTTGAAATATAAGCTATATGTCCTTGTGGTCCCAATGTATCACTTGCTTTTCAGTTGATTAGACTTTTAACTCTTGAGTAATGGAACCTATTATAATCACCCCCAACCTTAAATTACCTTTAAATAGCAGTTGATTGGGTGTTACTGAAACCACATGACATTAAAGATGACCAGTTCTGAACCAGGGTAGGGTATGCCTTCTTTTCTTAACTAAGATGTGGCTAGACTGCTGTGACTGGTTAACTCAGGTGGTTAGAGCATGATGTCAAGAAAATCAGGAGGCTAGGTGTCATTGCACGTGGCACAGATGTTTTAGCTTGGTTCTGTAATCACGAGCTGGACCCCTACCAGACCAGGACCTCACAAATATGGATCGTGGCTCACGAGGCAGACCTGGTTCAACAAATAGGAGGAGCTTAGTGTAGCTTTTCCCCTCTTTTGGCAAATGTGGCCAAGTGCCTCCTAGGTGAAGGCTGACCCTTGAAATGGGAAGGACAGCACAGGAATTAGGCAAGGCCCCTGTGGAGACAGTCTTGTAATATGGAAAATTTTCTCTTTGCTACAATTAGTTGAATTAATCATTTTAGAGGCTATAACAAACTCGATGCAGATGATACAGATGCTACTTGTATTGACAGAAGCAAAGGATTTCTTTTCGCATACAGACTCATGGATTGCTTTTTCATTTTTTCTCTATGTCTCATGGAAACATAAGGTGTACATGCAGGGCTACAATGCCCCTCAGAGCATTTTCTTGTGTATCTTTATTGGCTCCATCATTTTCCTGCCCTGTGACTTAACTACTCTGAGTCTTAGTTTACTCATCCGTGGAATGGGGAAAATAATTGTACTGACATCATGGGCTTGCTGGGAGAATCAAATGCAAATAAAAAAATATATTTGTATCTTAGTCTGTTCAGACCACCAGAACAAAAAGCCATAAACCAGGTAGCTTATAAACAATGGAAGTGTATTTCTCATAGTTCTGGAGGCCAGAAATCCAAGATCAAGACATATTTAGTATCCTGGTGAGGGCCTACTTCCCTATTCATAGATAGTACCTTCTCTCTATGTCCTTACATGGTGGAAGGGACAAGGTAGCTCTCTGGGGCCTCTTGGATAAAGTCAACAATCCCAGTCATGAGAGCTATGCCCTCATGATCTAATCACCTCTAAATGCCACCACCTCCAAATACCATTATACTGGTGATTAGGTTTCAACATATGAATTTGGGAAGGGCACAAACATTCAGATCATAGCAATATGTATGTGATGTCCAAGCGTGGTGCCAGGAACATAGCAGGAGCTCAGTAAATCAGTAAACAGTAGCTATAAGATAAGTGAGGGAATGGAACAGGGAGTTGGGAAAGTTTATTCTCATATGCTTCCTGGCTTTTTGCAGTTTAGGGAAAGTGTCATAAAATAGCATACATGTTGAAACTGAGAACTACTCCAAAAGGTTCTATTTGTAATGCTATAGAAATATTAACTTCTTGCAGTTTACATTGGCAGATCCCCAATAATTCACAATTAACACCTGGTGTTTAGTGGTTTGCAAATAGGTTTTGCTGTCATTGGGGATATCTAGAATAAAAAGCTGTAGGGAAACATTTAAAAATTAAATGTCTGGGCTGGGCGCGGTGGCTCACGCCTGTAATCCCAGCACTTTAGCAGGCTGAGGTAGGTGGCTCACTTGAGGTCAGGAGTTTGAGACCAGCCTGGCCAACATGATGAAACCCCATTTCTACTAAAAATACAAAAACAAAAACAAAAACAAACAAACAAACAAACAAAAATTAGCCGGGCATGGTGGCAGGTCCCTGTAATCCCAGCTACTCGAGAGGCTGAGGCAGGAGAATTGCTTGAAACTGGGAGGCGGAGGTTGCAGTGAGCTGAGATCATGCCACTGCACTCCAGCCTGGGGGATACAGTGAGACTCTGCCTCAAAAAAAAAAAAAAAAGTTTGATTTCATCTACTGATGTAGGAATGCAACTTAGGTTGGCTATATGTAAATACTTAAAATATCTTTAATAAAGTTTAATCCCTGTCTGTCCTATTGGTTAGAGTAAATGTTTTTATTGTTGTTAGATTTGAACATTGCATCATCTGATTGCAGGAATGATACCTTGACACCATCTAGCCGTAGTCTAAGAAGTAATACTTTTTTCTTGTCTGAGTCACAGTAGTGGTAAGATGAATGGAGGGAGGGAATCCTGCTGTTCATCTGACCTTCACGGATCTAACTGGAACTAACTGGCTTTTTGTGCACCAAAATAGGTATAAAGAAAGTTCAGCTAATCTGGGACTCAGTCACAAACCAGAGACACTGAACAGACTAGTGAGGCTTGCACAGGGTACTAGAAGATGAGTATCATCATGACTTTGCCATGATTTGACTTTGACTTTGAAAAATTTCATTGAAAATGACTTTGGAAAATTACATACAGCATAAATGTGCAAATTTACATTACCTTTTTAACAAGTTCCAGTGCTTTGCAGACAGAAAAGGGAATTGGTTCTCTATTTTGGATGTATAAATGAGTGGGATTAGTCCTAGAAAAAGTGGTCTGTACTTTAATCTACCTTTCCTTGTTCTTCTCACACCCTCTCTACATTGGGGAATTCTCCTTTGCTTTCTCCTATTTGGGGACCAGAGCCCTTAGTCTTTCTCCACATCAACATCTCTAAACTTGGTCTCACACTGCTCATTTCCACTAAGACATAAATAACTGATAGTGGCTGAAAATGTTGTGATCCCTCCAGATAATATTTCCATTTTCATAGGGGAGCTCTCTGAAGTGCATGGAAGAAAGATCTAGGGTGGAATTTTCAATATCATTCAATTTAGGACTTAGAAGGTATAGTGTGGTGAAGGGTGTTTGTGGTTGTATCTGATTCTCCAGCTACTCTGAAATAATAATGCTTAGGCGTTGCTTTCTCTAGCAGTTCCCAGAGGCTTCTTCCAACTCCTTCCTCTGTAGTTTCTAGTGCCTCAGAATAGGCTTGCAGCAAGAACAGTGTCCATGGATAAACTTGAGTATATTGGGGTTTTCTCAAAAGAGAACCGAGTACAGTTCAGGAAACTTCCCTCAAGCAGATGCAATGACTCTTCTTGATGCACATTTCATTTTCTGATTAGTTTATTTATTTTCAAAATCAGTCAAGTACTTGTACAAGTGAATAATACCAGTGTTGCCATGTATAGGCATTTAATAACCCTGGATAAGGAACAACTAAAACCAGAGGGAGAGGTTTTTTATCACAACTTTTGCTCTCATGCCTTATTCTGCTAATATTTAACTTCTGCTTATTATTTTAGATCTACTCATCTCTACCACACCCACCCAAAACATGTATCCACATGCACACACACATGCACACTCCCATTAGGACTGATGGGCTAAAAACAAGTGATTTTTTTTGCTTTGCTACTATTTTGGCATACATGTCATTAACATTTTCCCAGTTGATCAGTTCTAAGGGAGACTCAATAAGTCTGAAATCCCCGGAGATACTAGACACTCTCTCTAGTCTATTGCCTCTTGTTCACCCAGGCTTTGACAAACTAAAACAAAACTCTTGTCAATGTATTTCTGGAAAAGTTTGAATTTTATATTGTAGCATTCAGAAATATATTTGGAATGTGTTGTTGTTTAACTCTTTAGTAATATTAGCATTACTCTTTTACCAGAAATATATTAATGTCTCATTTTTAGATGCATCTGGGCTTTTTGGTCATTTTAACTTTGAATGCAAAATATTCATTGATTAAATGAATAAAGCAGTGAATCCTAGAATAGGCAGACTTGTGTAGGTTTGCATTTGCATGTATCTTTATTGACCCCCCAAAACGTGAAAAATTGATATTATATATTTTCACTCTAAAAACAGATTATAGGTTTTCAAGAACATGTACAAAAAAGATAGAAATTTGTCTTGATATGGTTCCCAGAAAATATGCAGCTTAAAAATGGAACAAATGGCTCTACCTAATGGGAAGACAGACCCTTTAAAATCCTATGCCCATTACCAATCATGTCCCATATGAAAAGGTACATTTTATTTCCATCACCACATTTGGGGAAAAAATGATGCAATCTGTTTTCTTTAAGAGACTTCTAGACATCCTGGAACAAAATGTTTTTAGAAGGGGCATTTCCATCCAGAAGGTGGGCATCTGGTTACCTTCAGATATGCATACTTACATTGTTGGCTGGCAAATTAATAGATTGTACCTGTGCATGAGAACACTTCTAATTTCAAATATACATATTTGAGACTCAATATATTTTAACACACTGACTACATTTCAAAGGTAACAGGTAAATTGTATTGAAAACAACATCTGATTGGTATCTTCACTGGGGACAATAGCATATCAGATTGACAGTTGACTGGTAAAGTGAAATGTATTTCCTTAATGTGTTTTTTGCCAAGAGTTGAGTAGTATTAGACAGGCCAGAGGTCATATTTGGGAAAGTCATCTAAAGCCAGGAAGAGCCCATAGGCCCAGGCAGGCAAATACTTGAATTCATGATGAGCTGAGAGGGGCAAGGTCAAACAGCAGAAACAGAACTGAAGCTGGGAGCAAAAGGCAGACCTGGGCAGAAAGTTTGGGCAACATGGAATTGGGATCCTAGGCAGTTGGGATGCAGCGGGTGGCAGTTGGGAGGAAGGAGAGCAGAGAAAAAGGCACTTTTGACAGTGACTCAACTAGGCACAGCTAATAAACTGTACAGATGCAACCATGTCAAAAAGGCTCCACCTCCTTATTTATGGACTGTCGAGGACATTATGTAGGTGATGGGCATTGATTGTAACCCATGCATATGAGCTTCCTGTAACTGGGCTGAAACTATTGATACATTCAGGCCAGAAGAGTGGGTCTGAGTATGCACTGTTTATTTCCTGGTGGGCGCTGCCTTCTCAGCTTGGCTCTCATTTCCCATTACTGCTTTGCTCTGACTCACTGATGGCCTGCCACATGTCATTAGGCGGCTCAACTGCTGCTCTCATTTCTCCCAAAGGTATATGGAGGTTTGTGTCTTGGCTTCTACACTTTTTTTTTTTTTTTTTTTTTCCGGAGAGCTGGAGGAAGTGGCCTTTTGATAGTTTTGTTTGTTGAGTTGAATACTTGTAGTGTCTTACGGTTTCAATTTTCCTTTCTCATAGATATTTGATCCTGATGACCTTTATTCAGGGGTCAATTTCTCCAAGGTACTGAGTACTCTTTTAGCTGTCAACAAAGCAACAGAAGGTAAGCCGGGCTTGTGATTTATATGTTCTGGGTGACATTTTTGAATCCATGTGTTTGTGATTACCCTAGGAGCCAACTCTGGCCAGGATTGTTCTCGTGATGCAAATTTTCCCCTTGCTCCCCCAAATACACCCCAACAAATGTCAAATGCTTGAATTTTTCATGGCTTAGGATTTAAAATATACCTATCATAGATGTTATTCTAATGCCCTTAATATAATGATAAGAACTAAGAAACTATTCCATTCAAAGCTCTGAATCACCAACTGAGTATAACAAAACAGAGAAGAAAAAGGAAAGACCAGTTCCCTTTTTCATAGAGTTTACAAAATACAGCCGTCACTTCCCTTTCCCCACTAGAGACATATTTTTCTCATTGTTTTATGTATGCCTTTGTCCATGTAAAGGAACCCCTCAGTAGCCTTGCACCAAAAATGAAATCTTGGGGTCATAGGGAGTGAAAATAATATCTTTTATTTAAATGTTTAACACCTACCACACTAGAGGTATTAAATATAAATGCTAGTAAATGTGAAGAAAATGATGATACACTTAGAATGTAGCTTCACTCCTTCCCTGGTATATTTTACCAACAGCTGAATAGTAATAATCATACTTAAAATGCTTTGAGCTCTTGCCCTGGATCTAGGCTGTCATAAGAGCCACAGGTGATCTCATCCAATCCTTGAAACAACACTGGGGGTAGGTATTATTATTATTAGGTCCATATTACAGATAAGGAAAGTCAGGCCAACAGTTGCCCAACTAGAAAGTTAGTCGCTGAGTTGGGATTCAGACCCACATCTGAATGACTACAGAGCCCTTATGCCCAAGCACGAGGCTTGCTGCTCAAACTGTTGTAGAGTCAAGAGGCTGTGTGCCCAGCATCGCCAGGTGCTACAAAAAATGTCAAAGCTATGGTCCCTGCCTTTGAGAAAATTACTGTCTATTTAAGGAGACTCAACTTACCCACGTGAAACAATTAGAGGACAAGAGCAGACAATATAATCAAGTGCCAAATAGGTTAGAGCATCTAGGAAGCTATCGAGTAATTATAGTTTTTGTCAAAAGAGCTGTATATAATAGCAATACAAGTAAAAATACTTCTCCAAAGTTGTTCTTTTGCTATTTGGAAAAAAAAATGCTTTTGAGCTATTGCAAGGCGTATAGCTGAAAGTACAGCTAATTCAAGTAACTATATTTAACACACATGACAACTATCCAGTTCTAGTCAGGGAGGATCGTGTAATTCTAACATTATGCCACACAAATTATACGTTCCTTTGCCAAACTCTCCTAGCAAGTTTTACAGTCTCTTCCCTTGCCACAGATATTTATAAAATACAAGGAGGTGAAAGTTAAAACCCACAGCATCAAGGAAATTACTTGGATACTGAGCTTGTCGCCTAGGGAATGTTTGGGCTTTAGACTTTTGCAGTTTATATCTTTTAAAAATAAATGGAGAGGAAAAGAACCCTTATTGAAATTTGTCAAGAAGCCAGCTCCTCTCTTTTGTATACTCTCAACAAACTGAAAACATCCAGCTCAGCTCTGGCCTGGTCGAATTTCACAAGGTTTCAAGGAAGAGAAGACTCTTGAATCTGATTGTTAAAAAAATTATTCTAGTATCAAGATTACATCTTTCCCAAACACATCTTCTCTTTCACTCTCATTCTCCACCCTGCCCCACACACATCAGGGAGATTTTACATCATATATGCCACACATATTGTTACGTGTGAGTAAGAAATGAGCCACTGAGTTATGGGCCAAAAAACAAAGAGAGAAATTTGAAATATTTCAAAGTAATAAGAGCCACAAACAGCTGTTTGGTACCCAATATAGTTCTGCCTTGGATAACAGGGCATACTGTTGCAACTGGTTCAGGAGGGAAGAGTTGTAGGGAAATGGTTAAGAGAAAATGTGGTTCTGTCGCTGTTTTTCATTCTACTGGAGCACGATGGCCAGTAAGGTTAAGAACAGGAAGTTGGCCACCAAAAAGGGAAGGGGGATTGAAATACACTTGGCATGTTCATAATGATAACAGTTAGAATTACAGCCAGGATGCCTCTGATAGTATCCTGAGAAAGATAATGTTATGCGGTAGATGTTTTTCTGATCTGAGTGGTTCCTTTAACATGCCTTTTCCTCTTTTCACAGATCAGCTATCAGAAAGACCATGTGGACGTTCCTCTTCTCTTAGTGCTGCTAATACTTCTCAGACAAACCCACAGGGAGCAGTTTCTAGCACAGTTTCAGGGCTGCAAAGGCAGTCAAAGACAGTGGTAAGTATAGTCCCCAATTCTCCGTCTGTTTTAAAATCCATAAAATTAGATTGATATCCTAGTTGCATCTCCATATGTGGTGAGACAGCCATCCGGGTTGTTTTGGGCATCACTGAGAAAACTAATTATAAACCGAGCACCAATTCAGGCTGGCCCGAAGGAGCAAATCAAAGGCATGTGGTGGGGCAAAAATCCGGATTGAAGCTCCAGCTCTGTCCCTTACGAGAATTAGGCAAGTCACTTAACTGAGAATGCTATGCAAATGGAAGTCATTATGGCTACTTTCTGATGGCAGTTTGCTGTTAATTTCCCTATCCCTTGTTTTATTAGAACTAAATAGTGCCTGACACATAGTAGGCAATCAATAAATATTGATTAGTATCCTCATTATTATTGCCATTTTTATTTTTCTCTTTCCATTCCTAATGAGGAAGGCTTGATTTTAAATTTCAGTCTATGATGAGCTTCTATATTAGGATCTCCCAGTTGCCTTTTCACTTGCTCTTATTGGGAGCTTTTATTTGGGAGGAAATGCCTCATCTTCTGCTCTTTGGGTGAAACCTTTATTTCCTGTCAAAAGCCACCCACTTGCAGTAAGACATTATGACCTATTACTTCCAAAGCACTTGAGCATGTGGTTCTTAACTTTTTTGGATCACAGATCCCTTTGAAAGGCTGATGAACACTATGTCTCTACACCCCTGGTACCCTCTCAAATTGTATACAAAAGCCCATGTGTATGAACTTATTTAGACAAAAATATGTTGTGCTCATCAGATTCTCTAAAGGGTCTGTGACCCTCAAAAAGGAAGTCCAGTTTATACATGACAGATTAAGAATTCCTGACTTAATATATCCATGTAATAAAACTGCAGTTGTACCCCCTAAATCTATAAAAATAAAAAAATGGAAAAAAGAATTCCTGACTTAGGCAACTATGGGTTATTTGATCTTTGCATATAAATAAGTCTTAGCCAAATTAAGATATCCTTAGTAATTAGGAGATGGGAGGCAGATTTTATGGAGGGTAGGTTAGTACATCTTGGTTATATAATTATGTGGACTGTTTGTGTGTTGAGTAGAGGCAGGGTGGAATAGCTTATCCAGGGTGGAATAGCTTATCACTCTACTTTGTTATCTGGCTTAGTTAAATAGATAATCTTTAGATAATGGGGAGGGGTGTGGAGAGAAAAATGAAAGCTATGACCCACTTCAAAATACAGATTCTCACAAATGCCAAAGTTTACATACTGTTTTGAGGGATTTATTAATCCCTCTGAGACCCATTCATGGATTCCTAAGTTAAAAACTCAGGACTGAGATGGATCTGGGGTTTTGTCTTTGCTTCCTCCACTTTATTTGCCTATATCCATATCATTTCTACCCCTGCCTTATTTAGATGAGTGCTTAATCTGGTGTGGCTTTTGTTTCTCTAGGAGATGACGGAAAATGGAAGTCATCAGTTGATAGTAAAAGCAAGATTCAACTTTAAGCAGACTAATGAGGATGAACTGTCAGTTTGTAAGGGGGACATCATTTACGTCACACGAGTTGAAGAAGGAGGCTGGTGGGAAGGCACATTAAATGGGAGAACAGGCTGGTTCCCCAGTAATTATGTCCGTGAAATTAAATCCAGTGGTAAGTGAAGTTTTTAAAAGGCTTTTTGATTGTGACTCTTGTACTTTCTTGGTATTCTTACTGAAAATTGTGTAGTTTTAATTGGTTAACAGAAGCTGTTTATACTTGTATGTGTATGCCAAAAATAAGAGTAGAACAGAACTGGGAAAAATCTGTGATTAGATATTTTGAAACAAATTGTATTTAGATTACATTAAGGCAGCAGAAAAATAAAAAAAGCAAAGGAATTCAAAGCTCAGACAACTGGTCCACCCTAACTGTATCCCTTTATGTCTACTAATTCTAGCCCATGTAATATAGTACATAGTCCTTCTCACCACTCTAAAACTTACCATGGCAGAATCCAATAATAAGAGAGGCCATGTGCTAACTTCCTTTTTTTAGCCTTAAGCCCTGTAAGCAGACCTGAGACTAAATGCCTCAGACATGAGAGATAATAATGATAGGGCTGCAGGAAGCTGTCTGGCCGCTTTGATGCTGAACAAGATTGCCCTTAACTCACTGAATACTGCTAGCTGTTTACCTTTTTTTTGTAACAATAGCCAGAGAATGAAATCGAATTGCTCTTCAGTAGTCTTTTCTTCTCTCTCTCTCTTTTTTTAATTATTATTTTTAGACAGGGTCTCACTCTGTTGCCCAGGCAGAGTGCAGTGGCTATCACAACTCACTGCAGCCTGGACCTCCCGGGCTCAAGTGATCTTCTTGCCTCAGCCTCCCAAGTATTTGGGACTACAGGTGCACGCCTTCCACACCCAGCTAATGTTTAAACTTTTTGTAGAGACGGATCTGCCTGTGTTGCCCAGGCTGGTCTTGAACTCCTGGGCTCAAGTGATCTTCCTGTGTCGGCCTCCCACGGTGCTGGGATTACAGGCATAAGCCACTGTGCCTGGCCACTCTTCAGTAGTTTTCCTTAGAGTTTTTTTGATAATTCACTTGCCCTTTATTGTTTAAGAAGGTAGGCTCTTCTGATATTGCAAAAAACCCAGCAAACCCTTATACATAAGAATATGTCCCTCACAATACACATAAAACAGCATTTAGTTATTCACATTATTACATCTCTTTACTTTTCAAAAATATTTACACAAGGGCTCTTTTGAGTGGTTAGCTCAGCGCATTATTTCTTTTGTAAATATCTTATTGCTTTTTCAATGCCTCAAAATTGATACTATTAATTAATTAATAAAATTTTAGGCTCACTGTAAGTAAAATGAAACATTCTGGAAATATACGGTTGACTCTATTTTTTTTTGTTGTTGTTGTTTTGAGACGGAGTCTTGCTCTGTCACCCAGGCTGGAGTGCAGTGGCGCAATCTCGGCTTGCTGCACACTCCGCCTCCCGGGTTCACGCCATTCTCCTGCCTCAGCCTCCCCAGCAGCTGGGACTACAGGCGCCTGCCACCACGCCTGGCTAAATTTTGTATTTTTAGTAGAGATGGGGTTTCACCGTGTTAGCCAGGATGGTCTTGATCTCCTGACCTTGTGATCCGCCCGCCTCAGCCTCCCAAAGTGCTGGGATTACAGGCGTGAGCCACTGCGCCTGGCTACAGTTGACTCTTGAACAACATGGGGATTAAGGGCACCGAGCCCCCATGCAGTTGAAAATCCGTATATAACTCTGAGCTCTTGAGAGCTGAAAATTTCTGATTCATTTTGATATTCTTGAAGGCTGGCACCTGAGTGGCATCTCATTAAGGGCTCAATTCATTCAATATGGAGCAGGTACTGGATGAGACACTAAGAATATCAAGAAGCATTCCATCAATTTCATCAAGAGGGAAATATGTGAATATTTGGAGGCAGCTGTCTTTCTCCAGAGTAACTTGGTAGGATTTCCCACACTTTCCTTGCCTTCTCTAGAATGATTTCAATACATAAATTTCCTTCTTCAAACATGTGGAACTTGAAGACCCTTAAAGGCAGTAGGATCATTAGGGCTTATTAGTTACTTCTAGATTCTAGTGTTCAGAGCATTGCTTTATTTTCATCACTGCCCTAAAGTTACGACTTTAAGACTGAGAATAAATAAAACACACACACACACACAAAAAAAAAAAAAGAAAAGAAAATCCATGTATAACTTTTGACTCCTCCAAAACTTAACTTCTAATAGCCTACTGTTGGTTGGAAGCCTTACTGATTGTATGTTATATGTATTGTATACTGTGTTCTTATAATAAAGTAAGCTAGGGAAAAGAAAATGTTATTAAGAAAATCATAAAGAAGAGAAAATACATTTACTCTTAGTTAAGTGGAAGTAGATCATCATAAAGGTCTTCATTTTCATTGTCTTCACGTATAAATGGGATGGGCCTGCAAAGTTCAAACCCATGTTGTTCAAGGGTCAGCTGTATAATGTAGATAATGAAAGTTCCTCTTCTCTTTGCACTCTCCCCCCGACAACCAGAGTTAGGAGCTTTTTCCTAAAGTGTTTAAGATAAAATTAATTTTCACACTTTTCTGTGTTCTATGTTGTGTTAAAAGGGGTATCCCCTTTAATGGAATATGTTTACTAACAGATTTATAATTATATACGTATATGGAGACTTCTTAGCATTTTTAATTACTGGGAATCAAGAAGGTTCTATTGAGCCCTGGAGTATTTCCACAGGCTTTGCCTGGAATTTCCTTGGTTTTGATGATATTCACAGACGATTTTTACCTCTCACTACATCTTTCAATCGATATAATTTTGTTGATATAATTTAGGAAAATCCCTAAAAGATTTTCCAGGTTCACTCTAACATTGTTCCCTGATACAGTGTCTTTATCTGCAAAACTAAAAGGAGCAGTAATTTTGTCCAGGAATCCCAAGCACTGCGAGGGGACCTGGGAAGTGAACAGCACACCCTCACTTTGACGACTCTCCTTATAATGTCCCTCACTGTGACTCCTTGTAGCAGTCTGGCCACTCCCTTATAGACTGCCCCAGGTTATTTGTTCTGGTCTTAGGGGCCTTCATTTTAAAATTTCTCCTATATTCTCTCTGGTTTAGGACTCAGCTTAGGATTCATGTGGCAAGCTCCGACTCTGACTTGAGCACTTAGGTAACCCTTAGAAGCATCTAACCCAACTGTCAAGGACAGGTCTGAGTTGCTTGGGTCAGGAAATGAGTGCTAGTCAGGGAAGGCCTGGAACTAGCAGTGTATGGAACAACCTCTCTCATTTAGCTTATGGCAGCAGCTTCCTAATTGGCATCTCTGCCCCTGTTTTTGTCACTCCTATAATCCAGTCTAAACTCAGTACCCAGAGTGATTCTTTCAAAATGTAACTTGGGGCCGGGCACGGTGGCTCATGTCTGTAATCCCAACACTTTGGGAGGCTGAGGCGGGCGGATCACTTGAGGTTAGGAATTCGCGATCAGCCTGGGCAACATGGAGAAACACCATCTCTACTAAAAATACAAAAATTAGCTGGGCATGGTGGCGCATGCCTATAGTCCTAGCTACTTGGGAGGCTAAGGCAGGAGAATAGTTTGAATCGAGGAGGCGGAGGTTGCAGTGAGCTGAGATCGTGCCACTGCACTCCAGCCTGGGTGACAGAGTGAGACTCTGTCTAAAAATAATAATAATAATAATAATGTAACTTGGGTCATGGCTCCCCATCTCAATAAAAGAAAAGGCCAAGGCCATCACAATAGCCTCCAAGGTCCTCCAGGATCTGGCCTTCCGTTGCCCTTTTGGCTTCCTCTCTGATCTCTCTTCCCCTCACTCATTCCACTTTAGCCACACTGGTCTCTTGGCTGCCTGTGCCAGACAGGCTCCTGCCTCACTTGCTGTCCCCCTGTCTGGAACATTCTCCAGCTATCAGCACAGCTGGCTCCCTCATCTCCTTCAGGTCCACTCACTTGCCTACTTCACAGGAGGGCCTTTCCTGGTCACCCAGGAGAAAATTTAACCCTATCCCCACTCCCTCTATCCCTCTTCCCTGCTTAAATTTTTTGCTTATTATTTTTCCCCGTCTAACATAATACACGTTTACTTATTTATTTCATTTACTGTTTACATTTTACCATTAGAATTGTAAATACCACAAGGGCAGAGACTTCATTCGTTTTGTTTATGCTCAGTAAATATTTGTAAAATGAATGAATATTACAGCGTAGGTAATTCAATTCTGTTCAGCTTGTTCACTGAGTACCTCCTAGGCGCAATCTATACCTCATAGACCCCGTCCCCTAGCACCTTTACAGTCTAGTAATCAACACAGGTCTGTGCAGAACTAACTGTTACAGGCCAGGACACAGTAAGTAGCACAGACAAAGGACTGAGTAAGATGCTGTAGGAACAGTGAAGAAACAATTTGATTAACAATAACATAAGGAGTGGGGAAGCACTTGAATTGGGTCTTGAAGGATAGAAGAAGCTTCTGACTGGGAGAAGAAGATCAGAGGGAACTTTTAAGTTCAAGCATGGAAGTAAGAGTGGATGGTGGGGTGATTTGGGTTGAGAATCAGATGCATGATGATAAGGAATGGGACCTTGAGCTGGAGCTACATTAAGAGGCGGTGTCAATGTCAAGTTTTAAGCAAGGGATAACATGGTCTAGGAAGATCTTTCTGGAGGTAGCGTGGGGGATGGATTTCAGGGAAGTGGTAGGAATAACCAGCAAGGGTGTAGAGAAACTAGCAGAGGCTACTGCTAAGGTCCAGGCAATCCAGATAGTGGTGTGGATTACTCTGGGGATAGTGGGGAGGAAGAGAAGTGGATGGATGCAGTATATACTATTGAAATGAAATTTTAAAAACTTGCTGATGATTAGTTTTGAGGATAAGGGAACAGATGAGAACAATACCAAGTCTAGAGGTCCAGCTTGATGGTGAACGCCTTAATGGCATGCAGTGTCATGCTTCTAGCCAGCCCACAAAGGTTGATCTCTCTTAATGAGGGTGTCAGTCTCTGTCTTGGACACTGGTGTGGTGGAGAAGCATAAGACATGGCTTTTGCCTTCAGGGTGTTCATACTGTAGTGTAAGAAGACATCATTAGAATACAATATGATAAGTTTAGTGATAGAGCTAAATACAGTATGCTATGGAGAGGTGGGAGGAGAAGAGAGGAGCATAACTCATCTTGACAGGGAAGTCAAGGGGACTTGTTCATCTTTGTATACTGTCTTGTCTTCATATGCCTAACATGGTGCTTTAGACATTGGAAATATTTGAAGTGTGCTGAACTCCGTTAATAGAGAAGACAGGAGGAGGCAGAGGTTGTGTGTGCATGTCTCTGTGTGTGTCTGTGTTGGGCGGGTGATTGGTACTGAAGATGATGAACTGTTTTGTACTTGAGTAGAGGTGCACCGAGTCATAGGTCTGAAGATTTCTAGCAAGTAGTTGGCAGTATGGTTATGGAGCACAGGAGAGAGATAAGAGCTGGTGGTGAGTCAACTGACAGTATAGGTCAGTGGACGATGAAGTATAAAATATATAGCAGAGCATCAGTATTCAGACACAGAGAGTGCATTGTGCCTGAAGAGGTTAGGGGAGGCTTCATGGAGGACATAGGGCTTAAGCTGAACACTGAAAGACAGGTAAGCTGTGAATAGGCCCAGAAGAGAGGCAAGGACAATCTAAATCACAGTGATTGTTCAGGGAAAACAAAACCCACCACGATTCTGTGGTAGGACTGAACAGAGTGAGCTTGATGGACAATGGAAGAGACTAGCTTCAGGTAACAAAAATGTCTTGCTGGGAAATTAGGTGCTCAATAAATCTGTGTTGACTTGAATTCTTTCCTACCCCAACTCTTGCCACCACCACAAAATAGTAGGTAAGCCAAAACCTATCTAGGATGCTGCCGAGGAATATTTTAAATTAAATGCTATGTTGTGTTATGTTTGGTCTAGAAAATACTTGTAAATTTTTAATTAATTAATCTCTCTCTGTCTTTTTTTTTTTTTAACACGGGATCTCACTATGTTGCCCAGGCTGGTCTCAAACTCCTGGGCTCCAGCGATCCTCCTGCCCTGGCCTTCCAAAGTGCTGGGATTACAGAGGTGAGCCACCGTGCCCGGGCTTTATTTCTTTGAATGAACTCCATACTAATGTATAAGCTTAGGAAAATTTGTCTTTAAGGAGTTTGAAAAAAGTGATGTAGTGAAACCCTTTTTTTTTTTTTTTGAGATGGAGTTTCGCTCTTGTTGCCCGGGCTGGAGTGCAATGGCGCGATCTCAGCTCACCACAACCTCTGCCTCCCAGGTTCAAGTGAGTCTCTTGCCTCAGTCTCCCGAGTAGTTGGGATTACAGGCATGCGCCACCACGCCTGGCTAATTTTGTATTTTTAGTAAAGAATGTTGATCAGGCTGGTCTCAAACTCCCGACCTCAGGTGATCCACCCGCCTCGGCCTCCAAAAGTGCTGGGATTACAGGCGTGAGCCATTGTGCCCAGCCAACGTAGAGTTTTAAACCCCATTGCCATACAACCTTTTAGGCCATTTATAAAGTTCAATCAGGCATGGAACTAAAAATCTTTAGTGATCTCAGTCTGCTTACTATTGGGTCAAACATATAACACTGTGGCCACTCGAAGAGTCAGTAATTCTGACACATTCATACATGCAGCCTGGAGGGTGGAGGGACATTTAGCCTGATACTACACATTCTTTTGTAATGTCTTACAAGCAGAACAAAACAAGCCCAAAGCCATACAACCCTCACCCTGCAGATTGCTGTGCCATGGGAGTGCTGTGCGTAGTTTTCCTCCCTTGAGCCTGTCATTGACAAGAGCACTTTGTGCTCTGGTAAATTTGCCCTTGGGGAGTGGCGTTTTAAGTTTTGGATTCCACTGTAGCTCTCATCTAGAGATAATTACGGCCAAAGCTCTGGGGATAGCTTTTTCCCGCTCTTTGAGAGGAGGCCGATTTCAGAGGTCGTATAGCATAAAGAATCACCCACCTAATACTATAGAAAGTTAAGAAATAGAAGACGTGAGTGTGAAACACACACACACACACACACACACACACACACCTCTTTTTAACATGAGCTTGTGGCTGAAAGTAGAATAAGTTTTTGTGACCATGATGATAAAAACCTCTTTCCAAGGATGATTGAACCTGGACATTGATGACATCATGAAGCCATTGTCACCAATTCTGCTTGCCTACCTCTGGATTTCCTATTACATGAGAAAAACCCTATTTTGACCAAAAATATGTTTTTTAAGGATCTTATTTCATGAAAAATACATGTATTAATAACTTAGTCATTATATAAGTTACATAACATATATTAAGGGACTTTGCTCTTGTATTTCATTTGAGTCACATACATTATAAATGAGAAAATTAGCCACTTATACAATTTTCCGTTCTCTTTGAAAAATCAGTGGTAACTTGTAAATTAACTTGTTATTTATACATCAAAGTAATTTCTGCTAGCACAGTGGCAACATAATGGTAATTATATCCTTTTTAAATTTTTGTCTCTGTTTTGTTACCTAGAAAGGTTGAGGGTTTTGTTGGGACTTTGCATTAAAAATTTCCTGGCAAAATTTTTAAGCCAAGAAATTATTGATGCAAGTGTGATTGAGCAGATATTTTAAACAAATTCTATTTTCTCCCACTGATTCAATTAAGAGGGCATCAAATCCTTCTTCTAAAACTTCTTATTAGCAGTAAATATAGATATCAATTGAGGGGATTAGGTACATGGTTAATTAAATTTGTATTAAGGCATATTAAGAAATCACTCTTCCTGCTCATTATAACCAAAGCTAGGATTGAGCTTTATATTTAGACTTCCTGTTTTAATCCCCTGGGTGTATCACATAGATGTTTCCTGTCCAGAGAGACTATTTGTCACTAGATTTCTTTTTGTCTTATCACCACCAACAGGCAATAGTAATCTGTACACCAGCAAAGGAAGAGAAAGAATCAAAAGTTAATTGGAAAGGAGTCTTTACATCAGGATCAGGAGGATTTCTTATGCCTGTATTTGTGTGACACTCTTGTTTGAGTTATATTATACGAACAATCCATTGGAATTCTTCACTATATTGACTGATTTCCCCCCGCACTGGTTGGATTGCCCAGTCTCCTCATTGCCTTAGAACACCACCTAAAATGTTTACATTTTCATGTTCGTTCTAGTTAGGGCACTTTGAATCCCCCCCACCACCCAGGGACTGAACTTGTCTCCTCGGAACCTCCACATATTCATTCCTTCTCTGCATGTTGCTGAGTGTGGGTTTCAAAGAATCCTTCACATGGCGGGAGTAAGAAGTGGTAGGGGTCGGGGTGGGGAGCAAAGGAGGGACAAGAGGCCAGAAATTGTCACTGAGGTCATAGTGCTGGTGTTTTTCTCTTTGCATTCCCTCTTGTACTGTTTCATGGAGCCAGTCATTTGCAAGGGCTACATTTTTTTAGACTTTCCAAGTTTATCCTTCCAAATCTGTCTCCCTTCTGTTCTTTGTGTTAATTCCCCATCCTAGACCAAGACTGCAGAGAGAACTAGAACTTCAGTGCTATGCTGAATTAATAGTGGTGAGAGCATGCATCCTTGCCTTGTTCCTGATCTTAGGGGGAAAGCATTTAGCATTCAGTCTTTCCCCATTATGTAAGATGCTAACTGTAGGTTTTTTGTAGATGCACTTTATTAAGTTGAAGAAATTCTTCTTTATTCTTATTTTTTTCCATGAGTTATTTTTTTTCGAATAGGTGTTTAATTTTGTTAAGTGCTTTTTCTGCATCGGTTAATATTATCATGTGACTTTTTTCTTTTAAGAGTGTTAAGATCATGGGTTACATTAATGGATTTTAAAATATTTAACCAACCTAGGATGAATCCCATAGTATACAATTCTTTTAAAATATTGCTGAATTTTACTTGCTAATATTTTGTAAATTTTTTTGCATCTATATTCATGAGGGATATTGGTCTGCAGTTTTCTTTTTTGCACTGCCTTTGTATGGTTTTGGTGTCAGTGTAATAGTGGTTTCATAAAATGACTTGGGAAGTGATGTTTTTTATTTTCTATGTGACATTATATGGAATTAGTATTGATTCTTCCTTAAACAGTTAATAGAATTCTCCAGTGACACCTTATGGGCCTGGAGATTTCCTTTTTCAGAGTTTTAAATTTATAAGTTCAATTTCCTTAATAGTTATAAGGCCATTCAAATGATCTATTTCATATTGGGTGAGTTGTGGTAGTTTTTGTTTTCTGAGGAATTGGTTCATTTCACACATAAGTGTCAAATTTATGTGTGTAGAGTTGTTTGTAGTATTCCATTATTATCCTTTTTATATCTCCAGGGTCTGGAGTGATGTCCCCTGTTTCATTTCTGATAGTGGTCACATTTTCCCAGGAAAGCCTTATGAACCACCAGTGGATCCAGGCGGATCCTGAACTAGCATAAAGCTTCCAGGAACTGGCTATGCTCCACTTGTCCTCTCTGGAGAGTGACAGAATTGTCCCTCATTGCTACTTTTCTGCCTTATTTTCACTCTACCCAACCTGGCCCCACTGGATAACTCACTGTCGCAAGAACAGTTCTGCCTTGAGCATTGCCATTTCTACATCTGTGTTTCTGAAATCTTCCCTGAAAAGAAAACTCTGTACTGCCTTCCCTGCCTGTTTGAATTCCATCTGCCCTTCAGGGCCAGATCGAGTACCTCCTTCCCAGCAAGGTCTTCTCTAACCATCCCAGATCAAACTCACAGCCCCTCTGAACTCCAGCAGGAACCCCTGCCCATGCCATTGACCAAGACCTTCAGTAGCTTTATCTCTGGGTATCATATTGGTTAGGAACACAGGCTCTTGTCAGGACATACCTGGGCTTCAATCTTGGCTCTGCCATTTCCTAGCTGCATGACCTGAGATAACTGACTTCACTTCCTTGAATCTTAGTGGCCTCCTCCGTAAAATGAGAAGATAGTCTGCCTGTCAGCGTTGTTGTAAATATCAAATAATATGTCTTAAAAGCTATTAAGTATGAAATAAATATTAGGGATATTCCAATACAATAATAATTAAAAATCAAGGTTAAATGGGAAAATATTTATAAAATAATATTGTAATAGAAGAATTATAAAACTGCAGGTAAGGTTAGAAAGATCCAAGAGTGTGTGCATATGTGTGTTCACAAACATACATAAAAGAATGGGAAGACACACTTCAAAAACAGTCTAAATGATGATGGTTAGCTCTAGGTGATTGGCTAATTGCTGGGTTTTATTTTCTATTCTATATTTTAAATTTTTGGGGGTGGGACTGCAATAGATTTATAACTTGAAAATATTATTAAAAAAATCAAGGTCTGATGATATAGTATTATTTGGTTATTTATACTGCGCTATACTTTAGAAAGGGTTTAAAACAGCATAAAATATAGCAAGTTAAAATTAAAATATAAACCAAAGTGAAGCAGAGGAGAAAATGCAGTAGGAAAGATGCTATGTTGTGACACTGCTAAAAATTTGTTATGACTGTCTCATATTTTTATTGTTTTTTTTTTAAAAAAAAAGAAAGAATGTCCTAGGATTTCCTTTAGTCATGAGTTTAATAAGTAAAATTAATTTAGGTAAAAGAAGGGCAGTATTTTACAACGCAGTGGAATAATATTAAAATTATACTTAAAAGAGAATAATTTCCTGCTAGTTTTCATTGAGTTAAACCTTCTGATCATTTTGTTGTTGGCATAGTAGACAGACCCAAGAAAAGTATGCTTGCCATTACTTATATTTTATTATACTTGTATAGTAAATTGCACATTATAAGTACAGATGCTTCTTGGCTTACAATGGGGTTACATACTGATAAACCCATCATAAGTTGAAAGTATCATAAATCAAGAATACATTAATACACCTAACCTACTGAACATCATAGCTTAGCCTAGCCTACCTTAAATGTGCTCAGAAAACTTACAGTAGCCTACAGTTGGGCAAAATTATCTAACACAAAGCCTATTTTATAATAAAGTATTTATTAGGTCATGTACACAGTAGTTTGCCAAGGCAGGAAAATATCAAAATAAAGTATGATTTCTACTGAATGTGTATCGCTATTGCACCATTGTTAAGTTGAAAAATCGTAAGTTGAACCATCATAAGTTGGTGACTATCTGTATACATTTGGCTAGTATTGGTTTTGCGTATCTGTTTTGAATAAGTTGAATGGAGAGGGCAGACAAACCCCAACTGGGAGTAAAGTTCTTGCCCTGGCCCTGCTATTTCTTAGTTAGGTCTTAACTCCTTGGCTTATTCCTTCTTTGGAAATTGAGGGGTCTAGACAAGAAGATCTAACTTTGACCATCTATAGTTTAGCACAGTTGTAGTTTCATTTGTTTAGGAATGTACATTTCCATTGATCCTTCCACTGGGAATCTTTATAGTATGTTAGTTGACCCATGTTATAAAATGTTCATCATAGCCTTCTGTGATATTAACATAATTTAAATGTTTTTTTCACAGAGAGACCTCTCTCCCCAAAAGCCGTCAAAGGATTTGAAACTGCTCCACTTACCAAGAATTATTATACTGTGGTAAGTGTTCAGATGATGAATAAAAATTTTCTTGACTCTATATGGAACTTTTTCACTTGTCAAACCATTGATGTGTTGAGGTGACACAAAGGAAAGACTGAATAAAGTTGCATGCATGAGTCTAATGCCATTCGCATTACAGTGGAGCTCTTTTACTTATATGCTTCTTGCAGATGTCTAGAAGTCTTACATCTACTGTGCTGAAAAATTCAAAGGTAGCACGGATTCACAGCAAGCCCTATTAAACAGCATGAAATAGAAATTGGCTAGTATGTAAGAATTATGGTGAAATTCAGCAGTTAGACATACCCTTACCAGATATTTAGAAGGTGAATTTCCAAGTTCCTGTAATGCAATAAATTTTAAGTGGTTGCATTTTGTAATTTTACTTTAGAATCAATGACTTCATTATTATATCGTCTGGAATATTATCATCCTTTAAAGAGAGCCCAAAAGGAAAACTGCCCTTTGGCACAGTGGGAGGAATGACATGGCTCTGGCTTAAACACAGATATGTCAAAATATGTTAGCTATAAATAGGGTATGTGCAATACTCAAAATAAATTCCTGTTTGAAAAAGAAATCGCATCATTCTCCTTCATCTACTCTCTGCTTTCTCTTCATGTCTCCTTTCCAGACTTGGCCTAGTCACTAATTTAAAGGTCAAGTCATGATTAACCTCTAAGTTTCCCTGTCTGGTAGCCTTGTCATTCCCCCGGCCCTGCCTCACCACCTCAGCTGAAATACAGTTTCACTTTTTACCCAGTGTTCTATGTGCGTTTGTCTTGCGTACTCATCTCCCTTTGTGCATGGATAGAGTTTTTAAACATCTCTATACAGGTATGTGAATATCATTTGGTTTCAAAAAGTTGAATTTCACTCTTCAGTGAATTTGCTCTATAATGATGACATGAGCAATAGAGAATATGAAAAATCAAGAAGGAACTCTCTAGGTAACATGGACAATAAATAATCACAGTCGACTATTTTGTTAATATCTTTTATCTTACATTTCCAAGGCTAAAATATATTACCCAGCAGAGGTAGGTTCCCTTCTCCCTTACTTCCTGACCAATTCTTTTAGCTTTTAGATAACCCCTAATGATTTAATTTTTAAAGAAAGGTTGTAGTGGAATGGTGGATGAAAATATTACCATAGCTGCTTCTCTCTGTGGGTCTGGAGCATATCATCACTCTGCTTTGGATCTCTCTCTGCCTCTGCTGATTCTACCAACTTAAAGTGTGGTTGGGATTATCCAAGGCAGAGTATACTCTGTGATTCTCATGGAATTTATATCAATCCTATATATATAATGGTCGAACTCTGGACATGCTGCAGTTTATATAACCCACCTCCTGTTGGAAGACGTGTGTTGTTTCTAGTTCCTTGCTGTAATAGACAATTCTGCATTGAATAGCTTATATATATCACTTTGCCAAAGTATATAAAGATCTGTATGGTGAAAGTTAAGTGCTTAGGTCAAAGGACATATATGTTTAACAGTTTTTTTTTGGTAGATATCATCCCAAACCTCAGACCTAATAAAGAAAACAAATGTCTTGCGGAACTCATGATAGCCTGTGAAGAACCTGTAGAACTTCGATGTGAATATTGCTTAATTATTGGCCAGCTGGATATATTGTAACTAGATATGGATGTGAAGAGATTTTGGTTGGTTGGTTTTTTTAAATCCACATTTCTCTGGCTTTGAATAGTTAGGCAAATTTTTAGTGTCAATTAATTCAAAATATGTTTTGAGTGTTCTGATTGTCCTCCTAATCTGTGTTGAATAAAAAAAATCTATTTCATCCACAGGATTTGTAGACTTGTAAAATCAATTTCACTCACATGAAAAGTGCCCTCATCTGATGGTATATTAAATCTTCTTCCCTCCAAGAGTCATTAATTGTAGATATTTTGTGTTGCTAGATCTATAAGAATACTAATGACTGATTTTTACTTCATTAAAAAAATGAAATAACATTTTTCTTTTATATAACTAGTTATATAAATGTTTTTAAAATATCAGACAATACAGAAATAATGTAAAAAAGAAAATAAACACCACATGTAATCCCACCACTTAGAAATAATCACTATTAACATGTTAGTGAATTTCATGCCAAATTTTCTTTAAGGTAGGTGTAAGTGTATATATATATATGCATATATATGTATATATAGCCTGTAATATCTATGTGTGTATATAAATTTTTAAATAAAACAGGAAATTATGTATTCTTTCTTTTTCATAAAGATTTTTTTTTTTTTGACATGGAGTCTCACTCTGTCGCCCTGGCTGGAGTGCAGTGGCACGATCTCAGCTCACTGCAACCTCCGCCTCCCGGGTTCAAGAAATTCTTCTGCCTCAGCCTCCCGAGTAGCTGGGACTACAGGCGAGCGCCACCACGCCCAGCTAATTTTTGTATTTTTAGTAGAGGCAGGGTTTCACTATATTGGCCAGGCTGGTCTCGAACTCCTGAGTTCGTTATCTGCCCGCCTTGGCCTCCGAAAGTGCTGGGATTACAGGTGTGAGCCACTGTGCCTGGCCCATAAAGATTTTCTATCCCTATACCCCAATAATACTTGTCTCTGACCAGACCTGTTCTTTTTTTTTTTTTTTTTTTTTTTTTGAGATGGAGTCTCACTCTGTTGCCCAGGCTGGAGTGCAGTGGCATGATCTTGGCTCACTGCAACCTCTGCCTCCCAGGTTCAAGCGATTCTCCTGCCTCATCTTCCCGAGTAGCTGGGATTACAGGCATGCACCACAATTCCCGGCTAATTTTTGTATTTTTAGTAGAGACGGGGTTTCACCATGTTGGCCAGGCTGGTCTCGAACTCCTGACCTCAGGTGGTTCTCCCGCTTTGGCTTCCCAAAGCGCTGGGATTACAGGTGTGAGACACTGCTCCCAGCCAGACCTGTTCTTATGCTCTTCCATTTAATGAGTCTTTGCCAGCCCAGGGCTCCCTTTATTTTGGTCCTGTGTATTAGTCAGGTTTCCCAGAGAAACAGAACCAATGTGGGGGGTGGGGGGCGGTGGGGGAGGAGAGAGAGAGAGAGAGAGAGAGAGAGAGAGAGAGAGAGAGAGAGAGAGAGAGAATGAATAAGGAATTGGCACATGTGACTATGGAGGCTGAGAAATTCCACACTCTACTGTCTCAAAGCTGGAGACCCAGGAAAGCTGGTGGTGTAATTCCGTACAAGTCCAAAGGCCTGGGAACCAGAGAGCTGATAGTGTAAGTTTCACTCTGAGGTCAGGAGAAGATCAATTTTCTAGCTCAAATACGCAGACAGAGAAAGCAAATTCTCCCTTCTTCTACCTTTTTGTTCTATTCAGGTCCTTAGCAGATTGGATGAAGCCCACTCACAATAGGCAGGCAATATGCTCTACTCCACCTACTAATTTAAATGCTAATCTCATCTGGAAAACCCTTACAGACACATGCAGAAATAATGTTTAGCTAAATATCTGGGCACCCTGTCTATCCTGCCCAAGCTTACAGGATGTGATGATTAATTTTATGTGCCAACTTGGGTCGACACATAAAATTAATCATCACATCCTGTAAACTTGGGCAGGATAGAGACCTCTGGGAATTTGTAAATCTGTAGACATATTCTCCCCTTTTTCAAGTTTCTAAGGGATTATCTGCTGATTTCAGCCCCATTTAGGCCTTGATGCAATTCTGGTGTCATGTCAATTTTGAAATGTTACATAGTTGTCCAGTGTGACCAAAGTGGCTGTGGGCACCCAGCTCAGACCCGCACCTGCCACTAGGCATGTTTAATGTGGGTAACTGAGACTTGGCCACTCCTGGCTTGTTGTTTTGAATAGGAACTTAGCATCCTTGAGGGACATGGCAGTCCAGAGAAAGCTTTTGCTGCCCCTGACCTTGGTTCCTTAATTGTCCTCAATTATTGCTGCCATATGTTAAACTTCTCTCACTATTAATTATTTTTCTAATAATCTTCTTCTGCCCATTGTCTTTCTTTGCTCATTGTAACTTAATGTTATATGCCAGGAAGATTTAAAAAGTAAAAGTCAGAAAAAGGAATTGATACAGCTTGGTTGTCAGGCTTTATTTGTGTGCAGCACTTAGGTCTTGGCACCCATGGTCTCATTGGGAGGGCAGGTCAAACATGATAGTGTAAGCCACATGGTAGAGAATGATGTAAGGTTGTAAGGTGTTGTAAGGTGGGTTTTTCAAAATGCGGTTGGGATCCTTTGTCTCGGAGGCACCTGGGGAGCTTGTTAAAACTACAGACATACGGGTGTGGTGGCTCACGCCTGTAATCCCAGCACCTTCGGAGGCCAAGGTGGGTGGATCACTTGAGGTCAGGAGTTCGAGACCAGCCTGGCCAACATGGCGATACCCCGTCTCTACTAAAAATACAAAAATTAGCTGGGCATGGTGGCCTAGGCCTGTAATCCCAGCTACTTGGGAGACAGAGGCAGGAGAATTGCTTGAACCTGGGAGGCGGAGGTTGCAGTGAGCCGAGATTGCACCATTGCACTCCAGCCTGGGTGACAAAGTGAGACTCTGTCTCAAAAAAGAAAGAAAGAAAGAGAGAGAGAGAGGGAGGGAGGGAGGGAGGAAGAGAGAGAGAAGGAGAGAAGGAAAGAAAGAGAGAAAGAAAGAAGGAAAGAAAGAATGAAAGAAAGAAAGAAGGAAAGAAAGAAAGAAAGAGAGAGAGAGAGAGAGAAAGAAAGAAAGAAAGAAAGAAAGAAAGAAAGAAAGAAAGAAAGAAAGAAAGAAAGAAAGAAAGAAAGAAAAAGAAAGAAAGAAAGAAAGACTACAGACATCTGGGCCACACACCTGACTTGCTACATCAAATTCTCTGGCTGTTGATTCCAGGAAATAGCATTTTAAACAACTCCCACTCCTTCCTTAACCACTTCCCCTTAACACACAGGTGGCTCTGATGCTCACTTCACCTAAAATATGAGAACCAATCAAGGAAAAGGTTGAATGGAGGATGTAGGATTCAAGGCAAATCTTGGAGGAAGGTCGGAAGTTAGACAAGCAGAGAAGAGCTGAAAGCTTATTCAGACAGGGGGAGCCATATGAGCAAATTCTCCCAGGCAAGAATGTGCCTGTCTGTAATTAGTCCCTGCAGGTCAGAGAGTGGACTGCACGCTCTTCTTCTCCCATCCAAATATCCCTTGTAAGATGAAATTCTTTATTCACTGCAACTATTGCAACACACTTAATAAAGCTGGCCTTTGTGCTGTCACAAATAGGCCAGACTCACAGTAATCCTAATATTCAACTCTGGGGATGAGCATCTGTGTGCAGAGTGAAAGGTGGTATTTCCCCCCATCCAAGTAGGAAAATATAATCACTAAGGACCAATATCATTTATTTTGTTCTTGCTTTCTCCTACTTTATGTAACATAATGGTAGATGCCTAAAGGGCATGTTTTATAGAACCTGCCTGCAGTAGAAAATGTGGGAGGAAGGCTGTGGCATGTTACATTACAAAAATCCTAGGAAGCCTCGGGTAACCTTTGCTGTAGCTTCCCGCCTTCTGCTCACCCTCATTTTCTCTCTCACTCATCTATCTACCTCTCTCTGCCACCCTGGATTTTTCTACCTTTCTAGTGCTCACCCACCTTTTTAATTCTACTAGCCTAAACTACCTTACACATCTATCCATTGATTCTCTTTTCCATATCCGCTCTTATTTCTTTCTTACCCTCTTCCCATCTTACTCCTCCATACTGCTCTTCCATGTGAGGGCTGGAGGTGGAGGAAGTGACAGGATCCTGTGGAGTTCGTGAATCTATTTGTGGATAATGGGGAGTAGTGCTGCTTGTTTTGTGAAAGCTAAGGACCTGGGCGTGCAGAATCAATCACTGCAGGCGGTTCTACTGGCATAGAAATCAAATATGACATAAATATTATAATATATTGCCCTTTTTGTTCTCAAAGAACTTTACCAACATTAGCTCATTTTCATAGGCACCATAATTATCTCAGAATTCCTATAATGTAATATTTTTGCTTTGATTTAAGGTTTCCTGAGACCATTATAGTCTCCTTTATCATTGGAGATATCTCTGTTTTCAGCCATTGTTTATGCATTTTAGTTTCTTAAAATAATTTCTTTATACTTTTATGACTCCTTCCCTTTGGAAAACATAGTTATACAAACTCACTCTAAAGCCTCTCCAGGAAATGTGGGAAATGTGTTTTATTGGAAAATCAATAGCCCAGGATGGTGGTAGCAAAAGCCTCCACCTTTTTTTTTCCTGTGGTTTCTCACTGTCTATTTTATTCTGAATTCAGGCAAAGGTTGGTTGAGCAAAAGGATGCCCAGTTGTCCTTGTGAAGACAGAGTCAGGGAGGCAAAGGCAGTGTCTGGACAGAGTCTATTTTAGTGAGTTTGAATGGATTTCATCAGATCAAATTGTACTGCTCTGAAGTTGCTTGGCCTGGCAAACTCCTTGCCTTCTGAGTCACCACTGAGGCCTTCTGTTTGGGAGCACATAGCCTTCTCTGTCTGCTTCCCTTCTTATCCTTTTACATTAGATGCCCTGTGGCCTGAAAAATAAAGAACCAGTCTCAGAAGTTCATCAGTTGATCTTTTGAGATTGAAGAAAGCAATAAAGTTCTGAGTGACTTTGGGAAGGAATCCCAAACATCCACCCTGATGAACATTCCTGCTCATCCAACCACAGCAAGAGAAGTTCTATTTAGTATATTACTACTCACGTTTTTTTTTGGGGGGGGGGCATAATTTGATAAAAAGACTTATTAACCACTTTTGTCATTTTAATTTTGTAAAGTCCATTCTGCCACTCTCAAAACTTGCAGTCATAGGAGTTTAATGTATATTTCCATTTAGCTCTCCAGAACTCACTCCAAGGCAGCAGGAAGTGTCTGCGTGCCTCCCTCCCATGGGAAGTAACTGCCCTATGCCAGTGGTTCCAGCAGAGATGGGTACCCTAGAAAGTGTGTTGCCTCACCTAGCAAATAAACCCACTGGAGCAGGACACTTGGCATCTTTCTTGAAGAATCTTAGCAATTTCAGGTACAAGAGCCCCAGATGGTAGCATTTTAAAGGGAGTTGAAATATTAAGGCTATTTCAATGGGGGAGAAGCAGAGTGAATTATATCAACCACGGAATTAAAGTAGTGTTTGTTTTAAAAATCACATTTTATGATGAAAATAATATCTATGATTTTTCTAATTTAAAAATTCCCTTCAAGCAATGACTGTTTGCTGTTGTTTTTCTTTATTTCAACAGATACTATAATTCAGGGACTATGACAGTTATAGACAACAGTGCTTTAAGGGAGGGTGACAGCTGGGCATGGTTGCTCATGCCTGTAATCCCAGAACTTTGGGAGGCAGAGGCAGGAGGATAGTTTGAGCCCAGGAATTCAAGACCGGCCTGGGCAACATAGTGAGACTCTGTCTCAACAAAAAATAAAAAATTAGCTGGGCATGGTGGCATGTGCTTGCAGGCCGAGCTACTTGGGAGGCTGAGGCAGGAGGATCATTTGAGTCTGGGAGGCCAATGCTGCAGTGAGCCAAGATAGCACCACTGCACTCCTCCTTGGGTGACACAGCAAAACCCTGTCTCAAAAACAATCAAACAAACACACAACAAAAAATAAATGAATAATTAAAAAAATTTAAAAAATGTTAGAAAGGAAGGGTGAGGATGTGAGATGGCTTGTTACCAGACATGGTCTTTTTAGAAAAGTGTGAACAGGCCAGGCATGGTGGCTCACACCTCTAATTCTAGCACTTTGGGAGGCCGAGATGGGTGGATCACGAGGTCAGGAGTTCGAGACCAGCCTGGCCAATATGGTGAAACCCCGCTTCTACTAAAAATACAAAAATTAGCTGTGCATGGTAGCATGCACCTGTAGTCCCAGCTACTCAGGAGGCTGAGGCAGAAGAATCACTGGAACCCAGGAGGCAGAGGTTGCATTGAGCCGAGATTGTGCCACTGCACTCCAGTTTGGGCGACAGAGTGAGACTCCGTCTAAAAAACAAAAAAAAAAAAAGAAAGAAAAAAAGAGAAAAGAGAAGTGTGAACAAAAAGATTAGAAGATTTAATTCCCTCCCGAATATAAAAGGGCCCTATCCTTTTTGAATCTCAACACCAATACTATAGATAACCAAGTAAATATTTTATTTTTATTTTTATATTTTTTGAGACAGACCCTCCCTCTGTCGCCCAGCTGAAGTGCAGTGGCGCGATTTGATTTGGGCTCACTGCAACCTCCACCTCCCAGGTAAAAGCAATCTTCCTGCCTCAGCCTTCCAAGTAGCTGGGATTACAGGCATGAGCCACCATGCCCAGCTAATTTTTGTATTTTTAGTAGAGATGGGGGTTTCACCATGTTGGCCAGGCTGGTCTCAAACTCCTGGCCTCGAGTGATCTGCCTGCCTCGGCCTCCCAAAGTGCTGTAATTATAGGCATGAGCCACTCCCCCTGGCCCAAATAAATATTTTAAATAAAGCAATGTGCATATGAGCCTTACCTCCTCCTTTTTACTTAATAAAATATAGTACTGTTGAATTCTAGTGCATTTCTCTCCATTTCTATGAATTAAAAAAAATGAATATCAGTGCTGAGTATAAGTGATTACTTGAGGAACTGCAGTGAACAACAACACAGATGGACAAAGAGCTATCATGATGAACAAGCTTGAGTATTGAGGGCCATGACCCTGCATAAGGACTTGGAGTCAGAGAAAAAACAGAAGAGTTTTTATTGACAGGTGAGAAATTTGTGCTTTGTTTTTAAATAATAGCTTTACTGAGGTACAATTCACATAGCATAAAATTCACCATTTTAAAGTGTGCAATTCACTGTTATTAGTGTATTCACAGAGTTGCACAATGATCGCCACTATCTCATCTAATTTCACAACATTGTTATCACCCCACCAAAAAACCTTCTATCCATTAGCAGTCACTTCCCATTTCCCATTCCCTCCAGCCCTTGGCAACCACTAATCTACTTTCTGTCTGTATGGATTTTGCCTATTCTGGAAGTTTTACATACATGGAATTCTATAATGTGTGATATTTTGTGTTTGGTTTCTTTCACTTAGCATAATATTTTCAAGGTTCATCCATGTTGCAGAATGTATCAGTACTTCTTTCTTTTTATAGCTAAGTAATATTCCATTGTATGGTTAGACCAGCTTTTATTTATCTATTTATCAGTTGATGGACTTTGGGTTGCTGCCACTTTTTGGTTATTATTACAAATGCTGCTGTGAACATTCATGTGCAAGTTTTTGTGTGGACATATGTTTTCACTTCTTTAGGAGCAGAATTGCTGGGTCACATGGTAATTCTATGTTTGACTTTCTGAGGAATGGCCAAACTGTTTATCACAGTAGCAGTACCATTTTACATTCTTACCAGCAATTGTAAGAGTTTCAGTTTCTCTACATCCTCACCAACACTTGTTATTGTCTGCTTTTTTTTCTTTGTAATATAACCACCCTATTGAGTATCAAGTAGTATCTAATTGTAGTTTTGATTAGCATTTTCCTAATAGTTAATGATGTTGGGTATGCTTATTGGCCATTTGTATATCTTCTTTGGAGAAATTTCTATTCAAATTCTTTGCCAACTTTAATTGATTATTTTTGTTGTTGAGTTGTAATAGTTCTATATATATTGTGGATACTAGACTCTTATCAGATATATGATTTGCAAATATTTCTTCCATTCTATGAGTTGTCTTTTCACTTTCTTGATAATGTCATTTAACACACAAAAGTTTTTAATTTTGATGAATTCCAATTTACTTATTTTTGTTTTGTTTTGCTTTTTGTGTCACCCAAGAATCCATTGCCAAATTGAAAGTCATGAAGATTTCCTCCTCTGTTTACTTTAAGACTTTTGTAGATTTAACTCTGAAATCCATTTTGAGTTAGTTTTTGTATATGGTATGAGGTAGGGGTGTAAATTCTTTCTTTTGCATGTGAATATCCAGTTTTCTCAGCACCATTTGTTGAAAAAAAAGTTCTCTCCCCACTGAATGGTCTTTTTTTTTAATTGACAGATAAAATTATATGTATTAATTGTGTACAACATGATGTTCTGTCATGTTTAGTCATTGTGGAATGACTAAAGCTAGCTAATTAACACACATATTACCTCACAGAGTTATCATTTTTATGGTAAGAACAATTAACATTCACTCTCTAGGCATTTTTTAAGAGTACAATATATTGTTATTTACTATAGTCACAATGTTGCACAAGAGCTCTCTTGAACTTATTCCTCCTAACAGATGTTTCATATCCCTTGATCAACATCATCCCAACCAGCTCCCCCAACTTCCCCAGCCCCTTGTAACCACCATTCTATTATCTAGTTCTATGAGATCAACTTTTTAAGATTACACATATGATGAGATCATGTGGTATCTTTCTTACTATGCCTGACTTATTTCACTTAACATAATGTCTTCTAGGTTCATCCATGTTGTTGCAAATGGCAGGATTTTCATCTTTTTAATGACTGAATAGTATTCCATTGTGTTTTGTTTTGTTTTGAGACAGGGTCTTGCTCTGTCACTCAGACTGGAGTGCAGTGGTGTGATTCTGGCTCACTGCAACCTCTGCCCCCTGGACTCAAACAATCCTTCCACCTCAGCCTCCCAAGTAGCTGGGGCTACAGGGGTGCACCACCACACCTGGCTAATTTTTTAGTTTTTTGTAGAGACAGGGTCTCACCATGTTGCCGAGGCTGGTCTCAAACTCTTGAGCTCAAGCAATCTGCTCTCCCCAGCCTCCCAAAGTGCTGGGATTATAGGCATGAGCCACCATGCCCAGCCTCCATTGTGTTTTTATACCATATTTTCTCTGTCCATGCATCCGCTGATTTCATATTTTGGCTATCATGAATAATGCTGAAATGAACATGGGAGTGCAGATATCTCTTCAACATACTGGTTTTATTTTTATTTTTGGAATTTGAATCTGTCAATATCCACAAAATAACTTACTGAGATTTTGATTGGAATTATGTTGAATCTATAGATCAAGTTGGAAATAACTGACATCTTGATAATATTGAGTCTTTCTACCCATGAATATAGGATATCTCCCCATTTATTTAGTTCTTTGATTTCTTTTACCAGAGTTTTGTAGTTTTATTTGTATAGATCTTGTACATATTTTCTTAGATTTATACCTAAGTATTTCATTTTTAGAGGTGCTAATCTAAATATTATTTTTTTGTTTCAGATTTTGTTTATTGCTGATATAAAGGAAAATGATTGACATTTGTGTATTGACTTTGCATCTTGCAACCATGTTATAATCACTCATTAGCTCCAGAAATTTTTTTGATTTATTCAGATTTTCTACATATACAATCATGTCATCTACAAATAAAGACGGTTTTATTTCTTCCTTCCCAATGTGTATACCTTTTATTTTTTTCTTATTGCATTAGCTAGGACATTCAATATGATGTTGAAAAGGAGTGGTGTGAGGGAACACTCTTGTTTTGTTCCTAATCTTAGTAGGAAAGCATCTGGCTTCTTACCATTAAGTATGATGTTAGATGTCGGGGTTTTTTGTTAGCTTTTTTTTCCCTTTTTTTTTCGTAGCTGTTCTTTATCAAGTTGAGAAACTATTCCTAGTTTTCTGAGAATTAAAAAAAAATCATGAATGGATGTTGTATATTGTCAAATGCCTTTTCTGCATCTGTTGATACGATCATGTGATTTTCCTTCTCTAGCCTGTTGATGTGATAGATTACATTAGTGATTTTTTGGAATGTTGAACTAGTCTTGCATACTTTGTTAAATCACACTTGGCTGTGTTGTAGCATTCTTTTTATCTATTGCTGGATTTTATTTGCTAATATTTTGTTGATGATTTTTGTAACTATGTTCATTAGAGATATTGGTTTGTAGTTTTCTTGTAATGTCTTTGGTTTGGGTATTGGGATAATTCTGGCTTCATAAAATGAGTTAGGAAGTATGTATTCTCTCTGCTTCTGTGTTTTGGAAGAGATTGTAAAGAATTGATATAATTTCTTCCTTAAATGTTTAGTAGAATTTACCAGTGAACCTATCTGGGCTTAATGCTTTCTGTTTTGGAACGATGTTAATTACCAATTCATTTTCTTTACTAGATGTAGGCCTATTCAGATTATCTATTTCTTCTCTTGTGAGTGTTGGCAGATTGTATCTTTAAAAAGCTGGTCCATTTAATCTAGGTTATCAAATTTGTAGGCAGAGTTATTAATAATATTCCTTTAACATTATTTTAATGTCCATGGGATCGCTAGTGATATCCTGCCATTTCATTTCTGATACTAACAGTTTGTATCTTCTCTCTTTTTTTCAATGAAGTTCATCAATTTTGTTGATCTTTTCAAAGAGCCACCTTTTGGTTTTAACTTCCTCTACTGATTTTCTGTTTTCAATCTCATTGATTTCTGCCCTAATTTTTATTATTTCTTTTCTTCTGTGTGCTTTAGATTTAGTTTGCTCTTCTTTTTGTAGTTTCCTAGGGTGGAAGTTTAGATTATTTATTTTAGATCTTTCTTCTTTCCTAATATATGCATTCAGTGCTATAAATTTCCCTACAAGCACTGCTTTCACTGCATTCCGCACATTTTAATGTTCTTCTTTCATTTCCATTTAGTTCAAAATATTTTAAAATTTCTCTTGAAATATCTTTTTAGAAAATAAATGTATTTTGAGATGTGTTGTTTAATCTCCAAGTATTTTTCTGTTATTGATTTCTAGTTTGATTACATTGTCGTCTGAGATCATAGATTGCATGATTTCTATTCTTTTAAATTTGCTAAGGTGGGTTTTATGGATCATAATGTGGTCTGTCTTGAGGAATGTTTCATGTAGGCTTGAGGAGAATATGTAATCTGCTGTTGTTGGATAAAGTAGTCTATAGATGCCAACTCTATCCAGTTGCTTGATGGTACTATTGAGTTCTAGTATGTCCTTACTGATTTTCTGCTTGTTGGATCTCTCCATTTCTGATAGAGGGGTATTGAAGTCTCAACTACAATAAATTTATCTATTTCTACTTGAAGTTCTAGCAGTTTTTGCCTCACTTTTTTTTTTTTTTTTTTTTTACCAAGTATTAAATCACAGGAGGAATTTACTCCAAGAATGCCAGTCAACATACTGGACAATGTCTTTAACTATAGTTTACAACAATAGTTTACAACTATGATGGCCTTTTATATAGCTACTTCTAATGTCAGTTCTCACTGAAATGCATAATATTAAAATATAACTCAGCCAAAGAAAATGTTTCTTTTGTTCATTTCTTTTGTTCCTTTGTTCATTTCTTGGAATAGCAATTAGCAAGTACCAATGTGTGTAAAATGCCTAAAAAATACACAATGCCATTGTCAAATATGTTTGAAAAACACAATATCATATTGGCCCTGCTTAGAGATTCAAAATATATTTATCATACTAAAAGTTCTAAAAAGCTATGCATAAAGAAATTTGTATAAATTATTTAACAGTTTTTCATAATTGTTATTGTCATTCTTTGGGAAGTTAGATATATCAATATACTTTCAGATTTATCAATATACTTTATTCACCTGGTCTTTGAATGAGAATGGGTTAAATAAGCAAATTTATTGTCATTTGCACTGACAAGGAACTAGAGTGTTAATTTTTTTTTATTATTGATTGAAGGGAGAACGCTTCCACTGCAATTTTGATGGAAGAGTTTTCATTTGATTATAAAAGTTGTGCCTCATGTAGTTTGATTCTGTTTTTAGGCACATACATATTAAGGACTGTTATGTCTTGTTGGAGAACTGACCTCTTTATTATTATGTAATGCCTCTTTTATTCCTGATAATTTTTCGTGCTCTAATGTTTGCTCTGTCTAAAATTAACATAGCCACTCCAGCTTTCTTTTGATTAGTATGAACATGATATCTCCTTTTTCATCCCTTTACTTTTAATTTATAAGTGTCTTTATATTTAAATTGAATTTCTTATTAACAGCATATGGTTGGGTCTTATTTTTTGATTCACTCTGAAAATGTCTGTCTTTTCATTGGTACATTTAGACCACTGACATTTAAAGTGATTATTGATATAGGTGGATTAATGCCTACCATACTTGTTACTGTTTTCTATTTGTTGCCCTTTTCGTTGTTCGCTTTTTGTCTTCCACATTTTTTTGCTTTTTGTTTTAATTGAGCATTTTATATGATTCCATTTCTCTTTTTTCACTTATCAGTTATATTTCTTTAAGAAAAACATTTTTAGTGGTTGCTCTATGCCTTGATAGCTAGTCCCAGTTCACTTTCATATAATACTATACAAAGATACATACTATATTCGCAGGTAGTGCAAGTACCTTATAATAACATAGTATTCCTAATTATTACCTCCCATCCCTTGTATGATCGCTGTCACTCATTTTACTTACACATAAATACACATTAGTATATACACACACATAATCAAATACATTGCTGCTATTATTATTTTGAATAAACTGTTATCTATTAGGTCAATTAAAAATAAGAAAAAAGTTTTTATTTTATCTTTACTTATCCCTTCTCTAATATTCTTTCCTTCTTCATGTAGATTCAGATTTCTGACCTATATTGTTTTTCTTCTCTGTGAAGAACTTCTTTTAACATTTCTTGCAAGGCAGGTCTAATGGTGACAGTTTCCCTCAGTTTTTGTTTGTCTGAAAAAGTCTTGATATGTCTTTCACTTTTGAAGGATAATTTCACAAGATACAGAACTCAAGGTTAGTGGGTTTTTCTCTCAACACTTTAAATATTTCACTCAACTCTCCTCTTGCTTGCATTGTTTCTGAGGAGAGGTCAGATGTAACTTTTATTTGAACTTCTGTATAGATAAACTGTTTGTTTCCCATGGCTTCTTTCAATACTTTTTTCTTTATTTTTGATTTTCTGGAGTTTGAATATCACATGATTAGAATTTTCTTTTGCATTTATCCTACTTGGTCTCTGAGCTTCCTGGATCTGTGATTTGGTGTCTGACTAATTTTGAGTAAATTCTCAACCACTATTGTTTCAAATATTTCTTCTATTATTTTCTCTTTCCTCTCCTGATATTTCCACATTACATGAATGTTGCACCTTTTGTAGTTGTCCCACAGTTCTTTCATATTCTCTTCTATTTTTACCCCCAGTCTTTTTCCTCTTTGCTTTTTGGTTGTAGCAGTTTCTATTGACATATTCTCAAGCTCAAAGATTCTTTCCTCAGCCATGCCCAGATCACTATTGAGTCCATCATGTGCAGGCATTCTTCATTTCTGTTACAGTGTTTTTAATCTCTAGCATTGCTTTTTGATTCTTTCTTAGAATGTCTGTTTCTCTGCTTATAATATCCATCTATTCTTGCACGTTGTCTACTTTTTCTGTTAGAGTCCTTAGTATATTAATCACAGTTACTTAAAAACACTGGTCTGATAATTCTAACATTCCTGTGTTACCTGACTTAAGTTCTGATGCTTGCTTTGTCTCTTCATACTGTATTTTTTGCCTTTTAATATGCCTTGTAAATTGTTGTTGGAAGCCTGACATGATGTACTGGGTAAAGGAACTGTGGTAAATAATCCTTTAGTAATGTGGTGGTAAGGTGTAGAAGGAGGGGAAACATTCTATGTTTCCAGATTAGGTCTCAGTTTTTAATGAGCTTGTGTCCCTGGACTGTGAACTTCACCCGTGCTTCCTAGTTCTCCCGCTTAGGTGGGACAGGATGGCTAGAAAGGGCTGGAGTTGGGTTATCTTCCTTCCCCCATGTGGAAGGCTAGAGCTGGCTGGAGTTGCTTATTGACCTTCCCCCATAACAGTTAGCATCTGATAAAAATTCAATAGGTTATGCTCAGGCCGGGCGCAGTGGCTCACGCCTGTAATCCCAGCACTTTGGGAGGCCAAGGCAGGCGGATCACCTGAGGTCAGGAGCTCGAAACCAGCTTGACCAACATGGTGAAACCCCCATCTCTACTAAAAATACAAAATTAGCTGGGCGTGATGGCGCATGCCTGTAATCCCAGCTACTAGGGAGGCTGAGGCAGGAGAATGGCTTGAACCCAGGAGGTGGAGGTTGTAGTGAGCCGAGATTGTGCCATTGCACTCCAGCTTGGGCAACAAAAGCGAAACTGCGTCTCAAAAAACAAAAACAGAAACAAACAAACAAAGCAAACAAACAAACAAAAAATAGGTTATGCTCTGGTAAAATAGTTTCTCCTGAGGGCAGACCTTGTTAAGAAGAATAGAGTGCTCTGGCATATTCAAAAAGGCAACTTTTTCCCTCCCTCTGCCTGAAGCATGAGGGTATTTTCCTCTAATCTTCACTGAGAGAAACTGGAGCTTAAACTCACAAAAGTGTGAGTGTGCTGTCCTAATATTGGGCCCCTGGAGTTCCTAACTCTCAGACTTGCCTGTACAGAGCCCCCAGAAGTTTGTCAATTACAGTGTAGGTTTTTCTGCCCTAGTGCTGGTTCCTGTGGAGGCTTCTGCTTGTGGACTTCTGCTCTGGTAATTTGTGATTCTCTTTATCTGCCTGTTTCTCCAATTTTTGGAGTAGCAGTTTTCCCTGTGACCTCTCTTTTCTGACAGATTTAAGAGAAAACGATGGTTTATTTCAGTTTGTTTAGCTATTTCCTTCCTGTTAGGATGGAGTAATGACTTCTAAGCTCCTTACATGTCAGACTGAAAAATGAAAGTCTTTTTTTTCTTTTTTAAAATAGGCATTTATAAGTATATAGTTTTCTTTAAGCACTGTTTAACTGCACCCCATGAGTTTTTGTATGTTGTGTTTTCATTTTCATTCATCTCAAAGTAGTTTCTAATTTCCATTCTCGCGCTTGGACTTTCTATAGAGGGGAATATTTCTATTCCATTACTGGGTTAATTTCCGAGAACATCAATACCTCCAGAACCCTGCATTTACACTTTTAGAGGGTAGTTTCTGAGGAATAGAGGAACTGAAAGTAGACATGAGTGGCTGGGTATAGGGGTTACAATTTAAGCCCGAGCTTTTGAAGCCATCCTGTGTTCTTCTAAGCCAGTGATTCTCAACTGGGGGCAATATTGCCTTTCAGGTGACATTTGGCAATGTCATGGCAATGATATGGGCATTCCATCACAACAAAGACTTATCTGGTTTGAAAGGTTAATAATGTTGCTATTGAGAAACCCTTTTTTAACCCTTTAAATTGGTAGGTCTGTTTCCCACTTACCCAGCACCTATCTGTACAGTGTGTCACTACATCTTCATAATGGTCCCCCAGGTAGGTGCAATATCATAATCTGAGATGATGTAAGCAAAGTTTTAAACTGAAGCAACCTCTCAGTCAGCAGCAGAGTCAGGACTACCACCCTGCACTCCAGTGGTTTCCCAGAGAACCCACGGTTACCAGGATCTCCACTTGTTTTGACCATTCCACCTTTCAAAAGCAGATCATCATGCATTGTCTTGTGAGTATATGGCTGGCATATTGGTAGGCTAATACACTTCTCCTAGTTAAGGACACTTCACTCTGTCTTGTAACTCTCTGTTTAATGTCTCTGCAAATACAGTATAAACTCCCTGTGGGCAGCACGGCAGTTGGCAGAATAGGCACTCAGTCGATTTTGTTGAATGAATTAGAATATATGAAAGAAAATATACCAGAATGTTAACTGGGTTGTCCCTAAGAGCTTAAATGAAGGTTTTTAAAATTATTATTATACTTTAAGTTCTAGGGTACATGTGCACAATGTGCAGGCTCGTTCCATAGGTATACATGTGCCATGCTGGCCCACTGCACCCATCAACCCGTCATTTACATTAGGTATTAAATGAAGGTTTTACCTGTCACTAGAAGAGGCTTGGAAATGGGTTGTGACATGACCCTAGAACTGGTAGGGGAAGAGAAATTGTGATCCCCCATATTGGTTGTTTTGCCTATAGGATTCTAATTACATTAATAATAATAATGATAATTTTTATTTCTCTTGTTAAATTCCTCACACTTCAGCCTACTTTGTTCTTTGAATTGTTTATGGTAGCACCTTTTGCCTTTAAGAAAAGACTAGTTTTAACTCTGCTTAAAAATTCACTGTATCCTCAGATTTTGTTCCCCAAAGGTCTTATCACAAACATAACTTAAACAAAAATCTCTTGTGATGTTTGTTATCACAGTGATCCTTAAATTATACTGACATTAAGTCTCTATGTCTAAGGTAGCTGGCCTCAATTTTCTCCTCCATAAAAGAGGAATAATGATTCTTTGTTAACTAACTGAGAACTTCCTGAGGATAAAATCATTTACAGCACATGAAAACATTTTAAACAGTACTGTGGGGTTTGATGTGGTCTCACATCTGTAATCCCAGCACTTTGGAAGGCTGAAGCAAGAGGATTGCTCCAGACCAGGAGTTTGAGACCACCCTGGGCAACATAGAGAGATCCTGTCTCTACAAGAAATAAATAACCAAGCAGTACTGTGTAAATCGCAAGGCCCCTTCAGTTATGGGCAACTGAAAAATTGTATTCATATGAATTGTGCAATATAACCAGTTGTCATGCAATAATTAAAGTAGTTTGCTAGATTGAAAGAAAATGCATTCAGATTTTGTGTTCCTTGCTTGCAATGGTAGCCTGAGTAAATAGGACCTTTTTTCTTCCTAGTAATTTGGTTAAAAGATCAAAGCTACATTTTGCCTTAGACTATCGTGATGATTATAATACATTGACTTTTTTTTCCATAGGTGTTACAGAACATCCTGGACACTGAAAAAGAATATGCTAAAGAACTTCAGTCTCTTCTTGTTACTTACTTAAGACCCCTGCAGTCCAATAACAAGTAAGATGTTTATTTTAAATCCCTCACTAAGTAAAGCAACATAATGTCAACATATGGAATCATTATTCTTATGTCACTGAATAATTGATTTTGCCCTTTAGAAGAATTTCCACAGATCACAGGTTGCCAAGAACATGGTCAGGGCAACAGAAATTATGCAAGATATTGCTTTTGGAGAGCTTGGCTTTCTTTCTCTTCTGGCTGTGAAAGGAATGAGCAGATCTGTGTTTCTTCCTGTCACAATTTTTATCTTGTACATTAAAAAAAAAAAAAGTGATGTGCTTGGTTTTACCTTACAGGAAAAGAAGTCCCTGGTGCTTTTATTCAGAAAGCACATAAACTGGAAATTCTCATGCTCACTCTGACCTTTGTTTGCCAGGGCAGAACTTCTTTCCCATGCTCTGAGAATGGAAAGAGTATGGCATTTTGTGAATGCTTGTAAGAGCTATTCAAGCCATTATTTCACCCAGGCAAATGTGAATGATAAAGAGATGCTAAAGTGTTTTTAAAGACAAAATGTTCAAACCTTACTCTGGTCTTAGAAATCTGAAGTGATTGTGTAAAGCCTGAATTGAAAGAATTGAAAGCTTTAGTTTTCATGAAAGAAAAGTAGTGACCATTTTTTTTTTATCCTTGTAGGCACAGCATATTTAACAAATAGTGGTGAACTGCATTTATTTGTTTTTATTTTAATTAATTAAATTTCACTAGAGATCATGATCATATAGAAAATTTACCAGTCAGCCCATATAATGCAGAAAAAACCCCTCTCTTTTTACCTTGGAAAGAGTTTACTATTGCTAAACAGTTGTCTAAACTATCAGCTTCAAACTTAAATAAGTTAATATATTTGAGAAATTTGGCCGGGTGTGATGGCTGAAAAGCCTGTAATCCCAGCACTTTGGGAGGCTGAGGCGGGCAGATCGCTTGAGGTCAGGAGTCCAAGACCAGCCTGGCCAACATGGTGAAACCTTGTTTCTACTAAAAATACAAAAGCAAATTAGCCGGGCGTGGTAGTGCAAGCCTGTAATCCCAACTACTTGGGAGGCTGAGGCAGGAGAATCGCTTGAGCCTGGGAGGCGGAGGCTGCAGTGAGCCAAAATCACATCACTGCATTCCAGCTTGGGAGACAGAGCAAGACTCCATGTGAAAACAAACAAACAAACAACAACAACAACAACAAAACCAAGCAAACAAAAGAAAAAGAAAAGAAAAAATATTGTGAGAAAAATTCTCCCCTTTTCCAAATTATACTTGTTTAGTTATAATGCCTTTGTTCTTGCTAAATTTCCCACTTGTTTATTCTCCTGGCACTATGGAAATCTACTTCAGTATGAAAAAATTTTCTATTCCTGTGTTGTAAGAGTTTAAACATGATCAACAACAAAGTGTTTTTTGGGCCAGGTGCAGTGGCTGGCTGGGCACGTTGGCTGACGCCTGTAATCCCAGCACTGTGGGAGGCCGAGGCGGGTGGATCACTTGAGGCCAGGAGTTCAAGACCAATCTGGGCAACATGGCGAAACCCCATCTCTACTAAAAATACAAATTAGCTCGGCTTGGTGGTGCGCACCTGTAGTCCCAGCTACTTAAGAGGCTGAGGCAGGAGAATCGCTTGAACTCGGTAGGCGGAGGTTGCAGTGCGCCAAGTTCATGCCACTGTACTCCAGCCTGGGGGACAGAGTGAGACTCCATCTCAAAAAAACAAAACAAAACAAAACAAAAAACAAAGTATTTTTTGTTATTATCATGTGAAATATGAAGTGTTCTGTGAATCATATTTCTTAGAGCTGAAGTAAATCTGTAAATCATTGGGTCTAGTATCCTGGGAGAAATGACTATCTCTATTAAATAGAGAAGAAGCTGAAGTCCAGACAGGTTTACTGCCTTGCCCATCCCACAGCCAGTACATGGCCAGGCTGGAGCCACTGTGCCCCCTGCTGCCAAGTGAAACATGCTTTCTGTTTTCTGGAAGTGACAGGCAGAGGAGATGGAAACTGAAGTGGTAACTCTGGGAGGGGAGACGGTAAGATTTTAAATGAAGGAGAGGGACTGATTAGTGATCAAGAAACAATAAGAGGATTTAATGAGTTCTTTTCCTTTGGCTAAATACTCAGTAGTGAGATTGCTGGATGGAATGGTAGATCTACTTTTAGCTTTGAGAAAACTCTGTAGTGCTTTCCAAAGAGGCTGTACTAATGTTAGTACTAATGTACTAACATTCCCACCAGCAGTGTGTAAGTGTTCCCTTTTCACCACATCCACACCAACATCTATTATTTTTTACTTTTTAATAATGGCCATTCTGGCTGGGCGGAGGTGGTATCTCATGGTTTTAATTTGCATTTCTCTGATGATTAGTGATACTGAGCATTTCTTCATATGTTGGTTGGCCATTTGTAAGTCTTCTTTTAAGAAGTGTGTGTTCATGTCATTTGCCTGCTTTTTGATGGGATTATTTGTTTTTTTTTCTTACTGGTTTGTTTGAGTTCCTTGGAAAAGAGTCAGGGCCAAGGAGGTGAGAGACCTGAGTCAGACCTGTACTGTTCCTAAATGAATTCAGAATGCAGTGATAGTAAGTTTCCATTACTTCTCACTATCTTGTCGGCCCCAAAGTGATTTGAGCAAACCAGACTGACTATTATCTGATCGTGAAGGGGCCAGATAAGCCCCCAGTCAAGTTCAGGTAAGGCCCCAACTTAAGTTCTCACTGCTCTGAGAGAGCAACAACCAGGGAAGTTGGTTGGCTAAAGGTTTCACTTTAGAATAGGGGTTTTCCAGCTTGTGATTCAGGATGGCATTACAGCAGAGGAACTGGCAGTTTTTTATTCTCTCAGAGTTACTGGTAATGTTTGTTTTGGTCTTCTTCCCTTTCTTTCTTAGTCAGCAAAAAAATATTCTCTTGGGAATACTCCCCTGGTATTCTATATATATATATATATATATATGTATAATATATAATATATATATTATATAGCATATACAATACACTCCACCCCCAGGCTGGAGTGCAGTGGTGAGATCTCGGCTCACTGCAACCTCTGCTTCCCAGGTTCAAGCGATTCTCCTGCCTCAGCCTCCTGAGTAGCTGAGACTACAGGCATGTGCCACCACGCATGGCAATTTTGTATTTTTAGTAGCGATGGGATTTCGCCATGTTGGCCAGGCTGGTCTTGAACTGCTGACCTCAAGTGATCTGCCTGCCTTAGCCTCCCAAAGTGCTGGGATTTCAGGCGTGAGCCACCACACCCGGCCTAGTGTTACTATACACTTAAGGAGAAGAACATGTGGCAGACATGGGCTTTTTTATTTTTTGACAGAGTCTTACTCCATCACCCAGCCTGGAGTGCAGTGGCACGATCTCAGCTCACTGCAACTTCCGCCTCCCAGGTTCAAGCAATTCTTCTGCCTCAGCCTCCCGAGTAGCTGGAATTACAGGCGACTGCCACCACACTCGGCTAATTCTTTGTATTTTTAGTACAGACGGGGTTTCACCATGTCGGCCAGGCTGGTTTTGAACTCCTGGGTTCAAGTGATCCACCCGCCTCGGCCTCCCAGAGTGCTGGGATTACAGGCATGAACCACCACGCCCAGCCCAACCTTGGCTTTTTAAACAAATCTTCAGAAACGTTTTCTCCCAAAAAGTGGTTAAGAGCATGGACTCTGCAGCTAGAATGTTTTGGTTCAATTTCTGTCTTTGGCATTTCCTGGCTTTGTACCTTTGGATGATTTGCTTAACCTCTCTATGCCTGGGTTTCCCCACCTGTAAAATGGAAACAGCACTGGCATAATACCTACCTTAAAGAGTTATTGTAAGGTTAAAATAAGGTTTTAATTGTAAAATGCTTGTGTAAGTGTTCAGTGCTCTATGAGTGTTGACTCTTGTTATTATTATCACTTACTGTTTGGTAGGGGAGGAATGGATAAGAACATTCTTCATACAGAGGCCCTGGATAAAGTGGTTCAGTTTGCCTTTATTTGACTTCACTCTACTCCAGAAACAAACAAATCAATACTATTTTTTTCCTCCTACTTCATCTCATAAAGATTTCCTTTAATTGATGTATGAGCATTTTAGTTTAGGAGAAAGTTGATTTTGCTATTTTTTCTTGTGTATTATATGAGCATATATAATATCTTTCAATTACTGTTCCAGTTCATCCAGAGGAAGGTACTCAAGAGTTTTTTACACTTATTCACAGCTATGATGTATTTTTATCTATTTGTATACTTCAGTATTAAGCACTTGTTTTAATTTACCTGTTGCTTTATAAAATACCTAATTGTCCCTTACGACCACTCCATTTCTTTAGGATCATTATTCTTATTATATAAAAGAAAATCAAGGGGAGAAGCTTAAGAAGCTGCCTAAGACAATAGAGTTGTTATAAATTAAAAAGCAAAAGTTAAAATATAGGTATTACCTCCCTTTTATTTACCATATATTAGCAAACTATTAGCCAACTAGACTACAATAGATAACTACATGTACTGTATTTTTTTTTCAGTCTGAGTACTGTGGAGGTTACATCTTTACTGGGAAACTTCGAGGAAGTATGCACATTTCAACAGACACTCTGCCAAGCCTTGGAAGAATGTTCAAAGTAAGTGTGGCATATTTCTGATAGGATAGCCAGCAACATTGCTGTTTGTGTTTTGTTTTCCTTTTACCTGTTGCCTTTGATAAGGACACTTCATAGTTAAGTATTTGTTACAGCTCTGAACAAAGTAGCAATACATAGACAGTGTACTAGGTGGCAGTGTTCACAGTGTCAAACCACTAGTTGTATATTAGAAGTCTATATCTTGTAAATTACTTTTGACTTTATTTAAAAAATACATCAGTTTGCTGTTTCTGGTCAGTATAAGAGACACATAAGGTCTTTTTTTTTTTTTTAATGTTCCTTAAAGTTCTGGGATAAATGTGCTGAACGTGCAGGTTTGTTACATAGGTATACATGCGCCATGGTGGTTTGCTGCACCTATCAACCCGTCATCCAGGATTTAAGCCCTGCATGCATTAGGTATTTGTCCTAATGCTCTCCCTCCCCTTTCACCCCACTCCCCGACAGGCCCCAGTGTGTGATGGTCCCCTCCCTGGAGACACATGAGGTCTTAATTGACCATGAATGACACCTCTGGCACTGATTACATATTTTCTTTTGTACATTGCAAATTACTTGGAAAAGTCATTCAAATGATTCATTCAGTTTCACAGATTTGGTGTCTTTGAATTGCTCCTGATACTATGTCTATTATATTAAGAGTTGAAACACACAGAAAGTGGGGGAAGGAAAAGTATATCTTTATGTGAACCAACACATTTTTGATGGCTAGCTAGATTGTCCAGATGTTTAACTTCATACTACAGTGAACTATAATGATCATCAGGCAATATGTCTCTATAGAAAGACTAATTTTTCAAGCAGCGTATCTTAAAGAAGTTGGCAGCTTTCATCTCTCTAGGGAAATTGAGGTGATTACCTGTTATTTAAGCTTAATAGGACACAGGTGGTTGTCCAGGAAGAACGATGGAGAGGGCCCACACTAAAGGGACTTGAGGGGCCAAGAGGGATCTAGATTATTGATATGCAAAGATGTTCACTAAGCGAGAAGGGCAGATTACAAACTAGATTCATAATCCTTATGTTTTCCATTTTATAGAGAAACATGTAGAAAAAAGCCCAAGAAACATGTCAACATTTTTAGAGTCAGTATCTCCAAATGGTGGGAGTCTGAGAAATTCATTTTTCTTATTACACTTTTCTGATTTTTCTACAAATGAAGACAGGTGGCTTATAATTTAAAACATTAATTTAAAAACTTTTGAGGCCACCCTGCGTAGCAAACACCAGGCCTCCAAGATTACATAATATTCTTTTGTGGTATGTCATTTTTGGATTTGATTAGTTTTGTCTGTACTCAAACTTTAGATAAATTAACCAAGAATATTTTTAGTGTACCCAGCTAAATTTGAAAATAATCATCTTAAAAACAAACAAGCAACCATACCTACTAATTCCAAGTAAGTATCTGACCCTATGTATTACAACTGTGTTTGGTGGCTAGAGTTTAAAGCAGTGGGCAAGAATTTGAGTTTCATGGGTAAAATGGTTATAATATAGTTTCTCTTTTAACCTTGGCAAAATATTCAGAAGGCTTTCATGCTGCCAGGTTTAATTGGAATAATCTTCCTTTGCCTCCTGTTTCCTATTTTACATTCTGTGTTTTGTCCATTTTGTTTACAGGTTTCCAGAAAACCAGCACAAAGTAGGAGGTTGTCTACTGAGTCTCATGCCTCATTTTAAATCTATGTATCTGGCTTACTGTGCAAACCATCCTTCAGCTGTAAATGTGCTCACTCAGCACAGGTAAATAGTTAACATTTCCCCAACTTTTGCAATGAGATCCTTTCTTAGGACCACGTCATTTGGAAATCCAAGGTCTTCAGTTGGACTCTTGATTATCCCTGTTCATGATGCCAGGAATTGATTCATTGTTACATGGATTGATTGTCCATTAATCCAATGAATAAATTCTTGAGCACCTACTATGTGCAAGGCCCTGTACCAGCTGATGGGGATACAGGAATGAACAAGGAGGAGGAGGTCCTTCCCCTCATTGAGCACAGAATCTTGAGGGAAATGCAGATATTAAATTAAATGTTGTAAACGTGTCATATTATGAAACAGTAAATTAAAAGGGTTCTGTGAGATAACATTAACATGATATCAACTTAGTGGGATGTGAAGAAAGGGTCAGGGAGGGCTTTCCTGAAGCAAAATTCTATTTCGAGCCTATCATTTAGCTTTCCCCTACCCCAATGAATGTTTTTTCTGAGTTGCTGACACATAGCTAAACTGTGTAGCTTCATCTCTTTTTGCCTTCCCTAGTCTGCGTAGAGAAAGTTTTAGGCAATGATGTAGCTACAAAGCAGGTGTGAGCTGTGTGACAGATACTTTAAGCAAAGGGCTCTGATAATAATTATACATGAATATAAGTTGCTTCCGATTCATGATGAACAATAGAATAGTGTCTCCTTTAAGAATACGAGTCCTTGCAAGGGACCTAGATAAGTGTTACACCTCTCCTGCCATCCTTAGCTTCTGACTACCCACCCCTGACACATTCACTGACACATTCATCTGGGCCAGAAAACTGTAGGACAGGCTTAGTGACAGAATTTTACCTTTGAAGTCATATGCTGGAAATCCAGGTGGGACAAAAGCAAGTCCAACATATAGAGACTCTTGACTTAACTTGGAGACTAAGATGCAGAATGGACATGGATTCTGGAAGCTGTTCAAGACTGAAAATAATATTCTCTTAATCTGACCTAGATTTGAGCTCCCAGAGCTAGGCTAGAACATTAGTTGACACGAGCCTCCAGAAATGACAGAAATTTTGGTTCTTGTCCTGGTTTATTAAGGTGCAATATTTATTGGCTTTACAAAGATGTTATGTAAGGACATTTTAAAGGTTGAACGCAGTAAGTCCTGCTTGAAGGTCAATTTTATTCCTCTGATAAATTTTGAACTCTTATGGAATAGCAAATATGGAAATTGGAGTTTAAAGAAAGAGAGGTCATGAACCTGGCATTTTTAGGCAAGTGGCTCAACTGCTTATAGCTAACATTAGCTAGTAATAGCACTGACGATGTGCCAGGCACATGATGTAAAAGCCTATGAGGGAGTTATTATTATTACCATCTCTGCTTTACAGATAAGACATTGGAAGGCTTAGGTTAAGTAATGTGCCCAAGAACTCATAGATCTTAAGTGGTTGAGCCAGAATCCAGGTCTGTCAGACTTCTAAAAAATATTTTTATTAAGACATATATTTTATCCACAGAAAGAATAATGTAAATGCAAATTTAAAGGATCACAATAAAATGAGCACCTGTGTATCTACCACCTGGCTTAAGCAATAGAAAGTTACCCTTTTCTTTTCTCCCTCCCCTCCCCTCCTCTTCCCTTCCTTTTTTTTTTGACAGAGTCTTGCTCTGTCACCGAGGCTGGAGCACAACTGCAACCTCTGCCTCCCAGATTCAAGCGATTCTCCTGCCTCAGCCTCCAGAGTACCTGGGATTACAGGCACGCACCACCACGACCAGCTAATTTTTGTAGAGATGGGGTTTCACCATGTTGGCCAGGCTGATCTCGAACTCCTGACCTCAAATGATCCGCCCACCTTGGCTTCACTTGACGGAGCAAGACTCTGCCTCAGACAAAAAACAAAACAAAAACAAAACAACAACAGCAACAACAACAAAACAAAGTCACTGCACCAATTTATTTTCTCACTATCTGTGTATGAGGGTTTCATTTTCTCCACACCCTCACCAAACATTTGTTATTGTCAGTCTTTTTGATTATAGACATATTAGTGGATATGAAGTGGTTTCTCATGGTGAGATTGATATGCATTTTCCTCAGGAATAATGATATTGAGCATCTGATATGGTTTGGTTCTATGTCCCCACCCAAATCTCATCTTGAATTGTCAACCCTACATGTCGAGGGAGGGACCAGGTGGGAGGTGACTGGATCATGGGGGTGGTTTTCCCCAAGCTGTTCTTATGATAGTGAGTTCTCACGAGATCTGAAGGTTTTATAAGGGGCTCTTCCCCCGTCGCTCTTGCTCTCTTTCCTGCCACCTTGTGAAGGAAGTACTTGCCTTTCCTTCTCCTTCCACCATGATTGTAAGTTTCCTGAGGCCTCCCCAGCCATGTGGAATGGTGAGTCAATTAAACCTCCTTTGTTTATAAATTACCCAGTCTCAGATAGTATCTTTATAGCAGTGTGAAAACGGACTAATACAGCATCTTTCATGTACCTACTGGAAGTTCGTATACCTTCATTCAAAGAAATGTCTATTCAGATCCTTAGCCTGTTTTTAAATTGGGTTATGTGTATTTTTATTGAGATATAATTTATATAACATAAAATTCACGATGTTAAACTACGCAATTCAGTGGTTTTTAATATATTCACAAGGTTGTGTAGCCATCACCACTGTCTAGCTCCAGAACATTTTTATTACTCCCCTCTAAAAACCTGTCCCCAGTAACAGTCACTCATTATTAATGGCTAGTGATGTTGCGCATCTTTTCATCTTGCTTATTGGCTATTTTAATGTCTTCTTTGGGAATATGTCTATTTAAATCTTTTGCTCATTTAAAAAATTCAGTTAGCTATCTTTTCATTGTTGAGTTGCAACAGTTCTTTATATATTCTGGATATTAGATTCTTACCAGATACATGTCTACCTTGGAGATACTGTGGATCCAAACCACTACAGTGAAGTGAATATTGCAATGAAGTGAGTCACATGAACTTTTTGGTTTCCAAATGAATACAAAAGTTATATTTACACTCTACTGTATAGTCTATTAAGTGTGCAATAGCATCATGTCTAAAAAAGCAAGGTACATTCCTTAATTAAAGAATACTTTATTGGCTGGGCGTGGTGGCTCATGCCTGTAATCCCAGCACTTTGGGAGGCCAAGGCGGGCGGATCACCTGAGGTCAGGAGTTTGAGACCAGCCTGACCAACATGGAGAAACCCCATCTCTACTAAAAATACAAAATTAGCTGGGCATGCTTGCACATGGCTGTAATCCCAGCTACTTGGGAGGCTGAAGTAGGAGAATCACTTGAACCTGGGAGGCGGAGGTTGCCGTGAGCCGAGATTGCGCCATTGCACTCCTGCCTGGGCAACAAGAGTGAAACTCCGTCTCAGGAAAAAAAATAAAAAAAGTTTGGAGTATTGTAAGAATTACCAAAATATGACACATAGACACAAAGTGAGTACGCACTTTTGGAAAAATGGCACCGATAGACTTGCTCAACACACGGTTGCCACAAAACTTCAATTTGTAAAAAATGCAATTATCTGTGAAGTTCAATAAAGTACACTGCAATAAAATGAGGTGTGCCTATATATGATTTGAAAAAATATGCTTTCATTTTTTGGGTTGTGTTTTCGGTTTCTTGATGGTGTTCTCTGAAGCACAAAAATTTTGATTTTACATTTTAATTTTGATGATGTCCAATATGTTGTTTTGTTGTTGTTGCTTGCACTTTTGGTGTTGTATCTAAGAAATTATTGCCTAATCCAGGTCATGTAGATTCATGCCTATTTATTTTCTTAGAGTTTTATAATCTTAGCTTTTATATTTAGGTCTTTAATTAATTTTGAGTTAATTTGTGCATATGGTTCCATTTTATTCTTTTGCATGTGGATATCTAGTTGTCCCAGCACCATTTGTTGATTTCTATTCTTATAAATTGAAGTTGTGTTTTATGGCCCATAACGTGGTCTATCTTGGTGAATGCTCCATGTGAGTGTGAGAAGAAAGTGTGACTGTTGTTGAATGAAATATTCTACAAATGTTAATTAGAACCACTTGACTGATGGTTCTATTCAGTTCAACTGCCTGCTTACTAATTTTCTGCTGCTGGATCTGTCAGTTCCTGATAGAGAGATGTTAAATTCTAACCACAATAGATTTATCTCTCTTTTCAGTTCTATCAATTTTTGTTTCATGTATTTTGATACTCTGTTGTTAGGTGCATTCACATTAAGGATTATTATGTTTTGTGGGAGAATTTGCCCTTTTATCATTGTATATTTTTCCTCTTTATCTCTGATAATTTTCCCTGATCGGAAGTCTGCTTTGTCTGAAATTAATACAGCTAGTCCAGCTTTCTTTCAATTATTGTTAATAGGATATATCCTTCTTCATCTCTTTACTTTTAATTGTCATAGATTAAAATATATGTTGTAGACAAAATATATTTGAGTCTTGTTTCTTAATCCACTCTGACAGTCTCATTCTTTTAATTGGCGTATTTAGAAAATTCACATGTTAAGTGATTATTTATATATTTGGATTAGTATCTGCCATGTTTTCTATTCATTGCAATTGTTCTTTGTTTCTTTTTTACCTCTATTTTTCCGCCTTTTCTGTTTTTAGTAAACATTTTATTTTCACTTTTCTCTTAGCATATAATACTCCCTTTAAAAAATTTTACCAGTATCCCTAGAGTTTATGTTATGTATTTACAGCTAAATCTAACAACACTTTCACATAACACTACACAATTTCATAGGTAACTTATAACAGAATATTCTCAATTCCTCCCTCTTATCCCTTATAATATTATTGTAATTCATTTCACTTTTCTATAAAGTAAAATCACCCAATACACTGTTGCTATTATTACTTTGAACAGTTATCTATTAAATCAATTAAGAATAAGAAAAATGAGGCCGGGTGCGGTGGCTCGCGCCTGTAATCCCAGCACTTTGGGAGGCCGAGGTGGGCGGATCACGAGGTCAGGAGATCGAGACCATCCTGGCTAACACAGCGAAACCCTGTCTCTACTAAAAATACAAAAAATTAGCCGGGCGTGGTGGTGGGCGCCTGTAGTCCCAGCTACTAGGGAGGCTGAGGCAGGAGAATGGCGTGAACCCGGGAGGCGGAGCTTGCAGTGAGCCAAGATGGCGCCACTGCACTCCAGCCTGGGTGACAGAGCGAGACTCCATCTCAAAAAAAAAAAAAAAAAAAAAAAGAAAAATGAAATATTTTGTTTTACCTGGATTTATTATTTTTGATACTTTTTTCCATGTATCCAAGTTTTGTTTGTTGTTTTTAAATCTATATCACTTTCCTTCTCTCTGAAGAACTTCTTTTAACATTTTTGCAAGGCAAGTCATCTGGCCACAATTTCCCACATTTTTTGTTTGTTTGAGAAAGTATTCAGAATTCTAGGTTGTCATTTTTTTCCTTCAACACTTTAAATATTTCATTCCATTCTGTTGTTTGCATGGTTTATAATGAGAAGTCTGATACAATTCTTATCCTTGTTCCTCTACAGGTAAGGTGTTTTTCCCTGTCTGGCTTCTTTCAAGATTTTCTCGTTGCTTTTGCCTTTCTGCAGCTTGAATATGAAATGGCTAGGTGTAGATATGTTTTGCTATATATCCTGCTTGGTGTTCTCTGAGATACCTGGATCAGCAGTTTGGGGTCTGTCAATAATTTTGCAAAATTCTTGGCCTAATAGGGTCAACATTTTAAATATTTCTTCTCTTTTCTCTTTCTTTTCTGTCTATATTCCCATTATGCATGTTACACCTTTTGTACTTGTTCCACAGTTTTTGTGTATTCTCTTCCATTTAAAATTTTTTTCTTTACATTTAAGTTTAGGAAATTTCTATTGACATATCTTGAAGCTCACTGTTTCCTCAGCTATGTTTAGCCTATTTGTTAGACTATCAAAGGCATTCTTCATTTCTGTCACAGTGTTTTTTATTTCAGGCATTTTCTTTTGATCATTTCTTAGTGTTTCTATCACTCTGCTTACATTACCCATCTTTTATTACATGTTGTCTATCTTTATCTGTTAGAACCTTTAACATATTAACCATAGTTATTTTGAATTCCCTAATAATTCCAAAATTTGTGTCATATCTGAGTCTGATTCTAAAGCTTGCTTTGTCTCCTCAGACTGTTTTTTTCTTGCCTTTCAGCATGCCTTGTAATGTTTTGTTGGAAGGCAGACATGATAAATTAAGTAATAGGAACTGAGGTAACTAGGTGTTTACTGTGAGGTTTTCTGTTAATCTGACTAGGATCTTGCCTGTGTTTAATGTTTGCTGTAGCTGTAAGTATGAGGGGCTTTAGATTTTTTTTGTTTCCTTTCCTTCTCTCTTATTAACTTTGGCTTTCTTTCTTTCCTTTCTTTCCTCTTTTTTTTTGTCTCACTGTCTCCCAGGCTGGAGTGCAGTGGCGCGATCTCAGCTCACTGCAACCTTTGCCTCACAGGTTCAAGCAATGTTCATGCCTCAGCCCCCTGAGTAGCTGGGATTACAGGCATGTGCCACCACGCCTGGCTAATTTTTTTGTATTTTTAGTTTAGACAGGGTTTCATGAAGTTGGCCAGGCTGGTCTCAAACTCCTGACCTCAAGTGATCCACCTGCCACAGCCTCCCAATCCTGCTGAGATTGCAGGCCTGAGCCACCGCGCCCTGCCTATCTTTGGGTTTCTTAAGAACTCCTTCTTAAATAGAGTCTGTGTCTTGCAGATCCCTCCCTGTAATCCACTGTTATTATATATTGGGGCCCTGTCAATGTGGTGATAAGGTGTTGGGGAAGGGGACACATTCTATAATGTTATGAACAAGTCTCAATTTTTTAGTAGACCTGAGTCCCTGGAAATTGACCTCCAGAAGCAATTCTTAGCCTTTTTTAGTCCTCTCACATATGGCAGGAAGATGAGAGAGGGCTGAAGCTGGCCTATTGTACCTTCCTCAGGTCAGATAAGACTTGGCAACATAGTTTCCCTTGGAAGACAGGCCTTTGTTTTGGAAAAGGTTCTGGGATTATTTCAAAATGGATGCTCCACCCCGCCCCCACTCCTATCCCAAAACATGAGAGGATTTTTCTCTGATCTTCACTATGGAACATTTTTGGGTTTTTGGATCCCAAACCCACAAAAGCATTGCCCCGCCTCAAGATGGTTCTCCAGGAGCTTTTAAATCTCAAGTTGGGGTCCACATTCAGACTCCAGGAATTCATTAAAATCACTATGCAAGTGTTCCTGCCAGTTACTGGGTCCAGTGGCTTCTGCTTTAGGGAAGCTAATCTCAGCTGTAATTCTCTGTATTCACTGTTTCTCCAGATTTTGAGGTGGTGATTTTTTCTGTGATCTCAATTCTCAGTAAATCTAACAAAAGTCATTGATTTTCAGTTTGTTCAGTATTTTTTTAATTATGACTATAGTGTGATGACTTCCAAGCTCTTTCGATGTCAGAGCTGAAATCAGAAGTGCTTTAATGATTTTTTCACTATATTTTATTTTTTTATTATTTTAAACGTTTTTGTTATAAATTTTCTCTATAATATTTCACTATATTTTGGGGTGTCTTTTAGTGGTTACTCTAAAACTTTCCATATATATCTTATCAGAATGGACTTCATTTTTTATGCTAACTTAATTCTAGTTATATATAAAAATGTGACTCCTGTATAACTGTTTCCTCTTCCCTTTTTGTTATTATTATTATAAATATGAACTCCATATACACAATAATACATGCTATAATTGTTATTTAATTTTATGTCCATTAATACAACTGAGAGAAGAAAGGAAAGGAAAAATATATTTATAGTGTTTGTTATATTAACTTTCTTATTTACCATTTCTATTTCCCTTCATTTTTTCCTGTGAATTTGTGTTACTATCTGGTATTATATTCTTATTCCAACAGACCTTTGCTCCCACCTTTCTCCTTCATGCTGTGGTTTTCAAATATATTAAATTTATGTGTGTATAGGTCCAACAATGAAATTATAAAATTTTGCTTTGGCCAATTGCTTTTATATCAGTTAAGAGAAGAAGAAGCATGTATTTATACTGTCTTTCATAATTGCATATTTACCTTTATTGGTGCTCTTTGTTTTAATATGTGAATTTAAATTTAAGTCTGGGTTTACTTGCTTTCAGCCTGAAGGTCTTCACTGAGTGCTTATTGTAAGGTGGATTTTTAAGAAAGGATTCTCTTAGTTCTTGTCTGGGAATGTTTTCATTCCACCTTCCATTTTGAAAGATAGTTTGGATGAATACAGAATTCTTGGTTGGCAGTTCTGTTTCTTTCAGTACTTTGAGTATGTCATCCCACTGCCTTCTGGCCTCCAAGATTCTGATGAGAAATCAGCTGTTAATATTATCTAGGTTCTCTAGCCCATGACGAGTTGTTCTTCTCTTCCTGCTTTCAGTTTTCTCCTTGACTTTCAGGATTTTTATTATAATTTGTTTGAGTGTGGACCTCTTTGCATTTATCCTACTTGAAATTCATTGAGCTTCTTGTATGTGTGGGTTGATGTTTTTCTCAAATTTGGGAATTTTAGTCATTATTTCTTTGCATATTTTTTCTGCTCCATTCTCTCTCTCCTCTCTTTTTAGTACTTCCATTATGTATATGTTCTTTTGCTTAAAGATTTTCCATATTTCTCTGAGGCTGTATTCGTTTTTCTTTATTCTTTTTTCTCCTTTTTATATTGCATAATCTCTATTGATGTATTTTAAGTTTACAGATTCTTTCTTCTGCCAGTTCAGATCAGCTGTTGAGCCCCTCTAATGAAATTTTAAATTTCAGTTATTTTACTTTTAAACTCTAGAATGTTCATTTGGTTCTTCTTCTTTCTTTTTGTTTACAATTTCAGCATCTTTATGGATGTTCTCTATGTGGTGAGACATTGTCATCATAGCTTCCTTTACTTCTTTAAGCATGGTTTCCTTTTGTTCTTTGCACATATTTATAATGGCTACTTTGAAGACTTTATTAAGTCTGACATTTTGCCTCTTACTGACAATTTCTGTTGTTTCTTATTTGTGTAAGTTACACATTGCTGTTTCTTTGTGTGCCATATTGTTTTTTGTTGTTGAGAACAAGACATTTTAGGTAATTTTAGATTTCACAACTGTGATACTGATTTCATTCCCCACTCTCTGGGACATGTTTTTGTTGTTTGCTTATGTGTTTGTTTAGTAACTCGATTTGACTATTTTAGTGAAGTCTATTTCGCTCACAGAGTACAATCTCTGGTATCGCTCTTCAGAGGGCACAGCCTTGGTCAGGCATGCAGTCACTCTGGAATGACAGTGGTCTTAGCAGAGCTGTCTTTGACTGTCTCACTCCCTGATCTCTCCTTTAAGCCCCGTTTGGTATCACATCCAGGTGTTAGGCTCTCCTAATTTCCAGCTGATTGGCTCTAATATTTTTGATAATTTCATGGGGACATAAATTGCTCCACCATCTGATCTAATTAAGTTCAAGTGGAGACACTTTTTGAGACTAGACTTTGAGGTTTCTTCTGATCCTTCTTAGCACTTCCTGGCTGTCTGTTTCCCTGGTTCTCTCTCTGGTGACCTAGCTGGCCTATGGGTTAGCTTTTTGCACTTAAGTGACAGGAGCTACCTGCCTCCTTTTATTGGCTTACTACCAAAATCTCCTTTGTTTTGGCAAGAGCTCTTAAGCTTGAATATCCCCACATGCCTTTTTTCCAAATAAAACCAATTTCTTCATGGAGAGCTTCAGAACTCTTCTGTTCCCATGGACTGCGTCTCCCTCTGGGCAAAATCTCACTACTCTGGGAGCTGGGCAGCATGGGTACCCTCTGGTTGCCTCTTCCAGCTTGCCTTTTCCAGCATGGAACTCTCTACCCTACACTTGGGCTGGGGTGAGGGTGATTGGGCCTACTCTCCAGCCTGTGTCGGGGCTGCGTGAAGTGAGCTTTCGACCTCTCAGGCACACTTACCAGGAATTTAGCCTCTTTTACACAGAGTTGAAGGGGAGAGATGTGCTGATGACCTGTCCCTCCTGGTGAGATATCATATTTTTTGACTGGTAGCTGAGAGGCCAGGGAGGCCTCTCTACTTGGTCACAGTTGCCCGGAATGGAGCTTCTGTCAAGCTGAGTTGGGAGGAGGGAGAAAAGGGAGAGCTGGTCATAGCTCAAATGCTGTAAGTTCTCCCTGTTCTTACTGAGTTTTAGTAGATTTTCCTGAATAAATACTTTTTTTCATTTATCTTATATCATTAGGACAACTTCTAGATATTTTATTTATTTTTATTTTTATTATTATTGGCTTTTCAGAGACAAGGTCTTGCTCTGTCACCCAGGCTGGAGTGCAGTGATACAATCATAACTCAACGCAGCCTTGAACTCCTGGGCTCAAGCAATCCTCCCACCTCAGCCTCCTGAGCAGCTGTGACTACAGGCACACACCACCACACTCAGCTAATTATAAAAAAATTATAGAGACAGGGCTTTCACTATGTTGACCAGAGTCTGCTGGTCTCAAACTCCTGGGCTTAAGTGATCCTCCTGCCTCAGCCTCCCAAAGTGCTGGGATTACAGGTGTGAGCCACTGCGCCTGGCCTAAATGGTTTTCACCTGCTACGCTTTTTTTTAACTGAGTAGTGCATCCAATGAATCTCATGCCACCATCTCAAAAGTGGAACTCCTTACTGTTTCCTTTTCTGTCCTTCTGTGCCCTTGCCTGATCTGAGCCTAAACTTTTTATCACTTTTTTAATGTCTCACTTCACAATTCTACCACTTAGAGGCTGTTTTACCCAAGGCAATTCACTTCATTTCTAAGCCTTAATTTCCTCACTTGTAAAATGAGGGTCAAACCACCTACCTTGCAGGATTGATGTTAGTATTAAATGAAATAATGTATACTAAGCACCCAGCACTGTGTCACCATGCCCTATGTGTCCTTTAAACATCTACCTACCAGCTACTAGTTTCTTTTTAGGAAAAAAAGTATAAAATATTTCAAGCATACAAAGAACAGAGATAATATAAAGTACATCCACGTACCCACTATTCAGCTTAAGAAACAAATTATAGATGCAATTCAAGTTCTGTGTATCCCCTTCAATATTTCCTGCTCTTCTCTCCCTCACCAGAGTGAACCACAGTCCTAAATTTGTTTTTGTCATTTCCAGGAATGTTTTCATACTTTTCTACATATCTACAATAAAGAAAAAATGATTCACAGACTTTTTTCCTTTGATGAATTCATAAATGTCCTGTGAATATAAGGGCAAATTCCTTAACACCAGTAAAATGAGCACATGTTCTCCTTTTGATATGAAAACAATATTCTGGATGAATACTGGAAAGAAATGGTTTACCTCAAGTGGCAGACTTTCTGTGGTGTTTAGAGAAGTTTCCATTGTAACTCTATGTGTTAAAATGTTACTGACTACATTTACCTATGTTGGGAATTTAATTTTATAATTAAGTAAAGCTTCCCTCAAACATTATGGTTTGATGTTTGTTACACAGTTGATTTAAAAGATTCTCAAGTTTTTGGTGAAGTATAATGCCCTGTTTAATTTTAGTTAACGGTGTTTTTGAGAATTTTATAATATCCCTTGAAATGATGGAAGACTCACTGGAGTCCTCATAGAACTAAATTTTTATCTTACTGGTTTATTTACAGGTAAAAGGGATGAAAATTAAAATACTTGAGGTTTTTCTCACATGTGCTTTTAATATAATCTCAACTATTTTACATGCATCTAGTGGCAATTTATGCTGACCTATTAAAGGCAAAGCACAGTGAAATGAAATTCACAGAAAATTCACATTAAACATTTTTTAGATGAAGATTTCAGCTGAAATAGGGACATTGGTGGATTTCTGTTCTTTCCTTGCTGAAGCTGTGATGTTCAGGTGAACTTCTTCCTTTCGGCCTTTAGGTGGCAATACCATACCAGGAATGCTTATAACAATTGGCCCTGAGAAGGGATCCAGCCTTAAAATTGTATGATTGCATGCAGCTGTCTTGTTAAAAATGCAGTCGTGTATGGCCTGAATTTGGATATGTAATCAGACCCCAACCTTGATGTGTCCCCATATTTGCATATATTTGAATGGCCGCTCTAGTCTTTTGTTGTCCCCTGGGTGAGGTATTTCGGGATTTCCCCTCCCTCTCCCCTGCTAGCTTGCTATGGTAGCTCCTGTTTCTTCCTGGGAATAACCTCTCTTTTACAAAAATACCCTCTTCTCTCCTGTGCTTGCTTCAGTGTGGCATTCATCCTTTTTCACGAGGGAGAGGGTTAAATGAGAGATCAGAGAGAAGAGGAGTTGGTGCTAAGACAGATCCGGACCTCACTTCCGTCTCTGCTGTGCTGTGCTTTTGCTCTTGTTAGTTCTCTCCACTCTTTGTTTACCATGGTTGCCAGCAATGAAGACTTTGAGAAACCCCCCAAAAAGTTGTGTACTTGCTCTGGGGGCAGGGAGCACGTAAAAAATTCTGAGCCTAGGTTCTGTTCTTTTCTGTCTTTGAAGGGCCAGAGAAGGGAGCAAGTAAGACTGATCACAAACAAAAAGTGGTAGGGACAAGGCCGGGCGCGGTGGCTCACGCCTGTAATCCCAGCACTTTGGGTGGCCGAGGCAGGTGGATCACTGGAGGTCAGGAGTTCCAGGCCAGCCTGGCCAATATAGTGAAACCCCATCTCTACTAAAAGCACAAAAATTAGCCGGATGTGGTGGTGTGCGTCTGTAGTCCCGGCTACCCAGGAGGCTGAGGCAAGAGAATCGCTTGAACCCTGAAGGTGGAGGTTGCAGTGAGCCAAGATCGCACCACTGCACTTCAGCCTGGGCAACAGAGCAAGACTGTCTCAAAAAAAAAAAAAAAAGGAGTGGGGACAAAAAAAGAAGCAAAAGAAGCACACCACCTAATATCTGGGGCTGGATAAATGAAAAAGAGAAGAAAGGGAACCACTCTACCCAGTGTGAGTGGCACTCTTGAAATTTTCCACTGGCCAGAGGCTGTGGCAGCCAGCTCCTCTTGCCTCACCACCCCTTTTGGACCACAGTGATTTCCCCCGAAGGGCTGGTGGGGTAGTAATTGAGGTGGAGAGGAGGAATCTCTGACCTTCTGCTAGGTAGAGTTATGATCATTCAAATTAGAAACCTATACAAAGATGCCACAGAAGCACTTCTATATGAGATGGCTAAGCTCTGTAGTGTTATTATAGTATACATAGCTTTCTTCAGCTTTCCAGTCCAACCCAGAATATCCCAGAGCCCCATCCACCATGCATTCTATGAAATAAATGTATGTTGTTTTAAACAGCATTTATACACTGAGAACTGCTTCTATTGTATCATGTCACATATACAGAACATTTTAAGCTTGAAAAGCAAGTCTTAATCCACTGCTATTTCAAATGGGCTGTATAAAATTCTACATTTAAAAGACAGATTGTTCTTTGGTATAACAATATATATTTATGTATTATATTTGTGTATAATGATACTAATTTGTGTATTATGTTTATTTGGCTAAATAAAATGTGTCTTTTAGGATCTATTTATCATAGATAAAAGGCATTTTAGGACAATTTTGTTCTTTTGTTGCCCTAGTAAAATTATCTTTTCTGAAGAACCAGTGTTTTAATCCAAGATAGTGATCTCATGTTGTACTGAAATAAATTTAAATTGTTTTATGATGTTTAGCAAGCCTAGAAGTTAGAATGCTGCATGGAAGGTAATAATAAGGTACACATTAGCATTTGCTTTTAATTGCTTTCACTCTTGCATCAATTAGAGTAAAATGTTGAGGATGCGGGCAGTCATTTAGTCACTGAAAGAAAAAATAAAACTTGTTTACTAAATTGAAAAGAAATTAGGAAAATGATTTTCTCCAAATTACATTTCTACTCAAATGCACTCCAAACCCGAGTTATTTCCCTAATTATATTTTATATGCAATGAATTTTTAAACCTCTTTATGCACTTTATGCTCTTGGTTGGCAATTGAACATCAATTGAATTTCCATTAAGTTGGAAACCACAGGTACTGGTAGTTTTTAAAGATGTGATTTTAGCAAGGTATTTGTCTTGGGATAATAATAATAATAATGCATCCACTGACTACTTTAAAGTTTACAAAATCCTGTCCTGCAGAGAGCCAGTATGGCATCCTAAAAAGACCTGAGGCTTTGGCTTCAGACCTGAGTATGAATCCCACTGTAGCCACTTACTATCACCCTTCCTCTCAGTTTTCTCATCTGTAAAATGGGGAGAACACCTATGTTGAAATGTTGTTGTCATTAAACAAGAATGAATGCATGTACAATTCTTAGCATGAAATAGTAGCATTAAAACCCCCAATATTTAATCTTTGCAATTTTATTAGGAAGTAGGTTTTATCTCTCTTATAAGCATGAGTCAGTTGAGGCTCAGGCAACTCATCCAGGGTTGCCAACTCTCTTTTATGACTCCAAGTCTAGGACATTTCCCTCCCTTTGGCTACTTCTGGAACAAGACTACGAAAACTGATAAAAGGATTAGCAGCAGGCTGGGTGCGGTGGTTCATGCCTGTAGTCCCAGCACTTTGGGAGGCCGAGGTGGGAGGATTGCTTGAGCCCAGGAGTTCGACACCAGCCTGGGCAAAATGGCAAAACCCTGTCTCTATAATTTTGTAAAAGTTTTATAAAAGGATTAGCAGCAATTGCTAGATATGACCTCTCATATGTGATCTAGACTCCATTAAGGCAGCCATTCCCAGCCCAACATATGTGCCATACTGCATGACTCAAGGCTGCTGTTGCATTAGCTGAAACTCCATCTTTTCTCTCCTGCTCAGAAAAGCCCACGAAGGGAGAGTGTGGGTGGGGATTGCAGGGATAACCTGCAATCCGCTCTGTTTCCAGCCTCCTAGTACTTTATTACTGATAGCAAGTTTTTTGAACACACTTCACACCTTATAGCAGCACACCACAGTTGGGAACCATGGCATAAGACGTGTTCTAGGGAGAATAAGTAGGTCACTTTGCACTAGGGGTTTCCTGCTGGGGAGTAGTGAGAAAGATGGTGGAGCCAGTAGGAGTTTAAAAAGTTAAGACTTGATCTTGTAGGCACTCAGCCTCTTGGGTAGGAAAGCAGTGAGGCTAAAATGGTAGTCTGTAGGACCTGGAAAAAGCCTGGAAGCCAGGAAAACAGTTGGTCTATTGAAGTGAGCCAGATGGAATGAGCTGAAATCCTGAACTAAGGCAGTGGCAGCAGGAATGGAAAGGAATGAACAGATCCAAGAAGATTTGTGACTGACTGGATATGCATGGCCAACCAAAGAGGTAAAAGGGCCATGTAATAAAGCAGAAGTTTCAACATAAGCTGTCACTTAGGCAGTAGGTTTCCTCCTCTAAGTATATTTTGCTTAAATATGTATCAAAATGATCTTGCAGCCCCAGGACTCAATATCCCTGTTGGTGGAAAGTAAACAGTTTGGAACGGTGCTAAACAGCAGAAAAAGCACTGGCTTAGAATTAGACATTTACAGCACACAGTTCATAAAATATTAATATATTTTTTCACCAAGTTACTGCCTTATGGAAGTGTTTGGTTAACCTGCTTCACTGGTTTTTGATATTGGGCTAAGTGACTTTGTGGTTAGTCATACAAACATGCTGGTATCTAAATGCAGGAAGTGATTCTAGAACATTACAAGTGGGTGATACAACCTTGTGGATTGTTATCTTTAGGCACCTGACCAGCCAATAACTAGGACGTTTGAAGTGATTAAGAAAATCTATTTTTTAAATTATACTTTAAGTTCTGGGTCATCTGATACACTGTATATCTCACGCCCATGAATGTAGGCTCCTTAAGGGTGGGGATTTTTTTTTTTTGTTCACTGCTGTAGCCCCATCAGAGAACAGAGCCTGTCACTTAGTAGATGCTCAATCAGTAATTGTTGAATGTGTGACACCAGGGATCATGAGTGTCTGGCTCACCAAAGGAGCCCTGGTGCTGATTTTACAGAAGGAGCTTAATAAAACCTGATTTAGTTGAGCCAAAACAAATTGAACAGCATTTGGACTAGTAAAACACATTTTTATTTGGCTTTATATTGTGTGAAATACAGTAAAATAATTTTAGGTTGATAATTCTTTACATGAGATATTCAACAGTAACAAAATTATATTTGTTCTTTTGCTAGTGATGAGTTGGAACAATTCATGGAAAATCAAGGTGCATCGAGCCCAGGTATCCTCATTTTAACAACAAACCTCAGCAAACCATTCATGCGACTGGAGAAATATGTTACTCTCTTGCAAGAGTTAGAACGGCATATGGAGGTAAGGGAAGGTGAACTTTTTCAAGCTCGTGTGCCAAGTATGGTCCTGTGCTCTGGAGGACGCAGCCAATTTGCCTCCAAAATGGCCTTGCAGAGGAATCAAGGTCTTGGATTCAAAATTTACTTTATCTGTTCTTCCCTCTTCTCAGGCTTCTAGTTTTCCTTTTTATGCAGCAAAATAAGATCCTTACTCTTTGCTACTAGATATTAATGATCATTCTCCCTTTTCGCTCTTCTCTTCCAAGCCTTGGTCCTGTGGCTTCCCTTAAGTCTATGCTTACTTGCTAACTTGAGTTTTCTTTTGCCCTCTCAGTAGTTTGGTCAAAATCCAACTAAGAAATCTTCTTTGTTTCTGGTATATTAACCAACTTTATTGTGGGAGATAGAGCAAAACAACATCAGAATGTACAAAGAACAAGTTCACTATAGACAGGAATATTTATCTCTAGAATTCTGCCATCATTCAACTTCCTGACTCTGGATAACAGTGGAAGATTCTGGTATTCCTTAAAGACTAATGGATGGATACAATATTAGTGGTATCTCTCTACACATCATGCATGTACATCAGAGTCCCCCCACATTTTTATTTATAAGCCTACAGTTTACTTGCAACTGTTGTAGCATAGCTATAATCTTTTCTAAATTCTAAGATTTTGCAATGAGGCCTGATAATTGAATATTTTTTCACCAAGAACCAAAGGCCTCATGTTATGAAAAACCAATCAGCAGAGCTAGCTCCTTGAGCCATTCTTTTGTGATTGTTCATGGGGGATTTAAGTGTGGGTGGGAGAGGAGGGCCTGCTGGAGGAGGCTGCATTTACCCTAGTTGCTCTTCCTGTGTCTGGGGAAAGGTTTTGAGGTTTCAAGGGGTTTGATTATCTTTAAAGAAAAAGAGTGCACCCGCACTCTGCCGGGCTTGTCAGCATTTGTAAGGATTGAAAGAATGTTCTCTGAGCGAAACCACATTCTCAGGGTATTTGACCTGCCTGAAAGCCGGAGGCAGTGGGGAGCTGGTGAGCAAAGCCTGTCAGTGTGAAATTTCAGTTAGGGCTCAGGAAGGTGTTGACCTCTGGATGCCTTTCCATAAGCTAAACCAGTTTGCTGAACCGTTTGAGGTTTGCCCCTCCTTGCTTATCACAAAAATCCAGAAACGAGTGGCCTCAGTTTCTATTACTTTTCAGTGTTGAAATGCAAATATGCACTTATTTTGGGGAGAAACAAATCCCAGATGCTCCTGCTGCCTGGATCCTATATCTCAGTCTTTCTTGTAGTGGAGCCTGTTCTCCTCCTGCTTCCATTTGCTGTGGGTCACATGTCTTTGGCTGCCTCTCATTTCCCATCATCAGAAAATACAAGCCTTTAGAACTAGTTCACCACTGGGTGAGACACTTTGTGCAGATTTCAGAGCATTTGGCATGGCTGCTAACAGTAGAATAAAGCCTGAACTTCTTGTTTGTCAGTTGATTTGGATAAGGATAAATTTTACTGTAAAGGAATACAACCTTACTTTTTATGAGCAATGTCATTCTTGGCTTGGGTCAGGCCCCTAATCTGTTCAGCTCTGTATTTTATCACCCGAGACTAGTGGGGCAGGAGATTTAGTCTTCCCTTACTCCAGCTGAGTTCCAAAGGACATATCCCCTATGCCCCAATGTTAGGTGCACATCTACCCATAAGAATCTGTGTCTTCCCTTCATAAACAGTTATGGAATTATGGATTCCTCTAAGCCGTTTTTGAATCTGTCCACTTTCGGAATTGCAAGTACCACAGGATTGCAGGCCATGTGTAAGAGCCTTGCTTAAGAAGGAAAATATGGTATGAAACTTGGAATCTTTTCCCATCTGCCATGTTCACACTGCTGAAAGAAAATGGAGGCATTTTAGGAAATGGAATTAGATTGATTTTTCTCTTGAGTTTTTGTTGTTGTTGTTTGTTTGTTTGTTTGTTTTGAGACAGGGTCTCACTCTATCACCCAGGCTGGAGTATAGTGGCACAATCACAGCTCATCACAGTCTCGACCTCTGGGCTCAGCTGATCCTCTCAGCTCAGCCTCCCAAGTAGCTGGGACTATAGGCATGCACCACCATGCCCGGCTGATAGATTGATTTTTCTCTAACCACGACTCTTGTTTCCACCATTCCCTACCTCCTGTCATCTACCAACAACATGACCTAATGATGTACCCCGAATAATTATTTAATTATTATATTTATTATTAAATAATCATTATCCAAAGTATAATAGCAAAAAGGGAAGTGGGAACTCTTGCCTTTTACTACATTGTTACTAAATATATGATGCATTACCAACTCTCTTAATTTCTTAATCACCTAATAATTAGAGTCACTGAGATTCCAAATGCTCCCATGCTGCTCTATTTTTTAATCTTTAGTATAGAGTAAAATTAACGTTTTTCTTCTGGTGCACAGTTCTATGAGTTTTCACACAGGTATAGATTCATGTTACCATGACCACAATTAAAATACAGAACAGTTCCATCATCCCCCAAAATTCTCTTGCTATCTTTGTGGCCATACTCTCTTTCTACCCCTAACCCTTGGCAACTGCTGATCCTCTCTCCTCTAACATTGTTTTCAAATGTATTCCTTTGATAGGATACTCATCCAGATCATCAGGATATTCTGAAAGCAATCGTAGCATTCAAAACTCTCATGGTAGGTGATGCTTTAAAATCACAATTCTCCATTTTGTATACTTTATTCCTGAAAGAGCGATTTGTGTGTAACATTTCTTTCCCTATACAAAGGTCTTTAGAATGGAAATAAGCTTTCATGACAGTATAGCAGTGATTGTTTCACTTAATTTTGTCCTCCAAAAATCATGCTTACCTAAAGAAAGGTTGCCAGGCTGAGGGTATAAAGCAATCACATTTACAGTCTCAGCCACATTAAGCCACATTAAGCATTGGTGTGTAGGTGGGGGGTTTCCTTTTGTCTCTTTGTCTTTACCCCCATTGCTCACCTAATGACGAGTCTGTGTAACTCATCATTCACTGATTTGCATCAATACTGGATTCAACTAGTTATGCCAAAGGGTATGAGTTTTTTCTTTGCATATGAAGAAGAAATCCTTCATCAAATCTAAAAGGGGGGAAAAAACCTAAAGAACTAAAATGCAAGTGCTTTATATAGGTTGCTATCAAAGGTACACGTGATCTTGTATCTTCAGTATGATGGTTAATGTATCTTCTTGAACCCACTGATATAAAACCACTTGGTGCCATTTTAGGAGGAAAGAAAACTTCATTTTGGGCAATTGATTAAACTTAGCTTCATTTCACACAATTCTGTAGCATTATAAGTGATTTGGACTAATGTTTAATTATTAATCCTTGTTGAAAGATCAGTAATTGACGTGTCTGTAGTTGAACAGTAAGTTGAAGACCAGAGTAAGTATTAGATTAAAATTGCCATTGTTATATGCCAAAAACAGTCCAATATTGGCAGTTTTACATGGCGCAAGCTAATAGAACAGCCCAGTGAAACCCACAGCATTTATTATAATTATGGTTCTTCTATTTTTTCTTGTATAAATAGGAATGTAAAATGAGTCTTTTTAAAAACCTGTATTTCTTTCTGATTATATTATATAACTTGCCTTGATGGTTTAGTATATTTATTCCTACTATAGGTGCTCTTAAAATATGTGTACAGTGAATTTATTTCTTTGAGTTTCCATGTAGCTGAAAGGGACAGCAGAGATTTTATAGAAAATATAACCCCAAAATATTATCTTACATTCATTTGGAAACAGTAACAGAACTAACCATGTGCTTATTTTTGTATTCAATTTGGAAGGCATGCTGTTAAATTACTCTAAGATAACCTCACAGTTTCTTAAGCAGTGAGATATATATATATATATATATATATATATGTATATATATATGTGTATATATATATATGTGTATATATATATACACATGTGTATATATATATGTGTGTATATATATATATATATGTGTATATATATATATATATATATATATATACACACACATACACACACATATATATAGAAAGAGTATTCATACCCCACATAGTGTTGGCAAACTGTAATTTTTTCTTGGTTTGAAATTTCAGTATGTCATCATGAAATTCAGTTGTATCTCTTTTTTCCAATCCTTTTAGGAATAAAAACTAATTTAGTATTTTTTTCACAGCAATCTTGGTCCTTAAACAAAGTACAGCAGTGCCTAGGTTTCATTATAAGTTTGATTCACTGTGGCATAAAGAATTTAATTTTCTCTTTCACTATAACTCCAGGAGAAATTTTTTGTTTTTTATTATTTTCAAGATGTTACCTTGTTGAAAATTGAGCATATGTTAGAAATACAATTATTTTGTCACTAAAGCCCTATTTATGCAAAGATAGACAAGGTAAGAGGAGCTAAAGCAGGGGCACCAACCAGTAGATCTGAATCTACCAGGTCCTCACCTGGCTCTGGTCAGTGTGATTTGGCTGCTTGCTTTCCCATATTCTTTACAGGGAGGGAGAAATAAGCTCTTTCTAGCATTATGTTTTGATGCTTTGGCAAAATGAAAAATAGGCCTTCCTCACAAAACCTTTGGGGGCTCAAGCCTAGAGATTTAGGGTAGTGGATCTTTCTGTCTATCAAGAACAGGCCTGGGTCATGGGATTCATGATGAGGAATAGGGACTCAGTGGGAACCAAAGAGTCAGAAGCCACATCTTACTTTGGTCTTATTTTAGTCTATTTCATAAGAATTCCTATTCCATTATGTTCTGCTTTGGTTCTGTAGGGGCAATGTCAAGATCTGAGGAAGAGAAAACAGCTGGAGTTACAGATACTGTCCGAACCTATTCAGGCATGGGAAGGAGAAGATATTAAAAACTTGGGAAATGTGATTTTTATGTCACAAGTAATGGTGCAGTATGGAGCATGTGAGGTAAGGTATTTCAAATCTCAACATTATTTCTTCCATCTTTCGTATTTTTCTTCCTTTTTTTTTTTTTTTTTTGACGGAGTCTTGTTCTGTCACTCAGGCTGGAGTGCAGTGGTGCCATCTTGGCTCACTGCAACCTCTGCCTCCTGGGTTCAAGCAATCCTCCTGCCTGAGCCTCTTAAGTAGTTTTTCTTCCTTGTTCTTCCATCAAAGTCAAATGCTACAACATTCAAATCAGAAGCTGAGCACCTGTTCTTTGTTGAACATTCTGCTAGGTGCTGTGGGAGATAGGAGAAAAGAACAAGCAATGATCCCTGTTTTCAAAGAACTCATTAAAAACAGACTAAAACACAAGTTGCAACTAGCTGACAAACCAAATAGTCAATGTTCGATTTTGCAATCTCAACAAGAGTCCATAGAAGTTCACAGGAGGGAGAGATCAAGAAGACCTTACGGAGACAGGACTTGAGGAGGGGGCACAAAAACAAAAGGGGAGGATTTCGCAAGGCAGAGGTCATTGTTATCTTAGGAGAGAACAGAAATGTGGCTTTGGTTTGCTGCAGCACAGTAAGGAAACCAGCCTGTAGGGAGCAAAAGAAGCAACTTGGCCCTAGTAAAAGATTGATTGAGTCAGGTAGAATTAGACTATGCAGAAGCTTGACATCAGGCAAGAGTAGTTCAGATGGATGCAACAGGCCATGGGAAATAATGAAAGAGTCCACAGTCATAGAACAACACTCCGAAAGGGATGTTTCACACTAATCTGCGACCTATATATGTCAAATGAACTGGAGGGAATGGACGAGAAGCAGAAAGGCCAGCTGGGATGGAAAGTGAGAAGGAGTCCCCTAAGACGGTGGTAACACTGGGAATGGAGCAGAAGGAGCAAATTGGAGGCATCTTTAGAAGGGAAAGCCAACAGGAAGTGGTGCCCCTGGGTTAGAGGAGATGAAGAATATAATTTTAGACCTGTAGATATCTGGGTGGAGATGTCCCATAGGCAGCTGTTAATGTAGTATGGAAATGTGAGTGAGAGGTCAGAGTTAGAGGCAGAGACTTAGATGTCCCTAACAGATGTGCCTTCCTAGGAAGTAAATATCCAGAGAGAAGCCCGGGGGGTGGGGGGAGCTGAAGATGGATTATTTCTTTTAGGAAGGAGCCAGGGAAAGGGAGAAAGGTTGATTATGGCACCTGGTTTGATGTATCGGGTGTTAGAATTGTCTTCCTTCTCCCAAAACATCTTCCTACGCTCTCTGACACGTCTTTGGCGGAGATTCATTACTTTGGGTTAATAAGCAATCTCATTTAAAATGCAAATACCCCAGGGAAGGTTACTGCAGTGAGTCTAACTATTAGTCATTCACACCTTTGGGATAAACCCCTTGGGTGAAGGCAGGAGGAATCAGTGCCAGAAAAAATAAAAAGACAAAGAGGAAGGTAGAGAAGAACTGGGGGAGCATGGTGTCATGGAAATTCCACGAGGAGCATTTGAAAATGGCCAGTGTGCTGACTGCTGCTGAAGGTTCAGAGGGCAAGGAATGTGAAGACCAAGAGGAAGCCATTGGATTTTGCTAGAAGGCAGTTACTGATGACTTTCCAAGAGCAATGGGGGTGCAGTTAGGGATGGATCAATGCAGAGAAAATGAAGGCAGCAAGTAATTTGCCAATAAAATGTCAAGAAATGGGATATTATGCATAAAGGGCCACATGGGGGCAAGCCAAGGTCTGTTAGGATAGGAGGTGTACATATGTTAAAGAAAAAGAGGAACAGCTAGTAAAAGAGAAGAGGATGCTGGGAGAAGAAGAGGTGTCTGTAGAGGAAAACTAAGTGAAACAAAGATGTGAGAGAATGTGGAGCACTTGTTAGAATAGTTAGCCTGGAAGGGTTGCTCTTCTCAAATGGAAGGAAGGAGATGGAGACAGGCATAAGGATAATTGTAGCTAAGATGGCTGGGCATGGAAGGCAAACGTAATTTTTGCGTATACTAATTGCATATCTGTTGAAGGGGCTCACAGCAGCCCTCACGTTTCAAGGTTTCCTCAGTGCCATTAAAAAGTGTATGGGAGGCTGAGGTGGGTGGATCACCTGAAGTCGGGAGTTTGAGACCACCCTGACCAACATGGAGAAACCCCATCTCTACTAAAAATACAAAATTAGCCGGGAGTGGTGGCACATGTGTGTAATCCCAGCTACTTGGGAGGCTGAGGCAGGAGAATCGCTTGAACCCGGGAGGTGGAGGTTGTGGTGAGCCGAGATCGTGCCATTGCACTCCAACCTGGGCAAAAAGAGCGAAACTCCGTCTCAAGAAAAAAAAAAGAAAGTGTATCTACTTTTATGTTTTACATAAATCCAATAATTATCTTGTTCTTAATGACCAAAGCTAATTTTATGAATACGACTTTAACAAACATGTTAGAGCATACTAAATCTCTTATCACCTGAAAACCCCTTCATCTTGCCATTTTTTCAAAGTAAAATATATTTTCATTTTGTGAACCTGGAGACTTATTTTGTGCCCAGGTCTAGCACATCTCACTGGCTGCATAAACTGTGGTGACTTCTCAGGCTTTCATACATGGAAAGCAAGCATGGTTATTTGTATTTAATTGTTATGTATAAGAAGAAGAGAGATAAACTGTGGGTTTATGTCCATGTCAAAGTAAAATTCAACTAGTTTTGTGTTTTCAAGTTGGGTATCTTTTTTAAAAAAAAAATTACCGTTAATGTTTCAGTTGTTTATATAAGGTCTATGTTATAAGGCAGTGATTCCAGAAATTCTCAACAGATAAAGTGTCCAATTCTGTTCTTCATGTATTATTTTCATTCCCTCTCAGGAAAAAGAGGAGCGGTACCTTATGTTATTTTCAAATGTCCTGATAATGTTATCTGCAAGTCCTCGGATGAGTGGCTTTATCTATCAGGTTAGTAAATTTCATATAAAACACATAGCAGACCCCCTAACGAAAACAGGTTTCCATCCAGATGCAATATCTCCACTATGGCATTAAAAGCTCAAGCCAGGAGAACCAGAATGTTCTGACCCTTCATTGTAATTAAAGAGCTTGTAAGAGCAGATGTTCCTTAGATCAAAGACCTTTGTATTAGTATAATGAGTTTATCTTGAATATATCCACCGCTTTAGTTATGCACTAGGTTTTGCATGCATAAATGGAAACTAGATAAATTAGCAGCAGTATTGTACAGGCCCATGTCATTATTGCTGAGAAAACATAAAGCTGGGACCTGCTCCTATGTTTGTCTTATTATAGTCACAGCACATGATTCAGGCTTCTAAGAAGCATGTTATTAAACTCCTTAGGAAATTAAATGTCCCTCAGTCAGCTCCCAACATATAGAGTATTATAAGTTACTATTGCCTGTTCCATCTTGGCCTGGCAATTAATAATTTTCATAACATCTGAGCCTTCACTTTTTTTTACTGATTCTTATGAAAATGTGTTAGAAAAGTAAACTGCTTTGTAAATCCTGATCTTATAGTTTAGGGTGTGTTAGCCAAACACAATCCACATTTTCCCCTTGCTTTCTTAGTCTGATTAAAATTTAGAGCAGGGAAACATATTATCTATTGACAGACTGGAGAAATACGTCTAGCCATAGTTTTGCCTTGCTGAGAGGGTCAGAAAATCTAAGTGAAATAAACAGAGACCTGTATAACTGCAGAATTAATGAGAATGTTCTTTTTCTAATAGGGAAAAATACCAATAGCAGGAACGGTGGTGACTAGATTAGATGAAATTGAAGGGAATGACTGCACATTTGAAATCACTGGTAGGTAATTTTCTCTTTTTCATGTAACTACTTCCAATTCTTTTTGGAATGAAGGGGAATTTAATAAATAAATGCCATTATTTCCTGTTACATAGGCCACGAGCAAATTTTATGCGGGCATGGCAAAGTATATTCCATTTCCTGGGATAATTAGGGTACAGCAATAGCACAGAGAAGTCTCCTCTCATTCAAAAGCCATGGCTTTGCCATTAGTTTCAATTTTCTGTTGCATGAGAGCTACTTGTGAGAGCTAAGGAATAACGAAATGGACTGATGTAAACGCAATTTTCTTCCCCTCTGTCATTTGTTCCCTGGTGGCAGAGGAGCCAAAGATATGGACTTTTATCAGCAATTTTATCATCAGCCCATGAGTTAGTAAGATTTGGTTGTATTTCTAAAAAGTTCTGAAAAGCCATCAAATTTTCTTCACAAATTGAGCATAATGCCAGGCTTCAGTAATGCCCCCTGACATTTTAGCTTATGATCCCTTTTGCCAGGTCTGTGTCATTTATATGTAGTGGCCTGACTGTTGGTGCTGATATGGCACAGTGGCTAAGACTGGGATCATGGCCTTACCCTCTTCTTTCCCAAGAAGGAGCTTAAGGTTTGGTGTTTGCCAAAAGGTTGTAAATAGTCTTAGTTGGATCTTGTTCCAACTTTGATACCAGGGGAACCAGGACAATATTCCCACTTTAGACTTAACTAGATGGACTATGTGCTTATGTTTTTGGATTGCAAGTTTGTTTATGGTGAAGTTTTACACTACTTTTAAGCTTCTGTAAGCAGTAAAAATCAAGGACAGTTTTCTAAATCAGACATGAATATTTATTTACTTTGTAATCACAGGTTATCTGTTTCTGATATAGAAATTTCAGCAGGGTTATCCCATAGGTATGAAAACCCCTGAAAATACACACCCAAGTCCTAGTTGTATGAAGTCTATTTATGAATGGGACAAGCTCAAGTTTTTCCTTGCCTTTTGTTTTCAAACTGATCATAATTGGGGGATGTAGGTAACACAGTGGAGAGAATTGTGGTCCATTGTAACAACAACCAGGACTTCCAGGAATGGTTGGAGCAGCTGAACAGACTGATCAGAGGACCTGCCTCTTGCAGTTCATTATCCAAAACCTCATCGTCATCATGTAGTGCTCATTCTGTAAGTAGTCCATGTGTTCTGTCCAGAGATTATTGAGTCTTTCGTCAACTCCTGCCTGCTGGAGACTTACAAGAAGCAGCGAGCACACCCTTAGTCTTTTGGGCAGCCTATATTTGTAGATTTTGAAGTACAGTTAAACCTCACTCATTCTGATTTCTCATTATGAGGCCCATCCAAATTAATGAAAAGGTTTACTTAGAGTGTGCAGTTCTGTTTGACAGTATTCAGATACCCCAACTAACTGCTAGCAAAGTATTTCTAACCAGAAGTCCTGCTAAAATATTTTAATGATAAGCAAGGCTTATTTCCATGAGCAATGGTTATTCTCCTACTAACAGTGGGCTAAGTCGAAACAAATAGTTTACCTCCCTAAGTACTTAAACATCTCCATGTCATCTCACTCATGCTCTCACATTTGCTCAGTAACCTTCTTCAAAGGTAAACTTTTAGCATTATCTCCTTCTGAGTTATCACAAATTTAGACATTGGAATTTGAATTGATGAGATTTTACTGTACTTGCTGAGTGAGATGGAAGATATGCTGTGTTGTTTGTTAACATACAAACCTATGATGCCAAAATTCCAGTTTTGAGGACTGTGTGTTGTGGTTGGAAGAATATGGACTTTGGCTTCAGATCTGGGTTCAAATCTTGGCTTTGCCAATTACTAGTTAGTTGCTTCCCTTGACTGAGTCTATGTCTTAGGCTGTTCTCATGAAATAACCTATTTAAGCACCTACTAGAGTGCCAAACATATCACTGAACTCAAATGTTGACTGCTACTCCATTTTCCTTCCTTACAGAGGAAAGAAAATTAAATTAATTAAATTCCAGATGAGAAAGAGAGGACAGGATCATGGAATGTTGAGTCAATTTTGTGCTGTTTCTTAGAGACCCGATAATCTGGACTGGAAAGAACCAGTTCTCAAACTAGAGACTTTTGTTTTTCCATCTATCCCTTTCTATGGCTGTCTTTGCTAATCCAATGAAGCTATTGTTGTTCTCTCACTGTGTGGCACAAGGTCGGGTTCAGATGGCAGATTGCCAACATCTCATCAGACATTTTCCCAGTCTTTTAGCTCTACCGGACAGCCCCGAGGACCCTTGGAGCCTCCTCAAATTATAAAACCGTGGAGTTTAAGTTGTCTACGACCTGCACCTCCACTTAGACCATCAGCAGCACTAGGTTATAAAGAGGTAATTTTGCTACCTATGGTATAAAATGCTTCTGACAAGTTAATTTCGTAGCTTATTACAAATAGTTCTGTGGGAATGTGCTAGAATTTAAGATAGATGGTATTATGTGAGTCAGTCTTGAATTGCCAGACTCAGTGATTTGTTTGATTTCTTAATTTTCCATTTCCCATTGTCCATCTGCAAATATGTACTGAATATCTACAGGATCTATGTGCACTGCCTGAGTGTTCCCAGTCTCCTCCTGAAGTGCCTCTGGTTTACCTTAATGATTATTATGATAATCCTTTAGATTTGTTAATAATGTACACAAATCTCAAACAAGAGCCACTTCATTGTAGTTGAGTTGCCAATGAAGCAGACTTAATTCAGCATTTGGGATCATTTTGATCAATTTGAACCAAATTAGTAAAGTGTTATGGGACCAAGCTATGAGTCCAAACTATAAAAGTGATATTTGCTGCAATTGGAATGAGAAAAGAATTTGATGAAAGCAGTGTCTTTTAAAAAGAGGCTTCTCAGAGACAACCTTAAAGGCCATTTGATATTTGGGTAGTGTGGGGATTTAAAGGTTTTGTGTATTTTTTTTTTCTCTCAAAGTTGCAGTCAGGAAGTGTCACTCACTAGCTTCTGTAACTGTGTGGAGTATTACTTTTCCATCCAAACAGTGGCTTTATCCCTAACCTGTCTCAAATCATTTCAGATTTCAGAAATGATGCTCATTTATTAGTAACTGTTCTTTAAATTGGTCTTGTTGAGTGAAGATTAAGTTTGTGACAGTTATGAGATGAGTCTTAGAATTATGGGGCAAAGGTGGCTTATATTTCTATATCAAACGTGTGTTTTGATGAGTGATGCAGACTTAGCTCAATTTTGAGTGTTTTGATTGAAACCACCATGCTTTTGTTTCGATTAATTGTTGCTACCAACTCTAAGTGCAGTAAAAATAGGACAATATTTGGACACTGGAGGATTTTTTGATCCTTTCAACTTGACATGATAGGACAAACAACCCTCGAACTGAATCTTTGTTATATAACTCTATTTAGAATTTGGTCAGGAAGCAGTCCCACAGATTTGCTTTGGAAATTTACGTGCAATTCTTGCAATCATCCAATTTTCTTCTTTGATTATGTAAACCAGGAGTGCCACTTGATAGTTACCTAGGCCCCCTTTTTAATGATGGATATTTTGTAATTATCAGTTACTAAGTTCAAATTAAGGGTGAGCTTTGAAGAGTAAAGTTGACTTAATCCTTCACAAAACTAATCTATTAAAACTAAGGCATGATCACTTTGTTTCTGCTGGGGGAAGAGAGTTATTAATATATTCCTACTAGATAGTATGTATTTCAGTTGTTTTCAGCATTTGTTATTCTGCACAGAACTGTATTCCTCGGGCTTTTGCATGATAATATTGCATCTGAAACTAATGTGGGAAATGTGATTATATTCCCTCTGTGTAATTTATGATAACACTAACATTTCAAATGTTGTTTTAGAATTATTGATAAGTGGATTTGGTCATTATAACCATCGACCTCTCACGCTCATCTTCTCTTTCTTTACATATTCATTTTAGAGGATGTCTTATATCTTAAAGGTAAGGGTAGTACAATATCTTTGGCTTACAGTGACATCATAATGCTGTACTGTAACCTTTGATGAATGAAGCTTTCCCTTATGCTTGTTTTGTCCCTTGTTATAATTGGTGGCTAAAATATGAAGATGCAATTTTGACATGTAAGTACTTTGTTCAAAAAGCAGGCTTGTGTGAAATACATATAAAAATGTCATAATGCCCTAAAATGCCCATTTTCCTGTGTTTTTTTTTAAATTCTGTTTTTTCCTGTTATTTTTGTCATGTGAGAGTTTTTCATATCTGTCTTGTTTTCAAGTGTAAGTACTGTGGCTAAGTGAAATAAATTAAATGATTTGTTTCCTATATTTTTAAGGTACTATTAATAATTAATATCCATGCTCCATGTATACACATTTCTTGGAAAATTGGGATTAGGTGATCATGAGAGTTTTTTCCTAAGTCTAAGGTTGTAATCTGTTTACAGATTATTGGATTAAGGATTAAGGATATTGACAATGAGTATTTTTTTGACCTGCTGGTTACTCATATGGCAAAAACAAATTCAATACATTTATTTTGTCTACTAGTTAAATACATGGCTTTATATATGGATAGTTAAGTTTGGCTGTGGGTGTGTTACTTCTAACCCAAAATTATTTTTTAGGAAATCCTTCATTTGGTTCTTCTCTTTGACTGCGGAAAAATGGCTTAGTCTCTCTGCCTTAATTTTTCTGTCTCACAAATGGAAATTATATTCTTATTTGTGGGACTGTTTCTAAGGCAGAATTATTTAAATAGCTTTGAAGCTCTTTGAAAAGTGATCATTACTACATTAGTGGTTACAGTGGTTATTTAGTTCCCCTAAAACTGTATCAGTGGGGAACGTAAACCAAATTAGGAATACTGTTACGTTTTTAGGGTTGACATCCCTTACTTTCTCTGCAGATGGTTCCCTAAAGCCATTTGGCCTCCTGGAGAATCTGCCACATCTTCAGTAGGCACACTCCACTCTTAGTCCCACCTCTGTGCAAGTTGAGAGGATAATGTCATTGCCTCTGTTTTATTTAACCTTTTAGAGTTTATTGGAACCATTTTAATTGTGCATAGAATTAAACATTGATGTACTCCTAACTGAGACTGTCAAAATAAGAGAGAGGAATTCTACTTAGTTTCATTCATGCTTTTACTTTTGTTTTTGAGGGAGAATTTTAATTCATTAAGAAACCTCTGTCCTCACAGGAGTCTAGTAAAAGCCCTAAAACGATGAAGAAATTTCTTCATAAAAGGAAGACTGAGAGAAAACCATCGGAGGAGGAATATGTGATTAGGAAAAGTATGTGTTTTGTACTTTCTGAAAGTTGTTTATGGATAAATTAACATGAGAATCTTCTTTTATGTGAGGATTTATTTGAAAGCAGATGATTGGAGCAATTTTTTCTTGACATCGTCTTTTACATATAAAGAAGAATGCATGGAAAGCTTTGGTCACTTCTTAAACATTTGAATAAGCTTCTTACGGCTGCACTTCATGTCATCTTAGGCAGATGTCATCTGTATCATTTTTGTGTTGAGTATTTTGCCTCACCTGGTTTAGAACCTCTAAAGGGACCCATTTCCTATGGATACATTTTTTCCCTCTTAGTTTCTGATACTTGAGATATTTTTCTGCAGGGAGATAGACTAAATAGACCCGAAGGCTGAAGTCCTTCCAGAAGTCCCATGCTCAGTGATGCTCTCAGTTACTCAGGGAATCAGCCTGCCCACATCTAGAAACATAGTTTCATTTGGAGACAGACTGCAAAGTCAGTCAGCCAGTCGATATGGACATATTTGGCTATAAGGCTGTGAACAAGGTACTTTGGGACACAAGGTACTTTGGGACACATGTGAAGGAGTAAGTGATGTCTCACAAAGAGGTGACAGAATTGTGTGTATCAGCTGGGAATATAGTTTGGATAAATATTTGCTCCACTTCAGCTTTGGCATGCCCCACCCCCCACCCCACACCTGGTTATGCACACTGGCGTGTTCACAGGGTGCTGCCATCCAGCCATTGCAAGAATGAGTTTGGAGTAGAGGAGAAGGGAGAAGGGAAAATGAGTGACTATGCTGACTGGTTAGAAAATTGGGTGGGGTTGGCCGGGCACGGTGGCTCATGCCTGTAATCCCAGCACTTTGGGAGGCTGAGGCGGGCAGATCACAAGGTCAGGAGATCGAGACCATCCTGGCTAACATGGTGAAACCTCGTCTCTACTAAAAAAAATACAAAAAAAATTAGCCGGGTGTGGTGGCGGGTGCCTGTAGTCCCAACAACTCGGGAGGCTGAGGCAGGAGAATGGCGTGAACCCGGGAGGCGGAGCTTGCAGTGAGCCGAGATCGCGCCACTGCACTCCAGCCTGGGCAAGAGTGTAAGACTCCGTCTCAAAAAAAAGAAAAGAAAAGAAAAGAAAATTGAGTGGGGTTAATGAGGGAAAGCTTCCTAAAGGTGAGCCTTGAAATTTAAAGGAGAGGAAGGCTGGGGTATATTGATGGGAGCTAAGCTAGCAACAAGCTCAGTGCTGTGATTTTGGCCTCACTGAGACCACTGACAAAACACCGCCCCCCCCACCCCGGTCCCAGTGTAGAGCTCTGGGCTTCAGGAGTAGGCCCTCCACTAAGCTGAGCTCACTGAGGCTGACTCCAAAGCTCCATGAGGATGCTGTCACTCTTCTCCATCACCAGCGTTGGACAGCTCTTTCTCCTGCCTTTCACAAACTCTACTGGTCAGAGAAGCCAGTCCCAGGCAGTGGAGTGTGCTGCATCATTTTGAGGGTCCAAAAGCATATATCTATGAAAAGTCATGATGAATTAAATTTCACAGGTACAGCTGCTCTGGAAGAGGATGCTCAAATCCTTAAAGTGATCGAAGCCTACTGCACCAGCGCAAATTTTCAACAAGGCCATGGCTCAAGTAGGTTCCCCCAAACTACTTTCTCTAGTGAGTGACGTTTCTTCCTTACTGTTTAGTGTCTTTTAGAAAAAGAGAAAAGCAACCCGGATGGGTTGCAGGGTGTGGAAAGCAGGTGACTTGGTGCAGAGGAGTGGTGCAGGACTGCATCTTTCAGATAAGGTGGTTTTAGCTACCAAGCGGTTTGTTTACCCACTGTTGTTTTTCACCCAGAAAGAGAGATGCAAGAGTAAAAGAGTTGGAGGTGATAGAAGTGAAAATTTTTTTTTAAAGTTGTTCTCCTTTGAAGTACACAGATACCTTCACCAACACTAGTTAGGAATTAAAGGGCCTAGAGAGTTCCTGTGTCTGTGAACTGATGCTAATCTCTTCTTATAGGCAGATTTGGAAAGGAAGTCAAAATACTATCTTTGATCAGCTGCATATTTAAACGAACAATGCTTCACCAAACTCAAGTTTCAAAGTTGCTCTGAAAATCTGGAAAGGTAGCTGCTTAGCAGAGGTTGTCCAAAATGTATAAAGTTGATCAGGGAGTTATTAGGTTAGGGTATTTCCCCAAACAACTTTCAGGTTACAAACTGAAAGCAAGATAATATTTTCTGATTCATCTTTATGCTTTTAAAAAGACAGGTCACTTCGATTATGTCTTTTGTCTCCCATTATTATAGACATTCAGAATACCTTTTGTGAAGTTTTTGCACCTGCATAAGAAATGAATACTCCATAGTACTCCATTTTGGACATCCAGTGACCAATCATTTGAATGTGGGAGGGGATTTCTTAGGTGCCTTGACATATTCTTTCAAAGTAATGCATCTCTAAGGCTGACATAAAAGAAGCATTCTACTGGGCATGATGGCTCACGCCTGTAATCCAGCACTTTGGGAGGCCAAAGCAGGCAGATCCCTTGAGGCCAGGAGTTCAAGACCAGCCTGGGCAATATGGGAAAACCCTGTCTCTACTAAAAACACAAAAGTTAGCCGGGTGTGATGGCGCACACCTGTAGTCCCAGCTACTTGGGAGGCTGAGGCAGGAGAATCTCTTGAACCCGGGAGGTGGAGGTTGCAGTGAGCCAAGATTGCACCACTGCACTCCAGCCTGGGTGACAGAGTGAGACACCATCAAAAATAAATAAATACAAGAGAACGAGAGGTGGGGGGAGAGAGAGAGAGAGAAAGAGAGAGAGAAAGAAAGCATTCAATGATTCAATGTGAAAGTTGACGCATTTGGCCATGAAGAGAGGACTGTCGCACTCTGCTTCACAGAGAAAACCTGGCTGTGGCTTTGGGCATGCATAGCTCTGATAACATGTTTCAAGGAGCCAGGAGAGGAAAGTGAGGGCAGCTTTAGTTTTGAGAACTAGAGAAGAGAGGGGGACAAAGAGATACCAGAAGCATCCCTTCTACAAAATCTGACCTCATCTCCTCCCGCACCACCTATTTTTATATTTGACAGAGTGGATGGGTCTGCAGCTGGGAAGTGCAGCCAGATATTCTGGCTTAAAAAGACACGTCTTCACCCTTGCTCCCTACCCAACCTTTTACATGTGGAAGATGTCTGGCACTGTGCTTGTCACACAGCAGATCATTTAGCATCGTGGTGACCTTCTATCCTCTATCCCTCTCTAACCAGAAGCCCTGTTTCTCTAGAACTGACTGCCCTCGGCTCTTACTGCATTCAGCCAGTCATTCAGTCAGTTTGCTTTCCACTTATATTCGTCCCTTGGTATCTGCAGGGGATTGGCTCCAGGACCCCCAGAGATAACAAAATCTGACGATGCTCAAGTCCCTGATGTAAAATGGTGGAGCATTTGCTTATCACCTCCATATATCTTCCCATATACTTTAAATCATCTCTAGATTGCTTATCATACCTCATAAATGTAAATGCTGTGTAAATAGTTGTTATACTGCATTGGGTTTTAAATTTGTATTGTTTTTTGTTTTTTCTGAACATTTTCAATGCACGGTTGGTTGAATCCACAGATGTGAAACATGTGGATATGGGGGGCCACCTGTATTAAGCACCTACAAAGTGCTAGGCCCTGGAGAAGGCAGAGACACATCTTACCTCAAGAAAGGGGAGGTGGTCAAGTGAAGGCAGTGAGTGTGCACACCTCTGAAGGAACTTGGCCTAGAAGAGAGGAAGCCAGTGGCTCAGGGAGACCCAAGATTAAGCACTTGAGCTCTGAGAGGGAGGATCCAGAGTGAGGGAGGTGCAGGAGAGCTGTTTGGTTGGGCCCCCATGCCTGTTCTGTCACCTCTTCTGTCCCAGAGCCTGGAGACATTCTGGGCAGAGGACACCTACATCTTTGCTGATGATGTGATAATCTCCAAACCTCACTCCACCCTTGATGAAAATGGTCTTAGGAGACATACCTACCTTACCCTATAAGACTGTAAAGAGAACAAATGGGGGTGATGATGCTTCTGAGGCCCTTTAAGCACATTGTGTTTCAGTGCAGTGCTACTGTCAACCTTTTACTACAATGACAAAACACTGTAGCATAGGATGTAGTGTGTCCTTCCTTGGAGATTTGCAGGGAAGAGTGATCACTGGTCAGCTCTTTGCTCTGGAGGAGGCAAAACAGGAAAGAATGGAGGTCTTGGTTGTGGACAGGTATTACAGGGGCTCTTTTGCATTATTTTTCTGAATACAAAATGCTTCCCACCTCGGGAAGATTGAATCAGTGTATTTGGCCATTTAGAATTTCTCATGTCAGGAAAATTTAGTCAGCAAATGATGGGTGACTGTCCTCTGGGTGTAATGTAGCAACATGCTATGAACAAAGACCCTTCTGTAACAATAGTGGAAAAGAACTAACACCCACTATTTCTACTCTTCACTAGTAACTCTCCCTCCTCCCCCATCTTGCAACCCTTGTTTGTAGGTACTCGAAAAGATTCCATTCCACAAGTCCTACTCCCTGAGGAAGAGAAACTCATCATTGAAGAAACCAGAAGCAACGGCCAGACCATCATGGAAGAAAAGTGAGTAGAGCAGGCAAAACCTTGCCTAGTTTCTCTTGGGGCTGGCAAGAAGGTCTGGTAGGACGGGGAGCTCCTGGAGAGTCTATGATGAGGGACAACTCCTCCTTACCTGGGAATGCGGCCTGCTTTGCTGTGCATGCATTTGGGAGACTTTAGAGGGCTGCCCACTAACAAATGGAAAGAGGAAGGAAAAGCAGCGGTGACAGAGCCCTCCAAGGCAGCTCCAGCTGGCAGCTGCCCCTGCAGCCAGCTCCCCATCCAGTAAGCTGCTTCTGAGCACATGGGAATATCAATGCCCTGGATGGGTTTAGGAAGTGGCTGGGAATTCCAGCCACAGAACCAATTTCCTTGCCCGGAGAGATGCCACTCACATGTTTTGAGTCAGAAGCTGTGCTTTCACATTTTTGACATCATTTAAAATCCTACAGCAATCCGGTTAGATAAACATTACTCTCACCACTTTCACAGATAAAGAAACTGAGGTACAGGAAGTTCAGGGAAATTATGTCTCTGACTTACCTTTACACAGTAGTGTGGGTGACCTAATGGGGGAAAATCAGGTTAAGTACCTTCTGGCTCATAAAATTAACACAAAGTAGCCAAATAATTCATTTGTCTAAACTTGAGTCATTTCTGAAGTCAGGCCTAAATTTGCATAGGACAGCATATTTCAAGGTGCTTGGCATTGTCAATGCATTTTACATCTGATGTGTGAAGTGATACAGCAAAATGGTTAAGTACTTGGGCTCAAGCAAAAAACAGTGTGGTTCAACTCCCACTTCTGCTACTCATTAGCTGTGTGACCTGGGGCAAGTTGCTTCACCTCTCTGTGCCTCAGTTTCCTCATCTGTAAAATAAGGATGACGGTAATGCTTTCAGAGTTGTTGTGAGGTTAAGTGAAATAAGTATAAAGGCTAGCTCAATAAATAATGTTAGTTAATTCTTATTATAACGATATTCATTTTTACAACTTTGTGAGGTTTTCAGAAAATGTGCTATTATCCCCATTTTACATGTAAAGAAACTAAGACCAAGAGAGGATGAGAAGGAAACTGGTTCCCAGAGAACAGAGGACTAGTAAGTGGCAGGATCAGAACCAAAACTTAGATCTCCAAAATCTTTGTCCAGGGAGAGACCCAGAGAGGAAAAGGCTGTTCTGCAACCCAGTAATTACCAAAAAATTACTTTTTTGGGTACTGTATGGTTGAGATATTCCAGAAAGAATGCCTCTGACTTTGTGTCATGTGCAGTCAGAGAACTGGGAAGGGCAATGTCATAGCACAGATACTGTAGACTAGGCAATCTTGTGATACCTCTCATTATATGATAGGTGATGTTCATTCCTGCCCCAAAGCTAGAGAAATCAAAACCTTATGACGGGAATTGAAAACGTCGAACTCCTAAAAACAGAGAGCAGAATGGTAGTTTCTAGGGACTGAGGGGAAAGGGGAAATGGGGAGATGTTGGTCAAAGGGTACCAAATCTCAGGTATGCAGGATGAATAAGTTCTGGAGAACTAATGTACAGCATGTTGACTACAGTTGGCCCTCTGCATGCGTGGGCTCTGCATCTGTGGATTCAACCAACCCCAGATCAAAAAGATATTCAGAAAAAAATGGATGGTTGCATCTGTATTGAACATGTACAGATTTTTTTCATACCTAGTAAAGTTTTTCTTTTTCCGCCTTTGTTGAGGGATAATTGACAAAGGTGTACAATGTGATGTCTTGATATATGTATGCACTGTTATACCATATTGTTTTTTCCTAAGAAATATGGTATAACAAATATTTGCATAGCATTTACATTGTATTAGGTATGATAAGTAATCTAGATATGATTTAAAGTGTATGGGAAGATGTGCATTGGTTATATGCAAATACTATGCCATTTTATGTTAAGGACTTGAGCATCTGTGGATTTTGGTATCCATGGGGGTCCTTGAACCAATACCCCATGGATACCGAGGGAGGGAAGACTGCATAGTTTACAATGGAGTATACTTGAAGTTTGCTAAGAGTGTAGATTTCCACCACACACATACAAAAGGTAACTATGTGAGGAGATGGATATGTTAATTAGCTTGATTATGGTAACCACTTCACAATGTATACATATATCAAGACATCACATTGTACAGCTTTGTCAATTATCCCTCAACAAAGCTAGAAAAAGAAAAACTTAGTGACGGGCCCTAGTCTCTTGTGTTTTGTTCACCCAAGCTGGGAAGTGAGTAGAAAAGGAGGAGGGAAGTATAGAAAAGGTGTAATGACATTGCATTTAGCTAAGCATGTGTGGTGGTGGTTGTTCTTCCATCAAAGTCAAGAAGATGGAAACCATTTAGAGCAGTACCATTCCCAATCAGCTAGAAAGTCCACTGTTTTTCAGGATCTGTATTTTTATAAAGTGGCTTTTATTGTTAAGTATTTTAACAGTACCTCAGTGCAAGCCATTTGTCTCTGAATTTTATCTTTATTTTCTAGGAGCCTTGTTGATACTGTTTACGCCTTGAAGGACGAGGTCAGAGAACTGAAGCAGGTAATAAAATATAAAATCATTTTCTCGGGTAATAGAACCATTCTCTTTTTCTTGCCTCACGCTGCTCATGCTTTCAGGGAAGGCCTAGGAGCAAGGTAGCGAGGGGGGATTTTTGTTTTCCTTGTGTCATCAAGGTAGGTTTTGTTGATTTTATCATGTAAGCCTTGAATTTAAATTTCCGAGGCTTGCTTGTATTTCTATGTAGTAGTTCACAATAGAGTCCCAAAGTTAGTTACAACTTTCCTGTTCTCTGACATCCATAAACAGACTTTAAGAAAAGACTAGTCATTCATGAGTGTGTAAGTGTAAAGAGAACCATTCATCATGGTTTGTGGGCTTTTCTGCCGATGTGGCCTAGTGCTCCGTGATGCACACTGTGCCTTGTGTGTGAGGACTGACTGTATCTGGTGACAGAGTGAAGGATGGATGCGAGGGGAGAGAGACCAGGGACTAGAAGACCACTTAGGAGGTTCTTACAAAACTCAGGGTGAAACCTGTCAGAGTCCTGAACTGAGGCAGGGTAATGAGGCTGGGGAGGAGGAAACGAATGTAAAGGATGGCATACTGCAGAGTTTGAACCTATGGACGAGGATAATATGATTTTGAGATTAAGAAAGAGCCAGGGATTAAAGATGAAGCTTCTTCCCAGGGTGTCTGGTTGCATATGGTGGTGCCCCTTCATGGAGATCAGTAATCACAGGAGGAGGAGAAGTTTGGGGTGTTGAGAGAGATACTGAGTTCACTTTAGGACCTGATGAGTTTAAGGTGCTTGTGACATATCTAGGTGGAAATACCAAGCTGCTGCCAGGTAATCTCAGGTAAGTGAGAGGATCACTTAAGCCCGGGAGTTTGAGGCTGCAGTGAGCCATGATTACACTGCACTCCAGCCTGGCAATAGAGTGAGACCCCATCTCTTAAATAAAATAATAATAATAATAATAATAATAAGAAGAAGAAGAAGAAGAAGAAATACCAGGCTGACAGTTGAGATTGTGGACCCGATTCTCAGGAGACAAGGTCAGTACCAGAGATATTTGGGAGTCCCCTTAATAGACACTTGGGTTGAAACAGAAGTGACACTAAGTGAAAAGCAAGTTAAATTAGAAGAGGATCAGGGCAGGGAAGAAGAATCCAAAAGGTTTCCCAGAGACAGGCAGGAGAATCGACAGGCTGCTTTGTCATAGATGCTGAGGGAGGGAAGGTCGAGGAAAGAAAGAGAGTCAGTGATGAAAGCTGCCCCGAGGATGAGCAGGAGGAGCCCTTGGAAGGGCCCCCCTCTGTTTGATAATCAACAAATCTTTCCCCATCATAGGAAAATAAAAGAATGAAGCAATGCCTGGAAGAAGAACTGAAATCAAGAAGGGACCTAGAAAAGCTGGTGCGGAGGCTTTTGAAGCAAACAGATGAGTGTATTCGAGGCGAGTCCAGTAGCAAGACCTCAATTCTTCCATAACCATCACTGTGCCACTGGGTGGAGTGTGCCTTCAGGGCATCTTGAAATGTCCCGCTGAATGATTTGACTCAGTTTGCTCACTTCTTTGGCTTTTGTTTTGTGTTTGAGTCTCTCTCTCTCTCTCCCTCTCTCTTCTCTTTCTCTCCCCGCTGTGTGCATATGTGTGTGCGTGCACGTGCGCGCTTGGGCATTTGCTGTTGTTTGGTTATTGGTTGGTTGTTCATTTTTTTTTTCAACAGGTGAAAAAGCAGGAAGTGGTGGTAGAGATGGCCTCAGAGTCTTTTCCATTCAGTAAGAAAGAGAAAGGGAATGCAGGCCAGTTACTTAAAAGGTCTTCAGATTGCCTTCAGTTCACAGTGCCTCTGCAACAGCCATTGCCCTCAGGTCACATTCTTTGGGCTGGCTGCCCTTGCAAAGCAGCTGGCCAAGGCTTATTAAATGTGAACCCAACTTTTCCCCAGGGCTTTCCTGTACCTGCAAGCCTCTTAGTACTTAATTTACCGAAGGCAAATCTTCCAGACTATGGCTTGAGTAGGATGAAAGACAAACACATCTGCCCAATGATCCAGCTGCCCTTCCTTAGACCATCACATGCCTCCCCTCAATCACAGGTTTTAAAATTACTGCCCTATGTTGTCTATAAGACCAAGAAAACTGTAGTACCCTTATTCCTTTTGTGTCATGTAAATTGTAACTCAGGGGGGCAGAAGCTCTGGTCACCCACACCAACACCAAATCCATCAGCAAATTCTACTGGACAATCCTCCCTTTTAGTAGCAGAGTTGACCGCCTTTTCCCATTGCATGATAGGTTTCTTTCCCTCATTCTGCCTAGTGTGTAAGTTTTCTATTTCCCCAGTACTTTTAGCCAACCTTACCAAGTGGTGTGTAAACTAGTATGTATGTGCTTTGCTTACTTTTTAAAAAAATGTAGTTAGACTGTGAGGAGTTACTTTATGTACGTTGCATATTCAAACTGTGATGTTTTATCCTTCAAAACAATCTGCATTAAGAAGATATTGTGCCCTACTAGACAGCTTTCATTCACTTTATTACTCTCTCATATATGCTGTGAGAAGTTGTAATATTAATTGGCCTCTTTGGGTGGGACTCTAAGCAGTATTTGCAGAAATATGCTTCTGGTCCAACTTGTACATCCAGAACAAAAGGGCCCCTCTAGTAGCTGTGTGCTGGATTATTCAGGACTGATTAACTCAAGTTGCTCATTGAATCACATCATCCACTTTATCCCAGAAACTAGAACTGTGAGAAACCAGGTTTAGAAGACAGTCACAGAACAGCACACATCCAAATTCAGCGCCATTGAAAGTTGGCCTAAGGCTCAGTGCCACTCACCCCTCCCTCCCCAAAAGACAAGAGAAATTTGGCCAGATGGGGAAGGTCACTGGAAATTGAGGCCAAAGGGCTGATCAGAATTGCCTTTATAATATATTTGATGGATGCCTATAAATGTGGGTTTTGCAAATATTGTTTAAAAACCAAACTTGAAGCCAGGCATGGTGGCCCACACCTGTGGTCCCAGCTACTCAGGAGGCTGAGGTGGGAGGATCATTTGAGCCCAGGAGGTCAAGGCTGCAGTGAGCTGTGATGACACCACTGCACTCCAACCTAGGTAACAGAGAGACACCTCTGTCTCTGAAAAAACAAAACTTGAAGTTTGAAACCCCCAGCTTGCTGAGGAGCCCTTTTTATTTTTGGTACTGAGAGTCTCAAGGTCCCATAGCTACATGGTACAGGGCTGTTGTCTGCTTGCTGCACAGCAGAAATTACACCATCCACAGGAAATGGACTATTTTTGCAGTCCAACATCAGCCAACCACACACAGCCGTGTTTGGAAGCTGAAGAGTAAAGAAATTTCTAGGAATGGCTGTTGTTCTGTTTTTTAGCACAGCCATTTAGATATAACATCCTTCACTTAAAAATTAAAAACATCAGTACTACCACCACCACCAACAACATCAACACAGATCTTCACATCTGCCCATTCTGTGGTTAGTCAATGGCTTGCAATAAATGTGCAAACTGCATCTATAGGAAACATTTTTGTGATTACGGAATACTTTAGTTGATTGCTGAAAATATTGAAAGGTCTTCATTTTACAGTGATGAGTACATATGCATGTTTCGGGGACTTGGCCCTTCTGATGAGGGGCCCTCGGTACTCTGGATAACGAAGCTTGTGCAGAGTGGTAACCATGCTTACACACTAAACTATAATATAAAGGAAATGAAGCCATGTTAATCTGAGAGCAGTGTCGCCATAGTTGTGTTGTTTACAATACTCTATAAATGGGTTCCTGTTGCCCTGTAATTAAACTGCTGCCCGTAGAGGCCTTTCAGTTCCTTTTCTGTCCTTCCCCTTCTTAACACAAGCTCAAATTTTCTAACTTGTTTTTATTTTGAAGACTTTTAAAATGGACATTTTCAATACATAAAAATAAACAGTGCTTTATAAAAATAAGTCTTTTGCTTCTTTTTTTGCTAGCCGGTGTGCAGAAAGATTTCTTGTGCTGTGTCAGCTTCCTCTCCCATTTCCCTCATTAGCTAGTCTGCTCTCACCAAGCCCTCTAGCCAGTCTCAACCTTTTTCACTCAGGGCAGATGACATTTGCTCCCAACTTTACAGAGATAATACATGCCCTGAGACAGAACCTTCCTTAACTTCTCTACCTCTCTTCTTCTGGCCCAAACCTATAAATTATATCCCTGCTCACCATCTGCTTTTTGATATTAGAGAAAAATGTATTTTCCTGCTCAAGCTTATCCCTTGATATTTATTCCTGTCCTGATTCCTCTTTGAATTTGGCAGGATTTTGTCAATCAGTGATAATCCTATATTTTGACCACAGTTGGAATGCTGGTGTCAGCACTCAGGATGGAAATATTCGTTCCACTTAAAGATTGATGAGGTGGAAATTATCTGCTGCTCCACATGCATTCCTACCCCTTTTCTGTTTCTTTCCAAAAACATAAAGGCTGAAAAATCAATTTCCCAGACTCCCTTGCAGCTAGGGTTCTGGATAAAATGTGGGTTCAGATACATGTTCACTTCTGCCAACAAAATTTGGAAGGCTTAAGTTGGGCAGAGGCTATCTTCTTGGGGTTTGGTGGCCAGCAGGTGATTCCAAAGATGTGTTTGTGGCTTCTGTACTCCACATTCCAGTGTGTCTATTCACAGCTTTGTGAGTGAGAGACTGTAGTGGTGGCAGCAGCCTCCTAACATGTGGATCACAACTGCAATGATATGACCTTGAAGCCATTAGTCCAGTGGCAGCCTCCTGACTTCCCCTGACTTCCACTTATGTAGCCCAATGGTTTTGTAGACAACTGATTATCTTTCTGCCTGAGATACCTTCAGTGGTTTATGATTCCTGCTCTGAGCCAATAGATAGAACATGGCATCTCATGTGTGCTAGGCACTGTACTAAGTGGTTTACACGATTAAGCTCATGTAAGCCTCACAACAACCTTATTAAGTATTTACTATTGTTATCTCCACTTACAAATGAACAGAGGCACAGAGATGTTGAGTAACTTGCTAGTACATGGTGGAGCTGGAATTTGAAACCTTAGTCTGTCTGACTCTTGGACCCATGCTCTCTCTATCACGTATCCTCCTGCACACTTGGTACATGCTAAGGTTCCTACCTTAGCCATCCACCTTTGTGAAGTCACTATTAAGCTTATAATTGACAAATCCATTGGCTTTTCGATCCTCACCTTGACGTCTCTGCAGTATTTGACCCTTGCCTTCTTGATGAATCTCTCCTTCCTTGGTTTTCATGAGCCCACACTTTCTTGGCATTCATTCAGTCACCCCTCAGTCTCCTTTGCTGGACCTGCCTCCTTAGGCTGTCCCCTGAACATTGCTGATCCTCTTTTCCTCGTCTCTTCCAATCTATAGCCTATTCCTAGACAACCTTGACTACCCCCATAACTTCATTTATCAAAATGCAGATGACTCCCATGTCCACAGTTTTCCATTCTGACTTTTCTCCTGATCTCCAGACCCATGGATGCAGCTACCTTATAGATAACTCAGTGGAACTGCAGGAGTGGGGCAGTTTCCTGAAAGTTACTGAATTGCTTGAAGAATGACTCAGAGGAGTGTGAAAGTGTGGTATGGAAGGGGGAGGTTTGTGTGCTGATGCCCCTTAGACTGGGAATCAATGGTCATCGTCTTTTAAAGAAACATTCCTAAATATAGAACTTCGGCTGGGCTCGGTGGCTCATGCCTGTAATCCCAGCACTTTGGGAGGCTGAGGCGGGCGGATTACAAGGTCAGGAGATCGAGGCCATTCTGGCCAACATGGTGAAACCCCATCTCTCCTAAAATACAAAAAAAAAAAAAAATTAACTGGGCGTGGTGGCATGCACCTGCAGCCCCAGCTACTCGGGAGGCTGAGGCAGGGGAATCGCTTGAACCTGGGAGGCAGAGGTTGCAGTGAGCCGAGATCATGCCATTGCACTCCAGTCCAGCCTGGCAACAGAGTAAGACTCCATCTAAATATATATATATATATATATAACATATATAATATATATATATAATATATAATATATATAATATATATATATAATATATATAATATATATATAATATATATAATATATATATATAATATATATATATGTAATCTTCTCAAACCTACTGAAAAATTTGGCAACTCCAAGCCCCCAGCGCTTAGCAGTTTTTGACAATAAAACTATACCATAAAAAAAGGGTCTTTGCTATCCACAGGTCTACTGTAATGTTTGCTTTTTCTTTCTTTCTTTTTTTTGGTTTCACTTTGCTTCACATTGGGTGTGGTCTTTGGTCTAGTACATGAGCATAGGCTCTCATGTGTACCTGGGTTGCCAGGCATTCTCCTTGGTCTCAGAAGTTTCAACCATTTAAGATGGCACCCTGTCCACTTGCACCACTGAATGCAGACAGGTGTGCTGGGGACCATGTAGAGACCCACCTTAGTGCTTCTTACATGATGATCTTCTCCAGAGAGCAGATTCTGCTGGGGACTTTCTGTGGACAATCTCACTGAATCTTTATAAACTTTTTTTTTTTTTTTTTGAGATGCAGTCTTGCTTCTGTCGCCCAGGCTGGAGTGCACAGGCACCATCTTGGCTTACTGCAACCTCCCCCTCCTGGGTACAAGTGATTCTGCTGCCTTAGCCTCCCACGTAGCTGAGATTACAGGCACACACCACCATGCTGGGCTAATTTTTGTGTTTTTAGTAGAGACAGCGTTTTGCTGTGTTGGCCAGGCTAGTCTCGAACTCCTGACCTCAAGTGATCCACCTGCCTCAGCCTCCCAAACTGCTGGGATTACAGGCGTGAGCCACCATGCCTGGCCCAGCATGTCTTCTTTTTATTCCCACTTTACAGATGAAGACACAGAGGACTAGAGGAGGTGAAATGACTTGCCTGTACTTATAAAGCTGGTTAATAGTGGAGCCTAGATTAAGACTGTATCTGTCTGACTCGAGATTTAACTACTACACTACAATGAGCATTTCTGGTTTTGTTTTGTTTTAGTGGGGATGTGATTCACAGAGAAAAATAACATAAAAATCATACTTAGTTCCATGTTTCTGTGTCTCAAAGTACTTCAGACTACTTTAAAAGTCTAAAGCAGTGCAGTTCCCAACACAGTGGCATTGGGCCCTGTGAAAATAGTTGAATGTAGCACAGAATGTATTCTCTCCTGAAGCCCAAAAGTTTACATGTCATTTCCGTTTAAGTGGGGGCACCCCTGTTCTGACAGCTTGCTAGAGCACACTGTTTGCGTTTTGTGGTCATTTGCTAACCATCAAATAACAGAGGCAGTAATATTTTATCCTTGTTTATTTTCTCTTTATCTAGAAATAATTATTTGGTATTTCAAACATTCCCACCCTCCCCCTTAGATAGAAGGCAGAAGTGACATGATTATAAAAATGGAACTAAGTTAGATAATTTATGATCAGACTATTACAGGTACATCAGAAATGTACTCGAGTCTTTTTCATTTATAGGAAAATGCTGAAAATGTTCAATTGAAGTTTGGAACAAACATATATTATTTTGCAAATTATCATGAAATGTATAATAAAAACATATTATCTGTTTTTAGCTACAGCATAATTCTCAGTCATTTTTTACTCCATGAGTGCATTTTTATCATCCAGATATTTTTGACCTAATGAGGATCCTTTCAGTGTAGCAAATTTTTGCCTCAGCCAACACACAGAATTATTTTCTGGGCTATTGAGTTATAAGCAGCTGTATTTATTCATTCATTTATTCCTTCATGCACCAAATAAAGGGCCAATTCAATGCTAGGTCCTGTGGTAGACGCTGAAGTTATCATGGTGAATGGGACAAGGTCTTGGTCCTCAAGAAGCTCACAGCATAGTAGGGAAAACTTCAACCATGATAAGTGCTGTGAAGCACTTGCTAAGTGCAGGGTGCAGTGAGGGAGAGAAATGGGTCTTGCAAGAAGAGAAAACAGCATTCCAGGGCCCTAAGGTAGGAAAGCATTTGTAACCTTGCTTAGAGGAACTGAGGGCTAGAACTTAAGAGACCGAGAGAGGTGGCAGCAGGAGATGAAATTGATTATTTTGGTCTTTATTCCAAGGTTCATAAGAAGCAGGGGACTGGCTGTGCATGGAGAATTGATGGAAGGGAGCAAGAGTGGAGGCAGGGAATCTAGGAGGCTGTTGTACTATTCCAGAAGAGAGATGGTGACAGTTGGGACTAGGATAGAAATAGTAGAGATAGAAAGAAGTAGATTAAGGACTACTTAAGAGATAGGGTTGATGAGCATAGGCTGGAGGGATTGAACATGGGGGTGATGAGAGTGAAGTCAAGCCAGGTTTCTGACTTGAAAAACTGGGTAGATAAAGACACCATTCATTGGACTGGGAAACATTGAACACAGATCCCATTGTGTGGGGGGAAAAGTTAAGAGTTCGGTTGGAATGTACTGGGTTTGAGGAACTAGGCCCACCCTTTGGAGATGCAGGCAAATTCTAGGAGACAGTTGAGAACAAAAGGCATGGCATTAGTGGCTTGAAGATGCTGCTAAGTTAAAACCATGAGCCCAGGGAGATAACCAACAGTGAGCATGTAGGACTTACCCGGTAAAGATGAACACACCACTCTGGGTTTCTTACATGAAAAATTCCTCTGTTGGAGGTGACAAGAAATGGCTCCATTGACTTCAGTGGAAGACTGGGGGGCCAATACTTCCCCTCAGGTTTTCTCAGCTCCATTTCCTCTTGCCTAAGTGGAACCACCTAGACAGCTATTAATAAGCTATGCCACTGCTCCTTATTTAAGGACCCTCTCCAGCCTCACTTGGCTGTGATTAATAAAAAAAAGTTCTTTCAATCTCCTGCAACTTTTTCAGAAGAAGCTGGAAATAAAGACCTAGATTGCTTTTCACTGAATAGGCTAGCACATCATCGATCAAAGGCTGTCACAGACTTCCAGAAAGTGTGCTGCCACCAAGATATTTTATAATGTAAGTAGCTTGAGAACAAAGTTTATGAAAACATCACAAAGGTTGGGAAAATTCCCTCCAAATGCTTCCTCTTTCCCCAACCTGGCTGGGAGCTTTAGGTACTCAAACAACAACGATAATGTTAAGAGGTCTTTATTATTCAAAAAATAAATAACAAGATAATTACAAGTTCACTCTGGAAACAATGGAGACTGCAGGTAGATACAATAGATTTCCTTTAAATACAGTCATTTCGTAATGAGGAGTGGGCAGGCTCAGGGCTGCACTCCCTACTCCTCACCCTCATCTATAGTGGTAGAGATAGGGACAGGGTGGAAAGAAGAGAACTGACTAGCAACGGCCTGACTCTGTGTGTGTGTGTGTGTGTGTGTGTGTGTGTGTGTGTGTGTGTGTGTGTGTGTTAGAAAGGGGGATTGAGAAGAGAGACTGGGGGAGGGAAGAGACTGACAAAGGGAAACAGAGAGATTGAGAAAGAGAGATTGGAAGAAAGAGGTTGAGAGAGAGAGACTGAAAGAGAGAGATGGAGAGAGAGAGATTGAAAGAGAATGAATAACTGTCCGAGAGGGTGGCGGGGGGGGGGGGGGGGTTTCGGTTCTCCACTGTGTTAGACGTTCTAGAGCCTGGCCCCCTCCAACAAGGCCATAGGAACCCAGAGTCAACCATAACTGAATGTGAGCTGAGGCTCCCCATTTCCCTTCTGCATCTTCACTGATAAATCAAATGCATTATCCATGGAAAGACACTGCACGCAAAGAAACAAAACTGAACTTGGCAAGTTATCTGCTGTTTACTCAGAATTCAACCTGTGCATAATGGCCTTGTCTTTTCATAGGACTCTCTGGATGTCTGCATCAGTGGGGTTGCTGCTTCAGATATATAAGCTCTTATGGAGCAGGGCCCGTTTTGGTTTCATGTGACCTGTAATTCACTTATTACAGTTCTACATGCCTTGGAGTGTATAATAAATAGTTCTCCATAAGGAGGATCCTAGGGTTATAAATAGGCAGTTAACAGGGGGTGGGCTTAACCGCTGTGCTGTATTATGAAGACTCCCAGCGTCAGCTCCACCACAGCCTGCAAGGTGACACTGTTCAGAGTTTGAGTAAGCCAAAGGACGTGAAGCCAGTGCCATGGCTCACTTGGCTTGGATCAGTCACATTGACAAACACCGAAGCACCTGGTTGCAATTCAAATACTCCTCCCAAGTGAATGGATTGTTGCCCGCAAGGTTTGGCGGAACTGTGGGTATTTGCAGCTCTGAGTAAGATTCTCTCGAATCTACCGGGGGACTTTAGGCAGAGGCTGGCTATAAATGGAGCTTGACTCGAAGCTTCCCGATTGGAACAGAAGGTGACTTGGGCATAGATATAATAGAGTCCTTGTCTTTTAACGGTCAGCTGTTTCCCATTTTCCAGGGTTACCAAGTTGTTGCTCATGGTGTAGTATCCTTTTTCAGCCCACTGTAACACTGTTACAAAGAAAGGGAAAGTTTGTGGTGAGGTGAAGCAGAGCATGGTTCACATTCTGACAAAAAATATAGTTTAATGTTGGATATTGGCTTTGTATAGGGATGGATTCTCAAGGCCCCTTCCATGGGCTTCAGAGTCAGACAGAGCCATGTTCCAATCTAGGCTCTATTTAAGCTTGGGCAAGTCTCTAAATCTCCATGAGCTTCAGTTCCTCATCTGCAACACGGGGCTCATATTGGAGCATATTTCAGAGACTTGTGAAGATTAAATAAAGTAAGAGATCACAGTGAGTTTCTTTCTCTCGTTAGAGTTCTTATAGCCAATTTGCCTTGAACTTAAGAAGGCACAAATGATTTCAAAATTTGACATCATAAATTATACATACCAAATTACTCGGACCAAATTTTTGCTAATATTACCATGAATACCTTGCTTGCCTTGAATTTTACAAAGTCAGAGAGTTGTCAGTCTACCTAGCTCAGCCTCAGCACAGAGAAAAGACCCCATTTCTTCCTACCTGATCATGCTGTTGCAAACCTGATCTGCCTCCCCCAGCAAGGACTAAAATTAGGCAAGGAAGTATGAAAATAAACTGTGTGCTCATTTCACGGTATGTTTTGATCTCCCATTGTAGTGGGCGCCACCAACTTGAAAGTACCAGTATTCTTGTGGCTAAGCCAGAGTACCCACCAACAGTGTGCCATTTTCTCGGCTGAGATGTTGAGTGGGTTCAAAGTAGTGTGTGCACCCGACTTGAAATCTCAGCTCCCACAGAAAGCTAGACTGACTGATGGGGGTGAGGGTTGAGGAAAAGTGAAAGTACTGATGTGTTTGCTTCCTTGAGCTTTTTAAAAAATAATTCCTATTCGATAGTCTTAGGTCTATCAGGGCACAAGATCCCACCTGGTAAGACTCGCCCTTTACTAATAGGGAGGCATCCTGAAATGCCTGACAGATCCGGGCCCTCCAGACCACTCCAGAAACAATGCTTCATTAGAATGTTTGCCCTTTTGAACCATTTTATTGAGAAAAAAAGGGCAGGTTCTCAATCTTTTAGTTCAGTAAGTTTACTTTGGTACGTCCTTACCTAATTTTAGTACTTGCTGTGGGATGTAGGGCAAGATTTTAGCAGCATGGCTAGGTAGGAAGAAGAGGTTTGGGACTGGGGTGGGGGTGGAATGTTACTGTCTTCCCATCTGATCCCCTGGAAACCTATTGTGATGCAGACTGTAAGATATTGTAGGACTGATATCCATTACAAGCCTTTTGGGAGAATCTGAGCTCTATGAAATATATCCAAGATCAAGGGTTTAGATACAGGCAAAAAAAGACCAGTGGGAAGCTATTCTTCTAGGAGATTTCTCTGTTGTTGTCATCTGATCCAGAAGAGAGAAGGGGTACTTGACAAAATTATTAAATATTGTGTAACTAACTGGTATTAGTGAGGGGCTTTATGTCACCCTTTTGACATCTAAGCCATGGTGAAGTAAACTAAGTAGTGTCACCTTACGGTTGTACAGCACTCGACAGCATCACTTTCGGCCACATTAGCTGATTTGATGCTCAAAGCCACCCTGTAAAGTAGGTGAAGTAGAAAACTGCTGCATAGGTAAAGGGTCTTGCTCAAGGTCACCCAGCAAGCAGTGGTCATGGTCCTTGAATCCCAGTGTTCAAAAACTCCCTATTCAGTGCTCTTACTTTGGTACCATGATCCATGATAATGATAACTGTCCATGTGTTACGCCTACTGAGAAGCCCAAGCCACTTCAGAGATGAAGCAGTGTCTTTTTTCTCTCTCTGTCCATCTCTCTTTCTCTCCCTGTCACACACATACACATATGCACACACACATGCACTGCTTAGAACTCCATTCCGGAGCACTCTGTAGAATTTTTCAAAGACTCCTCTGACGCTCTTGCCTTTATGTTGATGGGAGACTTTATGTTAGCGTGCATGTTTCCATCCATTTATCAGATACGACATATTCTTTGGCACCAGTTATCGCAAGATGCACATTTGGGAAAAAATATCTAAAGGCTAGAATGGTGGCAGAACGTATATGGAAATAAAATCGTTCAGAGTTGAAAAGATCACAATATGTCGTCTGTTGTTACTTCATTGGAAAATGTAACGTCTTGGGACCTATTGATCTTTACAGAATGATTTTACCTTTACTTTCCCTGAGGTTGGCCTCAGTGAGGCTGAGCTTAATCATACAGGGATTGACAGATGGCAGGAAATACCCCATGAGGCCCATTTCCACACAGTGAAGATGGGTTAGGAGGAGGGATGCTCCCAGTCAGGAGGTCACTACATGCCATTTCTTCTATGTTGTCAGAACAATGGTCCCTCCACCCAGTAATTCATCATTTAGAATCAGCCATTGAGCAAGAACATAATGAGAACATCCAGATTGCATTCCACCTCCTTTTGTCCCTCTAAGTCCCATCTGTGCATTTGAACTCACTTTGAAGACAAAGAAGGGAATAGGAGAAGTGTAGGGGTAGGTTTGTAAATTGGGTCCCAGGGGAAAAGAGGAGTTTAACCATTAGGTAACATGACTTCGGCATCCCAGCCTTTCCCCTTGGGTGGCTACCGCTCAGATGCTGTGTGACTTACCAGATGTTGTTTTACTGCTGGCCTCACTTATGACATGTGCCGCAATTTGAGGATTCTGATCACCTGAAATGGAACCAAAAACTGTCAGGCTAAAATAATGCAAAAACTGCCCACAAAACTATCTGGTCCAGTTCTACAACTGTGTAATAGAGACTGTGCAAAAATAGATTATATAAAAGGAAAGATAAAATGGTCTGACATCTCTCCCACTGAAGGAAAAGTTGGTTTCTAATATCTGAGTAATTGAATTGGCTGTTTCCATCGGTCTCATTCTCCTAACAGTTGATCAATACTCGATTCCATTTTGCATAGATTGACACAGGCTAAAAACACTGGTCTTCATTAAACATACCGTGAATCTTGCTTTTAGGAACAACTCCATACACTGGGGATTTTAGTGGGCTCCAAAGTCTGCACACTTAGTAAGATTCTTATGGTTTCTGAATTGGTCAAGCAACTGGCTGAACTATTGTATCTGTCTTTAATTATTTCTTGTGTTAAAGCCCTGCTCCCTAATGAGATGTGTCAATCTTCTAAGGGCAGAGACTGTGTGGAAGTTTCTTTTTGTCCAGTTATGAGCCTGATATTGGGCACTTTGTAAGTGCCCTATAAATGTTGAGTTAAATTGCATGACCTAAATGACCAGTTTGGTTAATATTATCATTTCCCTGAAGACTTCTAGGCAGCATCTACATAAACTGTTTCCTCAGATTTCTCTGTAATTAACAGACAGCGTGGTACTATTACTCAACATATCTTGCAGTCATTCTGAAGATAAAACCTTCATGGAAGTCGGATGACCATTTAGTATCCAGAACAACAGTTAAGGCAAGGTCTGAGTACTCTCTTTGCCTCAGAAAATAGTATCTCTATCCCTGTATGTATGTATGTTTTTGTGTGTATTAAATTTGCAGAAGCCATAACATCATGTTCACCAACTTTGTGATATAAAATTCTCTCTAACAACACCCCGTCTTTCCCATAATCTGCTGCTGAAGTCACTTCACGCATTATTGTATTGGTTTGCGATGCCACATTCTAAAAGAACAGGAAAACGTTAGTGTGTCCAAGAAAAGGAGGTGAGTGGCAGAAGAAAGGTCCTGGAAAGGGTCATAGGAGAAACAGTGGAAGACATCAGGGATCTTTAGCCTGGAGAAGAAAAAGCTCAGTCAAGGCTTGGCCACCATGATTGCTGTCTTCCATATCTGGACAGCTGCTGGGTAGGAGAGCAATTATACTTTGTTTACTAGGGCCTCAAAGAGCAGAACTGGGACCAATGAGTGGAGATTATAGGAACAAAGTTTGACTTGAGGAGGAAAGACTTCTCTGGAGTAGTATAGTAATCTTGGTATTATTAGAGCCATTCAAAGACGGATCAGGCTGCCTTATGAGGTGGAAGGTGCCTCATCCCTCGACATGTTTGATCAGAGGCTGGACGGTCAGTGTTATTGTGAAGGAGATTTTTGTTGTGGGGATGGTGCTGGATTTGAGAACTCTCAAGTTCTCTTCCAACCCTGAGATGTTCAGGATGCTCTCACTTTAAGAACCGGGCAAATAATAGAACACTGTGACATTGTCACTCCTTGATCCCAGAGGCTCCACCGGCCACTGTGCCCCATGAAAAACTGTTATCAATGAGTGATGAATGCCACTGTTACCAAATGATGACTTTCCTGTCTTCTTATTCCACTGTAGGTGGTATCAGGCTGTATGGTTGCTTCTATTAAGGTATTGAACATAATGGGATTTCTTCAGATTTGGTATCATCGGCATTAAAGGAACACATCCTTTTTTCATAAATATATATGTACAAAGTCTTTCCAAATCACAGGGACCAGAGAAGGTGTCAATTTGACAATTGTGTTCCTGTTTTATTTCCAGGGCTAAAAGTTCCCTGATGCAACAACACTGGGTTGTTCAATATGATCAGCCTAAAGCTTCCTTTTAGTTTTTAGGCATTCATAGAAATTAGCAAATAGCAAACCTACCTTTTTGCATTTCAAAGCTGTTTTCTTTCTTCGTCTCCTCTTTGTTTAACATTATATCCTAAAATAAGAAGCATTGCAAGAGGTCATTTTGACAGGGGCTCTGCTGTGGGGTTTTAAAATTATCATTCGTTTTGCATCTGTCATTACTCTGTTGTCTGTTTCTGGTGAGGATTATCATATAGACTCAGATCCTGTCATTAATTCCATCATGCCAATTGGGAGTCCATGGATCTGACAGATGAGCCAACAACCCAGAAAGCCCAGGGGAGAATCTGGAAGTAAAATCCAGGCCTTATTATCTCCATTCCAGTGCTCTCTCCAGACCAGAGGCTGTGATCCTGACCCTTCCTATGACCTCAACCTCCTTGGCTTTGACAGATATTGACAAATAATGCCGAATGGGGAGATGATTCTACCCTGGGAACTGGTATATGGAATATTATTAAACATAAAGCATGGTGTGTATCTATTAGAATAAATTTGGTCTGAAATCCTGTAGGAAAAGATAATAGTAAGTTTGACCTTGGGGAGAAATGCCAGACTATGAAAAGACCCTCAGACATTTTTAATTTTGCTATCCCTTTCAATGGGCTGAAGAGATTCTCTTATTGATAGTTGCACTGTATTTACTTAGAATAATCAGCATTTCGGAAACACAGGCCATCTCCCAATGGTGTTGATGTTCAAAGGCAAGTGCGACACTTCTTAAAAGGTTTCTTTTCACTTATAAACTGAAGGAAGTCTAGAGGTATTTAAAGAAGCTAACAGGAACTTCCATCAACACAGGTTGGAAGATGATAAAGGCTGTTGCTGCCATTTTAAAGAGACTGAACAAAAGGCCTGGAGGGCTTAACTGGTCATTATGAGGTCACCCAAAGAAGCTGAGGTTTAAACCAAGAGTGGAAACTGTGAGATGGCATTCATAGGCTGGGCTTAGCTAATTCCATCTGTCTATCCTCTGCACACAAGGGAAGAAGACAGTAGTATTTTCACATCTTATGATAATCAAAGTCCTGTGCTCCTTCCCACTCCTGGAATCAGTTGTCTATAGGACCCTTCCTTTTATTTCCTCCTCCAGAAGGAATTTGTGCTGTCACTGTTGAGTGCTGGCTGTAGGCCCAGCTCAGTTGCCAGATTTAAGGGCGTAGTTCATAGAGCCTCCAGGGGAACCTGAGCCTCAGAACACTCACATGGGCCCCAGAGCTTCAACTTTCCATTTGAGCTGAAGCGCGGCACTATGAAGATGTGGTGACAGGAAAATGTTTGTGAGATCACAAGTAAACAAATGACTATTTAGTGTCTTTTCAAAAAGTAGAGTGTGGTGATCAAGGTTGAGATACTTTTAGGCTAAGTTGTTGCATTGGTGTTGAGGCCTGGCCAAGATGAAAACATGAAGTCAGCAAAGCTCGTGTTTCATGAGCCCAGCCTAGCCTTTCCGTGAACTTTCGCCCAACCACACTCCCCAGAGCCTTTTTTTTTTCTTGCTTCACTCCCCACCTCAACTGAAATACTTTTTAAAGTGGACTTTCAGAAAATCCAGAATGGGTTATTTCTCTCTTAGTGGGAGTTCCATGTGGCAGGTATGGACAGGTTGCCCTTTAACTTGAAATAGAAATGCTTTGGCTCTCTCAAAGGCATCGCAGGCATTGGTGGGCAAATAATCATGGAACTGAACATCTAGCAGAGGTGTGGTGGGTTGTAAGTTTTAATATGAAATTATACTATTCAAAATAATACCTCTGCTTACCCTCACTTGAGCCCTGAATACCATCTTTCCCCCAAAATGACAGATTAGTGCTACCTGCCTCCAGAGATAATGAGTTCCTTGTCACTAGAGATGTTCAAACAGAGATTGGATGACCACTTAGTCAGGAGGTGGAGAGAAGACTGAAGTTGTGGATTGAGAATTGGATCTGATGACTTCTAAGACCCCATCAAGACCTGATTCAAAGACTCCAAATTCAAACTTGAGGTTGCTTAGGTGCAGCCAGACTGTGGCCCGGAAAGAAAGCCTACTAACATTAGCTAAGAAAATATGAATCTAATCTGGAGCTATTCTATAATTGTCCTATTGAGTTTTTTCAAAGTCTCGAATTTTGTTTTAGGGTGAGAAATTTGGGGGAAAGCGTATTGGAAAGGGGATCCGTCATTGGGGGAGGATTGGGTAGCTGGAGGACTTTGTATCTACTCATTGTACGTAATCCTAGGTATAGGTGGTGTTGACTAGGGTTCCACACCTGCTGCAGTAGAGACAAGGAGCCTCCTTAGTTGCATGTAAGGAGGAGATCCCTGGGGCCCTGGCTGACATGCCTGAGAAGATCTGCCTTTTAAGAATATGAAACTTTGGAGCTGTCACTTTTTTCATACAAGCATAAGCAGGGAGGCCAAACTGACTGTTTTCTTTACTCCTATCCTCGGTAGCTGATTTTGGGAGCTTTACATACATAGCCAACCTGAAATAATGACGTGAGGAATTGACAATTCAACCGTAAAAGTCTCCGTAAGAAACGAGGGGGACTGACAAGCCACTCTCACTGCCATTGGAGGGAACTGAAGGCTTATCACATAATTGTAGAATGTCAGAGCTGATAGTGCCCTTACAGATAATCTGTCTTCTCATGTTATAGATGACAAAACTGAGGCCCAGAAAGGTGAAGTTATTTACCCAAAGTCACATAGCCAAGCACATTCAGTCTGTTATTTGGATTATTAGCCATTGTTTTGAAAGTGCCTTTATTCACATTTAAACTGGTAACATCTTCCAATACTCTGTAATACTGGCCCAAATCCTCGAAGAACCGAAGAAACTCAAATCATTTTCCTAGCTGGCCAGTCTTGCAAAGAAAGGGTTTAGGAGTTTCATCTAAAGCCTAGATTAGTGTAAAGAACCTGAAAGCAAGCAGCGGATTTGAGCCACATTCTGTTCTCCGTAGGTGACTCAGGAATAAGCTGTTAGAGTCTTCACTAATGAATTAAATGGCACCTCGGTGACAGTACAGGAGGGCAGAAATAAGATCAGAAATAAGATCTTAACCCTTTTACGCCTGCATTAAATTACACATCATCTATATGTGAGAACTAATTCCTGTTGGTTTACCCAGATACCCACCCACCTGGCCCAGAACTGTCCTCAATGTGGAGTGCTGCCTCCTAGAAATGACCCCTAAGTGAGCCGAGGCCCAAGGGTATTTGACTCAGTGTTCTGAAAGGGACATAGGCAGAAAGAACTCTTGATGTTCTGCCTCAGGAGAAAGAGCCCCTAGACCCTATGTCTGTGATGATGGAATTAATGTAAAGGTTCTAAAAATTCTTGTTTTAGGTATCTGTTATAAGCCACAGTCACTGCAGTGACTTCATGCTAGCTACCAGCCTGGTGGGCTAAAAGGCTTTGAACCCTCTGTGCCTCTGGTCATGACCGGCCATAGAGTGGGCGGGCTTCATGAGCAAGTGATATTATATGGAGTCTGGTTTGAGCGACACTGAGAATGTCTATTACTTATTCCCTGCACCTCTCTCCCCAGTAAAAGGGAAAGATCTCACTGTCAGGACACCTAAAATTCCATCATCAGAGAAGCACCAGAGACTGTTACCAGTCTTCAGGTGTCCCTTCACTTGTGGCCTGCTGCCACGGCAGCTGTTGACGGCTATTGCTTCCCTGGGAAATGGGGATCAGACTCTGGGTCCCCAGTGCGAGAGCATCAAGGTTTGGATGGGGAGACACAGCAATGCAAAAACCAAGCTTGGTGGACTTCATCATTTTGCCTAGTGGTAGCTGCATATGTAAGCTGACAAATATGTGTGACTGTGCCCCTAAGGGTGTATTTTCCCCAGAGAGTGTCTTTGTGTTTTTTTTTTTTAACCCCCACACACACACCCATGTATGTGTGTATATCTGCATGCATATATATGTGTGTGTGTGTCTGTGTGTCTGTGTCTATAACCAATCTTTAAACATTGGCATTGTCAGTTTCCCGATCTAGCAAATGTAGTAAAATATTTCAATGACACTTTTACCAGTAATTAAGCTGCTTACCTTCACAAAGCCTTCAAACTGGCTTTTAATCTCCTCACAGTTCAGTAAGGATAAGGATCTTTCTCCTGTGTTGCATCTCTGTATCGTTTTCATGAATACAAAATCTTCATGAAGATTCCTTTCATCTTCTATCTATTTTGGAATAACAAGGATATGATAAATGTCATTCGGAAGGAGAATACAGCTAATGATATCTGCCTCTACATTCATTTCCACGGCATCAACAAGAGGAGGACTTTCAGGCATAAATGGAGAATAATAAGTTATTATATTGGCTGATTGCTATTTTGTATTTGCAGTTTAAAAATCTATAAAAGACAGCAATTAAGATGTCATGTTATCAGAAACTCCAGGTAGAAATCAGAGCTATTCTACTAAATGTTCACTACAAAATGCATATTTTTTCAACATACTATAGCAGCAATATTCTGTAATTGTCACATTTCTCATTGCTTCAGTAATGATTGGTCATTATAAACATCAGCCTAGAAAATAGTTTTCTGCAGAGCTAATTTGCCCACTTCATTTTAGTGTTTGTGATGCAGTGCTTTATAAAAAGAAGTTAATTTGCAATGTGTCAGTTAACGAGTTCTAATTACATCTCTCTCCCTTTTAACTTTAGTATTTGTAGAAAACATTTGCATTTTTAAAGAAATCATCTTTTATCCTCAAAGTAACAAGATATTTTATTTTCCAATGTCTTAGAATAATTAAATGTACAGAATTCACTTGCATTATCAACTAATTTTATACCATTTTCTTGCTTTAAGAGTAGATTTTTTAGATTCAAAACAAGATTCAGTTAGCTGGCAGCTTCTGCTGTAATTAAGAGCACATGTAAATAGTACGGTAAATATCAGTCCACTGAGGTCACTATTGCCCCTTTAGAAGCTAGGCCTATGTCCATACATTTGATTGACAGAGCACATCAGGCCAAACACAAATAACCAACCAGACCAGAAGCCCCCTCTTTTGTCAGCAGTGAAACCTAATATTTGGATAACCCAGTGGATGACTTCAGCCCTCACTACCTCACCTTATCCTGTTAGAAAAATCTCATGACATTAATTCTAGGTCCAGATCCTAAGAGAGGACACTCAAGTATCCCTGATAAAGTGCAATCATCCAGATGCTTTCTAGCCACAGTTCCTGCATCCAGAATTTTAGGAACAGCCAGAAAACTAATCAACTTTCTCCTTTACATCTATGATTGGTATTTTGTCAACACCAGCCAATTATACTCCTCAGTGGAAGTGAAAAAATACATGAAAACAAAATAAGTCCTGATGGTTTTCTTTTCCTAAGAATGCAAAACAGCCTACTAAGTTACTCTGCTCTTTTGTTCCTGCAAGTCTAACCATTTAAAAATGTAAAACATCTCAGAGGGAGACTGAGCATCCTGCAACTACAATCAGTGCTTGTGAAGAATTACACAGAAAATGCTACTTTTACTAAAAGACTGCAAATTCTGGGACTTATCCATGTCTATGTTAATCTGAAGCATTATGAAATTTTAGATCAAATTGACGCTCTTCTTGCCTAGCTGGAAATTTAAAAGAAAAAAGCTGTCTCCATAAAAAAATAGCTTACTTTTAAAGCAGAACTTTAGCAAATAATTATAGCTAGTGCGTACATAGTGCTTACTATGTATCAGACCCCCTCCTAAGCTTTTTACAAGGCTAAACTCACTTAATCTATGAAATGGACACCAATACCATCCCCATTTCTCAGATGTGGAAACTGAGGCACTTGCCCCAGGATAACAGAGATGGTATGGGCAGAGCCAAGATTTGAACCCAGGCAGTCTGACTCCAGATCCCAAGATCCTAACCAGAGACAAGAATATGAGACTTCATTGACTAGGCAACAAACATTATGCCACAAGACCATTCTTCTATTTGGTTTCTACCATCATCCATCATTTGGGTAGAACCAACCTATGAATTAGTAAGGACCCCAAATTTAGTTAATAAAGGCTTGTGGTTCATCTTACCTTGTCCAACCTTCTATGAAGATACACAGCAAAAAGTGCTGACCCAATCATCTGGGTGATAAGAAAAACAGTAAGTAAATACATAAAAATTTTCATGCTGATGGGCAGTCCAGTGGCCGCAGATCGGGGAGAAGTTTGGTTGTATGTTTCGATCATGCTGTGTTAAAGTTGAAATGGTATCTTCTGGCAGAGAAGGTGGCAGAGGCAGCATGAGAAGACTGTCAAAGTGGCCACCTTACTCAGGATTAGTTAAGAGCGCACAATCGTTGCAGCCCACACTTCCTGGAAAATGTGCTTCGTAGTCTTCTCTCCCAGCAAAAACGTTACGTAAAGGTTTTTTGTTTTTTTTTTTTTTTTTAATTATACCCATATCATTCACTTCCAGGCTTTCCTTTTTGTAAGTAAAGAAGAAACAAGTTTCTTCTTCCATATATTCATTCTTGCCTTGAAATGTCATAGACTTCTTAACAGACAATGGCAGTATTTTCCTATCACTGTCTAACTTTTTGGGTTCACCAGTTTCAAGGAAAGTGACAAATTCATCCACCAGCAATAGACTTATTTCAATTTCAATCTTACTAATACGAAGCGGGAACCTGGTATATGGAGAAAGAAACACATGTCAACAAAAGTTTGGATTGATTTTATGACTGGTGTCCCATCAACTAATTGCTTCTCAGAACTTTACTTCTTTAATCACTAAACTCAATGAAAGCCTGGCAGGTTTTCAGGTCAAGTCTACATGGCATAAAGCAAAAAAAGCATGCTGATGGTTATTAAATAAAATTTAGCTGGAAAGATAATGCAAGAAAAATAAATTTTGCAAAGGCAAAGATAAGTAGGGTCTTGAGGGAAATCAGGCCAAGACTCTGGAATTGAAGTTAAAGTAAAAATCGTGACTTGACGTAGCTAAGCTGCCTGTGTACACTGTTCCAATCCATTAGATAATTGTTGATGCTGATGTAACAGTTCAGAATAGGGAAAATAGGCTGCAGTTAAGAGATCTGAATTCTAGTCTTTGCTCTACCAATAAATTGCTATGAGCCTTGGGCAAATCACTTCATCTCTTTAGACCTCAGTTTCCTCATACCCAAAGGAGGCACTTGCACCTGTCTTGCTTATCCTGTAGGTTGCTGTGAAGATCTAATAAAGATGTGCATGGAAGAAATTTGAAACACGTTAAGCAATAAACAATTCTCATCCTGAATTTTTTGGAATTTATTTAGCCTAAGACATGAGTTTAACAAATAATTGCCAACTCCTTACATGTTGGTAAAAACCAAATGAACAATAACAATATTAAAAACACCTTAAGTTTTGACAATGAATTGAATCACTGAAGTGTGTAGGATTACACATTTCTGAAGGGCTTTTGCATCATCTTATCAGATTTCCTTCAAACTAAAAGCAGCTGTGGAAATCCCTACCTCACATCCAAACCTGGTCTAGAAACCATGATAAAATTGCTTTGATGATTCCTATAAAATTGTTTTGAGAGACAAATAGGAAACGTAAAAACTGCTCTGATAGGCATGCTATCTATATAGTTAGCACCTGCTTTCTTCCCCTCCCACGCCCCAGCATCCTGTCCTGGGCCCAGATCTATGTAGCTTTTCACTACATCTGCCAAGTAGGTGGCTTCGATGCACGTGATGAACTTTGATCAGTCAAGTCAGAGGCTTTGGTTCTTAGACAAGTAACCTTAGTTCCACTGAAGGAAAATTATCATGAGAGCCAAAATGGGCTCAAGGACTTCTGCACTGTCAGTTTTATACAACTTGAGAGTGCCAGAGCTGCAGGGGCCCTGCAATCAGCTCAGCCAAGACCCGAGGGAGGGGAGGCTGAAGGTCACAGATTTGTTCACGTGACCAACTTGAAAAAACAGTTGTTGTCCAACCTCCTTGCCTCAACTTCTTGATCCCCAGCCTCCTACAGTCTGACTTCTGCCCACAATATTCCCCTGAAATTGATCCCACCATTATTAGCTCAATAATAGTTTTGGCTGAATACTTCTTAGAGTTTATTTTTAGCGACCTCTCTATTACTCTGTTGACCTATTATCCTGTTGTCATCTTCCTGAATGCTCTCCCCACTTGAATTCTATATCACCCTATTCTTAAGGGCTTCTGCCTCTCAGAATCCTTCTTCATGTTATCTTCTTTCCTCTTTGTATCCCTTAAAACTTTGGTATTCCTTCTCTCTATTTCCTTTCCTTCTCCCTTCTCCTCTCCTCCCCTCTCTTCTTGTTCTCCATGGTTTCATTGGGTGATTCATGGGTTTCATGAACTTTCATGGGTTTCAATCTCACCTTCATTGTGATAAATCTCAAATCTATAACTGAAGTCCTGAACTTCAGAGTTGTAAGCACAGCTACCTCTGAAAATCTCTACTTGGATATCCCAAAGCCATCTTACATTTGGTATGCTCTAAAATTAATTTATCTCACCACTCTAATTCCAATCCAGACCTGTTCTCCCTTAAGATTCTCCGTATCTCTGTGAATGGTCCCACCACCCACTTAATTGCCCAAGTCAGAGATCTGGGATCCATTCATGATTTTTCACTCTCTCTTGCCCCAGATTGCCCCAATCCCAGTGGCTTCTTCCTCCAAAAACCTTGGTTGCCACCACTTCTCTCCATGGCCCCTGCCATCATCCTATTCCAGGCCCATATATCCTCTCCTTTGTAGATTACTGAATTGTACCATCCTAACTTATCTCCCTGTTTCTCTTTCTGTCCCACCCCATCCATCTTTCACACTGACAGCAACTGACTCCAGAATGCCCTGCTTGTACCTCAATTGTTGAAGCCTTCTCTTTCTCTCATCCTTCTGCCTGGTCCTCTACCATAATGCCACAATTGGCTACCTTTCCAGCTTCCTCATTTGGGCTGTTTTTTTGATTTCTGATTCTGCATCAGAAGTTCTTTGTCTCAGAACCTCTCATGCCTGTCTCTCCCTAACAGGGAGTTGGCTCCGTTTTAATATCTTCAGCTGCCTAACACGTCCAAAAATGATTATCAAACTTAGTTTCCAAGAAATGTATACATGTATAGGAGTGCATGCAAGTGTCTATAGCCAAAATCAAATATTGACCATCTTTTTCTAAGTTTACAGAAAGAATTAAGTTAATGGATTGAAGTCTCATTTTTCAGTTATTTTTACACAGAATTTTCTTAAATATTGGTCACCCTTTTCTACTACTACTTTTCTGCTAGCTAGTGATTGATTTGTAGCAAATATCAAGGGAAAAATAAGAAAAACAATGGATCATACTTCAACAGTTTGTTTTTGATGTGAATATGCCTGTGGTTGTGATTTTATATTGATAACCCAGAACACAGTCATAATTTCTGCTTGGAAAATCATTTCCAGTACATATGAAAGAGTTAAATATAACAGTATTTTGTTTGTTGTATGAAGGGCCTCCTAAGGGTTCTTTTCCCTGAATATACCTGAAAAGCTCTAGACTAGAGGAAAGGGTCTCGATTCTTAACATGGCAGATGAGTTGACCCCTGCCCACATTTCTCTCCTCATCGTCTACGACTCATTAGGTCTCAAACATTTTAAGCTAGTTTTATTTCCTGAAATGTGCTGTGCTTATTCATGTTATTTGTGTGCCAAGGCTAATTCTCTCCTGTCTTATCTATTAATGTTTTTTGTTTGTTTGTTTGTTTGTTTGAGACAAAGTCTCACTCTGTCGCCCAGACTGGAGTGCAATGGCACGATCTCAGCTCACTGAAACCTCCATCTCCCAGGTTCAAACGATTCTCCTGCCTCAGCCTCCCAAGTAGCTGGGACTACAGGCTTGCGCAACCGCGCCTGGATAATTTTTACAAAATTTTTTTAGTAGAGACGGGGTTTCACCATATTGGCTAGGCTGGTCTCAAACTCCTGACCTCATGATCTGCCAGCCTCGGTGTCCCAAAGTGCTGGGATTACAGATGTGAACCACAGCGCCCGGCTATCTATTAATGTTTAAGTGAAATATTCTGTTCCAGCTGACAAGGTGCTCTCTTCTGTACTTAATCTTTTTGTTGTTGTTGTTGTTGAGAAGGAGTCTGGCTTTGTCACCCAGGCTGGAGTGCAGTGTCATAATCTTGGCTCACTACAACCTCCACCTCCCGGGTTCAAGTGATTCTCCAGCCTCAGCCTCTTGAGTAGCTGGGATTACAGGCGTGCACCACTCTGCCTGGCTAATATTTGTAAATTTAGTAGAGACGGGGTTTCACCAAGTTGGCCAGGCTGGTCTTGAACTCCTGACCTCAGGTGATCCACATGCCTTGGCCTCCCAAAGTGCTGGGATTACACAGGCGTGAGCCACTGTGCCCTACCTCTTCTGTGCTTAATCTATCATAGCATTTGCCACATCATATCATAATGGACTTGTCTGATTTTTCTACCATTAGCTATTAGAGGAAAAAGATAATTAAAACAAACAAACAAACAAAAAAACCCAGAAATTTTGGTTCCTGACACATTGTAAGGAGTTAGTAAATGTTTGCCAAATTACTAAATATTATTTTAAAGAGATAGAAGGGGAAGTTGTAAAATATTCTAACCTGGGAGAATAGCGCTTGGCTAGCTTTTCTAGCAATACATGTCAGAATATATTTACATTTTCTTCAATTCCCTTAATTCTCCCTCTTTCCTCTGGGTCAGTTCCATTTGTTTATTTTGGTCCTTTTCATTATGTTGCTAGTTTTTCTCAAATGCTTGGCCATTTATTTATTTATGAATGAAAACCCGTGTTGGTTATTATGGGTAGATGGCATGAGTTTCCTCTGCAATTGTGTTGATCTATCTGTTTTCCCCACAAACCTCTCTCCGGAATGGGAGGGCTGACTGTGGGTTCTGTTTAAGTGGGTAGGAAATGTCAACAGTCAGGCTTCCCTTTAGGTTATGTGGGTGGAGAGGCAGGAAGACCAGGGACCCCCACAACTGATGAAGTAAGGAGGGCTTTTCTCTGGGGGTGGAGCCTTGTAGAAGGTTTCACTCTTGACTAATATTGGTTTTCCTTTTGGTTTTGTCCTCCTATCTGTTGTGGAGGTCTCAGCACCCTTCCTAGAGCCCTCTCTAGGTAACTTTAGACTGAGGGCCAAGGCCAAATGCTGCTGCTAACAAATGGTCCACTGGGGGAAAGGAGAGAGAGGGAGAGGGCCACTTTTCCCAGCTGTTTCCGCTGCCGCTCTTCAATGATTGCCTCATAGCCCACCCCTGCTCCTCACATTCATTGACTCTGTGATTAATGCTTCTTTGGGAAAGCATACTCTTACAACTTATTGAATTGCAATGTTTACTGCTCTGATCTGTCTGTTAGTCCAAATTCATGGCCTTTCTTGCTTGTTGCTATCTCTCAAAATTTATGTCACATTGATGTCACCTTTTCTTATTTCCTATGGTTGTTGTGGTTTCTTCCTTTTTATATTTATTTTTGACTAAATAATACATTCACATGGTCTAAAATGTAAATGAAAGAGTATGAAAGAGTATGTAATGCAGTCTTTTTCCCATCTCTTCCTTTCAGTCTTCCATGGTTAAACAGTGTTGTCAGTTTCTTATGTATCTTCCTGGGATGCTTTTATGCACATTCAAGCAAATACATAGATATTCCCTTTCAGCCTTTTAACACCCAGCAGTATATAACACATTGTTCTACATCTTAACAATGTGTCTTGGAGATTGTTCTATGTCAGCAAAACACTTCCTTATTCTCTGTTTTTTTACAACTTCATAGTGTCCCATTACATGAATGATGATGTACCATAAATTATTTAACTAGTCCCCTATTGATGAACATTTAGGTTGTTTCCAATCATATGATATTTTTAAATGCTGTAACAAATAACCTTGTACTACTCATTTTTAAAAGTTTTTTTTCAGACATTTTCATGGGATCTGGAAGGCTAAAATTTACATATATTTTAACACTGACCAATCAACTTTTAACCTAAACACATTACACTTGAAGAAAGATGATTTATGGGTTATTGTTTATTTTCCATTAGTGAGACTGATGCACAGTAAATTATGTGTGTTATACACCCTCTTCAAAGCCAGACTTCACATTTTAAAGTGTTCAATGCAAAGTCCTATCTAACATTAAGGATATGTGTGATTCTTCATGTGGATCTGCAGCAGAAAGCTGAAGATGACGTGATCTCTGGTACCTCCATTCAGAATACTGCATTTGTTAGCTGGATTGGAAAGAAGCAACTTCAGGAGACACTTCTTTGAATCAGTTCATTTGTTCACATCAACATTCACTGAGTGCCTAATGTGAGCCAGGTGCTGAGCTGGACCCTGGGGATACAAAGAAAAAGATGATAGTCCCTGCTTTGCCAGGAGTTTCCAGTTCAGAGAAGCTGACCAATACATGAGCAGACAGACAATCATAAACAGTGTGAAAAGCACCACTGTAGAAGTGAACACAGAGTGCTGTGGGAACAAGAAGGAGGAGTACCTACACACCCAGGGGGTGGGGCGGGGTGGGGTGGGATAGAATGCATGTCTGCGAAGCCTCTCTAGAAGCAAAGACACCTGTCATAACTTTGCATCCTGTCTTGCAGCACTCCACTGACAAATCTCAACATTCAGTGTCCATCTGCTGTCCTTGGCCTTTCTAGTCTGGAATCTTCCATCCTTTTCCATTCTGCAGAAGTCTTCTAGTTGGTTATGTTTATTCTGGCACTCCAATGGCTCAGGAAGAGTAACATAGGAGGGGCGTGGGGATAATCACCTCCAGCATAGATGAGTGTGGTTGGGAATGGGGATGTTGGGTGTCTTGATCTGGTTTCTGGTATTAGTTTTCATAGTGTGCCCAGAATCCTCACTCTCCCTTTCTACCAGATGCCTACCTCCATCCCAGGTCCCCAAGGTGAGCTTTCTTGGCACATATCCACTCCAGAGTTGTATCCTAGAGGCAGGATTGTGTCCCCTCGCCACTGCCACACACTCCCCACCCCAAACACAGCAGGAGAGTCATGCTTTGAAGGGAATTCTGGAAGAAATTTCTAGTCATAAGTGGGCTCTTGGGTGCTATTGTAACCCTTGTATGACTCTAACACCTATTGCTGTGAGTTTAGCCAAACAAACAAACAACAACAAAAAAAACAAACCCATAAGTTCCCCACAGCATCTCTCTATATATTCCAAAAGGTTCTCCCATTGATGTTTCCTATGGCAAGACTGTCCGAGGGGCCTTGTGGCTAACACCGAGTAGTCAATATCCTTTCAATAAGTATTTTCCCAGCATTTGGCAAGCACTAGGCTCTCTGATAGGTCTGGGAATCCAAAATGAAAAAGACAGAGCTGCTAGTTAAGGAGATACAAAAGCCAGAGTGGACCACAGTGCACTGGGTAAGCATCCACAGTAGAGAAGTGCAGGGGATTTTGGGAGCATGCAGAAGGAGTGAGGGTGAAGAGGTGACAGACTCAGGGAAGACTTCCTGGAAGAGGAAGCCCTGAAGGAATTTTCTGGGTCAGGAAAGAATACATTCCAGGTACAGGAACTAGCATGTGGAAGGACCCACAGGCTGGAACTCATGGGCTCGTTCTTCTCTTACGGCTGCAGGCTTGGGATCAAAGCCTTCCTCTGGTCTCTGCACAGCACCTCAGGTTCTCCAGTCAGCCCTTAATGTGGAACATGAAATATCAGGTGTTTATAGAACAAAAAGTTCCCTTTCTTCCACGGTGAAGGGTCTCAGGGATGGCATGCTCTGCAGGTGGGCACATAGTTGGCACCTGTTTTCCTTCAAATATCAGCCTGACATGATTGAACATTTAAGACTTGTCTGTGTGGTTCTAGTCCATTTTTTTAAACCTCCCTTGCTCTAGTCTCAGCCTGCCTTTTTTTTTTTTTTTTTTTTTTGAGACAGAGTCTTGCTGCGTCGCCAGGCTAGAGTGCAATGGCGCGATCTCTGCTCACTGCAATCTCCATCTCCCAGGTTCAAGTGATTCTCATGTCTCAGCCTCCTGAGTAGCTGGGATTACAGGTATGCACACCACGCCTGGCTCATTTTTGTATTTTTAGTAGAGACAGGGTTTCACCACGCTGGCCAGGCTGGTCTGGAACTTCTGGCCTCAAGTGATCTGCCCACCTTGGTCTCCCAAACTGTTGGGATTACAGGCGTGAGCCACCATGCCTGGCCTCAGCCTGCTTTCTGCATCTCCCCTAGAGCTCCAGGACTTTAGTAGGCTAGCTCCTGGCTCCACTGCCCAGAAACCCCTCTCCACAGCCTTTCCCCGCCTACCCTGCAATTTACCTCTACCATGATCCTTCTTCTTGACTTAACTCATTCAGGGCTCTCTCTCTCTCTTTCCAACTTCTAACTGGTGTCCTCCAGGCTGCCCTCTTCAGTTCAGACCACAGGCTTGGGCAATTTCTGTCTCTCTGATTCTTCCTGTGGTCTGTTCCTGACAACCCCTTGGGGGCTGTTTGTGAAATGTGCCCTCTGCTTCTAACTCATCTCTTAGGTATCCTCACAGGAGACTGCCTTCTTAGTGGGGGCCTGACGCAGAAGACCTCTAGTTCTCCCACAGTGTCTTCTGGGGCCAGGCCCGCTGTTTCTCACTGAGGCTCGGAGAAAGGCAATGACTTACCATGGTCATGCAGCATGTTAGCGGCAGAGCTGAGAGTACCCCAGGCCTCCTGACTTCCAGCCCAGTAGTCTTTTCCAGGAATCAAGCTGCCTCTCGGAAGACTCAGGTCTTCTAGCCAGCATCAGCTCCCACCCACTGACTGCACTGTGCACCCATCTCTGTTAGCACTTCCTTCCTGAGCCACTTCATTAAAACTGAAGCTGGCCCGTCCAGGCTTCTGACTCAGCAGCCCAGCAAAGAACATCCAGCCATGTCTGCATCTGATTAAGGAAACGCCAGGGGCAGGAAATATATATATATATATATTTTTTTCCTGGCTGAGTCAAGGGGTGCAAAAGGAGGTGGAGAGATTCAGTAAAATAGTTAAGATTTGAGTAGAAGGTAATCTTTCAGCACAAGATGTACCACAGGGACCACAGGGGTGGAAGAGAAATGGAAGGGCTTTATCAAAAGATTTAGGATTACTAGTTAAATACATTTTGGTACAGAAGTATATTACTGGCTTAGAAGGACCCCTGTGATACACTGATAGTGCAAATATCATGGCAGAAATAGGATGTCCCCAGTTTTTTTTTTTTTTTTTTTTTTTTGACAGAGTTCCACTCTTGTTGCCCAGGCTGGAGTGCAGTGGCATGATCTCGGCTCACTGCAACCTCTGCCTCCTAGGTTCAAGCGATTCTCCGGCCTCAGCCTCCTGAGTAGCTGGGATTACAGGCACCTGCCACCACGCCCAGCTAATTTTTGTACTTTTAGTAGAGACGGGGTTTTGCCATGTTGGCCAGGTTGGTCTTGAACTCCTAACCTCAGGCGATCCGCCTGCCTCGGTCTCCCAAAGTGCTGGGATTACAGGTGTGAGCCACTGCAACCGGCCCAGTTCCAGTTTTGTAAAAATAAGTTGAGAGTGTCCCTAAAGTGCTTATGAGTAGTAGCTAAAAGTTCCCCTCCATGCTCTGCACCCATGTTAATTTTTGCCCACAGGTAGATAATTGGAAAACAATTACCACAACCTTTGATAGCTATTGTGGCACGGGTGTTCCCCTGTGAATAAGTGGAGTTGGGAATCTTTCTTCATCACAGTGCCCCATGGTGAACTGCGCCATCTTGGTAAGCGTGGACCTGGGACAGTTTCCACTAGAGCACTTCCACATATAACTCAATAGCCCGTATCTTTGACATCAGGATGTTTTCTGACTTTGAGGAGAAGGATGTCCTGGTACTCCTTGTCACAGGGTGGCTGATGCCTGGAGCCCTCTCTCTCCCCTGACATCGGGGAACCAACCACATCTGAAGCAGTTTCAAATAAGCAGTAGGGTTGATATCTGTTCTGGGTTGAACAGTGTTCCCCTCCCCAAATTCATGCCCATGTGGCACCTGTGAATGTGACTTTTTTGGGGGGGAAATACTTTGTAAATGTAATTAGTGAAATTAATATAAGGTCAAACTGAATTAAGGTGGGCCCTAATTCAATGACTAGTGATCTTATAAGAAGAGGGAAATTTGAACACAGACAAACACAGAGGGAAAACAGCCATGCAAAAACAGAGGCAGGGATTGGAGAGATGTGTCTACAAGCCGCAGAACATCAAGGATTGCTGGCAACCATTAAAAGCTAGGAAGAAACAAGGAAAGACCCTCCCCTAGATCCTTTAGAGAGAGCATGGCCCTACCAACACCTTCAAGTTCAGACTTCTGGCCTCCAGGACTGTGAAAGAATACATTTCTATCATTTTAAGCTCCCCAGTTTGTGGTAATTTGTTATGGCAGCCCTTGGAAACTAATACAACACTTCTGTAGAAGAAAGTGGCTCCATCTTTTGAAATGCTGCTCCAATCATGACCTGAGCAGAAAGATGTTCATCAGCAGAGGACACACAGTCAAGCGGAGGAACCGCATGGCTCTTTGATTATGCTCTACACTCCTCTACATGTGCACACAGAAACAAGTCTGCAAGGTACCACAAGACTTGTGTCTGGGTGATAGGTTCTGGGGTATCTTTATCTTTTTGCTTTAACTTGTCTATATTTTTGAAGTTTCCCACAATGAATATGTGCTACTTGTGTAAAAAACATGTATCTATAGCTATATCTACCCATCATCTATTTATCTATCTATCTTTAATCATCAGATTTTTGCCATTGAAAGTAATGGTAAAACCACAATTACTTTTGCACCAACCTAATACTTGTATTCTCTATTCTCATGCACTTGCAGAATCCTTCCAAATGAAATAGACCCAGGGTACCTTCATTTCTTGTAGGCCCAAAGCTAGGAACTACTCCCTAAAAGTGGTGGCAAGGATGAGGGTAGACGATAATAAAACCATATGTTTATATGGTATTGGATACTCTTCAAAGAGCACACCTCTGTATCTGTCGACCCATTCAGCCTGATACCCCTCTGATAGATGAGAAATCTGAGGCTCCAAATTCTAACTGTTATCTTCCACGCTGCCCTCTTCAGTTCTGACCCCAGGCTCAGGAAGTTGTTAAGCAGCTCCTCCAAGGTCTCATAGCTAATAACTTAGGGTCTTGATGCCTGGTCCAGCACTGGTTTCTAGAATGTAAGATCCATCCATAAGGGCAGGGCCTTTTTGTCTTTTTTATTCACTGGTGTATCTCCAGCACTTAGAATGGTGCCTGGCATATAGTAGGTGATCAGTAAATTTTCACTGAATGAATGTATATATAATTACAGTGTGATGAAAGCAAGCCCTTCTGGAGAAGTATCTTCTGCCACTAGGAACATTTTTGTTTAGGCCAGGCTGTTGTGCTCTGCAGAAGGTAAGCAGGGCTGCTGAAGGGGTCCTGCTCTCTTTCCAGTCTCTGTCCTTCCACAGCCTGGCCCCCAGCCCCAGGTAAGAGTTAGCTAATTCCTAGAGCTTTGACTCTCACATCATCTACACGGAGGCTTCTATGTAGTGTGGTTCAAGGCAGGACTGGAAAAGGCTCTTTGTCCAAAAATAGTGCCACTCAGCAAAAAGATCCAGGGACAAGGGAAGGGCAGGCCAAGTGATTTGGGACCAGGACAAGGAACAGGACACAGCAAAAAATATTCAGGGAGAAGGTAGTGGAAAGGTGCATGGGACAGTTTAGGAACAGAACAAGAGGGGTGCAGAAAGTGTCCAAAAACAAGTCAGGAAGGAAAATCTTGGTGAAACAAATGGGAAAAAGGAAGGTGGGGGTAGTGCAGGCAGAAAAGTCTTGTCCTCCCCACCCAACCGCTGCCCCGCCCCAGACCAACCCTGGTTCACACACTCTCTCCTCAGGATAACCTCCCACTTCCCTCACACAGGTGACACCTTCCCACCTGGCGGCTGTGTCCAGGTCTTCTAAAGGACAAGCTTTGTACAGAGGGGCAGGCTCCCTCCCCAAGTGTCCTTTTTAAGTGCAAATCCTCCTGGGAAAGCTGCCAGGGAGTAAATTTCCAGGAAGCCCTAAAGCTGCCCCTTCCCCTGCCTGGGAGGGTGGGGGTGGGGCTACTCTTAACGCTGGCAAGGACTGGGTTGAGAGAAGCTGGGGAATTTGAGAAGTGGAGGGAGGGCAGGGGGCCTCCGAGGGCTGGGGTCAGGGGGCAGAGCTCTGGGGACTTTGAGGATTTCACAGTCCTTCTCTCCCCTGGCCCTCTTCCACACACCCCAGGATGGGAAGAGAAAGCTTAAGGAGGATTAAGGGCCAACTAATTATAGGTAAGGAAGTTGTCTTAAAAAACCAAGCTCACAGCACTATCTCAATTAAGAGCCATGTCTGGCTAATTTACTAGACAAGGGGAGAGGTACGGTTTTGAGAGCAGGAGAGCACACATTTCTGCGTCCAGGTAGACCCACAGGTATCTGGGGAAAGGAAGTCTCCTGGGGACTTTGAGCTATACCGGAGGGGAGTCACGAGGGTGTTTTTCTTCTCTTCCAACATTGCATGCTGCTGTCCCCAGACTTCCATGGGTTCGCAGCACTAGTCATCACTAGGTACAAAATGCCAATCCGGGATTTTACTCATGTGGCTGAATTAACGCATTTCACCAATTTTCAATGCTCCTATTTCCATGCTTCTTAACAAAAACTTATCTCAAAATCCTCTTCCACCTGGGAGCAGAATGCTTATTTGCAGCTTAGGACACATAAGGATTTTCTGTCACTGGGATGAGATTTGGGAATATCCTTCACAGAGTGGGTGAACTGTAAAAAATACTGCATTTTCAGAGTTAGCGCCTCTGAAACCGGAAATGTGAACAGAGCTGACTTAGTGCTAATACTTTCTCTTACTCCTGTAAGAAAGAGGAAAGACTGTGCTAGAGTTAGCAGTGATGTGCGAAAACCACAGTAGAGGTTTTGTGAAGAAGAGCATTTGTGGCTTTTGCACAAGTTATTCCTAAACCAAGTCTGGGGATGGCATATGACACTTTTCAAAGTAGCTTCTGGATTGGTATTTCACTGAAATAAAGATCTTTCAGCAAGACCGGAAAGCCAAAAATCTACGTTTCATGACCTCTACAGGAAAGTAATAGTTGCATTGTGGAACATTCTAGAATGGCAGGCTCAAACCATGGCCCGGAAGAACTGTAGGCTTTTTGGGGTGGGAGGTGGGGCGAGACAGGGAAAATCTAATTCCCAATAAAGGTTTCTGATCGTTTTCCACTCACTCTCCCCACCCCCTCACCTAGTTCTGTGGCTCTTCTCCAGCCACCTCCTCTAATAAAGAGGCTTCTATTAAATAGCTGGGAAAGAGAAGGTAGAGGAAACAGAGAAGAAAAAAATTAATGCTAATCTCAGGAAGTCCGTAACACTTTTAACTCAAATGTTGCTTGTATATGCAAATAATTTGCATCAGGTACCCAGTTATACTGTGAGTGTTCCAAAGTATGTCATGCACCTAGATGTGGCCCTGGAAAAAGTCACTGCTGTTTTGTAATTAACCCAGACTTGTATAAGAAGAAAAGAGGGATTTGCCAGGTAAACATATGTTTATCACTATTCATAAAAGTGAATGAGAAGAGGAAAGAAACAGCCTAATGGAGTAAAATGAACATCTTTGCCTCTCACTGCGTTCTTTGGGCTGGTTTAAGTCTCTATGGAATAAACTAGTATTTTTAATATCCAGAGAAAACTGTGGGGTTTTTTTGTTTTTGTTTTTGTTTTTGTTTTTGTTTTGAGACAGAGTCTCACTCTGTCACCCAGGCTGGAGTGCAGTGGCATGATCTCGGCTCACTGCAACCTCCACCTCCTGGATTCAAGCAATTCTCTTGCCTCAGCCTCCCAAGTAGCTGGGATTACAGGCCACACCACCACACCTGGCCAGTTTTTGTATTTTTAGTAGAGACAGGGTTTTGCCATGTTGCCCAGGCTGGTCTCGAACTCCTGACCTCAAGTGATCCACCCAGCTCAGCTTCCCAAAGTGCTGGGATTACAGGTGTGAGCCACTGTGCCTGGCCCAAACAAGGAGTGTTTTTAAATAGCCAATTATCCTAAACAACATCAGGCTGAAGCAGTTTCACTCATGAATTCTTTCAAATTTTCAAGGAACAAGTAATGTTGATACTTTTTCAAATGTTCTAGAACAGAGAAAAATAAAAATATTCTCATTAAAAAAATCAAATCCAGCATGACATTGATATCGAAATCTGACAAAGAGCATAAAAATTAAGCTGCCTGCAGTCTCACACATAAATATTTATTGAAAATATGCCAAGTAAAATATTAGTAAATGGAACCTAGCTGTATGTGAATAGAGTCATACCTTCACCAAGAGGGACCCATTCAAGTAATAAGAGGATAGTTTAATATTAGAAAATTCATTAATCTAATTCACTTAACAGAACAAAGAAAAAACATTATTGTGATAAATAGTGAAATAGCAAAAAATTCAACAATAATTCTTGGTGATGTTTTCAGAAAAGGAAGAATGGCAATGTTCTTCATTCCTAAGATGAATTAATATTTCTATCTTACTATCCTTATAACTTCAGGCATGTCACTTACTCTTTGTGCCTCCGTTTCCTCATATTTAAATAGGGATGCTTCTCAGTATTGTAAGGATTCAATAATACATATGTAAAGTGGTATCACACTACACCCAATTCCCCCCATCCTCTCACCACCTTATTTTCTCACCTATGTAATGCCTATTAAACTGTGTGGAACACACGAAGAGAAGTGATATACTATCATTTTTCTGTTTTCCTGTGTTTTCTTCACTTGCACCAGTGAATGTGGAATGTTTTACTGCTGCACTGGCTTGTGTTTATTAATGCATGGTGTCAAAGTCAGATAAAGATATAGAGTCAAATCTCTAAAACAAGACATTTTATTTGGAAAGCAAAATTGCAATTTTGGGCATACATGCAGACTGGGTTGGCCTTCAGTGTGTCCAAAGAACAAAGAGAAGGTTGGAGGTTTTAGTAGAAAGAGAGGCCAGGCGTGGTGGTGTGCGCCTGTTGTCCCAGGCACTCGGGAGGCTGAGGTGGAAGGATCGCTTGAACCCAGGAAGTCGAGGCTGCAGTGAGCTATGATTGCACCACTGCACTCCATCCTGGGTGACAGGGGAAGACTCCGTCTCAAAAAGTTAAAAAAAAAAAAAAAGAGAGAGAGAGACATGTCACATATTGTTTTGAAAGAAAACTCATTGGAACTAGCGAAAGTTTTGGGAGTGGGCAAGCTCTGATCAGTGAGTGATGGCAGTGGGTAAAACTGGTCTTAGGGTTATGGCAGGTCATTTTGGTAGCTGGCTTGTGGCATAATCTCTGGGCAGGTGCTTACTCCATGGTCTCTCAACTCTAGCTGGGTATGACAAGTTAACTCCAATTCATAGAATCAATTTTCACAATAGTCTTATAAACAAAGTAACATTCTTCCTGACCACTTAGGCATTTGGATTCCCTCCATGCTACTCCTAGACTCCCTTAAAGTAAGATTGTACTGAATGGCTTCATTGGTTATAATAACCCAATGGTTCTCAGCTCTGTTTGCACATTAGAATCACCTAAACAAGTTCCTCAGGTGATTCTATTGGGTATCTAGAATTGCAAACTGATAGTCATTTCCCTCCAAGTTACAATACTTTTACTAGCTCTACACAAATTGATTTATATGACATTTGATTCTGAAATCAGCTGTGATTCATTGCTAAAAATTAACTGCATGACTTCATAATACCCTAAAAGACCACTCATCGGAATGAATGCACTGTCAAAAAGAAAGAGAACTTAGGGGAAAGAGCAGGGTGCAAGTAACCCAACTTCGGGGGCAATCTCAAAATTAGGTAAAAGAAAAAAAGAGAAGCAAAGAGGGATTTAAAAACAAAACAAAACAGAGAACCAGGATTGGCAAGTACCATAGAAACCAAAGTGGGAAACAAATGCAAGAAGGACTAAGCTCAACTTTCTTTTCCCCTCAAACATCTCCCATCCCAAAAGGAAGGCTTTTTCTGGGCTAGTGGGTGTGGCATAACCCTCAGGACCAAAGCCACACTGCCTGGCTTCAAATACCCACTCTACCATTCCCCAAGAATACAACATTGGACAAGTCACTAAACTCGGTGTGCCTTTATCTTATCACCTGGGAAATGGGAGAATGGCAGTCTCTTCCTAGGGCTATTGTGAGACCTAAGCAAGGTACCAAAAACAGCACCTGAGAAATAGTATATATTATGTTGAGTGTTAGCTATGTTTATTTAAATCGTACCATGTATTCTCCTTCTGCAGCATTTGTCCCAGTTGTCATCTTACAATTTCTTTTGGTGATTAAGTTGACCCATCTTGTATATCCTCCCTTTTGAATTAACTAAGAGTCAACTAATTTGGGACCTTAATTACATCTGCAAAATCCCCTTATCTTTGCCTTAAAATGTAACCTAATAACAGGAGGAATACCCCATCATGCTCACAGATTCTCCCCACAGAGAGGGAAGGGAATTATATAAGGCATGTACACAAGGGGTAGGAATCTTAGGGGCCATCTTAGAATTACCTACCACGGGAATTACAGTTGACCCTTGAACAACTGGGGGTTAGGGGAGTTGGCCTCCCATGCAGTCGAAAATCCTTGTATAACTTTTGACTCCCCAAAATGTAACTAATAGCCTACTGTGGACTGGAAGCCTTACCAGTAACATACACAGTTAATACATATTTTGTATGTTATATGTATTATATACTGTATACTTAAACTAAAGAAAAAATGTTATTAAGAAAATCATAAAGAAGAGAAAATAATTTTACTATTCATTAAGTGGAATTGGATTATCATAAAGGTTTTTGTATTGATCATTGTCTTCATGTATAAGTGGACCAGTGTAGTTCAAACCTGTCGTTCAAGTGTCTACTGTATTTGAGTAATCTCTCTCTCCCCGACTAGATCATAAACTCTACAGGGGCCTGGGCCATATCTGTTTTGTAGAATGAACAAACCAATGAATGAATGAAAAATGAAAGAGAACCAGAGAAAAACAGCTGTGTATATATCTGTTTTGATTTACCAAAAGCCTACCGCTATGTTCAAGAAGCGAAGGAGCCCCTACAACTTCACAAAAAGCTGTGGAAAGCTATAAAGCTGATGCCCAGGTGAGCAGCAAGACTGAACCCTTCTTTGGTGCTCATCACGTTCCCTAGAGGCAATGGGGGAGCTGTCTGGGACCTCTGCTGGCTTGGGCAGTTCTCATACCACAGGGTCTCCATATGCCCAGCTCTAGCTCCTTGACAGCACCTGGAGCATAACACCTGGTGCTCTGAACACAGGGGAACCCTCTGATCTCAACTGTTTATGAAGAGATCAAGGGCATCCTGAGTGAGGAAAGGAAGGGGAGAAATGGTATCTAAGGCCAAACCTAAGAACTTCAGAGAAAGAATTCAATATCTTACCTCAAAGGCACCCAGAGTATTTTTTTCTTTTCCTTTTCCTTTTCACTTGGGGTGTATGAAGTGCCACAATTGCTATATGGTCTGAACTGCAGATCACCCTATTGTTCTCTCATTCACTGGCCCCATTCCCTTCCTAGCGACTGAGCCCCTGTTCTGTGCCAGGACCCAGGATGGGTCCACTCAGTATTTTTTTGTAACACCATTTTTGAGATATAATTCTCATACCATATGATTCACTCATTATAAAATGTATAGTTCAATGGTTTTTAGTATATTTACAGAGTTGCACAACCATCAACACTATCTAATTCCAGAACATTTTTTAACCACCCCTTAAAGGACACCCAGTCCCCTTTAGCAGTCATGGCCCATTCCCCCACCTTCTGCCCCTCACTCAGTTTTGATTGAGGCAGGATCCCTGCCCTCAAGGCTCTCTCATCCTAGTACCACATCACTGGGCTCTGGGGGGCCAGAAGGCCAAGATTCCAGTACTGGCTGTGCTCCTGACTAGCTAGGTGACAGGCCTTCTTTTTCTGCGACTCAGTTTTCTTAGATATAAAATGATGGGGCTGAACAATTAGAAGGGAGTTTGCTGCTTGCATATCTTATCCACAAACTATTGCTGTGAGCAAGGTATTAATTTAGTCCAACAGCTTAGCATTCTTTCTGCCTTCATAATGCCTTCACTTTGGTTCGCCTCACCTCCAATGCTTTCTCCTCCTTTAGAGCCACCCCAAATGTACTTCTTCCAGGAAGTTTCATATGATGTCCTCTTTTATCTAAACTCCTATGGCAACTAACCGTCTACCACACAACTTGGCCCTTCCTTATCTAGAGAAAGTCTGTGCTTCTTGTGGATGGCTGGGGTATGGTATCCCACAATGTCATTCTCTTTCTTCACCCAGTACCTCATGTTTTTGCAATTCTTTCCTGTTTGACACCTAACAAGATATTGCAGTACTTCAGAATGTGCCTTGGGTTGGGAAAGAAACAGGATGGGACTAAAATGGTGTGGGTACTTCTTATATGCCCAGTCCATGCTAAGAATCCGATATGCCACACTGGAGGCTCCCAGCAGCAACTTGTGGGGTAGGACCAAGGCTGGGAAGGGTCAAATTACTTGGCCAAGCTAGTAAGCAACATAAAAAAGATGAAAATCCATTTGTGTAAATCCTAGGTCTGTGTTTTTAACCTCTATGCTATGATGGCTCTCACTATGGTAGGAGATGCTGGAGGGGATGTAGTCAGATAAAGTCCAAATTCTTCCTGTAACTAATGGGCATTGGGCTCACGACAGAGAGCAGTGACCTATGCAGCTCCATCACAGCCAGCTGCATGCTGGGCACACAGTAGGTCCTCAGCTCCTGCTTGCTCAGGCTCTGGGTGAACCGTCAAGACACTGAGATAAGACAGCAGACTTGTGGGAGGATGTGGCTGCCCCCTGAATCTCAGTAGAAAAATAGTTTACCTCAAACAGGCCTAATTTCTGTTAAGAATTCATTTTCAGTTAGCCAGGGATTTCTTTAAAATTGCCCTTAAACCCATCTTATTATTTTCACGGAGAAGCTCTACATTTTAGAATGCTTCACGCACCAATGCTCGATGGAGCTCTGGTTTTCTGATGAGAAAAGTGATAAGTGTTCATTGTGGGAAACTTTAAAATGCAGAAAAATATAAAGAAGGAAACAAAAGCACCCACAACCTAAAGATAACCACTGATAACATTTTGGAGTATTTCCTTCTAGACTTGCTGGCTCGCATGCATTCTCTCTCAATAAAGAAATAAATACACATATATTTGGCATCACTGGAATCACATGGAGTATATAACTTTATACCTGCTTTATCCCTGTGCACTTTTCCATTGGTTTCCAAATTTGTCCCTGTTAGGAACTGATTTTGTAAACAAGTTGATTTGAACACTGGCTCTCAGGCACTTTCCATAACCATCAAGTACTGAAACCTAATCAAGTGGCAAGAGCTCCAAAGCCTGGAGGGTGGTGGAGTAATTCGCAGAGGTTGTTGTTTGATAGCCTAGGAATTCTCTTCCATTTACCTGGCACTTAATTATGTAGCACCAGGCAATGGTACTTAACTGTTTTTTGTCTCCTCAATTAGTTTATGAGCTGCAGAACAAGGGCAAGGTATGAATCTTTGGTGCCCTATACCTTCACTCCGCATTTTTTTAATAAACAATGGCTAAATGGGCTTAAACGTATTTTTGAGATATTTTTGGTCAATGTAGTAAGCGGCCCCCACAAAAATATTTTGGTAAATCTGGTGATTCGTTTGATGATCTGTGAGACCAGGAAAAGCTCTAAGTGGAAAATCTTAGCCACAAAGGTCATCTTCCTTCCCAGGAAGAGGAGGCGCCATCTTGTACCCAATGCACATTTCCTCTGTCTTCCCTACTTGAGGACCATCCACACTGAGCTGAAATTGGGTGCTCCCAACTGTTCCTTATCCTCCTCCTGAGGCTCAGCTTTCTAAAACCACCCTGGCAGGCACTCATAAAAATGGGTTGCACCAAGGCTTCAACTTAGAGGAACAGAAGGGAATGAGGCTGATGGCTCTTGGGCTGGGGTGACTCAGTTTCTCTGGCCTTATTACTGAGAGCCAAGAGCCCAGCTGAGTGCCTCTCCTGGGCAACCCTTAGAGGATGGATTATTGCTCAACCCATTGAGATTCTCTGTTTCTGGAAGACTGGGGTAGGTGAGGGGAAAAATCAACTCATGGTTTCAGCCTGGGGACTTGATTGTATAATACCTGCACAGAAACCCCTCTTTTAAATAAAATTCTGAAAAAGCATAAAAGTAATTTAACAATATTACCAAAAAAGGAGAAAAGGAATACAATTACCAATTACTCAAAAACCTACCTTTCTAACATAACTATTGTTGTCATATTTCCTTCTTAGTCTTATTTTTATATATTTTTTTCATGGTTATAATAATAGAATACATGTAATTTTTGCATCCTGCTTTTTTTCACTTAGCCTTTCCTAATAAGCGTTTTTCTATGTTGCCTCATATTTTAATAGCCACTGTTTTAGAAGGCAAGATGATAAAATATTTCCCTTTAATGACATCACATCACTGTGAAATTGTGTTTTTTCTCCTATTTCTCTGCAATAGATACAAGGTTAAGAGGTTCAAGATATGACTTCTGTCCTCAAAGAGCTTTTACTTTTTCTGGCAGGGATAGTCATTTCTTCAAAGACCCTTAAGTTGGAGCTGCATGAGCCGCATCAAGTTCACGAGAAATGGAGTATGTATGAGTACCACTGGATGAGTCATTTTTAGTGACCCAAGTCTCCCACCCTCAAACTTAGATCCTATATTGGCACCTATCACCTACATGACCTACTCCCAGCTAAAGAGGTGTTTCAGTGGCCTTGATGTGGGGGTTGTGTGTGTGTAAGCCTCTCCCACATCCTTTTAATCTGGTTGTTTGGTTTGCTGGAGAGTGTGCCCCGGTGGGTTTACACCCCACCCCCGTGGTAACCAATTAAGAAGATTCTAGCAACTTGGAGGACATCAAGTTAAATCCCAACATGAGAAGCAGAATCTTTCTGACACTAACTGGCTCAGCTGATGGAAGTGTCACTGAGACTCTATAATCCTGATAAGAATGACTGCATTTTGTCACATTGCTGAAAACCTCTAACCCTAAGTTTTACTTAGAGGCCAGTTAATGCTTAGGACTCTTTGAAATCTATAATTTGTGGTTGTTGATTTGCACAGGAATTGCCAACCCAAACCATTTGCATCATGGGCCTCTTTTATTAGGATGGACCCTTTTTAGTATCCTAGATTACATGAAAGAAGCATGTTCTTGATACAAGGAAATCTTCATCACTGGCTGCCAAACCTCAGGAAATAACAAAGCCACCAGCACCATTGTGTTCTCAAGCGAAAAAAGTCATTTGAACATTTGGTGTCTTTGGGTATACTAAGAGCTATTCTGACTTCTAAACAGGGTACTAGCCCTTTAGCCAACATTCTGCTAAAAAAAAAAGACCTTTCTGTGCTTTTCTAACTGACTCTACAGTATGTTTTTTAAACTGAGCCCAAGAGTTATTGACTTTGGTCAATAGTTTCCTAGATCAATTGAAATAAGCAGCTTTTCCTGAGGAACCAAACTCAAGCATCCCAGGTACTGGAATGTGGGCAATGCCAGATGATTTGAAAATCAAAGTTTAAACTTTGAATTATAGAAATACTGTGAAAAACAGGTGTCACAATAAGGCCCAGTAAAACATCCTTCAATGCCATTCCCTACAGTTCGTCAGAGGGAATCTTGAATACTCAAATTTTTTCCTCATCTTTAAGAACAGCTTCTGTTCATTTCCCTGCTAGAAGGTGGCAGATGGTACTCCACCCTTACAAAAAGTCTCTCCCATTTGAATTGCCTACTTAGCTTCCTCAGTAAAATATTTCAGTAGTTTGTCCACAGCCATTAGTCTTCCTCTAATTGCTCTGACTCAAATGAAGATTGACTTTGTGGTTGGAAATTTCGTGACATTACCAAGAAAGCTCAGTCAGTACCAGGACTCTTCTCAAACTTCTATTTGCAAACCCAAGGAAAGACCTTTAGCAGGAAAGGACAAAATACTGATATGCAAAACAATTATGTGATGTTTGGTAGAACTCAAATGATTAGTGAACCTACCCTTCTCTCCGTTTTTTTTTTTTTTTTTTTTTTTTTGGTCAAAGGAATGAGTTCAAGGAAATAGTGAGGGTACCTACTGATCGTTTGTGTTCATGAGGGACAAACAGGTTCTGGAAAATTAAAAGCCAGGCAATATCAAAAGTTTATGTTAAGCTAGTACTTTCAAAACTATTTCTCACTAAAGCTTTATTTTTGCTTTTCTCCTTGCTCTGGATCATTCTTTGCTGGAAGTGGAAATATGGCTTTCACAGCTAGAAAGCACTTGAGGACATCATCAGCTGTATTAAGGATCAAACTAGAAGCTAAGAGCAGCATGGGGTCCAGGCATGATCCTGTTTCTAAATAGATGATAGGGATGGGGCAGAGTGGGTAATACATCATAGACTCATGAAATGTGAAGGTGAAGGAGATCTTAGAGCAATGAAACTTATTAAAAATGCAGATTCTAAGACTCTAACACCAGAGATTCTGATCCAGTGGATCCGGGCTGGGAACAAATACATCAGGTGATTGTGCTGCCAGTGGTCCATGCTGGGCTACTTTGAGAAAGCCTACCTTAGCAGGATGGTTATAGAGCCCATTTATTTTACAAAGTAGCAAACAGAGGCCCTGAGACATTGGTCATTTGCTCAAGGGCCTTGAGAACAAAATTAAGATGCCAGGTTACTCAGCCCAGGGCCTTTTCCTCTCTGTGATGGTCCTAGTGAGAGTCCTTTTTCCTTCCGGGCTTTCCATGTGAGTGTGTACCAATGGCCAAGGATTCCAGTTGGCCTGTTGTTTCCAGCTACAGCCAGTATTACTGCTCACTAGAAGCTTTAGACTGAATGGGCTGTGCTAGCAGGGGAGGGGCACCCACAAGAAGGATCTGGCCCCCTCAGCTTCATTGTTCCCTGTAAACTGACTGAACTGCAACACAGACTTCCTTGGGGCCAGAGTGCCAGGCTGTAAGGACAAAGTGTCATTTCTGTTGGCTAAGCCAGCCAGCTATTTCACATCCAGTTACACATCTGGATCCCTGGGCCCTCGAATATATCTATTCTGTTGAGAACTTTCCCCAGGAGACCCGACCCCTTGACATATACACAGTATTAAAAACTTGAACATCTGGTCACCTTACCTAGCCAAAAACAAAAATATTAATTGACCACATATATATAGCGTATTAGTTTGCTAGGGCTGCTGTAACAAAGTACCATAAACTGGGTGTGGCTTAAACAACAGAAATTTATTGTTTCACAACTATGGAGACTGGCAGTACAAAATCACAGTGTCAGCAGGATTGGTTCCTTTTGGAGATGCAGAGGGAGGGTCTGTTTTATCTCTCTCCTGATGGTTTGCTGACAATCTTTGGTGTTCCTTGGTATGTAGATGCATTCATAACGATCTCTGCCTTCATCTTCACATAGCATTCTCTCTCTCCCTCTCTCTCTCTCTGTCTCTGTGTGCGTGTGTGTGTGTGTGTGTGTGCGTGTGTCTGTATGTGTGTTCGTGTCTGTCTCCCAATTTCCCCTTTTTATAAGGACAGCAGTTATATTGGATTAAGAGCTCACCCTACGCCAGTGGGGCCTCATCTTAACTAATTACATTTGCAATAACCATATTTCCAAATGAGGTCATATTTTGAAGTACCAGGGTTAGGATTTCAATCACCAGTAGTACTAAGGATCAAACCAGAAGGCAAGAGCAGCACAAGACCCAGACATGATCCTGTTTCTAAATAGATTATGGGGATGGGGCAAAGTGGATAATATGTTATAGACTCATGAAATGTGAAGGTGAAGGAGATCTTAGAGCAGTGGAACTCATTAAAATGCAAATCCCAAGACTCCAACACCAGAGATTCTGATCCATTAATTTCAAGGGACACAATTCAATGCATACCATGTCATCTTTGTTTAGTCCAACAATAAATAGGGATGAGCAACTGGTAGTGGAGGTGAGACGGGTGAGGAGTGGAGAGAAGAGCAGAAGAGTAGAAACAAACCTGAGTATAGGGCTGCTTAGTGAAGAGAGAAGTGTTTGTTAAGCAAGAGAACTCAGATGTCAGGGAGGAAATTCCATCAATTCAATATTAAAATTATGCACCATATACCTTTTATTTGCAAAATTCAACATTTCATAAGGACAGATGAATGTTTCGTGAGAACGCTCCACGTGCATGAAGTAATATTTTGTTGACAGAATGTGCTCTTCTGAATCAAGAAAAAAAGATAATCATGCCCTTTTTTATTCTTTGGAGCTTTCTAATATAGAGTTCTCCAAATCTCCTAACTTTAAGAGAAAAATAGAAAACATTAGCTTAGAGATTTTTTTTAAAAGATATAGAGGCATTTTACTACTGAGAACGTAAATAGAGATGTTATAGACCTCGTATTCAGATGCTCCAAAGGTGTGGTTTGCTACGGCTAACTTTGAAAAATAGAGGATATAGCTCACGGGTAGCCTGGCAAGAGGAGGGAGGACATGTAATCAGGAGCGGGATGGAAAAAGCCAACTTGGTGATGACAAAATTGTCTTGAATCAGTCCTATAGTTCACTAACAAAGATTAGGAAGCTATTTTTAATAGGAGAGAGAGGGGCCACCCAACAGACACTGCCAAGATCACCCACTGTTGTGGTTCAGGCTAGCCTCAGGCTTAGGGTACTACAGGAGAACTAGCAAGTGAGTGCTGAGTCACCTACCCAGAGTTTCTAGAAGACAGAGGTGGGCAATTCTGGGGTTTGATGGTCACAGAGTGTGGCTTCTGGTGGGCCACAGTCTAACTACTCCAGATCTCAACAACAGTGAAAAGAGGAAAGAGAAATGCTTGGTGCACGGAAGTTATAACTTGAAGGTTTAAACTTCAACTTAATGCTTCTGTTTTGTCTATTTAGTGGCCTATCCATGGGCCAATTTTTATTCACAGGTTCATTTATTACTTGAAGCAGCATAATAACTTACGTAGCATTTACTATGTGCCAGGTGCTAAGTATTTTACAAATAATAACTCACTTAATCCCCACAACAGATGAGGAAATGGAGGTACACAAAGATGAAGTAACTTGCCTAAGGTTATTGTGCTAGCAAGTTGGCAGAGCCAAGATTAGAACCTTAGCAGTCTGACTTCAGAGTCTATGCTCACCATCACTGCAACTGCATACTGCCTACTCACTGCATGTGAAGGAAGATCAGTGGAGGCAAGCAAGTCCACTATCCAGAACCATCAGGGGAAACACTCTTCTAGAGAAGCTCATTTTTCAAGTACAATCAAGGGCTGCATAATGACATTTTGGTCAACATGGAACTGCATATACAAAGGTGGTTCCATAAGATTACAATATCGTATTTGTTTACTGTACCTTTTCTATGTTTAGATATGTTTAGATACACAGACACTGAGCACTGTGTTACAATTGCCTACAGCATTCAGTACAATAACATGCTGTACAGGTTTGTAGCCTAAGAGCAATAGGCCATACCATATAGCCTAGGTGTGTAGTAGGTGATACCATCTAGGTTTGCGTAAGCGCACTTTATGATGTTCATACAATGAGGAAATTGCCTATCAATATACTTCTCAGAATGTAACCCTGTCATCAAGCAATGCATGATGCTAGTTGACGGCCAGTCTTTTACAAGTGGAAACTTCCAAAGTATAGCTGTTGTTGGAAAGAAACTTCCTGAAATGTTATCTCCCAACAGAAGACTCTAAACATGTGGTCATGTTTTCTTGAAGATTATATGTTTCATTATGAACATTATTCATGCATTCACTCCACATTTATTAAGTGCTTGTGATGTTATTGTAGATGCCAATGGTGACTGCACTGAACTCTAGCTGAATGAGCTTTTTGGTCACTATAGGACAACAGAGCCCCAGTGTTCTACCTGAATGCTGCAGCATACCGGTTGACATGTCTTCAGCTGGATTGGCTCTACGATTAGATAGACCTTAGGTGATTCATGTTCAAGTGACTCTACCACTTACCAGCTTCGTGACTTTAGGTAAGTCAATGAGCTTTAGTTTCCTCATCTGTCAAAGGAAGATAATTATGTCTCGCCTCAACGGTTGTGAAGACCCAAATGTCATAATGCAGGGAAAGCACAGTGCCTGGCCCCTAGTGAACCCTGTGATCACAAACCAAGCAGAAGATTCCTCTCATTCTACATAGGAAACCCACTCTTCTTAAGCATTGGGTATCACCTCAGGGGCTTTGGTCTTCCCAGCTCTGTTCTTTTGCGGCTGCATGCTCAAGTGCAGCTTCTAAGCTATTGCAGAAGCCTTTCCCCGTCCTGAGCCAAGCAAACCTAGGCCTGTCTGAATGGGAGAAATAACATGGGCTAGTGGTTGACATTGCTCAAGCATTATGCCTTGTACAAAGTAGGCACTCAATGAGTGGCAACTCGAATGAAGTAAACAATAAGCAAAGTGGTTGATTCACCTGGCTTGCCTCACCCTCACCCCGCCTTGGTTGTGCCTCACTTTCTCCGCCTGTATGTGAGCCTAATAATACTTGCCACCTACACACCTTATTGCTGTTGTGAGGGTTATCGTGGGCAAAGGCCATAGAGTGCGGGGGATCATTAAAAGGTGTACATCTAACAAAGTGGAAACCTTTGAACTTTCAGAGCTGTGGGGTTGTCATGCGGAGACCTGTTATCTTCACCTTTCAAACTCCTCTTCAGCATTTCAATTATGTTAGAAGTGAAAAGTGTTCCCTTCCGGCCTTGAGCCAGTGCATACATATCCAGGAGAGTGTCTTGGCCTCTAGGCAGCCTGTACTCCAGCTTACCTTTCACCAAAAGTCCACTGAAGTGAAATAAGCCAGGCACAGAAAGACAAACATCGCATGTTCTCACTTACCTGTGAAATCTAAAAATCAAAGCAATTGAACTCACGGAGGTAGAGAGTAGAAGGATGGTCACCAGAGGCTGGGAAGGGTGGTGGGTAGAGGGGGAGGTGGGGATGGTTAGTGGATACAAAAAATAGTTAAAGAATGAGTAAGACCTATGGTTTGATAGCACAACGGGGTGGTTATAATCAATAATAACTTAATCATACATTTAAAAATAACTAGAAGAGTGTAATTGGATTGTTTGTAACACAAAAGATTAATGTTTGAGGGGATGGATACCCCATTCTCCATGATGTGCTTATTACACATTGCAAGCCTGTATCAAAATACCTAAAGTATCTCATAAATATATATACCTACTATGTAACCACACAAATTAAAATTTTTTAAAATACATACATAAAGTTCATTGCATGATGGTGACTAACTGACCCACACTTCCTATCACTGCCACATCTGCTAGTTAATGTTAAGGGAGAACAAAGGGTAGTCTGTTTGCCCCATAAAAAATTGTTTGGGTTCTGAATTGTCAAAGGCTATGGGGAAGGGTGAATGATTTATTTTCAGGAGACCTTGCTTAAAAATCATTTCAGTTCATTATTATTTCATTCACACCACAAATATTCATCAAGCACCTATTGTGTTCCAGACACTGTTCTAGGCACTGAAAGATACAGGAGTGAACAAACGGACAAAGTCCCTGTCCTCATAAACATTATTGAGAGAGTAGACAAACAATAATCAAATAGATAAATTAACAAGATGCTTTCAGGTAGTAATAAAGATTATGAAGAAAATGAAATGGGATAATTGGTTAGATGACCAGGATGGGGAAGATGGTTTCACTGGAATAATTAAGAAAGGTTTCACTTAAACTAGCTCATTTCACCCTGAGGCTTGGAGATGAGAGGTCACAGGGCTTGGGTGTCCATTTTAGAGATTTCTCACCCTATCTGAGATTCTCTTCAAATTTTAAGTATGACCTAAAGCGGTTGCACCCACACTACTCATGCCTTATTGCGAATTTGGTGTCAAATCCTTTTCACTCCATCCAGAGGGATGAACCAAAACGTGGACTGAGGAACCGAGTGGGGTAGAGGATGAGGTGGGGTAGAGAAGGAACCCTTCGCAGCCACTGTGTCATCGTTTCCGCCTTCATATCAAGGTGCTTTACCCCTCAGGAACAATCTTTAGATGACGAGTGACTAGAAATTGGTTTGAGAGATTTCCAAAGCTGTAGATCTTGTGATCACTGTTGCCATACCTGCGTTCTTCCCTTCCTATCAACAAACACTGGAAAAGCTCTGATTCAGGGCAATGGGCTTGCCATACGGGCCTCTTGTTCTGAGTCAGAGTGGAAGAGCTTGGAGGCCTTCGGTTGGTAGGGCTTAGTAATGAGGAAGGAAACGGTTACTAGGAAATGAAGAGTGACATTCATCAAAGTGATCAGTAACCAAAGAACGGTGACTTGGTTCTTTGTTACATGGTGGAATAGAAAAGAGTAGGTGTGTGACAGAACCAGACTCAGATGACCCCGCATTGCTCAAAGGGCCAGTGCCAGCTTCCTATGAAGCTGCCTAGGAAGTAGGTGGGGACGGCCCCAATTGGACCTCCATCTTGTTTATTTTTGCTTTTCCCGAAATAAGCAATCTCAATCTTTAATTTCCATGTGGAAACACTCCCCACTTTCCCCTGCCCCTCAAATGTGGGTGTGTAGAAGAACAAGAACATAAAAACAATGTCAACAATAGATTTTGCAGGCAGTAATCAATGACCTGAATTGGGAAATTTTACTCACTGCGGCTCTCTTCTTACCTGCCTTTGAATTGTTTTGTCAATAATGGCTACTTGCTAACTTGGTATAGTAGCCAAAGTCGATTGAACATTCTAGAAACATCTAGAATTCAGCAACAATATACATAATATACATCGCTAAATATGTGCTTGGCTGTGTTTGAATCACTTTCTATATAGTAACAAACACATTTAATCTTGCAGTAGCTCTGTAAGGTAGCTATCTGATTATTATACCTATGTTACAGATTAGGAAACTGAGGCCCAAGGAGGTTAATTAACTTGTCCAGCTACAGAATGGTATGACAGGATCTAAATCTGCTTCGCCCACTGTCTGTGACGGGTGTTACCCACATCTCAGTGTTTCTGGCTCCTCTTGTGTATTTGCTTCAACTCTGCCTCTGTCACTCATTTCATGTATTATTTATCTCCTCCACAACTACTTCCAGAAAATATTGGAGGCAGTGACTTAGCCTCTAAGGATTCAACCTACCTAGAGGAATGTCTACCAGCTGGCTTATAGTTGTTACCCACCCACACACTTCCCCCAAGTGTTTTTTCGTACCAGATCCTTCCTTAGAGAATCAGGACTGTGAACTTCTGAAGCCCAAATGAGCACCATAGTATTATTTGAAAACCATGAGTTGAGTGGACACCATGCCCAGAGATGGCCCTGGCAGAAAGTCTACTTTTTAGAGATTATTGATTTCATTTTCAGAAACTCTGAGCCAAAGCAAAATCTTGCTGAATACTGGGATGGGAGCCCAAAGTTTGGTTATTACATATAGTGAGAAATCCTGCCTGGGGGTTTAGGGAAAACAGTTCTGTAGTTCAATGGGTTGGCTTAGCTATGCTACGTTAGCTGATTGAAGCGGTGTGCTTATAATGATAGGGTCATGAGTTTTCTGTTAGGTGCAAGGGTATGATGGTTGGGTGCAGTTTGGGTTTTGCCCCTAGGGATATAAGCTGAGGGGAAGAATCTGAAGCTTCAAACCAAAGATCTGTCCACATTCCTGGAGGAACAGGTCAAAGGGAAAACAGGAACTGAAGAGGCACAACTTAACTGGCATTTGTAGTATGATGGGATGAAAGAGTCCCAGGGAGCTGGGTGCCAAACTTGTACTTGTTTACTGTAATCCACAAGTAAATTTCAACATGTCCTTAAAGAAGAAAACTCAGTAAGAGTGCAACCTCAAATTCTACATTCCCTTCCTCTCAGAGACCTATCACTTAGGTGATCTGGCTCAGTTTTCTCTCCCTTCTTGACCATACTTTCCAAACCCCTTTTTAAAATTCTGACTCTATAAAGCGGGTTTTTGCCCAGGGGAAGATTAAAATCTTGTCTTCTTTTCCACAAAGAGAAAAACAAGAGGATATAAGTTTACATTTAAGACAAGGGGAATTTGCCTGATGACCACTCCCGACATCCTCTTTACTCCTTAATTAAGGGTCACTTCAGTACTTGAGTCATTAATTTCCAGTTTATTACTAGGCATGTGGCCATCTGTTGCTTCAAGATGGTAGTGCCAGGCCGGGCACGGTGGCTCACGCCTGTAATCTTAGCACTTTGCAAGGCCGAGGCAGGCTTGAGCCCAGGAGTTGGAGACCAGCCTGGGCAACACTGGGAGACCCAGTCTCTAATAAAAATACAAAAATTAGCCAGGGTGTGGCATTGTTTGACTATGGTCTCAGCTACTTGGGAGGATCACTCAAGCCCAGGAGGCAGAGGTTGTACTGAGCCAAGATTGCACCACTCCACTCCAGCCTGGGCGACAGAGCCAGACCCTGTCTCAAAAAATAAAAAATAAAAATAAAAATAAATAAGATGGCAGTGCCTGTTTTTTGTTTGCTTGAGTGTTTGCTTTTCTTAACAAAGTCCTTTGGGGCTTCTCACAAATCTAAGTCAGGTTTCAAACATTCAAAAATTTGGACGATGTGAAGCAAAAACCTAGAGGAGCTGTTTTTGTGTTTGAGGGAGCAAATGTTACCCATTCCCATCTGGGACAAGTTTGTGCCCGGTTTGTGGTAGCAGTGGTTCTCCAGGTGCGTGCTGGCCTTTTTAGCGATCACTTTATACTTGGTTGTGCACTGTCAAGCATTGAGAAGAGTATAAAAAGCCTGAGATGACTAATGAGCTCCCCTATTTAAAAGACACCAGTCTTCAACACATCAGAACCGCCCCTTTTACTGAACACTGAGGGGAAGGCCCCTCATCTGAGCACACCAGGAAGTCAAATGAAGGGTAAAAATGGTTTCTCTTTATAAAGCACTTGCTGTGTTCAAGGAATTTCACCAGGATTGTCTCTTTTTCACCAGGATTGTCTCTTTTTATCTGCACAGTAGCTCTGTGAAATAGAAAATGTTAGGATCATGTTTATTTTACAGGAAACTGAGGATCAGTGGGATTTAAAAACTCACCCAAGCTTAATCAGCTTGTAAGTGGCATAGCTGGAACTTGAACACAGACTAGAGAGAGGCCACCACCTGTGTTATTTGCCACCACACTATACTGTATCTCAGAGTTCCACAATGCTTGAAGGTGGGCCTGGAATTGGACCATAGGTACCATTTAACCACTATTTGGATTTCCTCAATTATAAGATACCATCGGGTATCTGAAGAGGCATAATTGGTTTCAAAACAGCTTTTGAAGCCAGGCACGGTGGCTCACACCTGTAATCCCAGCACTTTGGGAGGCAGAGGTGGGTGGATCACTTCAGGCCAGGAGTTTGAGACCAACCTGGCCAATATGGCAAAGCCCTGTCTCTACTAAAAATACAAAAATTAGCTGGGTGTCATGGTTAGGGTCATTGACTCTGTCTACCTCTGCCACCTAATAAGGGTGTGTGTGGGTATGTGAGGGAGTGGGGGTGTGATACCTCGGAGAACTTAACATTTCTGTGCCTCAGTTTCCCCAACTGTCAAAAATAGTATAATAACTATACTTATAGGGTTGTAAATGAGCTAATACAGATAACGCACTTAGAATAGTGCCTGGCATATATTCAGTTGTACCTAAGTGTTAACTATTATCATCATCATCATCATCATCACCACCACTGTCATCATAATTATACAGTCTGATTTCAGTAATGATAAGATGTGAAAAAAATGTGTTTATTTATTTATTTGTAACAGAGTCTCGTTCTGTTGCCCAGGCTGGAGTGCAGTGGCATGATCTCGGCTCACTGCAACCTCTGCCTCTTGAGTTCAAGCAATTCTCATGCATCAGCCTCCTGAGTAGTTGGGAGTACAGGCACATGCCACCCCACCCAGCTGTTTTTTTTTTTGTTTTTTTTTTTTCGTATTTTTAGTAGAGACAGGGTTGCACCATGTTGGCCAGGCTGGTCTCGAATTCCTGACCTCAAGTGATCCACCCGCCTTGGCCTCCCAAAGTGCTGGGATTACAGGCATGATCATGCCTCCATGCCTGGCTGAAACATGCTTTTTAAAAGTGAGAAAATAAAGATAGTGATCTGATTTAATGACTGCTGGTCTAGATTGTGCATATTGTCTTATAATGTTATCATCTATGTGACCTAAGGACGTGTCACTTCTGCCACCCCAATGGACACTTTTCCCCTAAAATCTTGGGGAAAGAGATTTTGTCCTCTCACACTTACTCCTCAGTCAGATGGTCACTGGGCAGCCACTTCTCTGAGTTTAGATCCCTCCAGGCCACTCACAGTGATTTTTCCTTGCAGGCCACTGCTCACCTCTGAGCTGTGCTTGTCACCACATGGATCTCCTGAACGGTGGCCTTTCCTGATGTGCTGCCACTCCCCTGCCTAGACCTCAGCCCCACATCACATGTGGTGCAGGACCTTCTTCCCTTACTGCTCACTCTAGTAATCCCCACAAGCCCGCCACAGAGTTCTGTAGGAGCACTGGACTGTACCGAAGGGTTGGGAGTAAGGGTAACTAAGAGAATTACAATGAGGGAGGGAAGGGTGCAACACTGTACGTGCAAAATGGCTTTTGCCTTTGTGTTGTGCAACAGAAAAACATGAAAGAATTTATCCTTACACCAAGGTCCTTTGTGAGCATGCCCAGTTCCTAGCCTTGCTCTCCCCTGTTGAAGGCTGTGGGGCCCTCCTTCTCAATAAGGCCTCCATTTTCAAGGTGGGAATTACTACCTTCCTTTAGGGCAGGAGTGTCCCATCTTCCACATTGGAGGAAGAAAAGTTGTCTTGGGCCATACATAAAATACACTAACACTAACGATAGCTGATAAACTTTTAAAAAAATTATGAAACAAAATCTCATAATGTTTTAAGAAAGTTTATGAATTTGCGTTGGGCCACATTCAAAGCTGTCCTGGGCCACATGCGGCCTGTAGGCCATGGGTTGGACAAGCTTGCTTTAGGGAAATCACACTGCATCATAGCAACCTTTGAGCACTTGCTATATGCCAGGCACTGCTCTAAGTACTTGATCAGTATTAACTACTGTATCTCATTGATTCTGAAATAAATGCATCTATTTCACATTTTAACTTTTTTTTTTTGAGACGGAGTCTCACTCTGTCTCTCAGGCTGGAGTGCAGTGGCACGATCTCGGCTCATGGCAACCTCCACCTTCCAAGTTCAAGCGATTCTCATGGCTCAGCCTCCCAGGTAGCTGGGATTACAGGCACACACCACCACACCCACCACACCACACCACAAAATAATTTTTGTATTATTAGTAGAGACAGAGTTTCACCATGTTGGCCAGGCTGGTCTCGAACTCCTAACCTCAAGTGATCCGCCTGCCTCGTCCTCCCAAAGTGCTGGCATTACAGGTGTGAGTCACCACGCCTGGCCCACGTTTTAACATTTCTGAAACCAGGATGTGTCTCAAAATCAGTGGCATATAGAGTTTAAGGAGCAACTTGTTATTTTCTTTCTTAGTGGTACATAAAATAATGGTTTATCTTATAATTGGTGATGCCTTAGAATCAATGAGATGTAGCAATTTAATTGTCACAATGACTCCATCATGTAAGGACTATTTTTATCAACATTTTACAGATGATGGAATTGAGGCTCAGGGAGCTTACACAGCTAGTAACCTCAAGATTGCTCAAGGTCACACAGTTAGTAAATGGTAGATTTGAACCTAGGCAGCCTGACTCGAGAGCTCATACCCTTAGGAGATGATCTGCTTCTCCTGGATTAATACCTCTCATGGGTCCCCATTAGTTATCAAGGATGGTCCAGTCTGATTCATACTGGAAAGGAGAGAAATTTTTTCCAAAGCTTCACAAAACCTGCCCAGCTAGCCCTCTCGAGCTCTGCTTCCCCTTTCAGACTGTGCCCAAAGGGGCAAGGGAGAAGAGCATTCCAGAGGCATAAAAAGTAGGCCTATCCCAGAGTCACCAACCCCAAAAACTAGCAGAAGAAATGGAAAGCATTTTCTTTATTTTGGAGGCCAGGTCAAATTCCAAGGACTGGCTCTCTCCTGCAATCTCTGGGAATGGAGGCTGAATGAGGATTTTTCTGTCCTAGCAACCCTGACATAGAGAGATGAGGGGACAGGCAGTGGCTATCATTCCAGTTACATGTATTTGTCATATAATGCATTGTGTCTTGTCTATTAAATGTGTGTTTTTCATCTGTTCATTCTCCATGAGCCTGTGACGGAAAGAAGGAACTTTAACACCAGAAGCAGAGATTTATGTCTCTCACACTGTGTCTGTATCACACAAACAAAAAACCAGAATACTTCTAAGTAGGGATGGCCCATCCCAGCCCCACTTTCTAAAAATTGGAAAGAAGCAGCTATTTCAACAGCTTATGAAATAATTCATGAGTTTGGGAGCAGTCTAATCTAAGAGTTGGAAATGCTGCAAAATATGCATTTTGTGTTCTTCCTTTTGCTACGCAGACCTTTGTAAAACAAGAAAAAGCAAACAGGAATAAACGTAATACTATACCTGACATAAGGATAATGGAACTTCATTCTTAATATTAAATGGGCGTTATGGGATATCTTTTGAGAAGGAACAGTTCACTGTTCTCGTGTGTAAATGTTTTGTGTTCTGTGTCATATTTCATATAAAAATGTAAATATATATTGCTCTATCTTGTTATATTTTGCAGTTTTTAGTATTAAAGTGATCTAATTTCTTATTTTTAGGTGCAACAAGAAGTTGCCCAATGGAAGTAGGCAAGATTTATTATTAATTTTTATTGTGTATGTTTAAGGTACTCAACATCATGTTTTGATACACTTAACTTGATTTAATTTCTCTATTTAAAAATTCTTGGCCAGACACAGTGGCTCATGCCTGTAATCCCAGCACTTTGGGAGGCCAAAGCAGGCAGATTCCTTGAGGCCAGGAGTTCGACACCAGCCTGGCCAACGTGGTGAAACCCTGTCTCTATCAAAAATACAAAAATTAGCAGGGCATGGTGGCGCACACCTGTAATCCCAGCTACTTTGGAGGCTGAGGCAGGAGAATTGGTTGAACCCAGGAGGCAGAGGTTGCAGTAGCGGAGATTGCACCTCTGCACTCCAGCCTGGGTGACAGAGTGAGACCCTTCCCCTCCCCCCCCGCCCCCCAACACACACACACACACAATTCTGTAATAAAGACTAAATCAGCATATGAATCACATCCTGGTCATATTTGTAAGCAACAACTAATTGTGAAAACTATGTTTTGCTTTCTGCTATCTGCATGTGCTATCCATGGGTACCTGCTGGTGTGTTCGCAATAGATTATAATTTTAAAGTATTTAATGGCTGAATAAATTCGAAAACTCCTAACAGACATGCCGAACTTTTAAACTGAGAGCTGAGTAATATAAATTAGGCTTGCCAGGCGCTGGGGCTCATGCCTGTAATCCTAGCACTTTCGGAGGCCGAGGCAGGCAGATCACCTGTGGTCAGGCGTTTGAGACCAGCCTGACCAACATGGTGAAACCCCCGTCACTACTAAAAATACAAAAATTAGCCAGGCATGGTGGTGGGCGCCTGTAATCTCAGCTACTTGGGAGGCTGAGGCAGGATAATTGCTTGAACCTGGTAGGCGGAAGTTGCAGTGAGTCGAGATTGTGTCACTGCACTCCAGCTTGGGCGACAGAGCGAGTCTCCATCTCATAAATAAATAAGGCTTTCTGGGAGTCACTCTTGAAAAAGTTTGCCCTCTAGTTTTTTTTTCTTGCATGACACACCCCCTCTGTACAGGTCTTTTCCCTGTTTTTCTTTTATGCTATTAGTTGTAGAAACACTGCTCTGCTTACCTTTATAAATGCTATGAGATAATAGCTATCCTGAATGAAGCTCTACAGATGCTGCTGTTGCAGTAGTGTCCCTCCGCCTTATCCATGGGGGATACGTTCCAAGACTCCTGGTGGATGCCTGAATCTGCAGACAGTACCATATACACTATGTTTTTTTCTATATATACATACCTATGATAAAGTTTAATTTATAAATTAGGCATAGTAAGAGACTAACAACAATAACTAACAAGAGAATAGAACAATTATAACAATATACTGTAATAAAAGTTATATGAATGTGATCTTTCTCTCTCAGAATATCTTTTTTTGTTTGCTTGTTGTTTTTTTTTTTTGACGGTGTCTCGCTTTGTCACCCAGGCTGGAGTGCAGTGGCACGATCTTGGGTCACTACAACCTCCGACTCCCAGGTTCCAGCTATTCTCCTGCCTCAGCCTCCCGAGTAGCTGGGATTACAGGCATGTGCCACCACGTCTGGCTAATTTTTGTATTTTTAGTAGAGACGGGATTTCACCATGTTGGCCAGGCTAGTTTCAAACTCCTGACCTCAGGAGATCCACCCGCCTCAGCCTCCCAAAATGCTGGGATGACAGGCATGAGCCACCGTGTCTGGCTGTCTCAGAATATCTTATTGTACTGTACCTCAGGTAATGGAAACCGCGGAAAGCGAAACTGCAGATAAGGGATGACCACTGTACATGGAAAATCACTCAGTCAGTAAAACAAGTTGAGCCATGCTCTGCCTTCCAAAATAGTTATGCCCTTCCTGCCACCCCTTGCCTAACACTGGCTGTTTTGACCTAAATATGATACTTCCCGCAGGCAAAAGCAATTGCTCTGTTAGGCTCCACCAACTCCTTGGCAAAATCTGATGCCATCATCCATGCATATATCCCCTTACACTGTCATTCTTCCTACTAGTGTGGGAGAATCGTGAGCTCTGGCATGGAATTTCACTACGATGCTTGACTATCTTTTGCTGGGATTTGTACCTCTTTCTATTTCATGAGTTATCTTATGCCCAGGCAAAGCTTATTGGAAGCTAGAGAGTGTCTAATATTTTTCTTTTACTTAAACATTTCTCAGTAGTCCTAGGAAAGTCTTTTTGCAGTTCTGCCTCTGAAATTTTGAGAGATGTGAATTTTTATATACACACAGATCTGTGCAATCATCACCACAGCCAACTTTAGAAAATTTCCATGACCTCAAAAGAAACTGTGTATCCTCTGGCTATCTCATTCTATCGCCAAGCCTCCCAGCTTAAGCAACTGCTAATCTTCTTCCTGTCTCTTTATGTTTCTCTATTCTGGACTTTCATATAAATGAAATCATATGTATAGGAACAGTGGTTCATGCCTCTAATCTCAGCACTTTGGGAGGCTGAGGTGGGTGGATCACTTGAGGTCAGAAGTTCAAGACCAACCTGGCCAACATAGTGAAACCCCGTCCTTACTAATATATATATATATATATATACACAAAATACAAAAATTAGCCAGCCAGCCAGGCGTAGTGTCATGCACCTGTAGTCCCAGCTACTTGGGAGGGTGAGGCATGAGACTCGCTTGAACCTAAAGGGTGGAGGTTGCAGTGAGCTGAGATTGTGCCACTGCACTCCAGCTTGAGTAACAGAGTGAAATTTCATCTCAATAAATAAATAAATAAATAAATAAATAAATAAGCAAATAAATAAATAAATAAAATAAATAATATAGTATGTGGTATTTTACGTCTTGCTGCTTTTGCATAGCATAATATTTTCAAGGTTCATCCATGCTGTAGCATGTATCAGTACTTCTTTCCTTTTTATGACTGAATAATATTCCATTGTATGAATAGACTGCATATTGTTTCAACAAAGAAACTTAAATGGAAACAATGGGGACCAGTGAACAGGGGCTAGGAAAGGCATCATCCTGATGGGGCTTAGGAGCTGAAAATTCTGGGAGTTTCTAAGACTAGATGGGACACATGAATATCACGCAGGATTTTCAAATACTGGTAGGTAGACAGAGCCCTTGGGTCTAGATTTTCACCAGACCAGTTTCCAGGCCTACTGTACTAGAGATGATTATAATTTCCCTGCCCACCCATAGGGGATCTGCTCATCACTCCTGGGACGCTAAATGTCTATAGAAACTGCCCCCGCTCCCAGTCTTGTCTGATTGCAGCAGGATTGGTGATCATCTGATCTGATGATGACCCCCTTTTAGGCAGGTTCATGCTCTATGTAGAACCTCTGTGGTCTGGAGCTTGGGAAATCGGATTTCTCTCTTGGGGGTATGGTATTGGAAGGCCAAGAGTCTGGGAGTCTGAAAGACTAATATACTGAAACTGAAAGGCTATAATACAGACATGGAGCTCGGTCAACCGTGAGGGGCCATGTATGGACAAAAGTTCTGAGGAGATCAGTCAGTAGAAAGAGGAGAATGGAGCAGGTATACTGTGAGGAGCAGAGACACCAAGAGAAATATCATGGGCCTCTGGAGAGAGAACCAGAAATTGTAGCTGCCTTGCTACCTGTTCCAGGTCCCACTATGGTGGCTGTCTTGGGAGTACCATGAGATCTTGGTCTCCTTACAATGACCTATGCCCCACCTTCCTGCCCCACCAACACCCACAGCTTGTTGTTGAACCAGCTCGAATGGGTCTCTGTTCCTTGAGTCCAAAGGAGCCCTGACTGAAGCCTATGCAGAATGGGTATAGAGTCAGGAGTTTGGAGTGCAGAGGGAGGCAAGTTGCAACAGTGGAAGTTCAGCAGGATGATGGACATTGGCCAAGCAGCACTGAGGCCAGCTGGCAGCATGGAGTGGGTGAAGGAAGAGGTGCCTGGGTAAAATAAAGAGGGGCAAAGGCTTCTTATGAACTTCCTGGCCAGAGCTAGATGTGTGTGTGTGCATCAACATGTGTGTGCACACGTGTGCATGTCTCAGTGTGGCAGGTTTTGGCAGGGAAGGGGATCTTACAGCAAAATCTTAACCCAAGGTGAGCTTTGCAGCAGATCCTGGAAGCAGAGTGGCACAAAAGATAGTCAGACTTGGCTGGCAGCAAGAGCACTGCCTTGCCCTTCTGCCTTCTGCCTCGTCTACATATCACGGTATCGTTCATCTAACCATTGGCTTATGTTGGCAAGGACAAAACCATCCTGCTTAGAAATGCCTCTGGTGAGGGCAGCTGTTATAGAATGAGAAGAACCTTGAGGAAATGGGTGAGGGAAAAGTGTCTAATGAACACATTTTTCTAGATTTTTCTTCTTCAAATATGCATTTATAGAGATGTACACAGACTACAGTCATGAACCTATGAAGGCTTCAAAACAATAACCCCAAACTCCTCAGCCAGTACCTGGGAAATTCTTAGCAACCTGAAGCAGAGGTCATTCTAGAGCCAACTGACACTGGTAAATTTGAATGCCTGGTTGACTGTCCGGAAGTTAGCTGTAGGAATCTCCTTGGGGTTCTCAAAGGCAGGGCAATGCCGTAGAATCCCATGAATCAAAGCATGCAGGAAGCCACAAAGAAGATTTTACAAATGTGAAGTAAGTCCGCAGCCACTGACGGCCAGGGGCCACACGGCGCTATATGTTAATTGCAGCCCTTTGCCCCATATTCACACCACTCTTCCTGGCATTCTGCCGGTGCCACGCCAGCATGTACTTGGGCTCTGGTGCACCCTAGCCTGGCAGAGGGAAGCAGAAGTTGAGGCAATCCTGCCACCTGCTGCCTGATATGTTCTGCTAAGCAGCTTCTTGGCTCTTTCAAGCTCTTTTACTTTTAATAATCCCTATTTTGGTATTTTTCTAATTACAAAGATGAGATATGTTTGCTATAAACTTTCAGCTAGTAGAGAAGCCTATGAAGTAAAAAGTGAAAGTTCTCCTTCCATAATTCCACTCCCCAGAGGTACCCACTATGACTAGTTCAGTGTGGTTACAGATCTTCTTCTATGTGTTTATATAACTATATATGATACAGTCAATCACTCACTCAAAATATTTAGCCTGATATGGTGGCTCGTGCCTGTAATCCCAGCTACTCAGGAAGCTGAGGCAGGAGAATCTCTTGAACCCAGGAGGCGGAAGTTGCAGTGAGCCGAGGTCGTGCCACTGCACTCCAGCCTGGGTGACAGAGGGAGACCCAGTTTCAAAAAAAAAAAAAAAAAAATCACAGTAAACAATTTATTGAAGGTATTGTGAGACAATTTGAGAAATATGAATTTTGGCTGTTTTTAACATTACTCATTTGATGTTAAATGTCTTCGTATGATAGTGACATTGTGCTTATGGTTCTTAGAAGATACATGCTGAAGTATTTAGGGTTGAAGTGCTGTTAAAATATGAGGACTAAACTCTGATTTTTTAATCTTACCCAAATTCCTATCTAAGGGGCCTGGGGAGTCATGGCCTACAAATAATAAATTCTCATCAGATGGGTTTTATTTAACCCTATATATTGTGACTTTCCAACCTGACTCTGGCATAACATTACGAGACAAGGAAGAAAATAAAAATATTTTACCCCGAAACAAGTTTCTTTGCCATATTTTGAAATGGCCCTGCAAAGCCATTCTTTGTGGGGGAAAATTTACATCTGTAAAGAAACTCTATTAACATAGCTAGATATTTTTCTTCCAGATCCTCCCAATCCAAAAGAGATTAAGATCTGAACAGGAAACATTTGTCATCTGTTGTCTCTAAGGGCAGCCACTATAAGACTTGAAAAGAACTTTGGTCTCCACAATCTTTACCTTAACCTGAACATTCCCTTTCTATGAATCCCAGGTCTTTAGACAAACTCAACCAATTAATTGTCAACCAGAAAATGTTTAGATTCACCTGTAGCCTAGAACGCCCCCCTCCACCCCCTGCCCTACTTTGAGTTGTCCCACCTTCCTGGACCAAACCAATATATTTCTTAAATATTTGATTGATGTCTCATGCCTCTCTAAAATGTATAAAACTAAGCTGTTCCCCAACCACCCTGGGCAGATGTTCTCAGGACCTCCTGAAGGATGTGTCACAGGCCACGGTCACTCATATTTGGCTCAGAATAAATCTCTTCAAATATTTTACAGAGTTTGACTCTTTCTGTCAACAAATGACAAATGTCTGCAACCTTTCAGTGTTCCAGAATTTACACACACACACACCACATGTATCCAGAGAGATAGAAGAAACGTGTCAAAATGTTAAAAGTTTTAAGTGAAATATAAATTTAAAATATATGTATAATTCTTGGAGCACCTGCATCAGAATTGTCTGGGATACTTCTTAAAAATACAAATTTCTGGCTCACTTCAGCTCTCTTTCTCTTTTTTCCACTTGCATATTATTATAAATACAGATTTTATCATTAACTCTTTAAAATGTCTTTTAAATTTACAAAAGTATCATAGTCATTGCAAAACAAAACAAAACAAAACAAAACAAAACAAAATCCTGAACAAACAACAAACAAACAAAACACCTCCTCAAACACACCTCCTCAAACAGTACAGGACCAAATGAAAACACCTCTGTCCCCTTACGCCACCCAGAAGTCACACCCACTGTCAATACTTCTTCTTCTTTTTTTTTGTATTTTGTAGAGATGGGTTTTTGCCATGTTGCTCAGACTGGTCTCGAACTCCTAAGCTCGAGGGATCTGCCCGCCTGGGCCTCCCAAAGTGTTGGGATTACTGGCGTGAGCCACCACACCTGGCCTATCAATAGCTTCTTGTGTTTTCTTATAGACTTTATTTGCTCATATATATGTATCTTTAGTTTTCTTTCCTTTTTTTTTAACGCAAATGGGATTGTAATACACATATTGTTCTGTGTCCCATTTTTTCACTTAATATCATATTTCAAAGATCTTCCCATGTGGATATATACAGATCTACTTCCTGCTTTTCACAGGATGTATACGCATCTGTTGAAGGATGCACTGTAACTTACTTATCCATTTCTCTATCGATAGACATTTGCATTGTTTTGCAAGCTCACATTTTGTAAGAAAAAGTTGTTCATGAAGCTACATTGTCCCTATACAACATATGACAGAAAAATACTGCCAAAGATGAGAAGGGTAGTAAAAACATATGTTTCTGTTTTATGTCTAATCAAAAGGAATGGAACAAGCCACACTCTTCCCTTAACTGCCATCATTATGTTCATTATAATGCCTGTACTTCAGGGGACACTGCAGGTCAATCTGAGTGAGGCCTGGGGCTCGTTTTTGAGTTTTGCTAGTTGCTTGACAGGGCAGGCTGGGTAGGGTGTGCAGAACGGGGACAGGCTATACAGATTTGTGTCGAAGAAAGAAAAATCTTTTCATTCAATGAAATAAACAATTACAAATCATCAACAACAAACACATCTTCTGAAGGCCTTCTTGTCTTTGGCTAATTTCTTCATGACTCCTACCCCAATAACTTGTCTGTTAACAGGCATGATATGGATTTGAAATATTTGTCAGTGCATTTTTTTCCCCCAGGAATTAATAGTAAGTTCTTCTCTTCTTTGGCCCCCTGGGGAAGTAAAGTGATTCATCTGATTGGTAAATTTGAAAAGAACCAATTAGACATGCTTAGTTCTAAAAAAAAATTACTGGTAAGCAACTAAATTTTGCCTCTACACCAGAACCCAAGCAAACCTAAGGATTTTGACGGTTGCCCTCATGTCATTCAGCGTTCTCTTTGAGATTCATAAGGGGAGAGGCTTTTCTATTGTCATGAAGCAAACTAAACAAATAATCCTGAACAGAAAGAAGGTGGTGCTCCAGACCATCGAAGGAGTTCAAATTTCCATCATGATGATTTTGATTTCTCATTACCCCTCCTTCACCTAGGACAAAGGCCTTTGATGTACTTCTTACCAGAAACACCAGTCTCTTTTTGGAGATTTCCATTTGGAAGATGAAATCAATGGCTTTGCTCTGTTCTAATGAAATCCATTATATGGACACTCATTTGCTCTTCTTCAGATTTCTGCTTTTAAATGTTTCACTGATTGTATGATTCCTGGGGTGAGAGACAGCACAGTGGAAATTAACAGCCACTAACTCAGGAGGCAGCATAGTATAGAGCCAAAAGCTCTGGCCCTAGCATCAAAAAGATCCAAGTTCAAAACCCAGTCATATCAAATGGATATGTCACTTAACCTCTCTCTGCCTAATTTTCTCCACATGTCAATTGGAGATAATGTATTATTGACTTTAAAGAATTGTGAGCATTTAATGTGATAAAAATAGGCTGAACTTTCTGAATTTCTCATTTCTGTAGGTGAAAACCAATCAAATTACAGCAATTTTGTATGGTTCAACCTATACATGTAAAGCACAGTGCACTTAGTAAACATTAGCAATGATTATTTGGGAGATATAGGTTCTGTATCCAGCCCCATGGACCAGCTGTATGACTTTAGGTCCTCTAGGTCCCAGAGATTTCATCAATCCATTAAGGATGTTGAACCACTCTGGGATCACTTTAAAGTTTTTTAATGCTTTTACTCTCTGTGTTTTCATTGAATGATGTCAGTTTTTCCCAATACACAGTGTGCATAAGCTCTTTGAGGGCAGAGATCTTTGTCTAGTGCATTGTTATCTCCTTAGTGCCTGAACAGTCAGTGCCTGGCACATAAGAGGGGCACATTTAGTGAGTGAGCAGATGACTAAATGCATAAATGAAGGCAAAATCAAGGCCAAATAGGAGGCAATTAGTTCTGATAATTTGAGTGCCTTTTTGCCTTTCCTCCCCCAAGGCTGTTGAGACCAAGTTGAGGTGAGGTATTCTAGATTGGCAGTCAACAGTGAGTACTGATTGTCTTCCAAAGATAATTACTTTTTCTCCACTTCATTTTTGTTTTTTTGAGGAGATAAATGGAGTTGCCACTTGTACAGAAGAGTTAGGTGCTCAATTTTTTCCCTGATTCAATAAGCATTTTAAAAGAAAAGATGAAAAAGTTGAAATGATGATTGAGTCACTGCACTGGAGAGATAAAGATGGCCTGCCATAAGTCTTTTGGAAAAATTTGTGGAAAAAAACCCACAGCATTTCCTATACAGATAGGAAAATAAATCAATGTGTTATCAAAATAATAGTGTTATCAAGAATCCAAGGTACATTTTAAAAACAGTTTAAATGCCATTTTAATAAAGTGCTGCAATTTTAGAAAGGTTATGAAACATTTTGAAAAGCATTCGGTTTCTACATTTCCTTAAGGTAGAAGGCTGATGTTGTAATATTGAATCCAAAATAAGAAATGAAGATTCTTGCTACAGTACAGATCCCCAAACCATTATTTAAGGTGTTTCGAGTCAATAAACTGTTACAAGATTAAATCTGACAGCTGCTTTAAAAAATATGACTACTGTTGATTTTTTTTAGCACAATACAAAATGTGGTCGAAAAATTTCTGATTGTGATAGATTTGAGGTTAAATATAATTATCTTAGAAATGAAATAGAAAAAAATATTCTGAATCTGTTATCTTACTGCAGCAGACTATCATTTCCCCTGTATCTTATTTCTTTCTATGAATAGCATGGGACAAAATAATTTCATCAATCCAGAGTGATTGAGATCAGATGTTACAATGGTGAGGTGGACAGAGGAGGGAGACCAGAGAGGGACAAGGACCTATCTATCTCCTCCCATGCCTAGAACCTCCATCTATAAACATTAGTTTAAAAGGAATGTCAAGGACAGCTTTGATGGAGAAAAGAATTTACAAAAAGACAAGTGTAGTTTGAGAGATGGGGAAGGAGTGCTATTTGGGAGTTTGAGCTAACACTGCATGTGTTGATTATGTGTATTTATATGTCTCAGGCTTTTGCTTTGCTTTGTTTTTTAACTGCAGCTAGAGTCTTCTCCTCAATCTCACTAAGAGGTGGCCCAGAGCAACGTGTTTACTTGTTGATAGAGAAATGGATGGCTGGGGCAAACACTGTTCGGTGCCTGCTCATTGGCCTTCCTGTCTTTATGTCCTACTTGATAGCAGAACCCTGTTTGTGTCAGGCTTTCTAGGCAAGAGCTCTTGATCTCAAGGAAGGTGTCCCTAGTCATTATCATCACTGGTCCAAGCCAAGCATGGTCATCCCATTCCTCTTGCCGTATTTATAGGTGTCTGTGTGGCCTAGGTTGGGTCAATGAAACAAGGGGAAGTTCACTGGGGGACTTCTGGGAAAGATTTCCCTCTCTGATCAAAGAGAGAGGCATATATAAAGTATTTTCCCTACATTCACTTCCTATTTTTGGAGGTTGTCAGGTGATAGTGTGATGCTTGGAGCTGCTAAGTACATTTTAGACTAAGAGAGACATCTCCTGCCCATGGAAGGCAGCATAGTGGAAAGATAGAACTGGGGATCTGACCTGTGGTCCCTTCCCTGTAACCACATCTTTCTAAACTTTTTATTATGTGAGAAAATTAGATGTATTTATGGTGTAAACTGGTGTTAGCGAGTTACTCTACTACTTGCAGCCAAATGCCACTGAACAGATACAAGACATGAATAAGGTAAATGACATATTCAGGAGTACTCAGATTTTTGGTGTCAGCACAAGGGATAGATCTGGAATGAACATGGAGCTTGGAGTCAAATAGGCCTCGGTTTGATAACGGACTTGCTGTGTGCTCTCAGACAAGTTACTTCACCTCTCCGGGCCTCAGTTTTCTCTTCTGTTAAATGGGGATAATACCACCCACCTCATGGGATTGTTGCATGGTTTAAATGAGATCAAGTAATATGACTGATGGTCAATGAATGTTAGCTTTCTTCTGTTTCCTCCATGACTCTGCTTCCAGTGCAATCTTTTTATTCCATTTCAAAAAAAGTGTTTATTTTCAGAAACTTAACTTGAGAATTCTTTTTTTTTTTATTATACTTTAAGTTTTAGGGTACATGTGCACATTGTGCAGGTTAGTTACATATGTATACATGTGCCATGCTGGTGCGCTGCACCCACTAACTCGTCATCTAGCATTAGGTATATCTCCCAATGCTATCCCTCCCGCCTCCTCCCACCCCACAACAGTCCCCAGAGTGTGATATTCCCCTTCCTGTGTCCATGTGTTCTCATTGTTCAATTCCCACCTATGAGTGAGAATATGCAGTGTTTGGTTTTTTGTTCTTGCGATAGTTTACTGAGAATGATGATTTCCAATTTCATCCATGTCCCTACAAAGGACATGAACTTGAGAATTCTTAATGCAGTGCTTTAATACAGTAAAAATTTTTAGTCTTTGTTTTCTACAAAATGCATTTGAAAAGTGCACTCTTGATCTTGTATTTTCTTTCCTTTCCTTTAGAATCATATTAGCAGTTGGACGTATATATAAAATATTAGTGTACATAATCTCAGAGTACCTAAAGGATTTATTTTATTTCAGTGTAAGCAATTTTATATATTTACAAAGTACCTTTTCTCTGAAAACCCCTCAAACAGTAGATTACTTAGTACATTAGTATCTGGAGGAGTAACTGCTGAAGATCTACAACTCTACTCTGAAAAATAATATAGACTTCCTGCAATTTGATGCACTATCTTGAAAATCTTTAAGTGCTTCTTAAAAGTAATCCTTAGGTCTCTGCTATGAATGCTATTTTTAAATGACAAAAACAGATGGAAATAAAGAATGGCTCAGTTTTTCTTACCTGTGAATACTGGAAAGCAAAAGGATGTCTCAATAACAGTAATTTATAAAGTGACCATGGCGTTTTATAGCACAGATGTTAACAGCTTCACACGTGACCAAATAGTGTTTTGTGCCAGGTGGTACACTAGTTCTTTCCAGTCATCATCTCATTAAGTTGTGCCAACAGTTCTCTGTGGTAGATTCCGTTATCCCCACTTGAGAGATGAAAAGACTGAGACTTGAGAAGTTTAGCAATCTGTCCAAGGTCACCCAACAAGTTAAAGTGGTACAGCTGGGATTCAACTCAAATTCTGTCGGATTTTGGAGCCCTTGCTCTGGATTCCTACACCATACTGCTGCCTACTAAGCTTGCTAAACCTTCCTGAGTTACCATACTCTCTTGAACAACTGGACCTAAACATATATCATATTCATTACAATACTAGTTAGCATTTATTGGGCACCTATCTATGCCAGGTAAATGATAACATTTAATTATCAGAACAACCCTGAAAGGTAGATAAAGGTAGATACTTTTGCTATTATTATTATTATTCCAACTTAACAAATGAGGAGAGTGAGGGGCAGTGGTGGGCTGTGACTTCTCCAGGTTTGCACAGTTTTAGTAATACACATTCAAACTCAGGACAGCCTGACTCCAAAGTCCATGTTCTTTCCACTCTACCATATAACTTCCTATTGTAACAAAAGTAAGCCACCATGGGGAAGCTGCTGCATGTTTAAGATGGGAAATATATCTGCATTCATATACTTTTAAATATCTCAGGGCCTTACATTTCTTTTGTTCCTGAAACAACTAGAATAGTGCTAGGCACCTACTTGGTACTCAATGATTGATTGGTTGATTAATCAATGGACTGATTGATAATAAGCAATAATATCTTACTTGCACACATTTCCTTCTGAAGAAATATTAAAGGGCCTGACAATGACATGAGTGGACATGAGTCACATTATAACTTACCATATATATATATATATATTCACAAAGATTATATATATATATATTCACTATATATATATATTCACAATGATTGCAGGATAATTTCACAGCAATGACAATTTCATCAGTTTCTGGAAGTCTTGAGGATGCAATTGTCAAAATGAAAGCTGGTCACATCATTTTTAAAAGGCCAAATGTAGCAGTAGTTCTACAAGATGAAAACAAAAAGGCCAGAGGCCTGATTTTTCATTAGACCTTCATGTCAGAGTCAAGCATTGGATATGAATCAAAATAGCTTGCAGAACTAAAATTTTAAGTGTCACAGCCACAGTAACCCTCCAGCAGATATATAACTTAAAATTCTTGACATTTTACATATTCATGAACTTGAAGAAATAGAATGAGTGGGGGTGGGGAGTGATGTGTATTCCAGGAATAAAATAAAGTTTGGTGTTTTAAAAAATTGCATTGCAATTTCATTTACAGAATTTCAGATTGGAGGCCTGTAGGAAACTAGTGAGTCAGAATAAATTGGGAGAACTAGAATTGAGTTCTGGCTCTATTACTAACTTATTAGTAATAAGTAATAATTATTAGTAATATTACTAATAATATTTGTTCTTAGTAACAAATTTTTGTATTAGTACAAACATTATTAGTACAAAGTTAGTAATAGAGCCAGAACTCGATTCTAGTTCAGGGAGGGGAAGGGATGATGTGCTCCCAAAGTTGCACATCATCCCTGGGCTCCATTCCCCATCTGTACAATGGAAGTTTGACCAGATGATCTGTAAAGCCCGTTTCATGCACAAGTACTTAGGAATGTCAACCCATTCTCTTTCCTTTTCTTCCTAGGTCATTGCCATGGGAGGAAGAGTGGACATTCTTGAGAAAAGTCATTTTGATAGAAAAACTGTCTTGAGCTGAAAATACTTGGAGACTGTAAGGCTCTTCATTTCTTTCTGGAGCTAATAGCATGTTCTGTGTGTATATTTGTCAGGATTGTTGTGGTTTCCAGTGACTGAAAGCCAGGTGGAATTTTGCTTAGGCAAAAAAAAAAAAAAAAAAAAAAAAAAAAAGAGGCTTATTGGTGATCATGTAACCGAGCCATGGGAAGGCAGGAACAACTAGAACAAAGGACTTGAGTAACTAACAGGATTTCTCTCTGTCTGTCTATTTCTCTTTCATTCTCTCTCTCCTTTCCCACCCTTCCTCCCTCTTTTTTCTGTCTCCCACCTCTGCATGAGTGTCAGTTTCATTCTCTCAGTCTTCTCCCACACCGCTGATGCATGGTAGCTGGCCAGTTCTGTACTCATACCCCCCTGCCCCAGAGTTGCTTCCAGAGAGGACTTTCTATTCACTCTTTCTATGCCCATGTATTCAAAGTCCCTGGAAGGATTTTAATTGACACAGCTTGGATCAGGTGCCCATGTCTTTACCAGTCACTGTGTGCAACAGAGTTCCAGAAGAACATAGCAGGCATCCTTCAAATGCATGGTTGGAGTGGAGAAAAAAGCATTTCCCAGAAGGGGAGTGCTGCTCTAGGTAGACAGAACACCAGGCTAGATCACCACTGCAGTGAGGTTTCATTGCAGGGCTTCATGGAAGACTGCTGAGCACAATCCACAATGACACCAAAAGACTCCTTGGCATTTTTGTAATCAGGAGGGTCCTAGAAAAGCAGATATTTAAATGTTGAATCCAAAGGATGGAGGGGTTGAATACATTTTTACCAGTTTCTTTTCTACAATGCAGCTATGCCCTGTGGTTTGGCAAAAGACATCCATTTTCTATAATGTCGTTCAAGGAGTAAGCAACAGAAACTTCATTCCTTTTTTCTTATTCATAACAATACTTGATACTTACATACTCTGGCATTTTCATCAAAGGATCTTAGAACGTACAATTAGCAAGTATTAGTCAGTTTTCAGATGGGAAGTCAGAGATGCTGAGAAGGCAAAGCCAGGCACCTTGAGTCTGCCTGGGATGGTGAACTTCTGGAAAGTACCTTTTCTAACCTTGGCCTAGTCAGCGGGAGTTCGAGGGTGACACACCCTCCAGTTCAGAAGCCAGGTTCCAGTCACAAGAAAAAAAAAAGGAAGGTCGGGCTGTCGCGGAATCAGAAATACTCAGATGTGGAAAAGGTCGTGGGGGCCAGATGCAGCTCGACCTTCCATCCAATGCATATGCTCTTTCTAGATTATCCCCATCATGAGTAGTCATGTGGTGTCCAGAACCTGCACACTATTTAGCTCACTGTGAAACAGATTTTGTTGTTGGAACTAGGCTATTCTTTAAGTTAGAATCTGTCTTCCCCAGGGCAGCCACTCTTTTTTTTTCATTCACTCTTAAAGGCTTGTTTTGTGACTGACGACACCCTTCTAGCCTAGGGATGCAGAGGTGAGTAAGAATTGGTCTCTATCTTCCAGGATCTCAGTGTCCAGTGGAAGAAACAGACCCATCTGTCTATGGCAGTTGCTTTAGTGGATGTGTGAACATTGTTCCCAGAAGTGAAAATGCTTATCACCCTCCAGAGAAGTCAGAAAAATTCTCCTTGAGGGGCAAACCCTGGAGCTTATTTTTGAAAGATGATTGAGAATCTGCCAGATGATTGAAAATGAATCCTAGACTAGGCAGAGGTGATACCAGAATATGAAAAGGCTCAGAGGTGAACAAGAGAATGGTCCATGAAGGGAACCACAGGTGATTCAGTGTGACTGGAGACAGGTGTGTGTAGTTTAAAAGGCCAGGCTGCAGAGTAAACCAGGGCTATATAATGAAGGGCCTCTATATCACAGCAAAGATGTGGTGTTTACATTATAAGCTAGTGGGTCTTGGCACTTCTAGGATCATGGATCACTGAGAATCTGATGAAAGGCTAGAGGGGCTCTCTCTCTCTCCAGAGAGATACATGCACACACATACACGCACAAACACATACACACACACATCCTTCACAACATTGCTTACCATTTCACAGAAGCTCTAAAGTCCATTCATATATTCATTCATCAAGGAGTCACTAGGGGAATTAGGGGCCCGGAGGCAGGCTCTGTGTTAGATGCTGGAGACAGAGCAGTGTTGTGTGTTGAATTGTGTCCCGCAAAAAGATATGTTGATGTCCTAGATCACAGTATTTCAGAATGTGACCTTATTTGGAAATAGGATCCTTAAAGATATAATCAAGTTAAAATTAGGTCATTAGGGTGAGCCCTCACCCAATATGACAGATGTTCTTATAAAAAGAAAAAACTTAAATGCAGAGATACATACACACAGAACACCATGTAAAGACAAAGGCAGAGATCAAGGTGATGCATATACAAGCTGAGAAATGCTGAGGATCACCAACAAACCACCAGAAGCTAGGAGAGAGGCATGGAACGGATTCTTCCTCAGAGTCTCAAGAAGGAACCAACCCTGCTGACACCTTGATCTCAGACTTCTAGACTCCAGAATAGTGAGACAATACATTTCTGTTGTTTAGGCCACCCAGGCTGTGGTATTGTGTTATGACAGCCGTAGCAAACTAATATAAGCAGTGAACAAAGAAAATCTGCATTCTGTTCTTATGAAGCTTATACTCCAGTGAGGAAGAGAGATCATGGTCGGGCGTGGTGGCTCACGCCTGTAGTCTCAGCACTTTAGGAGGCTGACTTGGGTGGATTACTTGAGCCCAGGAGTTTGAGACCAGCCTGGACAACATGGCAAAACCCTATCTAGAGTTTAACCTTGGGCCCTCTCATTTGCCTATAGTCTCTAAATTATTTCATCCAATCCTATGGCTTTATCTATTATCTATGTATGCTGATGGCTCTAAAGATTTAATCTTCAATCTAGACCCCTTATTTGAGTTCCATGTTCATATATGCAACCTCCTGCTTAATCATTTCCTTTAGACGTCTAATAGACATCTCAAATTAATATAGCCAGAGCAGAACATTTGACTCCTTACCTTCTACCATATCCCTGCAAAACTGTTCCCCCCACAGGCTTCTCCATCTCAGAAAATGGAATCACACTCCAATAGTTGCTCAAGCAAAAACCTAGGACATTCTTGATTGCTAACTTTTTCTTCATCCCTTCCATATAAACCCTGAAAAATTCCAATGGGCTATATCTAAAAAGTATATCAAAATTTAACCACCTCTCACTACCTCTACCATTCTCTTCCTAGTTTAAGCCTGGTCCAAAGAGACTAGTCATTCCTTGCTTGGACCACTGAAATAGTGTCCTCACTATTCTAATTTTTCTTTTGGCCCCATTCCAATCCATTCTCTATATCACAGCCAGAGTGATCTTTCTAAAATGTAAATCAGATCATGTCTTTCAATTTTTTTTTTCAAAATCCTCCAATGTCTTGCTGTCTATCTAAGTGGAATACCTTAGAATAAAATCTAAAATCCTGATTGTGGCCTATAAAGCCCTATAGGACTGGCTCCTGCCATTCTCTCATCTCATTTTCTACTAGTTGCTCCCTTACTCATGCTGCTACAGCCACACTGATTTCCTTGTTGTTCCTCAAGCACACCTAACATGTTCCTGCTAGAGCCTTTGCATTTCTGTTTCCTTTGCCTTTAAGGCTATTCCCCCAGATATTTATATAGCTAGATTCTTATTGTATCATCTCAGCTCAAATGCTACCTTCTTTTGAAATGGTCTTCCCTGACTATCCTATCTAAAACTGCACCCACCATTTTGTTTATGATGGAAAGCAAAGTAATTTTTAAAAAATGAGAATGGTATGGAAAAGTTATATAGTATTACTCCCTTTAGTCTATCAGAAAGACTAACCTTTAAAATTCTTAGTTTAAGTCAATCAGAAAGATTATCCTCCAAAATTCTTGGTTAGAATGAAATGTATCTGTTTAAAATAAATATTCCAGAAGAACTAGCATCATAGCATGAAGTGGATAGAGAAAACACTGCTTCAGAGCAAACTCTGTAAGAAAATGTTAGTAAAAAAAAGTTGTATGCATACTCTTTAGGAGGGTATAATTTGCAACACAGATCAATTTTAAGTAGAAGAGATAAAAACATCAGCATCAAACATTGTGAAGACATCCTCTTTAGTCAACATAATTTACCAAAATGCTGGCAGCTGTAGTAGCAGAAGAGTGGTTTTGAGCTTCGTCTCTACGGTCTTGGAAAATTCTGGTCTAATAGAAACCCTTGGGACTTCATAGCAGCAGCTTGAAACACTACAATCAGTTTTTTTTCCAGGGGTTTTTGTAATCCTGAGAGATGACCTAAACCCAGAGCAGATGCCCATAGGATGATGGCTTCCAAAGGCTCAGCAAGCTAAACTTTCATTGGAACTAAAGCCCACATATGTAGGTCAGAACTTGCATACTAAACCTAAGAAGAGAAACTAACTGCTAAAATAGAAGATTTAAATAAAATCAAGTCTTCTAACATAAAAAAGCAAAATGTACAGTGTATAATCTGACCATTACACATTGTATACATGTATTAAAATATCACTCTGTATCTCATAAATTTGTACAATTATTATATGTCAACTAAAAACAAAAGGAGATAAAAGTATTGTATAAAGTGAAACAAAACAAAGCATTACCTGTCATACCAAATACCAGAAAAAAACACAACCAAGTGACACCAATACTGAGATGAACCACGCACTGGAATTATCTGACAAGGATTTTAAAGCAGATGTCATAAAAATGCTTCAATGATCTATTACAAATTCTGTTGAATTTACAAGTTCTCTTGAAACAAATAAAAATATTAATATTATGAGAGGTGCATGAGAGACAGAGTGGGACTGAAAAAGTATTTGAAGTAATAATGGATGAAAATTCCCCAAAGTTGTCAAAAGACATAAACCTAAAGATTCAAGAAGCTGAGAAAATCTCTGTTAGGATAAACCCAAGGAAATTCACACCAATATGAATCCACACCACATAAATTTGCAAGGATGGAGTAGGAGGTAGAGAGTCAGATACAGCATAATTAAACATCTGAAAACTGAAGAAAAAAAAATCTTGAAAGCAGCCAGAGAGAACCATGCCTTACCTATAGGAGACCAGTTTGAATCACAGAGGGTTTCTCAAATGACATCATGGAGGCCAGAAGGAAATGGCACATTTTTTAAGTAATGAAAGAAAAGATATGTCAATTACAATTTCTGTATCCAGTGAAACCATTCTTTAAGAATGAAGGGGGAAATCAAGATATTTTCAAGTGAAGGAAAACTAAGAGAATTTGTCAATATCAAACCTACCCTGAAATAATGGCTAAAGGAAGTTCTCTAAAGAACAAGAAAATGTTAACAAAAGGAGATATGGACCTTCAGAAAGGAAGGAAGAATAATGGAATTGGTAAAAATAGAAGTAAGTGTAATGGACTATTCTTTACTTCATGAGTTTCTTTAATCATATTTTATAGTTGAAGGAAGTGTTGTTACACTATCTGACGTGGAGCTCAATGATTTTGGAGAAAATACCTAAGACAGTTGTATTTGAAAAGTGGGGAGATTAAAGGGACCTAAATGGAATTAATGTTTCCATACTTCTCTCAATTGGTAAAATGTCAATACCATTAGGCTGTGATAATTTATGTATGTGTATAGTAAGACTTAGAGCAGCCATTAAGAAAACTATATGAAGTAGTATAATCAAAAGCGTTATAAATAAATACAATGGAACTCTAAAAGTTGTTCAGGTAGCCTACAGGAAGGCAAGAAAAAATATCAGAGGAGCAAGAAACAGAGAATGAACATAAAATAAATATTAAAATGACAGTCTTAAGCTCTAGAAATTCCATAATTACTTTAAATGTAAATGGTCTAAATTCACAAATTAAAAGAGATTGGCAGAATAGATTTTAAATATGTGACTCAATTATATGCTGTTCATAAGCAATGCACTTCAAATATAACAGGATAGTTTGAAAGTAAAGGGATAGAAAAAGATGCTCTACAAGCATTAATCAAAAGAAAGAAGTGGCAATATTAATATCAGATAAAGTAGACTTCAGAGCAAAGAAAATTATCAGAGACAAAGAGAGATATTACATAATGATAAAGGGTCAAACCACTGAGAAGACCACCAAAGAATGGAGCTGCAAAATACATGAGCAAAACCTGTAGAGCTGAATGGCGAAATAGACAAATCTACAATAATACTCGGGGACTTCAACAATCCATTCTTAGCAATTGATAAAATTGCTAGACAAAAAATCATCAAGGATATAGCTTAACACAATTAACCAGTAGGATCTAATTGACATATATGGAACATTCCGCCCAAACACAGCAGAATACACATTTTTTTTTTCAAGTTCCTACGGAACATTCACCAAGATAACTATACCCTGGGTTACAAAAAAAATTTAACAAATTAAAATAATGGAATTATATACAATGTGTTATTTGGCCAGATGGAATCAAACTAGAAATCAATAACAGAAAAATAAAAGGGAAATATCTAAACACTTGGAAACTAAACAGCATGCCTAATAATACATGAGTCAAAAAAGCAGTCTCAAAGGAAATTTAAAAATAAATAGGACTGAATAAAATGAAAACACAACATATCAAAATATATGGAAATCAGCTAAAACAGTGCCAAGAAGGAAATTTATAACACTGAATGCTTACATTGGAAAAGGGCAAAAGTCTCAAATCAATAATTTAGGCTCACATCTTAAGAGCCTAGAAAAAGAAGAGAAAGTCAATACCATTGTTTTCAGTGGCATAGAAAACAGAGAATCATTAGAAAAACTGATGAAACAAAAAGCTGGTTCAGGTCGGGCGCAGTGGTTCATGTCTGTAATCCCAGCCCTTTGGGAGGCCGAGGGGGGCGGATCAACTGAGGTTGGGAGTTTGCGACCAGCCTGACCAACATGTAGAAACCCTGCCTCTACTAAAAATACAAAATTAGCTGGGTGTGGTGGTGCATGCCTGTAATCCCAGCTATTCGGGAGGCTGAGGCAGGAGAATCGCTTGAACCCAGGAGGTGGAGGTTGTGGTGAGCTGAGATTGTGCCACTGCACTCCAGCCTGGGCAACAGGAGCGAAACTCCGTCTCAAAAAAAAAAAAAAAAAAGCTGGTTCTTTGAAATAACTTGATAAAGTTGATAAACCTCTAGCAAATTTGACAAAGGTAAAACGAAAGAAGATAAAAATCACCAATATCAGACCAGGCACAGTGGCATACATCTGTAGTCCCAGGTACTCAGGAGGCTGAGGCAGGAGGATTGCTTCAGCCCAGGAGTATGAGGCTGTAGTACACTATGATTGTGACTGTGAATAGCCACTTGCACTCTAGCCTGGGCAACATAGTGAGATCCTGTCCCTAAAAAAATACAAAAAAAAAAAAAACCCAAAAAAACAAAAATCACCAATATGAGGAATAAAACAAAGATATCACAGCAACCTCTGCAGCCATTAAAAGGATAATAAGAAATACTACAAACAACTTTATGGTCATAAATTTGCATGCAGATACTTGTCTTTATTTGTAATAGCCAAAAACTGGAAAAATACCCAAATGTCCTTCAATAGGAATAAACTTCAATAAAGAAATTGTTCTATGTCCATACCGTGAAATGCCACTCAATAATACAAACAATACAATATGCAACAACTTGGATGAATCTCGAGGCAATTATGCTGAGGGGAAAAAAAAAGGCAATCTCAAAAGTTTATGTAGTCTATGAGTTCATTTATATAATATTCTCAGAATGGCAAAACTATTATGATAGAGAACAGATTAATGGTTACCAGGGATAAGGGAGAGGGGCCGAATGTGGCCGTAAAAGGATAATAACAGAGTTTTGTGGCAATGGTACAGTTAAGTATCTTTTATTTTATTTATTTATTTTAGTTTTTTTAGAGACAGGGTCTCGCTGTGTCTCACAGGCTGGAGTGCAATGGTGCTATCATAGCTCACTGCAGCCTCAAACTCCTGGGCTCAAGCCATCCTCCTGCCTCAGTTTTCCAAGTTTCTGTGAGTACAGGCACAAGCCACCCCGTCTGTAATTACAATCGTCCTGCTTCAGCCTTCCAAGGTGCTGGGATTACAGGTGTGAGCTTGGCTCTTTTTTTGTTTTATTTTTCTTTTTTCTTTTTTTCTTTTTGAGTTGGAGTTTTGCTCTTGTCACCCCGGCTGGAGTACAATGGTGCAATCTTGGCTCACTGCAACCTCTGCCTCCTGAGTTCAAGCAACTCTCCTGCCTCGGCCTCCCGAGTAGCTGGGACTACAGGCGTGTACCACCATGCCCGGATAATTTTTTTTTTGTATGTTTAGTAGAGACGGGGTTTCACCACGTTGGCCATGATGGTCTCAAACTCCTGACCTCAGGTGATCCGCCCGCCTCAGCCTCCCAAAATGCTGGGATTACAGGCGTGAGCCACTGCGCCCGGCCTTTTCTTTTTCCTTCTTTCTTTCTTTCTTTCTTTCTTTCTTTCTTTCTTTCTTTCTTTCTTTCTTTCTTTCTTTCTTTCTTTCTTCCTTCCTTCCTTCCTTCCTTCCTTCCTTCCTTCCTTTCTCTCTCTCTCTCTGTCTTTTTCTTTCTTTATTTTTCTTTATTTTTTTTCTTTGGAGACGGACTCTTGCTCTGTCACCCAGGCTGGAGTGCGGTGGCGCAATCTCGGCTCACTGCAAGCTCCACTTCCCAGGTGCAAGCGATTCTCCTGCCTCAGCCTCCCAAGTAGCTGGGATTACAGGCATGCACCACCACACCTGGCTAATTTTTGTATTTTTTAGTAGAGACAGGGTTTCACCATGTTGGCCAGGCTGGTCTTGAACTCCTGACCTCAGGTAATCCACCCACCTTGGCCTCCCAAAGTGCTGGGATTCCAAGCATGAGCCACTGCGCCAGGCCTCTTTTTTGTATTTTTTTTTTTTTTTTTTTTTTTTTTAGAGACGAGGTCTCACTATTTTGCCCAGGCTGCAGTTGAGTATCTTGATTGTGGTTGTGATTACACAAATCTTCACATGTGATAAAATTGCATAGAGCTACACATACATGCTTGCAAGTATAATTGGCAGAATTCGAACAAGCCTTATTTTCTCATCTGTAAAGAGATGTCATATCACACCCACCCCAGAGGGTTGCTGAGATAAGCCATTGAGATAAACAATGCTTAGCACAATATCTACTGACATATAGCAAAGGCTTAAGACAAGAGGTAGTAGTAGCAGCAGTAATTATTATTATTATTATTGCTATTTTACCACCTACCTCTAGTGGTAGCCAGTGCCTAGAACCCATGGTTTCAGATTTCACTCCTTATCATAAATCCAAGTGAGGTTGGCCTTTCTATCTGCACCTTCTCAAAAGCTTTTGAGAAAATCTTCAGGTTTCAAGTAAATCTTTACTTATTTGGGGTCTACACTGTGGTTTTGACTGAGTTTCCCTCTGATATTTTGGTTCAGCCAAGGTAGAGTTCAAAGTGAAATTTAAAGGAGAAGGGCTCTTTTATGCAATTCCAACTGGAGAAGGTTTACAAAATGGAATCTGCTGAGTTTTGCGCAACTCTTTGGTCAGTTTGCTTTCTTAGGCCAGACAAGTATGTCTACAATGGTGGAGTCATAAACCCAAAGGAGAGAAATGGGTGTGAGAAAAGAAGACGCACCTTCCTGTATCCAGTAGCTACCCTGTGTGAGAAGCAAAAGATAGTTGTAAGAAAGCTATAAATATGATTCTGTCCAGCAGTTCAGTGTCTGCTGGATGTACCAAGTCATCACCTTCAGGCAGTTTCTATTAGTCAGAGGCATGTTTGCCTGACTGTAGGTGGGTGGAGGGTCAAGGCAAATGCCTCCTCTCCAGCTTCTCAGATGGGAAGTAACTGTGGAAACACAGTAGACCTGTGAAAAGCACAGGGAATGCGATATGTAAAGACTGAAACACAAGTCAACAGTGGTATTAATTCTGCAGCAGTATAAAAATAAAGAATTGTTTACAAAGATGAATTAAAACTTAATAATGTCATGTTTAAATAATCAGCATTCCCACAACATTTTAGTCATCATAACCCTGACTAAGTTGTACATTTAATGGTGAAAATTCCTTTCTGGGGTGCATTCTGGATGTAGCGCTGTAAATGCACACATTTTAAATCTTATGCTAAACAGCAATTTTGTCAGGAATAAACAAGAAATAAACTCCTGGGTGAGTGAAAGGTCTGGGAACATCTGTTCAGGGAAAATAATTGAGCATATTGGTGGAAGGAGCCTGCGAGTATAAAATAGATCGGGAGGCTTTTTTTTCTACATTGTTTCTGAGTTTTAATTTATCAAATTTCATGCTGATTTTGTAACGTATTGCCTGATAAGGGAATTAGAAAGAAAAGCAAGGGTACCAGATAATGCTTCCTTCATCCCAGCTAAAGGTATGCTCCTGAGTTTTCTCAAATATCACTTCTCCAGTGAAGCCTCCTCTGGCCTTTCATCCAGCCCTATTAGGTTGGAGCTCCATGGGCTCTCACGACCCCTCACTCCTTTCCCTCAGAGTGCACATCGTGCTTATAATTAAATAACAAATAGGCTGGGCGTAGTGGCTCATGCCTGTAATCCCAGAACTTTGGGAGACTGAGGTGGGCGGATCATTTCAAGTCAGGAGTTTGAGACGAGCCTGGCCAACATGGTGAAACCCCATCTTTACTAAAAAACAAAACAAAACAGAAACAAAAATTAGTGTGGTGTGGTGGCACATGCCTGTAATTCCAGCTACTCAGGAGGCTGAGGCAAGAGGATTGCTTGAACCCCAGTGGCGGAGGTTGCAATGACCCAAGATTGCGCTACTGCACTTCAGACTGGGTAATAGAGCAAGACCCTGTCTCAGAAACAACAACAACAACACCCAAACTGTGTAATTGTTAGTTTAGTGCTTTTTTTCCTCCTAGATGGTACGCTCTGTGAGGACAGGGACTGTGTCCATCTTAGTCACTGCTTACCAGGGACTCCTAGCTCAGAACCCGGCACATAGTGAGTGTCAGTTAATATTTCTGAATTAATTTCATTTTCCCACCCATCCTTTATCTGAACTAGCTGAATGGGTTTCTATTTCTTGCAAACAAGAAAGTTAAGAAGAATTTGCCGGATGCAGTGGCTCATGCCTGTTATCCCAGCGCTTTGGGAGCCTGAGGTGGGAGGATTTCTTGAGCCTAGGAGTTTGAGACCAGCTTGGGCAACATGGAGAGAACTCTGTCTCTACAAAAAAATGACAAAATTAGCCAGGCATGGTGGTGTGTGTCCGTGGTCTCAGCTACTCAGGAGGCTGAGGTGGGAGGATTGCTTAAGCCCTGGAGGTCAAGGCTGCAGTGTGCTGTGATTCACCACTGCACTCCAACCTGGGCGACAGAGCAAGACCCTGTCCAAATAAATAAATAAATAAATAATAAATAAATTTATTTTTGTAACAAAAAGAAGGATGTAAAGGATTAAAGAAAACTCAGAGTCTCTGGGAAATCTTAGCACAGGTTTCTTTTCAAGAGTTTATTTGCCAAGGCATTCATCCTGTTTGTAACACTAAGGGCCTACGTTTCAGACTCTGAGTGCTTGCACAACTAGATCTGCTCCCTCTTCTCAGCCTCAGGGTAAAATGTTACACTACTTCTTTCCTCACCTCCATTCTAGTTTCATTTTTAGGTTGCTAATCTGACCTTTAGTTTTGTTTTTTTTTTTGTTTTTTTTTTTAATGAGGCACTAAATGCAAAGAGAAAGTAGGTATTTTCCCCAGATGTTATTTTACCAAAGTGAGACAACATCATTTCTTAGATTTTCTGTAGTTAGGGACTTGAGAGCAGTTCAAAGTCCCCATTCCTCATACACATACCAGAATATAATCTATCCTTATCTCACAGCCAATTTTTCTTGGAAAAGTTAATTTGTGGTGTTGAAAAGGGAATATTGTTTATGCTTTGTCCATGAAACTGAAGGGCTTAGCAAACACCAGACTTCTGAATATAGGATTTAATAATTATCTCCCCAAATGAGGTCTTTATTCCCATTTAGTTCAGAATTTAACAAATGCACTCAATTCCCTTCTCCCCCAACACCTGTAGTATTCAGGCAGAACTTCAAAGCCCTCAGCCAGGGCTATTATAAGCAAAGCCCCGTGATAGGTGGGAGGCTGCACTAGAAACTAAGATCCCCACTCACAAGGCAATATTTCAAGGATTGCACAATCTCAAGAGTGAAGCATTTCTTGAGAATACATTTTTAAAACATTGATTACTCTTCTATGCTGATTGTATTGGCAATATATTTTAATATATAAGAAGACATTACTTTTCTACCTCCATTCCAGGAACGGTGGCTACTCCTAGTTCTCTTTTGATCTCCGTGGTAAGATGCCACATCACCTCCTCCAGGAAGCCTTACTCTACCCCCACCAGCCCTGTGCCCTCCTCTGTGCCCCTACAGCAGTCCCAGTAGACCCCACAGAGCACTTGACCCTTCACTCCCTTTCTCCTGTTTCCTTTTAACTGAGAGCCCCTGAGAGCAAAACCCACATCTTTTTCATTCGATCAATTCTGCCCTATCTTGCCTCTGGGCCTTCACTCCTAATTATCTTTCAGAGCTTTGCTTCAAGCACCTGCCTCCTGTGTGAAGCCTTTCACAACACTTTCCCATGTTCTCCTACCATGGGCTATAATCCCACAGCCATGGGGCCCACTGGATTTACTGTAATCTATTTGCTAGAATGTCTCCAGGTGTGCTAATAAATGTTTAATAACTGATTTTATGAAAGGAAAAAAGAAAACATTCCAAGTTTATAGTGATTGCCAATTTCCACTGTGTAAATATTCCCACCATGACCAATTTCAAGCTACCGACGTGAGGCTACACATTGATTTGGGTAGAAATGCCCAGTAGTACAGCATTATACAGCATTTCCATCAGACTGCTACAATAGCTATAGATCACCTCAAGAGCATATATAATAAGCAATGGCAGTAAAATAATTAGGAAGTGATACATTTTGAGTGTTTCTTACCTTTGTTTGAAATGTATTTTAATTGCAGGCTTATAGAATTTTATTTTTAATAAGTTTGTGTTTAACGACTGACTGGCAAAAATTTCTAAACATCTATCAACTCTCATGAATCAGTAGCAATGGGCTCCAGTGCATCACTGTTTGTATCTCTGACTAGACTGTGAACTTGAGAACTGGGACTGGGACTGTGCTGCTCATGGCACCTCCAACACCTAACACAGAGGAGGCACTGTGTAATGTTCATTGGCGGCAGCCAGGCATATCCATCCTTTTGTCCTCACTTTAAAAGGAGTTAAGAGAAAGTTCAGTGTGCTGTTTAACCACAAAGGCCACTTGGCAAATGCTCTAGAGGAAGCCATACCAACCTCAGCTAAGAACGAGGTCAGATCTCCGTCATACATAGTACTTTATTGCCAACTTCCTACATGTTAAGCTAGTGTGCCACTCCCTACTGAGAAACAAACAAGGCTCTGCTAAGTGTTTTATCCTTTCCTTGAGGGGTTAGCACCAGCTTACTTCCTAAAGAAGCAAGCCAAGATAGCACAGGTCTGATATTAATGCCAAATTCACACAAAATCCCATGTGGCAAAAGAGAATTCTTGCCTTTCTAAGCCTCAGACACTGACCCAATTATTTTAAGATCCATTGGCATTCACTGAATTCCAGCACAACAGGAGAATTTAACATTTCTCTGCGGTTTCTTAAAATGGTTTTGACTACCCTAGAGCACCAGGCCAGCCACCAGCAGGATAGAATGACAGGAATAGTCACAGTGTGTTAGAGGTCAAATCCCTAAGCCTACCTCTTAACTACTGGTGGAACTCTCTAGAAATGAACTTTTCATAATCATAGCAATGGTTAATATGCCACGAGTGCTATCTACCTCTGTGCCAAGCACCGTGTTAGACCATCCTCATAGACTAATTAATGAGGCCTCACATAAAGTCCTCAAGCAGTGGCACCCTCATTTAAATTGTCAGTTTGCTGGGGCTGTTGCCAATCCAGTAAGGCCGGACTGTAGCTGGGATAAAAAGGTTTCACTTCATTAAGCACCAAAATAATGCCATGGCTCTCTAAGAAATCATACTTGTGGGGAAAAGTCTCCTCTCAGTGACCATTTTTCCTTTTTGCCAATATGATGCCATACAAACTGGCAGATGTGGCTTCCTCAATGGGCATGACGAAGTCACCTTGAATTGCTCCATTGAGAAGCATGGCAAAAAGTGATTCCATGGGCTCAGCTTTGCCCTTGTCTGACATCCGTTCAGAGAGTTAAAATTCGTTGGCTTTTCAGGGCAGTGGGTGACATTACCCATGGTCCTCTACAGATCTTCAATAAGTTGACATTTCAAATCATTTGAATAAATCAAAGTGACAGAGGCACCTTAAGTTGCTGAGTTGGGGAGATGATTATAGAGAGCGAAAGACACATTTTCATTTTATTGCTGATGAGCAAAATAAGTAAAATTTGAAAAGGAAGTGGGATGCCTTGTGGGAGGAACCTTCTCAGGAAGAGGACTGCAAGTGGTACCTCTGTCTTGCCAGTGATAAACTGGTGCAGAAACGTTTCCAAACTATTCATCATGTGCACCCTAAAAACCCGATATGTAGAATCTGCACTATCCCTGAAAACAAGAGAGTCCCTGATTTGGTAAATCTTAACCCTGGAATACAAGCTTTCAGTATCACTTGGAGAAGTGAATCCAGTTTCCCTTAAGTGAAACTTGAGCCTTGGTCCCTCATAGCTATTGACCCTTATCTTCTGCAAAAGACCACTGGTGAAAACACAAGCTTAGTTGCTCTTCTATTTGTGTACAGAAATAGCCTAACTCTGCTTTCAAGCTGCTTTGTTCAAAATGTGCTAAGGATTTGTTGAGTGAATAAAAAAAGCAAGCAAGCAAGCAAACAAACAAAACTTTATTTTTTTTTCTTATTTCTCTAGAAAACTGGTAAACAAACAAACAAAACTTTAAATCAGACTGCAATTTAGGTCAAAAGTTAGAAAATATATTTGCAGTGCCTAATTCAGGAAGGAAGATCTTTTTCATGCTAATCTACTGCTAATTATAAAATAGGTGATAGCAAGCATTGTGAAGAGCTAAAAAGGAGGGGGTGGGGGCAGTGCTACTTCATAATTTAGTCACCCTTGATTGGAAAGTGGGCGTTTTAAGATTTGACACCAAACCCCAGCGAGTTACTCTGTAGCATGAGTTTCTCTCACTTCGGACTTTCAGTTTGGACACAGAAAGAACAGGGCAAAAAGTAAAGCCAGAAGGGATGATTTTTAAATGGCAAACTGCAAATAAGGATAGGTTTCAGGCTCCGTTGCAAATAGAGGTGGAATAATGAGAATAAGCTCTGTAAGGCCTGAAGGGAAGGAAACACATGGAGGTGGTCAGCTCCGTGCCCAACAAAATGCCCTTGAAGAAGCCTTTATGATCCTGGGTATAAGAAGAAGGTGGGGGGGAGCACTAAACCATTCTAAGACGAAGTTGTAACATTGACAATGTTGACTCCCTAGAACCAAGTCAGGGGAAGTATGTTTGGAGTCTAAGAAGCACAGTCATGTGTTGCATAATGATGAGGGTACATTCTGAAAAATGTGTCATTAGGTGATTTTGTTGTGTGAACAGCACAGAGTGCACTTACACAAACATAGGTGGTATAGCCTACTACACACCCAGGCTATATGGTGTGGCCTATTGCTCCTAGGCTACGAACCTGAACAGCATGTTGCTATGTTGAATACTGTAGGCAATGGGAACACAATGGTAAGTATTTATGTATCGAACATATCTAAATATAGAAAAGGCACAGTAAAAATACAGTATAAAAGATTTAAAAAATTATACACCTGTATAAGGCGCTTACCACGAATGGAGCTTGCAATAGTAGAAGTTGCTCTGGTTGAGTCAGTGAGTGGGTGGTGAGTAAATGTGAAGGTCTAGGACATCACTCCATGCTACTGTAGACTTTACAAACACTGTACACTTAGGCTACACTACATTTATAAAAAATATTTTTTCTTGGCTGGACATGGTGGCTCACTCCTGTAATCCCAACACTTTGGGAGGCTGAGGTGGATGGATCGCTTAAGTTCAGGAGTTTCAGACCAGCTTGGGCAACATGGCAATACATCATCTCTACAAAAAATTTAAAAATTAGCTGTGTGTGGAGGCACACACCTGTAGTCCCAGCAACTTGAGAGGCTGAGGTGGGAGGACCACTTGAGACCAGGAGTTCAAGGCTACAATGAGCCATGATTGCATCATTGCACTCCAGTTTGGGTGACAGAGCAAGACTCCATCTCAAAAAATACATAATTTTTTTCTTTCTTCAATAACTAATTAACCTTAGCTTACTATAATTTTTTCACTTTATAAACCTTAAATTTTTTTACCTGTTTTACTGTTTTGTAATAACACTTAAACACAAATTGTACAGCTGTACAAAAATATTTTCATCATGTATATCCTTATTCTCTAAGCTTATCTACTTTAAAACTTTTACTTTTTATTATTTTTACTTATTTTTAGTTTTTTTTAATGGAACGCATCACAATTTGTGTGTCATTCTTGCACAGGAGCCATGTTACTATTCTCTGTATCACTCCAGTTTTAGTACATGGGCTGCCAAAGCAAGCGCAGTTTTGAGACTTTTTTGTTAGACTCTAAGACCAAACACACACATTAGCCTAGGCCTACACAGGGTCAGGATCATCAGTATCATGGTCTTCCATCTCCACATCTTGTTCCCCTCTGGAAGGTCTTTAGGGACAGTAACATTCACGAAGCTGTCATCTCCTACGCTAACAATTTTTTCTTCTGGAATACTTCCTGAAGGACCTGCCTGAGCTTGTTTTACACTTAACTGTTTTTTTTAATAAGTAGAAGGAGTCCGCTTGAAAATAATGATAAAAGGTATGGTATAGTAAATATCTAAACCAGTAACATAGTTGTTTATTGTCATTATCAAGTATATGTTCTATACATAGTTGTATTGCTAGTCTTTTATATGACTGGCAGAGCAATAGCTTGTTAACACTAGTGTCACAAACATGAGTAATGCATTGCATTGCATTATGGTGTTAGGGCTGCAACGTTACTATGACTACAATGCCACTAGGCAATAGGAAATTTTTAATTCCATTGTAATCTTATAGGACCACCACTGTACATGTGGTCCTGTGATTGAGCAAAACATCGTTATGGGGCACATGACTGTAGCTTTTGGGCAAGTGGGTCTCAATCCTGCCTGCATATTAGAATCACCTGGAGAGCTTATAAAACTTTTGCTGTCTGGGCTGCCGTCTGAACTAATTAAATCAGAATATTTGGGTGTGAGACCCCAAATTGGTATTTTTATTTATTTACTTTCAAAATTAGGTAATTCGATTGATTGATTTACCTACTTATAGCTGTCAGTATTTTCGAAACATTCGAAACACACAGTATTTCAATGTGCAGTCAAGGTTGAGAACCATGAATTAAACAGCAACAAAGCAGAGTTGTAAAAAGGACTCTAATGTGTGTTTAGTTTTGTGTTTCCTCAAATGGTGCTTTCTCTTACAGCTGGCATGCAATATGGGCAATTAGTGTTAGTGTTCATCTTAGTCCATTTGGACTGCTATAACAGAATTCTATAGACTGGGTGGCTTATAAACAACAGAAATTTATTTCTTCCAGTTTTGAAGCCTAGGAAGCTCAAGATCAATATGCCAACAGATTCAGTGTCTAGTGAGGGCCCACTTTCCAGTTCATACATGGTGGTGTTCTCTGTGTTCTCACATGACAGAAGAGTCAAATGAGCTCTCTGGGGCCTCTTTTATAAGAGCACTAATTCCATTTATGAGGCCTTCACCTTCATGACCTATTCACCTCCCAAATGCCCCACATCCTAAATACCATCACATTGGAGATTACGTTTTAACATGTGAATTTGGAGGGACACAAACATTTAGTCTATAGCAGTGTTGGTAAGTCATTTTAGTATTGAGATATATGTAAGGAGAATACCTCATCAAGGGGCCAAGTCTGGGGCCGGACATTGGGCAGGCAGTTGGCTGGGAAGCTGATGCCTTTCTCAGAGATGGGTTCCTGAGAGCCTGTAGGCTTGACACTTGGTGTAGTTGGACAATCCATTGCTACCAGGTGATCAAAGTGGAGCTAAGGTATGAGAGTCAGGTAGGCAGGTAGGTAGGTAGAGAGTTGTCAGAGCAGGCAGAGTGTACCTGGGATTCAAGGTTAAGATAGGGTGGAGAGGTGTACAACATGAAAGCTCCAGAGATCAGATGAGCATTGGAATGGGCTCAGGGAAGGAAGGTGCTTCGATTTGCCTATACTTGAGTCCTTTATTCAAGCGCAGGCAGTGGTCCCTCTTCTCTTGGGCAGGAGTTTTCGAATTTTACAGGAAGGGTCTGCTAAGCTATCCACTTCATGTTAGGTCCGAATTTATTTCATCTTCAGTGTTTTCTAGTCAAGAGCCAACTTCTCTGGTTGAGGTCCAATTTCTGTGGCACCTGAGATTCCCCTGGCTAGAGAAGCTGTGTGCTGGTATGGTGGGGTTGGGTACACCGGGCCATTTCTTCATGGTTGAGGTCCTTGTCTACTCTGGCCCAGATGCCTTCAGGGTCTGATTGTTAAGATGGTACACAACAAAATGCTGTGTTGCAACTCTTTCAAGGACATTAATTAATTCATTCACTTACCCAAAAGCTCTTACTTAGAGGGCATGATAAATTTCAGGTGCTAAACTGTGGGTGGGGGATGGGGTGGTTCCCAGTCTTCTGGGGAAGACAAACAATTCCAATAGCGCTGAAGGAGTACACAGGACAAAAAGGACATGATAAAGGAAGAGTTTCTAGAGATGTTGAATCCTAAGGAATGAGTAGGAGGGAGCTCCCGAGGCAAAGAGAGCTGAGAAGGACATTCCAGGCAGAGAAGACAGGGAAGAAAGATATGTTTCTGCTGGAGGCCACATGCAGATCAGTACAGCTGGGGTATTACGTGTGATGCAGGGAGGGGTACAAGATGCAGATAAATAGGTGGGCAGGAGTCAGATGATGAAGGACCCGTGGGTCACGCTAGGGAGCTTGAACTTCATCTTATGGGCAGTAGGGAGTCACTAAAGCAATGTTTCTGTTTTTGGCTACATATTGAAATCTCTTCGGGAGCTTTAGCAATACTGATGTCTGGATGCCAAACCTGGATATTCTGATTTAATCAGCTTGGGGTGCAGCCCTGGCATCAGGATATCTGAAATCTGTCCAGGTGATTCTACTGTGCAGGCAGGGTTGAGAGTCACTGCATTAAAGGGTTTCAAACAGGGAATTGACATTCTTTGGGGCTTGTTTTTAGAAAGCTCATGCTGGTACAGGTGGATGAGTAGCCAGAGGCAAGAACCAGCTTGAAGGCTATTACAATAGTCCAGGTGAAAGATGATGTAGAACTGACCAAGAGCAGCAGTTGCAGTACTGAGAGAGGTTTAGGTTGTTAAATTGGCAAGACTTGGGTGATTGACTATCTGTGTGGACTGAGAGAGAGGGAGGAATCAAGAATGACTCCTACAGAAATTTGAACCATCATACATTGCTGGTAGGGTTGTAAAATGGTGTGCTCACTTTGAAAAATAGTTTGGCAGTTCCTCAAAAGCTTAAACGTACAGTTACCAAATGACCCAGCAATTCTAATCTTGGGTATATACTCAGCAACTCTAAAACTAAGTAAAACATATGTCCACACAAAAACTTGTATGTGGATGTTCATAGCAGCATTATTCATAGTAGCCCAAAAGTGGAAACAGCTCAAATGTCAGTTGCCTGATAAATAAAGAAAATGTGATAAATCTATGCAATGGAATATTTTTCAGCCACATAAAGGAATGAAGGACTGATACATGCTACAACATAGATGAACCATGAAAACATTATGCTAAGTGAAAGAAGCCATCACAAAATACCATAAATTGTACAATTGCATTTATGTGAAATATACAGAATAGGCAAATCCAAGGAGACAGAACACAGATTCATTGTTTCCAGAGACTGGGAGAGGGGACGATGGGGAGTGACTGTTAATGGACAAGCAGAACTTTTTCGGGTGTGATGAAATGTCCTAAAACAAGATTGTGGGACTGGTTGAGAAACTTTGTAAATTTACTAAAAAGCACTGAATTGTACAGTTTAAAAAGGCAAATATTATGGTATGTGATATCTCAATAAAAAAGAATGACTTCCAAGTGCCTACGTTGACTGGCTAGGTTAATGCTGATGTCAGAAAATAATGTAGAGAACACAAGTGAAGAAACACATTTGGCAGGGACTGTTGCCTGTGGGGCCTCTAGGTGCTGATATCTAGCAGACAGGTAGATTATGAGGTTGGAGCTTGGGCAGATGTCTTGGCAGGAGACAGAGATTTTGGAGTTATCAACTTGGAAATAGATGGTCATTTATGTTGTGGGAAATGATGCAATTACATAGAAAAAGAGTGTAGTGTGTGAGGACTGGAGGCCAAGCAAAGATCCCTGGGGAACACTAGCATTTAAGGGGTGGTAGAAGAGCTCATGGAGGAGCCAAAAGAGGAGCTGTCAGAGCGAATTGAGGAAAAGCAGCCAAGTGGGAGAAGGGGATTGCCATGGCATCCCAGAGTATTGACATAGAAGGAAGATCCAATTTAAATATCACTATATAATTAAGTCTCTGCTCATATTTCTAGTACTAACCCATACTGGCCCTGTTTTAAAGATATGGATAAGATGACTCATTCAATTATAAATCCTCTACAATAGACGCTTTTACAAATCCTGGTCCTTCTGACAGTTTTATTCTGCCCCCAACCCTACAAAGGCAGAGGTCACCTATCCAGGGCAGAATTAGTTCTTCCACTTTCTGTAGCCCCATTACTTGTGCGGGTACTCTTGGAGACAAGGAGAAGAGGGGCTGTCCCTGGAGGACTGGAAAAATGAGCTATCAGAGTGGACTCTGTATAGAGAGCTGGAAGGGTTTTTCCTGTTAATCAAGCAAGAATAACTAATCAGATGTTACTTTAGCAGCACTTAGCACCTTCCTTGATCTACATCTCTTCTTCCTACTTGCCCCAAGTTGTTCTGCCTCACGTGTTGACAGTAATATTAACAGCTGACCGCTGGGTGCAGTGGCTAATGCCTGTAATCCCAGCATTTTGGGAGGCTGAGGTGGGAGGGTAGTTTGAGCCCAGTAGTTCAAGGCCAGCCTGGGCAGCATAGTGAGACCCCCATCTTTATAATAATAATAATAAAAGAGCTGACATTTATTGTTTATTATATGACTGACATAAGCATTTACTTATTTGGTCCTCAAAATAATCTCGTAAGTTAAGTACTGTTATTCTTCTCATTTAAAAGATGGAGAAAATGAGGCACAGAGAAGCTAAGTAATTTGCCTGATGCAAGAGAGTGGTACAGTCAGAGTGGACCCAGGCAGCCTGACTCTAGGAGCACTTAGTCTTAACCATTACCCTACCAACCTCTCAGTAAGCAGCACCAAGCAGTGTGGTGCAGCAGTAAAGAGAGTGAATTTGAAGTCCATCGAGTCCAAGCCTCTATAACCTAGCACCTAGCTGTGTTACATTTGGCAACTCATGCAACCTCTCTGAGTCTCAGCTTCCTAATCTATATAATAGGGCTATTACTATCTGCCCTGTAAACCTCACGGATTTGTTGTGATGATGAAATGAGATGAGACATGTACTGAGTGGACAGCTACACCTATAAAGTTCTGTGCTTATTTTCCCAGAACCTCACTAGACAGTTGACACAGAGTAGGAACTCAGTACTGCTGATTGAGGGAAAGCAAGGATTTTTCTCACACTCTCTTTCGGCATTTGCTGCACTTTATTATAATTCTCTGTTTGAGAATCTATCTTCCCCACTAGACTGAGCTTGCCAAGGATGAGGACCAAAACTTGTCATCTCTGACTCCGTGGCACCTAGCTCAGAACGTGGCACCTAGCTCAGAACCTGGCACCGAAAGGGCACTCAATAAAAGGTACTATTTAGTGGTAGTGACAATAGTAGGAGAAACCCCAGAAGCAGCACTTTGAATGAATCACTTCCTCGGCGACTACAGCAACAGCCTGTGGCCAGCAGAGAGCAGCAGAGCCCCCAAAGCATAGACCTGTGCATAGACGATGCAAGCCTCTGTGCCTGTGGCCTGTCTCCTTTCTTCTCTAACCTGGCACAGTAATTGGCTTGTCTCTAACAGGATGGAAATTGTGCTTGGTTTGACTAAAATGTGCTTCCCCTGACACCTAAGCAGTTTGCAAATTTTGTCCTGAAACTAGGGCAACAGGACCAGTTTTAGTCACCAAAGTCATTCCCAATGTTACACAGCGTCCATGAGGTCTGAAACTCTCCGGGGAAGGACAGTGTGAAGGGCGCTTAGTATTTCCTTCATTCAGAGCTAAATTCATTTGACAAAAGATCTTATAGAATTTTGAAAGAATTCCTGGCTTTAGAAGACTGATAACTGATGACTTCTGCTTTAAAAAAAAAGTTTGCAAAGTTCTTTCAGAGAGAACTTTTTAGCTACATAATATTTTGATATCTTATGGGTAAAAAGAGAGCCAAATGAAAGCTCTGAGTCAGGAGTCATTAAAGTGGTTGAGTGGATGGTAATCATTTTAGCTAGTAATGGGGAGAAAGGACCAGCATACTGGAAAAGTGGTCTGTTTGTTTCTGCTAACTGATGGACCAACCTTATTATTTTTTCCATTTGACATCAGAATGGGCCTGGAACTAATGGCCCTTCAACAGAAAGCAAAAGCTCTTCTATTTATTTACTTTGTACTTTGGCTTTTACATGTTTCCGTTTTAATATCTTTTAATTACAGCAGTTAGTGTACCAGTTAAGAGGATGAGATTTTGGAGTCAGACAAAACCAGGCTTGCATCCCTGTTCTTCAACTTACCCAGCTGCATGGGCTGGACCACTTACTAAACCACTCCAAGAATTAATTTCTTTATCTGTCAAATAGCACACTAATTCTTGCCTCCAAGGGTTATTTTGCTGATATAATGAGATGATGTATCTAAGGCACTTAGCCCAGAGCCCACCACATGTTGAGTGCTCAGTAAATGGTAGCCTTTATTGTTCAAATATTATTTTAAAATTCCAAATACGCATGCACACAAAATTATGAATTCACCTTGAGGATACACAATGGTTAGGGTAAGATGCCAAAATGAGCCGTGATAAAGAAATAAAGCTCAGAGGGATGGGGTTAATTGTCCAAAGTTAGTCATAAGTGCTGGAGATATACCTTAAGCCTTCATCTATCTGAAGCCAAAGGCTCTATACCTTATCACCAGAAAACCAAGCCTCCCCCTTTCAACTTTGTTCAGGAGGAGCAATCTACTCTTGCCTCCAGCCTTAGGTCCCTCCTCAGAGCCCTAGTATCAGGGAATGCCCTGCACCCCCTTGCAGGTCCATCCCCGAGCCCACTACTCTAACTGACACTGGCTCCCAGGAAGCTGAGCTGTTTACCCAAGGTCACACAGTTGGATGAGCAAGGGCACCTGGGGAAAGAGTGGTAAATTGATTATTCCTTAGCCTCAAACTAGTGCTTCTGGAACATAGAGTAGAATTAATATTTCATGCAACCAGTCATTCACAAACATAGCATTGGGGATGCAGTGATGATCACGGCAGACCTAGCTCATAGTCTAGTGGGGAAGACAGACAAAGAAATAGTCACCTGGGATAAACACAAAGTGACCTGTGCTGTGACTTGGTGTCAAGGAGATAGGGGAAGCCCATGGCGTCATGGGATATCAGAGGAGGTTAGCTATTCCAGTCTTGAGAAGGTCCAAAAACAATCTGTAAAGTTCATTTGTTTTATTTGTTGGCCAAGAGTAATATCAATTGGTCAGTGACACAATGCTATTTTCATTCATTTATTTTTTGGGGAAAAAATTTACTGAACTAGGTTGCTGTGCTAGGCATGATAAAATACAGAGATGGCTCAGACATGGGCATTGTCCTTCTGAAAGCTGGTACTTTCCTTTAGGAAGTGGGTGACAATGGTGCTCTTCAGTTTATTCAGAATTACCAACTCCATCAGCTTCAGGTAACAGAGAATAATAACCAAGGCTGAATAATCCATTGGATGGACTTCTGCCTGGTTAAAATATCTGTTGATTATTTGTTATTATTTGTGTCACAAAGTGTGTTGGCTTATAAGCAGGAAAGCACACCTGAATTTCTGAAACCTTCTGCATGATTATATGTTATGGGATTAGCTAACAGAATATCGAAGACTGATCGTCCTTTGGCTTTTGAGGGTGAAATGAAACTTAATGTCAGTGATATGAACACGCATGTTAATACTGAGATTTGCTCTACCTGCCAGGGGGCAGAGCACTTAGGTAGGACACGCTAAATTGCATTAATGGAGAGTTGAGATATTCCCAGCTGTGCTTCTGGGAAACTAATGAGGTTCAAATGATGTGCTTATTGCACACCTCAGAATATCCCACCAGGGCAGCTCTTGAATATAATTTTCTATGCTCTTTCGCTGGTTTGGGAAGGCATTGCTGCTTCTGTGCCCTTTGTTTACTTGTTATCATGTTCATCTTTCGCTATTTCTGTCCAGGTGCTTCCTGAAAGTTCCATCCTGGAGCTTCCAACCCTGCATTTCCTCCTGAATCTTTGGGTCTATAATAGGAACCTGGACTTAATGAACTTGAAAGATCAGAAAACAGTCTTTGTGGGTCATTTGGAAAAAACTGACATCAATTATCTCAAACCGTAACTGTGATTCTGAATTTCCACTCTGGGTGGAGTTGGCCACCCTGCTTGGTAAGTTATCTAGAAACTGTACTCAGAGGAGCTGCTCCAAGTCCTCAGGGAATTTAGCTCTTTGCTAATGAATTTAATAGGTCATTGGGATTTGCTTCTCTACCTAGGGAGAACTCTGCAACATTTGTTCATATTTGAAGGTTTTAATCAACCCCTTGTCCAGAATGACTGCACTAAACCATAGCTTTTGGCTCTGGGCCAAGGGAGCTATCCCAATTTGCACTTCTCCCAGCTGGTCTTGAATCTCTCTGTCATTCTCTGGACAAGTTGAAGAATGTCCTTTCCAATAGGATAACTTCAGTAATTCAGTCCCCACTGACTGCCGTCGTCTATCTCTTTTGGCTCTCTGCAGCTGCAGAAGAGTGGAAAGAATGTTGACTTTGGATTCAGTCCAAAGAGGGCTAAAGTCGAGACTCCACTACTTTCTAGCTGCATGACCTTACACAGGTGACTTCACCCCTCTGAGCCTCCAGTTTCTCATCAGTAAAATAAAAATAATAATAGTCCCTCCCTGATAAGGTTATTGTGAAGGCTAATGAGATCATGCACATAAAGTGATATAATGTGACCAGCTGTCCTGGTTTGCCTGGGAACGAGGAATTTCCTGGGACATGGGACTTTTAATGCTAAAAGCGGGGTAGTCCCATGCAAACCAGGATGGATGGTCAACCTAGATGAGTATAGTATGTTGTTACCCTACTTTGTCGTTATCACTGGAATAGCCACCATTTCCAGGTCAGGAGACCTCCACATGTACATCTGGTCCACATAATTAATGGATCCAGGCAACCTGTTCCACTTACATGAAAGTCAGGGATTCAGAGCTTTGAATTATAAAGTGCTGTATGTGTTTAAACCATTACTATTACTCTCATTATCTATGGCCTCACATTCCAATAATGGCAGGTTCAATGGTGAAACATATAAAGCCATTAAAGGCAATTCCACATTTATTGAGTGCCTGCTCTGTGAAAGATACTGTGCTAAGCATCAGAGGGAGAACAATGTACTGGGGGAAACAGAATAATAAAATTACAGTTTCTCTTTTTGGGGAAATTCTTCAATGAAGTTTAAAAGGTCACAGCGTATGTTCTTGGCACCTTTGTTGAAAATGAGTTCCCTGTAGGTGTGTGGATTTGTTTCTGGGTTCTCTATTCTGTTCCATTGGTCTATGTGTCTGTTTTTATGCCAGTACCATGCCATTCTCCATGATGTGCTTATTTCACATTGCATGCCTATATCAAAATATCTTATGTACCCCATCTTACATACCCCATAAATACATATGCTTACTATGTACCCATAAAAATGTAAATATCTCCCTCCCTCCCTCCCTCTCTATATATAGAGAATATATATAGAGAGAATATATATAATATATATAAAACATATAATATAATATAAATAATATATAATATATAAATATATAATATAAAATTATATAAAATATATAATGTAATATATATTTATTATATAATATATTATAATATATAATATATATTATTAATATTTATAATATATAATATATAATGTATAATTTTTTAATTTTTTTAGAAACGGTCTTCTCTGTTAAAAAAATTTTAAAAAATATATTATATATTATATATTATACATATTATATATTTATATATAATATGTATATATATACATGTATATATGTATATATTTACATGTATATATGTGTATATATATACATATAATATGTATATGTATATAATATATTATATAATATATAATATTATATACTATACACATAATATTATATATTATACATATATATATTCACTGAGATGGCCACTTAATATTTGTGCCCTTTTAAACTTTCTTTCTCTAGAGAGAGTGAATTCCAGCTCAGTGGATTGTGAGAAAGTGAAAACAATTGTGTAATCAACAGCCAGCTCAGGATATAGAGCATTACCAGCACCGCCGAGGCACTCCTCCCCAAGGCCTCCTTTCAAGCCACTGCCCACTCCCTCCAAAGGAAACCTCCACTTTTATTTTTATCTTGGTTATGTCCTTTGCTGTACTCTCTTTTGGTTTGCCTTGTTCTTTTTCCAGTTTTTTTTTTTTGAGTTGAGAATTTAATTCATTTGTTTTTATTCCTTTAATTGTTGTAGATGTCCAGGGCTATGAATTTTCCTCTGGCCACTGCTTTAAATCCCATAAATTCTGATGTGTAGTGTTTTCATTACCATTATTTTTCAGAAAATCTATAATTTCTGATTTTCCCCCCTTTCACTCAAGAGTTTTTAAAACTTCCAGATTGAAGGGTCTTTTTAGTTTTTACTTTAAAATTCTAGTTTTATTTCATTTAGAACCTTGATGTTTAACACACGGATTTGTTTAACCTGTTTTTGATCTTTATCTAAACAAAATACTGCTACATCCTCTTTTGGAACTTCAAAGCATTTCTCTTTTCAGAAAAGCCAATATATTCTCAAAGTATCAAGCACTTGTGACCTAAAATTGGAGATGTTTCTACCATAATTTTAACAATTCTAGAAGTTACTGAGATTAAGCCAGACAGAGTAGACATATCACCATCAAAACTAGATCTGAGATACAAAATCCCAGTCAAAGGGTTGGGAGATTTAAAAGACATGTATAAACTATCTTCCCAAATGTGCCTTTTCTGTCATTAGCAAGCTGGAAGCAAACTAACAGAAAATGAGAGCGTAATGCTACTTTTTCCAGGTGTTACTCCAACATGTTTTACTTTTCAACATCACAAAGAACATATTCAGAGTATTTCACATTAAATACTCTACCATTGCCTTCACAACATGAGTGAATCATTACCAGAAAACTAGGTTTTTGTACCATCTAGTGGTATGGCAAAATATAGCTGACATGTAAATATTTTTTAAGTTAATAATTCTTTAAGAGAATCCTTCAGGGCTCAGGTCATTGTGGATTGTTTCACATATAGATTATAGGTGCAAAGAAATGGTCAGCTCCCTTACTCTTCGCTATAACCATGAGCTCTGTGTCTTGATTCCTCACCTTGACATAGATTCAGGTCTGAAATTTGAAGATTCTAGATCTTCATTTATTACAAGGGTAAGGGCAAGCAATAAACTTAGACTGTTAAAATGAAGAAAATAACATGCTTATCACCCCTCTTTCTCATATTTCTCTTTCTTGGACATTGTTTAAAAGTTCCCAGAAATCTCTAATATATTTTGTTTTTAATTTTAAATTGAGGTAACAAACACATAACATAAAATTTGCCATCTTGGCTCGTCCGAAGGTAGTGGGTTATCTCAATTGATTGTTCACAATTGCAGATCGAACTCCTTGTTCTACTTCCACCCATCCCTTCTCACTACTGCACTTGACTAGTCTTTAAAAAAAAAATCATGCCTGTAATTCCATCACTATGGGAAGCCGAGGTGGAGGTTCACTTGAGTCCAGGAATTTGAGACCAGTCTGGGCAACATAGTGAGACCCCATCTCTACAGAAAACTAAAAAATTAGCCAGATGTGGTAACCCATGCCTGTAGTCTCAGCAGCTCAGGAGGCTGAGGCAGGAGGATGGCTTGAGCCCAGGGGTTCAAGGCTGTAGTAAGCCATGATCACATCACAGCACTCTAGCCTGGGTGACAGAGAAGACCCTGTTCCTAAAAAAAAAAATAAAAAAAATACATTTTACAATCTTAACTATTTTTAAGTGTCAAGTTAAGTAGTGTTAAGGATATTCACATTATTATGCAACACAGACCTCCAGAACGTTTTCATCTTGCAAAACTGAAACTCTATATTTATTAAACAGCAGCTCCTCATTTTCCTTTCCCTACTCTGATGGTTATATCAAGGGATCACTCACAGACATTCCTATACGGGTCAGTATTTTTACCCAAAGCAGTAATTACCACAAAAATAAACAGCTCTGTCTTTTTCCCTGCCCACCACCTCAGGGACAAAAAAATGATTTTGAAATAGCAATGCTTTTATCTTTTGTTAACTAAAATCTCCGAGTTGAGTTTATTTTTGTAACCATCATTGCTCACAAGGCTTAGGAGCAGAAGTTTTGAGATCCTCAAATACAGGATTCTGTAATCTGTGAAATTTAAAAATTGATTTTTTTAAGATTGCAGGATTATATCAAGGGGATTCAAGGCCCCCCAGGGGAAAATTGCAGAGATATCCCATCAAGCCAATGGGGAGAACACTTTTCTCAGAAAAGGAAGAGCTGGGCCAGGCACAGTGGCTCATGTCTGTAATCCCAACATTTTGGGAGGCAGAGGCAGGAGGATTGCTTGAGCCCAGGAGTTCTAGACGAGCCTGTGCAATATAGTGAAACCTTGTCTCTACAAAAAATTTTTTAAAAAATAGCCAAGCATGGTAGCATGCACCTGTAGTACCAGCTACTTGGGAGGCTGAGGCAGGAGGATCGCTTGAGCCCAGGAGATTGAGGCTGCAGTGAGCCATGATTGCACCACTGCACTCCAACCTGGGGTTGCAGAGCAAGAACCTGTCTAAAAAAACAAAACAAAACAAAAAATGGGGGTAGGGGGTGGAGGAAAGAGCTGGCTTGGAATTCTGGCTCTGCCAAGTTTCAAGCTGTGTGACCTTGGGGGAAGTTACTGAGCCTCTCACAGCCTCGGTTTCCTCATCAGCAAGGTGGGAACAATAACTTCTATATGCTGTTAAGAGAAAACGAAGTAAGTTTTATACTGTAACTAGTATATAGTAGGTGCTAAATAAATGTTGGTTCCATCTTCTCTCCCCAGTTTAGCAGTATATACACATCTCCTTGAGGCCTGGGCCTCAGTTTCCTCATCAGCCAATTGCACAGGGTCACTGTGAGGTTTAAATTGTGACAATGTATGTGAAAATAACTTCATAATGGACACTCAATAAATTTTTTTAATTCAAGTTTATTTCTACAAAAGTTATAACTAATCAAGAAAGAAAATAATCACTGAATACAGGTAATTAGTATTTGGTTAGTATTTTCCAAAGAAAGTTATTGACATTTTCCTGATAGGCAATGATTTTTCCTGGATCATTTAAATAATTTATCTGTACGAAGGCAGCAGCCTGGCCTAGATAATCTCTTGAGGCTGTAGCTGCCCCCAGGAGTGTATGATTCTCTTCCAGTGTTACAAAAGGAACAGGACAGGAAAAATGAAGTGGTCTGGGTTATCAGAGAAACGTGGAGAGAACGGAGCATATTTTACTGCCTCACAATTATTACAACTACTTAGAGATAGCCACTGCTCATTTTTCTAAACATTTTCTGAATAAGATACATATTTAAATGATTTTCTCGTCTGGGTGCAGTGGTTCCCACCTGTTAATCCTAACACTTTGGGTGGCTGAGGTGGGTGGATTGCCTGAGCTTAGGAGTTCGAGACCAGCCTGGGCAATATGACGAAACCCTGTCTCTACTAAAACTACACAAAATTAGCCAGGTGTGGTGGCGGGCGCCTGTAATCCCAACTACTGCAGAGGCTTAGATGAGAATCACTTGAACCCAGGAGATGGAGGTTGCAGTAAGCCGAGATCGTGCCACTTCACTCGAGCCTGGGCGACAGAGAAAGACTCTGTCACACACACACACACACACACACACACACACACACACACACACAAATATATATATATATTCTCATGAAAGTGACACAGGATTGTAAAAAATTTTAAACAGCACAGAAGGATATAATGTGAAAGTAAAATTTCCCTGACCAATACCACCACACAAACACACACATACATACACACACACAGTCTCCCCAATCACATTCCCCAAAGGAAACCACTGTGAACAGATTTTTTGGAATTAGCTATGAGTTTCCTATACACATATACTGTATACACATATGGTGTGTATGTATACACACATAAACATATGTACATGCATGCATATACATACATACACCCTGTGTTTCATAAAGTCTTTGCCACACAGACTATCATGTGATAGAATGTGAATGGTCTCCCTTGGAATTGTGCAGCATTGCACAAAACAACAACTCCACACACACACAAACACACACACATTAACATCTCCCTTTAAAAAAAAACACAAATGCAGTAATATTAAATAGACTTTCATAACTTGCTTTTCTCAATTAATGATATATCTTAGATGTTTTTCCATATCAGTGTATACAAATCTACCTGATTTTTTTTACCTGCTCCATAGTGTTCAGTTGTATAGATGTATCATAATTTATTTAGACAATTTATTTTTGATAAAAATTGGGGTCATTTACAGTGTTTTTTTGCTGCTACTAACAATGCTGTAATAAATAATTATACCTATTCAAATTATATATATATATTTTTACAATGAGCTTAAAGTGCATGTGCGTGTGCAGTATATGTGTATATAACTTTTTATACTTAATCTGCATTTTAATGAATAAATACAGATCTCTAGCATCATTTTTAATGGCTGTATATTATATCAGAGGGATGAAACATAGTTTGTTTAATGAATGCCCTGCTGTTAGACATTCACGTTGTTCTTGATTTTTCACTATTATAAACACTGCAGTGTTGAACATCTGTGTATTTAAATCTTTGTGCATTTGTCAAATTTATTTTCTTTAGATACATCTGTAGAGGTGAAGTTGTCAGCTCAAAGGGCATGTGTACTTTTAAGAGTAGTCACTTCATTTAAAGGAAAAGGTTGTCAATACATTTATGCAGATTGGCTGAGCAAATGTCTTCAGATATGATAGCCTTGGGAAGAAACATTTATACCACATAGATTGCTGGTTTCCAAACCTGATATGGTAGGCAGAATAGCCCAAATGATTTCTATATCCTAATCCCCCCAAAACCCGTGAATATGTTATGTTACATGGCAAGATGAACCAAGAGTGCAAATGGAATTAAGGTTGCTGACTTTAAAACAGAAGGATCTTCTGGGGCCCAATGTAATTACAAGGGTTTTTAAAAAATGGGTGAGGAAGGCAAAATAAGTGATTCCTAGGGAGGTGTGATTATGGAAGAATGAGATGCACGTTTCTGGCTTTGAAGATGGAGGCCGGCCATGAGACAAGGAATGTGGGCAGCCTCTAGAAGCTGGAAAAGGTAATGAAACAAATCCTCCCTAGAGGATCCAGAAGAAATGCAGCCTTGAGGTCACCTTGATTTTAGCTCAGTGAGATTCATGTAGGAGGATTTCTGATCTCCAGAATTGTAAGATAATAAATATGTGTTGCTTTAAGCCACCAAGGTTGTGGTAATTTGTTAGAGCAGGTTAGAAAACTGATACAACTGGTTGCACATGTGACTAATGGCAGGAGTAGGGGGTGGTCACAGAGATGCTGATTCAGTAGTCTAGGGAAGAGTCAGGGGGCATTTATTTTCAACAAGCTCCCCAGGTGATACTGATGTGTCTAGTGGGGATTTGGGGAACCACTGATATAGACCACATAGGTCTGCAACAGTAACCATCTCTTGATATGGAGACAGTCACTTGCTGGTCTGGAAGATGATCTTGGTAGGTGATTAAAGATGTGTCTAGGGCTGGCCAGGGCTCCAATCTGGCACCAACCTTAACTCTGCCTCCTAAGTGACACTGTCATTCAACCCATCAATTTGAGCTTAATCTATCTTGCCAGCTTAATTTTCAACTGTTCATCAACCCAAATACTCTGCTTAAGCCAGACTAGTCTAATCACCATCTATTCAATAAGTCTTGGGATTTCTCCCTTTATATTTTCTCTTAAAGTGCTGCTATATCCTTGTATCAGCAGGTCCTCCAGAAAGCAGGAGCTGAGGAGTTAAAGGTGTGAGGGGTTTATGGGGCCTGGTAAGTAACACCTGCAAAAGAAAAAAGGAAGAAGAAGAATTGAGCAGGGAGAGACTCAGACCAAGATGCAGATCTGACAAAAGTTCAGCCAAATTAGTAGGGGTTCTGGAACAAATATTGCCCCTTGGAGCAGTCCCACATTGGGGCAGAAATGGCCAGGCCCTAGTACCCATATAATGCTCAACCATTGGCTGGGAAAGCCCACAAACAGCATAGCTGAAACAGATCCTAAGGTGCTAATAGGTGGAAGTACTCAACTAACGACACTTCTTGCAACTGAATGGCGAATTCTTTCTTGAAGGGAGTTCCTGGCAGCGCCCTCAATGGCTGCCACAGTTCTCTCTTCTGCTCCTCAGTTATCCAGACCCTGTCTTCTTCTTCGAGACACAATATGGCAACTGTTGATGGGTTTTCTCATATCTACAACATTTATTTCAAAATACAGGCTCACATAGTTGAAAATGACCTTAGGAATCAACTTATTTTATACATACAGAAACTGAGACTTGGAGAAACAGGGAAGAGGGGCTGTGACTGATTCAAGATGACACAGCTAGCTAGTGGAAGAGCCAGAGCCAGAACCCAGCTGTCCTAACTCTCAGTCCAGGTTCTCAGTAGCATTAGGAAAAGGCTTCTCATCTTTAAAGATTAGTGGAAGGTCACAGCTTTCAACTAAAAGGTAAGTATAACTGCTGTAAATATAATAAATAGGCTCATTGACTTACTCCTAAGCATACAGAATCTTTAAAATGAAGAATAATATAACTAAACGTATTTGAGTAGAACTTTGAGACAATTTATAAATATATAAATACATACACTGTTTGTGTATGTCTTTACTGTTTGTGGGAATGTAAATTAGGTCAGCCACTGTGGAGAGCAGTTTGGAGATTTCTCTAAGAACTAAGGGTTGAACTACCATTCGACCCAGCAATCCCATTACTGGATATATACCCAAAGGAAAATAAATCGTTCTACCAAAAAGACACATGCACCCATATGTTCATCCAAACACTATTCACAATACCAAAGACATGAAATCAATCCAGGTACCCATCAACAGTGGATTGGATAAAGAAAATATGGTACATATAAACCATGGAATACTACACAGCCATAAAAAGTAATGAAATCATGTCCTATGCAGCAACATGAATTCAGCTGGAAACCATTATCCCATTATCAGGAACAGAAAACCAAATATGGCATGTTCTTACTTATAACTGGGAACTAAATGTTGGCTACACACAGACACAAAGGTAGGAACAATAAAAACTGAGTATTCCAAAGAAGGGAAAGGAGGGAGAGGAACAAGGGTTGAAAAACTACCTATCAGGTGCTATGTTCACTACTTGAGCAATGGAATCATTAGAGGCCCAAGCCTCAAAATCATGCAATATACCCATTTAACAAATCTGGACATGTACCCATTGAATCTAAATAAAAACAGAAAACAAATAGTGATAGAGGGTGGAGAAAGATGGCTGAATAGAAGGCTCCACCAATCATTCCCACCCCCTGCAAGGACACCAATTTAACAACTATCTATATACACACACATACAAATCTTCATAAGAACCAAAAATCAAACGAGCACTCACCGTACCTGGTTTTAACTTCATATCGCTGAAAGAGGCACTGGAAGAGGGTAGGGAAGACAGTCTTGAATCGCTGATGCTACCCCTTCCCCATCCCCATGGAGCAGCTGTGTGGGGTGGAGAGAGAATCTGTGCACTTGGGAGAGGAAGAGCACAGGGATTGTGAGATATTGGATTGAACTCTGTGCTGCCCTGTCACAGCAGAAAGCAAAACCAGACTGAAGTCAACTGACAACTGCCCATGGAGGGTATATTTAACCAGCCCTAGCTGGAGGGCAATCACCTATCCCAGCAACTGGAACTTGAGTTCTGGCAAGCCTCCCAACCATAGGCTCAAGGGCTCTGGAACCCTAAATAAACTTGAAAGGTAGCCTAGGCCAAAAGGACTGCAACTCCTAGTGCTGAACTGGGCTCAAAGCCAGTGGATGTGAAGGACACATGATCTACCGAAACACCACCTGGGGTGGCTAAGGTAGTGCTGGCATTACTCCTCTCCTAACCCCAGGCTGTATAGCCCATGGCTCCATAAGAGACACGTTCCTTCCACTTGAGAGGAGAGGGAAGAGTAAAGAGGGCTTTGTCTTGCATTTTGGATACCAACTCAGCCACAGCAGGATAGAGCACTACTCAGCATCATGAGGCCCTCTTTTCAGGCCCTAGCTCCCAGACAGCATTTCTAGACACACCCTGGGCCAGAAGAGAACCCACTGCCTTGAAGGGAAGGACCCAGTCCTGGCAGGACCAATCACCTGCTGACTAAAAAGCCCTTGGGCCCTGAAAACCAGCAGCAATACCCAGGTAGGATGCCATGGCCTTGGGTGACATTCTGAAACTAGCTGGCCTCAAGTGAGACTCAGCACATTCCAAGCTATGGTGGCTATGTGGTAAGACTCCTTCTGCTTCAGAAAAGCAGAGGGAAAAGTATAGGAGACTCTGTCCTGAACCTTAGGTAACAGCTCAGCCACAAGGGCATAGAGCACCAAGTGGGCTCTTGGGGTCCCTAATTCTATGCCTTAGCTCTTGGGTGGCATTGCTGGACCTGCCCTGGGCCAGAGGAGAGCCCGTTGTCCAGAAGAGTGAGTCCCAGGCCAGGAAGCATTTACCACAAGATGACTGAAGAGCCCTTGGGCCTTAAGAGGACATCGGTGGTAACCTGGCAGTACTCCCCATGGGCCTGTGCTGGTGGCAGCCATGGGGTGTGGCTCCTTTGCATGTAGAAAGGGGAGGGAAGAGTGGGAAGGACTACATCTCATAGTGTGAGTACCAGCTTAGCCACAGTACAATAGAACACTAGGGAGACTTTTAAGGTTTGTGATTCAAGTCCCGGGTTCCCAGATGGCACCTCTGGACCTGCCAAGGGCCTAGGGAAACTCACCACCTTGAAGGGAAGGATACAAGCCTGGCTAACTTCTCTACCTGCTGACTGTAGAGCCCCAGGGCTTTGAGTGAACATAGGCAGTAGCCAGGTAGTAGTTACAGCAGGCCTTGGGCAAGACCCAGTGCAGTACTGGCTACAGGTCTGAACCAGTGCAGTCCCAATGGTGGTGGCCACAGGGGTTCTTGTGTCATTCCACCTCCAGCCTCAGCCAGCTCAGAACCAGAGAGACTCCATTTGTTTGAGAGAAAGTAAGGAAAGAGAACAATAGTCTTTGCCTGGTAATCCAGACGATTCTTCTGGATTTTATCCAAGGTCATCAAGGTGATACCTCTATGAGTCTGCAAGAATCACAGTGTTACTGGTCTTGAGTTGCCCCTAACGCAGATATGGCCTAGATCACAACACCAAGATCACAACACAATACCAATTGTGGTATAATACCTGGGAAGCCTTCCCAAGATGGATGGATATAAACAAGTCCATACTGTGAAGACTACAATAAGTGCCTAACTCTTCAATGCCCAGACACAGGTGAATATCTACAAGTACCAGGACCATCCAGGAAAACATGACCTCACTAAATAAACTAAATAAGGTGCCACGGATCAATCCTACAGAAACAGAGAGATATGTGATCTTTCAGACAGAGAATTCAAAAATAGCTGTTTTGAGGAAGCTCAAAGAAATTCAAGATAACACAGAGAAGGAATTCAGAATTCTATCAGATAAATTAACAAAGAGACTAAAATAATGAAAAAGAATCAAGCAGAAATTCTGGAGCGGAAAACTGCAATTGGCATACTGAAGAATGCATCAGAATATTTTAATAGCAGAATTGATCAATCAGAAGAAAGAATTAATGCACTTGAAGACAGGCTTTTTGAAAATACACAATCAGAAAAGAAAAAAGAATAAAAAACAATAAAGCATACCTACAAGTTCTAGAAAATAGCCCCAAAAGGGCTAATCTAAGAGTTATTGGCCTTAAAGAGGAGGTAGAAAGGGAGATGGGGTAGAAAGCTTATTTAAAGGGATAATAACAAAGAACTTCCCAAACCTCAAGAAAGATAATGATATTCAAATACAAGAAGATTGTAGAACATCAAGCAGATTTAACACAAAGAAAACTACCTCAAGGCATTTAGTAATCAAACTCCCAAAGGTAAAGGATAAAGAGAGGATCCTAAAAGCAGCAAGAGAAAATAAGAAAATAACATGCAATGGAGCTCCAATATGTGTGGCAGCAGACTTTTCAGTGGAAACTTCACAGGCCAGGAGAGAGTAGTATGACATATTTAAAGTGCTGAAGGAAAAAACCTTTACCCTAGAATAGGATATTCAGTGAAAATATCCTTCAAACATGAAGGAGAAATAATTTCCCAGACAAACAAAAGCTGAGGAATTTCATCAACACCAGACCTGTCCTGCAAGAAATGCTAAAGGGAGTATTTCAACCAGAAAGTAAAAGACATTAATGAGCAATAAGAAGTCTGAAGGTACAAAACTCACTGGTAATAGTAAGTACACAGAAAAACACAGAATATGGTAACACTGTAATTGTGGTGTGCAAACTACTCTTAGCTTAAGTAGAAAGACTAAAAAATGAACCAAACAAAAATAATAACTAAAACAAATTTTGAAAACATAGACCATACAATAAGATATAAATAGAAACAACAAAAAGTTTAAAGGTCAGGGGGCAGAGGGGACAAAGTTAAGTTGTAGAGTTTTTATTAGTTTTCGTTTTGCTTGTGTGTTTATGCAAACGGTGTTGTTATTAGCTTAAAATAATGGGTCATAAGATACCATTTGCAAGCCTCATGGTAACCTCAAATCAAAAAACATACAATAGATACACAAAAAATCAAAGCAAGAAACTAAATCATACCACCAGAGAAAATCACCTTTCATGGAAAGGAAGACAGGAAGGAAGGAAAGAAAGGAGAGAAAGCCACAAAACAGCCAGAAAACAAATAACAAAATGGCAAATGAAGAACTTAAGAAGGAAATGTTAAAATTCTTGAAACAAATGATATGGAAACACAAAATAACAAAACCAATGAGATCCAGTAAAAGCAGTACTAAGAGGAAAGCTTATAGCTGTAAGTGCCTACGTCAAAAAAGGAAAAACTTCAAATAACCTAAAGATGCATCTTAAAGAACTAGAAAAGCAAGAGCAAACCAAACCCAAAATTAGTAGAAGAAAATAAACAATAAAGATCAGAGCAGAAATAAAGGAATTTGAAATTGAGAAAATAATACAAAAGACCAAAGAAACAAAAAGTCAACTTTTTGAAAAGGTAAACAAAATTGTTAAACCCTTAGCCAGACTAAGAAAAAAAGAAATAAGACCTAAATAAATAAAATCAGACATGAACAAGGAGACATTACAAATGATACTGCAGAAATTCAAAGGATCATTAGTGGCTACTATAAGCAACTATCTATCATTAAATAGGAAAATCTAGAAGAAATGTATAAATTCCTAGACACATACAACCTACTAAGATTGAACCAGGAAGAAATCCAAAACCTGAGCAGACCAATAGCAAGTACTGGGATTGAAGCCATAATAAAAAGTCTCCCAGCAAAGAAAAGCCTGGAACCTGATGGCTTCACTGCTAAATTTGACCAAACATTTAAAGAAGAACTAATACCAATTCTACTCAAACTATTCCAATAGAAGAGGATGGAATACTTTCAAACTTATTCTATGAGATCAGTATTAACCCTGATACCAAAACCAGACAAAGACACAACAAAAAAGAAAACTACAGGCCAATATCACTGATGAATGTTGATGCAAAAATCCTAAACAAAATACTATCAAACCAAATTCAACAACACATTAGAAAATCATTCATCATGAGCAAGTGGGATTTGTCCCAGAGATGCAAGAATGGTTCAATACATGCAAATCAATTAGTGCAATATCTCATATCAACAGAATGAAGGACAAAAACCATATAATCATTTCAAATGCTGAGAAAGCATTTGATGAAATTTAACATCTCTTCATGGTAAAACCCCTAAAAAGTTGGGTATAGAAGGAACATACCTTGACATAATAACATCATATATGACAGATCCGTAAATAGTATAATACCGAATGGGGAAAAACTGAAAGCCTTTCCTCTAAGAAGGAACATGACAAGAATGTCCATTTTCACCAGTGTTATTCAACATGGTACTGCAAGTCCTAGCTAGAGCAATCAAATAAGAGAAAGAAGTAACGAACATCCAAATTGGAAAGAAAAAAGTCAAACTATCTTTGTTTGCAGATGGTATGGTCTTGTATTTGGAAAAACCTAAAGACTCCACCAAAAAACTATTAAAACTGATAAGCAAATTTAGTAAAGTTGTAGGATATAAAATCAACATACAAAAATCAGTAGCATTTCTTTTTTTCTTTTTTTTTTTTTTTTTGAGACGGAGTCTCGCTCTGTCGCCCAGGCTGGAGTGCAGTGGCGCGATCTCCGCTCACTGCAAGCTCCGCCTCCCGGGTTCACGCCATTCTCCTGCCTCAGCCTCCGGAGTAGCTGGGACTACAGGCACCCGCCACCGCGCCCGGCTAATTTTTTTTTTGTATTCTTAGTAGAGACGGGGTTTCACCGTGGTCTCGATCTCCTGACCTCGTGATCCACCCGCCTGGGCCTCCCAAAATGCTGGGATTACAGGCGTGAGCCACCGCGCCCGGCCAGTAGCAACAGCAAACAATTTGCCAACAGCAAACAATTTGAAAAAGAAATCAAGAAAGTAATCCCATTTACAATAGGTACAAATAAAATAAAATACCTAGGAATTAACCAAAGAATTGAAAGATGTCTCCAATGAAAGCTATAAAATACTGATGCAAGAAGTTGAAGAAGACACACAAAAAAATGGAAAGATATTCCATGTTTATGGATTGGAAGAATCAATATTGTTAAAAAGTCCATATTACCCAAAGCAATCTACAGATTCAATGCAATCCCTATCAAAATACTAAGGACATTTTTCACAGAACTAGAAAAGCCAATCCTAAAATTTATATGGAACCACAAAAGATCCAGAATAGCCAAAGCTATCCTAAGCAAAAAGAACAAAACTGGAAAAATTACATTACCTGACTTTAAATTATACTACAGAGATATAGTAACAAAAAAATGGCATGATACTGAGATAAAAACAGACACATAGACCAAGGGTACAGACTAGAGAACCCAGAGATAATCCCTACATCTACAGTGAACTCATTTTTTACAAAGGTGCCAAGAACTTACACTGAGGAAAGGACAGTCTCTTCAATAAATGGTGCTGGGAAAACTGGATATCCATATGCAAAAGAATGAAACTAGACCCCGCAAAACCATATACAAAAAGCAAATCAAAATAGATTAAAGACTTAAATCTAAGACCTCAAACTATGGAACTACTAAAGAAAACATTGGGGAAACTTTTTGGGACATTGGATTGTGCAAAGATTTCTTAAGTAATACCCCATAAGCACAGTCAACCAAAGCAAAAATGGACAAATATGATCATATTAAATTAAAAAGCATCTGCACAACAAAGGAAACAATCAACAAAGTGAAGCGGCAACACACAGAATGGGAGAAAATGTTTCCAAACCACCCATCTGACAAGGGATTAATAACCAGAATATATAAGGAGTTCAAACAACTGTATAGGAAAAAATCTAATAAGCTGATTAAAAATGGGCAAAAGACCTGAATAGACATTTCTCAAAAGAAGAAATACAAATGGCAAACAGGTATATGAAAAGGTGCTCAATATTGATCATCAGAGAAATGCAAATCAAAACTACAATGAGATATCATCTCACTCCAGTTAAAATGACTTTTATCAAAAAGTCAGGTAGTAACAAATGCTGGTGAGGATGTGGAGAAAAGGGAACCTTCGTACACTGCTGGCAGGAATGTAAATTAGTACAATCGCTATGGATAACAGTTTGGTGGTTCCTCAATAAACTAAAAATGGAGCTACCATAAAATCCAGCATTCCCACTTCTGGGTATATACCCCAAAGAAAAGGAATCAGTCTATCGATGAGATATCTGCACTCCCATGTTTATTACAGCACTAGTCACAATAGTCAAGATTTGGAAGCAACCTAAGTGTCCATCAACAGATGAATGGATAAAGAAAATGTGTATATATACACAATAGAGTACTATTCGGCCATAAAAAGAGTGAGATCCTGTCATTTACAGCAATATGGGTGGAACTCGAGATTATTATGTTAAGTGAAATAAGCCAGGCACAGAAAGACATACATCTTATGTTCTCACTTATTTGTGGAATTTAAAAATCAAAACAATTGAACTCATGGAGACAGAGAATAGAAGGATGGTTACCAGAGCCTGGGAAGGATAGTGGAGAGTTGGTGGTGGGTGGGAGGGAATGGGGATGGTTAATGGATACAAACAAATAGTTAGAAAGAATGAGAAAGACCTAGTATTTGCTAGCACAACAAGGTGACTATAGTCAAAAATAATTTAAAATAACTAAAATAGTGTAAGAGGATTGTTTGTAACACAAAGGATAAATGCTTGAGGTGATGGATACCCCATTTATCCTAACGTTATTATTATACATGGCATGCCTGTATCAAAATATCTCATGCAACCCATAAATATATACATCCATTATGTAACCACAAAAAATAAAAATAAAAATAGTGATAAAACTGTAATCCTTATGAGAATGCTATAGCCTAGTTCATTTCTATAATCACTAATCTATAAAAATTCATACTAACATGCTATTTTAAAATCTTACACATTAAATTAATTGAAAGAAACCATTGTATACACAAATGGTTTACAAAATTATTTTCAATTAATTATGTTAAGCTAGGGAAATAATTAGGGAAAGGTCAGTGTTCATTGTTTACATAGAAAAAAATAACATATTCTATTTAGCATTTATTTGTGGAGGAGTGATTTTATTTTCAGTGTTGAACATGATCACTGATTTTTAGAATGGAAATGTTCTTAAACACAAGTCTCATTTGGATCTGCAAACAACAGTCTTAGCTGAGATTTTTAAAGGATAATCTTTGCTAACAGAAAAAGGGAATTGCCACCTTTTTGCTTTTTCAGAGACAGGCATCATTTGAGTATGTGAGTGTCCAGTCCATTTGAAGCAATTTCAATTTTTCCAGATTGTAAAGTCAGGAATGGGTGCGTGTTGGGGGTGTGATGGGTGGGTGATGTGGAGGGCAGAGGCAGCTGCTAAGTCAAAGCCAGTCGGGCCACTTGTAAATTTCTCAAAACTATAGAGAAAGAGGTGAATGAGGTTTACAGGCTCTAGTCCTATGGGGCCCTGACTTTCCACAGTTTCAAGACCTTGATTGACCTGGTGGAAAAAAAAATCCCACCTCCCCTACTCTCTGCCCAAGTTAGCATCTCACAAGATTATTAACTAGCATGTAGATGAAGTCACACGGACAACACGCAGAGGTCAATTACCCCACCTTTGTGTGTAAAGGGTGGTATACACCTTGTTTGCAAGGGGAGAGAGTATTTTTTTAATTGCAAGAGTAAAATGCCAAAGTGATACAAAGAAATAATTTTCCCCTTAGCTCTTTGGAAGTAAGGTGGGAAAGGAAAAACAAGATAGATATGAAAAGCCAGAAATCTGAGTCTGAGATTAGTATCAGTTGATGTGAGCAGGAATTTACCTGCTTATGTCAGAGGAGCGAGCGTTTGTCTCTTAGGAACAGGGAGTCTTTTCTTTCCTCTTTATTAAAGTAGAAAAATTATTACTGCCTTCAGTTTTATTCAAGAGAGAGCTTCCAGGGGTTTGCAGGGAAATGTTATTAGATCATCCAACCTACATAATATGCCAATTCTATTGGAATCATTTCTTCTTTTCCCTAAACTGCATGTTAAGAGTTCACTTCTAATGGTATATATTATCTTCTAACACAGATGAATCTTTCTAGAGTCAGCCAAGATAAACACACACTTCTATAATTATGTGCTACAAGTGCTCTAGAATCAGCCTCCACCCTGAATTTTTCCAACCATCACCTAAAGAAGAACATGGATTTTGAAAGTAAATAACTTTGAAAGAAAATGTACTCCTTAAGCCTTTTTTCCTCTTACTGAATCTAGGAAACATATGTAATACACTGGAAAAACTGTTCTTGAGACAGGAGAATTACTGTATTAATGCCAAGATCGCCAATCCACTCATAGAAGAGTTGTGCTCTTTATTTACATAGCAGATGGGAGGGGAAAATATCTAAGAGCCATCCTGACATTAACTTAATATCCTGATATTAAGTATTCCAGTGGTGAGAAAAGACCACTGAGTTCAGAGGCCTGGATTTCAGTGTTGGCCCTGATACTGGTCATGTGATCTTAGGCAGGTCATTTCGCTTCTCTAAGCCTCAGTGTCCACATATATTAAATGAAGATAATAATGCCAATATTAGGGTTGCTGGAAAATTTGAATGAAATGATGGATGTGAAAGAAATTAGAACCCGGCATAGCACCATCCAAAAAAGTACAGTTTTATTATTATTCATCATCTGAGCTGTTACACAGGAGCAAGCAGGGTGTGGATGGGGAACATTGACAGCGGGGGCTTCTGGGATTTTCACAGGGCAAGTACTGAGCTCATACTAGACACGAAGCTGTTTAACAGATTGGGGAGGCAAGTGGGTGTGAGCAGCTTTCATTTTTATCTGGAACAATATGCAGGGATGTCTTGCTGCCGTGTCTTAGACCAAGTGTTGTCTTTCTCCTCCAACTTGACTAAAGATGCTGCAGGTATCGATGTGGGTGGCCCCAGTGGTTTGGTGGTGTAAGTGAGTATTTCCCAGGTGTCTCTAACTCTGAAAGAGCTAAAGGAGAAGTTACATGGTTAATGAAAGCCAGTTAGGCCCCTATGGAAGGCTGTAAGTCTCCTCCAGGGTCCAGATGAACACCTGTGGGATGTCAGATACCAGAGTCCTCAACCTCAGAGGAAGGGAAGACAGAAACTCATGAAACTGCATCCAAGAAATGCTCTGGATACAGAGTAAATTCTATTGCAGCCACAACAGAATTTATTCAACTTGTGACGGGCAGTTTACTCAATTTCTAATGAGTAAGTTATCAGATTTCTCAACAATTGCATTTGGGGGTCACTTTGTTAGGATTGAGAAACCAAAGTTTTCAAGTGAAAGTATGTCATTCATCAGGACCAGACTGAGACTTTTCAGCTTCTTTTCAAACTTTGAAAATGTAGGAAACCCACAGCCTCAACCTATTCTCAATGGGTCTTGCCCACCCTTGACTCCTTTTCCTTATTCTCTATCCTTCATACTCACTTGCCACAACCTCACCCCTAGATAAGCGTCCCCATTTGCCTTCTCTGCACATTACACTAAGCTAACATCACTGATGAAAATTGCACAACCCAACTGAGAGTTCGCACTTGAAATTCATGAGCTCAGACTTCAGATCACCACCCAGAAATCCTACTTATGTTTGTCTACTATCAGGCTTTGCTTTCCCAATGCCCAAGAAGACTTCTTCATACTTTCTCACTCTCTTTAAATATCCCACACTCTTGCTGTCTTGCTCCACAGTTGATTGAGAAAATAGAAATCATTAGATTAGTACTTTTTAGTCTCCTCACAAGCAAGCCTGAAAATCAATTTGCATCTGTGTCCTTATTAGCTTTCTTTTCTATACTTTCAATGGCAGAACAGCCCCTGTTCTTATGAAAGCTCAATGCTTCTACATGTCCCTTCTGTCTTCTCAATGACTTCACCCCTCAAGTTACCTTCATCCTCCTATATTGGATCATTCCCATTATCATGCAAAGAGGCTCTAATATTTGCCTCTTAAAAAAAGACCTTCTCAAACCCCATTAATCTCTTTAGCTAACATCTTTTTTCTCTTTATCATTTCAATGTTAAATTTCTCTAAGAAGCTCCTCGAATTTACTATCTCCACTTTCTCATCTCTGGTTCACTCTTCAGCCCACTTCAATCTGGCTCCTGTCCACATCACATAATGAAAACTGCTCTTAACACGTCTACAAAAATCTCTGATGCCACATCCAATAGGAATTTCTTCTTATTTGACCTTCTCTTATTTGATCTCTCCACAGCCTTTAACACAGTTGATCACTCCTTCTGTTTTGAAACATTCACCTCTTTTAGCTTCTGTTATGTACCACACTGCCCTGGTTCTTCTCTTATCACACTGGCTACACCTTTTCAGTCTCCTCCGTTTGTTCCTCATGTCCCCAGTCTCTAAATATTGACACCCTCCAGGCCTCTTTCTGCAGCTCTCCTCTCTTCTATGTCTACGTCCTCTGACTAGGTGATCACATCCAATGGCCTTAAATACCACTTATGTACAGGACTAATATACATCCCAAATGTTTACCCAGACTTTCTTCACTTACATATACAACTGTTTAAAAGGTATATCCACTTGGATGTCTTATAGGCACCTCAGAATTGACATGGCCAAAACAGTTATATTCTCCTATCCATTTGTTGAAACATGAAACCTAGGAGATAACCTGGATTCTTCCCATTTCTTTGCCATTCCTATTTAATCCATTACCAAGTCCTAAGAGCTAACCCTCCTACATAGATCTCAAATACCCCTGTCTCTGCTGTTGCCACCTAATCCAGGCTATCATCCTCTCATGCTTCTTGCCTCTTTGTTTTCATTCTTCCCTTTCTCCAATGTGTCCTCTACAGAACAGCTTTTGTGATCTTATCAGATGCAAGTTGGATCACACGTAAAATCCTTCCATGGCTCACAATGTCGCTTAGAATATGAAATCTCAACTCCCAATGTGACCCATAAGGCCCCTGCACCACCTGGCCCCTGCCTACCTCTCCAGACTTCTCTTGTACCACACTCTCTCCTTTCTTACTCCACTCCTGTCACCCTGGTCTTTTTTTTTTTTCCATTCTTCACACACATCTCGGGCTTTTGCAGGGACAATTTCCTCCACCTCCCTCCATCTCTGCCCTAATTCTTCCCAGAGCTGGCTCTCTCACTTCATTCAGGTCCCTGATCACATGTCACTTCCTCAGAAAGGCCTCCTTTGAACACTTTATCTAAAGTTGGCCCCCATTTTTCCCTATTTCAACACCTCATGTGTTTTCCTCACTCCACTTATCATAACTTGCAAATATTTTGTATTTTCCCTTTGGGGGTGGGCATGTCTTCCCCACGAAACTATTAACTCTGTGAGGGCAGGGACCAAGACAATTTTATTCACTGTTATATCTCCAATGTATATTATAGTCCTGTATCTGGCAATTAGCAATATCAACTGTTATTATTATTTGTAGCCATTGAAGCAATATATAACCAGTATGTCTATTTCTACCGACCAAAAGATAAAATCAAATTCACTAAAACTTTTGAACAACATTTGTGAGACTAACCTCCAGAATGTCTTTCTCCAAGGTCTCTCTGACTACCCTTTTGGCTCTGATGACTCTTCTGCTCCACATGCCCCTGCTTCATAGATGCATGACAGCCCACATGAGGGGACTAGGGCCATATCGGAGGGGCAGGAGGAGACTCTGCCTCCCTTCCTTGACAAATATTTTTCTGGAGCCTCACATAGGAAATCTTTCAGAACAACCTAAATTTCCACTGAAAGGTTCATGTAGTTCACTTTTAAATGAGGTTAATATAAATTATATAAAGAATAAAACATGAGGCCAGGAGCAGTGGCTCACGCCTGTAATCCCAGCACTTTGGGAGGCCAAGGCGGGCTGATCACCTGAGGTCAGGAGTTCAAGACCAGCCTGATCAACATGGGGAAACCCCATCTCTACTAAAAATACAAAAAATTAGCCAGGCATTGTGGCGGGTGCCTGTAATCCCAGCTACTTGGGAGGCTGAGGCAGGAGAATCACTTGAACCCAGGAGGCGGAGGTTGCAGTGAGCCGAGATTGCGCCATTGCACTCCAGCCTGGGCAACAAGAGCAAAACTTCATCTCAAAAAAAAAAAAAAAAAAAAAGAATAAAACATGAAGAGGCAACTGAGTCTCATGCCAAATCTACTCCCCCAGGAAGTGGGGGAGCAGGATCTGGGCAGTGAACAAGCTCCCCAGGTGGTTCGTACCATCAGGCAAGATTGGGAGACTGGTGTCATGCTTAAGAGCATGGGCTTTGCTGGGTTCCATTGTCCTTTTACTTGGAGCCCTAGGAAGTCCCTTCTCTTCCTCTCAGCTCCATGTTACCTCCCTCTGCCCAGGGCCACAGTGTTAGAAAGGCAGACTTGGGCCTGTTGGCATAGCCACCTTTCCTCAACTACTCTCTGCAAGGAAAGAACATCCCCCACCTTCTTTCCCAAAGGTATATTTTTCTTTGCTCTTTTGCTTGCTTTCTGAGCCTTCTGCATCCCCCTTCCTTTATTTTAGGATAGTGCCCTGGTCCCAGATAGACAGTGAACTCATGTGTGGTAAAATAATCTCACCAGTGACTAATTTTCACTGTTGTATACTTGATTTAACTTGGAATTGTTTCTGATAATTTTATGACACTGTGAGAGCAAGGAGATAATACTGCATCTGCCACTTGCTGCTGTGTGATTTAAGGCAAGTCCTTTCACCTTTTTGAGATCCAGTTTCTTCATCTATAAAATGGGGATATTCATTCATTCAATCACTATTTACTGAATATCGGTTGAGTAAAGCACCTAGGACATATTCACATACACCTCACAAGGTCATGGTGGGGACTAAGCAAGATGGAGTATGTGGTATGTGGCTCATAGTCAACACCCAATACATGTTGTTGTTGCTGTTAGTTTTAGTCTATGAACAATTTTAAGCATCAAGTTATCAGTAATTCTGAGACTCACAATAAACAAATGTAGAAACTATTAACAAGTACTCAGGAAACACCACAATCCTTGCCTTTCATAAGTTAGAAGGCCAGCAGAACTCATTTCCTTGGGCAGGGACTTATGTGATGCCTGCCTTGGCTATGCTAAGGCTTTTGAACCAGCTCTAAATGAATCTCCTCATGGAGGCATGGCCAATTAATCACCAGGGTTGGTTTTTGTTTTGTTTGTCTCTCACACGAAGGCATCAAACAGAATAATTTTTACTACATTGGAATAATTTTTACTACATTACTACATTTTCTTACTGTTTCCTTGTTAAATGCTCTTTTATTGTTTCCAGCATTCACTCATTCATTTATTCAACAAATTTGTATACCACTGTGCAAGGTGCTAGGGATACAGTGGTATACCTCTCAAAGTCTCAGTCCTCATGGGGTTGACATTCTAGTGGGGTCTATAGATTGCCCTCACCCCTACTTCACACCAGACTGTCAAATGCCTGAGATCAGGGGCTGTGGTAGTGGCTCTTCCTTTGGATCCTCTCTATTTTTATTTTTTATGGAGATGAGGGTCTTGCTATGTTGCCCAGGCTAGTCTCTAACTCCTGGGCTCAAGTGTTCCTCCCGCCTTGGCCTCACAAAGTGCTGGGATTACATGTGTGAGGCACCACACCCAGCTTGAGTCCTCTCTTAAACACAGCACACAGAGCACAGCTTGGGGAACACAGGATGCCCTCCAAAAAGAATTCTTGATGGTTTAATGTATGCCAACGCTTAGAGTAATGTGCCAGCCATTATTCTAAGCATTGGTATACATTATTTCATTTACTCCTCACACCTCACCCAATGAGGTGGGCACTATTTTATGCTTATTTGACAAAAATGAAGCAACTGGGGCATGAAGTGGTTAAGAAATGTGACCAGGTTCCTGAAGCAAGTAAATAATAAAGCTGGCAATTGACCCTGAACCCAGGTCATGAAGATCCTCCTGTCATTCCACCCAGATTGTCCTCTTTTGTAAGTTCCCACTGACACCACTTTCAAATTGAGTGTGGAGCTCAGAGTCCTGGCCTCATGCCTCAGTTGACATTTTCACTGACTGCAGAGTCCTGGGGTGGCCCTATGTACTAGGCTGAAAACTGAACATCTGGGACACAGCAAGCTAATCCTCATCCTCATGAATTTCTTAATTTTTCTGGGTCACCTTGGCTATTTCAGTTAAGTCCAGCTCAGGTTAAAAAAAAAGAAATAAATAAAAGAATACTAGGCTGAAAACTGAACATCTGGGACATAGCAAGCTAATCCTCATCCTCATGAATTTCTTAATTTTTCTGAGTCACCTTGGCTACTTCAGTTAAGTCAAACTCAGGTTAAAAAAAAAAGAAAGAAAGAAAAGAAAAAAGAAACTAAGGAGAGTTTCTTCTATAGCAAAATAAAATTTTACAAGATAGGAAGTGCATATACTCTTTTTTGAGGCTAAAATGAAACAAATTCTATCTATGAAAACACTGAGTGATAGAAATAAGGCTCCCGTCCATTACTGGAGACTCTGGGTTTTATACTACCAGTGTCTCCAGTAGTAGACAGAAGCCTTATTTCTCAAGTTCGTTCTCAGGATACAGACACACACCATCAAAGGCTGGCCCAGATACCTACTTTCATTTGGAAGGCTGGTACTGGCAGATCCACGAGATACATATAGTTTCTTATCTAGAAAAGAAGAAGAAAACATTATTGGAACTGAAATTTCTAGGACTAGGTTAGAGAGTGCCCAGTAGCATTCCAGGGGCCCCACATTGCCTGGCCCTAAGTTTATGAATATCTAGCATATTCTCTCATATCAGATGCTACAAAAACTGAGAAGCTTCTGTTTTAAAGGTCCACCACCTTCCAAGGCAGTGTTCCTGATTAAGGGTCACTGACTTCCTCAACAGATCCTGGACTTCCAGTCACCAATTAATACAACTCATGTCAACATGAGTAGAGCATGAAGACCTTGGTGATAACCATTTGTTTGTGAATGTGTCTTGAGATTTCAGGAATAGGACAATGCCTGCATTAGTTTCACCATGATGTGCCTTGCTTACAGTAGATGCTCACTAAATATTTGCTGAATTGGACTTGAACTGTAAAGAGTTGCTAAGTTTGGAAGGTGATGATTTCAGCCATCTGTGTTCTAACCTACTGTCGAAACAGGGCTTTGCTGTGTGTATGCACAGGCATATATACAAGCACAGTTGGCCTAATTTTCCCTGTGAATCCAGTAGGAAAGGACTTTTGAAAAAGAGTAGAGGGGTAGGAAATTTCACAGGTTTCCCAAACATGACACTTCTATGATTTACTCCTTAAGTACATTCCTAATCAAATTCTGGAAATGACAGAGTGGTATTTTAATGGGAAATTTGTTTTCCACATTAGAATAGAACACAGTGCCTGACTTAGGTAGGCTATGCTGAACAGGCCTTTTGTTTACTATATGCTTAGTTCAGTGTAAAGATGGCTTCTAGTAATTTCTTTCAGGCATGGAACACTAGAACCACACTATGTATGGACAAGGAAGCTGCAAAAGAAAATTCGTCCAGAGTACAGAATGGCAGAGGATGCAGACTTGGTTCCATGAAACTATAAAATATATATTTATAAGTGTTTCATATTAAAGGCAAATCTTGCAACAGAGTAGGTTGATTTTTTGGTGGAAGTATAATTAATGCCAATTCTTCCCCGTCCTTTTACAAAGAAGGGAGCCTTGTTTTCTGATGGATATTTTGCATCTGGTAGGCGCAAATTAAATATTTGCTGGGTGAATGAGTGAATGAAGAGGTGAGTAAGCCTTAAGGGTGTTTTTAGTTCAGGGGAGGGGTGGTGGTCAGGGAGCAGGAACCCAAGGGAAACCAAGCAGGAGGATCCCAGAGTGCAGGAGCAAGCCAAGGACAGTCAGGCACTGTTAGGTCTCCAAGCAGCAATGGGGCTGCCTCCTACAGTCGCTTTGAATTTTAATGTGTGGAGCAGATGGTTGGTATAGATTGCCCTTGTTGTTTGCCTGGAGCCTGACATCACTGCAAGTTGCCAACCTGTTTAGAGGCTACAGTTTGAGCCTGTAGGTACGTCACAGAGCTCTGTTCTGCAAATGGCTTATTTAATTGCTCCCAATGAGGTAAACACAGGACCCTGCGATATTACGCAGCAGCCCATCATTTTTCTAAGGTAAGGCCAAGTTGACAGGCTAGGGTGAGTACTTCGGGCCAAGTCCATCTGGCTGGCTATCTATGTAACCCTTTAGCTATTAAACTGTGAATGTCAATGAAGCCTAGTGAAGATGTATGGAACATTTAAGCAGAACATCCCTTCCCTCAGCAGCCCTATGTCCAGAGTGGCAGCAATTAGTCTTGGCACCTCATCTCATGCCAACTCACTCTCAACCACAACCAATCAGAGGCACCCCTCCAAGTATCTGTAGGCATTTCCTTACAGTGAACTGAGCCGGGAGGCAGGTTGAAGAGCAACCCTGTGCTTCCAGCTATCTGGCCAGGGTTGCCATTCTCCCTGGCGGCAGATTCCTGAGGACGGGCTAGGCATCTGTCTTGCTGGAGGAGACTTAGGAGAGGCTCACGTTTCCCATCAGGCTGGGGCTCTGGAACCAGGTGCCGAGCGGGGAAGGGATGAGAGTAGCCAGGCTCTAAGGAGCTGGTGCCCGCCAGGGAGGAGAAATGCCACAGCTCCCCAGGCCGAACAGAGGCCCTCCTAGCCAGGGACGGTGAGAACTGATTCACAGCCATGGGACCAGGCACATGCAAGTTGCAGTTGGCGGCACGGTTTGTGACAGGTACTTCTGGTTGTGGCTTTGTCCATGGAGACGAGTAACGCCACTGATTTGGAGACATGCTATCATCTGAGAAGGAAAGATTTAGAAGACATGTTAGGTGTTTATTGTTTTCAAAATGGATGTAGTTTTTTTTTTAATACATACTCTATTTTTTTTAACTTGAAGGAAATACAGAAAAGCTAAAATAAAATCATCCTAATGATAATATCCAGAAACAGCCATTGTCCTCCGTAGGTGTACTGTTTCTAGGATTGGTTTCTATTCATGTATGCATTGTTTTCACAACATATATTGTTATTCAAGCCATTTTTGCTTCATTAAAATATCATGAAAAGCCTCCTATAGAAATGAATAGGCCAGGCACAGTGGCTCATGCCTGTAATCCCAGCTTCTTGGGAGGCCGAGTTGGGCAGATCACTTGAAGCCAGGAGTTCGAGACCAGCCTGGCCAATATTGTGAAACCACATCTCTACTAAAAATACAAAAATTAGCTGGGTGTGTTGGTGCACACCTGTAGTCCCAGCTACTCGGGATGCTAAGGCAGGAGAGTTGCTTGTGCCCAGGAGGCGGATGTTGCAGTAGGCCGAGATTGCTCCACTTCACTCCAGCCTGGGCAACAGAGTGAGACTCGGTAAGAAAGAAAAAAAGAAAAAGAAAGGAAGGGAAGGGAAAGGAAGGGAAGGGGGAGAGCCAAACACCAGCTTTTTAAAGTGCTGTACAGTAAGTAGTCCATGGTAAGGCAGTAATTAACAAATGTCATATTTGTGCACTGCTTGGTTATTTCCATTTTTTTCTATTATGCTAACAGCATTACAATGAGCATCTCTGTATAGATACCTTTGCTCCCGGATCCAACCAGCTCCTTAAGGATGCTTTTCTGGAAGTAAATGTGCTTGATTTGTGTTTGGTTGCTGCTATCATCTAGCTTTATTTTACAGCTGGTGTTTTAAATACACCAAATAGGGGGACTCGACAGAACTTTAAAAAGGGCTTAACACTTACCTGTGCTGGTCACTCACACAACTCTAGGAGCTAAAACCACATTTTCCAGAGTAATATGAGGCACAGGGATGTTAAGAGACTGAACCAAGGTAGCAAAAACAGATTAGCCAAGAAGGGAAGTGAGCTGGAACGATAAGTAATGGGGAGGGAAGTAGTTGCTTGGACCCCATTTTGCAAAAGCAGAATTCTGAGGGTCAAGAGGTGACTTAGTTTCTTCTTGTGAAGTTCATGTGGATTGGTTAAGAGGGATGGAGTGTCCTTTGGTCCCATAGACACTATTCTTATTGTGCCTATGATAGCCGCTGAATCTGAGATCTCAAATGTCCAGGATAGCTTAGGACAAGGATGAATGTTTTCCCCATTCTCAACACCCACTCAGGCAAGAAGGGAGGAGGGAAAGAGTTCTTCCACACAGTTCTTAAAGCCTGGAGCCTATCATCTATCCAAGATAATGGAGAGAGGGTGGGTGTGGAGACAAAGGAAGATTAGCCGGCTGGAGAGGATGTCTGGGACACTGGTCCTCTTTCCCATACAAACCTCTCCTAGCGCTCTTGAATGTTTGGTTTGACTGGATTGTGTACAAGATAAAAAATTCTGAAAGGCCTGCCCAGTGTTACTGGAGTGCCGTCACTCAGTGTGACACAAAGGATAGGAAGAGAAGTCCAAGCCCTCAAGGCAAAGACATTCTCCCCAACATCTCACACCATTCACAGTGAGTGATGGGGGATGGTTGGCCCTTCTTATGAAACCAAAGGCAAGACAATATATTAAGATTTGTTTTGGTGAGGGTGAATGCTACTTCTGAAAATTGATATCTCCAGGCCAGAAGCAATTCAGTGCACAAAGAGAGTGATTAAGCTAATTTGGTGTAATCACAGTCTGTGTTTCATATTGAATGAGGGTACTGCATGTCCTAAGCACAAATTAGAAACAAAGCGTAGCCCCTGACAACTAGGCAGTTTCCATGTGAACAGGCCTTACAGATCTCATACATATGACTTAGGGGCTGAATGCTTGAAATGTGGAAAGCAGAGCCCCAGAATGTTTTGAATATTTCTCTTAACTGCTTCCTTTCTAGAATTCTCTGAAATGTTAAGGGAAGTGGTTTGGTGTGCCACAGCCCAAAGTCCTATATGGTCACCAGGTGCCCCAGAGCACAGTTTGGATGGGAGCTTATGGGCACGCACAGGGTGTCCTAACCCCAAATTCACAGTGATCCAACAGCGGGCCTTGGGTGGCCTGGGGAAACACATCATTCCAGATTAGGCTTGGAAGTCAGTGGCCCATGGAGTGGAGACCCTGGATTTGAGTGGGCCTCTCTTTTTCAGGCCTCTTGGGCCAACTGCTCCAGCAGCCACTCCCACCTACCCTGTGGATGGGTAAAGACCTCTTAAACTACAAACCTGCACTGGCTCAAGGCTGCTGCTGCTACTAAAAGTGATCCTGGTGACATTTTTTTCATCCAAGTGCCCCCTATTAGTTACCTCTAGAAGTGAGAGAGGGAGCCCCAGGGCAGAATTTGCTGCCTTCTCAAGCCCCTGACCACATGAATGAGTGGAGAGCAGGTAAGAAACACCCTGATGCAGGCATACATGGGGCAGGCTAGGATTTTTCTTTCAGCAGGAGTACAAATGGCTTCCACTCCACTAACTTCAACCCTGGGCATCTAGACCCTACCTCTTAGTCCCATTCATCCCTCTAGAATTCCTGATGCTGTTGGTCCTGAGACAAAACCTGTCCAGAGAGAGCTGGTCTCCATTTCCCGCACTGCCCTTTTTCGGTGAAACTGGCAGGCCATTCCCCCTGCTTTCCATGCATACCCAGAGGCGCCACACATTTCCACCCATATACACTTTTGGGAGCCCCAGAACACTCTAGAAAACATCTTCAGGCACTTATGAGTTTGCCGCCATTCCAGAGTACCTTCCCTCCACTTTATCCTTGCATGGAGGCCCTGACTTCCTATTCCAGATTAGTTTTTCAACATACAAACTTAAATGTCACCCTTTCAGAAAGGCCTTCCCTCAACTTCCAATCTAAAGTTTGTGACCCTGTTACTTTCTGTGACTGCACCCTGTTTATTTCCTTCATGGCAGTAATACTGTAATTTATTTATTTCTTAATTCTTACATTCATTCATTCACTATTGGTCTTCTTTATCGTTCAGTAAGCTTGGCGAGAGCTGAGATCATTTCTCTTTTGTTCACCATTATATCCCCAAGAACTTGCACAGTGCCTAGCACATAGTGGCCCTGAAAAAGTATTATTCTAATGAGTGCACACACTTATTTACACACAAACACACATACATATGCACCGTTGCAAACATGTACACACTCACTAACACAAACATGCACACACACACACATACACACCCTTCCCCACTGAACCTTTCTAAATCGAAGAGAGCAGGATGAAAGTGGTTAAAAGCACAGACTTTGAAGTCAGAGAGGCTTGGAATCCAATCCCAGATCTGCCACTTCCTAGCTATGTGACACTGAGCAAGTCCCCTCCCACCTCTGAGACTGTTATGAGATTGAATGAGACCATCCATGTAAAAGGTTTAGCACAGTGCCTGGTACACAATTGGCACTCAATAAGTGGTAGCTGTTGCTGTTGTTATTATTCATCATTTCAGTTTAAAAAGCCACTCTGGGTTTCTTTACTGGTTTGCAACACTCAGCACAATCAACGTGAGAAAAAGCAAGATGGTCATTAATGCATGAGGCCTAAGAACCCTCCCTGCCAACAGTCACCTAGTGCTGGAGAAGGGAGGGGCAGAAAGGACTGAGCCAAGGGGCCCATAACAGCAGCAGAGGCAGCAGCAGCACTTCAGGGCTGGTTTGGAGGCTGGAGTAGATACTGGTTATAAAAGAGGGATTTCAGAAGTCTTTGCTCAGTCTGTGGCCATTCCCAGGGAATAACACATCAGAGGTGGGCAGGAACAATTTGTAAATATATAGTAGTTTTTGTTTATTGAGTACTCACTATGGGCCAGGCACTTTACTTAGCACTCTGCATACATGATCTCATGTGATCCTCACAGCAACCCAGATGAGAAAATCGAGACCCAGAATGGTTAAAGTGACTTGTCTAAGGACACACGGCTAGCAAGTGGTAGAGGTGTCTGATTCCAAACCTTATGCTCTTACCAACTATGCCTCCCCAATATTGCAAAGAATGCAGTGAGGTGGGCACTTTTACATGCTCCTTGGGTTGGAGGGCTGGCAGATTGGCATAACATTTCTAGGAAGAAATTTGTCGGTAAATATCAAAACCCTAAAATTTGTGTGTACTCTTTGACCCAAGCATTCCACTTGTAGCAATTTATTTTAAGGATATAGTCAATGATGCATGTAAAAATGTACCCACAAGGATGTTCAAAGTGATTTGTATAATATAGCGAAAGATTAGCAACAACCTAAATATCCAAAAATTTTAATAAATTTGGTACATCTATAAAATGATACTCTTAAGCCATTAAAATGATGTTGTAGTAGAACATTTAATGGCATGGAGAAGTGGATATGACATTGATGAATTTTTTAAAAAAGCAGGTTACAACCCATTCTGTGCAAAATGATGTCACGTTGTAAAAATTAGTACATGTCCATGGATGTACATGTGGTTTTTGTTTCCTGAATGCTTATCTGTGTTTTCTAAATTTCCAAAAAGGAGTATATTTTATGTTTGTAAATAGTAAAAATTATGTTTTAAGCAAAAACGTAAGAAACCACTTGACACGTGAAGCTCCCAAAAAACGAGTCACAGCTGTGAACGACTAATCCATGATTGCCTGATTTCCTTCCATCTATCCTTTCTTCTTTCCTTCCTTCTCTTCTCCCTCTTTCTGCATCTTTTAATGCAAATTCTGTGGGATTTTTTTTTTTTTGACAGGGTCTCACTGTCTCCCAGGCTGGAGTGTACTGACAAGATCATAGCTCACTGTAGCCTCAGTTTCCCCAGGCTCAAGCAATCCTCCCGCCTCAGCCTCAGCCTCCTGAGTAGCTGGAAATACAGGTGTGAGCCACCACACCTGGACAATTTTTAAATATTTTTGTAGAGACAGGGTCTCTCTATGTTGCCCAGTCTGGTTTTGAATGCCTGGCCCTCCCAAAGTGCTGCGATTACAGGAATGAGCCACCATGCCTGGCCTACAAATCTCATTTTATGATGAAGTTGAAATCAAGAACCCTCTGAACACATGCACACTTTGCACTGTGAAAGTCCAACCTTGGCCTGCATGATCTGCACGCGTTGACTTTCCCTCTCTGCCCTCTTTGCTGGTGGCACTTGCACTTCATCCATTCACCCCCAAGTACAAAAAGCATATTGTTTGCATTAGCTGAGGTCAAAATATCACTGGGGATGGAGGGAGAGCTTAGAGGAGATTGTGCTGTTCCAGGGCACCAGGGGGGCCTCTCAGTTCCTTCCCCTCTTTCACAGCTGCCTCCCTGGGGTACCTAGTCTTTGGATGAATATCCAGATTCCTTTTCCCAACTGAAAACAGAGATCAAACACAGAATATGAGCTAGTATTCGAAATGCTGAGTGGCTAAGATCCGAAATCAATTCCATCTGCCGGCAAATACTATAGACTCCCCATATTAGCTGAGAGATCTTGGGCAAGTCACTTGACTGTCTGAGCCTCAGTTTCCTCATCAGGAAAATGGACATAGAGTTAACCAGTAGAGTTGGTGTGAAGATTCAGTGAGATAATCCACGTGACAGACCCTAGCAAAGGGCCTGGCACACAGAAAGTGTTCAAAAAGTGTTAGCCATTATACACATTATTAGCGATAGTCCTTATAGGTATTAAATCCTCTTGCTGGGGCATTGTCAGAGTGTACAAAGGCAAGACAATGGGGTATTCAAGAGACTGGCTCTGGAGATCGATGGACTTGGGTTTCAATCTTTATCACTCACTGGCTGTGTGACCCATCTCTAGGCACTTACCTTCTCTGGGCTGCAGTTTCCTGCTCTGTAAAATAAGGATAATAATATCCATTGCAAAATAGTTTTGTGAAGCACAACCAACATGCAGAAAAACGCACAAATGGAAGTGTGCAGCTGGGGGAATTTTCATAAACTGGGTAATGAGCACCCAGCTCGAGTAACAGAACCTGATCACCACCCCAGAAGCACACCGTACCCCTCTCAGTCACAACACCCCCAAAACGTAACCATATCCTGTCTTCTGACACCATAGGTTAGATTTGCCTGTCTTTGAACTTTATAAATCACAGTGGATTTCGTGGACTGAAGTAAAATGCACTAATTTTAGTGTGGTGTCTGGTATTCGCTGGAAGCTCCATATATGTTTGTGCAGATAGATTCCTCTTCCTTACGGGAAAAGAAGACAGGAAACTGTCAGTATTTACAAGGGCCATAAACAACTAGCATGACTATATCTCACATAGATATTTACACTTTTTTTTTTTAAAAAAAGCCAGCATTTCTTCCCTACCCTTACTGATTATGGCAGATGGGAGGGGAGAGAGAAGGAGGCTGGATCCTTTGAGACCTCTAAAGGCCCACGTATATACCCTCTCACCTTCTCTCAGCAGCCCTAGAGCAATGTTGCCAGGCCTGAGGCCGGCCTCAGGACTGGGGCTGGGGACAGGACAAGAAGAACACAGGGTGGCATACGTACCAGGACCATGCCCCCTACAAACTATAGTTACTGAAGCTTCTCTAGTTACTGATTCTAAAATTCCCAATGTCCTTTTAAAAGGGAGATAATTCAAAGATACCTTCAACTTGTATTTTCTTTTCTGAAGTACAGCCAGTATAAATTATACATAAGTAAATAAAAACACAACACTGATTGGGGAAGAGAAGCCAGGAAATTTGACGGCATTTCCTAGCCACACGGGTCTCTGTGTTTGGGACTTGCATATTTGGCTCAACAGAGAGCCCTTAGAATGTGGGCGAGTCGGCCATGGGAGCCCATGAATGGGAGCCTGTTCTCCTTGGAATGGCCTAGCTGGGCTGGACGGCCTGGTGCTGGTCTGTAGGGTTTGAGAGGATACTAACAGTCAGTAATGAAAGGCCACTTGAAAGATTTCCCACCATTTTCAAAGCCATATGTATGTCATATAACACCTCCAGTGAGAACCTCTGTGGGACTGGAAGCCTTTCATGGGGCCCTCCCCTGAGGCAGCAGAGCTTATGAGAAACTTGACTCCTAGTGGTGATAAGAGAGGCTTTGAGGGAGGCAGTTTTTCCTTCATTTGCTCAATCAGCGGACAAATATTTGCCTAGCCCGCACCACACTCTGTGAGGGAGACAACATCTTCACAGTCAAAGGATTTGTGGGGTTCTTATAGGGAAAATGCAACAACCAAGAAGGAAGATGGAGAACCAAGCCACCTCTCTATCTGGCCTGTGAAGGCTGGCTTGGGCAAGGAACAGGGCCATGCCCAACTTCCCTCAGCAGGCAGGGGTTTCACAGAAGGTCGAGGTGAAATCAGAAGGCACAGGAAACTCTATGGCAGCCATGAAACAGAACCCCCTGAAAACCTGGAGGCTTATGGGAGATGCCTGCTGCTCTGTGAACCTGGTGTTGTGAACACAGGTCCTCACATCTATCTTAGCTGTTCAAAAACTCAACTCAAGCTTGGACTACATTGCACTTACTATGTGCCACTTGACATGCATTATCTCATTGACTCCTCACAAGCACAGTCCTATAATTCAATATTATTCCATTTTAGAGATGAGGAAACTGAGGCACAGAGAGGAGAAGTGATATGTCTGGAGATCACACTGTTAGTAAGTGATGGAGCTGGCTTGGCCCCATGCTGAGTGGTTCTAAAGCTGTACACCACACCGTACTCCCTCTCTACGGTGACCCCCATCTGTAGGGTCAACACCTTGTGATCAAAATCATAATTTCATTCGTTCAAGCCGTATGTATTGAGTGCCTCCATGTGTCAGGCATTGTGGTAGGTACTTAGAAAGCAGCAGTTAACAGATTGAGTCCCTACTGCCACGGAGCTCAGAGGGTAAGGGGAGAGAGGAGTCTAGAAAGAAATACAACATATAATGTGCCCGGTGGTGACAAATGCTAAGAAGAAAAATGAAGCAGGGTAAGAAGACAGACGTGAGAGGGTGGGGGCTTTCATTTTTTAAATAGGTTGCTCAGACAAGGACTGTTTGAAGTGGTGACATCCAGGTGGAGACTTGAATGGAGAAAGGTGACGCCATGCAGGTATCTGGGGAAAGAGCATTCCAGGGATAGGAGAGACCATGTGCAAAGGGCAGGCCTGAGGCAGGATTGTCCTTGGCATAGTTTATGAATACCAAGGAGCCTAGACTGGAGCGGGTGAGGCAGAAAGTGGTAAGATATGAGATCAGTAAGACAACGGGGGCCCAGATGAGGTAGGGCCCCATTATAGACTTTGGATATGATTCCAAGTGACATGGGAAGCTGTCAGAGGGTTTCAAACAAAAGAGTGCTAGTGTGTGACTTTCATTTTAATGCTACCATTCTGACTGCCCTCCTAAGAATAGACTGAAGGAGAGGAAGGGAAGAAGCAATGAGACCAATTAGGAGGTGACTGCAGCAATTCAGCGGGGGGTGATGATAGCTTCTAGGACCCAGGTGACAACGGAGGTGAGAAGATGCGGTCAGATCTTGGATATTTTGAAGATAGAACCTACACAATTTCCAAAAGGATTGGATGTGGGGTGTGAGACAGAGAGGTGTTAAGCATGACTTCAAGGAATTGGAAGGGTGCAGCTCCCATTTATTGAGATGGGAAAGACTGTGGGCAGAGCAGGTTGAGGGGGAAATTAAGAGTTTATTCAGTTTGGGAGCTATTTTGTTTGAGTTTCCTATTAGGCATGTTAAGTGAAGATCAAGTAGGCAGTTAGACAGGCACGTCTGAAATCCATTCTGGTTTGCAGATATGCATTTGGAATTGCTCAACATATAGATGGCATTTAAGACCAAGACAGTAAGTGTAGACAGAGAAAGGAGTTGTCTGGGACCTGAGTACTGGGGCCCTGAAATGTTTAGAAGTTGGAGAGAGAAGGACATATAGCAAAGGAGACTGAGAAGAAATAGTAACCAGGGAGGCAGGAGGAAAACCAAGAAAGCATAATGTTATGGGCTGACTGCAAGCGAAGTAGGTATTTCACGAGGAGAGAGCAATCTTCTGCAGCAAATGTTATGATAGGTCAAATCAGATGAGGACAGATAGGGACCATTGGATTTGGAAAGTGGAGGTCACTGGGTAACCTTGATAAGAGCGATTTCAAGGAGTGATGAGGTTGAAAGCATGAGTGGAATGGAGTTTAGAGAGCATGAGAGGAAAGGACAGAGTACACATAAATACCAATTTTGAGTTTTGCTGCAAAATGAAGCAGAGAAATGGGGCAATAGGCCAAGAGTTGGTTTTATCCCAGCTTGGGTTTTACCAGGCAAGTAGAATAGAAAAAGTGAGACCATGGCTTGATGATGCTTACAAGGGAATGATTATAATGAATCCAAGCCAATGTGTTCAGAAATAAATCAGAGTCAAATAGCCGAAGTCAGTATACTTGTCTGTGTATTAACTGCCCGAGATTTTGACACTTCCAAGGAGTCAGTTAGATCTTCTGAATCCCACACACCACATTTCTCAGCTCTTACCACATGTCAATCCCCCAAATGATTCAAGACCATGGTCATTCCTGCTTCTGTTGTGATTATTCAGCACACTCTTAGACATCACCTCCCCACTCCCCACCCACCCCCTCCTGCCCATTTTAACAGCAAGCTCTACATCATTTCCTTTAGTATCTGCTGCTACCCCATGCCCTTCCACATATTTATTTAACCCACAAGATTCTCTGAGAAAACCACATTGATTGACTGCAAAAGTAAATTCTAAGAGAGAAGTAAATTCTGCAAAGGTGAATACATCAGATACACATCAACTCCCTCTCCAGTCCCAAAAAGCAAAGCCAGAATGATGGCATCTGGAAACAGGGGAGCTCTTTGCCTGGAGGCAGAGGCCCCACTTGTCCACTTTACACAAAAGCCCCTACTTGGAGGTACGTACGTCTTCCAGTGGGAGCAAGTCGTTCAACATGTGCACTCACCAACACCAATAAAGAGCTCTTGAAATCCACCAGACCCTGATATATTTGCTCACTTTCCAAAAAGGTAAAGGGAGCCATATTGAGTGACATCCAGCTGGCGAGGGTGACTTCTCCATTAGGCACAGGAGGCACAGTGCCTAGGACCCATTAATAGTTTTAGGGGCCCACAAAAATGTTTTAAAATCAGAAGAAAAAATGAATATGACAGTGATACTGAATATATTTAAAACATGAACTCAGCTTGGATTATATTCATCTTTATACCAATGCAGTCATAAAATGTAACTTTTAATGTTTTTGTGGAGGAAGGAGGTCCATGAAGACAAAAGTGTCCAGGGTCCGTGAAAGTCATACTACAGCCCCTGCTAGTGTGATGTTTAAGGCTTCCTTCAAACCTGGATATTTTGATGTGCACATTTTGACTTAGTTATCTTGAAGTAACTGTTTTGAGATGTACGACTGTTTATTTCTTAACAATTAGCAAATAGACACACCTGGCCCTGTGAAGGGTGGGAAAGGGATGTGGCAAGACTATTCATCTACTTCCCTCTGGCCCCTACCCTTGCTCACCAAACCATGCACTATTAGTTGAGAAGAGGCTGGGAGCACCTACATGGGACATGCGTTTTCTTTTCATAGATGCTTTGGTGTTCCTGCCCCATCAGGCCTATAGTAATAATAATAGTGATAATAATACTAGCTGGGTGTGGTGGTTCACACCTGTAATACCAGCACTTTGGAAGGCTGAAGTGGGAGGATCGCTCGAGGTCAGGAATCTAAGACCTGCCTGGGCAACATAGCGAGATCCTGTCTCTACAAAAAAAAAAAAAAATTAAATTAGCTGGGTGTGGTGGCGCATACCTGTAATTCTAGCTACTTGCGAGGCTAAGGCGGGAAAATTTCATGAGCCCAGGAATTCGTGGCTGCAGTGAGTTATGATCGCGCCACCACATTCCAGCCTGAGCAACAGAGTGAGACCCTGTCTCTAAAAAACAGAAGATGAAGAAAAATACTGATAATGATTACAGTAAATAGTTGTGGAGTTTCATTGTGTGCTGAGCAGTAAACCCAGCATTTAACATGATTGAGGAAATAATAAAATAGGTGAACTGATTTGATTAAACAGCACCCATTTTTACATTAAACTTCTTTTTTTCTTTTTCCAGTAGCTTTACTTTTTTTTTTTCTTTTGAGACAGGGTCTTGCTTTGCCACTCAGGCTGGAGTACAGTGGTGCAATCATGGCCCACTGCAGCCTCAACCTCCCAGGCTCAAGTGATCCTTCTGCATCACCCTCCTTAGTAGCCAGAGATATAGGTATGAGCCACCACACCTGAATAATTTCTTTAAATTTTTTTGTAGACACAGGGTCTCACTATGTTGGCCAGGTTGGTCTCAAACTCCTGACCTCAAGTGATCCTCTTGCCTTGGCCTCTCAAAGTGCTGGAATTACAGGTGTGAACCATCACACCCAGCCAGCTTTGATTTTAAAACTTTTCAAAACCACCTCTCTACAACTGGGAACTTTCCATTTATGGAAATAAATTATATAAAATGTAAATATTATCAACATTTAAAAACTATCATAACATACTTCTGCTCTAATGGCTTATTCAGCAAGATTCTAATTTATGTTTTAGTCTTTTATGGAAATTTCAAGGTTCTTTGTACCTAGATACAGTGCTCACAAATTTGCATATTTGTATGTTCATTTACTCATTCAACAAATCCTTGTTGGTTGTCCCCTATGTCACAGTCACTGTTTCTAGATGCTAGAAATACAATATTAAGCAAAATCAGCAATGGTCCTTGCCCTCACAGAACTTTCATTTAATGGAGGAGTATGCAATAGTCAAATAATTATACAAGTGTAAAAACTGCAACTGTGACAAGGGCTGTGAAGGAGAGTTAAAGAACGGTAGGAGAATCTGTAATAGGATATTTGAATGCTTGGGGGTGTGGGTGGTCAGGGAAAGCTGCCCTAAAGAAGTGATCTTGGGATGAATGTGGGTTAATTAGGAGAAGGGAGGGAAGAGATTTGCAGACAAGGAACAGTTTGTGCAAAGGCCAGGAAGAAATCAAAGCGAACATGACGGACAGAAGGAAGCCAGTTTCTGGAGGACAGTGCTGGGGAGGTAAGGTTGGAGCAGTAGATGGCAGCCCCATTTTGACATTAAACTTCTAAGAAGGGGTGTGGCTTCTCACTAGTCAGAGCAACTTGCCTTTAGCAAACATATAAGTGTCCAAGTGTGTCAAGTACATCAAAGAACTGGTGTATCCGTGGCAGCCTTGATAGGGAATCCCAGCTCCCTCCCTCCCCACATGCTCACCGTTTTTCAGCATCACACCTTCACTCTGACTCGAGGGGGTCAATTCCTGGGGGCTCTTGATATTGCTCAGAGCTCTGGAGAAGTGTTCATCCACTACGCTGCTGATGTCCCCTTGGAAGTAGGTGAAAAGGACACACCGGGAATTCCATTCCGTCTTTATAGGCTTCTGTTTGCCTTTGGGCAGCCGGATGGCAGTCTTCTTCATTTCTTCCATTGTGAGTGAATGACACAGGTGACAGCTGTGGACCAAAGGCAAAATGTCACTGGCACTATTTACCAAGTGGCTTGGCTGTGGTTTGGGTGAGCAGTGTCCTTGGGGGCAAGCAATTTGCTCCCACCAGGTACACGTGCTCACTGGGGCCCCAGGGAGCCACATAGCTCCTAAAGGTCAATGACGATGCTGTTGAGAAGCCTTGTCTAATCAGTCTTCAAGGGACAACATGACAAATCTCCATGAAGTGCTGAGAAGGGGCCTTCTCTTACAAATGAGAATGATCAGGCAACCTGACTAGAGAGAGCATCAGGAAATGGGGAGGTGGGAGGACATTGAGGCCAAATAGCAGAGTAACTTGCCTCCTGGGGAAGTGCCTTTCTCCTAAACGAATGAGCCAAGGTTGGCCCAGAACTACCATGGGCTCCCATGGAGAGCTTGACCAGGCAATCCAGTCGGTGCTTGACAATTTCAATAGTAGGCATTGCTTTCCATCTTGACCACTCGCACGCAGAGGAGTAAACACATCAAATTCTCCTACTCCCCTGACGCCTTAATCTATGTAAGACTGTGTCCTACACCTACCCGCATCCCATCTTAGAAACTAGCAATTACAAACAACACCATCTCTAAGGACTCCAACAGATATATTCTGAACAAAATGCAGATGTACAAAAAAACATTTTTATACCAATGTTGTCACCATTGGTGGAAACCTCCTGAAAGATTGTAAGATTGTCAGCTCTGTTCCCCAGCACATCTTTTGTATCTAGAACAGTGCCTGGAATAGAGTAGATGCTCAATAGCTGTGTATTGAACTGCCCTAAACTTGGGTTCCATCATTGGTATCATCATATCCCACCTTGAGAGTTCCTTGTGGGCAGAGGCTGGCTATTTGCATTCAGACCAGGTCCTGGCACACCGTGGGCCCTCAAGACATGCTGTGGCCTTCCTTTACTAGGGAAGTAGCCTGTCAGGATGCTTCTTTACCTTTGATCACCGAATCTGACTTGCCATGTGCTCTGGCTAAAGATGGGTTTGACCTATTCATTCTTGTCAATTTAATGAAAATGACTAGAGTTTAATAGACTATCTTTCTCTCTAGTTTATGAGATCCTTGAGAACAGCATTTCATATTCATTTCTTTATTCCTAGCACCTAGCATAATGTAGGTGTTAAGTAACCAATGTTTCCTCTGGTTGACAGTCATGCTAAGCGTAACCAGGTACTAGCTCAAAAACGAATCCATTGCACCCTTACTTTCCAAAAACATGTGAACAAATGCTTTGAAAAACTGGTAATTTCTTATAAAGTTAAACATATTCTTATCTTGTGACCCAGCAATCTCACTTCTAGGTACACATAGCCAAGAGAAATAAAAACTATGTCCACACAAAGACATGTACTTGAATGTTCACAGCAGCTTTCTTCATAGTAACCAAAAATGGAAAGTACCCACATGTTTATCACCAGGAGAATAAATAAATTAGCTGTGACATATTTATACAATGGAATGTTACTCAGCAAAAGAACAAACAAACAAACTACCAATCTACACAACAGCATGTATGAATCTCAAAAACATGTTGAGTGAAAGAATCCAGACACTAAAGGCCACATATTGTACAATTTCACATACATGAAACAAGCACAAATAATCTGCGGTGATGAAATTCAGAACTGTGGTTGCCTGTAGGGTAGAGATTGAGAGATTGACTAGGAAAGGGCATGAGGGAGCCCTCAGGGGTGTTGGAAAGGTTCTACATCTTGATGAGGGAGATGGTTACTACATGAATGGATAAATTTGTTAAAACTCATCAAATTTTACACGTAAGACCTATGCATTTCACTGTAGGTAAATTATTCCTTTATTTAGAGAAAAAGCTCATGATCTATTCTGATACTTGAAGGGACAGAAATAAAAACCAAGGTGTTATGAATTATAAAGCAATGAGAAGCATGGAGGCAGTACTTTTTTAAAGCTGCAGTTTACAGAACACCTACTGTGTGCCAGAAACTACACAGCTATCTTCTCCAATCTTCATAATCCTCAAATTAGGTATTGTTATCCCCATTTTACAGATGAGCAATTTGGGTCTTAAAGAAGGTGAAATAGACTGCCTAGGCTACACAACTGGGGAGTGGCAGAGCTGGGATTTCAACCTAGGTCTTTCTGGCGTTAACTTCTGTCCTACCTTTACCATCCCTTATTGACTACCCATTGGGTCTAATAGTCCCTTCTCCTCTATGGGCCTCAGTCTCTCCATCTATCTCCTAATCCCTAGGGGGCCTCAAGCCAGAACCCTAAACCAGCCATCTGGTTTCCTTCAGATAACGCAGGCAGCAACTCCCAACTCTGTCTGCTCCCTCAGGGCTTCTCCTTGAAGCCTCTGTCTGCTGCTGGAAGGGCCAGTGAACAACTTTGGAGGACTCACCCTCTCATTCTCAGAATTTCCAGTGGCCACTGCTCAAGGTTCAGGCTTGACACAGCTTGCAATCTCTCTTTGCTAACTCCCCTTGAAGCCACAAGGGAAGGAGCTGGTAGGACCCTGAGGACATTAGGGCCCTGAAGCATGTGCCTAGTGTCCTTGGGTAGAATCCACAGATGCCCCAGGCCAACTGGCTACAGTCAGGAAATATTAGAGATGGAGAAAGTCAGAGGTGGTGTTTCAGCCTCTTCACCTTGGAGAGCTCAGTCCGTGGGCAATTGGGCATCCTGAATAATAAATTCAGTATTCACTGAATAAGTACCACCTATGCCCTTCTTTTCCTCCCCAACCACACCGCACACAATCAAAAGGAAAGCCATAGGCCACTTCTCTGGATCGGCTCACAAGCAACTCCCTGGGCTGCACTTGGACCAAAGTGGAGAGAAACTGTATTTGAGGAATATTAAAATTCTGAGAACTGTCATTGGCTTAGTCCTATGAAGAACTGCATCTCACTCTACCTCTGGAGAAACATGAGGAGCTTCATCCTCAAATGAGCCCTCCATAAGAGGTCTCTTCATTCATGAATTAATTGCTGGGGTGTGTCTCGCCTAGGAGAAAGAGATGCTGCAAAGCTGGATAGAAGGGGATGTCAGTGAGGCTAAAGAAAGGGTGGCTGTCTCCCAGAGAAGATGTTTCCATATCAGTGCCTGGCTTATAGCAAAAGCCTCTCGTAGTAGACAAAACCCCAAGGCCAAGTTTTACCAGTGGTACCGCCAGAACGGCATAATTACTAAACAACAGGCAGTTTGCAACTTCCCCATCTCACAAGATACAAAGACAGAAAGTGCTCCCTCAAATATTGCCCACACTTCTGAAAAAAAAAAAAGAAAGAACAAAAAATGAAAGAAAGAAAGAAGAAAGAAAGAAAAAGAAAGAAAGAAAGAAAGAAAGAAAGAAAGAAAGAAAGAAAGAAAGAAAGAAAGAAAGAAAGAAAGAAAGAAAGAAAGAAAGAAAGAAATATTTGAGCACAGAATCCCAAACCAGCATTTTGGCCAGAACTCTACCACAATCTGCCTGCATGGACGCACTTACCGCACTTCTCCAAAATGGTACCTAGCAGTCTGGGGTAGGGTGGGAAGTCAGAGGGGTTAGTTTGTCAAACCAATCACTTGGAACGAAATCCCCAAGGGGACCAGATTGTATCTCATTGAGCAAAGTATTTGATGACTACCCCCATTTCTTCCCAGTTAAGTTTCTTTGCTTCTCCCCCCAAAAAAATCCCCAGATTCTCTTACCTCTTAATTCTGGACCATCACCTGATTCTGTGGCTGGGAAAAGATGGCCAGAGCTGCCTGGCTCACTTCAGAGCAGGTTAGTGCTTGCGGAAGCAGGAGCTGAGGATTTGTACCCCCACCTCCTTGTTACTTTCCGCCCCTCTAGCTGGGACTGTACAAGGCGTTTCCTGCTAGCTATCTATTAAGAATGCAGAAAATGTACTCCAACAAGTCAACCTGGTTGGGCACCTGCAGGAATGAGGAACATGGTAGCTCTTTTTTTTTTTTTTTCATTTCTTTCTTTTTGGTTTAAAAAAAGCATTTTGTGAGATTGTCTCTTAAACTGGGAGGCCAATTGTTTGTCCAAAACCATACACAGAGTCAACAACAAATAAAACATCAGCTTTGGGGTTTAGATCAAGCCGATGTCACATCAGTCTCAGGAACTGAGAGTCAGTTTGGTTTATCTCTAGTTTTTCCCTCTCTCTCCATAGGAAGAAAAAGAGAGCTCAGACCCCTAGGAGTCTGGACTTGTCACAGGCTTCCATTGGCCAAAGAGGGAGAAAGGACTTCTCTCAATCTGCAATACGCAAAGCAATTCAGGGCAGGAGGTTTGGAGGAGGGGATCCTAATCCTCATTTTAAAAACCCCTCAATATTACCTCAGTAAGTGGCACCATTATTCAGGCCCCAAATCCTGGAACCATTGTTTGCTCCTCTCTTTGTCTACTTCATCAATATTAATTCAACAAATATTTATTGAATGCCAACTGTGTGCCAGGCACTGTTCTGGAGGTTGTGTTCTATAGTGAACAAAACATACCAAATCCCTGTCCTCATGGAATAAATACATACAAATGTTATATGTTTTTGTGTATATATACACATATGTACATTATATCTACAATGCCAGATGGTGATAAGTACTATAAAGAGATATTAAGCAGGGTAGAAGAACAGGGAGTGGTAGGCTAGGTGCTAATTTATAGAGGGTGGCCAAAAAAGGATTTTCTGATAAGGTGACACTTCAGCAGAACCCTGAGGGGGAAAAACCACATGGACACCTGCTTTCCTGATACCTGAGGGAACATCAAATTCAAAAGATGAGATAGTGCTTAATCTGTTCACAGAAAGGCAGGCCAGTGTGGTTAGAAGAGAGGGAGTGAGGGGAAAAGAAGATGAGGACCAGGTAACATAGGACCTCATTGGCCACGCTACAGCTTTTGGCTTTTCCTGTAAGTGAGAAGGAAACACACCAGAGGGGTTGGAGGAACACATCCACATATCCTGAAAGTTCTGCCTTCCAGATGCTTTCCAATCTGTGCTTTCTCACTACCTCTCCAACATTCACTGTAGTCCAAGCCCTCATCATTTTTCCCCAGGACCACCACCACCACAGCCTCCTAACTGGACTCCTGACCTCCACCTTTACCCCTTTCTAAACCATTCATCCCAAGACAGCCATAGTGACCATTTTAGAACATGGAATGCAGTCACTCCTTGTTTAAAATATTATAATGAAAAAAGTTTGTCTCATGGGGGTAGAGAATAGATACCAAACACTGGGAAGGGTGTGTGGGTGGGAGCAGGAAGAAGAACAGAGGCTCTAAACTACAGTTAAATAGAAGGTATTCTTCTATATTCAAACAAACCTTCTACTGTTTGGTAGCAGAATAGAGTGTCTATAGTTAGCAACAATGTATTATGTATTTCAAAATAGCTAGAAGAGAAGACTTGAAATGTTCCCAACACCTAAATACTCAAGGTGGAGGCTGGGTGCAGTGGCTCCCGCCTATAATTCCAGCACTTTGGGAGGCTGAGGTGGGAGGATCGCATGAGCCCAGGAGTTTGAGACAAGCCTGGGCAACATGGCAAAACCTCGTTTCTACAAATAATAAAAAAAATTAGCTGGGTGTGGTGGCACACGCCTGTTGTCCCAGCTATTGGGGAGGGTGAGGATCGCTTGAGTTCAGGTGATCAAGGCTGCAGTGAGCCTAGATCATGCCACTGCACTCCAGCCTGGGTGACAGAGCAAGATCCTGTCTCAAACACACACACACACACACACACACATACACACACACACACACACACACAAAACAAAACAAAGCAAACAAAAATGCTCAAAGTGATTGACATCCCAAATATCCTGACTTGATCATTACACAGTCTATACATGTAGCAAAATATCACATATACACCATAAATACATACAAATATTATGTATCAATTAAAAAAGCTTCTAGTTGCTTCTCTTCCCACAGCATAGCCTACAAGGCCCTCCCTGACCCGGTCCCTGCCTCCATCTCTGCTCTTATCTTTTACCACTCTCCCCTTCACTCCACTCCCCTTCGCTGACTTCCTGGCTCCTCCTTGAACAGGCTAAACACCCTCTAGTCTTTACCCTCACCATTTGCTCTTCCCAGAATGCCCACCCCCCAGGCATCCCTGTGATGAGTTCTCTCACTCCATTCAAATCTGTGCTCAGTCATGTCTTCCTTCTTTAATTATCCTTTCTTTTAAAACTTTTACTTTAGGTACATGTGCAGGTTTGTTATATAGGTAAACTGTGTGTCATGGGGGTTTGGTGTACAGATTATTTCACCACCCAGGTAATCAGCAGAGTACCTGATAGGTAGTTTTTCTATCCTCTCCCTCCTTCCACCTTCAAGTAGGTCCCGGTGTCTGTTGTCCCCTTCTTTTTTTTTATTTTTTATTTATTTATTTTTTTTTGAGACAGAGTCTTGCTCTGTCACCCAGGCTGGAGTGCAGTGGCATGATCTCGGCTCACTGCAACCTCCGCCTCCTGGGTTCAAGCGATTCCTCTGCCTCAGCCTCCTGAGTAGCTGGGACTACAGGTGTGTGCCACCACGCCCAGCTAATTTTTGTATTTTTAGTAGAGACAAGATTCCACCATATTGGCTAGGCTGGTCTTGAACTCCTGACCTCGTGATCGGCCTGCCTCAGCCTCCCAAAGTGCTGGGATTACAGGCGTGAGCCACCATGCCCGGCGTGTTGTCGCCTTCTTTGTGTCCATGTGTACTCAGTGTTTAGCTCCCCTTCTCTAACTATCCTATCCAAAGTAGCAGCCTTTCAAAGTCTCTGGCCTGTTGCTCCACTTCGTGTTTCTTCATAGCACTTTTCACCTCTTGGTATCATATTACACATTTATTTGTTTACGGTTTGTCACCCTTTCCAAAATAATGCCTGGTAAGTAGTGAGGACTCAGTAAATATTTGTTGAATGGACACATGAGAAGTAGCAGTGGGAGAAAAATTATCCCAGTATTCACACAAGTAAATGTACAACTGCAACGGTGAGGACTCAATGCCTGGTAAAAGAAGAGCCTGTGATAAGGATCCCTGACTTCATCAGGGAAGACAGGGTACCCTCTCTGTGGAAGTAATGCTTGAGCTCAGATCTGATAAGACAAGGAGTTAGCCAAGCAAAGAAGGGAGGGAAGAGTGTAATGGGAGGGGCGTGGCAAACCCGAGTGACAGGAGCAGAGGAAGCTATGTGATTGGAGTGGAGGCAATGAGAGGGAACCAGTGGGAGAAGAGCTGGGAAGGCAGGCAGGAGCCAAAGCAAGCAGGGCTTTGCAGGCCATGTTGAAGAGTTTTGTCTTATTCCTAATAATAATATGAAGCCTTTAAAGGGGTTTAAAGATATATGTGCTGAGGAGTGTGGGGAAGCGGTGGGAGTGGGAATGAAATAATCAGATGTGCATTTTGAAAAACACCAGTCTGGCTGCAGTAGGCAGAAAAGATTGAAGGAGTCAGTGAATGTGAGTAGGCCAGTTAGAGAACTGTTCTCATTGTCTAGGGAAGAGACGACAGTAGCTGCATCTGGAGGTTGGGGAAAAGGAGTTGGAAGTAGAGAGAAGTGGATGGATTCAAGAGACATTTAGAAAATAAAATTAGCTGGATGCAGTGGCTCACACCTGTAATCCCAGCACTTTGGGAGGCCAAGGCAGGAGAATGGCTTCAGATAAGGAGTTTGAGACCAGCCTGGGCAACATAGTGAGATTTCAATCTCTACAAAATATAAAATTAAAAAATTAGCTGAGTATGGTGGCTCATGCCTGTAATCCCAGCTACTCAGGAGACTGAGGTGGGAGGATTGCTTGAGCCCTGGAGTTTGAGGCTGTAGTGAGCCATGATCACGCCACTGCACTCTAGCCTGGGTGACAAAGTCATACCCTATCTCAAAAAAAGGAAGAAAGAAAGAGAGAGAGAGAGAGAGAGAGAGAGAGAGAGGGAGGGAGAGGGAGGGAGGGAAGGAGAAAGGAAGGAAGGAAAGAAGGAAGGAAAAAGAAAAGAAAATAATAAAAGAAAAGAGAAAATGGACACATTTGGTACTGAATTTGACATAAGGAAGGGGGGGTATCAGGATAATCCCTAGGTTTGGGGGTTACATAAGTTGATTGATGAGTCTGCCTTTCACGGAGATATGAAACACTGGAAGAGTGTCATGTTTAGGAGAGGGAATAAAGACTTCCATTTTGAGCATGTAGATTTTGAGTGATAACAGAAGTCAGTTATTCAGGAGAGGGATCTGAGTTAGAGATATACATTTAGGGGCCAGCCGTATACAGATGGCTGTTAAAGCCTTGGGCTATAACTTACCCAGAGAGAGCAGACAGTGAAACATAAACAGGGATAAGACCAAGCTTTGTGTAACTGCAACATTTACTGGCCACATGGAAGTGATGAGCCAGCAAACATTACTTATAAAGAATGGGCAAGGAGGTAGGAAAAAAACCAGAGGGATGCTAGAATCCTAAAGCCTAAAGAAGAATGTATTTGAAGATGGAGGAACTGATCACCTGTACCAAATGCTGCTGAGAAGTAGAACAGTCTAATAAAAATGTCTGTTGGATTTAGCAGCATGGAGGTCATAAGTGACCTTAGTGAGAAGTCTTTGCTGGAGTGTTGAGCCAAAGGCAGATTGAAGTGGGATGAGAGAAGTGGAGAGGAAGAGCTGGTACTGACAATATGGAGAGTACTTTGTAGGAGTTTGGAGGTGGAAGAGTGGAGAGACAGAAGAGAATCTGGGGATGGGATTCGGCGGGCTAAATGAGTTTTTTGTTTCTTTTTCTTAAAGGGATAGGTATTGACATCATTAAAGGCCAATGGAAAGGATCCAGTTAGAGCAAGAGGTTGAATATACCACAGAAATAAAGTGTTACTAATAATATAAAATTCTGGAGAAAGCAGGTGGAGAGGATGGGATCAAAGTTCAGGTGGAAGGATTGGCTTTCAATAGAAGGAGGCACTGTTCTAAGAGGAGGAAAGACATAGGACGCACGCAGATATAATGGAGTTTCTAATCTTGGCAAATGTGTTAGCCATTATTTATTTACTTATTTTTAGTGGTAGGGAAATTGCACTAGGAGGCAAGAGATCTTGACTCTAGTCTGAGATCTTTTCCTAAATAGATTTTCAACCTTGGGGAAGTTATTTCTCATTCCTTTGCCCATTTTTTTAAGTGAGGGTGCTCTGTTAGATGATCTCTAAGGTTTCTTACAGCTACTCTAAGTAAATCAAGAGAGGGTAAAGTCCAAAATGTTAGAAAACTAACTTAGAATGTTCATTCCATTATGTTTTCAAATACAAGTGCTTGCTTCCAGTTTAAGGAGATAAATGAAGCCACTGTATTTAATCTCATGTTCGTTCCAAACTCTCACTAAAATGCCGAAATAAATATAAAAATAAGAAGAAAATAATCTAGAGCAGTGCTGGAAAGCCAGAAAAGGTATCACCAGCAGACCAGAAAAATACAGTGGGCTAGGTAATACACTAAGCAATTGACATGTATTAAAGCATTTAAATAGTTCTATAAGGCAGGTACTATTATTATCTCATTTTTAAAAATTGAGTAAACAGAGCCACAGAGAAGTTACATAGCTTGTCCAAGCCAGGCAGTCTGGCCTCTAGGGTCTGTGCTATGTTATGTGACCTCACTGAAATAGTAGGAAATGTCTGAAAATTATAATGTGGAACCCGTGCCCTGCTAACATAGAAATAGGAGAAGCATATTGGAGAAATGATCATGTATCTTCCAAATGAAGCACCAGAAAAAGCTCAGAGTTTGCAGAGGCTAGAAGCTAGAGTGAGTCATGGAGCAGAAAGCAGAGAAGTGAGTCGAAGGTCTGCCAAAGCTTCTGGGCCATGTTCCAACTCTGTGCACAGTGTCTTGCTGTAGTATTCACCCCTGGCTATAGCCAGTGAGAATAGCTTTCTAAATAAAGCTCTTCTTTTGCATAGAGAGGGAGCCTACCAGGGACTTTGTGGTTGGAGAGTGAAGTGGGACTGCCCAGGTAATTTAGAGGCCATCATAAGGATATGGAGACAAAAGCCATCTAGGTCTAGCAGTTAAGTCCTCTAAAGCAGTATACACCCAATAAGAGGCTTTCCCAACCTCTAAGCTACTAGCTACCCAAACTGCAACACAAATGTGCCTATCCAATCCACATTTCATAAATAGGAGCCCTCCTGTTGGCTCACCCCCAACCATTCACCTGCACATCTCTGTCACATTCAGAGAGGAGGCCTGTCAGGTGAATGGTAACCTCCATAACTGCTGAGGACCCCAAACCAGTTACCAAAATATAGCAATCTAGACCTCTGTATCAATGGCCAGTCACCAGACATTTAAGAAAAACCGACAGCATGATACAGAAACACTAAGATGACAAGGCAAAACAGTGGACTTCTGAGGGAAAAGTGAATGTGGAACACAGAAGCAAATATGTTTGAAAAATCCTAATTAGCATCTTGAGAGATGTCAAAGATAATATTGCATTCATAGGGTAAAATTGGTGAGCTATGAAAAAGAAGTAATCAGAGAATAAGACAGAGTTCTTACAAATTGAAAACATAATTGCTGAAATAAAATAACTCAATAAAATAGATAAATAGCAATGGAAATAACTTGAAAACTGTCTTAGCAGTTTGGAAGACCAAGTCATGGAAGATCAGTGGAACAGAATATAGAGTACAAATATATATGGGAATTTCATATTTTTAGAGGTTTCAAATTACCGAGGAACAGATGGATTAATCAAATGATGATATCGAGACAACTGGCTATTCATTGGGGAAAAGCATCAGGTTTAAGGCCTATCTTAAAACTTGATTATCCCCTTTCTCTCCCCCCTCAATTTTTCCATCTCTATTGGATCATTCCCATCTTCATTCAAATATGCCCATGTATCTCCCGCTTCTTACACCCCTCCCACATCTCTATTTTCATTTTTATGATCCCCTTTGTAGCAAAACTTCTTGAACTTGTCCATGTTTGGTCACTATCTCTACTTCTCACTTCCATTCACTCCTAAACCCACTCCATTAAACTTCCATTTTCCAGTGTATCTACTTTTGTCAAAGTCACCAATCATCTCACTGTTACTAAATCCATTCCTACTTCTTTGTCTTTATCCTACTCAATCTCTTAGAGGCATTCAACAGAGTTGATCAGTTTTCTTTCTTCTTCAAACATTCTCTTATTCACTTTATGGCACCACCTTGTACTGTTTTTCTCTGACCTCACTAGCTTTCTTCTCAGTCTCCTTTGTTCAAACCCTAAATCTCAGATTACCTCAGGGATTGATTGGTTCTGGGATCTCTCCTCTGATTCTGTAATCTCTCTTTTGACAATCCGAGCCCAAAGTTTTAAGTATCTTCTATGTAACTATGGCTCACAAATTTACATCTCCAGCCCAGACGTCTCCTCTAATAGGCATCTCAAACTGTTTTTTTTTTTTTTTTTTTTTTTTTTTTTTTTTGAGACGGAGTTTCGCTCTTTTTGCCCAGGCTGGAGTGCAATGGCGCGATCTGGGCTCACCGCAACCTCTGCCTCCCGGGTTCAAGCGATTCTCCTGCCTCAGCCTCCCGAGTAGCTGGGATTACAGGCATGCGCCACCACGCCCAGCTAATTTTGTATTTTTAGTAGAGACGGGGTTTCTCCACGTTGGTCAGGCTGGTCTCGAACTCCCAACCTCAGGCGATCCGCCCGCCTTGGCTTCCCAAAGTGCTGGGATTACAGGAGTGAGCCACTGCGCCCAGCCCAGGCATCTCAAATTTAATATGTCTAAAACTGAGCTCTTAATTCTCCACACCCAAATTTGTTTCTCATACTTCGCATGAAAGGAAATACTATAAGGTTAAAGATGTAAACATAAAAAATTAAACTATTAAACTGCTAAAATAATATATAGAAATGTATGTATGGGAAATATATCACAATAAATGTAATATTGAAGTGGGGAAGGCCTTTCCAACTCTGACATGAAGCTCAGGAGTCATAAAGAGAAAGATTTACCAGTTGACACAAGGTGAGCTTCTGTGTACCTAAAACCAATATAAAGTTACAAGACAAAGAGCAGACTGAGAGAATCTACTTGCAGTACCATATGGTTTCTATCCATAATATAAAAAACTTCTATGAATCATTAAAAAAGGCAAATAAGCCAACAGGAAACTGAGCAAAAGATATGAACAACCAAATCAAAAAACTGAGCAAAAGATATGAACAACCAAATCAAAAAGGAAGAAATACAGAGTCAACAAACATTTAAAACAATACTTAACTTTCTTATCAGGAAAGAACAAATTAAAATAAGATACCATTTTCAACTATTAGATTGGCAAAAGCTTAGAAGGTCAGTAATACCTAGTATTAACAAAAATATGGGAATAGAACACTCTCATACTCTTGTGAGTGTAAATTAATTCAACATTTCTGGAGGGCAATTTGGCAAAATCTATCAAAATTTAAAATAATTTAAAGTTTGTTTACATAAATTTTACATAAATACATAAATTTTGAGTTATGATGCGGCAAACCCACTTTATGAAATCTAATTTAAAGAAATACCATTTCTTTAAATATATTAAAATATATTTTAAGAGAAACTTGCATTTAATAAAAAAATTCTAATTTGTAATAAGATAACTGCAAGTCAACTAGGATGTTTCAGCATGAACAGTGTTCATCTGTGCAAACCTCCAAAGACACTAATAATGCTACTGGTCTTTGCTTAATTTAAAAACTAAACTTAACTAAACCGAACAAAAGAATATCAGTCTATAGCAAGGGACAGTAAAACTGTGTCTTCATAGGATGGGTAGACCCTTAAGCTATTAAATAAGCAAAGGTTTTCTGGAATAAGAGGAAGGGAACAGTGGTTATTTTTCTGAAATGTTTATTAATCATCTATTATATTTTATGGTAGGAAATAAAACACATGTGTCCCCCTTTCTTTTATTCTTTCTTTCTTTTTTTTTTTTTTTTTTTGAGATGGAGTCTCGCCCTGTTGCCCAGGCTGGAGTGCAGTGGCGCGATCTCGGCTCACTAGCAAGCTCAGCCTCCTGGGTTCACGCCATTCTCCTGCCTCAGCCTCCCGAGTAGCCGCGGGACTACAGGCGCCCACCACCACGCCCGGCTAATTTTTTTGTATTTTTAGTAGAGACGGGGTTTCACTGTGTTAGCCAGGATGGTCTCAATCTCCTGACCTCGTGATCCGCCCGCCTCGGCCTTCCAAAGTGCTGGGATTACAGGCATGAGCCACCGTGCCCGGCTATCCCCCCTTCTTTCCTCCTTTATAAATCAATTGAGATTCACAGAATCTAAATTTGCAGTACAGAAATAGCCGGGCATCATCCAAATCTTTTTACGTCATAGTTAATTGGTAAAACTAACATCTCCATTAAGACTGCATTACTTAAAATCAGTATTTCATAATCTTCACTCCTCATAATAATGGGCAAATACCAAGCTGCACACTCAAGAGAGATTAAGGCAAATCTTTGGTTAAGAACCCCTGAGCATTAATGATTAAAGAGTAGACAATTTCAGTTATGTAAGATAAATAAGTTCTGGAGATCTATTATACAGCATAGTGCCCATAGCTAATGATACTGTATTGTATACTTAAAATCTGCTAAAAGGGTAGATCTTTTTTTAAAGTTGCAGTTTTGAGTTTTATTTAAAGAGGATATTTATAACCCTGAGTTGGTAATGGCTAGGAGAAGAAGATGGAGTCCTCTGAAGTTTTGTTTCATTTTCATTTTCTAATTTAGAACATCAAATCTATTATTTCCTTGTTTAGGGAGGACATCTCCCTTTAGTTTTTGGTATTGAGAGATTGGTGTGGCTCTTCGTGATGTGTTGAAAGTAATAGGCTATCTCTGTTAAAATAAGATTTTTTTTAAAAGGTGTACAACTTGGTGTTTTGTTGTTGTTGTTTTTTGTTTTGTTTTGTTTTTTTGCTTTTTTTTGAGATGAAGTCTCGCTCTTGTCCCCCAGTCTGGAGTGCAATGGCGTGATCTCGGCTCACTGCAATCTCCGCCTCCCAGGTTCAAGCAATTCTCCTGCCTCAGCCTCCCGAGTAGCTGGGATTACAGGTGCGTACCACCACACCCAGCTAATTTTTTGTATTTTAAGTAGAGACGGGATTTCACCATGTTGGCCAGGCTGGTCTCGAACTCCTGACCTCAGGTGATCCGCCTGCCTCGGCCTCACAAAGTGCTGGGATTACAGGCGTGAGCCACCGCGCCCGGCCAACAACTTGGTGTTTTGATATAGGTAGACATGATCACCACAATCAAACTAATTAACATTATCTATTAACATCTACAAAGTTACCTGTGAGTGTGTGCTGAGAAAATTTAGCTCATGCTCTATCCACTAAGAGAGTAGATGTTAAGTGTTCCTACAACAAATAATAATAATAAAAGGGACAAGAGGAAATTTCGGGAGGTGATGGTTGGTAGCACAGCAGATGTGTTCATTAGTTTTGCTAACAATCAACGTTGATCGCCACATGATCAATTTAGCTTAAGCTGCCACCAAAGTGAACAAATAAGAGCCTCCTCTCCTCCTGTTCTTGGCTTGTCCAACATATGTGCATCTTTGCAGCTCATTTGCCTTTCTTATGAAGCTTTTCCTCACTTCCCCCATCAAGAAGGGATCAGTCCCTTCTTTGTGCCAGTGGCTCTTAAAGTGTGGTCTCTGGCGCTGCAGCAGCAGCACCACCTGGGAGCTTTTGAGAAATACAGATTCTCAGGCCCCACCTCAAACCTACTAAGTCGAAACTTCTGGGGTTGAGCCCAGTGTTTTAACAGCCCCTTGGATTTTGCATGCTAAAGTTTAGGAAGCACCGACCTAAGGGTACTTCACTTTACCAGAGCCTCTGAATCTCTGGGTACAAGTGAGGTCACCTCTATATCAGTGTTCAAATTCCACTAGATCCCTTAATCACCTACATTTGTAAGACTTCCAAATCCTTTCAAGGTCTATTTTCTTCCTGAAAAGTATTTTTAGAAGTCCCTAGGGTGTGTTCACATATGCTCCTGAATTGATGAGGGTTGCTGCTCACCTCTGCCGTGCCTAGTCTCCACTGCTGTTCAACAGGTGACTTAAGCAGATAGTTCTGCACGAATCCCCTTAAAACTTAGTCCAGTTCTGCAACTGAACAGAAGTACAAAATGTGTGATGGCTTGATGGAGTGAGATGCAGAAACTGCTGCACACAATGCAAGGCTAAACATGATGTTAGCCTCCCTAATTGCGTTGATCAATTGAATTGCCCAACCAAAAGCAATTTGGTTGCATCTCTCCAATGGAAACAGTCTACTCCAGGGCTCCAACCCTGTAATCGTCCTCTCTTCTCTTGCACAGCCCTTTCTCTATTCTGCAGTATCCCATGATTATGCAACCAGATTCAATAATAAATACCCATTTAAAAAAACCCTTCCCATAACCTTACATTCTCTTCCAGAATCTGCCCTATTCTCTATTCTCTTTCACAACAAAACTCCTCAAAATAGGTGCCCATGGTTGCTGCCTCTACATCCTTTCCTCCCATTCTCTTCTCCACTCCCTCCATTTGGGTTGAATCCACAGCACTCTGCTGAAATGACTTTTTTTTCTTTTTTATTTTTTTGAGACGGAATCACTCTGACACCTAGGATGGACTGCAGTGGTGCAATCTTGGCTCACTGCAACCTTTGCCTCCCAGGTTCAAGTGATTCTCCTGCCTCAGCCTCCCGAGTAGCTGGGATTACAGGCACACGCCACCATACTTGGCTAGTTTTTTGTATTTTTAGTAGAGACTGGGTTTCATCATGTTGGCCAGGCTGGTCTTGAACTCCTGACCTCAAGTGATCCGCTCGCCTTGCCCTCCCAAAGTGCTGGGATTACAAGCATGAGCCACCACACTTGATCTGAAATGACTTTTAATAAAGATCACCAACAACCTCCCACTTGACAAAGGCAATGGCCGGCTTTCTGTCCTCAGTCTCACCTTCTAGCAGCATTTGGCACAGCTGACCCTTCCTTTTTTTTCTTTTTTTTTTTTTTGACCATTCCTTCTTGAAATATTTTCTTTTCTAGCCTTCCAGAAACTCACCTTCTCATGTTTTTCTCCTGCATCACTGAGCACTCCTTCTCGATCTCTTTTTCTGGCCCCTTCTCCTGTGTCTCACCTCCAAATGCTCAAGTGTGGGAGGGGTGGTCTGGTCCTCTCCTCTTCTCTCTCTATATTCTCTCCTGAGGACAGCTCCTCAGTCCCTTGCTTTAAATATGAGCAACATGCTAATGTCACCAAGTTTATATCTCCAGCTCTGACTTCATCCTTGAGCTTTAGACTTACAAGTCTAAGTCTGATTGCCTATTTGGCATCTCCCTTAGATGTCATACAGACATCCCAAACTTCACATAGCCAAGACAGAAGCCTTCAGCTGCTCCACTCCTCAAACCTATTCCTTCCCCAGTCTTCCCTACCACAGTTACTAAAACCACCCGTCAGTCACTCAGTTGCCCGGGACAAAATCCTAGAAAGTCATTCTTGATCTCTTACCCTTAATCCTTTCCCTTAATCTGTCTCCCTTAATTTCTACTTTAACTCCATTAGCACATACTATTACTGCTACCTCCAAAATATATCTAGAATGAATACAGACATTTCTCACCATCTCCACTATTAGCCTTGCCTAACCATCTATTAACCATCACCTCTCAACTGGACTACTGCAGCAACCCCTTGCGGCCACCTTTTCCCACCAGCCCTTCACTGTTTGTCCTCCTCTCAGCGGTCAGAATGATCTTTCTGAAGCACGAATCAGATCACATCACTCCTCTGCTTAACAGGTCCAAAGGCTTTCTTTTTACTTAATAAGCATTAGGGAAATAATATTGGTATAACATAGAAAGCGTTGGTTTACACATCATTTTTCTAGCACGTTAACATTTTGAGATGATCTGTGGCAAACTTTCACACCATTAAAAAGAAGGTCTTAGTAATATATGGAGACCTTGAGCAAAAAGCAGGAAATTTACAAAGAGACCTTTCTTTAGTACTAGTGTGGGTAATTACATGGTTTAAATATTGGCTATAGTTTTTTCTATGTTAAGCTATCTGACAAGGCTGCGAGTACAGATGAAGATGCCGCAAAGCCATAAATGTTAAATGATGTTAACATTTAAAACCCCTTGTTAAACCATGAAAAATGAAAAAGGCGATGTCCTAGATCACTTTCTTAACTTTGATGAAAATGGTCTCTATTAGAAGTGAATGTCCTCTAGGACTCACATCTTGGAGGAGGAAGCTGACCCAGAGTTTAAGTCTATGATGCATTAACTGGCTGGGATGTGGGGTGCAAACGTCATCAGAGAGAAAACTTCATTTTTACAGTATTGCAATTGCTATTGTTCTTCTTAATGCTCTATTACAAATTTCCATGGGTTTTGAGGGTTTGCCCTAACCGTACATTTCCTATAAGCCCTATTATTTTTAGCACACACTTTTGCATACTATAAAGTTTTTCAGAGTTATCATTATAATAGAAACGTCTGTACTTATTGTAAAATCCAAACTTCTTAACATCCTCATCCCCTCATGTTATATCTACTTCCAAAATATGTCCTGAATCCAATCCCTTCTCTCTACTTCCATAGCTACCACCTTCATTGAAACCACCATCTTTGCTTGCCTGGACTTCTGAAATAGCCTCCTTTCTAATCTCCTTCTTCCAGTTCATTCTCCACACAGCAGTTAAAAAGATCCCTTTAAAACATAAATCAGATTGCATCACTGCTTTGTTTAAAAATAGACCCTCTGTTGGCTTTCCATTACACTCCGAATAAAAACCATCCTCTTTCTATGACTTTCAAGTCCCTCTTCTTCCCAGTCTGGCCTGCATTACCTCTTAAACATCATCTTCCACCGCTCTATCCATCACTCACTCTGCTCCAGCCACACTGGCCTGTTTTGGATCTTGGACACACCAAGCTTCTTCCTGCCTCAGTGTCTTTTCATTTGCTTTCTCTGCCTAGAATCATTTTCTCCCAGCTCTTCACCAGGCAAGTTCTTTCTCATCATTTGGGTATTGGCTTAAATATCACCTCCTCAGCAACCTTCACTCTATCTCCCCAGCTTAAGAATTTTCTCCCCACAAGTTGTCTCTAGTGCATCATTCTGATTGATTGAATTTGTTCCCAGCATTTACCATCTGAATTTATCTTTTTAAAAATATATGCATATTGTCTATCTTTTCTCAATTCCCCCTTATTGATTCTTGTATGCCCAGACCTAGAACAATGCCTGGCTCACAGCCTGTATTCATTGTATCAATGAACAGTCTAACTAGCACTTCTGAAAGTTTCATAAGCAAACTCCCAAAAACTCAGATATAAACAGGCTACAGTTCTAAGATTCGCAGGTCTGTTCTTGTACTCCACGGATATTCATGTGCACTCCTAGTCATTCATTGGAAGTGGCTTGTTGACTTCACCATTGTTCTTGTCATCATTCTTGGTGATTTCAATATCAAGTGGAATGGAGAATGAAGCTCAGTACCTTGGTACTGAGAACACCAAGTTTGTAACAGAAATATTGGTAAATAAATAAGTGAAATATAGTCTTATTGCCAATTGGCCCAACTCCCTACTCTCCTGCAGTAATAAAACATTTGCATTTGAATTGAGCTCCTATTTCTTCATTTTAATCAAACATGTAGATACTTTTCTAATGATTAGAGATAATAAATGTTGTCAGGCTGAAAGGGATCTAAACAAATTTGTAAATAACATGATTTTGGTAAAATTTCTTGTCGTCTACAGAGCAGATAGAGAGAATAAAATGGCAGGGAAGAAGAGTGTGGGGAAATCAGAGAATCAAATCATTTTAGAAATCAAACCAAGGGGTTTTCCAAAAGAAATTTCACATAGTTCATTTAAGAAAGACATTTTTACATCTAGTAAGAGAAATGAGGAATTCCATAAGCTCCCCACTGAGAAGCCCTAGTGATTAGCTATTCAAAAGCTTAATACATCTTGCCAAGACATTTTGCTATTATTGAAATCCAGTTCCCTAGGAAGAATAAAACTGTAATAATATAATTTTTTGTCCTCAGTGACTAACTCTACTTGTGAGCCTTGTGTTTTCAAAATCTTATCTCATTGGTTTTATGTTAGAAATAACTGTTACTGTTCCCTTTTCCTTGACCTACTCAAAGTTCTTCACATTCTTCTAAGAAAGTGGAGCTCCTAAAAGAATACAACACATTCATGATGATTATTCTCAACCTTTTTAAAAAAATGGTTGTCGATTATGTGTCAGTCACTATTCCAGGCACTGGAGTTACAGCAGAGACTGGGACAAAGCCCTGCTGTTTGAACTGGCATGCTGCTAGGGTGGTGGAAGGAGGAGCAAGAGGAAGACAAGTAAACAAACAAGATAATCTGAGAGTGTAATAATTACTCTGAGAAGGTTCATCAGTAATAGCATCAAGGGAGATTTGGGTGGGGAGGAGTGATGGGTTACCATAGTGAGGATTTCTAAGTAAGTAATAATTCAGCAGTCTGAAAGATGAGAAAGGCCCAGCTTGGCTGGGAAAAGAGCATCCCAGGTGGAGGTATGTGCAAAGGTCCTGAGGTAGGCATGAGAGACTGAAATAATGCCTGTATGATTGAAGAGTGGTGGACTAGGCAAAGTTTTGAGATGAGTCTGGAGAGGCAGGCAAGGCCAAAACCATTCAAGGCCTTGTTGCCCGGCCATAGGAGGGAGTTTGGATTTCAAGTACTATTAAAGCATTGTAATAGAAAAACATCAGGGCATTTGGGGCAGTGATTTTTTTAAATCTCCCTGGCTGTTGTATAAATTATTTGGAAGAGGACAAGAGAACAAATGGGGAGTCCATCTTGGAGGCTTTTTTAGGCAAGCAGGTGAGAGATGATGGTGGTTCATACTAATGTGGTGGGAGTAGACATGGGAAATATTCAGATGTGGGATATATTTGGAGTTTGAGCCAAAAGGAAATGAATGTGGGGTGGGGGAGGTGAAAGAGAGAGAAAAAAATCTAAGATGATTCCTAGATTTCTGGTTTGAAGAGTTGGGCTGCTGAGGTAGAAAGACTAGTGGAAGAATAGAATCAATTACCTTGATATTGAAATCAACAAGAATAATGACAAGGTGGTAGTGACATAAATGAACCTCAGCAAATGAATGAGTGTGTAAGTCTATCCATGGGATAAATTAATTCATTTAACAAATATTTATTGAGCCCCCACTATGTGCCAGGCACTGTTCTAGGCTATAGAAGCACTATTGCTGGATTGATGGCTTTTGTTTTGGTTTTTTTTTTTTGGGGGGGGCTGTCTCAATCTAGACATTACAACTGCCATTTGAGGAGGGCCCACGTTTTCTTCACTGCCCCATTTCATCTAGCATATTATTGGGTACATACTAGCCAAATACATAACTTGCTAATTGAACCACATTAAATAGATGCTATAGTAAGTGTAAATATGATAAATCAATAGCCTAACACTACTAGTATTTCAATATGATAATCAATATATTCCCAGTGAAACGTGACATTAAAAGCATCCAAGTGCTGTATACATTTTTATTAACCTATTCTCTAATTTCTTAAGAATCACCTAAAAAAGCAAAGTGTATGCTGTTTATTTAAAAGGTATTATAAAAATAAGAAAAAAGAAAGAAGGGGTCAAGATAATCACATTTTCAAACTTTAAAGTCAGACACATAGATGAGTCTAGAAATGTTTACATGAATATGTTGCAGGTTTATCATTATTTAAGCCTAATTTCTATTATAAACCTGGAAGAAGGCAAATCAAAAGGTCTTTTATTCTTAGAGCTTGACTCTTCTAATTCTCACTGCTATTTAACATTAAGAAGTGGTGCAAAAAGTAGAACACTGGAAGCAAAAAAGCCACCTTTGTGCTCCACTGCTGGCCTAGCTTTCTTTAGCCTGGGACGACCGGCGCATCTTAATAGCACAGCCTTGAAGTTTCACAGATAACTCAAATATGTTTATAAGCCAATCTGTTTGTGATATTTGAGTGTAACACATCTGGCATACCATAAGAGCAGTATCTTCTTGGTTTTGAATGGAAAGTAAAACAGACCTGTGGGGCTCTGAATAGCTAAAAGTCAACTTTATACTATGAAGTCTTTTTCTCAAGCAATCGTCCCCTGTAATAACTGGCATCCAAGAATTTAGGCTATCTGCAGTATCAATTTGTGATTTTAGAAGGGAATAATTTTAACATTTTTTTCTTCCATCAGGGAAGTACTAGGAAGATATACACAAAGCCCATCATGTAAACGAGGTGTGATAAGAGGCAAAAACCGTTTGAGCAAACTCATTTTAAATGAAGTTACCATCCAAAGAAAGGGCATACAGCTTGTATCTGAAAGAGACTCAATAAGGAAAAATCTATAAGAAAACTGACAAATATTCACAAAGCGCAAATTTGTAAGCCTTCTACTGTCCTCCAGGCCATGGCTTTGTTCAAACTAATTAAGAGCACTTCTCTGCATTACGTAGAAATATTTGGTTTACTTTTCAAAAAATCACTCACATGATTGAGAAAGGCATAATCAGAATATTAGCTAATCCCTACCTTCCTGCCAAGCCTCAGAAATGACCAAATAATTTACGTCAGGAAAATAGATTATACTCTGAAAAGGAAGAGGTAGTGGCTTCCAAATGAACTGGACTTGGCTCCTCAGGGCTTCACAAAGAGCCCAGAGCTATTACTACTTGAGAAGGAAGGGAAACAGATACTTGAGTTACTCCAATTTTGCCCTTATTTCTTTTGTAGAAAGCAGTAATAATTTCAGTATTTCATTAATATTGCAAAGACCAGAAATAGTTTTTTCTAACATGAAGTTTCATGTTTGTTCTTGTACAAGGTACTTGTGGACTCAGACAGCAGGGCATTCAAGCCATTCAAGTTATGCCTGAAGCCACTTCTGGTTTATACATTTAGGACTGAATGCACTAATATTTTGTGTAAATTATAGCTATAAGGAGCATTAAACTTAGTAGTCGTCAGGTGATAGTGGAGCATTGCTGGGCTTAAAATCCATCCTGCCCCCATTTTCTTTTGATGATAGGATGTATTCTTGCCTCACATTAAATTCAGTTTTCAGGACTAATAAAATCTGATTACTCAGTAAACAGGTAGCTATGTGTGCTTTATGACTCTAATTTCTGTTGTTTATATCACCTCATAAATTATTTACCATTTTACAGCTGTTTGTGATTTTCACTTCCAGTGTTGTTTATATGAAAAGAACCTGAGTATGTGATATCAACCAAATTGAAGTCAAAATATTCGGGACAGTATCGCATAACTGAAATCCACTCACACACACTTGTGCACACACACAAACACACACACTTGAGTTCACACAGAAGATGGTTAACCTGCCAGGGGTGGCAATGACTTTAGACAAAACCCACCAAATAGTGAAAGTTTACTCTATTTTTAATGTATTTCCCAGCCCAAAATTGTGGCAGGGAGTCTTTACTAAGCAACAGTTAGTATCTAAAACAACAGACTAGATGGATAGTATATTCTTTTGAGAGATTCTGGATTTCCAAAATTATAAATTTTAATGTAAAGAATGAAACGAATTCTCCTAATGGTCTCAGAGCTAATTTACGTTGTAGAGTTATGCATCCTAACCACTGTGTATGGAAGGTAAAGCATTCTTTTCCTTTCATTTAGAAAACTAATTTTCCAATAAATTCAAGTTTAAATGCTTCTGGCTTATCTGTAAAGGAAACACTATTTTGGTTTGCAATTTTTCTATACTTAACTTTTCTTCACCTCGTTTACTGACTTATTCCTGGTGAAAATCCTGAAGATTTTATGAAATCCCAGACATCAAGTAAAAAATTCTCAAAATAAAAACAGACTTGAAGTATAGGAACTCTTCTCTATCTAGAGGTTTACACTTACATATACTGTAATGAAAGAGCATCAATGCAGTTTATTTTAATGCTCCTAATTTCTAAGAATAGCTTCTTAATGCTACATCAGAAGTAAATTCATCACTACTGAATTTGGAAAGCATAATCAAGAAAGACCCATAACTTTATTGGGACTACACAACTTTGCACAGTGCTAGGCACTATGATTCTAAAAAAACGAACAACTGAAGCATGCATGAAGTTCTTCAACTTCAGGGAATCCATGAACCTCCCCAAACAGTACACAAGTTGTGTAGTGTAGTGTGTACATTTTTTTCTGGGAAGAGGTCCTCTAATTTGAATTAACTTCTAAAGGGGCCCAGAGACGCTAACAGTACAAGGTAGAATTCTAATCTGTTTCTTTAGATTTTTAATAATAATGGGAGCTGTAGACTGCAGGAAGTTCACTTTTGCACATCTGAGAGTCAATTTTAATGGAAAGAGGGTAGAAAACAAACAAGAGTTAATTTGCAAGGACTGGGCAGAAAAAAAAAATCCAGAGGGTTGTTTTCTGAGTTTAGGAACATGTTCTGGTTTATAGAGAGGAAATGGAGACATACGTGCTAATACCAGCGGGAAGCAAGGAGACTCCAAAGAGATTCTTCAAGTCCTCAGAAAAGCCAACCTTCAGTATAAATAAAGCAATATCAAGAATTTAAAATGCAATTTAACTCAAGTCCAATTTTCAGTTTCTGCATATTATCAACTCATTTTTATTGATGAATATCACAAACTTCAATCAATACTCTTAAAAATATTATTCTGCATGCATTTAACAAATCTGACAAAAGAACAAGTATCCAGTTTACTTGCATTGTAACTATGACATTTTAACTAAACAATCAATTAACATATATTTAAAACCATTAGGTACAGGTAACAATGAAACACTTCAATGCTTTAATCTGATGGCATCCTACCACTATGCACATGTTCATGTAACACTACTAGTAATTACCCTGAAGCACAGGCAAATGTAGATGGAGGACTCTCCCTAAAAAGCAAGTTTAAGGGATTAAATATCATCGTCATCATCATCGCTACTGAGAATAAAGCTGCTGCCAGTGGATAGGGGCCCTTCTTCAACACTCCCAAAACCACCCAAAGTCCCCCTCTCATCAGAATCGTCAAACAACTTCTCACTGGAATCTTCCTCCTCATCAAACAACTTCTCATTGGAATCATCATCTTCGAACAACTTTTCGTCAGCATCTTCAACTTCCTTTCCATCTGCATCTTCATCTTCCTTGTCATCTGACTCTTCAAACAGCTTTTCATCTGCATCACCTTCTTCCGCCTTTTTATCAGCAGCTTCAAGCCCCTTTTCATCTGCATATTCTTCATCCTCTTTCTCATCAGACTCATCATCAAATACTTTTTCATATGTATCCTCCTCTTCTTCCTTTTCATCTGAATCTTCGTCAAACTCTCTCTCAGAGCCTTCCTCATCTAACACTTTTTCAGAGCCGTCATCTTCAAATTCGGAGTTTTCAGAGTCATTTTCTTCTAACTCTTTGTCAAGAACATTTTCATGAAGCTCCTTTTCAGAACCTTCCTCGTCCAAATCTTTCTCGAGACCATTTTCTTCAAATTCTCTTTCGGAGCCATCTTCAGACTGTTTTTCAGAGCAGTCTTCATCAGACTCTTTCTCTGAGTCATCTTCTTCGGACTCTTTTGTGGGGCCAACCTCCTCTTCAGACTCCTTGTTGAGGTCATCTTCAGATTCCTTTGCAAGGCCATTCTCTTCACAATCATTTTTGAGTGTCTTCTTTTTAGACTCTTTTTTAGGACTATCCTCTTCAGATCCTCTTACGGGATTGCCTTCTTCAGACTCTTTTTGGGAGCAGCTGCCTTCAAACCCTCTTTTGGGGCAGCCCTCTTCAGATTCTTTTTCAGGGCAGCCTTCTTCAGCCTCTTTTTCGGGGCTACTTTCCTTAGCATTGTTTTCAGAAGCACCTTCTTCAAATTCTCCCCCATCTTCTGTCTTTTCAAACTTCTTCTCATCTATAGGTTCTTCAAACGCCATTCCAGTTGCAGTTTCTTGAGCATTCATTTTAGATGTGCTGGGGTGCTCTGAAAAATGCCTTGCTCTAGAAGGCCCTGCCCTTTCGGAAGCAGAGACAGAATCTGAACGCCTAAGGCCTCTGTTGGCCTCAGGAGCATTGAGGAAAGCCTCCCATCCTCTCAGCCTTTCCTCCCTTTCTCTTGAGGTTTCCTCCACCTGTGGATAAATGGAGACTGCCATTAAAATAAGTTTCAGGCAAAAGGTTACTTCTCTGAACATATCTAATATTGATGAAACAACCTTAATTTTATAAAGCATCTCTTATTAGGAAATGAAAGCAATTCCATCTTCAGTTTTCAAAACTTTACATCTTGATTTACTAGAGTTGACCTTAAATAAGACCACTTAAATAAAGGCCAAATATCACAGTACTGCAGAAATGTCTCATCTCTTAAAAAGTTAATATTTGAGCTCTGTCTATACTTTACAGCATACAAAGGAAGAGTAACATTTGGTTGAATGTGTTCTTTTCTTATCACTATTCTGAACAAGCCTCAAACTTTCAGACTTAGAAACTGAAAGACTCAAACATTTCTCTATCTTCTGAATGCAAAATATTATTTAAAAGCAGCACTGTAAATAATTAAGAGGAAGAGTAAAAAATTAAAATATATAAGTAAATAAAAATAAAAGAAGCATTGTTACATTAAATAGGTTAAACCAAACCCAAAATTTAGATCTGAAGGATCAGTATTTGTTGGTAATGAAACAATGTGTGTGCCCTTGACAAGCAGCAAAATTTACCTGATAATCTGTAGTCCCATCCCATGCCTGGGCAGTGATTTGACGGCCACCAAACCATCTTCCATCGAGAGTCTGAATACAATAATCAGCTTCCTCTGGATCCCGAAAGGACACAGAGGCCACACCATCTGGGTGCCTCTAGAAAGATAAGAAAGAAAAAAAAGGAATGAATGATAAGATTAAAAATAAAACACATACATTTCACAAAGTAGGTAAGTAGTAGTGTTCTCTCTGATACTCTGAAGTAAAAGACTTTATGTATGAAGTCTTTCTTCCATTTTATCCCAGCCAGTCACGTGCAGTCAGCTGCTTCTTTACCTCAATCTTACCTAGCAAGAACCAAGCACAATGTCCTTGGAAATGTTTCTGCTGACATCCCTGTCTAATGAGAAGCAGGACAGTATAATTGTTAAGAGTGTAAACTCTGAAGTCATATTGCCCTGGGATTAAATCCTGGCTCTGTCAGTTACCAAATGAACAACCTTGAGCCAGGTGTTCAATTTCTAAAGTGTTAGCTTCCTCATCTGTAAAATGGGTGTAATAGTGCTAACCTGCCTCAAAGGGTTTTGAGAAGTGAGATAACATGTAAAGTAGCTTGTAATACACAAGCAATAAATGGTGACTCTTAATTATTGGGTGTCAATTCTGGAAGTAAAAAGAGGATGAGAAGAGGAAATATACAGGAGAATATTGTCCCTGATTGTTCCAAATATGGAGGATGAGAATAATTCACAAAGAGGGGAAAATGTGACTAATAGGGAACCAGAGATCTCATACATTTTTCCTGTACCTTCTTTCACCTGATCATGTACTCTAGGGTAATGAAGACGGAAAATAAGCAAGGCATACCAAATCTATCAAATCCTTGGCTTGTAATCCACGTTCATCTCATTATTGCTAATAGATGATTATCACAAGATAGTGGACTACTATATAAAAACATTAATCTAAAATTCAGGGGTATACTAACATCTGAGAAGAACTTATAAGGTGGAGGAATTATTGCTTTAGGATCCATATGTCCAAGCCATGAACTTACATCAAAGAGAAGGAGTTTCCTAATTTGTCCAAACTTCGAACACTCTACTCGAAGGTCTTCTCTGATCTCATTCAGCACCAACGGATCATCCTGAAAAATATGCATGATTAAAATGGGTTTGCTCCCTTCTTTAACTATAAATCCTGAGAATCCAATTTCTTGTTCTGATAAATCAACAAACAGAAAAAGGTTTTGCTTAAGGTTGTGTTTTTCATTCTATACAATTTTTTAAAAACTCAAAATCAAATAAAATTATACTACTACATACACTGCTACTCCTATAGGTTTGCCCTGCTTTAAACAAAGGAAATGGACAAGTATGGCAGGCAGCAGAAGGGGCCTACAGTGGCAGAGCAGGAGAAGATGGTGGAAGTCCTGTGGCGCATATTCAGTCAGACTGCTAATTCCTATGCTCTGCATGGGCATCAACATCACACTGATAAGAGCCCTTTGCTTTGTGTTTTGGATACATTCCTATTTACAGAAATGTTGTAATGGAGAGAGAGAGAGCAATATATCCCTTTTATTGACTAAGTGTCCTAAGATTGATTTTTGTGCTTCCAAGATGCTATTTTAACTCACAGAATAAACATCGTAAGGATTACTGTTCGTCTTGTCTCCTACCACATTGTAACAGAACCATACAAATAAGGAGCTGTTATTAAGCATGCAATAAAATACATTCTTAGCTGTTGCTTTCTTGCAACTATGAGCCTATTAAGAACATTCAAGTACTGCTGTTTCTAGTAGCCTAGAGTTCGGGTGGAAATCTCCCTATAACAACAAAATGATTTAAGATTCCCTCTGGGAATTAACAAATCTCTCTCCAAGTACCAATGCATAAAAAGGGCTCAGGAAAAGCTACATTATCAGCTTGAATTTCAACTATATACAAATATAAATGAAGATATCCTATCTACAAATTTCTATTGAAGGTGACTTATACTTTCTAGGAAACATTTAAGCGCATCTATCTTTCTTACACGCTTTCATTTTTCTCATCAGCTAAAGAGGAACTATAGAGAATTGTGGCTTTCCTCCCATAAGGTTCTTCAAAAAGCAAAAATAAGCTGGCAGGGAGTTACTGAAATCTGATTTAAAATAAAAAATATAAAATCATACTCATTTGCATAAATCTGAGGCTTCTAAAACTACAGTTGGCAGAACTCTGGACTTCCCCACTTATAAAACTCAATTTTGGAGAAGCAGCCAATTTGCTTTATACAAAATGATCAGACCTGAGAAGAATAAGGAGTAGAGAATAAAAGTTATGGCTTTTGACATGTGTGTGTGTGTGTGGGGTTAGCTCCTATTAGAGTGAGTGCTTTCAGAAGGCAGGACCTTTGTTTTATTGAGTTTCAGATACCTCACAGAAAATAGCACAGACTTTTGTACAAAGCCAATATTCAAGAAAATCTTTTTAAGAATTTGATAAACTGTTTCTAATACCTCTCTTTTATTCACCAAGGAAAATCAGGATTATATCAAAAACAAAAAAAAAACTGTGTCAACATGTTTAACAACTTTTAAATTGAAGCGTGATTCCATGGTGGGGGTAGGCATCACCTCCATTTCTACACCAATGTCTCAGTGCTTTGCTTTCTTTCTTTTTTTTTTTTGAAGACAGAGTCTTACTCTGTTGCCCAGGCTGGAGTGCAGTGGCGCGATCTTGGCTCACTGCAGCCTCTGCCTCCCGGATTCAAGTGATCCTCGTGCCTCAGCCTTCCAAGTAGCTGGGATTACAGGTGCGTGCTATCATGCCCGGCTAATGCATTTGAGTTTTGACTCTTCATGTCCTGGTATTCAAATTTGCCAGGCAATGCATTTTAAAGTAAGGATTTGAATTAAATACTGAAGACCCTCTGAAGTTACATTAAAAATGTTAGCCTTCAGATCAGACAGTATTCTTAGGTATGTTGCTTCTAACTGTTTGGAATCAAAATATACCCCTCCACCCAAAATCTGACTCCTTTCAGATATCTCAGGATAACCTGACAATTCAGTTTTTGTTTTCCACTAAAAAGCTCAATGCTGCTGTGTGTTCTTTAGGTTCATATGGAGTCTTGAGTCAAATCAAACACTCCCCCAAAACATGCAATAAAAGCAGGTTTTCCTGTTGGACACTTCTATCAAAAGTTATATAATGTCTATACCAGTGTTGTCCAATAGAAGGTTCTGTGATAATGAAAATGTTGTATATCTGCATTATCCAATATGGTAGCTACTAGCTACATGTGCCTAGTAGAAGCGATGAACTGAATTTTATTTCATTTTAATTAACTTACATTTAACCACACATGGCTACAGTCTACCATATCTGACAGCACAGGTCTACACTGAGGTTCAGGTGCTCAGAGACAGTGAACAAAAGCAAGATTATTTGTCACTCTTCTTGTTGACACGCTCTCAGCAAGCTAGTTGGACCATGTGAGGCCAGGAAGGTGGGCAAACAAGGATAGCATCACCAAGCATTTCTTTGTGAACTAATTCCGCCACGGCCAAGACAATGTCCCACCATCCTTTGTGGAATAAGCATCTAAGAAGAAAATTTGCTTTCATTTGCAAAGATGCTGAAGAGAAAATGTTTTATCCACTGGCTGAATGAAAAGACTCTGGCTTGTAAATAACAAGGGTTTCATTTAGCAATTCTTTCAATTCTTCATCACATAAATATTAAGGGCCAACTGTGTGCCAGGCAAATTCTATGTACTGAGAATACAGCAGCAAACAAGGTAGACAAAATACTGGGTGTCATGGAGCTCACATTCTAGTAGACGAGTCAAAATTACTTCAGATAATAATAAATGCTATGAAGGAAACAAAATAGGGTAGTATAAAGGCTCTGTAACTCCAAAGTAATGTTTATACTAAACCAAGAAGATTAAAAAAAAAATCAGGAATTTGCAAGCATGAAACTTCTATCTTTAAAAATATTCACTGGAGGGAATGTATAGGGGTCAAGGTAGAATAAATGTGGTTTTGGGGAAAGAATATTTGTTAAGCTGGGAAGAGCTAAGTCTGCCTGGGGTGATCCTTAGACTCAAATAAGGTATTTCAATGAGCAAGGCAGGAGGTAGAAACAAGAATAGATTAAAATTACACAACAGACTTCTACTTGCAGAGGTTCCAGATAGTTTGAATTAGGTTTGCATTTACATTCACACTTGGGTGGCAGGAGTATGAAATGTGTGAATCAAAGACCTCGAGTCACAGAAATAAATATGTCACCTAATAAATCACTTATTTAGCAGGGGGATAAAATGTAATAAATAATAGGAAATCCCGGAGTTGTATTTAGCAGACTAAATATTGTGATCAATCTGTGCATTTATTTTATATGCTGCTTTAATGACTATGATCTGGTTCTTTGTTTTGTTTTATTTTGTTTTGTTTTGAGATGGAGTCTCGCTCCGTTGCCCAGGCTGGAGTGCAGTGGCGCGATCTTACCATAACCTCTGCCTACCGGGTTCAGGTGATTCTCCTGAATCAGCCTCCTGAGTAGCTGGGATTACAGGTATGCGCCACCATGCCCAGCTAATATTTTTGTAATTCTATGCATTCATTTTAAAGTTATTGCTGGCAAAAACAGTATTTCAAAATGCATCTGGTGTGCACGTGTTTATAAACCATACTTCATTATCACTGCAACTGTAAAACTGTAAACTGTTATATTTCAAAATTCTTCCAGATTTCTAGTCAGAAGAGATATCAATCAATCTCATAAATAAACCAGACGTATATTTCCAATGACCTCAAAAGATGCCCAAACTCCATAGGTACACAGTAAACCTTATCACAACACTATTCATTGAGATAGAGCTGAACTGTCCATTTTGGGGCCCTCTCTAAGGGAGCTACAATTATATTACCATTTTGACTGTTTAAATGCACAAAAGGGTCAGGAATGGGCACTAATTTACAACTAGATTATTGGTAAAAACGGAATTTTACGTTATGAACATTTTTCTCTGTATAACTTGCTATCTGTATAACCTGCTTTCTGTATAACTTGCTATCACTAATTTCAGAACCAGGGAGAGAATAAAGAGTTGTTTCTCCACAACAATAAAGTCAGTCTACACCAGTAGACAGAGATAAGAATACAGGCAGAATGTAACACAAGGTACTTTGATGACAATATTCCTCAGAACTCCTTGTTCTTTGCTTCTCCTTTATTCACTTTTTTGAGGGGAGGAAGGACAGTTCCATTAACTTTTTTTAAAATCACTTAAAAAAGTTGATACATAACAGATGTACTTATTCACTTTTACTTGCTGTTCTTGGAATTTTCCACGGACATTAAATATTATAACTTTTAGTACCAAACTGAAGTTTGCATTTACAATTGTGAAGCTGGTACTCCCCACCAAAATCAGGCCATACTTGTTGGCTTGCACTGAAAATCCACAAGCAGTTCCCATAAATCTTTTGATGATGATATTTTTCAATGGTTTCCCATACCAAGTAGCTGCTGCTTGGGGCGCAGTATGGTTATTAAACAGTCTTATCTGTGATACACTTTAAAACAATACTGGGCTAAACAAAGGGAAGGGAAATCAAAAGACTTAAGTAGCTTCTTGGCTCCATCTTCCTTTACTACTCGCTGCACAAACACGTAGGAGGTGACAAGACAAAGATGAGGCGAGGCAAGCTCCAGGCTCCCTTGAGAGAAAAAAAGCCTATCAGCATTTCTATCAGTAAGCACACCACTTCCTACCTCAAAATCCATAGGATGAAACATATTCTTGATGATGACAACTCGCTCATGGCGCATCCGGGATGGTCCGGCTCGCCTCTCAGGTCTCCAATCCAACTGCCTGAGGCAATGAAGCAGTAACAACAAACTGTAAATTTTGCTTCAGACTTGTTGGAGAGAGAAAAGAATGAGTTGTTCATACAATACTTTACTGAGTATTTAATAAAGATAATTACTGGATTTTACAACAACAAACTGTATTTCAGTCATAGTTCCAGTCAGAAAACTTTCTGAAATAAAAATAATGGGCAGGGGGCCGTGTGCGGTGGCTCATACCTATAATCCCAGCACTTTGGGAGGCCGAGGCGGGCGGATCACTTGAGGCCAGGAGTTCAAGACCAGCCTGGCCAACATGGTGAAACCCCATCTCTACTAAAAATACAAAAATCAGCCAGGCGTGGTGGTGCACGTCTGTAATCCCAGCTACTGGGGAGGCTGAGGCATGAGTATAGCTTGAACCCCGGAGGTACAGGTTGCAGTGAGCCAACATTGCACCCCTGCACTCCAGCCTGTGTGACAGAGTGAGACTCTTGCCTCAAATAAATAAAATAAAATAAAATAAAAGGCAGAGGCAAAATGATCCCAGTATCTGAAATCCCCAGATGAAATGTTTTTCAGGGCAACTGTTGTCTGATTATACAAACATTCCAATGAGACCCTTGAAAAATCTCTAATTCTTAGTATTTATGAGTTCAGAAAGATATACCTTGAGGCTAAAAAATATATTTAAATTGTATTGGTTTTTAGGTACTTTATCATTATAAAAAACAAACTGCACTCAAATACATAAAACTACTCAACTCTGTTACAATCATAAATTTTACTGATATTGTTTAAAAAATATGTGGTTATCAATTTTACCTACACTTGTAAAAACAATGAGACATCACAACTAAATGCTTTTATGATATTTAATTAGTTTAAGCATGGTGTTAGAAGTGTCATTAGAATTTACTCTGATAAAAGTATTTATCATTTTGACTAATTTCTTAAAACTAGTATATTTCAAAGTATATTAAACAAACAGAATAATAATAGAAACTTGATGACATTATGTATATACTACATACAACTACAGTAAATACAATTATAAAATCCTGTCATTTCTAATTCCTATAACAAACCTGTATAGAAAAATTTAGCTCCTGGTACCACTGATTTCAATCCACACAGAAGTAAACGGTTCTGGTACATAAGCCTAAACTATCTTATTTAATTTGATGTTCAACGTTTTCCAAACAGATGGCTTCTCTTAGCTCATTTAAGCCCTTATTATATTACAAATAGACACTCTGGAAAATTAAAATCCCCACCACTGCTAAATCTAAACCTATTGTATAGATTGCTAAAGGTACCTGATGAGCTAATGAAATTATTTTAAAATAATGTGTAGGCACACTTGACAGAATAAAACTAGATGGCTATTACCAAAAATATACTCTAGAATATATGGAACCTTTCAAAAGGGAAAAAAATTACAAACTTTTGTTGCATAGACAGCTTCTTCTTATAGTCTTTGCACTTCTTCTTCTTCTTTGAGGCATCATATTCTCCCTTCAGTTGAAACTTTGCCACCTCAACATGTAATTTGTAGCCTCTAATTTCATCTTCATCCAAAAGTTTTAATGCAAGTTCCACAGATTCTCTCTTTATAAATGTAAGACAAAATATAGTCAGTTATACAACGAAATAAAACTTCAGGAGTTTTTTAGATGAACGATGATTATACATAAAATAATTTAAATTCTTATATTTATATATTATGAATATACGAGATCTCGTTCTCTCTTTGAGATAAAGAACTCTAGAATCTGAACCAGGAAACCCGCATCTGAGACACAGCTGTCCCTAACCGGCTGTGTGAACTTGGGTAAATTATTCAAGCTTCCTGAGCCCCAATATCGTCGTATGTAGAATGGAAATAGTTAATACCTTCATCACAAGGTTCTTGACAAAATTAAATGAAATAATGCATGGAAAGGATAAGGACTAACATATGGTAGGTGTTCAATAAATATTATTATTGGGTAATTTTGTCTCTTGAGGCCACAATTTCTCATTTGCAGAATGAAGGGAGCAAATCTGCATGATTTCTAAGGTGTATTTCTTTTAAAATTCTATAATACTCTTACTTAAAAGACTAGATGACTCAAGGAATTGGGAACACCATAGACAGCCTTTAATTTTTTGGTTCATCCATTAAATTGTGAGTCTGTAATACACTGAGAAGTAGAAGACAATTATCTGATGACTTGTACTTTATATTAAATACATGTATGGATTCCAGGTCTTAGAGAAAGGACAGTTATCAGCCCTATACAAACAGAGTCAAAGATCAGAGGACCTGTAGAAAAGAAAAATGGATAACTGAACTCAGCTGCTCACATATATGGGTCCTGGAATAATTCACTATATTTTCCTGGAACTCAATTTACTGTTTTGACAATCTTGTACTTCTATGGGTCTCAAAACTCAATTTTTTTCCTTTAAAAATTTAAAAAATCTAACAGAACTCCCTAAGAATCTGTTCGCAGATTTTTTAATAATCCTTAAAGAACTTATAAAACCCTCAAATCTCCTTACATTTGAACATTACAAAACTACCATCCTAAAATGGTCATGCTCATGTCCCATAACCATCACGTTTAAGATTCAGGTCAAAAACCTATTTCCCAAAAAGCTGTCAGCTTAATCCTACTCTCTTCTGATCTCACTGGAATACTGTATACTCACAACACACCTGTGGTGTTTGTACTTTTGCTTTACCATTTTGACTTTACTCTGTAATTATTTCCAGGTTTGACTTATGTACATGTCATCATTTGTTCTGTACCCTGTGATAATGTATAACACATGCTCCTAAGGTGGCAGGTGTTCCAGAAATGATGGCTGCCTCTGGCATTGAGGTTTCTTTGTGTAATTTATGGTACTATGACTACATGAAGTTCTGCAAATTTCTCTTAATACCACTCTCTCTTTTCTCACATTCAAAAAAATATTTTAAAGCAGTAAGAATAAGCTATCGTCTCCTTCATGGTCTAATTCAAGGGTCAGAAAAATCCTTTTGTTAAAGGGCCAGTTCGTAAATATTTTAGGCTTTGTAGGCCACAAGGTCTGTGCTGCAACCACTCAACCCTATCAGTGAAACACAAAGGCAACCATAGACAAATGCATAAATGAATTAGTGTGGCTGTGTTCCATAAAGCTGTATTTACCAAAACAGAGCCCGAGTTTGCTGAACCCTGGTGTAATTCATTCCAATGGACAACTAAAATGTTACTGGCTTTTTTTCTTCTTGAATTTTTAAAATGTAGTCTGAATTGACTGTACACATCAATAAAAAAATCTTTCTAGTGAGAATTTTTCAAGACAGAAGAAGCACTCCAGTCGCATACTTATATAATACTTTTACCTGATAACATATTTTCTTAAAACAAGTGAATAATCTTACCAATGTGATACACACAGGTACTAACTGAAATTTCAGTTTTCTTCATATCCTGTTTTGAACAGTTCTTGGTGTTGGTTATCATCTATAGAAATTATAGCCCTGGTTCCTGAGTTAAAAACGAAGATACAAGAAACTTATTTGATCATACAACTTACTTTCAAATAACAGCAAAGACCGTCTCCTTTAAGATTTCCTTGATTATCTTTGTAAAGTTTGACCTTAAATTCTTCTGTCTGAGGATCTCTCATAATAATGCCAAACTTGGACATAAGTTGTATAAATTCATCCACTGTAATATCTGGAGGCAAACCTGTCATTTAAGAAAAATTAAAAAACATTTATAATTGATAATGAAGGTGAATTACTTAGCATTCTACCAATTAGAAATCTATAACTTAGGTGAATGCAATGTTGATTTTCTAAATGTATGTAAAAGTTTTACATTTACGGAACTGAAGAAATTTCACATTTTTGTGTGTTCAAATATACATTAAAATTATGCTTTCTTGAGGGCCTCACTGAATGGGAAGGGACACACTGCTGTAAGTTACATTAACCAGGCCTAAAGGTTGGTATGCAAAGTTACACACTAAATTTCTTGGTTCTGTAATGAACACACATATTCCTTACTAATATAAATGGCTGAACAAAAAATGACACAATGATAAAAAATGGACTCTGGAGAAACTGAAAGCTAAAAATCACTTCGTGAAAAATCTCAAAATTAAGTATTTCCTACCTTAAACCTGTTTAAAAAGTTATACATACCAGACACGTATACATTTGTATTTCTGTCTTCTTCAACATGAAACCATCCTAGAAATCAAAATTAATTAAATAAATAAAACACTTGCAAAAAAAGATAAGAGTCATATTATGGAATCTTGACAAAGCAGCAGTTTCTTGAAACTTCCAGGACGACCTTTCTGTTACTCTTAAAAGACCAAGATAAACTAACTCAAATCACTACCCAGCTTTCAAAAGATTTAAATCTTTTGAGAAATAATTAGTTTTAGAGCCCTATCTGGAAAAAAGATGGCCAGTTTATCTTGATTCTTTATAACTGACACTACCTTAAAGAAAAAACTCACCTTATTCCTTCAAAGCTATTATAATTCTCGAAAAAGCAACTGTACCTATGCACACCCATATTTTTAATTTTTACACTTAAAATTTGTAAGCTAGAACCACTTACCTGACTCAGCCTTTCTTTTTTCTCCCTTCTTTCTGGCATCAGTGGGTTCCGGGGCTTTTTCTTGTGGAGGTTCCTCTGCAGTCCTAGCATGGACATCTTCAACATTTGCGGTAGAACTAGATGCGCCATCGTTAGAGAAGCCATAATTGGCCTGATATGTAGCAATGAAATCTTCAGTAATCTACACAAGCAATTCAACAGACCCGGACAGAGAAATTCAAAATTATTTCCACTCATAAGAAGTTTAAATTGTGTTTTTACAGCATAGTTATACAACTTAACACAAAAGTGTTTCTGTGGATAATAGTTGTAGTTATTAAGGTATAAATGCAAGAATAGTCACCTTCTATAGAAAATTGTGCATACGGTGATAAAAAATAAGACACAAGTACTTAGATGATCAATGCAAAAGTCTGAGATACGATTTAAAGCATTTTAAGTGATGCTGGCACCTTTTCTAGTTGTTTCATTTATTAATTACTACCTCTCTACACTACTTGACTAAGGCTACAAATACATACAACAAAGGAAGAACCAGATAATAAAACAATAAAAACCAACAGTCAATGAATAATCTAACCACAGAATCCAATTTTCTCTTACTGTACAGATGCACCAATATACATGTACAATAAGTACTTAAATATCTGTATGCAGAGAGCACACAGAACAGAACTCTGATTTGGTATATAAAGAATGGGGTTAACAATTGTAAAACTAAATGCTCATTTTAACTTTATCACAAATTAAATGACGTTATATTTTAGTATCAGAACAAATTAAAGACAAATCCAACTCATATCTATCTTCCTCCCCTTTGGGGGAAAAGCGTTATTGCAAAACGAAAGAAATATAGTTATATCATCATACCAATCAATATTAGGCAGGCATGGAATGGGGAAAATGTAAAACCCAAAGTTTGAAGAGGTATGGGCTTCAACAACATAAAAGGATAAAGTCACACATTAATCCATTATCACACCTTTGTTAAAAGTATTCAGAATGCTGAAGAAACCAAATCTGCACTCAAACTAGCACTACCAACACAGAAGTGAAATCGTAAATTTTAACAATCTGGAGGGATTGGAATATATATACAAATACAGAATGGGAAAGAAAAGTTGCAAAAGAATTTTTACAATAGCAGTCCAGTCGCGCAGTGGAGACAGGTTTTGTATCATTGACTTGCAAGTCAATTTGTGTGCTATTAGTGTGCCCTTTCCTGCTCATGAGAGCCAGATTAAAAGGGCACTTTTACCACAAAGTTTACAGAATCAAGTTTAACATTAGTTATTTTACTTCGAAGCTGAAATAAAAATACTTAGCAATTTCCAAGTATTCCAAACAAACATACACAGATTTTCCATCTGTATTCTGTGTATCTCCAGTCTTATTCCTGTGGTTATATGGTTCAAACATATATGCCTAGGGACAAAATTTACTAGGAAAGTAAAGCAAGGTGCAAAGAAAGTTCAATTAGTAAAGCTATATAAACAGCTACTTTAAAAAAGAAATCAAGAAACTGCATTTTGCACATAGTACATAAGCTAAACATCTGAGTTCCTAGGACAAGTGGGGTTGGCTACCAGAAATGGACAGCTACTAAATTTGTTCTTGGTATTTTTCCTCTTTGCAATAAAAAGCAGTCATGTAATAATCAACTGTGACCTTCACAGACAAGATTAATAAAGCATAGAAAAGACTTAAAAATTACATTTAAGACACTACCCTAAAGATTTACGTTCTTTTACACATCGGTGCCCCAACAAACACAACAAAAAGAAGCGTCGCTATTCAAGGGGGCTAGGACCAAGGACCAAGGATCTCAGCAAAGCAAACGTAAAAGGAGTGCCCCGCGAGGCTGGCCAGGCGGCCCGCTCTGCAGTGGCGCCCGTGGCACTCTCCTACCTTGGGGAACCAAGCCTTTTTGTCCAGGTCCCACTCGTAGGGAGTGTCCGTCGGCTGCTGCCCGAGAGAATCGGGTTCTCCGCCGGCATCGGTCTGGGTGTCACCATCCTTGCCGTCTCCGTACAATTCTTGCATTCGCAACTGCTCATCAAACTCATCGTTCCCATCCAAGTTGGTGCCGCTCATGTTTCCTACCTAGCTCAGGAGCAGGGTTCAGAAGAACTAAGAGGCCGAAATGACGCTGGAGCTGAGCAGAGAAAGGGAGGTCAACCGCGCTCTGCTCGCGCCCCGCCGCCCCCCGGCCCGCCTCCCCGCTGCGCCCCAGCAGTCCCCGGGAAATCGCGGCCGCTCGGCGGCTGCACCGCCCCCCTCTCTGCCCGCCCACCGCGCGCGCGCGCTGATGCTGTGAGCTCGGCCGCGCCGCCGCCCACCTGGCTTGCTCCGCCGGGCCTCGGCACCGCCGCTAGGTCCAGGGCGCTGCGGGAGCGCGCAGGCGCGCTGCCGCCGCCGCCACCGCCGCCGCCGCCGACCGGATCTGAGGCGACTGCGGCTCCCTCGGCAACGTCAGGAAATTACTTCTAAACTAAGCCCTGCTCAGGCCGACGCAGCCGCCATTGTCGGCGCGTGGCGACGTCGCGGGTCGCGCCGACACGCCCACTATGGCGTCAAAAAGCGCCGACGCCGGCATGCGGCGCGAGGCCCGGGGAGGCGGGGCGCCGGGGTTGGGGGGACCCGCTGCTGCTGCGCGTCGACGCCCACCGGGGTCGGGTTTGGGGCGGGGCGAGGGCCACTGGGATCCCGCGGCGCCTCAAGGGCCTTGAGCTCCGCGGGGTCCCCGGCGGATCGGCCGGCCCGGGAGGGAAACGGAAGGAAGGCGTGGGAATATTCCCTCGCGGGGGTGGCCGGGCGGGTTTCGCGAGGGCGCCATCTTAGGGGAGTGGGTGGGGCGGACAGGACAAATTTCTCTGGCTTCGAGAAAACGACGCGCCTCCTTCGCCCAAAGGCCCCTCCCCCGCTCAGGAACCGCGTCTTTTACTTGTTTCTTTACGACACCCGGGGATAGACACCGGATCTTGTTCATCTTGGTAGCCTAAACTCCTGGCACCGGCTCTGGTGTCTAATGCGGAATGAGCGAATGAATGAACGAATGAGGGGTAGAAGGGCCAACTTTCTTTTTCTGGTGTCAGCCTTCTCCTTTATCGGTCTCATACCTTCCTCTGGCTGGAGTTCGACTCCGTGGGAAGGATGGAAAGGGCAGCAGTTGCCTGCCTCTTGTACTGCAGATTTCAGTGGCGCTCGAGCTTCGAACTTGAAACTTAAGCATAAATGTAAACATCCCAGTGTAAACACCAGCTTTATTGGCCGGGAAACTCCGCTTCTTTGTCATTCTTTTAGAAAGACACAGCATACTTTTTGTTCTAAACAGAACTTTGTTTTCAGGAATTACACTCATTGCTGAAAAGGAAAAGGTCCATATTTTTAAGTTGGGCAGGTATTTATTGAGCCCCTACTAAGTGCAGGGCACTGCGTGAGGCTCTGGCGACCCAGGAGTTGACAAGACAGGCACAGCTCAGGGGAGACAGAATTAAGATGGTTGGCACCTGACAGATATGAGATGCTGGAGGACAGCAGTTCTCAAACTTTTTGGTTCCAGGTCCTCTTTACACTAAAACATTGAAAACCCCAAAAAACGTTTGTTTGTGGTTTATACTTACCAATATTTCTGCACAAAAATGAAAGCGGCTGTTAAAAAATACTAATTCATTAAAATAATAAGGAACCCATTAGTGTAAACATAAATATCATAACCCGGGCTTGAGGTCCGGGAAAACCTTACCAGAAGAAATTATTTCACTATTCCAGTGACCTTCACTTCTAAACATAGCAGTTGAGTACTACTTCTAGAAAATCCTGGCTCCCCACACACCAGTTGTGTGAATCTATGGTTTCAACGATAACAACAGTTTTTAATAGTTTGGGTTAGTTTTTTTTTAAATTACATTTCTTTTTCATGAAGTTCTCATTCTGGCAGGAACTCTTGGAGAACTGAATTTGTGTGCACTTTTATGATATAGGTAATGTGAGTTTTATTAGGCTTAAACTTTGCTAAATATTTTTTCCTGGATCCAAAAATAGCATACAGCTGTTTTCAGCAATGTGTTATTGGGCTCCCATTTCATTCCCGAGTTCACAGCATAGGTGATAATATGCGACACCACCCTACTGCACATATCATTGAGTGCCGGCTCTACCACAACCGTCTTTTGAGCAGGTGACTTAAAGGGTTCCTTATGCTTATGTCCCATGTCACCCAGCCATCCTGGCCCAAAGGCTGCCCAGGGTCTGTGTGGTGACCTGGCAGATAGCTCTGCATTCTAGACTGGATTTGACTGAGCCAGTAAGAACCTCTCCCAGAAAGTTTGAGTATGGAACATACAGGGATGTGGTCAGAGTAGCAAAGAAGCAAGGAGATACTCCCAGGGAAGGTAAAAGGCAGAACAGAGGCCTGCTGTGGAGAAGTTCCCCACGGGTGAGAGGAGCAGCTGAAGCAGCGAAGAAGGGTCACTGAGTCACTATACTAGTGAGGCAGTGGAGTTGAGAGGTACACACATTGTACCTGTAATGGCATTCTGTTTGGTCGTGAGAACTGGCAGTTTATAATTGCACAATGCTGTGGTCTCTGTGAGGCCTGGTTCCTATTTTTTCTCATTTCCCTGCATATTCATAGAATAACTCCCTAATGACTGAGGTAATCTGAAAGCATCTCTGTCTTTGTAACCTGTCTTTTACAAGTTTTTTTTCTTGCAAGTTATAGAAACACTCGAGGTAACAAAAAAAAAGGGGGGTGGGTTATAAAGATAGGGGCGGCTACTGAAACTCCAGGACTGCAGTGTAGATGGGCCACATAAAGGGATGCTGGACCTAGGAAGAATCTACATAGCTGGCTTCTCTCTGAATATGTGCTTCATTCTTCCCTCTGACCTTTATATGGGGTGATCTGTGTTGTACTTCTGCCCTAATAGGCCACAGCCTTCTTGGTGGATAAATATACATTAACCTACAAAAGCAGAGACTGCACTCCAGATAGGACTCACCTATCTGGCCTAAGAACTCTTTCTGAAAAATTACTGAACTATACCAAATCAGATTTTTAAAAAATGGTCCCTTCAAGCCCACTCTGTCCAGGAATTTTCCTATCCCCACATCCTATAATCTCAAGGCTTAGTGGAACTAAAAAGACTCCTTTCTGACAAAAAGATCGATGAATTCCTGACCTAAGATGACTCAAACTGCAGAAATTCTGCAAACCCAAATTTGCTATTTTCAGCAGAAAAGCGAGTCGTTAAGTGTTTTGTAGTGCTTTCACCTTCAATGATGAAGACTTACCTGCTGGACGTTTTGGTAATGCCTAACTTCGTGACTGTGTTTTCATGCTTTGTGGAGTATTACTGTATTATGTTCCATGTTTTAAGTCTTGGGTCAGGGAAGACCCCGAGCAACACTGAGATGTATACAGAATTTATTTTGTATATATCCCAGCTATCCACGCCATTTAGAATTCTCTCCAAAGAAATGAAATTTTCCATAGAAACATTTCTGGAACCACAAAAGTCAGTGTGAAAAAAATTGTGGCTATTAGGGCCTACTTGTAAGGTTAGCCATGACAAGGATAATCTGTTGAAAAAGAGACCACCCTCTCAAAAATCAAAGCAAAGCTGTGAATTTTAAGCCAACTACAACTACGGATGGAAGGAGGCTGATGCCCTACACAGCCATTTAGGGAATTATTTTATATCCCTAACTCACCTAAGGATTGCTGAGAATGGAAAAAAAAAAAGTTCTTTGAGTTCTAGTTTTATGAACTTCCAAAAAGCTGTCTTCACTTTAGTATTCTGGTACTTTTATCAAGTTATATCTGAAAAGTTATTAGAGTTTAGGAGAGTAAAGATGTAATTTTTACTCAGAGTGAGGAAAATAGTAAGATTGTTTTAGGGCTCTGTGACTTGAAAGTAACATTTTGGAATTAAAATGGGTTCCGTTATATTCTGTCAGAAATACTGTTTTTAGAATATAAAGTTACACAGAGTCATTTAAAACTTTATTTCATATTTATTTGTTTTTCCACACGTGTTACAGTGTCCACTTTAAAACAATACTAATACAGTATCACACCCCCCGCCCAACTTTAAGTAAACCAATTTTACAGAAAGTTAAAGTCTAATGTTAATATGTATTACCTTTTGGAGCCACATCATTAGCAAAAGTTCACGACTCCACAAGCCATTTAAAGAAAGCTCAGCATTACCAAAAGCACACTCAAACATTGTTTTTTTTTTTAAATACAAATTTACCTATAGTGCCAAACATGTTTAAATTTGCTCCAAAAATTTTTCTGAAACCACAGGTCTAAATCTGACACGTCTATTGACAAGAGTTTTTTTTTTTAAAACAATAATTATTAACAAGTGAATGATGTTAGCAGGTAGGAGCACAGGATAGAAAATCAGAACTTTCCATCTGATTTCCATGGGCAGAGATTAATTAGGCCATACACTTACAGGACTTAGGCACCCATTGGGTTTAATAAAGTCAAGCAGGAAGATGATCTGATCACAATTGCACACCCAGGGGTTAGGGATTTCATATGGTACTTCTGCATGTTTTTAGAAAGAGGGCACTGCTTACCAGAAAGAAACGAATTTCTGTAAAGGAAGAATTTCAGACACTGTGGCAGGTTTGCAGATTTTTCAACAGAGGTCCTCAAATGACACCATAAACATGACCACTTATTCTGCCTATGAATAAGGCAAGTTCCTAACAATATTTGTGAATGATAACTTAGCCCAGTTATTAATCCATGGCAGTTGTAAGTGTTGACCCAGTAAGGCAAGCACTGTGCCCCAGATCCTTACTCAGTGCTTTATATTCGCTGACTCCAAAACATTTTCATTTCAACTGCACAGATTCAGCTACAATGGAATACAGATTAATGGAAAAGGACAGCCATTCTGTGAAGGTTTATTTTTAAGAAAATAGCCTAAGAGATGCTTTCTCTCTTTTGTGATCCCCTTTTCACATACAAAGTATCTCTAGATTTACACCACACAGTAAACACAAACACAATTTTATGCAAATCACAGTATATGAGGAGTTAGAAGCATCACAGATGTGATTAAACAACAAATGAGATTTTTAAGTTTCATCTTGTTTATTACACCTTCCTTCCCATTTGACTTCCCTTACGATTCACTGGCATATATAAACTTGTCTTTCTGCACTTAGTGGGGCTTCATTTTATTTAGAAAGCCCGATGACATTACTATTTGTACTTTGAAGAAAGTAATGGTTTGTATTTTACTTACTTATAGGGATCCTTCACTCCTAAGATTTCAACACACTTTTCAAACAACAAAAATCTGGACACCATACACCTGCACACAGCTTAGAGTCGGATACACACGCTGGGAGGAGAAGCAGCATTTTTCCTTGAAAAGCTAGAATCTGTCCTCTGCCTGCTTCACACTACACCCAGTGAACGAGGTCACACTAATTTCAGACATCTGTATGCTCCCAGTGCCCGGGACCGTTCCCATCACAGCCAGGGTGGTAAGAGAGGTGTCAGCAACAGGAGGCTCAGGCCGCTCCGCCTTGCAACAGAACAACTGAGCTTTAAAATGCTTCTGGAAGCTTTTGCTCAGCCAGTAGAGAGCAAAGGGGTTTACGCAAGAATTGCTGAAAGCCAAAACCCGAGAGAAAATGGTGAAAATGAAATGCATGGCAGAGGGGTCTACATAGGTTTGAGAAGTGAATGAATGGTAGAGGTACAGGAGGTGATTTGGCAACCAGCAGAGGGCAAACAGAGCCACCAACACCAATACCGTTCTGGCAATTCTCTTTCGGGATTCAATCTATAGGGGGAAGAAACATAGCAAAAAAAAAAAAAAAAAAAAAAAAAACACAAAAAACAACAACAACAAAAAAAACAAAACATTTAGCTGTGAGAGATTTTAAAAAGTTATCCTATAAATTTACATAGAAATTTACAGTTAATTACAGCTGATTTCCCTTTGAACATGCATTTGTATGCTAACTGGCTGGGATGTGCAGGAAGTCAGCCTGTGACTATATAACACAGCAAGTCAATTGGCATGGTAACCTCTGATCTTGGGCTCATTAACTCTAATTCAGAGATACCTTTCCCCCTAATTTCGAGATACTCTAGGATGTCTGCAGTTAACTCGAAGAATGCCGTGGAATTCTCCAAAATTTACTGTAATTAAAAACAAAGAGACGCTATACAAAATTGCTTTCACTGCATCAGCAGAAGCTGACTAGGTCAGAATATTGTTTTGAGGTCTATGAAAGTTGCCAAGCTGGTAACTAAAATTGTTTTTACTCTATAGGAATTCTAACCATATAGTCAAAGAAGTAAATCCAAAATGTGCTGTCCTTTTTATGTGAAGATAATCCTACCTACATCTATTAATAAGAGAAATGAGCCAAGTTAGGTGAATATATAGCCTGTGGTCACAAATAGAGCAAAGGTAACTGGTTCACATGGGTATTAAATATGCAACTTCAGTCTCATGAGCACCATTGTTAAACTAACTGAATGGACTAGCTCTAAAAAAGGCACAGTTCTCTGCGTACCGATCAAGGGGTAAATGGAATCCTCTCTCCCCCTTTCCCAGAGGTTAGAAAAATATTTTTAATCAAATGGAACTATGTTTTGGCAACATTCCTTTTATTCTGTCCATATTTATGAGAGGGAGGGTACACGTGGCTCTTGCAGTGGTCTTAATCAAGCTTCTGTGAGTCACTGTGTTCTCGTGCTACTTGCATTCCACTCTTTCCCCTCACTCCTCCCCACCTCAGTTTGCTCATCTGTGTGTAAGTGGTTTGCATTGAATAGTGTTACGGATTCTTGCCAGTTCTATATGCTATGTATTTTTATTCTGTTACACTTTCTAAAACAAAAGATGCTTTTCTTCATAGTATCATCTTATGCAGTGTTCCCCACTATTCCATGGGGTAAAAAATTTTGACTACTCTCAAACTTCAATTGTCCCCTCTCTAATAGTAGTAGTCTTACCATTTATTGAAATACTTACTCTGCACCTAAGCATTTCATCTATATCATCTAGTAATCATCTTCATTTTACAGATGAGGAAACCGAGGCTCAGAAAGGTTAGGTAACTTGCTCAAGATTACTCAGCTAGTACGTGATAGAACTGGGATTCAAACCGGAGCCTATGCTCATAACAAAAATACTACACTGCTATTGCATTTATAAACAGGAAGATACACAGTTACTCACTGTGCAAAAGTAGGAACTTCACTTCTAAATTCAAACTAGATTTGCATGAGTACTGATTAATACATACCTGCTTACGGGCATGGCTTTGTTCCTCAGTAGGTATGTTCAGGGTGCTTTTGTAAAGGGTCCTAGCAATCAAGGAATAGTAGACAGAGATAATAGAGAGTGGAATAATGTAGAACACTAAGAAGCACAGCAGAGAATGTATTTCTTGCAAGAGCTTCTTAGAGACAGGATAAGAGGTACATGATTCAAATGTCATATTTTTATTGGGATCTCGAAAAGTGTATACATTTGAAAATATAGCCTCAGGTAGAGCAAATATCATAGACACGATCCAGACGCAGCCAGCTTTTACACAAGTCTTCAGGATGGCATTGGAGGGCTGTCGCTCAAGTGGCTTCACAACTGCCTTGTATCTAGAAACACATAATCAGAGGCAAAGGTCCAAATAAATGTCAAAGTTACCAAATTTTAGGGTGAGAAGTGACCTTAGTGGTCATCCAGTTCTACCCTCCGTGCATATGTGTATAACCAAGTCAACATTAACCAACTAGAATTGGCTATGGTTTTAAATGCACATAATACATCCCAATATTTTTATTTATGCTAATCTCCTTTTCCATTATTCACTCCTATGAGATATTCCAGATTTGCAATTTTATAATTTTATGTATAGACTCTCTATTTAGGACAAATAAACATTTATCAGCATGACTTTATGTGTGACTGAGAGTAATTCACCACCTGTGTATTACCTTAAGTGTAATACACTTAAGGTACCTAAAAGACTTCTTTTGTATAAGTGACTGATGTTAAACTGAATTAATTTTCCTTTCTTCATGAGTGAACAGTTATCAACCTTCCTAGAAGAGAATTCCAAGGGTTTATGTGGTAAAGAGGAGAGGATTAATTTCTTCCCCGTTTGTAAGTGTTAATTCGTTGCCCAACCTGATCAGTGGACAGATTTAGGGCGAGGCAAAGTTGCAATCAGAAGTCCTGTGCCGGTACAGAGATACCTCCTCATTCAAACAAATCCACCTTAAAATCTACAGTCATTAAGCCAGTCTGCCCTCAAATAGAATATAAGACCAGTCAAAGCAAAAATCATCAAAAGACACAGGGAAAGGTTTTCCTCCTCTCAGATTCTAGAATCTGAAGAAGTTATTCCTTCTGGTACTGCCAAACATCGATTACTTACAGGAATCTTGCAGGCTTTGTAAAGCATCATTTTTAACATTTGGAGCCTCAAATTTTTTCATGTTTTTACAGTTATTCTACAATAGGAACACAGAAAAACAGAGTACTTGGACTGAAAATATCCTAACACAGAATCTGAACACCCTGACTGCAAGAGGATCTCACACGCTCTCTCCACAGAGCTCTAAAAGTCAACCAAGATTAATTTATTTCTCTGGAAATGATAATGTCACTGAATGCCTACAGAGAAAACAAGTAGAATTACGTGATGACATTACACTAAGTTACCAGGGAGTTGAAAACCTCACCGTTTTTCTGCCATTAGCTAATTTGATGAATTTCAAATAAATTAGATGCCTGTGTCTTTTTACCACTCTTCCAATATACAGTTATACATATGTGGTCAATTTCACACCTATCCTGGTTTTCATGTTGACTATATTGCACCACTAGGCTGCACTAATGTATAAAGCATGAATTTTTTTCCTTTACACCTGGAACAATTTGCTTTACTTAATAAACTGGAGAAAAATAAAAACCCCGTTCAGTATACTTCCGAGCAAACAATAAGAATAAATTATCCATAAAGCATGCAATTTCAACTTCTCCTCCGTGCTAACACAGAAATTTTAACATTCTTACACTAACTTTTATTTTAAATGCCACCAGATTTTCCAATCTCACATCCACGTTACAGAGTGTGAGAAAAGCAGAATAGTAGCCAGTAAATGCTAAGTACAAGCTTTCCTTTCTTTTTGCCCAATTTCACATCCTGGCAAATATAATGGAGAAAAGAAACTCACCTGTCAGCGCTGAGAATTGTTAATGTGAACACTGACACACCAACAGAAGTGAGCCGGATGAAAGAGAGCACCTTACAACCAATTCTTCCGAACAGCCATCCTTCTGCAAGGTAGTGAGTTGCATCCACTGGCACACAAGTTAGCAGAAGTAAAAGATCTCCAAAAGCCAGGCTGGTGATGAAAATATTTGGAACTGTTTGCATGGATTTGGTCTTGAAAAAGACTTTGATGAGAATAGCATTTCCAAGGATGCCCACTGAAATGATCACAGCATAAGTAATATAGATGGCACACAATGCTTCTATTCCTGGAGAGTTGTCCCCGCTCCATCCTTTATTTGTGTTATCGTTAGAAACCACAGAGCTTGATGATTCTGTGTCATTTGTGATTGAAATTAAAGTCTGATTAGGTGAGTGAGGCTGCCTTTGAGCCATTTCTTCTGAAGACTGTGTCTTTAATATTTCTTCTTCTCAGTTCAAATGCAGTTGATTGTCACGTCCAATGCCTACGTCTAGTAACGAGATGGTATTAGGAGAACAGAACAGAACAGAATGGGAAGAAAATCCAAGACATCCAGATACTCCTTTGCTTCAGTTCTGTGTGTCTCCCAGCATGCTTGGCTAAATGCTTACCCATCTGGCACTGAAGAGTAGGAGGTGGAGTTTTATTGGCGTGTCCTGTCATAAGGAGAGGGAGGGGGCTGGGGAAATGCTCTGCAGTTGCTTATTCTTCCCTGTTGGGGAATCTTGGGACCAACTAGACCCTATTAAATCGTCTTATTTATTATTAGAATCACCCTGTTTTCATATCTACCCAGGATGGTCTATATAGGTTTTGTCAATTTTTTTTAAGAAAAAAACCATTTATCCCCCTGCAATCACATGGTAGTCTAGTGCATTTTGTTTTACATGATAAATAAGTGTAGGTGTCCCCTGAAGCACAACCTTGAACCCACTCCTCAAAATTTAATATCAGAGAGATGGTGAAGCAACAGATCATTTACACTTCGACAGGGTTTATGTCACCTCCAAGGAGTGATCATTCAGGTCACTTGGGCTTAATACCTAGCTCTGTCACGTGGTAAACCCCAACTTTGCAGTTATCCAGGCTGTGCTGTACACTATCAAAACAACCTTTTTAATTTTTTTTTTTTTTTTGAGATGGAGTCTCACTCTGTCACCCAGGCTGGAGTGCAGTGGCTCGATCTTGGCTCACTGCAACCTCCACCTCCTGGGTTCAAGCAATTCTCCTGCCTCAGTCTCCCGAGTAGCTGGGATTACAGGCGCCCGCCACCATGCCTGGCTAATTTTTGTATTTTTAGTAGAGACAGGGTTTCACCATGTTGGCCAGGCTGGTCTTGAACTCCTGACCTCAGGCAATCCGCCTGCCTCAGCCTCCCAAAGTGCTGGGATTACAGGCATGAGCCACCACACCCAGCCAAAACAACCTTTTAAGAGATGAAAAATCCAGGCACAGCACCAGTTGCTTTGTCTCTAAATGTCCTAATAAAACCACTTTTTACTGTTTGACTGTCTGTTTTAATGCCATGTTTTCTTTTAAGGGGCTGTTTAGGATTTTTCTCTCTAGAAATGGTTAAAGGGAACCTAACCTGCCTTATTCCAAAACAAAACAATACAGAACATCACTGCTCAAGCTCCTGACACAAAAGAACTTTTAAGAATGAAAATCATCATTTGCAGATGAAGAAATGAAATAGGTGACTCCAGGGATGATGGGCATGTAGATGATGTTTACATCAACTGAAAGAAGTACACATTTAAGGCAACCACCTCAGTACCAGCCAGAGAAGCTACTTTTTACAGAAAACATAACCATGTGCTTTATATGTATGTGTTTGTGGTGGGGGCACTGTTTGGGAGCAGGAAGCTAGCAGTTGGAGTGTAGTTACTAATTGAAGCTGCTAAGAAATATTCTCTGAAATTATCAAATGCAATGCATAATCTCTCAGCTAGAAACCATGTAGTGAGGTGTTCATAAATATAACCATATTAGAAAGTAGTCTGGGGAGCGAAGTGAAAAAGAGCAAAGTATTTGGCTAGCTAATGAACAGGGGGAACAACAAAGGTTGTTCTTTATACTTAGTAGGGGCAATCAGTTCTTCAGAGAAAGTGAAGTGGATGAATTGAATCAATTACCTCCTTAATTTCATGAAGGGTGGAAGACAGATGTGGTTTAAGTCCCCCAAACCACACCTATCCCCCACCCTTTATAAGTTATTGCCACAGCTTGAATCACTCAGCTAAATAACTGCCTTTGATGGGAATGGGGGTGCGGGGGAGTGTTTGCATAAACCCAAGTTCCTAAGCTTTCAGATATATACACTCTAGTAATTTCATACACTGGGCTGGTTCTTTAAGATTGTCTCTACAGAAAAGGGCTCCTTAAAGGGTTCACATCTTGTTCTCAGCAAACTAATGATAAAATCTCCCTGGGACTCCTGTGTATCATTTACCAAGGAGCAAACCATGTCTTCCAATTCACACCACAGCCGATCTCCACATGGCACTGTTTTGTAAGTTCTGTAATGCTTGCATGTGATTTCTGAGATTATCTGAATTCCCAGATCTCACTCATGCTTTCAGCAGGCTGCAGCCACTGGAATACTTTTTCTTCTCCCTCTTCCTTCTGATCAAGAGCGGTCAAGAGAGAGTAGTTGTATTGGAGTAGTACTGGAGCAGTGGGGGTCTTAGATCTCTAGAATTCCAGAATCCCAGAATATCAGAGATGGAAGTGACCCTAGACATGATCAAATCAAATGCTCTCATTTTGCAGAGGCAGAAATGAGGTCCAGAGTAGGGAAAGTATCTCACCCAAGGTCTCACAAGTTCTCAACAGAACTAAGATGAAACACAGATTCTCTTTGGCTTCTGAAAGGTTAAAAATCAGTGACAAGAGCTGAAAAACACTCAGTTCCTGACAATGAGCCATATTTGCTCATTTGGCATTGTAGGCTTAGGTTTTCTGCGTGTTCTATTAACCAAAGAACAAGAGATTTCCAGGCTAACCAGTGATTCATGATAGATAATTTAAATGCATTTGCTTTTGTATCTCTTTTACAACCTTATAATTCACTAGCAAAAGATAACCATGTCTTGTTAATCATTTTTAGCTAGGCACTTGGCCTATACAAAATGATGAAATCCTTTTTTGTTTTTAGTACATAAGTGGTCAATATTATCATCCAAGATTTTCAAAACAACTACTTGGTTTTAGATAAGGAATTGTAATACAATCCTAATGCAGCTTTTTGACTCAGAAAAGTATTAGAAGTTGAATGAATAAGTTACCAATTTTCTGAAGTTGTGTTTTCTGGTTCACAGCCCAATTTAGTTGGTGTTGTAAAAATGTTTTTTTAAGTCTCTAAGGAGCTGGGCATCTAAGGGTGCTGAAGAAGCCTTCTCTACCTCTCAGGTGGTGGGGAGAGGGGTTAGAAAACAGCTGCCAGAGAGAAGCTGCCAATTTGGTTCTAAGATTCTCGGCCATCAGTAAACAGGACAGTGGTTCTCAAATTTTGGCTTGCCCCAGAATCATCAGGAAGGCTTATCAAAACACAGATTGCTGGGTCCCACCTCCAGAGCTTCTGATTTGGTAGGTCTGGCGTGGGACCTGAGTATGTGCATTTTGAACAAGGTCCCAGGTGATGAGGATGCTGCTGGTTGGGACCACACTCGAGAACCACTTAGGATAAAAATAATTCAGTTCTTCCAAGAGGATCATGGGTTTTTTTTTTCCTGATACTGAGGTGCAACAGATATTTCTGTGGGTCTTCATTAATGAAAAAGGTACTCTCTGCTGTGATAGATATGTCAAAAACCTTCCTGGAGCTGGCTGTCCTCCCTATATATCTTAATCCCTGGTAAGCCAGATTCACTGAACTCTTGGGCATCTATGCCCAAATCATCCAGGGTGCTTGGGGTGATCTCTCCAATGGGAGAAAGATGAAGTGCATAAACTTTTTGCCTCTTACTCAATTTCAAAATCTGTTTGTATATTTAAGAACTGAAAATTGAATGACTAGAACTCTCAATCTTTAAGTCTCTAATGATCAAGCTTTCTTCTTTTATACTTTTGCACTAGGAAGTTGGATGGATTTCTTTGTTATAGATTAATTGGGTTAGATCAATTATAGGATAATATAATTCGACATGTGGGTGTGTTTGGAGCTATGTAATAATTATTTCTGTTGTCACAAAGTTCTCTTTCATTACTTCTGGTCCTAAAACCTGATTGGTACAGTTTCATATTCCAAGGGGAGCTTACTGTTCAGAATGGCCTCTGCAGAGACCAGGTAAAATAAATACAACTGTGCCATGGAACAGTTGTACTATTCTACTCTACATGGTAGAGTAGAAAGCCAAGAGGTAGAAGCAAAGAGTAGAAATTCCAATTGAATCTTTGAAATGGAATTTTTTGTTAAAGGCAAATTCTTGTCATGATTAAACTTAATGGCTCTGTAAAAGTGGACAACCATGTAGGCTGTTGGCAGACTTAGGTACCTTTATAGATGCCCTTATCACTGTACTTGTCCATCCACACATGCCTAATGGTGTATGCTATGATCCAGGTGAAATTCTACTATTATAATAGATTGAGACAATTTTGTGATTACATAAAATGTTTAGGCTTCCTGCATATATTGAAGTACAAACTATTAAGTAGATGAATTTTTCTCTTAATGCATTTCTATCTTTCTTCTCAGTAATCTTCCTTTTCCTGGAATTCTCTGCTATATCCTCAACCATGTGTACCATTCCCATATGGCTTACTTTCAGCTTCCTACTTCTTAATCCTGTTCAGGTGCCTCAAATCAATGAAAATTGTACATTTACCATATAGCTCCACAATTTCACTTCTAGGCTTCTACCCAAAATAAATGAAAACATACATCTACACAAAGACTAGTAAGAAAAATGAACATTGAAGCATTTTTTGTAAAATCAAATGAGAAATAACCCAAATGTCTGTCTGTTATGTTAGCAAGTGGGTTAACAAAATGTGGCTTACCCAGGCAATGGAATACTACACAGCAATAAAAAAGGACAATTGATACTTATTACAACATGGACGAATCTTAAACGTATGCAATGAAAGACACCAGATATACTATATGATTCCTTAATATGAAATTGCTAGAAAAGACAAAACCATAAATTATAGACAACTCACAAATAGTTGCCTGGGTCTGAAGGTTGGGGCAGGGATGACTGCTAAGCAGTACAGGGAATATTTAGGAAAGATGGAAGTATTCCAAAACTATGTGGTGTGATGATGATGGATGCATGATTGTATACATTTATTAAAACTCAACCTTTACACTTAGAATAGGTGCATTTATGGTATATAAGTTATGCCTCAATGAAGCTGAAAAATGGGGAGAATAAAAGTAAGCCCAGGGCCAGATGCCATTGAGGGATAGGGATGAGTGGGACATTTTCTAGCAAGTCTCACCTGTGCACAGGATGGAGCCAGCTCTGCCTAATGCTGCCGCTGATCCAGTGGGCATCAGGCCACCCTGCAGTCTCCACAGCCTCTGTCAGGACTAGGGCTCTTGCTCTTGGGAGATACTGAGATGAGTAAGACTTAGCACCTGTCCTCAAAGAGGTTAATGAAAGAGATAAAGGACACAAATAGCCAGAAAATCTGAATTTCTGTGGCTCCAACACATACTTGCTCACACATAATGTTTAGCTTCCTGCAACGCCCTCACCTCAAGCACTTCTAGGAGCCCCTAACAATGAGAGTCCTGCCAGTATGTTCTCACTGGCACTGTTGCTGTTCCACTGGGTGCCCCATGCTCTGCCCTGCAGTCTCTATGTTACTCTGCCAAGACTTATAGTCTTTTGCATTGTTCCACCAAGCACAGCAGTCCCTCTTCAGTGATCACGACTAGTTTACTGAGCATTGCCAGTATGACAAGGTATGATAAGCCTGCAAATAAAAAAGAAGTTCTTATTAATCTGCCATAGTGGCACGTGCCTATAGTCCCAGCTACTTTGGAGGCTGAGGTAGGAGGCTTGCCTGAGCCCAGGAGTTCAAGGCTGTAGTGAATGATGATCACACCACTGCACTCCAGCCTGGGTAACAACAGCAAGACCCTGTGTCTAAAAATAATTTAAAAAAAGAAAAGAGAAGGCCAGGTGCAGTGGCTCACACCTGTAATCCCAGCACTTTGGGAAGCCGAGGCAGGCAGACCACTTGAGGCCAGGAGTTTGAGACCAGCCTGGCCAACGTGACAAAACCCCACCTCTAATAAAATTACAAAAAATTAGCCAGGCATGGTGGTGGGTGCCTGTAGTCCCAGCTACTCAGGAGGCTGAGGTACAAGAATCACTTGAACCCGGGAGGCAGAGGTTGCAGTGAGCTGAGATCGAGCCATTGCACTCCAGCCTGGGTGACAGAGTGAGACTCTATCTCAAAACAAACAAACAATCAACAAAAACCAAAAAAAGGAAAAGAAAAAAGAAAAAAATAGTAAGGTCTCATCCTTTAATAGCCAAATTATAATGGCATCAAGACCCTCCCCCATTTTTTCTAGAAAAATTTCTAGAACTGTTGTTTCGCCCTTTAAACAGAGCCAAGAATCTGTAGGTTGCTTTTGCATATCCACATAGCCACAAATCAGTCCTCTACTTTATTTGATACAGTCTGCTGGGCCTCTTAAAATGGACTTCACAACTACTGACATCAAGGAGGTCTCACTTGCTGCTCTCAGTTGACTGATTCTGTTATTCCCGTTTATCTATGAGGAAGCTGAAGCACAGGGCAAATCAAGTTCTCAAGCTGAACCCAGGGAGCTGGCTCTATAGTTTGTGCTCATAACCACTACCCCATCAGACGGAGGTGGCCTCAATCCAGCCACCAGTTTCAACTGGTTCCAGCATAGAATGCTGACTTGATCCATCCTCATCAAGATGGTTTCTGAAGGTGCCATCTGTACTCTGTCAGGCTTAGATGTCCTAAAGAAAACCTGCCTGGGTTCCTGAGGATTTTGACTCTCTCATGGCTTAGATGCAGCTCTTGCCTTTGAGGAGCATCCACCGAGTGTCCTGAACCAGAACCCTCTCCAGTGATCTGGACTCCAATTCTCCCTCCATGGAAAGTGTCCTCTCAGGGCACAACAATTGCTCATTCTCTGCAGTTTGGCCTCATTGGGACCATTAGAGAGGCCACTAGACAGACATCACTTATACCTTTGACCTCAGTGGGCCGGGTTAGGGATTTCATTCCCTTCACTGTCATTAGACTCCTTCATGGATGCAAATAAGTCCCTGGATAGGACACCGGCCTGCATTCGAGGATTCTGGGCTGGAGGCAGATTCGTGCCTGAGTCAGCTCTGTTGCACTTGGCTGTTGCCTTCCGTCAGGAGACTTTATCTCTTCGGAGGCCCTCTTCCCTACCACTGTTCCTCCAAATTACCAGACTTGCCTGCGATGTTGGAACCCTAGCAAGGGCCACAACCTAGGCACAAACTAGAATCCATGTCACAAGTGAGATAGAAGTAAATTCTATCATAGTTCAGAGAAAATAGGCCAGTTGGAGGAGACTTGGGGGATCAGGAAAGGACTCATGGGACAGTCCATTTTTTCAGAGGAACTGTGAAGGATTGAAGTAGGTAGAGATGAAGGACAGGGAAGAAGTCACAAATAATTATCAAAGACACAGAGGTGGGAGTGTGTGGGGGCATGTTCAGGGAATGAACAGTGCTGTGTGGCTGAAGGGTGGGTGTGGATAGGAAAGCAAGGTGAAGTAAGCCTGGCCAGGCAGGTTGACATTAACTTGTGAAAAACACTTGAATGCTGTGAGCTGAGTCTGCAGTTCATTCAGCAGTCAATAAGAAGTTATTTCTAATTTTTTGAGCAGAAGAGGGATTGGTTTGGACCCACCCCTCTCCACAATCTCGGAAGAGGTCCCAGGGGCATTCTCATATATTTTGGTTGACAATTTGGGAATGTAGCAGCCACACTACACTTGTGGTTGGGCTGTGCACTTCAGTGAACTAAAGTGGGTGTCTGGATTCGCTTGGCTCCTTTAAAAACATACGAGGCACACCTTGTCCCTCAAGAAATGCACTGAACCATACCTAAGGGGTGTACCATGGCAGAGTGGCTGTGCCCCTGGAATCACGTCTGAACATTATTTTGACCTGCTCGTCCTTCATCCCATCTTTGACCACACTGCCTCTAAGTCTTACTTAGTTTTAAGGCCTGACCTTGTTTTGCTTTTCCAGTTCCCATCTTCTGGGTCCACCCAGTACAAGCAGTGCTTATTGGAGCATAGTGAGGGACTGGCAATGAGGGGCTTCAAAAGGTGGTTATTGGGCCAAGTCAACAAAAAAATCTGTTTGCTGGAGCTGTCTCTGGGAGAGATAAGCCACATGGTTGTGGAGGAAAGTGTTCTAGCTCAAATAAAAATCATAGCTAGGTTCAAATATGAAGAGCAAAACACACATTTTCCTTTGTCATCTCATTAGACTACACTAGCCTTGCATATAGGTGGAAGAGGTGCCACCTCAATGGCTTGATCCAAGATGGAATGACAGACACCATGTACTGAGCATCTACTGTAGGCTGGGTGCTATAGGTATTCTTTATGTATGTTATCTCATTTAATCCTGAGACAGCTCTGAGAGGTAGATGATATTCTTTTGCATTTTAGAGGTGAAGAAAGCAAGCCTTAGAAGGTAAAGAAATTTGCTTAAGGTCATGTATGGTAAATGCACCTAAGCAATAACAAGCATTCCCAGAGAACCACTCTGTATAGCACATGCACCTGAGTGTGTGTTCCCAGCTAGAGAGTGGCCAGCCTGGGGAGTCCTTCCTTGTCTATGAGGAACATCTGAGCCCCCTGCCTGTCCCGTGGAACACGGACCATACAGGGGCTTGGGGGCCCAAGTTTTGGGTTGCGTAAAGGTTGCCAAATGGAGGTTGTTAGGGAAAGGATGCTAAGTGAAAATGCTATATAAACTGCATGCTTTTTGCAAGTGGTTGCAGTTCTCCTGCCTAGCCCACCACCACTGGACTATCTCCCCATACGTAAGCCCCAGTAAAACCCTATGTCTTGTTCACTAGCTCTGGGTCTCTTCTTCAGCCTCTGGAGCCTGGTGCCATCCCCACTGGAGCTGACAGGGGTTTGGCATGACAGGTCACACACATCTGTAAGTGGAAGAGCCAGAGTTCAAATCCAGAGCTTTCTAGTACCAAGTTGCATTTTCTTTTTATTCATCTACAAGGGCAGACAAAAAAGGAAGAACCACAACGATGAGTTGGAAGCAGGGCAAAATCAGATACAAGGAATGAAGGCTGTTTATAGTTGAGTCAGTGCTGGAGCACCTTTTGTTTGTGAAGGTATCTGGTGCACAGGCAGGTGTGGCTATTTAAAAGATCTACTTTCTAGAACCCTGGCCTTTCTTTTTAAACTTATTTTTAATTTATACATAAGAGATGTATATATTTTGAGGGTACATGTGAAAATTTGATGCATTCATATAATGTGTAAGGATCACATTGGTGTCATTGGAATATCTATCACCTTAAATATTTGTCTTTTTTTTTTTTTGGAAACGGAGTCTTGCTCTGTCACATAGCCTGCAGTACAGTGGCACAATCTTGGCTCACTGCAGCCTCTGCCTCCCGGGCTCAAGCGATTCTCCTGCCTCAGCCTCCTGAGTAGCTGGGACTACAGGCGCCCGCCACCATGCCCAGCTAATTTTTGTACTTTTTTTTAGTAGCGATGAGGTTTTACCATGTTGGCCAGGCTGGTCTCGAGCTCCTGACCTCAAGTGATCCGCCCACCTCAGCCTCCCAAAGTTGTGGAATTACAGGCGTGAGCCAACACACCTGGCCTCTATTTGTCTTTTCTTTATGCTAAGAACATTTGAATTATTCTCTTTTAGCTTTTTTCAAACGTACACTAGATTATTCTTAACTATAGTCACCCTAGACTAGATCTTATTTCTTCTCTCTAACTGTATATTTATACAGATGTATCAACCTCTATTCATCCTCCCTTCCCTCTATTTTTCTGATTAGCAACCTGGATGATCTTCAACTGAGATTCCTATGACACTAACTTGGGACCTCCAAGGCCTTGATGATCAGTTTTGAATAGCTGGATCTGGCCTGGTTTCTATGAGTTGGTCTCATATTTGTGTGGGGGGCGGGTGGTGATGAAGGGAGTAGTAGACAATAAAGCTAAGAAGCTAGAGCTTCTTACCTGGCTCTAGGAAGACATGGAAGTACATAAATCAGAGAAGATGGGATATATGGAATGGGAGGATGAGGATCAGTTATTCCTTGCTGTTTCAGGGGATTCTTCCAGATTCTCACAGCAATACTCAGACTTACGATTCACACACCTCCAACCCCACCAAGAAACAACAGAACTCCTCATCTAAGGAGGGAGATGAAGTGTATCTTGTAAATTATCAAAGAGGGACATGGGCTCAAGTTTAGGAAAGGTAGACAAAAGGTAGGGCTGAAGTCATCTAAATTAAGCAGAGCAGAGCCACCGAAGTAAGAAAGGTAGCTTGAAGCTGAGGTCAGAATGCTCGCCTAAAGCTCCTTAAATACCCCTCTGCCTCAAAGCCAAGGCTGATCATGTGGACTGAGGGGTGGGACTGAATGCATAGATGGGAGACATATATTCCCAGGAGTGAGGACAGGAGGATGTCATAGTCCAAGATACAACAGGATCTGCACTATCCCTCTCCCAGGCCATGTAAACCCCTTATGGTCTGGTACAAGAGACAAGTGACTTTCCTGAGCAGTGTTTATCCCCCAAACAGCCCTCTTTTGGAAGACAGACTCCCAGTCTCTAGGGACCATGTCTATGGTGTCTTTATTACTGAGTGTTATTTGGGTGTCTAAAACACATTTCTAGTAGAAGTACAGAGGATCTGAATAATAAAACACCGCACACCATGAGACAAACTAAATATCAGTTCTAGGAACATAAACACATAGATGAGCTGAGTTAATAGATGTGAATAACAAAAATAGTTTGAAGCTCAGGAGATGCACACAAATTCTGTAATAATAAGAAGTGGACTATAGACTGCTGACAAGCAAAACAAAGTGCTGTGGCATGGTGAATATGTTATTGTGCTTCAATTCACATTTTCTTTCTTTCTTTTATTGCTTCTAAGATGCCTGTTTTCCCACAGTCTCCACTTTCCTTCTAGCAGAGTGAGGAGGTGATGAGCTCCCCTGCATCCCCTAGCATGTGTAAAAAGCCAAGGGGCCAGCCCTTTTCCTTCCCCAGTAGAGAGCACCTTGCCTTGGCAGCAGCAGGGGGAGTTTAGGAAGAGGTAGGACTAAGCTGGGAGTTCCTTGCACAACAGGCCTTTATCACTCCAAAGCCAACCTCACCTAAGAGATAGCTACCTACTGCAGCAAAATGCAAAAAGTTTTCAATCTTCCTTCCTGTTTACATTCAAGTATGTCTGACACATCCTCGGAGCAGTTGGCCAGGCCTGCTCCTTGAAGTGGCGTGAGGCTAGGGAGGCAGTTCTGTGTTCCAGGCTATTTACTGGGCTTGCTACATGGACTTAGATGCCAGTCTGAGTCTCATCTTAGCTAACTAGGGGCCCAGCGCAGACCTGAGATTGGGGGACAAGCTTCCCCCGATTAACCTGAGGTTGGTGAACAGAGGTGGGATGAGAAAAAGGCTTCCAAACTAAAACCTCTCTATCATCACCCCTTTCCAATTTTCCTTGTCTTTTAGAGTAGGGAAACAAGTTTTCCTACAAGCGCAATGAAATGTACTGTTTTAGAGATTTATCTCACACGCCCCACATGCTTGACTGCACATCAAGTTATGCAAAGTTACATAATCTCAAAGATGATCTCTTGGCAGATCTTGAAAAGGTTATATGATTGCAACAACCATGAGTACCAAAGAGGGATATGTTAGTGAAGCTGAAACAACAATTTGCCAATGTAGCCACTCTAGAGTCCTCTAGAGTCTAGATTGCACTTCTTACAGTCCTCAGCACTTGGAGCTGTCTGCCTCACTCCATTTTTTTAGCTCACATTTTCTTGAAAGCATCTGTAGTTAGGACTTTTACAGGGCAAGGGTATTGGATTTAAGGTAACGTTTTACTCTTTCTGCTGCATTTACTATGGATGAAGGAACACTATCTCTTTTGGTTTCTAAAACAAATAAGCCAGGACTAATCCTTGAGTCTTTGGCAGTGACTCAATGGCCTACAATGAGGGTGACTTGAGAAGGATATGTGATCATGACTTTGAGAAGCATAAAAACAGAAGCCAGAAAATAAGGATTCAAACTCTTCCTAAATGGATTCATTCTCTGCACATAAGGATCAATACTTACACTCTCTCCTTTATTCTATTTTCTTCCCTCTGTTTTGTAATCTAGACTGTGGGTTCTCCACACCTCACCTCTCTCTTGGGTAGACTGAGATAGGGCAGCTCCATTTAGAGCCTGATCTATTTCCAACAGAAGCAGATGTGCACTGATTATTAGGGGGGCAGAACAAGAGTCATCCTCCCATTACTTGATGCGCAGAAAGGCATTGCAAAAGGAGAATCACAGAAAGCAGGAAGAGGTGGAGGAAATGTTGCTGCCTCGTGAGGTCTAGAACCTAGTTCATGGGCCTCTGCTTCTTTGCACCTGTGGCCTCTGAAGATCTCTCCTCTCTGAGAGACAGAAATTGAATAGCTGTCTTAGGGTTTCCTATGATGCTGGGAACTGAAAGTACCATCAGCTTTTCCATTTTTCCAGAGCCTGATTTCTTTCCAGTAGGAGCAATTGTGCACTGATTATAAGGGAGATGGATCAAGAGACATCGTTCCCTTGCTAGGTAGCTTGGAAGAAGCCCAGAGGGAGAATGAGTTGGATGACCCAGATGGAGAGATTCGGTATTAGTCAAGAGAACAGTGGGAACAACAGAGACAGAGTCACTGTCCTGTCCACACAAGCTGCCCCTTCATAGGGGTTGTCCATGTAGGAGGAGGCTTAATGTGAAGACCAGATAGGGAGCTCTGACATTAGTCCTCCACAGTATTATAGAAACATTGGAGAACACGTGTCAGCCCCGAACACAGGGTGTAGGAGATCCCTTTTCTGGGATACAGCAGCTGTGTTCTTTCTTTTACAGAGACAGCCGCCTGGAATTACTCACAGCTTTTCTATCATCCTCAAGCTTTAACTATGTGGAAGCATAAGTGTGGGTGGTGATTTGTGGTAGAAAATTGTGCATCAATAGTGATCCATGCTTTGTGTGATGGGCTGGTAGGCAGCTCAGAGGCTGGTTTGCCAAAAAGGCTGCCCCTGTTTAGGGACCTCTGAAAGCATTCTGTGGTAGAAATAATAATGGGGGAGCTGTTGCCCTGTCCCTTCTAGCATGTCTTTTCCAGCCCTTTTCTATTGTGCCAATAGACTCACTCACTCTATACCTACCTTCCTTTCTCCCTTTACTGCTATTTCTGTGTCTTTTACGCAGAATCAGAGGCTGGGTGTACCTAAGGTTTTGTTTTTTTTTTTCTTCTTCTTCATTTTTCTGCTTTATCTTTGTCCCTGGGAAAAGCATGTGTTGCTTCATAAGGGAAATTGATTAGTTAATGATGACTTATTTTAGGGCTTTCAAAAGGGTCCAAAGAAGTAAGCACCCCTGGGATAATTGAGTATTATTTACCTTAGGACTGAATTGGCAATGATGGAATTGAAGTAGGGACAGAGAGAAAGAGTTTGGCTGATTTATAATGGGCCCTGCAAATTATGCATAGACTACAACTCATTCTAATGCTAGCCATGTTTAAGGGTACCTGTGCCACCTCTCATCCATCTTACTTCCCTTCACTCTCACCCCTGTCCCATTTTATAAGGATGTCTCTAAAACCAAAACCAGTAAAATGAATGAGCCCATGCTTAAAAGGAATATTTCCTCTGGTTGCTGGGGTCAGCCTTTGGCCTATCTTCCTCCTTGCCTCTTTCTTCTTAATAGTTTCCACTATTCGCTACTCCTACTCATTGGCCTGGATGCCAAGGTCAAAATCCCCCTTCCCTCACTTCACCCTGCATGCCCCCTTCCTCCATGCTAAGGCATTGGGAAGCAGGATACCACAGGGGCAGGCCTGGGGACTGGCCTTTAGGGCCCTCCCACCCCAAGTTTGCTTCATGGTCCCATTTTCTGTGAGAGGATAGCTCTTGAGGACTAGAGTTCACCCTCTTTTTCCAAGGAGACAGTCCCTTACCTCTATTGGCTATACCCGATAGAAGAGTTGGTACCTGACACCCCACAGGTGGGCCTCTCCTACTTTCTGCTAATAAGGGCTTCACCCTTCTCTCCCTCTGGCAGCTCTTTCTGAACATTTCTAGGCTTTTCCAGCTGTAGGGCCAGCTTTACAGGCACATGACCTGGGTAGTTACACAGGGCCCACTGCATAGAAGGGCCCTATGTTTGGTTTCATGTTCTGCTGTCATTATCTTGAAAATCTCAATAATTTTTGAACAAGGGGTCCCACGTTTTATGCTGTCATTATCTTGAAAATCTTAATAATTTTTGAACAAGGGGTCCCACGTTTTAATTTTTCCTGGGCCCTGCAAATTATGTAGCTGGTCCTGTGTGGCTGCCATAGCCTGAGATCAGGAAGGAAATTGCACACAGTGTACTTCCTCCCTGCCAAACCAGGCCCCATGTGGGGTGCCAGATCTTGTTCTTCAGAACCTTGGTTGAACAGCTCCACCAGCCTTGCCCAACCGCTGGCTGATCAGCCATGACCCCTTCTCCAGTGCCCCTTGTTCTCTCCTCACAGGCTTTATGTCCTGGGGCTTTTTTAGTGTAGACCGTGACCTTACCTCTTAGCAGACTTCAGTGGATGCCTTAGGTCAAGGGTGACTTTTCCCTGCTGGATAGGGTGGATGTGTATTATCTCTAACCATGGGGTCTCCATTGAAAGACTGCCCCTCTCAAGGGCCAGCAGGTATCAGGGCAGAAATACACATGTGATAATTTGTGATGAACAGGGGTGCTTGGCTCAGATTTCTTGAATTTTGTAGGGCCTGCTTTGTAGTGTGTTCCCAACCATGTCTTTGTGCAGCAAAGCAAGGATGACCTAAACTGACCCTTCCCTGGGATCCTCCCGGCACTCAGGGGAAGCCTGGTGAGCAGGACGTGGCCCAGCCCTAAACTGCTTAGAAGAGACTAAGGTTAAGGTGGCTGCAGCCCTCTGTGTCTGCTTGGGACAGGAGAGTGGAAGTCGTGGTGTGAGTCCAGTCCCTCTCTCCCTCCCACCCTCCTTCCCACCTACCCTTCCTTCCTTCCTTCCTTCCTGCCTCTCTCTCTCCCTCCCTTCCTTCCTTCCTTCCTCTTTTCCTCCCTCCCTTCCTTTTTTCCTCCCTCCCTTCCTCCCTTCATTTCTCCCCTTCTTCCCTTCATTCCTCCCTCCCTTCCTCCCTTCATTCCTCCCCTTCTTCCCTTCATTCCTCCCTCCCTTCCTCCCTTCATTCCTCCCCTTCTTCCTCTCTCCCTCCCTTCTTGCCACTCTCCTTCCTTCTCTGCCTTCCTTCCCTTATTTTTATGTCTGTGAAGCTGTCTCGGCTCTTAGATCACCAGGTAGTAGCTCTCAGTATTGGGTACCCTGGCACTTTGCCAGGGGACCAGTGGAACGCCTCCAGGAAAGTGGCTCACTTTGCCTGGCAGTGATGGCATGTGCAATCTGCCTTAGCTCCTTTTAGCTATGGCCAGTGGTCTGGTCACATCATCCCAGAGCCAGACATCCTGAAGGTGAGTGGGGCCTCTGTGCTTTAAAGGGGGCCTTCTCTGTATGGCTTCTTCCAGAAAGTTCTCCATTCCCAGTTTTGGTGCCAAAGAAGGGGTGGATAGTCTTGGTGGACTGACTTCTTGGGTGTGCTTGAGCTGCCCTGGGCTGTGGTGGTTGAGGGGCATCACAAGGGAAACAGTGGGACCAGGTAGAGCCGGAGACAAGCACAAGCTGGTGATACTTGGAAGCACTGGATGTAAAGACCTCTGCTTTTCTCTACTTCAGACCTGGAGCAAAGGCCAGCCCAGCAGGCAAAGTGTGACCACAACAGGCAATTGGTGAGTGGGTGGTGGAATCAATATCTGTGCCAAAAGAAGTGCCCTCTGATGGGGGGTGAGGAGTAAGGGTGAAGGGACGGCTGTGGGGGCTAGTAGTGGGGCAATGAAGAATCTGGTGAGATACAAGAGAAATTCAGACGGGCTGACAGGAAACTGTTAACAGGTATCAGAGACTAGTAAGAGGAGCCAGCAAGAGCAAGGATGATGTGGTGGGATCATGACAGAAAGACATGGAGGTCAGGCTGTTTGCAATTCATTTCTTGCTCTTGGCTTACTAGCTGGGTGTGTTAGGCTGTACTTGCATTGCTGTAAAGAAATACCTGAGACTGTTACAAAGAGAAGAGGTTTAATTGGCTCACAGTTCTACAGGCTGTACAGGAAGCATGGTGCCAACATTTGCTTAGCTTCTGGGGAGGCCTCAGGAAGCTACAATCATGGTGATAAATGAAGGAGGAACAGAGACATCACATAGCAAAAGGAGGAGCAACAGAGAGAGTGGGGAGGGAGAGGAGGTGTCATACACTTTTAAACGACCAGATCTAGTGTGAACTCAGAGGGAGAGCTCGCTTATCACCTAGGGGATGGCCCAAGCCATTCATGAGGGATCCACTCCCATAATCCAAATGCCTCCCACCAGGCCCCACCTCCAACACTGGGGATTACATTTCAACCTGAGATTTGGGCAGGGACAAATATCCAAACCATATCTCTGGGTAAGCACAAAGACCCCAAAGGTTTGGAACAGCTTTCTTGACTGCTAGCGAACACTCACCCTTAGTTGCAGTGCACTCTGCTAATTGGTAGGGTCCTACCTAGTCCGGATTGCAGAAGGAGCCAGTCTACTCTGACCGGGTGAAGTAGCATTGTCTCACCTAAGCCTTGGCTCCCCGTCAATTGTTGCTGGTGGGGCTCCCCTTGGCTGTTGTGACTGCAGTATGCTGAGGTCCATATCCACTTAAGGGGGGTGGCTACAGAGAACCCTGCAAAGCCCTAACGGCTTTTGCTATTATGGCTGCCTCTGCCTCTGTCACAAAGACCCAAATTCGCCCAGGTATAGAGACCCATCGTTGGTGCCCTGTGACAAAATCTTTGATGCAATCCAGCCCTGAATGCCCAAATCCTTCACTGCCAAAGAGGCCTCAGGTCACCACTGCATCCTATTTGCAATGCACAACTGGCTGCCAAGGAGCCTGGGTATTAGTGCTGTGCTCCAGAATTCCAGCATGCTAAGGTGCTGGCTCTATCTAACATGAAATCACACACCCTGGCTGCCATGGCAAAACTGAAAGCCGAGGAAGGCAACGCTGCTTCAGAGGATATAAACTGGGACTCCTCAGAGGAGGAAGCCCACCACCATGAACAACAAGAAGTAAAAGTTCCAGCAGCTTACCTCGTAATCAGCCACAAGATAGCAACTAGAGGGTAAGAAACAGGAATGCAAAGTAAAACCTAACATCTGACCCTATTGGAAATTCAAAATCTAATTAAAGGTTACATGCAAATGAACAATGAAAAAGGGACTGATTGGCTATTATACCTCTTCAACAATGGCTGTGAGCTAAACTTGTCCCCTTCTGAGATCCACCAAGTGATAAGTATCTCACGTGACCTGTTAGTTAGCAACATATTGCAGGCTCCTACTGACCTCTTAAAAGGGGCCTGTCCAAAATACAATATTCCCTGAAGAGACACCCTCTCTCCTACTTTGGAGTTTTGTGGCCCAACTAAGAGCCCACCCCAGCACAGTAGTACTCAGTGTCAGGGCCCTTACTAACTAGACCTCGTTAGGAGAAGGCAGACAACTGCTCAAGGGAACTGGTATGGTCCAGTAGGTCCACCACTTTGGTGAACGCCTAGAAGGCAGAAATGCCCTTACCAGCCCTGTAAAGACCTCCCTAGATGCACATGCCTGACAGCTATTTATCAGGAGAAGGACTCCAAATTTCAGGGCATCCCCGCTACCCCTAACTGGACAAGCAGGCCCTGTAAAAGAGGCCCTGAAGGGATTACTGGCCAACCATCAGGCCAGTCTCAATACCACAATCTACCACATCCTAACACGAAATAAGCCCTTTAAACAAAAGAGTGCTGATAAGGGCCCCGGGGCCAAATTCAACCCCACCTCCCCAGACAAGACAGCCCCACCTCCCCAGACAAGACAGCCCCACCTCCCCAGACAAGACAACTCCACCTCCCCAGACTCATCACTGGTACCAGAAACTTCAAGATTTTAGGTATCCTCAACCACTAAATCTAAGGGAAAAGTGTCTTGGAACTATAGGACACCTTAGAACTGGCCATACAAATAGCCCAGCACCACCAATTAAAACAGTTAACAATATAACTCAAATTTTACACGAGAAAATTCCCTGAACTCCCAGGGACCTTTTCTCCTGGGTATCCCCTGCAGCCTTGGATGATTGGCCGTACACCTTGTTCCAGGGTCCCTCTTGCTAGCAGGTGGATGTTTCATACTGAGCTGGGTCTGGACAACCAGCACCACCTGCATGTAAGTATATTTAAAAGAGTCCTGGCACAATGAACCAAATGTCAGGGAGTGAATTGTGGAAAAATGGAGCCAAACTCTTAGCACCTCTTAGCAAAATGAGCCAAGTCACTCTTAGCAAAATGACATTTGACAAAACTATTTACATCTGCCAGGTCAAAAAAAACCATCAGAAGCACCAGCTGTACTCACTATGCCCATTAATTCCCTTATGAGGCAACCTGCCCTGCTTCTTTTGATCTCTAATTATCCACAGCACGATAATAGCCTGAAATTAGCCTCTGACATTATTTGAAAATCCTGCAGGCAGGCTCCTGTTCTTTATACATATCCTCAGGAACTGGTTCTGTCTTTCTTTCTTTTCCCACAACCCCCTCCCCACCCTGGAAGATAGACAAAGCGAGGAAAAAGGAAAATCCCTGGGGGAAAGGGCCCTCGGGCAAGAGGGCTCTCTGATGTTTAGGCACAGGAAGAAAGAGAGAGAATGGGCCGGCCTGGTGGCTCATGCCTGTAATCCCAGCACTTTGGGAGGACGAGTTGGGTGGATCACCTGAGGTCAGAACTTTGAGACCAGCCTGACCAACATGGAGAAATCCCGTCTCTACTAAAAATACAAAATTAGCCGGGCGTGGTGGTGCATGCCTGTAATCCCAGCTACTCAGGAGGCTGAGGCAGGAGAATTGCTTGAACCCGGGAGGTGGAGGTTGCAGTGAGTCGAGATCGCACCATTGCACTCCAGCCTGGGCAACAAGAGCGAAACTCCGTCTGAAAGAAAGGAAGGAAGGAAAGTATGAGCACATGCCTGGTTCTGGGGACAAACATATAGTAATGAATCTTTGAGTTACTTGTGATCACTGGCTCTTGTGTAGTGTGTTTTGACATCCAGTAGCTTTAAGCAGGAGCGAATAGCTGACCCAGCAATGGGCTGAGTCAGACTATAACAACCAGAGTCCTGAGTAGAATGCCAGGTTCAGGGAAGAGGTGTAAACCTAGAACAGGGGTACATGGAAGGCCTGGGCTTGGACCTTGGGACAAGGCATGTGCAGAGTGGTAAAGAGCACAGCTTTGCTACCTTCCTATTCATTCAGAGCAGCTAGCATGTGCCAAGTGCAGGTACTGGGCTAGGTGCCAAGAACAAAGTAACAACTAAGACTGAATGATATCTGTCTTAGCTGTATTAGTCTGCTTGGGCTGCCATAACAAAACACCATAGATTGGGGGCTTAAACAACAGATGTTTATTTTCTCACAGTTCTAGAGGCTGGAAGTCCCAGATCAAGGCCCAGCAGGGACAGTTCCTGGTGAGGACTCTCCTCCTGGCTTATGAGAGAGAGAGAGAGAATGAGCTTTCTGATGTCTCTTCTTATAAGGACACTAATCCTATCAGGTGAGTTCCCCACCCTTATGACTCATTGAACCTTTAACCTTAATTACTTCCTTATAGGTCCTATCTCCAAATATAGTCACATTAGGGGTTACTGCATCAACATATGAATTTCGGTGGGACACTATCCAGTCTGTTGCACTGGATTGAAAAGTTGGTGAATAGAAATGGCTCCAGCTCTACTACTAGCTACGTGGCCTTGGACAAATCACTTAACCATCCAGTGACTCAACTATTTCTCACCTGTAAAATGGGGATGGTAATGCCCATCTCACAGAATTGTTTTAAGGCGGTGGCAGCTCTTGGATTTCCATATAGGAGTGACTTAGTTAGAGGGGACAGCCAATGGGAGCTTATCTTGAATATCCTAGCAAGTACAGTGTTTTTCAGTGTTTTTTTTTTCCATTACTCACCTCCCCATATATATATATATATATATATTCCCCATATATATATATATTCCCCATATATATATATTCCCCATATATATGTATATTCCCCATATATATATATGGGGAGGTGAGTAGTGGAATGTATATATATATGTTGTTTTAAGGCATCTGATGGAGATAGGTAGGGGAGGGCAGATAAAGCCCCCATCTCTCGAGTCGCCCCTTGACTTAACACTTTGTGAGGATAAAACAAAACAATGTGTGTAAAGCACAGCGCCTGGCACGTAGTAGGAAAAACCTTAACAAAATCTGGTTATACAATGCGGTTCACAAGACTGGTTTTATGCAACCATGATCAGTGGGTGCATAAACAACAGATGCACCCACTGATTGCATAGATTTACAGTGGTTGTTAGTCCTCATGATGCCTCAGAATCATCTGAGGCTCTTTTAAGAGACACCTATGCCTAGGCCTAGCCCCAGAGGCTCTGAATCAATTAGTCTGGTGTGGGTTCCTAGCATCCACGCTTTAAAAAGTCTCTCAAGGTGATTTCTAATGTGCAGCAAGAGTTGAGAACGAATATTAGGGCCTAGAAATGTATCTAAGCCTCTCTTGGGCGTCAAATTAACATTGCCTGTTAAGAAGGGAGGCCTGTACACTCTAGGAATGAGTCAGGGCTTTCAAAGTAGGGTTGAGAGGAAAATAAATGACCATATTGATCTAACCACTGGGAGGGTAGCTATTCCCTTTCCCCTTTTCTCTTATCTTGTGAAGATACAGCACTATGTCAGTAGAACTGTAATCAGTGTTCTTTTTCATGCTTTTCCCAGTGGATATGCCACATCATAAGACACTTTGGAAACTCACTGGCTAATAGAATGAATAATTCAATCTTCAGGAAATTAGAAGCAGCACAAACATCCTTTATTTAATTTCTACTTTGAGCTCAAGATGTTGCTTGACAAATACATCTGAGAATATGTCTATCTTGTTTATTTCTGGGTCCACAGTGTCTATTCCAGTGGCTCATATAGAGTGGGTTCTCAGTAATTACTTGTTGAATGAATGAATAAATGAAATGAATATAGCTCTCCACACAGATCAATGGAACTGAGCTTAGCTGCCAGGACATATTCTAGTTTAGGGACCTGTGCATGTAAGCCTGGTCTCTTGTCTTTATATCAGTGGGTTAACGTTAATTGTTAAATAACTTATTGTAACTAAGAATTCTCATGTGTGCTGCCACCTCAGAAGACTAAAATAAGTGAAGACAAGGTAGACTTATGACCCTGGGTTCCTCCATCAATAGTTTTAATACTTCCTCCTGGAGTATGTGCCACTAGACCTGTGCAAGCTTGCATTTTGATTATTAAAAGAATTGGGTCATAGTGTTTAGTATCACCAGACTGTGATCAGACATTTACCCTATGACCTGAGAGGGAGATTGGGTTGTTGATAGAATAGACATTTGCTTAGCCTATTTGCTTGAGTTTACCTCTTTCTTACTTTTGTGTTCACTTTTATTACCATAGTTATAATTTGAAAAGAGCTTTGAAAGCATTAGTGAAAATGTTCCCTTAATGGAATCTTTGAGGGAGGCCCATAAGCTAGAATCAGTCCACAATCCCTTATCCAAAACCGTTGGGGGCCAGCTACATTTCAGAATTCAGAAATTTTTAGCTTTTAGAAAGATAACATGGTATATATGCTCTGTATTTGTTAACATCCCTAATGGGGTCTGAGGTAATATCCCATTAGAAAACACATTAATATTTCTGCAGTGAAATGTGTGTATCTTCACATTAAATAGAATAAATAAAGACCATAAATAGCCTAATGCCATTTCAAGACAGATTTGCCGTCAAATCCATTTTTAAAACTTACAATTTTCAGAGCCTTTTGGATTTTGGAATCGTAGATATAAGCTTATGGACCTATGACAGGCATTTCTTAATGGAAAGTGCTTGCAACGGTGCCTGGCACTTAGTACGAATTCAGTAACTGTTAGTTTTGTTATTGTCATCATTACCCACACCAATGTATCCACACTGACATACTTAAAAGAAGGACAACAGAGCTAGGGGCAAAGACATTATTTTATCCACCCACTTACAGAATACACTTTCAAATTTAGGAGCATACGAAAATAATCTTTAAAAAATCTGATTTATTTTTTTAAGAGTGGGGAGTGATGAGGGGAGCTCAAACTCTTTTTTTCCTTTTGTGGAGAGGCAAGGGTCTCACTGTGTCACCCAGGCTGGTCTCAAACTCCTGGGCTCAATTGATCCACCTGCCTCAGCCTCCCAAAATGCTGGGATTACAGGCATGAGCTGACTTCTGATTGAAAATGGAGTAGCCCATTCCTCCCAGGTCCTCCCTTTCACAATTAAAAATTACTGAACAGCCTGCAATCCCAACACTTTGGGATGCAGAGGCAGGAGGATCACTTCAGGCCAAGAGTTCAAGACCAGCCCTGGCAACATAACAAGACCCCATCTCTACAAAAAACATTTAAAATTAGTTGGGCATAGTGACATGTGCCTGTCATCCCGGCTACTCAGAAGGCTAAGGCAGGGGGATCACTGGAGCCCAGGAGTTCGAGGTTGCAGTGAGCCATAAGCATGCCACTGAACTCCAATCTGGGTGACAGAGAGACACTCCGTCTCTAAAACACACACACACACACACACACACACACACACACACACACAACACACACTGAAATTAACACAACAAACAAGCGTAGGAAGATTCTGAAAGATGGAAAGAAGGTAGACTATCTTAAGACCTCGGGACTTGAGGCTTTCATGGTGGTGAGTCCCCTGGATTTCCCCATTGCCTCCCATGTATCCTGGACAGGGTGCTGGAGAAGGGTGCTGTAACCCAGCACTGCCAACAGACAGAGAAAAAAGGGCTCCAAGAGAAGCCTGCTCCCCCTATCCAAAAGACTGGGAAAAGGGTGGCCTGACAGAATAGAAAAGAAGCTGAAAATACTTGCCTTAGTCCAGCCAAACACCAGTTGAAAAATTGCACCAGCCCCTATGGTTTTAGCAAGGCTGAGTAAAGAATTCATCTTCCACCCCAGACCCAGAGGAAGCAGGCAGTGTTCTGATCTCTCTGCCAGGGTCAGGCCAGCAGAGCCCAGCAGACAGGTGAGCCTCCACCTGCAACTAGGCATCAATGAGACGAAACAAGGTAGGGGTGTAGTGGGTCTGGTCTGCATTCTGATTTGCTGCCCAACCTTGGGTCAGTGGGACCCAGTGAGGAAATTAGTCTCCACCTTCACCCAGTGTCAACAAGTAGAATAAGGCAGAATGAGACAGTGATCTGCTTTTGCCACAGAATCAAGGTGGGGAAGGAGCTGGACTTCCACCCCACCCATCTGCAATGAGGAAGTGTGAGTTATCAATCACTTTCGCTGGGGTGATGTCAGCAGGGCCCAATGGGGAGCCGAATATCCACCTTCCCAGGGACCGATGCACTAGCACTACACCTAAATAGGATGGCTGCCTGCTAATAAGGAGGATTAAATAGGAACCAGATTCTCCTGACACAATACCCCAAATGTCCAGGATACAATAGAAAATCACTCATTACACCAAAAGTCAAGACAATCACACTTGAATGAGAACAATCAACAAATGCTGACACTGAGATGACCCAGATGTTGGAGTTATCTGACAATCTTTTTAAAACACAAATCATAAAAATGCATGAACAAGCAATTATGAATTCTCTTGAAACAAATAAAAAAGAGGAAAAAATTCAATAAGGAAATAGAAGCCATTCTGAGAAGAGCCAAATGGAAATTATAGAACTGAAATAAATTAATGAAAAAATAAATAACTCACTGGACAAACTCGACAACAGATTGGAGATAATAGAGGAAAGATTCAGTGAAATCAAAGATAAATCAATAGAAATTACCCAATCCAAACAACAGAGAGAAAACTGGAGGAAAAGTGAATCAGGGACCTGTGGGATAATAACAAAAGATCTAACACTTGTATCATTGGAATTCCAGAAGGAGAGAAGAAACAGTATGGGACTGAAAACATATTTGAAGAAATAATGTCTGAAAAATTCCCAAATTTATAGAAAGACATAGTCTTACAGATTCAAGGAGCTAAGCAAATCCTAATAGAATAGACCTACAGAAATATGTGAAAAGACACATCATAATGAAACCCCTGAAAACTAAAGGCAAGGAACAAAATCTTGAAAGCAGACAGAGAGAAATGAGACATTACTTACAGAGGAACAACAATTCAAATGACAGTGTATTTGTCACCTGGAAGCATGAAAGTCAGAAGGAAGTAGTTCTGGGGAAGCTGGTTCTTCGAGACTGGTAAACCTCTAGGAAGACTGACAAAGAGAAAGAGATGACAAAACACCAATATCAGGAATGGAACAAGATATACTACAGATCCTGCAGCCATAAGGAAAATAATAAGGGGCTACTGCAGACAATATACACATATAAATCTGAGAATTTAGAAGAAATAGTTCAATTCCTGAAAAGGCACAAAATACTAAAACTTACCCAATATAATAAAGATAATCTGAATCTTTCAATAACTATTAACAAAATCAAATCCATAATTTAAAACCTTCTGGAAAAGAAATCTTCATGCCTAGATAATTTTACTGGTAAAGTCTATTAAATATCTAAAGAAGAATTAACACCAGTTCTGTCTACCCAATCTCTCTCTCTCTCTCTTTTTTTTTTTTTTAAATAGAGTCTCTGTCGCCCAGGCTAGAATGCAGTGGTGCGATTTTGGCTCACTGCAACATCCACCTCCCGAGTTCAAGCAATTCTCATACCCCAGCCTACCGAGTAGCTGGGACTACAGGCATGTGCCACCACACCTGGCTATTTTTGAATTTTTAGTAGAGACGGGGTTTCGTCATGTTGGCCAGGCTGGTCTCAATCTCCTGACCTCAAGAGATCCACCCACTTCGGCCTCCCAAAGGCTGGAATTACAGGCATAAGCCACTGCACCCTGCCACTACCCAATCTCTTACAGAAAATAAAAGAAGAGGAAACACTTCCCAACTCATTTTATGATGCTCTAATATGAAAAACAGAGACAGTACCAAAAAAAAAAAGAGAGAGAGAGAGAAAACTTGAGACCAATTTCTCTTATGAATCTTGGTGCAAAAATCTTCAACAAAATATTAACAAATAGAACCCAGCAACATATAAAACAAATCATACACATCATGATCAAGCATGTATTATTCCAGGGATCCAAGATAAATTTGATATTTGAAAATCACTCAGTGTAATCCACCATATCAACATGCTAAAAAAGAAAAATCACATGATCGAACTAATCGATGCACAAAAATATTTGATAAAATACAACATGCATTCATGGTAAAAAAGAAAAAAAAAGCAAATTGGAAATAGGAAGTTCTTCAACTTAGTAAAGAACATTTACAAAAACCTCACAGCTAACATCATATATAATGGTGATAGACTGAATGCTTTACCTCAAAGATCAGCAGCAAGGCAAGAAAGTTCACCATTCACAATAGCAGAGACATGGAATCAACCTAAATGCTCATCAATGGTAGACCAAATAAAGAAAATGTGGTATATATACACTATGCAATACTATGCAACCATAAAAAAGAATGAGATCATGTCCTTTGCAGGAACATGAATGTAGCTGGAGGCCATTATCCTAAGCAAACTAATGCAGGAACAGAGAACCAAATACTGCATGTTCTCACTTATAAGTGGGAGCTAAATGATGAGAACACATGGATGCATAGAAAGGAACAATGCACATTGGGGCCTACTGAAGGGTAGAGGTTGGGAGGAGGGAGAGTATCCAGGAAAAACAACTAATGGGTACAAGGCTTAATACCTGGTGACTAAATAATTTGTACAATAAACCCCCATGACACAGTTTTACCTATATAACAAACCTGCGCATGTACTCCTGAACTTAAAATAAAAGTTAAGGCCGGGAGTGGTGGCTCACACCTGTAATCCCAGCACTTTGGGAGGCTGAGACAAGGGGAGTTCAAGACTAAAGATACAAAAAATTAGCCGGGCATGGTCGTGGGCACCTGTAATCCCAGCTACTTGGGAGGCTGAGGCAGAAGAATTGCTTGAACCCAGGAGGCAGAGTTTGCAGTGAGCCGAGATCGCACCATTGCATGCCAGCCTGGGCAACAAGAGTGAAACTCCGTCCCCCCCCGCAAAACAAAAACAAAAATAAAATCAAAATACAAGTTTAAAAAAAGTTCAATCTTATCATTCTTATTCAGTATAGTCCTAGAAGTTCTAGCCACTGCAATAAATCAAGAATAGAAATAAAAGCATCAAGATTGGAAAGAAAGAAAGAATGAAAAATGTCTCTATTGGAGATGACATGAATGTCTATATAGAAAATATCAAGAAATCTTTAAAAAGCTTATAAAATTGGTGAGTTAGCAAGGTGTTGGAATACAAGATCAACATGCAAAATTACCTCACATTCTTATGTAGCACCTCCTTGTCCATAGGAAATACATTCCAAGACCCCCCAGTGGACACCTAAAACCTCAGACAGCACTGAGCCCTATATATACTATGTTTTTTCCTATACATACATACATATATACATATGATAAAATTCTAATTTATAAATTAGGCACAGTAAGAGATTGTCTCCCAAAATACTGTTCAGACTGTGGTTGATAGATTGGGGGACTACTGTACTAGAAACAAACATATAGAAATGAAAATTTAAAACAATACTATTTTCAATCACTCTAAAGAAAATATATTACTTAGATACAAATAAAACAAAATGTGATAGGATCTCTATGCTGGAAATTATAAAATGCTGGTGTAAAAAATCAAAGCTGTAAATAAATAGGGAGATATGCCTTGTTCATGGATTGGGAGAATCAATATAGTAAAGATGTCAATTCTCCCCAAGTTGATCTACAGGTTTAATGCATTCTCTATCAAAATCTCAGAAAGATGTTTTGTAGATATAGACAAGATTATTTCAAAATATATACGGAAAGGCAAAAGAACTAGAATAGTTAAATCAGTTGCTAAAAAGAATAAATTACAAGGAATCACTCTACCTAATGTTAAGACTTACTATATAGCTATAGGAACCAAGACAATGTGGTATTGGCAAAGAAATAGATATGTAAATCAAGGTAACAGAATGAGAATCCTAGTATAGATGAACAGACATGTGTTCAATTATTATTATTATTTTTTTTTGAGACAGAGTCTCCTCTTGTTGCTCAGGCTGGAGTGCAATGATGCGATTTTGGCTCACTGCAACCTCTGCCTCCCGGGTTCAAGCGATTCTCCTGCATCAGCCTCCCGAGTAGCTAGGATTACAGGTGCACAATACTATGCCCAGCAAATTTTTTTGTATTTTTAATAGAGACAGGGTTTCACCATGTTGGCCAGGCTGGTCTTGAACTCCTGACCTCAGGTGATCCAAGCACCTAGGCCTCCCACGGTGCTGGGCTTTTTTTTTTTTTTTTTGACGGAATCGTGATCTGTCGCCCAAGATGGAGTGCAGTGGCATGATCTCACTGCAACCTCTGCCTCCTGGGTTCAAGCGATTCTCCTGCCTCAGCCTCCTGAGTAGCTGGGATTACAGGCGCCTGCCACCATGCCCAGCTAATTTTTGTATTTTTGGTAGAGACAGAGCTTCACCATGTTGACCAGGCTGGTCTCGAACTCCTGACCTCAAGTGATCCACCTGCCTTGGCCTCCCAAAATGCTGGGATTACAGGCATGAGCCACTGCGCCCAGCCTCACTTCATTTTTGACAAAGGTACAAAAGCAATTCAATGGAGGAAGGATAATGCTTTCAACAAATGGTGTTAGAACAACCTCACACCATATTTAAAACTTAATTCAAAATGGATAATAGGTTTAAATGAAAACATAAAATTATTTTTAAAATTTAGAAGAAAACATAGAAGAAAATTTTTGTGATCCAGAGCTAAGAAAGGAGTTCTTAGACATGACCCTAGAAGCATAATTCATGTAAGAAATAAATGAATAAATTGGACTTCATTAAAATTAAAATGTTTCTCTGGAAAAGTCCTGTTAAGAGAATGAAAAGACCCACTAGAGACTGGGAGAAAATATTTACAAATGGGAAATTTTAGTTTCCCAGGGCTGCCATAACAAATTGCCACAAACTTGGTGGCTTAAAAGAACAGAAAAGTATTCTCTCACAGTACTGGGAACTGTAAGTGCAATATGAAGGTGTCAGCAGGGCTGTGCTCTATCTGATGGCTGGAGAAGGATTCTTCCTTGCCTCTTTCTAACCTTTGGTCGCTGGTGGCAATATTTGGCATTCCTTGGCTGTAGATGCATCACTCTGCCTCTTTTGTCACGTGGTCTTCTCCCTGTGTGCCTATGCCTAAATTTCTCTCTTCTTATAAGGGCACCAATCATTGGATTAGGGCTCACCCTAATCCAATAGGACCTCATTTTAATTTGATTATATCTGCAAAGAACTTATTTCCAAATAAGGTCACATTCACAAGTACTGAGGGTTTTGACCTACGTATATCTTTTTGGGGTACACAAGCCCACAACATAAACCATATATTCAACAAAGTCCTTATATCTATAATATAAAAAACTCTCAAAACTCAACAGTAAAAAGAACAATTAATCCAGTTGTAAAATGGGCAAAAGACATCAAAATATATTTTACCATAGAGGAGACATGGATATCACATAAGCACAAGAATAAATATTCAACATCACTAGCCTTTAGGAAAATGCAAATTAAAACTACAAAGGGATATTATAACATACCTATTAGAACAGCTAAAATAGAACATACGATAATGCTAAATGTTGGTAAAGATGTGGAGAAACTGGATCACTGAAACATTGCTGTTGGGAATATAAAATGGTTGCAAATTCTCTGAAAAACAGTTTCACAGTTTCTCATAAATTTAGACATACATTTACCATATGACTCTGCAATCACTCTCCAGAGCATAAAGACATGGAAACGTATGTCCACACAAAAAATTGAACACTATTATTCATAGCATCTTTATTTGTAATAGCAAATTACTAGACACAGACCAAATTTCATTCAATGGGTGACCGTTGTAGAAACTCTAGCTACTCAGCAATAAAAAGGAATGAACAACTGATAACATGCAATGACTTGGATAGACCTCAATGGCATTATGCTTAGTGAAAAAAATCAATATCAAAAGTTGATATACTGTATGATTCCATTTATTTAATATTCTTGAAATGACAAAAACAACAGATTAGTGGTTTCCATGGAACAAGGATTGTGGGGAGTTACATGCAAATCCAAAGAGTTAGCAAAGGGGAGTTATTTTGTGGTAATGGAAACAGTTATGTATCTTGATTGTGGTGGTAGCTGCATGAATCTATACTTGAGGTAAAATTGTACAGAACTATACACACACACACACGTGCGTGCAGGTTAAAAAGTGGACAACCGAATAAGATCTTTAGTTTACCTAACAGTATTATACCAATGTCAAATTTCTGGTTTTGATATTGTACTACAACTATATAAGATGTCACCATTGGGGAAAACTGGGACACAGGACTCTTTCTACTATTTTGCAACTTCCAGGAAGTTGCAAACTTAGTCGATACACTTGACTACATTAAAAAGGTCTGAATGCCAAGTGTGTGGATTCTATTAAATTATTTTAATCACTCACTTATTTTAAGCTCTGTGTAGTAGTAATGAAGATTTACTGAGCACTAAGAAGGTGTGAGACACCATGCTAAGCATTTTACATTCATTATCTCCCACTATAGTTAGAAGTAGGTAATATTATGTCACCCATCTTTTACAGATCCTAAAACTGAAATTCCAAGACGTTCACTAAATTTTCCCAGGTCACAAAGCTCTAAGTGGCAGAACCAAGGCTTGAACCTAGGTCTTTCTGACTCCAAAGCTTGTGATCCTAAGCACAATGGCGAAATGATTCCATAATCGAGCAGCTGTGAGGCCAAAATGAGGCATCACATGTCAATTGCCTAGCTCAGTGTTTGAAATACAGCCAACATCCAATGAATAGCATGTTTTATTATCATCATGTTTCTCACTATCATTTATTAATTGTGGTTTTAGCCTTAGCATTGAGGGACATCTGGTCCTTATACTTAAGGCAATGTGAATAGTACCATAAGAAAAGGCTCAGATCCTTATCTATTAAATCATAAAAATATCTACCCCACAGAGTTATCACGAGTTTTGAGTAAAATTAAAGGTGATAATATATGTAAAAGTGCTCTGTAAACAGAAAAGCTCCCTGCATGCTAGCTGCATTGCATTTTGTTCCATTATTTTACCTCAAGATTGGCAGCTAAAAAGCTTTTTGCCTCTCAGCCATGCCACAATCCACAAACTCATCACCCTGCTCTCTCGCTGTGTGTTTCTATGGCATCAATCACCATAGTTTCTAGATCCTCTGACAGAAATATTAGGTGAAAGGCAGTTTAACAGAAGGAATCGGTGAATTTGACTCAAAGAACTCCATCCTCTCCACCTCAAGGCAGTGTTTAGCTAAGCAGCAGTAGGTCACATACTCATGGCTTCCCCATTCATTGCTTCCAGATTCTTGTTGCACAAGTTAAATAAAGGGATGAATTTCAAGTCAGTTTTGAGGCTTTCAGTAATTGATAGGTCGCTCTGAAATCATTTCCCCCCGGGGATAAGATTTCACAATTATTCCTCTACATCAGGGGTTGGCAAACTATGACCTGTGGACCAAATCTGGCCTGCCATCTGTTTTTGTATGGCCAATGACTAAGAGTGTTTTTCACATTTTTAATGCTTGAAAACATGTAAAAAATAATATTTTATGACACGTGAAAATTACATGAAATTCATATTTCAGTTCATAAACCAAGTTTCATGGGGATACAGCCACTTTCATTGCTCATGCAGATTAAGCAGTTGTAAAGCCAAAAATATTTATCTGGCTCTGTACAGATAAAGCTTGTTAACCCCTTCTCTACATAAGAACATCACTCATCAGTAATAACTAGGTCTATACTCAACCTATATTGAGCCCAACCACTCACCCCTATATACCACTCACAACACTGCCCTCTTCACTCCCTCCTCGTTTTATAAATATACCTATCTCCCACACTACAGTACAAGTTCTTTGGAGGACAAGGTCTATTTTTTTCTGTTTCATATGGGTATCCCACAAGGTGCCTATCACAGTATTTTACTTGTAATAGACAAATAATAAGCGTTTTTTAAGCAACAGAGCTGGATCAAATTTCCATAGCAACTGGGTTCCATGAGTGAAGGTTCACTGTGCAAAATCCTTTCTACCCAGTTCATTCCATTCAGTGCTGGAGGTCAGATATAAAGATACTACTTGTAAAATAGTATTTTAACTCTGCAGCAGGAAAACTCATGAATCACGACTCTGTTTAAATGTCTGTTGTTTTTACCCTCAGAGTAAAAAAGACCTTTCTAGATACATCACTAAATCCAGAAAACTTTTTTTATAAAGATTGATACACTTGATTACATAATAATAAAGAATTTCTGGCTGGGTGCAGTGGCTCACACCTGCAATCCCAGCACTTTAGGAGGCCAAGGCAGGAGGATCACTTGAGGCCAGAGTTTGAGACCAGTCTGAGCAATACAGTAAGACCTCATCGTAACAACAACAACAAAAATTTGCCGGGCATGGTGGCATGCACCTGTAGTCACAGCTACTCTAGAGGCTGAGGTGGGAGGATTGCTCGAGCCCCGGAATTTGAGACTGCAGTAAAATATGACACCACTGCACTCCAGCCTGGGTGACAGAGCAGGATGTTATCTTCCCCCCCAGCCCAAAAAAAAAAAAAGAATTTCTGCATGGCAAAAACCACCTAAACAAAATGAAAATACAAGTAAACGGAGAGGAAAGAGGATTATTATCAAGGAGCAAATTTCCCTAAATAAATTGTGTTTACAAATCAGTAAAAGACCAATAAGCCTTATAGAAAAAAAAGTGAAGATGAACAAGCAGCTCGTGGAAGAGCAAATACAAATGGCTGTTGACATATAAAAAGGGGCTCAGCTTCAGTAATAATAAGAAATGCAAATTTAAACTCCGCCACAATACCATTTTTACCTACAACATTGACAAAGTTTAATGACACATTTTGTGGACGAAAATATGGGAAACCAAGCATGCCTCGTATATTGGTAGTAAAAGTATAAATTGTCTTTCTATGAAAATTCACATGCCTTTTGTCCTAACAGATCAACTTCTAGAAATTTGTTCTACAGATGTACTCATATATGTGTGATTTACATACAAAGTTAGTCATTGCAGCATTTTTTGGTAACAGGAAAATATTAGAAAAAGCCTAAATATAAATCAGTAGGTGACTGATTAAATAAGCGATGCTAAGTATACAACACTATGCAGCTATTAACAAAAAGAATGAGGAAATGCTTTACATACTGGACACAGGAAAAATGGCAGTTTTTTTGTACATTTTGTACATTTTTGTACATTTTGAATTTGTACCATGTGATACATTACCCTTACAAAACTCATTTTAATTTTCAAAATATGAGCTTACTTCTTGTTTCTTAATGGTGGCTACTTCAGAGTTTGTGCTATTGTCATTCTCTATACCTATGGTATATATTTCTTTTGTGTCTATTCAGTAGTTAATAAAACTTATTAAAAATAAATGTCTCTTTTGAAGGGTAAGGATTTCTTAATTTAAGGAAGACTGTAGGCTACTGGGCAGAAATCTTAGCACATAAAAATTGACTGGGTCTGGAGCTTTGCCATGAAAATCAAGATTTGTGGAAATACAAACACATTTTAATTTAGTCACAGGCAATGTTGGTAATGAATATAGGCAAAAATTCTCACTCATAGTGAATCATTAATTTTGACAATAGAAGTGTAAATAGGACCATAAATAGAATTTCCAATTATTCTCCTATGCCAAATACATCAGTTAGTCATGGTACATATTTATAACAAGTGACATTTCCCCCTGATTTTCTGCACTCTGTTCTGTGCAGTCTGGTATTGATCATGAGAGAACGAAGGCCGCTGACTCCAGGTCCCTTTGGGTTTGTCATCTTCTTCAGACAAACTTTCCCCACAAATGTCAAACAAATTCGGATCATTAATGGCTACTTCATAAGCTAACCAAATTAGAAAAATTCTTTATTCTGAGTGGATTCTTTCTAGGGATAAGATTTAGTTTAAAGCACATCCATATGCATATAAAATTAACTGCTATAACAGTGATTAATTTTACTTACACCAGCTACCAGCTCTAAACTTCCTGGAGTTCCAACATAAGTCTCTAGCATCCAAATAATATATGGTATGATTTTAAAATTCTGGGACTAGCCAGTGCTTTCCAATGACATTAACAATACCACCCTGAATTGTAAGTGTTACTGCCTGTTTTCCAGTCTGTCTTCCCTACTAGCTTGTGAGCTCTATAATAGCAGGAATAGGTGGTGCATTTTTTTCAACCTTTTATCTTCCTCCTCTAATTTCTATAAACATTGGCATAGACTAGGTGCTTAGTCGGTTATTGAATGAATGAATAAATAAATATTTTTCCCTGTTGTTTTCTGCCACATTTTAAAAAGGAAGAGTATGTAGAGACTTTATAGTGTAGGTTTGAGGGTAGAAGAAATAGGTTAAAAAAAAAAGTAAGATTCCCCAGGAGTCCTTTACTGTACCTGTGAACCACTAACCAGCCACACCCTAAGTCATATGATGTACAACTATTGGTACACAAAAAGAATCAAGTATGTATAACAAGCCAAGAGAATAAATAAGCATTAAGTGTGAACTACTGTACTCTTGGCCTTCAAACTCATTTATGGATAGTTAATTTTGTTTTGGTCTTTGCTGTTTGATTCATTTACCCATATAGGTAAAACAGATCCAGACAACATCCAATAGAAAAACTTAGAATTCAGGTGAAATTGTCTGTGACTTAAACCTCCACTCAACAGTTTAAGTGGAAATTCAATGCTTACAACCCATTTGAGTATATGTTTTTAACTAGATTTACCACTCTTATTTATTTTTGCCTCTAAGCTTCTTGCCACCCTATAAACCAGGAGTTGGCAAACGATGGCCCATGAGCTGGCCACCTGTTTTTGTAAATAAAGTTTTAATGGGAACACAGCCACAGCCATTTGTTTATACATTGTCTGTGGCTGCTTTCACAGCACAGGTTGAATAGCTGTGGCAGAGACTGTCTGGCCCCTAGGCCTAAAATGTTTACTTTCTGACACTTTACAGGAAATGTTTGCTGACTCCTGCTATCTCTGTAAAATTATATGGCAAAGATAGAAAGGTACATTCTCTCAACAAATAACTAGTATTTAACTGAACTTTAATATGTGCCAGGCACTGGAAATTAAAAGATGATGAAGACTCTGAATAATGTTGGTACAGAACATACTTCCAGCACCAAGAAAAGTACATATTCTCATTTTGATGACAAAGTAAACAATGCTGAATTTGAAATCTAAATGTTACAGCGAAAAGCTACCAGATATAGCACAGAGATGTGAGGCACAGAAATCCGCTGTCTTTCACAGAAGCAATTACATAGTTCCAGAAACCTGGAAAAGTGTCATTCATTCCAGCTGAGAAGTACCTAACTCAATCAACTGATAAATGTTGGGCTGAAAGTAAGAAGATCCCTAACTCAGTAACTACTGCTACTACTACTAGCTAATACATACAGCATTGATTAAATGCCAGGCACATATATTAACTTGTAAAATGCTCATAAAAACCCAGTGAGTTAGAGGCTGTTATTATCATCTCCATTTTACACATGAGGAAACTGAGGCACAGAGTAGTCAAGTAACTTTGCCCATGTCACACAGCTAGTAAGTGGGAGATTCGAAATTTGAATCTATGTAGTTTGGCTTTGATTTTTCAGGTTTTTCCAACCATAATATTTTAGGATTCAGGGTTTCAATAATTATTTAGATATGCCAAACTGTGGGAATTACAAGAAACAAGACACATGTTATTAATTTATTCAACAAATAATCACTGAGTGCCTATAGTATGCCAAGCTGTGTTCCAGGCACTGAGGATACAGCAATGGGCAAAACAGACGAAAATTCTTGCTCTTGTAGTGCTTGCATTCTAGCGTAATGCAATAATAATAATGACAGACATTTCTAGAACACTTACAATGAGCCATAGGTTGCACTATGTAATTTACAGGATTTATCTCTTTTAATCTTCCCAGCTATTATTAACCGTATTATACAGATAAAAAAACTGAGACTTACCAGTTAGGTACAAAGGTCACAGTTAGTAATTGGTGGGGACTGAATCAGTTTACTTGTAGAGTTCCTGTGCTAACTCATGTTATACTACTTCCCTTATAAGGACTTTCTAACTGATTGGCTAGCATACAGTTAGAGTGAAATGGCTTAAAAAAAAAACTCACAGTATTTTGATAGTTTCTTTTCTTTTTTTTTTTTTTTTTTTTGAGATGGAGTCTTGCTCTGTCGCCGAGGCTGGAGTGCAGTAGCCGGATCTCGGCTCACTGCAAGCCCCGCCTTCTGGATTCACGCCATTCTCCGGCCTCAGCCTCCCAAGTAGCTGGGACTACAGGCACCCACCACCACGCCTGGCTAATTTTTTGTATTTTTAGTACAGACGGGGTTTCATCGTGTTAGCCAGGATGGTCTTGATCTCCTGACCTCGTGATCTGCCCGCCTCGGCCTCCCAAAGTGCTGCGATTACAGGCGTGAGCCATCGTGCCTGGCCAATAGTTTCTTTTTAAGAGAAGCAAGGGTATGGTAGGAACCTGATCTGCAAAGTGACATCAGAAACTCTGAGCTGACAGGCCAGAAACAAGAAGTCCAGAAACTTCCAGAACATCAGAAACTCTGAGCTGACAGGCCAGAACATAAGAAGTCCAGAAACTTCCAGAACATCAGAATCTCTGAACTGACAGACCAGAGCACAAGATCATCTATACGATGGCCCCTGGGCCCCTTTTGAGAGGAATCACAAACAGACGGATAGTCTTCTAGGATAGTAGGGTTAAAATTCTGGGATTAAAAAAAAAAAATCCCAAAGACTGGCCTAACCTCTGTCTAGGAAAGTGGGGTCATCCCCTAGGATGAGAGAGGACTCACCCTAAATAAGAAAAGAGCAAAAACAAACAAACAAACAAACAACAACAACAAAACCTTGGGTCTTGGGTCTTGTCTTCAAAGTCATCAATGAATGCATTTGTTACCCAAGTGATCTCAACCAAATGCTCTCTAACCCAGATCCTGGAAGAACATGTTCTTCCACAGAGTGTACTGTAAAACAGAGAATTGAGATTTTGCAGTTTCAGTAGCAAAATTATGCAAGGATTCAGAGTCAAATTTCTTTATGACTATCACCAAAATTTGTGAATTTCCTAAAGTTTGATGGACCTCAGGAAAGGGTGTTTGCAAAACCTGAATGGGCTTGACCATCCCAAAGGGGACTCTCCATAGACTTTAGGAGCTCATTAGGACTTGTGTTTATATAGCTAAAGTAAAGCCAAAGGCTATATGTAACTATGCAGTAATTTAAAATATTCCACTGGGCCGGGTGCAGTGGCTCACACCTGTAATCCCAGCACTTTGGGAGGCTGAGGCGGAGGATCATCTGAGGTCAGGAGTTCAAGACCAGCCTGACCAGCATGGTGAAACTCTGTCTCTACAAAAATACAAAAATTATCTGGGCGTAGTGGCAGGCGTCTGTAGTCCCAGCTACTAGGGAGGCTGAGGCAGGAGAATCACTTGAACCCGGAAGGCGGAAGTTGCAGTGAGGCAAGATTGCACCACTGCACTCCAGCCTGGGTGACAGAGCGAGACTCTGTCCCCCCCTCCAAAATATGTGTGTGTGTGTGTGTGTGTGTGTGTATATATATACACATATATGTGTATATGTATATATGTTAACACATGTATACTCGTATATGTATATATGTGCATATATGTATATATGTATATATGTATGTATATGTATATATATGCATATATGTATATGTGTATATATGCATATATGTATGTATATGTATGTATATGTGCATATATATGCATGTATATATGTGCATATATGTATATATGTATATATGCATATATGTGTATACATGCATATGTGTATATGTGTATATATGCATATATGTATGTATGTGCATATATGTATACATGTATATAGGTGCATATATGTATGTATGTATACATATATGTATATGTATGTATACCTATATATAGGCGTATATATGTGTATATATATGTATATACATATATTCCGTTGTATCAACCATTCTACAAATGTTTTAACAATCAACTGCTGCACAATGGATCCAGTTAGCCGGGTAGATGCTAGGATTTGGCTCTGTCAATGGGGTATGCGGAGGGAGAGTCATTCAGGTTTTAATCTAAGCTAGGATTCAGAAACACGTAAATATTTTGACTGCATCGTGACCTCCAATCCAGTGACTCATCACTTTTTCTCAAATTTCAGCTTCCTCCTGTCCTCTCTTCCTTGTCCAGCTTAGGTTCCATGAGCCATTATTATAAGCACTTCATTGCAACTCCCTGATCTGTGCTCTTCTCCCCCGACCCTAGTCTGTGGCTCTCTCTCTCTCTCCCCTCCCCCATAGTATTCACCTGGCAAAAGCTCAACTCTGATTGAACCCAGCCCCTGAGCCAACATGTTTCTAGAGACAGTCACAGAACTGGAATACCTGCCTTCACTTTAAATTCATGATCACAGATATCGAATGACACTTAATACCACAAGTCAATCCTGGTACATTTCCCTGGTAAGTTCATTTTCTCATTATCCATAACATTTATTTCATACCTTATCCTCTGTCTCCTTAAGCCTCATACACCCCTCATTCTCAGCTGATGACCTCATTTTATATTTCCTTGAGATAACAGAAGAATCCTCTCCTTACTGCAGTTATCTATCATCACCGTCCACCTCCACCAGTCATTCCTAGTTATTCACTGAAGATTTCAATACCTGCCTTCGTGTCTTCTCAGCCAAAACTACTGGTATTTCTGGTCACTTCAAAGTATAGAACTCATCTAACACTCTGGCCACTTAGATCCATAATTTTCTCCTTTTTTCTTCATCTCTTTTCCCCCTCATCCCACGGCAGCCATTTACTCCCAGTCATACCTTAGACCTTTATGTTATTGAAAAAATGTAATGCACCACCTGCAAAATTTTAACTTCAAGCATGCCGCACACTACCACCTCCAACCATTCCAGCTCATTTCCTATAGTTCTCCCACCCCAACTATTCTTTGACTCTTACTTAGGCCTCCAGTCCATTAAACTTATCCCTTTTTCAAGGACCAATTGAAACACTCATGTCTTTGCTTCCTTCCTTACCCAACTTAGACTCCACGATCCAATATTATGATCACCCTCTTGCATATATTTTCAAATGACTTATCCCTGTCTCCCTCCATCGACTTGTCTTGCAAAACCTCAATGGTGGTTAAGCCCAACTTTTCATCTACTCTGTGCCAGCTCCTGAGCATATAAACCTCTCTGGAGGAAAGCACATAGCCATGCTGACTGGTCTCACTTAACATTTTCCCCAAGGGTTCTAGTGTTTCCCTGCTTTTTCTCTTGCTCTTCTACAATTCATTCCCTATAGAGTAGCCAGACTGATCATTTTAAAGAGTAATTCAGATCATGTCACTCCTCTACTTAATATCCTCCAGTGCTTCTCACTGCCTGTGAATATAATCTAAAGTCTTTGCCATGGCTTGCCAGGATGTTCATAAATTTCCCACACCCACTTCTCCAACCCTGACTCCAACTCTTCTTCACTAGTTTCCAGTCACACTTGGCTTCTTCCACAAGTTCTTCTAATGTGTTCCTTTCCTGGAAGTTTTTTGCTCACTGTTCCCTCTCCCTGAAACATTCTTTCCTCACATTCTTTTAGGTCTCTACTCCTCAGAGTCTCCTTCTCTGGCTACCCTTTTAAAAATAACCACTTCAACTCCCCATACACTCAATTTCCCACTAACCCCTTAGCCTGTTTTATGCTTCTTCATAACACTTCTCTCTCTCTCTCTCTCTGAAATTCTACGATATACTACATGTTTTAAAGTTTTCATATGTATTCTCCCTTAGACTGAAAACTCCATGACATGAGAATAAGGACTGGTCTATTTCATAGAATCCTCAGACATAGCCTAAAATAGTGCCTCGTATGTGTTCATTGAATGAATGAATATTTTCATTACCAAACCCATGATTCTATCTTTATCTGCACAAGCCCTCTTGATAGGGTTTGGTTGTGTCCTTACCCAAATCTCATCTTGGGTTGTAGCTTCTATAATTCCCACATGTGTCATGGGAGGAAACTGGTGGGAGGTAACTGAATCATGGGGGTGGGTCTTTCCCATGGTATTCTCGTGATAGTGAGTAAGTCTCACAAGATCTGATGGTTTTATAAAGGGGAGTTCCCCTGCACATGCTGTCTTGCCTGCTTCCATGTAAGACGTGACTTTGCTCCTCATTCATCTTCCACCATGACTGTGAGGCCTCCCCAGCCATGTGGAACTGTGAGTCAATTAAAATTCTTTCCTTTATAAATTACCCAGTCTCAGGTATGTCTTTATTAGTAGCATGAGAACAGACTAATACACCACTCTTCCCTCTTGAAGACCAACTTCACCACTTGTGACCTGTATCCCAAAACTTCTGACCCACTCAAGGCATTTATTCCTTTGCTTATCCTCTTTTACATGTTCAATTACTCCATCCCTACTAGAACATTCCCATCAGCATTTGAACTTACTCTACTATCTCCCATCTTGAAAAAAAATCCTGTAACCTCATATCCCCTCCAAGATTTCCCTGCTCCCCTTCACAGTAAAACTCCTTCATAGATGCCTTCAAATATTGTGCCATCTCCACTTCCTTACCTGCTATTCATTCTTTGGCTGTCTTACATCTGGCTTCTTTACTCATCACTCCACTGAGGCAGTTATGAATAATCTCACCAGCAATCTTCATTTTGACAAATCCAGTGGGCAGTTTAGGGCCCTCAAATTACTTGATCTATCAGCAGCATTAAAGACCATTGACTACTTGCCTCTTGAAACTCTTTCTACTCTTGGTGTCTGTATCTTTCTGATTTTCCTTCTACCTCACTGGCCTTTCCTTTCCAGTGTTCTTTGTAGGCTCCTCTCATTCTACTAGACTCCTTAATGCTGCAATTCCTTATGGTTTGGACCTAGGCCCCCACTCTCTATCTACACTCTCTTACTAGGTGATATTACCTGGTCCCATGGCTTTAAGGACCATCTATATGGCAGTAAGAGCCCAGTGGGAGGCACTGGGATCCACCATCTCTGCTTAAGTTCCTCTCTGAGCAAGACTTCGTTTCCTACTGAAAAACAGAGTACTGTGTAGCTTCCATAAGCCAGATGCAACAGGAGATAGCCATGACTATTGGGCGCTCAGCAGATATGGAGATAGATACCCAGAAGATGCCAAGAAGGCAATAGAATTACTTGTGAGTACATGTGAGGCATCTCCTAAGGAGTCCCAAGGTCCCAAGGAATAACTGCAGTTTATTACTGACAATGTGAGTCCATTCATACTGGTAAGGCTGGAGAAACACAGGATATGATTCTAGTCATCATATTTTATATCTGATGCTTTTTACGATGTTGACATAAGTGGTGGAGAGAAAACCTGTCTATTTTGCAAAAGCACCTCTCACTACTTGCCCAACACTACTACTAATAAGAAGAGAATAATTGCTTTACAATAATTGTTTACTTGAGGAAATATAAAGAGGGAAAGTCAATTGGTAAAAAATGATTGTGAGTCGGTATATGTGCTCCATTAGTTTACAAGGCTTTCAAATAACCCACAGATAACTAAATAAGCACACTAAATATGTGTGACCCTTTATTTGCTCCATTAACAGTGGGTTGGGATTTTAAAAATGGATGGGATGTTTTTGAGTATGGGAGAGTTCTATACTTTTATCAAAGACCAGTTACCTGGGCCATACAAATATTCTTTCCTGGACAAAACAGCAATTCTGTCTGACACAAGTTAGTTCCAGTGCTCTTAGGTAAGAGCTCAATAGTCAGGGTACCTTTGGGGCAGGAATCCCAGGGTGTAGTAACAGCTTCCTTGAAACTATGAGGCCTGGCAAGGTTTTTTAAGTAATTCTGGCCAATGAAACAAGTGTTTCTGGTTTAAGTCTGGAATATATTTTTCCTGAGCTTCTTAGGTATACAGGGGGTGAGGAAAAGTTTGAGGACATATTATTTGATGTCTTTGTGTATCCAGTACTTCTTGATTATCTCTTTGGGGTAACATCAGAGAAATTAATGTGAACTTGACGATCCATGGTTGTTCTCTCACTGATATCAGTTATAGTATTGAACTTCTAAGTAGAGATGACTGATGACCCTTATACTTACTTCCTAATATTGGTCACATTGGGGATACTGAAGAGACAACATTTTAAGAACAGAATTGGGAATGAAGGTATCAGATGAAACATAATAAAATGACAATGATAATGATAACAACAGCAATAATAAAAACTTACTGAATACTTACTATGTATCAGGCACTGTGCTGAATGTCTTATATGCATTATCTTTTATAATCTTCACAATATCCCTATAATGAAGTACTGCTTATTATCTCCATATTACAGAAGAAATTAAGACTTCAAAAAATTAACTGATTTGCTTTAGGTCACATGACTAGTATGTGGCAAAACCTGAATTCAAATCCAGATCTGTCTTACTCACTCAAACCTACACCAAGGAAAAGAAAGTTAAAAAAAAAAAAAAAACAACAACAGGGAGGAGAAGCCAAGATGGCCGAATAGGAACAGCTCCGGTCTACAGCTCCCAGCGTGAGCGACGCAGAAGACGGGTGATTTCTGCATTTCCATCTGAGGTACCGCGTTCATCTCACTAGGGAGTGCCAGACAGTGGGCGCAGGTCAGTGGGTGCGCGCACCATGCGCGAGCCGAAGCAGGGCGAGGCATTGCCTCACTTGGGAAGTGTAAGGGGTCAGGGAGTTCCCTTTCTGAGTCAAAGAAAGGGGTGACGGACAGCACCTGGAAAATCGGGTCACTCCCACCCGAATACTGTGCTTTTCCGACAGGCTTAAAAAACGGCGCACCATGAGATTATATCCCGCACCTGGCTCGGAGGGTCCTACGCCCACGGAGTCTCGCTGATTCCTAGCACAGCAGTCTGAGATCAAACTGCAAGGTGGTAACGAGGCTGGGGGAGGGGCGCCCGCCATTGCCCAGGCTTGCTTAGGTAAACAAAGCAGCCGGGAAGCTCGAACTGGGTGGAGCCCACCACAGCTCAAGGAGGCCTGCCTGCCTCTGTAGGCTCCACCTCTGGGGGCAGGGCACAGACAAACAACAAGACAGCAGTAACCGCTGCAGACTTAAACGTCCCTGTCTGACAGCTTTGAAGAGAGCAGTGGTTCTCCCAGCACGCAGCTGGAGGTCTGAGAACGGGCAGACTGCCTCCTCAAGTGGGTCCCTGACCCCTGACCCCAGAGCAGCCTAACTGGGAGGCACCCCCCAGCAGGGGCACACTGACACCTCACACGGCAGGGTACTCCAACAGACCTGCAGCTGAGGGTCCTCTCTGTTAGAAGGAAAACTAACAAACAGAAAGGACATCCACACCAAAAACCCATCTGTACATCACCATCATCAAAGACCAAAAGTAGATAAAACCACAAAGATGGGGAAAAAACAGAACAGAAAAACTGGAAACTCTAAAAAGCAGAGCGCCTCTCCTCCTCCAAAGGAACGCAGTTCCTCACCAGCAACGGAACAAAGCTGGATGGAGAATGACTTTGACGAGCTGAGAGAAGAAGGCTTCAGACGATCAAATTACTCTGAGCTACGGGAGGACATTCAAACCAAAGGCAAAGAAGTTGAAAACTTTGAAAAAAATTTAGAAGAATGTATAACTAGAATAACCAATACAGAGAAGTGCTTAAAGGAGCTGATGGAGCTGAAAACCAAGGCTTGAGAACTACGTGAAGAATGCAGAAGCCTCAGGAGCCGATGCGATCAACTGGAAGAAAGGGTATCAGCGATGGAAGATGAAATGAATGAAATGAAGTGAGAAGGGAAGTTTAGAGAAAAAAGAATAAAAAGAAATGAGCAAAGCCTCCAAGAAATATGGGACTATGTGAAAAGACCAAATCTACGTCTGATTGGTGTACCTGAAAGTGATGGGGAGAATGGAACCAAGTTGGAAAACACTCTGCAGGATATTATCCAGGAGAACTTCCCCAATCTAGCAAGGCAGGCCAACGTTCAGATTCAGGAAATACAGAGAACACCACAAAGATACTCCTCGAGAAGAGCAACTCCAAGACACATAATTGTCAGATTCACCAAAGTTGAAATGAAGGAAAAAATGTTAAGGGCAGCCAGAGAGAAAGGTCGGGTTACCCTCAAAGGGAAGCCCATCAGACTAACAGCGGATCTCTCGGCAGAAACCCTACAAGCCAGAAGAGAGTGGGGGCCAATATTCAACATTCTTAAAGAAAAGAATTTTCAACCCAGAATTTCATATCCAGCCAAACTAAGCTTCATAAGTGAAGGAGAAATAAAATACTTTACAGACAAGCAAATGCTGAGAGATTTTGTCACCACCAGGCCTGCCTTACAAGAGCTCCTGAAGGAAGCACTAAACATGGAAAGGAACAACCAGTACCAGCCGCTGCAAAATCATGCCAAAATGTAAAGACCATCGAGACTAGGAAGAAACTGCATCAACTAACGAGCAAAATCACCAGCTAACATCATAATGACAGGATCAAATTCACACATAACAATATTAACTTTAAATGTAAATGGACTAAATGCTCCAATTAAAAGACACAGACTGGCAAATTGGATAAAGAGTCAAGACCCATCAGTGTGCTGTATTCAGGAAACCCATCTCACGTGCAGAGACACACATACGCTCAAAATAAAAGGATGGAGGAAGATCTACCAAGCCAGTGGAAAACAAAAGAAGGCAGGGGTTGCAATCCTAGTCTCTGATAAAACAGACTTTAAACCAACAAAGATCAAAAGAGACAAAGAAGGCCATTACATAATGGTAAAGGGATCAATTCAACAAGAAGAGCTAACTATCCTAAATATATATGCACCCAATACAGGAGCACCAAGATTCATAAAGCAAGTCCTGAGTGACCTACAAAGAGACTTAGACTCCCACACATTAATAATGGGAGACTTTAACACCCCACTGTCAACGTTAGACAGATCAACGAGACAGAAAGTCAACAAGGATACCCAGGAATTGAACTCAGCTCTGCACCAAGCGGACCTAATAGACATCTACAGAACTCTCCACCCCAAATCAACAGAATATACATTTTTTTCAGCACCACACCACACCTATTCCAAAATTGACCACATACTGGGAAGTAAAGCTCTCCTCAGCAAATGTAAAAGAACAGAAATTATAACAAACTATCTCTCAGACCACAGTGCAATCAAACTAGAACTCAGGATTAAGAATCTCACTCAAAACCGCTCAACTACATGGAAACTGAACAACCTGCTCCTGAATGACTACTGGGTACATAACGAAATGAAGGCAGAAATAAAGATGTTCTTTGAAACCAACGAGAACAAAGACACAACATACCAGAATCTCTGGGACGCATTCAAAGCAGTGTGTAGAGGGAAATTTATAGCACTAAATGCCCACAAGAGAAAGCAGGAAAGATCCAAAATTGACACCCTAACATCACAATTAAAAGAACTAGAAAAGCAAGAGCAAACACATTCAAAAGCTAGCAGAAGGCAAGACATAACTAAAATCAGAGCAGAACTGAAGGAAATAGAGACACAAAAAACCCTTCAAAAAATTAATGAATCCAGGAGCTGGTTTTTTGAAAGGATCAACAAAATTGATAGACCGCTAGTAAGACTAATAAAGAAAAAAAGAGAGAAGAATCAAATAGACGCAATAAAAAATGATAAAGGGGATGTCACCACCAATCCCACAGAAATACAAACTACCATCAGAGAATACTACAAACACCTCTACGCAAATAAACTAGAAAATCTAGAAGAAATGGATAAATTCCTGGACACATACACTCTCCCAAGACTAAACCAGGAAGAAGTTGAATCTCTGAATAGACCAATAACAGGAGCTGAAATTGTGGCAATAATCAATAGCTTAGCAACCAAAAAGAGTCCAGGACCAGATGGATTCACAGCCGAATTCTACCAGAGGTACAAGGAGGAACTGGTACCATTCTTTCTGAAACTATTCCAATCAATAGAAAAAGAGGGAATCCTCCCTAACTCATTTTATGAGGCCAGCATCATTCTGATACCAAAGCCAGGCAGAGACACACCAAAAAAAGAGAATTTTAGACCAATATCCTTGATGAACATTGATGCAAAAATCCTCAATAAAATACTGGCAAAACGAATCCAGCAGCACATCAAAAAGCTTATCCACAATGATCAAGTGGGCTTCATCCCTGGGATGCAAGGCTGGTTCAATATACGCAAATCAATAAATGTAATCCAGCATATAAACAGAGCCAAAGACAAAAACCACATGATTATCTCAATAGATGCAGAAAAAGCCTTTGACAAAATTCAACAACCCTTCATGCTAAAAACTCTCAATAAATTAGGTATTGATGGGTCATATTTCAAAATAATAAGAGCTATCTATGACAAACCCACAGCCAATATCATACTGAATGGGCAAAAACTGGAAGCATTCCCTTTGAAAACTGGCACAAGACAGGGATGCCCTCTCTCACCACTCCTATTCAACATAGTGTTGGAAGTTCTGGCCAGGACAATTAGGTGAGAGAAGGAAATAAAGGGTATTCAATTAGGAAAAGAGGAAGTCAAATTGTCCCTGTTTGCAGACGACATGATTGTATATCTAGAAAACCCCATTGTCTCAGCCCAAAATCTCCTTACGCTGATAAGCAACTTCAGCAAAGTCTCAGGATACAAAATCAATGTACAAAAATCACAAGCATTCTTATACACCAACAACAGACAAACAGAGAGCCAAATCATGAGTGAACTCCCATTCACAATTGCTTCAAAGAGAATAAAATACCTAGGAATCCAACTTACAAGGGATCTGAAGGACCTCTTCAAGGAGAACTGCAAACCACTGCTCAAGGAAATAAAAGAGGATACAAACAAATGGAAGAACATTCCATGCTCATGGGTAGGAAGAATCAACATCGTGAAAATGGCCATACTTCCCAAGGTAATTTATAGATTCAATGCCATCCCCATCAAGCTACCAATGACTTTCTTCAGAGAATTGGAAAAAACTACTTTAAAGTTCATATGGAACCAAAAAAGAGCCCGCATCACCAAGTCAATCCTAAGCCAAAAGAACAAAGCTGGAGGCATCACACTACCTGACTTCAAACTATACTACAAGGCTACAGTAACCAAAACAGCATGGTACTGGTACCAAAACAGAGATATAGATCAATGGAACACAACAGAGCCCTCAGAAATAACGCCACATATCTACAACTATCTGATCTTTGACAAACCTGAGAAAAACAAGCAATGGGGAAAGGATTCCCTATTTAATAAATGGTGCTGGGAAAACTGGCTAGCCATATGTAAAAAGCTGAAACTGGATCCCTTCCTTACACCTTACACAAAAATCAATTCAAGATGGATTAAAGACTTAAACGTTAGACCTAAAACCATAAAAACCCTAGAAGAAAACCTAGGCATTACCATTCAGGACATAGGCATGGGCAAGGACTTCATGTCTACAACACCAAAAGCAATGGCAACAAAAGACAAAATTGACAAATGGGATCTAATTAAACTAAAGAGCTTCTGCACAGCAAAAGAAACTACCATCAGAGTGAACAGGCAACCTACAAAATGGGAGAAAATTTTTGCAACCTACTCATCTGACAAAGGGCTAATATCCAGAATCTACAATGAACTCAAACAAATTTACAAGAAAAAAACAAACAACCCCATCAAAAAGTGGGCGAAGGACATGAACAGACACTTCTCAAAAGAAGACATTTATGCAGCCAAAAGACACATGAAAAAATGCTCATCATCACTGGCCATCAGAGAAATGCAAATCAAAACCACAATGAGATACCATCTGACACCAGTTAGAATGGCAATCATTAAAAAGTCAGGAAACAACAGGTGTTGGAGAGGATGTGGAGAAATAGGAACACTTTTACACTGTTGGTGGGACTGTCAACTAGTTCAACCATTGTGGAAGTCAGTGTGGCGATTCCTCAGGGATCTAGAACTGGAAATACCATTTGACCCAGCCATCCCATTACTGGGTATATACCCAAAGGACTATAAATCATGCTGCTATAAAGACACATGCACATGTATGTTTATTGCGGCATTATTCACAATAGCAAAGACTTGGAACCAACCCAAATGTCCAACAATGATAGACTGGATTAAGAAAATGTGGCACATATACACCATGGAATACTATGCAGCCATAAAAAATGATGAGTTCATGTCCTTTGTAGGGACATGGATGAAATTGGAAATCATCATTCTCAGTAAACTATCGCAAGAACAAAAAACCAAACACCACATATTCTCACTCATAGGTGGGAATTGAACAATGAGATCACATGGACACAGGAAGGGGAATATCACACTCTGGGGACTGTTGTGGGGTGGGGGGAGGGGGGAGGGATAGCATCGGGAGATATACCTAATGCTAGATGACGAGTTAGTGGGTGCAGCTCACCAGCATGGCACATGTATACATATGTAACTAACCTGCACAATGTGCACATGTACCCTAAAACTTAAAGTAGAAAGAAAAAAAGACAAAAAAAAAACAGACAAAATATGAACTACTACACTAGAATGCCTAAAGATATCAATGACGTATACCTTTATTTAGTGCTGAATTGATATATATCTTTATGGTACTGAACAGATACATACTTTTAAACTTTTCCATGCAACCTATATAACGAAAAAATGCAGATAAAAGAAATATATTTCAGATGAAAATCAGCCCATCTTTACTGCAGCTCAATCATTCACATTTTCCTATTTTATTTTCCAAGAAGCAACTGGTGCCATGATATTGTGATATTTGTCCTTATGAACAGAATCTTGAGGTTTCAAAACCCAATTTTCTAAAATATGAAGTTCATTTCACTTTTATTCTCCTTTTTGGGGTGATCTTTGGTGCAAGAACACACCCAGCCTCTAGCAACAGCAAGTTAGACTGTACTAGTCAGCATTCCATAGCACCATGCTACTAGCACAGACTCTGTCTGAACACATTGCTCCATGCCCTTTCTTAGGAATACAGGAAAATTGGGGATAGGAGCAGAGACTTAACCAGGATACAGGCCAAAGGTGGTTGGCTTTGGATCCCGAGGGCTGGAGGCGAAAGTGAGTTATGACCCAAGGCAGCGAGAAGCAAAAAGAAGCCAAGGTACAAGTCCTTAATGAGTACTGAAAATCAAACCATGGAATCCAGTTCATTCACTATACCCACCAACAACAATGGCATGGAAAATGGGAGACAACAACTGGAATAAGATGGAAAGAAGTTTGAAAGCCAATTGAGAAGGTCTCTGAGTGCTGGCTGATCCTTAGAAACCTTAGCCTGGCCTTCTGAATGCTTCAATTTCTTTCCCAGCCTCCTCTCTCACCATCCTCCCCTCATCTAACAACACGAACACAGCAAGCACTTCCATACCTCTAAGGTTTTCCTTATGCTGCCCCTTCGGCCTGGAATGCCTTTCTCCCATACCTTCGGACTTTGACGATGAACTCACTTTTCAAGAATCAACTTAAAAACTGCTTCCTCTGTGAAGCCTTCCTCATCCTCCCCAACTTAGCATTAGTCACTGCATCTCTGTGTTGTCATAAACTTTACTTATATCCTTCATAGCACATAAATTATATGTTGCATTGTAGTTATTTGTGTCTGTGTCTGTATCTCTGACTGATGTGTAAACTCTTTGAGGACAGTTTTGTTTCTTCCTTATACCCAGTTCCTTGAGGATAGGGATTTTTAATCTCTGTCCTATTTATCTTTGTGTCCTCAGGGCCTGGCAAAGGACCTAGCACAAAGTGAGGCTCTTGATAAATGTTTTTGAATGAATGAATGATTATTGAAGGATGAGTTTATGAATAAATGATGGAGACAAACCATAGCATGTAAAACACTAAGACAGCAGACGGGGGGAAAATCTCTTTTATTTAGACACCAGAAAAAAATAATTGTGTGGCTTGAAAATCATGTATATTTGGATTAGGGAGGGGTTTGAAGAAAATAGCAAATGAGTGACTTTGTTGTAATAACTAATCTCTTGGTTTACAGCAAGAAGAAATAAAATACATCTTCAAAAGCTTTTTTTTTTTTTTTTTTTTTTTTTTTTTTTTTTTTTTGCTTTTTCACTCTAAGCAGAAATACACAACCTTCAGCAAAACAGCAATGCTCTCAGAGGAGCTAAAAAAACACAGGATATTGACAGACGTGTTGTCCTTTTTCATTAATTTTTTGTTATTCCTTTCTCAGAGCTAACTGATAAAGGACACAGGTGAGAAAAAAATATCAAGTAGAGATGAAGAGAAGTGTCAAAAAGAAATAAAATTTCAAAGTAAAAGATGAAGTAACCTTTGCCCACTGAGATACACTACCAAGTGAGTCATCTGTCCCTAAATCTAACAGCTACCAACTTCTAAAGAGGAATTGAAGCAGCTTACAGTGAGGGAGAGAGACAGAGAGAGCGCGAGAATGAATACAGGAATATAGCCAGGTGGGTTAAAGTAAAGATAAGAAAAATATCTGCAACTCCATAACTCCATCAGAAAAGGAGAAACATGAATGGACTAGGAACTAAAGATAAAGAAGTTACTGCAACTGAATGCTGAAATTCGTTCTGGCCTTTCTCGCAATTAAGAAAATAATTCATGATGGGTTACAAATCTCTCCTTGTGTAAAAGAAAATGTGGCACTGGGAGTAAGTCATCAACTCTGAGCTGTTTCTTCAGAAGTGAGAATGGTTTCTGTTTGAAGCCTTCCCCACTCTCTTGGCCAGTACCTTTGTGAGCCATGACACACACTGGCAAGGTTGGCTGTGACGTTAGAATGGACAGCAGCTGAGAGGCCTACAGGGGACTGAACATGTGGCTCCTACCTACTGAGCTGCCTAGCTGTGGACTCTGAAAAGTGATAAGTAGGAAAGCTCCCAATTCCGAAAGAACCATATTTTTAAAGCTAATATTAACACTTAAAATACAAACATCTAGATTATTTACCTTGGCTTCATTTTTAAAAGAAACTCTTTGAGAATTACAGTCAAGGTTTATTCAATTTCTCAATTTAGAAAACCTTTTCAGAATATAGATAAGTAATATCTAAAATTTTCTATTCGTTAATTAACTTTTCCCATTGCCAATAACTTAAACCCTAGTCCCCTCCTCCCCAGAAAGACAAGCTACAGCTAACGCTTAAACATTCATCTTCCTCTTCTAATTGCTGTGTAGGAGTAATTCTGTGATTCTGGAAGGAAACTTCAGTGAATAAATGAACAACTCTCTCATTTGCTATTTGGAAGTTATAAAAATTACAAGACATCATTCCATTATATTCCCTCATTTCCTTGTCATTGGGAAGGGTTCCAACCTCTCATCATATTAAAAAGCAATTATCAAAATGTTTTATTCCATAATAAGTTTGACTACTAGGAGAAAAAGTATTCAGAAATCAAAATAAGGGGGTTCTTTTTAGCATATAAACAGGTGAGTCAACCCTACAAATCCGAAAAAAAATAGCAGTGAGAGATTACTCTTGAAACCATCTATTTGGAATTTGGTGTCTTTACTTTGGTGTTTCTATACTGCCTAATTCCCATTAAACTGTTGTGTGATCACATTGTAGATGTTATCTTCTTGCTGAATATGCAGGCTGATGGAGTTGGGTCACAGTTTCTACAGAAGTTAGCACACAGCACTATTCACCAAGGTAAGCTGGGCTTTGTTAGAAAGAATTCAGAGAGTGCTCATGCCTGGGTTAGTCAACCAGTAGTGGGCTCTGAAGCCACCACATGCAGGGCACTGAGCTCTGGAGCTGGGGAGAATTGCAAAGGGATTTAAAGATATACCATCTAGTCCCTTTGTAATAATCCTTAACTTCATACAGAACCTTACAATTTACAAAGGGCTTTCCCTTAGGTTGCTGATTTTGATCCTTACAATAACCTAGAGAAGCCAGTAAAGTAGATCTTACCAGTACTCATTTGATAAATGAGGAAAGCAAGGCTCAGAGGGTTTATGTACTTTGCCTGTAGTCATGAAGTTAGTTAAAAAAAGGAAGGCTTTTGATGAAGAGTACAGTGCTCTTTTACATCCTGTTACTTTTCACATATCAGCAAATGCAGGCGTGCACATAAAAGAGACGGAGCTGAGTCAAATCACATATAAAACCATCCTCCTGAGGGATCAGTCAGAAAGGAGCAAAGGATAAATGGTGAGGTGGGTTGGGGTGTCACCCATGGCCAAGGCTGCTGGACCATATGGCACCTTTGTATCAATTAGAAAAGGTGCTTACTTCTAATGGATATAGTCCTGAGGGTGGAAGTAGCTTATAGAACCCTTGTGGGAACTGGAAAAAAATGGGGAAGTGTGCCCCTTCCACCCTTTGGATGTGGCCAGTACCAGAGTGCAGGGCTGGGGTGAGCATGGTTTAGATTTCAACCAGCACTGATCTCCTTGGCTGGGTGCTTTGGCACAAAGCATTTCTACATAACCATACATGGTGGTCCTGACTTAGGTGACTAGAAGACCCAAGACTAGGAAAAGCTAGCTGGAGTCTTTGCTACCCGAAGTGTGGTTCTTGGACTAGTAGCATCGGCTTTTACCCAGGAGCACGTTAGATACACAGAATCCCAGGCCCCACTTCCAAACCTACTGACTCAGAATCTGTGTTATAATAAGATCCCCCACGTGATTTGAGAAGCCCTGGGCTCCAACGGAGAGATAAGCTAAGAGCAGGATCTCTGGGAGTTGGAGCAATGTGAATCCCTGATTAGCTGTGGAATGGCAAGCAGGTTTGCCTGGCTGGAGAAGAGGGCACTTAGAGCACAGGTGAGCCCCTGCCCTCCAACGGCAATATGATTGGAACTCAGTCTACAGTCTAACATTACCTTTTGCTTTTCTGTTTTCTTTTTTCTTTCTTTCTTCTTTTTTTTTTTTTTTTTTGAGACAAGGTCTCGCTCTGTCGCCCAGGCTGGAGTGCAGTGGTGGAATCTGGGCTCACTACCTCTGCCTCCCAGGTTCAAGCGATTCTCCTGCCTCAGCCTCCCGAGTAGCTGGGACTACAGGTGCGTGCCACCATGCCCGGCTAATTTTTGTATTTTTTGGTAGAGACAGAGTTTCACCATGTTGGCCAGGCTGGTCTTGAACTCCTGACCTCAAGCAATATCCCCCCACATCGGCCTCCCAAAGTGCTGAGATTACAGACGTGAGCCACTGAGCTCGGCTACCTTTTACTGTTCTTACATTACTTGATTCAACAGAGATGGTTTGAGCCGTCTCTGATGTACTAAACCCTACACATCTAAAGTTCAGTATGTCACAGTCCCTGTTCTCAAGGAAGTCACTGTCTAGAGATAACAGAGAACATTCAATCCAATGCAGCAAGCACCCCAATGAAGATGTACACAAAACACCTGGGGGAGCACAGAGTAGCAGCAAACAACTCTGCCTGTGATATTTGAGTTAAGTGTCGAAAGATAAGGAATTGCCCACACAGAGGACAAGAGTGTCTCTCCAGGCAGAGGTGCCTATCTCCCTCAGTGAATTGTGGACCTTTTAAAGGGGGTCTAGTTTCATTTATATCTCCCTCCCCTTCGCCTGTCTCAGGGACTACCACAGTGGCCAATGCACAGCTGTTAATGCTTGCTAACTCACTGATGAACTGACAGACTGAATGGAAAAAAAAAAAGTGAATGAATGGGTTTGGAAAGAGGAGTCCCACAGACTACCATGGGAGGTGAAAAGACCTTATAATCTCCCAGGAATTATGTGGTTAAGATCTACAGTTGTGCTCTGGCTGGAGAAATGAGAGAAAGAGGTAAGAAATAGTGTACTGTGCTAGGGTTTCTTTTCTGAAAGAAAAATGTAACAATGAGACAGAGACTTTAAAAAATACACTTTTGTTAAATCTAAATAATTCTTAACAATGAGCTGAGAGAGCCTGCAATCAGATCTATTCTCTCCAAATAGGGTGAGTGGAGGGCACCGGGAAAGGCTGCTGCCAGGGAATTAAGCCTGCTTTCTCCAGCTCACCGTGGGGTTCCATTTTGCTTTGGGCAAGAGAATGGACATTTTCTTTTTACAAATTTCCATTGCACAGAACAAGACAAGAGTTCCCCGAATGAAATCCAGTCATTAGTCTCCCTCTTATATAATCTGCATAATACTTCCAGAGAGGGGCAGAGGGAGGGGGTCACAAGCAGGTGAGCCAGAGACCTGAAGGGACTCATCTGGGCCCTGTTAGTGCAACAAAGTACATTGTAACCCATCTGCCCCAGAGCCTCCATGCACTGAATATTCAGTTATAGCACATAACTGGCTTGGAGTCTGCATATACTGTAAGTTGAATGCAGATGACATTTTCTGCAATATAAGAAATACATTTCAGAAAAGTAGGTTAGACTCTGTTCTTTAGTGTAAAAAAGTTATTGGGCATTCAGAGAAGACTAAGGAGCTCAGTGTGGTTAAAGTCAGTACAGGTGGTAGGGGCCGAGAAGGGGAGGGGAGATTTCATGTAAAAGATGCAGAGGTCCTGAACCAAGCCTATGGAATGTGGAGAAGAGGAAAGGAAGGATTTCAGAGGTATTTCAGAATTGAGGAACAAATTAAACATGGGTGGCCAGAGACTGGGGAGAATTGAGAATGATTCCCAGATCTCTAGTTTGGGCACTGGCTGGGACTGAGGAGATGAAGATCATTAGTTTGAATATGAACATGTTGAGTTGGAGGTGCTTATGAATAATGTAGGTGCTGATGTTCAACAGGAGTTGGAAATATAGGGCTGGAGTTTAGTGGAGGGGTTTGGGCTGGAGATATAGATGTAGAAATTATCAGCTTATTATAATGAAAGCCACAGAAGTGAATTACATCTCTCAGGGAGAACATAGAGAAAGGAGAGGAGAAGACTGAGGAGAGGACCCTGGGAAAGGCCAACAAGAGCCAGGATAGAGTGGTATCAAGGAAGCTGAGAAAGGACAGAGTTCAGGATGGAGTGGGTTGCCAAGAGTTTGGGATGCTACAAGAGGTTGCAGAGGATAAGGGCTGAAAGGAAATCAGCAGATTAGTCAGTTACTAGGTCCTTGGTTATCTTCACCAGAGCAGTTTCAGTGGCACAGGGGAGGAAAGATCTGGTTTTAGGAGAATAAAGAATGGCTGCAAAATGAAACACTGAAGACTACGAGGGGTTTGGTGATGGAAGAAACAAAAATGAGTTGATGTCTTGAGGAGGAGACAGATTCTCAGGAAGGACTTTTAGTATGCCAGAAGCTTGGGCATGCTGACCAGAGCAGGACAGATTTGGGTGATGGGAGAAAAAAATGACATTAATGGAGGTAGGTCCCTGGGGAGGTGAGGTAAGGATGTGTCTTAGAAAGGAAGGACACCTTTTCCTTTGAAACAGGAAGGAATTAACAAATAAGCAAAGAAACAAACAGAATAGAAGGTGTTGTTTTTCTCAAACAAATCAGCAAGAAAAATATCTCATGAAAAAGTTAACAAATGATACGAATAGACATTTCTCAAAAGTGGATATACAAATGGCCGACAAACATATGAAAAATGCTCAACATCACTAATCATCAGGGAAATGCAAATTACAACCACACTCGTGAGATACCACCTTACTCCCACAAGAACGGCCATTACTAAAAAGTCAAAACCCAAAGATGTTAGTGTGGATTTGGGGAAAAGGGAATGCTTATACACTGCTGGTAGGAATGTAAATTAGTACAACCTCTATGGAAAACAGTATGGGGATTTCTTGAAGATCTAAAAGTAGATCTAGTATTTGACCCAGCAAACCCCACTACTGGGTATCTACCCAAAGGAAAATAGGCCATTACATGAAAAAGACACATGCACATGTATGTTTATAGCAGCACAATTCACGATGCAAAGATATGGAACCAACACAAGTGCTCTTGACTGACGACTAGATAAAGAAAATGTGATATATATATATATGTATACACACACACACACACACACACACACACACACCATAGAATACTACTCAGCCATAAAAAGAATGAAATAATGTCTTTTGCAGCAACTTAGATGGAGCTGGAGGCCATTATTCTAAGTGAAGTAACACAGGAATGGAAAACCAAATACTGTATGTTCTCACTTGCAAGTGGGAGCTAAGCTATGGGTACCCAAAGGCATACAGAATGGTATAATGGACTCTGGAGACTCAGAAGGGGGAAGGGTGAGAGGAGGATGAGGGATAAAAAACTATATATTGGGTACAATGTACACTACTCGGGTGAGAGATGCACTAAAATCTCAGACTTCACCACTGTACAATTTATCCATGTAACCAAAACCATTTGTACCCCAAAAGCTATTGAAATAAAAAAAAATTTTTAAAGAATGTGTTGTTTGGAAAACATCTTTGTCAATAGAAATATTAGCACTTGAATAATTAACAAAGAGGAGGGACACAATCAGGCTCAGTTGTGTAAAAGAATAATTCCAATCTCTCATGCCAGCCTCTTACCACTTACGCCTAATTAACATATGGCACCCTAACAATTATGCATATCAATATATACTTGTCAGAATAACTTCATTTTAAGTTTTGCTTTGTTTCACAACTAAACTCTCCTTAAGTTTGCTCAGTTTTCATAACTTGTAGTTTATGTAATATTGTTTGTTCACCATCTATAAAAGATTTAAGGAGCATTGGTTTGGGCAGGAGAAAATTCTCGCATGTCAGTTTACTTCTATGACATTTAACTTGGCAATTAGGGGAATGAGAGAGAAAAGAATAATGTGTTTACAAGAAACAGAAAAGGAAACTTTATGGCCCTGTCACATTCAAGAGATATGCTTGTTCATGGAGATGCTTCTCTCATTTTGAGAGAAGATTGTGTTTTTGAAAGAAGTTTTTTTCCTAGGCCTCTGGTAGTTACATGTAATTACTGCATCCTAGGGAACACAAATGTGAAGAAAGCTCAGCAGATGTGTTCTTTGGAGGTCATCGTGTGAGAAGTGGTTTGATGTGCACTACAGCAAAACTCATTTTGTGATTTGTTTTGCTCCCCCACACAATGACTCATCTCTTTGTCTGAGACATGAAAATCTATATGGTTTTAAATGGTATCAGAATATGCTTTTAATTCTAGCATAAACATTATTAAAATAATGGCTACCATATATTGAGTGCCTACTATGTGATAGATATGATACATGTATTAGCACAGTATTCAAAAACTTTTTATTGACTCTCTTCTTAATTCTTTCAGTAATCCTAAGAGATGAGCACAACTGAGGCTTCATCCACCAGTTATTACCCCATTTCTTTGTTATTATTCACAGCAAACATCGCTAAAGCATTGTCTCTACTCTGTCTCCAATTCTTCCTTAGACCCACTCTAGTTAGGCTCTTTCCTGTACTAGTCCACAAAAACTGCTCCGGTTAAGTCACCAATAACCTCCTCCTTCTCAATCTGTAAGTTGGCTTCCAAGAAGGGCTCAGGGAACCCCTGCTGAGAACCACTGCTCCATGCTGCCAGATGATGGAGTCATCAAGGGCATGGGCTTTGGTATGAGAGAGACTGGAGTTTGAATGCCAGACCTGTCACTATGTACCTAACTTTTGGCAAGATACTTAAATATTTTAATTCAATCCAACAAACATTTATGAGGGCTGCTATATGCCAGGTGTTGTTCTAAGTGCTTGGGGATAATAATCTTCCTTGACCCAGAAGCAGCATTTAAGACAGTGGATTACTCCCTCCTCCTTAATACGCTTTCTTCACTTAGTTTCCAGGACATCATAATCTCTTGATTTTCCTCTAACTTCACCAAACACTCCTTAGTCTCCTTTGCCAGTTGTGCCTCTTCTCTGACCTCTTAATATTGTGGGGCCTTGGGACTCAGTCATTGGATTTCTTCTCTATCTCTATTACTTCCCAGGTGGTCTCATCTGAGCTCATGACTTTGTAGGCCATCTCTATACCTATGACTCCCAAATTTATATCTCCAGCTTGGACTTTTCCCTTGAACTTCAGACTTCTGTATCCAACTTCCTACTCAATATCATCTCCACTTTAATTTCTTTATTTTATTTTATTTTTTGAGACAGAGTCTTTACTCTGTCACATAGGCTGGAGTGCAGTGGCATAATCTCAGCTCACTGCAACCTCCACCTCCTGGGTCCTAGAGATTCTCATGTCTCAGCCTCCAGACTAGCTGAGATTACAGGTGTGTGCCACCATGCCTGGTTATTTTTTGTATTTTTAGTAGAGACGGGATTTTGCCATGTTGGCCATGCTGGTCTCGAACTCCTGACCTCAAGTGATCTGCCTCCCTTGGCCTCCCAAAGTGCTGGGGTTACAGGTGTGAGCCACCACATTTGGCCTCCACAAGGATTTCAAATCGGCATCTTGATATGTCCAAAACACTGCTCCTGATCTTTCCCCACAATGAAAATGTAAGAAAGTATTTTATGCATATATCATAATATCACTTTGTGCCCCATAAATGTAACAAGTATAATTTGCCAATTTACAATTTTTTTAAAAGGGTAAGAACAAAGGAAAGCCTGCTCCAAATTATACCCTTTCTCGGATGTAGGTAGTATCTTAATCCTTGTAGATATTCTTGATATCTTTCTTTTTCATTCACCATACCCAATCTATCATGAAATTAGGATGGATCCACCTTCAAAAATTGACAAGTCAACCATTCTTCACCACATCCTCTGCTACCTCCCCATTGCTTGATCTCATCAGTACTGCTTCGACCTATCACAGATAGTCATGTGGCTAGTTCCCTTTTATTCTGTGCTCAGATGTCACCTTCTCAGCAAGGCATAGCCTGACCTCCCTGTTTGATACTGCAGCCTGTACCCTCTCCCCAGCATTCCCATGTCTGAAGACCCTGCTTGACCTTTTCTTTAATCCGTGACACTTACCACCTCCTAGCACATCATAGTATACTTATTTAATTGTTTGTCATTTATCTCCCCCTCTTAGAACATAAGCATCATAAAGGCAGGGATTTCTATCTATTCGTCCACTACTATACTGCCTAAGCTCCTGGAACAGTACTTAGCATAGAGTACATCCAATACGTGTTTGTGGGATTGAATTAGAAGACTTAAGTATCTTACCAAAGACTGCTTACACAGTGACAGGTCTGGTGTTCAAACTCCAGCCTCTCTGATACCAACGCCAATACCCTTGACAACTTCATCCTATGGCATCATGGAGCAGTGGTTCTCAGCAGGGGTGCTCTGATCCCTTCTTGGAAGCCAAGGAAGCAATATATTCTTGCTACAGCCAAGCATACAAAGTATTATGATGACTCTCAGAGACAATATTGAGTTGAACATGTCACTCAATACAATATACAGTGAAGTTCAACTCGATGTAAGGGGGAAGAGGTGTGCAGCAACATCAAAGAAGTGTCCAGGGGCAGGAGCAGGGAGGTGGACTGGGGATTTGTTGTTCAATGGGTATAACGTGTCAGTTATGCTAGATGAATATGTTCTAGAGATCTGCTGTATGACATAGTGCCTATAGTTACCAATACGGTATTGTGCACTTCAAAACATCTTAAGTGGGTAGATCTTACGATATGTGTTCTTACCACAAAAAGAAAGAACACAAAAAGCTTGGGAGGTATTGGATATGTCTATTACCTTGACTGTGGTGATGGTCAAATAGGTGTGTGCATATGTTCCAATTCATCACATTATACACCTTAAATATGTGCAGTTATTTGTGTATCAATTATACCTCAATAAAGCTGTTAAATTGGTGGGTTTTTTAATCTTAAAAAATCAAATGTCACAGAACACTATCACACAGGTATGCAGAAAGACTGCCTGTTCTCTTGCCTCCTGGGCGTATAAGTGAGCATGGTTAGGGCAGGCAACTGTTCTATTTGAAGTATGACACAAGGCTGAGGCATATTGATAAACAGCAATTTTTTGCCAGGTCCTGTGAGGCATTGTTAGAGTACAATAGAGATAACATTATTATTATTATTATGACTGACTTGTTTATTAGATTTTTAAAATCTGTTGAAGTGTACTAACAAAAAGTCTAGTACTCAACATTGTGTCATAGGTTTATTTTTGTTTGTTTTTTGTTTTGTTTTGAGATGGAGTCTCACTCTGCCACCCAGGCTGGAATGCAGTGGTGCCATCTCAGCTCACCACAACCTCCGCCACCAGGGTTCAAGTAATTCTCCTGCCTTGGCCTCCCGAGTAGCTGGGGTTACAGGCATGTGCCACCATGTCCGGCTAAATTTTTTTCTGTATTTTTAGTAGAGACGGGGTTTCACCATGTTGGCCAGGCTGGTCTCGAACTCCCGACCTCAAGTGATCAACCCACCTCAGCCTCCCAAAATGCTGGGATTACAGGCATGAGCCACCAGGCCTGGCCAATGTAATAGGTTTAAAAAATTGTTGAGCACCCTTGGCATCAGGTAAGCTTTACTGACTTTAACCACCCTTCCGCCATGTAGGCCAGGCAGGACGACACACCTTTTTCCTGCTTTTATTTCTAAATTTAAAAAATTATGAATGAAGCAGAAACCACAGAATGGAGTTTAATTCATTTAAGAAGCAAACAACAACAACAACACAACCACAAAGCCAGTGAGAATCTCCCTGAATGAGTATGCATGGTACACAGGGGAAAGAGTAGTAGACGCCAGGAGACATCCAGGTTTTGCAACTAAATGTGTGACTTTAGCCAGGTCATTTTCCTTCTCAGGGCCTCAGTTTCCTCATTCATAAAATAAGTGGTGGGGTAAAAACAAAAAATAGAACTGGCATGTGATCCAGCAATACCACTGCTTGGTATATATCCACTAGAAATGAAATCAGTATGTTGAAGAGATACCTGCATTCCCATGTTCATTGCAGCATTATTTACAATAGCTAAGATGTGGGATCAACCTAAGCATTCATCAACAGATAAATGGATAAAGAAAACGTAGTGTATATACACAGGGGGATATTATTAGGCCTTAAAAAGAAAAAACTCTGCCATTTGTGACAGCATGGACGAACCTGGAGACATTATGGTAAGTGAAATAAGCCAGACACAGAAAGACAAATATTGCATGATATCACTTATATGTAGGATCTAACGAGTAAAAGGGTTTGCTACCTGGGGGTAATCTAGGGATAGACTGGGTTGGAGAAATGGGGAGATGTTGGTTAAAGGATACACATTTTCAGTTATAAGATAAATAAGTTCTGGGGATCTGTTGTACAGCATGGTGACTATAGGTAAGAATACCATATTGTATACTTGAAATTTGATAAAAGAGTAGACTTTAAGAGTAGATCTTAACTATCTTGCCACACAAAAAAGTTAACTGTGTAAGATGATGGGTATGTTAATTAGCTTGATTGTGGAGATCATTTTACAATGTATACATATATTGAAACATCACATTGCATACCTTGAATATATACAATTTTGATTTATCAATTATCCCTCAATAAAGCTGCAAAGAAAACCCACAAATGATGAGGTGAGGGGCAGCCCTAGATAACCTGCACACTGTCCTCCAACACTGATCCTATGTGGGCCAATTGTTATGGGTTGAAGATAAAGATGTTGCTTGAAACAAAATGTACAAGAGGTTAGAAAAGCATTTCAACTCATTTATTTCTGTATTTAGTTAGTGCCTTAGGTGCAGAGGGTTGAGTTAATCAAACTCAGCTCATGGCACATTTATCATCATTGGTAACTTGCTTGATTTATTTACTCCCTGTCATCCCCACACTTCACTCAAATTCTCCTTCCTCCCTCATTAGCAACTATTGTCTTCTGCTTAAGATATTTTTGTTTGCATGTGTTGTTACAAAATGTGTATTATCAGTTTGAAAGAATGTCTTTTGAAATTTCTGTAAACTGTGTATTGTGGTATTGTGTTATATATATATTATTCTGCTTCTTGCTATTCTTTTTTTTTTTTTTTACCCAGCACTGTGTTTTAAAAATCTATACATGTTTCTCTATGTACAACTAATCTCTTATTTCCAATTGCTGCAAACTACTTGAGAACGTGTATCCACCACATTTGCCTCTCCACTCTCTTGGTGATGGATGCCGGATTGCCTTCAACTCTCTGTCACCATAAATATTGCTGCAATGAGAAGCATTCCATTTTAAAAAGAATTGTAGGTGAGGGTGCGAATAGGGAGCTGCCTCTGAGCTGTGACTAGAATGATGAAATGCTACTGTTAGGGTTTCCTTTTCTCCAGCATGCTGCAGAACCTTGGGTAATGGAATTAAATCCAAATGCTTCAGCTGGGGCAGTAATCAGAAGTTGGGCTCTTGTGTCAAGTAATTGTGCCACTATGTTTTCTTCACTGAATTGACTAGTTATTTGAATCAGTTAACCCATTTGATGAGGGATTTTGACACTGTGTAAATGCTCCACCTCTGCCCTCTCTCCCAGGGGATGATCCCACACAATCCCCCCAAATTATGCAGACTATAGTCTCTCACCTCAAGTGGATCTTTAAGGAGACCTACAAATTTTTCTGTTTTGCTACTTAGCTCTTCCTCCTGTTCTCTATAGCAGCTATTTTAAACCTTCTCCATCTTATCAGTCTCTTCTCACTCTCAGCAGGTTGCCTCACCTCCTACTTCACAGAGAAAATAGAAGCTATCAGATGAGAGCTCCCTTAAATTCCGATTACCAAATCTATATATTTGCCTGCGTCCACACCCACCCTTGCCACCTTCCTTCCTGTTACAGTGGAGTGCCTCACCTTCTAAGAGGAATCCTTCCATCTGTGCCATGGATCCCATCCCTTCCTTCCTTGTTCTACTGGCTAAATTATGTCCCCCCTCAATATTTCAACCTCTATATTTCTGCTAGGTACTTCCCTTAACCATGTAAATGTGTTCATCTCTCTCTTATCTTAATACTACATTTTAAAAAACTTTCTCAACCTCAGTCTCCTCCAGTGACCTCCACCCCTCCACCAACTTTTGCAACTTAGTGGCTACGTTTATTCAAAGAGCTACATTGCCCTCTTCTCCTTCCTCACTGCTCAACCTCTTGGATCTCACTAAAGTTTCCTTGGCTTACATGGGACCTCATATTTCTGGTTTCCTTCCTACCTCTCCAACCATTCCTTCAGGATGTCCCTTGCAGGATGATCCGCCTATGCCTGGCCCTCAGTGCTCCTCATTTCTGGGCCTACTTGCTTCCATTCTTCCTCCGTGTACTCCCCCTTGGGAATCGCATTCACTCCTAAGGTGGCTTCAATTACCATTGATATTGCCAAAATCTCCATTTCCATCCCTAACCACTCTTCTCTCCTCCAGACTTACATATCCAACTCCCTTCTAGACATCTCCACCTGAATGTCCCACAGGCATCTCAAAACCAGATGTCCAAGACTGAATTTATCATCTTTGTCAACAAAAACCCTTTGATCATTTTCACTGTTACATCTCAGGGAAATTCATCACACTGCATATATTCCTATTATTACTAAACTTTTAAACTACAAAAGTTATAGATACTCTATAAAAATTCAACATATACAGAAGTATGTAAAATACAAAGTGAAAGCCTCATCAATACTTCTCCCCAGAGGTAAACCACTATCAACAATGAGGAGTGTGTCCTTACTTTTTTCTGTATAACTATGGACATGCATGCACACACAAAGTTTTGTTTTTACACATACTTTATCATGCTACATGTACTGTCATGCAAATTTCTTTATGGCAGAAAAATATATTGTGGATATATTTGTATTATTAATCAAATTGGTATAGCTTCTTCTTAGCTGCATATTATTCCATACTATATATAGCCCACATTTATTTAACCCTTCTGATATTGAAAAGCTTTAGCTTATTTCCAGTTTTCACTATTTCAGGGTTGCACTGAATAACCTTGCCCATAAATTTTTGAATTGTTGAGCTAGGATAGAATGCTATAAGTGGAATTTCTGAGCTAAGTTTATATACACTGAAGTTTGGATAGACATTGCTAAAGTGTGCTCAATAGCTTGAATGGGGTTTTCCCTCTACTTTTCAACTGAGAGACAGCATACTACAATAAGATGCATAAAGTACATTATTTTAAGTGTGCAACTGAATGAACTTTTATATGTGTACTTAGCTATGAAAGCACCATTTCCGGCCTCCCAGAAGGCTCCCCCCGGCTTTTTTTGTGTTTTGTTTTTGTTTTTTTTTGTTTTTTTTTTTTTTTTTGAGATGGAGTCTCGCACTGTTGCCTGGGCTGGTGTGCAATGGCGTGATCTCGGCTCATTGCAACCTCCGCCTCCTGGGTTCAAGCGATTCTCCTGCCTCAGCCTCCTGAGTAGCAGGGATTACAGGCACCCACCACCATGGCCGGCTAATTTTTTGTATTTTTAGTGGAGATGGAGCTTCACTACGTTGGCCAGGCTGGTCTCAAACCCCTGACCTCGTGATCTGCCCACCTCAGCCTCCCAGAGTGCTGGGATTACAGGCGTGAGCCACCACGCCTGGCCAGAAGGCTATCTTTAAACCTTCCCAGTACAGACTTCTCCCTGAGAGATCACCACTATTCCAATTTCTATAATCATCGATTGTTTTTGTCTGCTCATATAAATGAAATTGTACCGTCAAAGAAGCCAGACTCATTTGTGTCTGGTTTCTTTGACTCAACATGTTTTATATTTATCCATGTTGTCGTGTGTGTGCATAGTTCATTTTTTACTGTTATATAGTATTCCATTGGATGAATGTCCCACAATTTGTTTATCCATTCACCTGCTGATGGACGTTTTGGTTGTTTCCACCATGTTGGCTGTTATGAATAATGTGGCTATGAACATTTGTGTGCAAATATTTGGTTGACACGTTTGCATTTCTCTAGGGTGTATATGCCCAGGAGAATTGCTGGGTCATAGGGTGTGTTTAACTTTCTTAGAAACTACAGAACAGTTTTCCAAACAGGCTATACCTGTTTGCCCTTCTGCCAGTTGTATAAATTGAAACTTCCTAGCATATGAAAGTATCAAATAGTGTATTGTTACTGCACACTTGTCTCCCCAGACAAGTTTAGGAACTGTCTTGTTCAGTACATCAAGTATAGTGGATTCTCAATAAATATTTGTGGAATTGGACTAGTAATTAAGTAGTTACTATTTGTTATGCTTCAAGGTCTCTACCACACAATTTTAAGAATTAACATATGTTACTGTGGACAAACTGTTGTAGGTATGGATGTTTTATTACACGAAGGACAGCCCATTTTTATGTGTGTAGGACTGTGGCCTTTACTTCATTGTATCCTCTACGGAGCTTAGCATAGAAATGGGCACAGAGGAAGTGCCCATAATGACTAGCATGCTGGACTTAGAGAGCTACCAGATTCAAAGACTGCCAAGCCTCTCTGAAACCTTTACCTGCTCATATTTCTAGACTCAGGTCTAAAGGAGGCAGAGAGAAGAGAAAAATTCTCTTCTATCCCTCACTATCTGCACTGTCACCAGCCCCAGTTTCTTAGGTTTTTAACTATAGATAGATAGTTTTCAACTTAAAAATGTTAGCCAGCTCATTCATCTATCTATCTGTAATTAGAAACCTAACTGTCTATCTATAGTTAGTTACTATCTATCTATAGTTAGAAACCTAAGAAACCTGATTTCTCAGGTCCACTAAAGACCCAGATCATGCAGGGTAGGAAAGAGCGATCCATGATAAAGTATATCTTTATGTCTCTCCTTCTGAAAGGGCCAGTGCATGAAGATTTGATATAGCCCGTTACACTAGGTCTTTATTCTTCCCCTGTAACTGTCTCTAAAATTCTCCATTCCTCTTGGAATTTGTGAGCTGAGGATGTAAAAAAGAAAAAAATCTTTCTTGCATGAACTAGGCCTTCATCAAAATTCACTCCAACTCAGATTCATTTCCATTTCTAGTCCCATTGCTGCCCACAACCAACTGAGCATGATGAATGAGTTGGCTAACATTTTGAAGGTGAAAACTGTCTATCTACTCATCTAACCATCTATCTAGCATGTCCCCGGATTTGAGTGTCTTCACTTTATTAAGGTAGCATATCCTTCAATCTTGCCTCCCCTCACATCTAAGTGAAGGAGATGTAAACAACAATCCTTACCCTTGTTTCTATGATGAATTCTAGGTTAACATAAGTAAGTCTTAGCAAACTTGGGAATCTGCCAGTCCCAACTTTTTGTTTAATTTACATAATCATTTGCATAGGACTGCATATATTAAGGAAACATCTGTACTTTTCTTACGCATTTAGATGAGATGAAATTTTTTCAGTATTTGAAGTTACTACTTAATATTGATTTCTTCTGCCTCTCCCTTTTTAGGAATCTCACTTTGTGAACATAATGCCATTAGCCTGGTGAGGTGGAGAATGGAAGTAACACTCCTCCTAGCTTTCCTTCTCAGACAACAGAGCACTCCTTAATCAGAGCTGAAAGGTCCTGGAAGTTGGGATCAAAATATATTTTCAAATATTTAAGGGAACTCATAAAAAGCTTTATGGTGAAGCACCTTCAAAAAGTGTAATTAAAAAAATGCCCTTTCAAGTGCAAAGACATAAAGGTATACTTTATAATGAATCACACTTTCCCAGCCTGCATGATCCGGGTCTTTATTGGGCTTAAGTAATTAGGGTGCAGAATGGAGGTTTGGGGAATATTTCCTAGTATTGGGGCTGAAGAGGTGCTTGTCTGGAGAGACATGGCAAGGTGACAACGTAGACAAACAATAAAGCTCATTTTAATACATTGGCTTTCCTTAGAGTGAGGCCAACTTCTGTACCCAGTATCTCTAAAGATCACCTTTTCTAACAGCACTCTTATCTATCATTCTGGGACGCTTATCTTTAACACTTCAGCTCTCTCAGCACATCCTGATTCACTTTAGTCTTAAAACGTAACTAGTGAATACCTATGTGTCTGGAATTGGTTCCTTCTGCTGCGTTCTTGGTCTCACTGACTTCCAGAATGAAGCCGGCGACCCTCCCAGTGAGTGTTACAGTTCTTAAAGATGGTGTGTCCGGAGTTTGTTCATTCAGATGTTCAGCTGTGTCTGGAGTTTCATCCTTCTGGTGGGTTCGTGGTCTCGCTGACTTCAAGAGTGGAGCCGCAGACCTTCCCCCTGAGTGTTACAGCTCTTAAAGATGGCGCTTCAGGAGTTGTTTGTTCCTCCCGGGGGCTTCGTGGTCTCACTGGCTTCAGGAGGGAAGCTGCAGACGTTCGCAGTGAGTGTTACAGCTCTTAAAGGTAGTGCGGACCCAAAAACTGAGCAGCAGTAAGATTCATTGCTAAGAGCAAAGAACAAAACTCCCACAGCGTGGAAGGGAACCCGAGTGGATTGCCACTGCCGGCTCGGGTGGACAGCTTTTATTCCCTTATTTGGCCCCGCCCACATCCTACTGATTGGTCTATTTTACAGAGTGCTGATTGGTCCATTTTACAGAGTACTGATTGGTCCGTTTTTACAGAGTGCTGATTGGTGCATTTACAAACCTTTAGCTAGACACAGAGCGCTGATTGGTGTGTTTTTACAGAGTACTGATTGGTGTGTTTACAAACCTTTAGCTAGACACAGAGCACTGATTGGTGCGTTTTTACAGAGTGCTGATTGGTGTGTTTACAAACCTTTAACTAGACAGAAAAGTTCTCCAAGTCCTCACTCGACCCAGGAAGTCCAGCTGGCTTCACCTCTCACCTGAATGAGGCCTCAGGGTAGGGGAGAGATCTATTCTTCTTAGCACTATCCCACCCTCACTGAAGAAGGATGCTACTGAATTAGTTATCATTCAACCAAAGTATATCCACTTCTATATTGTGTGAGGTGAACATGTGGGGTTTTTTCCTACCTACTCATTCATTCCTAACACCCTACTTTCTTTTTGTAGAATGACTTCTTCCCCATTGTGGATATTCTTGGTGGGATGGTAAATTCATACTTCTACCACTATCAAAACCAAAGTGCTCCTGAAGATTTTTTCTGCCACATCCTTCCTCTCACTGCTCAGTATAGCACAAAATTTAAGCTCAGCTGATTAGATACAGGCTCACAGGATTTTGAGTCTTAAGCTAGTAGTATGAGCATAGAAATTACTGTTTATTCTTCCCAGTAATGGCGCCCGCATGAGTCTACTTCCCTGTTAGGAGACAATCACTATGGTTCCTGCTTTGTAGACTCCTGTCCTTTTTCAAGCCCTGTTCTTTTTTCTTCTTTCTTTTTTTAAAACGTTTAAGTTCAGTGGTACAAGTGCAGACTTGTTACACAGGTAACCTTGTGTCATGGGGGTTTGTTGTACAGATTATTTCATCACCTAGGTATTAAGCCTAGTACCCATTAATTGTTTTTCCTGATCCTCTCCCTCCCCCCACCCTCCACCCTCTGCAAGGCCCCGGTGTGTATTGTTCTTCTCTATGTGTCCATGTGTTCTCATCATTTAGCTCTCACTTATAAGTGAGAACATGCAGTATTTGGTTTTCTGTTCCTGCATTAGTTTGCTAAGGATAATGTCCTCCAGCTTCACCCATGTCCCTGCAGAGGACATGATCTCCTTCTTTTTTGTGGCTGCGTAGTATTCCACGGTGTCTATGTACCACATTTTCTTTATCCAGTCTATCACTGATGGGCATTTGGGTTGATTCCTCTCTTTGTGAAGAGTGCTGCAATGAACATATGCATGCATGGGTCTTTATAATAGAATGATTTATATTTCTTTGGGTATATACCATTTGGCTTGCTGGGTCAAATGGTAGCTCTGTCTTTAGGTCTTTGAGGAATCTTCACACTGTCTTCCACAATGTCTAGACCTCTTCTTTAACTTTCCCATAAATGTTTTGAATTCCCAAAACACTTTCAACAAGTCCCCTTGGTTAGTCAGAACTGACAATAATGTCAGCTCAAAGACATTTGGTTTATGTGGCTGGCAACCAAAGAACCTAGAGTAAAACATTGTGCTAGGTACTGAGAGTACAATGGTAAAAAATACAAACAAGGTTCTTGCCCTAATGGAGTTTATATAATAATGGAAAGCGTAGGTCTACTCAGCACTAAGATAACAAACCCTAGATTAGGAAAAGTCAGCCATTGCTTTCCTATGCTCATGTATTTTAGACCATTTATGCACTCAGGCATGTGACAAATATTTATGGAGTGTCTATGAGTTACCAGACATTATAAGTATAAATTTAATCCATTCCACTGGTTTTGCCTAATCAAGACAGGTATAATTAGGTCCTTCCTTCGTTGCTCCAAGCTCCTTGTGTACCCTAAATGCTTGAAGGTCAGGACCAGAAACACATCATAGGCTTGAGCTATTAGAGATACAAGCCTTACCTCCTCTTAGCTTTCTGCCCCCTCCCCAACCTTCCCATATTCCTGGGTACAGGGGAAGTGGGCCATCACAGATGGTCACTGTCATCTTTGGGACTTTGGACAAAATGATAAGGATTAGGATTCTGCGCAGGAGCTTCCTCAGACATGCCTCAGAGAGAGTTTAGTACCATTCAGTGTTTGCCACTTGCCCACAGGGTACCCAGGGTGCAGCAGAGAATGAAAAGTCCATGCCCTGAGGTTCCAGGGGGCTTTGTAAATTTGCTGATCAATGCTTAATAAAGACAATTTGCCTGTGGTATTGAGAAATAGAGTCCTGTCTTATTCAAATGTCCACCCCCGCCACCATTGGCCCCACCTGGAATACCCTACTCTCAGCCTGACTAAATCCTCTGTGACTTCCTACCTGTAAAGCACTTTCTTCTATCATATCCTTGCTCTAATCATTCACTATTCCAGTGTATGCATCTGGTCTCCCCAAGTATACAGTAAACTGCTGGAGGTAGTGGCCTAAGTATGATGTGTCTATATCTTTCCCTCCATGTCAGGACTCTGTGAATACTTGGGAGTTGATTGTTGATTGAAAGCAGTCCAAAGTTTCTAGGGTCTTTTTTCCATAATTACTTGGGTCCACCTTCACACAAGTATCAGTCATTTTGTGCGCCCAGGAAAAGCAAGCCAAAGGATGCCAGTAAGATATTTAATCAGTGTTTTCCCTGCAATTTCAAACTGCCTTTGAAATTGCAGAAAGCCTGTGTTTTCCTAATTAGCAAGGGGTGTCATGATAGGAATCATGAACTTTTCTATCAAATAACGTTTCTGTTCTCGACAGTCTGTCAGGTCATTAGAGATAGGCTGTACATTTATCACTCCAGCAGCAGCAGAACAATCAAGGTTTTATTACTTGTTGAAAATAAATACAATCATGGGCATTTTAACAGCCAAAATGATCCCCCAAATCAAATCACTTGCAAAATGCATTTATTTGTAAAAGTGCTAATTGCAACCAAGTCTTGTCCTTAAATCTATTTTTGAGTGAAAGTGACTTAATATTTCGGTTCAAAGACATGTAACATTCAAGACACTTTGATCATTATTCATGTTAGTCCCTTCACACACACGGACACACACACACACACACACACACACTCACTCACCTTTCCCTACCAAAAAAGTACACATGGAGCCACATGGGGAACAATGGATTTGACTCTGATGGCAGATATTCGGGGGCCTAAGGGCCAACCTAATTTTTATATTATGTGAGGTGTTAGGGGGAACAATGGAGACCTAGGAGTTTTATACCAGTGACTGGCACCAGTGCTGTAGTCTGTTTGGTAGTCAGCATTAAATTTTGCTTAGAAGATCAATGTGATACCTTTAATGGGGTAGACATGGTAGGTTGGGGCCATGAGGGGATGAGTGGTAAGCTGATTGGGGTTTGAAAGAGAAAGGAGTGAAGATATACTGTGTTACACTGTGCTAGAACATTTTCAGACCTCATCTTATTTCAGTTTCACTTCAATTTTAGGATGCATGCATGATCATTATTACATCACGAGGTCGCACATCTAGAAAGTGACAGAGCTGGGATTTGAACCCAATTCTGCTGTCTCCACAGCCCACTGCATCATATATATTCACAAGGGTCCTGGGGAACTTGATTTTTGGTATTGAAATGTAGGTGTTTATCTTTCTCACTGGAAGGGTCTGGTTATCCTTATTTATTTATGTATTCATTTATTTATTGCTCCAAGCAGTAATATATTCTCTCAATACAAGATTCAAAAGATACAAAGAGGTATAGGGTGAAAAGTAAATGTCTCTTCCTCCTCTGCCCCCAGACACCCTGTTACCCTTCCTGAAGGCAACCACTGATACCAGTTGCTTGTGTATCCTTCCAGAATGTTCCTCCTTTACTTATTTCTATCCAAGGACAAATGTGAGCAGCACACCTGACTGGGAAGCCACAGAAGGCAAAGCTGGCAAAATTCGTCTTCATTGATCACTCTGTTGCCTTTGGGTGGCCCTTTTTGCACTCCATCCCTCTACTGTTCTGCTCACCCCAACCTGGCCTTTCCTTCCTAGAGAGAACCACCAGCTTTGAACAGTTTCTGTTCTGTTTTATTCCTCAGGACCCTGCTTGCTATTCCTTGAAGGGCTGTATTGGCTGAAAAATTCATCCTTACTAAGGAATTTATGGGTGTCTGTGGATTGATGACCCACCCTTTCCACAAAACATGTTTACATTTTAATAAGAGCTTCAATCAAAAGTGTGAGTTGAATAATGGGGATCTCAGGTGCTTTGTCATGACAGGCCAACAGGGCAGAGTATTTTTCCAAAATGTATGACCTTGTGGCTCTTCCTATCTACTTCCTCTGTGGGTTTCAGGCCAACTGGGCATCCTGAAACTTTGACCACCTGAAATTGTTTGGCTCCCATGGCAGGGAAGTAAGGATCCTGGTCTTGATTTTTATTTTTTTAAGGATGTGTATACTTAAAGCTTTTAAAACAAAATTTCCAATGCTGTAGAAATTTCTCCTCTAATATATCATAACAATAACCTGAAATCTTATCCAAAAAAGAAATAAGTATAACGACAAATAGGAGAATTATTCTGACTTTAATATTTATCAAATGTTATTCTTCCCCTTACAAAATAATAATTAAAATAGAAGGTTGGAGCAGATTGTTTCACAAATTCAACCTTTTCCCCAATCAGGGGTTGGGAGGAGGCAAGTATCTCTACTGGGATTTATTGAAAAATTCTGTTTGTGAATGGAATTCATTTTGGGATTTTTGTTTTGCTTTTTATTTTTGTTTTTTTTAAATTTCCATAGGTTTTGGTGGAACAGGTAGCATTTGGTTACATGAGTACATTATTTAGTGGTGATTTGTGAGATTTTGGTGCACCCATCACCCGAGCAAGTATACACTTGGAATTCATTTTTATTTCCACAGGTATTATATTCTTTTTACATAATTAGGCACAACTTCACAAATCAAGGAGAGGAACAGTAAGGATCTTTGTCAAAGTCATCTGCAGTAAAGAAAAAAAGAAAATTTTCAGCTGCGGCATCAGGGACTTTGCACATAGTAGAAGCATAAGAAAATTTTATCAAATGAAGGAAAAAATAAAGCAATTAGAAGAGAAGGGAAGGATATGGTGCTTTCTTTGGACTGTTTTATATAAAATCCGGGGTGAATTAATTCATCCTGACAGCACTGTTTGGACAACCAGTGCATATGTTCTTCCTACATTGTGAATAAGAGGCAGCATTATTGACCTTAACCTTAACCTAGGAGAGGATATTTATGTACAAACTCGGAGGCCTTCAAGAGAAGATGACATAAAATGTGAACATACACATTTATACCCCTTACATATTTGATATTCTTGCACTGAAAGTTTGGCTATTTCTCAAGCTTGAGAATGCCTGGTGGTACAGAGGGCATGATTTTTCACTCTCTGCTAATAGAATCAAGCTTCTGGCTGTCACTAGTACAATGGAAGGACCCAGATTTCAGTTTTAGAACCTGTGGCAGGTCTACCTGCCCCACTGGCTCAGTTCCTCTCAACTGATGAGCACTTTAATGTTGGTTTTCCAGGTCGATTGCTTGGTAAGACAACATCAATATCCTGGATATGGTATTTGCTACTGATCCTCTGAAGCAAAATATGTACACATTGGGCTGTATATTTGCTAATTAAATAGTCCCCAGGGACATCAAGAAATCCAATGCTAAATAACCCTCTTGAAAAATGTTATTTTCCAACCAGCCCCAACTATTATCTACTAAGGAGCTCCCACAACCCATGCCTTGTCTATGTCATGGCACCCCAGTGACTTTATATGAGCACCAAGACATATCCACAGGTTACTTGGCCAGAGTTTGATAAATGCTTGTGGCCAGGGAAAGGTTTTTCTCATGTGCATCACTAACTTTCCCACACAAAGATGGGAGACTGAGATGCTATACACTAGTCAACCAGCCCAAACTGGAAAATAGCGTTGCCCCATACACGGTCCTGAAACTGGCAGGCACTTAAGAGATTATCCATTCTAGTCCCCTCATATGAAAGGTAGAAAGAATGTAGCTCCAAGCAGAGAAGTGATGTGCTCAAGGTCACAGAGTGACTGACAGAGCTGGAACCTGAACCAAAGCCTTCCAACTCCAAGTTTGATGCTTTTTTAACCCACCATGCTGCTTCCAGATTGCCTTCAGCCCTTGGACATAGAACTGGTTTTTGGAGCCAACATAAAGAAAAATACTAGCGAATGAGGCAGTCCTACCTCCAGCACTGAGAAGGCAGGAGAATGACTACAGCCAGGCCACCAAAGTGTGTGTGAACTGGAGTATACTTTGGTCTTAAAGAAAGGCAACCAAAGACCACTGCACTATCATCTAACTAGAAGCACACAATGCAGACTCATCACAGTATCATCCTGAAGTTCTTAAGTTCTTGCTCACTTTGCCTTTCTCTTTACTTTAAGCCTGTAGGCCAATCCTTTTCCTACACTTTCTCTTTTTACATAATTAGGTACAACACCCCATTCCCAACTGAACATCTGTCTCAGCTTAGAAATATGGCTTCCTATGGAAGAAGCTCAGCATCTAAGAGTGATGTGTATCTCTGTTTTCTTGATAGGACTAGCCCTGAGAGCCAGAAGACCTGAATTCTGGCCCCAGTTCTGCTGGATGGCTGAGGGCTGAGTGACTGGCCCCAGTTCTACTGGATGGTAAAGATGGGCTCAGTGACTGTCAATAAGGCATTTTCCTTTTCTCTGATTGAGGTTCCTCAACTGTAAAATGAACGGATTGGACTAGACAATGTCTAAGGTTCCTTCTGGTTTTAATGGTCTGTGACAATTGTTTTTAATTACTCATGAATTTTCTAACCTCTCATCTCTTCTTTCCTCTATTAGTCTAATAACACATTCATACTTACTAAATTTACTAGGCACAGAAACACCTATACACACTTCTGTACACATTTCTATGCTTCTATACACACTTTCTCAGCCAAGAATGAGTCGAGGTATACACATGCACATGTGCATTTAGTTTTGAAGAGGAAGTATCATCCAAGACCCAGTATGTGGTCTCACATTAATTCAATATCTCTGGAATATAAATGTAGACAACACAGCCTTTTTTTCTTACCATTTGGAAAGCTTATTTCTGAAGGTGTGCCTTGTGCAGAGCCTAAAGATTTGAAAGTGGAGCTAGTTGCAGTTGACTTGAGAGATGGCGTCAACAGTTTGTGCTCAAAGATTTTCTTTAGTCCCTCCTGTTTATATCCAACCTTTATCTGACACCGGCTGCTCCCATCTGAAATGATACCAAGAAAAGTTAAAAATATAAAACTCATGAAATTCTATACTTAAAGTAGTGAATTGTATGGTATATAAATTACACTTCAATAACCTGGTTTAAAAATACAAAGTTTAGGCCAGGCGCAGTGGCTCACGCCTGTAATTCCAGCACTTTGGGAGGCCGAGGCGGGCGGATCACCTGAGGTCGGGAGTTCAAGACCAGCCTGACCAACATGGAGAAACCCGGTCTCTACTAAAAAATACAAAATTAGCCGGGCGGGGTGGCGCATGCCTGTAATCCCAGCTACTCTGGAGGCTGAGGCAGGAGAATCACTTGAACCCGGGAGGCGGAAGTTGCGGTGAGCCGAGATGGCACCATTGCACTCCAGCCTGGGCAACAAGAGCGAGACTCTGTCTCAAAAAAAAAAACAAAAACAAAAACAAAAACAAAAAAACAAAGCTTGATGCACAGTGTTCATTCCGGGTACCTGAAGGAGTCAGCTTTTCTATGAAGTTGTAAGAAGTAGGTTTGTACTGTAATGTGTGGTATAGGAAGAGACAATTCACATACCAAGGATGCCTGCTTTTCCCAGAGCACAAGGACCAGCAGGTTGCTGATATGGCCAGCATAAAGTGGGGAATGGGGTTGTTTGTTTTTTTCTCGTAAATTTGTTTGAGTTCATTGTAGATTCTGGCTGGATTAAGAAAATGTGGCACATATACACCATGGAATACTATGCAGCCATAAAAAATGATGAGTTCATGTCCTTTGTAGGGACATGGATGAAATTGGAAATCATCATTCTCAGTAAACTATCGCAAGAACAAAAAACCAAACACCTCATATTCTCACTCATAGGTGGGAATTGAACAATGAGATCACGTGGACACAGGAAGGGGAATATCACACTCTGGGGACTGTTGTGGGGTGCGGGGAGGGGGGAGGGATAGCATCGGGAGATATACCTAATGCTAGATGACGAGTTAGTGGGTGCAGCACACCAGCATGGCACATGTATACATATGTAACTAACCTGCACAATGTGCACATGTACCCTAAAACTTAAAGTATAATAAAAAAAATAAATAAATAAAATAAAATACTGGAAGAAAAAAAATAAAATAAAGTGGGGAATGGGGGGAATCTCAGTGCTACTTGTAGAATCTTAGAGTTCAAGTGCTGCCTTCACTAAAGAAAATGGATTAGGCTTTGTATTGAGACTGAGAGAAGCTGCCTGAATTGAATGGAAGATCCTTTTGATACATAGAACAGCAGTTTGCCTGCAGTGGAAACATTCTCAAGGGAAGCACCAGTGCTAAGAGGCAACATCTGAGTTCACTACATCCCCCAGTTCGTGGGCCATCAGTACACCTGTACAGCCCACTGGCCAGGCATCTTAGGAATGTTTATAAGTTCTCTCCATCTCCACCACCACTCCTTGCTTCCTACATCCACTCAACCCACTGTTGGCTACCAGCCAGAAGCCCCTGAGACCCAGTGCCTGGAACACAGTAGGCACGCATTCAGTGTTCTTTTAATTGAATTGAGACTGATGTGACAGTGAAGGTAAGCAATCCAGGGAATCTGGGCCAAAACAAAAGCATCCCTAGTTTAAAATATGGCCCAAGTCACATTCTTCACTTGACTTCACTCATCTCAGCTCAAAAGCACAAATCATTTTTATGACATGGAAACAGCCTGTGTTTTGATGCTGATATGCTGTAAGTACTCAAGTTAGGAGACAAATTAATCTGATCAGTTTTGTAAAACATGTAATATTCAAAACTTCATCCAAACTGACATCTTACCAGAAGAGTTATCCAATCGCAACCACCCACAGCAGAGGTGTATCTGCCACTGCTCCCGCACACTCTCCTTCATCACACAGTGAAACACAAAAATGAAGAATCCTAAGCCAGAAGAAGAAGGTCAGTCTTTTTTGGTTTCTTTCACCAGCTGTCACCAATGCCCTGACTCAGGCCTGCTTCTGTCATGAGAGATACTACTTTCAAGGAACCCCAGGGCCATTACTGGCTTTCTGATCTTGTCTTTGTAGACTCCCTCCCAAAGGCAAAAATGTCTATATCAAGACTTCATGTCAACCACTGTTTTGCCCCTGGACTGCTGTTCATCCTAGAGTGTGAGAGGTAAGGTAGCCCCTCTCTGAGATTGCTCTCAATGATCCCCACATCCTGGCATTGACATCCTTGTGTAGTTTACTTCCACATTGTACCAATAGAATATAGCAGAAGGGATGGCATGTCACTTCCAAGGTTAGGTTATAAAAGAGCGAGCCCTCTCTCATCACTCTGAAGGAAGCCAAGTATTTTGTCCTGAGGACATCCTGGCATCCCTGTGGAGAGGCCCACATGGTGAGGAACTGAGGCTTCCAGTCCACAACCATGTGGATGAGCCTTCCTGGAAGCACATTCCCCAGCCCCAGTCAAGTTTTCAGATCACTGCAGGCCCAGATGACAGCTTGACTACAACTTCACGACAGTCCCTGAGTCAGAAACACCCAGCTAAGCTGCCCCTGAATTCCTGATCCTCAGACACTGTGTGAAATAATAAATTTTTGTTGTTTTAGGCTGGTAAAAATTGTTAATGTGTTATATAGCAATAAATAACTATTACACATGCTTTTTGGCATAATGACACCATGTGGAAACCATGGATTTGACCCTCAACTTCTAATGCCAGCCCTGATTTTGTCCTGCAAGGGGGAGGGAAGGGCTGAAAGTCTTTGCCAGCAGTGCTGGCCATTTCTCATTCCCACCCTCTAAAATATGTCCTTGGAAGATAAAAATATGACTTAAGATTATCTTGGCCAGGCGTGATGTCTCACGCCTGTAATCCCAGCATTTTGGGAGGCAGAGGCAGGTGGATCACTTGAAGTCAGTAGTTCAAGACCAACTTGGTCAACACAGAGAAACCCCATCTCTATTAAAAATACAAAAATTAGCTGGGTGTGGTGGCACATGTCTGTAATCCCGTCTACTTGGGAGGCTGAGAATCACTTGAACCCAGGAGGCGGAGGTTGCAGTGAGTCAGAATCAAGCCACTACACTCCAGCCTGGGTGATAGAGCAAGACTCTGTCTTAAAAAAAAAATTATCTTGATTGCAAATTCCCTGGAGGACCAATTAGATTTCCTGCAGTTGGGGGTAGGATTGGCAGAAATAACTCCTGTCAATAGCCTGACTTATATTTATGTTCCATTACAAAAAGTCTTTATCCACAAAATCTTTCCAGATGCCTCAAACTGAAACTCATTTTTCCCACTTCTGAACTCTCATAACATTTTGTTTCTTGTATTATTTGCTATATGTAGCCATACAATTATTCGTCTATTTCCCATTTCTCCACCTAGCTGTTGAGTCTTTGAGGGCCGAGATATGTTTCCTTTTCATATTTATGTCATTTTGCCCTTTGTCTTTGATACACTAAGTGCGGCCGCTCAATAAATGTATGTTGATTTGAACTCCAAGACACTTGATACACAAACTCGCACATCCATCTACAACATAGTGATAACTGCTTGAGCCTCAAAATATTTATTTTGATCCAAGTGCAGTTTGGAAACCTTTATTCTCTATACAGGTTCAGCTTGCCTCTAAATTGGCTGGTTGTCCTGAAGGTAAATGATTAGTATCAAAGAGGTCTTAACCCATTGTAAACTGAGCACCAGTCTATTGTAAATGTCCCAAAGCAAATTTCAGCTACAGCACTACTGGAAGTAAAGAATCTTGACTGAGGCGAGTGACAGTCTCCTGCCATATTCTGTCCTTGTTTGACCATACCTCCCACCAGCACCATGTTCAGTTTGGGAGGAGAGGAAGATGACAAACAGAAGTATTCAAGAATACGGTGAAGAAGGATAGTGAAAAAAAGCTGAAAGAGTTGGGATATTGTATCTAGATTAAAAAAAAACTTGGAGTGGAAAACATAGGGTGAGAAGAGATGCTTACTTAGCCACAGATCTGAAAGGGCTGTCATGAAAAGGACAAACTAGGCTTGTATCTGTACAGTTGCCCGGTTAGAACCAGGAGCAATGGAAGAAAGTTTCAGAGCAACCATGTACTAACAAATCACAGCTAGTGTTTATTTAGCAATTAGTATATGGCAGGCATTGTACTATTAGTCTCATTTTTATAGTTGAGGGAACTTGGAGTCCAAGAAGTCTAGTAAACTTGACCCAGGTCACAGGGCTAACATGGAGCTAGCAGCACCAGTTCTGAATGCAGGCAGTCTGACTATAGAACACAAGGGCTTAACTACTGTACTATACTAGCCTCAGGTAAGGAAAACTGGTACCACATCAGAGCTGATAAGAAGTTAAATGCTTTGCTTTACAGAATGGTGAGCTCTTAGTCCCTGGAAAGTTTCAGGCAGAGGCAAGTGACTTCCTGTCACTCAATGGGAAGTTTGATTGGGAAGATCTTGGCTCCCTAGCCCCAGCCCTGAGACTCGGATTCCAGGTGGGAGGCAGCAATCTGGAGGCTAAACGGAATGGCATGTCTCGCTAACTCTCCCAAGGGTTTTATCTCCATGTGTAACCAAACAACTGCGGGGATGAATTCAGCAGTGTTCACTGTTTTTCTGAGCAGCAGCCACCTGGAAGGCGGTGCAGCACCCCGAGGAGAGCAAACCACAGTCTCAGAGCAGGCAAAACTCCTCCAACTTCAGCATGTACAAGGGGTGACAGTGACATCAAGCACCTATTACTACTCTGATTTCTTGCATGGAGTTTAGTTTTCCGACTTAAAAGGTTATTCTGTGAATTCCAATGAACTGCCTGCCAACTCTCCCCCTCTGCCTGACAGCTTTCCTTTTCCTTTCCCATAACAGATTGATCTGCTTACTCACTAGGAAAACACAGGCATGAGGGAAGATGTCAGGTTTTTGTCACCTGCATTTTTATTTGTGCATTCCTCCTTCACAAATAGCTCATCATGAGCATAATTTTTTCCCACTTGACCACAGGTCGCCCCCATCCCCTTCAGCCAGCATTGCAAGCTTGTCATTTGTCTTTTAAACGACTACTTTGTTCACTTGTTCCACTGTTTGTTTTGGAGGTTATTCGGGTTGTGTGTGTGTGTGTGTGTGTGTGTGTGTGTGTGTGTGTGTCTTGAATTTGAAACTCTGAGCTCTGAAAACTCCCTTGCTACAAGATGGCACATGCTATCTTGCAGTCATTTTAGGCAGGACTGGCAAGACTTTGTGCTTGATGGGCATAAGGCATATCTGACAGACAGAGACAGCTTGGCTCTTTTGGTGCTGGATCTATGGGACTTTGATTTTAGTTTTCAAGAAATACCCAATTAGAACACTTATATACTGTTGGTGGGAATGTAAATTAGTTCTGCCACTGTGGAAAGCAGTTTGAAGATTTCTCAAAGAAATTAAAACAGAGCTACTATTTGACTCAGCAATCTCATTATTGGGTATATATCCAGAAGAAAACAGATCACTCTGCCAAAAAGACACATGTACCCTTATGTTCATTGCAACAATATTCACAATAGCAAAGACATGGAATCAAACTAGGTGCCCATTAAAGGTGGATTGGATAAAGAAACTGTCTACATAGCCACCATGGAATACTACACAGCTATAAAAAAAGAATGAGATCATGTCATTTGCAGCAGCATGGATGCAGCTAGGAGCTATTACGCTAAGTGAATTAATGAAGGAACAGAAAACCAAGTACTGCATGTTCTCACTTAAAAGTGAAAGCTAAACATGGGGTACACATGGACATAAAGATGGCAACAGTAGACAACTGGGGACTATTAGGGGGAGAAGAGGGAAAAAGTAAGGGTTAAAAAGCTAACTATTGGGTACTATGCTTACTACCTAGATGATGGGATCATTCATACCCCAAGCCTCAACATGACATGATATACCCAGCTAACAAACCTGCACATCTACCCCCTGAATCTGAAATAAATGTTGAAAAGAAAAGAAATATCCTATTAAATTCTGCTTCTATCCATGCAGGCTCCTTCCTTAGATGCTACTTTCCACCATAAGAGTGGTTTTGAAAACACCCCTGCCCCTCCTTTATAAGCTCGAAATTGCCTAGCTTTCTTGATCTTTTGCCAGCTTTCCTTTAACCCCTCTTTCCACAGAGTGAGTACATTTCTCCTCAGAATCACTGAGCCAAAGAGAAGCCTGGAGTTACCACTGTGGATGAAGTCTTCACAGGCACCTGGGTTCTAAACCGTTTCCGTGGACATTCTATACCATGACTGGTTAGTTCTTGAGGTTAGAGCATCGGGTTAGAATACTGTAGTGTGGGCCAGACAGTTCTATCCAGAGAAAAAGTGTAGAACCATCACCAGGGCCTCAGTCCTACACTAGAATACAACCTTCAGTTCTACACTAGAATTCAACCAAGTGCCAGTAGCCTCAAAGGGAACCAAGCGAGGATGGTATTGAGAGTTTCTAAAAATTCCATTCCTACTACCAGAGGCAATAAAAATGGCATGTGAAGGAAGAACAACATATTTTGTGACTTCTTACATTCCAATTAGAACATGGATGTATATGGTTGGCAGGATCTGGTGGGACAAAAAGTTTCCGTTGATCCACCTCATTGCTCTAAAATAAGATAGTTTCTTGAGTCCTAAAACATAAATGCAAAAACCATGCCTTCTGCTACATTGCTTCCCACCCCCTCAACTCCGCAGCACTTTGCAAGTGCCTGTCATATAATAACTGCATGTCAATTTATTTTTCTCAAGGTTCCTCAAGGATTAACAATGACCACAATAAAAGGTTCAGAGGTTTTTAAGACACTACATTAAAACAACTTTTTAAAGGTTTTTTTTTTTTCATAATAGAGCTTTTACCATGCTAATGTATACAGTGCTATTCCAAGAAAGGGGGAATGTAATTTGCCACATTTCCCAAAGTTATTTGACCATAGAACTTTTTCCTTGTGGGAGCATCCCATGGTACCATCAGTGGGCTTCAGTATGGAAAATAAGGGTTTATTGAATGAAAAAAAAATAGTGGAGAGCACGAAGGGAGACTCTAACTCAATGAAATGCCAACTTGACTCTCAGCCTGTCCCAGTAGCCCAAATGGACTGGACGACACTTGAGGATAAAAGTATGGGGTAGAATTAGAGACTCACACAAAATCATTTTGCATGCCTCTTCCCCCCAATATTTTTAATAGGCAAAATCAAGTTAAGATGAACGTCAGCAATTATTCAGAGCTATATGAACCAGACTCTAGCTTTTTTTTTTTTTTTTGACAGAGTCTCTCTTTGTTGCCCAGGCTGGAGTGCAGTGGCACGATCATAGCTCACTGCAACCTCTGCCTCCCAGAGTTTGAGCAATTCTCCTGCCTCAGCCTCCCAAGTAGCTGGGACTACAGGCACACACCACCATGCCCAGATAATTTTTATATTTTTTAGTAGAGACGGGGTTTCACCATGTTGGCCAGGCTGGTTTCAAACTCCTGACCTCAAGTGATCTGCCTGCCTCGGCCTCCAAAAGTGCTGGGATTCCAGGCACGAGCCATCACACCCGGCCCCTAGCTTTTACTTCTCATGCCATCTTTTGTCTACCATTTCATCACTTCATTGATTATTTGTTCATTTCATCGGAATAAAGGAAAATAATTAAAAGAGCTCTAGGGCCTTTAGCTTAGGATCATCTAATTCAACCAATTATTGTAACTTTTTAAAGGTTGTTTTACAGCAAACTCAAGGCTACAACCTTGGCCTTTCCCACAGCCCTTTGATTTTAACCTTCATTCCTGTATGATTCTATGATAGTCTAGCCTGGCTCTTTCCCAAAATATTAGGATATCAGATGCAGATAGAGCCTATGGGGTCAAAACTTTAATGTTTTTGCTTTCCAGTTAATTGCTATGTTTAGCTGGATTGTGTACCTCAAAAAGTCAACGTGAGTGTGAATCTGTACATTTTCTAGCACAATGTGTTGATACAATGAACACTATAAGAAGTATTGCCAATCAGTGTTTGATATAGACATTTCCAATTACCTAAAGTTGGGTTACCTATCTGGGCTTCTCCCTATACCACTGAGCAAGAGAGAGTGGGCTGTGGGTGCATTTAATGAAGACTAACATCTAGTTAATGTTTCCAACAGGTGATTATTTTCCAAAGCAACAAAAGCTTTGCTGCATGTGTAGCTGGCCACAGAAAAGGCAAAAAAGCACCAGTTACCTTGCAAAGTGTTAAAAATGGCAAACAAATACAAGAAAAAGTTCCTCATGGGTCCCCAAGCAAAAAATGCAAACCCCCAGGTGAGGCCAAGTAAGAATGTCAGGCTCATTGTGCCTTTGAGGTCATGCAGGATCATCTTCCGCCGAGTCTTCTGGATTTGGGATTTCACAGAATTCAGTTGAACAAGAACAGTGCAGAACATGGAGAGATTCATGAGAAATATGAGGCAAAAATAAGCCACCACTGAGATGTAAAAGATAGAATCATCTTTAATCCAACAACTGTAAGAAACAAAGAAGACTATCATGAGATAGGGAAACATAAAGTCCTATTTCTCAGAGACTGAAGATCATCTAGTCAATTTTATTTCACCCTAAGGGCATCTGCCCTAGAGAAATGAACTGGACAGAGTTCACTCATACCAACTGGAGGCAGAGCTGGGACAAAAACCTCAATCTCCTGAGCCCCAGTTCAGGGTTCTTTCCAACACTAAGTCAGAAATCCTAGAGGATGTTTCTGCCCTACATATGCAGAAACCTGTCAGTCCAATTCCCTAGGAAATGGTTCTCTTCGTTAACAGCAGAAAAACGAATGATACATTTTCCCCCAAAGTGGCTCTCTGTCGCCGTGCTCCCCACACCGCCCCCGCACGCCCTGCCCCCCCGCCACCACCTTACACCTAAGCTCTTATTTGCAGGATTAATTCTACTTTACATGATAAATATCACAGTGAAAGGATGTGAGCAATGAATGGATTTTCTGAAAGCTACATCAAACAATGGTGAAATTATGAAAGTTAATGAAAATGCTACAAAAAGAGAACTCTAGGTGTACTGCTTTAAAATATGATGTATTTGGATGACAAAGGCAACACTGGTTACTGGATTGATTAACAACTCTACGGTTTTTATTAAAGAAAAAATATGCAGTGATTCATATGAACAGATAGTCCATTTAATAACATTTGCAATTACTGGAGGCATTTTCCCTGATTTTTGAACACAGAGAAGCTTGACTAATTTAACTGTGTGTCAACTTAGCTGAGCTCTCTTTTCTAAAACCAGGAAAATCTCTTTTGGTCATGTCGTTTATGTTGGCGTGGATACTTACACATATGTGTGAGTTTGTGTGTGTGTGTGTTGCAAACATGTTAAAAAAACATTTAATTTTCCTAATAGATTCTGACACCTAGAGTTCCCTGAATGTCATCAGCATCCTTAAAAGACGCCACAGAAAACTGTTAAAATGAGATAGTGTTATATGTTTGGGTAGAGAATCACCTCCAAGATATATTGTTAAGTGGAAAGACCAAGGTGCTAAATGGTGTATATCTACCACTTGGGTAACAAAGTGTGCAAGAGAATATCCATACAAATTTGATCGTTGGTAATAAATTGGTAATAAGAGTTACCTCAGGAGGGAAACTGGGTAGCTAGGGGTTGGAAGCGGGGCTTACTTTTCATCCTCTACCCTGTTGTACGTTTGGATTTTGTTCCATGTGCATGAATTACTTCTTCAAAATATAATTTGAAAAAAAACTATTAGAGCAGTCGGCCTCTTACTAACCAAGTCACATCTGAAAAATCTCTTTTGGGAAAAAGTGGAGTTGATTTTGTTCTGATTTTGCTTTTGCTCTTGCTTTTGATGGTTCAAGAAGGGTCACCATTAGGTAGACACTGGGGACTTTTTAAGTCACAAAACGGGCAAAGGGGGAGGATGGAGGGGGAGATGAGAAGGAAGGGAAGAGAAAATGGAAGAGAAAGAAAACATAACAAGGAATTTTAATTAGAAAGCATCTGCTGCAAAGGGCAAAATAATTTTGACCCCATGGAAACTGTCATCTCAGTATGAAAGATGGGGGAGTCTTAGAGCAGGACCTTCTACATTTAATTCCAGTCCAGTGGGAGAGGAAATCTATAGTGGAAGAGAACTTGAGAGGCAATGATAAAAAGAATGGAACAATCAGAAGTGTAAAATGAGATTGTGCAGCCTAAAGGACCACAGGGCAACTATCTACATGCCTGTAAAAGAAGGTTCTGGAGAGGTGGGGTGAAGTGAATTGCTACTCTCGCGTGATTGTGGTTGAGAGAACTAAAGAGATGAACTTATACATCAAATGGGAGAAAAGGAAAAAAATGAAAAGAAACAAGAGGACAATAAAGCCGAGGCCGTTTACAAAGGAAAGCTGTTCAGCGTTCTTCAGGGAAGACCTTTGTTGTTGAAAGGTAAAAAATGTTTTCCAAATCATCTCAGAATTTCCTTGTAGGGGCCACTAACTCTTTGCAATGACCTGATGTGTGAGCTTTGTAATCATAATACCTGCCAGTTACACAGCATAGAACAGGCAATATGCTGAGCACATTTCATACATCATATCATTTTAATTTGCACAGGACATTAAGAGAAAACATTATTATCCCCATTTTCCAGAAGAGGAAATTGAACTGAAAGGTAAGGTAACTTGCCCAAGGTCATAGAGGACCCGGGCAACTAACCATCACATAAATGTGGCCTATGTTTAGGGCAAAAGGACTTAGGTTGATTTCTTCCTGAAGCCAAGGGTCAAGACCAATCCCAGGCCAAGAACATTTTACTATACCCTGCTGGGCCAGAGCCCCACCACCAGAGAAACAGAGATGCTGGTACTTACAACGGAGTTGTTGGGCTCAGAGTTCCATACAGATCTTTTTTCACACTGACTGTGATTGCCACCATGATAGCCGGGATTCCTGCAGTGGGAAAGCAAGTCAAAGGCATTTCATCAGGTAGCAGGGAGGCAACCTAATCAATGACTGTGGGTGATGATACATTAAGACACTGTTTAAATAAGCCACAGATGTGCGGGCATCAAAATACTATTGTTTGCAAAATGTTTGTGAATTCTTCCAAGTTAAGCATTTCAAGGAGTTCTCCAATCTGCTAAACTAGACAGCATGCCAATGGCTCCAATACAACGCCCACTAGTTATTAAAAATAGCTCAAGTGCCAGAAAATCAACTTGGCAAAAGAAGTATCTAGTTGAGTGGAATGCAAGTTCGCATCAAGCATTTCTTCTTAGATCATGAGCCCCTAATTTTTACTCCCTTTCACATCGCCCCTTTGTTCCCAATAGCTTTTTGTCTAGGTCACCTTAGGAGAAGGGCACAGGCAATCAGCTGCAGCCTTCAGTGCTTTTTTGACAGGGAAACTGTTTCCACACTCGTTACTAGTTTGACATTTTGACTAGATCGACCGGTTAACAACCACTCAATTCAGTCAGACTATAATAAAGCAATCAGTTCAGTCAAAATGGTCAAACGTGAGGAGAGTGTAGACACAGGGTTTAAAAATCCAATTTCTTGTACATTTGCAAAAAAAAAAATGATTTCTTTATCTCTCAATTGTATTTCTCCTAGACTAAGCGCATGCACCTACATACATTTTAGGGGTTTTGTTAAATGCTTTCCAAAGCTGTTCCAAAGCCCAGAATGCCAAGTATCTTGAAAAATCCTCCACTGTCCCATTCTGTGATAAACAGGATGGTCACTTCAAATCTGTATAGCCCACCCCAAGCACAGCACCTAGAATGCTGCAGATGTTTTTTAAAATAGAAGGCTGGAAGGGAGAGACAGGGGAAGGCCTCATATTTAGGATGGAAGTTGTGCGGCAGTCTTCAAGCTGTGTTTACATATTGAAAATAAAAAAAAAAGATCCCTTCTGTTGTTATTTTAAAAATATAAACAAATCTACTGTCTTGGACAGGGGTTCATTAAGTTGGTGCAAAAGTAATTGTGGTTTTTGTCATTAAAAGTAATAAACCTTTCCAACAGGTTGCTTTGGCATTCATAAGGCAGAGCATCAAACATAAACAGATATTAATACCTATTTTCCTTACAGTTGATTGCTTTTGTCTAATATTGAAATGCTCCAAAACTCCCTGTAGTGGGACAGCTCAGCTGTGGCTCCCTGGTGACCGTGCATGTATCCACATAGACCACACAGGTAAAGGCTTATCTGAATTTGGGCGGTGTGCAGGCCTCCACAAATTTGAGAAGGTGGGAGGCCTGTGAGGAGGTGCTCCGGGGCCATCTCCTACTCACCTCCCTATCTCCTCCAGGAGGCTGTCAGGAGACAGCTTCTCATCATCTCCCAGGGTTCTGCAGAGGTGTGGGCCTTTGTACCCTGCCCCCTTAGAATAGGGCTGCAGAATAGGAAACAGTATCACTTCCATTCAAAACTAGCTCCTCAGCCACTGGGAATCCTACAACTCACGTGGCGGTCATCCATTCCCTTTGTTTTGGGGTCGTTCTTTTTAGTGTGGGGGACAAGAATGTGAAAGATGGCACTTTTAGGTACTCTTCCTTTCACAGTTTATGTAAGTAATAAACTGAACATAAGAGTGGCTTATTGTATCTTTCTTTACTGATTGAGCCAGTCAGACTTCTCAGCTTCTGTGTGTAACTAAAGTTTTCCTGCTTCCAAGTACCAAGCTTTAGCCTTTCCTGCCTCTCCTTGTAACCCAAGAAATGTGTATGAAATTAGAAGATCAAAGAGATAAGAAGTGAGTCCTGGAGGAAGGGTTTAAAAAAGAAGCTGGGAATGAGTGATGATGAGGGAGAAGGAAAGCCAGGATGAAGTGATATTTACAGCCCTTTCACAATTGGCCATGTGTGGGTTATCTGCTTTTTGGATTATTCATGAAGCCTCTTCCACATTTTTCAATCCTCTGATTGAATCAAGATGAGGGACACAAGGCACTAAGGGGAGTGTATCGACTGCTTTTGTCTCTGTGCTTCCGATGGATTCCGAAGTGTACTAAAACAAGCTTTTAGATTATGATCTGTTCAGTATTTGCCTGTCTCTGCTCCCCATATTAACATAGATAATAGCACTGACTGTGTATCCAGTGAAAGCATGTACTATGTTAATGAACTCATTAAAGGGATGAGTAGCTAATCAGGAGAGTATTGTCTTCACAAAGGCAGTGGAAGATAAAATCTGTGTTCCTATGTACCCAAGGTATGCTACTTAATATACATCTCCTACACATCTAACACATTTTCTGAACCCAAAATCTGCCTTGAATACACAAGGGAGAGAGAGGAAAGGAGCCGAGCTGACCATGTCAGTTAGAAATACAGGAAAGCAAGCCAATGAAATGACATTTGTATTCAGAAAGATCTATGCTGAGAACCATTCCTGGCTTCTTCCAAGGCCAGCAGTGATCATCACAGTCATGAGGTGTGATGAGAATCAGGTTCTGGCTGACCCAGCACTCTTTCACCCATTTCAAGTCTTTTCCTGTTCTTTAAACAATATGGCAAGACCATAGAGGTTAGAAGTCCAAACTATGGAGACAAACTTCCTGGCTCAAATCCCAGCTCTCTTGCCTACTAGCTGTGTGAGTTTTGGCAAATTACCTCATCTTTCTGTGTGCCTCAGTCTCCTCATCTATTAAATGGGAATAATGATGGAATCTATCCCGTGGAGATATTATGAGGATTAAATGCATATATAAAGCACTTAGAATAGCATCTGGCACATGTAAGTGCTACCTAAGTGTTAGCTGTTTTATCAGTATTTGTTGTGACTGTAACTTCTGTAAAGGAAGGGATAAAATCTGTTCACTACTATAGAGCCAGCACTTAGCACAATACACAATAAGTGCTCAATAAATATTTGTGCACCAGCTCCTCACCATAAAGGTTAAAAATTGAATTTATAGAGCAATACAGGCAGAAAAAAAAGATGCATGCCCAAACACCAGCAAGGCGATCCTTAATTTTTTACCTATGATATTAACAGAATCTAACAGAGCTAGAATTAGAAAGACAGACTTAAGACATAAATATCAAAAACAATGGCAGATATACTTACCCCAACCAACTAGACAAAATTTAAGGATATAATTTGGAATGTATATGTTGAAGACTTTGACTAGAGCCAAATACATGTGGACTGCCTCCAGGCCCATCCAAGTAAAAGAAACAAGCAGGAAGTAATGAAGTGCCACTGCAGCTGTGATACAAACTCCCACTTTCTGAAATGATGACAACCAAGAATTGATCAAAAATACCAGGTTTAGCATCAGTAGTGCTGTGCACAGGTTGATCAGAATTTTGGCAGGATAATCTTTTCGAAGTTTGCTAAAAGAGAAAGTACAATGTTGTTAGGTAAAGTCTGTTTTTTTTTTTTTAATTAAACATCGCCACATCTTATCTACATAATAAGTGAAAGAATAAAAGAATTACTCATCTTTGCTTATACTTTGAAGTCCCTCATTCTCTTTCCAGGTAAAGTCGAAGCATAATAAATATAGTGACCTTAACTAACAGAAATAATAATAGTCTCTCTCAACTACGCAGTTGAGAGAGGCTATTATTTTTCTTTTTATCTTTTAGAAAGAAGGAAGGAGTTTCCTGGGTACTATGAGTCTATCACCACTGCTTCAGCAGGCTGGAGCTACATATTACCAAATAGCAGGATGACTGTGGAAACCATTCCAAGTAGAGCTACTTGGATAGTTCTAAAGATCCCGATATATGGCCTCATGGAAATATGGTCTTAAGTTTTATTAAGTGATTGCAACTTTACTTTGCAGAAACTCACCCAGTATTTTTCAAAATAAAAAAAGTATTACCCCCTTTGATTATTTTACGCTGTTATTAAATATTTATTGATTTAAATTTTGCTGTTTTCATTTTGTGTGAATTTTTTTCTGAGATAAATATTAAAGTGCACAAGTGTTAACAATATAACTTGATGGATCTTTACATATGTATATACCTGTGGAACTTCGACACAGATCAAGAGGTAGAATAGTTTCAACATCCCAGAAGGCTCCTTCATGCTTCTCCCATTCAATATCACCCACCAGAGGTAACCAATACTCTCACTTCTATCCCCATAGATTTCACCTGTGTTTGGAACTTTTTGTAAATGGAACCACACAGTACGTTGTCTTATTTTTCTGGCTTCCTTTGCTCAATTCTATGTCTATGAGATTTAAATATTATGTTGCATTGCATAGAAGTAATTCATTTTTTACTGCTGTGTAGCATTCCATTTTACAAATATATCACAATTTATTCATCTAATCAACTGTTAATGTAAATTGGGGTTGTTTCTAATTTGAAGCTACTGTGACTGAAGCTGCTATAAATATTATTGTACATATCTTTCAGTGGACATATGTGCTCATTTGTCTTGAGTATATATCTAAGAGTGAAATTCCTGGGCCAACAGCGAGATGTATATTTATATTTAACAGGTATTGCCGAATAATTTTCCAAAGTGTCTGAACCATTTTACATTCCCACTAGCAAATGTATGAGTTCCAGTTGTTCCACATGCTTGTTGACACTTGCTATTGTCATTATTTTTAATTTTAGCCATTCTGGTGGGTGCAGAGAAGTACATAACTGTGGTTGTAATTAGGATTTCTCTGATGAGTAATGATGTAAAGAACTTTGTCATATGCTTATTGGCCATTTGGTAAGGGTTAGGCTTAGGCATGGATATTCTCTTTTGTGAGGTGCCTGTTCAAGTCTTTTGTCCATTTATAAACTTTATTGTCTTTTGCTTTTTGATTTGTGGAGTTATTTATACATTCTGCATACAAGTCTTTTATCTGATATATGCATTGTGAATATCTTCTCTCTATGTAAGGTTTGCCTTTCACTATCTGAATTGTGTCTTTTGATTAAAGAAGTTCTTAATAAAGTCCACTTTATCAAATTTTCTTTTAGGGTTGGTGCTCTTATATCCTATAGAGAAATCTTTTCCTATCCCAACTCCCTTGTTTTACAAAAATCCAATTAAAATATTTTTAGAGAAGCCTTGATGTTTTGTTTTTAACCTGTCCACTTCATAAGCTAATGGATCTGACTTCTTCCTATTGTGATGTGTTCATGAAATTAACAAAGTTACAATGGTAATAGCATCCATCAAACCAAATTAAATGTGCTCAGAGCAAGGCTGTATCAACTTACTGAAAAGCTATGTATGTCACCACTGCAACTCCCAGAAAAATGGAGGAGATTCCACATCCGGTGTATGTTATAAGCGCTAATATCTGTTCATTCACTGAATCCACTGTAGACCTGGATAAATCCTAAGGAACACAATGTGTTGTGTTTTACACATACACCAGAGCAAGTTTATGGCAAAATGCTTCCAGTGTTCACTAACAGGAAGTTCCCAGGATGTATAACATTTCTGCCATAGCTCTTCTAAAACCAGATTATGTGAATGGATGTATGGTAAGACCAAATATTGTTTGCTGAGTATGCCTAGTCCAACTGACTGTGTACAGGGCATGGGGAGCCATCAATAGCATTGGAAGAACATTTGGTCCTTGGCTTCATCATCATTAACATGTTCTACATTTAAAATATAACCAAGCTGAGAGATGTGAATTTGGGATGCAAAGTGAATAATTATCTGAACTGAGCATCTCAAAACACTACACAGAACAGCAAAAAAAAAAAAAAAAAAAAAAAAGTCCTTTTCCTTAGTCCTTAAATAGCCTTCACAAAATTAACAAACAAAATGGACCTTAGAGATCACAAAGTTCAGTGATTTATTAATTACTATTAAAGATCTGAAATGACATGTAAAATTATTTGAATATATGTGTGCACTGGTCTAAGAACAAAGTCCATAGCTTTCATCAGATGATTAGAGATTCATGACTCATCAAAGGTTAAGAAGCAGTGTTTACTTTGGTAGTTCTCAACCAGGAGTGATGTTACCCCTCTCCCAGGGACATTTGGCAGTATCTGGAGACATTTTTGGTTGTCACAACTGGGGAGAGTGCTACTGGCATCTAGTGGGGAAAGACCAAGGATGCTGCTAAACTTCTCACAATGCACAGAACAATCCCCCACGACAAAGAATTATTTGGGGCCGGGCGGGGTGGCTCATGCCTGTAATCTCAGCACCTTGGGAGGCTGAGGTGGACAGATCACGAGGTCAGGAGATTGAGACCATCCTGGCCAAAATGGTGAAACCCCGTCCCTACTTAAAAAATACAAAAGTTAGCTGGGTGTGGTGGTGGGCACCTGTAATCCCAGCTACTGGGGAGGCTGAGGCAGGAGTATCACTTGAAACCAGGAGGTAGAAGTTGCAGTGACCCGAGATTGCACCACTGCACTCCAGCCTGGTGACAGAGCAAGACTCCGTTAAGAAAAAAAAAAAAAAAGACAGAACTATTTGGCCAGAATATCTATAGTGCCAAGATTGAGAAACCCTGGTGTATTCCAGTCATTCACATTTCAGAAGAAAATCTAAGATCCAAAAGAGGGAAACAACCTTACCAAGATCACATAGTTAGTTACAGACAGAGCTGGAACAAGAACCCTGGTCTCTCTCTCTCTCTCTCTTTTTTTTTTTTTTTTTGGGACAGGTTCTCACTCTTTTGCCCAGGCTGGAGTGCAGTGGCCTGACCACGGCCTACTGCAGCCTCAACCTCCCTGGACTCAGGTGATTCTTCCCACCTCTGCCAGGGAGGCGGAGCTTGCAGTGAGCCAAGATAGAACCACTGCACTCCAGCCTGGGTGACAGAGCAAGACTCCATCTCAAAAAAAAAATATATATATATACATACATATATATATATATATATATGTAAAATAAATAAATATAAAACAGACCCACAGCCCTCAAAAAGCTAACCATTCTTTGTAGGAATAAGTAACATATGACACATTCAGATAACAGTATGTAATAAAGTTACCTAAGAAATCCAGGAAAGTATTCTGATGCGGGTAGAGAAAAAGGAATACATTTGAGAGTCATTTGGAAGAAAAACTCAGCAAATACTTATGATCCTTCTTAAATTTAAATATTTTAATGACCAGACCCTTTAATCCAGCAATTCTACTTCTGTCAACTTATCCTGCAAAAATACTTACACCAATGTTTGAAGATACATGAGTAAGAATGTGTATTACAGCAATATTTATAATGAGAAAAACAGCAACAGCTATAATGTCCACTAGTCAGGGATTAGTTAAATTTATTGTGTTAAACCCAAGCAATGGTATACTATAAAGGTATTTTAAAAATTGAAGTATAATAGATACATACACATTTGCCTGAAAGTTGTGCAATATATATTGTTAAATGAGAAAAGCAATCGGTAAAAACAGTATGAATAATTTGATACCATGTTTATAAAACAAAAATGTACATTCCTATATACACAGGAAAAGAACCTAAATGAATATACATGTTAGCCTGTTAAAGGTGGTGATCACTTGGGAGGGAGGTTAAAGGGACCTTTTCTGTACTGTTTGAAATTTGAGAAGCAAGCATTAATTTTATAAGGAGAATAAATAAATAAATATTTGTCTCAATCTGATCTACTTTGGATGAACAAATTGGAAGGGGGATTTTTTTCCAAATGCATACCATTTTTTAATAACAGTTCACACATATATTACTGGTCTAATAAAAATTGTCAAACTTCCATCGAGGAGTGACTAAGAGACAACTCACCATTAAGACTCCAAAATGGGTGAGGTGGTCACACTGACAGATTGTGTAATTTACATTTGTTTCCTTTACTTTACAGCCTGACGAATTCCATCCACCCAGCCCATCTGTAGGAGACAGAAGGAAATTTCAAAGCAATTTTGTTTTTCTCAGAAATGTTTAACTTTTCATTATATTCACTATCCAAACGTGTGTTATAATTAATATTATTTGCTGAGATAGCAAGATTAGGGGTATAATTGAACACTGAAATTAAATTAAGTCTAACAGACTAAATTGACTTTTTGGGGACTTCGTAAATGGCACAACTTCTTCGGCTCTCCCTTTTCCTGTTCTTGTACCATACCTCTACAAATTAGGACAGACTCTAACCATGAACTTTTTTTTAAGTAGCCAATAAATAGGAAGCAAGCAGATCTAGAATATTTTTAAGGACATGGACGTATGGAATATAAGCTGGTACTTGAGCTTACTCAGAGGGACTGGAATAGACATCTGAACACCCAGCTGAACCCGCAATTCAAAGGGTCTCAAGTGCTTTCAATCAAAGTCAGATCATGGTCTGGAGCTCTGCAGGGCCAATTAGAGCCTCTGCTCTACTAGACATCTGGCTAGTTTCTTCTGAGCACACTCAGGTTTAGAACTAACACTCATACCTCCACAACCTGTAGATCTCAGGTACTAGATCAGATTTGAGACTAGAACTTCCCAAGTGGCACTAGACCAAAGGGGTTATCCCCGGGCAGGCAGCTAAGTTTGGTCAACATTTGTCCATCTGGGATAATGCCATAGATTCCAGAGGTTCTAGATCCACGGGGCAGAGGTGCAGGGGCAAAGGGTGACCTGGGAGTACCCCAGCAATTTGCGTTAATGAACATAGAGATCAACATATTGAGGTTGTAGGGGACAAAGCTCATCGCTTTATAGAGTTTTATCCTGAGAGACTTGGAGGGGATCAGGAAAGGGCAGTGTTATTTTTGTTTGTCAGAAAGAAGTAGTATTCTTATACTCTAGGGAGCCGAATGGGAAGAGAATTTCCATTTTGTCCCAGAATTCCAAGGATAGTGAAAAAGGGAAAGGTTCCAGGCAGAGTTTCCACAGGCAGAAGGACTCCTCACTTAGCCACTCCTGGCGTTCTTAGGGAAATTTATTCTGTGTGGAAATTCTCTGAGATTTGGTGATAACCCTGGATATTTCCAGTGAAGATGGCAATGCTAAGAGCAACCCAGTCAGCAATGACCATTCCCAGTCTTCTACTGTCTGTCTCCAAAGACTCATGCTTATTCAAGCAAGTAGGGTCCTTAGAGACCAACCAAGAAGTTTCATCTCCTCAATGAAAAGATAAAAAGACTGGGGCTCAGAGGGGGTAAATTGTCTACCCAAGGTCACACAGTCAGTCTAAAAGAGGTGAGGAAAAAAAAAGGGAAGGAGATCATAGATCTTGCAAAACCCTGTGGGAGAGCACAGATAAAGAACCAGGTATTCCTTCCTCAACTTTCTTCAAACAGTTCAAGGCTACTCTGCGCTGGGCCTTCCAAATTTCTTTCTTCCAACTTTGCTTACCCTCGAGTTGTGTAATTTTTCTGATTTTCCAAATAATTATTTTTGGGGCCTAAGATACTTGTAATAAGCTCCTATAATCTTCAGGAAACTGCAGGTAAGGAGCAATTAGTTATTGGGCATGATTGGAGCACTGTAGCCCCAGCACCAATTGAGAGATCTTACCTATCAAAAAGGAAAGTTGTCTTAATTCCCATGCCCTAATTTGATATAAAAATCATATCCTGTATCTTGGTCATTCAGAATGCTCTGTAGGGTCTGATAAGACAGTAGTTTCAGCACAACCCCCTCCCATTTAACTGCCAAGTGGGAAAATGGTCTGGGGCAAAGTCAAAGTTGCTAACAAAAATACTTACTATTATTCTCAAAATCCCAAAAGGCACAGTGAACTTGACCATAATTCTGGAAAAAAAGAAATCAGAGGTAAACATCTTGCCTTGTGATATTTACCATATAGTAACATATACACATAAGTGTTTTCTTCCCAATATTTTTTCCCATGGTAAACATGCACACACTGACATGCACACACACATACACATACACATTTGGGCCATTTGTGAATTGGCTTTTAGACTAACTCCACCATCTAACTCTGGATTTACAAGTGAGAAAACAGCATGTCACCGGCTGGTGATCTGATATGTCCTTTAAAATATTTGGTAGTATTAAAAATTGCCATGCCCTTCTGGTACAAGGCTATGGATAGTCAATGCAGGGCTGATGTGTTCCTTCTGGAGCTTTGGAATTCGGGGCTCACCGCTGAGATCAAGCCTTATGGACAGAAATTTGATCTGCCCCATCATTAGGCCTACAGAACATTCCTAAGACTTCACCAGCTCCTGTAGTCTCCAGGAAACTGCAGGCAAGGAGCAATTAGTTACCGGGGATAATTGAAGTGCTGTAGCCCAGACCAAATTGAGAGATCTTACCTATCTAACACGTTTCATTTGGTATTTGTTTCTTTAAATTTCCTCTCCCTCTCTTCCTTCTCTTCTTCCCTTCTAGAATCAAGACCAGTGAAAAGTATGCTGAACTATATGGTCTTTTAGACTGGGAACTGAGAAATCTATTGAGACGTCACACTGGCCATACACTAACGTCAAATAATGGAATAGTCATTCATACTTGTACTTAGGCTAAAGTTGATTATTTAGTAATATATAGCTTATGTTATGCCATATGACTATGCTTTTAGTTCTTTGGTGATAATTCATACACGTTTTAATGTTATTTCTGGAAATTCAAGTAATACAAATATTCAATTATTTTGAGTGAAGTTGCTTGTCTCGCTCAAAAATAAATGGAATCACATGTCATTTAGTGTGATGGGACATCCAAAAGATCCAGTCACTGCCCCACCAATCTGTCACAGTGCTAGAATGCCCATCATTCCCTATCACTTTAGGATAAGGCATTATTTCTGGAAGGTTCCAATTATAACACACATTTGCTACCTGGAATAGGACATTCCTCATTAAGTGTTAGAATCACATCTGTTAATTAACAAATTACTTTTAACAGAAAAGTCGTGAAGAGTTCCTGAGGCCATTTGATTCTGAGCTGAAAATAGATATATTACCTGGTTTCCTCCAATATGCTGCAGAGTGATAACCACTGGGTCAGCTAAGTTTTGAATGAACATATCATCTGAAATGCTGGCACTCACAACATAGGTGGTTAATGCTTTAGTGACATTTTTGGTCTGCAGATGAAACAAAAGAGGAGTTCAGGACCTAAATTTCTAATTACTTACATATTAATAATCAATCTGGAATTTTGAAGTGCTACACACAATGTTAGGTACAGAAATGTGGAAAATAAAATTGCAAGCTAAGGTCAAAGGTTATTCAGCTCATCTCCTGTCTTCACATAAGGTCTCCATTATACCAAGCTAGAACAATTCATTAATCCATCCATCCATCCAACCAAATGTGTATTTAGCACGCATTTGTTTTGCACCTGCTACTCAGTACTGCACTAGCAACAAAATGAAACTATTCTCTATTTTGGTAACTTTCTGGACCTTGACATTTCACAACTTATCCCAGTTCTAACTCTCAACCATCCTTGCTTACTTTTAGGGAGCTCCTCTATAAGAAACCTAAATCTATCATTTGTAAGTTATAAACCACTTCTTGTTCTATTCTGACAGAGATGGAAGCAGGTTGATCAACACCCAGTTTGAAACAAATTTCAGAGGACAGTCATCGCCTTCTTAGGGGACTGTGAGCTCTGAGGCCAGAGCCCAGGCATTGTATAGCCTGGTGTTCCTCACATATCCTAGGACACAGCAGGTGTCTTGTGCCCACAGTGAGCCACTTATTATGTGCTTTTCATGCACATGCCATTTGCAGTCCTCATTGAAGCCATATAAGCATTTTTCAGATAAACTGAGGCTTGAGTGGCTCAGTGCCTAAATGGATAAAGATCACTCAGCTAGTGGGTGACAGGGCAGGAATGCTTAATAAATGTTGGTTTAAAGGCAACAAACTAGAATGTATCTCTTGAGAAGTGGGGCTTGCTAACTAACAGTGCCAAAGTACCCCAGGCCAAGGCTCCAGGATGCAAGTCAGCTGAGATGCTGCCTGTTCTGGGGCACAGGCACATGTGAAGAGGCCACAGGTAGGGCTGGTGATACCAGACAAGAGGGAGAGGAAGAAAAATCTCTGAGGACTTCCCCACAAAAGCCTAGAGGACGTGAACGCAGATGACATTCCTTGGAGATCCTGCTGGGCCACTTTTAGAAGATGCCAAGGCTTCATATTTCTGAAGAAACAGTGTGCAGTCCCTACTACCTACCCTACACACCTGAGCCCTGCAGCCTGGGTAGTTGCAAATTCAGCCTGGGGCTCCACTAGGACTCTACTTACTTCCTGTTTCTGACCTGTTCTGTTCATTCAAAACCAGCCTGGGGCAACCTGATTTAGAGATGGCCAACAGCAAGATATAATGGGAAGGGCCCTGCTGACACTCAAAAGGCTAAGGGCTAACCCTAGCTCTCTTGTTCCTCCTAAGCCCTATTACCCCTTCCTGGTCTATTGGTGACACTAGGAAAGATGGCAGACTAGATGTTATTTAATGATCCTCCCAACTTAGTCTAAGTGACGCAGTTTTCTGTAGTGAAAAGGCCAAAGGAGGAGACACACACTATGATCCAAAACTTAATTAGCCTTTTCTCTGGTTTCATTTCCCTTACTACAAAACGGTAGCCATGCCAGGAAAGGAATAGAAACTTCCTCATCCTTCCACCCTTTGCACTGTAGGCTCAAGTTTTATCTGTTACACCTCTGAACTTTTAGACAAGCTATTCCCTCTCTCTGAAACTCTCTTCTCTCCTTCTCTTTGCCCTATTTCATCTTTGAGCTCCTACTCAACTTCAGGGCTCCGCTGAGACCTTTCTCTCACTGCACTTTCCTGATCTTCCAGATGAGTGGTAGATTCCCTCTTCTATGCACCCAGAGCCCCTGTGCCATATTGTAACCGCCTAGTGCCTGTCCCTCTCCCTGAGAATCACAGCTAGAGGAGGTGTGGAGGAGGAGACACATATTATCCAAGAGTGGTGCCTTATCAACAATTTCTATGGACCAGGCACGGTGGCTCATGCCTGTAAACCTAACGCTTTGGGAGGCAGAGACAGGAGGATGGCTTGAGACCAGGAGTTTGAGACCAGCTTGGGCAACAAAGTGAGACCCCATCTCTACAAAAAAATATGAAAATTAACCAGGCACAGTGGTGAGCACCTATATTCCCAGCTACTTGGGAGGCTGAGCCAGGAGGATCTCTTGAACCCAGGAGTTAGAGGTTGCAGTGAGCTGTGATTGCACCACTACACTCCAGCCTGGGTGGCAGAGCGAGATCCTGTCTTTAAAAGACACAAACAAACAAACAAACAAATTTCTAAGGTTATGTGTCATAATGACTTAAGATTTTGATCAAAAAATATTAGAGAAAGTAGTGCGAAAGCAAGGCTGTGATACTCGGGGATTCAAGAAAAATAGAATTAAAGAGCAGCATTTTTGTAAGTACTCTTTCCCCAATAACCAGTGGCACAGATCCCAGCCTAGGGTCACCCCTTTAATGTTAGAACATTTAGGTCTGTTTTCCCCTCCAGCAGACTGGAAGTTCCATGAGAGCAGGCACTATGTATCTTGCTCAGCATTGCATCCTCAGCATTCAGCACCGTACAAGACACACAGTAGGAATTAAATAAATATTTGCTGAATGAATAAATGATTGAGTGAATGAATGAATAAATTGTGACACCTTCAGCAGATTCCTTCCCCTCTCTGAGACTCGAGGTCCTCAATATCCATTTTACTTTTACCAATGGTAAAATGAATAGATGGGATGATATGAGTTAGGAGGGCCCTTTCAACTCTGAATTTGAAGCAGGCTAGTTCTAATCCTTCTTCATCTGGTACTATGATGTTTGCAGTTTAATTTTGGCAAAGATCTTTAATCTCTTCCAGTAGAAAGTGTTAGTGAATAAAAATGACTTATTAAGTGTGAAATCTATGCAAAACAAGTTTATCTCTTATTCTACGAGACAAGCACAGCCCTCTGAAGAAAGGAGAGAAATTAAGACCAAAATAATGGCATCTCAAGTGACAAAGAGAAATTGTAAGCCTACCAAAAGGGTCAAAGTGTTGTGGAGCATATTTTTAATTTTTATTAAAATGTTTTGCCCACTAAATATTTTGCCCAGGAGGCAGGAAGGAGAGCAGAGACTCACTTACTCCAGGCAGCCACCCTGGGTGGGATTTGAGCTAAGCCCACAGGAACACATAGAATTTAGAGAGAGAAAGGAGTGGCTAGAGAACTCCAGGGGAACAGAAAGTCTTACAGACATAGCTGGAGGTGACATGGTATATTTGAGGTGGCGTGTGGTATGGGTATGTGCTATATTTTGAGCTGGCCCAGTGCAACCTCCCACAAAAGAAATGTGGATATTTGACCATTAGAAATTCATTACTTTGGATAACCTCTTTAGAAATACAAACACATCTGGGAAAATTATTGTATTGACTTTAAATACATGAACTTTGAAGTCAGATAGCCTGGGTTTGATTCCTAGCTATGCCACTTTTTAGGTATGTGGCCTTGGGAAAAATTACTTAACCTTTTTGAGTATCAGCTTCTCATGAGAAGTAGATGAAATAATAAATGTAAATATTAACAATTAATAGTGTTCATTATCTTCAAATTCATGCAAACTCTGATTACTGTCTTCCCAATAGCTAGATGAGACAGAGTGGTCTAAACGAATGAGGCTTTTGTTAGGCAGAGACCTAAGACAGGATACTAATAATAGTAGAGCAAACACTTAACATGGTACTTATGTGCCAAGCGGTATTGTAAGCACTTTAAATACACCAATTCCTTTAATCCTTCAATAGCTCTATAAGGAATTCTTATTACCCTATACTACAGAGAAGGAAATTAAGGCACATGAAGGTTGAGTAACTTGCTTGAGGACACACAGGCAGAATATGGCATTGCCAGCTTTTAATTCAACCAGCCTGCCCCTGAGTCCACACTCTTCAGCATCACATCATGCTGCCTCTGTTTTCTAGTGGGTGAGGACTGCAGCCTTCAGAGAAAGTTCTGTGGGGGCTGTGGGAAGTAGCAACAAATGCCTGCAGGCAAATGTCCTTCTGGATACCACCCAACTTCAAAGGAATTGGCCAAGAATAGTGGACATGTTGGCTTTGAGGAGCCAGGGGAGATTTGGGAGGAAAGCACTGATAAGCCGAAACATCATTTCATCAGGAGAACTCGCTGTTCTTTTTTGGCTTTGAAACATCTTGAGGCCTCTGTTTAGCCACCAGATAATCCTTAAGTTTCCTTCCAAAGCTGAGATATTGTGAAAACTAAAAACTGTAGAACATCATTAAAGTAGACGTTGATTCATGTTAAGGGGCAGGGGTTGTGTTGGAAGACTTGTGGAATCAATCAGCATATTCTAAAATAAGCAGAACATCATGAAAATAGCAAGAGTTCATAATTACAATGAGTCACCATATGCCAGTTCATCACAGTTACCACAGGCAAGAATTTACCTTAAAGAGTGAAGTTTGGCCAAAGAAATTAAACAAGATCGTTTGTAAGTTGCTAAGAGGAATTCTCTCCGTCAGTGATTTAGGCAAATATATGGAAGCCAAAATCCCTCCCACAGGGACATTGCCTAGGAAAATCTGCCAAGAAAAGCCAAAAAATGAAAATTGGAGTCTTCATTCATCATAGTGAAGTCCTGCCCACCTCCCACCCCAGCTCAGCCTCAGAATATCACCCAAAGGACTGAAAGGTGGGAACTAGCTCCATAAGCGATGATACACTTTTCACACACACACACACACAGTCACAGGCCAAGACATGATCCTGGTACACACAGACATAGACACAAACACACATCATCTTTTCCTTTCTAAGCCTATTCCTGAGGTTCTCTCCCTTTGATCTCCTTTCACCTGGGTAATAATAGAGATGAGAGGGAAATGACAAATTAGGTCATTTGCCCTGATTATCAGAAATAAAGACCAGTCTTGGAACTCAGGCTACCTTCCTCCATATGTTAAAAGGAAAAAACAAAGTAACAATAAAAAACACAATACAATGATATTAGGCACTTTCCTCATAGTTTATGGAGCAATGTTTTGGTTAAAAAGTGAAGCAGGGAAGTGAGGCATTAGCGCTTAGCAATTCTGCTGCATGCTCACAGCTATGGTTTGAATATGTCCCCCAAAAAGCATGTACTAGAAACTTAATCCCCAATGTGATAATAATGGGGGCTGGGGCACAATGGGATATGTTTAGGTCATGAAGGCTCCACCCTGTTGAATGGATTAATGCCAATTATAAAAGGGCTTGAGGCTGTGAGTTCAATCTTTTGTTCTCTCTCTCCCTCTCTTTGCACATCTGCCATTGGATGACACAGCAAGAAGGCTCTCACCGCAGGCGGCCCCTTGATCTTCAACTTCCCAGCCACCAGAACTGTGAACCAATAAATTTCTGTTCATCAGAAATTATCCATTCTGTGGTATTCTGTTATAGCAGCACAAAATGGAACAAGACATCCACTATCAGAAGTATTTGCTGAGTTGATTGGTAATAGTATTTGACAAGTACTGGAACATTTTTGAGAGTCAAAAGGGCTTTGTTAATAATTACACTAAGTCCACAGCCATAAATCTGGATTCTCCCATACAAAACAGAATATGTGGACACACTTACCTGCATTCTCCCATTTAATCTCTCTATCAACTCTGAGAGGTACGTTGTATTATGGCAACAGGAAATGGCGTAGAAAGATTAAGTGAATTGCTTAGGATCACACAACTGGGATGTGGGTGAACAAAGATATATGCAATTTTGGCCCACTTTTTAAAATTATCTATGCTGCCTCTCAAGTTGCTATTATCTAGCTGGGTGTATAGTGGGGGTTAAAAGTGAATAATATTTCTAAAAATGACTTGTAGTCTCAAAACCCATATGGCTCTTTGCTAAGCAGAAATGAACTCTGCTAGGGCAATCAAGTACCATGGAGAGGTCATGATTTAGCTTCAATATGTAAGCAGTTTGGCACCAAGAATACAACTGGTGTTGTTTGGTTTGTCTCTCCACCAAGATTCATGATAGAAAACCCCATTGTAAACAAAATACACTGGGAATTCAACATCTGTTTCAATATGGCTAAGTAGCTCCTAATAAACTCAACTCTCCTGCATATAACAACAATACAAAGTAACAACGACTTGAAGGCACTGGAAAATTACCAAAAGCAGACAGTTTCTGGAGAAGAGTAAACACTTGGAAAAAGGTAACATCACAAGGTGGGGTACCCGTTTTTACATCTTGTAGCCTGATGGCAGGCTGAAACTAATGCTGTGAAGGACATCTAAAACTTTGATTTTTTTTTTAATTGCAGTCTTTGTGGAATGAAGAACCAGAAACAAAAGCCAGGGCAACCATAGCCACTGGGAGGTGATGGGGGTTGTGGTGGACATCTGGAATGGAAAGCGGGATCCAAAATTCTGAGTATAAATTCTGCCCAAATATATGCCTGACCTCTGGACCACATATGTACAGGACATACTTCCACTAAGAATAAAGGAATTAACTGAGATTTGAACTGCCAATCAAGAGTTGGTGTCTACAGTATAGTCCAACCAAGTTAATTGCCTGTTATGACAAAAATCTATAATCTACAAAAGAATAGAGTAGAATCTAGAGTGTTCATATATATAACATTTATAAAACCCAGGACATAGTCCAAAATTACTCAATACGTGAAGAAAAAATGTGACCCATTTTTAAAAGATAATCAATGGAGTTAAACCTTGAGATTTTCCAGATATTAGAATTAGCAGACAAGGATTTTAAAGCAGCTAGTATAACTATGCTGAGGTATTTAAAAGATAATATGTTTGCAATTAATGGAGAGAGGAAATAATGGTTAAAAAGAAACAGAAACAAACAAAACAGAAATTCTAAACTTTGAGTATAATTGGAATTTTTAAAAAGTAAATTTTATTGTGTGTATTTAAGGTATATAACATAATATTACGGGATACATATAGAGAGTAAAAAGGTTACTATAGTGAAGCAAATTAACATATCCATGGTCTCACATAGTTACCTCTTTTTTTGTTGTTTTTGTGGCAAGAGTAGCTAAAATCTATTCATTTAGCATGAATTCTAAAAACTGTACAATTTAAAAAATTGCACAGGATGGGTCCAATAGTAACATGAAAACAACAGATGTCTGCAAATTTAAAGGTAGATCAATATAAATGATCCTTTTGGAAGAATAGATAGTGAAATGATTAAAAACATGAACAGTCTCAGGGATATGTGGGGGAGTATCAAAAGATCTTACATACAAGTAATTGGAGTCTCAAAAGGAGAGGAAAGAGAAAATGGTGAGGAAACAGTATTTGAAGGAATAACAGTGAAAATTTCCCCAAATTCAGTAAAAGGTATAAATTTACATATTCAAGAAGCTCAGCAAACCCTTAGCAGGATAAGTACAAAGAAAAAAAAAATGCCCAGGCATATAATAGTCAAACTGCAGAATATCAAAGAAAATATTTTAAAAAGCCAGAGAAAAATTACACATTATATACAGAGAAACAAGAACTCAAATGATTACTGATTTCTCTTCAGAAAACATAAAGGCCAGAAGAGAGTGAAATGACATCTTTAAAATGCTGGGGGCTGGGGGAAGGACTTGCCAATCCTGAATCCTATTACAAACAAAAATATCCTTCAAGCATAAAGATAAAATAAAGACATTTTCAGATAAATTAAAAACTCAGAAAATTTATCATTATCAGACCTGCACTACAATAAATCCTAAGTGAATTTTTTTAAGCTGAAGGGAAGTGATACCAAATAGAACTCTGACCTTCAGGAAGGAGTGAAGAGCACCAAAAATAATACATATCTAGGTAAATGTAAAAAACCATTTTTTCTCTCAATTTTTTAAGTAACATAGGACTTTTTAAAGTAATGACTATAACATTGTCTTGTGAAGTTTATAATCTTCTTGTGTAAAATATGTGTGTGACAATTATAGCATAAAAAACAGGGGGTATAAATTGACACGTCTGGTTTAAAGTTTCTACATTTTACATGAAGCAGTACAATATTAACTCTAAGTAGACTGTAAAAAAATATACAAGTGTATATTATAATCTCTAGAGCAACCATTAAGAAAACAATGCAGGCCAGGCATGGTGGCTCACACCTGTAATCCCAGCACTTTGGGAGGTCAAGGCTGGTGGATCACTTCAGGTCAGGAGTTTGAAACCAGCCTGACCAACATGGTGAAACCCTGTCTCTACTAAAAATAAAAAAATAAATAAATAAAAAAACAACAGCCCATGCGTGGTGGCACATGCCTTTAGTCCCCACTACTCTGGAGGCTGAGGCACGAGAATCGCTTGAACCCGAGAGGCAGAGGTTGCACTGAGCCCAGATTGTGCCACTGCACTCCAACCTCGGTGACAGAGGGAGACTCCAAAAAGAAAGGAAAGGAAAGGAAAGGAAAGGAAGAAAGAAGAAAGAAAGAAAGAAAGAAAGAAAGAAAGAAAGAAAGAAAGAAAGAAAGAAAGAAAGAAAGGCAAATATATATAATTAAAGAGTCAGTAAACAATTAAAAAGCAACTATAATAAATATTAAAATAAAGCAAGAGACAACAGGAAAGAAGGAACAGAGGAACAAAAGCCAGAGGGATAGACAGAAATTAAAATAAAATGGTAGCTCAAATCCAACCACATAAATAATTACATTAAATGTTAAAAAAACTACACGCTCCAATTAAAAGTCAGATATTATCAGGATGGGTAAAAAATAAAACACAAACTATATGCTATCTACAAGAGGTACACTTTAAATATAAAGACAGCTAGGAAGCAAATGAATATAAAATATACATACATACCTTTTAGAGTAACCATAAGAAGGCTTGGATGACTTGGTTTTTTATATTCAAACCAGATAAAATAACTTCAAGACAGAGATAAAGAGGGGTATTTAATAATGATAAATATGTTTAGGGGTAGGATTAGTATTAGAAAGACAAACCAACACAAATGTATATGTGCTTAATAAAAGAGCCCCAAAATAAACAAAGCAAAATTTGAAAGGACTAAATGGAGAAATAGACAGTTGCACAAAGTTAGAGATTTTAACACCCTTCTCAATTAGAGAACAACTAGGATAGAACAAAGATGATTGGAACAACACTGCTGGCACCTTGACCTAATTGCTATTTATATCCAACAACTGTAGAATGCACATTTTTTTTGAAGTCCATGTGAAACATTCACCAAAATAAATCACACATTGGGATATAAAATAAGTGCTCTAAATCAGCGTCCAATATATGGTACTTTTTTTCCCATAGCCAGGATTCACAGTTCCAGGAATCAAGAGTTGGAAGTGGAAGTGGCACCACTCACCATCACCCCTAATGATCCACTAGCAAAACTTTTGCTTCCTGTTCCCACGACATTACATTCTGCTGGCCTAGAGGTCTTAGTTCCAGAGGGAGGAACGCTGCCACCAAGAGACACAACATCGATCTCCTTAAACTGGAAGTTAAGATTGCCACCTGGACACTTTGGGTTCCTCCTACCTTTAAGTCAATAGGCTAAGAAGGGAGTTACAGTGTTGGCTGGGGTGATTGATCCGGACTATCAAGATGAAATCAGTCTACTACTCTACAACGGAGGTAAGGTATGCATGGAATACAGGAGATCCACTAGGGCATCTCTTAGAATTACCATGCCCTGTGATTAAGGTCAATGGGAAACTACAACAGCCCAATCCAGGCAGGACTACAAATGGCCCAGACCCTTCAAAAATGAAGGCTTGGGTCACTCCACCAGGAAAAAAACCACGACCTGCAGAGGTGCTTGCTGAAGGCAAAGGGAATAGAGAATGGGTAGCAGAAGAATGTAGTCATCAATACCAGCTACGACCACATGACCAGCTACAAAAACGGAGACTGTAATTGTCATGAATATTTCCTCCTTCTTTTGTTAAAAACATGTTTGTGCATGTATACACTTGTACTAAGAAAAATCTTCATTTTATTTTTTTTTCTTTTATCGTGTGACATAGGATTTACTGACTTCATATCAGCATTTAAGTATTGTTAATTTTATGTAATAGTATTTGTGTTGGGGATTTGTGCATTTCCAGTTGTACAAAGGATAGTTGTATTATGTTAGGCATAATTATGACCTTATTGTTGTCTTTATTTGAAGATTATGTATGATCTCAGGAAATGTGTATGGGTTCAACTTGAAAAGGGATGGACTTGTGATGGTTAATACTGAGTGTCAACTTGATTGGATTGAAGAATACAGAGTATTGATCCTGGGTGTGTCTGTGGGGGTGTTGCCAAAGGAGATTAACATTTGAGTCAGTGGGCTGGGAAAGGCAGACCCACCCTTAATTGGAATGGACACCATCTATCTAATCAGCTTCCAGCAAATATAAAGCAGGCAGAAAAACATGAAAAGGAGAGACTGGCTTAGCCTCCCAGCCTGCATCTTTCTCCTGTGCTAGATGCTTCCTGCCTTAGAACATCAGACTCCAAATTCTTCAATTTTGAGACTCGGACTGGCTCTCCTTGCTCCTCAAGCTTGCAGACAGCCTATTGTGGGACCTTGTGATCATGTAAGTTAATACTTAATAAACTCTCATATATATGTGTGTGTGTGTGTATTTATATACATATATATATACATACATATATATCCTACTAGTTCTGTCCCTCTAGAGAACTCTGACTAATACAATAAATTTCAACAAATGTAAATGGATTGAAATTATACTAAGTATATTCTGTGACCAAAATGAAATAAACAAGAAATCAATAACAATAAGATATCTCAGGCTTGGTGGGGTGGCTCATGCCTGCAATCCCAACACTTTGAGAGGCTGAGTTTGAGACCAGCCTGGGCAGCATGGAGAGATCTCATCTTTACAAACAATGTTTTAAAAAGTAGCGAGGTGTGGTGACATGCACCTGTGGTCCCAGCTACTCGGGAGGCTGAGGTGGGAGGATCATCTGAGCCCAGGAGGCTGAGGCTACAGTGAGTCGTGATTGTGCCACTGCACTTCAGCCTAGGTGACAGAGTGAGACCCTGTCTGAAAAAATAATAATACGATATCTTAGATAGCCCCCAAATACTTGTAATTTAAACAATACACTCCTAAATAATTCACGGACTAAAAAAAATATAAAATATTTTGAACTGACATAATAAAATACAACATATAAAAATTTGTGGACTACAGCTAAAGCAGTGCTTAGAAAGATATTTACAGCTTTTTAGGATTATGTTAGAAAAGAAGAAAGGTCTAAAATGAATGATATATAGATCCACATTAAGAAGCTAGACAGGCCAGGGGTAGTAGCTTACACCTGTAACCCCAGCACTTTGGGAGGCTGAGGCAGGAGGATTGCTTGAAGCTAGGAGTTCGAGACCACTGTGGGCAACAAAGAAAGACCCTGTCTTTACAAAAATAAAAAATCTAAAAATTAGCCAGGTGTGGTGGTACGTGCCTGTAGTCCCAGCTACTGGGGAGGCTGAGGTGGGAGGATTGCTTGAGTCCAGGAGTTCGAAGCTGCTGTGAGCTACGGTCACACCACTGCACTCCAGCCTGGGTGACAGAGAGACCTCATCTTAAAAGAAGAAGAAAAAGAAGAAGAAGGAGAAGGAGAAGAAGAAGGAGGAGGAGGAGGAGGAAGAGGAGGAGGAGGAGGAGGAAGAAGAAGAAGAAGAAGAAGAAGAAGAAGAAGAAGAAGAAGAAGAGGAGGAGGAGGAGGAGGAGGAGGAGGAAGAAGAAGAGGAAGAAGAAGAAGAAGAAGAAGAGGAGGAGGAGGAGGCAGCAGCAGCAGCAGCAGCTATGTAAAGAAGATAAAACTAAAACCAAAATAAGTACAAGAAAGGAAGTAATAAACATAAAATCAGATATCAAAAAGTAGAAAACAAGTAATAGGGAAAATTAACAAGGCCAAAGGTTGTTTAAAAGGATCAACAAAATGGAAAAATCCCTATACTATCAAAAATAAAGGAGCAAAAAAAGAAATTACCAATATCAGAAATGAAAGAGGATTTATTACTATAAATCAGAGGTTGACAAATGAATCAGCAAGCCAAATCCTTCCTAAGGCTTGTTTTTATGTTGCCCTGAGCTAAGAATAGATTTTACATGTCACTTTTAGGTTTCGTGGCTTTTTTTTTTTTTTTTGGTAACAGCTTTATTGAGACTTTACTCACATACCATATACTTCACCCATTTAAAGTATACAGTTCATTAGCTTTCACCACATTCAGAGTTGTGCAACTATCACTACAATCAATTTTAGAACATTTCCATCACTTCAAAAAGAACCCCTGTATGAATGGATGAACAAAGTGTGGTAAATACATACAATGGAACATTATTCAGCCCTAAAAAATTAGCAAATTCTAACATGCTACAACATAGATGAACCCTGAAGACATTTTGCAAAGTGAAAAAAGCCAGTCACAAAGGACAAATATGGTATTATTCCATTTACATGAGGTACCTAGAGTAGTCAAAATCACAGGGATCGGAAGAATTGTGGTTGTCAAGGGCTAGGAAAGGGACGAATGGGGACTTGTTATTCAACGGGTCAGCTACTGAGGAGGCTGACCTCCCCAGTAGCTTTGGGAAGATGAACAACGTTCTGCAGACATATGGTGGTGAGAGTTGCACAACATACATTTCATTTTTAAACGGTTGCACAAAGAAAGAAGCAGAGGGAGAGGAGAGAATAAGAGAGGAAAGGAAAACAGAGGACAGCAAGGGAAGAAGAGGAGAAGAATAGAGAGGGCTGGAAAGGAGAGGAGAAGAGAGGGAGGGAGAGGAGAGGAGAAGAGAGGGAAGGAGAAGACAGGAGAAAGGAGGGAAGGAGAAGAGAGAAGAGAAAGAAGGGGAGGAGAGGGCAGGGGGCAAGAGGAACGGAGAGCAGAACAAAAACAAACATATAAGAACATTCAGCAGACAGAGACCACCTGTGGGTTGCAAAGCCTAAAATATTTATTATCTGCCCTTTACAGAAACTTTGCTGACTCCTGCTATAAATCCTACAGATGTTAAAAAAATAGGAAAATATTATAAATTATTGCCAATAAGCTTGACAAGTTAGATGAAATAAACTCTTAGAAAAATACAACTATCCAAAAACTGACACAAGATGAATCAGAAAATCTGAATGGCTCTCTATCCACTAAATAAATCTAGTTTGATATCAAAAAACTTCCCACAAAGAAATTTCAGACCCAGAGGGTTTCCTAGTGAACCCTATCAAGCATTTAATGAAATGACAGCAATGTTACACAAACTCTTTCTGAAAGTAGAAGAGGGACCGTTTCCCAACTCACTTTTAGAATGTTGCCAAAATCTTTCTAAAGCCTGACAAAGAAATCACAAAAAAAAGAAAATTTCAGACCAATACTCTTCATGAATGTAAGGGCAAAAATACTTCACAAAACATAAGCACTTAGAAAATAGCAATACATAAACATGATGATGCATGATGACCAGTAGGGTTTTTTCTAGGAATTCAAGATTGGCTTAATATTTTAAAATCAATATAATTTACCATATTAAGAGGATAAAGAGGAAAGCCAAAAGATTACTTCGAGAGATACAGAAAAAGGTTTTGACAAAATTCAACAACAATTTGTGATAAATCTTTTCAGGAAACCAAGAATAGAAGGTAACTACCTCAATCAAATAAAGAACATCTTTTAAAAAAACAAAACAAAAATGGGTAACATCACAGTAATGGAAAAACAGTGAATACTTTTCTCCTAATATTAAAAATAAGACAAGGATGCCCACTTCAACCACTTCTATTCAACATTTTATTGGAAGTATTAAACATCAGAATAGGCCCCCAAAAAGAAATAAAAGGAATAAAGATCAGTAAAGAATACATAAAACTCTCTATTGTCACATGATGTTGGCTTACATGGAAAGTTCTAAGGAATCTCTAAAACAATTACTAGAAGCAATAAGTGAATTTAGCAAGTGCATAAGAAACAAAATGTGTATATATATAGCATATAATATAAATAATATTTCATATATAATCAATTGCATTTCATATACTAGCAGCAAATAATTGGAATATCTAGTTTTAAAACTATTCCATTTTCAACAGTATCAAAAATCAAAATACTTAGGAATAAATTTATCAAAAGACATGCAATATCTCCCCACCTAAACTACAAAACATTGCTCAGAGAAATGTAAATAGAACTAAATAAATGTTCCTAGATTAGAAGACTCAATATTACTAAGAAATAAATTCTCCCAAAATTGACCAATAACTTCAACTCAATCCAAATCGTAATCTCAGCAAGTTTTTTATACAAATTGATCAGCAGATTTGAAAATTTATATGGACATGCAAAAGGCTTAGAATAACCAAAGCAATCTTGAAAAGCAACAATGTTGAAGTATTCATATTACCTGACTTCAACACTTCAGGAACCAAGACGACCTGGTAATAACATACGAGTTTAAAAAAAAAAAAAAACAGTATAGGAAAGTCCAGAAATAGCCTTACATTTATACAAAATTTGACTTTTTGTCAAAGGTACCAAAGCAAGCCAATGGGGAAGGAAAAGTCTTTTCAACAAATGATGCTGGAAATACTGGATATCCACGTAAAACAAAATGATCCTCAACTCCTACCTCATGCAATACATAAATCAATTAATTGAGTTCTAAACATAAAAGCTAAAATCATAAAGCTTTTAAAGAAAAGCATAAGAGAATGTCTTCATGGCTTCCTGATAGACAAAGGTATCATAGACAAGTCATATATGGTTATTCATAAAAGAAAACAGAACTATAAATTAGACTTCACGAAAATTTAAAACTTTTGGTGAGCACAATGGCACACGCCTGTAATCCCAGCACTTTGGTAGGCCAAGGTGGGAGGATTGCCTGAGCCCAGGAGTTCGAGATCAGTCTGGGCAACAAAGTGAGAGCCCCATCTCTACAAAAAATTAAAAAATCAGTCAGGCATGGTGGTGCGTGCCTGTGGCCACAGCTACATGTGAGGTTGAGGCAGGAGGATTGCTTGAGCCCAGGAGGTCAAGGCTGCAGTGATCTGTGTTCAAGCCACAGCATTTCAGTCTGGGTGAAAGAGCGAGACCCACTCTCAAACAACAACAACAACAACAAAAAAAAAAAAAAAAAAAAAAAAGGAAAGAAAACAAGAAAGTGAAAAACTGCTCATTGAAAGACATTATTGAGAAAATAGATAGGCAAGTCATACGGAAAACATTTTCAAAACATACATCTGATAAATTGTTTGTATCCAGAATGTGTAAAGAACACTTACAACTCAATAATAAAAGGGATGCCCACTTTTACCATTTCTGTTCAACATAGTACTGGAAGTCCTAGTCATAGCAATCAGACATGAGTAAGAAATAAAGGGCATCCAAATTGGAAACAGGAAGTCAAGCTGTTGCTGTTCACCAATGATGTGAACGTATACCTAGAAAACCATAACGACTCATTCAAAAAGCTCCTACATCTGATAAACGAATTCAGTAAAGTCTCAGGTTACAAAATCAATGTACACAAATCAGCAGCACTGCTATACACCAACAGCGACCAAGCTGTGAATCAAATAAAAAACTCAATCTTTTTACAACAGCTGCAAAATACAATACAATACAATACAATACAATACAATACAATACAATACAATACAATACAATACAATACAATACAATACCCAGGAATATACTTAATCAAGGAGGTGAAAGATCTCTACAAGGAAAACTACGAAACACTGTTGAAAGAAATCATAGATGACACAAACAAATGGAAACACATCCCTTGCTCATGATGGAAAGAATCAATACTGTGAAAATGGCCATACTGCCAAAAGCAATCTATAGATAATGCAATTCCCACCAAAATATCATCATTCTTACAGAACTAGAAAAAAATTCTAAAATTCATATGGAATCAAAAAAGTCCACATAGCCAAAGCAATTCAAAGCAAAAAGAACAAATCTGGAGGCATCATATTACCCAACTTCAAATTATACTGCAAGGCTATAGTTACCAAAACAGCATGGTATTGGTATAAAAATAGGTATGTAGACCAATAGAACAGAATAGAAAACCCAGAAATAAAGCCAAATACTTACAGCCAACTATCTTTGACAAAGCAAGTGAAAACATAAAGTGGAGAAGGGACACCCTGTTCCACAAATGGTGCTGGGATAATTGGTAAGCCACACGGAGAAAAATGAAACTGGATCCCCATCCCTCGCATTATACAAAAATTAACGCAAGATGGATCAAAGTCTTAAATGTAAGAGTCTTAGATATAAGACCTGAAACCATAAAAATTCTAGAAGATAACATTGGAAAAAACTCTTCTGAACATTGGCCTAGGCAAAGAATTCATGACTAAGACCCCAAAAGCAAATGCACAAACAGAAACAAATAAATGGGATCAAATTAAACTAAAAAGCTTCTGCACAACAAAAGAAATAATCAGCAGAGTCAACAGGCAATCCAAAGAGTGGGAGAAAACATTTGCAAACTATGCATCCAACAAAGGACTAGCATCCAGAATCTACAAGGAATTCAAACAAATCAGCAAGAAAAAATCAAAGGATCCTATCAAAAAGTGGGCAAAGGACATGCGTAGACAATTCTCAAAAGAAGATATACAAACACCCAACAAACATATGAAAAAATGCTCAATATCACTAACCATCAGGGAAATGCAAATTAAAACCACCATGAGATACCACCTTACTCCTGCAAGAATGGCCATAATTAAAAAGTCAAAAAACAATAGATGTTGGCATGGATGTGGTGAAAAGGAAACACTTTTATACAGCTGGTGGGAATGTAAATTAATACAACCACTGTGGAAAACAGTATGGAGATCCCTTAAAGAACTAAACTGAGAACTACCATTCCATCTAGCAATCCCACTACTGGGTATCTATTCAAAGGAAAAGAAGTCATTATATGAAAAAGGCACATGCACACACATGTTTAAAGCAGCACAATTCACAGTTGCAAAGATATGGAACCAACCTAAGTGTCCATCAACCAAACAAGTAGATAAAGAAAATGTGGTATATATACACCATGGAATACTACTCAGCCATAAAAAGGAATGAAATCATGTCTTTTGCAGTAACTTGGATGGAACTAGAGGCTGTTATTCTAAGTGAAGTAACTCAGGAATGGAAAACCAAATATCATATATTCTCACTTATAAGTAGGAGCTAGACTATGGGGACACAAAGGCATAAGAATGATGTAATGGACTTTGGGGACTCAAGGGAAAGAGTGGTGGGGGGGGTGAAGGATAAAAGACTACATATTGGGGACAGAGTGTATACTGCTCAGGTGACGAGTACACTAAAATCTCAGAAATCACTACTAAACAAATTATCCATGTAACCCCAAACCACATGTATCCCAAAAACTATTGCAATAAAGAAAGAAAACTACCCCATTTAAAAATGGGCAAAAGATTTTAACAGATATTTCACCAAAGACATACAAATAACAAATATGAACATGAAAAATTACTCCACATCATTTACCACTCTAGAAAACACTATGACAGTTTCTAATACATTTAAACATATACCTACAGGCCGGGTGAGGTAGCTCACACCTGTAATCCCAGCATTTTGGAAGGCCGAGGTGGGTGGATAACTTGAGGCCAAGAGTTTGAGACCGGCCTGGCCAACATGGCTAAACCCCGTCTCTACTAAAAATACAAAAATTAGCTGGATATGGTGGTGAGTGGCTGTAATCCCAGCTATATGGGAGGCTGAGGCAGGAGAATCGCTTGAATCTGGGAGGCAGAGGTTGCGGTGGGGAGATATAGTGCCACTGCACTCCAGCCTGGGCAGCAGAGTGAGACTCCATCTCAAAAAATAAATAATAAATAAATAAATAATAAACATGTACCTATGAGCCAGCAATTCCATTCCTAGGTATTTATCCAAGACATAGAAATAATATGATCACATAAAGACTTATACACAAAGGTTCATAGCAGGATTATTCATAATAGCCAAACTGGAAACAATCCAAATGTCCATCAAGAGGAGAACAGACAAGGAATCTGTTGTGTACCCAGTCGTTGGAATATTATTCAGCAATAAAAAGGAGGAACAAACTACTGAAACAAAAGGATGACTAAAAAAAAAAATTATGCTACATGAAAGAAGCCTTATATAAAACAGTACATATTATAAGATTTCATTTATATAATGTTGTAGAACAGGAAAAACTATCGCAGAAAAATATAAGAACAGTGATTGCCACTGCAGGTAGTAGTTTCAGAGCTTCACTTGGAAAGGGCACAAGGGGGCTTTCAGAGGTGATAGTAATATTCTATATCTTTTTAAAAATACAGAATCTTGCTCTGTTGCCTAGGCTGGAATGCAGTGGTGCAGTCAGGGCTCACTGCATCCTTGATCTTCTGGTCTCAAGCAATCCTCCCGCCTAAGCCTCTCATGTAGCTGGACCACAGGCACACACTACCATGCCTGGCTAATTTTTTAATTTTTTTGTGGAGATGGGGTTTCACTATATTGCCCAGGCTGGTCTCAAACTCCTGAGTTCAAGTGATCCTCCCACCTTGACCTCCCAAAGTGCTGGGATTACAGGTGTGGCACTGCACCTGGCCAACATTCTATATCTTAATAGGGGTTTGGATTACATAGATGTATGCATTTGTCAAAATTCAGAGGGTGTATACTTAGGATTTGTGCATTTTCTTATATGTACATTTTATTACTTTTTAATTGTAAAAAAAATCTAACCTCTGAAATTGTTTTGAGTAGGGTTGGCAGCCTATAACATGCCAAAGGCTAAGGTGGTATGATATGGTGGAAAGGGCCCAGGCTTTAAAGCCAGACAGACATAGGTTTCAATCCTGGCTTAGTCATTAGGCTATGTGTTCTTGGGCAAATTACTTCTCTGTTTCCTTATCTGTACAAAGGAGGCAGTAGCACAATGTCCAACATATAATGTGTTCCTTAAATGGTGGCCAATAATAAACTGACATTTGAGATAATTTGGGGTCACAGGGCCAAAGGTGGTATCATTGCACAATTCCCAGACACCATTCCAACCAAGACGTTAGCCTACTAAAGATTATATACGAATCTTCCCTGGGATGTCTGTATTTCCATAAGGTCCCCTTAAAACCATAACGGAGTGCCCTCTCTCTCCCAAGGAGTAAATGAATGAAGACCTGAAACAGTGCTTGGCTGATTGGCTCTCAGTTCCCTGAGCTGCACTCACCTCAGGGTCTGTGCCTTCTTCATAGGAGTGAATGCTGAAAGCCATGCCATCAAACGTGTGGTCCCCCCGCAGCACAGCCAAAGCCAGCCCGGCCACCGTCAGATTTGCTATCTGCCCAGAAAACTCCATCTTGTGACCAGTACGCTCAATTATCCTCAGAATTCTGCAAGAAACCACAGATGGAGAAGAGCATCCTACCTTTTAAAAGTAAAACCCATCCTCCTTGCAAGATTTCCTTATTGCAAGACTTTTCTTTGAGTTTTAATCACTATCTTTATATCATTTAGGAATTATTAAATAAGAGCACTGGCTTTGGAATCAGACAAGTTGACACCTAAATCTTAGCTTCTCTAATTTCTAACTGTGTGGGCAAATAAAGTAATCTCACTTAGCTTCAGTTTCCTCACCTGAAAGTCAAAAGTAATATTACACTCATCTCTAAAGATTGTCGTGAAAATTAATGAAATTGTTACATGTAAGCCAGACCCTGCAGGGCCTCGTAGGACTTTATAAGACATTTGGATTTTATTCTACGTGTAATGGAAAGCCACTGAGTGGTTTTAAAAGCAAAGTAAGGACATGACCTGATATATACATTAAAAGATTACTCCGGGTGCTATGTAGAAGATGACCCATAGAGGGTCAAGAACGGAGGCAGAGAGACCATTTAGGAGGTTATTGTAGACAGTCTGGTGAGAGAAATGGGGCTAGGAATAGGATGGTAGTGGTGGAGATGGAGAGAAGTAAAAGAATTCCACCAAAATATTTAAGGGATTTTAAAAATGGATGTACAGTGCCGCATACAAGAGTTAGTTATTAATTGGCTGTGAGTTAGAAGGAGTTAACTAGTACTGTTCTCGAGTTTTCCACTTTAGCACTGGTTGGATACATTTTATAGACATTAAGAACACTGAGGGAACACAAAAGTTGGGGGAATAGACTGGGGGTTTGGTTTGGGGTAACTGTGTACTTGAAAGCTTGCTATCACTAAGATTCAATTCGAATTTGAATACATCCTTTCACAATGAACATTCTAGTAAAGTGACCCCATTGCATTGTACTAACTGAGCTTTCAATGTGTAACTACCTGACTTTTAAAATTTATGATGTCTATATGCCAAGAAATTGATAATATATACAGTCGTCCGTTCGTATCCTTGAGGGATCTTGTTCCAGGACTCCCATGAATACAAAAATCCACGGATGCTCAAGTTCCTGATATAAAATAGGGTCGTATTTTTGTATAGCCTATGAACATCAATGTATATTTTAAATCATCTCTAGATTACTTATAATGCCTAATACAATGTAAATGCTATGTAAATCCTTGTTATGCTGTATTGTTTAGGAATAATGAGAAAAAATTCTGTACTTGTTCAGTATCGACGCAAGATTTTTTTAAGGATATTTTCAATCTATGGTTGTTTGAATTGACAAATGCAGAATGCACAGATACAGAGGGCCGTCTGCATTTTAAATTTTTTAAAAATAATGTCTTTCACCAAAGTATTAGTACTTACTCATTGCTTATTTCATGCAGATCAGAGGCGGAATTGTTTTGCTTTTCCAAAACAACGTTGATTATTTGTAACATAACATGAGTTAGGTTCATACTTATCTCATCACATTGTGAAATATCTGATATTTTAGAAACAATAATCTTTGTCTCTTCTTTACCCAGGGCTGGGGATTCATTTATCAAATTTAAAATATGCTCTGCAACATCCTCAGCATTCTCTGGGGAAAGAAAGTTGAGACATAAAAGCTGCATGACTTAGTCTTCTGCCATTCTGGTGTGCTTCTTTCCCTTTAAAGAGTAAAGAGGGTGAGATGAGAACACCTACCAAGGTAATGTGTTTACAGAAGGAAAATATTGGCCCTTTGTTTCTACAATAGGTGTAGTCCCAGAAAGTAGAACATAAGTCAAGTTTTTATTCATAAAAAGTTTTCATTCATTAAATCCTTTTTCAAATGCACCAGGGAAATCGTTTTGTCCCTGAAGAATTATCTTGAAATTTGATTCTAATTAAATTGAGACTTTTGAGTATTGGATTGTGTTAAGTAGATCCCACCTTATACTCAAATATCAGCAAACACTCAGTCTATGTTTTCATAATTAAGGGTGATGGTTACATTTTCCTGTCAAGAACCATCAAACCACAGGAAAAAAAAAGCAAATATGGACTACGTCATAATAAAAAGCAGTTAATTTAGATTTTCCAGAGAGTAAGAACAATGGATATTAACTCGCCCACTTTTTTCTTCACTTTTTATTATGGAAATTTGCAAGCATACACAAAAGTAGAAAGAATTGTATAATGAATCTCCATGTTCCTCATGAATAACCCAACTTCAACAAGTGTCAATGAATGGATAATCGCATTTTCTCTACACTTCCACTCACCTTTTCCCCAACCCCATATTATTTCAAAGTGAGTCCTGAATATGATATCATTTTATCCATAAATACTTTAGTATGTATCTCTAAAATAAATGATTTTTACATGTCACGACCACAATAACAAATTAAATTTAAAAATTAGCAATAATATTCAAAATCATCAAATATCCTGTCAGTGCCCAAAAGTTCTTATCTCATAAATGCTTCTTCTAAATAGTTGTTTTGTTTGAATCATGACTCACTTTTAAAGTGAAGAGCTTTGTTAAACGAATACAGCACAAATTCTATTTTAGTTGAATATAACACATATAAAGCTGAGCTTTCTTGTGGTGTCTTGCTAGCTTAAAGCACTCACATTCAAGTCCAATAACCAAAATATAAAGGAAAATAATAAAAAATACCATTTGTTAAGAAAAATTCCAGAGAGAGCTAACACTCATAACACACTTAACCCAGGTTATACTACAAATAGTCAACTCTGTTTCAGAAAACAAAATAATTCAGCATAAAATTCATCCCCTCTCTCTCTGTCTGTATTTCTCTTACTACCTCTCTTTCAATGACCTCCCTAGTTATCAGCATCTCCTCAAATCTTTCTCCTACCCCAAGCTCCCCACAACTTAACACCTTCAAAAGCCTACACAGGCTACTTTTTGCTTTCTCCTTTTCCTCTTTGTTTTCTTTCTTTATTCTCTTTTTTTTTCCTGCAAACAACTTTCTGTTCTCATCAATGTAAATTAAGCAACCATAACTGAGATCCTCTCAATTCCTCCCCAACCATTACCCCAATTTGTCCAACAATGGCTCACATAGGAACTGAACTAGCAAAGACAGAGTTCTCCCTGAGGAGATGGGAGGAGGACAGGAGATTAAACAAGGTTGTAGTTGTTTCTCGATTAACATTTTGTCCCAGTTAACATCTATCTTCTGGTAACTAAAAGAAGCTGAGAAAATATTAAGACTAGGCAGGATAGAAAAAGATAGTGAGCTCATTCACGGACCTTTCTACTGCTCTTATTAAATCGCTCAGACTTTGTTTAAAATGGAATAACAAGAGCTGCCTAGTCATGATTCTTTGGGCTTCAGTGGTGCAATTTCACTTTCACGTAGTCCCTGCTGTGGCAGAATGAAAGTAAACAGCAGGCCAATGGGAGACTATATTGTGGAAAGTAATTATAGACTTTTTCTCTGGAGTTGTATAGTTTTTAAGGAAAATTCAAGCTAAATTACACTCATCGTGTAAAAATTCCTGGTCCTCAAGCAAAAGTAATAAAGGGACTTCTCCTTTATTTGTTGCAGAATAAATTGATCCTCATTCCTTGAAATACTGTTACAGTTAATCTGCCAGTAATTGCAACATTCAAAATAATAATATCTGCTATTTACTGAGCAATTTCTATGAGCCAGTGTTCCAGGTTATCTATTGCTGCATAACAAATCACCCTAAAACTTACTGGCTTAAAGCAACAATGTATTATTATCCTTCATGGTTCTGTGTGTTAACTAGGCTCAGTTGAGTGTTCTCACTTGGATTGTCTCATACACTTCAAGTCAGATAGCAGCTGAGGCTGAATACATCAGAAGGCTAATCTGGGCTGGATGTCCAAGAGGGCTCACTCACATGGCAGGCAATTGATGCTGACTGGTCAGTTGAAGCTGTTGGCTGTACTCCCTACACATGGACTCCCCCAGTGGTGTGGGCTCAGTAGTGTGCTGGGTCTGGCTTGTGATGTGCTGGAGCCAACTTTTACCAGCTGGTGAGAACCAATTGTTAAATTTTCAGGAATTCTGTGAACGAGTTGTTAAACACGGCCATTATTAAAAATTAAATTATATAAACTTACAATTGCATAAATTATATTTTAAAATGATACTGAAACCTCTTCACTTTCTAATTATTTTGCTACATTTTACTAATCTGTGCTTTTGTGATTATTTACATATCTAATATATCTGTGCATGCATCTTTTACCAAGTTTATAGTTCAGTCACTATACGTTACATTGTAATTTGTATTCAGCCATGGAGGAGAGGGTATTATATCATGAAAACTGGCAAAAGCTACAAATCAGCACCTTCTTTGGGTAGAGCTGGTTTTTAAATATTTTTCAGCACACCACTGTTTGGGCTTCTTACAGCATGGTGTCTGGCTCTGAGGAAGCATCTCAAATGAGAGTGTACCAAGAGAAAGGATGCAGAAACTTCCAGTCCTCTTAAAAATTAGTCCCATCATTGGCAAAGCCGCTTCTCCCTAATTCTACTGGGCTAAGCAGTCACAAGCCAGCCCTGATTCAATTCCCAATTGACAAAGAGGGAATGAGTCGGTGGGCATTTTGGAGGTAGATACAACAGCAAGGCATTATATGTGCATTTTCTCATCTATTCATCACAATAACCTTTGTATTAGTCATAAAAGTACTCACATTATCTCCTTTATATAGAGTAAGAAGTTAAAACATTGAAATATTCTAACCCAGTGCTAATTCCAAAGCTTGAGCTCTTCAGTATCACTTTTTACAGCATCTGTGACTTTGGCCGTTTTCTCCACCGTGTTGGGGGTTGGAACAGCTGTGCTTTGCAGTCTTTCTACCTGACCTCCTGGGAATACCACTGTTTTCTCTTAAGCACTCACTATCCTGCCCTGATGGTGGAATGGATACAGACAGGAAAAAGTTTTCTGAAAAGTTCTAGTCAACTTCACTAGAGCCTGATGCATCTTTAATATCATGGAGGTAACAAACATTGAGCACAGAAGAGAACCCAAAGAACTTTGAAATAAAAGTACCTTTTCTAACTCTGTGATATTAAAGAGTTAAGAAAAAGGAGCATTTAAGTGAGAGAGCAGAAGAGTTTTTCTTCAACCAAGATATCTAATGCTTGTCAGCAAGATTGAAAGCAAAAGAAAATAAATTGTTTCAACGTGAATACATTTTTCTTTCCTTTATATTGTATTCATTGTTCATTAAGCCCCTAATTTACAAGTAGAATAGAAGGATTCTTCCAAAGATAATAAACTTGATAGTTTACTTTTCAGTTATATACATTACAATCATCATCCAACTGTTCCTTTACTCCGCGGTAGATTTTTTATATATATAAAATGACTTCTCAGTCAATTTTCTAAAAATCCCAACCCAGTGCAGTGTTTTTGTTGTTGTTATGACTGTTTATTAACTTTTTCTTGCACAAGAGAAAATTCTATTAGCATGTCTAAAGAAAATGTGTCACTCAGAAGGACGGAGGTCAGTGTGAAACACAAACCCTCTAACTTTCCGCCCACTCACTTCAAGCTGTAACATTTCCTATTGCCCTCACTCTTGGTTTCTGATCTAGAAATAATCAGAACTGTGCTTGCTTTCCTAATTCTTCTAGATAGTCCTCAGCAAGGATCTCAAACTTGCATCATCTGCAAGGAAAACAGGTCTGAGAAGTTCACTGCTTCAAGGCCAATTCCCTGGCCCTTCTGCGAGGCACTGGAATGCCTGTGCCTCAATTTCTGACATTTCACTATGGGAGGGACCCATTTTATGCAGTAGAACCATGTCTGGCAAGTTGTCTATGAAGAACAGATTCAATGTCTGGTGAGAACTCATTTCCTGGCTCATAGACCGCCATTTTTTCACTATAACCTCACATGGTGAAAGGGGCAAAGAAGCTCTCTGAGGCCTCTTTTATAAGGGTGCTAATCTCATTCATGAAGGTTCCACCCTCATGACCTAATCCCCTCCCAAAGGCCTCATCTCCAAATACCATCACACTGGGCTTAGAATTTCAACGTATGAATTTTTGGGGCACACAAACATTCAGCCTATAGAATACACCTCACCAAAGGAGACATAAATATGGAAAATATGCATATGAAAAGCTATTCATCATCATATGTCATTAAGGAATTGCAAATTAAAACAACAATGAGATACCACTACACACCTATTAGAATAGCCAAAATCTAAAACACTGACAACACTAAATGCTGGAAAGAATGTGAAACAACAGGAACTCTCATTGCTGATAGGAATGCAAAATGGTACAGCCACTTTGGAAGGCAATTTGTCAGCTTCTTACAAAACTAAACATACTCTTATCACACAATCCAACAACCACACCTTTTGTTCTTTACCCAAATGAGTTGAACACTTAACATCTATACAAAAACCTGCACACAGATGTTTATAGTAGCTGTATTCGTAGTTAGAGCTTGGAAGCAACCAAGATGTCCTTCAGTAGGTGAATGAATAAATAAACTGTGGTACATCCAGACAATGGAATATTATCCAGTGCCAAAAAGAAATGAGCTGCCAAGCCATGAAAAGACACATGGAAGAAATTTAAATGCACATAACTAAGTGAAAGAAGACAATCTGAGAAGGCTGCATATTGTAAGATTCCAACTATATGGCCTTCTGGAAAGAGCAAAAACACAGAGATAGTAAAAAGATCAGTGATTGCCAGGGGTTGAGAGGAAGGAGGGATGAATAAGTGGAGCATAGAGGACTTTTAGAGCAGTGAAAATATCCCATATGATACTGTAATGGCGGATTCGTGTCATTATACATTTGTCCAAACCCACAGAATGTACAATAGCAAGAGTGAACGCTAATGTAAAACTATGAACTATTGGTGATAACGATGTGTCAGTGTACATTCAATTGTAACAAACATACCACTCTGGTGGGGGATGTTGATGGTGGGGAAGTCTGCAGGTGGTTGGGGGAGGGCACATGCTGAAGCTCTGTACTTTCCACTCAATTTTGCTGTGAATCTAAAACTGCTCTAAAAAATAAAGTCTATAAACATTAACAAAATTTAAAAACTTTTGGCTAGACTGACAAAGATAAAAAAAAGTGAAGACACAAATTACTAAAATTAGGAATAAAGGTGTGTTGGGGGGCATTACTACCAGCCATAATCTAAAAGACAGACAATAGTAATAAGTGTTTACAAGGATGTGAAGAAATTGGAACCTTCATACAGAGTTGGCAGGGATGTAGAATGGCACAACTGCTGTGGAAAACAGTTTTGAAGTTCCTCAAAAAGCTAATCATAGGGTTACTATATGACCTAGCAATTCTACTCTTCAGTGTATACCCGAGAAAATTGAAAACATATGTCTACATAAAATCTGTACATAAATGTGCACAGCTAGATTTTTAATAATAACCAAAAGATGGAAAAGAAATATCTGTCAAATGATGAATTAATAAGCAAAATGTGGTATATCTATATAATGGAATATAATGCATCCATAAAAAGGAATGAAGCAATGATACATGCTACAACATTGGATGAACCTCAGAAACATGAAATGCCCCAAATTGGCAAAATTCATAGAGACAAAAAAGTAGATTAGTGGTTGCCAGGAGCTGGGGTGGGGGAGGAATGGAGAGACTGCTAATGGGTACAGGGTTTCTTTTTGGGGTGATGAAATATTCTGGAATTAGTGATGATGGTTGCACAATCTAGTGAATATGCTTTTAAAAACCCACTAAATTGTACACATTAAATGAGCGAATTTTATGATATGTAAATATCTCCATTAAAAAGTTTGTAAACTACATTGAGATATCAATTTCTGCTTATCACATCGCAAAAAGATCCAGAAGTCTGATAACAAACATGCTGTGTTGATGAAGGAGTTGCGAAAAAGGTGCTTTTCATAATTTGCAAGTGGGAATCTAAATTGCTGTAACTATTACAGAGAGCATTTTGACACCATCAAAAGTATGATTGACCCAGAAATTCTACATTCAAGGATTTATGCTTTAGGTATACCCCTACTTTCTCAAAATTCTGACATATATGTAATATTCATCGAAGCAGTGGTTTTTTAAAAGAGATACTCTTTATTTTGAATCTCTTTTGCCTAATAATATGAATTATGCTAACAGTGTCACAAACAAAAATAAAAGCTAATGTGGTCTACAAATGTATTTTTGAAAGAAATGCAACCTTCTATATCAGCTGCTTAGACAATACCAACTCTAAAACATCTTATACACTATCAAACATGTGAGTATTTTTAAAAATATGTTATAGTATTTTCCCTACAATGAAAAAAACACAAAAATAGTTGTACAGTCTTGTTTTCAAAGAAAAATGTTACTGACAACCTAAATACTCATCCATAAGAAACAGGTTAAATAAATTGTGGCACATTTATTGTGGTATATATAATACAATGCAGAAGGGGAAAAAAGAAAGAGAAAATTCTTTATAGGCTGATATAATAATCTCTGCAATATATTGTTAAGAGAAAAAAGCAACGTAAAGAATAGTGTGTATAGTATGCTCCACTTTGTGTACAAAAAGTGAGGGCAAGTATATGTGTGTATACAATATACACATACACAAATATGTATACACATTTCATTATGGATCCATAAAATATCTCTGTGGATAGTAACTGAATGGCTGAGGTCAGCAGTGGGAGGGAGATGTTTTACACATACTCTTTTTGTTTTTTGAGTATTGAAGTCAGTGAAGTATTACCTATTAAAACTTTTTAAAAATTAAAAAAAAATAAAAACAATAATTAGCCGAAAAAGTAAAATAAGGCCAGGCGCGGTGGCTCACACCTGTAATCCCAGTACTTTGGGAGGCTGAGGCAGGTGGATCACTTGAGGTTAGGAGTTTGAGACCAGCCTGGCCAACATGGTGAAACCCCGCCTCTGCTAAAAGTAGAAAAAATCATCCGGGCATGGTGGTGGGCGCCTGTAATCCCAGCTACTCGGGAGGCTGAGGCAGGAGAATTGCTTGAACCTAGGAGGCAGAGGTTGCAGTGAGCCAAGATTGCGCCGTTGCACTCCAGCCTGGGCAACAAGAGCGAAACTCCATCTCAAATATATATATGTAGCAAAAACAAACAAAAATCACTGAAACACTGATAGTCCTAACATCTCATGTCCCACCACCACCTCCACCAACATTAATTACCTTTGTTCTGAAATTGGATTGTCGTAAGGTAGATTTTCCTAAGTGGGGTTTGCCTATACTCTCTCTGGTTTGGGGTCAAGTAGGCAAAGTAATTGAAGTTCCATAATTTGTCTTATATGTACAAAACAATCTTACCATCACTTATGGTAATATTAGCAAGATCCACAATCTTGTCAGGAAGTTCTTGAAGCAATTTGCATTGTTTAAACTTTGGCTTTTCCCACTGAGATTTGCCCGTGTTGATGCTGATTGAACTGAAAAAGAGAGGAAAGAGCTTTCTCATCAGAGGATGAGGCAAAGATAGTCTTAAAGCAAATGGTGGATATAGCCTTAGCATGCCTTCTCCTCGCCTGCCCCAAGCCTCCTGGCATAGAAAGCAAAGGTGGGAGCCCAGTACTTCTTTGTGAAATGAAGAAATTTTGCTCTTAGGGAGCAAGTGAATCTAGGGTCAACATGTGGGAAGGGGGAAGGGGAGTGGATAAACAGGTAAGGGAGCTGGGAATGGGGCATGGCAATGTCCTACTGACCAAGCATCAAGACAGAGATTCTGGTCCTCTAGACATGACTCTTTCCTCTCACTGTCCCTTCTTACTCCTCTTTTAAGGGGAAATTCCTGTTCGAATGTGGTCTCTATCTCAGCATATTAACTTAAGACAATTAATATAGAACCCTCGATGGCCCATCGGCCCTCATCATCCACCCTCCCCTGTGCCTCACCCAATTCAAGCCAGTTCATTTCAAGTCAGCTAACACATTTATTGAGCACCCACTCCATTCTAGGAATGGTAATAGGTAGCACACACAAACAGGGTGGGGCTTCATCCCTCCCTCAAGGAACTTGTAATTAGGGGGTTTAAAATTCTAAGTGTAACTACTCGAAACTTAGGGCAAATATAAGATGAAAAGCTGTATAAACAAAACTGAATCTATCAAACTACCAAGGAAAGAGACGTTACTTTCAGCATTTGAGCTGAGCTGTGTGCTGAAAGGACAGAGGTAGAGAAAAATCTCTTCCCCCAACCCCAAGAAGAGCAAACAGCACAGGCAGAGAAAGAGACACCAGGAAGCGTCCATTGAGCCCAGAACAGCAAATGGTCATTTTGACTGGAGCGTATGATAAAGGGAGGGAGAATGCTGAGTGAGACAGCAGGAGAGGAAGCCTACGGTCTGGACTATATTTAGGGGTTTGGACTTAATTCTTGAGGCAATGTGGAGCTGGAGCACGACAGTGGCATGATAGCAGCCATACTTCAGGAAAATCATGCTGGCAGCAGTGTAGAATATAGTTGGCGGAGGCGGGTAAGGGATACTGTTAAGTTAGATGGCAAGGAGACCGCTCTAATAGTGGGCAATAAGGGCTTGCACCAGGGTAGTGGCAGTGGGGTTGGAAAGGAAAGGCTAGATGTGGGCTCTGACTATGACCATCAAAGCTGCAGGACTTGCCAACTGATTAGACACAGGGAGGAAAAGGAAAGCCCCTAATGTTGCTTTCTAAAAGAGTGCTTTTAAGCCTCTGTCAAAACCTGCTGCCCCTCTGGTTTTGCCCACTTAAGTTAATGGCATAAACCATGAACAGCAGAGAGTGAGAAAAGAGGGCTGATTATTTTAAAAAGGAAAATGATAAAGTCAACAATAGAAAAGTGATTTAGTAAATTACTATAGCCCATCAACTAGATGGTTTCCAAGGTCGTTATTTTGAAATGAACATTAAGATAATAAATGTAAAACATGGAAAATGTTTGATAAACCATTGAATGAAATGGTAAATTACATTATTGATACAAGAATAGTGATTACTGCTACATAAAACTTAAAGGCATACAGAGAAAGGTTACATGAAAAAAATATATGCCAACCTAAAAACAGCTGTGTTCAGGCAGTGGGGTTATGGGTGACTTTTTTCTCTTTTGTCTTCTTGAATTTTCTTCTGGGATGATGGGTAACTTTTATCTTTTGTCTCCTTGAAAATTTTTCTTGTTATGTTGCATGTATGTTTAAACAGGTACGAAAGGTAATAGAAAGAAAGACTGGCACTAGAGGTGGAGGAAGGGAGCATGCTCAGACAAATGACATAGAAACATGTCCCCAATTAGGTAGATCTTTGTATATCTGAATCAGCAATTAGAACTTGGCCTGTACATACCAGAATCTTGTGGCATTTCCATCCTCATTTTTTATGCATCTGGTTTGGGCTGTCTCCGTAGGGTTGGTTAATAGCCACTTATAGGTCCCTTTGTATTTAGAGGCTGTTTCATCAGCTTTGCAATTTCCAGGCTCTACAGAGAAAATGTATGCACATTTTAAAGGACAAGAGGCACTTAAAAGTATTACAAACATCCATTATTATTATTACTATATAATAATATAATATTATATATTATTATGAACGTCATTATTATGCTGCACGTAAAGATCAGCAAATAAAAAAGAAAACTTTTTCTACCTAGCCATTTGGACCAGGCCTTATTGAAAATATCATTATATGGAGTGTTTTTTTTTTAAATAATAAACCACCCAGTATAACCACATATTTAGTCCTTTTCATTAAAACAACGAATTGATGAGATAGGTTTTTCTAAAATTTTGTACAGACAGCGTCTTGCTATGTTATAGAGGCTGGTCTCAAACTCCTGGCCTCAAGCAATCCTCCCACCTCAGCCACCCAAAGATCTGGGACTATAAGCATTAGCCACCTCACCTGACATTGTTCTGTCTTGTTTTTAAAACAATACATAAGAATTGAAAAATTTCAAGCCACGTGGTGGAGTGTAGAGTCAAAAGTCAAAAGTTCCCACCTACCAATTGCCCAGCTTCTGAGATACCCACTGTTAGCAGTTTTATATCCAAAGACAGGAGACTATAGACGAACTTCTCTCTCTGGAATGGCCCCCTTCTTAATGGACTCTGGGATGGATTTCATTTTAGTAAATTCAGTGTATCTGACATGATCAGTATAGACAGGGGAGCTCTGTTTTGTTTGTTTGTTTGTTATATGAGGTCTTACTCTGTCACCCAGTCTGGAGCGCAATGGTGTGATCATGGCTCACTGCAGCCTCAACCTCCTGGCCTCAAGTGATCCCCCTGCCTCAGCCTCTTGAAAAGCTGGCACTACAGGCATGCATCACCATGTCCAGCTAATTTTTTATTTTTTGTAGAGACAGCGTCTTGCTTTGTTGCCCAGGCTGGTCTCAAACTCTTGACCTTAAGTGATCCTCCTGCCTCACCCTCCCAAAGTTCTGGGATTATAGGTGTAAGCCACTGCACACAGTCTAGGGCTCTGTTTTTGATGTTGCTGAGGGACAGGGCAAACTTCCACATAGGGCTGTTAAGGCAAGGTTTTGCTGTCACACGAAGGGAGATGTGACATGGGCTAAGTCTATATGATAAGTTCCCATTTTTTTCTGAGCACTTACTGGGTTTCATGACCCTGATTCTGGAAATATTTCCCTCAGGTGTTGAGAGAATGCTGTGAGAAGTGGCCCAGCCAGCTTTGCTCAGCTATCCCAGTCTCCATTCTGAGTGAGGGTGAAAGGTGCCTTCCTCTCATTCTTAGGACACATTCATTAGTGTCATTTACATGTTGGGCTCTACCTGTGGCTTCAACACGTTTCTGCCCCCCATTTCACTCACACCCCTGCACCGTCACAGGCTGCCCTCTTATACTTAATTAGTCTGTTGCCAAGGATTGTGCGTTCTAATGCCTGTGTGTGTTATCTGGCATTAGAGCTGTGTGAGCTCAATGATTTCTACAGCAGTCTATTGGGGAAAAGGAACAAAGCTGCACTGGGAAGGAGGTGGAGTGGCCTGGTAGCCTTGCACTTTTACCAGTAAAGCTTTGCTAATCAGAGAATGCCCCCATGAGAGAAATCTGGGACAGTTCCCTGATCACTTGCCAAGATGAATAAGATGGCTGAATCAATCAATAAATTAGCAAGTATCTATTAGGCATTTATTGTGTGTTAATGAGGAAGCTCTTCAGGTCTCTGTGTATTTATGCAAGAGAGAAAATCCTCCCATTCCATTGACGGATTGGCCATTGCTAATATCCAGAGCTGACCAGCAGTCTCTGGTAACTCCTCCAGCATTCTGTTCTTCCATAAGTTCTTAAAGGTAGAAAGGTCATCAGATCAAGTGGGTACCAAGAATATGAAAAAAAAAACAGAAAGATGACTTCTCTCCTTTCTGAACTCAGAATCCTTAACCAAGTATGCATTATGAGTTTTATAATAAAGGAAGTAAGTTCATACTGCAATATCCACCCCCCAAAAAAATTACCTAGTTTTTTCACTGCAACGTGTTCACAGTTTACTAATAACGTCAATTGATCTTGTGTGAAGTTTCCATGTGTGAAGTTGCCATGTATTTTACTTTTGATTTTTCTCATCAATTCAGAGGATGCTAAGGAAGAGCTGGCTTTTATGATGACCTGACAAACACAACTACAAAGCAGAATAAAAAAGAAAGATTGTTGCAGTTATGTCAAGGGAGTGCAACTTGGCCTGCAATGCAGAAATTCTGTACAGCTGATTTAATTGGTAGTTCATAAATGTCAAACATTTTACAGCTATTAAGCAGCCAATCTTAAGAAGTGATGGAAGACAGCATACTGAAATGTTCTGATAAATTTTCTCTTATCCAAAACAGACAATGCAAAACCTATTTTCAAAAGAATGGTCAGTAACGTATGCATTGTGTTGAAATTGCTAGCCTTGAGATTTCTCTAAGAGTTTGTAATAATTAATAGAGAAGATGGAGTTTTCAGGATTTATTATTTCAGAGAGAACCTTTTATTCTTCTGGTCTCCAATTTACCCATCATTACTGAAATCAGGCAAATAGGCATATGATGCTCAGTTAGTCTATAAAGAAGTGTTCTGAAGAAGGCTCATTTCTATAATAAGTAATAATGATGATAATGATAATGATAGTAGCTAACATTTGTGAAACCCTTCCTCCACATGTTCTGATTCACTTTATTCTCACAACGACCGTATGAGGTAATGCTATTATTATTCCCATAACACAGATGATGGAACTCAGCCTCAGGGAAATAATGTTTCCCATGGTCACAAAAACTCACTCAGTATTTATGTCCACTAAAAGATCACTGATGAAAGGATAGAGCTGTCCTTGACTTCATCCTCTATCCTCTACAGCAAGATCCTCAAATATTCTGAATTCCTCTAATATTCCATTAGGAAGCACATTTCAGATACAAAAACTTACCTATATCTTTTTTCCATTTCCATTTGTAGACACGGCTTTTTGAAGAAGATATTTGCTAAGTTTCCTGCCAGTTGTTGCAAGTTAGACATACCTGTACTTGCTCAAAACTTATCTCCATGTCTAATCTAAGTGATATCTGCCCCTCCCTTGATCTATATTTGGTGAAGTCCCTGCTCATCCTGTCTCCTTCCTTTGGAGCCTAGCTCTTCTCAGCTTTCATCTTTCCAGTCCGAAGAGGAGTCTTCATTTTAAACCTCTCCTCCTGCTTGCGACAGACCCTCTACTCCATTTCAAAGACCTCTTCATGGGCCTTTTTTGACTATATGTTCTTCCTGATGTGCGTCGAACAGATCAACAATAGCCAGCATTCCAGGAGGAGCTGGACCACGAGTCTGAACAGAACCGAAGCTACTTTCCATGTTGTTGTTGTTTCCAATTTCCCTGCCAAGTGTTTCGTGGACCTTTTTGACCAAAACAAACACTTCACTCCCCCGTCCCAGATTATGACCACCCCTTTTTCTCTTCACTGCAAAGAGGCAGCAGGCTGGCCGCTAGCCTGTGCCATGACCAACCGAAACAACATATTTCATGAAGGCAAGGACCTAATTACAGCATATGTGAAATAATCACTGGGTACTTTGATCTTCTTCTGACAACTCTGGCCAACTGGCCGCACATGCAGAATTAAATGGAAGGAAAATCAGAACTAAATGTGCCAGCTATTAATAAACTCAGTTCCTACTTCCTACCTGTATGGTACATAGGAAATTGTAGCCATTTCTTGTCCTTCTCTCTGTTCCAACTAATGCAAAAGAAAAGTACATAGTCACTGAAATCTTTAAACAAATGTCATAACTGAGTACAGGGCTTATTGTTAACAACAATTATATAATTATGCTTCACATTTATGTAACTCATTGCCGTCTGCAAACTACCCTCAAAAACATCAATGCATTTACTCCTCACACCAACCCTGTAGGGTGGGCAATACAGGGATTGTCGCCCTCTTTGTTACATGAGGAATCTGAGTCACAGAGAAGTTAAATGGTCTGCCCAGTATCACACAGTTGACAAGACACAGAACTAGGAGCAGAATCTAAGCCTTCTGGATCTAGATATTAACATGCAATTGACAATTGTAAACACTATCAAACATTTACTATGTTCTAAGCCCAGTGTTAAACACTTAACATAGATGATCTCATTTTATCCTTCCAACAGTCCTCATCTTACAGATGAGGAAACTCCAGCACAGAGAAGTTAATTAAGTTGCCCAAGGTCTCATAGTCAGGAAGTGGAAAAGCAGGGGTTCCAACCCAGGCAGCTTGACCATATTATCACCAAAAGGATTTTACACCTGTTACTGAAAGGAATTTTAGTTATATCATGCTATAATGTGTATATATCAAAATTTCTGACTCAGCTATTTACAGAAAATATTTTTAATGATAGTGGATAATTTGGAATGCACTATGCACTATAGGTTTTTGTTTGTTTGTTTTTTGAGACAGAGCCTTGCTCTATCACCTAGGCTGGAGTGCAGTGGTGCAATCATAGTGTAGTGCAGCCTTGAAATCTGGGCTCATGTGATCCCCCCGCCTCAGCCTCCTCAGTAGCTGGGACTACAGGAATGCACCACCGTGCCTGGCTAATATTTTTAAATTATTTTTTGTAGAGATGGGGTCTCCCCATGTTGCTCAGACTGGTCTTGAACTCCTGGCCTCAAGCAATCCTCCCACCTCAGCCTCCCAAATCTCTGGGATTACAGGTGTGAGTCACTGCTTCTGGCCCCTGTACTGTGGGCTTGATTGTATTCTGTATCATCAAATACTTACCTCACACTTAAATACCTGGAAAGCTGTGTGCTTGCTACTCATTTTAGAGTGTGCTATTGTAAAGCTTTGAGGCAATGGAACAAGAACTGAGAATTGGGGCAAGGATGATGGGAGATAGTTTTATCACACTCTGGCTTCAAATCTGGACAAATAGAGGGTGGATTTATTGTGTGAATGCCAGTCTTGCAAACAATTGTGTCACTCTTGGAAGAGCTAGGTTTTTTTTGCAAGACATCTATAACGAAGAAATTCACTTACCATTTACAATCCCTGTAGACCAGAAAATGTGCCTCAAAAAGCTGCCACATGGATAGTTCAAAAAAGCAGGGGATGGTTTTCTTGATGGCTTTTTGTACCAATCCCAAAGGAAGTAATGTAATTTGACCCCCAATTGCCACAACAAAGCCTCGCCTGATAATATATACTTGGGTGGAAGAGCTATTGACTTACATCTAATCAGGCATAGGATAGGTCACAAGTAGATTCATTTTGAAAAATTACTTACAATAGCTCGATCCATGACCATCTCTTCCTCTGAAATGTCCCTGTATCAAAAGCATTACAAAATTATAGGAAAATGAAATATAGTACCAAGTATACAGGGCATGAGATCAGGAGAAAGGCAACTCTGAGGCAGAACAGTAGACTTCTCCCAGCCTGGAATTCAAATAATGCTAGGGCTCCAGAGGAATGCTTCCAATGGGCTTGCTTATTATATGCATACCAAAATGGTGGCAAGCCTTTGATTTATTAACCTTGCATCCTGGAATCTATTCCATAATGGTACCAGCAAAAGTGCATAAAAATAGACATACAAGTGGAAATTACTCAAGTGTCCATCACTAGATAATTGGAGGAAAACATCATGGCATATCATATAAAAGAATCCTGTACAATTATTAAAACAAATGAGCTATATCTGCATGTATTGGCCTGAAAAGGCATACATGATGTATTACAAAGCATGAAAAGAAAGTTGTCAAACAGTATGTAGAGGAGAATCTTATTCTCTTAGTAAATGTGTGAAAACAAATCTAGAAAAATCAATAAAATAAGCTGTTAACAGGAGTTCTTGAAGGGGTGGGGGAAGGCAAGTATTCAGAGATTTTTACCGTCCATGTTATATATATATATATTTCTGTAAAGCTCTAAGATTTTACAGTGGTCACATATTACTTTTGTAATAAGGAAAAATAATAGACACAGTTTTTAAAAAGAATGTTTTATACCCCCAGACATCTCTAGTTTTGGTTTAGTGAGTTAAATGTTGTGAATGTTTGTGTCCTCCCAAAATTCAACGTTGAAGTCCAATCCCCAGTGTGATTATATTAGGAGGCGGGGCCTTTGAGGGGTAATTAGATCATGAAGGTGGAACTCTCATGAATGGAATCGGTGCCTGATGTGTTATATGTGTCTCTGTGTGTGTGTGTGTGTGTGTGTGTGTGTGTACACATATGTTTTCATCCACAGTTCTTGGCTCATAACTCCCATAGCCCTTGTTACAGTCTTTTGTTATAATGTTAGGTGTGCTAGGCCTCAGAAGCTGGCTTCAGCAAACAGAATCTCTCTGATCTTCTCCCACCCTCCTTTCACCTGCCCCAAGGCGGAACTCTAATCTTTCTTCACCTTTCTGATTGTGAGTCTTAAGACCCTCTCCAGAAAGAGTCTTGCCTCATATGAGACTTGGGAAAGGAATGCTGACATAATGATGTTTCCATAAAATCCCAAGAAGACTGGGTTTGGAGAGCTTCCCAAGAGCTGAATACATGGAGGTTCCTGGAGGGTGGTGCACCCAGGGAGATCATAGAAGCTCCATTCCCCTTGTCCCTTACCTCGCCTTACACATCTCTTCATTCGTATCTTCTGCAGTATCCTTTATAATAAACCAATGCACATAAGTATTTACCTGAGTTCTTTGAGCTGCTCTAGCAAATTAATCAAGCTCAAAGAGTGGGTCACGGGAACCCCAAGTTGAAGTCAGTTAGTCAGAAGTTCTGGAGGCCTGGACTTTTGACTAGTGTCTGGGGTGAGGGGCAGTCTTGGGGACCTGTGAGATCTGAAGCTATTTTTGAGAGGATAACACCAGAATAGAATTGAAGTAGAGAACAACCAGCTGGTGTCAGCTGCTTGGTGTGTTGGGGGAAAATCCCCACACGTTTGGTCGTAGAAGTCTTCTATATTGATTGTTGTGTTGGTATGACAACAGAGGAAAAAAAACAGTTTGAATTTTTTTGAAACAGTACCCTTATAAGAAGAGACAGGAGAGCTTTCTGTCTCTCTGCTTTCTGCCACTTGAGGGCACAGCAAGAAGAGGGCCATCACCAGACACTGAACCTGCCAACACCTTGATCTTGGACTTCCCAGCCTCCGGAACTGTGAGCAATAAATTTCTGTGGCTTAAGCCACCTAGTCTATAGCATTTTTGTTATAGTAACTCAAAACTGACTAAGACAATAACCTACCGTACATTTACCTCCATTCATTTATATGAATTTTCTTGAACCTATTAATATGTATATGAATTAATACTTGATTAATAATTAATACTTGGATATGTAAGAGAAACCAAAGTCCCAGTGTACAGAAGACAGGCAGTAGCATTTTATGTTTTAAAAATCAGTTTGCCATGGCTTAACAGAGCCATGCCTATTTTTCAAAGAGCTTCTGCGGGGTGTCCCTTTACAGAGGACTAGTATATGTGCAGCGAAAGAATACAGGAAATACTTCTCAGGTGAGCAATTGCCTTTGCCATAGTTTCCATGATACTACTCAGTGCCTGCCCATTTCACTGCAATCACCTTTCGAAATTTGTGCCCCAAGCAAATCTTGGATTAGTCAACATTCTTGCTTTAGACATTTCAAGTTCACTTTGGAATTTCTCTTTTCTGAAAGTGAATCATTCCAAAATAAAAGGCCTTATAAATCCTCGTGCATTGTCCATACATAGCACTTCAAAGCATGATTTTTGTATAAATCACAGATTCATAGAAACTTAGAGATGAAAAGGGCATTAGAGGTAACTCAGTCTAACTGCATGACTTCCCCTATTGATTTTCTTTTGTTTTGTTCTCCCATTGGCTTTGTGCCCTACAATAGTAATACAATTTTTTTCCTCATGCCAAAAAGAACCTACTCAGGAAGGAAGATGCAACTAAAAATGTGGCAGCCCTAAATCTCAGACATAAACATAGGACATCCCCTCCAGATAGGAACAGACCCAAAATGCCCTCAAATTGCCCTTTGACCCACAGTAAATGTCATTCACATACCTGCTTTTAATTTGGGTTTCCAGAGTAGCAAGAGAAAATTCACTGTTCTGAAATATAGAATTCAACTGTACAAGACAAAAAAAAATCAGTTTTAGTATTCTGCTCCTCTAGTTTAACTCAGCAAAATCACTTGGGATGGTGTGATCATTAAGCTGCACTCATTATTTCAGCTGGCTCAACATTTCCATCTGCTCCATTAAGTTTTTCCATTTACGTTTTACCTGCTATTATGGGCTGAATTGTGTCTTTCCAAAACTCAAATGTTGAAGCCCTAACCCCGAATGTGGTTATATTCAGAGATAAGGCCTTTGGGGATGTAAGGTTAAATAAGATCATAAAAGTGGAGCCCTACTCCAACAGGACCAGTGTCCTTATAAGAAGAAAAAGAGAGACCAGGGATGCGTATGCACAGAGGAAAGTCCATGTGAGGACACAGTTAAGAAGATGGCCATCTGCAAACCAAGGAGAGAGGCCTCACCAGAAACCAACTCTGCCAGCACTTTAATCTTAGACTTCCAGATTCCAGAACTGTGAGAAAATAAACATCTGTTGTTTAAGCCATCCAGTCTGTGGCATTTTGTTATGGTAGCCTGAGTAGACTAATACACCCACCCATTTTCAAGGATTTATAACCAAGCCATAGACACTTGAAAATAAGTGCTGACAGGGAAAGAAGGGAAACAGATATGATTATTTGCTGTTGGGAGATGGTGCAAGTTGGTGTCACCTATCTGGGAGGCCATTTAGTGACAGCTATTTAAATGTGAAAGGTTCACATCTTTTCATCTACTGATTCCAATTCTAGGAATTTATCCTATAAAAATACTTAAGTGCCTTAAAATTTACTTCTAGGGAATTGTTTTCAGCATTGTTTCTTTCTTAAACTTTTTTTTTTTTTAAAGAAAACAAGATCTCGCCATGTTGCCCAGGCTAGTCTCAAACTCCTTGGCTCACGCAATCCTTTTGCCTCAACCTCTCAAAGTGCTAGGATTACAGGCATGAGCCACAGTGCCCAGCCCAGCATTGTTTCTAAATAGAGAAGAAGATAGAAACAACTTAAATGTCCACCAAAGGATTTAAAAAAAAAACTATACTACAACCATGTAGTGAAACCCTATGCATCTGTTAAAGTGTATGATTTATATTTACCAGCATGAATATGTGCAAAGATACATGGTTAAGTGCAGAGGAGGGGGAGCAAGTTGAAAAATAGCATAACTAGTACAACTACAATTATTTTGTAAAAGAACACACATGCATCAATGTTATAATATGCACAGAAAAAATATCTAAAAGAATGTACCTTAAACTATTAAGAGGAGTTAATGCACAGAGCAGTATTAGAGAGAGGACATTTACTTTCTGGGTTTTTGATGTCAATGTCTGATTTTGTTACAGAGAGTATGTATTAGTCATATCAAGAAAAAATTAAGGATAAGTAAAACATTCATTGTGTTGGAAAAAGAAATAAAATGCAGAAAACAATAATACTTAAATACCATTGTATTTAAGTATACATTTTGTTATCACTGCTCTCCCACTTTTCCCAAATAGGAAAATTTGGCAAAGACTCAGAATTTGTGTCTCTAAAGGGAAATGTACAGATCTCAACAAATGAAAATAATAACGTTCCATAAAAGCTTTCAACATTGGCACTATGAAAGAGAGATTGCATACATTCTCATGATGTTGCTTACAGAGTAGACAGATTTGCAGCAAAAAAAAAAAAACTACTTAGCTGTGAAATTTATTATTGGTAGAAAAAAGTAAAGCCTAGTTTTAATATATTCTGTCATATATATAAATGTATATATTCACATATATTTATATATGCCATAAATATGCAAAAGATTATTTTACCGAATTTTCCGTAAATTCATTTATAACACTGGTAATAGGGATCCTTGGCTCTTCAACAAAGACAGAGAAGCTCATTTCAACATTGTAGAAGGAAACTGTAATTAAAAATAAGGAGGTTAATTTTATTCATTTAGTTCAAGAAATTTGACTTCTGTAAATTTGGTGAAAAGTGTTCTCTGTTTTAAAGTAAACCAAATAATAACGTCTCATGCCTAAACTTAGCTTAATTTAACTCCAAGGTCAAGAACCAACACTTTCGGCTCCATATCAAAAAGCAGAACAGGACGTTACCATCCCAGTTTTGCTTTATTTGGGCACTTCCTTGATTTCTAGTTGACAGACACTCCACAAATCCCACCAATTCTCCACTCTCATTGGCCAACAGACTTTCAGTCCACTCAATGGCCAAACTGAACATTATCTCAGAAGATCATTTTCTCTGAGAAAGTAACTGTTTTTTTCTTCCTGTGCCTTGTTTTCTGCTTTGGGTTTTTCTCTCCTTTTTTCCCTTTTGCTCTTGTGTATCCTATCAAATTTCTATTGTAGAATGTTAAAAGTTGCAGGAATATTCCAAATTTGAACAATATGGAAGCCAAATATTCCCTGGCCTTGGACAAGCACTCCTAGTCAGCTGCAGGTAGGGATTGGAGAAGGCTGAGACCTGCATAAAAGGAATCCAAAAGGCAAGATAAGATATATTCTGGTGTTTTTTTCTGGTGTTTTCTGGTGTGTGGTCAGCATGCTCAGACCTAAGGCCGTATGATTCTCTTACTGGGAAGGGATGAGGTTCCTAGTCCATGTGCACATTGGCAGAATCAGAGTCAGACAGTCAAGAACAAAACAGGTGGAAAGTAGGCTTAGAAATTGTCATGCTGAGTGAAAACATACATTTACATTATATTTCAATAAGGCAAAGACAAGAAAGATGGCTAGAGAATTTTGTATTTGGACAAGGTACTCACTGTACCCACTGTCTGAAGGAGACAAGAAACACCTGCACCCTTCTTCATTCTTTTCTGCCTTCCAAGAACGGGCCACTTTGGAGAACACATGACCCATAGTGCATGAATTCTGTTGGGGCTACACCACATGCATTATGGAGCAGTACCTGTGGACTTGGTGGCAGTAGGCGAAGTCGATGCTTCCGTAGATAGAAAGGAAGGTGTGGAGTCCAGCCAAGTTGTTTCAAAAAAGGACGATATTGGTGAAGACACAGTTGCTGTAAAAGGATATGTCACCCCAGTGGATATGAGTGGAAATGAGGCTCCAGGAACAGTGGATGTAGTAGTCATTATATTTAGAAGGGAGTCCAGTGTGGGCTTAGGAATAATTAAAGTAGAGGGTGATGATGCAGTTGGAATTCTGTTCCATGAAGATGTTATTGTAGAGCTAGGCAGAGGCATGGCACCAACAGATAGAGTGTGGTCAGTTGTAGAAGGTGACATAGTCTTTCTGCTGAAGGATGAAGGATGAGACACAGTCCTGGGGTTGGCAGTTATTGTGGTTCTGGAGGATGCCTCAGGGTGTGTGGAAATGTACACAATGTCATCTGTGACATTTATAGACATAGGGAGAGAAGTTGGGAAGCCAGTAGTGATACCACCCAGTGTAGGTGTAGGAATGGTTCGGGTGAGTATGGTGCTCATAGTAGCAGAGGGTAGTGTTGTCAAGTTAGTGAATGGGTGCGCTGATATCATGTCAGATGTCAGAAATGTTGATTTTGACACCTCTACTGTAGAGGAAGTCATAACATGAGGGGCATTAGATACAGTTGCCGGAGGGGAGCCAGAAGGGAGACTAGATAAGAGCCATGTCAGAATGGGTGACTTTGAAATTACAGATCCTGAAGTGGCACCAGAAAGAATTGATGGGAGTGTGGTCCCAGGAGTTACAGATGTGGTCATTTTCTCAAATGTGTGCTTAACGTCAGCCAATGTGGAAGTGATAGCTCTTAAAGATGTTGATAATGAAGGGTTCTCAGAAAGCCCATGGTTAGGAAGAATTCCTGACATAGGAATTGATGACATTGCCATGACATCTTTAGATACTAGACCAGTCTGAGAGGCTGTGAATGTTGACAAAGGCCCAGGAACAAGGTGTAGAGTCTCTGTTTCCATCTCATTGGATGTAGGTACATTAATAGTGGTGGAAATTGGAAACTGAGAACCTTCAGCTGTGGGTATGTTCCAGGAAGTCATAAGCAGAGGTTGGGTATTACTAGATGTCATTCTTGTTCCCAGAACTGGAAATTCAACCATTTGGGATGTGGGAGGAGGAGAGGTCTTTGGAGTAGAGATCTCAGCTTCAGTACTATGAGGTGAATAAACAAATGATGTCAAAGAGGGTAGAGTTGCACTGGATGGGGTCCATGGAGGGTATGAAACAGGGGTATTCAAAGATGTGGCATAGTTTGTTAAGGAAGTCTTTTCTAACAAGGAAGTCATCTTTCTAGTATTAGAAGAAAAGCAATTGGTGGTTGTTTTAACATTTTTTGTGGGTCCAGAAGCACTCTTAAAGCTAGTCAGAGATGGGGAAACCTGAATATTGAAGGAAGTATGGAGACTATCTGCATGAGTAGGTGAAAGCATATTTTCAGGAACAGTGATTCTGGAATAAGTATCTGTGAGAGCTACCCCTGTACCACTGTTCACAGTAGATAGGGACCTGTTAGTAATCCCAGATAATATGCCCAAAGTTGTAGCCTCATCTGCTTGTGATGACTGTTGAGTTGCTGATAGAAATGGTGAAAATGTGGTCTTTGGAATGGAGGAAATAGCTCCAGTGCTCTTAGAACTGAGTGGAGAGAAGGCAGTGGTGCCTACAAATGGAGTCACTATCCCAGCCATAATGGTGGTGGGAACGGTTTTTACAAAGGGCAAAGTTGGCTCTGTTGGAGAGAGAAAGGTCGTAGGTGTGATCCTGGAAGGTGCCTCTATCATTTCTGTAGTGAAAGCAGAGGAAACCATTTTGTTTTTTGAAGTAGCCCCAGCATATATCACAGGTGTGACATCCAATGTAGATGTTTGCATGGTCATAGTAGTCCTGGGGGTAACTGAAGACAATAAAGTAGAGAATAACCCAACTCTTGTGGAAGTGTCAGAAGAGACTGTTGCAGGTGTGAAAGCAGAGTTATTAACTGGTATTGAGGACATCTCAGACATAGGCCCAGAAGTGGCTGTACAGGGACTTTTCAAACAACCTGGATGCATTGTTTTAGAAGATTTAGTTATCACTATTGGGGGAGTGTCAGAAACTTTTTTGGAGGTGAAGGCAGTTACATTAACTGGCAATGAGGACATCTGGTAAATAGGAGTGGACGTTGCCATAGAGGATTCTCTAGGAAGCATTGTAGGTACATTTGGAACAGAAAAGGCTGTAGTGATCCTGTCGGAGAGAACTGTAAAACCGTCATTATATAGTCCAGCTGTGGAAAGAGACAAGGACTCAGGGAAAGTCTGTGTGCTTTCAGAAATGAAAGAGGCAACTGAAGTCACCTCAGGTTGTGTCCTAAGTGAATGCAAGTGTGAAAAAGTTGTATTGATGTCCATAGGATTTGATATCCTTGTTGAGCTGGAAGTTGTGGTATCTACAAATGAAGTATCCTGGCCATATGAGACAGAGTGAGTCACATAGGTGGAGTTTACTATCATTTCCACAGTCCTGGGAGTATATGCTGGAAGGGCACTCGTGCTTTCCTTTTCAGGACACAAAAAAGTGGTGATTGTCAGAGCTTGTGAGGGGAGAGCTGTTTTCCCAAGACTGGTAGACATTTCTGGAATGTGAACACCTACTGTGTTACTTGAGGTCAAGGTTGGTGTAATCTGTGTGCTTCCAGAAGTGGGAGATGAAGCCAAATTTCCATCAGAGGGAGTCCCAAGTGGAATCTCTGAAGGCGAATGTGTTTGGTGACTGGAAATTTTTGTGGTCTCAGGAAATCCTGTATCTGTCATTTCCAAAGATGGAGTACCCCGGGAGTATGAAATAAAAGAATTCTTTGATGGGGACATTTCTGTCACCTCCATAGTTCTAGGGGTTTTTCCCAGGGATATGGTCATCTGGTCTTTGTCGGAAGATAAGACAGAGGTGCTAGTCACCAACTGGATGGACACTGGTGTGTGTACACGATATGTGGCAGATGAAGAAATGTGACTGTTTACTGAAGTAGTCAACTTATTGGCAGAGATGTGTGAGGGTGTGGTCTCATCAACAACAGAGGTCTCTGTGGTGCCAGTAGCCAAGCTGGCAACAACTCCACCACCACTGAAAGTATATGGGAAGCTGAGAGCATAGGTAGAAGTCTCCTCTACTTGAGATATTGGTTGAGTTGCTTCTGGTGTAGACGTAGTTGAGATCACATGAGTGGAGGACGCAGGAGGAATGTTGTCAGGGGGAGGTTTTGAGCAGACAAGAGTGTGTGTAGATGGGGTTACTGTATCAACTGAGGTAGAGAAAAGGGTGGTCTCAGCCTTAGCTGTCACAGGAGTGGAGAGTCTCAGTGAATGAAATGGTGTTTCTGTCAGAGAAGGAACTGCCATGGATGTCTTCCTGACAGAGATTACCGTGGCCTCTGAAGTGGTACGAATCAAGTCTCCATGGGTAGGCACAATAACAATGGTTGTGGAAGCAGTCTGATCCAAAGGTGGTACCAATGCTGTGGTCATTGTAGTTGAGGATAGATTTGAGACATCTGAGAGCACAGATGTAGAAAAAGCCCTGGCCAGTGTAGAAGGCTCAGACATGGTAACCTCAGTCTCCTCAGCCACCACAGAACTGCCATTAACTGGCAATGAGAACATATGAGTAACAGGCACAGGGGTTGCTGAGGAATGAGCAGCTGTAGGCTGTGGAGGTAAGATACCATCAGACAAGGACGTAGCTGTCCTGTCTGTAGGGGTAGTGGAGAAACTGGTTTCTGATATCCTTGTGGTAGAAGCACCCAGGGGTTCACCGAATATATGTGTGCTCCCAGAAGTGGGAGATCCAGCTGAAATTCCCTCAGATGTCTCTGAAGTCCAATGTGCTACATAGGTGTGGTTAAAATTAAACATTTCTGTCATTTCATTGTATGAACTCCTAGGTGTGGTTTTCACCAATTTTGTCAAAAGCCAACTTTCTCTCACCTCAGTTGTTGCAGTTTTATTATCCAATGGGGTACTTAGCTTTTCTATATCAGGAAAAGAGGAAACAGTGACAGAAGCTGTCACCCTTTGTGCTGATTCGTCTGTCACTTCCAGCATTGTTGAAAATGGAGAAACCTCAGCCACTGCTGCTATAGTTGATTTTCTCATAAGATAATGGGAAGTTGCTTCTTTTCTTGTCACAGTGGCATTTAATCTTTGTGTTGTTGCTGACTTTGGTACAGGGGTCGTTGTACCTCCAAATACAATTGCACCATTTATTTCTGTTTGTGTGGTCTCAGAAGCACTTTCCTCAGTAGAAAAATTTGGTTGAATGCAAGCAAGAGTAGATATTATATCTACTGATGGAACAACAGTCTCCCTTGGTGTCAAAGGAAGTTCATTTGCAGGTTTTGTAGACATAGGTATTGTTTTTAGTAGTAAAGTGGTAAGTTTAAATTCAGGCATATTGGTTATGGATGTGGTTCCAGAAACTATGGAGAAATTAGCAAACCATGGTGATGTCAATTTGGATACAGCTGTTGTATATCTGGCTGTAGTAGCATCATTGGCAGTGGTACCTTTGCCCTCTGGAGATGCTTTCAGTGGGGTGATATTGGTAGTTGCGGATAAATATTCTGTATAAGTAGTATTCTCATGAAATGCTGATGTAAAATTTTCATTAGGCACAAATGTGAGTATGGTGGTTGTGTTCATAGATGCCAGCAGGGCCTGGTCTGGCCTAGAAGTCCAAATGGTCTCATTGCTGGAGAACAGATGGGCAGCTTCATCAGTTGTGGATGTGGGACCTGACTCAGGTGCCTTGGATGTGGAAGCTGATCTAGTGGACATCAAAGTAAGCAAGTGTCCATCAGCTGTAGGTGTATTCTGGGTGTAAACTCGTCCTGTGATTGTGGAGGAAAGCATAGTTTCAGCCACTGTAGATGCAAGTGTGATTTCAGGAGTTAAGGCTGTACGTGTAGCTTCAGCATCAATAACTGTCTGTACACTCTCAGTCCCAGTAAATGAAAAGGATGTTAAGAAAGAAAAGGTCTTAGAGGAGGTCTCTTTCGACATGGAAGTAGACATGGCATCTTCCACTCTGGGTAAAGAGACATCCTGAAAATTTGTAGATGTCAATTCTGTTTCAGCTGTCCTTGGGGCAGGTGTGGTCTCAATAAGCCTAGTTGGGAGAGTCAATGAATGGACTGTAAATGCTATTTTCATATCAGTTGTTGCCAATGGAAATGCTGTCTGGTTTCTAGGAAATACAGAATCTACTGGAGCAGCTGTGGAGATGAGCACAGGCTCAGGTGGGAATGATGATGCAGTCCCAACATGAGTAGATGCAGGTGAAGTCTTTTCCACTGTAAACCAAGGTACAGTTCCGGCAGCTGTAGATTCAATGAACTCCTGGCCAGCTGTGGAGATAGGGAGTGCCCCAGTATTTGTGGATTTTTGTTTGAGACAAGGTGTTGTAGACATAGATGTTGACTCAATAGTTGAAAATAAAGATGTTGTCTTCGTAACAGCCGACTGAGATTTAATTGCTGAAGTTGTAGATACAACTGAATTCTTGGTAAATCTGGATGTGGATAGGAAATTAGAAGGTGTAGGTGGTTGAAAGATTTCAGTAGCCATGGCTTCAACCATTTTTGTTGTCTTTGTGCTTTCTGAAGATGGAGATTTCGTTTTTTTCATGGAATTGGTAGTATTGTCTATGGATATACTCTGGGTAGGCAGAGAGATGGCTGATGAAGTTGATAAAACATCCACTGCAAATGTAGCTGTCTCATCTACCAGTGTCTTTAAGATTTTTTGTGCAGTCATTGTTTCCAGAGGTGGAGATGTTGTATTGGAATATGATATGGTTGTGTAATCAGTTGCAAATATAGGTATGCTTTGAGACAATAGTGTAGAGGAATGTGCAGTATTTTGTGGTTTTACTCCAGTAATTTGGGATGGAGTGGTCATATCTATCTGTTGTGAAACAGTTGTACTTTTTTCTTGAATTGTCATATTTTCAGGAACAACTAAAAAAATCAGAAAGAATGTGTTATTTTGGATTCAGCTTTGGAAATTAGAGACAACTAGAAAGAGCTCTATAATTTCTTTTCATTTTGTAAGAAAGTATCATAGATATAATCAAATCACTTGATCACTTGATTTTCCTTAAGATAATTTTCTACTCTCTAAGACCTCTATATGGTACTCATAACACTCTGGTTAAGTAACTGGTAGGAAGATATCCATTTCGTAGTATCTTCATAAAATATATAAACATTCCTGAAAGAGGGATGCATGCCACAGTAGTGCATTGATTAAGAAGATTAGCTTTGGGAAAGGATCCAATTCCTTGAAAAATACAGCTATAAGAACTCAGTTAAGAAGAAACAGATAACTTGAATAGTCCTATATCTATTAAAGAAATTGAATTGTGTAGTTTAAAATATTCCAAAAAGAAAAAATCAACCTTAGATTCAAATGGATTAGTTTTAAATGCTGGCTCCATCACTTTCACACCCATTACATAACCTTGGACTAGTTGCTTAACCTCTCCGTGCTTCAGTTTCCTCCTCTATAATATGAGGATTATAATAACACCTATCCTATAAAATCGTTATGAGATTGAGTTAATGTGCATAAAACACTTAGCATAGCTTCTTATACAGAGTAAGTGCTCAAAAAACAGTTGGCTTTCACTTGGTCAAACTTCTATCAGTCATTTAAACACCAGATTGAAAATGTTTTAATCTGGAACTCCCAAATTAACATTTATTTAGTAGAAGTAATGAGTTTAAAATACTCTTTTCATTGCTTTCCATTACACATCACACTCCTGCGTTTTCTCCTACTTCTCTGTCCACTCATTTTTAGACTCATCCTATTTTACCTGACCAACGCTTTGTCCCAGGACCTCTTCACATTTGGCTGTATAGTTTCTCTACACCTAGGATTTCAATTTACACCTATACCCAGACAAATCTCAAAGTTATATCTCTTGACCAGATCTCTATTTTGCTCTATTTTGAGCTCCACATTTATATAACCAATTGTTTACTTGATATCGTTTCTTGGATATCTCATTAACACCTCAAGCTCAACATTCTCCAACTTGAACTCATTAGCTTCTCTCCAAACTGGGTCCTCTTCTGGTATTCCTTTAGTGACTGGCCCTACACTATCATACATTAAATTATGCAAGCTCCAACTCTCTGTCTCTCCCTCTGTCTCCTTCATTCTCTCTCTCACCTGCCATAGCCAATCCATAATCTTGTCCTATTGATCGTAGCTCCTAAATATCTCTTGGCTCACCCCAGTTTATCTCTATCTCCATCACTTACCACCCTAACCAGTCACCATCATCTTTCACTTGGACTACTGCAGTAGCCTCCCAACTGAACTAGTCTGCCACTACTCTTGGACCCCCTCTAATCTGTTCCATAATACAACCAAAATGATCTTTTTAAGTGCCAATCTGATCCCCTTCCTCTCTCTCTCTCACACACACACACACACACACACACACACACACACACACACACTGAGCTCTCTTTAGTTGCTTTCTATTGCTCATAGGATAAAAAGAAAATTTTTTCTTAATAAAGCATATAAAGCTATGCATGATTTGGTCCCTCTCTAGCTCTTCAGTCTCAATTTGTGCTAAGTCCCCTCTGTTTTTTTTTAGTCTTCCTCTTTTTAGTTCTCTAATACTTGGCATGCTCTTTCCCACTACAAGACCATTGCATTTGCTGTAACCTCTACTTAGAATGTACTTCCCATCCTTCCTCATCTGATTAACTTCTGCCAATTCTTCAGTTCTCAGCTCATGCATCACCTCTTCAGGGAAACCTACCTTCCCTGACTTCCATGACTAGCTCACACCAATCTATTTTAGACTCTTATGACGCCTCATACCTCTTCTTCATTTAATGCGTCATAATTGGAGATTTACCTTTGTTTGCATGTGATTTTTAATGTCTGTCTTCCTCGCTAGACCACATGGACAGAGTCCTCATCTTTTGTTGCCCACCATTGTATCTTTAGTGTCTATCCCAGTGCCTGGCACATGGTAGATGTTTAGTATCTATTTGTAAGCTAATAGAATAACTGAATAAGGCTTGGAATGATGTGAGAGCAGTGTGAAGATTCCTATCCCTATATCTACTGGAAAGTAAGAATTGACAGTGTATGATAACAAAGAGATTTAAGAGATAAAGAAGACAGAAATCTCAGAGAACTCAAAGTTTGCTTCTGGGCAACTCGGAGAATAGTGATAATATTCATAAAAACAGAAAAATTGGGAAGGCAGCCTCACTCAGAAGAAAAACACCCAGTTCAGACGTGGATAAGTGGAATTTAGGATGATAGTGAATATCCAAGTGAAAATGGTACATAGTAAAATTCAAGACTGAGTCATGATCTTTCTCCAATTGAAATCACCCAAACATCCATATTTACCTTAGGGAAATTAGTATTTTGAATTTATCCATCTGAGAAGCATATTACCTATGATGTAGGAATAATTGTGGTAGTAGACAATCTACTGATTTGTTTCACTGTCTTGAGCATTAAAATTACTTATAATTTGCATATCCAGAAATTTTGAGGTGTGTGTAGGATGTTCTTCAGGATTTTGTGGTCATTAGCAAGTAGAATGAATGACAATCTTCCAATTGACTGTATAGATGAGTTGATAAAAGTACACACATTTTTAAGGGGAAAAGACAAAGCTATATAAAAAGTACTTTTTCACTTAATTTTATGACATTTTTCCAATTACCACAGATGCACATTATGTTAGGCCTTATCAAGAAACTGGTATATTTCAGCAGCCAAGTGAGTATTTTAAGCTTTATGCTTTCAAATTTGTCCATAACTCCACGTGAAAGGAGAATTGTCAGGATCTTCATTTCCAATTTTGTAGGTGGGTTTACACCAGCCAACTGGCTTAGCAAACCTCCGTGAAAGTGTCACTTCTAGCACATTTGAGGAGTGTGGCATCCTAGAGCCTGAAATCACTCTATGAATGCACTAATTGTTGAGAGAAGAGTTCACAATTCCCTCTCCTTTACAAAAGATTAATGATTGAACTGCATTCACTTTTTAGGAAAACAATAAAACACTAAATACCATAAAAGTCTAAGTTATCTTCTTTGATGCAGCATTCAAAGAGCACTATTGGAGTAATCCATAAGTAGTGGAAAACTCTTTTAGAAGACGGGGAATGGGAGTTAGACATGGTATTTTTATCAGAGAGGGCTGAGCCATAGATGTAGCAATTGTTATTAACACTTCCAGTAAGCATCTCAAGAAGGAATATAAGATTTAGAAAGATAAAAACAAATGAGTTGAGCTAAATTGCCAAGCAGGTGGCATTTTAAGTACCAGAGATCTCGAGAAATAATGCATGTTACATTGCTCCGTTTTAACCTAAAGCCTGGGTTTGTATATTTCAGCAAACCTTCCATTAAATCTTTCAGATGCAAGGTTTCTTCCAGAGGGACTGCTGTATCAAATTTTTCCTCTAAAGTCTGTATTAATAAAGACTAAAGTCTTCATTCATTAAAATCCCAGAATTTTAGAGCCAGGACTTGGAGATTATATTCAATCCTTTCATTTACAGATGAGGCCCAGAGAAGTGCAGTGTTGAAATGAGATTTCCACAGATGAAAGATTTAGAGAAGAAATTAGACAGTATGTAGAAATGCCTCAATTTCTCATAATGTATGCCCTCAAATTCCTCATAAATGTATGCCCTCAATTTATATGGAAACACCCCAATCTGAGGAGAAACAAAGAAAGAAAGAGACTCTTTCTGAAGGTACCAAGGAGAAACAAAGTTAGATACTAAATGCCAAGTTCTGCAAGTGCTGAACACTGCAAGAAACAGCAATCATCCAAAACAGTGAAACAAACTTTAGAGGACAGCATTGCAATGCTAAACTAAAACATCAAGGCGACTTTGCTGGCCCAGGAATCAAAACTCAGTGGGGATCCCAAATTATGGACATTCCCTGATATGATATATGCCTTGAATAATCATTCATATCCTAGATAAAGACAATTCAATCAAACAATCAGTAGCTTTTTAGAATCAGGATCCATTGGAATTAAAGATTCCTATAAACCTTAAGTCTAGAAATTAATTGCAATGGGTTGGCATTGAAAATGATCTTGAACATTCAAGATCATTTTGTATAATGTAGGCTGATACTGAATATAAATTTCTTTTATAACTTAATTTGTTTATTGGTGACCTTATTGTCTTAATCTGTACATACTTTTGTTTTTCTTAAATTCAGTAATTCAGACTTTCTGTGCACCTATCATTTCTAATGAGTGAGGTTCACTTTACTTCTGCTTCATCAATCTTTCTCTTTTCCCTATATGTGGTAGGGATTTTTTTTATCCTAAATGGCACACTTATCTCCATTGAATTTAATGCCTGTCCTTCTCAGAAAAGAAAATGTTGTAAGTGAGTAAGGTAGTTACAATGCCAGTGATATTATCTCTGTCATTTTGTTGCACCCTATCTGTCTACGCATACACACTCAAGAGCTTTTACTGCCCAAGAACTGATGTTAAAAGCAAATGCAGACTTCTCAACTGAACAAGATGGCATAGAGCCACTTTTCCCTGCTCCTCCCCAAAAGGTACAACTATAAATCCTGGAAATGGTGTAAGAGACAACCAAAGGAGAACTATGAAAGGTGCTAAGAATAAAACAAACTGGTTTGGGACCCCAAGAGTAAAGGAACAACATAGTGGCAGTTATCTTCTCCCCCTCACCAAACCCAGCATAAAAATGCGGCCCAGGCCCTATGCTTCCTAATCCCCAACCTAGAAACAGAAGTCAGTCCAAGTAGGCTCATTCCCCTTCTGGATCAAATGGGAGTCCCTCTGACAACTTCAGGCAAGTTGGATACTCCAGCAAGGGGGACTGACTGGGCACCTTGCTAACAATAAGCAACCAAGAGAAGCACTCTCCTTCCCTAACAGGCCTGAATCTCCCCTCTCCACCAAAAAACACTGGTTGAACATAACCCAGTCTGGGAAGACTATTGTTTTTGCCAACCCAAGGTTTTCCTCGCCCATTCAGAAAAACCAAGGCAGGCAGGCATAAGAGGAAAAAGGGAGCCAGTAATAGCAAGTGGCCTGATCCAGGAAGTCTTTTTGTCCCTGCAGTACTGAGATTCTCTTCCCTCACCCAGAGACACCAAGGTAGGCAGGGGAAACAAGAAAAAGGGACTCTCCAGCAGCAGGTGGCCAAGTCTACGAAAACTAGCCCAAGATTTTCCTTTCCTGTCCAGAGACTAGCGGAAGTCAAGAGGCATTGGTAGGGTGATGCCCCCACATCCATCCCCCTCTGAGAGACAGCTGGAGGCCTGGCCTAAGGAGATGCCTTCTGCTCCCCACCCAAGAAGCACCAGCAGAGACAGGTGGAAGCCTCAGGGGTACCAGATAAACCAAGCAAGATGAAATAACATCACAAAGACTATAAAAATTAAGTTGTATTTGGAAGCACAGCCCACAAAAATGGACCAAGACCTGTGTGCTAAGCCTAAACAGAATGACTGACTGCTAAAATAAAAGATTTAAAAAAGACCCAGAATCTCCTAATTGACAAAATGTCCAGGATACAATTTTTTAAATTACCTGTCATATTTAGAAGCAACAAAATCACAACTTGAGTAAGAAAAGATAATCAACTGATGCTAAAACTGAGATGAATTAGACACTGGAATTATCTGACAATGATATTAAAGCAATCATCATATAAATAATCCTGCAAGCAATTACAAATTATCTTGAAATGCAAAAAATAGAATCTCAGAAAAGAAATAAACATTGTTAAGAAAGAATCAAGGTGATGGGTTCATAGGTGCAGCAAACCACCATGGCACACATTTACCTAGGTAACAAATCTGCAAATCCTGAACTTAAAATTTTTGAAATTATTTGGAAAAAAAATGGGGCCAGGCTTGGTGGCTCATGCCTGTAATCCCAGCACTTTGGGAGGAAAGGAAGACGGATCATCTGAATCCAGGAGTTTGAGACCAGCCTGGCCAACATGATGAAACCCCGTTTCTACTAAAAATACAAAAATTAGCCAGACATGGTGTTGAGTGCCAGATACTCAGGAGGCTGAGGTATGAGAATCCCTTGAACCCGGGAGACGGAGGTTGCTGTGAGCCAAGATCGCGCCACTGTACTCCAGCCTGGGCGACAGAACGAGACTCTGTATTGAAAAAAAAAAAAAGGAACCAAGTGGAAATTATAGAATGAAAGAATACAAAACCAAATTTTTAAGACGAGCTGGATGGACTTAATAGTAGAGTAGAGATGACAGAAGATAGAACAGGTAAACATAATGATAAAATAATAGAATTCACCCAATCTAAACAATAGAGAAAATGCATTGAAAAGAAAAATGAAGACAGCCACTAGGACCTGTGGGACAATAACAAAATATCCAACATTCATATTACCATAGCCTTAAAAGAGAGGAGAAAGACAGTGGGGCTGAATGTATATTAAAAAATAAATAAATAAAGGCTAAAAGCTTCCCAAATTTGACAAAAGACACAAACCTAGAGATTCAAAAAGCTAAACAAATTCCAGGAAGGATAAAAGCCAAAGAAATCTGTGGCAAGGCACATCATAATTGAACTTTTGAAAACTAAAAGACAAAAAATTTTGAAAGTAGACAGAAAGAAACAAACATTGCTTATAGAAGAGCAACAACTTAAATGACAGATTTCTCATCCAGAACTAAGGAGGCCAGAAGAAGCTGTCATAATATTTTTCAAAAGCTGACAGAAAAGAATTGTTAACCATGAATTCTATATCCAGCAAAGCTATCTTACAGGAATAAAATGGAAATGAAAACATTCTCTGATGAAGGAAAATTAAGATACCTTGTCACTGGCAGACCTATCTTTAAAAGATTAGCTAAAGGAATTACTTCAAACAGAAATAATTTTTTTAAAGAATCTTGGAGAATGAGAAAGAAAAAACGAGCAAAGGAAAGAACAAAAATATGGGTACATAAAATAGATGATCCTTTTCCTCATGAGCTTTATAAATCATATTTGATGATTGAGACAAAAATTGCAACATCATCTGATATTTAAAACAACAAAATTTAAAAGTGGCTGGATATGGCAGCTCATGTCTGTAATCCTAGAAATTTGGGAGGTCAAAGCAGGAAGATTGCTTGAAGCCAGGAGTTCAAGACCAGCCTGGGCAGCAAAGTGAGACCCTATCTCTATCAAAAAATTTTTTTAAAAATAACTGGGCGTGGTGGTGCACACCTATAGTCCCAGCTACTTGGGAAACCGAGACAGGAGGATTACTTGAGCCCAGGAGTTTGAGGTTGCTGTGAGCTATGATCATACCACTGCACTCCACTGCTCTGCAGTCTGGATGACAGAACAAGATCCCTTCAAAAAAAATCTAAAAGGTGAGGAAAGTCAAAGGACCAAAATGGAAGTGAGGTTTCCATACCTCACTCAAACTGATAAAATGCTGACAACAGTAGTCACATTTTCATATTGTAATACCAAGTCCAACCACTAGGAAAACCATGCAAAGAGAAACTCAAAACCCCATAAATAAATCAAGATGGAATATTAAAGTACGCTCAAGTAACCCATATGTTGCTGTTCACAAAAGAATGTACTTTGAATATCATCATATAGGTAGGTTGAAAGTAGAAGAATGGAAAAATTATACCATGCAAGCAGTAAGTTTAAGGAAAGTAAAAATGGCTATAATAATATTCACTAGAGTACAGAGCAAGGAAAATTACTGGACTCAAGAAAGGACACTACATAATAATAAATGCATTGCTTCACCAGGAAGACATGGTGATCCTAAATGCATACATATCAAACAACAGAGCCTCAAAATACATGAAGCAAAACTGATGGAGCTGAAAGGAAAAATAGTAAATCCATAATTATAGTTGGGAATTTTAACACCCCTGTCTCAACAAGTGATAAAGCTACTAAACAGAAAATCAGCAGGTATATAGAAGTTCTGAACAACACAATCAACAGACTTTAGTTGATATAGAGCACTCCACTCAACAATAGCAGAATATATATATTTTTGAAGCACCCATGGAATATTCACCAACATAGACCATACACTGGGCCATAAAACAAACCTCATTTAAAGGAACTGAATTTATAAGATGGTTTTCTCTGATTATTATGAAATCAAACTAGAAATCAATTACAGAAAGACCATAGAAAAGTTCTAAACAACACACTTCCGCATAACCCATGAATCAAAGAAGACATTTTAACAAAAAAAATTTAAAACATTGAATTAAATAAAACTATTTTAATCAAATTAAATTTAATTTTAAAAATTTGGGAGATACAACTAAAACAGTGCTGAGAAGAAAGATTATAGCACTAAATGCATACATTTAAAAAGAGGAAATATCTCAAAACAATAATCTCAGCTCCCACCTCAAGAGCCTAAAAAAAACCCCAAGATAAATCCAAAGCAGGCAGAATAAAAAAATAAGCAAGATCATAAAAGAACTCAATGAAATTAAAAATAAGAAGACAATAGAGAAAAATCAATGGAGCAAATATGATTTTTTAAGTCAATAAAATTGATAAACCTATAGCAAGACTGATAAAAGTAAAAAGAGAAAAGCACAAGTCAGTCATCAATATCATAAATGAAACAGAGAATATCACTACTTATTCTGCAGCAATTAAAAAGACAATAAGAGAATATTATGAATAACTTTATGTTCACAAATTCAACAAGTTAGAAGAAATAGACAACTCCTCAAAACCCATAATTTACCAAAGCTCCATCAAGAGGAAATAGACAATCTGAATAGCCCTATAGCTATTAAAGAAATTGAACTACTAATTTAAAAGCCTTCACAAAATAATCTCCAGGCCCACATGATTTCACTGGAGTTTGCTGCCAAGGAAGAATTAACACCAATTTTATAGAATCTCTTCCAGAAAAGAGGAACACTTTCCTACACATTTTATAAGGCCAGTGTCATCCTGATACTGAAATCAGAGACAGTAAAAAAAAAAAAAGAAAGAAATTACAGACCAATATCTCTCCTGAAATTAAATACAAAAATCCTCAACAATATATGAGCAAACTAAATGAAACAATATATAAAAATAATTATATACCATGACCAAGTGGGATCTATTCCAAATATGCAAAGCTGGCTAAACCTTTGAAAATCTATCAGTATAACCCACAATATCAACAAGATAAAGAAGAAAAATTATATCAACTGATCCAAAAAAGGCATTTGACAAAAATTCATATCCCTTCACGATACAATCTCTGGGCAAGTTAAGAATAGAGGGGATTTTTAGCAACATGGTAAGTGGCATCATCAAGAAACCTACAGCTAACATCAACTGTAATGGTGAAAGATTGAATGTTTTCCAGCTAAGATCAGGAACAAGGCAAGGATGTCCACTCTCACCAGTATGATTCAACGTGGTACTGGAAGTTAGAGGCACCCCAAAAAGGCAAAAAAAAATTTTTTAAGGCATTGCAGATTATGCAGTAGTCCAGATAGAAAACCTCAAGGAATCTTCAAGAAAAAAATCTACCAGAACTTATAAATGAGTTCAGAATACAAAATCAACACACAAAAAGCAATCACATTTCTATGTCCTAAAAATGAACACGCAGAAACTGAAATCAAAAGCACAATGCTATTTACAATTGCTCCAATGAAAATGAAATACTTAGGTATACACTTAACAAAGCATGTGTATCACAAAATGCTAATGAAACAAATCAAAGAAAACCTTAAAAAATGGAGAAGCACACTGTGTTCACGGATTGGAAGATTCAACATAGTAAAGACGTCAGCTCTCTTCAAATTGATATACAGATATAATCCAATTCCTATCAATATTCCATCAAGGTTATATGCAAACAGACAAGCATAGTCTAAAATTTTTATGGAAATGCACAAGTCCTAGAATAACTGAACCAATTTTTGAAAAGAAGAATAAGGTTAGAGGAATCTCTCTACCCAATATTAAGGCTTTATGTAAAGTTACAGCAATCAAAATAGTGTGGTATTGGCAGAGGGATAGATACATAGATGATTGGAAAAGATGGAAAATTCAGAAATAGACACATAAAAATTTGCTCAACTGATTTTTGACAAAGGTACAAAATCAACTCAATAAAGCAAGTATAACCTTTTCAACAATTAATACTGAAGCAACTGGACATCAATAGACCAAAAAAAAGAAAGAAAAAGAAAAAGAAAGAAAGAAAGAAAGAAAGAAAGAAAGAAAGAAAGAAAGAAAGAAAGAAAGAAAGAAAGAGAGAGAACCTCAACCTACACCTCACACATCTTATGCAAAAATTGACTCAAAATGGACCACAGACTTAAATGTAAAGTACAAAGCTATGGAATATTTAGAAAAAATATAGGAGAAAATCTTTGGGATCTAGGGCTAAGCAAAGAGTTCTTAAACTTGAACATCGAAAGCATGACTCATTAAAAAAATTAAATAATAAACTAGACTTTAACAAAATTAAAAGCTTTTGTTCTGTGAAAGCCCATATAAAAAGAATTTTTAGGCCAAGTGTGGTGGCTCATGCTGTAATCCTAGCACTTTGGTAGGCCAAGGCAGGTGGAGAATTTGAGGTCAAGAGTTCGAGACCAGCCTGGCCAGCATGGTGAGACCTCATCTCTACTAAAAATACAAAAATTAGCCAGGCATGGTGGCATGTGCCTGTAGTCCCAGCTACTCAGGAGGCTGAGGCACATGAATCACTTGAATCCAGGAGGTGGAAGTTGCAGTGAGCTGAGATCGTGCCAGTGCACTCCAGCCTGGGCAACAGAGCAAGACTCAGTCTCAAATAAATAAATAAATAAATAAACAAATAAATACAAAAAGAATTTTAAAAAATCTACAGACTAGAAGGAAATATTTGCAAAAGATATACCCAACAAAAAATTAGAATATATTAGGGCTGGGTGCGGTGGCTCATGCCTGTAATCCCAGCACTTTGTGAGGCCGAGGTGGGTGGATCACAAGGTCAGGAAATCGAGACCATACTGGCTAACACGGTGAAACCCCGTCTCTACTAAAAAAAAATACATGAAGTCCTTGCCCATGCCTATGTCCTGAATGGTAATGCCTAGGTTTTCTTCTAGGATTTTTATGGTTTTAGGTCTAACGTTTAAGTCTTTAATCCATCTTGAATTGATTTTTGTATAAGGTGTAAGGAAGGGATCCAGTTTCAGCTTTCTACATATGGCTAGCCAGTTTTCCCAGCACCATTTATTAAATAGGGAATCCTTTCCCCATTGCTTGTTTTTCTCAGGTCTAAAACACCAAAAGCAATGGCAACAAAAGACAAAATTGACAAATGGGATCTAATTAAACTAAAGAGCTTCCGCACAGCAAAAGAAACTACCATCAGAGTGAACAGGCAACCTACAAAATGGGAGAAAATTTTTGCAACCTACTCATCTGAAAAGGGCTAATATCCAGAATCTACAATGAACTCAAACAAATTTACAAGAAAAAAACAAACAACCCCATCAAAAAGTGGGTGAAGGACATGAACAGACACTTCTCAAAAGAAGACATTTATGCAGCCAAAAAACACATGAAAAAATGCTCATCATCACTGGCCATCAGAGAAATGCAAATCAAAACCACAATGAGATACCATCTCACACCAGTTAGAATGGCAATCATTAAAAAGTCAGGAAACAACAGGTGCTGGAGAGGATGTGGACAAATAGGAACACTTTTACACTGTTGGTGGGACTGTAAACTAGTGCAACCATTGTGGAAGTCAGTGTGGCGACTCCTCAGGGATCTAGAACTGGAAATACCATTTGACCCAGCCATCCCATTACTGGGTATATACCCAAAGGACTATAAATCATGCTGCTATAAAGACACATGCACACGTATGTTTATTGCGGCATTATTCACAATAGCAAAGACTTGGAACCAACCCAAATGTCCAACAACGATAGACTGGATTAAGAAAATGTGGCACATATACACCATGGAATACTATGCAGCCATAAAAAATGATGAGTTCATGTCCTTTGTAGGGACATGGATGAAATTGGAAATCATCATTCTCAGTAAACTATCGCAAGAACAAAAAACCAAACACCGCATGTTCTCACTCATAGGTGGGAACTGAACAATGAGATCACATGGACACAGGAAGGGGAATATCACACTCTGGGGACTGTTGTGGGGTGGTGGGAGGGGGGAGGGATAGCATCGGGAGATATACCTAATGCTAGATGACGAGTTAGTGTGTGCAGCGCATCAGCATGGCACATGTATACATATGTAACTAACCTGCACAATGTGCACATGTACCCTAAAACTTAAAGTATAATAAAAAAAATAAAAATTAAAAAAAAATACAAAAAATTAGTCGGGCGTGTTGGTGGGCGCCTGTAGTCCCAGCTACTTGGGAGGCTGAGGCAGGAGAATGGTGTGACCCCGGGAGGCGGAGCTTGCAGTGAGCCGAGATCGCACCACTGCATTCCAGCCTGGGTGACAGAGCCGGACTCCGCCTCAAAAAAAAAAAAAAAATTAGAATATATTTTTTTACTTTCAAAACTCAACAATAAAATGAACAAACAACCCAGTTTTTAAAAAAGGGCAAAACACATGAACAGACATTTCACTGATGAACACAGGAAGACGGCACATAAGCACAGGAAAAGATGTTCAACATCATGAAGCATCAGGGTAATGCAAATTGAAAGCACAATAAAATATCACTACAAATTTACAAGAATGACTACAATGAAAAATAGTGGCAACACCAAATGCTGGCAAAGATGCTGAGAAACTAGATCCCTTATACATTGCTGGTGGAATATAAAGTGATAGAGCTACTTTGTAAAACTGAAAAACAGTTTTGTAAAACAGTCTGACAGTTTGTAAACAGTCTGACAGTTTCTTATAAAGCTAAATGTGCAAACAGTTTGGAGGTTCCTAAAAAACTAAAAATAGAGCTACCATATGATCCAGCAATCCCATTGCTGGGTGTATACCCAAAAGAGAGGGAATAAGTATTTCAAAGAGATATCTGCACTCACATATTTATTGCAGCACTGTTCACAATAGCTAAGATTTGGAAGCAACCTAAGTGTCCATCAACAGATGAACAGATAAAGAATATGTGGTACATATACACAACGGAGTACTATTCAGCCACAAAAAAATGAGATCCAGTCATTTGCAACAACATGGATGGAACGGGGAGTCATTATGTTAAGTGAAATAAGCTAAGCACAGAAAAACAAACATCGCATGTTCTCATTTGTTTGTGGGCTACAAAAATCAAAACAATTGAACTCATGGATATAAAGAGTAGAAGGATGGTTACCAGAGGCTGGGAAGGGTAGAGGGGGACTTGGGGGAGGGGAAGGAGGGGATTAATGTGAACAAAAAAAAGTTAGAAAGAATAAGACCTACTATTAAGACCTACTATTAGATTGCACAGCAGGGTGACTATACTCAATAATAACTTAATTGTTCATTTAAAAATAACTAAATGAGTATAATTGGATTGTTTATAACACAAAGGATAAATACTTGAGGGGATGGGTACCATGATATGATTATTTCACATTCCATGCCTGTATCAAAACATCTCATATACTACACAAATATGTACACCTAATATGTACCCACAGAAATTTAATTATTTTTTAAATTAAGAAAAAAACTAAACATGCAACTTCCATACAGCCAAGCCAAGGCATTTTTCCCAGAGAAATAAAAACTTATGTTCACAAAAAAAACCTGTACACAGATGTCCATAGCAGGGATTTTTTTTATAACAGCAAAAAATTGAAATCAGCCCAAATGTCTTTCAACAGGTGAATAATTGAATAAACTGTAACATATCCATACCATGGAATACTACTCAGCAATGGAAATGAGTAAACTATTGAGACACTCAACAACCCGGATGGCTCTTCAGAGAATTATGCTGAGTTAAAAAAAAAAAAAAGGTAATCCTAAAAGTTTACATAATGTGTGATTCCATTTATATAATATTGTTGAAATGACACAATTTTAGAAATGGGGAACAGATTAGTGTTGTCAGGGGTTAGGTATGAAGCAGCGTAGGGGGAAAGGGTGGGAAGGAAGTTGGTGTGGTTATAAAAGGTCAACATGAGGGATCCTACTAGTATTAGAACTGTTCAGCATCAGTATGCTGGTAGATACACAAGTTTGCCCAGGTGATAAAATTGTATAGAACTTAATACACAGACATAAATGAATATAATAAAAACTAGAGAAACCTGAGTAAGATTGGTGGGTTGTATCAATGTCAATGTTCTGTTTGTTATACTATAGCTTTGCAAAATGTCACCATTAGAGGAAACTAGACAAAGTGTACAAGAATTTCCAACTGCATGTGAATCTACAATTATCTCTCAATAAAAAATTCAGTTAATAAAAAGTAAATGACCAGCCTAGGCAACATAGCAAGACCCCGTCTCTACCAAAAAATAAAATAAAATAAAATAATAAAAAATAAATTAAAATTAGCCAGGTGTGGTGGTACACATCTGTAGTCCTAGCTACTCGGGGTGGGGTGGCTGAAGCAGGGGGATGGTTTGAGCCCAGGAGGTCAAGGCTGCAGTGAGGAGCTCTGATTGCACCACTGCACTACATCCTGGGCGACAGAGTGAGACCTTATCTCAAAAAAAAAAAAAAAATCAAATGCAAAAGCCAGTACTGTGCTTGAGCAATGACTGAATATCCATCTATTCACATTGGACAGAAGCCATGAGGTCAGGCCTCCATCCTTGGAGGGCTCACAAACATGATTTGCCATATTCACTTTGTTCCTGTTTGTGAACAAGTGATCACTTGCACAAATAATTTGCATAAGCCTTGCTGTCTCTGTATTTTAAAGTGGAGATAATCCATACTAATTCACAGGGGTCTGTGGGCTTAATTGCCATTTGCTCTTTCACTCTACACAAAATTGTATTATTGTAATCATTGGGAGCTGGAGAACAGAGGTATAGAGTAGCTGAATATTTATGAGGCATTTTGTTGCAGATGTACCTGCCAACAGAATGTTAAGTAGAACATTTTCTAAGGTACCAAATTCTGGTTGTGATTTGGGTATATCACCTCATATTAAATCTATGTGTCGTTCTAGCCCACATGTCACATCTGGTTTTTCTTTCAGTCAGGACCTCTATAAATATAATTCAGCATGTTGATTAGATTTGTGAGAGATAATGGTGACCAGAAACTGCCACAGACAGATCTGCCTGTGGGGTAGAAAAATATGAAATGAGTATCTTTAAGGTGAAAAGGAAACTTTTTTTTTTCAAAGTGGTGTCTGCATTCAGTTTCCAGGCAAAAGCATGAAAAACGAATGCTGCAATAGACAGACAGGCTAGAGCTTCTATCTCTGAGTCTATAGGAGAATGTCATCCTGTGAAGGAGAATACAAATAAGAAGGCTTTGAGTGAACTACAAACAGCTCATGCTTACTTTTCGTGATGAGGAAGGAGGGTAGCACAGAGAATTGATGTATGAGGGCAAGACCAAATTGTCTTTTAGCTAGTAGAGCCCATCACCATGGAACTTTTCCTATCAGAGCTGATAATTGGATAGAGGAATTAATAGTGAGCCAAACAAAGGCCTTTATAAAGGACATAGACCATATAATCCATCTCTGCATATTTTAAGAATAGTCAATTCATAAACTAATTCAAAGAAGCTGGAGCATTAGACCAATTAACGAACCTCAGCAAATCAATGACCCCGCAGATATAGGGATGCTATGCTTTGATACAGTGTAGATTTCCCATGATGAACTCAGTTCAGGTTATTTCATTCTTTTCAATAGAAAGGATTTCTTAAATGCAGATCTAAAAGGAATTTAATCTGCATGTCTTTGGAAGACTCTTTTTCTTCATACATTCACAGGTCAAAAAAAATTCCTTTGTTTGATCATGTGTCTGAGTTGAGATTAGGAAATTATGCTGGCCATATCTTGAGAGGAACTTTAGCTTGTGATAATTTCTTTACGGTTGCTTCAAGATATTTCTGTCACCACCCATTACTTTTAAAAGCCCTGTAGACTTTTGTCATAGCTAGAAACTAGAAACAACTTCAAAGTCCTTCAAACAGAGCTTGTTGAATAAATTATACCATACCCTTTTTCTTTCATACTATTCAGCAGCCTCCCCCCAAAAGAATCAGATAGCTCTATATTTTCTGATATGAAAATGCCTCCAAAAATATTATTAAATTTTTAAAAGATGCAGAAAAGGATGCATATAATGATGAACCCAACTGTGAAAAAGAAAAAAAATATATTTACATGTAAATTCAAGTTTTACATTTTTTCCGCAAGGATATATAAGAAATTATTAACAATCATTGCTTTTGGGGATAGACACATAGAGTAAAAGATTGAAGTGAAAGGAGACTTTAGATTTATACTTTTATGTATTTTTAAATCTTTTACCATATATATCTAGTAATTTTACTTTTAGAGGTCAATTAATTTTCAATGAATAGTTACATTAATAAAATAACTAGTAAAAATGATAAATCTATTTAAATTGTAACAGCTTATAGGCTTTTACTGAGAAATTCTACCCTTAGGAACGTGTCTTACAAAATTGAAAACCTAAACGTACCAAGATATATGTATGAGGAAATTTACTGTAGCATTATTTGTAATTGCAAAAAATTGAAAGCAACTTAAATGGCCATCAATGATGGGCTAGTTAAATAAATTATGTTACATGTAAATTATGTTGCATGGAATATATGTAGCCCTAAAAACAGATCTAAATATACCTATGTGTCTGTCCATGATAGTATTAAGTTAAAATAAATCAAGTTGCAGAACCACATGTATGTATATATTATTATTATTATTATTATTATTATTTTATTTCCCACTCTGTCCTTTTTATTTTATTTTATTTTATGTTATTTTATTATACTTTAAGTTCCAGGGTACATGTGCACAACTTGCAGGTCTGTTACACATGCATACATGGGCCATGTTGGTGTGCTACACCCATCAACCCGTCATCTAACACTAGGTATATCTCCCAGTGCCATCCCTTTTTAAAAACTGTACACACTCATGCACATACATGCACACACTTATTACAAACCCATGGAAAAAATTTTTTAACAGACACCTCTGTGAAGAGGATAGTGAAGGGTAGGTTTTACTTGATATTTCATATGATTTTGTATTGTTTAAATATATTTTATTCACAAACACATGTATTACATTTGTAATTTTTAAAAATAAGTAGAAGATGCTTAAAACTACTTGAAAACTAAATTTCTAATGACTAGAAATTTCACTGTTATTATTTGTCACCATGTTGTTTAATATTCCAAGACATTTCCAACTATAGTGAATACTTGTTTATTAAACCCAGGTAGGGTTCATGTTTTTCAGGCAGTGTTCCCCAAAAGCCTTGTTCTCATGAATATATAAATATATATATAATTTATGTGTAAATAGATTTATTGAGATTTGTAACCTAGCAATGTACTCATTAAAATTTATTTTTTAAAGGTCATAATCCTTCTATGGACCATAAATATCAATTTATTAGGCAAAAGCTGAAGCTAGACATGTTGTAATCACTCATATTTATTCATATATTGCCCCCTTTGTCCCAGATACCATACAGCCAAAATCGAAATAGGTGAAATTCTATGGTATTTTACAGATCCTTCAGTGGTGAGGCAGGCAATGACTACAGCTAGTAGCCTAATTTCCCCAGGTGAATTATCAAACCAGCCATTACCTCCAAAGGAAGCTTCTAAGACATAGTAACATAGCATAACATTTTGGGGGCCACAGACTCACTTGAGATAGTCCTGTACGGTGGGAGGTGAAAAGAACATGTGTTTTGCAACCAGACCAATCTGTTCAAACCCCAGCTACACTACTTATTTGATTGGTGACATTAGGCAATTTACTCAACCTCTCTGAGCCCCTATTTCCTTTTGTATAAAATGCCTGGCACACGGTAAGAACTTAGTAAAAGGCACCAATTACCATAATATGTTAGCATGTGATGGAAACTATAGACTGCACCCTCTGAAAAAAAATCTGCCCTGTATTTTTAGGGTGTTGTGATTTCGGGGGCTTTGTCAACTCCTTCAAGGCCATTCTGGCCCCTAGATTAGGAACTCTTGGTCCAAGGTTTGGAAAGAACACTTGAAGAGATCTGAATAGTAGAGAGAACATTTACTACCTTTTTTTGTTTGTTTGAGGTGATAATTTCCTTGTTTGTTACGTTAGATTGTGCATTATGCCCACCATGATTCAGTCAGACCCAGAGGATGGTCGTCCATTAAAAAGTGTATGAAAGAGGCCGGGTGCATTGGCTCACGCCTGTAATCCCAACACTCTGGGAGGGCGAGGCAGGCAGACCACTTGAGGTCAGGAGTTCGAGACCAGCCTGGCCAATATGGTGAAACCCTGTCTCTACTAAAAATACAAAAATTAGCCAGACATGGTGGCATGTGCCTGTAGTCCCAGCTACTCGGGAGGCTGAGGTAGGAGAATCGCTTGAACCCGGGAAGCAGAAGTTGCAGTGAGATGAGATGGCACCATGGCACTCCAGCCTGGGTGTCGCAGCGAGACTCCATCTCAAAAAAAAAAAAAAAAAGTGTACAAAAGAGCAAAATAAAACAGGGTTGTCTAGTACTTTAACACAGCAGTTAGATTTAGCTATCTACCCACAAAGTGGTAGGAAAACTCATGGCCATTCGCTGGCCAGATGTGGTTTTAAAACACCACTGCTGAGCACATGGATATAAGGCCATACTTCCGGTTCCTTAGATCAAAGATAAAGTTACTTTAAACTGCTTTGGGTGAGCTGTTCAGGCTTAACCTACTAGTCTGTAGCTCAGTTTTGTAATCAGAGCCAGCTAGGAATATTCTCTTTTGTTTTTAAGGCCCCAGAAAAGAGAAAAAACAAATATCTTTGGGTGGTAGCACAAAGGAATAGCTTTCCTGCTCCTTTGCATTGGTCTAATCTCAAAGAAACAGAAATCCCCTGGAATGTTCCTCTGCAGTTAACTCAAACAGCATCCAGACTGTTGGTGAAAACATATCCCCTTAGTCTGAGAGAGCCCTTTTAGGCATGGATCTAGCCCCTATTCCTTTCCTAACAGCTTCCTCCTGGAAGGAAAAAACCCATAACAACAGTCAATAATACTCCTTCAAGAATAAGTGAAAGTTTTGGGAAATGCAAAAAAATCTTGTCTTGATGCTATTATCACTGACTACCTGTGCTAAAGACTGCTGCTGCTGATAGTGGAGAGGACTGGATTTGAGAGCAGAGTGGGATTATGCAGAGAAAAGCAATCTCATCTTTCCTTCCCCAAACTCGAGAGGAGACAAATACAGGTGTAATTCCAAGAAGCCAGGTTCCTTACAAGAACTCCATTCCAAAGAGTTCTCCCATATCATAATTGCTCTCAGAAGAAAAAATGAATTGGTTTATAAATATCATTCCCCACTAAAAGGAAGAGGGACGCCTTAGTAAAATGACTGCTCCTTGGGCTGAGCAGAAAACGTACAAGAAGAGCCTGGAACATCTTGTTGTGCCAGAGAGTAAGAAAATGCTCAAAGAATGATGGGGAACTTGTCAAAAGGACACAAGAGCCAGATTGAAAAACTCTCACTGACCAACCCTGGGCCAATTTGAACATCAAAATAAATGATAGTAGCAGATTGTAACCCATTGAATAAAATGAGAATCCATGAGTTCATGTTCAAATAAATAAACACATAAATAAGGTTGGGTGTGGTGGCTTACACCTGTTATCCCAGCACTTTGGGAGGATGAGGCAGGAAAACCACTTGAGCCCACCCAGAAGTTAGAGGTTACAGTGAGCTATGATCATGCCACTTCACTCTAGCCTTGGCTAGAGTGAGACCCTGTGTCTTAAATAAATAAACACATAAATATGGAAGAAGAAAAAGCTCTTTCTTACAATAGAATGCCAACTAATAAATGTAAAAAAATGGAATTTTAAACATCATTATTTTGCAAACATCATAGTGATTAGTGAATCAGGCAAGAATCATGAATAGATGTAAAACCTATTGGGTGAAAGTATGGTAAGAAGGGGATAGTTACATAACCTCCAAATATCTCCCCAGAAATTACTCAACAATTACAAAGGAAAAAATAATAACTTTATGGTGGAGAAATCTGACAGACATCACCAAAATCAAGTGATCAAAGTTATTATGAATAATGAGACAAATTGTCACCGTGTGTCTACTGATGTGATGAACTGAGAAGAATATAACATCATTTCTGTGGTATTCTTACCAAAAATTCATAGCCTGAATCTAATTATGAGGAAATATTAGACAAACATAAATTGAGAGACAAAGTAACTGGACTGTATGCTAAAAATGTCTAGGTCATGAAAGACAAAGAAAGGCTGAGAATCTATTCCAAATTAGTCTAAAGAGACATGACAACTAAATGTAATGTGTGATCCTGAGTTGGATCCTGGGCCAAGCAAAAAATAGTTATAAGGGAAATTACTAGGATAATTGGCTAAATATGAATGTGAAATGTGAATTAGATGTTAGTATTGTATCAACATCAACTTTTCTGATTTTGATCATTATAGCCTGGTTAAGAGAATTCCTCATTCTTAGGAAATACACACTGAGATATTTAGGGGTAGCAAAGAATTATGCCTGCAACTTACTCTCAAATGACTTAGAAACAAATAAGTGGTGTGTGTGTGTGTGTGTGTGTGTGTGTGTGTGTGTGTTCTTCTATCCTATTCTTCCAATCTTTCTATAAGTTTGAAATCATATCAAAATAAAGATAAAAGAAAACAGTATGTGCTCCTCATTAAAAAGTGATGACAAAACTAGCAACCTGGGGCCACTGCTAGCAGAGAAGTACTGTGTCAACACTACCCTTGCTAAGGAAAAAAGTTGTTAAGTTACTCACAGCAGCGCAGTGTCCTGTCAACAGTTGGGATGATCTTGTTGACAAGCCAGACGTCTTCTTCCCAACTAACTATATTTCCATCTAAACACTTCATAAACTCTTCGTTTTCCAGGATGTGGTCCCAGAGTTGAAAGTAGTACAAGCTGCCAGGAAAGCTACGCATCATGCTTTTAACCTCGCTGCTCTCATTCTTGAGAAAGTGCCCTAGGAACAGAGTCCCATGAGGTGTCAGGTTGTGTGGTTGATCCGTTACTTCCAGTATCCTTTCTTTATTCAGGAAGAGTTCTAATTTGCCCTTCACACCATCCCATATCAAGCATATTGTATGCCATTGAAATGAAGCCAGGTGGTGACGGATAGAAAAGGTCTTTCCCAATCTGTATAGTATTAGCTGCTGATGGTCTCCTGCAAGTCCAAGGTCTATGTCTTCTCTGCCCAGGAGGGCGTTATTAGTAATATAAGAGAAGGCCATCCAATACCTTGAGTTGTCATCCATGAATACCAGATCAATGCATGCTGTGAATCGGCTGAGTTCAGGAATGGTATCTATCAGGCTTACATATGTGTCACCTCTTCCAAAAAAATCCAGCTTTTTTCCTTTTAGTGAAAGTGTATCTGTCCAAATTTGGGGGAGGGGAAAGAGAAAACAAATGAAATTTCTGTTAAAAATTGTTTTATTGTATTTGGCAATACAGTCAAATCTGGGTTATACAATATAATTATGAGTCAATACTGGTGCAAATAAACAAAAATAGTAGATGTAAAAAATCATCTCTATTTGACATTAGCATGTGATTTTTGTTTTGGCAGAAGAGTTTCTTCCTAATTATATTTTGCCTGGACTAATATGAAAAGTTAGATTAGTGTTCCCAGAGCACATACCAGCTGGACAGCTTGGAGAGGCAGTTAGAAGTGTATGGCTAGTGAAAGGGTAGGGAAGAGGCCAAGGAAAAGGCAGCTTGGAATTCAAATTTGCTACACATAATCCTCACTCATATAATCAAAAGAGAACTATTTCCGCCCACCTAACTGCCTTATTACATTCATGGTGCAACAGCAATTTGTTTCTCCAATGCCTTTTCCTGAGCCAAATGATCTGATTTATTCTGTCTCTGGGGACTGCTTCTCACTGAAAGGCACTGACAGAGGCCTGAAGAATGACCAGCTGGGCGATACTGAAACTCTGGGACTTGTTTGTACTCAGGAATGGAAGACATGGCACTGCCCTGGGTGCATCCTGATGGCCTCCTTCTGTCTCCTCACCAAGGGCACTGCAGTGGTTTCAAGATGGCCATAGACCCCAGTTACCATTGGCTCTGGAGTCAGACAGCCTGGGTTGAAATCCATGCCCTGACACTCATCAGCTGTGGAACTTTGAGCAAGTAACTTACCCTCCTGATACCTCAATGTTTGCTTCAGTAAAATGGAGATTTGGGGCCACAGCATTGTATGCCCGTTCAACTTTAAGGGCCACCATTCACATTATAGTCTATGCCAGATAATAGCCTCTCCCTGATGACTTTACAAGATTATTTGAAGATTAAGTGAGATGATGTATGCAAAACCTTGTTAAACATTGCTGAAGGACATGTCCATTGGGTGCGGTCTTTTGGTAAGTAGTTCGGCAGTATCTTTGAAACTTTACATTGGATATGCCCTTTGTTTCACAAGAAGCTGCAGATGAGTGATGATACTATCACCACTACAAATCTTACACCCCCAGTCTACTAGGTAAATATCTGAGGATTACCTAATTATCAACCTAATTCCAGTGCCAGTACAGCCTAAGCCAGAAGATAAAGAGCTCTGTGGCAGAATTGGAACTGTAACCACTCCCTGAATTACAGTTGTAACGTTGGGACCACCACTCTAAAACAGTGACAGCCATAACAGAACACTACAGAGGCTAGCAGGAAGTAAATACTTCCCTGCTTCTGGGAGATGCCGCCAAATGAAAGCTTCCAGATATTCTCTGACCATATAGTATTCTCTCCCTCCATTCCTCTAGTGGACATTTTCCAAAAGCAAACAATAACATGTATATGCCTGCCCCCCACACACACTCATATACATTCCACCTGCATCACACACTCCCATGTGCAGGAACTCATACTATCCACCTGCCGGGGAGTTATTTCTGAACTATCCATTGATGAATGAGAAAATGCTTACTTCTGTCCCTGGCTTCTGTGATTATATTACTTTATCATCTTTTGTGTGGCTAATAAATCAAGAGTTAATCCCACAAGACAATAAGTGATATGAAACCCAAGTCTCAATTATTGTTGGTTAACTGCCTTTCTGTTCAGCCCTCTGAAATGATGTCAGATACATTTAAGAACTGGTTTTACGGTGAGCATAAATCTCCAGGGCCTAGTTGCACCTTAAAAGAGAATGTATCATAATCTCATATGGTCTACAAGGGCCTCTCCTCTCTGCAGTATACTAATTTAGTTTTTGATTTTTTGTTTTAAGAGGGGGGGTCTCACTCTCTTGCCCAGGTTGGAGTGCAGTGGCATGAACATGGTTCACTGCAGCCTTGACCTCCCGGGCTCAAGCAATCCTCCCACCTCAGCCTTCCAATTAGCTGGAACCACAGGCGCATGCCACCATGCCTGGCAAATTTTTTAATTCTTTTTAGAGATGATATCTCACTATGTTGCCTAGGCTGGTCTGGTCTCAGACTCCTAGGCTCAAGCAATCCTCCCACCTCAGTCTCCCAAAGTGCTGGGATTACAAGTGTGAGACATCATGCCCAGCCTGCAGTATACTAATTTAAAACCAGTTGCCAAAAGATGGGAAAAAGCAATTTACAAAAGCAGAAATATAAAGGCCAATACTATAGAAAGATGCCACCTTACTATTTCTAAGCACAAATTAAAACAATAAGGAGACACCATTTTTGCCTACTTGGTTGATAGAATTTTAGAAGACAGAATATCCAGCTTTGGCAAGCCTGTGGGGAAATGAGTCACTCTTACACGCTGCTAGTGGGAGTGCCAATTAAGTATTATTTTTCTGAAGGGCAATTTGCCATTATCTATGGCAATCTTAATTGTATATAATTGTGTGTATCCTTTGACCCAGCAATTTCATTTCTATCAATTCATTTTAGACAAATATACAGATAGACAAAGATGAGAGTACAATGATATTTATTGCCACATTGTTTATAATCAAGAACAATTGACGAACCTGTATGTCTATCAATAAGTGACTATTTAGGAAAATTGCTACCTCTATACAATGGAATAGGGAAACAAACAAGATAGGCCTCTATAGTCATGGAGAGTTTTTCAAGGCTTACTATTGTGTGAAATAGGAGTTATATTAAGTGCAGGTGCAGTATTATCCTATTAAAAACTAAAAGAAAAATATGCAGGTAGTATGCCCACAGAAAAAAGTGTGGAAGAGCACATATTAAACAGTTAAGAATGATTATCTTTAGGTGTGAGATTAGGGAAATGTTTTACTTCCTATGTTACTTATTTCAGCATATTTGCATGTTTTAAACAATCATGTATTACACCTATAATCAGAAAAATAAAGATGGATGGGTGGATGGATAGATAGATGAATGGATGGAGAGATGTATGGATGAATGGATAGGTAGACAGATAAATAATAGATAATAGATAGATGATAGATAGATAGATAGATAGATAGATAGATAGATAGATAGATAGATAGATAGAATCACTGTGGCCTTACTTAAGATTCTGAAGATATAGGTAAATTCTGCTTAGACATAAGCAGAAATGTGGTATAGTGAAGTCTAAAAAGCCAAATTTGAGTCCCAGTTCTGTCTCTTACTAGCTGTGTGAACATAGGCAACAGATGCCTGTGAAAGCTCTCAGCACAGTGTCTGGCACATAGAGAACACTATATAAAAGTTAAATAAATAGCTCATATCACTTCTCCATGCCTCGTTCTTCCACAGTAAGATGGAAATAATAACTGCCTACCTCATAGGGCCATGATAAAAGATGATGCAATCATAACTAACATTTAGGTTATGTGTGTGAGAATGTTTATAAACTGTGCAACCCCATGTAAATGTCAGCTGCCATGTTTGCCAGGGTCACTATCAGAAGCCTCTTCCTTCCTCCACAGCCTCTTTTGCACCCTCACACATGGAAGCCCAACTGAGCTGAGCCCCACCGCAGCCTCTGGGCCTCCAGCAGGGCTCTGAGGAGGCCAGACTGTGACAAGGTGGAGAGGGGCTTTGCCCTTATGTTTGGCCAGGCAAGTAGCGTTCTCTGCCGCGCCTCTCAAGGGCCTGCTTCAAAGGCCACTTGTGTCTTTGCATATGATTTCGCTATCCATTGCAGATGTCTGCTTAGATGCTGCCATCTGTTCCCTGGCAATTTTCAAGTCCAAATTGCATGATTGCTCCCCTGAAGCGTGTTCTCTCTTGATTTGGCTCCTCTGTGTCTCTTCGCCTCTATCCACTGTTTCCTTTTATTTTAAATGACATTTATTGTCTTCCTTACTGTTTTTAAGGTGTTTTTTCCATTATAAAAGTGATACTGTACATGTTTTCTTAAAGAAAAACTGAAAAGTATTAGCAAGTAAAAAGATGAAAACAAAGCCAGCCAGAGAGTCCCACCACTCAGAGATAATCACCATTAACATTTTGGTATATTTCCTCAGTTTTTTTCTGTGCACAGGCTTTGCTTGTTTTTGTGAGGCTGAGATCATATTGTAAGGAAAATTGGGTCCCCTGCTTTTCTCACTCATAGCATAAGTGTTTTCCGTGTTAGGAAAAACTCATCATAAATCTCACTTAAATGGCTGTTACTACCCTAGGAGTGCCAAGCACCATTTTATTTGTACTGGGAAATTTCATATAACATAAAATTTACCATTTAAACCATTTTAAAGTCTACTATTCAGTGGTATTTAGCATATTCATAATGTTGTGCAACTATCGCCATTATCTAATTCCAGAACATTTTCATCATCCAAAAAGGAAACCCTGTACCCATTAAGCACTCACTCTCAGTTTGCCCCTCCCCTCCAGCCCCTGGCAACTACTAATCTGCTTTTTGTCTCTGGATTTGCCTGTTCTGGACATTTTATATAAAGGGAGTTAGACAATATGTGTCCTTTCTTGTCGGCTTCTTTCATTTAGCATAATGTTCATCCATGTTGTACCATGTGTCAGTACTTCATCCTTTTCCATGGCTTAATAAGATTCATTATATGGATGTATCACATTCTGTTTATTGATTCACGTTAATAGACATTTGGATTGTTTCTCTCTTTTGGCTATTATGAATAGTGCTGCTATGAACATGCATGTCATTTGTTTTGTTTGAACACATGTTTTTATTTATTTGGGGTATAAACGTAAGAGTAGAATTGCTAGGCCATATAGTAACTCTATGTTTCACTTATTGAGTAACAGCCAAACTGTTTTTCACAGCAGCTGTACAATTTTATATTCCTACCAGCAATGTATGAGGGCTCCAATTTCTCCACATCTTAGCCAACACTTGTTGTTTTCCATTTACTATTATTATTGTCATCCTAGAGGTTATGGAGTGGTATCTCATTGTGGTTTCGATTTGTATTTCCCTAATGGCTGATGACATTGAGCATTTTTTTAAATATGTTTGTTGCCATTTGCATAGACTCTTTGGAGAAATACATATTCAAGTCTTTTGCCCATTTTTAATTCTGGATACCAGAACCTTATCAGATAGATGACCTGCAAATATTTTCTCCAATTCTGTATTGTCTTTTCACTTTCTTGATAGTGTCTTTTGATGTGTAAAAGTTTTTAATTTTAATGAAATTCAATGTATCGAATTTTTCTTTTCTTTTATTGCTCATGCTTTTGGTGTCATTTCATTTCATTTCTTTCTTTCTTTTTTTTTTTTTTTTTTTTGAGATGGAGTCTTGCTCTGTCACCCAGGCTGGAGTGCAGCGGTGCAATCTTGGCTCACTGCAACCTCCGCTTCCTGGGTTCAAGCAATTCTCCTGCCTCAGCCTCCCGAGTAGCTGGGAATACAGGCATGTACCACCATGCCCAGATAACTTTTTGTATTTTTAGTAGAGACGGGGTTTCACCATGTTAGCCAGGATGGTCTCGATCTCCTGACCTCATGATCCACCCGCCTCGGCCTCCCAAAGTGCTGGGATTACAGGTGTGAGACACCACGCCCGGCCGCTTTTGGTGTCATTTCTAAGAATCCATTGCCAAACCAAAGGTCGTGAAGATTCTCCCTTATGCTTTCCTCTAAGAATGTTACAGTTTTAGTTCTTACATTTAAGTCTTTCATCCATTTCAAGTTAATTTTCATGTACAGTTTGAGATGGGGAAGTCCAAGTTCATGGACACAGAGTAGGTCCTTTGTAGCTGTTTACTGAATAAATAGTTGTATCCTGTATTAGGGCACTGAGTTGGAGGCTAATGGGTGGGCAGATGGAGTGCTGTCCCTTGTGCAAAGGTATCAGGAATGAAGCATCTGGCATAGAATGAGAAGTTCTGGACTGTATACTGAACTCGTGCTCTGCCTTCTGTTTTAGGGAACTTTTAGCAAAAGATCAAGGGAGAATTCTCTGTCCCTGTCAGACCCCAAAAGTAATAAATACATTTATTTTAAAAGTCAGTGAGTAAGGCCAGGTGTGGCAGCTCATGCCTGTAATCCCAGCACTTTGGGAGGCTGAGACGGGCGGATCACCTGAGGTCAGGAGTTTGAGACCAGCCTGGCCAACATGGCGAAACCCCATCTCTACTAAAAATAAAAAAATTAGCCAGGCGTGGTGGCAGATGCCTTTAATCCCAGCTACTCGGGAGGCTGAGGCAGGAGAATCACTTGAACCCGGGAGGCAGTGGTTGCAGTGAGCCAAGATCACGCCACTGTACTCCAGCCTGGGCGACAAGAGCAAAACTCTGTCTCAAAAATAGATAAACAAATAAAATAAAAAGTCAGAGAGTAAATGGTTTAAAACTCTAAGAGATAGACAATCTGAATGGTTTGTTTTTTTTTTTCAGCAAAATCCCTTTGTTTTCTGCTTATGACAGCATTAAGTAACATCAGACATATCCTATACAGGTTTTTCTACCCTTTCTTAGAAGGCAAAGTTTCTCCTTAAAATGTTCAAGTGTTTCAAAGTTTGGGGGACTGTGGTTCCAGGTCCACTGTCCTGCACTACGTTCAGGGCAAAGGACAAATGAGGTTCTTCCATGGTCAGGTACTCTGGGCATGATCTGGTCACTGTCTCTTCTCCATGAGGTAACCTGCTTTCCTCTTTTTAATTCTAACCCAGTGAGCCTGCCAGAGCATCAGTGTCTGTGTCATTAGTTTGCCAGGGCTGCCATAACAACATACCACATACTGGGTTGTTTAAACAACAGAAATGTATCATCTCACAGTTTTGGAGGCTAGAAGTCCAAGGTCAAGGTGTCAGCAGGGTTGGTTCCTTTTGAGAGCTGTGAGAGAGAATCTGTTCTATGCCTCTTTCCTAGTTTCTGGTGGTTTTCTGGCAATATTTGGTGTTATTTGGCCTATAAGCACATGACCCCGATATCTGCCTTCATCTTTAGATGGTGATCTCCCTGTGTGCATGTGTGTGTCCACACTTTTTCTTCTTATAAAGATACCAATAATATTGGATTAGGGGCCCACCCTACTGCAGTATGACTTTATCTTAACTAATTATATTTTCAATGACTCTATTTCCAAAGAAGATCATATTCTGAGGTACTGAGGGTTAGGACTTCAACATATGAATGCTGGGAAGACACAACTTGACTCAACACTGTGTAGGGCTCAGAACCCAGCTAATCACCTGGTAATACCTATGAGAGCAAGGTGAGGCTGCAGAGCAGATTTGAGGAAAAGGGCCCACCAGAGGCATCAGTTGTGTTTATACTTTGAAGAATCTGGCCACTCTGAGAGTGAGCGTTCTACCAAGGCTACTCCATGTCTGCCTTATCTTGGAAGTGTCACTACCCACTCATAAAAGGGCAGGTGAGCAGATACTCACTTGAGGAGGGAGTCTTCTGGCTCTTAGAATCACAAATCCTTGGAATTCAACGTTCTGGAGCACTGAAAAACTTTGTAGACCAGGCCCTGGTCTAGCAGCCCCATGACTGTCTGAGTAGATATAATCAATAGGTACCTGATACTGGGGAGCTCCATTACCCACATCACCATGGCCATAGTGTGCACAACCACAGAGAATCAGAGTCACTATCTGCCACCCACTGCCCACACTTTCCACTGGTCTTGTAACCAGGCTAATCCTTAGATAAACCAGGCCTACCAGATATAGAAGCGTCCAACCCTGATCCTCATTTCTGTCACCAATCACCAGCCACAGAGTTGTCCAACACATCCCTTCCTCTAGTACCTAGGCTGCTGACTCCATTTGTGGCCTGCCAAGAGTTCTTGGCATAGGAGACAGAGGAATTATCCTCACATAGGTCATGTGATTTTTCCTTCAAATCTTGGATTCAAGGCCCATGTCTCACCCAAAAAAATAGATGTCCTTACTCATAAAGCCAGAAGCTCCCTGAAAAAAAATTATTTACTCAACAGTGATGGTCACTGAGCATTGACTATGTGTCAGTGTTAGAGTGCAGTAATAGAGGAGACATAACACACAAGGTCCCTGAGCTCATCAGCTTACATTCCAGGGACAGATGCAGTCAATAAACAAGTAAAGGAAAAAACACAAATTACATACAGTACTCTGAAAGAAATTGACAGGTTGATGAGTTAGGTAATGGGAAAAGCAGAGATGAGGGGAAAGGAAATGTCTACATTATGTAGGATAGTTAAGAAAGGCCTCTCTGAGAAAGAGTCATTTTTAGCTTAGTCCCAAGGGATGAAAAAAGAGCCAGGGTACAAAGATGTGGAATAAGAGTGACCCAGACATGGGTAACAGTACGTGCAAAGGCCTTTTGGTGGGACTGTGCTTGGTGTGTTTACGGAATACTAGGAAGCCAGTGTGTCTGGAGCAGAGGGAGAAAGAGGATGCATGGTAGTAAGTGAAGCCCAAGAGGCAGTGGGAGATCAGATCATGTAGTGCTTTTTAGGTCTCATTAAAGAGTTTGAATTATATTCTAATTTTGATAGGAACTTATTGGCAAGTTTTGAGTAAAAGAGTGGTATGATCTGACTTGATATATTAAAGGATCACTCTGGCTGCTGTGTGGAGAATAGACTGTAGCAGAGCAAGAGTGAAAGCAGGGAGAACATTAGGAGGCTACTGAAGTCAGCCAAGAGAAAATGATGGTGGCTCAGCCCATGGCGGAAGCAGTTAAAATGGTTTAAAAAGAGAGAGAGAGAAGAAAAGAAAAGAAAACGGTCAGATTTAGGATGTATTTTTGTGGTGGCATGAACAAGACTCAATGGATTAGATGTGGAGAGTGAGAGAAAGGGAAGAATGAAAGATAGCCCCTAAGTTTGCATAATGGTGTGTGCAGAGAAGCCATTTCCAGAAGAGGAAAGACTACTGATCATTACCTGGCAGTGGAAATACAGGGCCCTCTACTAAGATCTCTATGTTGTGATGCTAACAGCTCCCATAAGCCCTACCTTGATAGACCAACTCAAAAGCACCTAGGTAACAAAAATCCAGGCCAAGGATCCTAGAAGCCCATCCACCTCCGGGCGGTGAACAACATGGGGAAAACTGTTTCAGACCTACTTTTCAGCCTATGCAATTCCCTGTCAATATTTTTACTGTTGAAGGAAATTTGTACAACTTACTAGCCTGAGACAGAATATGGTGGTCAGTCACCCTCCTAAGTGACATGCTCAAGCTCAAACAGGCTATCATATGAGCGTTTTTCATCTGTCCTATGCTAGACAAATGTGCTATGCCTGTGCCAACTCAAGGAAATATGTATCTGAAAAAATTAAAAAGAAAGAACTTATGCTTCAGAGTCTAGAATGCACAATTTCCCAGGTGAAAGGCTTTGAGTATTGTTAGACAAAATGTCTGTTTTTACACATGAAAAAATGCTTAATAGTCATAGGGAAATGCACATCAAAACCACAGTGGAGTATCACTTCATTTCCAATAGGATGGCTATGATCAAAAAGATAGACAATAACAAGTGTTGGTGAGGATGTGGAGAAATCAGAACCTTCATACACTGCTAGTGGGGATGTAAAATGATGCAGCTTCTTTGGAAAATGGTCTGCGTGCTCCTCAAAATGTTAATCATGAAGTTACATTTGACTCTGCCATTGCACTCCTAGGTATATTCACAAAAGAAATGAAAGCATATGCCCACACAAAACTTGTACACAAATGTTCATACAGCATTATTCATAATAGTCAAAATGTAGAAACAATTTAAATGTCCATCAACTGGTGAATGGAAAAAAATATGAGGTATATCCATACCATTGAATATTGTTCAGCAATAAAAATAAATGAACTGCTGATGCATGCTACACATGGATGAACCTTGAAAACATTGTGTAAAGTGGAAGAAGCCAGTCACAAAAGGCTGCATATCGTATGATTCCATTTACCTGAAACGTCCAGAATAGGCAAATTCATAGAGGCAGAAAACAGATTACTGATTGTCAAGGCCTGGAGTGCTGGGGGAGGAACGGAGAGTATGGTATTTCTTTTGGGGGTTATAAAAATGCTCTGGAATTAGATAGTAGTGATGGTTCCACCACTCTAAATATACTGAAAACCATTGAATTGTATACTTTAAATGGGTGAACTGTATGGTATGTAAATTATATTTCAGTAAAGCTGTTTATTTTATTTTATTTTATTTTATTTTAGGGACAGGGTTTCACTCCGGTTGCCCAGGCTGGAATGCAATGACGCGATCTTAACTCACTGCAACCTCCACTTCCTGGGTTCAAGCTATTCTTGTGCCTCAGTCTCCCGAGTAGCTGGAATTACAGGTGCATACCACCATGCCCAGCTCATTTTTGTATTTTTAGTAGAGACGGGGTTTTGCCATATTGCCAAGGCTGTCTCAAACTCCTGAGCTCAAGTGATCCACCTGCCTTGGCTTCCCAAAGTGCTGGGATTACAGGCATGAGCCACCACACCCAGCCCAATAAAGCTGTTTAAAACAAATATCTTTTCTCAAATGCCAGTCTCTACAACCTTCTAGAACAGTGCTGTCTAATAAAACCTTCTGTGATATGGAAATGTTCTGTATCTGCAATGCCTAATATGGTAGCAACCAGCCACCTGTAGCTATTAAGCACTTAAAACCTGGCTTGTATTACTAAGAACTGAATTTTTAACTTAATTTTAATTAATTAAAACCTAGCCACATGTTGCAAGTAATTACCATATTGGACAGCTCAACTCTTGAATTCATACAGAAATTTAGTTTCTGCTCAAAGTTTATCCTCCACTTCTCTTTTCTCGTGGAATTAGTTTCTCAAGAAAAGATAGACCAGGCAGGGTGGGACATGCCTGTAATCCCAGCACTTTGGGAGGCTGAGGTGGGAGGACCACTTGAGCTCAGGAGTTCAAGACCAGTCCGGGCAACACAGCGAGATCCTGTGTCTATTTACAATTTAAAAAATAAAATTTTTTAAAAAAAGAAAAGATAGGGCTTTTCCTGAACCCTGGCTACACAAACACCTTTCAGAAGAAGAATTTCTTTACCTCTACACTCCTACTGTGTCCTGACTGCCCTGGCCTAGTTTGTCTCTACAGCCTAAGGACTGATTTTCTGACATGGCTCTGGGGCTTTCCTGTGTCAAAACAATTCCTAGTCAGGTCGTCTCTGCATATGTGACAACTTCTCAGGAAAGTTGATTCCGGCCCAGATTGACTAATTGCCTATCCAATACAGGAGCAAAAGTTACTGACTGTAGAGGCTAGGTGCCTCAAAAACCCAGCCTCCCACCTCAAGAATGTCACAAAACCCCAGCCTCCTGCCTCAAGAATGCTCCAGAACACGTTACACTCTTTCAGCCAGCAAAGCCTGTCCTACTCCACTTGGGGTGTGAGCGTGTGTGTGTGTGTGTGTGTGTGTGTGTGTGTGTGTACATGGTATGAGCAAGACCTTAGGACAACTACTATAGCCCTATGTCTTCAACCCAAACCTACCCATATCCATTACACAGCCAATAGCCAGCACCATTAAGAGGAAAATCATGTTATGGACTGAATGTTTGTTTCCCCCTCCCCTAAAATCCTATGCTGAAGCCCCAACCTCTAATGTGTTGGTATTTGAAGGTGTGGCCTTTGGAAAGTAATTAGGTTTACATGAGGGCATGAAGGTGGAGCCCCTATGGTGGGATTAGTGCCCTTATAGAAGAGGAAGAAAGCAGAGCTCTCTTGCTCTCTCTCAGCCTTGCGAGGACACAGAGAGAAGGCAGCTGTCTACAAGCCAGGAAGAGGGCCCTCACCAAGAATTGAATCATCTGGCACCTTGATCTTGAACCCTCAGCCTCCAGAAACATGAGAAATAAATGCCCATGGTTTAAATCATCCAATCTATAGTATTTTGTTATGGCATCCTGAGCAGACTAAGACAGAGAACTAGGAAACCGAGTCCCACATACAGCCTAAGTCCTAGGCCCTCTTCTCTCATTTATGCCTTATTTTTTACCTCCTGCTCCATTCTGCAACTATTCAGCTCTTGACCTCAGTCTTCATCTCTTCTTTCTGGCTCTGCTCTCACCCCATAGACTTTAATACAGATTTGGCTTCTCCTTCTCAACCCTTGATATTCTTCTATGGAGACAGTTTTGCTCCACACTCTGGCTCCTCCCAGTTAGAGCATCTCTGAGTCACCCTCCACTTAATCTGGCCTTAATCTCTCCCCAATAATGACCCTCACAGTTGGGAGGCTGGTGACTCATCTGGAGCCTGAAGGGAACTGAACCTGAGTTATGCCGTTGTTTCCAAGGACAGGGTCTTTTTTTTCCAAGAAAAAAGTAATGAATTTCTCGGCAATCAAAGAACAATTATAATTCAATGTTTGATAACCTACAAAAAAAACTTGTTTGACTCATGAATTTGAGACTTAAACAGTCTGGAAAACCTTGTGACTGCTTTAAATTGACCTCTGCAGGTTGAGGACCTGCACATCTATCATAATTTTCACTGACCATTATAAAAATTAGCCGGGCATGGTGGCAGACGCCTGTAATCCCAGCTACTCAGGAGGCTGAGGCAGGAGAATTGCTTGAATCTGGGAGGCAGAAGTTGCAGTGAGCCAAGATTGCGTCACTGCACTCCAGCCTGGGCAACAGAGTGAGACTCTGTCTCAAAATAATAATAATAATAACAATAATAATAATTTTCACTGAGTGGTGACATTCCTCGCAAACCCATGCAAACTTTTCAGTACCACACACTCTTCACTTTTTATTCCATGACTACACTAGATTCCCATATTCCACTATTCTAGATTGCTCTATACCATGCCCTGTAGCCCTTCACAAAAACCAATGGAGTTTGTGTCATATACCCCACCACCATACAGATGTTGAAAATTTTCATCATTTCAAATTGCATGAATTCATTAAATCAGCACATATGAACCAAGTGCCTAAACTGTGTGTCAAGGCCTGTGTTGGATGCTTTGGATAAAGAAATTGGGAAAATACAGTTTCTTGCCCTTGAGGAAACAGGTAGAGGAAAAATAAATCAACTTTTTAGCAGGTAGGCCAGGCCAGGTGACAAAGTTGCCACTGTACCCCGTAGGCCCCATTTCAATCTCTATTATAAGAAACATGGTTTCCTATCAGGCTCTGCATGCAGCAAGAAGCCAGTGTTTGCTCTTGATGGCAATGATGATTTGGTATTTTTGCAGATTAGCTCTTACGCTTGAGGACCGTTCAAATTAAACACAGGTCAATTTCATCAGGCGTTGTCACTCACTGGCATTTATGACCTTTTAGCTAAGTACTTATGTGCTAAATAAGCAATGCTACAAACTGAATTTACTTAATGTGGACAAGATTGCAGTTTACCAAGACCTTCTCCTGAAGTCTCCAAATTACCAGCTACTTCAGTGAATTGTCTTAATTATCTACTGTAAAATAGAGACAAATTATTTTCATTCCTGTCATAGAGTCTAGGGAAGGTCTGGGTGCTTCCAGAATATATGCCCATTGCTTTATGAATCTGTTACCAGCTGTTTGCATGCCTCAGTTTCCCCATCTGTATTCTATGATTCTTGCCATATACATATAATGGAGACAGAAAGATGATATCACAATGCTTCAGACAGCTTTAAATAAAGCATTACGGAGGAGAGGAAACAGTCCAAAAGAAAACCCAAATCTTCTGTTAGGTGTGCATTAGCCGCCAAATGGCATTTCAGAGTTGCTTTAAGAAATGTCAAAGGTAGTAGTCCAAGCTACTGCCTTCTTGAGGCCAGCTCTCTATCAGTAGTACAGAATGATGAATGAATTAATTCACTTACTGATGCTTCAGCTTCTTCTGTAGCCATATTGACCAAAAGGTGACCATTAAGAGGCAGCCCAGCAAATCTCCATTGGTAGTATTTTTCAAATGGTTTATTTCTATAACCTACTATACATGAGACATTGAAAGAGATAATAAGAATACATTTTCTTACCTGAGAGAAAGATAAAACTCGACATGAGAATCAATCCATAAAGCTTCTGATATATGATGTGTTCTTTCATTGTCTAAGTCTGTGTTTAAAAAGTCAAAAATATGCCCAGCTCAGATATTCAGAAAATACAATTTCTAAGCGTATGTGACCACACTTCTCCTTTGCATACCACCTAAGGGTTTTTTCCTATTGCTTAAAGTCATGTCAGCCAACCACATGATAGGCATTTACCAGAGATACCCAGCCTGGCTGAAACCTCACTGATGGATTTATCTATATACTAGCTCAATAAATTTTATTGAATCCCTTCTATGTGCTGGACACTGTGTTGCTCCCTGGGAATACAGTGCTGAGAAGACAAGACACACATCTCTGCCATCATAGGACAGTTAGCCCTGTGGGGAGGACAGACATTAAATGCATAATTACAAAATGTGAGGCCAGGAGCTGTAGCTCATGCCTGTAATCCCAGCACTTTGGGAGGCCGAAGCGGGTGGATCACCTGAAGTCAGGAGTTTGCAACCAGCCTGGCCAACATGGTGAAACCCCATCTCTACTAAAAATACCAAAAAAAAAATTATCTGGGCATGCTGGCGGGCACCTGTAATCCCAGCTACTTGGGAGGCTGAGGCAGGAGAATTCCTTGGACCTGGGAGGCGGAGGTTGCAGTGAGCCGAGATTGCGCCACTGCGCTCCAACCTGGGCAACAAGTGAAAACTCTGTCTCAAAAACAAACAAACAAAAAACCAAAATGTGATATATTCAACCCTAATGCACAAACTTCAATTCAACTACTTGTAGTTATAATGATCCTAAATTTCTTGAAGGAATGTTATGCAAGAAGACCTTGTTGACAAAAGTAACTCATCAAATCATTTGTATTTTTAAAACAGATCTGTTTAGAGAAATCTAATCACCATTTCATTATGTTCACCCAGCTTCTCTCCTTAATTAATTGTAACTATAGTGTCTTATGTGGAAAATGCACTTAAAACCCTCTTTTCTCCAAACAAAATGGTGTTAAAACTGCAAATCCTACTGAAACATGTTACAGAAAATTGGCAGTAGGGTGCTGATGGGCATTTCTGATTTTAAATGAAATATACTTCTGAATGATTTACTACTGATTTAAACATTTCTTTTTCTATAGGATAATGCAACGTATTGTATTTCTTTCTACCTCCAAGTGGGATTTGGAATGAATAGACCCACTTTACATTTAATGTAACAGAAGCCAATTAGGAAGTCAAATGAATCTTGAGCTTGCTATGAATGCCAGCCATTAATCAGGCTCTTCATATTTACCAAGGATTCTACCACCATTCTCATTAGAATAATAAGGGAATTTGTATGAGTTGGATGGATTTTCTAAACTATGAGCTTAGAAGTAAGGGGGTGTCTAAATCTTTCATGACTTGCAAAATGAAATGCAGCTTAAATTTATAGTGCTATAAGAGGACTAGGCTGAGAATCAGTAACTGGCTGTGAGGCCATACATATTTTTGTTCCTTAATTTCCCTGGGACTCAGTTTCCTTATCTGTAAAAATGGAGATAATAATCTGCATATTTCTCAGAGCTGCTCTTGAAGAGGATCAAATGAGATGATATTTCGAAGGCAATTTTCAAAGCATAAAGTGCTATAGAAATGGATATGATTGCTATCTATAAAATGGGATTTTCAGCAGCAAGTAATCCAATTTATATTTTTCTTCCATTTCCCCTAAACTTTTATAACAACTTCAAGGTATGTTTCAGAAACTTACCTGGTGCCCAATAAATAAATCATGGGACATTTACACAACAGAATACTATGCAACCATTAAAAGGAATAAAGGCTGGGCATGGTGGCTCATGCCTGTAATCACAGCACTTTCAGAGGCTGAGGCAGCTGGGTCACTTGAGGCCAGGAGCTCGAAACCAGCCTAGGCAACATGGTGAAACCCTGTCTCTACTAAAAATACAAAATTAGCCGGGCATGGTGGCGCATGCCTATAATTCTAGCTACTTGAGAGGCTGAGGTATGAGAATCACTTGAATCTGGGAGACAGACAATGCAGTAAGCTGTGTTCATGCCACTGCACTCCAGCCAGGGCGACAGAGCGAGATTCTGTCTCCAAAAAAAAAAAAAAAAAGGAATAAGGTAAGTCTATATATAAGGCATGAAAAGGTGGGTTGAGGAAAGGGGATGGGGCATGAGGAATTTTCCATACTGTTCTGTACTGTCTGGTTATTTTACAAAGATTATAAATTAGTTACATACTTTTAAAAATCAAAGGAAAGGAGAAAGGAAGAAAGGGAGAGAGAGAGGAAGGTAAGGAAGATAGGAAGGGGAGGAAAGAGATAGGAAGGAAAAATGGGAATTAAATGTTTCCTTTATACTTCCTGTGATTCTGTACTGTTTGCTTTTACAATGAGCATACATTACTTTCATAATTTTGAAAAAACATAAAAGGAAGGAAGGAGGAAAAGTAAAGAAAGAGGAAAAGAGAAAGAAAGGGTGAGGATTAAAGACTTGAATTTTATACCTCACACAATTTCAAGCAATTTGGTTATTTCATGATGCGTATTTCTTAATTTTGTGGTTCAGAAAAATTTAAGGGAAAGAAGGAGAGAGGGGGAAAGAGGGAAAGAAGGAAGGAAAGGAAAGAGGGAGGGAAGGAGGAAGGGAGGAAGAGAAACACTTACCTGAGAACTGGACTCTTTTAACTTCCCACCCTCAAATGACCAGATCTTGTCTCTAAATTCCTATGTTTGATGTGAAATGAAAGAAGTACTAAACAGGAGACTCATTTTCTGCTGTCCATGCCTCAGTCACCTTCTTTTCTGCATCAAACCAGCCTCTCTGCTCTTAGCTTTATGGGGCTTATTGATCCGGGTAGATCCTCTTTTTGCGGCTTGTAGCACGTCATGGGGCTGCTCTCCTGAGCATAAAATCAGCATGGGCAAAGTTCTCAGATTATTACAACCCTGCAATAACCCATTAATTTGAGGGCTCTTTCCCAGTTTTCACTAAGGATTATTTTCAGTTCCTAGTTGATTATTGCTTTAATTAAATTGGATATATTAAAAGGGTACTTGTTTACTTGACTAAGGCTCATTTCACTTTACTAAGAAAGTGGGGAGGAGGAGGTGTAGTGTTCAGAACTATGAGCAGAAAGCAAAGGCCAAAGAGGCATGAACATATTCACATCTTACTCCATCTGTAAGGTGAAGCCAGCTATTTACCCTCACTGGACATTTATTCTTCAAGTCGCCTTGAAAGTAAATAGATTTATTGAACTGGCTTTATGTTCGTCTCAAGAAGGGGATGTTGTTTTTGTCCCAGAAGGTGTCATTACAGCCCCTTAGGGGTGACAGAAATACCACCAAAATCCCGTGGAGGATTCAGAGATGATCCCTGTCAGCCTCTGAACTTTACAGGTGAGGCCCCTGGGGTCCCAAGGGTAGAATGACTCATCCAAAGTCATAGAGCTTGTGAAAGGTAAAGCAGGAGCTAGAACCAAGGTGTCCTGACTACCAAACCAGTGCATTTTCCTCTTCATCTCATATCTTCAACAGAAAATTCAGTCTAATAGGAGGCTGAGTCGACCCAGCTTAAGGCCAGGATTCTTCACAGGGGAATGGAGAAGGAGGAGGTGTATTGGAATAATCCATGATTCACCCCAAAACCCACAAACTGTTATCAGAGTAGTGAATAAGAACCTAGGCTTTGTGGAAAGACAGGCTTGAGTTTGAGTCCCACCTGTGTGACTTGTGGCTAGTTCCCTAACTTCTCTGGAGCCCCCAGTGTCCTCATTTGTAAAATGCTGACCATGGAACTCACCTCATATTGCTGTGAAGATTACATAACACACAGTATGTAAAGTGCTTGGCCCAGCGCCTAGCACCAGGTTCCAGCACCACTGCTTCTGTCAAGGACTCCACTGCTTCTTCTTTCCAGTAGGCACAAGGCTTAGGTTTTGTGACCTGTCCCCAACGTGGGGTCACACAGCCTACAAGAAGATGTGGAGCCATTACCAAGAAACATATTGACACTTCCCTGGCATGTGTTTATATTTCACACCATGCCTGCTCATTGGTCTGTCTCCCTCACAACACTAAGCTCTGGTAGGGCAGGAACTCTATGTTCTCCAGTGGTTCGCATGCTGCCTGGCACATAGAGGGCGCTCAATCAATACTTCATAAACTATGCCTTTCTCCCCTACTAGAGTGTAAGCTTCCTGAGGACAGGGAAACACATCCTGTTCTTTCTGTGCCCTGCCCCAGGAGTTAGCACAGTGCCTGACACATAGTAGGTGCTTAATTAATGTTTGCTGAAATGAAGAAAAGAATTTAGAGGAGAATTATTTATATATACTTAGATATGTCATCAAATATCTCTGGAAAAGGACCCTGGTAAGAATAGTTGCTTCTAGAGATGGAAACTGAGGGGTTTTGGGTGGGAGGAAACCTCAGTTTTCACTGAACATGCTTTTGTACGGTAAGAATTGTAATCATTTGCATGTGTTCTTTTTTTTCAAAGAAAAACACTATGTTTTGTTAAAAATCCAACATAGCACAAATGAAATAATTGACTAGAAAATTAAATTTGTACCAAAAAAAGAAATTGGAACTCTTTTGTCAGGAAAACAATTGTCACCTGGGAGGGCTTCAACGGGTATCTTCCATTCCCTGGAAGGTTATGAGGAGAATGTTGACCATCTGCTCTCCATATCTACAGAGAAGTAGGAAATTGGCTGAAATTGCAGTCTGAGATGTGAGATAGATATAAATAAGTCATTATTGACAATAGGAATTGATAAGCACCAGAAAAGGCTATCACGGGATGTTATGAGCCATCCATGCCTGGAAACTCAAAGGCCTAGATAGCCATATGGCTCTGCTGATTTACTTGTCCTCCCACAGAGAGGGCTGAGCTGATTGACTTGTTGCAACTCTGTCCCTGTTTCTAACACTAGAAAAGACCCTTAATCTGTTGAAGGTCCAAGCCATCTTCATTCCCTCTCCCTTTCCTGGTGTGAGCATCCCACCAGGCCAATTGGTGGGGAATAGCAAGCCAGCTATTGAATTTGGGGCTCAACCATAGAAACAGCAAAAGGGTCCAATGCTGGAGGAAAAAATCATCTATGCTGACAACTCCTTAAGAGATTTTGAAGGACAATTTTACTTACATTTGATTGCCAACTTAAAAACTACCACCCAACTACCAATGATTGCCTGCTCATTGTCATTCCCATGCATTCCTTTATACTTTCACTACATATGTGGGCATTTCTTAACAGTGTGTAGTATTATTTTGCATAATGATACTACATGTTTTTAAACATCACATAAATTTGCCTCCCTCCCTCCTTTCTTTCTTTCTGTCTGTCTGTCTGTCTGTCTGTCTTTCCTTTGAGACAGAGTCTGGCTGTTGCCCATTCTGGAATACATTGGCGCAATCAAGGTTCACTGCAGCCTCCACCTCCCAGGCTCAAGCAATCCTCCCACCTCAGCCTCCAGAGTAGCTGTGACCACAGGCATCCACCACCACGCCTGGCTAATTTTTGTAGTTTTTGTAGAGATAGCATCTTGCTATATTGCCCATATGGTCTCAAATTCCTGCCTCAAGCAATCCTCCCACCTCAGCCTCCAGAGTAGCTGGGACCACAGGCATCCACCACCACACCTTGCTAATTTTTGTATTTTTTGTAGAGATAGAATCTTGCTATATTGCCCATATGGTTTCAGATTCCTGGCCTCAAGCAACCGTCTCACCTTGGCCTCCCAAAGTGCCAGAATAACAGCTGTGAGCCACTGCACCAGGCTCATGCTTTTAAACATACTATAAAAGGGGCCATACCACAAGAGAGACAGTACACCATAGTAGCTAATAAAACAGACTCTGAAGCCATACTACATGGTTTTCCTAATGTCTCACTGCCTCAGCTTCCTCATCTGCAACATGGAAATGATGATGATGATGATCATGAGTTAATGGTGATGATGGTATCCACCTCTATTATTTGTATAAAATCAATGAGATAATACATGTAAAGCACTTAAAACACTACCTGGTACGTAATAAATGCTTTATTAAGTATTAGCTATTATTACCTGTTCTTCTGCAACTTATTTTTCAAGCATAACAGTATTCATATAGTCCGCAATCATTTGAGTGCCCACCGTGTACAGGCAACACCCTGAGATGCTAAGGATTCAGCAGCAAACAAAACAGATAACTCTATCTCCCCTCAAAAAGTTTCTGTTTTAAAGTTGGAACAGGTCACATTAATAGATATGAGCCCAGTAAGCAAAGATTCTGCATTTAATGTTGCAGCTGGGGGAGGTAGAAAAGGCTCTAGGCGTTCACTTATGATTTGGCTCTCTGTTTGTCTGTTATTGGTGTATAAGAATGCTTGTGATTTTTGCACATTGATTTTGTATCCTGAGACTTTGCTGAAGTTGCTTATCAGCTTAAGGAGACTTCAGGCCAAATTATGAGTGAACTCCCATTCACAATCACTTCACAGAGAATAAAATACCTAGGAATACAACTTACAAGGAATGTGAAGGACCTCTTCAAGGAGAACCACAAACCATTGCTCAGTGAAATAAAAGAGGACACAAACAAATGGAAGAACATTCCATGCTCATGGGTAGGAAGAATCAATATTGTGAAAATGGCCATACTGCCCAAGGTAATTTATAGATTTAATGCCATCCACATAAAGCCACCAATGACTTTCTTCACAGAATTGGAAAAAAACTACTTTAAAGTTCACATGGAACCAAAAAAGAGCCCACATTGCCAAGTCAATCCTAAGCCAAAAGAACAAAGCTGGAGGCATCATGCTACCTGACTTCAAACTATACTACAAGGATACAGTAACTAAAACAGCATGGTGCTGGTACCAAAACAGAGATATACACCAATGGAACAGAACAGGGCCCTCAGAAATAATGCCACATATCTGCAACTATCTGATCTTTGACAAACCTGAGAAAAACAAGCAATGGGGAAAGGATTCCCTATTTAATAAACGGTGCTGGGAAAACTGGCTAGCCATATGGAGAAAGCTGAAACGGGATCCCTTCCTTACACCTTATACAAAAATCAATTCAAGATGGATTAAAGACTTAAATGTTAGACCTAAAACCATAAAAACCCTAGAAGAAAACCTAGGCAATACCATTCAGGACATAGGCATGGGTAAGGACTTCATGTCTAAAACAGCAATGGCAACAAAAGCCAAAATTGACAAATGGGATCTAATTAAATTAAAGGGCTTCTGCACAGCAAAAGAAACTACCATCAGAGTAAACAGGCAACTTACAGAATGAGAGAAAATTTTTACAATCTACCCATCTGACAAAGGGCTAATATCCAGAATCTACAAAGAACTCCAACAAATTTGCAAGAAAAAAACAAACAACCCCATCAAAAAGTGGGTGAAGGACATGAACAGACACTTCTCAAAAGAAGACATTTATGCAGCCAAAAGACACATGAAAAAATGTTCATCATCACTGGCCATCAGAGAAATGCAAATCAAAACCACAATGAGATACCATCTCACACCAGTTAGAATGGCGATCATTAAAAAGTCAGGAAACAACAGGTGCTGGAGAGGATGTGGAGAAATAGGAACACTTTTACACTGTTGGTGGGACTGTAAACTGGTTAAACCATTGTGGAAGACAGTGTGGCAATTCCTCAAGGATCTAGAACTAGAAATACCATTTGACCCAGCCACCCCATTACTGGGTATATACCCAAAGGATTATAAATCATGCTGCTATAAAGACACATGCACACATATGTTTATTGCAGCATTATTCACAATAGCAAAGACTTGGAACCAACCCAAATGTCCATCAGTGATAGACTGGATTAAGAAACTGTGGCACATATACACCATGGAATACTATGCAGCCGTAAAAAATGATGAGTTCATGTCCTTTGTAGGGACATGGATGAAGCTGGAAACCATCACTCTCAGCAAACTATCGCAGGGACATAAAACCAAACACCACATGTTCTCACTCATAGGTGGGAATTGAACAAGGAGAACGCTTGGACACAGGAAGGGGAACATCACACACCGGGGTCTGTTGTGGGGTGGGGGGAGTGTGGAGGGATAGCATTAGGAGATATACCTAATGTAAATAACGAGGTAATGGGTGCAGCACACCAACATGGCACATGTATACATATGTAACAAACCTGCACGTTGTGCACATGTACCGTAGAACTTAAAGTATAATAATAAAAAAAAAAGAAAGAAAAGAAAAGGCTCTAGGCGGGGCCAGGCATAGCAGCTCCAGCCCAGCAGCAGTGGCAGGGCAGCGGTGGCGGCAGTTCGCTGGAGGCCCGGCGCCCGCCGCAGCCCCTCCCCGGCGTGATGCATGGAGACCCGACCAGCCGCTCGACGCTGAGCCCGGAGTGGCCTCGGGCTCTGGCCTGCCCGGCCGCCCGAGGGCTGTGCGCGGCCCGCGGGCCTCCCGGCTCCCGCGGATCCGTGACCCGGCCGTCCTGTCCCAGGAAGTGGACGTCCTGAGCGCCACGGCTCACTCCCTGTGCAGTCGGGCCTGCCTGGCATGCAGAACCTAAAGGCAGATCCAGAAAGGTTTTTTTTGTTTTTTTTGTTTTTTCCCTCTCCCTTCAGGTGCACTAAGATAGGGAAGCTAAAAGCAGACTTGGGGTGTATGCTTGCAGCTGCAAAAAAATATGTATGGGAACAAACACACAACTATCCCTCCCAAATAAACACAACAAAGAAACACAGAAGCAGTCCAAGCCTCTAATAAACTCTCCCACCCTGAATCCTTAAAAACTCTTAGTCTGTAAAAAAGTGTGCCTCTAACCTAACTCAGCCAAAAGGCTCCTCTCGGGTTTGTTTTCTTTAAAATAAACCTGTCTTAACTGGCAAGCCACCTTTCATGTTTCTTTCCTCTTTCTTTAATTCTTGCAGTAGTGACCAAAATACATGAATTTTTCTTTCATGTATTTTTATTATTACCTAGAGGAAGATATATCCAATAAATGAAATTTAAAACTCTCTTCAAAAGATTGTATCAATACTTTCTTAATTATTTCAAGGAAGAGCCCTAAAATATATATATATAACCATAGTTATATTATGAATTCTGCTTTGTGGTGTTTTTTCTTTTTTGTTTTTTATTATTATACTTTAAGTTTTAGGGTACATGTGCACAACGTGCAGGTTTGTTACATATATATACACGTGCCATGTTGGTGTGCTGCACCCATTAACTCGTCATTTAACATTAGGTATATCTCCTAATGCTATCCCTCCACACTCCCCCCACCCCACAACAGGACCCGGTGTGTGATGTTCCCCTTCCTGTGTCCATGTGTTCTCATTGTTCAATTCCCACCTGTGAGTGAGAACATGCGGTGTTTGGTTTTTTGTCCTTGCGACAGTTTGCTGAGAATGATGGTTTCCAGCTTCATCCATGTCCCTACAAAGGACATGAACTCATCATTTTTTATGGCTGCATAGTATTCCATGGTGTATATGTGCCACAGTTTCTTAATCCAGTCTATCATTGATGGACATTTGGGTTGGTTCCAAGTCTTTGCTATTGTGAATAATGCTGCAATAAACATATGTGTGCATGTGTCTTTATAGCAGCATGATTTATAATCCTTTGGGTATATACCAAGAAATGGGATGGCTGGGTCAAATGGTATTTCTAATTCTAGATCCTTGAGGAATTGCCACACTGACTTCCACAATGGTTGAACTAGTTTACAGTCCCACCAACAGTGTAAAAGTGTTCCTATTTCTCCACATCCTCTCCAGCACCTGTTGTTTCCTGACTTTTTAATGATCGCCATTCTAACTGGTGTGAGATGGTATCTCATTGTGGTTTTGATTTGCATTTCTCTGATGGCCAGTGATGATGAGCATTTTTTCATGTGTCTTTTGGCTGCATAAATGTCTTCTTTTGAGAAGTGTCTGTTTATATCCTTTGCCCACTTGTTGGCAAGAGGTTGTTTTTTTCTTGTAAATTTGTTGGAGTTTATTGTAGATTCTGGATATTAGCCCTTTTGTCAGATGAGTAGATTGCAAAAATTTTCTCTCATTCTGTAAGTTGCCTGTGCACTCTGATGGTAGTTTCTTTTGCTGTGCAGAACCCCTTAGTTTAATTAGATCCCATTTGTCAATTTTGGCTTTTGTTGCCACTGCTTTTGGTGTTTTAGACATGAAGTCCTTACCCATGCCTATGTCCTGAATGGTATTGCCTAGGTTTTCTTCTAGGGTTTTTATGGTTTTAGGTCTAACATTTAAGTCTTTAATCCATCTTGAATTGATTTTTGTATAAGGTGTAAGGAAGGGATCCCATTTCAGCTTTCTCCATATGGCTAGCCAGTTTTCCCAGCACCATTTATTAAATAGGGAATCCTTTCCCCATTTCTTGTTTTTGTTAGGTTTGTCAAAGATCAGATAGTTGTAGATATGTGGCATTATCTCTGAGGGCCCTGTTCTGTTCCATTGGTGTATATCTCTGTTTTGGTACCAGTACCATGCTGTTTTGGTTACTGTATCCTTGTAGTATAGTTTTAAGTCAGGTAGCATGATGCCTCCAGCTTTGATCTTTTGGCTTAGGATTGACTTGGCAATGTGGGCTCTTTTTTGGTTCCGTATGAACTTTAAAGTAGTTTTTTCCAATTCTGTGAAGAAAGTTACTGGTAGCTTGATGAGGATGACATTGAATCTGTAAATTACCTTGGGGAGTATGGCCATTTTCACGATATTGATTCTTCCTACCTATGAGCATGGAATGTTCTTCCATTTGTTTGTATCCTCTTTTATTTCATTGAGCAGTGGTTTGTAGTTCTCCTTGAAGAGGTCCTTCACATTCCTTGTAAGTTGGATTCCTAGGTATTCTATTCTCTTTGAAGCAATTGTGAGTGGGAGTTCACTCATGATTGGAAGAAACGGATAAATTCCTCGACACATACACTCTCCCAAGACTAAACCAGGAAGAAGTTGAATCTCTGAATAGACCAATAACAGGCTCTGAAATTGAGGCAATAATTAATAGCTTACCAACCAAAAAAAGTCCAGGACCATACAGATTCACAGCCGCATTCTACCAGAGGTACAAGGAGGAGCTGGTACCATTCCTTCTGAAACTATTCCAATCAACATAAAAAGAGGGAATCCTCCCTAACTCATTTTATGAGGCCAGCATCATCCTGATACCAAAGCCTGGCAGAGACACAACAAAAAAAAGAGAATTTTAGACCAATATCCCTGATGAACATCGATGCAAAAATCCTCAATAAAATACTAGCAAACAGAATCCAGCAGCACATCAAAAAGCTTATCCACCATGATCAAGTGGGCTTCATCCCTGGGATGCAAGGCTGGTTCAACATATGCAAATCAATAAATGTAATCCAGCATATAAATAGAACCAACGACAAAAACCACATGATTATCTCAATAGATGCAGAAAAGGCCTTCGACAAAATTCAACACCCCTTCATGCTAAAAACTCTCAATAAATTAGGTATTGATGGGACGTATCTCAAAATAATAAGAGCTATTTATGACAAACCCACAGCCAATATCATACTGAATGGGCAAAAACTGGAAGCATTCCCTTTGAAAACTGGCACAAGACAGGGATGCCCTCTCTCACCACTCCTATTCAACATAGTGTTGGAAGTTCTGGCCAGGGCAATCAGGCAGGAGAAAGAAATAAAGGGTATTCAATTAGGAAAAGAGGAAGTCAAATTGTCCCTGTTTGCAGAGGACATGATTGTATATCTAGAAAACCCCATCATCTCAGCCCAAAATCTCCTTAAGCTGATAAGCAACTTCAGCAAAGTCTCAGGATACAAAATCAATGTGCAAAAATCATAAGCATTCTTATACACCAATAACAGCCAAGCAGAGAGCCAGAAAGTCTTTTTACAAAACTAGAGAACATTGGGAAGGGCTCCTTTGGCGAGGTGTTCTAAGGCATTGACAGTTGGACTCAGAAAGTGGTTGCCATAAAAATCATTGATCTGGAAGAAGCTGAAGATGAGATAGAGGACATTCAACAAGAAATCACAGTGTTGAGTCAGTGTGACAGTCCATACGTAACCAAATATTATGGATACATGAAGGATGTATGAAGGATACAAAAGTATGGATAATAATGGAATATCCTGATGGAGGCTCCACACTAGATCTGTTAGAACCTGGCCCGTTAGATGAAACCCAGATCATTACTATATTAAGAGAAATACTGAAAGGACTTGATTACCTCCATTCGGAGAAGAAAATCCATAGAGGTGTTAAAGCGGCCAACGTCCTGCTGTCTGAGCACTGCGAGGTGAAGCTGGTGGACTTTGGCATGGCTGGCCAACTGGCAGACACCCAGACCAAAAGGAACACTTTTGTGGGCACCCCGTTCTGGATAGCACCCGAGGTCATCAAACAGTCGGCCTATGACTCAAAGGCAGACATCTGGTCCCTGGGCATAACAACTATTTAACTTGCAAAAGGAGAACCACCTTATTCCAAGCTGCATCCCATGAAAGTTTTATTCCTTATTCCAAAGAACAACCCACCAACGTTGGAAGAAAACTACAGTAAACCCCTCAAGGAGTTTGTGGAGGCCTGTTTGAATAAAGAGCTGAGCTTTAGACCCACTGCTAAGGAGTTATTGAAGCACAAGTTTATACTACGCGATACAAAGAAAACTTCCTACTTGACCGAGCTCATCGACAGGTATAAGAGATGGAGGGCAAAGCAGAGCCAAGAAGACTCGAGCTCCGAGGATTCCAACTCGGAAACAGATGGCCAAGACTCAGTGGGGCAGCGATTCTGGGGACTGGATCTTCACAATCCAAGAAAAAGATCCCAAGAATCTTGAGAATGGAGCTCTTCAGCCATCGGATGTAGACAAATAAGATGAAAGACATCCCAAAGAGGCCTTTCTCTCAGTGTTTATCTACAATTATTTCTCCTCTGCTTGCAGAGTTGAAGAGCCAGGCGTGCGGAGGGAACTTGGGGTCCACTGAAGAGCTTCGAGGGGCCATCTACCTGGTGGAGGAGGTGTGCCCCCGCATCTCCGACACCATAGTGGGCCAGCTCCTGCAGCAGCTCCACAGATATTCTCTAAGTGGTGGAGAAACTTCATCCCACTGAAATTCCTTTGGCATTTGGGGTTTTGTTTTTCCTTTTTTTCTTCTTCATCTTCCTCCTTTTTAAAAGTCAGCAAGAGCCTTCGCTGACTCCACTGAAGAGGTGCGCCACCGGGGGCCACCCCAGTGCCGGGCATCTGTCCAGGGACACACACAGTCCTCGCTGTGCTGCAGCCAGATGAAGTCTCCCAGATGGGTGGGGAGGGTCAGCTCCTTCCAGCGATCATTTTATTTTATTACTTTTGTTTTTAATTTTAACCATAGTGCACATATTCAAGGAAAGTGTCTTTAAAAACTAAAACAAACCCTGAAATGTATATTTGGGATCATGATAAGGCAACTAAAGACATGAAACCTCAAGTATCCTGCTTTAAGTTGATAACTCCCTCTGGGAGCTGGGGAATTGCTCTGGAGGATGGGTGTACAGATTTGTATATAGTGTCATTTTTGCGGAGACCCTTTCAGTGTGCATAAGGAATCACTGTGTAAAAACTGGCCAAGTGCTTCTGTAGATAATGTCAGTGGAGTAAATATTCAACAGGCCAAAAAATATATATAAAGAAAAGTCTCTAACAGTTTTGGGGTTTTTGTGTTTCTATTTAGTTTTGGTTCATAAAATTAAAATTAATTAACTAAACAACTTTTAGAAATTATGTTCTACTGGATGTAGACAGACAATAAACAAACAAAAAAAAAAGATAAAGCATATAACATATTAGAAGGTGAAAAAAAGCCACAGAGGAAAGCAAAGTGGGAAAGGGATATAGAGATTTCTTGAAGGAGGGCGGGGAATGCAATTTTATTTTTATTTTCGGTCTGTGGCCCAGGCTGGAGTGCAGCAGTGCAGCAGCATGATCTCAGCTCATTGCAACCTCTGCCTCCTGAGTTCAAGTGATTTTCCTGCCTCAGCCTCCCGAGTAGCTGGGACTACAGGCATGCACCACCACATCTGGCTAATTTTTGTATTTTTAATAGAGATGGGGTTTCACCATGTTGGCCTTGCTGGTCTTGAACTCCTGACCTCAGGAGTTCCACCCATCTCATCCTCCCAAGGTGCTGGGATTACAGGCATGAGCCACTGCGTCCAGCCGGGAATGCAATTTTAAATAGGGTGATCTGTGATGTCCTCACTGAAAAGTGACGTTTGAACAAAGACCTGAAGGAAATGAGGGAATAAGCCATGGGGATACTTGAAGAAAGAGCGTTCTGGGCAGGAGGATATAACCTGAGCACTGCAGGGTGCTTGGAGCCTTTCTAAGGGCAGTACTGAGGTCAATGTGCCAGAAGCAGAGCAAGCTAAGGGGAAAACGGTGAGCGAAGACGTGAGAGAGGTGATAAAAAGCCAAATCACACAGGGGCTTGCAGGCTGTTTTAAGAACTTTGGTTTTACTCTGGAGAACAGGGAGCCATTGCAGGGTTTTAAAAAACTTATTTTGAAATAGCGTCAAACTTACAGAAGTGGTATAAGAATAGTACAAAGAACTCTTATTTATCCTTCGTCCAGATTCTGCAAATTGTTAACATTTTGCCACATTTGCCTTATTTCTCCTTACATTTATTTTTGAAGCATTTGAGTGTAAATTGGAGATATCCTGTCCCTTCATTCCAAATACTTTAGCAGGCATTTTCCTGAGAACAAGAGTAGTTTCTTACATAACAACTATCAAAATAAGGAAATTTACATTAATGCATTACTACTTCATATACAGTCCACATTCATATTTAGACAGCTGTCTCACTAATGTCCTTCATTGCATGTTCCCCTCTGATCCAGGTTCTAATGTAGATCCTGCTTTTAGTTGTCACGGTTTTTCAGTCTCCTTTAATCTAGAAATGTTCCTCAGCCTTTCTTTGACTTAAATAACATTGACATTTTTGAAGCATACAGGCTGGCTATTTTATAGAATATCCCTCAATTTGAGTTTGTCTAAGGTTTCCTCGTCACTCAGGTTATACTTTTTTGGCAGCACAGAAGTGATGTTGCATCATTCTCAGTGCATCACATCAGCACATGCACGATGTTACTTTGTCCCATCATTGAGGATATTAACTTTGATTACTTGGTTAAGGTAATGTTCACCACATTTCTCCACCACATTTCTCCCATTTGCAATTTATAAGTGATGTGTAAGAGATTTGTGGAGAAATGCTTTGAGCCTGTGTAAATATCCTGTTCCTCCTCAAAACTTCAACCTGCTGGGCACAGTGGCTCACACCTACAATCCCAGCACTTTGGGAGGCTAAGATGGGTGGATCGCTTGAGCTCGGGAGTTTGAAACCAGCCTAAGCAACATCATGAAACCCCATGTCTAGAAAAAATTAGCCAAGTGTGGTGGCACACGCCTGTGGCCCAGCTACTTGGGAGGTGAGGTGGGAGGATTGCTTGACCCAGGAGGTCAAGGCTGCAGTGAGCCAAGATCGTGCCACTGCACTTCAGCCTAGGTGACAGTGAGGCTCTGTCTCAAAAAAAAAAAAAAAAAACAAAAAAACTTCAACCAATTGTTTTACTATTCATTGTTAATTTTTACCTGATGGTTGTCAAATGGTGGTTTTCTACTTCCACCATTTTTCTAAATGTATTAGTCAGCTTTCTACTGAAAGGGAGAGTTTTTCCTTCTCTCATATTTATTCATTCATTTATATCAGTATGGACTCATGTATTTCTATTTTAATTAGTGAGTTACAATCTATTACTATTATTATGTTGATGTTGAATTTGTTCCAGATTTGTTTAATGGGAGCCCTTTCAAACTGGCTTCTGTGTCCTTTTGACATATATATACCTATGATTTTCTGAGCACTTTCTTACACTCTTGCACAAGATGTTTCATGTTGAATCTTGCATTTTTCCTTGCCTCATACCTAGAATCCACCATTTATCTAAGGACTCTGGTTCCTTTTAGAAGAAAATCGTGTCTAGAAACCAAGATTTGAGTAAAGCCAGAGTTTTGAGCAAAAAAATAACACGATAAGACATGTTTTAAAAAGATCACTTAGGCTGTTATGCTAAAAATTGACTCTAAGGTGACAAAGGAAAAAGCAGGAAGATGTACCTGTGTTAAAAGAGTAGATTTCTTTCTCTGCAATGCAAATCTGACCATGTGGCTTTTCTGCCAAAATTATTTGACAGATGAGACCACTTATAAAGTTAAAACCCTGTGGCATTGCAAGAAAAGCTCTTCTGTGATCTGGTCCCTTTTGGACTTCTCCACCTTCTTTTTCTTTTTCTTTCCTTTTTTTTTTTTTTTTTTTTGAGATTGAGTCTCACTCTGTCACCCAGGCTGGAGTGCAGTAGTACCATCTCGGCTCACTGCAACCTCCGCCTCCCAGGCTCAAGTAATTCTTTGCAAATGCTGCTCCTTTTGCCTGCCCCCCAACCCCTTGACCATCTCATCCTTCATGACAACACAATACTCTTTTTCCTTTGTAAAGCCTTCCTCGAGCAATTCCCTCCATTTGCATCCCACCCCAGGCATAAATTATTATTCGGGTCATTGTGTTATCACACATTTCATCATGGAAACATACTGCCTCTCCTTCAGTCTCCTTTCTGGAATACTAGGAGAGAAAAAATCACCTTCCAAGGTTCTTTTTATCCTGATATATCAAGGATGATTGGTTCTGTTGGCATGAGGCCAAAGGAAGTTCTGATTCACTACAGCCTCGCCCCATAACACAAGTGAAGCCCCAAGGCTGGAGGGCTGGAGTCCTTGACACAAAACAGGAGTAGCAGGGCTTCCAGGAGGGCAGAGGCCTGCTCAGATAACCCTGGATATATGGGTAGGCCAGACTTCAAAGGCACCTGGGACAGAGGGAAGACAGAGGCAGGCTTGTCTAACTAGAAGACATAACTCAGTTGAGTTTTGAGACTTCTATAAGAACATTCGCCTTCCCTGGCTGGGTGCAGTGGCTCACGTCTATAATCCCATCACTTTGGGAGGCTGAGGCAGGCGGATCACCTGAGGTCGGGAGTTCGAGACCAGCCTGGCCAACACTCTGTCTCTACGAAAAATAGAAAAAAAATTAGCTGGGCATGGTAGCGGGCGCCTGTATTCCCAGCTGCTAGGGAGGCTGAGGCAGGAGAATCACTTTAACCCAGAAGGCAGAGGTTGCAGTGAGCCAAGATCACGCCACTGCACTCCAGCCTGGGTGACAGAGCGAGACTCCATTTCAACAAAACAAAACAAACAAACAAAAAAGAACATTATCCTTCCCTTAGCGCCCTCCAAATCTTATCAAAACCCAACAATAGACTTCTTCCTCTTGTTATCTGCCAGTGAGCTAAGGTCATCCAAGTAGGTCACACCCTTCAAGCCAGCTAGAAAACTGTAAGGTGCCTTAAGTTAGTCCTCTTGAAGAGGTCTAGCTTTCCGAAACATTTCCTTCAGTGCCTTGGAGATGAATCTGATTAGCAGCCCTTGGCACCCATCAGAGTTCTCTAGTTTCATTGCCTTCCAGCCAAAGACTACCAGGAACACACCTGTAGCTGAACAAGTTGAGCTTATTACTTGTTGCAACAGGGCAAAACACACACCATGGGGCACCTCAGTAAGAGGGAGTTAGAAAAGACATATTACAGGATTTGGGCTTTGGTTGGGTGATTCAGGAGGGTTTAAAGAAGCAAGGGTTGGCCGGGCGCGGTGGCTCACGCCTGTAATCCCAGCACTTTGGGAGGCCGAGGCGGGCGGATCACGAGGTCAGGAGATCGAGACCATCCCGGCTAAAAACGGTGAAACCCCGTCTCTACTAAAAATACAAAAAATTAGCCGGGCGTAGTGGCGGGCGCCTGTAGTCCCAGCTACTTGGGAGGCTGAGGCAGGAGAATGGCGTGAACCCGGGAGGCAGAGCTTGCAGTGAGCCGAGATCCCGCCACTGCACTCCAGCCTGGGAGACAGAGCGAGACTCCGTCTCAAAAAAAAAAAAAAAAAAAAAAAAAAAAGAAGCAAGGGTTCTGGCTGGGTGCAGTGGCTCATGCCTGTAATTCCAGCACTTTGGGAGGCCGAAGCCGGCGGATCACAAGGTCAGGAGTTCTAGACAAGCCTGGCCAACAGGGTGAAACCATGTTTCTACTAAAAATACAAAAATTAGCCAGGCATGGTGGTGCGTGCCTGTAGTCCCAGCTACTCGGGAGGCTGAGGCAGGAGAATCGCTTGAATCCAGGAGGCAGAGGTTGTGGTGAGCCGAGATGATGCCACTTCACTCCAGCCTGGGCAACAGAATGAAATTCTGCCTAAAAAAAAAAAAAAAAAAAAAAAAAAAAAAAGAAGAAGAAGAAGAAAGGGTTCGCTGTAGATTCAGTGCTATCAGAAAGTGAGGACAAGTTTATCATTGGGTATATCAGAAAATCCTATCTCTAGGGAGGACAAACTGAGCAAGACTGAAGCAGTAATTGGAAAGAAAGCAGCAGTCACTCATCTTATCCAGGAGAAGGAGATGTTTGGCATTTTGTGGGCTGCACAGTGATCTTGTTTTTGTCTGTGCTTAGACTTAATTATGAAATGGCCTTGTTTTGTCTTACTTTATCATGATCTTAGAGTCAACTTATCTGGCACTGATATTCTGTAAGATCCTTAATATCCAATAGGAGAATAACTTGGTCTAGCTGTAAGTGCCAGGCCAGCTGGTAGCAATGCTAAGGCCTAGCTGTGAGCATCTCACTAGTTCCCAGATGTGAGGGGCTGTTTCTTTCTGCTTCTTTTGGTCAAAGGCAGACAAAGTGAGGCTGCTGGATGTTACTCCATGATACCCAGATTTCTCTATTGCGGATCAGGAGCTGGCTTAGAGAATGTAGTCTCTACTTGGACTGAGGTTAGTCCCTCCAGCTTGCTGCATCTGATATGAAAATGGCTGTATGGTAAAAAATTCAATATAAAAGGACTCTGGGAAGATAGCATCAGCAATCTTAATTGTAATTAACAAAAGCAGTTATCAGAAATGGATATCATGGCCAGGCGTGGTGGTTCACACCTGTAACCCCAGCACTTTGGGAGGCTGAGGCAGGCCAATCACTTGAGGTCAGGAGTTTGAGACAAGCCTGGCCAACATGGCAAGACCCTGTCTCCACTAAAAATACAAAAAAAAAAAAAAAAAAAAAAAAACTAGCCAGGTGTGTTGGCAGGCTCCTGTAATCCCAGCTATTAGAGAGACTGAGGTAGGAGAATTGCTTGAACCCGGGAAGTGGAGGTTGCAGTGAGCCAAGATGGCGCCACTGCACTCTAGTCTGGGCAACAGAGGGGTAGTCCGTCAAAAAAAAAAAAAAAAGGGAAAAGAAACAGATGTCGGTAAAAGGTCTCAAAGTCTCAAAGTTATGGGCCTAGATTATGAAACCCAGGCAATGAAAATGTATCCCAGAATGCAACCAGGTATATCTGAGACAACCAGGTGGCTTTTTCTTTTAGCATACTCACAAACAGTTCTGCTTTCCCTGTAGTACTTACATAGGTGAAACGAGTAATACTTGCTACAACACAAATTCCCTCTTGGTTGGAAGAGGAAATTAAGGGCTATGTGATTGCCCATGACAACTCTAGTTAATGAATTCTGAGTAGTTTCTTGGGCTTTCAGAGCAGGAGTGTGTCATTTATGACATTTACTAGTGTCAGAGACAAGTTTCAGACCACTGTTCTAGTTGTATTACACCCACTATGGGATTTGCAGTTTCCAGTGCAAGCATAAAGAGGGAATCCAGGCTAGGAGCGGTGGTTCATGCTTGTAATTCCAGCCCTTTGGGAGACCGAGGCAGGTGGATCACCTGAAGTCAGGAGGTCTAGATCAGCCTGGCCAACATGGTGAAACCCTGTCTCTACTAAAAATACAAAAATTAGCCAGGTGTGGTGGCTCACGCCTGTAATCCCAGTTACTCGGGAGGCTGAGGCAGGAGAATTGCTTGAATCGAGGAAGCAGAGGTTGCAGTGAGTTGAGATCACACCACTGCACTCCAGCCTGGGTGATAGAGTGAGACTCAGTCTCAAAAAAAAAAAAAAAAAAAGAGGGAATCCATTATCCCACTTGGAAATTCCCTTGAATAACCTGTGTTTGCCTCAGTTTGGAGGCTTCTGGGTGTTCTCTGGGACACATAGTCACAGAAAGGAGGGTAGTTTTAAATCTCTAACGATTACCCTAAAAACACAGGATAAGGTGGTGTGTGGCAGGAAGTATAAGGTCTTCTTATATTAAAAAGGTATGTAAGGAGATATATAAGCAGTAAGACCTGAGTGGAGCACAGATTATATTTGGAGTATAACTATCATTTACTGCAAAAGGAGTGAGCCAATTTGTAGCTTCTGAGATAGACAAGTCCTTTTAGTATAATTTTAGTATAATTAAACAGCTCCTGCAAAGAAGGTTGAAGAGAACAAACTGATCATTGCACCCAGATATTCCCAATGTTAGTGTCCACTCCTGATTGACTACACCTTGCTGATAGGATTATAATGACTTCAGCAGAAGCATTTTGTTGATGTGAGGTCAGGTCCAATTTTTACAAAACTAAAGATTGAGATTAATGCTGTGAGGGAAACGAGTACCATAAGAGACCTATAAAAGGGAATCTACCTCCTGAAGTGTTTAAAGGAAGAGCTATTATATTTTTGTCAGCAGGGTTAGGCAGGAGTAGGGGTGACATAGGTAGCAATCAGTTAACTTCAGAGCCATGGTTATGGGAAAAAATTAAGTGGTGGGAGACCATAAGGAGACAAAAATAACAGGATGCAGCCTGGGCAACAAAGTGAGACCCCATTTCTACAAATAATTTTTTAAAAATTAGCTGGGTGTGATGGCACACACCTGTGGTCCCATCTACTCAGGAGGCTGAGGTGGGAGGATTGCTTGAGCCCAGGAAGTCGAGGTTGCAATGAGCCATGATTGCACCACTGCACTTCAGCCTGGGTGACACAGCAAGATCCCATCTCAAAATAATAACAACAGTAATAATAATAGGATGAATAAGGGATCATTGCATTACTGTTCTAGAAGACATCTAAGTAGAATAATAAGCAAAGTTAGTAGAAGAGTAAAGGAACTGAAAAGGGGGATGAAGAATCATAAAATTAATCTTGTTCTGTCATATTGGGTGGGAGCTATTCACCCTCTGAAGCCAGCAATTTCTGGAGGATTTTTATTTTATTTTTATTTTATTTTATTTTATTTTTGAGACGGAGTCTTGCTCTGTCACCCAGGCTGGAGTGCAGTGGTGAGATCTAGGCTCACTGCAACCTCTGCCTCCCGGGTTCAAGCAATTCCCTGCCTCAGCCTCCTGAGTAGCTGGGATTACAGGTGCCTGCCACAACACCCAGCTAATTTTTGTATTTTTAGTAGATATGGGGTTTCATCATCTTGGTTAGGCTGGTCTTGAACTCCTGACCTCATCATCTACCCGCCTCAGCCTCCAAGCGTGAGCCGCCACACCCAGCCAATTTCTGGAAGATTTCTAAGAATCCAAAGTTTAAGGTCTCCAGACGGAAGGGATGTCCAGTAATCAGGATGAGACTATGCATATCCTTTTCACTGGGAAACATGAATTCAAGCACCAACATCTTGGAGTTTTACTGCTGTGTCAATTGTTAATAGTACCTGATAAGGTCCTCACCTTCAAGGTTCAAGAGCAGTTTTTCTCCAGTGTCTTCTCCGGAAGACTAAACCTCCAGGTTGCAGATCATGCAGAGGCTTGGTAACAGAGCTGGAGTTATGGTATGGGTCACTTACGTTAATTGATCATGTCTACTTACAATCAAACAGACTCTAAGACTGAGGGTGAAATTACCAAATACATAGGGTGGCCTATTATTAATTCATTAGATAACTTGTGTGTCCCAGACAGGGGTGATCTTGTAGACATTAAAGTTAATCTAATACTTTAGGCCAAGCTTGTCCAGCCTCTGGTCTGTGGATTACATGTGGCCCAGGACAGCTTTGAATGCAGCTGATGTGGTTTGACTGTGTCCCCACCCAGATCTCATCTTGAATTCCCACGTGTTGTCGGAGGGACCCAGTGGGAAGTAACTGAATCATGGGGGCAGGTCTTTCCCATGCTGTTCTCATGATAGTGAATAAGTCTCATGAGATCTGATGGTTTTATAAGGGTGATTTCCCTGCACGCATGCTCTCTCTTTGCCTGCTGCCATCCATGTAAGACGTGACTGCTCCTCCTTGCCTTCCCCATGATTGTGAGGCCACCCCAGTCACATGGAACTGTAAGTCCATTAAACCTCTTTCTTTTGCAAATTGCCCAGTCTTGGGTATGTTTTTATCAGCAGCGTGAAAACAGACTAATACAGAGGTCTAACACAAATTCATAAACTTTCTTAAAATATTATGAGATTTTTTGTGATTTTTTTTTTTACTTATCAGCTATCATTGGTGTTAGTGTATTTTATGTGTGGCCCTAGAGAGTTCTTCTTCCAATGTGGCCCAGGGAAGCCAAAAGATTGGACACCCCTGCTTTAGGCCATGGAAGTTGTAGGATTTCTGAGAGCTTTGCTAATTTTAGTTTTAGTTTTAGAATTGCATTAGCTCTCTTCTTTTTATGAGGCCTGTAGACAATAAGAACAGTGCTGTCTCTGGGTAAAAGACAGAACTTTACAGAGCTCCTTAATCACAGTCCCAGTAAAAATTGAGTTTCCTGTCACTAAAGAGAGAAGATGGAATTCCCCAAGTTGGAAAAATGAGATCAAGATTTCATTTTTTGTTATGGCAATGGCCTGTTATGGGTTGAATTGCATCCTTTCAGAATTTACATGTTGAAGCCTAATTCCAGTACCTGAGAATGTGACCTTATTTGGAGTTATGGTCTTTGTAGAGGTAATTAGTTAAAATGAGGTTATTAGGGTGGCCCCTAATTCTTATATAAAGAGGAAATTTGGGCACAAAGACAGGCACACATAAAGGGAAATTGATATGAAGAAACGCAGAGGACAGCCGTCTACAAGCCCAGGGTAGAGGGACCTAGAACAGAAAGAACCAACCCTGCCAACACCTTGATTTCAGACTTCTATGCTCCAGAACTGTGAGGCAATCGATCTCTGTTGTTTAAACAAGTTCTCTTGAATAATCTGTGTTTGTGTCATTTTGGACACTTCTGAGCATCCTTCTCAAGCAGACATGAGCCACTTAAAGGATGATAGTTTTATTTTATTTTATTTTATTTTATTTTATTTTATTTTATTTTATTTTATTTTTTGAGACAGAGTCTCACTCTGTCGCCCAGGCTGGAGTGCAGTGGCATGATCTTGGCTCACTGCAACCTCCCATCCTGAGTTCAAGCAATTCTCCTGGCTCAGCCTCGGGAGTAGCTGGGATTACAGGCGTCCACCACCACGCCTGGCCAAGGATGGTAGTTTTAAATCTTCCCCCTCCCACCCTCCAGTTTGTGATGCTAGATTCTGGCACCCCTAGCAAACAAATATAGGACCATGGCTCTCTGACAGAAAAAGTTTAAACCCATTCTGAAAATAAACAATAACCGGGCATATGTATCAGCCCATCAAGGAGGCATTTGTATGAAGTCCATCTGGAGGTGTTCAAAGGGCCCTCAAGGCTTTGGTTCCTGTCTGTGCCCCATCTTTACAGGTTAAGCAGGACCATGTTGTTAGCAGGTAGGACATGTTTTGGAAACACCTTTGACAATACCCCTAAAATTACCCCACCAATATCAGTTTAATATTGTGGCCAACTTATCAACTTACCTCTCCTGTTCTGGATAATGCCATGAAGAATTTTTGCTGAATTCCATTTTTTTTTTTTTTTTGAGACGGAGTCTCACTCTGTCACCAGGTGATCGCGGGTCACTGCAACCTCCGCCTCCAGGTTCAAGCGATTCTCCTGCCTCAGCCTCCTGAGTAGCTGGGACTACAGGTGTGTGCCACCACGCCGGGCTAATGAATTCCATTTTTAATAGACTTGGTGCTACCAGTTAGCCATCTTAAGGTCTTCAATATTATTTTTGTACAATGAGTCTTCAAAGTTTTTTCCAAAATCTTTGTTTTCAAAAAGAGGCCAATCTCTGACGGTTAACAACAATCTCATTGAATTATTCTAAAGAGCCTTTTTTCTGAGTGATTACAGGGCTAATTTTCTTGGTGAAAACTGCATATTTAGCTTAGTAGTCAGCTAAGGTTTTATCACAAGCTTCTGGGTCCTTGTGCTTTGAACGATGCCCCACTTTTACTACAGCAATTAAGTTAACAGCATCTGAAAACATCCAAGACTTCTTCAATGTGTCAATTTTTATAGGTGTTTCTGTCAAGGTCAGAAAACCTCTTGGTTTCAAGGCATTTTGAAGTCAGACTAACCTAAAACCATGTACTTAGTATCAGCATAAGTATTTATTATTTTACTTTTTGCCAGTTAATAAATCTATGTAATCAATTAAACTATCTAAACTGATTTAATTTCTGTGAGAAGTTTTCCTTTTAAGAGTAATTTTTTTTTCTTTTGAGACGGAGTCTCACTCTGTCACTTAGGCTAGAGTGCAGTGGCGTGACTCAGCTCACTGCAACCTCCGCCTCCCAGGTTCAAGCAATTCTCCTGCCTCAGGCTCCCAAGTAGCTGGAACTACAGGCACGGGCCAGCATGCCCGGTTAATTTTTGTATTTTTAGTAGAGACAGGGTTTCACCATGTTGGCCAGGCTGGTCCGGAACTCCTGACCTCAAGTGATCCACCCGCCTTAGCCTCCCAAAGTCCTGGGATTACAGGCGTGGGCCACCACGCCCAACCTTAAGAGTAAATTTAGGAGTGTGACAGCATATCCTATTTGACAATTTTTGGTCTTACTCTTTATGTCTGAATAATCAACAAACAAAATAAAATCAGCATTACCCAAGGGAATCTCTAGAAGGTCTGTGCAATGTATGGATCCTTTTTTTTTTTTTTTTTTTTTTTAAGAGGTAAGCAATTAAAGGGTCTTCCTTTTGCAGGTAAAGGAAAAAAGGCTGGGTTTATAGTGTTGCAGCAATGGGCAGTGATGTGTGAAAGAGAAAGCAACAATGCTTTATAGGTTAGGTAAGGAGGTAAAAAGTGGTGGGTGTTGGCTAGGTGCAATGGCTCATGCCTGTAATCCCAGCGCTTTGACAGGCCAAGGTAGAAGGATCACTTGAGGTCAGGAGTTTGAGACCAGCTTGGGCAATATAGTGAGATGCTGTCTCTACATAAAACTAAAAATAATAGCCATGAATGGTGGCATGTGCCTAGAGTCCTAGCTACTCTGGAGGCTGAGGCAGGAGGATCGCTTGTGCCCAGGAGTTTGAGGTTGCAGTGAGCTATGCACCACTGCACTCCAGCCTGGGTGACAGAGAAAGACTCTGCCTCTAAAAAAGAAATAAAAAATAAAAGTAGTGAGTGTTTTTAAAAAAAATACAAGAGTTTTCACAGCATGGAGAAACATCAACTTTAGTCAGAAATTAAACTAACTGAAGTCTTCACACATTTTTCTATTGCTGTTACACCTCTTAAATAAGAGTGATATGTGTTGGCCACTGGGCCTAATGAAAGACCGAAATAAACAATAGGCCTCTAATGATTCTATGAAACAGAGGCAGTATTCCCTAGTGCCTGTTCAGACTTTTTATGAACAAAAGGGTAAGTGAGCTTGTGAATCTAAAATCCTGGAAAAATTTTGTGGTGAACAATTATTGTATCAGTTTTTGTGCTTATACATGAACATGCTTCTTCTACTTTGTAAAGTATTCAATGACTGAAATATATTCATATACAACCTAGCTGTGCTCCACTTAATGTCATAGTTCAGACCAGGTCATAGTAGGTCAAGTAGGACACAATATTGCAGTGAAGACGGGACCATGGAATAAATGCAAACTCACTCCCTGGGACAGCTCAGGTACTGAAGAAGAGTCTGATGAAAACATCAGAATCCCACATTTGTAGTGAGGCTCATTCCAGAAGATTACCACCCACTGACCAGGCAAGCAGCTACATCTCATGTCAATCAAGGCCCATAAGAAGCAGCAGGAAGAGAACAAGGTGATGGGAGATGCAGTCAATGGGGCACGTAGGAAAAGCAGCAGGGTAGAGTCACCAAGCTAGGGCTTAGGGGTAGAACTCTCCAAGAAAGATGATTTCTTTACTATTGATTGTTTTTCCTCCAACGAGAATTGGAGATGGCTTCCAAGGATTCATCCAATCCAGACAAATTTTAAATAAAGTAAAAAAAAAAGAAAAAAGGCAAAAGATAAAGTTACTAAGCAAGTAACCTAGTCCAGCAGTAAGACAAAGATCCAGCTTTGCCTCAGGGTCTCAATTCAGATTAGCAGCAAAAGGGATCATTTAAACTAGGGGATCATTTAAACTAGCAGGATCCTGCCTGCTCCTGTCTGGCCAGGTCTACCACTCAACCCATCCCTCTTTTCCAGGTCCCTGACCCTCCAGATTGCCTGGTGATCTATTGTGTTTCCTTTTGTGTTTCTTTTACTGTTTTGTTTTGTTTTTTTGAGATGGAGCCTCGCTCTGTCACCAAGGCCGGAGTGCGGTGGCTCCATCTCGGCTCACTGCAACCTCCACCTCCTGGGTTTAAGCGATTCTCCTGCCTCAGCCTCCTGAGTAGCTGGGACTACAGATGCATGCCACCACGCCCATCTAATTTTTGGTATTTTTTAGTAGAGATGGGGTTTCAGCAAGTTGGTCTGGCTGGTCTCGAACTCCTGACCTCAGGTGATTCGCCTACCTCGGCCTCCCAAAGTGCTGGGATTACAGGCATGAGCCACTGCACCCAGGCTTCTTTTTCTGTTTTGAGTGTCTTTCTTTGCATGTTTCTGTAGCCAGAAGATCTCCATTCCACTCCCAGGGGCTCCAAAATAAATTCTCCTTCCCCCTGGGGAAACGCACTAGCTTGTTTTGGTGGGCTTAGGTGTGGTTTTTGTTTTTCAGTTTGTTGTTGTTGTTGTTTTGTTCCTTTGCCTTTTTTTCACTTTTATTTGGAGGGAATGGGAGAAAGTGGGAACAGGGAAGTGGGAGGTGGATTTTGTTCATTTTTTTTAGCTCATTTCCAGGGGGTGGGAATTTCTTTTAAAATGTGTCATGAATAAAGTTGTTTTTGAAAATAAAAAAAAAACTAGGGGGTGAAAAAAGGCTTCAAAAATGATAATGGACCCAAATTTGAAAGGTAAGTGGCATTTGTCTTGGTGGAGATGAAGGAATCAACACCTCCGGTAGAGGGAGAACTGTAGTTCCTCCACTGAGGCCTGAGTAAAGTGCCTGGAGCCGAAATGATGGGAAGGAGCCATGGTAGGTAAATGAGACTGGAGGGGAACAAGTGACAAATCTTACAAGGTCCTGAATGCCTGCTAAGGAGCTAGGCTGGGCTCCTTTGCAATCACTCAGCACTTCTCAAAAGTTCTGAAGAATGGAAAACTCAATCAGAGATATGCCTTAGAAAAATATGCAGGATAATAGGGTAAATGATGTGTCTCAAGGTGAATACTCATGAATGTCTAGGTCTGGGAAGAGGGGCAAGGATGAGTGTTTAACAAAAGTTACCAGGTTAATGTGATGTGAGGAGTCTGTGACACCACAAGACTAGGTTGGGACAGTTGGGAATGAGAGAGAGAAAATGGGATCAAGAGAGACTTTAGTGAACTCATGGTGAAAACAGCCTTCTGTAGGGGTACTTCTGCCCTAAAGGAAGCTGTTCAGAGAGAGGCACACATTTCCTGACATTACTACTCACATGTTATCACAAGATTCTCTCTAACTGGCTGAAGAGACCCATGTGGCCCTAGAAGCTATTACTCCCCCAATGACATCTCTGTCTCCACACACTGCACCATGCCCTGCAGGAAGGTCCTGAGATGGTTGAAGAAGTCATTACTTATATTACTACTACATTGCTATTCACATTTCAGCTCTCTAACTGGCTGAAGGGACCTATAGGAGGGAGAAGACATGGTGCCTCCACTGTGGGGCATCTAATTAAGGTTTCTCATTGGTGGAAGGTGGCCCAATGGCTGACTTCCTTCTTAATGACATCCTCTGTAACAGCAGTCAATGTGCTGGCTTATCACCCAGCACCTCATACGATAGGGTCAAGTCTTTTTTTATTTTATTTTTTAACGAGATAGCCCTAAAAGTAATTCTCTCTCCGTGACACCTTGACCTATACACACAGCATTGTACCCAGGAAAAGGACATCAGAGGGTTTCAGAAGTCATCCCTGACATTACTAATTACTTGTCTGCACAATGTGCTCTCTGTGTGACTGAAGGGATCGTCTGTGAGCCATGATGCCCCCACTGTGAGGCATTGATGTCCTCTTTACTGAGGTTTCCCATTAGTGGAAGCTGGCCAATAGCCATCCTCCTGCTTAACCAAGGTTTTTTTTCTGACTAGCCAATGTGCTTGATTTTCACCACAGAACTCTAGGTCATAGGGCAAGACCAGTAAAGGTAGAGGAGTGGCCTTATATGACATCTGCACCTCCACCCACTGCACCCACCTGAGAAAAGTACTTGAGAGAGTTGCAAAAGTGATCACTTCTATTACTAACACAATACTATTCACATTTCAGCACAATATTATCAATGAAAGGCTAAGGGGACCCACCAGAGGGAGGAGCCACAATGCCTCCATTGTGAGGCATTGATGTCCCCTTTATTAAGATATTATATGGGGAGCACCATATTTTAAGGCCATCTCAATACTTTTTAGCGACCTGACCCTGAGACTTGGGGTTCTGGGGTGGGAATTGAGCACACTGGCTGCTGACACAGATGCCTTGGTTAAGTGGAAGTGCAGACACTGGACAGCTCTCACTAATGGGGAAACCTTAGTAGAGAAGATACCAATGCCTCACAATGGAGGCAGCATAGTTCTTCCCTCCTAAGAGTGCCTCTAGCTACTCAGAGAGCACCTTGTGCAGATGTGTGAATTGTCATGTTAGGAATGAGTTCTGCAACCCTCTAATCTCCTTCCCCTAGGTTAGAGTGCAGGGTATGAATGTGGAGGTGTCATAGTGAAAGGATTGCATTCTAGGGTCACCTCTATTCCTCTTAATGGCTCTATCCTGATTTGGGGTCCTAGGGTGGTAACACAAGCACATTGGCCGCTGACACAGAAGCTGTGATTAAGTAGGAGGGCTGCCATTGGCCAGCTCCCACCAATGGGAATCCTTAGTAGAGAGATCATCAATGCGTCACAATAGAGGCATCATGGCTCCTCCCTCCCAAGGGTGTCTTCAGCCACTCAAAAAGTACTTTGTGATGATATTTAAATAGTAATATATTGGTGCTGTAGTAGTGATAGTGTTAGTAATAGAAATGATAAACTCTGCAACACTCTCAAGTCCTTCCCCTAGGAAGGACTTTGCAGTGTTTTGCCATGCAGATATCATATGGAGAGTACTACTTTCTGGGGCCACCCCACACCCTTGAATGGTCCAACCCTATGATTTGGAGTTCTGGGAGGAAGAAGTCATGCACATTGTCTGCTCATACGGTGGCCTTGGTAAAGTAGGAAAGCAACAATTGGCCAGCTTTCACCAATGGGAAATCTTAGTAGAGAGGACATCAATACCTCATAATGGAGACATCATGGTTCCTCCCTCCAGGCTCCCTTCAGCCACTCAGAGATCACCTTGTGCAGATATTCTAGTAATAATGCCAAGGATGAGTTCTGCAACCCTCTGATCTCCTCCTCCTGGGTAGAGTGCAGTGTATGAATGTAGAGGTGTCATGGGGGGAGCACTACTTTATAGGGCCAACCCTATTGTTTTTAATGACCTGACACTATGATTTGGGGTTCTGGGGTGTTAAAGAAGCACTCTGGCTACTGGTACAGAGGATGTCATTAAGAAGGAGGGCAGCCATTGGCCCACCTTCCACCAATGGGAAGCTTTAGCTAGAGGGGACATTACACCTCACAATAGAGACATAATGGCTCCTCCCTTCCTTGGGTCCCCTCAGCCTCTGAGAGAAACTTCTGCTGAAATGTAAATAATAATGTATTAGTAATACTACTAGTAATAGAAGTGATGACTTCTAGAGCCCTCTCAAGTTCTTCTCCTAAGGACATTTCAGCACAAGTTTCTCTCAGAGGCTGAGGGGACCCAAGGGAGGGAAAAACCATAATGTCTCCATTGTGAGCCATAATATCCTCTCTAGCTAAAGCTTCCCATTGGTGGAAGGTGGGCCAATGGCTGCCGTCCTTCTTAATGACATCCTCTGTAACAGCACAAGGTGCTTAACACCTCAGATTCCGAAATAAAGGGTTGAACCATTAAAAGAAACATGGGTGGCCCTAGAAATTAGTGTTCTCTCCCTCCCATGACTTCTCCACATCCATACACTGCACGCTTCCTAGGGGAAGGAGGTCAGGGGGTTGCAAAACTCATCCCTGACATTACTATTTACACATCTGCAGAACCTGTTCTCTGAGTAGTTGAAGGGCCCCTTCGGAGGAAGGAGCCACGATGCCTCCATCATGAGGTCCTGACGTCCTCTCTACTAAGGTTGCCCATTAATGGAAGCTGTCCAGTGGCTGCACTCCTATTTAATCAAAGCCACTGTATGACTAGCCAATGCGTTTGACTCCTAGAACCCCAAATCATACGGTTGGACCTTTCAAAAGTATCAGGGGTAGCCCAGAAGTTAGTGCTCCCCCTATTATATCGGCACTTCCACACATAGTACCCTCCCTAAGGGAAGGACTTTAGAGGGTTGCCGAGGCCATCACTTCTATTACCAATACTATTATTAATACATTACCTATATATTACTATTCACATTTCAGTGCAAGATTCTCTCTAATCAGTTGAAGGGATTCATGAGAGGGAGGAGCCATCTATGCCTCTATTGTGAGGCATAGATGGCTCCTCTAAGGTTTCCTATTGGTAGAAGATGACCAATGGCAGCCCTCCTACTTAATCACAGATTCTGTGTCAGCAATCTGTGTACTTGTTCACACCCCAGGACCCCAAATCATTACAGTAGAGCCATTAAGAGGAACAGGGTTGTTCCTAGAAAGTAAAGCTCCCCACATGACACCTCCACATCCATACCCTGCCCTCTACCCAGGGGAAGGAGATCAGAGGGTTGCAGAACTAATTCCTAACATTACTATTCACATGTCTGCAGAAAGTGCTCTCTGAGTGGCTAAAGGAACCTTTGGGAGGAAGGAGCCATGATGCCTCCATTGCAAGGCATTGATGTCCTCGCTACTAAAGTTTCCCACTGGTGAAACCTGGTTAATGGCTGCCCTCCTACTTAATCAGAGCCTCTATGTCAGCAGCCAGCATGCTCGAATTTCATCAAAGTACCTCATGTCATAGATTAAGGGCATTAGAAGCAATAAGGGTCACCCTGGAACATCTGTGCTTCCTCATACCACTTCCACTTTAACCCAATGCATCCTGCCCTAGGGAAGGAGTTCAGTGGGTTGCAGAAGTCACCCCTGACTACACTATTCACATGTCTGACCAAAGTCCTCTCTAATGGCTGAATGGGCCCATGGGTGGGAAGAGCCATGGTGCTTGTATGGTGTTGACTGACCTCTCAATCTACAGATTCTCATTGGTGGAAGCTGGGCCAATGGCTAGCCTCCTACTTAATAGTAGTCTTCTCTCTCTGCCAACCACAGGTGGGGTCTGTGTCAGATCTAAAGGTAAAAAGGTCTCTCTCCCATTACCACTCTCCAGAGTATACAAAAAGCATATATGGGTTTTTATGAAGAGATTATTTAAAAGCTCATAGTCTTGAGACATTAAGTGATGAATGTCACTGAGAGTTTGTGGAATAGGATAGACTATTTTACACAAAGTGGGAAAGATATTTTAAAATCTCTCAATCTGATTATATGTAAATGTATATAATATCTGGTCTATATTATTTATATACTACATACATATATAATATTGATCAATTAATTAATAATGATATTGTCAGTCAGCAAAAGTATGGGCCTTTTCCTGACCCCAGTTGAATCTTTTGAAACTGATTTTAATTTGCTTTTGGGATATATATATGAATTGGGCCATGGTTGCTATGGAGATCTCAAAGATCATCCAAACTTCTCTGTGGTTATGTCTGAAATGATGTCTTTGGGGAGATTCAAATTATGAGGATGAGGACTGTGGGTGTCTGCCTCTCAAGATGCCACTTGTTATCAGCTACCATCATCTACTAAACCAGAAAGACTCATAGATTCCCTATCTTAATAGATGATTACATTTCATAGTAGATCTTTTATCCTGTCAACCATCCTGAATAACATACCAAATTAATTTGGGGCATAAATGGATGTGCTTTTTAGGAGAATTTGGCTCTATTTTCAGCTGTGAATTATGCATTAGTAAGAATTATTTGGACAGCATTCATCATCGTTTCCGAAGTTAATGAAATTCCATTACACTTCAGTACATTTTCATTTTACCCAGTGGTAAATTAATTCTCCTTCCCTCTTTCTCTCTGTCTCTATCTCTCATTCCTCTTTTGCATCGTTTACAGTAGTTACAGAGGGGGAAACATGGAGAGGCTTCATAACTAGAACAGGTTAAATAAGGGCCAGGAAAGACAGATGTTAACTGATTCTGTCTAAAATAATGATGTGCTCTGTAACTCAATGTCAAGATGAGCAAGAAAGGCTGCTTGTTTTCATAACTGCCACTGCTGTTTCCACTGCTCAAGAATTGAGGGCGGGATTGGCACTGGGGGGCTTAGCTGGGCTATAGCTTAGAAGCCTGGTCCCTCATCTTGACGCACTGCTCACACTTCTGAGGTTCTAGCAGGAGCAGCAGCACATAACACCCAGCCACGCTGCGGAATAGACTACTTGACTTGGGGAGGCTCCTTCGGCAGATGAGAAAGCCAGCAGCTTTGCAAAGTTCAGCTTTGCCCCATTGAGGAGAAGCAAGCCTGGAGCTCTCCTCGGTGCTAGCTGTTTGTGTTCATTATTGGCCTGGTCCCACCCTGTGTGTCTAGCCCTAGTCATAGCCCAAGCTAATCCTGCTCCCACAGGTCTCCTGCCCAATAGGTAAACAAATCTTCTCTCCAGTTCCCTAGGAACAGACCAAAGTGCATCCTGGAAGCTACTTTGGCCCTGATCCCTCACAGGTGGCTGTGTATGTTTCTAGACTCTTCTTCCAGCTAATAGTGTAGTGGTTAAAAGGGAGTTATCACTCTGAACACAGAGAAAGCAGGGTTTGAGTGCCTTGTACTACTGTGGGAATATTGTCAAGTTCTGTACCAACTTGAGCCCTGGTTTCCACAGCATAAAATGGAGACAACGTCTCTCTCACAGACATATTACGGGGAGGAAATCAGATAACATATGGGAAAGTACTGAGCACATGGGCTGAAACTTAGTGAGTGGCAGTTATTACAATTGTTTCTAGTTCATTCTAATGCTATTTACTGACTATTTTCTGATTCCCTCCTCCTTTTCTCTTCTATTTGCAGTTATGTGCAGCCTCCTGCCCACCCTCTGCAAGGTTCAGAGGGGTCATGGTAGCCACGAAAGTGTGGCTAGCCTTAAACACTCATTCTAATACCCTGGACTTCACAGTCTCAGCCAGTCTAAGCATGCTGTTTGCTTCATTTCCCATTCTTCCAGTCACATAAGCATGCTCAGACACTTATGTTCACATTGATTATTTAGAAGTTGGCACTGTGCCTATAGAAAATTTGGGAAGGGTAGGACTTTTTTACTCTCTTTAACTGTTTCATTCACCCCAGCAATGCGTCCCATCAGGTACTGTGCTAGGCCAAAAAAAAGAGCACCTGCTCCATTTCAGGTAGATTTCAGGGTCCCTCATTTGAATAGGCCCCTGTAAGTGCTGGGAGTCACAGGATGTTCTAGGTGGAAAGGGATGTAGATATCAAAGTCACCCCCAAGATGATGCAGGACTTGAGAAGGAGAAGATAATTTTCAAAGTGTCTAGTGGTTTCATTATACAAGTAATATGTGACATATTATATTATAAACCTTCTGCCTTTAGGCAGATTTGTGGGTTTTTTTCTTTTTTCTTTTTTTTAGAAAATTGAAATTTTGAACCCTTTATAGAGGAAAAAGTCTTCCAAATTCCTAAATACCAAAACCATACAAAAACAACTCTATTTCTATGGCTGAAAAAGTCCTCAATGAATCAATTCTGTCAGAGCAATTAGAAATGACCCCAGTCAGATGGATTGTTTTCTGGTTAATGGTATTTGGCCAAACTAACCGGAATGAAATCAACCAGATGGCAATCCCATTGATTTTACAAACATGGGTCATTTTAGAGTCCAAAAAATGGCCTTCCAATGAGCACTTCAGACATGTGATAACACCACAGACTCTTGCTTATATTAATATATATTAACCATCACTTTAGATTACTTTTCAGGTTGATTTAATTGCCCCTTGTATACAATATATGTTTATTCAGACTATTCAATGCTCTTGATTTCAATTAACTCCAGACAAATCCCTCTCAGAGCAAAAGGCAGAGAGCGTAGGTTTATTTGCCTATATTAACCAAATTGGCAGGTAGTCAGGCAAACACAACCATAGCAACATCTGTGTAGTAAGCTGCCCAGAGCTCCCAAGGCTGGAGAGTGATGCAAGTCAGGTGGAGATAAGAGAGTACCTTGATTGTCATTTATAGTTGTCAGGGAACTGACAGAACTGGGGAGGTGCCCTACTCTTGCTGAAAGCAGAAGTCATTAATGAGGGGGAGTAATCAGTATTGATTATGAAAGGTACAGTAAATCTTATGACCATATGTATCCCCTTATCAGGAGATATTCTCCAGGAGTCACCAATCCTGGGAAACTCAGATGGTTGTGACTAATTTGGAGCACAGAAAATTTGTACATAAAATTATTAGCTAAAAAGCAGCATGATATAGTCACTGAATTAATCTGGGCACCAGAAGGCCAGGGTGTTGGTCTTGACTCCACACTGTGTAACCTCAGGCAAGACTTTCCTTTCCTCTGCCCTCACTAGGTTCACCTGCAAAAGGAAATGAGTTACACTAAATGGCCACCAAGGTGTCCCTCTCTCTCTCTCTTTCTCTCTCCCTCTCTCTCTCTCTCTCTCTCTCTCTCTCACACACACACACACACACACAGTCTCTCTCTCTTTCTCCCTCTCTCTCTCTCTCTTTCTCTCTCTCTCTCTCTCTCTCTCCCTCTCTCTCCCTCTTATTCTACCAATTCCTCTCTACTAGGAGGGATCTAAAGTAGTCATTAATTTCTTCAAATTGGAGAAAATGGATATTCTCTTACCAGTAGAAATTGTTCCCAGAAGTATCTAATTTTAATATAAATAATATCAAATAAACTTCTCTCTTTAGACCAGGCTTCAGGCTGAGATCATGAACTTGCCTTTCTCCAGGGTTCTTTATTTTACTCTGGAATGACTTAGTCACCACACAACACGTGGCCACTACTGTTTTTAGCTACTGGCCCTGTCAGGACCTGCTTCTATAACACTTTTTTTTCTTTGAGATGAAGTCTCACTCTGTTGCCCAGGCTGGAGTGCAGTGGCGGAATTTCAGCTCACTGCAACCTCCACCTCCAAGGTTCAAGCGATTCTCACTTGGAGATTCTCGTGCCTCAGCCTCCTGAGTAGCGGGTTTACAGGCACCCGTTTCCAGACCTGGCTAATTTTTGTATTTATAGTAGAGACAGGGTTTCGCCATGTTGGCCAGGCTGGTCTCGAACTCCTGACCTCAAGTGATCCACCCACCTCAGTCTTCCAAAGTGCTGGGATTACAGATGTGAGCCACTGCGCCCAGCATATCACATTTTTTTTTTTTTTTTAGCCCTTGATGATAAAAGCTCCATTCTAGACAAGAGACCAAATTATTACACATTTTCATCCTGCTTTCCTTGAAGACTTCTCATCAGAAATATATGAGAGGTCCAAATACCCTGCAAATTTGCCAGCGTTTCATATGAACAGTTTTGTCTTTGTTTTAGTTGTAGCCATCCTAATAGGTATGCAGTGGTATCTCACTGTGGCTTTAATTTGCATTTCCTGAATGACTAATGATGTTGAGCATCTTTTCATGTGCTTATTTGCCAGCACTATGCTTGGCACATAATAAATGCTCCCTTCCAAGATTTTGGGTGGTTTCTACCCACTGCTTCCCAAATGCATAATTTCAACAGGGGCCATCTAGAGACAAGGATTTTAAGTTGCAGTTGCTTGTTTGGGAAGAAAGGCATGGGGGAGCTAGAGAGAAGAGTAGATCTCCTGAAACTTCTCACGCAGCACACTGTGTAGTGACCACAGACTTCTGGTGGGAATAATTGTCCTAATTCTAGCTGAGTGTAGTGGCTCATGCCTATAATCCCAGCTACTCAGGAGGCTGAGACAGGAGGATTGTTTGAGGCCAGGAGTTTGAGACAAGCCTGGACAACATAGAGAGACCCTGTCTCTGCAAAAAAACTTTAAAGACTACCTAGGTGTGGTGGCACGCACTTGTAGTTCCAGCTACTCTAGAGGCTGAGGCGGGAGGATCACTTGTGCCCAGGAGTTTGAGGCTGCAGTGAGCTATTATTGCACCATTGCACCCCAGCCTGGGCAACAGAGTGACACTCTGTCTCAAAATAAATAAACAAATAAATGGTTTTTTTAATTGCTCTAATTCTAAAAATTCTTTTTAGTACTAGCTTCTTTGAATTACATATACAAACATACACACACACATGCATGCACACACACACGCATGCACACACACATGCATGATCAGAGGCAGTTTTTTAAATTAAATAATTGTTTTTGAGTGAATTGTACAGTAAAGGCAGATAGCTAGATTGTAGGGGAGCTGTAGCAAGTCGCTGAAAACCTGCCCACATGTCCTGCATTATTACAGTTATGATTCATATAAAATGAGATGAGAACATTTACTATCCTTGCAATCTTCCCTTCACACTCTAAAATGAAGTCTCCATCATTTCTCATTTATTTTGCTGTTGTTTTGTTTTGTTTTGATTTTTAATCACCAACTTGATTCTCAAAGCCTGGAACTCAATTACAAAGTTCATTTTGACTTACCAAATATTTACTGGGTACCTAAAACATGCCAAGCACTAGGCTAGAAAACATGGGAGAATTTCATGTTAAGTAAGACATTCTCTCAACCCCTGGAGGGGAACTTGTGGTCTATGTGCCCCTCAGGCTTGTTTCCGGAAACAGCTGAAAATTCTGCTTGTACTCCAGACTTAGTACATGGAGTCTAGGCATGAGGTGAGTCCTCTATTTTTTTTTTAAAAGAACCCTTTTCTCCTTTGATGACCCTCCAAACACAAAGCTTCCTTTAGTTTCCAACTCACTTCCTCTTTTTTAGCAACATTCTCAGCTTGTATTCAACTATTTCCTGTTCACATTTTCTAACTGTCCTGTTAATTATTCTCTGCCTTAAGAAAAACCATAGAGTAACAACATAAAATATTATACTTGATTTAGTATATATTATTTGCCTAAGGAACCAAAAAAATGTCAAAAGAGGGTCGTGAGAGGTCTAGGCATGGTGGCTCATGCTTGTAATCCCAGCGATTTGGGAGGCCACGGTGGGTGGATTACTTGACGCCAAGAGTTCGAGACCAGCCTGGCCAGCATGGTGAAACCCCATCTCTACTAAAAATACAAAAAAAAAAAAAAATAGCCGGGTGTGGTGGTGCATGCCTGTAACCCCAGCTACTTGGGAGGCTGAGGCAGGAGAATTGCTTGAACCCAGGAGGTGGCGTTTGCAGTGAGCCGAGATGGTGCCACTGCACTCCAGTCTGGGCAATAGAGCGAGACTGTCTCAAAAATAAAGGGGGGGGGGGAGGTGAGAGCAAGAGTAAAATCATTGTAGTGCATATTCGGTTCATATTACATAGATATAGAACAGATGATAGATGAATAGATACATACATACATACATACATACATAGATTCTTGTTTAAGGAACCTCTTCATCTAAATTGGTAATTCAGTGAGAGGAAGAGGGGATTGTATTTGACAAACACAAGAAGGAAGTCCATTTATTTCAGTGAATAATTCTGTGCATGCTTGTTTATTACTGAAGAGAATTTTGTGTGTGAGAGAGGAAGGTTTGAATTACTTAACTACACAGTCAATTCTTAATTATCCATGTTAATAGACAGAAGCGATTACTCTGATAATCTGAAACAACAGATAATCAAAAATTCTTCCCCTTAATTAGTCACCTATCCTCCTACAGTTTGTCTCCCGCTCTATCCCCACCCAGAAAACAATTTTCTGTACATTAGGGAAAATGTTTTCCAGAGGTAATCTCTCCCCTTACAGGCAACTAGCCTACCAAGTGATCCATCAGTTTCCTGAGGAGAGGCTGTAATCCTGGAATGCCTATGTGTTAATTTACAACAAAGTCTAGGGATGGCAAGGAGGGAATCTCTTCCTAGAGTTAAAAATATACATGTCCACTAGTTAGAGGATACACTCACCTCCTGCCTCCTGGTATTAGTGCATCTCAGAAGCCAAGCCTTCAGTGAGTATAGGGCAGTGATTAAGAGCTGAGATGGTCAGGGAGAGCTATGTGACCTTGGGCAAACTGCTTTCTGAGCCTCAACTTACTCAGCTATAAAATAGGGGTCATAATAATTATGACTTCATTGGGCTATTGTCAGATATATGAGATAACGACTGGAAAGTCCCTAACACAATGAATGCCCTTGGTGATATCAGCTATTATTATCATCATTATTGTTATTACTTAGGTTGTTGACAGTGCAAAGAGCTATTCCAGGCTGGGCACAGTGGCTCAAGCCTGTAATCCCAGCACTTTGGGAGGCCAAGGCAGGCAGATCACTTGAGGCCAGGAGTTTGAGACCAACCAGCCTGGCCAACATGGTGAAAACCCATCTCTACTAGAAATATTTTAAAAAATTAGCTGGGTATGGTGTCATGCGCCTGTAATCCCAGCTACTTGGGAGGCTGAGGCATGAGCCTCTCACTTGAACCCGGGAGGCAGAGGAGGTTGCAGTGAGCCATAATTGTGCCACTGCACTCAAGCCTGGGCGACAAAACCAGAATCTGTCTCGAAAAAAAAAAAAAGGAATCATTGCAAGAATGGGGGCCATCCAAACTAGGAGCTGTGAGTTTGCTGCAAATGATTAATAATAATAATAAAATATTTTGATTTTTAAAAATACATTCTAGCAGATTCAAGTTATCCTGCAATAAGCTTTGCTTCTCATCTCACTTCTGATATTCTTTCCTAATAGCAGAGGAAACCGTAAGATTAGATCTGGTGCACTGGGAGCCCTGGGCACTCCCTGATGGGTGGGAATGTATCTGATGAAGATTGAGATCTGTTGACTGGGGGGCCTTTATACTCAGCCTGACCTCTCTGAGTCCTGATGAGAGATTTCTTCCCTCATCCCAGTAGAGAGCATCTTCTAGTGCCTGAAGCTCCCAACAGCTTCAGTTTCTCCAGATTTCCAGCCAGACCACCCATTTCTCCCTACCAGAACGACTTGGCTTCCTTATATATGTTCATATCATTGATGGTATCTCCTAATATTGCTCCAGACTGAAGGTGATTTTGCAAATATCTAATCTCATCCATTTTGGGTGGATTTGATCAGACCAGGTTTCAGAGTTCTGAGACTAGTCTTCTGTCAGTCTTGCCTATGTTAACTACCTTTGTGACCTTGGTCAAATCCGTTTTCTTCTGTGCTATGACCCGGGCTGCCTTAGAAATTCTCTGATGATGGTTCCTTCCTGCTCAGACTTAGGGTTCTAGGATTCCAGCTGGGAGAGGGAGAGGATCAGTAGGAAAGGACACAGTGTAAGCAGATGTTTGGAGGAAACCAAAGACTTCCTACTTAACACTTAAAGACCTCCTACTTAAAGACCTCCTCTTTAATAACTCCTACTTAACACTGCCCAGAGTAGCTCTTCTCCTGATCCCATTTTTCTCAACGGAAGAGATATTGGCTTGCATATACTGAAGCAAATGCTGCAATTTTAACATATTAGTGAAATCTCATAAGTTATTAATATTTGGTAAACTGGATGATTTCTGGTCTTTTTCCCTGGGCCTCCACAGAAGGGCCTGACCTTGCATGATAGCCATCTTCCTTTTACTCGCTAGGTGGCAGCAACACTCAGCTTTGCCAAACAGGAAAAAGGGTCCTTATTGTCATTTCTGTGATGATCTCTGCCATCTGTATGTTTGATTTGGGAGCACCTTGATACTTTGCATTTCTATTTTTATTTTTCTGGACAACTAAAGTTTAACTCCAGTTACAAGTAATCACAAATAACTGTAAGGATTTCAGAAAAAGGAATTGAATGTAAAGCCAGGAAACAACCAGCACAGTAACTGATGAATGGATGATGAAATAGAGCTGGAAAGACTTGCCCAAAGTCATACAGGTAGTTAGTGGCAGAGTGAGAACTAGAAGTCTGTCTCAACTCTCAACCCCAACCTCTTGCCCATTTTTTTCTTTTGGGAGGTGAATATACCCAATAGTTTCATGGAGTAACTATGGACCCTGGGGCAGATTCGTTAACCTCTCTAGGCCTCGAGTTCTTTGTCTGTAGTATGGGGATAATGATAGTAGCTACCTCATAGGATTCTATCAGAATTAAATGAAACTATGCCTGCAAGGGGCAGGGAGGCACGTCATACTCAGGCAGGTGTGTCACCCACAGGAATGGGCAGCATACACTGGGATGCCTGATGGCATTTTGGACCACAGCTTTCTTTGAGAGAGTCTCATACAACACTCCGCACATAATTTGCCTTCTTTTTTCCACATACAGGACAGTGCATGCATTTTTAACAAACACATTTAAGCTATATTCCAAAAATAAGAAATGAGAAAGGGGGACTGATGTCCAATGAAAGGATGTCCAAGGCCTCTTTCAATGTTAACAGTCTCTGAATGCAATGTGTCTAACTCCAGGTTTCTCTCTTAGCAGAGGAAGTGGGAGAGAAAGTGCCTCCATCAGTTGCTATCACATTGCCTCAATAACCCACCTATAACAAAGACCTGAGGTAGAATAGTTGGCTTTCCCTGATTATTCTCTGAGTATTCTAGGACAGTCTCTGAGTACCACACCTGGTACTCTGGCTCCCTTAAAATATGCACAAAACCATCATGAACAGAAACATCAATACAAGTGAGTCTCATACAGGTAAGCATTGCATTTGCAAATATCGCAGTGTAATCATAATCAGGATCCATTCTCAGAAATTTTTTTTTTTTTTTTTTGAGACAGAGTCTCACTCTGGCACCCAGGCTAGAAAACAGTGGCGCCATCTCGGCTTACTGCAAACTCCACCTCCCGGGTTGAAGTAATTCTCCTGCCTCAGCCTCCCAAGTAGCTGAGACTACAGGTGCGCACCACCAGGGCATGCTAATTTTTGTATTTTTAGTAGAGATGGGGTTTCGCCACATTGGACAGGCTGTTCTCGAACTCCTGACCTCAAGTAATCTGCCCACCTCGGCCTCCCAAAGTGCTGGGATTACAGGTGTGAGCCACCATGCCCAGCCATCAGAAATTATTCTTAGGACCAAAGCTACTGAGTATCTCCAGAAAGCCTAGGGCTGAGCCGGTTTTGTGGCTGGTAGAGTCCTACAGAATCACTGTAGCTAAATTAAATCCAAGTGATCTCAATGCCTTTCAGTTACAAAGTGCATATGTTATTTGTGTAATGTTTTGTTCATTTTTTACAAGGCACTTTGGGAGTATTTTTAATCTCATTTGATCCTTAAAACAACACTGGAGTTAGTGTGGCAGGTTGTAAGTCACCATCTCATAAATGAGAAGAATATGAGAGGCAGAACAAGATCAAGTACAAAGGCCTTCAAATCAGACAGACTTGAGTTCATATCATAGCTCTGGTACTTCCCAGCTGTGTGACTCCAAGCAAGTTAAATGGTCTTTCTAAGCCTCAGTTTCCTCCTCTGCAAAAAGGGGCTAATAGAGTTCGCTCCAGGGGTTGTTCTGAGGATTAAATAAGATAGTGAATGGAGGCAAAGGGTCTTGATATTTTTTTAATTACTTATTATAATTAAATCATTGACTATTTGTAACAGAAGTCAGGACAGGCACCCCAAATCCAGTGGGCTAAATGTTCAAATTCAAGGATATGGATTCACAGATCCAGAGTCAGACTTTTCTCGCTAAAAAAAAAAAAAAAAAAAGACAGTCTTTTCTTATTAGCTAATCTTTGATACCAAAATCACCTTTTTGTCCATGAATTTGTGTATCTCCAATGTTTGATTTGGCGAAGGACTTTTCATGTTCCCACTTCTGTGTGTGGGTTTTGTGAGATTTTGCCTAGTATTGATATGCAGAAACTGTTTGTCCTGTTGTGTATCAGCATGGCCATTTCTGCTCCAAGATTCTGCACAGAAAGAGTAAGTTAGAAAAAGGCCAGGAAGGCCAGGCACGGTGACTCATGCCTGTAATCCTAGCACGTTGGGAGGCCGAGACGGGTGGATCATCTGAGGTCAGGAGTTCAAGACCAGCCTGGCCAACATGGTGAAACCCCATGTCTACTAAAAATACAAAAATTAGCCAGGTGTGGTGGTGTGTGCCTGTCATCCCAGCTACCTGGGAGGCTGAGGCATGATCCTCTCTGTTGAACCCAGGAGGCAGAGGCTGCAGTGACCTGAGATCCTACCAAGGCACTTCAGCCTGGGCAACAGAGCAAGACTTTGCAAAAAAAAAAAAAAAGACAGAAAGAAAAGGCCAGGAAAGCACTAACAGTGCAGAAGACAGGGTGGGGTAAGTAGGGGTGGGGAAGGAAGTTTCAGCCAAGAATTCTCAAGTTGCTTTTCTATGCCTGGAGAGAAGAGTTAAACCACGTTTTTTTCCCAATAGTATAGACTCGATGGGGTGCAGTGGCTCAGGCCTGTAATCCCAGAGCTTTAGGGAGCTGAATCAGGAGAATCACTTGAGGCCAAGAGTTCAAGGCTGCAGTGAGCTATGATTGTGCCACTGCACCTCCAGCCTGGGCAACAGAGTGAGACCCCGTCTTTTAAAAATAAAAAATAATATTGTCTCCCCATCACTGATGACATGCAGACACACTGAACTGGTGGTATTTCTCTGGAGAGCAATTTGGTTTGAAAGCTCTTTATACCTCTGCCCCCATTGCTGAGACCACATTCCGAAGAAACAATCCCCAAAGGAACAAGGGGATAGAAGGTGAAAAACTGTGTAAGATCATTCCAAGCCCAGCTGTTTATAATGGTGAAAAACTGAAAACAATCCAAATGTTCAATAATGGTAGAATGTCTTAAAAATGTAGTCTATCGACCAGATGGAATGCTATTTAGGCATTAAAGTGGTAAGTATGTGGTAAGTTAAGTGAAAAAGGCAGATCACAACATGGTATGGACATAAACATTATAACTATGTAAACCTGATATGTAGACATTAATATAAAGGAAAGAGGCCGGGCGTGGTGGCTCACGCCTGTAATCCCAGCACTTTGGGATGCCGAGGCCAGCAGATCACCTGAGGTCAGGAGTTCCAGACCAGCCTAGCCAACATGGTGAAACCTCGTCTCTACTAAAAATACAAAAATTAGCCGGGCGTGGTGGCAGATGCCTGTAATCCCAGCTACTCGGGAGGCTGAGGCAGGAGAGTCACTTGAACCCAGGAGACAGAGCTTGCAGTGAGATGAGATCACGCCACTACACTCCAGCCTGGGAGACAAGAACGAGACTCTGTCTCAAAAATATATATGTGTGTAAAGGAAAGAAAACGTGTGTAGTGTAGGGAACGAGCTACTGTGCATGCCACTTTATAAATATTATCTCATTTAATTCTCATAGCAACTAATCATTTTGTTCTTTTTTTTTTTTTTTTTTGATACAAGTTCTTGCCCTGTCACCCAGGCTGGAGTTCAGTGGCACGATCTCGGCTCACTGCAACCTCCACCTCCCAGGCTCAAGTGATTCTCCTGCCTCAGCTTTTGAGTATCTGGGACTACCAGGCATGTGCCACAGCATCTGGCTAATTTTTGTATTTTTTTTTTGTAGAGATTGGATTTCACCATGTTGCCCAGTCTGGTCTCGAACTCCTGAGCTCTGGTTATCCACCCACTTCGACCTCCCAAAGTGCTGGGATTACAGACGTGACCCACTGTGCCCGGCCACCATTTTGTTCATTTCTATACACACAAAAAAGCTGCTGGGGATGACTGCAGTGTCTCACACCTATAATCCCAGCACTTTGAGAGGCCAAGGCAGGCGGATCACTTGATATCTGGAGTTCGAGACCAGCCTGGCCAATATGGCGAAACCCTGTACCTACTAAAAATACAAAATTTAGCCTGGCATGGTGGTGTGCACCTGTACATTCCTACTGCACTCCAGCCAGGGCGACAAAGGGAGATGTCATCTTAAAAAAAAAAAAAAAAAAAAACACCCTGCTGGGATTATCATTTGCATTGTGAAAAATGGGACTTTAAAATGGGTGGCTCTCTGGCCGGGCATGGTAGCTCATGCCTGTAATCCCAGCACTTTGGGAGGCCGAGGTGGGTGGATCGCTTGACATCAGGAGTTCGAGACCAGTCTGGCCAACATGGCGAAACACCACCTCTACTAAAAATACAAAAAGTTAGTTGGGCGTGGTGGCGGGCGCCTGTAATCCCAGCTACTCAGGAGCCTGAGGCAGGAGAATCACTTGAATCCAGGACGCAGAGGTTTCAATGAGCCGAAATCTCACCACTGCATTCCAGCCTGGGCGACAGAGCGACACTCCGTCTCAACAAAATAAATACATAAAATAAAATAAAATAAAATAAAATGAGTGGCTCTGCCATTTACAAGAAGTGTGACTTTGGACAAGTCACTTTCTAAATCGCTTCCTTCATAAAATGAGGAGGAAGCTAATTAAATATTAAATCTGAGTGTCTTTGAACTATCAAATGTGTCATAATTTTAGTTTTTATGTCTCTGGTGTTCCTGAGAATCACAGTTTAAAATGCCTACCATGAAGTGAGTGTCCATTAACATGTTTTGAAAAGTATGGTGCAAGGCCCGGCGCAGTGGCTCACGCCTGTAATCCCAGTACTTTGGCAGGCTGAGGTGGGTGAATCACCTGAGATCAGGAGTTCCAGACCAGCCTGACCAACATGGTGAAATCCCGTCTCTACAAAAAATACAAAAAATTAGCCAGGCATGGTGGCAGGTGCCTGTAATCCCAGCTACTCAGGAGGCTGAGGCACGAGAATCACTTGAACCCAGGAGGTGGAGGTTGCAGTGAGCTGAGATCGGGCCATTGCACTCCAGCCTGGGAGACAAAAGTGAAACTCCGTCTCAAAAAGAAAGAAAGAAAGGAAGGAAGGAAGGAAGGAAGGAAGGAAGGAAGGAAGGAAAGAAGGAAGGGAGGGAAGGAAGGAAAGTATGGTGCAAAAAGGCCACCAGAGAAAAAGATAACTGACTTTCCTATCTTAAAGCAATACACGATTCAAAATATTCTATTAATGTCATTCATATTTTCATAAACTTTGGTGACTGGAATAAAAGTGCTTCCTTTCTACCATACCCAGAGAATTGGCAGAGATGGAGGTGGGGGTGGAATAACATACCCAGAAAGAATTGGAAATTATGCACAGACAGTTTAAGTGAAAAATGTGGAAATTCTGGCTCGAACCAGCATTGTTTTCAACTAGCATTCAAATAACTTTGTCATCTAGGAGGCACTATTTCCCCCAACCACAAGCTGTCCTGAAGCGGGGGAAGGAGGAGTGTGTTAAGCCACGTGATTGGGGTTAACCCCTCCTGAACCTGATGCTCTTCAAGGTCCACATGCCTCCCTCTTTGCCATAAACTGCCATGACTATGGTCTTCCGGCTTAGATTCTCATGAGATGCTGCTTCAGTTTTTGCCTTACTCTTTGTTGTTTTTTTTGTTTGTTTGTTTGTTTGTTTTTGAGACACGGTCTCGCTCTGTCACCCAGGCTGGAGTGCAGGGGCACCGTCTCGGCTCACTGCAACCTCAGCCTCCCAGGTTCAAGTGACTCTCCTGCCTCAGCATCCTGAGTTACTGGGATTACAGGCATGCGCCACCACTCTTGGCTAATTTTTGTATTTTTAGTAGAGACGGTGTCTCACCATGTTGGCCAGGCTGGTCTCAAACTCCTAGCCTCAAGCAATCTGCCTGCCTCGACCTCCCAAAGTGCTGGGATTACTGGCATCAGCCACCGCGCCCGGCCTGCCTTACTCTTGATAGATGTTTTCTCTTCTTGCAAGATCACTCTTCCAGTAAGGCTGTTTCCACTTGTAAGAAATGAGGGGAGAGTTCAAGCACTGTAGTAGCTGCAGTCTGTTGAGACTATATTTGTTCCTGCCTTCTGGCTTCTTCCATCAGGAGACAAGCTTGGGGGAGGGGGAGGGGTGTCTGCAACTGGACAACGTTTTATCAGCACCTCAAGGGAATAGACCCTACCTTGTCTTCTTCTGAAACAGGCCTTCTCCCCCACAACAGCTGAGGAAGGTAGGGGAAGGGGCAGGGCAGGAACACAAAGGGTACTGACATTCTGTGAAGCGCCAGCATTCTGGTCTTTAAAAAGACTTCGAAAATATGAATGAGTCCTGCATTTATTTCTCCCCAAACAAGCATCTTTGTTGGATAGTTACACACAATTATTATTCTTTGCCTAAAAAACTTGATCTCGTTTCTAACTGCAAATCCCTCTGCCAGCATTTGGGTTGCAAAATGCTTTGTTTTCTTGGCCTCCTGTCTTTAGTCTCTAAATCACCTGGTAAAACATCCCCAGCCCTCTGTTCACAAATGAGGACATTTAGGGTAAAGGTGAAGGGAGAAGAAAAAGAAAAGGCTTTCAGGTAACTTTTGAGTTGGGACAGGATCAGGAAGCATGGAATTATCTATTGCAGTCTGAGCTACGTGGTATGTATATTATTATCATTATTAATAGTAACAGCATTTGAGGGGATAATTCTACTGACTTCATAGCATTTTTTTTTTGTGAGGCAGGGTCCCCCAGGCTGGAGTGATGCAGTGGTGCAATCATGGGTCATTGCAGCCTCGACCTCCTGGGCTCAAGATATCCTCCTGCCTCATTTCTTGATTTTTTGTAGAGAAGAGGTCTCACTATGTTGCCCAGGCTGGTCTCGAACTCCTAGGCTCAAGCCATCTGCCAGTCTTGGCCTCCCAAAATGCTGAGATTACAGGCGTGAGCCACTGCGCCCGGCCTCATAGCATTATTGTCAGGAATAAGTGAGGCTGCAATGTAAATAAAGTGTATGACTCGGTGCCTGACACACGGTAAATTCCTTCAAACTATTAGCTATTATTACTACTAACAATCTTTTTTTTATTGAGCCTGTACTGTACATTGGGCACTGTATCTGATCTTTTATATCACCTGATTTGAATAATAATGGAGCAGTTATAAGAAATTGTCATTATGCTCATGTTACAGATGAGAAAACTGAGGCTCAAGGTCACAAAGTCCTTAAGTGGCAGAACTGGGACCCAGGCCCAGATGTGTTCAGTTCCAAAGCCCCTCACCACACTGCAGTGGATAAAGGACACTTTCAGGGGGTTCGCAAGTTAGCCAATCAGTTACTCTCTTCACCAGTCTGTTACTAAACTATGAATGCTTATATAATGACAGCATTTCTCCCTGAACCAATTTTCTTCAAATGTCATTTCCTCCTTCTATAAACAGACTGAACACATCCTTGACTCATATTTGAACAAAGTCATTTCACATTTCAAATTTTCTTTTCCCTGCAGTCAGCCCTATGGCAATTGCACAGGCCCAGGGCCAAATTCCAGCTCAGAGTGGAGGATGTGTGAATACCATAGGCTAAGAAAATAGCATGAGACCAACTAACAGAGGTCCCCCAAGTGCTGTCTTACCCTGCTATTTCCCAGCAGGCTGTGGATTAAGATATAAATGAGACATATGGAGATGGTAAAAAGCATATGTCAGGCATGCTGTGGTCCATGTTCCTGTCAAGCACACACACTGGGTCATTTTTAATCATGAAAACACCACCAAGCCGGCTACCCAAATATTTCTACAGAACCAAAATTGAAGTCAGTACTTTATTTCTCACACCTCCCTTCTTACATCAGCCTTTTCTGCAGTATCCCGGAATTGGGTGCACATATCTCTCCCCCGCCCCCAGCAAAAGGAGAGAGAAAGAAAAGAACTGGTTAGTACCAAAAAACGAAACAGTTCCTCCTGAGTATGTTTCAGTTGAATTAATTATCCCCAGGCATAATAATAAATGTCATCATGATCAACAACAAAACTTATTGAACACAAACCTTCTACACAGTATTAAAGAAGGGCATTGTGGTAAAATGCCATCAGCATCCCTGTTGCACCTCCCTGTTGGTGATGTGTCGCTCACCTCCCTGTATTGTGATGCGATTCCCTGCCTTGTCCTAAGCTCTGAGGACAACATATAAAAAAACTCACCATTCAAGAAATAGCCATTTCTTCCATGAAGCCACTCAGGTACACTAGAGCTTGGCCATTTCCCCCATTCCCATCCTAACTCCCAGATTCAGATGGAAATTTGATGTGGCTGCTCGTTTGGCCTTTGGCATAGGCTCCCAGGCAACATTTTTAGTGGCCCTCTCTTCCTCTGACTCCTCCTACTGATGGAAAGCTTGCGAGCTCTGGAATCAGATTATCCTGAATTTGAATCATGCCTCGGTGAGGTGGGGGAAGAGCAAAGATCAAAGCAGAGGCCCTTGTAGGCTCAGGAGACGTCCTGGTTTCACCTGTGCAAAAAAGAGTTCCTGGGAGAAAGTAGTGAGGAATGAGTCTGGAACAGCAGGTAAAGGCCAATTCACAGGAACCTTTACAAAAAGAACAAGTTGTCAAACAGTACATCTTTCAAAACTTTGCAACATCTCCATTTAATTCCCTCCTATCCCCTTTTCAGTTTCATTGGGAGGATATAGGCCAAATTCCAGCTGGATTACATAATGGTTCCCAGCATTGGATCAGCAATTCTCACTTTTTTTTTTTTCCTCCCAAAAGATTGTTTAGGCAGCCTTTCACGTGTGCGTAGAGGAAAGAACATTCATTAGATAGGGTGTCAGGAGACTTCGGTTCCAGCCACAGGAAGTTGAGTCAACACCTCTCTCTGAGCCTCGGAGGAAAGTAAAAGGACTAAAGTAGGTGGCCTTGACAGTTGTTCCTAGTTCTGACATCCTTGATATGTTCTCAACAGTAACATCTGGAAACTAAAGAAAAGCAAAATCCAAGTGTATGTGTCTTTCATGAGAACAGAGGAAAATGGTCTATTTACCCATTGGCCTCAGGGATAACCTGCACTTTTTTTCTTCTCCTCATCTACCTCAAGTCTCTTCCTGAATACTCTCCTTGTGGGCCTTGAAGTGTTTGCTGTTGGGTTAACCTGAGCCTCAGAACTTTTGCTCTGTTTTTGCTGAGTCCTTCACCTGACCTGCATGCAAAGATGATGGGAATCCATTGGCAAAACTTGCTTTGACTCTTGGCTACCCATGCGTGCATGCCAATAGACCCACATGCCCTGGAGATTGCCCACACAGGTCCCTTTATATTCTCAGGCCCTTTTTCTCCCAAAGTACACATTCTTTAAATAGGGCTGTGAACTGGCCATGAAAAAAACAATGAGGTTTACAGTGAAGGCTTTCAGCTACACAACTGTATCAGCCCATTGACAACTGAGTTTTGCAAAGGGACATTCTCTCAAGAAGAACCACAGCAAGAACAGATTTTTAACCAGTGAAAATGCCTTCAGGTTGAATCTCAAAGTGTTTATAATCTAAGACTTTAGAACACCATGTAGCCCCAGATAGGACTTGATGATTAATGAAGTACAATACATAAGTATGGATGAGATTCCTCCCAGCCACAGAGCTTCCAGATGTCTAGATCAACACTCAAAGCAACAAACCATTCCCTCTGCCACAGAGACATCTGAGTTTGCAGCATGAAAAACTGGGGGCTGAGTGCAGTGGATGAGGGGACATGGTCTACTCTGAATCTGACCAATTTTCCCGGGGAAACATCTCTCTCAGTTTATAGGAGAAGAGTTTCTTCTGTGTCTCACTTTCTGTGTGTGATCTGGATGTTTTTACTTCTCCTTCATTCATCTAGCTAGCTCATTTTAAAATGTAGTTGGCTTTGTGCGTGTACTGTCCTTTGTGGGGAAAAGAGAAAATCGTGTATGCAGTGCGTTGTATCAGACTCTGGCACAGTGCATTGTGATATGAAATGCCATCAGGCATCTCTGCTGCATCTCCCTATAGGTGACGTACACCACCACCTCCACCTGTCTGTATTGTGATGTGCTTCCCTGCCTTGTCATGCTCGCTGGTAATGTCATGGTGCTACCTTGGCTTTCAATGTAACCCAGGGCAAAGCATCTGCCTGCTCTGAGTTAAAAAAAATATATGTATATATACACACACATATACGTATACATATACATATATATACATATATATATTCCACAATGTACACAATACTAGATCTGTATTAGAATCTCTAATATTTTCCATTATCAAAGTGTAATGGTATTAAATACTCAGCAGTAATTGTCATCACACAAGACATTGTTCAGTATACTCAGGAATGGATGTCATATAAATAATAACACTTATAGAATCAGAAACTCTGGGAATGGGGCCCAGAAATCTATGTTAACTCCTATTTTCTTCTCATTTTTTCCTATCTGGATTTTACCAATTTTTAGCTCTATTAGAAATTCCAAAGTGTCTTTAAAGGGCATCCCTTGATACTTTCTGCTTTTTGGCATCCTCTGAAGCTTCCCTTATATTGCAGGCCTGTATTTGGAATGAGGAGGCACAGCCCATGTTTGCTGTACTTTATTTGAAGTCAAGAAAAAAAAATGAGGACATTTTCTTGCCCTTTAATAATTTTAAGTCTAGATCTTTTCAACACTGGGGTGGCCATCCAAAGCATTTTCATTTCTTCCTCCTTCAGTACCCAGGGGGCTTCTAGTACTCTCTTTTATTCATTCCATAAATATTCTTTACAGGATACACAGCATGATAAATGTGGCACATCTTCCTTTATACATGTATTTTGAAATCAGTCCCATGTACTCAGCATTTATTGACTCTTCTGAGCCTTTCTAGAAGGAAGCCTGCTTAAAAGGAGTCATATCTATCTCCCTTGCAAGATATACATTAAACACCCATTTTTTTTAATCTGTATAACTTTAAGGGGTACAAGTGCAGTTTTGTAGTGGTGAAGTGTCTGGGCTTTTATTGTAACCATCAACTAAACACCCATTTTCAATGCTTTCTTCTTCAATAGTTTGAGTCGATTTCATTAGAGGCTTAACAGACAGCTGTACCAACACTCATGTTAGGAGATGTAGTTGTGGGAGACCTTACCAATTAGAAAGTGTAACTTTCAAAAGGCTCTGTAGCCAGAGTGTGAGGATTGGATCAAGGAAGAAGTGGAAGACAAGGGTGAGGAATTAATAGTGTCCAAGGGCTTGTCAACTGGAAATTGGGAGGAACCAGGCACAGTGACTCACACCTGTAATCCCAGCAACTTGGGAGGGCAAGGCGGGTGGATCATTTGAGGTAAGGAGTTTGACCAGCCTGGGCAACATGGTGAAACCCCGTCTCTATGAAAAATACCAAAAAAAAAAAAAAAAAATTGGGTGTGGTGGGGCACGCATGTAGTCCCAGCTACTGAGGAGGCTGAGGCAAGACAATCGCTTGAAGTCGGGAGATGCAGGTTGCAGTGAGCCACGATTGCACCACTGCACTCCAGCCTGGGTGACAGAGCGAGACTCCATCTCAGAAAATAAAGGAAAAAGAAATTGGGAGGCCCAGTGGAAGGCGGACGAGCTCTGGAGTCAGATACATGTGGGCTTGAATCTCAACTCTGCGACTTCCCATCTGGGCAGGTTAGTTAACCTCCCTGGGCCTGCTTCCTCATCTGTAAAATGAGGATGGGAATAGAAGCTAGCTCATAAAGTTGTGGTGAAGATTACACGAAATAATCCATGTCGACCCTTTTGCACTGGGCCTCCCACTGAGTAGGCAACCGGCAAATGATGGCTCTTACTATCAACCAGGCAGTTTCCTCGGCTTATGTACTACTCCAAGCAAATTGCCCCCACTGCCACACCCTTCCTCTCTGAGGTTCGTCTACATTCCCACTTTGGAGGGAAATGGCAGTGGGAGCCTCTTTTTCCTCTCCTCAGAAGTTCACTGCCCCCTCCCTGGTGAGCTCAGGCTATGAAAATCAGCGCCTCCACCCCAGGGAAGACCTAAAAGGAAATGGTACAGAGCAGCCTGTTGAAATTAGACAGCAGGGTCACCCTGGTCCTCTGTGCCACAGGAAGGAGGGGTACTGAAGTGTCAGTTGTTGGTGGGGGAGCAGTGCTGCAGTGGGAATTCCAGAGCTGAGAAGGCTGCCATCAACCAAGTGAGACATGACCAGCCCCCGAGGTAAGTCTGTAACTTAGGAGGGAAGAAAGCGCAGATGTGGGAAAAGGAAGGAAAATGTGAGTAGATTTGGCAAGAGATGAGTCCAGAAGGAAACATCACTCTTCCCGGGCATCACAGTCAAGCTACAACAGATGCAGGACAAGAGTGAGCGACGAGAGGAGAAAGAACACAAAACCAGAGCCTTGTCTCAACTGTGTATATGACAAGGAATCTAACAGGTCGTTAAGAATGGAGAGAAAAAGCCATCGCATGGCTGGTAAGCTTAAAACTCATAGTACAGGACTGTGGTGGTGGCAGTTTGCATGCAAATTCGCTAGATTGGTAAGCTCACTAAATGTTTATTATATGTAAGTTCAATTTTTTAAAAAACTTCATCTTTTAATAGAAACAAATGTGGCAATTTCTAGACCTGTTATGACTGTGGTTTCTGAATGTTTTTCCCAAGGGTGTAAGGTTTAAGGGGAAAAAATAGCCTAGAAGGAAGAAAAAGCGAGCAGGATTCCAGTTCTTCTCTGCTCGCTGGGGAACACATGCTTTCCAAATACGGGGAGGAGAGGAGAGGAGAGGAGCCGCCTGGGTTCTTTCCCAGCTCTGAGTCTGTTTTGGCTCCAGAATAAACTCCACTGTCCCCAAGCTGATAGCTTTCAGTTCCAATATTTTTTTCTCAGAAATGTACAGTCTCGTGGGAGCTCCTTGGTGAGCTTCTGTAGCCCCAAGGAAACATCTAAAGGGACCCTGATGTAAGTCATTAGTTTAGAGTCAATGAGATTGGGGACCCTAGAGGGCAGGGCTTCCTTCCATATGTATTTGTCCCCACACTGCTAGTCACAGAGTAGGTGGTTAATAAAAGATTAATTGAATAATTTACCTACTAAATGAATACTAAATCTCACAGTAATCTACCAATGATGTTAGAGAGAAAGAAGTTATATCTACAGATTAAAAGGCATATCAAATAATGCAATGTATGGACCTTGTTTGAATTTTTATTCAAAGATTTTTTAAATGAGGCAATTTGGAAATTTGAACACTGCCCTGCACCATGTTTTTTCTTTTTTTATTTGCTTTTTTTTGTTTGTTTGTTTTTGAGACAGAGTTTTGCTCTTGTTGCCCAGGCTGGAGTGCAATAGCACGATCTCAGCTCACCACAACCTCGGCCTCCCAGGTTCAAGTGATCCTCCTGCCTCCGCCTCCTAGTACCTAGGATTACAGGCGCGTGCCACCACGCCCAGCTAATTTTTGTATTTTTTAGTAGAGATGGAGCTTCACCATGTTGGCCAGGCTGGTCTGGGAATCCTGACCTCAGGTGATCTGCTCGCATTGGCCTTCCAAAGTGCTGGGATTACAGGTGTGAGCCACCGCACCCAGCCGTTTTTTTTGTTTGTTTGTTTTTGTTGTTTGTTTGTTTTTGTTTTTGTTTTTACTTTTAATGTCATCATTTAAAAATAGATTTTACATTAAGATCCAGATTTCGAGTTTATTTTGAAAAGTGGGAATATCTGGCCACAGATGGGCCCATCTGCCCACTCAGCGACCATGGGCTGGAATTAAGACGTGGTTACTCGCTTTTGGAGGTGGTTCCCACAGTCCCCATCTCAGGCCCAGAATAAGTGCTAATTCTTCCACAAAGACTTCTCTGATCACTCCAAACAGGACTGATTTCTCATCCCTTAGCCCTTGGAAGCCGTTTCAGTTACTCGCCTAAATCCTACTCATGCCACCTGTATGTGGTTATTCCTGGATGTCTTATCTCCCCTCTTCCTCCTACACCCTGGCTGGACTGAGGCCTTTAGAGGCTCTAAACACTGAAAAGACTAGTAGGGTGCCTCCCCATGTGTAATTCCCAATCAAATTTTATTTTTCAAAGTGACAGTGTTTACAAATAAGTTGAAGACAAACTTCTAGATTGAAAAAAACTCGGCTGGGCGCAGTGGTTCACATCTGTAATCCCAGCACTCTGGGATGCCAAGGAGGGTGAATCACTTGACCTCAGGAGTTGGAGACTAGACTGGTCAACATGGCAAAACCCCGTCTCTACTAAAAATACAAAAATTAGCCGGGCGTGGGGGTGCAGGTCTGTAATTCCTGCTACTTGGGAGGCTGAGGCAGGAGAATCGCTTGAACCCAGGAGGCGGAGGTTGCAGTGAGCCAGGACTGTACCACTGCACTCCAGCCTGGGTGATAGAGTGAGACTCCATCTCAAAAAATAAAGAAAAAATTATCTAACTTCTTATTTGGAAAAACCTCAAATCTTTACCCCTACATTCTTCAATATTTATGTCTTTTTTTGTGTTCGTGAGACAAAGTCTCATTCTGTCTCCCAGGCTGGAGTGCAGCAGGCAATCTCAGCTCACTGCAACCTCCGCCTCCTGGGTTCAAGCGATTCTCTTGCCTTAGCCTCCCGAGTAGCTGGAATTACAGGCATGTGCCACTACACCCAGGTAATTTTTGGGTTTTTGTCTTGTGTTTTTATTTTTTTCTAGAGATGGTGTTTCGCCATGTTGGGCCAGGCTGGTCTGGAACTCCTGAGCTCAAGCAATGTGCCGGCCTCAGCCTCCCAAAGTGCTGGGATTACAGGCGTGACTATTTATTTCTTAAGAAGAAGTGCATTTTCCTAGGTGACTACAACATCATTCCCACACCCAAGAAATTTGACCTTGATACAATATCATGTACCATACAGTTCATATTCAAATTTTCTAATTATGCCAGTAACGTATGCCCTTTCAAGCTTCTTTTAAAAATTAGGGTTGTAATCAAGGATCATACATTGCATGTGGTCTCTTTAGCCTCCTGTGATCTGGAACACTTCTCTGATTTTTGTTGTTAGTCTTTCATGACACTAATATTTTGAAGCATTGGGGCCAGTTATTTTGTGGACTATATCACAGTCTCTATCTCTGTCTGAATGTTTCTTCATTATTAGATTTGGGTTCAACATTTTTGCAAGAAACTACAAAGCTGATGTGTTTTGCTAAATTTTCTGTTTGCGGAGTTCCAGATAAGGTCATGAAAGCTGAACTTGTGTTTGTGTATGTGTGTGTGTTTTGTGGGCACCCTAATCATATGTGTGTCGTATTAATAATCATGAATGGCTACCATCCTGGATATCATGCAAAGCATTGGTCTCTGTATTTACTTAGAAGCAGAGCTTCGGGAGTTATAATGCCAAACTGTTTATTTTTGCCACTAGTTTTTTTTTTCTTCGAGACAGAGTCTCGCTCTGTTGCCCAGGCTGGAGTGCAGTGGCAGCTCTCGGCTCACTGCAACCTCCACCTCCCGGGTTCAAGCGATTCTCCTGCCTCAGCCTCCCGAGCAGCTGGGATTACAGGGGCCCGCCACGACGCCCAGCTAATTTTTGTATTTTTACTAGAGACGGGGTTTCCCCATGCTGGCCAGGCTGATCTTGAACTCCTGACTTCAGGTTATCCACCTGCCTGGGCCTCCCAAAGTGCTGGGGCTGGGATTACAGGTGTGAACCACCGTGCCTGGCCCCCCACTTGTATTAATCTACATCATCGCAAACACTTATTGACCACGTTTTAATTTTTGTTAAAATTGTAGGTGCAACGTAATGTCTTTTTTTTCTTTTTCTTTTCTTTTCTTTTTTTTTTTTTTTTTTTTTTTGAGACAGAGTCTCGCTCTGTCACCCAGGCTGGAGTGCAGTGGTGCTATCATGGCTCACTGCAAACTCCACCTCCCGGGTTCAAGCGATTCTCCTGCCTCAGCCTCCCAAGTAGCTGGGATTACAGGCACCCACCACCATGCCCGGCTAATTTTTGTATTTTTAGTAGAGTCGGAGTTTCACCATGTTGGCCAGGCTAGTCTCGAACTCCTGACCTCAAATGATCCACCCACCTCAGCCTCCCAAAATGCTAGGATTACAGGCATGAGCCACCGTGCCTGCCCCATATTACATATTATATATATTATATATTAATATATGTAACTTATGCTATCATTGCTAACATATGTAATATATGCTATTATTAGCTTCTTCCATTTTACAGCTCCCATGTCATTTGGAGACTCAGTGGTCTCGCCAAAGTGCCCATCTCACAAGTGGTCCAGCCCCATTTTGGGATCTCCTGCACCACACTTAATGGCCCCAACCATAAACTGCGTGCCTACAACTATGTCACTACACACACACTCACAACAGTGGTGACTCCACCTCATAAGGGCAAGCCCCCATGAAGTGAGGTCTGCCCCTTAAAGGAGCCTCAGGCCAATGACGGTTTTCCTTGTGAATGGGAAAAACATTCTGCAACCTGGTAGAGTCTCTCCCAAAATCCGGAGAGATTGATGCCAATAAGTCCTCTGCCTCTCTTTGAAGACTCACAAACATCTTAAAGATATTTCACCCAACTTTGAGACCTATGTGTCATGATTTATTGTGCAACAGTTTAGGGAAGCCTACTCATGATGGGGCCCCTAGCACCTCAAAGCAAGCCTGCGACTCCCAACCTCTCCCTAGGCTTCTTCCCCCAACTTGGGTCTTTCTTTGTGTAATGTTTCAAGGACTAGTAAACTCATGATACAAGCGCACCCAGGAGGCACGCCGTAAATGTTCTTTAAATGAATGAATGAATGAGGAAGGAATGTTACTGTGTTGCTAGGTAAAGGTGAAGAAAGGAATGTTGGGGGGGCCAAGCTGGGTGCTGATTGGCTAGTCCTCACAATGCAGTAGGGGCAGAGCACGGAACATAGGAGAGGGTTTCTTTAGACCAGGTAGTCGCTGCCCAGCCGGTCAGGACGTGGGACGCAAGGGGCAATCCTGCCCGGTTCGCAGGTCCGAGGCGGGCGCGGTGGCCCTTCGGGCCCCGCCCCGCCCCGCCCCGCCCCGCCCCGCCCACCGGCAGCCCGGCCACGACCCAAGCGGAGGCCGCGCCGACGCCTGCGCAATGTATGCGGAGAGCCACCACCGCCTCCGGTCCCGACTCCGATGATGGCGGACGGCGCCGCAGCTGGCGCTGGCGGCAGCCCATCCTTGAGAGAGCTGCGGGCACGGATGGGTGAGCGGGCGGGTGGCTCCCGGGGGTGGTTCGGGCCCGCGTGGGAGGCAGGGTTCCCGCAGTCCCCGGGCCGTCGGAGCGGCGCAGCGGGCGCCACAAAACTTTTCCCTGGAGTCGCCTCGTGCTATCTGGTCCTCCCCTCACCCCCGCCGGAGTGCCCTGGGATGGGACAGGGGCGGGGGCGGGGGGTTGAAATTGTCAGCCGACGCCGCGAGCCGCCTGAGTCCCGCCGCCAACGGTCGAACTGCCGCTGCCAACGGTCTGAGCCCCGCGGACGCGGCGCGAGGCAACTCACGGGCTCTGCTTCGACGGGCGGGGCGGGGGCGGCTGGAAGCCGGACCCCGCGGACCGCCCCGTGCCCCATCTGCCCTTGGGGGGCGGTGGCCGCCCGCGCAACCGCCCCAACGAACGCACAGCTGCCTGGGATGTGCGGGCGCCCGCAGGGACTCCGCGCGCCGGCGCCGCCTCCGCCGCCAGGCAGCCTTTCCAGGCACGGAAAGTTTGAGTTATCCCCCAGCCCGGGTCGTGGGCGAGTTTAGGCGCTTTTACTGTCGCAGTCCTTGCCTCTCCCAAAGGCTTACCTCCTGCACCCTCCCGGTCAAGGTCCAGGGAGGAAGCTGGGTGAGGGTGGGGATGCTTAAAAGTTGCTTTAAAAGTTGGGATGAAACTTGGCTCTTTGCATCTCCTGATTTGCCTGCTGTAGCACATGACTTCAACAAGATGTCATCTTCTGTGGGACATCTTGCAGTCTCTAGGCTGAACTGAACGGGAATCAGCACTTCAGAGTGCTTTTTCCTCAACTAGTCCCATCGCCAAAACGTTTTTCCCTCCTCGAAAACCGTTAATCTTATACAATTTGACAGCACATTGCTTGGTCCAGGAGACTGCTCCACTACCTGAGATAGGATTTCTTCCTTTCAGGAGGTTGCTTTTAGCCTGTTAGACTAGTTCCCTCTGCTATGAGCGCGAATAAAACGATTTTATTAATTTTAATTGAATTTCTTAGGGGTTTTTTTGCATTTGCAATTAAAAAGTTAGATTGTTTACGATTGGGAAGCTATATGTTACTTGAGAAGACTTTGAATCAGCTCTCCAAAGACTGTGTCAGAAGCATATACTACATACACTTTCACCATTCATTAGGGAGAAAAGAATCTTCCTTCCGTGTCTATACTTATGGTTCACCTAGAAAGACAGTCTCCAATAAATTGTGTTGCTTATTGGTACCTGTGGCTCTCAGGCACTGGTTTATTTCAGTGATTTAGATTAACCAGCATTACTCCAATATGGTGAAGAAGCTGTGAACCGGATAAACCCCTAAAAGCATTTGTATATCAGATGTTGGAAAGTGTTTTAAAATTATATATGGGACAGATACTGGAATTCACAGCATTTCAAACCAAAAACTTAAGAGCCATGTAAAAGTCTTAACCTAGGACCCTGGTTTAAAACCTTGCTGCCCACTTCATGTTAGGAATTGTAAATATCGCATGTTAGACTTTTTTCACAGAGCACCAACTTGACCAGAACTGCCCTTTAGATCTCAGCGTTTTCCTGAAGGGGTCAAGGAGACAGATGTTTTTGCTAAAATGTTGTTTTCATCTTCTGCTGGCAGTCTGGCAGCAAGAGTTAAAACTGTCTTGAATACATAACATATAAATGCATAGCACAGTCAAAATACATTTATTTTATACATTTATGTATGCATGCAATAGATACATGTATATATATATGTGTTACATATAAAGTGTAAATATATATTTGTTGAGTGATGTTTTCTGTGCATAGCACTGTGCTGAGGTTGTAGCATACCAAATATTTAACAAAACACGTGTTTATATTTTTATGCAGAATTGTTTTAAAATAAAAATTTATTTGAATATTTCAACCAGATGAGCATAAGAAACTTGCCACTGACGTATCACCTTTCCCTTCTTGTTTTTCTAAATTCACCAGTGTTTCTCAGTTTAGAATAACTTTTTCAAAGAATAATTTCTACCAATGCAGAAAAAGCTACGGAGATTGACAGCTAGATTATCATAGAATTTTAGAGTTGGAGAAACCTTAAGATGATCTTGTCAGGCATCCAGAGTCCCAGCTGTAAAATCCTGGGGCACTTCTGCCACTTGAATGGGCACTCTCATGAGGAGCTTAATATTTTTCCAAGTAGCCATTCCATTGTAGACAGCTCTAAATGGTAGAAAATTGTCTCCAGTTTTGTCTTCAAGACATGCTATCTTTGGTTTGAACTTGGAGGTCTTCTGAAAGTCTCAGCCCTATGACTTTGGCTTTTGCTATTTGAGGCAAAATTCTGTGAATCTGCCTGATTTTTATGGTTCTCTGATGGCAGATTTCTTTTCCTGTTATTTTTTCTTAATATTTCAAAATAAAGTTGCTTTGAAATTTACAGTTAAATCAAGTTCTGGCTTCACCACTTACTACCTGTGTGAACTGGGAAAGTTATGTTTAGCTTCAGTTTTTTCAACTATAAAAAAAATTGGGGAAAATAATTACGTCCACTTTATAGGATTGTTGTAAGAATTACATGAAGTAATACAAATGAACTTTGTAAATGGTGAAATGGTATATAATATGTGTTATGGAAGTTTTTAGAAAAGTTCTATAAATACAGATTAAGATTCATAATTCAGTTTTAGTAATACACTACACATTTTCTTATTTAATCTCTGGGCAAAATATAACTTTTACTTTAATTTTGGATTTAGAATTAGTATAAGGACTACAGAAATACCTTGCTGTTACTTTTAACTGAATATTAAGTAAATTCCCTCATTCATTTAAATGCATGTTAAGTAAATTCTTTCATTCAATGAAGTTGAATAAAATGTTGACTTTATTATATCCAGACATAAAGGTGTTATCCCATTTTCTGGACATTTTAAATAATTTTTAAACCCTGTCCTTTCTGTTAATGTATTTCTTACCAGTAGGAATTTGGATACAAAGGTCTAAAAATCAGATTTGATACTACTACCACATTAACCTTTATATGATTCGGTTCATTATTCTCACCACAGCTACTTCTAAGGTTATTTCTGTTTAATAAGATTTTTAATTAGCCTGGTAAAAGTATACTTTTTTTGAGACAGGGTTGCCCAGGCTGGAGTGCAGTGGGATGCTAAAGGCTCACTGCAGCCTCAAACTCTTGGGCTCAGCCTCCTGAGTAGCTGAGACTACAGGCATGCACCACCACACCCAGCTAATTTTTGTATTTTTAGAGATGGGAGTTTGCCATGTTGGCCAGGCTGGTTCCAAACTCCTGACCTCAAGTGATCCACTTGCCTTGGCCTCCCAAAGTGCTGGGATTACAGGCATGAGCCACCACTCTGGGCCAAAAATGTAGATTTTGAGGGAAATTATCAGCTAAATAGTGTCAAATACGGACTATCCTTGGGACTTCTAAGCAGGAGAACTGAATGTGTAAAAACAATACTACAAGTACTTTATTGTTTTCTCTGCACTCACATAAAAATGTTGCAAGTGGGTATATAGGAGTGTCTATAGACCAAGAATTTTTGTTAATATACTAGTGCTCAAATTCAGAAAATAATTGTGGTCCATGGAATTGCCAGTACTTAAATTATTAAGGAAGCTGAGAAGAGTCTAATCCTCAAATTAAGCTAGGTCATATATTATCTGGGCTGTTCGGCCTCTGGGGTAAAAAAAAAAAAAAAAAATGGTGATCCTTACGGCAGCAATTGTGATGTCATTTTCAAGATTATGCTGTAAAATAACTCCCTCAGTAGCAATTAACACCTCAGAGTTCATTCATTTTATAAGTCCAAGGACAGCCCCTCTATTCCCTCAGTTACTTTAACTGCCCATCTTCAACTGTTACATTTTTCTCAATACATAGAAACCAGACTTGTATGCAGCATCACAGGGGCTTACTTCCTGTGCTTTTCTACAAAAGAAGAACAGAGTTAGTTTTCAGTGTTATTTTCAATACTCTTTCTGAAGATGCTCAGTATTGTGGGACATTTTAGATATAGCCATGTGTGGAATTAAAGGGTTCAGGGATTCCCCTATAATAACTCATGTGTGTCATCCTGGAATTTTAGTTTTCTTACTTTTCCTCATACTGTGCTTTCCTAATCTTACACTTCACCCTTATTGAAGTTTATCACTTTTCTGCCTGTTTACACGTTTGTTTGCACCTTGTATAATTTATATTTGTTTGCTTGACATCTACCTAGAATGATACCATCTCATTGGAGATTACTTCTTCTAAAAGAATATTTATTTCTCCACCTTCAATATGCATCAGAATAGAGCTCAACAATTGTAGATGCCTGGGCCCCACAGCCAGAGACTGGTGATGGGGAGCGGGCAGGCAGGCATTGCTGATTTTCTAAAAGTGAGTTAGGTGATTCCAGTGTGCAACCAGGATAGAAAGCCCCTAATTTAGGTAATTTATAAATGTACTCCTTAACATTGGTTGGGCCTGATCTTTCACTGAGTATTTCACTGTTAACACTTTGCTTCCCAATTCAGATCCATAAATTCTTAACCTGTTATCTTCTGAATTCCCAATTTATGGTGAAACTTAATTTTCCCAATTCCTCGCCAGCTCAGTATTTCTAACACTTGGTGTAATGTTTTGTTTGAGACATTTTTAAAACCTATTAATCATTGGCTCCTACTCATCCACAAACTTATGCTGCCACCGCCACTAACAACTCAATTATCTTTATGTCTACAAATACCCTGGCCCATCATAGTAAACACTTTAAATTCTTTGTTAAAGTGTTGTTGAAGATCATAGGTGTTCAATATATCTTTGTTGTTGACCCAGATGAAATCAGTCATGATTTATAGAAGTGATCCTATCCTTTATCATCAAATACAATTGGCCGTGGTTTGCTGACTCCTGTGTTAGCTATCCGTATTCTTAACATCTAATCCTTTTATCTCCCTGTATTTTAGTTGCTGCAGCAAACGAGATTGCTAAGGAAAGGAGGAAGCAAGATGTGGTTAATCGTGTTGCAACCCATTCCTCAAATATAAGATCGACATTTAAACCAGGTATAATTTCTCTGATGCTTTGATAGATGTCAAAGTGTCATATCTTTAAAATTTGATATCCTATTAATATCTAACTATATTCTTTTTTTTTTAGTAATCGATGGATCCATGCTTAAAAATGACATAAAACAAAGATTAGCAAGAGAGCGCAGAGAGGAGAAAAGGAGACAGCAAGACGGTATATTTTAGACCTTTTTTCAAAAATCAAAATGAATTGTGTTATATATTGCAAAGTGTTTTTAACTTATTCCTCCTAATTTGTTTATATGATAGAGTATAATTTTTATATTATGTATTATTTTGGATTAAATCCTTTTACTAAATCAGGCAAGAAGGCCCATGAAAATTCTTTGATTAAATTGTTTAATTTTTGAAGGAGTAGTTTATCTTAGCTTTGATTTTCTGAAAACTAAGGTCTGGAAATTTCTTCAATATTTGTAAAAACAATCAGAATGGGATTTCAGTAAAAGTGATTCTTTTTTTTTTGTTTTGTTTTGAGGCGGAGTCTTACTCTGTCACCCAAGCTGGAGTTCAGTGGCGCGATCTCAGCTCACTGCAGCCTCCGCCTCCCGGGTTCATGCCATTCTCCTGCCTCAGCCTCCCGAGTAACTGGGACTACAGTCACCCGCCACCACACCCGGCTAATTTTTTGTATTTTTGGTAGAGACGGGGTTTCATCGTGTTAGCCCGGGTGGTCTTGATCTCCTGACCTCGTGATCCACCCACCTCGGCCTTCCAAAGTGCTGGGATTACAGGCGTGAGCCACCGCGCCTGGCCAGTAAAAGTTATTCTAAAAATGAAAATAAATTGCCAATAATCCTAACATAGATAAGATGAAAAGCATGTTACCAAGTTGTAAAAAGATTATCCTTTTAGATCCTAATTTATACAGAGTCACACTTCAGAAGCATTTAGTGAGGGAAAATTTGAATATAGGAAAAATTTTGCTCTCCTGTAATATGGTATATGGTTAAGTCCATTAATGTAAAACTGGCATGTTTAATATGGTCTGTATAGATGAGGACTTTGAAAGAAGTTTCCTAGTAGAAGGGAACAAAACATGTATCCTGGCCATGCAGTTTTTAATAATTAGTATTTTAATGTACAGCATATTAATATGGTAGGGTTTGACTTTAGCTCAAATCAGCAGAAATATCACATGAAAGAAAATATTTTTTCTTAATTTGGAATTGTAGTTTGGACAGGATGAGAGTCATTTGGCACAGACAATCCAGTTCTCCAGAGTTAAATGAATACTCAGTGAAAATGGTTCTGCAGTGGCTACCTCTGTTCACTTTTATAATAAATCTTTAGTTACTAGCACAGGTTGTGTTATTTTAAGAAAGTGAATGAGATGTGTTAACTTTTTCCTTCTGTGTGTGTAATGTGGAAAACCTAAATATTTTCTTGGCTCTTACACCTTGAAAATGTATTTGGAATATTTCAGCCAATAAAGAAACACAACTACTTGAAAAAGAAAGAAAGACCAAGCTCCAATATGAAAAACAGATGGAGGAAAGACAGAGAAAGCTGAAGGAGCGAAAAGAGAAAGAAGAACAACGGAGAATAGCTGCAGAAGAAAAAAGACACCAGAAGGATGAAGCACAAAAGGTACATAATTTTGCAGCCTGTGCATGAGAGGATAAACTGTGTTGCCTGAGTCTAGAATATTGTTTTCTCAGGCCTTCTCTGCCTTACTTGCCCTGTAGAAAGGGAACCAATCCCAGCTCTTTCTTCTTCGCTTCCTCTTCCCCTCAGCATTATATAGGCTTTTACCCATGTCCTGATAAGATGCCAGGAGCTGAGACCCACTAGCCTAGGGAATGGGGAGACTTCCAAATCCAGGAACAAAGCCCCATCCACCTTCAGGACTTGGCACATGAGGTACCTGTGGCCTGGGGTTTGTTCTGAGTGGCTCTGTTTACTACCAAAAAGTATTCACTGTTGTCTCATTGCCTACAGAATAGGGGCAGACCCCACTGTCTGACCCTCCCTGACGTGCCCTCATCTGACCGATTTCTCACAACTCCTTTAAAAGTGTGACTCCCCAGCCAAATCAGGGCATTCGCTCTCCTTTTCAGCTTCCCTGGCTCCCTCTGGTGCACACTCACACTCTCTCCCTCTCTACCCTCTGTCTCCGTGTTCCTCACATTCCCTTTCCTGACAGGGCCCCTCTGGATGTGTGGTTCAGAGTCAGCATTCTTGCTCTTGTTTTGTGGCACTGCTCCTCTCTTTTCCTTTCTGGATTCTCTTTTGGTGTCTTTGGCACTCTGTTGGGATGAGTCTGTGGCTTTGTTATGCCCTCTCTTTTTCACTTCTGTCTTTCTTCAGTTTGTCTTTTGTGGTACTGGGCATCTGGCTACCTGTCTCATTCCGTATGATTCTCTCTGACACCAAATTTTTCTCTTGTAGGTCATTTCACTACTTGACTTGGAGTATGCTTCACTCCTTCTGAATCTAGCGTGGTCGCTGTGACACTGTCCTCTATCTTCCTGGCATTCTCTCTTTCTCTTTATTCCAGGGATTTTTTTTTTTTCTTTGAGACAGAGTCTCACTCTGTCGCCCAGGCTGGAGTATAGTGGCGTGATCTTGGCTCACTGCAACTTCTGCCCCCCCGGTTCAAGCAATTCTCCTACCTCAGCCTCCCAAGTAGCTGGGATTGCAGGCGCCTACCGCCACGCCTGGCTAATTTTTGTGTTTTTAGTAGAGATGGGGGTTCACTATCTTGGCCAGGCTGGTCTTGAACTCCTGACCTCGTGATCCACCCTCCTTGGCCTCCCAAAGTGCTGGGATTACAGGCGTGAGCCACTGTGCCCAGCCTATTATAGGGATTCTTAAGTGTCCCTAAATAAGCCTTAGTCTGTCTTTTGGTCTCTGACTCTGGCCTTTTTCTGCCTGAGGCAGCTTGATTTTCTTTATTCTGTCTTTGTCTTAGCTTCTGTCTGTTTTTCCCCATCTTTATATCCTCTGCCTGCCATTCTCTCAGTGTGTTGTATTTTTATTTCCCTCTCTTATTTTCTGTCACTCTAATATTTGCATTTCTTTTTCTCTCCTTTTCTCTTTGGTTCCATTTCTCCCATGAAGCTTCCTCTTGTCTTTCTCTGCGGTGCTCAGTTTCCTCCCTCCTCATCCATACCTTTGCTCTTGTACGTGCTTCCTCTCCAGCCCTGCACCCTATCTGGAGAGCTTCCTGATTCTAGGACACTTCTTGTGCCACTTTTTCCCCATCCATGGTGTACTATATCTCTCCCTTTCTGAACCCTTTTCTGTGGTTGTTTATGCTCTGTTTCATGCTCTAGTATTTGGTAGACTCTCATTCAGAATTTCTGTCACTTTCCATCATCTTCTTGAAACATCTCTCTTATTTTACTTTTCTGTGGTAAAGAGATGAAGGCCAGAGAAAGAGAGAGAATGAACTAAGTAATGATAAACGAAGAAAGAACCAAGAACTAAGTAAAGAACCAAAGAAAGTGAAATACAAACTGTGTGTAGAGTGAGTGGGAGTCCATGGAGGAGAGAGACAAGTCACAGGGACTGAGACCAAAAAATAAAGACTATCTTAGAGAAAGAGGAAGCTGCCAGAGAGAACACAGAGAATAGAAGAGAATGCAGCAAAATGACACTGCAGACAGAAAGGGAGCCACAGACATGGCAGGAGAAGGGGCAAAAGAAAACCCCAGATAGCTAGTGCGGGAGAGTCCCAGACAGAACAGGGGACATGGGACACTGTAAGTAGGCTACATATAGCAAAAGAGAGGAATTCTGGAGAGCAGAAAAAAAAAACCCAGACTCAGTGGTGCTGAGGAGGGATGAGTGTGGACAGGAGGTGTATATGAAATGGGATAGGAACTTCTATGTGAGCCCTGGGTGGCCACGATGTGAGAAGGGACCTGGAAGAGAGCACAGTAGGTAATGCATTTGGAAACAGTGGAATAGAATCAGAAATAGTTTAATAATACAAAGTTAATCTTTGTTTTTAGTCTATTATAGTTTCAGGGTTTCTAAGTAATTCAGAACAACTGCCTTTCTGTTAGAAAATATAATTTTCAAATGTTGCCCATTGTATCAACTTTATTTTAAGAATTGCGGTTGCTTTTCTTCTCAGAAGATATGGCTCATCTCCATTTTCCTAGTACGTTTATCTTTGCCATTGGTAGAAACAGTAGAGGCTTTGTAAGGATGGTGTTTGCTATGAAACGGTTGTTGTTAGGGAAAAATAGAAGATCTCTGGTCCTAAAAGTTGATTTGCTTACCTGAGTTCATGGTATGGCACAGTACAAGGATGAGAAATATTTGAGAGAAGAGCTCATTTCTGGAAGTGGAGTTGTTTTGCTGCAGCATGGTATTTACTTTGTATAGCTGTTGTCTTGACCAGCTAAAGTTGAGGTCAAGACAAATATATTGATTATCTTTTTTGAAACTTTATTTTTATTAGTTAACACCAGAATTTTAGCTGTTACAGATGTGAGTATACTAGATGATTCTGGTATAAATTTAACTTATATGTGTGCTGATTTTTCCCCTGCCTCATTCTACAAAGAATTTAAGGTGACTTAAAAATACATACCACACCAGATGATAAAAATAAATGGTTGGGGGAATCAAGCAGAGGGGAAAACTAACATAGGCAAATAAAACATAAGGTATGATTAGCATGCACAAAAGTATACCAATCAGTCTTTGTACAGTTGCTAGAAAGAGGCTACACATTTGGCTCTAAATTTCCTAATGATACAAACAAAGAGGAAAGCATGGTCATTTTCTTAATGCAAGGTCCATAAGATAAAAAAAAATGAGTTATTTAGGAGAAGCACTGGTATTGATTGATAGCTGAGACATATCTCCAATTATTTTAAACTTTTACCTGAGACAGAAATTTGGTTATGGTTTATTTTATAAACCACAGATCAAAATTATACTAATTTGATGAATATGTAAAAATATGTTGGCTTTTATTTTAAATAGGAAAAATTTACAGCCATTCTTTATCGTACTTTGGAACGGAGGAGACTTGCTGATGATTATCAGCAAAAAAGATGGTCATGGGGAGGCTCTGCAATGGCGAATTCTGAGAGCAAAACTGGTAATTAATACACCCATTAAATTTTAAGTTTGTTTATGTTCTTGTTTAAATATTGGCTATGAGTAGAAGCTTGCATTTACAGCAAGATTTTAGTGTTTGTATCCTAAACAAAAATACTGTATATAGTAAATTTAAATTTCTGTCATATGCCATTGCAAAAGAAACAGGTGAAATGTTATAGTAGATTTTATTTAGCTCAATATACCTAAAATCTTATTTAAACTTATAATCAGCAGAAAAATGCTGAATAATGACTAAGCTTTACACAGCTTATCAAATGCATATTTTTAAAAATAAGTCTGCCTTGTCTACTATTGATTTAGTGTAAATTTTCTTATATGCACATAATTCTACACAATTTCAGAAAACAAAAGTAAAATTTATGTAGTTTAGAAGGATTGGCCAGTTGCCGTGGCTCACACCTGTAGTCCCAGCACTTTGAGAGGCCAAGGCGAGCAGATCACTTGAGGTCAAGAGTTCAAGACCCGCCTGGCCAACATGGTGAAGCCCCGTCTCTACTAAAAAAAAAGGATTGACGGGCAGTGATATTGTGAACTTGAGTAATGTAAGTCTGTGCTCCATAGAACTATATCATGAAAACTCATTTTTTTTTCAGTTAATGATTCTTTCCTCCTTGAAATATGATTACAGTAAGTATTATGTCTTTTCTCAGCCAATAAACGATCTGCATCTACTGAAAAACTTGAACAGGGTACTTCTGCTTTAATCAGACAAATGCCTTTGTCATCTGCAGGCCTTCAAAATTCCGTTGCCAAAAGTAAGTAGTTATTTCATGTATTCTACTGAATTTCTATTAAATGAAATCAGTTCTTTATATTTTTACAGTACCACCTATTTAGATTGTGGAACATTTATGTTTATTTCAGAAGAGTCCCATGTTATTTTACAGCAGAGGGAGAGAGATAGTCATACTTTTTTTTTTTTTTTTTTGAGACAGAGTCTCACTCTGTTGCCCATACTGGAGTGCAGTGGCATGATCTTGGCTCACTGCAACCTCTGCCTCGTGGGCTCAAGCGATTCTCGTGCCTCAGCCTCCCAAGTAGCTGGAATTACAGACCTGCATCACCACGCCCAGCTAACTTTTGTACTTTTGGTAGAGACGGGGTTTCACCATGTTGGCCAGGCTGGTCTTGAACTCCTGACCTCAAGTGATCCACCTTCCTCGGCCTCCCAAAGTGCTGGGATTACAGGCGTGAGCCACCATGCCTGGCCTTGTATTTTCATCAATATACTTGTTTCATGATGTTTGTGTTAATCATATCAGATGGGATTATTGGACCTCAGTAGCTGAAACTGAAACATATTTTGGTCAAAAGACACTGCCATTAAGTGGCATAATTATTTATTTGAAGATTAGTTCATATTCTACCAACATATAAATGAAATTGTGTTTTCTACAGACTGGTTAGACAGTTATTCAATTTCCATTAAGTATTGTGAATATTACCTCATTTTAGAAAAATAATAGCATATATATAGCAGTGGACAGGTTGATCTGCATTACATATATCATATTTGTTATTCACAATTATCTTAGAAAATTGACAGACAAGTATAATTGCCTTCCTTGTTTTATAGTTAAGACTCCAAGAAATTCAGTGATTTCTACTCTAACATCCTTTTCTGTGGTTTATATTTTGGTCATTTGATAGATGGATCATGATATTTAAGTTGTACCTTTCATTTATAAGTCAATGTTTTCCCCCAAAAGCAAATAATGTGATAATGATGTTTAATGATAGACGTATTGCCAAGTTCCACTTTACAACTCTTCCTAATGGCAATACAGAGTTGTTTCAAATACAGTGAAGTTATCTACTATGAATAATTCAAATGTCTTTTTGTTTCTGGTGTTTGTCCTTTTAATTAGTGTTCCTTATTAAAAGAAAAATCTATACCCAAGTGTGTGTCAATAACCATGTCTGGCTTGTAGCACATGGTGCCTCTCACTGATAATTGAAATGGATTAGGCAACTATACCCATCAATCCAAAAAAAAGATCCCTTTTCTTTCTAGAGGAAAAAAAGGAATGTTCTTGAGAGGAAAAAGAGCACAAATTCCACATCATTCCCTTAAACTTAGCCAGTAAAAATGATGAGGAAAGATGGCTTTTGTGCCTTGTGAATTGAATAAGGCATAATTATAGTTTGAATTTTAAAATGTTTGTTTTGCATTATTAGGTATCTCGACAATTTTTGAGCAATGCTGATTGCTATACAATTCCAGTACAGCAAAAGATTTTGGATACAATTTAAAGTATAATTAATTGTAGCAGTAGTTAACCTTATGGAAAAGATTTCCATTTTTGCCTAAAACAATATAGTTTTTAATATGTTGAAAAGGATTTCTAGGGCGAAAGGATTTTTGTTCCAACTTACATTATGTTATTTGTACTTTTAGGACTCTTAAAATTTCAGTGATGAGCTTGAGAGGTCTTTTATTGTCAGTCTGAGTATATCACATTTTCTCTTGTATTGGTCTGAGAAAAGTTCATCCACTTACCACCTCCACCCTCAATGTGCTTTCCCAAAGCACTTTTATATATAGTCTGGGTTTGTTCATAGATTAATATGGGAAGATTTTCTCTGGCACCTTGCTTATAATATGGTAAAATTAATTTATTATTCACCAACTAAATCCTTTAGAAAAATTAGATAACATTAATTGCAATGCCATGTTTATGTACTTTCATTTTAATATATCTTAATTGTTCCACAAGCATTGACTCTGTTTTACTATCTAATTGCTTTCAGGAATTAGCAAAGATTTATCTCATAGACATTTATTACATATTTAGTATAATGAGCAAAAGCCTTATTAATGAGACATGTAGTCAGTGTGGCGATTCCTCAGGAATCTAGAACTAGAAACACCATTTGACCCAGCCATCCCATTACTGGGTATATACCCAAAGGATTATAAATCATGCTGCTATAAAGACACATGCACACGTATTTTTATTGCGGCACTATTCACAATAGCAAAGACTTGGAACCAACCCAAATGTCCATCAATGATAGACTGGATTAAGAAAATGTGGCACATATACACCATGGAATACTATGCAGCCATAAAAAATGATGAGTTCATGTCCTTTGTAGGAACATGGATGAAACTGGAAACCATCATTCTCAGCAAACTATCGCAAGGACAAAAAACCAAACAATGCATGTTCTCACTCATAGGTGGGAATTGAGCAAGGAGAACACATGGACACAGGAAGGGGAACATCACACACCGGGGCCTGTTGTGGGGTGTGGGGAGGGGGGAGGGATGGCATTAGGAGATATACCTAATGTTAAATGATGAGTTAATGGGTGCAGCACACCAACATGGCACATGTATACATATGTCACAAACCTGCACATTGTGCACATGTACCCTAAAACTTAAAGTATAATAAAAAAAAGAGAAGGGACAGATTATGACTTCAAGATAATAATTAGTTAAATTGTACTGTGAAGGAGCAATTCCAAATAAAACTTTTAAAATGATTTCTTTATTAGCTTTTAATACAAGAAGGTATGTGTGGAAGACACTTTGTGAAATATTTTCTTAAAGGTACAGTATGTTGCACACTCTGAAATGATGAATGCTATAATTAATGATTTCTAGGAAATAAAATCCATATTGACAATGTCTTACCTTTAACTTGAAATGAAACCTGGTCAATCCAGAGAGATCAACATTTTAAACTCAGATGAAGTTCATAATCTAACCTGTAATATTTTAAGTAACTATTTTAAATCTGGGTTGATTCAAGTAGTCTATTTTTTTCTACTCATTGCTGATTCATAATAACTGCTCACACCATTTTGTCATTTTTTGCAGTATGCTAATGAAGGATACCGACTTAATCACATGATCTAACCACCTCTGTGGTTCATGCTGCTCAATCACATTATTAATTCAAGGAATTTTCCGATGATACTGTGTTGTCAACATGTACTTTAGTTTACAAATCCCCAAAAGAGAAATTATTTTTTAAACAGACATTTCTCAGTATTCTGAGCGAGGGTATCTCAAGTGAAATGAAAGTGTCTACATGGAAGCAGATTATTTCTCCTTGGTTTGCTTAAATCGTGGCATTTATACCAATTGTTAATATTCATTTTTATTTTAAAAATACTAGTTATAACTATTTAACTTGTAAGGTCCAGGACCTGAGCCTCTGAAAGCCACTTTTTGGCCATGATGCAGAAATCAGATGCTACAGCTATCAATAACTTTACACCTGATATCAAAAGAATGGCTCCGCAGGGTAAAACACTGACAGTCTGTTAGAGCCTACAAGTTGATACATGTATAACTCAGATAATTTGTTTTCTTTATGTTAAGAACAAATATCTTTTTATCTAAATGATTGATATTGGAGTTTCATGTTTTCATCATTTTATACTGGTGTGTGCACATGTGTGTGTACATGTGTGTATACGTATATATCTTTTTTAAATATATGCATATATAACAAAAATACTAGTTATAACTAAAGTGTAAATTACTTTTAAGTATTAGGCATCATGTCTAAAGGGTTGTATGTTTATAATTTGGGAACTTTGATGTCAGATAGTGTCAGATATTTTACCTCTTAATTTTTACCATTTTCTAAATTTTTTTTCATTTCAGATAAAGAATAAACTCATTTTAAGCTTGGGGATATAGAATCTCTGCATAATATTTGAAATTAAGTCTTATAAGCAAGGTAGAGAACATAAAAAATGTTTGAAAAAGGAGTATCTCACTCCTGAGATAATTAGTAGTTTATGAAAACTAATATTCCTTTTGTACTTGCTCTCTAGGGAAAACAGACAAGGAGAGAAGCTCATCTTTAAATAGAAGAGATAGTAACCTACATTCGTCTACTGATAAAGAACAAGCCGAAAGGAAGCCACGTGGTTAGTTACTTCTAAATACAAATTTTAAATAGTGATTTAAAAGAGGTATTTTATGTCAACATTGAATTGCTTGAAAAATCATTCCCAAAATTGGAAGCCAAAATATTCCTTCTTAGACTGAAAAAATGTGCTTTGGTGCCATGCTTATTTGGCTAAAGCCAGAAAAATCTGTCTTTAAATGAAGTATATAATTCCTGCCATCATCTGACAAGGGGTGGATAATGCAGCTGGGGAAATAAATCACAGAATATTGGTATAGATAGGAGTGTACTGGAGGATTTGATTCACTTCCAGTATTTCATTAATTTGTATTTGGAAGTTTAAATACCCGGCCACATTTCGAACTTCAAAGCTTTGCCCTTGCTTCATAGCATTACCCACATATATCCTTTGTGCATATTTTCACTGCTGATTATTCACAGAATTTCACAGTGATTACTAAAGTACTTCTTTACATAAAGTAGTTTCTTTTCTTTCTTTCTTTCTTTTTTTTTTGAAATAGAGTCTCGCTCTGTTGCCCAGGCTGGAGGGCAGTGGCGCCATCTCAGCTCACTGCAACCTCCACCTCCCGGGTTCAAGCGATTCTCCCGCCTCAGCTTCCCGAGTAGCTGGGATTATAGGCGCCTGCCACCACGCCTGGCTAATTTTTGTATTTTTAGTAGAAATGGGGTTTTGCCATGTTGGTCAGGCTGGTCTTGAACTCCTGACCTCAGATGATCCGCCTGTCTCAGCCTCCCAAAGTGCTGGGATTACAGGTGTGAGCCACCGCGCCTGGCCATAAAGTAGTTTCTTTCTAACACCTTTCCCTAGCATTTTCCTTTCACGTGTATTTGTTGCTTTTTGTTTCATACCAAACCATTCCTTTACAGAAGACCTTCCACCTAATTGATTCAGGTCAAATCCTATTAGAACAAATGTCATTGACACAGGGATCTTTATGAACATGAAGATTTATTGGAGCAAGATATTTACAACAAAATTTACTTTTAACAAAAGTGTTTATTCACTTCCTTGGAGCCTTTGGCAGTGGACTTGACCATTATGATTTTCAGTGCTGTCTATCTGTAGGAATCTTTCTCAAAGTTGTTTTGCCATGTGCAACTTTTTTCCTCAAGTGTGAGTTCCTCCATAAATTTCATACGGTGGGGAATGGCTCTGTTTGAAATGTTACCTAGATTCTTTCCTTAGAGTTATTTTGGTATGTATGCTGTGGCCTTTCTCCTTTTATTCTGAGGATCTCTTCTTTGACAGTGCAGTCCAGTCAGATGACTGTGTTCAGTGTTTTGTGTTGCTGGGAAAGCTGCTGTTGAGAGCAGTTTGCATTGCTCTTTCTTGCTTTGCATTTGTGAGACCTCCAATGGAATCCTTTGGATTTGTTCTCATCATATATCTCGTTGCTCATATATCAGTTCTCAAGAGAATAATTTAATCAGTTGTCTGTTCAGCCCAACAAAAGCGTCATTAGCCAGAAGCAGAAGTGCTGCTTCATTATCCAGCCCTGGAAAAGATGATCCAGGTAACAGGCATATGGTGGAAAGCCAGGAGGTGTTAAGTGTTTGCATTTCAAAGCAGGCTTCATCACTGAATTTGTTGCATTTAGGCATCAAAATAGTTTGAATCCGTAGTTACCATATTAGTGATTTTACCCAGCATTTGATGTTGCATATTTATTTTATGACTTCTAACATGATAGGGCAGTTATATGGGAGACAGGTAATTTGTAGGATGAGATAGCTAACTTTGAAGGTGTTTGTTAAATTTTAAAGTTCTATGGGTTTTAAAAATATAGAAAACCTTCACTCATTTCAAGGGAGAAAGTTTCCTACTCTACCTTCCTTTTTTCACCTAAAATATGGAAGAATAGCATAGAGCCACCCTTCAGCTTTTAGTTAGAGACCTAAAGATTGTTCTTAACATGAAACATCTTCAGAGTTGTGTGGACTTTCTCATTTATAGTTTACATATAGCATTAGACTTGCCTTTGGATAGCAAGACCACCCCCCCCACCCAGTAATGGAAAGGACTAATGCATTGTTCCTATGATTTTTTTTCTTTTTTTTCCCCTTCACTTTTTCCTTTCCAGTATATATCCCACTCCCTTTGCTTTTTCTCTGTTAGTATTTATATGATTAGTAAAACACATCTAAATGCTATCACAGACTTTCTTGTACTGCAGCCTTATTTCTTTTGTTCTAATTCCTGACTTTTTTATGCCCAATTATGTGTATGTCAGGTTATTTTCTGCCAGTCTCCCTTTCCCACCAATCTATGGTGAGATATTTCTATTACCACCATCCAAAAAATCTCAATATTTTGTCTTAAAAGTTTATAGCTAATACAAATCCAGTCATACTATATTTTCTGTAGCACAAACTGTTGGTGTAATGTGACTGTTTAGGCACATGTAGATATGTAAATAAAATGCTTTCTCCACTAAAAGTGAGGGACTAAAAGATAACATTTAATTTAACTAAAAGCTTTATTCATAAGTAGTCTATCTTTGGTAATTTGGGGTAAGATTAGGTGAAAATTTGCCACCCATACTTAAAGATGAGATGGCAGATAAATTTAACCAGGTCTTTTTTTTTTTTTTTTTTTTTTTTTTTTTAGTTTAATTTACCAGGTCTTAAGGAAGCCACCTCCAAATACCTTTTGAAAAATGTTTAATTAGGCCAGGTGCGGTGTCTCACGCCTGTAATGCCAGCACTTTGGGAGGCTGAGGCAGGTGGATCACTTGAGGTCAAGAGTTCAAGACCAGACTGGCCAACATGGTGAAACCCCGTCTCTACTAAAAATACAAAATTTTCCGGGTGTGGTGGCACATGTCTGTAATCCCAGCTACTTGGGAGTCTGAGGCAGGAGAATTGCTTGAACCTGGGAGGCGGAGGTTGCAGTGAGCCAAGATTGCGCCACTGCACTCCAGCCTGGGTGATAGAGCGAGACTCCATCTCAAAAAAAAAAAAAAATTAATCGTTTAAGCAATAAATATTTCGTGTAGAAGATGTTTTTAATCTAATCCCCCATTATCCCTGTGCTCACTGGTAACTTCATATTTTTCTTTGCATTTATTTTTTTTCACAAAATGAAATAACCTGCTTTCCATCTTCTATGTCCAAAATATTTCATATTATTGCTCTTAGTGACTGCCTTAATATGGTCTACATTTCCTTTGGAACATTTGGATGGTATTTTCAATTGTTTCAGTATTATAAACAGTGCAGTAATTAGCAACTTTATACATGCATTTTTATATATTTATGTAATTTTTTTTTTCCTAAGGGTAAACCTAGAAGTAGAATTGCTGGAACAAACAGTATGTACTTTTTATGCTCCCCAGGGAAAATATACAAATCTATACTCCCACCAGTTGTGATGAGGTTGCCTGGTTCCAAACATTGGTATTAATCGCTTTCTTCCATCTTACCTGGCACCAAATATTATCATTTTCGTCCGTTTCATAGGAAAAATAAAATTAGATTGTTAAAGGTGGAAAGGACCTTGGAGATCCAACCCACTCTGATTAATGTCTTATTAAGTTTTTAGTATGGGTGAGAAAATGCTCTTTCTTACATTCTATTCTAAAACATTAAAATATGGAGTATCTTACATAATCACCTATAATGGTAAGATCTCTAGCCCTGGCGAAGATGTTTAGATTACTTTTAGAAAGGGTTGAAGATCTTGTAATTTTTTGTGAAAATTATTCTGAAATATAGTATGATTAAAATAGAAACAGCTTATTGCAAACATCAACTTTGGAGAAGCATCTTATTTTCATCTGTAATAGACTATTGCCTTTACAACGACTGTTGTTAATGTTGCTTCCGAAGTAGTGACTTTGTGATAGTTCTGTCCTGTGTCTGTCATCCATTTCACTAAGCATTTCCTGTGTTGTGTGTAATCCCTGTGCTTTCCTAATAAACAATCTCTTTTCTGTGTTCCTGTTCTTATACTGTGTACCTGGTGCATCCTTTTCTTGTCAGATTTCTAACTTAGGGAATTTCATGCTCTGTCCTCATTCAGTTACAGGCGTCACCAATTATGTAATGCAGTATGTCACTGTACCCTTGCGTAAATGTACTAGCGACGAATTGAGGGCTGTTATGTTTCCCATGTCGACAATGAAAATACCTCCTCAAACAAAAGTAGAAGAGTCTCCCTTGGAGAAAGTAGAGACACCTCCCAAGGCAAGTGTGGATGCACCCCCCCAGGTGAATGTGGAAGTATTCTGCAACACAAGCATGGAAGCGTCCCCCAAGGCAGGTGTGGGCATGGCCCCTGAGGTGAGCACGGACTCATTCCCTGTGGTGAGCGTGGACGTGTCGCCTGTGGTGAGCACATATGATTCTGAGATGAGCATGGACGCATCCCCCGAGTTGAGCATAGAAGCACTCCCGAAGGTGGACCTGGAAACAGTTCCCAAGGTGAGCATAGTAGCATCCCCGGAGGCGAGCCTGGAAGCACCCCCGGAAGTGAGTCTGGAAGCACTGCCAGAGGTGAGCGTGGAAGCAGCCCCAGAGGGGAGCCTGGAAGCACCTCCCAAGGGGAGCGCAGAAGTAGCCCCCAAGGAGAGTGTGAAAGGGTCACCCAAGGAGAGCATGGAGGCATCTCCTGAGGCGATGGTGAAAGCATCCCCCAAGACATCCCTTGAAGCAAGCATGGAAGCATCTCCCAAGGCAAAAGCGAGAGACGCTCCAAAGGTTTGTCAAGTGCCTGTTATTGACAAATTTTCTATTAAAATATGTATATTTTGTTGTATAGTTCACGATAGGTCAGATTTTACAACATAACCAGCATATTATTTACAATATTCTGCAATATAATTAATAAAATAGGTTAACTCACTTAAACTAGGAATTTAAAATTCTCTGATGTTCATTGTACCACTTTTCCTCCAAAGCTGAAATATTAGTGAGTTTTTATTAGAAGGGAGAAAATGTAAGTTTATATGAACTCTGTTTCTAAACTCTGAAGAAATGTTTTTTGAGAAATGTTTTAAACCCTGAGTTAGGATTTGGAAATTGAGTTTGGTTTTGAAGGATAATATTTCTTTTAAACCTGTTATTTCTGTGATCTCCTGGAATTGTGTAATGTAAATTGTTAGTCCAGAAGCAAATATCAATGTCCTGATTCTCATACTCTAAAAGAAAATTGCAGTTTAAAGAATTCTAATTGTGTTTTATTCAGAATGTTTTTCTCTTCAAAAAAAAAAAAAAAGCCAGCTGCAGTAAAAGAATTGTTTGTTAGTAATTTACCATACTGTGTTTATCTGTTCAGAAATCAGAAATGGACAAACAGGCCTTAATCCCTATTGCCAAGAAGCGTCTATCATCATACACTGAGTGTTATAAATGGTCATCATCTCCTGAAAATGCTTGTGGTCTGCCGTCTCCCATCAGCACTAAGTAAGCAGCTTATTCGCAACTGTTCCTGATAGGCGTTTTACTAGAACAAATTCCATGTCAATGTTTGATGAGTGAAATAATATAGTATGCATGGTAACACAAATGTAAAGGGAAAAAAGCCTGTAAAAAGGGATTTATTTTTCAGAAAAATTCCCTGATTATAATGTCATCTCATAATAGCATCTTATATTTTATGAAATTGTACACTGAAAATTAATTAGCAAATGTGTATTACTTTTTCTCAGCAGGCAAATCCAAAAGAACTGCCCTCCATCACCATTACCACTTATTTCAAAACAGTCACCACAGACTTCTTTTCCTTATAAAATAATGCCTATTCAACACACCCTGTCTGTGCAAAGTGCATCAAGTACTGTCAAAAAGAAAAAAGAAACAGTTTCTAAAACCACTAACAGATGTGAGGCTTTGAGCCAAAGGCATATGATCTATGAAGGTAAGTTCTTTCACTAAGAAGTTTATCTTAGCAACACAGAAAATCTTACTGTATTCTGGGAAAGGTTCACTTCATTTTATTCCCCAATTGAGAGAACTTTAGGGAATTATTTTCCTTTTAGAAAGAGAGAATCTAACCAATCTCTGGTACATTGGAATGTATCTTCTCTGTTTGTTTGTCCTTGCCAAAGCTTTCTTCTCACCCCTTTGTTTTGAAAAATCCATTTTTGGAACTGCTTTTAAAAGCATAGGTCTGGCCAAGCATGGTAGCTCACGCCTATAATCCCAGCACTTTGGGAGGCTGAGGTGAGAGGATTGCTTGAGCCAAGGAGTTTGAGACCAGCCCAGGCAACATAGGAGAGAGACCCCTGTTTCTACAAAAAAAAAAAAAATATATATATATATATATATATATATATATACACACACAAAAAAAAAAATTAGCCCGATGTGGAAAGGGTAGGCTATATATTCGGTTAGGGGGTTGAGGATAAGAGTAAGCCATATTATACCATAACCACCTAGCTTAAGGTGGTACACATCTGTAGTCCCAGCTAGTAGGGAGGCTGAGGTAGGAGGATTGCCTGAGACCAGGAGGTGGAGGCTGCAGTGAGCCGTGATAGTGCCTTTACACTCTAGTCTGGATGAGAGAGCGAGACCCCATATCAAAAAAAAGCACAGGTCGGATGAGAGGTTTGGTCTAGGTGATTCCTGAGATCCCTTCTAGCTCTGATAGTGATGGTTCTTGGAGAGAGCACATCCACTCGTGGATGAGCAGGTTTTTCCTAAGATTTAGGTTCGTTTTTATATATAGGCCATAATGTGGTGTCCCTTGATTTGTGTAGTATTCCTGAAAGTGCCATATTGCTATTTTGCCTGTTACGTGCATTCTTAATACCCATGGACATTACTTAATTTCAAAAACACACTGGGGAATTTTGCTCTTTTACGGAATTCCACAGTGAATTTTTTGTAACAGAAACAATCTTTTAATTACAGATTATTCATTCCTGATATGTCTTCTCATTTTCATATGATTTATTTAAAATAAATTAGTAGTTATATAGACCAAAATATCATCATATGCCTCTGTGTACTCACCTTATTTTACTGATAGTCTTGGTTTTGTTATCTACAGTTAGCTACTCTATGATCAACCAAATGTATACACTATTATCAAGGTTTAGCTAAATAGTAATCATATAGTAAAAATGATGCACAGATCTCAAATGTATACCAGATACATATTTGTTTGAGTATTTAAGATATTTGTACCCTTTGTTTGGACCGAGCATAAGCTTGTCTTCCTCTATATTCAGTATTTCTTACTCTTTTCCCATGGGGTCAGTTGATTCAGTTATCTCAAAACCACTAAAACGAAAGTAGAAGTACATTATTTCATTTTGGAACAAGTAGGTGTTAAAAAGAAACAAAATGCTTCTGCTGTTGTTGGGGGTGCAGTTTGAACAAAATCTGTTAGATAATCACCTATAGTTTGCTTGTGATTTATAAATTTTGGACTACGCACATATATATATATTTTAATGTTTTGGATTGTGTTGCACTTCTTTGTTGGAGTGAGAGTTGATTAGCTCTCTTAACTGTTGCACATATTTATTTAAACTAGAGTCTGGTAATAAGAGTACTGCAGGTATTATGAATGCCGAGGCGGCAACAAAAATTTTGACAGAATTGCGCCGCCTTGCTCGTGAACAAAGAGAAAAAGAGGAAGAAGAAAGACAACGGGAAGAAATGCAGCAAAGGTCAGCACAAAGTCTTCCTTCCTATACTATAAATCTTGAGTGGGGCCCAAATTTTTGAAAGTCAAAATTTTACCCTCAAGTTATAAATTCTCAAAGAACAATTGACTTTCTTCAGTGAGGATCAGAAGTGCCTCATTGCCTGCATAGGAAGCATTTCAAGCCCTTGTAAATGGCTAAGGACCCTGGTATGTGGATAAATGGCACAGTCCTTTTTAGCCTCCATACATCATGTGCCATTAAGGTGTGCTAGGAGGATGCACAGAGACCAAACTCACATTCAGGATTTGATCTCTCAGCACCAGAGTGGTATATAAGAACAGATCAGTTCGTGTTCACTAGTGTCAGCCCTTTATTTAAAAGACTTGTAACATCAGGATTTTTAAACCTGAAAATTATACTTACTCATGTTTTACTTTTTCTGTGATCTTTGTGACACCTGTGTCTCATCAGGCCAGTGAGTCATTGCTAGAAGGATTTCCTTTGTGGGCAGCAAATCTCATGTACAGTTGTGTGCATTCAAATTCTAGCAAAGGTTTCTTGTTCCTCCATCTTGAGGACTATTTTATGTCGGGCCTTATAATGTAAACCTCTGTCCACTGGCTGCAGGGAATAACAACAGTACTGAATTTGCTTTTAAGTATTTAGTGTTATTTGAAATAATCACACATTTTCCATATGCTTATATGGGCTTGGGAAAAAGAAGGGAATATTATGAATTACAAAAAAAACCTCTAACTTGAAGAATATTATTCATCGCTTCATATAAACAGAGCTGATTTAGCATTTGAAAGTGCTGAATACTAGGGAACCACCAGACTCTCCTCTAAATTATCTCTGTTACCCCCACGAGAGATTGGGTGTGAGCACGTGTAAAGAAGGCCTTTTAGGGGATGTCATGTCTCAAAGACAGTTAAGGAATGAGTTCCTCTCACGTATGTGTGTTTTTTAACAAGCAAAGTAATCTATTACTTGATTGAAATATTTTTCTGCTCCCGAGGGCTAGTTTTTCTCTTTAAAAAGGGGTGGAATTGTGTAATTCCTATATAGTAACAACACAGAAGATGTAGTGACTCTGGTGTGGATATAAATTATATTACTATACACAGGAAGTTTCACTATAAAAACTCACTAGTGCAAGCTGAGTATGATAGCAATCAAGATAAATACTAACAATTATTTAAATACTCTCAGGGTCATTAAGAAATCAAAAGACATGGCAAAGGAAGCAGTTGGAGGCCAAGCAGAAGACCACTTGAAACTCAAAGATGGGCAGCAACAAAATGAGACTAAAAAGAAGAAAGGATGGCTGGATCAGGAAGACCAGGAAGCACCACTGCAGGTTTGCTGACTTGACACTTTATCAGGGGATGAGAACCAGATTATAAAGTTCAGATGGAACCCAGAGCAAAAATCTCTGTCTCTGAGAAAGAAGACATGAGCAGATTCTCTGGCTGCATTTTATTTTTTATTTTATTTATTTATTTATTAATTTTGAGATGGAGTTTCACTCTTCTCAGCCAGGCTGGAGTGCAATGGCACAATCTTGGCTCACTGCAACCTCTGCCTCCCAGGTTCAAGCCATTCTCCTGCCTCAGCCTCCCAAGTAGCTGGGATTACAGGCATCTGACACCACGCTCAGCTCAGTTTTGTATTTTTGGTAGAGATGGGGTTTTACCATGTTGGCCAGGCTGGTCTTGAACTCCTGACCTCAGGTGATCCGCCCGCCTCAGCTTCCCAAAGTGCTAGGATTACAGGTGTAAGCCACTGCGCCCAACCTCTGGCTGCATTTTTATGTTACAGTCTCTATTACCCAGTACCACTGCAGGTCATTGTCAGCCACCCTCAGAAAACCATAGAATGTTTTCCTAGTGAAATAAGCAGAAAACAGCAAATTGTAGATTAGTAGTCCTTAATTTGAAATCCAAATTGCTTTAACAGATTCCACATCCTACATTGGTTTCCCCCATCTTGCATTCTGTGGTACCATATACAACTCCATCAACTGGACCTTACACCCCTGTAACAGATAAGATAAACCATACATACTTCTACAAGTTTAAAATCATTAACTGAAGAATGTCTCATCTATCTAAAGTCAAGTCACTGGGTAAATAAATGCCCAAACTGAGCTCAGACTATACTCAGTTTGAATTATTACCATAGCCCAATTTATATTTCCAGTTTTTAGTGTATTATTCACCAGCATTGGTCATATGTTTTATATATGATTGTTTATGCTTGCATTTCTCAGGAGGGTGCCTTCAAGAATCCTCTCAGTGCTTTTGAGAAATGTCAGGCTGTTGGCTCCTGTTACTGTGTTAATGGATAGCTCCACAGTCACATACTTTGAATTAGGATGGTGTGATGTTCATAACAATGACCCTGTGGTCCTGAATCCTCAGGATAACATTTAGCCTAGCTTTGTGCATTCTAACTAGTGCTTTGAAAATTGACAATCCGCAAATATCATGATATAGGAACCCTCATTCAAAAGGTTACACTCTTTTGTTATACTAGATAACATTTACCATTGAAATTTTTAAACTAGAGTTCTCTGATGTCACTCAGGTATCTTGAGATTGAATGATATTTTTATGCAAATTTCCTAGAAAGGGGACGCCAAAATAAAAGCTCAAGAGGAAGCTGACAAACGCAAGAAAGAACACGAGAGAATTATGTTACAAAATTTACAAGAACGGTTAGAAAGGAAAAAGGTACTCGCTCTCTGTTTGGGGGGACTTGATTCTGTGTTTAAAACAATGTTGGGCACCTGATATCAGCATGTTTTTAAAAATCACAAATCTGATATATGCTAGTTCCTGGTGGTTTTCCCACTCGATTCTCTTCCTTATCCAAGGATCTGACTTCTCCTACATAGAGGGCTGTCCTCTTACTGATCATGCCTCCCTCTCATGGACCCTTGGTGGCCATTGGCCATTACAGTGATGCCTCACTATATCAAACCTCTGGTAACAAAACTTCTCTGAGCAGAAGGACTCCAGTCATGGTAGGGGTTGGTAGAAGTTAAGACTTTCTTCTAAACTGGCTGGAAATTGCAGCAACTACATGGGGAGAAGCACAAACTGTAGGCCTCTTTGAGAGGCCAAGGTGCAGGCTATTTTTAAGGTAGGGCCACATGTGAGCTCATCTGCAGCCCTGGTCCAGGCTGAGTTGCTGCAAGGCCTATCTGGTAGTAGATTGGTCACCTTGAGGGGGCCAGGGAGCTGCAACTCTCCTCACTGCAGGGAAAGAAGTGTGCACAGGAGAGAGAATTCCTGTCCTTCCCTAGAAATATATTTCTCCTCCACCTCCTATCTTCTCTCTTCATTAACACAAAACAGTGTGGCATCATTGAGGTGTATTATTTTCATTAACATTGGCTTCAGGAATCAGCTGAAGACTAAAGACTAAAATTATGTTAAAAGCTCTAATTGGTTCGCAATAATATATGCTTAGTCTAATGAATTTCTGCATATGCAAAATTAGGAGTGAGATGTTGTCATTTGAATGTTTGTGTTATAACAAATACAGCGGTCATCATTCAGGGCATTTTATAGCTGAAACTGGGATTGGGATAGGGGACTCAACTGCCACCGTAAGCCTTTTGTTGGTAATATTTGTGGTTTTGGAGCAATCACTGCCATTGTGCACCTCTGTGAAATGGGGATAATCAACTCCTTTAGGACAACTGTTTGGTTTCTAATCTGTTTTCATGTTTGAATTTTTATTTTCCTTTAAATAGAGAATAGAAGAAATTATGAAGCGGACAAGAAAGACAGATGTGAATGCCTCAAAGGTAGTCTCCATACTCCTACCAGCAGTGTATAAGAATGCCTCTTGTTTCACATTATTGCCGAGTTTTTCACTTTACCCAATCTGGTGGTAATGAAATAAAGTATTACATTTGCATTTCCCTGATTATCAACAAGGTTGACCATGTTTTCATATCTTTAGTTAGCTCTCATATTTCTTTTGTGTGAAATGTTTTTTTTTATCTTTTGCCCAAGACTTTTGGGTTGATTTGTCTCATTGTGGTTCTTTAAATGTTATAGATACTGCTTCTTTTTTGGTTATGTGTTGCAGATACCTTCTCCCAGTTTACAGCTTATCTTTTCTTTTTCTTTTTTTCTTTTTTTTTTTTGTATACAATGTGTAATGATCAAATCAGGATAATTAGCAAATCCATCACCTCAAACGCTGATCATTTCTCTCTTTTTTTTTTTGAGACAGAGTCCCGCTCTGTCACCCAGGCCAGAGTGTAGTGGTGTGATCTCGGCTCACTGCAACCTCCACCTCCTGGGTTCAAGTGATTCTCCTGCCTCAGCCTCCTGAGTAACTGGGATTACAGGCATGCACCACCATGCCTAGCTATTTTTGTATTACTATTAGAGACAGGGTTTCAACATGTTGGCCAGACTGGTCTCGAAATCCTGACCTTAGGTTATCCACCTGCCTTAGCCTCCCAAAGTGCTAGGATTACAGGTGTGAGCCACCATGCCCAGCCAGTTTATCTTTTCTTAATGTTGTCTTCTTCTGGATAGAAGCTTTTTTTTTTTTTTTTTTTTTTTTTGAGATAAGAGTCTTGCTCTGTCACCCAGGCAGGAACACAGTGGCGCAATCATGGCTCACTGCAGCCTCCACCTCCCAAGCTCAAGCAATCCACCCATCTCACCCTTCCAAGTAGCTGAGACTACAGGTGCATGCCACCACACCTGGCTAATTTTTTATTTTTTATTTATTTATTTTTTTGTAGAAACAGGATTTTGCCATGTTGTCTAGGCTGGCCTTGAACTCCTGGGCTCAAGTGATGCACCCGCTTCAGCCACCCAAAGTGCTGGGATTGCAGGCTTGAGCCACCACACCCTGCATTCTGATTTTAATGTTCTTGAATTTACCAGTATTTTCTGATGACTAATGAAGTTAGGCACCTTTTCATAAATGCTTAGTGGCCTGTTGGAGATTTGCTTTGGTGAAGTACCTTTTCAAGTCATTTGCCCATTTTCCTATTTTGTCACCTGCCTTTTTCTGATTGAATTGTAGGTATTTTTACCTACACTGGTTAGGAGTCCTTTGGATATATATATTGCAGGTATCTTCTTCCATGCCATAGTTTGCCTCACACTCTCCTAATGTCTATTGATGAACCAGACAGAAGTTCTTCATTTTAACAAGTTCAAATTTATCATTTTTTCCCTTATGGTGAGTGTCTTTGTGGTCTGTTTCATCATTATTTGCTTACCCCAATGTCATGTCTTTTGATGGAGCACATGTATTCAAGGCCTTTTTCCTCCAGATTCTGTGCTTTTTACATTCTATGCTACAAGACTGATATTTTGTCTGTTTGTAATTACCCAGTTGTGGTCATTTGCATTAAATGACATGAGAATTTAGAGTAGAAATGCCATTTTCAAAAAGCGCTGGGAGTCATCATGTCAAAGTTCATTCAACTCATTGGGAGTTTTCCCTCAAGCAGCAACCAAAGGCTGGGTGCGGTGGCTCACGCTGGTAATCCCAGCACTTTGGGAGGCCAAGGCAGGAGGATCTCTTGAGCCCAGGAGCTCAAGACCAGCCTGAACAACACAGTGAGACCTTGTCTCTATAAAACAGTTTAAAAATTAGCCAGGTGTGTTGGCACATGCCTATAGTCCCAGCTACTTGGGAGGCTGAGACGGGAGATCACTCGAGTCCAAAAGTCTGAGGCTGCAGTGAGCTATGATCGTGCCACTGCACTCCATCTTGGGCAACAGAGTGAGGCTTTGTCCTCCCCTCTCCCAAAAAAAAAAAAAAAAACAGTCAAAAACTTTTTAGCTATTCACTGACTAGTCCCATCCCGCCTTAGTTAAGGTTCTGAGCAGGCAGAGAACAAATGCCAACCCAAAGTTATATTCCCTTGGCTCCTGCCCAGGGAAATCTTTCATTCTTGAATGTCTTCCTAGCTAAAAGACGCAGCTACGGGCACCTGTCCCTATCCCCCGTAGATTCTTGGGGCCAGTTAAAAGAGGTTATATTTTTTTACCTTTTCGTTGAAATGACAAAAATTAGCCATCAGTCCAGCTTTGAAGTCAGACTTTGTTGAAATTCTAAACCAGGATGATTGAATATTAGGCATAATCAAGATTTCCTTTTTTAATCGTAGGTCACAGAAACATCCAGCCATGACATATATGAAGAGGCTGAGGCTGACAACGAAGAAAGCGACAAGGACTCATTGAATGAAATGTTTCCATCAGGTTAGTCACCATTTAGGAGCTAGACTGCTTAGGTTCATATCCAGGGGCTCCTCTGCTTTTGAGCTGTGTGGCTTTGGGCAGGTCACTTAACCTTTCTGTGCTGAGTTTTTCCCATCTGAAAAAGGGGAAGCTAATGTCCTTTTCCTAGAGTGGATATGAGATTTCAGTGAGGTAAATCCATGTAATGCTAAAAACAGTGTCTCACACATAAACTCTCAATAAATATCAGCTGCTGCTGCTTATTATTTTAAAGACCATGCTAATGGACTGTAGACAGCAGCTCTTTCTCAGTTGAATGTGAGGATTGCCAGCATTTCATAGCTCAGCTCCTCAAGGCATCCATGTTGACCACAGGTGGAATTCCACTTTCCACTTCATTAAGAAAAATTGAAACCATGTCATAATAAGAATGCTTTCTCAAATGTATCATTGACTCCCTTACAAGTAGGAACCACTTTGTAGTAGCAGTAATTGCCATTTGAGAAAACACTATTTGTCCATATTTTTCCTGCCAGTGGATGTTGAACAGGAAAGTCAGGTCCTCTACTAGGTGCTGGGGATGAAGGGGTGAAAAGACATGGCCTCAGCTTGAAGGAGCCATAGCCAGTGGGAAGACAAACATATGAGCAAACCATAATACTGCCACAAGATGATTGGGTTGAAAGAAGTTTGGTGAAAATACAATGAGAACATAGCAGTAAGAGCCCCTCAGTCTGCCTTAGGGCATTGAGGAAAGCCGAAGATAGAAGGTAATATTAGAGGTAAGATGAGGCAGGGCAGTGGCTCACGCCTGTAATCCCAGCACTTTGGGAGGCCGAGGTGGGCGGATCACGAGGTCAGGAAATCGAGACCATCCTGGCTAACACGGTGAAACCCCGTCTCTACTAAAAATACAAAAAATTAGCCAGGCGTGGTGGCGGGCGCCTGTAGTCCCAGCTACTTGGGAAGCTGAGGCAGGAGAATGGCGTGAACCCTGGAGGTGGAGCTTGCAGTGAGTGGAGATCGTGCCACTGCACTCCAGCCTGGGCAACAGAGCGAGATTCCCGTCTCAAAAAAAAGAAAAATTAGAGGTAAGACGAAATGCACAAACAGAATTGTCTAGGTGAGTGATCAGGGGAGGGGTGAAAATCTGGAGCAGTCTTATCTCTGGTCATTATTCTTTCCTAGCAAAGGAAAAAGGACAGATTCCTTAAACGTAGCCTCTTGGTGCCTCAAGGGCAGGGTGAGTGTGTGTGCTGAGCAGTGGCCTGGGACATGGCTTGGGAAACTCTGTGACTGCTGGGCCTGCCTCCCAGGAGTACTGCTGCTTGACTCTTCCTGCCTTCAGGCAGGCAGTACCCACTCCCCATCCCATCAGGATCATAGCCTTCACTTTTTCTTGAATTCTTTATTGAAACTCCATATTTAATTGTGTAATTTTTTTTCCTAGCCATTCTAAATGGCACAGGCTCACCTACCAAATTTAAAATGCCGTTCAACAATGCCAAGAAAATGACACACAAGCTGGTATTTCTAGAAGATGGTACCAGCCAGGTCCGTAAAGAGCCAAAAACATATTTTAATGGCGATTTGAAAAACTTCAGACAAAAAAGCATGAAAGACACTTCAATACAGGAAGTAGTTTCAAGGTGAGTCACTTAGCCAGCTTATCTAAATAAACTTGGCAGGATTATGATTGACAATCTTAGAATGCTAGATAAATATGATCTCTTGTGCTCTTAGTTTGTACCAAACACCATGTCACATATTTGACTTAACGGAAATAAACTCATCCCCACAACAGCCTTGCTAGGTAAGGATCATCATCCCCATGTATAAAGACAAGGAGACTGAGGGTCAGAGAGGCTAGGGGCTTTATTTGCCCAATATCCTGCTATTAAAGGGCAGAGCCCAAATTCAATTCCAGATACATCTGGCTCCAAACTTTACTTTTGTTCACATTGGTTAATGTTATCTCATAAAGTTGGGCAAGAAGACATTTATTGAGTGATTGCTATATACCAGGCATTTTATATTACCTATTTCAATTATCATCACAACTGTGAGTGTGACAGTAATATCCTCATTTTATTATTTTTTTATTTTTCATTTTTTTTTTAAGAGTTGAGGTTTCACCATGTTGGCCAGGCTGGTCTTGAACCTCCTTGGCTCAAGTGATCTGCCCACCTCGGCCTCCCAAAGTGCTGGGATTACAGGCGTAAGCCACCACACCCGGCCATAATATGCTCATTGTCAATGTAAGGAAACAAGGTCAAAAGTTAGGTCAGGAGAGCAGGAACTGATTCATGGAAAGGAATGCTACATGGGCAATTGCCTGAGAAGACATTCACCTGCAAGGCCCACAGGAACAGGAGTCTGCTGAGAGGTGTGATGATGTGGAAGGAGCATTAGAGCTAGAGGACCTGTACCAATTCTGTTACTACACCTCACTGGCCGCATCCTTGACCAATGTAAGGGAGGGGCATGGTTTCTGGAGTCCTGCGTGCTTAGCTGCTCCTACTCCTGGTGCTTCCGTGGGACCTAGGGCTTTCTGGAATACAGTTTGAAAATCAGTGTGTCCTGTGATCTCTAGGGTTCCTTTCAGTCATCCTGTTCTATGATTCTGAAATGTTTTTTAATTCCAAGGCATTTCTTAGAAGTTAATTAAAGGACAAAGCTTCTTTTAGGCCAGAGCCTTGGTTTGGGAATAATTGGGATTCTAACCAAACTGTCTCTTTCCAGACCATCTTCCAAAAGAATGACCAGTCACACAACGAAAACCAGAAAGGCGGATGAAACCAACACCACCAGCAGATCCTCTGTTAGTATGAATTATGAGCAGCAGCGTATCTGTGACAAGATCACCAACATTGTTTAAGTCACACAGAACTATCTTTGTCACATTTTTCTCCTGACAGGCACAAACAAAATCTGAAGGATTCCATGACATCTTGCCAAAGTCCTCAGACACCTTTAGACAATAAGAGAAGAAGCAAACCTGTTTCTCCTCATTTGGGTAAGTCCTCATCTCATCTACCTTTTTCTTGAAAGGCAATTGACCCTGAACCCGCTCCCCTCCTTCTAGCCATTCCAGGGCAGTCTTTGCACCATATAGCTTTGGAAGAGAAGGAGAAGACAGTTGTGGGTCTGCAGGAATGATGTGAGAGTCTTCCATTAAGTTGGTTTTGAGAAAGTAGAGAGTAGATGACTTGATTCTAATTTTTATGTACCACATTTCAGGCCGGATATAAAAAATAAGTTCTGGCCAGGTGCAGTGGCTTACGCCTGTAATCCCAGCACTTTGGGAGGCCAAGGCGGGCAGATCACTTGAGGTCAGGAGTTTGAGACCAGCCTGGCCAACATGGTGAAACCCTGTCTCTACTAAAAATACAAAAATTAGCCGGGTGTGGTAATGCATGCCTGTAATCCCGGCTACTTTGGAGGCTGAGGCAGGAGAATCACTTGAACCCAGGAGGCGGAGGTTGCAGTGAGCCGAGATCCTGCCACTGCACTCTAGCCTGGGTGACAGAACAAGACTCTGTCTCAAAAAAAAAAATGATCTTTTCAAGCTTGCATCTCAGACTCCTCTGAGCTCCTGGTCTGCTGGTTGCTTGGCAAGCACACAGACAGTTGCTTAGGGCAGAAGATTAGGGAGGTCTTCGGAATAAGCCTCAACCTGTTTCCAAAACCAGAAGCCTCTTGTTTTTCTTTCCTTGAGAAGTTCTCTTTGAAATTGAGAAGCACCTTGGGCCTGGTTGGGGACTGGGGAAGTGAAGGACATTTATAGGACCAGTGTGTCAGCAACTCCAGAGGGGCTGCTGAGAGTCCTGGGCGTGTGCCCTGAAGGGAGGCCAGGGACAAGTTGCTGTGAGACTAGCATCTTCTCTACTGATCTTTCTTTTACTTTTCCCTCTGGTCAGATATGTAAACCTTACTCAGCCTGGGAGATGAATACATCTTCCACTCTGGATAACTCAACTCCTGGGCCCATCAGTCCTCAAATTTTTCTGCTTCTGACTTGAACCTGGTAAAGGAAGTGACACCGAAAAATTGAAAGAAACTGTCAAAAGGCCACTTTGATGTATATCTCAGATGTTAAAGTCATCTTATTCTCTTGTGTCTAAGCAAGAGTTCTAAGTAAAGAGTGGTTTTTGTTTTCTTTGGAAAATCATCATTGTCTCTCATTCTTGTGTTGTCCCACCAATGTGTTTGCTGGAGTGAGTGCATCAAGGATGCTTTCCTGAAACTGTAACTGTGGAGTTTCTAGAAGAATCTGATTGCAGAACTAATTCTCTTTCAGTATATATTTGAAATCTTAAAGTAATGCTTTTTCTTTTTCTTTTTCTTTTTTTTTTTTTTGAGACGGAGTCTTGCCCTGTCGCCCAGGCTGCAGTGCAGTGGCACAATCTCGGCTCACTGCAACCTCCGCCTCCTCATCTCAAGCAATTCTCCTGTCTCAGCCTCCCCAGTAGCTGGGATTACAGGCATGTGCCACCACACCTGGCTAATTTTTTTGTATTTTAGTAGAGATAGGGTTTTACCATGTTCACCAGGCTAGTCTCGAAATCCTGGCCTCAAGAGATCCACCCGTCTTGGCCTCCCAAAGTGTTGGGATTACAGGTGTGAGCCACTGCACCCAGCCAAGTAATGCTTTTTCTGTGTACCAGTGACAATTTTGACAGCTAAAAACTCACAGTTGATCTTGTAGAGAACAGAATAGATTATGCAAGGGCCGCAGGATCGCTCACAAGAGCTGTCAGATTGTTTCTAATATAAAAATACCAAAGGTTGCAAAATCCAGCAAATTGTATTTTACTGTGATATATGTATATTTTTAACTCTACCCATCTGTGCCAGTGAGTACACAGGCACTAATAACCTGAAATGCTGGGAGTCCTGTAAAGCCCCATCTTGGAACAGTCAGCACCTTTCATGCTCTTGTCAGTGTTTCCTTTTGAAGGACATATTGGTGTTTATCTACAGAAACATATATTATTTTTATTGTGTACATAAAGGAGTATATGGCTGTTGTCCCGTGGGGTATGTTTAATTCCTCTAAATGTTTAAAGTACTTTTCTGCCTGTACTCTCCAGTTCTGTCGTTGAGTATACACTCAGGCTTGAGATACAACCAAAATTTGCTTGCCTTTCTCTAGCCACTGGCTGCCAGTGAGTTCGTGTGATGGGCACACAGAAATGCACACAGATGTACATACACGTATGTATGCACACACAGTATATGATTCCATAAAATTCAAATGCAGATTAATTCTCCTAATGAGTTTTCAGTGTTGAATCGTAAATAGTCTGAAGCAGGCCAGTGTTCCTTTTGGCTGCCAGTCTTGGATTAGTAAAAGGAGGTAATTCTTTCAGATTCCCTGGTTCTTTGCCACTCAGAGTATTGTACTTTTGATATAGAATAGAGAAGGTTACCTTTGGTTTAAAAACTATTTTTATATACTAGCTCTTTCATGTATAAAACAGAGACAATCATCCTAACAAAAGAGTTCCTGTTATTTTTCTGCACAAATGTCTTGTGTTGAAACACTGTTACAGTTCCATATAAATGTGTGCTATATAAAATAAACTTTGGAGATAAAACAAGGGTTTTTTCATTATAATACTAAAAAAAGTGTACTGGTGGTGGTATAAAGGCAACACCAATTGTTGGCTGAGCTATGAACACAGGCAGCCAGCAAATTGAATGAACAGGGATCAAATCCCCTGATTTCCCTCTTCATCCAGTTGGTGATTTGGCAGAGTTCCACTTCTGGAATAGAAAGATGTGAGTTTTTTTGTTTGTTTGTTTGTTTTAGAGACAAGGTCTCACTCTGTGGCCAAGGCTGGAGTACAGTGGCACGATCATAGCTCACTGCAGCCTCAAACTCTGAGGTTCATGCAATCCTCCCACCTTAGCCTCCTGAGTAGCTGGGACCACAGTCATGGCACCATACCTGGCTTTTTTTTTTTTCTCTTCGTCTTCTTTCTTCTTTCTTCTTTCTTCTTCTTCTTCTTTCTTCTTCTCTTTTTTTCTTTTTTTTTTTTTTTTTTTTTTAGAGATAGGGTCTTGCTATGTTGCCTAGGCTGGTCTTGCACTCCTGGCCTCAAGTGATCTTCCTGCCTCAGCCTCCAAAAGTGCTGGGATTACAGGCATGAGCCACCACACCCAGCCTAGATGTGAGTTTTCAAGCTCTGGTTGTCTTCCTGCAACTATTTCAGTGCTTGTTACTCTTCCCTGTGATGGTTCTGTTGTATAAGTTGAGGCTTATTACTGCAGTATCTTTTGATTTTTTTAAAAAAAATATTTTGTTTTTTCTTTCTTGCCCTGGTTTATGGTGCTGATCTTGCTTTTTTTAATCCCAATAAAAATCATATAACCTAAAAGTAACCATTTTAAAGTGTATATTCACAAGGCTGTGCAGCTATCCCCACTGTCTAGTTCTGGAACATTTTCATCACCCTGAAAAGAAAATCTGTGTCCTTTAAGCAGTCACTCCCCTTTCCCTCCTCCCCTTGCCCCTTTAATTCTCACATTCAGTGCTCACCTTGGATGAGGAAAACCCTCTTGCTTTGAAAAGTCTGGGCAGTTAATTGTGCTCTTTTATACTCATCTCTTAATGACATCACTGTTACTGTGAGTGGCAAAACAAATGTTCTGATCTGCCTGTGAGTGTTTAGTTTCCAATCTTAAGTCATGCTTTACTCCAGCAGTCCCCAACCTTTTTGGCACCAGGAACTGGTTTTGTGGAAGACAAATTTTCCATGAACCTTTGGTGGGGATGGTGTGGTGGTTTTAGGATGACTCAAGTGCATTACATTTATTGTGCACTTCATTTCTATTATTACATTGTAATATATAATGAAGTAATTATACAACTCACCATAATGTAGAATCAGTGGGAGCCCTGAGCTTGTTTTCCTGCAACTAGACGGTCCCATCTGGGGGTGATGGGAGACAGTGACAGACCGTCAGACATTAGACTCTCATGAGAAGCACACAACCTAGATCCCTCACATGCGTGGTTCACAATAGGGTTCTCACTTCTATGAGAATCTAATGCCACCACTGCTCTGACAGGAGGCCGAGCTCAGGCAACAATGCAAGTGATGGGGAGCCACAGTAAATACAGATGAAGATTTGCTCTCCTGCCACTCACCTCCTGCTCTGTGACCCAGTTCCTAACAGGTCACAGACCAGCACCAGTCCGTGGCCCAAGGGTTGGGGACCTCTGCTTTACTAGGTTTTGTTTTTGATAAGGCAAGGTCCTTGTTTATCCCAAGTCTTTGGGGTCTGGTGCTTATGAGAATGGTGGTAGCCATTCCCCACTGAACATGCTAGAGCATTCTATATACTTTTAAATCAGCACGAACTAGACACATCCCATTCCTGTCAAATTCCAGAAATCCCATTCCTCCTTGTGTCTCATCTGAGCTGGAAACTCTTCACTGCCAAGTCTGGCGCCAGGTCCTGTTGATCCATCCATTGAAACTGTCTACCAGGATGTTCCTGTTTACAAGGCCAAGGTGATGGACACTGACCTAGCTTTCCCCTCACGCATTGCTGCCTCGCATTTCCCTTCCTGGTATCCTCTACCCGGAGGGACAGACCCCTGGCCTCTACCAGCAGATTCTGCAGATCAGCGCATTTTCTACGCCTGTGTCATTGTGGACACTGCATGTGGAATGAAGTTTTTTAACAGCTCCAATCCCTAAAAACCACAAGAATGCAGTGTGAAATACCATAAAGAATGCCAGACAGGCCCCTGAAGACCTGAACCCAGCTGAGAGGGCTGCTAGCTCACGTGTGACATTGTGCACGTTGTTGCTCTTCTCTGATCCCTGTTCCTTGTCTGTCAAATGAGGGGGCTGTGCTACAATCTCTGCAGCCTTTTCAGTTTTGAGACTCCACTGTTCTCAAACACCTCTAACTCCTTGGAGCCAGAGCAAGAGGGATCAGGAGGCATAAAACAGCAGCGATGGCCAAGGAGCCAGAGCGTGGAGGCGGACTGTGCATGACATTTTATCATGTCAGGGGGCAATTCCCTGTCATTTTCAGTGACCCCACCCCTCCAGTGCCTGGCCGGCCTGGTTGGTCAAAACAGGCCCCGAAACAGCCTCCTTGCCTTTGGTCTCCTTACCAGTCCAGTTACAGTGTTTCCAGATGGGTCCTAGGCACCCATCTGATTCTAATTTCCCCAACTGTATTGTAATCATTGCAGTTAGGTTTACATGTGCAATATGCAAGGTACTTGATAGGCATTTTCTTTTTGTTTTTTTGAGATGGAGTCTCGCTCTGTTGCCCAGGCTGGAATGCAGTGGCGTGATCTTGACTCACTGCAACCTCTGCCTCCCAGGTTTAAGGGGTTCATCTGCCTCAGCCTCCTGAGTAGCTGGGACTACAGGCACACACCACAACACTTGGCTAATTTGTGTATTTTTAGTAGAGACAGGGTTTCACCATGTTGGCCAGGCTGGTCTCGAACTCCTGACCTCAGGTGATCTGCCTGCCTCAGCCTCCCAAAGTGCTGGGATTACAGGCATGAGCCACCGTGCCCAGCCAGGCATTTTCAATGCTCACAACAACTCTATGAGGTGTGGGTATTCATTTATGCCTATGAGGACACTGAAATTTGTGGAGAGCAGCATTTGTTCCAGGTCACACAGCTGGAAAGAGACAGAGCTGATATTCAAACCCAAGTTTGTCCCTCAAACTAACACCCCACACTGCTTTGGGAGTGGACATAGTGTCTTGAGGCTTGCAGGGTATGTCACAGACACCAGAGCAGTGTCTTTGGTGCTGGGAATGAAATGTTTGTTGGCATTTAGTGTGTTTACTGGGTGCCAGTCCCCTCACTAAGCACCTGCATTATGTCTCCCACATGGGATTCTGCAAAGTAGAAATTTTACGTCTCACAGGTGAAGGATCAAGCTCAGAGAGGTTAACTTGCCCACAGTCTCATGACTACAAAGTGGCAGAGCAGCCAGGATTTGAACCCTGGTAGCCTGGTGCCAGAGCCCACCCTGTTAACCACAAGCAGAGAGGTTCTTGATATTCTGATCCCATTAATTATGAGGGAGAAAATGTTTCTCTGCTGACAAATTGTTAAGGGGAAATTTACCCTCATTTCTCCTGAGCCTTAGGGGTGTCACTCTTAAAATCGCATATTCAACAAACAAATGCCTTCTAAGTACTGAGCACTGTGCACGATGGTTTTATTGTGATGTGTCTATTTTTTACGACAATTTAGTGTCATGAGTGATATGCTAGAGGTGTGTCTAGGGTGTGGCTTGTCACTTATTAGCTGTGTGACCTTAGGCAAGCTTCTTAACCTGTTTTCTCATCTGGGAAACGGGAGTGATGGTGCGTGTCAGCTGTGATGCGTGTAGGTGCTTCACAAGATGCTGAAGTGTGAACGGCAGGCAGGCATCACGAAGCAAGCAATAGTTAGAAGCTGACTCCGGATAGACCTCAGTCTCCCGGGTGAGGAAGGTGGTGGAGGCGGTCTTGGGACTTTGGGCCAAGTGGCAGAGTAGTGGGACGGGGAATTTTAGGCCAGGGTGCTTTTCCTCAACAGAGCTCAAGCCATCCACTCAGGTTTTGCAGGCCAAGCAGGCTAGAAGGGCAAAGGGATAACAGGAGTGAGGAGGGAAACGAGTGAAGTGCAAACCATAGAATGTAGGGCAGATGCGGAGGGGCATTAGGGTGGGAAGGGGCTGAGAAGGAGGGTGGACCGAGGACTGGAGGGAAAGGAACTGTCGCAGTGAGGAGGAGTTCCGGAATGGGAAAGAGCACGTGGGTAGGAAGGAGAGCATGCGTCTGGATGCTGAAGGCCCAGGGCTCAGCCGAAATGGATTGAGAGCATAAGCCGGGGCCAAAGCCCTTAGTGAAGGCAGATGGGGCCCCCTCTCCATCCCAGGCCTGTCTTCTGTCCCCTCTCCCCGTGGGGCTCCTTTCCTTGCTGCAGCCTCAGGAACTCAGCCCACTCCCTTGGGAGCAGTGAGGGCAGCCACTCCCCATCCCCTGAGCCAGCCTCACTGTCCCTGGGGCCCCACATGACTGGACAGACTTCATTGGTTTCAAGGTTTTCATGGCTAATTTCTGTAAGGAAACACACACAAGGGGATGTGCCACATTCCTAAAAGTGCTCATGGTTTCTTGCTGACAGGTTCAGTTCCCTTCTCAGAAGGCAAACGTTAGCACCAAAGGGCTTCTGTCCTTTGCTTTTATCACCCTCAGCATGTGGCCCAGTTAAGACTAACACCCCCTCCTCCCACCCAGTTCTGCTTGTACTTTGACGAGGGGCCCTTATGGTCTGAAGCCTCTTCCACCAGGAGAGTGCAGCAGACACCTGTCGCATGGGGCCTCTTGTGCTGTGCCGTAAGGGCCACATGGGTGTGGGCAGGTTGGATGACCCAAGAACACGAGCCTCAGAGGTGAACAAAAGACACTGGTGTGTGGTGCTAGTCTAGAAGCAGCGGCAACTGGGGAGCCTCAATGCCAGGCCAACCCCCTGCCTCTGCCCACGGCATCCCTGCATGTTCCCCCTAACTGAAGTGCATGGGCCCAAATGGGCAGCTTCCTTAGTGAGCCACATCCACAAGAAGGAGCGAGGGTGTCATTCAGCTGGCAGGTGGAGGCAGCCGCAGTTGAGATGGTCACGTTCAACCTGGACCCCAGGCTCCAGAGGGCACAAGGGGAAAGGCACACCGAGGAAGCACCCAACAAACAGGGACCAAGATGGCTTCTCAGTGCCATGCTTCATCAGGGATTCCCTCCCTAATCCCCTGGCCAAATCAAACCAATTCATCGTTTTCTTTCTTTTTCAGGGATGTGAAAATCTGGGAAATACTATTTTAGGTCAGAGTGGTTTCTGTTTGTTTTTAATTATTTATTTATCAATCAAGTGTGGTTTTTACAGGTTTGTTTATAATTCCTATGTTCTGTGCGCCTGCACTAAAGTGAGTATATCCTGGAAGGAAAATAAGTCATTTAGGTTTCTGGATTAGGAGTATCACCTTATAGCGATTCCACCAGGCAGAATGAAAAGACAGGAGGCAGGTTATTCATATGCTGCTTTATTTCTGTAAGGATACACTGAAACGTTAGATGATAATAGCTAATGACAGAATGTAGAAATGAGGCATCAGCTTCTCTAACCACTCCTACAAGAATGTTAGTATGTATTGTCATTACATGTTTACTTTTGATATTGTCTCATTATACTATGTCATATAATAATGTAGAATACAGTAAGTAGGTGATCCTGCATTTCAGGTAAGCGGTAGGTGGAAATCCAGATTTCCTCTTGAGGAAAAGTCCTAGGAATCACAACAGAAGGGACTTTGCAGTCCTCATTAACACATGGACAAAGAGCAGACAACTACTACGTTACAAGGGATTCAACTAGTCACTGTTGTGAAATGTCATATCCATGTTGATGACAGCCCTGGCGCCTGCTCAACTCCCCCTCTAGAGTTTTGCGGTTACTTCCGTAGGATGAATTTCAGCACTGCAGGAACATCTGAGGGGGCTAAAATATTTTCATGCAAGTTTCCAAACCCATAAACTATTTTGCTATCAATTAAAACAAAAATATTAATTAAAAACAATAAAAAGGACAGCAGGGTTAGTTTTGTTAAGCTTCCAGAAGTATTCGTTGTGACGATGTTCCTCTGAAACAGGCTCGTTTTCTCAGGTCTTTCTACACTTCCCAAATCACCTGCATGTTCCATGCTTTAAAGTAGGAACGCTCAGAAAACATGCCACACGGGGAAACCAAACGTTAGTACGGGGAAAGGTCAGTTTAGAATTACAGCTAAGTTCAAATGTTAATTTTCTGGAAGTTCGTGTTAGTTATTTGAAAGCACAAAAGAACAGAAGGAAGGGCAGAGTTCTGATGAGGAAGTTAAACCATGCATGTCAGTAGGGTTCTTTTCCTGCTCACAGAAGAGGGTGAGCAGTGAGTTGGAGCAGCCGCTGCAACTCTTGCATGTCGTGTGTCTACACGGTGGGTCCCAGCTGAGGCATGAGAGGCATCTCAGTGGGGGTTTTATCTCCTATGCTTCTTGCTTACATCACTAAGTGGCTAAATGATTAGCACTTTTCTGCTCTATGAGAAACATGCAGAAGAGTCAATCTACCTAAGTTTTCATTTTTAAATTGCAGCCGGACAGAAATTCACTTTGCTGCAGGGTTGCTTTTTGCTAAATGCTAATATGATCACTGTGTGCCCTTATTTGAGTAATACTGTAAAATGGGAGAAAAGACGGAAGGAGAACTTTAAAGAAGGGAAGGACCACTCTTCCCCTATTGATGGTATAGGGCAGAAAGTAAGGACACAAAGAACGAGATTCAAATGCCATTTTACAGGACAGGAGCCCCTGTCAGTTTACAGCTTTTTGGCACAGTCGGGACAATACACTTGCTCCTGGTGGAAAACAAAGCGCTTGTTGGCCAGATTCACGGAGCATTTTTTGCAGTGGAAGCAGTAGTCGTGCCAGGATTGTCCTTCATAGGCCACCACACTGGAGCCTTTACCAAACCCTGGGGGGAAAAAAAAAGAAAAGAAAAGAAAACAAGAGAAACAGCTGAATGAATACAGGTGAGGAAACCACGATTCAGAGAGATAAAATGACGACCTGCCCCACTCACAGACCGACAAGCACGCAAGAGCCAGGTCTGCCTGGCTCCCAGACCCCCTCCTCCACTCCATCGTGCACAGTCCCCCACGCCGCCATTGTCCCCCATGCCGCCGCAACCCTGCTGTGGCTCTCAAGGACCTGAGAAGATGCTGAAGCCCGGCCAAGGGCTTCCCTGATGTAAAGACCCCACGTTCCCATGCCACCACGCTATTGCCCTGTGACGCGCACCGACCTCCCAGCATAACCAGTTTCTTTGATTTAGGTCAGGGCCATGACATCAAAGTGGCCACCAGGAGGCAAACTTGGGCTGTTCGTGGGGTGTGCACTTACCGGGCCTCGAGGAGCTGCTAAGCTTCGATTTTTTCTATAAAGAACCACCACCCACGAGGGACAAGTCCTCTCTCCACCCGGATGCCTGCCCCGGAGGTTGGCGCTGGGAAACAGGGTGAGAGGCAAGCGTTTCCCGTGGCACACTGGGGGCTTCCTAGCTTTAGAGACTGGGTGGCTCACTCTTGACACAGTCCTTTTCCCTGAGGATGGCAAAAGTCTTCTCAAATGTACATTTCAAGGCTCCCCGGGAAGATGGGAAAATTGGAGGCAAGGGAAAGGGCCCAGGGCACGTGGATCGCGGCCGCGAGATGAGGAATGAAGTGATTAGCTTTGCTGATCGCAAAAACAAATAAACAGCAAACCAAAAAAAAAAGAAACCCTGCCAACAGGCATCTCTGAACTAGCCTTCAGCTATGGGGTATTACAATCCCGGGTTATCACTCTTCGGCCTCCCTTACCCCTTCCCCACCCTCCCCCACCCCCTTCTTTCTACCCTCCTCCCACCCCTCCCCCCAGAATCCCCCTGCAAAGTGGCAGTGCCTGCCGGTGTTGGCTGGCAGGTCTCAGGCTTGTGAACTCTCAGCATTGTTAGTCAACAGTCAGGAAGTGTTCTGTATTGCAAAGGCTAACCTGGCCTGGGGACGAATCCAAACTCTTGGGGGGCCTTTGGGACCACAATAGCAGGGGGAGAAGGGCATTCTCTGGGGGCCTTTGTGGATGAAACCGACGACAGGAAAATGAGAGATGGTTACCATGCGCAAAACCTAGCCTGGCAGACTTAGCAAGGACTCTTTAGCCTACCAGTGATGGGGTTCTTGCATCCAGCACACTTCTTGGCCACAAAGTTCTTGTAGCAATCCACGCAGTAATACTGGTCCTCCACAGCGGTGAAACGCTGCCCAGCCAGCTTCTTAGAGCAGGTAACACACACAAAGCAATCGGCATGCCAGGGCTGATCCTGGTAAGTGATTCCTCCAGATGTGATGGCCTAGACCAGGGAGTGTAGCACCGGATTCAGATTCAACAACCATTTTGTTGAATGCCTACTGCGTGCCAGGCACTGTGCTGGGCGCTTTGGTATACAATATCTCATTTAATCTCCACAACAGCCATGGGAGGCAGGGGCTATTATTATCCCCACTTTACAGATGAAGACACCAAGGCTCGGAGAAGGTGAGCCCCTATGTGAGGTTACACAGCCCCTAAGTGGTGGAGGCAGGCTTCTAGAGCCAGGGCTGCCCAGCTCAGCATGCCATACGGGCCACCCGCACCACCAGGCTGAGGATGCGTACTGACAGCCTGACTTGGCTGTGGCACTGCTTCCTAATCCACGATCTCCTCATCTGTAAAACGGGAATAATAATTCCTACGTCACAGGGCTGTCGTGAGGATGGAATGGGATAGTGTGTGTGGAAGTGCTCTGCAAACTGTCAAACACTTCTAGAAACAACGGTCAATGCAGAACTCCCTTGAAAGCATACCTTGTTGCACTTCACGCAATGCTTGGCAAACTTGGTCTCATGGCAAGTCACGCAGTAGAAGTCCTCCCCTTTAGGGAAGAAGCTTCCAGTCCCGATGACTTGCTTGCAGTTACTACAGGTGAAGCAGTCTTTGTGCCAGACGGTCCCCTTGTACTCCACGTTTTGATCTCCTGCAGAGGGAAGCAATTGGATAGCCCCACTGACAGGCTCTGCAGGGGGCTGCATCCACTCAGCTCCCCTCCCCAGGCCCTCCAGAGGTGAGGGGATGCAGGCCCTGCAGTTACTGGCCTCACACCTCCAACTAACCTACCTGTGTTCTACTTGTGCTTGTGCCAACCCAGGATTTCTGTCATGGGTGGGGACCCCAGCATTATTATTTTAGGATCCAGTGCCTGAATCCCCCACTCCCCCACCTCTATACCCTGCGTGCACTTAGACATTAAATCAGGGACTGCCTGGCCCAGAATGACACCCTGAGGAAGAAGCATGCTTTCATCACTTACTACGCCCAAATGAGAAAGCGCTACATACTGTTCACTTCATTCTGTTGCCACAGGCTGTTCTCGCCAGTGTTCTTTAGTCTCCGAGTGTGTGCGTGTGTGCGAGCATATATGTGTACGCATATATACGTGTATGTATATGTGTACATATATATGCTAAGATCTCAAAGCAGCTCAGAGCAACGTTAGCCCCACCATGATAAGCAAGCCCACATCACGTCTGCCCTCAGGGCCTCCTCCCTGGGAACCCGGGGTGGGAAGGAGGCAGTACCTGCCACAATGGCCTTGAAGCACCCCTTGCACTTGGGGGAGTCCTCCCGAGTGGTGCACTTGTTGCACAGGATCTTGTTGTCCTTGGCCACAAAGGTCTCATTGGCCAAGGGGTGAAGGCACTTGGCACAGCGGAAGCAGGTGTCATGCCAGAAGCGGTTCTTATAGTGCACCTCCTGGAAACCAAGCAGACAGGGTGGGCCACCATGAGGGGTGCTGGGGGTGGTGGCAGGAGCCCTCCCATAAGGCTGATTTCCCTGGGACTGACCACTGAGATGACACAGTCCCTTACACCTGGGACTGCCCCACAGTGACTATTCTTATAGGAGGGACGCTGAGGTGAGGATAAAAATCTCACAATTCTTGAAATATTTAGAATGCAATCAAAAGAGCTGGCAAGGGCGCTGGCGCCCATCCAGTCAAGCCCCACATTAAACAGCTCGGGCCACTGTGGCCTGGGGAGTGGAGGAGGCTTCCTTGAGGCCTCAAGGTGGCTGCAGTGATGCTGGGAAATCCTAACAGCCAGCTGCTGCTGCCATGGTTGTGGGCAAAGGACACTCCAAAACCCAGCCCTTCCCATTGGCACATGGGGATGCCCGTTACCTTGGAGTCCGCACCGATGGGCTTGCGGCATTCCACACAGGTGTTGGCACAGAACTTGTCAAAGCATTTCAGGCAGCAGTGGTGGCCATCCTTTTGCACATACTTCTTCCCCTGCAAGGGATCCCTGCAGTAGTGGCAGTCAAACTTCTCCGCCATGGTGCCCACCTTGTAGCTGGAGGGACCTGCGGGGGCAAGCAGACAGGACAAATGACCACAGGAAATGCCCCAGCACCCTGAGCAGTGGCTCCCAGAGGCACCTGCACAATGCTGCCTTGGAGTCCATGGGGTCTGAGGACCAAGACCCAGCTTCCCCTTCAGCCGAGCTGACTACCAGGCACCAAGACAACAGATACTTCACTATGATTCCAGGAACAAAAGCACCCCGCGGGGCCAGATGGCCGATGGCTAGTGATTCCCTGGGGAGATGGTAGAAGCCCCTGCTCAGATATATCAACTGTGCTGATTCACAAAAGATGCGGAGCGGGGCAAGTGGATCAGAGCCTGTGTTGGCCAAGTCACCAGATAGGGGACAGGATGCTGGGAGGTATGGCTGAGCAGTGCTATTGTGCCATTGAGCAGTGACCCGATGGAGTGGAGGGGTGTGATGGGGCAGGCAGGCAAGAAGCAGTTGTTTTATACAAAGGAAGAGTGTGGGGCAGAGGCTCAAAGGGGTGCAGGAAAGCAGGGGCCCCGCCTGCAGGCAGCAGCTTCTCTAAGCCCACCACGTTGTCATCAAGAAGCCTCTCTGCCCGCTTTCAGCTCTTCCTCCGTCTCTTTTTAGGGAGGGTAGTATCCTCTGGAGGCCTCCCGTTCCTCCTATCTATAAAATTCTATTCATCAGAATAGAAACTGACAGCTCATTCTGTACCACACCAGGTACCTAAGCAATCCTTGTTAATTTGTTTAAAATGTTTAAATTTACTTGCAATTTAGCAGAAAAGTGTTAAATCCCTGAATAGATCCTAAAGAGTTTTGTCCAAGAGAGTTTACTGCCTTTTGAGGCCAGAGCAATATAGCAAGAGAGGACTTATATAAATGGCTTTGTCAATTGGCACAGGCAAGTTTGGCAACCTTGAATTATCTGTCATAGTCACGGGTGGCTTTGTGACCAAAATCAAACCCTCCCTTGAGTCAAGCAAGTGAGAATCAATATGCTCATAGAAGTGTAACCAGTATTACCATTTGGGATATTTGCTGTCTTAAAAATTATAATCTTAAAATAGAGTCTGGAAAAAATTATTCCAAGAATCCCTTCCACTCCCTCCGTATGAACAACCCCTCTTCCCTCCCTGGTCCCCTCCCCGGCTGTGGCCCTAGACAACACGCCTGCAATCCCAAGCATTACTAAGGCACTCTGCAGCTCCCTTTGCCAAGGCATTTCCTATAGAATCCTGCCACCCAAAAGGTACCAAATATGAGTTTCTATTAGCTTTCAACTTCTTTAAACATATGCTAATTTGTTCCTCTCCCCCGAAAAAGAAATTTGCACGGGTAAATAGATAGCAATTATTTCATTTGTGCAGGAAATACAAGAATTGAGACTACTTTCTAAAACTATCCACAAACATGGTTATTGTGCTAGCAAACTTCCAGCGTAATTTAGAGAGAAAGAATGAGAGAAAATAAATGAGCAGTTGCCTGGTACTCACCGCAGCTCTTCCACTAACTGAAAGCCCCAAAGTCTCACTTTGGGTTCCATTCCCAGGTTTTTTTTATACAAACACATGTCCAAGTTATTTGGATCTTGTTGCCATGAGCAACCAAACAGCAGAGAGTGAGCTAAGGAAACCACACCCTGTGTTTGAGAAGCCGCCTGGGCAAAGGCTGTTGAACTCTCACTCAGAACCAAGCCTCCAAACAAAGGAAATCAGGCCACTGGATGAGCCACAGGGCCTTCTGCCTCCTGCTGACACACAGACCCCCCTCATCTCTAAGGAGCTGGCAGATGAAGCAGATGAGTGACATTCTTGTGCAAGGACAGTTGCTTAGGACAGTTGTGTCACAATTAAGAGACTTAGCAAGACCAGAGAATGGTTCTAACTTGAACTTTTCTCTAAAAAGCAAACTGGGATGTTTCTTTATATAATGGGTTAGAAACAAAAACTAGAGACGCAATGGACACAGGGCCTATCTCCTTGAACTATGTACTGTTTAGGTAAGGAAGCTTTTAAACTGCTTTTAGCCTGTGTGTCTACAGAGAAAAGTACCTGTCCCAGTGACAGCATATGGAAAATCACTCTCTTTAATCCATTCTTGTTGGTCTTTCCAGTGTCACACAGAAGCCTCGTCTTAGCTTTGCCATACTGATAATATTGTGCCCTCAACAAAGACTTGCTTTCTTGTTAAGGGCTGAGTTGAGAAACCAAATAAATCTCCAGTAACGGCAAGTGGCAAGAAATAAATTATCAGTTGCTCCTAAATGCCATTTGGCAGGAAAACAGAATTTGTAAGATTAGACAGCACTGGCTTCCTGCATGGCTAGTAACCATTGCTGGTTTAGCCTTTCAGAGACTATCTTCTGGACCATATTTGAAAATCCCTCATTCTCTCTTACCAAGGTCTCTATTTAGTATACAACTTTGAACCTACTCGTTTTAGTATCACTTGCTTTTGATACCTTTATAAGCAGAAATTGATTCCAAATATTTCTAAGTTAAAGTACTATATAAAGTTCCACCTAAGGTGAGTCAAACCTCTTAGTATTTGAGTCCTAGCTTTATGGTAAGAAATACAGGTTAACTAGTGTCATACCAAAGAAAAAACACTAGAAAACACAATGAATGCCATTTAGAAGTAGAGGTTTTGAAGAGAAGGAAAACTGCATTATGGTTCAAAGTACCTGAGAGATCTTAACTGCCATGTTTTTCACACTTTAAAACCACACACTTTCAGTACTTTGATATTACCAGTGCAAAGTTCTTCATTGTTTAGTCTCATAGTTCTAGAACATGACTTGCTCAGAGTTCTAAGCATCCAGATGATAAAATAATCCACAGCTCACCAGTGAAGATAGAAGTAACAAAGGGTGTTGAAAATGTCAGACAATGAAGTCACTGGCCACTGTATCATTCCTATAGTACATGGTCTTAAACCAAGCAAAAGGAAAATTAAATGAATCAACCCCAAGTTAATAGTACCCATAAGAAGAGTTTCATCTCTTGGTATTTTTGAATCCTAGCTTTAGGCAAGATTTTTTCACTCTGAGTTTGAAAACTCTAGGGTCACCTTACACCTTAGATTCCCCACCACTCTATACTTAAACCTGCAGTCTGTATCCAGATGGAGAATCATTTCAAAGGGCATATTCTTTTAGAATACATTTCTACAATTCACTTGAGTCCTTTTAATGTGTGTGGAAACAATTAGTCTAGATAAAATAGGCACTTCTAGGAATGTTGGATTTGTTGCATAATAAGTAAACAGGCTAGAAATACTTAAAGTATGTTAACAATGTCTATGTCAAATTCATGAACTTTCGTATTTGTTTTGCAATAAATCAAATTAAGTGGAACTCTGGGCAACCTGAATTAGCTTACGTCACGTACTTCTAAATTTATGATTATTTGTTACAAAACAATTTCAAACCCTCATGCACGCAGTGTGCTCAGGATGAAGTTGGAGGAGATACTGATCACGTCACAATTTTGTATAAAATATGAATGATGTGCTGATGTGCACAAGACCAAAACAACTCTAAAAAGCCAGCTTATAAATGACAATGCTGAGACACACATGCAAAGATCCTGAGTGTGGGCTCCCTGAGTCTGAGCTACTATCAAGCTTTGACTTCATGAGGAGAGAAAAGCTTGCTCTTTCTTTCTTTCTTTTTTATTTTAGACGGAGTCTCGCTCTGTCACCAGGCTGGAGTGCAGTGGCGCAATCTTGGATCACTGTAACCTCTGCCTCCTGGGTTCAAGTGATTCTCCTGCCTCAGCCTCCCGAGTAGCTGGAACTACAGGCATGTGACACCACACCCAGCTAATTTTTGTATTTTTAGTAGAGACAGGGTTTCACCATGTTGGCCAGGATGGTCTCGATCTCCTGACCTCATGATCCACCTGCCTTGGCCTCCCAAAGTGCATTTTACAGGCGTGAGCCACCGCACCTGAGATTACAGGGGTTACAGGCATGAGCCACCGCGTCCATCCCAGCTTGCACTTTCTTTTGTTTGAAATGAGAGAATAGGGAAAAATGAAGATAGCATTTTACCTCTTTGTTGTTGTTGAGACAGGGTCTCGCTCTGTCACCCAGGCTGAAGTGCAGTGGTGCTATCCTGGCTCACTGCAACCTCCACCTCCTGGGTTCAAGCAATTCTCCTACCTTAGCCTCCTGAGTAGCTAGGACTATAGGTGAATGCCACCACGCCTGGCTAATTTTTGTATTTTTAGTAGAGACGGGGTTTCGCCATGTCGGGCAGGCTGGTCTTGAACTCCTGACCTCAAGTGATCTGCCCACCTCGGCCTCCCAACTTGATGGGATTGCAGGCATGAGCCACCATGCCCAGCCAGCATTTTACCTCTTCTTTTGGGCTCTCTTCAACCTTACAGAATTACATGTACTTAGGCATTTATTTCTTAGGGAATAATTTTTTATCCCCTTAGCTATTTCTAAGTACATGAAATGTGAAGGCCTTTAATCTTCCAGAACTTCTAGATATGTCTGCCTTGACCTATTGCTGTTATCCGGGAATGGGAGTGTCAGCCATCATTGAAGGAAACAATTGCTACACATCATCACCATGCTTCTTCCCTTACCACTTGTCTTTGTGGAGGGCATGTTTGCCCTCGGGCAGCTCTTTGACTAATTTTAATGTCTCGGTGTAGCCCTCATCTGTACATAGTAGGGATGCCAGAGTAGGTATTAGACATGAGCAGGGCAAGAGAGGGCCCCCCACCCAACCAGGAATGTCAGGCGGCCATCAGGTGAAGGTCAGATGGTTGTTAAACTATCTCTCGCTAAAATAATAATTGGTTGCAGCTGGCACCAAGGAAACACGGTCCCTAATAGACAGAAACACCTGAAACTGATGCTCAGCCACGTCCCCATGAGATCTCAGGAGGTGGGTAATTGGGCTCAAGCATGTGCACTAAGAGGCAAAATTGCGGTGTTTAACTGGTATAAGACCTACCTCTGGGAATGCTCTACTGCTAAGGGAAAAATCGCTTAAAGTAAGCATGCACACAACTTCAGTAAACACCACGCATGCGGCACTTCCCAAGTGCTGGCAGGCCACTGGGCATGCGGACAGCCCACCCCAAGGGAAGAATCAGGAGAGAAGTAATATAACACCCGAATCATGCCAACATATAAAAGCCCAGGTCAAAGGTCAAACCATGCACTTTTTGAATCTCTCAAGTAGCCTGCTTGGTCATCTTCTAAATGTACTTTACTTTCATTCCTGCTCTGAAACTTTATTTTATTTTTTGAGACGGAGTCTCACTTTGTCACCCAGGCTGCAGTGCAATGGTGCAATCTCTGTTCACTGTAACTTCCGCCTCCCAGGTTCAAGCAATTCTCCTGCCTCAGCCTCCCAAGTAGCTGGGATTACATGCGTGCACCACCAAGCCTGGCTAATTTTTGTATTTTTAGTAGAGACAGAGTTTCAGCATGTTGACCAGGCTGGTCTCCAACTCCTGACCTCAAGTAATCCACCCGCCTCAGCCTCCCAAAGTGCTGGCATTACAGGCATGAGCCACCGTGCCCGGCCTCCTGCTCTAAAAGTTTTTAATAAACTTTCACTCCTGCTCTAAAAGTTGCCTTGGCTTCTCCCTCTGCCTTGTTCTTCCTTGAGGAGGCAAGAAATGAGGTTGCTACAGACCCACAGATTCCCCGCTGCTAACATACTTTGGTGCCGAGTGACTTGGATACATTCCCTAGTGCTAACAAGTGGGGTTTCTCTATGACAGAAAGTTCTGCTCATACACTAGGGGGCCCCAGTACCTAATCCAGGGCTTTGTATACAGGAATCACTCAGTATATGCCTGTTGATTGACAGATGGAGATATGTTACCACAACTAAGTTTCTAAAACTTTGGTATGTGGATAGTCACTGAAAGTGGCTTCTGATCCAATTATCTGAGCCTCTATTTTGTCCATACCAACCCTATTTCAGGACCACACTGATTTCCTTTCTGTAAGGACTTCTTTCTTGGGCCTATTCTCCTCTGCTTTCATGGACTTATGAACCTAATGCAATATGACATACTATTTCCTGATTTTAAAAATCATCTTATATGACGTGTAAGGTGCTGAAGTCTAACCTACACCTTAGGTCCACATAAATGTCCCCTGATTTTCTAAGACAGAAAGCATCATTATTAAATAATTTAATTAAAAATTAACTAAATTAAAGTTTTACAAGCTTAGAATACAGTTAGAAATGTGGCTGGGTGATAAAATTTTAGACATTTATTCCAAAAGGGTAGCCTGACTTTCTATGCCTGCTTCAAAAGACACATCATTTTCACTTAATAAACAAGCTTCCTTTTTCAGAAAATTCTTGAACTACATCCAACATGCTGAGAGGTGCCTAAATAAACCTCAGTATCTTAATTAAAAGTTTTGGCTTTCAATTTAATCATGTACACATACAAGTAATATAACATTACAACATTTGTTTTTTTCTTTTTTCTTTTTTACTATAAACCTCTCATTACAGTCGATTTGTATTTAATAAATCTTGCTTGTGTTTTTACATGTATTTTCTCATGTATTTCTTCCTATTGTTCATCTTCTCCCTCATGCCTGAGTTGCTCAAACTATGAATATTTAAGGAGAATGTGAATATCATGAGTAGGTAGCATTTTTCTATGTGTTTTCCATGAAGGGTGTAATGTACAGTGTAAACAATGAACAACAACCCAAATGGAAAAAAATCAGGTTATTTCAGATCTGTTCTTCACTAAATCCAACCTACCAGTACATTAGTGACTCCACATATAAACACTGGCTTCTAAAGAAAGGGTATAATGCTTTCCTCAGAACATTCAACAGATGGAGCAAAGCCTTAGCCAATGAATAGGACACTTGTGTAATAGACATGCTAATGCACCTGGAGGTGTCGTCAGACATTTGGGAATAAATACCTAAGTAGCTGCAATGAGACGGAGCTCATGAGTCACGGCTGAAAAGTAGTCTTTCATACAATTTCATACAAAAATCAGAAAGTGTTTTTTCCCTTCAAAATAGAACGTGTACAGAATGATTCAATGTAATTAGCAACTTCACTGGTATGCTGCATTTAGAAAAAAAACAAATCTTTTTTGGGTCACTGATGTATAACTAATGCCATTTTAGATTATATCGGGTGTCAGGAGGGTTCGATATAGATTATTAAAAGAAAAATTATGTGCCACTGAACTTCCTGCAGTCCAGATTCAATTCTAGTACCATTTTGTCTGTATATGAAGATTTTTCATAATGTTGCACAGATTACGTGCAACACAGCCCCTCTTTCATATGGGAAAAAAAGCATTTCTGACCCGGCAGCAAAAGAGCATGTGTTTTTAGTTTCTCCAGCTGTGGTGAAGTAGTAGGTAGTCATTTGGTGGTCATCAAAAGCACAAAATGTTCAGTTTCACTCTCACTCAAATCTTCTGTATTTTAAGAAGCCAATCCAGTTGGATTACTTTCCTCTCATCCTACCCTCTCATTTTCCATCCCTGCCCTGAGAAAAGACTGGCGGGCTTGTGCGGCCCACTGAGCAGCAGCTGGTGAAGGGAATCGATGGCTGTGTAATATGGCAAGTGACCTGATCCCCCTCCACACCCCAAACCTGGTTTTCGACTTGAAAGGCCAAAGGCTAAAGAAATTGAATCTACATAATTTTGCAGACAGAAAGTCTTCAATGTCAAGAGTATACATTGTTTTTGTCCTTGAAATGTCCTCTCAGTATATGGATAGTCACTAAAAATGGATTTGGATCCAATTATCCTAGCTTCTATTTTGCCCATACTGAGCCCGTTTCAGGGCAACACTGATTTTCTATGAGGACTTCTCTGTCTCATGGACTGATTCTTCTCTGCTTTCATGAATCTATTAACCTAATGCAATACAAAATGCAATTTCCTGAATTCAAAAATCATCTAAAAGGTATAAATAATTGGTCCCATTTAGCCACAGTTATTAGAGCCTCCAGACTTACATACACAAGAACGACATAAGAATTTGGTGCAATTTAAAACCCAAGGTTGGGTATGCTATAAACTTTCTGTCACTATTTAAACTTTTAAACTTTCTGTCACTATTCTGTCACTTAATTAGTAAACAAAATGAGAGTTATTCTACCAGGTAACATGCATTTAAGGTTCATCAGGACAACTAGCACAGCTGACTAGTTTGCCTACACCCAGAGAATGTGTATCTTGGCTGATAACCACAATCTCAAGCATTTGGTACCATGTTTGTGAAACAGCTCCTGAGGGTTGGAAAAAAAAAAAAACCAGACAACTTTTGAACACTTGGGAACAGGGAAGACATTACATATTAATTCATTAAGGTAGGGCATTCCATTGCAGCATATTTAAAACCCCAAAAAGAGAAATTTCCTAAAGTATTTCCATTGTTTAAATATTGACAGGCAATGAGTTTTAAAAAATGATTTTTCAAAAAAAAAAAAAAACATAGATAATGACATCCCTTAATCTGAAAGCTGGGAGACAGGATGAAGTGCCTTCTTTATATCTAACCGTCTGACTTTACCAGCCCCAAGAAAGGGAACCGTTACTTAGGCAGAGGGCCACAGGGCCACAGCCACCCTCCTGGCTTCAAATAACTGGGCTTTTGGCCCCTCAGCCCCTAGTTCATAGATTTCTTGTCGATGGCCAAAGGGCTTCCTTAATTGTAAGGTTACAAAACCAGAAGAAAATGCTCATGTCCCAAGGAGTCCAAAATGTGCCCCTTTTTCTGCTAAAAACAATTAATAACATACTTAGCATATCAAAAGGAACATAGCTGTTACTTCGGGAAGATTTAAAACATTGTCAGCAAAAGGGAAGATGTGCTAGGTCATTATGGACTTTCTTAGTTACAAATGTTCCTCCTTTCAGCTCCACATTCGATTTACCTTCTCCAAACACCTTGGATGTAAAGCACTGTCAAGATGAAGAATTGTATCTTATAAAAAAGAAAGCCAAAAATTCCTAACCAGAAAAACCTTTCCTCCCACAATCTCTTATAGTTTCATGAGATGTCCTGAAAAAGGTAAAAATATAGTGGTAACATGTTTATATACTTCTTTTTAAAATAAATCACTCAAACTGTTCATTGTACTTGAACAATATTTTGTCTTTGAAATAGCATGAAAGGCAAAGGCAAAACAGAGACAAGCTATAATTTATTTACTATTCAGACAAGACTAAAATCATTTCATCAAAAACCATCTTTTAGCCCAATGACGGATTCACTGCCCTAACAAAACTGTGCTCAATATAAGATAAAGAGCATGAAGTTTTACCTGAGTGTCTATGGGAAGCCATGGCTCAGAGACCAAGTTCAGGAGCAGCACCTAGACCAGTCTTCCCTCAACCCCAGCTGATAAGGCTGTGGCTCATTTGTGAACATACATTTAAGGGGAAGCGGCTAACACAAAAATAACCGAGAGCAGATGTCCCACCCCTCCCCAGAGATCACAACCTTAATCCCACTAGAAAATTCTTAACCATTTTAGGTGATCCAAGGGAGAAGAATAGGACCCAGTAAAAATACCAAACGCTACATATAAATACCTGCGGGGCTACTCAGCATCCAAATTAGCTCCAGAGCCAGAGAGGCCACATAGAAAGTCATCCCTGTACCGGAATAAAATTTGGACTCGGCTCTGGCATAGCTTAACGCTGAGCCAACCTTATTAATCCACTTTATATGCCTCAAGAGCTTGCATTTGGCCCTGTAAATAATACATTTTTGTGCTGTTAATGATAAAAGTAACTCTAAGAGATAGACTTATGTTACCAGTGTAACTCAAGGAGATTAGACAGTATGAATATAGAGATTAAGGGGATTATAGATGTTGTCACTCTATGTCCTCCTTAGTATGTTCCAGAGATCAGCAGATTACTGTACAGGAAAGGAGAGTGATCGTAATCTCCCCACCTCCTTAACGGCAGACAGCACAGAACAAGATGGGGAGACTATGCCTATCCCCATCACACACACAATGAAGACATTTTGTCTCACAAACTCAACCTCTTGTTTTTCAGCATCAGGGACAATAAAAGGAAAAACATGAATGAAAATGAAGACATCAACCTAAAATGTTGTAATAGCTCAACAGGCCATCAGATGTCTGGGGGCTGGCTATTAGGAGCATGTTCTAGGAAAAGAAAGCCCCCAAGTCCCTCCAGGACCTTCTTCCACATTCCTTCTCTGGCCTTACCCTTAGCCCCCTTTCCCTCACTCCCACCTCACTGGCCTCCTCACTGTCCCCTGTGCCCAGAGTCATGGTTGTTCCTTTCCCTACTTCAAGTCTGCTGGTATTGCACTGATTTCTCTCCTTGCTGTCTGATCTCCTGCTTTGCTCCATGAAGGCAGGGATTTAGTACTGGAGCTCACTGCAGTGGCCCCAGAGCCTAGAACACTGCCCAGCTCCCAGGAGGCTCTCAATAACTATTCCTTGAAAGAATGAACTAAATAACTGAAAAATCCATCAAGCCTCCAAAACATAGTCCCACCTGCAATCCTGAAAGTGGTTTTGGCCACTCAACTTCAAGGAAGGCAGCTGACCTTCTCGCTGGTACAGACACCTTTATAGCCACTGTCTTGTTTAAGTGGTTTTGGCCCTATTCACACATCTCCCCTACCAGGTTGAGGGCCAGGGCAGTGCTTTGCTTGTCTTCATGTTCCTATAGCACACAGTAGGTGAGCAGTAAATGCTCCATGAATAAATGAATGAATGAGTTCCCCAATTCTTACGATCTTCAAATGTTTAAGGAAAAGTTATTCTAAAAGACAACTGACATCAGTAACTCCCAGTTAGCTAGAAAATGACACAATAAAAGCCAGGTTGTTACGAGTAAATTTATTACATGTTAGAGGAAAAAAATAAGCCTGGGAAAAGAAGAGAAGCTACACTGTGCTCTGGCTCCACGCCTTTCTAGTCTCTTTCTCATCCAGCCTGATTAAATTATGGTGCGGAGATTAGCCAGTTGTAACAACACCACACCCCTAAAATAAACTGAAACTTTTCACCTAGAGGAAATTCTCTTACTTTATTAGATGATTAACCTTAATGAACCCTGAATTTTTTATTTTAGCAAGTTATATTTTTAGGAAGAGCCCATGTATGTTGAAATGCCTCTCTTGCAGCGCTGTGAACAATAGGCTTGGTGTGCCAAATACTTTCCTTTAGGAAGTCAATTCCTGTTTCAAGCTATGCATCAGGAAGTGTCTTCTTTTAGGCAAGTATGGTAGTTCTTTAGGTTTCTGATCATTTTGAAAAGTGACAACAGAATATGGATAGACAGCTTTATGAAAGTATCAAAAAACAAATCTGTTTTGCCTAAAATACAAGAGAAAATTCAAAGACAAGAGAATCACTTTTTGACCACCATGAATTAGTCAACTATGACCAGCCAGGATGGACTGGGAGCTTGGGCCTGCAACAATAGCATTTATTCCAGTTACTTCCATTTGCATCAACCAGGTAACTGTGCCCTCCTAAAAACTTCATGAAGCATGACCACTACCTGCTCTGACATCTGGCCCTACTGCAGATGTCCTCAAGCCACAGAATTAGACCTTCCACAAAACCAAGACAGAAACAGCCCCTTGCATGATGAGAAACAATTTCTTAGGAAGAATAGTTGGTAACTTTGTCCTGTCTTGGATCAGTGGCTCAGAACCCTTGCTGGCTATTTCACAGGTACCTGGAGTCACGGGTTTCATTGGCATATTAGTCAATCTTGTTATATATTAACAGTATGATGTTTAATAATATCTTTAAGAATCACTGTACTGTTTACAACGCACCTTTATATACTATTGGTGGAGTTGGCTGGTGTTTGGGAGCAACTCTCTTTGGTGTATGATGGTTACATTTCAGGCCTTCTAGTCTCACACTCTAGCAGTATCCGGACGCTTTTTTCAGTGAGTGCTAGGTATCAAACTCCCTGTTTCCCTTCCATGTGACCCTCTGCGAATCATTTACTTCAGGGTTTATCTACACATCCTTATGGTCCTACTATCTGCAGATACATTATGACCTATTATTGGGTTAACCTGTAGATAATGCCGCCCCAGCCATTGCTTTATTGTATATGACAAGCATTTATTGGACAGATGCCCTACTATGTGGTGCAAGGTATTTTACTGGTCACAAAGAATAAAATACAGTCCTTACTTTCAAGTGTAACAAGATAAATATGCAAATGACTACTATGCAAGGCAGAGCCTTACAAGTATTACAAGAAAGGTATAAAGTGTTACTGACATTTATCACAGGGAGAGATCACATCTGGTTTGGAGATGAGAAAAGACTTGATGGATGTCACGGCATTTGACCTGGTCCCTGAAGAATGATTAAGACTTTGGCATGCAGACAAGGGGGAGGGAGTGTTCCAAGAAAATGGTACCATGTCACCTAAGGTATGAGAAAAACACAGGACGTGTTCAAGAAGCAGGATGCAGCTGGGGGGGGTTGGGGTGTGACAGAAGCACAAGATAAGGAAGTAGTAGGACCGAAAGCTAGAGAGGAGGGAAAGCCACACACGGAGGATCTTTCTGCAACTGGTGCAAGGGGAGAATGAGATGGAGTCATGCAAGCAGTGATAAGAAGAGCAGATCTCAGAGAAGAGAGGAGGCAGGGAAGACAGCACAGGGTAATGCAATTGTCCACTGAGATGCAAGGAAAGACTGAAAGAATGAGAGGCAGGGGCAATGGGCATGGAAAGGAAAAACTAGATATAAGGGACACTGTGACAGGGCTACAAGAACTGAAAGAAGGGGAAGGAGCCAAGGATCTCTCTGAGGTTGTGACTCTGGGTGACTGGGAAAATAATGGGGAATATGGGAGGCAGAGCTGGTGTAGGGAAGAATGGCACTTTATTTTAGACTTCACAATGAGTTTCTTCTGAGATGTCAATAATGAACCCCCTTTAATGGGATCCCAGTTATCAAGGAGCGAGAGAGAACAGTAAGATTACAGTAGAATCACGTTTGTGGGATTTCTCACACTGCAATCTAATCCTAGCCTCTCTACCTCAGAAACACCACTGGGAGGATCAAACTTCAAAAGTTCAAAGTGGTGCAACCGAAGAATCAAACACGGCAAATTCAGTGACCCACTTAGCCCACATTTCAGGACTTCCTCATTCACAGCTTGACTTGTGGTCACCCTTCTCCCTTTACTAGATTTTTCTTTTCCTGAAGAAATTTCCAAATGGTTAAAAACTTATTCAGACAATTACTGGCCATTAGTCATGGCCAGGGGCAAGAGGCTGATAACAAACTGTAATGGAGTCTTTGTGGATTTCTCCGTGGTTTCATGTCCAGTTGTTTTTTTTTTTTTTTACATGACTCTTCTTTCCCTCATATCTACTACTAATAAATTAATAGACTGCAAGTTTTTTTCTCAATATAATTTTGTCAGGCTACTTAATCCCTCTGCCAACAATTTCTCCTGAGTGAGTCCAACTGCAAGATTAAGGCAACTAGTCATGCACTATGATATGATGTGATTCAATGTTGAGCTCTCCAGAGTATTTCTTGTCCTATGTACTCTTGCCAGAAAAAAGCTCAGAACAGCTTCAGCCATCTCATGTTCCTGTCAATCTTTAAGGTGGGAAGAGTACTTTTTCCTACTGACACGTCCAATTTTGCAAAGTCACTGCTTAAATGTCACAATTCATGGCATACCCATCAGAGAGTAAAATGAAGGAGCACCCCTGGAACCCCAAGAGGGGGGATTTGGTCATGTAAGGTCCTAATGAAAACAAACCTGAAATTCAGCCTCCCCAAAGGGTCTCTGAATCTCAGAGAAAAGGAAAAGGTATGAAAGAAGACCTGTAACAAATGAGAAGATACATGAAATAAAGGACACTGTAAACAGCAAAGCACCTGGAAAATGCTAATTAACTCCACTGAAGACCTGTTCATTTCACAGTTGACCAGGGCTTAGAATTTTCCTTATAATATTCACAGAGAGATTACGAAGCATGAGCCATGGCCCCTGTCTTTTGATTTTTGGTAATGTCATGATCAGTAACAGTTTTAAATGTCTCTTGTCCCCAAAGTCTGTGCCCTTCCTGTGTTACTACTAGACTTTTACCAAGAGGTAGGAACTATCCTAACCACATCCTACAGATACTTTATGGGCCTATAACCAGAAATCACTATCAGGAAAACACCGAACAAATGACTTTCAGAGCATGCCTAGGATGATATTTTTCAAAAAACAGAAGTGGCAAAAAAGTAAAAGAAGTAAAGAAAACAGAAACAAGAAAATGTTTTAGAAAGAGATATATAACATAAATACAGAATCTAAAATCAAAGGAAAATAAATGTTTCAGGAAACTGAGAAGCTGGTAAGGATAAATCTTTGTCACATTTTAGATGTTAAAATTCTCTTCCAGTTTATTTCTACCACCTACTTGTGACATATCTGTTTTATTTCCATATTGCCATGTACCATGACTCAAAACACCCTTTCAACCATGCTAAGTCCTGGCATTCACCAAGCCCACCTTTTATGAACATTTTAAGCCTCTGATAAATGCTTGAGGGCTAAACATTCCATGACCCTATTCTATAATTTACCCAGCTGGTTAATATCCATAATAGGAAAGAAGAACAAATCAAATAAGCTTCCATCCATACCTTTATTCTTAATGCTGATAACTGAGATCAACTGCCTTGATCAGGGATGTTATAATAATTCATGAGCTCTGCTTCATTGTGTGAAACATCAAGGCTAGTAACATACGATCTATCTTTATTTACCAAAAAACTATAATTAATACATTACTTTATTATGCACTGGTGTTTTCAAACCCCAAATAGAAGATAGCCCTAGAATTCAAGGTAAAGGTTGAAAAGACTCATGAGTGGTTCTCTGGGGTTTGGTCAGTAGATCATCTGAACCTAACATGGTGCACGGAAGTGGAAGCATGAACACAGCAGGAGGAAAGAGATCAAGCCGTGACCTGGATGTCACTCAGGAAGTCTATATTTTGTTAGGCAATAGCATTGTCTATTTTGATAGCAGGGGAAATCCAGATTTCCAGAGGACTGAAAGTACATAAAGTGAAAGCTCACTTGGCTCCCATCTGCCAAGTTTCCCCGAAGGCCAACATTTGACTGCCTGAGCAGTGTCTTGATTCAGATTCAATGCAGGAGTAACCACAGGTGGACAGAGGAGCGCGGTGGCCCACAGTGATTCGTATCTGAGAGAGCAAATAGGAATAACTTTCTGTGGAAGGAGCTCTTCTGTTGTGCCAGGACAGGCACTGTTTTGTGAAAACTCAGCTGCAGAACCAGAGTGATCCTGTTGGTGTGTGGTCTGCCATTAGATTACCACCCTCAATGGCAGCTTGTCTTCCCTGTTCGTCAACCTGTGCATGGTAAGGACAGAGTATAGGCTCCTCCACAAGTTGGAGAGGATTGGCGGACCTGAAGATAAAGTGGGCCAGGTCTGAGGGTGTCTCCAGCTTCATAAAAATGGCATGATAGAGTTGGAAATGGTCTTAGATACCACCTAATCCAATCACCTCATTTTATAGATGGAAAAGCTGAGGCCCAGAGATGGAGAGATCACCTGCTTCCCTGAGTTAACAGCTGCTCCAGGTCTAGAAGCTGAGTGTCTGGACTCCGAAGGCACTATTCCTTGTACCGTATTAGCAAGGGATCTTTACTCATGACAATGTAAACCTTAGGAATGCTATGTATGGTAAAGGGGGTTTGTTATCCCTTGACTTTATATTCATCAACAGAGGTTAAGCTGGGTCACAGACCCTGAGACTAAGGGACAGTTGTGTGTGTAGATGACACATTTTGCAGATTCTCTCATGCAGCAGCAAGAGTCCAGTCAAGTTATCTCAGCCACAGTTAATGGTTAATGCTGGAGTCTCTTAGCCTACTCTGGTTCGAGAGGCCGCCTGATTCGCGAATCGTTCTTTGCTCAATTAAACCCTATTAAACTTAAAAAGAAAAACAAAGTTTATGGATAAACTTTGGCTAACTTGGAAGCAGTAGTTGACGCAGAGCTGAGAGAGATATGGACTAGGTTGGATGCGGAAGCAGAGGCTCTACCTAAACAGCTGACACTTAAGGAACAAGAGTGAGTGATTTCAAAGCCCTTGAAGTCAAACAACAAGTTCACCATGCCAGGCAGCAAGTACATGAAACAGAATGACAGGAACACGAAGTCCAGAAAGGAGAACGCAAGGAGAGTCTGCAGCTAGAGGAGCAGAAGCCATCAAAGGACATGTACGTGGAAAGATCACACCCCATTCACCTCACATCCCCACCCTTCTTGCTCATTTCCAATGATAATCAACAAGAACAAACATGGGAAGTAGGTACCTAACTGGTATAAATAAGACCAGATTATCTAAGGTACAGAGAGTGAAACAAGGAGTGATTGTCCTATTGCATTCAATGAAATTCAGGTAAAACGGTTTAGACTGGACCATAACTATTTTTGAAGGCTTCCATGAAAGAAATTTAAGGCTTAACTTTATATGAGATTGGTTGAACAATTAACATGGTTAGTTCCAAGACAAATAGTAGGAAATTTGCCCTGAGATTAGTATATCTATTTTATAATGATTCAAGAGAATATAGTGCAGTGGCTAAGAGCACAGACTGAAGCCAGAATATCTAAATTCGAATCCTGCCTCTATCACTTACTGGTTGTATGACATTGGCAAGTTTCACTTAACTTCTCTGTGACTAAATTTGCCCATCTGTAAAATGGGGATGATAATAGTACCTATGTAAAAGGGTCATTGTGAGAAATACAGCAGTAAATATTTGCAACATTTAGAGCAGTGGCTGGCACACAGTAAGCACTATATATTATTAATTCAACTACACGCTAAAAATGTGGCCGACCCAAGCAGCAGATTCCTACAAATAGAATTTATCAAGTTTACTAATTCACAGGGAATATGTGGAAAAGAGATAAGGGCTCAGGATGTTGGCCAAGAGCCCAGCTGCAAGGACCATGGGCCTGAGAATGACTGGGGCAGCAGAGAGCAAAACTCAAAGTCCTAGGGACTCAGAGGAATTGGCCTCAGCAGCTTGACAGCCCAGTGGAGACAGCTGTGGACTCAACATGGGTCAGGAGGGTTTATGAACAGATGATGGAGACCTGGGGAGAACAAATCTCTGCTCTATTGATCCTCTAATGAAATAAATACCCAATAGGTCTAGGTCACCTGTCCAGTCTTGAGCTGCAGAGGGTCTTCCCTACATCCTCCCTGCCAGGAAAGGGCCCAGTGGCTAATTAGACCTTTTCTGGCTAGAGTCAATAAACTTTCCAACACAACAAATAAGGGTTTACCTTATAAGCACTAATTCATCAGGCAGGCCACCCTTGATTCACATCTCTGAGCTTAAGTTGGCTATAAAGGCCAACAATGAAAAGAGGCTACCTATATGCAGCTCCAGCCAGAATGCAGATTAGCATCATATTATGTGAGTTAATTCTGAATAAATGCCAAGGACATGGATCTAAAAGACCCTATCTCATCAAGCCACTTACAGAAATGACTCTACAGCTCAGGAGATGAGGCTGTTTGTGCCGAGACATAGCTTGGGTGAGTACAGCAATGCCCAAGGTCCCAGGGGTGGCAGAACCAAAATATGCACCATCTACCCGACTCTTGACCAAAAACACGTTGTGGTCAATCCCCCATACCCACCCCAAGATGAACTCCGGCTAAAGCATCTAGAGTTGGGATGACTGTAAGAAGACTATTATCTGACCATTGTGTAGACAGACCATTGCCGTATGTCCATAATGACCCAGCACCTCACATCCCCACCCAAAAGAAACCCCGGACCTCTTAGCTGTCACTCTCCATGCATGAGCAGTTAGTGACTAGGATCAGAGAGGCTATATTTTCAGGTCCACAGATCTCATCCCAGAACCCCAAAGTTAATCTCCTCCTATCATAATAGGCTCCCTAAACCCTGTGCCTCAGCTCACTGCAGGAGAACACAAGGAAGGGAACAGGGGCATATCAGCCTAAGGAGGCAGGGACAGCTCTGGGATGAGCTGTGAGGAGAGAAAGGGCACACTGGTCCAAAAGATTCTCTGAGGCTCCGTACCTCCTCTCCTACTGGCACAGCCTGGGCAAGGCCTGCAGCTACAACATCTCAATTCCAGATAATCACACATTCTTTCTTTAGTTATTTTACCCAAAATTTTATCAATCAGGGCTTCATTTGGGTTAACAATCTTCACTTATAAAATGAAATAATTCCAGGTGAGTGTGAGTGAAGGTAGCTAAAGAACATGAAGTCCTTTGTCATTATAGAGATAATATGTAAAATATTTTAGAATAAAAACATTTCTTAGGTGAAAACTTTTGTTTTATATGTTCACAGTGATTCTTTAAGTTTCCATGTTCATGACTTCAAGTTGTTTTGCTATGTTATTTTATTTATTGAGATATAATTTACATGCCTGTGCTTTGGGAGGCCAAGGCAGAAGGATTGCTTGAAGCCAGGAGTTCAAGACTAGCCTGGGCAACATAGTGAGATCCCCATCTCTAAGTAAAATTTAAAATAATTTATATATCATAAAATTCACCTTTATAAAGTGTACAATTCAGCAGCTTTTAGTATATTCATAATGTATATCAATCATTACCACCATCTGATTCTGCATTTTCATCACCCCCAAAGAAATCCTGGACCTCTTAGCCATCACTCTGCATACCCCACCCCCACCCCGTGGGAACCACTAACCTACTTTCTGTCTTTATGGATGTGCCACTTCTGGCAATGGAATCATACAATATATGGCCTTCTGTGGCTGATTTCTTTCACTTAGCATAATGCTTTCATAAAAATGGAATCACACAATATGCAGCTTTTTGTGGCAGATTTCTTTCCCTTAGTATAATGTTTTCGAGGTTCATTCATGCTATAGCATGCATCAGTACTTCAGTTCTCTTTATGGCTGAATAATAGTCCATTGTACAGATACACCACATATTGTTCAACCATTCATCAGGTAATGGACATTTGGGTTATTTCCACTTTTTAGCCACTATAATACTGCTGTGAACATTCTTTTTTTTGCATGGGTTTATTTCCAAAGATGTATTTTTGAAGAAGTATGAAAGAATACATAGTGAAAAGTATTCTTCCCCCTATCTATCCCCAGACATCTACTTCCCCCTCTCCACTGATAACCAATGATACCAGTGTCTTCTTTATGCTTCTGGAGATACTGGGCTTATAAAAGATAGGCAGCTATATATTTTTTCTTTTTCCTCTTTTAAAAAAAAAAACATAAATAGTGGTATACTATACATACTCCTCTGCACCTTGCTTTTTCTATTAATTCTATTGCTAGTTCTATTTATTTATATTCAGAGAATTTTCCTTGTCAGTACGTAAAGAGCTTCTACTTTTTGAACATGTACATAGTATCCAATTGTAAAGCTATACCACAGTTAGTCTCTTATTGACAAATATTTGTTATCACAATGCTGTAAGAAATCTATCTATCTATCTATCTATCTATCTATCTATCTATCTATATATATATATATATTTTTTTTTTTTTGAGATGGAGTCTCGCTCTGTCGCCCAGGCTGGAGTGCAATGGTGCGATCTCGGCTCACTGCAACCTCTGCCTCCCGGGCTCAAGCGATTCTCCTGCCTCAGCCTCCTGAGTAGCTGGAACTAAAGGTGCGTGCCACCATGCCCAGCTAATTTTTGTACTTTTAGTAGAGAAAAGAGTTTCACCATGTTGGCCAGGCTGCTCTCGAACTCCTGACCCACCCACCTCGGTCTCCCAAAGTGCTGGGTAGTACAGATGTGAGCCACTGCACCCAGCCTTGAAATATATACATTTTTTAAAGATAGGATGAACCAACTAAAAACAGTAGTAAGTTAGTTTAATCAGACTGCTTTCTTCTAACCCCCAAAAGAGATCAGCAGCACTAAAGGAATGGGAGTTTTGATTTACAAGGAAAGGGAGGGAATAAAAGGAAAGAGATGAAAAGATCTGGAGTGGATGAGGGAGCACCCACCAAAGTTTACTGAAATGGCACATTGTTTTTGTTCATGCAGAGAGGATGCCATCTGGAAATCCCATGCCAGCTATATGAAGGTTACCCTCAGCTAATCAGCCACCCAGAGAGGAAGTGGCTTTTGATTCCAAATCCATGCTCTTTGCACCAAAACCCACGATGCCTTGCCAATGAACTAAAAAACAGTAAACTCAGCAAAACGCCGATACTGACAATGCACACAACATATCCTCATGCAGTGCCACACCATGATGGATTAGTGGCAATGGAGATTATACTTCTCAAAATTAAAGAGGCAACTTAGTGTGCATCAAGTCTTCAGGCTGAAAAGTTATAAACTACATATAGTATTTGAGTTTCAAATGTTCATGCTGTCTTCCTTATCTATTTAAAAAAAATGAAAGGTGGCTTCTCAGCTGGGGATTATAATGGAGCAAGCCGAGCTGGGCACAAGCCCTTCTGGACGATTAGACTGGCAACATGTCACTGATGCATACCACCAGGGAAGTGCACAGCTCTGAGTCATAGGTCTGACCTTAAAACTGCATTCTGGGAAAACAAAACACCATCCACGTTCGTTATATAAATCTGTCATGGATTTTTCAACTCTGTCTGCATCAGAGTTTTAAATTAACCCTGTCATTGTTTTTTCCTAAAAGTAGAGGAGTAGCTTGATGTCTCTAGCCTCAAAGGTCAGTCTTTTCTGAAACGGGCACTTGTTTTCTTAAAGGTCACATAACTAATTGAAGCCAGGTGACCCATGTTCTATGACTATTTGTCACCAATTTCCTAACTTAGATTGCACCTCCCTGTCTTTACAGATAAACAAGAAAGAGAAACGTCACCAGCACCCCCACTCCATTATCAGTGAATATTTTAAAAAACTAACTTCGGACTTCAGAAAAGGGGCTGATGTTTATAAAGCAGCTTAATAGATGAGACCGTTTTAAAATTAAGTACACTGGCAGCTATCTTTGTTAGATGTTAAAACAGGGATCCCCAGCCACGTCATGGCAATTCAGTGTGGCAAACCAGGAGTATTATAAGAACTGCAAGACCTAATTAATTTTAATTCCCTTCCAACTGTCTACTCATTTAATACCATAAGTAAATGCTAAAGCCTATATAAATTATCATACTGGAACAGGAAATGTACAGAGAAGAGATTAATTCAGGAATTGTGAAACAGGATACTGATTTTAAAACACTTTTAGCAAATTCAAAAATCAATTTAAAAATTAACGTCATAAAATTAAATTAACAATATTTTTATACTGTTAAATTTTATACTGTTAGAATTTTAAATTGATTTTAAGCTTTCAATTAATGAAAATAACAGTAAATGTTTTTGACTTTATTGTGTTGTAACCCAAGGAAAGCACACTAGACTTAGAATCAAAAATCTCAAATGCAATCTCTGACTCTGCTGAATTGCTTACAAGCCAAGTTATTTTTTCTTCCTCATCTATGAAATGGGAATATTAATATCTGTCTTGCTTTCCCTATTGAATTGTTTTAGGAATGAAATTAAATAATATATGTCCAAGTACTATACAAACTTTAACATAACATAATATGGTCATTAAAGAAATATATATATAAATCAGGCTTTGTACCCAAGTAGGTAATGTCTTTTGATTTTTCAAGTAGACTTAATTTTTCATATGACTCACACAATTTTCACAATAAACACACACACATTTATCATATACTACAAAATCTAGTGGCAGGTCTTTGTGAAAAGACTGGCAATCCCCATGATAGGAATTCCCTCTCTTTCATATCAGCCTAAACTTTCAATGATACAGAATTTAGAAAATACTAATATGGCTATTTTAGTTTTATTTAAAGTCTAGCTATTTAATCCTCTTGTATTTAGTTAATATTTAATTATTTGAAAAGGCACAAGTAGCTCAGTATAATAAATGTATAATAAGCAAGCTCCATAAAATCTTGCTTCTTCGTTTTGATCTAAAAATCAAAAGCATACTCCTCTGCATATTTGTACGGGGTATTTTTAGTTGCTTCAAGCAACTGACATGGTTTAGCCTCCATTCCTCACAAAGAAAATAACTTGGAAAGCCCTCAACAAAAGAAAAAATTAAGCCAAGGTTAGTTATAGGACTTTCATTTCGGAAAAATTAAAATAAGGAACACTTTTTATTTCTGTTGTTTAAAGGGCTGGAGATTTAGTAACAACTTGAAGAAGTGAGTTAATCCCTTTGTAACACAGCCAGGATAGGGTTTATTTTCCTACTGTTATGGTGGTAACTTAGAACACACAGGAAAACAATATCAAATATCAATTCCCTCCAGAGTTGTAACTTTCTAAATGTAGTAATCAGTAATTTGTCAAGATTATCATTCAGCATACAAATACTTTCTATATAATTTGAACTTCCATACCACCTTCTATATCAAGTCCTTAAATGCTACCAAATATAAACCAGGTATTGTTTTCATGAAATAAGAATACAGGTGTTAAAGATGAATAAACTGAGACATTAAAGAGATTAAGTGTCTTGCTTTAAGGGGGTGGGGGAGGCAAGGTCAAACTAAGAATAGAAGCTCAAGTACTATCACCTGTCCTAAGCATAAATCTAAAAAACTTTCCACTTTCCGACTAGCCATAAGTACATGGTCCCATCAATTTTTATGTATTTTAAACATACATTTTGCAGGAAGAAAATCTTCCAAACTGATTTGTGGAAATATCATTTAATTAAGGGTGGTACTGCATGTATGAACTGCAGAATATAAAGTATTCATACACGAAAACTTTTTTCAAATTAAATTTCATCTGATTTGAAAGCTTAATGTTAACATCTAAACGCTAATAAAATAATACATAAACTTGAGCTATAACGGAAACTAGATATAGTTTTAAACTTAACTATTCACTATATACAGTAAGTCAGTTTTATTATGGGTGATTATGAAACAATCACAGGACAAGTCAGTCACTTTCCAAGATCAAAGAGCAAGTCAGTGGTAGAGAAATCAAAAACATTGCAACCTAATGGTTTCTTCCAAGACCAAAGTGCATGTTATTCCATTGTGCCAAGGAGTTTTAATGAGTTTTAAAGGGTCATGTGTCTGTCTGAAGGGACTGGTAAATTTCTTACAACTCTCCAAATATAATTTATTTTTAATTCACGCTCTATACTGACATGACACGTTTAAATATATCTAATCACCAGGTTTCCCACCCACATCCCCCAACTAATCTCTGCCCAAAATATATTTTCTGTTTTTTTTTTGTTTGTTTGTTTTTTGTTTTTTTTTTTTTTGAGACAGTCTCGCTCTGTCGCCCAGGCTGGAGTGCAGTGGCGCAATCTTGGCTCACTGCAACCTCTGCCTCCCGAGTTCAAGCGATTCTCCTGCCTCAGCCTCCCAAGTAGCTGGGATTACAGGCGCCCACCATCACGTTCAGCTAATTTTTGTATTTTTAGTAGAGACAGGGTTTCGCCATGTTGGCTAGGCTGCTCTCGAACTTCTGACCTCAGGTGATCCACCCACCTCAGCCTCCCAAAGTGCAGGTATTACAGGCGTTAGCCACTGCGCCCAGCCTCTTTGTTCTTATACATTAAATTTTCATGGACCGTCTGGAGATTGAGAACACAGCAGAAATTTGTTTCTTCCCAAGCAACAGCAGCTGGAACTGAAGTGGAAAGTACAGGATTAGCCCCTATAGGGAAGTGAGAAAAACTGCTTGGAAATGGTTTTAAGGGATCTCCTGCCAGCTAACTCAAGAGTGCTAGTGAAGACTTCCAGAAGGAAACACACCCAGCCAAACCCCTGGGCCAAGAGAGTGTGTTTGCACACAATTCTGGGGACTGAGAATAAAGGGAACAACACAGCTTTGAAAGAATGTAGGGCGTGCTTTCCACATAAATAGGAGCAAAAGCCATACACGAGAACCTTTCATCTCCATACCATTCTCTCTGTCCAAATTGTAACAAGAGTGTTTTCTTTAAAAAATAATAATAATAATTTGCACTTAACACCTTGACACCAGGGTTTGGACTCAGACCCTGCATAGATCAACTTAGTCCTCAGTTAACTGTTCCTCTGCCTTCCAAATGCAATTGATTCTGTGGGCGTAACCAACATTCTATGTCTATAACACTTTTCAAGATGATCTTGCCTCTCTATAAGAACGGGAAGTTACTTAACTCCTGCCTGGGATGAAAATAAAATTTACAAGTGTATCCCCTCTTTTTTAGGGGTCAGCAATGTCAGAGTTACAAAAAAGTTCCAATTTAAAAATTAGTATATTTTTTTCCAACTCCATGCCAGGATTCCAGAATACCTGTTACTTTTAAAATAAGGCTCCTAAATTTTTTCCAAAACTGGGGCATTTATTTTATACCTTCTTTAACAGCATTCTATAGCAATTTAGTCACATTTGTGTACTGTTCAAAAAGCTAGACTTCAAGTGTATAAAATATTATGAAGTTAACTGGTGAAATCTGCTACATTCACTTTGAAATGCATCCAAAAATAAGATAGACTGATGGATGGAGGGATGGATAGATAGTAATAAAACAGGTAGAATAAAATGCTATTAATGGCAGCCTGTTGATGATGGGGATAAAGATGGCCACTGCAAAGTCATTTCAACTTTGAAGATCTTAATAAAGGTTAGGGGAAAATAAAATATACATCAGCAAAACCTTTAAAAACTGACTGCAGCTACACACAAGCAGGTATTGGCTTCCAAAATGTTTTTCAAACTATGGGCACAGAATGTGGTACAGTCTGGAATGAAAAACACCAAAGTTGAGTACCACAGCCTCCAAATGAAAGAAATCTGCCAAGCCCATTTTAAGGTTTTTCTAGGCATTATTAAAGAAGCCCTGAACATCACATCTCATCATGAAGTGCAATATTGCACACATACATTTTCAGACCAGGTTGAGCAGTTTGGGCCAGAAGAGAGACCTTTTTGAAGGTTCCCTAATCCATTCACACAGGCCCATCTGAAGGATGACAGTGTAGCCAGCCTCCGGCATCCTAACCATCTCTCTCCTTTTATGGTCGTTTCAAGTTTAAAGCAGATACTCGTCTGTTTGCAGATTCCTAAAGGTACTAGAAAAAAAAATCTAAATATAACAGATGGATAAGTGCTCATGGTAACTGGAAACCAAAACGTAACTTCAGCTTTTGCAGGCCAATGCCTTAACACCCATGGCTTTAGTGTAATGGTCCTGCTGTGGACCTTTTGTCTTTATTCCCACATAGAAATACTACCCCGACTTTGATGGATGACAGATAAGTGTTAGTCAAAACTTTATTTTAGGTTGACATTAATAACCTTTACTTATGTTAAAGTCAATCAGGGCCGGGCGCGGTGGCTCACGCCTGTAATCCCAGCACTTTGGGGGACCAAGGCGGGTGGGGTCACCTCAAGTCAGGAGTTCACGACCAGCCTGGCCAACATGGCAAAACCCCGTCTCTACTAAAAATACAAAAATTAGCCAGGCGTAGTGGTAAGCGCCTGTAATTCCAGCTACTCAGGAAGCTGAGGCAGGAGAATCGCTTCAACCTGGGAGACAGAGGTTGCAGTGAGCCGAGATCACGCCTTTGCACTCCAGCCTGGGCGAGAGAGTGAGACTCTGTCTCAAAAAAATAATAAATAAAATAAAATAAAATAAAGTCAATCAGTATGTGTTCTCCAGGATGATAAAATTTTCTATAAAACACAGTCAAGTGTTTTTGTTGGGTTTTCTTATTAGTGTTTTTAAAAATAGTTCAATATACTTGCGAAAGTATAATTCAAATGTTGGTAAAACCTCTGAGACATGTCTATAAATTCTAGGGTTCCATGGAATACAATATGAAAACCACTAGACTGGAAGGACTATTTGCACTCTTAGTGTTTATTCAATCCATGACCTTTAGGTCATATGAACAGCCACCAAACCCTCTCTAGACTTCATATATGAAAGTGGTATCATGCTGATAACTTCCTGATCTGAATCTCTTCCCCACTCCTTATACCCAACTCTATCCTCCCTTTATAGTAGCTAACTCTAACCTTTTGCCCTACTATTCTCAACCCCAATTCTTTGATTTCATTCATATCCACAAGCCCCTCAACTGCATTTCCTAGGCTGGCTTTCCAAATTTCAACAATACAAATAATGTGACCATATAACGAAGCGGGGAAGGGACAGCGATATGTATGTGTCCGTATACTTGCTGGTAGTTACAAACAAAGAGAAACTCCCAGGGTCTGAAAACTGAGCATATTGCACATTTGAGTTACTACGTCTTCTTAGCCACCACCAAAATAAATGTCAGGATCTCAACAAATTTGAAAGCAGCTCTAAGAAAGTCAAAATTGAAACCACATAATGATAAAGCTGAAGTGTTTAGGGGTAAAGCGTACAGATGCCTTCAGCGTACTCTGAAATGCATCCAAAAATTAAGATGGGTAAATGGTGGATATTTGATAAAGCAAATATAGTAAAATGTTTAATTGCTGACTCTAGGTGGTAGGAATAGGAGCGTTCACTGTATAATTTCAACTTTTCTGTTCGAAAAACTTGCTGATAACAGGCCGGGAAGAAATAATGTCATGCTACAGTGAAGGAAAAGGGATTGTTCTATTCAAGCATATCCTCCAACAATTCAGGAATATGGATATTAGAGGAACAGGGATCCTAAGACAGTCCTGTGTAATACCACGGTAATGCTATGGTTTGTAATTTACATAATGCCTTTCATTCAATTAATTGTATCTCTAGCAAATGCCTACTAAGTCTCTGGCACTAAATAATAAATGATACAAAGGACATAAGAGGAAACATCAGGCTTCTTGCTCCTCAGAAGCTTCCAGTTTCCTGGAGAAAGCAGAGTACAATTTAAGACAGTAACTCTGACCAAATCCTTTACTCTTTGTGCCTTAGATTGCCCCAGTAAGGAAAATGGAAAACACCCACGAGAGGACCAAAAGTCAGGTCAAGATCCTATGTGAAGTCTATGAGAACTGACAGTTCAAACGGCAGAGCTGGGAACATAAGGGATAGGCTAAAAATACTGGAGCATGTTGTACTGTTTTCCAGTTCAAACCTGTCCCATGAGCCCAATGCAAAGGGTGGAACTCACCCTCTCCAATTAGTTTCCATTTGAACCACTGTAGGGAGCAAAAGACCCTCTGGATTATAAATCCCTATGCCTGTGCACGCTGACAATTATGTACACAAACTCTCACCACCACCCATAGGAAAAACTCTACCGGTCCTGGGAAAGAAACACAGAGAGTACCTTATGGAAATTATGAATTTGTAGCCCTAATGAATGTGTACAGAAATGGTCCTATCGGCTGGGCACAGTGGCTCATGCTTGTAATCCCAGCACTTTGGGAGTCCAAGGCGGGTGGATCACTTGAAGTCAGGAGTTCGAGGCCAGCCTAGCCAACATGGTGAAACCCCGTCTCTACTAAAAATACCAAAAAATTATCCAGGCCTGGTGGCACACGCCTATAGTCCCAGCTAATCGGGAGGCTGAGGCACAAGAACCATTTGAACCCAGGAGCAAGAGGTTGCAGTGAGGCAAGATCACGTCATTGCACACCAGCCTGGGCAACAGAGTGAGACTATGTCTCAAAAAAAAAAAAAAAGAATAGAAAAAGAAATGGTCCTCTCACACATGGTTTAAGAGATGTCCACAGACTCACAAAGACCTCAAACCATTGTTTTTCTGCTTTTCTACTTAGGTGAAGAACTGTTCTTTGGTTTGGGTTTTGTTGTTGTTGTTGTTGTTGTTTTGTCTGTTTGTTTTTTTGACAGAGTCTCACTCTATCACCCAGGTTGGAGTGTAGTCGTGCGATCTCTGCACCCTGCACCCTCTGCCTCCTGGGATCAAGCGATTCTCATGCCTCAGCCTCCTGAGTAGCTGGGACTACAGGCGTGAGCCACTGCACCCAGCCTAAGAACTGTTAAAGAACTAATTGTTTATCCAATAATTAGGTATCCTTCAGTGAGAGATGCTCTACAAAGCACAAAGCTTATCTGGCTGATAAGACAAGACAATGAGGCTACTATTCTAAATACATTTTTATATATTTCCTCCTTTTTATTTTAAATTGATCCCTACAGTTGTTCAAACAAAATTGAAATATCAATAATGAAATACATAAATTATAACAATTATTAGCACAGTTCACCACACTGGGCTTTCAACATGTGATATAAGGTTGATATGATAATAATGATGATGACAATGATAATGATGATGATAAAAGTGCCATTCTTTCTCAAGCATTATTAAGGACTTCAGGCCTTAACATTGTGATTTCCATAAAAGCTTTGACCCCAGCTATGCTTACTGTACTGATCATAATAAAATTTGTATGACTTAGCTATGACCTTAATCTAACAAATATTCTACGTCCACGGTTATAAGACAAGTGAGTCAAGGTTTCAAACTCAGAAGTTAAGGAGCATCCAACATTCATCTCCCAGGCATGGTTCTCTCTTACAAGTGAGCATCTGTTGTTGGCTTCTCAAATCTTTGCCTATTAATAGGAGCGTTCATGATGGACAAAATCTTACAACAACTTCCATATGCACTGAACTTTTATGATGTTCAAAAACCTTACTAAGTAATCACAAGTTCCTATTGGGCTTGAACTAAACTTGATGACAGATCTGAACTCTAATATTTTATACTTGGGGAGTAAGGACAGAAGAGGACTTTTGTCACTTCCCTTGCCTCAGTCTCTGTGCAATACTTGATAATCAATCATTTACTGACTCCTTTGTTTTGGGGTTTCAAAGAAAATTCACATGTGAGCTTATTCTTAGAGAAGCTGAAAAGACCTGTAAACAGATGAACAAATTAGTAAATTCTTACAGCTGGAATGTTTTTATAAGTCTCAAAGCACCATACAGGAGAAGAGAAAAAGTTTTAAAGGCTCATTTGAACCAACTGAAGTCCAAGATGGTTTGACTCTACCTACCTTAGAGATCAGATATCTATGTCCTCATTTCACATCAATTGTGAAGATGGAACACTAGATTTGAACTTAGCTGTCCAAATCTGACTTCTTCCATGAGAATCCTGGTCAAACCCAATCTTTATTGTGGACTTCCATGGCACAATTTAATACACTTGAACTCTGAAATATGGTTCAAACATTTATATGTGTGCAAATTTATAATCCTGTAATGGGTAAAGGAGATACTTTTAAAAAATAAAAACATAATGTCCAGTCAATGGTTCCATTGATTTGGTATTCTGACAAAAGGTTCTCTTTACAGACAGTTCATTCACATTAACTAAATAATACTTTATTTCACTAAAAAGAAAAGTATTTCCTTGAGACATTATGTGTGTGTGTGTGTGTGTGTGTGTGTGTGTGTATTTCTACATGACTTCTTAGCTTTCTTTACAACCACAATGGGTACTCTGGTTGAAGACTGTGTAAGAATCAAAGACTAGAGATTCCACTTTTCGAGAGTCCAGTTAGGACCCCTTTTCTAAGTGAGACAGTTTCTCTCCTCAAGTGAAAATGAATTCTTTCTAAATCAGAGGCTGGGAAAAGTTAGGAGATGTTACAAGAGGTCAAAACTAAGTCCATTAAATCCCAGACCCAGATTTAGTCACCATAGAGACAAGGGAGATAAATAAACCAGTAACCTTAACAAATGTGCTGCACCTTTGCCAGACATATCTCTGACTTGCCATTATTTTTACTTAAGTATCTTTCAGTCCAAACATAACTGACTCTGAAGACTACAAAACCAAACAGAACTAGGCCCAACAGAAATACGAACACTCACTGAAGCAAAGGGCAGGCAAAAGAGGCAAAAGCCATCCCCCACCCTTAGCAATGTGCTCTCCGTTCCCCTTGAAAAACTATTGCAACATGAAGCTCCAGAGGCAATGACATATGGGGAAAATATGTGGTGCCAAAGCCAGAAGAAACCATGTCAAAAAAGAAAAACAGACATGAAGTAACTGACCTAATTAGAAAAGAAAAGTGTACTTACAGCAGAGAAACAAGTATATCTGAAATAGGGAATACAGCTGAAGGTGAGAGGGACTGCTGTAAGGAGGCTCATGACCTTAAAGCCAATTTTTGTTGCTTATCTAATGGAAATCAGAAGATGAAATGGGCTTGCTCTTGAGCTGTAGCTCCATTAAGATGTTCCTTAAGTGGACACTGGACCTTTAAACATGAAAATTCATTCCCTGCCTGGCACTGCTAGACATTCATTAAAAGCTCTGAAACAAATATTTATACTTGGTGTCATGTGGTATATACCAAGATGCCTCTACCAACCACCAAATACGGAAGAAAGAGAAATGGGGGCTCTGGATGATGAAACACAACAAGCGAGAAGGAACTAGAGCACTGGAACCCCATGTTTAGGCTCTAGACAGGAGTCCTCATGTTTCTTGGTTACTTACTAAGCACTCTGTGATAGATTAGAATATCCGGCTTGTGATATGGAGTTAAGTACATAAAAGTGGAAGATTCTCAACATCTAAGTAATAGCAAAATGTACAAACAACATCACAACATGAATACAACTTCAAATAAAGTGATACTTACATTTTTTCCTTGTGCCTTCTAGTTCTTGTCCACAGGTACATATCACTTTGCAAGTTACAATCACAGCATATATACAATTTTGCATCCTGCATTTTTTAGTAAGACTGTATTATACAAATTCTTTCATATTGCTAATGTAAGTGTGAAAATTATAATTAACAGATTCATGAAATTCCACTGCATAGATGTATCATAATCTACTCAATCAAAACTATTTATTGAATAAATGAACTATTTTTTTCACATTAGACATTTAAATTCTTTCTTTTTGTCCTCACAAATAACACTGTGATGAATGCTTACACAGCTTTTTTTCTTTTCTTAGAATAATTTGTTTCTCAGAACACATTTCCCAAAGTATGATTACTAGATTAAAGGGTACCAATCTTTGTGCCTTTAGGCATATATTGCCAAACAATGTTCCAAAAGGCTTTGTACCAACTTACTTTGCTACCAGCAGTGAATAAGTGCATATCCATTTCAAGTTAACCATATTAACATTGTGTTTTCTTTTTGTAATTCTGCTAACTTAGTAAAAGTGTGCCTTGCTGACGTTCAAATATGCTTATCTTTGCATACCAGTGAGGCTGAGTGTTTTCCATGCATTTCTTTACATTGTGATATAACTTGAGTGTCTTTTACCCATCTATCAATTGGATAATTCATTCAGCCAACAGTTAGGAAGCACCTACCACGTGCTAGGCCTGTGCGCACCTTTCTTACAATCTGTATGAGGTCTGTGCATGATATAGAAATTATGTATCTTGTCATCTGTGCCACAGATTTTTCCTGGTGTGCTTTTTCATTTTAATTATACTTTTCAATATAGGACTGTATATATTTGAAACTGTTGATTTCTTTCTTTCCAACTTTTTAAAATCATTTTATAGCTTACAAGGTTATCATATAACCAGGGATTTGATAATTATCCTATTTTCTGTGGTCTGATTTACAAGTTTGCTAACAGCCCCATATTTTCCTAAAATTAAAAGCTCTAATCCCTACATTTCATGATTCCTGAGCATATCTAGCTTTTTTTTTACCAGAAGCACTTAATTTAAAACAAATTTTAAAATCAGAGTTAGATTTATCTTTCCCATGTGCTATACTGTATTGAAAATAATTGATTTTTCATCTCCTCTGCTCCAACTCAAAGTAGATCCAGATTTATCTGGGAAGATTCAACCCAAAATACCCTGGTTCGTATCTCTTTTTCTTTCTCAGGCTAGAGAAAAGTGAATGTTCTAAACATTAGCACCATCACTGCCTGACTGATTTTTCTTAGGATTGCTTTTAGAGTCCCCTTGCTACTCAAAGAGAGGGAGGTCCTCAGATCAGCAGTGGTATAACCTGGCGCTTGTTGGAAATGCAGGATCTCAGGCCCTACTCTAGACCTGCTGCATCAGAATCTGCACATTAAAGTGTGAGAAGCACCAAAGTAGACTACAGGAATCTGCCAGAATAAAATAAATCACCCGTACCTGTCGATGTATCCTTTTCTTAATCAGGTACCATCATCAGAAAGTAACCTTCCTCTGAAATGTTTGCCCTCAACCCTTTTAAAGCACCTCCTTAATATGACTGTCACCCTATGTCGTGCCCCTGAAAATTAGCAAGCTGATATCTTGAGAAAAAGGATGACCTTAAGTTTGCAACCTCAATTTTATCTAGACCTGGGATTGAAAACTCACATGTCTATAGGGGTTAAACATTCAGATAATGGCAACCAACCCTTGTCCTTAGTGTCAAGGAGATTACAGATACTGCCAGAGACTGTGGCAAACTTCAGAGTTCATGCTCTAGCTAAAGAAACAGCAGCTGGCTAGGTGCGGGGGCTCACGCCTGTAATCCTAGCACTTTGGGAGGCCGAAGTGGGCGGATCACAAGGTCAGGAGATCCAGACTATTCTGGCTAACATGGTGAAACCCCGTCTCTACTAAAAAATACAAAAAATTAGCCGGGCGTGGTGCGGGCACCTATAGTCCCAGCTACTGGGGAGGCTGAGGCAGGAGAATGGCGTGAACCTGGGAGGCAGAGCTTATAATGAGCGGAGATCACGCCACTGCACTCCAGCCTGGGTGACAGAGCGAGACTCCATCTCAGGAAAAAAAAAAAAAAAAAGAAAAGAAACAGCAGCCATTTGGCTCCAGCCTAGTGTAGCCAAACAGGAGTGAGGGCTCAATATTGCCAGATCTTCTGATATTTCAAGAGAAGCTGAAAAATTTGGACTTCAAAAAATATGAAACCTTTCAATTTTTAAATGCTGGCAATTAAAATTTTAAAAGAACACCTCTGTGTGCCAGATCCAGCCCATCAGTTTGAGACCTTGGCTCTAAAGTGATGGTTTCCAAATCCTCTAAGTCTGTGTAACCCATCTGTGCTGATTCTCCTTCTTATTGCTAGTGCACCAAGAAGAGAGGTTACATCAATACAAATGGCACAGATCAAATCACTTTGACTACTGTATTTCAAAATTTTGTGTTTTGTGAATATTAAAAAACTGCCAAATCAATAATGAAAATGACCATATGTCAGTGATACAAATATCTCCTACATGTGAAACACATGTTTAATTAACAATATTGTCACTACTATGGTACAAATACTCAAATTTAGCCCAGTTCACGTATGTGTTAAGAATTATGTGTTCAAGCTTGTGTTCCAAATAATTCTGTAAACTAAAAGGCAGCCAAATGGAATAATTCTAAGTTTCTGAATAATAAAGTTTATCTATGATAAATACTGTATTAAAAGGGGACACACCATCACTTAAAAGAACAAAATAGGCCGGGCATGGTGGCTCACGCCTGTAATCCCAGCACTTTGGGAGGCCAAAGCAGGCGGATCACTTGAGGTAAGGAGTTCGAGACCAGCCTGGCCAACATGGTGAAACCCCGTCTCCACTAAAAATACAAAAATTAGCTAGGCATGGTGGCACGCATCTGTAATCCCAGCTACTTGGGAGGCTGAGGCAGGAGAATCGCTTGAACCTGGGAGGTACAGATTGCAGTGAGCCGAGATTGCACCACTGCACTCCAGCCTGGGCGACAGAGTGAGACTCCGTCTCAAAAAAAATAAAAAATAAAAGAACAAGATATCCTCATGTGGAAACAGCAAAGCCCATTTTACTAAACTATTCAATTATTCCAAACAAACGTTTTAAAAATAGAGTGTGAAACGCACAGTTTACATTTATTTTCATTTTAGGGCCTTCGGGTCCCAGGGACAGCTGCATCCATGGCAATTACTGAATACTTTATTTGCACATGCTTATATGGAAGTGGCATAAATCATAGGCTCAAAGAATAGAGTAGAGATGGGGACTTGGAACTGTACCCCTGCATCCATACCTGTCTACTGAATACTGGGCAATGTAATTGAGAAAAGCAAAGCAATTTTCAGTTTCCTTGTCTGCAAAAGAGAAAATAATCTAGGCATGTCCCACCCTTGAAGAATATCAAACCCAAAAGGTATTTTTTTGTTGTTTTTGTGCTCACCACTACATTCCTGCCCTGGCCCATAGTAGGGCTGAATGAATGAATAAAAGAAAGGAAGAAAGAACACCAGATGCAGTTGTGTAATCCTATATATTTCTGTTACATGGAAACAGAATTTAACAGATTTGGCCGGGCGCAGTGGCTCACGCCTGTAATCCCAGCACTTTGGGAGGCCAAGGAGGGCGGATCGCTTGAGGCCAGGAGTTTGAGACCAGCCTAGCCAACATGATGAAACCCTGTCTCTACTAAAATTACAAAAATTAGCCAGGCATGTTGATGTAGAGACGCTTGTAATCCCAGGTATTTGGGAGGCTGAGGCAGGAGAATTGCTTGAACCTGGGAGACGGAGGTTGCACTGAGCCAGATCGCACCACTGCACTTGCACCACTGCACTCCAGCCTGAGCGACAAAGCAAGACTCCATAAAAAAAAATAAATCAATAAAAAATTTAAAAAAATAAAAAAAACAGAATTTAGCAGATTCTATTCAACTGACACACCTGAGAAACTCAGTGCTTTAAAAGAAAACCCAAGGATACCAAGTTTTGGTCAATGTAAAGATGTCACTGGGGTGTGCTTGGTATCATAAAACCACTTGAAATGTGTGCTTGAAAAACTTCGATTTAAATGTTCCACTTTAAGAACACAGCCCTTTTACACATGGTTTCTATCAAAGTTTTCTGCTGATGAAGCTGATTGAATTTGCAGATTGCTATGGAATTACTAAGGGCAAACAATGCATATGCATAGTCAGGTCTCACCTAGCTGGCATTTCCAGCTGATGAGAGGATGTCTTTGTATCTCCTTAAAGAATCTTTATATCTTTCTCTCTCCCTTCTTTATATCTCCTTAAAGAATCTAGCCTCTTCTGTGGGAAAATAAAAATAAGAGCTGGGAAAGGGCACAGAGCTAAAATCTCTGCTCTTTCAATAGGGTTCACCCTTAGAGGAGGGTGACAGAGAGTCACAGCCTCCTACTTGAGCCAAAGCAGTTCAGCTTTGGTTTTCTCTATTGGGGTTAGATCTAAAGATTTGTATTTTTTGAAGATAGGTTTCTATCATTTTTTTTAAGTTTGAAAACAACCATTATAGGTAAAGGCTATGAATGAGAGCTATGGCAGGATTTAGACCCAGAAATGAAGATTCCATCTCCAGCAGCAGAGGGAAGCTGCTGAAAGCTTGTATCACCGAGCTTGCTTCAAGCCCGAGGGCCTTGGAAGGACTTCCGACTACCACCATAATTGATGAAATGGATAAAATTCAGGTTTAGCATTTCTAAAAGTTTGTCCTATGCTTTTTACTCTTTAAGGTTTAATACATTTAGGTATTTGAAGATATATATTTTAAAACCTGGGGAGAATTCTGTAGCAAGTAGACATAACAAAGGCAATTCTTGTCACCTGCTGAGCATGTACCCTAACTGAAATCTAAGTACCTACACTGACCATGTGGCTGCATGCAGGGGTGGGCAGGGTGAAGGTGAAGGCAAAAACGCAGCAACCTTTTGAGGGATGAAATGGCAAAGCCTGACAGGTATGGTGCTGGCAAAGGTTACATTCCCTCTTGTGAGCGCACAGAGACCGGGGCACCAAAAAGGAGGGACCATTACTGTATCGTGCCTGGATGAGCCTTCTCTTAGATTCCTTCATTATTTTCAAAGGTCAATGTCCCTCTCTCAAAGAGAAAATTGAGGAACCCTGAGTCATCACAGAGTATAAACAAGCCACTGTGGCTAAATGAAGAGGACAGAGAACGCTTATCCAGTATAAGCATTCTTACACTGGCTTCCCACAGGTTGTTCTGAACTTGAGGGCAAATCAGAAGAAAATCTCCTGGACCCTATTAATGTCACCGAGCAGAAGCACTCTTTGGCCTTCTATCACCAGATTTTGCAATGCCAGTCCTGCACCTTGGCTCCTTCCACCCAGGGAGAAAGATTCCTAATAGCTGATCAGGTCAGCCTAACCTTCTCGTGGCTGGCAGCAGGAGTCTCCTCTGTCCCATCCCAGCATTTGCTCCATGCAGCTTTCCTGCTCCCTACTGTTCGTGCAACGACATGAGCAGATCTTTACTTTAAAGCAGACATTCAAATAGTTCTGTTGTGCCTGGCAAATTCCCTTTTCATATGCCCAAGTTGAAAGCAAATGAGATTTTCCCTTGAAAAGACATTGCCCCCGAGAGCTAATATTTAGGGTAAGCAGTGACATTGGTTGAGTCAATTAAAATGAACCTTCTGAAACCTCCTGGTACAAATAAAGCCCTTTGTACAATGCCGCCCCTAATACCACAACTTAGAAGGTTGGAGATCAGTGTAAGAATTTGTGGCAATTAGTAAAACTTACCTCACGCTGGATGTGTGGCAGATAGGATGTATTCGGCAAAGGCTGGATATGGTTGAAAACAACTTCCAAGGTGCCTAAGTTAGGGAAAAAAATGAGAATCAAGAGGCAAAGTTACCTTTTTAGAAGCAAAGTTCTGAATTCTAAAAAAATAAAGTCAACTTCCTATGAAATGGCTCATGGTAACACATTCTACTTTGTATTTACAACCCTTAGAGTTAAAGGAAAACTGCCAAGATGTTCTGCATACTTCTCCAAATGTCTGTTTATCATATAACATGAGCACTGGCAGTGGATCTGGCTCCCTCATTATCAAGCCGTATTAGCTCAAACACTCAGCATTGTTAGGGGAGTGAGCTCATGGCCTATTTCAGTTTTAAATTAACATTTGGCAATCACCCGGGTAATCAAAACAAATGACTCAGTCGTTTAGAATAGATTTATTAGTTGAGCCTTTTTTTTTCTCTCTCTCTCTTTTAACATCTTTAGAATATTTTGCCACAGGAGGGCTCTGATCCAGCCAGAATGTAGAGCACAAGTCACTAGAGGAATATTTAGAGGGGTTGCCATGGAGACGAGGTGCCCTGTGACCGCTGAAGTTATCTCCAATCAACAGCAGGATTAGGATGCAGACTAGCGGGCAGGCTCATCCCAGGACGAGGGTTCTGCAGCACTAGGAAACAGGTGTGCCTTGTGCCGTTCCCAACCCTGACACAAATATGGCCCGCTACGACATGCTGCCCTCCTCAAGCCCGTGCGACCTCCCCACAGGCCCATTCGCATCACTGCCTTCCTCCCCCAATCCCTCGACCTTTATTCAGAAAGGACTGGCTGGGGCAAAGGAGAAAGGGAGTGTGATCACTGTATTATCCTAAAAGTGTGAAATCCTAGAATTCACACCAAATGCCGCTTTTAGATCAACTATGAAAATGTACATGAGCGAATGAAATCTGAGGAAAAGACAGTGCCTTGGGCGGGGGACCCAGTCTGTTTTTTCACTACTCTGCCCCAACACCCAGGTCAGTGCCTGTAACACAGGAAGCTCTCAAGAAGTATAGATGGAAACAGGGCAAAAATAAACCAAGGATTACAACCAGGTGTGTAACCACCCCTCCCACCCTATGCTCAAACCATTTCCAGGCTGATCGTCACACAGGCAGTGGATATAAATGGAAAAACTGTTAATGTGCTGGTAAATAAACAGCTGAGACTGTTGGTTCACTAGGCTAATGAGTTCATCTCTTTAGAGATCCTGACGACGATTGTCAGGATCGTTGTCAGGAAGAAAAGGCTGAAGATAATGCTTCCCAACTCAAAATGGATGAATCTGCTGACTATAGGGACAGGGTTCTTGTTTGCCAGGCCAAAAGCCTGGAGGAAGACAAATTTTGTGCCCATGGTGAAGCGCTAACATTTGAAAGCAAATGTTTTAAAGTGACTTAATTCAAAGGAACATCTTCCAGTCTTCCTCCCACCTGTACTTAAGTAGAGACAGTATCTTCATATTCTATCATATGAATCTGGATTGTTTCATGTTAGGTTTTCTTTGTCCGGTAAAATGTTAAGTATCTTGGTGTCAGGAAGAAATATTTCTTATTTCATTTCTATCTCCTAGTATTTAGCATGGTATGTTTACACCAAAGGCTTTACTCCATCTCATCTCCCACCACCACACTCCACTCATATAGAACTCACTGCTTCTAGAAGATTCCACACCCTTTCGTGCAGCTACAGGAGGAATGCAGCAGGGCACAGCTCTTCACAGCAGGGGCACCAGAGTCAGACTGCCTGAGCTCAAATACCGGCTCCGCCTCATATTAGCTGTCCAGCCTCTATGAGCATCATAATGGCCACCTACCTCATAGAGGTAAGGACGTACGTCCATGTAAAGCATTTAGCAGGGCCTCCCCCACACAAGGTACCCATTGAATGTTAAATACATACTTACTACTATTATTACAGCAGGCAAAAAGTCAAACTGTTATCAAACGTGGATAATGATTTCACATGCCACCACAAACGCCTGATACCAAATATACCTCTCTTTCGATTCAATCCAACTGAAGCGTCAAACCTGAATCTGTCACACACTAGTCTTATCATATTTCATCTAATTCACCCTTCTGGAATTGATGTTTCCTAGAGATGGGTACAATTCATACCGATTCTACTTGACGGAATCCGGTTCTCTTTTTCAAGAACCGGAATCACTTCCTTCCTAAGATTCCCACCTTGCCAATAGCTTCCCTGCCATCTCTCTGTCTGTTCCTCACCTCTGCACATTCCAGCTTGGAAGGGCTACAGGTGGGGAAAGGACAGGGAAAGTGTCTTCTAGTAACCAGACTGGGACTCTGGCTATTCTTTCCAGAAAACATTTTCATATTCTATCATATGAATCTGGACTGGTTCATGTTAGGTTTTGTTAGTCCTGTAAGATGTTAAATATCTTGGTGGCAGGGGCAAAGAAATGTCTTATTTTGGCTGGGTGTGGTGGCTGGCACCTGTAATCCCAGCACTTTGGGAGGCTGCGGTGGGTGGATCACGAGGTCATGAGATCAAGACCATCCTGGCCAACATGATGAAACCCCGTCTCTACCAAAAAAATACAAAAATTAGCCGGCGTGGTGGCGTGTGTCTGTAGTCCCAGGTACTCAGGAGGCTGAGGCAGGAGAATTGCTTGAACCTGGAAGGTGGAGGTTGCGGTGATCTGAGATCGCACCACTGCACTCCAGCCTGAGCGACAGAGCAAGACTCCATCTCAAAAAACAAAACAAAAAAATCTCTCATTTCGTTTCTATCTCCCAGTACTTAGCATGGTATGTTTACACAAAAGGCTTTACTCCATCTATTCTCCCACCACCACACTCCACTCATATAGAACTCACTGTTTCTAGAAGATTCCACACCCTTTCGTGCAGCTACAGGAGGAATGCAGCAGGGCACAGCTCTTCACAGCAGGGGCACCAGAGTCAGACTGCCTGAGCCCAAATACAGGCTCCGCCTCATATTAGCTGTCCAGCCTCTATGAGCATCATAATGGCCACCTACCTCATAGAGGTAAGGAGGTACGTCCATGCAAAGCATTTAGCAGTGCCTCCCCCACACAAGGTACGCATTGAATGTTAAATACATACTTACTACTATTATTATAGCAGGCAAAGAGTCAAACTGTTATCAAACGTGGATAATGATTTCACATGCCGCCACAAACACTTGACACCAAATATACCTTTCTTTCGATTCCATCCACCTTAAGCTTCAAACCTGAATCTGTCACACACTAGTCTTATCATATTTCATCTTACTCACCCTTCTGGAATTGATTTTTCCTAGAGATGAGTACAATTCATACCGATTCTACTTAATGGAATCCGGTTGTCTTTTTCAAGAACCGGAATCACTTCCTTCCTAAGATTCCCACCTTGCCAATGGCTTCCCTGCCATCTCTCTGTCTGCTCCTCACCTCTACATGTTCCGGCTTGGAGGGGGTGGTGGGGAAGGGGCAGGGAAAGTGTCTTCTAGTTACCAGACCAAACCCTGGCTATCCTTTCCAGAAAGTCCTTGCATTTCATGTTCTCTGACACCCTCCAGAGGGCAGAAGAAAGAAAGGCCCAAAGGCTGAGGAGGCAAAGCTCTCACATGGGATTCAACTCAGACTCATGCTGGAGCAGTCTTCGTTCCATAGTTCATGGTTTCACCACCCAGAATTAGTCCACAAAGGAGAAAAATTGACAGTCAGATCTGAACTGCCTTTGTATCTCCATTTCACTTTATCATCTGTACTAGCATGTCCCACTTAACATGAGCTGGGGTCGTGAGGCTGAAGCACTCATGGTGGGTATATTTGTGTGTACTTTTCAATCTGCAGCGTGTAACTGTGTCTCTGACCAGAACATCATATAAATTACGTTGACAACATTGTGCAAGTTAAAGAATAAAAACAAAACAGCACACAAAACACTGGGTAAGATGACAGCAAAGTAATCCAAAATAAAGCTCAAACACTTTAGAGTTAGTCATGCTTTCAAAGAGATCATGATAATCATATCCCACCCTGACAAAATTAATAAGTGAAAATAGACAAACCACATATATTATTCCAGAAAGAAGCCAAGAGTTACTTTTTAGTGACATTTAACACATACAATCACTCTCCAGGTTTAGCAAAAGTATTGTGGTCATGGACACTGCTGACCCTTATCACTACTGACAACCAAGCTTCAATGATCCCCACATCACCAATCAATTGTGTGAATTACGTGGAAAAGAAAATCCAGTGACAACAGCTGTTTGAAAGAACTTAAAAGAAGAGTCAAATCAATCAAAAGAGATGATCCCCCACAGACTCATTGTCTCCTCTCAATTCTTTGAATGTGATTGTCATGGTAACGATTCCTTAATCACAGCCTTCAGAATATTCTCTCCCACCCAAGAAATCAAAGAACAGTGAATTCCAAACATCTTCTTAATTAGGTACACTTGTGATGAGACTGGGTGGCACAGACTTCTCATTTACCTCACTTTTATTCAAATACTTATGCTACTATAGAGGTCAGAAACATCGGCATGTGCACCATTAAAAACACATTTTAAATGTTTACCATAAAAGGCAATGATAAATACAACTGAGGTAGCCACTGGCTCATTTTCTTTAACAAAAGAACTGGTAAACTGGCTCTCATTCGGCAAAATAATTTATTGGAAATAAGCAGTACAGATTAAAGATGCCTCATTTTTAATAATTCCAACATAATTAAGATCTACAACATAACCAAATCTTTAACAGTATATTCATTTAATAAACAAGCAAAAACTGGAAGGATATTACCAGTTATAGAAATATAATAAAGTCCAGTTTTGTGTCCTTATATTTAGTACAGAGTATTATCTGGTGATATCCTCTATATACTCTGGAAGATCATTTATTCTACACGTTTCTATATTTATTTTATATGATACAATCATAATATTCCTCACAATTTGCAAAGAGAGGAATTATCCCTATCCAGTTTGGGAAAAGATGGGTTATATTTTTAAAAGTTATCTACCAGATATACTAAAAATTTCAAGTTATGATTAGTCCAGATTTTTCTGCAGATTTTTGCACTTCTTTCAAAAACTAAAGTGCACACATTTACCAAAGTTGGAGTAGTGAGTCATTTTTAACTTTGCATAGGAATATATGCAACTTTGCATAGGAATATATGCAACCCTGTAAAATACTGAGTCTGCTTTCATAGATTTTCAAATTAGTAAATAAAAGGTGTCTTTCCTTCCAGATGTGGCATGACCTAGAAACTAACAAAAGGTCCCACCATGCCCTAAATAAATACCAAGGAGCTCTTTCTGTGAGCCATTTCTGGATGCAAATTTGAATAATTTTTGGTCATAAAGGAAGAATAAGTATATTGGGGAAAAACATAAAGGGACAAATATATTTATTTTTTAACTGGAATATTAAAACCTTAAGAATACTTATGAATAAAAAAGCCATCGAAAATAGAATAGAGGCAAGGAGCAGTGATGCACGCCTGTAATCCCAGCACTTTGGGAGGTCGAGACCAGCCTGGCCAACATGGTGAAGCCCCATCTCTACTGAAAATACAAAAATGAGCCAGACATGGTGGTGCGTGCCTGTAATTCCAGCTACTTGGGAGGCCGAGACACGAGAATCACTTGAATCCAGGAGGCAGAGGTTGCAGTGAGCCGAGATTGCACCACTGTACTCCAACCTGGGCAAAAGAGCAAGACTGTGTCTCAAAAAAAAAAAAATAGAGTACACTACAGTTATCAAGCACAAAGAACAAATTGGAACAAAGGAAAAACACAAGTCAAATGGCAAAATCTAGCAAGAAAAATGGAGCAGCAAATATTTGCTGAAGTCAAAAGGTAAAAACCTTGAAATTCTTGTCCTTTGCCCTAATGTTCAATGGTATTTTTGTTTTGTTTTAAAAATATGAAGACTGATGTCCTCTCAATGACTATTACAGCAGCTCCCAAATAAAACAAATGATAAAATAAAAACTCACTTAATTGACTGATAGGCTTGAATTACTCATTGCCAAGTCTACAACTTTCCCACAACTCCAAGCATTCTTTCCTTAAAAGAAAAACAGCATTTTTTCCCTCTGACATGATGACCATGAGTAGCTTTTGAGGTGACTGTAATTCTGTATTTTTCTATAACTTGCTGTGGGTCACCTCCGCATTATAACTCCTAAATCAAAGCAACAAAAAACAAAGAATTGTACAGATCCATACATGACAATTTTGCCAGATGCATCTAGAGAGCACTGGCCCTCCCAGAAGTCTGAGAGGTACTCCTGAACCAAAGACATTCTAACATTGCTGTCACCCCAGCAACCATCGCCAAACCCTGCCCATTTTTCCTGCAAAAGAGCTTTCATACATTTTCTTCCTTATAATTTCATTTCTAAGGTCCTAATTTGGCCCATTATCACTTCACACCAGACTATTTCATCAGATTTCTTAACTATGGGTATGCCCTCTTCTTCACATAGCTAGCATCAGAATCATCTCTCAAATGTTCCACCTCGGATGTATCACTCCCATTGCCAAAAACCTTTCTCCATTGTAATCTAAAGGCCAAGTTTCTTTGAGTGAAATTCAAGCCTCTGGCTTTGGCTGACTCCCTGCATCTGACGTTCATTGCAGCTAGAGAATGACAGAAGTCTTGGTTCATGCCACTTTCCCCTAAACCAGTGATTCTCAAAATTGGCGGCACCTGGAGAGCCAAAGCAACTAGTGATGCCTGGGTGCCTGCTACGGTTTTCATGTGTCCAAGATTCAGGTGTTGAATCTTAATGGACAATGTGATGGTATTGAGAGGTGGGGCCTCTAAGAGGTGGGGTGATTAAACCGGGAGAGCTCCTCCCTGGTGGATGGGATTAAAGCTTCAACAGAGCCTTTGGCTCTCTTGCCCTTCTGCCTTCCGCCACATGAGGGCAGGGCGTTCCTCCCCTCTGGAGGCTGGAGAACTAAAGTGTCATCTTGGAAGCAGAGAGCAGCCCTTAACAATCGAACCTGTTTGCACCTTGATCTTGGGACTTCCCAGTCTCCAGAACCGTGAGAAATAGATTTCTGTTCTTTATAAGGTATCCAGTCTCAGATATTCTGTTACAGCAGCACAAACAAAGTCAGCGCCCCACCCCCAACAAAGTTCCCCCAGATGAATCTATTGTATGGCAGAGGCTGAGAACCACTGACCCAAATTCCTATAGCCTGTAATTGTCAGACTTTATTGTGCCTCAAAATCTCCTGAGAGAGGACCTTGTTAGGACACAGATGGCGGGGCCCCATCCCCAGCGTTTCTGATTCCCTAGGTCTGGAGTGGGGCCCATGAAAGTTGCATTTCTAACAAGCTCCCAGGTGATAGCTCACTGCAGCCTCCTGGGCCCATGTGATCCTCCCACCTCAGCCTCCTGAGAAACAGGGACTACAAACACACATCACCTCACCAGGCTAATGTTTTGTATTTTTTGTAGAGACAGAGTCTCACCATGTTGCCCAGGCTGGTCTGGAACTCCTGGGCTCAAGCTTCCGTTTTCCAGAATCTCTTCCACATTTATGAATCAATCTACAGAATATCTTAGAGATGATCTCGTTCATTTGCCTTTTTATAAACTGAGACCCAGAGTGGGGAGATGATTTGCCCAGAGTTTCCAATGCTTAGTGGCAGAACTCAGGCTAGGATTCAAAACTCCTGACTCTCTCCCCACACCCTATGCAGTTCAATACTCTTTCCACCACATCCTTCATGTGTCTTTAACAGCTTCTCCAATTAGAATGGGCGTTCTTTGCTTGAAGAGATCGCTAGTACTTTTTTTTTTTTTTTTTTTTTGAGACAGGGTCTCTCTCTGTCGCCCAGGCTGGAGTGGAGTGGCACAATCTCATCTCACTGCCACCTCCATATCCCAGGTTCAAGTGATCCTCCTGCCTCAGCCTCCTGAGTAGCTGGGACCACAGGCAGATGCCACCACACCCAGCTAATGTTTGTATTTTTAGTAGAAACGGGGTTTCACCATATTGTCCATGCTGGTCTCAAACTCCTGACCTCAAGTGATCCGCCTGCCTCGGCCTCCCAAAGTGCTGGGATTACAGGCATGAGCCACCACGCCCGGCCTTGAAGAGATCACTGTTGTTTTAAGGCTCCCCACAGCATCTAGCAAACCTAGCCAAGTGCCTTCTCCTTAGAGTAAGCACTGGATAAATATTTTTTTATTTCATCTTACTAAGTACTCAGCCCCATACTTTTCCTAAATTGGCATTGGCGCTCCATGAACTGTTTCCTTACAATTCAGCAACTGGGCAGCTCTGCTCCCATCAATTAGCCCTGGAGCAAATCCTTCATATCAGCACGCATGTGGCCATTATCTGCTATGGGGATAATCATGAACACATAAGGAAAATTTAGGGGGGTTTTAAAAGTTGCAGGAATAACTAAGTTTGTAAGGTGACAAAATTCAACTTTCAAATTGTATGTCAGAAAACGTTTACAAAATACCCTAAGTCTCATTTAATACCCAACAAACCACTGCAGCAGTAACAATCAGGCAGTCCAAGAATTATAAAGTATGTTGCTCTGGTACTTTGAATACTTAAGCCAATTATTTTCATGCTGAGGCTCTCCTGGTTCCTTAACAGAAAATTCAAAAGTAACTGGATTAAGGATAAAGAGAAGACAGAATGAGGGGAAGACAAAGAGGAGCCAATAGGTGGCAAGAAGCAGGTGGGTGAGCAGCAAGGGGGCAAAAGGATGCTGTCACATGCCTGTCCCACAAGCCGCTGCCACTATACCTCCCCAATCCTTCCAGATACTCACAGTAGTTAGGGAGCATGACTACACTAGGCCTAATGACGAACCCAGCCTGTCTATATCTGGGAAACAAACATATTATGATTGGGTTAGATGGTGACTTTTGCCATTTTTCCAATCAACATGAATTGCAGTAAAGTCACGTCAGCTGCAGGATTTGGTGTCGATTGTGAAGCTGACTGAAAGAAATCCAGTGGCAGTAGCTCACTACTGGCATCAAGTGACCATTTAGCCTGGCCACTGAACTGGAATCCTAGCTTCCATCATGAAATGGGACTTGAGGGAGAGGTTATTTTTATCCTCTTTCTCCCCTTCCTCATCAAAATCTGCTTTTAACAGGTGGTACCACATATATAGTCAATTCAGGCAACCAATGAAATTAAGAAAAATAAAATTCTGTCTAACAATAGATGTAACAATGAGGACACCTAACAGATCTGTACACAAAGAATTATTTCCAATATACAAAATAAAGTTTAATAAGCTAAACAAGCCATGAGTTTGAGACCAGCCTGGACAATATAGCGAGACCCTGCCTCTACGAAACTAAAACATTAGATGGGTGTGGTGATGCACACCTGCAGTCCCAGCTACTCAGGAGGCTGAAGCAGAGGGATTGTTTGCGCCCAGGAGGTCAAGACTGCAGTGAGCCACGATCGTCACTGTTTTCCAGCCTGTGTGACAGAGCAAGACACAGTTTCAAAAAAAACAAACAAACAAACAAAAAAACTAAACAGGCGAACTCTATAATCAACTCTTCCCTTTATTGGTATTTTTCAGATAATCACATGAACTATGAGGTTTTTCACCCCAGGTCTTATCACAGACCTGACAGACAACCACTTCAAGATACACAGTGCTTGAGTGATGGCTCCCATTTGCCTTCTAATCCTTGATGGCTTCTCAGTTTTTTTCTTTCCCTTTGCAGCTGCAATGTCCCTCTTAGACCTGATCCTCCCCTCACCCCCACTACCACGTACCACAGAATGTTCTGTTCTCATAGCCAACTCAGGAAAGCAATGGGTACTTGTAATTGCCCATCATAGTTACCCAGGTCCAATATAAAGAAACTATTTACATTAATGCCTATAAAAACCGAATCTTTTCACACACGTTTACTGTAGAGCTGGCCATACTGAGTAAGTGCATGGAAGTTCTGGCATTGGGCCTATGCTTCTACAAGCCATGCAATAATAGCCTTTGGCCCAAAGCAATCAAACTCTGACCTGGATATTGGCTCAGAGTTGGCATAAGTTCACCAACTGTCACTGTTGCTAATGATACCACAAATGCAAGGGTCAAAAGAGGGCCCACTGGGTTGTAGGGCAGGGAATTTGCCAAATCTGGGACTCCACTGCAAAGATGGCATGATGTTTCAAGGGTGGCAAGCGAAGTCCCAACCCACTGCTCCCACTGACCTATCTACTGACTATTGTGCAACTAGACATAGCATTGGAGGTACTGGGCAGCTCTCCTGGAACCTCATACTTCCCCTTTTCAGGGGCTCGTGCCACAAGTTACATCACTCAAGGAGAAACACATCTCTTATTTCACTCATTCTGAAAAACAAACACTGGAATTTATTTATTTATTTATGTATTTATTTAAGACAGGGTCTCACTCTGTCTCCCAGGTTGGAGTACAGTGGCGTGATCTCGGTTCACCGCAACCTCTGCCTCCCGCGTTTAAGTGATTCTCCCACCTCAACCACCCGAATAGCTGGGAATACAGGCACATGCCACCACACCCGGCTAATTTTTGTATTTTCAGTAGAGACAGGGTTTCATCATGTTGGCCAGGCTGGTCTCAAACTCCTGGCCTTAAGTGATCCACCCACCTCAGCCTCCCAGATTGCTGGGATTACAGGCATGAGCCACTGTACCTGGCCACAAACAGTAGACTTTAATCCACACGGTAATAATAAAAAGCTCCTGATCTAGTCTTTGTATTTCTGAAACCCATACATTTGAAGAGTTTTTTTTTTTAATTAGTAGACTTTTTTTTTTTTTAGCAGTTTTAGGTTTACAGAAAAACTAAGCAGGAAGTACTGAGTTTCTGTATACCTCCTTAGCATCCATCTCCCAGTTTCCCCTATTATTAATATCTTGTATTGATGTGGTACATTTGTCCCAATTGATGGGCCAACGTTAATACATTATAATGAACTAAAGTCTAGGGTTTACATTAGGGTTCATTCATTGCGTTGTGCATTTTATGGGTTTTGACAAATGTTGAATGGGTTCTTTAATATCTTTATGGCCCATTCTGAAAAACAATAAATCACCTTATCTCAGGACAATTTTAATTGCTTTACAATTATCAAAGGAAGTTTCCTAGGAATATTATAATGTAAACTATTCACTTATTTTTAATGATTCGTGGCTTCAAAGACGGTCATAACACAGCCCAGCAAGTATATTCAACTTTGATTATCCAAAAACCATCCTTTCACAACTCTCCAATTTCCAGTACAGCTCGAAACTGGAAAGGAGTGTGAAAAAAGTGTTGGATCACAGGAGAAACAGCCTCCAAGATGCTATCTGACACATTGGAATTAGTCTGCTGCCCTCTCGGTCTGGAGATGTTTATAAAAATGGCTTTCTCATGAGAAATCAGAGCAGTGCAAGAGAAGTGGCATCAGGATACGGGAAAGACATGGAGGAGGAAAATCAGGGAAGGAAGATAGGGCAGAAACAGTAGAAATCGAGAGTGGCAAGAGGAGACGACGCATGCCGAAGTAATAGCAACAGAACAGAGAGCCAGCGAGATATTTTTTGACACTTGGATTTTTCTAGAAGGTGACAAACGAAGGGACAAACTCCATCTCAATGCAGCAGCCTTTAAATTGCTCAATAATTATTAGTTCAATTAAATATATCAATGAGAGTAATAACAGCATATGAAAAGCTTGCTTTGCACCTAAGTGTGTAAAGACAGTACACCTTTCATGCACAGAAAATTCCCTCTGAAGCCTTCAAATCTTTTGTAATCCTCAAGGGATAGGGTTATTAATACATAGTAATTTTATACAGAAACATATATACACACACTAGCTGGAGGGATGGGTGGATGGATGAATGATTAGACAGATAGATACATATAAAACCTTTATTCTCAGTCTTCATTTTTACTTTACAAATAAGTACGAAGCAAAATTCAAATTTTACTTCTCTGGTTCTTGAGGGATTTAACACCTCACTGTAACTACTTGAGAAGAACATACACTGCTTTTCTGTCTATCAGAATTGTTTTTCTCTTGGCTGTAATTTCTCTTCAATTCAAGTACATAATGAAACTATTTACTAAGTAGCTTACTTGCAGAGGATGAGGGAAAGATTCTAGGAAATCAATACCTAGAATTTCTCTGTAGTATTATTTTAAACATAGAGAAGACAATTGCATTTTGGACATAAATATAGTCTTTTTATAGAGGAAGATCCACAAACTTTCAAATCTGAGTTTTGAAAGTGGCTCTCACACAAAAGCATAACGGGATATCTGGGGGAAAGGGGCTGGGGGAAGAATGTTACTGGAAAAGGGGCAAGGATAAACTTGTGGAGGTGATAAAAACATTCCACATCCTGATTGGGGCAGTGGTTTCATGGGTATATACATCTGTCTAAACTCATCAAATTGGAGGCTTTAATTGGATGCCGGTTTTTGTACCTAAATCATGCTCGGTGAAGTTGATATTTTAAAAGTGGCTCTAACAAAGGCCATCTGCTATAAGATGCAAGTATAAACTTTCACTTCCTCATATTAGTTTGGCTGCTTGGTTTCTTTCCTTAGTGTGATTAGCTGTGCTTAGTGCATTGGAAAATTCCTTCCTTACAAGAGGCAGACCTTCTGTGGCCTAGAAGGGATTGGGTCTAGGGTTTGAAAACTTGTGTTGACCCTGGCATCTGAAGGTGTGGAGTCTTTGACAAGCAACTTAACGTGCCTCTTTAGCCTCTAGAAGCTATGCGGCTGAGGACTTTATCTTTTCATTGTTGTAGGTGAAATGACGATCATTTACAGGGTAGTTGCTAGAACGTGTTGAAAAACAAATTTTGTTAAGTCAAATGTCTAAATCCACTGCTCTGGCTTAGTGATATAAATATTTTTGGACCGATAATTTGCAGGTCTGCCTATGTGTGTGTGTGTGTGTGTGTGTGTGTGTGTATTCCTTAGTCTCTGAGAAACCTGGGGGGAAACCTGTTACTTCAGTCCACCTGGCCACCCGAAAGTGCAGGTGATTGATTATGTCTGTAGGCAGACTTGCACTCAGCTTCCCAAACCAGAATGACGCATAAAACTAGACCTGGCAGAGTGCACTGAAAAACCAATCCTTAATGTCTCATAAATCATACATTTCAAATCTGACAAGAATCAAACAGCTTTATCCACACTCTAAAACTAAAAGTGAGTGACAAGACTTATAAATTAATCAAGTATAGAAATTTAGTTTTGTGCCATCCTTGTCAAAACAATCTTGCCAATAAAGCCTTTGCATTCCCAGCTATCATTTCCTTAGTACTGAAAAGGAAATTTAAAACCTTGTGACTGTTACAAATTCTTGTTATTAGAAAGTCTACAGAACAGCTCACGCCTGCAATCCCAGCAATTTGGGAGGCCGAGGAGGGCGGATCACCTGATGTCAGGAGTTCGAGATCAGCCTGACCAACACAGTGAAACCCCGTCACTACCAAAAATACAAAAATTAGCTGGGCATGGTGGTGGGTGCCTGTAGTCCCAGCTACTTGGGAGGCTGAGGCAGGAGAATCGCTTGAACCCGGAGGCAGAGGTTGTAGTGAGCCATGATTGTACCATTGCACTCCAGCCTGGGCAACAAGAGCGAAACTCCGTCTCAAAAAAAAAAAAAAAAGGCTATAGAACATTTAATGTCTTGCAACAGGAATAACATCCAGACAGTTTTTATGTGGGTAAAAAGAAACAGTAAAATGCTTACAAGAGATATTTATTATTTTGATTGTTATTTTCTTTTTCTAGGTTTCAATGCATTTCAAAAACAGTCCACAGGTATTTCCTATCTGTGCCTTTTTTATCTATAGTAGTTCAAAAATGAGGCACAAATAAATCTCAGTAGTTTAAATACAGAGGAATCCATTTTCAGAAGAGAAATAGTGTACTATAGGAAGCTGTGGAGAGCCGGTCACTTACTGACAATGTACATATCCATTAGCAGGCAATAATAAGGAACAGGAAGAAAAGCTACTATGTCTTGCAATAGGAATAACATCCAGAGAGATTTTATGTGGGCAAATAGAATATCAATTCTACAAGCAGTAAAATGCCGACAGGAGATACTTATTATTTTGATTGTTTTTTTTTTTCTAGGTTTCACTGCATTTCAAACAGTCCACAGGTATTTCCTATCTGTGAGTTTTTATCTATAGTAGTTCAAAAATGAGGCACAAGTAAATCTGTGGTTTAAATACAGAGGAAAATCCATTTTCAGAAGAGAAATACAGTGTACTACAGGAAGCTAGGAGAGTTGGTCACTTACTGACAATATACGTATCCATTAGCAGGCAATAATAAGGAACAGGAGCAAAAACTACTTAAAAATACACCCCTAGGCAAGAGTACAATTCTCTCACTTGTTCAAATAGTAAGCCCTCGGCAATAGGTATCCATACTCATTATTTCATGTAGCTGTAGCATTTGCTGGGACCCTAGCTGTAAAGAAGGAATGATTTTGTGTTCACAAGTTTACATGTATACATAGCCTATGTAATCTCTGTACATATTTTGTTTAATCCTATTCTGTCAATGACATTTCTGTATAGAGTGACAACAACTCTTCTCACTCCACATCTGCCCTGGAGATCAGCTTCCCTGCCCGGCCTAAGCTGAAAAACAGCCCTGGCCCAGCCCAGGGTGGGGTAATTGTTAACACTGGCAAACGGGGACAAGGGCAAGATGCAGTGGCAGATGAATGTGATAGAAGGATATGGATCCACGGAGAGCCTGGAAAAAGGAAAGTGAGTGCAGTCAGGTGGACTGAAAAAAGAGTCACCCTGAGAGTGAAACAGATACAAAGAGAGAATGACCCTCACAGCTACAGAAAGAAATGAAATGGGGCAGGAGAAGAGGGGGAAGAAAGCTAAATAACTGATTTTTTTAAGAATGCCAGATTAAGGCCGGGCGTGGTGGCTCACGCCTGTAATCCCAGCACTTTGGGAGGCCGAGGTGAGTGGATCACCTGAGGTCAGGAGTTTGAGACCAGCCTGGCCAACATGGTGAAACCCCGTCTCTACTAAAAATACAAACATTAGCAAGATGTGGTGTCACGTGCCTGTAATCCCAGCTAGTAGGGAGGCTGAGGCAAGAGAATCGGTTGATGCTAGGAGGCGGAGGTTGCAGTGAGCTGAGAGAGCGCCACTGCACTCCAGCCTGGGCGACACAGGGAGACTCCATCTCAAAAAAAAAAAAAAGATGCCAGATTAAAACAACAATTTCACGTATGTGTGTACAGTTTAATGATACCACACTGCACACATTTACTACAATTTAACTTTTGACCTTAGTTTGGAAGCAGATGCAATCTTTAAAATCTCTATCCCACAATTTCAACAGATATCTCCCTTTATAAAGGAAAAAAATACTTTCATGGAGCAAAAGCCCTAATTGCGATCTTCCAGGCTACCATGTCTAAAGACTCTTTCAATGTCATCTTTCATTTTTGTACCTATAGGCATACTTCATATGCCTTGGCACTTGCCTCATAGGCTAGAGAAAATTAAACTGAGAGCTAGACCCATCCAAGAGGTTCCCCATCACTAAATGTTCAATTACAATAAAGCAAATAACATGAAAAATTCCTGTACTGCCCACAGCTGTTCGGAACATATTCTGAAATTAGCAAGTTATTATACTTGGCCTTTTAGTATCCTTTATAGTATACTCCCACCACAATAGCTTGTTCTTTTGAGGGTCAGGCCATGAAAAAGTTTTTGACTGTGAAGAATCTTTAGGAAATAAAAAATTTACCTACCTATGAAGACAATCTAAAAATTCAAGCTGGAACTCTGACGTTAGCACATTAGGTGCTTGACCCCTTTGAGCCTCAGTTTCCTCATCTGTAAAATAATGGGGGGTGGGTACTAACAGCCTCTTTTAGCATTGAAACTTGATCATTCAAGCTGGAAGAGGAGAAATTTGAAGGAGCTACCCTTAAGCTTCTTTACATAGCTGCCAGGAAGAGGCTATAGCATAGTTCTCCAACTACCTGTCAGCTTTCCCTTTTCATGGGTTATGACCATGACTTCCATCTAGAGATGTAGCAGTCGTTCAGAAAATCTAGTCATTTAAAAAAAAATAACACACTATATAAGTTGGAGGTTTTGCAATGGGCTTGAATCCACCATTTTTAGAAAGTACTCCATTTTTAAAGGACATACAAAATATTGTCATTAATTTTGGGGTGGTGGATTATGACTGATTTTGGTTTTCTTCTTGAAGCTTTTCTATATTTTCTGCATTTTCCTACAATAAAATGTACCATTCTTATTGAAAAATTTGATTTTCAAAAGGATCATTCATTCTTGCAAGTTCTATCAGATCTCTCAAGTCTACTCTAGAATGAATCAATGGGTGATGGGACAAATCAGATGGTACCACCATGCATGTCTGTCTATACACAGTGGTTGATTACTCAAGTGGCTGATTGCTGTAGTAGAATCAGGACATTATTATTATAATCAGAATCTATGGCTCACAGTTCTATGTGGATATCAAAACAGGCATTTTATCTAAATAACATTTTTTTCCAGCATCCTGGCCCTTGAGAATCGTGGTTAAAATTCCTTTCCAATTGAAGCAAATGAAATTAAACATGTGGTCCTTTTCCTGCCCCCCCCCACCTCCCGCAAAAAAATGCTTTTCAGACAAAATGATTGTGATTGGGCTGTTTTTTAAATGTTTCCTCTTTTTGTGCTCCGAAACAAAACACGTTAAAACTTAAAGTAAATATTTAGTTGTCAAAACAAAACAACCCCATATGAAAAACACAAGAATGAATTTGATGCCGCGTATTATAAAAACAATTTCCATAGCAAGCACAAATGTTTAAATTGTGTAAAAAGAAGACAAAAACCAAATGTTGTCACTCCTAAGTTCTACAGGACAGCCCTAAGAAAGGTGGAAGGTGAGCTACCGAAAGGTTAAGCACAGATTTCCATAACTTCCAGGTTCATGGTTATCAAAGCACAGCTTGGAAAATTCAGGTGAGATAGAAAATGAAGTTTGACAAAATGACAATCACTGTTTCAATTTGAGTAGATCTCTAGAACAAATTCCAGGTAGAATTCGATTCTTATCAGATGAGGAAGGTATAGCAATTCATCTCTCCATTCTCTACCTGAATATAATCCAACGTCTACTACGTGTTACCTCTCAAATTACTTTTTTTTTTTTTTTTTTTTTTGAGATGGAGTCTAGCTCTGTCGCCCAGGCTGGAATACAGTGGCGCTATCTCGGCTCACTGCAACCTCCGACTCCTGGATTCAAGCAATTCTTCCTGCCTCAGCCTCCCGAGTAGCTGGGATTACAGGCACCCACTACCACGCCTGGCTAATTTTTGTGTTTTAGCCATGACGGGGTTTCACCATGTTGGCCAGGCTGGTCTTGAACTCCTGACCTCAGGTGATCTGCCCGGCTTGGCCTCCCAAAGTGCTGGGATTACAGGCGTAAGCCACTGCGCTCTGCCTGAAGTTACTTTTTACCCAGAGCCAGTTACCTTCCTTTCTCCAAGAGGCTCAACTTACTTCCTACCTTTAGAGTAAGCAGCAAAGAGTGGCTTGGTTGTGGGACATCATCTCAAATCCCAACCTTGCTGCTTATTAGTTGTGCAATCTTAGACAAGTTACTTAACAAATATCTCCCACTCTCATCTGTAAAATGTGCATCATAACTGCAGAGTTGCTCTGAGAATCAAATTAGACAATGAGTATATATTTAATTTGCGTGCTTCCTGAAATTTTAGTAGGTGTTCAATTAATGTTGGTTCCCTTTTCCCCTACTCCTTGTCACTTACTCCAAGTATGATCACATTTAGCATTCATGGTTTTAATTACTCTCAGGCAAGCCCAATGGTATATAGGACATATAGTAATTTTCATTTTGTTACATAAGATTTTGAATGATGCATGCCGCAAGGGAGATAATGCATAGTTGTGCTTAAAACCATGAACTTAAAAGGAGTAATAATCTTAATCTTGATTTCTACTTCTAACCTTGACCAGCTGTGAGGCTCCAGGCAAGATCTTCTACCTCTCTGAGTGTGGTTCCTCATTTATAAAATGAAGAGAATATATAATGTATACAAGTCCTCTGGCACAGAGTAAGTGCCATAAATGGTAGCTGTTATTTTCTTTAATTCTTCAGGTTGGTATGCAGGAACTAGTCACTTTTATTTATTTATTTTATGTTTTTGAGACAGGGTCTCACTCTGTCGCCCAGGCTGGAGTGCAGTGGTGCAATCTCAGCTCACAGCAACCTCCGCCTCCTGGGTCCAAGCGATTCTCGTGCCTCAGCCTCCCAAGTAGCTGGGACTACAGGCGCACACCACCACACCCGGCTAATTCTTTGTATTTTTAGTAGAGACAGGATTTTGCCATGTTGGCCAGACTGGTCTCGAACTCCTGGGCTCAAGTGATCCGCTTGCCTCAGCCTCCCAAAGTACTGGGATTACAGGCGTGAACCACAGCACCTGGCTGAAACTAGTCATTTTTGAGACGAATAAAGTGAGCTCCGCCAACTACTCAGTCACCTCAAGACGCTGTTATTGTTCTCTACTCTCCTGGAATTATGTTCTGCTACATTATGTAGAGGAAATTACATCAACCTCGGCATATCGACATTTCAGGCTGGATAATTTTGTTTGCCGCCAGGCACTGCCCTATGCGCTGTTGGATATTTAAGCAGCATCCCTGTCTCTACCAACTGGATGCCAGTGGAGTGCATCTAGCAAAAATTGTTGAGTGACCCCGGGGGGCAAAAGCGCCCTGGCTGAAAACCACCAGTGTGGCACTATCCACAAAGAGGGGATTTCTCCAGGCACTCAGGAAGCAACCCTGTAGAAGGTCAAAGGTTTATTCGAGCTACTATTTAGGACTATCCACTCTTCTGGGCTCCATCATCCATTACTATCCATAATTCAAAGTTGACCCCAGAAAAATATTTTGGGGAGGCCCAATTTGCCATCAGAGATGCATTAAGTCGCAGGAAGGGATGCTGGCCATCCACTTCTCCCTACTCTATACAGTAATACAAAGCTGAATGTAAACATCAAGAAATCTTTTTTGTCTGTCCAAAAAACTCCAGACAATTCTTGATTACTCACAACAGATTCACTGTCTATTTTTCATTTTCATAACTTCACCAGAAAGGTGGAAGCCATTTCTTATCAACCAAATAACTCCACACCTAGCATGGAGCCTCCAACAGAGGAGGTAACTCGGCAAATGTTTGTTGAATAAACGAAAAGTCATATATTCTGCTTAATTAAGTACACCACTGACCAAAAAAGAACCTTTCTCTGCTCTTGTCCCACAGGAGCTAAAAGAAAAGATCTTTTAAGAAAAAACAATTACAGTCTACTCCCTTTTACCCCAAATCCAAACAACTAGATAGTTCAATTAACAAAAAAAAGTTCAGTAGGCAAAAGCTGGGGAAAGCAGCCAAAAAGATAAGGCCTCAAGTTCGAGCAAGCAGGAATATTTGGTTCAACTCCCATAAGGTTATAAAAGCCAATGTTGCTGGCACCGGACGGGGGAGAAAGGAGAGGCATGGGGAAGAAGGGAACTAGGAGGTGGAGAGTGGGAAAACAGGGTTCAGTCACAGGAGATTACCTTCCATGCCTTCAACAAACTTTTTTAATGCTCAAACTTTAGAGGTGAGGGTTAATTTCTTACATGAAAACGTGATTTACAAATTTTCAAATGCGTATCAGCAAAATCTTTAAGAACATCTAGCAAGAGAATTTGATCCGACTTCTGTTAATTCCTGAAATGTCTTTCATGTCCTAGAGGGCAACAGATTCTCAAAAAGCCAGGTAAAAGATACGCCATTTACACCTTCTGTCCAGAGAGAAACTTAAAGCCCACTTCCTATCAACATGCTTCTCTCTGTAAAAGATTTTTTACCACTTTCTGCATTCTACTCCTCAGAGAAAAAAACATTATGCTTAAATTTTATTATAAAAATATGCTATTTTTTCAATTGCTATTTGGGGGCACAGAATGAATACCATACTAACATTATAATACAATAGTGTAAATAAATGCATTTTTGTCGGTCTTTGTGACTAAAAATCTATTTCCCCTTAAACATTTCCAGTTTAACACTTCCAGGAAAAAAAATAATTATTTTGTTTTAGCGGTCGATTCATTTAATATATATTAAATTACCTCCAATGCACTGGTATTATACAGGAGGAATTTTATCAATTTAAATCTTACACAATTTTTCTTAGTTTCACTCAAAAATCTAGACTTGGCTGAAAAAAATATTTTCCTTTTCTGAAAATTAAATATGGGAATGGTAGCCTAGAATTTCAAAAACCATATATGGTTACAGAATCTATATGATAGTCTTAGACTATGTACTTATCGTGAGGTGGTTTGCACAAATCATGGCCTATCTGACCAATTTCCTGTTGCATAAAGATTATATTTGCCCTTAAAAATGTTAAATAAGCATTTTTAAAGACTGAAGGTAAAGACTTGATCGGAACCTTATGTAACCAAAAATGGGAAAACACTATAGTCTCACCACATAAAAGGCAAATGCCTGCTTAATACGTATTCTTCTTAAGCAAACATGAACATGAGTTTGTAAAGGCAAAGCTACCATCCCAGAAGCTCTTGCTTCTTCAGTGTAAGGATCGGGAGGGCCCGGTTCTTGGAGATGAGCTGAGGCAGGAAAGGCTTTACAAAATTCCAGGGGGGCCCATAATTTAAACTTGTGCTATTCTGCAAATGTTCACATTTGCAAGGAACACCGTAACGTTTACATTAAAACTGTCTTAAGATGACGGAAAAAATTATTCCTGCTGTTCTATAAGCTTGCCATAGACTTGATAACCCAGAGAAGAATTACAAGCAATTACAAGATGATGGCTCCAATTAGGAAAACTGGATCTATTCCAAACCCAAATCAAAGGGGGCTCGGATAATCCCGAAGGGATAATTTAAATGAATACAAGGGGACTTCCAGCAAATACATACGCTTATTCTACTACTTCTACTCTTCTCAAAACCAAGCGAAATGCTACAAGGATGTATCTCCTGCCCTTCAGGAAATTCAAAATCCAAACCTGGCATCCCATTAATAAGCCTTGTCCTTTTCTTTTCCTAAGGGATCTCCCTAGTATGGGGTTTTTATTGTAAAAGGCAATCAAAACAAACCTGAGAAACTCGCACATTCCCAAATGCAGAAAATAATACAGCGCTCAACACGAACGACACAACAGTCGCTTAGCCTTGATGATTTTTTAACCTTTACCTAGTCCTGGACGCTAAGAGCAGAGAGGAAAGGAAGAGAAACTTCGAAAGCAGAAACCTCTGTCCCAGAGCCTAGAACAGACGGCACCTTGTAAGGATTTCACGTTTTTCGAGGCGGGAGAGGTCACGCCCTGCAGTTTTGAAAACCCACCTTCTAAGGCTCAACCCCCGTGATAGAACCTTCCTCGTGCTTCTCTAGATTCCACGCTGGAGCTGAAATACCCCCTCCCCACCCCCATTCGCCAAACCCGCGCCATCCCCCTTGGACAGAAGAACCACAGCGGGCCCTCCCCCTCCCTCCTTATTCTGCACCCCACCCCCATCCTCCAACCACCCCACAAGCATCCCAGTCAAGAAAACCGAGGCGGGCCCCCTCACGTCTACTCCTCGTCGCCACCCCCGCCATCCTCGTTGAGCGAAGCAAGGCAGGTCTCCCATCTCCCCCCTCCACGATCCCCGCCATCCTTGATGGGAAAACCAAGGGAGTCGACCCACCGCTTCATCCTCACCCGCTCCCCACAGCCCCTGCTAGCTATCCTGGCTGAAAGAACCAAGAGGTGTCCCCACCTCGCCCCACCCCCCACTGCCCGCCATCCTTGGTGACAAAACCAGGGCCCCCCCTTCACTCCCTCCTCACTCCCCACCATCCCCCGCACAGGAAAACATGGAGAGCCCCCATTTCACTCCCGATCCCCCCCACCTCCACCCCACTGCCTCTTAGTCCCCATCGAGCCAAAAACCCAGGGAAGGCCGAGGCACGCACCAGGGGGGACCTCGCACTCGCAGTCCCTCGTCCCGCACCCCGCAGCCCGGGACGGCCCCTGGCCCCCGGCCTCAGCGAGGCCGCCGAAGCCGCAGTACCCAGCCCTGGAAGGCCAGGCAGCCGGGACCGCAGGGACCAGCCCCGAGCGGCGGCGGCGGCGGGGCAGAAGGGCAGCCGCTCCCCCGGGACCCAGGACGCCGGCGGGCGGGAGGCACACACGCGCGCACAAGCGGAAAGAAAGCGGGCTTACTGCGTGGGGATGCTCGCCCGCGCAGCTGTCTCGGCGGCGGCGGCCGCTGCCTGCACCGAGGCCGAGGCGCGGCGGTGGCGGCGGCGGCTGCGGACTGAGCCCCCTCCGCCGGGCGGTGGATGTAGGGCGCGGGAGGGGCGCGAGGGGAGGGGTGCGCGCCTGGGAGGCGGGGAGGGAAAGAGGGGAGGAAGCAGGAGCGCGGGGGCGGGCGCGGCTAGCCAGGGGCGGGGCGGGGCGCGCGCGGGGCCGGGCTCTGCCCACTGCACGGAGGCTGTGTGCGGGGCGCGCGCGCGGGAGACGGCCGGACGGGCGTGGGGAGAGGGGCGGCTTGCCACGCACCCCGCGCGCCCACGTGCCCCCGCCACTGGAGAGGGCCGGGCACGCGGAGAGGGTGGCTGCGGGGACGCGGTGGCAGGCTCTTTCCCGAGGACCGGCTCGGATCCGAAGACCGGGAGGAGGGCGGGCCGGGGGCGCCTCGGGCCCCCTCCCTCGCGCAGCGGTCCTTAGAGGCCTGCGGGAGTCACGAATCACTGCAGGCGGCTGGGGCTGGGGAGGTGGGAGCAACAAAGACAGCCAAGTGAGGGTGGCGTCTCGCCTCACCGGGGTCCTCGCTAACCTGCGCACTCCCTGAAAAGCGGCCCCGCTTCGGGGCCCACGCCGTTTCGGCCTCCGACTTCGGAACCCGGTGGCTTGCAGCGGCGCCGAAAGGCCCACCGACGACCCCTCCCCTTAGTAGCAAGCCGGAGGGAGCTAAATAAGCCCCATCCATAATCCCAGTGCCACCATCCAGAGCGTTTTAACGTCACTCAGAAAGCACCGATGGCAAAGCGGCGCGTGGCGTCTCATTCACTCAGCATTCAGTTTACTGAGCCCTCGCCATGTGCCAAGCTCAGTGCCGGGCTCTGGTGATAACAGCGTTGTCTGCAGACAGTACGCACCCTGCCCTGGGAGCTTGTAATCTAGTGGGGGAGACAGACAATAAAGAAGTGAGAAAATAATCAAATTTGGATAAAGCCTGTGCAGGAAAAGTACAAATAGTGTGATTAGGAAAGGAGGAGGTGACATTTAAGCTGAACCCTGAAAGATATGAAAGAGCCAGGAAAAAGCTTTCCAGAAAACAAGTCAGAAGGAGGGACCAAATCTTGATGCTTTGGAACTAAAAGGTGGTGATCATGATTGGCGCCAGGAAAGCTGGGGAGAGTACCAGAAAGTAAGGCTGGACAGGTTGGCAGGGACCAGATCGTGGATTGCATACTAGTCCATGGGCAGGTGCAGTCCATGGGCAGGCCACTTCATTCCAAAATCAATGGGAGGGCATTGAATGAGTGGCTTAACCCCAAGGCGTGACACGGTCTGACTTATATTTCTTTTAACTAAACTTTTGTCTTTTGGGATGATTGTAGATTCACATGCATTTGTAAGAAATAATACAGAGAGATCTGGGGTCCCCCTTGCCCAATTTCCCCCAATGCAAGACTACACTATAAGATAACTAGAATATTGACATTAATACAATCTACCAATCTTATTTTGATTTCTTCAGTTTTACTTCTACTGTGTGTGTGTGTACGCGCGTGCACGTCTGGTATGTGTGTGTTCTATACAATTTTATCACGTGTGGCCTCTTTCCACTACCATGGTCAATTATAAAACAGTTTCATCATTGCAAGGATCTTACCTGTTGTATTGTAATTATAAAACAGCAATAACTATCTCCTCAGTTCCCCAAGTCTTTCACCATTGGCAACCACTGATCCGTCCTCCATTTCTGTAAGTTTGATATTTTGAGAATGTTTTGTAAATGAATCATACAATATTCATTTTGAGATTGGCTTTTCTCACTCGGTTTTGAGTCCCTTGAGATTCATCCAAGTTGTTGGGTGTTTCCATAGCTTGCTCTTTTTTATTGCTGAGTAGTATTCCAGATCTGGTTTACATTTTTAAAAGACCACCTTGACTACTATATGGAGAATGGTTCAGAAGAGATTAAAAATTTAAATAGGGAGATTAGTTAGGAGGCTTTCTCAATAGTTCCTATCAAAGCTGATGGTGGTTTAGATTAGGGTGGTGCTAGTGGAGGAAAGTGGAAGGATTTGATGGAACAGGGTTGCAGAGGGAATTGGAGTTGAAGTAGAGACAGCATAGGGTAGACAACTGTTTTGAGACTTTCCAATGTAAATGGGAAGAAAAATGGAGCAGAACTGGAGGAGCGAGTAGGGACAAGCAAAGATTCTCTTCTCTCTTTGTGATTTGAGAGATGAGAGCCTGTTGGTCAACAGTTTAGGGATAATCAGTAGAGAGGGGTTGGTGAGGCATGACAGGAGGGTTTACTAAAGGAGTCAAGTCCCCTGCCTAGGTGAGATGGAATAAGGGCTGGATTCATGGGGAGAATTGGCCCTCCATCTGCCGAAAGTCATTCTTCACTGTACAGAAGACCATGGAGGTAGATGATGATGACAGGGGCGGGTGTAGGGATGGTGTGGTATACACAGATCTAGCAAATAGATCCTCATGATTCCTATTTGCCCCATGTCGCACAAACTGGCTAGTGGTCTCCCTTACCAGAGAACCAGCAGCATAAGCGCTTACAAAGTACCCTTCTCTGCTCCTAGCACCAGGGGCCTGGGCTTTCTCTTTTCCCCTTCTAAGCCCTCAGAAGCACTGAAGTTTGGTCCTTCTAGATGGCAAGAGAAGTCCCGCTACACTGCCTAGGAGAAGAGGAAGCCAATCTGCCCCCACTCCATCATGGAAAGGCATTGAACAATTAGCTTGGCCACAGACAACTCCCCACCCCATACCAGCCCAAAGAAACAGCCCAGCCCAAAAGAAACAGCCAAGAGGCACCCATGATGGAAGGCTCTGGACAGAGCACCCTCTTTCAGGGAAACTTCTGGCTATTCTTTGGCATTCAATCAGTGTTAGTTGTGATTCATTCTTCTCAAGACTCCTTCCTTTCTCCCTCTTCCTTTATTCATTCTTCCTTCTTGCCTTTCCAAGGAACAGAGCACGAGGAAAACGGCCTTCAATTTCAATAGAATTTAAGCAAGAATTTCCAAGAATTTCCTTGGAAGGAAATATGGAGCATTTATCAGCACACAAAGTAATCAAGTCCTTTACATTCTCTTCAAAAAGTACCATTAGAACTAATAATTCTAAGTTATTGAAAATGTATTATGTAATGGACAGTTTGCATACATCATTTTATTTACTCTTATATGAGATACTTTACAGATGAGGAAACCGAGGCTTAAGCAACCTTGGAACCAGGATTTAAAACCAAGCAGCATATTTCCAGAGCCCACAATCCAAACCTGTATACTCCACTTCCAAAACAATGAAAAAAGACTGTTCATCACTTTTATTACAGTCATCCAAAGTGGCTGCTTCTTTCAGGTTAGTTATTTTTCCCCCAAAGTGGTGCTAAGACCTTCATCTGACTTTGTCAATGGAATCCACAGGGAAACAGTGGCTCCATTTCATGATCATCACGTGTCCTGTCAATGGTGGAGCCCAAAACAGCTCTCAGAGAACACATCTACTTCTCCAGCCAGCCTTACCTCCTGCCTCTCCCCAGCCTGTAGGCTCTTAGTCCGGGATCTAGAAGGATCTCCAAAAACATCCTGTGCATTCCCCTCTTGAAACCTTAGTTACTGCGGTAACTAAGTAACCTTCTGCCTAGAGCAGTTTCAACAACTTCCTGTAGGTCCAAGGCTGAACTCTCCCCTGCCTGCCCCCACCCTGATCTATTTCTTCCCGCCCCCTCCCCGCCCCCCCCCGTATTTCCTGTTTCCATTAATGGCACACCACCCACCCACGTGGGCAAAGTAAAAGCTATTACTTTTGACTCCATCTTTTTCACATCCCGTAGGTCATCAAGTCCTAGAAATTCTACTTCTGAAATAGTGAAACCTCACCGTCTCTTTGAAGCCGTTCCTGACCAACTCAGGCAGAATCCAGTTCTCCCGTGGCATTTGGTCATTTGGTTCATGCCGATAGGTAATCGTGACATACCTGGTCATTTCATGTGTCTGTTTTCCCCAGCAGATCATAAGCTCCTTGAGGGCAAGCAATGTATTTTCCTTGTTTATACTTCCAGTTTCTTGGAACATGGTAAGCATTAAATTATAATAGTGTTGTTGTTTTGTTGTTATTGTTGTTGTTGTTGTTATGGAGTTTCACTCTTTTGCCCAGGCTGGAGTGAAGTGGCCTGATCTCTGCTCACTGCAAGCTCCACCCACCAGGTTTAAGCGATTCTCCTGCCTCAGCCTTCCGAGTAGCTGGGATTACAGGAGCCCACCACCACGCCTGGCTAATTTTTTGTATTTTTAGTAGAGATGGGGTTTCGCCATGTTGAAAACTCATTGTGGTGAAATATAAACATATACATAATAGAGAAAATAATGTAATGAACTTCCATGCACCCAACACCCAACTTCAGAAATTATCAACACATGATTTATTTTGTTTTAATTGTAGTTCTCCTACCAATTCCCTCCAACACACATACACCGGATTATTTTAAATCAAATGCAAAACATCATATCATTCCATCCAGAAATACTTAAGTGCATATGGCTAAAAGATAAAGATGCTTTTCTCCTTTTTAGAACATAAGAACAATATCATCATCACACCTAGGAACAGTTAGCGAAAATTTCTTAATACCAAAAAATACCCAGTCAGGATTCTGAATTCTCCAGATGTCTCCCAAATGTTTTTACAGTTCATTTATTTCAAGCAGGGTATTTTTTGTGACATGTAAAATTCATATGAAATTCACATTTCAGTGTCAAGAAATAAAGTGTTATTGGAACACAAGTACATTCATTTGTTTACATATTATCTGTGGTTACTTCCTCAGTACAACAGTAGAACAGAGTAGTTGTGACAGAGATCATATGGCCCACGAAGCTGAAGATATTTACTGGTTCTTCACAGGAAATGTTTGTTGACCCCTGATACAAACAATTTCTATTTTGGCGACCTGGTAATCTGTTTAATGATAAGCATCTTTCCATGTCAAGAAATAATCTTTTTTTTTACTATTATTTTTAATTGACACATAATCATTGTGCATCTTTATGGGGTACAGTGTGATATTTCAATACATGTATACAATGTGTAATGATCAAATCAGGATAATTAGCATACCCATCACTTCAAATGCTGATCTTTTTTTTGTTTTGTTTTGTTTTGTTTTTTTGAGACGGAGTCCCCAGGCTGGAGTGCAGTGGCGCAATCTCAGCTCACTGCAACCTCTGCCCCTGGGTTCAAGTGATTCTCTTGCCTCAGCCTCCCGAGTAACTGGGATTACAGGCACACACCACCATGCCTGGCTAATTATTTTGTATTTTCAGTAGACTTGGGGTTTCTCCATGTTGGCCAGGTTGATCTCGAACTCCTGACCTCAGGTGATCCGCCCGCCTTGGCCTCCCAAAGTGCTGGGATTACAGGCGTGAGCTACTGTGCCTGGCCTGATCATTTCTTTGTGTTGGGAACATTCAATTTGGCTCTTCTAGATTTTTGAAAATATACAATAATTGTTAACGATAGTCACCCTACAGTGCCATACAACACCAGAACTTATTCCTTCCATCTAGCTGTAACATTGTTTGCATTAACCATCTTATCACTACTACCTTTCCCCTTACCCTTCCCAGGCTCTAGTAACCACTATTCTACTCTGTACTTACATGAGATTAACGTTTTTAACTTCCACATATGAGTCAGAATATGCAGTATTTGTCTTTCTGTTCTTGGCTTATTTCACTTAACATAATGTCCTCCAAGCTCATAATGTTGCTGTGAATGACAGGGTTTCATTCTTTTGTTTTATGGCTGAATAGTACTCCAGTGTGTGTGTGTGCGTGTGTGTGTGTGTGTATCACATTTTCCTTATCCATTCATCTGTTGATGGACACGGGTTGACTCCATATTGTGGCTGTTGTGAATAGTGCAATAAAACTTGGGAGTGCACATTTCTCTTTGACATATTGATTTTGTTTCCTTTGGATATATACCCAGTAGTGGGATTTCTGGATTATAGGCTAGTTCTATTTTTAGCTTTTTGAGGAACTTCTATACCGTTTTCCATAATAGTTGTACTAATTTACATTCCCACCAACCATCTACAATAGTTCAGTTTTCCCTACATCCTTCCCAGAATTTGTTATTTTTGTCCTTTTGATAATAGCCATTCTAACTGGGGTGAGGAGACATCTCATTGTGCCAGCCACGAATTTTAAAGGCCCATTTATTACATTTGGTTGCTATGTCTCTGATTAATGGTTCTTGGGTGAATGGAGGGATGGGTGAATGAATTCTCTCTACCTTCTTTCACCCATTTCTACCACAGTCCAAATTTTACCTGTTTTACAAAGATCTGTCTATCTGATGTTGGAACCTGCTCAAACCCTTCTGTCTCTCTCTCTCTCTTTTTCTTTTCTTTGCTTTTTTTTTTTTTTTTTTTTTTTTTGAGACGGGGTCTCACTCTGTCACCCAGTTGGAGTTCAGTGGCGCGATCTCGGCTCGCTGCAACTTCAGCCTCCCAGGCTCAAGTGATCCTCCCACCTCAGCCTCCTGAATAGCTGGGACCAGAGGCATGCACCACCATGCCTCTCTTCTCTCTCTTTTTCTGTAGTACGTATCATAAATGTCTCTTGCCCTTATTACACTTAATCTTATATTAAAGATTTTATGAAGGCAGCTTATCTCTCATGTAAAGTTTTCAGCTTCTTGAGGGTAAGTAAAATGCTTACTCACTATTGCGTATTAAAACCGCAATTACTTTTGCACCAACCTAATACCTAGTGGCACCAAGCACAGGGCCTTGCTCATATTAGACAACCAAATAAATTATTTCTAAGCAGAATGGAGTTAATAATTAAGACCAACATTCATAGCATCCTTTATCTCCCTCAGGTATAGTCTAAGCACCATGAGTCTTGGAGTCTTGGAATCTTGCAAACATGGGTTCAAGTCTAAGCTTGGCCTTGGTTGGTGGTGTGGCCCAGGGTAAGTTATAAACTCAGGTGTGTTCAAACATTTTTGTTCACATGCTCCCTAAAATAATTTTGAAAACCTGTGTGCCCCCACGCCATTCAGTTTAGAAATAATTTATGTGGTTGTCTAATATAAGAAAGGCCCTGTGCTTGGTGCACTAGGTACACAATAGTGAGTGAGACATTTTACTTACCTTACCATTCACGTTACAAGCTGGTATCTAAACTTTTTCATCCAATGTTTAAATAGTTACAAAACGAAGTTATTTGGGGCATATAGTATATACTGACATTCTAAAATGATTACATCACTTTTTTATTCTATCCAATTAAATTTAAATAGAGTAGTTGTTTCATACCCACCATTAGCCATTTAAATATTATACATGATTAACTTCATTAACAGTTGGAAATTTTACATTGCTCCTTTTTTCTTCTTTAAGTCATATCTCCTTCACTTCTTTCACAGAATTTTGTACTAATGTAATATATTTTACACGTGTAAGTCTGTTTTTCATCACTCTATATACATCTCTGCAATGCAAATATGTACATAAATTACATTTTTAAAATTCTTTTACCATAAAGTTCTACGTGTTAAAAGTTTTCTAGGCCAGGCGCGGTGGCTCACGCCTGTAATCTCAGCACTTTGGGAGGCCGAGGTGGGCGGATCACCTGAGGTCAGGAGTTCGAGACCAGCCTGACCAACATGGAGAAACACCATCTCTACTAAAAATACAAAATTAGCCGGGCGTGGTGGCACATGCCTATAATCCCAGCTACTAGGGAGGCTGAGGCAGGAGAATCACTTGAACCTGGGAGGCGGAGGTTGCAGTGAGCTGAGATCATGCCATTGCACTCCAGCCTGGGCAACAAAAGTGAAACTCCATCTCACAAAAAAAAAAAAAAGTTTTCTACGGGGTGGAATATAAAAAAGTTTTCTGGATAGAGTTATCTTTAGTACACAATTAATCAAAATAACTTAAATATTTAACAAGATTTGAAAAATAATTTAAATGCACAATGTAAACTTTTTTGGAAATGTAGTTCTTAGACATGGATGAAGTCTTTTTTAATTAGTTCATGCCATTTGTGGATAAATATTGTTTATGGTTAGAATGAGACAGGGCTCTGTATCAATGTTATTTTGACTTTTTACATGTTTTAAAAATATTAAGGCTAAGAAGCTTTGTTTACATAAATAAGTAGAAGGACGTTTCTCACAGTGTTGCCATACAAACCTTTGTATTTCTTCTGAGTTATGTAACTGAAATCCCATCCCATCCTGAATCTATTGTCAAAAATTAATTTTAATGATTTATTGGTTGACAATTCCATTAGATCCTTCAGAAGTTTTTTTGAAGACAAAGAATTGGAAACCACCTGTGTTGCAAAAGGTCTTGTTATGCAGCGTTCAGGTTCACTCATCTTTCCACAACAACACCCTTATTTTGGCTTCTCCCTTTGTTTGGCACGGGGAGGTTTATATCCCCTGCGGCAATACATCAAAGTCAGATTAGTGATGGAGAAAGGGGTTGTCTTTCTTTTGTAAAATGGGAGAAGGGCTGTTGAGAAAAAGGAGGAGGAAAAGGAGAATCCACCTGCCTCAGACACAGCTTTCTCAGGCAGATCATTTTTTAAAAGTTAAGGGTCTAAAAATTGATTTCTTCACAACTGACTGTGCCCACGGACTCCTGGAAATTCTTCATGTATCCCCCGTGTTATGTGTACCCCAGTATGACTTAATTTACCTTATCTCAGTTTCTACATCTGCAATTCAGGTCTAGTATTATCTAAGTAACAGGATTATTGTGAGAATGAAATTAAATTACATACCACATGTAATGAACCTAGCACAACATCAGACAGATAGTAGGTGTTCAGGAAACGTTAGATTGTTTCTCCACCTTTCCATCTTGACATTCCCATTTTTACACAAGTACGATGGATTATCTTTAGCTATTTTTTTTTGAGACGGAGTCTCGTTCTCTGTCGCCCAGGCTGGAGTGCGGTGGCATGATCTCAGCTCACTACAAGCTCCGCCTCCCGGGTTCATGCCATTCTCCTGTCTCAGCCTCCCAAGTAGCTGATACTACATGAGCCTGCCACCACGCCTGGCTAATTTTTTGTATTTTTAGTAGAGACAGGGTTTCACCGTGTTAGGCAGGATAGTCTTGATCTCCTGACCTCGTGATCCGCCTGCCTCAGCCTCCCACAGTGCTGGGATTACAGGCGTGAGCCACCACATCCGGCCTATCTTTAGCTTTTTTACAGTCTTTAGAAAAAGAAAAAAAAGGTTATATGATTAGGCCAAGATTACATATGAAATTAATAAATGTGGACTGTAAATCTAATCAGCACACTTCCCCATCTATTTTTTAGGCTTTCAGACATTTTTTTTTTTTGAAATGAAATCTTGCTCTGTTGCCCAGGCTAGAGTGCAGTGGCGTGATCTCGGCTCACTGCAACCTTCGCCTCCCAGGTTCAAGCGATTCTCCTGCCTCAGCCTCCCGAGTAGGGGGGATTACAGGCGCCTGACACCACGCCCGGCTAATTTTTATATTTTTAGTAGAGACAGCGTTTCACCATGTTGGCCAAGCTGGTCACGAACTCCTGACCTCAGGCAATCCGCCCCCCTCAGCCTCCCAAAGTGCTGGGATTACAGATGTGAGCCACCGTGCCTGGCCCAGACATTTCTTAAAAAGCAAAGTACAAAAAATAATATAAAACTCATGCTCCCACTACCCAGAATCCATAACTATTAAGAGTTTATATTTACTTTTGTCTCTCTGTTTTTTATTTTTTTTCAGACTTGGTCAATAAGAAGTTTTTTGTTGTTGTTGTTTTGTTATTGTGTTGTTTTTACTTTGTTTCTCTTTTGGAAAATAAAAGAATTGAATATTGCAGATAAAATATTTAATATTGTCTACTGTCTCCAGTCCTATCCCCTTCTTTCTCCTGAGTCAACCACTATTCTGAGTTGGTTTTGTTTCATGATTTTATATTTAGTGTACATTAGTGGTACCATTAGTCTATATCATTCTGCAACTTTTGTTTGTCTGTTTGACTCAATCTTCTGGCTTTATTCTTTTGGGGTTTTTTGTTGTTGTTGTTGTTGTTTGTTTGTTTGTTTGAGACTAGGCTTTGTGCCGTTGCCCAGGCTAGAGTGCAGTGGCACGATTTTAGCTCACTGCAGCCTCCACCTCCCAGGCTCAAATGATCCTCCTGCCTCAGCCTCCCAAGTAGCTGGGATTACAGGCGTGCACCACCATGCCCAGCTAATTATTGTATTTTTGTAGAGATGGGGTTTTGCCCTGTTGGCCAGGCTGGTCTCGAACAACTGACCTCAAGTGATCCACCCCACTCACCTCCCAAAGTTCTGGGATTACAGGCGTGAGCCACTATGCCCAGCTTTATTCTTTATTCATCTCTTCTCCCTGTCACCCCAGTCATTTTAGAAGTCATGCATTCTATTTATATCATACACTCCAAATGTAATCACTATCTCCATCCTTCTCCCAAACAAGGTAATTTCTCCCACCCCACCCCCAACTCTAATGTTTTTGTTCTCCGCGATTTTAGTTCCAGTTTGGTTTTTTTGGCTTTCTTTTGTTTTAAGACAGTCTCTGTCAGTCACCCAGGCTGGAGTGTAGTGGCACCATCACGGCTCACTTTGCAGCCTTGACTTCCTGGGCCCAAGCGATCCTCCTGCCTCACCCTCCCAAATAGCTGGGACTACAGGCACTCACCACCACACTTGGCTAACTTTTTAATATTTTGTAGAGACAGGGTCTCACTATGTTGCCCAGACTGGTCTCAAATTCCTGGCCTCAGGCGATCTTCCTGCCTCAGCCTCCCAAAGTGCTGGGATTAAAGGTGTGAGGCACTGTGCCCAGCACATATAATTCTTTTAATTTCTGTAAGGTCAGTAATAATACACTTTCTTCTTTTATTTCTGATTTTAGTAATTTGAGTCCTCAATTTTTTTTTTTCTGGTCGTCGTAACTGAAGGATTGTCAATTTTGTTGATATTTTCAAAGAAACAACTTTTGTTGATTTTGCTGTATTTTCTATTCTTTATCCAACTTTTTTCTTTCTTTCCAATGGATTTCTTATTGCAGGCTCCTGTTTAATAATCATTATTATTGTTTTATGTATTCTATTTTATATTTTTTAATCTCTGGAAAATTGTTTTTGTTTGCACTTTTGTTTTTTGTCAACTTTTATTTTGAAATATTTCAAACCTTCAGAAACATTGCAAGAATAGCATAATAAAAACCTATATACCCTTTACCTACATTCATCAATTGTTGATATTTTTCACATTTGCTTTATTTGTGTGTATGTCGATACCTATCTATTGATGAGCTATTTGATAGTTGTAGTTCTGGATGATACGACACTTCATCCCTAAATACTTCATGTATCTCTTAAAAACAAAGGCATATGCCTACATAACCATAGTATAATAATCATACTTGGAAAATTTAACATTGATATAATATCAAATTTACATCTGAAATCAAATTTTCACAGTTGTTCCAATAATATACTTCATAGCATTTTAAAATCCAAAATGTAATCAAGGATTGGCCAGGCACAGTGACTCATGCCTGTAATCGCAGCACTTTGGGAGGCTAAGACGTGAGGATCGCTTGAGCCCAAAAGTTTGAGACCAGCCTGGTCAACATGACAAAAACTCATCTCTACAAAAATTTTAAAAATTAGCTGGATGTGGTGGTGCACACCTGTGGTCCTAGCTACTCAGAAGGCTGAGGCAGGAGGTTCCCTTGAACTAGGAATTTGAGGCATCAGTGAAAAAAAAAAAAAAGAACCAAACATCACACTATTGTCAAGTCTCTTTAGCCTTCTTTGATCTAGAATATTTCCAAGCTGTTTTTTTGGGGTGAGGTGGTTCTTGTGATATTGACATTTTGAAGAGCTCAGGTTAGTTTTTTTGTTTGTTTGTTTTCACCCAGAATGTCCCTCAATTTGGATTTGTGACCGTTCCCATTTTTGGCAGGAATACAACAGAAGTGATGTTGTATATTTCTTAGTGCACCACATCAGAGGGCACATAATGCCACCTTGTCCCATTATTGTTAATGTGAGGTTTGATCACTGAGTTCAGGTGGCTTCTATCAGACTTCTCCATTGTAAGAGTTTCCTTTAGCCTTAGAATTAATAGGTAATCTGTGAAGTAATGATATGGAAGGGGGGCAGGGAAGTGCTGGGAAGGGAAGGGCGTGGTCCCTGGCTAGGGCTCCACCCCCAGGCCTGTGTCCACAGACCTAGGTGAGGACTGGCATATCTGTTTTCCTGCCTAAATATTGCGTTTCCCAAGACCCCCCTGGCCTGCCACACCCCCATCCTGTGCCTATAAAACCCCGAGACCCTAACAGGCAGGCACACAAGTGGCTGGACTTTGAAAGGAACACGTTGGCAGAAGAAGACACAAGTGACTGGACGTTGAGAGGATGTCGAGGGGAGCACGCCAGTGGAAGAGCACAAGACAGATGCTGGCACGCCGGCAGGCCTTCAACTGGCGGAATGACATAGAGTTTGGTCAGGGTGGTTGGAGGAGAACCCAGGCCACTGAGCAGCTTGACTCCAGGGGAAAACTTTCTCCCTTCTGGCTCCCCCATCTGCTGAGAGCTACTTCCACTCAATAAAACCTTGCATTCATTCTCCAAGCTCACTTGTGATCCGGTTCTTCTGGTACACCAAGGCAAGAAACCCCAGGATACAGAAATCCCTCTGTCCTTATGATAAAGAAGGGGGTCTAATTGAGCTAGCACAGGTCGCCTATAGATGGCAAACTAAAAGAGCATCCTGTAATACACGCCCACTGGGGCTTCAGGAGCTGTGAACATTCGCTCCTAGCCACTGCCGTGGGGTCGGAGCCCCACAACCTGCCCATCTGCATGCTCTCCTAGAAGTTTGAGCAGTGAGGCACCGAAGAAGCGAGCCACACCTCCATCGCACGCTCTGTGAGAGGGATAAGGGAACTTTTCCCATTTCAACAACATTTTGAGAGGGTGTAAATATTCTATTTCTCAGTATGTTTTCACCTGATAGTTTCAGCATTCATTGATGATTTTTGCTTGAATCAGTTAACTATGGTGGTTATAAAATAATGCTTTTCTATTTTTGTCATTTATCCTACATTTATTAGTTGGATTTCTCCTATAAAGAAGAGCTTTTTCAATCTTTTTGTAGTTCATGAGCATGAAGATTGGGTGTTCATGCACATGTGTGAGATGTGCCACCCTTGAACCTTGTTATGACGTTGGCATCTTACCCATCTGGCCTGAAAAAAAAAAAAAGAAAAAGAAAAGATCTTTTTCTTCTCCCCTATCCTTTTTTGAACTTTTTTCTACAGTATCAGTATGGACCCATGAATTATTTTTTTTCTTTTTTTCTTTTTTTTTTTTGAGACAGAGTTTCGCTCTGTTACCCAGGCTGGAGTGCAGTGGCACAATCTCGGCTCACTGCAACCTCCGCCTCCTGGATTGAAGCGATTCTTCAGCCTCAGCCTCCCAAATAGCTGGGACTACAGGCACATGCCACCACGCCTGGCTAATTTTTGTATTTTTAGTAGAGACAGGGTTTCACCATATTGGCCAGGCTGGTCTCGAACTCCTGACCTTGTGATCCGCCCACCTCAGCCTCCCAAAGTGCTGGAATTACAGGTGTGAGCCACCATGCCTGGCCGAATTTTTTATTCAGTATGTTACAATCCATTCCTGTCCTTATTCATTTTGATGCTCAAATTGTCCCAAATTTGGCTAGTGGGAGCCCCTTCTAGCTGGCTCCTGTATCTTTATTTGTTTGTTTATTTACTTATTTATTTTATTTATTTTTTGAGACAGGGTCTCACTCTGTTGCCCAGGCTGGAGAGCAGTGGCACGATCTTGGCTCACTGCAACCTCTGCCTCCCTGTTTCAAGTAATTCTTGTGCCTCCAGAGTAGCTGGGATTACACGTGGGTGCCACCACGCCTGGCTAATTTTTGTATTTTTAGTAGAGACAGGGTTTCACTATGTTGGCCAGGCTGGTCTCGAACTCCTGGCCTCAAGTGATCCACCTGTCTTGGTCTCCCAAAGTGCTGGGATTATAGGCGTGAGCCACCACACTCAGCCTCCTGTATCTTTTTAACATGAGTCTTATCGATTTTCGAGTATTCCTTGCTTCCTCACATTACCAGATGTTCCAGACGCACTTTGTTCTTCCCTTGCCCTGGACATGGAATCAGCCACTTCTCTAAGGAGATCTAGTTCCTTTGAGTGGGAACAGTGTTTTAGACATGAACATGTGCCACCCAGATCATCTTAAGAAAGAATTTGAAGCTGAGCATGGTGGTACACGCCTATTGTCCCAACCACTTGGGAAGCTGAGGTGGGAGGATCACTTGAGTCCTGGAGGTCATGCCTGCAGTGAAATAGGATTGTGCCACTGCACTCCAGTCTGGATGACCTAGTGAGACTCCATCTCTAAACAACAACAACAATAAAATTAAATTAAATTAAATTTTAAGTAGAAAGGGCTTGCTGCCTATCTATCGGGAGTGTGGTCAGCGGGCAGCCTCCAGCTGTCTGCTCCTTCAATGTCTGCCTCAGCTGCAAAACACTTTCACTTAGGTGCATGCCCTTCCGGGGCCACCTACGTCTAGTGATTGAGACAGAAGTAAAAGGCCTGGCTTTTCAGCCCCATTTGGGACACTCTATTGGGACAAAATACTTGTACCAGAGCGCCCTGCTGGGTTGGTTGAGGTCCGCAACACAGTTCATCTTTCTCTTCTCAGTCCTGCTTCCTTCGGTCCTTCCATAGGTATACATTGGTTGATCTCTAGTAAACATCTTGTACTTTATACTCCATCACAGCTTCTGTTTCCAGAGACCCCCACCTGAGGCAGGTGGTATTCAGAATATAGTAGTCCCCCTGAAACCAACCCAATAGCCCCATAGATACTTTTTTTTTTTTTCATAAACAGAGAAATTGACAGACACTTCTGGTCTCAAAGCTTGAAACTTTTTTTTTTTTTAGACAGAGCTTCACTCTTCTTGCCCAGGCTGGAATGCAGTGGCGTGATCTTGGCTCACTGCAACTTCTGCCTCCCGGGTTCGAGTGATTCTCCTGCCTCAGCATCCTGAGTAGCTGGGACTACAGACACCTGCCACTGTGCCCAGCTAATTTTGTATTTTTAGTAGAGACAGGATTTCACCATGTTGCCCAGGCTGGTCTCGAACTCCTGACCTCGGGTGATCCACCCACCTTGACCTCCCAAAGTGCTGAGATTACAGGCATGAGCCACCACGCCCAGCCAAGCTTGAAATTTGTATTTGTTTATCTGAGTTCTTTCCTCAGGAAAGGGCTGTCGGGCCTCTCAAAAAAAAAAAAAAAAAAAAAAAAGGATCAACTTTGGGAGGCCCAGGTAGGCAGATCACTTGAGTCGAGGAATTTAAGACAGCCTGGGCAACCTAGCAAAACCGTGTTTCTCCGCATATTCTCACTCATAGGTGGGAATTGAACAATGAGATCACATGGACACAGGAAGGGGAACATCACACTCTGGGGACTGTTGTGGGGTGGGGGGAGGGCGGAGGGATAGCATTGGGAGATATACCTAATGCTAGATGACGAGTTAGTGGGTGCAGTGCACCAGCATGGCACATGTATACATATGTAACTAACCTGCACAATGTGCACATGTACCGTAAAACATAAAGTATAATAATAAAAGAAAAACTTAAAAAAAACCGTGTTTCTATTTAAAATACAATAAGCTAGGTGTGGTGATGCACGCCTGTAGTCCCAGCTACCCATGGGGGCTGAGGTGGGAGGATAATTTGAGCCTGGGAGGTGGAGGCTGCAGTGAGCTATGATACTGCCATTGCACTCCAGCCTGGGTAGCAGAATGAGACTCTGTCAAAAAAAAGTATCAAAGAACTGAAACTCACCACATCACCACCTGGAGACAATGAGATGTCGGACCCCTTATTCATCATGATTGCTTCCTGGCCCCTCCCTAGTTTCTGTTTTCTTACTCATTGTTACATTTCTTGCCTGCTGTATAAACCCCTAGTTTTTGTTGGTCTGGGAGATGGATTTGAGACTGAGCTCTCATTTCCTCAGCTGCAGCACCCAATTAAAGCCTTCTTCCTTGGCAATAATCATCATCTCAGTGATTGGTTCTCTGTGTGGTGAGCAGCAGTACCTAGACCAAACCCCTGGTGTTTGGGTAACATTCCCTTATCCTCAGGGGCTACATTCCAAGACTTCCAGTGGATGCCTGAAACCACAGATAGTACCAAACCCTGTACAAACTATATCATTCAATCTGATAACCGGCACAGGCAGGTAGTAACCACAGCATGAACATCCTGGACAAAGGGATGATTCATGTCCTGGGAGGGATAAAGCAGGACTGTGCAAGATTTCATCATGCTACTCAGAACAATTTAAAGCTTATGGTTTGTTTATTCCTGGAATTTTCCATTTAATATTTTTGGGCTGTGGTTGACTGTGGGTAACTGACACCACAAAAAATGAAACCACAGATAAGGGAGGACTACTGTACAAGAACTAGGTGCTGTGTGCTCACTGCCATTGGGATGTCATTGATTCTAGGCCCTTTTACTAGACAGAAGTACATTTTAAAATCATGAGGCCGGCCAGGCGCGGTGGCTCATGCCTGTAATTCCAGCACTTTGGGAGGCCGAGTCGGGTGGATCACAAGGTCAGGAGTTCAAACCTAACATGACCAACATGGTGAAACCCCCGTCTCTACTAAAGAATACAAAAAGCTGGGCGTGGTGGTGCGTGCCTGTAATCCCAGCTACTCAGGAGGCTGAGGCAGGAGAATCGCTTGAACCCAGGAGGCAGAGGTTGCAGTGAGCCGAGATCGTGCCATTGCACTCCAGCCTGGGTGAAACAGCGAGACTCTGCCTCAAAAAAAAAAAAAAAAAAAATCATGAGGCCGGGCACGGTGGCTCACGGTTGTAATCCCAGCACTTTGGGAGGGTGAGCCAGGCAGATAACTTGAGGTCAGGAGTTCGAGACCAGCCTGGCCAACATGGCAAAACCCCATCTCTGCTAAAAATACAAAATTTAGCGAGGCGTGTGGCATGCACCTGTAATTCCAGCTACTCGGGAGGCTGAGGCAGGAGAATCGCTTGAACCCAGGAAGCAGAGGTTGTAGTGAGCAGAGATCATGCCACTGCACTCCAGCCTGGGTGACACAGTGAGACTCAGTCTCAAAACAAATAAATAAATAAATAGAATTGAGTTCATACTAGTAGCTATATTCCAGTCCAACATCACATGGTTCTTCCACTCCCTCCCCTGTAACATAACTTGTATTTCCCCTTTCCCACAGTGAGAATCCCAACTTCCAGTGTATTTATGCATTTTTCAGCCTATTTACTCATTTGCTGAGTCCAGTGATACACAAAATGGCTTCAAATTGCTACAGCAGCAGTGTTGACATCAATAATAAACCACTAACATGTTCAAGGTTGCTTTGCCATTATTTTTATCTATATAATATATCTTATTGAATGTGCACAATGAGATTGCTGTGTCAAAAGTTAGTGGACGAATTCTTTTTATTCTACTGCATAATTACATCTTCAGTGTGATATGCAGTTATTTGTTTATATTGCATTTTCATTTTTTCTCATATTCAGTTTTATTTTTGAATATGTAAAATATTAACATAATTAAAGGACAAAATATACAAAAATATACTTAGAGAAGTGCCATTGCTTTCTTTCACATCCCATTCCCACCCATTCCTTTTGGGTCATCAACTTCCTTAATGTCTGGCTTATCCTTCCTGCAAAATATATTTTGCAGATATTAGCTACTTTCTTATACAAAAGGTAGAATACTATATATAGTATTTCACAACTTGCAAACACAAGATTTAAATTAAATTAAATTGAATTTTAATTTAAAATTTGGAGGGTTTTTTTTAATTTTTATTTTTATTGAGATTGAGTTTCACTCTTGTCGCCTAGGCTGGAGTGCAATGGCATGATCTCGGCTCACTGCAACCTCCGCCTCCTGGGTTCAAGCAATTCTCCTGCCTCAGCCTCCCGAGTAGCTGGGATTACAGGCGCCCACCACCATGCCCAGCTAATGTTTGTATTTTTAGTAGAGACAGGGTTTCACCATGTTGTCCAGGCTGGTCTCGAACTCCTGACCTCAGGTGATCCACCCACCTCGGTCTCCCAAAGTGCTGGGATTACAGGCATGAGCCTCTGTGCCTGGCCAAATTTGGAGATTTTAAATATGCTTGCTTGAAAGTCCTTTTTAGGTTATTCCGTTATTTTCATATCCTCAGATATTGGGTCTCTGGCCACTTTTTGTGGTGCCCAACTTCCCCATAGATGTTATCGTTTTGTTTGGGACCTAATTTTCTATGGGAATTTTCTTTTGCATGCCCATCCCCTTGGAGGTGGTTTCTCGGTTCTCCCAGTCCTGGCTCCTTGAGTTAGCAAAAGCTCAGATCAGGGCTTCTTCCTGTAAGATGTAGCAGTTCCAATGCCCACACTCAGATGGCACAAACCAGGCATAGGTCTTATGTTAGCTTGAGTTTTCTGCCTCAGCTGCTGCTTCAGACAAGCAGGAGATTCTGGTCCAATCCTAGTGGGAGGCAGACCAGGTGGGAAGCACAGCTGTAAACCTTGCTTTCACACAGAGATCCTGGTGCCAGCCTCCTACCACATACTGGGCAAGTTTGGCGGAATTTCCCCCATGGACTTGAAGCCCTATCCTAGACTGCTCCTAGCTCTCCACTCTTAGTTTCTGTCTCTGTTCTGGACTGTGACAATTTTCAGTTTTCCTCTCACAGTTGACGGTTATGTACTTTTAAATATCTTCAAGACCTTCTAGATCATTCCTATGTGTTTGAAATAATGTGGGGAGAATTAGGCATATGCTCACTTCACCTTCTTGATGTGAAACTATTTGTCATTTATTCAACACATATTTATTGGGACTCACTATGTGGCAAGCACTGGCACAGTTTCTTGGAATACCAAAATAAATTAAAGATATTATCATGGCTGATCAAAGCTCAAGCTTCCTTCTCTTTATGCTTTGTTTATTAATAATGTGCAATTTACCTTCATAATACAACAAAACCTTTAAAATATATTAGGATTGAGGCTGGACGCAGTGGCTCCCGCCTGTAATCCTAGCACCTTGGGAGGCTGAGGCAGGCAGATCACCTGAGGTCAGGAGTTCGAGACCAGCCTGGCCAACATGGTGAAACTCCATCTCTACTAAAAATGCAAAAAAAAAAAAAAAAAAAAAATCAGCCAGGCAGCCAGGTGTGGTGGCTCACACCTGTAATCCCAGCACTGTGGGAGGCCAAGGTGGGCAGATCATGAGGTCAGGAGATGGAGACCATCCTGGCCAACATGGTGAAACCCCATCTCTACTAAAATACAAAAAAAAAAAAAAAAAAAAAAGCCGGGCGTAGTGGCACACGCCTGTAGTCCCAGCTACTCGGGAGGCTAAGGCAGGGGAATCACTTGAACCCAGGCGGTGGAGGTTGCAGTGAGCCGAGATCACGCCATTACACTCCTGCCTGGCGAGAGAGCAAGACTACATCTAAAAAAAAAAAAATTAGCCAGGCGTGGTGGCATGCACCTGTAGTCCCAGCTACTCGGGAGACTGAGGCATGAGAATGGCTTGAACCCGGGAGGCAGAGGTTGCAGTGAGCAGAGTTCATGCCACAGCACTCCACCCTGGGTGACAGAGCGAGACTCATCTCAAAAAAAAAAAAAAAAATATATATATATATATATGGATTGCTAGGCTATCTTGAAGGGTACCCATCTTGCCTACTTCTTCCTCCCTGCCACCTGTACCTGGATATACATTCTCAACATAAAACAATCTTAAGAAAATAAAAGCTCACTCTTAAAAGAAAGCTTTTCTTTCATTCTTCTAATCCTTCCCATCAATTGCACTGATGACACCCTCTGAGTCCTTAAATGCTAAAGTAGACCACATGAAACTGCTTCTGGAAAAAAAACCCGCCACCTACTCAATACTCTACTACTCCCTGGGACCTCTTTTAGCAGAGATGGGAGCCTTGGCTGTTTTAACGGTAAATTATTTTAAAGAATTCACTTGTGAGGATGAATTCTGGTTTCCGGGCAGACCTCTTACTTAGGCTGCCACCCTCCTGGCATTTTTCATTTGACAAACGTGTACTTAGGCGGTGCGTGACATTTTTCCTGATTATCTTGTTTTATATCTTTTTTTCCTCCTCTGGAAATGCTAAAATTAAATGCATTTTCAGTCTCTGGTTCAATGCTGAGACAAAAGGCCTCCTCTGCTCTTTGATATTTAACAGGCTGATGTGCTGACTAACTCTGCAGCAGCCTTCTCTATTAGTTCAGTTGCTAAATATAGAAGTTGACTTGGTGTCTGATAAAAGTAAGTTAATTAAACATTCCTTTTCATCCATTAATATTTCAGTTGTTCACAATTTAAGCACAAACAATATTATAGAAAAAGCAACTCAAAATAAAAGACATATACATATTCAGAATATTTAAATGTAATAACCATATTTTCTGTTAATTCAGAAGTGAAACTCACTGATAAGTATGAAACTTTTTTTTTTTTCAAAATGAGATCATACACATCATAGGCTAATGTTCCCTTTTTTAGAACTATGGGAGCTGAGGGAGGCCAGAGACCCACTGAGGAAGAGCCAGTTTAGGCTTTGGAAGTTTTTTCTCTTTGGGGTTAAATCATGATATTATAATTATTTTGATCTCTTTGGGGTTAAATCATGCTATGGTAATTATTTTCTTGGTCTAGATTATCACATTCAGACTTGTCCCCTATAGGCTTATGGTAAAAATATGCACAGCTCCTCTCAGCCCGGGATTAAGTTATGCTTAGAGTTGGCTGAGTATTAACAGCAGTTGAATTCTGAAGAGTTAGATGATTTATGTTTTTCATTGATTAATGGGTTTGGCAAAATTGAACAAAAGTGGAAGAAAATGAATTCGTGACTTGTTTTCTAGACTGGAATGATTTAGGAGTGAGAGTCGTGCTTGGTCGAGATTAGGCCTATATTTGGGAATCACGTAAGAAGTGCTTCTCTATAAAGCTTGTTAAGAAAACAGCATGAAGTAGAAGACAGCGACTGAAATTACTAACACTGTCTCTTTTCTGTCCCCCTGCAAAAATAATTTTCAGCTCAAATAGCACACTGTTAATTGCTACAAATGCAATGCAAATGTAAATAGTCTTAATTCTGTGATTTTTAAAACAAGACAGGAATAAAGAAATAAATAACAATAACTAGCATTTGTTGATGTGCCTGGCAGTGTTTTAACTGGTTTTCATGTATGATCTCAATCATTACAGTAACCTTATGAATGAGGTACTATATTATCCTATTTTATACATGAGAAAACTGAAGTGGTCAGGGGGGTTAAGCAACTTACCAAAGGTCACCCAGTTCTTAAAAGGAGTTACCAGTATTTAAACCCAGGCACCCTTACTACATTATGCTAGAATAGACAGACTTATTTTCATGTATGTGTTCCTGACCTCACTGTGCATACCTTTTTCTTTTTTTTTTTTTTCTTTTCTTTTTTTTTGAGACAGAATCTTGCTCTGTTGCCCAGGCTGGAGTGCAACGGCACAATCTCAGTTCACTGCAATCTCCGCCCCCTGGTTCAAACAATTCTCCTGCTTCAGCCTCCCAAGTAGCTGGGATTACAGGCGCCCGTCACCATGCCTGGCTATTTTTTTGTGTTTTTAGTAGAGAAGGAGTTTTGCCATGTTGGCTAGGCTGGTCTCGAACTCCTGACCTCAGGTGATCCACCCACCTCGGCCTCCCAAAGTGCTGGTAATTACAGGCGTGAGCCACCGCGCCTGGCCCACTGTATGTACATGTTTTAGAGATGTTGGATCATAACTTGCCATTGAGGTACATAATAATTATTTGGGGGCAATTTTTTTTCCCATAGATCAGCAAGATTCCCTTCTCCCTGCCACTTTGTATAGGTCAGTGAATGGAAGGTTCAGAACTCTAAGAGAGATTGTAGCCTAGAGGAGTTCTCGGCAGAACCCCTTTAACCTTCACTCAAGCTAATATTTAGTAATTATCAGATAATGATCCACACTGGTTTCTCTGACATCTCTTGGGAAGTTTCTGCCTTAACAGCTGAACTGTTTCAAAGGTCTGAGCAGATTCCAGAGGTGTGCACACACACATGCACATGCACGCGTGCAAACATGCATGCACACGCACAAACATGCATGCACACGCACGTGTGCACACATGCATGCACACGCACGTGTGCACACATGCATGCACACGCACGTGTGCACACACACACACACCCCATCCAGAACCCACAGTTCTCTGAGGGCCAGGCAATAGGCTTGTCCACAGCCAAATGCTGGGGCCTCACCTGCTCACTGCTGCTTCTCTCAGAGGAGACCTGTTTATATCTTGTATACTCAGGAGGATGGACGCCGTTGACACTAGTGACATCCAATGACAACTTCTTCCTCATTTGAGTCACTGAGTCAAAGACTTGCTCTCTTCTGCACAGAGGTGTTACAGAGTTCTCAAGACATCATGTAAGATGGAAACACTAAAGAGCTCCTGGTGCTTGCTTCCGTTGCCCTTGTTTTATCCTAAGGAAACTGTCTCTTGCAAATGAAGCATTCCTAAGCTTTGCCATTCCAGGTCCTCCTAGTGCCAGTCTGCTTCCAGAGGATTGCTTAGGGTCCCTGACCCAATTATCAACTAGTCAACGCATTAGTGTGTATTTACTTACTCCTATATGCCTAGCACTATGCAGTCTGCTGCGGAAGACTCAGAAGAAACACAGTTAGCCCTCCATATCTGTGGATTTTGCATCCGTGGATTCAACCAACCACGAATGGAAAATTTCTTTCTTTTTTTTTTTTTTTTAAGACAGGGTCTTGCTCTGTCGCCCAGGCTGGAGTGCAGTGGCATGATCTTAGCTCACTGCAACCTCCACCCAGACTCAAGTGATCCTCCTGTTAGTGGTAGAGGGTCTTGACCACAAGTTGTCCAGGTTCTTGGCATTTTGAACAAAGAATTGGACAAAACGCACAGCAAAGCAAGGAAAAAATGAAGCAACAAAAGAATGAAAGTAGGGATTTATTGAAAATGGAAGTACACTCCACAGTGTGGGAGCCAGCCAAGCAGTGGCTCAAGGGTCCAGATACAGAATCTTCTTGGGTTCGAATACCCCCTAGAGGTTTCCCATTGGCCACTTGGTGCTCACCTCATGTAAGCCTGTGATCAGAAGTGAAGTTACAAAGGTCACATTCCTGTACAAACGTCTGATTGGTTGCAAAAAGCAACCAATCAGAGATACTTTAAATTTCTCTTCTGCCCATGCGGAAAAGGTGAGGGTTTGCAAAGGGAGTCACTTCTGGTCCTTTTGTTACTTAGGCATGGAAAGTTAGGGTTTTCTTTTCAATTTAGTTCTAGGAAGTTGGCGTGAAACAGCCCTAGGTTTCCTGCCTCCAGACCCTATTCTCCTGCTGCACTCCCACCTCAGCTTCGTGAGTAACTGGGACCACAGGCAGGTGCCACCACTCCTGGCTAATTTTTGTATTTTTTGTAAGGGGGGGGGTTCCCTGTGTTGCCCAGGCTGCTTTCGAAGTCCTGAGCTCAAGCAATCTGCCTGCCTCAGCCTCCCAAAGTGCTGGGATTACAGATGTGAGCCAGCACATCTGGCAGAAAAATTCTTTAAAAACCTCACAGTAAAAGATAATAATACAACAAAAAAAATACAAAATTTAAAAATGCAATATAATAACCTTTTACATAACATTTGCATTGTAATAAGTGTGATAAGTAATCTAGAGATGATTTAAAGTATACGGCAGGATGTGCATAGGTGATATGTGAATACTGCAACATTTTCTATCAGGGATTATACCTGTGGATTTTGGTGTTCACCAGTGAGTGGTCCTGGAACCAATCTCCCATGGATATCAAGAGCGAGACAACTGTATAAGTCATGGCCAATATAAAGGAAACCCCTCCAAGGGCTCCTAATGCGGAATAAAATCTAAACCTATGTCCATGGCCTGCAAGGCCCTGCATGCCTGTCCCTTGCCCCCCTCCCCCATCTCAGCTCCTACCAATTAGCCTGTCCCTTCATTGAACACACGAAGCTTGTTTCCATTTCAGGGCCATTGTGCTTGTTTTCCTCTCAGCCTACATCACTCTTCCCCACACTTTGATATGGCTGGCTTCATAGACCCCAACCCCAGCTGTCACATTGTCCTGTTTTTACACCTTCGGAGTGCCTATAACTATCAGAAATGATCTTCTTTGTTTACTTATCATCTCATTCTCCCACTAGCATGTAAGTGGCGCAAGGAATTTTTGTCCCTTTTGTTCACTGTGCTATCCCAAGTGACCAGAACAGCACCTGGCAGCTAGTAAGTGTTGAAATAAATATTTAATGAATGAACAGATGATTAAGGACTAACTTAGTTGTGACCCAGATACATAAATAAATCATAGGGTTTGGAAGAAGAGGAGAGAAACAAAAGAAAGACAAGAAAGAAAATTTTAAAGAGGAGGTCAGATATAAACTGGGAGATAGATTGAAACGATGATGATTCAGAACACATTTTATTGTTTTTAGGTATAATCACTCTGATTTGCTGTGGCTCTTCCCTGGATCCTCCGTCAGTTCATTATATTTTAAAAGCCTAACTACATCAATGGGGATGCCATTCAAGCAAGAAAGTCCTTTGAAAATGTAGAATAATTAGCCCTCCTCTAACTTTATCTGTTTTATAAATAATACTCTTGGCATTATTAAGAAATTGACAACTAGGCCGGGCAAGGTGGCTTATGCCTATATTCCCAGCACTGAGAGGCTGAGGCAGATGGATGGCTTGAGCCCAGGAGTTTGCAACCAGCCTGGGTAACAGGGAGAAACGAAACCCTTTCGCCACACACACACACACACAAATTAGCCAGGCATAGTGGCACATGCCTGTAGTCCCAGCTACTCAGGAGGCTGAAGTGGGAGGATCACCAGAGCCTGGGGAGGTCGAGGCTGCAATGAGCTGTAACAGCACCACTGCACTCCAGCCTGGGCAACAGAGTGAGACCCTATCTCAAAATAAATGAATAAATGAATGAATAAATAAATACATAATAAATAAATAAATAAATAAATAAATAAATAAATAAATAAATATTAAAAAAAGAAAAGAAAAGAAATTGACAACTGATTAGCTGTTGACTAGCTTTGGGCAGTAATGATTTTTCCAAACCTCAGTCTCAAAACCTCAGAAGGGGATTACGTTAGCTCAGGAGTCACAGATGCAAAGGGGCCTCCCCCAGGGTCAGCAGGTCATGCAACTGATGGAAGTGAGCCTACAGGAGGACCCTGAGAAACTGGATGGAGTGCATATGCACCCAGTATGTGCCATGCTGCAGTGTAGCCCTGAGATGGCCAGGTTTACCCACTTTTTCAAGAAAAGGCAGAAATCCAGATTTTTATGACTTGTAAATGTTGGCAACTAATTTAAATAGTTTTAAAATACCACCAGGGCCAAGTAAAACATGCCTACAGGCTGAACTTGGCTCACAGACCCCTGTGCTGGATTTCTAAGGTCCTTTCCAACTTCTCAAATGCCTCCCGTCTATGAAATTTCTTTTTAAAAGTTGACACAACATCTGGGTAAACATTCTAAAACCCTGACTAGCATAAAAACCTTTTTTAAGATAAAAAATATTGTTTCAAGTAAAATAAATGTTCACTGTATACTTGATTTCTGGCCAATAACATACTAGATATTTTGATAAAGTTGTTTATTATTTAATTAGGCATAAAGCAAGGAGAACCAGCAATTCAAAGAGAGAGGACTATGCTAAGTGTGATGTCTTAAGGGAAAAATAGAGAAACGGAGGGACTGACTTCTCTAGGTGAGGAGTTGGTGTGAATTTATGTCTACTGCAAAAAACAAAACTCATCCAGAACATTAACTGCAGAGTCCAGATCTTGGTCCTTGAGAAAATTTTAATCTGATTGGATCTGATTTTCAGTTCATTAAAGAAAACAAGACATTTAATGCCAACACCCAAGAATTTTCCACGTTTTTTAGAGAAAGAACTATAATTATGGAAATAGCCAGTCACCCAAGGAGCATATTAAATACTTTAACTATTAGAAGACAGGTTTCTGGAACAACCAAAGTAAACAGTTTCACATTAACTTTTCTCAGATATGATAGTATTGGCTTAGAATTTTTATGATAATCTTAAATCCATTAGTGAGGTCAATTGTTTCCACATTACCAAAACATACTAATGTGATAATTTTTTAAAGCCTTGTTACTGTGCTGGACATTGTAAAACACAGGAAGCCCTGAAACAACAACCTAAAAATATATATTAACAACCTTTGATTTTAAACTTTGATTGATCATGGTGATTTTTTGTATCTTATTCAAAATGTTATAGTAACAATCTGAAAATAAAATTAAGAAAACACTTCAGTTTACAATAGTATCAAAAAGAGTAAATTACTTAGAAATAAATTTAACAAAAGAGATGCAAAACTTCTATTCTGAAAAGTACAAAACATCATGCAAAGAAACTAAAGAAGACCTAAATAAATGGAAACATGTTCCATGTTCATGGTGCAAAAGATTTAATATTGTTAAGATGCCAATATTCCCCAAGCTGATTCATAATTTAATACAATCCCTATCAAAATTCCAATAGCAGTTTTTGCAGAAATGGCAAAGCCAATCCTCAAATTCATTTGGAATTACGAGGGGCCCTGAATGGCCAAAACAATATTGAAAAAGAAAAATGAAGTTGGAGAACTCATACTTCCAAATATCAAAACTTACCACAAAGCTACAGTAATCAAAACAGTGTGCTATTGGAATAAGGATAGACATATAGAACAATGGAATAGAATTAAGAGTCAAAAAATGAACCAATAAGTCTATGATCAACTGATTTCAACATGGATGCCAAGTCCATTCAATGCGGAAAGAAAGAATAGCCTCTTCAACAAATTCTGGGATACCTGGATCTCCAAGTGCAAAAGGAATGAAGTACTGATACAAGCTACAACATGGGTGAACCTTGAAAACATTATGCTAAGCGAAAGAAGCCAGTCGTTAAAAACTTACATATTTATGGTTCCATTTATGTGAAATAACTAGGTAAGCTAATTTGTAGATACAGAAGATAGATTATTGTTTACCTAGGGCTAGAGAGTTGGTAGGAAATAGGGAATGCCTACTAATGGCTACAGAGTTTCTTTTGGGGTGATGGAAATGTTCAAAATTGATTTTGGTGATGGTTGCACAATTCTATGAATACTAAAAACCATTGAACTGTATGTTATTTATTTATTTATTTATTGAGGAGTCTCACTCTGTCACCCAGATTGGAGTACAGTAGCATGATCATAATTCACTGCAGCTTCAAACTCCTCAGCTCAAGCAATCCTCCCACCTCAGCCTCCCTTGTAGCTGGGGCCACCACAGGTGTGTACCACCATGCCTGGCTAATTTTGTTGATTTTTGTAGAGATGGAGTCTCACTATGTTGCCCAGGATAGTCTTGATCTCCTGGGCTCAAGTGATTCCCCACCTTGGCCTCCCAAAGTTCAGGGTGTCAGGCATGAGCCGCCACTCCTGGCCTAACTGTACCTTTTAAATGGGTGAATTGTCCGGTATTTGAATGATATCTCAATAAAGCTGTTAAAATGTGATGGTATTCTTCCACACTTACAGAAATGTAAGATGTATTTATTTCACAGGCATTGGTAGAGTACCTACTATATGCCATGCACTGTGCTAGGTGCCATTGGAGCCAAAACAAAATTTTATATCACTACTGTCTCAGAGTTTATAGTACGGTTCTGTGTATCAATAACTAGAACACATGGAAGAAAGCCAAGACTGAGCCCAAGGAGGCACCAAAAGTTATGATGAGAATAAAGTCAATTCTTAATGGAGGAAGTACCTTTTGGGGCTTTGGAGGGTAGCGGGACTTTGACAGGTACAGGTCAATGAGAAAGGCAATTCCAGCTGCGTGAGGTGGTTAGGGCAGGATGGTGTGGCAATGCACAGGAAGAGCAATGGAAGTGAGATGCACCTATTGTGTTTAGGAAGTGTCAAGTACCCTAGTTGGCCCGGAGGTAATAACTGAAGTGTAGTAACCCCCTAAAGCAGTGCAGGTAGGTTAGGCCGTATCCTAGAGGGCATAAAAAGTTTGGACTTATCTCACTAGGCAAGAGATAAATAGGAAGGCTTCTGAGCAGAGGAGTTACATGAGCAGAGCTGTGCTTTAGACAACACCCTCATCCCCTACCCTACCTTCACTCTCACCCTCGCCCTGAATCACATGGTGCTCACTATACATCTCCTCAAACGAGATATCTGAGCACGTGAATTTGAGAGGCTCATGACTTGAAGACACCAGGCACAGAAGAGGCTGAAATGCCAACACAACAGGGATTGAGAGAAGATCTTAAAACCCTCCAAAGAATCAGTCACACAACATACAAAGGAGAATCCGAACAGTATCAAGCTTCTCAAGAGCAATGCTAGATGCTGCAAGATAACTGAGCAATGCTATAAAAATGTGAGAGAAATCATCTTCAACCCAGAATTCCATTCCCAGCTACAATACTCATCAAGTGTGAGGTTAAAGACCTTTTTCACAAATGCAAGAGACCAGAAACTTTCTCTCTTGTGCATCCTACTTAGAGACTACTGGAGGATATGTTGTAGCAAAACAAGGGAATAAAACAAGTCTAGAGAACAGTTGGGGTTCAGGAAACTGGATCCAACCTTGGAGAGTGGCATGGGACAGGATCAGGATGGCAAGTGTGCATGTGCAACAGACCTAGAGAGCAAGTAGTCGAGATTGGCATAGGAAGATGCTAGGCCCTAGAAAGGTCATGTCTGGGCCGGGCAAGGTGGCTCACACCTGTAATCCCAGCACTTTGGGAGGCCGAGGGGGGCTGATCACAAGGTCAGGAGTTTGAGACCAGCCTGACCAACATGGTGAAACCCCGTCTCTACTAAAAATACAAAAATTAGCCAGGCGTGGTGGCATGCACACGTAATACCAGCTGCTCGGGAGGCTGAGGCAGGAGAATCGCTTGGACCTGGGAGGCAGAAGTTGCAGTGAGCCGAGATCGTGCCACTGCACTCCATCTTGAGCGACAGAGCGAGACTCCGTCTCAAAAAAAGAAAAGGAAAAAAGAAAAGTCATGTCTGAAGAAGCAAAGGGGGACTCGATAGAATATGGAGAAGCTATAAAGAATTTACGATAAGTGAATGATAGATAAACAAAACAAAACTAAAGGTAATTAGAGGTTCCAGGAAAAAAATATATGTGACAAGAAAAGAGGCCGAGGCAGGCAGATCACGAGGTCAGGAGTTCGAGACCAGCTTGGCCAACATGGTGAAACCCCGTCTCTACTAAAAATACAAAAACAATTAGCCGGGCGTGGTGGCATGTGCCTGTAACCCCAGCTACCTGGGATGCTGAGGCAGGAGAATTGCTTGAACTCAGGAGGCAGAGGTTGCAGTGAGCCGAGATTGTGACACCGCACTCCAGCCTAGGCAACAGAAAAGAAAATAAAAATAAGCATAGTATATTGCTTGATGGCTCCACAATAAGTGTTGTTAACATAGTTGTAATAGTGTAAATACACTTGTTTTATTTTACAACACAGTACAACTATATAGTGTAAAATTGGTAGATCTTCATCTCTCTAGTGCTCTTCTAGCATAACAAGAAATCAATAGATGGTGTCTGAAATGGATGAATCTAGAAACAGCAATAAAATCATACTGTAAAGGAATGTGGCCATAATTACGATTAAGAAACAGCTAGAAGTATTTAAGTGGCTGCTTTTGTGGAGCAGAACTAGGGTGTGGTAAAGGGTGGGTAGGGGGACTGTTGTTTTTCTTTTTTTTTTTTTTTTTGAAACGGAGTTTCACTCTTGTCACCCAGGCTGGGGTGCAATGGCTCGATCTCAGCTCACTGCAACCTCTGCCTCCCGGGTTCAAGCGATTCTCCTGCCTCAGCCTCCCAAGTAGCTGGGATTACAGGCGCCTGCCACCATGCCTGGCTAATTTTGTATTTTTAGTAGAGATGGGGTTTCACCATGGTGTCCAGGTTGGTCTCGAACTCCTGACCTCAGGTGATCCGCCCATCTTGGCCTCCCAAAGTGCTGGGATTACAAGCATGAGCCATCATGCCCGGCCTGTGGTTTTTTATTATATGACTTTCGATTCTGAATTATTTGTTTTGTATTATATAAATGTATTATATTAATACATATTTTAAATTATGCAATTATTAAAAAAATCTAACTGAATGTGTTGCCAAGGTTGACCAGGAGAGAGTAGAAAAATAACTAGAAGGATAGTGTTACAGTCCTGACGAGATAATAAGGGTCTGAACGATCCACAAGGACCCTTTTCTGTTAAGAGTCTCATTAGAATGTAATCTCTTAGAGACCTTGTCTATTTTGTTCACTGCTATATCCCCAGCATCTAGCACAGTGCCTCATACCTATAGAAGTTGGACAAATATTTGTTGAGTGAATGAATGAATAAATCTTGACATGTTTCTACAAGGCTAAATTGCATTTTTTTTTATTCCTAAAGTGATGCTTATTAATAAAAAGAATGCTTCCTTATATGGCAACAAAATAATAGCCATGCCACTCTTGTCTCCACTTTCCCCAAACAAGACAGAATAGGGAGGGGGACCCGCCTCATCTCTTGGGAAGCGTGGTGATAGTTTCCTGAGGAGCACAGATAAAATCTGTAATGCTGATGTGCAGATTCTCAAGTATGTGGTTGGAGGGGATAGTAGGGAGGGCTTGTTTTATTTGGACCTAAGTGTTTAGTGTTCCCAAGATTCCATTCTCGTTATCTTTAGCAAACAGGCCCCAATCCAATTCATAATTGAAAAACCATGATCTGAGTATTTTTCATGCAAGGTGTTTTAGCACAGTTTTGTACAAAATCACCACAGGCTTAGGTGGAATTAGATAAACGGATACTTCAAGAGGCTAAGTGCCTGAGAAGTAACATGTCAAGTTGTACAACTGTCTATAAGTAGTGTTAAGGGGCTTCTGCATTGAAATATTAGAAAATAAGAAAGAGAGGCCGGGTGCAGTGGTTCACACCTGTAATTCCAGCACTTTGGGAGGACGAGGTGGGGGGAACGTTTGAGCCTATGAGTTTGAGACCAGCCTGCGCAACATGGTGAGACCCCCTCTCAACAAAAAAATACAAAAATTAGCAGGTGATGGTGGCATGCACCTGTGTAATGCCTGTAGACCCAGCTACGTGGGCGGATTGCTCAAGCTCGGGAGGTGGAGCTTGCAGTGAGCCATGATGGTGCCCCTGCACTCCAGCCTGAATGACAGAGTGAGACCTCATCTCAAAATAAAAAAAGAAAGAAAGAAAATAAGAAAGAGATGTTGGTTACCCTCTAACTGAAAACAACTGAATGTATATTTAGGCTGCAAACCCACTTCCTGAATCCTCTTGGAACTCTGAAGTTTGAACTTGCAAGCAGATGTTCTGCTGGTAAAGGACATAAGCAAGTCAAGATTTTTACAATAAACCCCATCAGCTCAGCAATTGCTAGGCTGATAATAGACAAAATGAATTCATCCATGTGTAGTGGTTACACTCCCTAGACATTTAAGCTTAGGTCTTATTACATTAGTATGGCACGATATCATATCCATAAAATAAAAACCTATCTGTTAACTGCATAAAGACAAGCTACCAAGGCAAGAAGCCAGATGCAGGGGAGGAAGGCATGAATCATATTAGGAGAAATAGGATGCAAGGTGGAGACTCGATTTGGTTCCCATATCTCCCTCCTCTCTGGCCCACGTTGATTTCTCAATATCCCCAGCCAGATCCACTCTGCCACAACTCTCAGCAGCTGCTCCACCTCTGACAATACTCCTTCAAAATTGTGGACTCTACTACTTTCCTCCAACTTGTAGCAGTTAACCCTGTTATTTCCTGATAACCACTGGAATTTCTAAGCTAGTCAATGTAGCCTGTGTTATATGGTTTGGTTTCATTGATACTTTTAAAATATGAAAAAAGTTTTTTAAACTAAGAGTTTGGAGAATGCTCAAAAATGAGAGGCCATTTGCCTTTTCACAGTGCACACAAGGCATAAAAAATGTTTCTCAATATTGCAGCTGCTAAGTAACACAGAAAGTTTTCCAGTCGCCTAAACATTTGCTTGTGCACTTCTGCATTCCTACAATACCATTCAAAAGTTGTGCTGAAATCCTCCATGATTTACATGCATAACAGGAATAGAAAGATCATTTCTCCTTCATTCTTCTTCCTTTGGAACCAGCAGCCAGTGCCACCGTAATTCTAGATCAAACAGTTAAAAGCAAGTGATTTCACTCAGGAAGAGGTGACCATGGTGCTTGCCCTAAATGTAAAAGCTGAGGCTCTGTCATCGATCCAGTGTCAGGGTCTGGGCTGGGTACTGGGGATATAGAAGTGAGCCAGGGAGACCCGGTTCGTGCCCTCATGTAGCTCACAGTCTAATAGGGAGAGCCAGGCCATAACCAAGAACTCAAAGAAAGCAGCTTTCAGGTTGTGATTAGAGCTATAGTGGAAATAAGCAGGAGGGGATGGTAAGAGTCCCTGTGGAGGCACCACTATGGAGATTCAATATTCTTCATATGAATAAGATAGCCTTGCCCTTAGAAGGTTTCAGTCTAGTGAAGGAGGCAGAGTAAAAACAAGCAGACAAATAAATAATCTAATTGCGGGTTATGAGGAAAGAAACAAAGGGTGGTCAGAGGAGGCCTCTCCTAGGAGGTGCTATGTCAGCTGAGGCCTCATGGAGAAAGGATTGCCTGAACCCAGAGCTGGAAAAAGAACATTCCAAGCAGAAGGAACAAAGGAATCTAAAGTCTCTACGATGGGGAAAAGCCAGACATTTCCAGAAAGGAGGCGATAGTGGCCTGTGGAACAAGAGAGAGAGTGGAAGGACAGGAGGTTGGAGAGACAGACAACAGTCAGCTTCTTTGGGGTCTTCCAGCCCATGGTGAGCAGTGGAATTCTTATTCCAAGTACACTGAGAAAATGGAAATGTTGCCTACCATCACCTATTGCTTGACCTTCTGTTCCAGAGTGTCTCTTTCTTGCTAGGCAGATGGGTACAGAGTGTCCATGAGAAATAAGTGTCTCAAAGCATAATAAATTAGCTTTGGCCTTATAAATTTCAAAGATATTTAATTGGATATTTACATACAGTCATTATCTGCACACCTATTCTTGGAGATTGTTATGGCCAAGTAACCTAGTAAGTCAAGTGGAGCCTGAGTCCATTCCCCCTTCACTCTCTCTAAAAAGGTTAGCAGCAATGGTGTTTCCAACATGGAGTAGCATTTGTTATGTTCATACTGCCTTCCTGTTAATTAATAAGTAACCGAAGGTAGTGGTTTGGTTGGTTACATACTGCCTCCTTCCAAAGAGGATATGAAGTGGGTTACACCAACCTGTGTAATGTAACAGGATAAAAAATGATCAATAGATAAAATTCATGACCAAGGGAAAATGTAGGAAGGAAAATTAAGTGAAACAAAAAGTAAAATTAAAACAGTATGCTGGAATGCCTTAAGTGAATTACAAACCTGCCTCTGGGCTTCCTGGTGGGCAAAGGAAAGAAGGAAGCAAGATCAAGTTTGTCTTGTATATAAGATAAACCAGTCTGGGTGCGGTGGCGCATGCCTGTAATTCCAGCACTTTGGGAGGCCGAGGCAGGTGGATCACGAGGTTAGGAGACCAAGGCCAGCCTGGGTAACATGGTGAAACCCCCTCTCTACTAAAAATACAAAAAATTAGCCAGGCATGGTGGCACGCACCTGTAGTCCCAGCTACTCAGGAGGCTGAGGCAAGAGAATCGCTTGAACCCAGGAGCGGAGGTTGCAGTGAGCTGAGATTGTGCCGCTGCACTCCAGCCTGGACGACAGAGCAAGACTCCGTCTCAAAATAAATAAATTTAATAAATAAATAAATAATAAAATTTAAAAAAGATAAACCATAGTTTTGCTCAGGATGAGTGCAGCTTTTCCTGGCATAAGAACCTGAGAGAAGTTTCTTTAGTGGGTTCTATTAGATTGGAGACATTGTGCTCAAATGGACCTATGTTTTTTTTCAAAAGCAGCTTTTGTGAAGTATATTTATACACCATCAACACCCATTTTAAATGTACAAGTTCCTGTGTCTTCTTAAGGCCTTCTACATGAGAACACCTCAGAAGGTTCTGTAATTGGAGGGCAGAATTATTATCTTTCCCTCAGATAAAGCAATTCATATGAGTAATCATACTTTCTCCTAGCAAAAAGCTCTACAATTATTAGTATATTCTTTCTCATTGCTAATCTTACAGACTATAGTATTTCCATCTTATAAGATGGAGATCCTAAGACTCAGGAAAGTTGAGCAATTTAGCTGAAGTCAGACAATTTAGCCAAAGCTAAACTTCAAAACTGGAATGTTACACAAGTCATATTCCTATTTCAATTGCTAAATATGGGTTGATTTTCCCTGTTTACAGATTGCCACTGTTGCAATGTTTTCATCTCACTCAATTGAAGTCCAGAAATGTGAAAGAGGTCCAGGAATTCAAACACTCTTAAGGCCCTATTTCAGATTGCTAAACACAGATTAAGTGTAAGTAATACACTCCAATACTAAAAATGAAGAAATAAGATGTTTGCTTTTTTAACTTTTTGGATAAACATATGAAAAATTTATTTTGAGCCTTTAAAAAGTAGGTAGAACATTCCATCACATTGGTTCAAAGATCAGTTTCTCAGAACTTCGCTGGTTGTTGGTTAATGACATATGGCCCAACAGGAATATTAATATATAGATAATAGCTCACAAGCAGAATGTGAAATATTAAGGTATTATTGCAAAAGACTTTGCTACTTTCCAGAAGTATATTAACAGGATAACATGAAGTCCAAAATATTTGTAAATTCATCCCCTTTGTTTATCCAGCATTTTCAAGCTCCTCGTGAAGTATCCTACAGAGCCAAGCAAGGATCTGACCATCCTGGAACCAATTATCTTGGGGCAGAACATGTTTATGATTTCTTCAGACTCCAGCCAGCACAGACCAAGGGCTGGAAAGGGACAGGAAGGCCAAAGGTGCCTGCTTGGATTATCTAAGAACCTAGCACAGTGCTGGAAACATAGTAGGTACTCAGTAATTGGATTTTAACCTGAAATAAATGGGATAGGGAAAGAGTTTTTACATTACTTATTTTTTGTACATTAAAAAAAGACCTTTGTGTTGAATGTAAGTGTAGAGCTTGATGAATTTTTACAACCTGAACACACCTGTATTGCCAGTTACCCATTTCCAGTGGAGGATTTTTAACAAGGGAATGAACAAAAATGGGTAAAATCTGCCCATGGTCCTCGAGGAAGCCATAGTAGAGTAGGGGAGACACACAGCAAATAAAACAATTACATTAAAATCAATGTGCTGAGTGCTCTAATAGAAGTGTGTACATGATACCTAGGGGCATGATGGAGGAAGTGGTTCACTTTACCCTGATTGCTAGTGAAGTCTTCACAGAGGAAGGGGTACTTGAGATGGGTCTTAGAAGAAAAGAGTTTGCCAGATGGAGAAGGATGGAGTTAGAACTTGGCATATGGAAAGAAAAGTGTGGGCAAAGGCAAGTGTGGGAGAGCTGGACAAGGATAGTGTGGCTGGTACACTAGGGGCACGAACATTCCTTCCTTGACCCCACAGCCCTCTCCATCTGATACTTTTTCCTGCTCCCTTCTTAGCCCAACTTCTCCAAAGAATTATCTACTCATACTGCCTCTTCCTCTTCACCTCCCATCCACTCTTCAACCCACTCCAACCCATCTTCCAGACTCTCCACTTTATTGAAGCTCTTGCTTCAATGTTGGCAAGTCCAAGGAACATTCTTCTGTCCTTATTTAGCTTCTCAGTGATATTCTAAAGTCAGTCATTCTCTCATTCTTAGGACAATCTTTTTGGTTAGTTTGTTTCTGTGATATCGCACATCCTCAAGCTTCTCCTGCAGTGTCTTTTACTTCCCTATTTCCTCTACTCATGCAAAGTGTAAATAAGATAATATATGAAAAGTGCTTAGAATAGGTCATGGTAAATAGTAAACATTCAATAAATATTATCTGTTATTATTTCTGGCCTCCTGGCAGCATCTTTTTCATTTTTCCAGTTCTGCTATCAGTTTATTTTTATTTTAAGTTATTTCCCAATCTTTAAATGTTGTTATTCATCAGGGCTCATGTTTTAAATACTATCTATATATTCATGAATCACAAATTTATATCTTTAGCCTTTACTTGTTCACTGACCATTTTTTTTTTTACACAGCAGCCAGAATATTCTTTTAGAAATTAGTAACAGAGCAAGGATGTCCATTCTCATCACTTTTATTCAACATCATACTGGAGGTTCTAGCCAGTGCAATAAAGCAAGAAAAAGAAATAAAAGATATAGAAATTGGAAAAAAAAGAAGTAAAACTTTTTCTTCAAATAACATAATTGTGTATAGAAAAAAGCTAAGGAATCTACAAAAGAAATACTAGAACTAATAAGCAAATTAAGCAAGGTTATGAGATAAAAGGTTGATGTACAAAACGAATTGTATATTGGCAATGAAAAACTGGGAAAAGAAAATTTGAAACACATTATTATTTATAAAATTAAAAAAATTTCAAACACTCAGAAAAAGTATAATGAGAGCAGTTCAAGATCTCTAGGCTGAAAAATAGAATATATTGCTGAAAGAAATTAAAGAAGGCCTAAATAAATGGAGAGATATATCATGTTGATGGGTTGGAAGAATCAATACTGTTAAGATGCCAAACTCTTAAATTGATCTCTGGATTTCATGCAGTCCCATTTATAATCCCAGTCAATTTCTTTTATAGAAATTGACAAGCTTATTCTAAATTTATTTGAAAATGCAAAAGACCTAAACAAAACAAACTTGAAAAAGAAAAACTTTGGGTGATTCACACTGCCTGTATTCAACACTTACTCTAAAGCTACTGTGTGGTACTGACATAAAGACAGGCAAATAGATTGATGGAACAGGATAGAGAGTCCAGTGATAACCCCATACAGGTACTGCCTGTTAATTTTCAACAAAGGTGCAAAGACAATTTAATGGGGGAAACGATAGTCTGTTCATCAAATGGAGCTGGGAACAGCTAGATATTCTTTTTTTTTTTTTTTTTTTGAGACAGAGTCTCGCTCTGTTGCCCAGACTGGAGTGCAGTGGTGTGATCTCAGCTCACTGCAAGCTCCGCCTCCAGGGTTCAAGCCATTCTCCCGACTCAGCCTCCCGAGTAGCTGGGACTACAGGCACCCACCACCATGCCCAGCTAATTGTGTTTTTAGTAGAGATGGGGTTTCACTGTGTTAGCCAGGATGGTCTCTATCTCCTGACCTCATGATCTGCCCGCCTCGGCCTCCCAAAGTGCTGGGATTACAGGCGTGAGCCACCACGCCTGGCCAACAACTAGATATTCTTTTTCTTTTTCTTTTTTCTTTTCTTTTTCTTTTTTTCTTTTTCTTTTTTTTTTTTTTTTGAGACACACTTTCACTCTTGTTGCCCAGACTGGAGGGCGCAATGGCGTGATCTCAGCTCACTGCAACCTCTGCCTCTCAGGTTCAAGCTATTCTCCTGGCTCAGCCTCCCAAGTAGCTGAGATTACAGGTGCCTGCCAGCATGCCTGGCTAATTTTTTTTGTATTTTTAGTAGAGACGGGGTTTCACCATGTTGTCCAAGCTGGTCTCGAACTCCTGACCTCAGGGGATCCACCTGCCTCAGCCTCCCAAAGTGCTAGGATTACAGGCGTGAGCCACCACACCTAGCCACAGCTAGATATTCTTATGTAAGAAAAAGGAACTTTGACCCCCTATCTCACCACTTAATTAAAAATTACTTTTAGATGCATCATATGCCTAAAGGCAAAAGCTGAAACTCTAAAGCTTCTAAAATAATACATAGGCAATTATCTTCATGACATGGGATAGGCAATGGTTTCTTAGATAAGACCCAGAAAGCACTAACCTTAAAAGAAAAAATTGATAAATGAAACAATTAAAATTTAACATTTCTCCTCATCAAATGACACCATTAAGAAAATGAATAGTCCAGTCATTGTGGAAAACAGTGTAGCAATTCTTCAAAGAGCTAAAAATAGACCCACCATTCCACTGAGCAATCCCATTCCTGGGTAAATATCCAAAGGAATATAAATCATCCTACCATAAAGACACATGCACATGAATGTTCATTGCAGCACTATTCACAATAGCAAAGACATGGAATCAACCTGAGTGCCCATCAATGGTAGATTGGCTAAAGAAAATGTGGTACATATAAGTCATGGAATATTATGCAGCCATAAAAAAGAATGAGATCACGTACTTTGCAGGAACATGTAAGGAGTGGGAGGCCATTATCCTTAGCAAACTAATGCAGGAACAGAAAATCAAATATTGCATATTCTCACTTTAAGTGGGAGCTAAATTATGAGAACACATGGACACATAGAGGGGAACAACACACACTGGGGTCTACTTGAGGGTGGAGGCTGGGAGGAGGGAGAGGATCAGAAAAAATAACTAATGGGTACTAGGCTTAGTACCTGGATGATGAAACAATCTATATAACAAACCGTTGTCACACGAGTTTACCTATATAACAAACCTGTACAAATACACATGAACCTAAAACAAAAGTTAAAAAAAAAAGAAAAAGAAAAAAGAAAATGAACAGTCAAGCCACAAACTGGGAAAAAAATATTCACAATACATATAACTGACAAAGAACAAAATACAGAAACTTAATAGAAAAATAGACAAAATACTTGAATAGACACTTTAAAAACGAAGACCTATGAAGGGACAATAAACACATGAAAAGCTCATCAGCATTATTAATTATCAGGTAAATGCAAACTAAAACTGCAGTGAAATGCCATTTCATACCCTCTAGAATGGCTAAAATCAAAAAGACTGCCAGCACAAAATATTAGCAAGGATGTGAAGTAATGGGAAACCTCACACATTGCTGATGGTAATGTAAGATGGTGAACCAGGCCGGGCGTGGTGGCTCATGCCTGTAATCCCAGCACTTTGGGAGGCTGAAGCAGGCAGATCACATGAGGCCAGGAGTTCAAGACCAGCCTGGCCAACACGGTGAAACCCCCTCTCTACTAAAAATACAAAAATTAGCCAGGCATGGTGGTGCACACCTGTAATCCCAGCTATTTGGGAGGTTGAGGAATGAGAATTGCTTGAGCCTGGAATGAGCCACCGTGCCTGGCCAGAAGACTTGTTTTATACAACACAGTCACAGGCACTTTTAACAAGAATCTATATGAGTTGTCATGAAAATAAGATTGAAGTTGTTAAGTAATAAAAAGTTAATTATAAAAGTATACATATATATATACATGTATAACTTTCTAAAAAAATAATATATGCTTGGATTAGGTAAAACTACACATACATAACGTTGTTTGTTTATAGGAAGAAGACTGAACTACTGCTATACGCCAAACCGTTGGGAGTTGAAGTGGAACTGCCAAGGAATGGGGCCAGTTTTTCCGTTGTGGTGTTTTTATAATTGTGTAGGGTCAGTTTTAGTTTTTACTGTTTGACTCTGTTACAAAGACACTGTTTCACTCTGTCGCCCAGGCTGTAGTGCAGTGGCGTGATCTCAGCTCACTGCAACCTCTGCCTCCCAGGTTCAAGCGATTCTCCTGCCTCAGCCTCCCGAGTAGCTGGGACTACAGGCTGGAGCCACCACACCCGGCTAATTTTTGTATTTTTTGGTAGAGACGGGGTTTGACCATGTTGACCAGGCTGGTCTCTAACTCCTGACCTCAAGTCATCCGCCCACCTAGGCCTCCCACAGTGCTGGGATTGCATGTGTGAGCTACCCTGCCTGGCCTAACTTGTGGGTTTTCAAACAGGATAAAACCTCAGACCCTCACAGTTCTTAACACATACTTTTGTTACCGGTGGAGGGTGTCCAGGTTCTTGGTGTTTTGAACAAATAATTGGACAAAACGCACAAACAAAGTAAGGAAAGAATGAAGCAACAAAATCAGAGATTTACTGAAAACGAAAGTATACTCCACAGCGTGGGAGCAGGCCCGAGCAGTGGCTCAAGGGCCGGAATACAGAATCTTCTCGGGTGCAAATACCCCTTAGAAGTTTCCCATTGGCCACTTGGTGCTCACCTCATTTAAATAAAGTGGTGGCTTGCAATCAGAGACTAAAGTGAAATTATAAAGTTGTACTTCTGTGCAAATGAAGACTTGGCTCACAATCAGAGGCTGAAGTACAGTTAGAAAGTTACACTCCTATGCAAACGCCTGATTGGTTGCAAACAGCGACCAATCAGAGATACATTCAATTTCCCATCTGCCGTGCAGAAAAGGTAGGGGTTTGCAAAGGGAGTAGTCTGTGGTACTTTTGTTACTTAGGTGTAGAAAGTTATACTTTTCCTTTCTTTTTTTTAGGACCTCTTCAAGAACTAGAAACCACTGCTCAACGAAATAAAAGAGGACACAAACAAATGGAAGAACATTCCATGCTCACGGATAGGAAGAATCAATATCGTGAAAATGGCCATACCGCCCAAGGTATACTTTTCCTTTCTATTTAGTACTAAGAAGTCAGCGTGAAATGGCCTTAGGTTCCTTGCCCCCAGACCCTATTCTCCTGGCTCACTTTCAAATGTTTGAGCCAAAAAATGTGTGTGCTTATGTATGTATACTAAATTGTAAAATCAAGAGAACACAGATAAAAAAAAAAGTAGAATTATCCGACACGGTTTTATTTTACATTTTATTGATTTTGAGCTGCATAAGGAGCCATCTACTGGGTCTCCTGAAAAGAAACCAATTTTTTGTTTCCAGACAGCTCCAGACCCAAAGAGAAGGTCAGCTTCTCAGCTGTGGTGGGAACCCAACCCAGGAGAGTGCAGTCAGTTGGAACTCTAGTTCACCAAAAAACAGGGAAGTCAGCAAATGGAGAAATAAGGCAATACAGCTGAGGCTAAATCCTGTTGATCCTCTCTTAATAACTCTCCCATATCTATAGCCTCCTCTCCATCCCCATTTAGTCTTGGCCAATGACTCTCTAACTTTAATATGGGCACCAGTCACCTGGGGATCTTGTTATAATGCAGATTCAGACTTGGCAGGTGTGCAGTGAGACCTGAAATTCTGCTTATTTAACATGATCCCAGGTGATGCACTTTGAATAGCCACTGCTGCAACATAGCTTATGTTGATGTAGATATTTGCAGAATATTTGCAGAATGTGGTCTGCAAGTATGATCTCCTTGCCTCCAAGCTTGATCTTATTTTCAATTGATTATTCACAGAGAAGATAGAAATGATTGATTTAAGGTCAGGCACGATGGCTCAAACCTGTAATCCCAACACTTTGGGAGGCCCAGGCAGGTGGATCACTTGAGGTCAGGAGTTCTAGACCAAGCTGGCCAACATGGTGAAACTCCATCTCTGCTAAAAATACAGAAAAAAAAAAAAAGGAAACATTAGCCCAGTGTGGTCGCTTGCACCTGTAGTCCAAGCTACTTGGGAGGATGAGGCAGGAGAATCACTTTTACCTGAGAAGTGGAGGTTGCAGTGAGCCGAGATCGCACCACTGCACTCCAGCCTGGGCGACGGAGTGAGACTTCATCTCAAAAAAAAAAAATTAAAATTAAATAAAGATTGATTTAGGAGCTAATCCTGAATCTGTAACATTTCCCTCACCCCTCTCCACTTAAAGTCCTTCAGTGGCTCCCACTGTTGCTGGAATACAATCCAGACCCCTTACTGTGGCCCCAAAGGCCTCTATGCCCAGGAACCTCCAAAGGCCACTCTGCTCTCACAGCCCTATGTCCTTGCAAGTCTTGTTCTCTCTCCTTCCACTGGGCCTTCTCCCCTCCATCTGCCTGGTGAAGAGTCAGGCCTTCAATACTCTCTGGTAAGCCTTCTCTTTCCCTCCAGGGCTCCTCCTCCCTTCAAAGAAGGAGGACCCCCTTCCCTGTGTGTTCCTACTCCACCCTGAATATAGCTCTACCACCAATTTAATCAAACTGATTTTCAATTGTTTACATGGTTATCCCCTAGTACTAAATCATGAGCTCCTTGAGAGCACAGATTTCCTCCCCTCCTTTCTTCCTCCCTCCCTCCTCTTTCTTCCCTCCCTCCTCTTTCTTCCCTCCCTCTCTCCTTCCCTCTTCTTCCTCCTTCTCTCCCTCTCTCTTCTTCCTTTTCTTCCTTCCTTCCTCCCTTCCTTCCTTCTTTCCTTTCTTCCTTTCTCTCTCCCTTCCTTCCTCCCCTCCCTCCTCCTCTCTCTCCTCTTCCTTCCTCACTCCATCCCTCCCCTTCCTCCTTTTCCTTGCCTTTCCTCCTTCTCCTCCTCCTTTCCCTTCCTTCCTGCCTCGTTCTTTCCCTCCCTCCCTCCATCTTTCTTTTTTTCCTTTCTGTCACTCTGAACTATCTAAAATTTCTGAAGCTTCTGGCATATAGGACTTTGCAGCACTGTTTTAATCTCCCTGGAATACCCTTTCCTCACTTTCTAGGCCTGAAAACTCCCACTCATTCTGCAGGATTCAACTCAGATGTGACTTGCTCTAAGAAATTTTCATTAATAATTCTTACCCCCACTCCACCCCCAAGTCAGACTAGGGATTCCCACAACACCCGGTATAAAGCTCTCCTAGCACTGATCACACTGCTTTGCAAAGGAATGTTTACTTCTCTACTCATCTGGTCTGTCCATTCATTTGTTCACTCAGGAAATACATCTCAAACACCTACAGTTCTAGGCATCAGGGATACAGCAGTTCACAAAAGAGATAAAAAGCCCTGCTCTCATGGAGCTTACGTTCTAATGAAGGGGAGACATGTAATACACAGATACATATGTCAGGTGGCGATGATGCCTTTACATAAAAACTAAAGCAGATCAAGGCCATAGAGACGGATGTGGAGTTATGCCATTTAGGATGGTGAGGAAAGGCCTCTTGTCTAAGATGGTACATTTGGACAGAGACCTGAGTGAAGTAAGGAAGCAAGCCATGAAGATATCTGAGAATATTCTAGACAGGGAACAGCAAGTGTGAAGGCCATGAAAATGGAGTGTGTGGGACATTTTTGAGGACCAGCATGGAAGCCAGAAAGGCTGGAACTATGTGAGCCAGTGGGAAAGCGGTGAGAGGCATTGCTGAGCCTTGGAGGAGGACATAAAGGAGATCACAGGGCCAAGCACAGTGGCTCACACCTATCTACAATCCCAACACTTTGGGAGGCCCAGGCAGGTGGATCACTTGAGCCCAGCAGTTCGAGACCTGCCTGGGCAACATGGCAAAACCCCACCTCTACCAAAAATACAAAAATTAGCCGGGTGTGGAGGCACACTCCTGTGGTCCCAGCTACTCAGGAGGTAGAAGTGGGAGAACCACCTGAGCCCGGGAGCTCACGGCTACAGTGAGCCAAGATTCCACCACTGTACTCCAGCCTGGGTGATAGAGTGAGACTGAAAAAAAAAATCAGGTGATTTTGCTTCTGTTCAACACCCACCCACCATATAATAAAGTGTAGTGAATGTCAAGAGCTGTCTTTTATTGCACTCCTTCCATGGGCCCATTATCTCTAATGCTTACAATAACTCTGTAAGTGAGCTGTTGCTAACCCAACTGTACACATGAAGCAACTGAGGCTAAATGATTTGCCAAAGGACATTCAGCCAGTAGGTGGTACAGGAGAGACTGGAACCTGGATGTGACTACAAAGCCTGTGCCATTTCTGCTATATTTCATCATGTATTCCTGTAATTAAAAACAGTATTGAAAAATTCCAGACTTTTAGGGAAGGAGGATAAAATGAGACATTCTCATAACTTGAATGGTAAAACACACACACACACACACACACACACACACACACACACACACAAATAAAAAAGGTCAGTGGGCTCGGTGGCTCATACCTGTAATCCCAGCGCTCCGAGAAGCTGAGGTGGGTGGATTGCTTGAGCCCTGGAATTGGAAACCAGCCTGGGCAACATGGCAAAACCCTGTTTAAACACACACACACACACACACACACACACACACAATAATAATACAAAATTATCTGGGCATGGCGGTGCACACCTGTAGTCCCAGCTACTTGGGAGGCTGAGGTGGGAGGATCACTTAAGCCCAGGAGTCAGAGGTTGCAGTGAGCAGAGATTGTGCCACTGCACTCCAGCCTGGGCGACAGGGTGAGAACCTGTCTAAAAAAAAAATTACAAAAATGACCAGGGCTTGGTGGTGTGTGCCTGTACTCCCAGCCACTTGGGAGGCTGAGGCAGGAGAATCACTTGAACCCAGAGTAGGAGGCCGCAATAAGCCGAGATTGGGGCACTGCACTCCAACCTGGACGACAGAGTGAGACCCCATCTCAGAAAAAGAAAAAATAAAATAATGACATCAGTTTAAAAGTTATAAGTACAAGAAATATCAAGGACTTCTGCAAACACACATTCTTTCTTGGTGTTTTTTGTTTGTTTGTTTGTTTTTTGGCAGGGTCTCACTCTGTCGCCCAGGCTGAAGTGCAATGGCACAATCTCGGCTCACTGCAACCTCCACCTCCCAGGCTCAAATGATTCCTCTCGTGCCTCAGCCTCCCGGGGACCACAGGGATGTGCCATCACGCCTGGTTATTTATTTATTTTTTATTTTTTGGTAGCAACAGAGTTTCACCATGTTGCCCAGGCTGGTCTTCAACTTCTGAACTCAAACAATCCACCCGCCTCTGCCTCCCAAAGTGCTGGGATTACAGGCATGAGCCACTGTGCCCGGCCAGAAATAAGAAAATTTGCCTTAAAGTCTGTTAAAGAAGCTTATTGGTAGAGATAGATATAGATATAGACATAGATATAGATATAGATATAGATATAGATATAGATATAGAGATAGAGATAGAGATAGAGATAGAGATAGAGACAGATATCTATCTCCTGCTGGTTCTGTTTCTCTGAAGAACTCTGACTAATACATTATTTATACTACAAGTTGAGTAGCCCTTATCTAAAATCCTTGGGACAAGAAGTGTTTCAGATTTTGGATTTTTTAGATTTCTGGATATTTGCAGGTACTTTAACCAGCTGAGCATCCCTAATTTGAAAAGCCTACCTCCAAAATGCTCCAATGAGAGCATCCTTTGAGCATCATGTTGGCACTCAAAAAGTTTTAGATTTTGGAATATTTCAGATTTGCAATTTTCAGATTAGGAACACTCAACCTGTATTTGATTTCCACAACTATGTGAGCATAGCAGAGCAGGATATTGCATAGAGGAGCAAACAAAATCAGAAATCCAAGAAGTTAGCTGATTTAACTGAGATCACTCAGTTTTGTGTGTCAGATGCAGGCCTAGAACTCAGGCCTTTCTGATTCTTCATCCAGTACTCTCTCACTCTAGTAGGCTAGATCCCCTTGGGCAGATGTAGTTTCATTTGTAATGAATGTAATTAGGGCTGAACATCTCTTCAAGAAGCTGTGACCAGGGCAGTGGTCAAAACCTAAAATGACTGTAGGAGCTGGCAGTGAACTAAATGAGTGAGACCGCCTTGAGGTGAAGCAGAGAGAGAGAGATGGAGCCTGTGCTGATCTAGTGAGTACATATCTTGCCTAAAGGTGTTTAAAATAAAAAATTGTTTTATACTAAGCTATCCAAACAAAACATGTCTACTGGCCTCACTCAGACCACAGATCACCTGTGTATGTCCTCTGATACTCTAACCATCTCAATGACAGATGATAAAATTGAAATTCAGAGAAGTCAAGTAATTAATTCAAGCTCAAACAGCTTGTTAATGACAGAGCTGAGAAACTGATCTCTGCTCTCTCCCTGCCCAGTCCTCTTCCCATCCTCATCCACAGGCTGCAATTGCCCCTATGGTGCCCCGATAGGACTGCCACCCAGGACTGTGGCCCATAATCCCAGCTTTTACTATGCCTATGGCTCCAAACTCCCTTGTTCCTCATAATAATTCCCCAGTCCTTCTCTCAGTTCCCTCTGGACATTGTTTCATGTTTGGCCTAATCTGAAGAAAGAATTCATATTAAGGTAGCAATGAGAGGCGATGGCTTAATGTAAATTAGTATAACCAGTTATATCAGTTAATTATGTCAGTTAATTATGTCAACTCAAAGATTAAATCCCTTTATTGCAAAGTCATTAGGGAAGTCATTAGAGAGCATTATGACTAAGAGTTTGGGATTTGTAGTTATAGAGACCTGGTTTCAAATCCTGGTTGTGTGATTTGGGAAAGTTACTTATCCTCTCTATGCCTTAGTTTCATTCTCTGAAAATGCGTATAATACTAGCTTCTACCTTATAGCAATGGCCTGAGGATTAGAGAGAATGTATGCAGTTATTAGCACAGTAACTAGCATATAGTAATTAATCATAAATGATGGATTTTGAAAAAATCTTAGACAATGAAAAGGATGCATCTCATTGTGAGCATTACTTGGCAGTCTGGACTGCTTCTGTGCTTTCGGTCTGGCTGGGGTTTAGAGAAGAGAAAGGTGAGGAGGGAGGAAAAAAATCCTCTAGGTCTTCAATATTTTCTCCCAATTCGTAGGTTGCCTCTTCACTCTGTTAATGTTTCCTTTGCTGTGCAGAAGCTTTTTGGTTTGATGCAATCTCTCTCTCTCCCTCTCTCTCTCGACAGGGTTTCACTCCTGTCACCCAGGCTGGAGTGTGGTGGCACACTCTAGGCTCACTACAACCTCTGCCTCCCAGGCTCAAGCAATCCTGCCTCAGCCTCCTGAGTAGCTGGGACTACAGGCACACACCGCCACACCCAGCAAATTTTTGTATTTTTAGTAGAGACGGGGTTTCACCACATTGGCCAGGCTGGTCTGGAACTCCTGCCTCAAGTGATCCACCCCACTCAGCCTCCCAAAGTTCTGGGATTACAGGTGTGAGCCACCCTGGCCTCGTTATTATTATTATTATTATTATTATTATTATTATTATTATTAAGACAGAGTTTCACTTTTTTGCCCAGGCTGGAGCGCAGTGGCACGATCACAGCTCACTGCAGCTTCAACCTCCCAGGCTCAAGCGATCCTCCTACCTCAGCCTCCTGAGTAGCTGGGACTACAGGTGTGCGCCACCATGCCCGGTTAATTTTTGTATTTTTTGTAGAGACGGGGTTTCACTGTGTTGCCCAGGGTGGTCTGGAATTCCTGGGCTCAAGCTATCCTTCCACCTCTGCTTCATAAAGGATTGGGCTTACAGGAGTGATCCACCACGACTAGCCTCCATGCAATCTCATTTATCTATTTTTGTTTTTGTTGCCTGAACTTTTGTGGTCAAATACAAAAAATCATTGCCCAGACCCATAAAATAAAAGTATTGAAAGTGTATAAAATTATGGCTGGGTGCGGTGGCTCATGCCTATAATCCCAGCACTTTGGGAGGCGAGGATGGGTGTATCACTTGAGGCCAGGAGTTTGAGACCAGCCTGGCCAACATGGTGAAACCTTGTCTCTAGGGAAAAAAAAAAAAAAAAAGAGCCAGGCCCGGTGGCGCGCCGGTGCCTGTAATCCCAACTACTTGGGAGGCTGAGGCAGGAGAATAGCTTGAATCTGGGAGGCAAAGGCTGCAGTGACTTGAGATCGTGCCACTGCACTCCAGCCTGGGTGACAGAGCAAGACTCCGTCTCAAAACAAGAAAGAGAAGAAAGAGAGAGAGAAAGAAGAAAGAAAGAGAGAGAGAGAAAGAAAGAAAGAAGGAAGGAAGGAAGGAAGGAAGGAAGGAAGGAAGGAAGGAAGGAAGGAAGGAAGGAAGGAAGAAACTGAATGTGAAAGCTTGGAAGAGGTGGTTAAATATCTTGCATGACAGCATCAGTTTTCTAAAAGGCCCAGAAAGAAATCTGGCTTCCCTGTCCTATTAAGATGAAAGAGCTGGCCAGGCGCAGTGGCTCTCGACTGTAATCCCAGCACTTTGGGAGACTGAGGTGGGTGGATAACTTGAGGTCAGGAGTTCGAGACCAGCCTGGCCAACATGGTGAAACCCTGTCTCTACTAAAAATACAAAAATTAGCCAGGCGTGGTGGTGTGCACCTGTAATCACAGCTACTTGGGAGGTTGAGGCAGGAGAATTGCTTGAACCCGGGAGGAGGAGGTTGCAGGGAGCCGAAATCACGCCACTGCACTTCAGCCTAGGTGACAGAGGGAGACTCCATTAAAAAAAAAACAACTAGGCCGGGCGCGGTGGCTCACGCCTATAATCCCAGCACTTTGGGAGGCCGTGGCGGGTGGATCACGAGGTCAGGAGTTCAAGACCAGCCTGGCTAAGATGGTGAAAACCTGTCTCTACTAAAAAAAAAAAAAAAAAAAAAAAAAAAAAAAAAAAAAAATCCAGGCATGGTGGTGAGTGCCTGTAATCCCAGCTACTCGGGAGGCTGAGGCAAGGAATTGCTTGAACCCGGGAGGCAGATGTTGCAGCGAGCCGAGATTGTGCCACTGCACTCCAGCCTGGGTGACAGAGCGAGACTGTCAATAAATAAATACATAAATAAAGTGTATAAAACTATATACATACGGCCATGCATCGCATTAATGACCGTTCATTTAACCACGGACTTTATATATGATGGTGGTCCCATAGACTATAACGGTGCAGAAAACTTCCTATCACCTAGTGTCGTGGTAGCACAATGAATTACGGACGTGTTTGTCGTGATGCTGCTGCAAACGAAGCTACTGCGTTGCTTGTGGTATAAAAGTATAACAAATGCATTTCTGTGCAGTACATAATTGGTAACAATTGTCAGCACTCCACATGTAGGCAGACGGTTGGGCGAGACCACCGGAGAGCCGCTCGTGTCGCCCTGCCCACTTCCTGTCTGCATCCGGAGCTCCCGGGCTGGGCCGTGGCGCGTGGGGCTGTGGCGCGTTTGCTGGCGGACCAGAAGGCCTAGTCGAACTGCACCTCCGAGCAGGCCTTGGACCCGCTTCGTGCTGAGTATTCAGAAGTTGGTGAGTTGGGAGCGGTGCTCGAGCTGGAGAAGGCGGGAGAGCTTGCGGGGTGTGGGGTGTGAGGGCCGCAGGCCGTCCTGCTGAGCAGCCATGAGTCAGCAGCAGCCTGCAGGAAAGTTGACTGACCTGCCCATTAACCCGGCGGAGGAGACGGTTCGCCGCCGAGACGCCACCAATGCGGAGTGCCCACTGCCATCAACAATAAGGATTAATTCCAAAGATGATGTACAACCTGAGTCTAAAAGAGAAACTGTAAATATGAAACCTCATAATAAGACATCACTGGCTTGTACAACGCGAAAATTTATAGATATTCTCAAATCGGCTCCTGGAGGTGTTCTTAGCTTAAGCCAGGTAGCAGCAAAACTGGCAGTGCACAGACGAAGAATATATGACATCATCAGTGTCTTACAAGGAGTCAAACTAATTGAAAAAACATCTAAGAACCATATTCAGTGGATTGGACCTGATTTTAATTCTGGAGCAACACCCGAAGAAAAGAAGCTAGAGGAGGAAGTTTCCAAATTATCAGCAACAGAAGATGCCTTGGATAAGTTAATTGAAGATTGTTCTCAGCAACTGTGTGAGTTAACAAATGACAAAGAATTGGGAAAACTAGCATATGTGACGCTTGAAGACATTCACAACTTGGAACGCTTCCAGGAACAGACCGTTTTTGTCGCTAAATTGCCAGTAGAAATCACACTGGAAATTCCAATTTCTGAAGACTCTTTCTCATTACGTTTAAGTAACAACGACGGACCTGTTGACGCCTATTTGTGTCTATCGAAGAAGGATTACGAAGCTAACTACACGTCTGAGAGTGCCGGGACTTCATCTGAGAGCACTGGGACTTCATCTGAGAGCAGACATCCAGAACACCCTGAAGAAGAAGAAAATCCTCAGCAAGGTGAAGAATTGCTTGACATGAGCAACTGATAACATTTGAGAATTCAGGTATTGTTGAGGTTTTGGGGGAACATCCTCTGCGGAGAATTACACATCACATTTGATTCTTACAGCAATGGACATGGAGTGCTCTTGTTTTCGGTTAGTAGCAGCATTACCACCAGTACTATTTTTGAGTAGTTCACGACTTAGATTCCTGAATAATTCTGGTTTCCACATTTGAAAACAACTCCATGTATAATTATGCACTGCTTTTTGTCATCGGAATAGACATCTTGCCTCCTGAAATAGCTTCGTCACAAAGGGTGTCATGAAAATGACAGTCAGGCCTGAAATGGACGGTTGTTTGCAGGCTCTACCCTTTCCTTCAGGGATTATGTCATATATCACAAAAGAAATTGCCTTACACTGGTTCATGTTTGCAGTTACTGTTGTATATTGGATCCAAATGTGATGTCTTTGTATATATCTGTGTAAAGCTTAGATTACTTATCCACTATTTCCAAGTGACACTTTTTGCCCTTGTACAGCCAAAATAGTGTATATATTGGAAAGTGACAAATTATCTAATTTCTTTGGTATCCATCACTTATTAGAATACTCTGGATGAGGGTTAGAGGAGAGTTTTTCCAAACTGCTACATGTAGAAGTATCATAAATGTGCTGTACATTTACATTCATTGATTTAACTGAAGTGTTTTAATATGGTTCTTAATGCTGAAATTGGAGTCAGATACTTCTTGATTTTAAGCTGTCTACTAAATTGCTGTGTCTCAACAGATTGATGGCATGCTCCAAGGCTTTGGGGCCAAGTATAGAAATGCTATCAAATGATAGATTAATTCATTGTGAGACATAAATTCAATTGTGGGGAAAACTGGAAACTGAAGGTTTTTGCAAGCAGATTTTGTAATGTGTTTCTGTATGCAGCCCAGCTCTTCAATCAAAGGGGTTTTACTTACAGTAAGTTCTACCGTGCCCTCTCTCCAGCTCTAGTCCCAGGTTTCCACATACCTAGCTATTTCCACCTCATTGGGTAAGTCATTTACCACTGTGTGCCTCTGTTAGCTCTGTGGTTTACCATTAGACTATGAGCTCCTTGAGGGACTTTGTTGTAATTACTCTTATGTCCCAGCACCTTGCACGGTGCTTGTCCCATAAAAAAATGCTCAATAATTTTTTTTTTTAAGAGATGAGGTCTTGCTCAGTTGCCCAGGCTGGAGTGCAGTGGCAGCCACTAACACCTGGGCTCAAGCAATTCTCCCACCTCAGCCTCCTGGATACCTGGGACTACAGGTGTGCCCCACCACACCCAGTTAATTTTTGTATTTTTTTTTTTCTGTAGAGAAGAGGACTCGCTGTGTTGCCCAGGCTGTTCTCAAACTCCTGGTTTCAAGCAGTCCTCCCACTTCAGCCTCCCAAAGTGCTGGGATTACAGGCACGAGCCACTGCACCTAACTTAAATGTTTGAACAAAAACAAGATAGTAAATGACTGTGTTACTGGTTTATATATTTACTATGCTATACTTTTTAGCATTACTTTAGAGTATACTCCTTCTACTTATATAGAAAAAAGTTAATTGTAAAACAACCTCAGGCAGTTCCTGCAGGACATATTCCAGAAGAAAGCATTATTATCACAGGAGATGACAGCTTCATGTTTATTGCACCTGAAGATCTTCCAGTGGGGAACAAGATGTGGTGGTGGAAGACTGTGATATAGATGATCCTGACTGTGTATGCCTGATCTAATGTGTGTGTTTGTGTCTTAGTTTTAGCAAAAATGTTTAAAAGGTTAAAAAATATTGTTTTAATGGAGAAAAGCTTATAGAATAAGGATATAAAGAAAAATGTATTTTTGTACATCTGTACAACGTTCGTATTTTAAGATGTGTTATGAATAAAGTTTATAAAATGAAAATGTTACAGTATGCTAAGGTTAATTAATTAATTAATTTTTGAGACAGGGTCTTGTTCTGTCACCCAGACTGGAGTGCAGAGGTGCCATCATGCCTCACTGCCGCCTCGACCTCCTGGGCTCAAGTGATTCTTCCACCTCCGCCTCCCGAGTAGCTGGGACTTACAGGCACATGCCTGTAGCTAATATTTGTATTTTTTGTATAGGTGGGGTTTTGCCATGTTGCCCAGGCCAGTCTTGAACTCCTGAGCTCAAGCAATCCACCCACCTCAGCTTCTCAAAGTGCTGGGATTACAGGCGTGAGCCACAATTTATTATTGAAGAAAGAACTTTTTTGTTTGTTTGTTTTTTTACAAATTTACCATAGCCCAAGTATACAGTGTTTATAAAGTCTGCAGTAGTGTACAGTGATGTCCTAGACCTTCACATTCACTCACCACCCACTCACTGACTCACCCAGAGCAACTTCCAGTCCCGGATGTTCCATTTATGGTAAATGCTCTATACAGGTGTATTAATACTTTTATTTTATCATTTGTACCATATTTTTACTGTACATTTTCTATATTTAGATATGTTTAAATACACAAATATTTACCGTATGTTCCAATTGCCTACAGTATTCAGTACAATAACATACTGTACAGGTTTTTAGCCTGGGAGGAATAGGCGATACCGAATAGCCTAGGTGCGTAGTACACTTACTTGTGTAAGTACACTCTATGATGTTCACACAATGACAACATTGCCTAATGGTGCATTTCTCAGAGCATATCCCTGTAACCACACAATGAGTTCATTTTTCTCATTGCCCAGATAGAGCCAATTTATCAAGACGGGGAATTGTAATAGAGAAAGAGTTTAAGTCACACAGAGCCAACTGAACAGGAGACCAGAGTTTTATTATTACTCAAATCAGCCTCCCACAAAATTCAAAGGCTAGAATTTTTTGAGGATAGTTTGGCAGGCTGAGGAATGGGTGGTGCTTATTGGTTGAGGATGCAATCATAGGAGTGTGGAAAATGGCCCTCGTATGTGCTGAGTTCACTTTTGGGTTGGGTCACAGGACCACTTGGTGGGTCTGGGTGGAGCCATCGGTTGTCAGAAATGCAAAAACCTGAGAAAGCATCTCAAAAGGACAATCTTGGGTTCTAGGTTAGTGATGTTATCTGTAGGAGTAATTGGGAGGTTATAAATCTTGTCATCTCAGGAAAAATGGGTGGTAATCATTTATATCTACACTTCAGCAGAATTCAGGCTCCTCTCATCCTCCTAACCTGGTGGTCTTTCACTAGCTTTACAAAGGCAGTTTAGTTTTGGGGAAAGGATTATTACCATTTAAAGTATATATACTAAATTTTGGCTGGGCGCAGTGGCTCATGCCTGTAATCCCAGCACTTTGGGAGACCAAGGTGGGCAGATCACAAGGTCAAGAGATCGAGACCATCCTGGCCAACATGGTGAAACCCTGTCTCTACTAAAAGTACAAAAATTAGCTGGGCGTGGTGGCGCATGCCTGTAGTCCCAGCTACTCAGGAAGCTGAGGCAGGAGAATCACTTGAACCCAGGAGGCGGAGGTTGCAGTGAGCCGAGATTGCGCCACTGCACTCCACCCTGGGCAACAAAGCGAGACTCCGTCTCTAAATAAATAAATAAATAAATACTAAATTTCTCCCAAAGTTAACTTGGTCCAAACCCAGGGATGACTAAGGGCAGTTTAGAGGTTAAAGGAAAATGGGGGTTGGTTAAATCAGATCTCTTTCACTGTCATAATCTTCTCACTGTTATAATTTTTGCAAAGGTGGTTTCATCCCCATCTTTACATGGCACATGACTGCATATATGTGTGTGTGTGTAAATCCCCTAAGTCAAATGGTGTTCCCATACATTAATGTATATAGACACCGTCACCAGATTATTTTTATGTAAACAAGAGCTTTTTTTAATATACTTTAAGTGTAAATGGGGTTACTGGCAGTGCTATTCTGTGGTGGACCAGGAATAAAAATCACAGAAGCAGAATAATCACGGAATAGACAAATTAGAGCCAGTATGTAGAATTGGGAGTATTGGCCAAGAAACTGTGAAAGGCCAGACATAGACTAGGAATAAAGCACAAAAAGTGAAAGAAGGTTTAGTAAGCAGGGTAAACTACTTTGTTTGTTAAGCTCAACATTTCTTATCAGTAACTGGAATAAAGACTGGAAATCAGGTCATGCACGGTGGCTCACGCCTGTAATCCCAGCACTTTGGGAGCCCGAGGTGGGCAGATCACTTGAGGCTAAGAGTTCGAGACCAGCCTGGCCAAAATGGCGAAGCCCATCTCTACTAAACACACACACACACACACACACACACAAAAGAACCGGGCTTGGTGGTGCACGCCTGTAATCACAGCTATTCAGGAGGCTGAGGCACGAGAATTCCTTGAACCTGGGAGGCGGAGGTTGAAGTGAGTCCAGATTGTGCCACTGCACTCCAGCCTGGACAACAGAGTGAGACTCCATCTCAAAAAAAATAAACAAAAAAGAAACTGAATGTGGAAGTGACATAAAGCTTGGAAGAGGTGGTTAAATACCTTGCATGACAGCATCAGTTTTCAAAAAGGCCCAGAAAGAAATCTGACTTCCCGGTCCTATCAAGATGAAAGAGCCAGCCAAGCATGGTGGCTTACGCCTGTAATCGTAGCACTTTGGGAGGCCGAGGTGGGTGGATCACTTAAGGTCAGGAGTTCGAGACCAGCCTAGCCAACATGATGAAACCCCGTCTCTACTAAAAATACAAAAGAATAAATAAGCCAGGCATGGTGGCGCGTGCCTGTAGTCCCAGCTACTCAGGAGGCTGAGGCAGGAGAATCACCTGAACCTGGGAGATGGAAGTTGGAGTGAGCCGAGATCACACCACTGCACTCCAGCCTGGGTGACAGAGCCAGACCCTGTCTCTAAATAAATAAATAAATAATTTAAAATACTATTATATTAAATGCACAACTATACTGTAAAATAAAATTCAAATGAGGCAACATGACTGTTGTTGTGAAGGGCTGTTCACGGCCAGAAAATAAACATTCAATCTTACAGCGAATTTCCTCATTTATACACTGAAATACCTCACACTTTTCAAAGGAAATGTATTCAAAAGACTTGGTGCAGAATTGAATAAATTGAACCTCAACACTTAATTGTTTCAGGACATGAAATCCAAAACAACCTTCTGTAATGGCCAGTGATTGGCACTTGTGAGCATTTCTTATTTTATTTTATTTTTATTTTTTGAGACACAGTCTTGCTCTGTCGCCCAGGCTGGAGTGCAGTGGCACAAGCTCGGCTCACTGCAACCTCCACCTCCCAGGTTCAAGCAATTCTCCTGCCTCAGTGTCCCAAGTAGCTGAGACTACAGGTGCGCACCACCACACCCGGCTAACTTTTTGTATTTTTAGTAGAGATGGGGTTTCACCATGTTGGCCAGGCTGGTCTTGGACTCCTGACCTCAGATGATTCACCACCTGGGCCTCTCAAAAGTGCTGTGATTACAGGCATGAGCCACCATGCCAGGCCACTTGTGAGCATTTAGTGTCCTAAAACAAATTCTCAGACAGATTACAAATGTGTACATTTTTACACTGAAAATACCACAAAAGGGGCCAGGCACAGTGGCTCACACTTGGAATCCCAGCACTTTGGTACGCCGAGGCGGGTTGATCACCTGAGGCCAGAAGTTCCAGACCAGCCTGGCCAATAAGGTGAATGGTGAAACTCCATCTCTACTAAAAATACAAAAAGCAAACAAACAAACAGAACAGCTGGGCATGCACCTGTAATCCCAGCTACTTGGGAGGCTCAGGCACGAGAATCACTGGAACCTGGGAGGTGGAAGTTGCAGTGAGCTGAGACTGTGTCACTGTCACTACACTCCGGCCTGGGAAACAGAGCGAGACTCCTGTCTCAAAAAAAAAAAAAAAAAAAGAAAAGAAAAAAAAGAAAAGAAAGAAAGAAAGAGCCCCTCTTACAACTAAAAAAGTCTGGGCATAGCAGAACAAACAAACATGAAGACTTTCAAAGATGATGTTGTGGTCTGAAGGTTTATGTCCTACTCAAATTCAAATGTTGAAATCCTAAACCCCCAAGATGATGACATGAAAAGGTGGGGCCTTTAGGAGGTGAATAGGTCATGAGGGTGGAGCCCTCATGAATAGAATTAGTGCCCTTACTAAAGTGGCCTGAAGAAACGTGTTCCCCCATTCTACCATGTGAGGACACAGTGAGAAGGCACTGTCTATGAGCCAGAAAATGGGCCCTCATCAGACTCTAAATCTTCTGGCACCTAGATCTTGGACTTCCTAGCCTCCAGAACTGGGAAAAATAAATTTCTATTGTTTATAAGACACTCTGTCTATGGTGTTTTGTTCTAACAGCTTGAACAAACTAAGACAGGTGGAAAGAAGAAGGTTAACTTGGCCAGGGAACTTGGGGCTTCAGGAATAACATGGTGCTATGTTTTCCGGGTTTCCCTTTGGCCTCTTATATTTTCCAAATAGGGTGCCAGAGAAGCCTGAAAGTTGGAACCACCAACAGGCACAGACCAAAAAAAGCTCTAAGAAAAGCCTGCTCTCCCTTCCCAAGGGACTAGGAAAAGGATGGCCCTAATGGAACAGAAACTCTTAGATAATACCTGCCCTAGTCCAGCTAAACACCAGTCTATGTGACTATCTTTTTACCAACACCACACTGTATTGATTACCACAGCTATCAGGGAAGCCTTAATATTGGGTAGAATGATTCCTCCCACCTTATTGTTCTTCTTCAAAATTGTTTTAAGCTATTCAAGGTTCTTGCCCTTCCATTTCAATTTTAGAATACATCTGTCTATATCCACAAAAACCTTATTGGGATGTTGATAGGAATTATGTTAAATCTGTAGATCATTTGGGGGATAATCGACATCTTTACTATGCTGAGTCTTCCTATCCAAGACTCTTGTGTCTCCCCAGTCTTTTAAGTCATCTTTGATTTTTTTCTTTCTTGGTTTGTTGTTGTTGTTGTTGTTGTTGTTGTTGTTGTTGTTGTTGTTGTTGTTTTGAGATGGAGTTTCGCTCTTGTTGCCCAGGCTGGAGTGCAATGGCGTGATCTCGGCTCACTGCAACCTCCACCTCCTGGGTTCAAGCAATTCTCCTGCCTCAGCCTCCTAAGTAGCTGGGATTACAGGCATGTGCCACCACGCCCAGCTGGTTTTGTATTTTTAGTAGAGATGGGGTTTCACCATGTTGGTCAGGCTGGTCTCAAACTCCTGATCTCAGGTGATCTGCCCACCTTGGCCTCCCAAAGTGCTGGGATTACAGAGGTGAGCCACCTTGCCCGGCCATCTTTGATTTTTTTTCATCAGAATTTTGAAATCTTCTGCACACATATCTTATACATGTTTCGTTAGATTTATACGTAAGGATTTTATTTTCGGGAGCAATTTTAAATGGTATTGTGGTTTGAAATTTTGTTTTCTACATGTGCATTGCTGACATATAGAAATGTGATTAATTTTTATTTTGTATTTCATTTTATTTATTGTTTGATTTTTGAGAGTGGGAAGTGCAGTGATGTGATCTCTGCTCACTGCAACCTCCGCCGCCTCCCGGGTTCAAGCGATTCTCCTGCTTCAGCCTCCTGAGTAGCTGGGATTACAGGCGTGCACTACCACACATGGCTAATTTTTGTATTTTTAGTAGAGAAGGGGTCTCACTATGTTGGCCAGGCTGGTCTCAAATTCCTGACCTCAAGTGATCTGCCTGCCTCGGCCTCCCAAAGTGCTGGGATTACAGGCATGAGCCACTGTGCCTGGCCAGTTTTTGCCATTACTTTTAATGGTAAAAAAGCGATTACTTTTGCACCAACTTAATACATGCTTGCTATCAAGTTGAGGAATTTTCTTTCTATTCCCGTTTTTCTGAGAGGTTTTAAACCATAAATGGGTGTTAAATTTTGTCAAATACATTTACAGTATCAATTGACATAATCATTATGATCATGTAATTTTTCTTTAGCTTGTTGATATGGTGAATTTACATTGGTTGATTTTCAAATGTTGAACCAGCCTTGCAAAATGGGATTAAATTTCACTTGCTCATGGTATATAACTATTTTGGTACATTGTTGAATTTTATTTGCTAATATTTTGTGAAGGGTTTTTGTGTCTATCAGGAACAATATTGATGTGTAGTGGTTGTGTGTGTGTGTGTGTGTGTGTGTGTCTGTGTGTGTGTGTACTATCTGTCTGTTTTGGTATCTGACTATTATAAGCTTGCTAACATGATGGGAAGTGTATTACCAGGGTTTGTCAGAGAAACAGAATAGGCATATTCAGATCACTTACATTAATATAACTATTGATCTGTTATACTTTATTTGGCATTTTATTATTTATTTTCTCCTTGTTCCCTCTGTCTCTCATTCCTCTGTTTCTCTTTTCCTGCTTACCTGTGGATCCCTTGAACATTTTTTAAAAGTAAATTTTGATTTATCTATATTTGAAAAATGGAGCCGGGTGCGGCGGCTCACGCCTGTAATTCCAGCACTTTGGGAGGCGGAGGCGGGTGAATTACCTGAGGTCAGAAGTTCGAGACCAGCCTGGACAACATGTTGAAACATCGTCTCTACTAAAAATCCAAAAATTAGCCAGGCATGGTGGCACACGCCTGTAGTCTCAGCTACTCGGGAGGCTGAGTCACGAGAATCATTTGAACCCAGGGGGCAGAGGTTGCAGTGAGCTGAGATTGCGCCACTGCACTCCAGCCTGGGTGACAGAGTGAGACCCTGTCTCAAAAAAAAAAAAAAGAAAAAAAAAAAGAAAGAAAGAAAAGAAAAGAAAAATGGGGAGGGTATGGTGTCCTGTCAATATTTTCTTTGTAATGACATATGTATTCTCTAAGAAGACACAGGTTTTTCTACCATGCTCCTGACTTTCTTTTGAGCCCTTCCTGACAGAATCTTGAACATCTATATTTGTATCGACAGTCTATCCAAGGCAATTTAGGATTTTTCTATCAGGCTCTTCAAAATTCTTCTAGCCTCTACCCATTACCCGATTCCAAAGCCACTTCCACATACTTAGGTATTTGTTGCAGCAGCACCCTACTTCTGATGCCAAAATTTGTATCAGTCAGGATTCAACCAGGGAAAAAGAACCAATAGGAGACATATTTTGAGACTTATTGCAAGAAATTGGCTTATGCAATTGTGGAGTCTGGCTAGACAAGACTGAAATCTACAGGGAAGGCTGACAAAAAGGGCAGTTTGGAACTCTCAGGCATAAGCTGAATCTGCTATCCATAGGCAAAATTTCTTCTTCTGAGAAGCCTCAGTTCTGCTCTTTTAAGGCTTTCCACCTGACGGAATCAAGCCCACCAAGATTATCTAGGATAATCTCCCATGCTTAAAGTCAACTGATTGTGGACTTCCATCATATCTAGAAAGTACTTTCACAGCAACACCTAGATTGATGTTTGATTGAATAACTGAAGACTATAGCCTAACCAAGGACATATAAAACAACATCACAGAGTGTGAATTGCCACAATCACTTTTTTTTTTTTTGAGACAATGCCTACCTCTGTCACCCAGGCTGGAGTGCAGTGGTGTGATCATGGCTCACTGCAACCTCTGCCTCTCAGGCTTTGAGCCATCCTCCTACCTCAGCCTCCCAAGTATTTGGGACTACAGGCACGTGCCATCACGCCTGGCTAATTTTTGTATTTTTTGTACAGATGGGGGTCTCACTTTGTTGCCCAGTCTGGTCCCGAAGTCCTGAGCTCAAGTGATTCGCCCTCTTTAGCCCCCCAGAGGGCTGGGATTACAGGTGTGAGCCACTGCGTTTGGCCCACAATCACTTTTTAAAATGTTTCACAATATATACTAAAGCTAAACATACATATACTCTATGATCCAGCAAGTGTCATTTCAGGTTTATACCTAATAAAAATCCATGTATTGCCAAAAGATGTGTACAAGCATGTTCATTATAGCGTTGTTTATATTAGCCGGCAGTTGGAAGCATCCACAATTTCCATCAAGGACAATGGATAAACAAATTTTATTAGATTCATTTGGCTAGGTGCAGTTGCTCACGCCTGTAATGCTAGCACTTTGGGAGGCCAAGGCGGGAAGATGGCTTGAGCCCAGGAGGTTAGGACCAGCCTGGGCAACATAGTGAGACCCTGTCTCTACAAAAAATAAAAATAAATAAATTAGTCAGGTTTGCTGGTACCTACCTGTGGTCCCAGTTACTCAGGAAGCTGAGGTGGGAGGATTGCCTGAGCCCCGGAGGTGAAGGCTGCAGTGAGCCAAGATTGTGCCACTGCCTTTCAGCCTGGGTGACATAGTAAGACTATGTCTCAAAATATTTAAAAAAATTAAAAAACAGATTCATTCAATGAATTACTACGTAGCAATGAAAAAGAGCAAACTATTGCTATCCGCAACAGTATGGATGAATCTCACAGACATAAAGACAAGCAACAAAAAAGCCATTCACAAACAAGTACATCCTGTATGATTCCATTTATACAAAGTTCAAAAACAGGCAAAACCAATCTTGGAAGGGGGCACAAGGGAGCATTTTGGATGCTGGTAATGTTCTGTTTCTTGATCTGAGTGATGGTTTTATAAAAAATATGTGTGTGTATGTGTGTGTGTTAAGCTGTGTTACGCTTAAAATCTATGCACTTTACGTAAGTTATACTTTAATAATTTTTTTTTAAAATCTAGACATGCAAGAAAAATAAGTTGAAACCAATAAGATAATCTATAATGTCTAATACTTTTAAAGTGGAACATGAGAAAGACCTATTTGGCACCACAGAGAAAGACACAGGGGCTTTAGTTGACCACAAGTTTTGTGTGAGTCAGCCATGTGACATGGCAATTTTAAAAGTTCATGTAATTTAAGCTGCTTTAGCAGACACAAAATCTCTTATATTTCATCTTGTTGGTTCCAGCCCAACATTTTCAAATCTCTTTGAATCCTAATTATTTCATGTAGGACAGAATGGTGTTGTTGAAAGAATTCTTAACTAGGAAAATAAAGTAAAGCCTTCTGACTATCTTTCTAATGAATATAACAATTTTAATGTTGAGCAAAAGTCCAATGAATTATTTTCCTTTATTTAATTATTATTATTATTATTTTGTGACAGAGTCTTGCTCCGTTGCCCAGGCTGGAGTGCAGTGGCATGATCTCAGCTCACTGCAGCCTCTGCCTCCCAGGCTCAAGCGATTCTCGTGCCTCAGCCTCTCAAGTAGCTGGGACTACAGGCGCCCGCCACCACACCCAGCTAATTTCTGTATTTTTTGTAGAGACGGGGTTTCACCATGTTGGCCGGGCTGGTCTCAAACTCCTGGCCTCAAGTGATCCACCCACCTCGGCCTCCCAAAGTGCTGGAATTTCAGGCATGAGCCACCTTGCCCAGCCCTTTTGTGGTATTTTCAGTGTAAAAATGCACACATTGATAATCTGTCCGAGAGCTTGTTTTAGGACACTAAACTCTCACAAGTGCCAATCACCGGCCACTACAGAAAGATTTTTGAGATTTCATATCCTGAAACAATCGAGTGTTGAGGTTCAATTTATTCAATTCTGCCCCACGTTTTTTTGCATATATTTCCTTTGAGAAGCGTGAGGTATTTCAGTGTATAAATGAAGAAATTAACTGTAAAACAAAATGTTTATTTTCTGGCAGTGAACAGCCCTCGGAAGTCATGTTGCCTCATTTGAATTTTATTTTACAGTATAGTTGTGCATTTAATATAATGATATTTTATTTATTTATTTTGAGATAGGATCTCACTCCATCACCCAGGCTGGAGTGCAGTGGCGTGATCTCGGCTCACTGCAGCCTCTGCCTCCCAGGTTCAAGTGATTCTCCTGCCTCAGCCTCCCGAGTAGCTGAGACTACAGGCGTGGTTGTATTTTTAGTAAAGACGGAGTTTTATCATGTCAGCCATGCTGGTTTGGAACTCCCGACCTCAAGTGATCTGGCAGCCTCAGCCTTCCAAAATGCTGGGGTTACAGATGTGAGCCACTGCGCCTGGCCAGTTATTTTATTTATAACTGGACTTAGGTTTAGAGACCAGATGAAACACTACCCAAAAGTTTCTGACAAATTTAAGAGGATATATAGGCCAAAAATTAAGATGGTAATGAGAAAGTTTACCTTGCTATATACAGGGGATCTTGAGATGAAAGTGTAGGAAGGAACATGGGAGGTTTTTTAAATTTTGAATATTGGAAGGGCTAACATATGGAAGAGGGCATATCTGTTCACTCTGGAGGGCAGAACTCAACCTACAGGTAGATGTGATGGTGATGCCAACTTGAATTCTGTAATAAGAAGAAAACTCCTTGCAGTCTCAGCTACTTAGGAGACTGAGGCAAGATCACTAGAGCGCAGGAGATTGAAGCTGCAGTGAGCCATGATCACACCACTACACTCCAGTCTGGGCAACAGAGTAAGACCCTGTTGCTAAAATAAGTTTTAAAAAATAAAATAAGGCTGGGCACGGTGGTTCACGCCTATAATACCAGCGCTTTGGGAGGCCGAGGCAGGTGGATTGCTTGAACTCACGAGTTTGAAACCAGTCTGGGCAACATGGTGAAACCCCATCTCTACACAAAAATACAAAAATTTGGCCAGGCACAGTGGCTCATGCCTGTGATCCCAGCTACTTGGGAGGCTGAGGCAGGAGGATCACTTGAACCCAGAAGGCAGACATTGCAGTGAGCCGAGATTATACCACTGCACTCCAGCCAAGGCAACAGAGGGAGACCCCGTTTCAAAAAAATAAATAAATAAATAAATAAAAACAAAAATACAAAAATTAGCTGGGTGTGGTGGCACATGCCTGTAGTCCCAGCTAATCAGGAAGCTGAAGTGGGAAGACTGCTTGAGCTTGGGAGGCAGAGGTGGTAGTGAGCTGAGATCACGTCACTGCGCTCGACCCTGGGTGATAGAACCAGACCTTGTCTGAAAAATAATAATAAATAAATAGGCCAGGTGCAATGACTCACACCTGTAATCCCAGCACTTTGGGAGGCCAAGGTGGGTGGATAACTTGAGGTCAGGAGTTCGAGACCAGCCAGGCCAACATGGTGAAACCCCGTCTCTACTAAAAATAGAAAAGTTAGCCTGCGTGGTGGCAGGCACCTGTAATCCCAGCTACTCGGGGGCTGAGGCAGGAGAATCACTTGAACCCCAGAGGTGGAGGCTGCAGTGAGCCAAGATCGCACCACTGCACTCCAGCCTGAGAGAAGGAGTGAGACTCTGCATACCCCCACCCTCCAAAAATAATAAAATAAAAAAATCCTAATGCCTGGGCTCCTGCACAAGATAGCTGGAATTTCAAAGATATTGAGAAAAGAAACATGCTAATACCTATGTTCAATCATCACTCATTACTTTTTCTTTACAGTCTCTTAAAAGTGGTCAGTGGGGCTGCCTGTAAACATTTTTTAACTAGAAATGGATGAGAAATAGAAGGCAAGGGGCAAGGTTATTGCAATTTCCCCAAGATGCCTCCGTAAAATTGAGCTAATACCAACTTCCAAGGTTATATTTTCAGAGGAAAGAGACCAGTTCCAAATGTTGTGTAGATTCTCCAGTCCATTTATGGGGACTCCCATTTCAAAATCTTACGTCCTTCAAGCAGCATTAAAACAGGCCTTATTATGACCCCTTTAAAAACATCCTCTTCAACTATACTCTCCTTAACCTTCCACAACTGAAGTCCAGCTGTGTGAAAAACCTACCAAGTCTTTATGCTCAAGTGTTTTTGCTTAAACTGTATCTAATTTAGTGCTGTTGACATCAAAGATAAAGGATTATGCTAGCAAATGATGGTCAATCTGACCCTGTCAAGAATGCAATGTTTGTTTTTACTATATGACTGCGAAAATATTGTTACAAATATCTATGACTATTAGATACATAAAAGTTATTAAAATGCACTCTCTTACTAAAGCAGTGCACAAAATATGTAAACAAGTAAAGCTAGAAGCAAACATAATTTATTTGCTTAAATAACACTAAGGAAACCACTGAAGCAAAGCTGGGCTGGCAGACAGCAGGGAGATAATTTCAGTGATGATACGACACGATAAATTGCCTCTGCTGTACACAATTTTCACTCCAGAAAAAAAAATTAATCTCCTACTCCTGTCACATTGTTCTTTCCCACTGATGCATATGTCAGTTCTGTTATCTCTGAAGTCTGAACAGGACCAAGTTCGTCCTTTGTGGCTGTACCTCCAAAGATGCACAGCCACTAAAGCAAAATAAACCTACAAAGCCTTGCCTGCCTTTGGATAACTCCTAAAATGGAAATCTCATTATTTGGGTCCATGTACGTGTTTGCATTAAGAGTCTGGAATACCCATAGAATAATCATCTTTTGGCCAGGTGCAGTGGCTCACACCTGTAATCCCAGCACTTTGGGAGGCCAAGGCAGGCGGATCACCTGAAGTCAGGAGTTTGAGACCAGCCTGGCCAACATAGTGAAACCCCATCTGTACTAAAAATACCAAAAAAAAAAAAAACAAAAACTAGGCATGGTGGAGCATGCCTATAATCCCAGCTACTCAGGGGGCTGAGGCAGGAGAATCTCTTGAACTGGGGAGGCGGAGGTTGCAGTGAGGTGAGATCGCGCCACAGCACTCCAGCCTGGGCGACAAGAGCAAAACTCCGTCTCAAAAAAAGAATAATCATCTTTTGGGGAAGGCACTTTGAGGGGGGCAAGAACAGCTGTACTGTGACCCTGTGGAAGCTGGATTTGGCATTTTGGCACTTACCAGAGGTGTGTATCTAGGAAATTCACTCAACTCTTCAGTTTCCTCATCTGTAAAATACGGACAATAATCCACCTTCCTGGGGTTGTTATGAAAACGAAGTGATATCATGAATGTGAGTTGTCTAACTACACAGTTTGTGCCTGTTAATTGGTTACTGGTGTTATTATTCAGTCATTTAACTAATATTTATTGGGCACCTTTTTGTGAAACACTGTTCTAGGTGCTGGGAATATAGCAGAGAATAAAGTCACCAAAATCTTTTCACAGGAGACCTTAAATCTACTGCGGAGTTGGCTCGGCACTTTGGGAGGCTGAGGTGGGAGGATCAGTTGAGCCCAGGAGTTCAAGACCAGCCTAGGCAACCTAGTGAGACCCCCATCTCTATTTTTGCATAATTCTTTTAAAATAAAAAATTTTTTAAAAAATCTATGGAGGGGAAACAAACAATAAACAAAAATGTCAAATGCATAGTTTGTCAGAAGATAATAATTGTTATGGAGAATAATGTAGCAGGGCAGGAGAATAGGGAATGCTGGGATTAGGGGTGGGTGGCAGTTTTGGATAGGATGGTCACCTAAGATGGTGACAAGGGAGCTAAGACCTGAAAGAAATGAATAAGTGAACCAGGAGCCATGATGATACCTGAGGGAAGTGTGTTTCAGGCAGAGACAATAGCAACTCAAGGGCCCTGAAATAGAAGCATGCTGGCGAGGTGGTTCAGAGCAGCAGGGAGGCCAGTGTAGAGTGGTATGAATGAATGAATGAATGACAGGGAGAGTAGCAGGGCCAGATCATGTAAGGCCTTGTAGGGCTTGGCACGTAGCAGGTGCAAAAGGTATTATTATAACATGATCAGCATCACCTAACTCATATATTTAAAGAACCACCCTTTGCTGGGTTGAAAATAAACTGTAGAAGGGACAAGGGTGGTAGCAGGGAGATCACTGAAATAACTAGATGAGAAGTGATGGTGGTTTGGATAAAAGTAATAGCAGTGGAGCCCTGTCTCTACTAAAAATACAAAAAAATTAGCCGGGCGTAGTGGCGGGCGCCTGTAGTCCCAGCTACTTGGGAGGCTGAGGCAGGAGAGTGGCGTGAACCCGAGAGGTAGAGCTTGCAGTGAGCTGAGATCGCGCCACTGCACTCAAGCCTGGGCGACAGAGCGAGACGCCATCTCAAAAAAAAAAAAAAAGAAAAAAAGAAAAAAAAAGAGTAATAGCAGTGGAGGTTGTAAGACATAGTCAGATTCTGGCTGTATTTTGAAGTTAGAGCCAACAGGCTTTCCCGATTTAGTAGATGTGGGGTGTGAATGAGAGAGGACGGAGTCCAAGATGATTCTAAGGTTTTGGTGCCTGAGCAACTGGAGGGATAAGATTGTCAAAATCTGTGATAAAGGCTATACAGGCGGAGCAGGTTCTAGGAGATCAGCAGCTAGTTTTGAAACATGTTAAGTTTGGGATGTCTATTAGATATCCATCGGGACAGATTAAATAGGCAGCTGGGTATCCAAATCTAGAGTTTAAGGGGAGAGGTCATGCTGGTGTTGTCACTATGTGGATTGTATGTAAATCCATAGAGCTGAATGAGATCACCAAGGACTTAAGGATAGATAAAAAGGAAAAGGGATTGAGCTCTGGAGCACTCCAATGTTAAGTGAAGGAGGAGAATAGGCAAATCCATACAGATGCAAAGTAGATTCATAATTGTCAGAGGCACAGCTGTAGGGATGGAGAGTGATTGCTAATGCATAAAGGGTTACTTTTTGGGGTGATGACAATGTTTTAGAATTAGTGGTAATGATTGCACAACTCTGTGAGCACACAAAAAAACACTTAATTGTACACTATGAAAGGTTACATTTTATGGTATGTGAATTACATCTCAGTTAGAAAAAATAACTCAGGCAGAAGAGGAGAAATCAACAAAGGAGATAGAGAAGGAGATGGGAAGAAAACCAATAGTAGATTATCCTAGAAAGAAAGTGAAAAAACAAATGTTGCAAAAAGAATGTGTCAAATGCTGTTGACACTTCACCTATGTTGAGGACGGAAGGCTATATCACTGGATTGAACATCATGAGGATCATTGATGACCTTGACAAGAGCTGTTTAGGTGGAATGGTGAAGGGTGAAAGCCTGCCGTAGTGAGATGGGAAAAAAATCTCACTATTGGAGGGTGCTAAGTAACAAACTTATTATTATTATTATTATTGTTATTACCGAGACAGCGTCTCACTCTGTCACCTTGGCTGCAGTGCAATGGTGCAATCTCGGCTCACTGCAACCTACTCCTCTCGGGCTCAAGCAAACCTCCTGCCTCAGTCTCCCAAGTAGCTGGGACTACAGGTGTGTACCACCATGCCCAGCTAATTTTTGTATTTTTAGTAGAGATGGGGTTTCACCATGTTGGCCAGGTTGGTCTCAAACTAACCTCAAGAGATCTCCCTGCCTCAGCCTCCCAAAGTGCTAGGATTACAGGCATGAGCCACTGCGCCCAGCCCCAGCTCATTATTTTTAAAAACTGCTAAGTAAAGGGAAGAAATCAAGCATCTTTCCTGCCTTTCTATAGAAACATACAGTAGGTGAGGGGACATTTCTTTTTATAGAAGTATTCCAGCTAATAAATGAAGATGGGATGACAGAATTCTAATATCACCACTTTGCAACCCCAGTGGAGCACCAACAGCTGCTAACATCACACAGAGACATTATGACAACTCTGTACCTCCTAATGGAAGGACACACCACCACCAATGAAGTGATCATGCCAAAAAAATAAACCCAAATCTGATTAAGCTTCTAGATCCAACCAGCAATGTACAGGAAATTCAAACGATGGAAGAGCATGTTAAATGACACCACAGGGATGCAGTAGTAAACTCCAGACTGTGGAACATTCTATAGGATAAACAGCCAATTTTTCCAACAAATACATTTTAAGAGAAAAAAAGAGACCAGGCGCGGTGGCTCATGCCTGTAATCCCAACACTTTGGGAGGCCAAGGTGGGTGGATCACCTAAGGTCAGGAGTTCGAGACCAGCCTGACCAACATAGTGAAACCCCGTCTCTACTAAAAATACAAGAATTAGCTGCGCATGGTGGTGGGTACCTGTAATCCTAGCTACTCTGGATGCTGAGACAGGAGAATCACTTGAACCCAGGAGGCAGAGGTTGCAGTGAGCCGAGATCGTGCCACTGCACTCCAGCCTGGGGGACAGAGTGAGACTCCGTCTCAAAAAAAAATAAATAAATAAGAGAGAGAGAGAGATGGCAGGAGAACTTATAGATTAAGAGACACATATCAAGTAATTGCAATGTGTGGACCTTATTTGGAACCAAATTTAAACAAACTTAAAAAAATTGTGACATCATGAGGCTATTATAAATGTGAAGAGGATATCAAAGATACATTTTACAGATGTATACTGATTATATTGTAGTTAAGATTATACAATATATGGGGCTTCCTTCAAAACAATTTGTGAGGGAAATGGGTAAGGGAACAGATGAAAAAATGTTCACCATGGCAGGATCATTTTTGAAGTTGACTGATGGGTACCTGGAGATTGATCATACTATTCCTTCTACTCTCTTCTCCACTTTTATATGTGTTTGAAATTCTCCACAATAAAAATTTTAAATACATGAGGCTAATATGCCAGAATATTCACAGTCATTAGTCCTGGATAATGGGAACATAAGTATGATGTTACTTTCTGTAGTTTTCTCTATTTTTATAATTTTTCCCAAAACCTCAACAACTATACATTTTAAAATGCAATAGAAAAATCTTAATGTATGGCCTTATACTTTTCTGTACCTATGGTTCCAGACATTTTTGCTGGTACAACTGGAATTCTCATTGTAGAACTTAGGAAGTCTTGTAAATCTCATGGAGTTACATTTCTTAAGAATTCTTGAGATCAGATTTTTGGGGGGTGCTGAGTACAGGAGACTTTATTGATGGTACATGACAAGGTGAGGATCTCTAGGCCCCTCCCATTCTTCAGGGGGTCTGGCATGAAAATGTGTTAAGGAGGGGAGAATTTCAGTGAGGTGGGGGACTGAGTGGGGCAGGGACTCCCCAACAGCTGAGAGTCCAGTCTCTCTCTTCCTCTCGTGCTCTTGCTGGGGCTGGCAGTCTAGGGGGTCTTACTCCTTGGAGGCTATGTGGACCATGAGGTCCACCACCCTGTTGCTGCAGCCAAATTCATTGTCATAGCAGGAAATGAGCTTGACAAAGTGGTCGTTCAAGGTGACGCCAACCCCAGCATCGAAAATTGAATATTGAGTGTTGCTGTTAAAGTCAAAAGATACAACCTGGTGCTCATTGTAGCCCAGGATGCCCTTGAGGGGGCCCTCCTGAAGGCAGGTGAAGATGCCTGCCTCACCACTTTCTTGATGTCATCATATTTGCCAGGTCTTTCCAGAAGGCAGGTCAGGTGATGATCTTGGCCGGGGGGCTAATCATCTTGTGGTGCAGGAGGCATTGCTGATGATCTTGAGGCTGTTTGGGTACTTCTCATGGTTTATGTCCATCACAAACTTGGGGCCATCAGCAGAGGGGGCAGAGATGATGACCCTTTTGGCTCCCCCCACCCCCTGAAAATGAGTCCTAGCCTTCCCCATGGCAGTGAAGACACCAGTGGACTCCACAACATAATCAATGCCGGAATCACCCCATTTGATTTTGGTAGGATCTCGCTCCTGGGAGATGGCAATGGGATTTCCATTGATAACAAACTTCCCATTCTCAGCCTTAATGGTGCCATGGAACTTGCCATAGGTGGAATGAGAAGGGAACATGTAGACCATGTAGTTGAGGTCAATGATGGGGTCATTGGTGGTGACAATATACACTTTGCCAGAGTTAAAAGCAGCCTTGGTGACCAGGAACCCAATACAGCCAACTCGTTTACTCTGGCCTTCATTTTCACCATGGTGTCTCAGGGACATGGACAGCGCTGCACAAGAAGATGCAGTGGATCAGTTCTAGTGTCCAAGAGGAATAGAAAAACATGAATCAGTGGGGGGAAGCAGGGAGAGAGGAGAGAGGAAGAATATGAGTAGGGGAGAGACTTTGGAAACAACACTTCCAAAGCTTTAGTGTAAAAGGAAAGAGAAAAAATGGGGCAGTTCTTAGAGAGGGAAGTGGGTCAAGAGATACGTTTGTTCACTGATGAAAATGATCTGGTAGAGCAGGAAAAATTAATGATTTAGAAGACAGGAGAAATGTTATAGCCATAATCTTGAGTAGGTGAGAGGGGTGGGAATCTAGTAGACAAGTGGAAGAGTTGCCCCTAGATGGGAGACACCTCTTCCATTGTAACATATTTGGTTGTAGGAGCTTTGAGAAGTCCTTTTAATCTTCCGATTGCTTCTATTCTCTCAATAAAATAGGAAATGAGATCATCTGCATAGAATGAGGATGGGAGAGGGAGTGTTGGCACTTTGAAGAGAGAGGAATAGATGTAACAGTCTTTTAGGAGACTTGGAGAAGGAATATCTAGGGAACTAGTTTGGTTGCCAGGCACGCAGCTCTAAGGACTCACTTGTGGCTAGCAGTCATTAATTTAAAGTGAGACCAGTCATCAGCCATCGTGGTTTTGTATTTTCCCTCAGCCACATGTCAGTTGCAGGTGCAGAGCAGGCAGAGAGTTGAATCGAAACAGGTTCGGGATTTTGTCAAGTGAGTATGCAGATGTGAGGAGGGTGAGGAGCTGGAATGTATGCAAGAGAGTGATTACAGTGACTAAGCATCGAAGGAAAGCTCAGTAAGTTGGGGAGAGAGGACATCAAGTGGGTGGGGGACAGTGAAAACAAAGGAAGATCTATGGATTGGACGTCTCATGCAGGCAAAGATAGTTAGAGTCACTAGTGGGAGCGAGCTGGACAGGGAGAAGATGGTAGTCTCCTATCTAGCCTTGCAATGAGACATTGAAAGTTTTGGTAGAAAAATTGGTAATGGTCAGGTCTAGGGTATGATCATGGAAGTGAGTGGCTGAGGTGGGTCAGGGTGGACAAGATCACTGAAAGAGAGGAAGTCAAGGAACGAAGAGGCCACAGGTGGAAGGGTCTTCCTCATGGATACTGAGGTGGCAGTGGTAATATTAGCAGAGATTGTATTTGTGGCAGTAGCAGCAGCCGATGTAGCTGTTATGGTTGTCATTGTGAGGAAGGAGACAAATAGAACTCTATGAAGAATGCAAACATCCGACAGGCATGATGGCTCACACCTGTAGTCTCAGCACTTTGCGAGGCTGAGGAGAGGGAACACGAGGTCAGGAGTTCAAGACCAGCCTGGCCAACATAGTGAAACCCCATCTCTACTAAAAATACAAAAATTAGCCAGACATGGTGGTGGGTGCCTGTAATCCCAGCTATTTGGGAGGCAGGAGAATTGCTTGAACCCAGGAGACAAAGATTGTAGTGAGCGGAGATCACGGCACTGCACTCCAGCCTGGGCAACAAGAGTGAAACTCCATCTCAAAAAAAAAAAAGAAAAAAGAATGCAAACGTCTTCCCTACAGAGAGGTCTTCTCTGCCATCCTGGTTAAAGGAGCCCTTCTCACACTCTGTCACTCCCCTGCCCTATCACTACTTATCCTATTACCCTGTTTTATTTTCTTTTTTTTTTTTTTTTTTTTTTTTTTTTTTTTTTGAGACGGAGTCTCGCTCTGTCGCCCAGGCTGGAGTGCAGTGGCGGGATCTCGGCTCACTGCAAGCTCCGCCTCCCGGGTTCACGCCATTCTCCTGCCTCAGCCTCCCAAGTAGCTGGGACTACAGGCGCCCGCCACTACGCCCGGCTAATTTTTTTGTATTTTTAGTAGAGACGGGGTTTCACCATTTTTTAGCCGGGATGGTCTCGATCTCCTGACCTCGTGATCCGCCCGCCTCGGCCTCCCAAAGTGCTGGGATTACAGGCGTGAGCCACCGCGCCCGGCCCTGTTTTATTTTCTTGAATGCACTCATTGCTGTCAGAAAAATGGCACGTTTATTTATTGTTTTCCTTATCTGTGTCTTCCACTAGATTGTAAACTCCATGAATTTGCCTTTTTCAATGCTTCATTCTCAGGGCCCATATGGTGCACTTAATAGTAGCCAGTTGAAAATGATGAAAAAAGAATGATGGAGTTTTATCATGCATGTGCTGGATTCCTAGCACATAGTAGGACTCCTTATGGGAACTTTGGAAAGTTGAGGGAATGGAATGCATTTAGGAAAGAGTGTGCCTGTGTCAAGTAGGAGCGTGTTAGGTGTTACACGTTGATTGAACATAAAATTCTCTGGAATGACTTCCCCTGCGCAGCCCACTGAGGATCTGATCTTAGTTTCCAGGCAAAGAACCTGTAGCAGGCCTTTCTGTGTGTTACAGTGCCTGCTCCACCCTTATCCTCTCCATACTTCTTTTTAAATTTTGTTTCTTAGAGATTCATCTTAGGTTAATAGCCACAAGAAGCTGTCACACATTTATGTATCAATTTCTGGACCAGGTGTGGTGGCCCACGCCTGTAATCCTAGCATTTTGGGAGGCTGAGGCAGGTGGATCACTTGACGTCAGGAGTTCAAAACCAGCCTGGCCAACATGGTGAAACCCTGTCTCTACTAAAAATACAAAAAATTAGCCTGGCATGGTGGCGGGAGCCTGTAATCCCAGCTACTCACGAGGTTGAAGCAGGAGAATCACTTGAACCTGGGAGGCGGAGGTTGCAGTGAGCCAAGATCGTGCCACTGCACTCCAGCCTGGGCAGCAAGGTGAGACTCTGTCTAAAATAAAATAAAATAAAATAAAATAATTTCTGAACAGAAGGGCTCCTGATTAAGAGGAAGAGCAAGTAGTTGATCTGAAGAAGAGTGCTGTGGTGGGGGTTGTATAGAGTTACATGAGGTCACTAAGGGACCTGGGAACACAGGGTGTATTGATCTGTTTTCATGCTGCTGAAAAAGACATACCTGAGACTAGGCAATTTACAAAAGAAAGGTTTAATGGACTTACAGTTCCATGTGGTTGGGGAGGCCTCAATCATGGCAGAAGGTGAAAGGCATGTCTCACATTGCGGCAGACAAGAGAAGAGCTTGTGCAGGGAAACTCCTCTTTTTAAAACCGTTGGATCTCATGAGACTTATTTGCTATCACGAGAACAGCACGGGAAAGACCTGCTACCATGACTCAATTACCTCCCACCAAGTCCCTCCCACAACACGTGGGAATTCAAGATGAGATTTGGGTGGGGACACAGCCAAACCATATCACAGGGTATTGGGAGAGCTGGGAAAGGAGGATAGGGATGAGATGTAGGAGCATACCAAAGACAAAATTACTTTGTTGTCAAATTTTGACTAGAAAAAGAAGAGGGATTCCACCCCTTCTTCCCCGAGTCTTGCCCTGTCTCCTTTATTCAGCTACACTGCTGGATGCCTGCCTGGTTCCCAACCTTTAAGGTTTTTAGTCTCTAAATTCAGTAGTGTTGGACAAGCGCTCTGATATCTGCAGAGGCAGGACAAAGGTTGAAGGAGTCCTCTGCTAGGAGGTGGAAGGGACAATCAAAGTTTAGTAGCCTGAGCTGGCCCTGGAAGAGCAAGTAGGAGCTCTTCAACCAGACTAAGTTAGAGAAGGGCGGCATTCTGGGCAGAAGGAATATTGTATATAAAGGATTTAGAGTCAGAAAACAGTAGGGCTCTTTGAAGAACTACAGATTGTGTTGTAAGTGAATGACACGTAAGGTTTGTAATGGGTGAATGATAATCATTGATGAATGGCAGATCACGTTGACAGCTAGGCAGGGCCAGAATCTGTAGGATCTTACATGTCTTGCAATAAGTTTTGACTTTGTCCTTGGAACCCAGTTGGGGCTCCCCTCCACCCCGATTCCTCATGACAGGGAAATATGTAGTATTGTGCATTGTAAGATTTCAAAACCTTGCTAGTGAGAGGCCTGCTTAACATTGTTTAATCCAGTTCAATTTATGTAGGGGAGGTTTTTGAAATTTTTTGTTTAATTTTGAAGGTACTCTTTTGCCAGTTTGAGAAATGCTACTGCAGACAATAGGAAGCTACTGAACTTTTAGGAAGACAGAGAAATGATCATATCTGGTTGCATATAGACTTGAATGAGGGAGACTAGGTCTCAGGACGTGAATCAAGGAAAAGCCAATGGAAATACGGCATGGTGAAGTGGATTTGAGAAGGGTAGTAATGATAAGCTTTAGTGGCCAGTTGGATATAGAAGGTGTGAGACAGGAAAAGGTCTAGGGTGACTTCTAAATTCCTGGCATGGCTTTTTAGGCAAATCATACTCATTAAAGGAGTAGAGGGAATTGGTGGTGGCTAGGGGGTGGGGTAGATTTTTTGGAAGAAAGAAAAAATGAGCCTATTGAATTTTAGCTGTCCGCAAACATGTATAATAGATCATTGAATCTGTGGATCTGGAGCACATGAGAGATCAGTGCTGAAAATATGAATTCATAGTTGCCATGGTAGATGGTCCAGTAGTGCCACCCCTGATGAGACTTTTACAAAGAAAAGAGCCTGAGGAATATTAATCATTAAAAAGCAGGCAGAGGAAATGGAGGCCTGGTCACCTGGCTACCAACCTGCTAGTCCCCATGAATAATATATAGTACTATTAATGCTTGATTGTACATAGTACATACATAAGCCTTATAGTACTAAACAGCTTACAGTACATGCATATAAGCAAGTATTAGCAATCTCCTAATCAACTGTAATACATCAATATTACACTTACATACAAAACCAACTCCATACGAATATTCACCAGTATTCAAAATCTTTAACATTGCATGGTACATTTGTTCGTTCACTGGACATAGCACATTTTAGTCAAATCTATCCTTGCCAACATGGATATCCCCTTCCATATTTTGATCTCTTAATCTACCAACTTCCGAGAAACCATCATCCCGCTAAGGCATGTTACCCTCCTCACTCCATGTACTATGTACTATGTAGTTCACGTACTATGAGGGAGACTAGGTCTCAGGACGTGAATCAAGTAAAAGCTGATGGAAATACGGCATGGTGAGGTGGATTTGAGAAGGGTAGTAATGATAAGCTTTAGTGGCCAGTTGGATATAGAAGATGTGAGATAGGAAGAGGTCTAGGGTGACTTCGGAATTCCTGACATGGCTTTTTAGGCAAATCATACTCATTAAAGGAGTAGAGGGAATTGGTGGAATTCCCCAGTTCCAGAGGGAATTGCCTCAACAGTAGGCTAGTGTAATGAGTGTGAACTGCAGCTCAGCAGAATTGTGGGAGGTAAAATGGGCATTTGTGGGCCATCTTAGGAACCTAGACACTGTTTTCCTGATGAAAAAGAAGTGTATTTCAATTACTTTTGGGACAAGAACTGGTTTTTATTTTATTTTATTTATTCGGATGTTGATAGGAATTATGTCAAATCCGTAGATCATTTGGGGATGACTGACATCATTACTATGCTGAGTCTTCGTATCCAAGACTCTTGTGTCTCTCCAGTCTTTTAAGTCATCTTTGATTTTTTTTTGTTTGTTTGTTTGAGATGGAGTTTCACTCTTATTGCCCAGGATGGAGTGCAGTGGCGCGATCTGGGCTCACTACAACCTCCACCTCCCGGGTTCAAGCAATTCTCCTGTCTCAGCCTCCCTAGTAGCTGGGACTACAGTCACACTCCACCACGCCCGGCTAATAATTTTTGTATTTTTAGTAGATACAGGGCCTCACCATATTGGTTAGGCTGGTCTCAAACTCCTGACCTCAGGTGATCCACCTGCCTCGGCCAAGTGCTGGGATTACAGGCATGAGCCACCGTGCCCAGCCAAGAACTGTTTTTTAAATGAATTTTTGGAAAATAGCCCCTTGAAAGACTGTGCTGCCTACGTGTCATTCCTTAATTTGTTGGTAAGGCTTTTCAATGTCAAGTCATTCCCATTCTGGACTTTCGGGGGAAAATGAAAAACGCTAATCTTGGTTAAGTGAAGATTATCTTTTCCTGTTTTTGAAAGGCAATATTGGTTGAAAACTGTACGTAAAAACTGGTAAGTAGAGTAGATAACCTGTAAAAGTGTTTAGTAACCTAAACATTCCTTTACAGAGGTCAGTTACTATTGTGGTTGTTATAGTACTTAAATACATTGATTTAAAAATACATACACATAGGACCTGCAGCAGGGCAGGAGGACGGCAACCACAGACTGCACCACAACCTGCAAATGTTGCTGCTCCACTTTTTCACATCCCATGCCCTTCTCCACTTGTTTCTATCAGGCTTCCTTGCCCCCTTACCTCTTCTGAAATAGATCTTGTCAAGGACACTAATGGCTTCCCTGTAGCCAATGCAACAGTCATTCTACTGTCTTCATCTGAAGGCTCAGCAGTAGCATTAGACACGTGAACAGCTTCTTCCTCCTTGAAACAGTTTTTCCTCTCATCTGCTTCAAATAAACAACTTCTGGGTTTTCTTCTATCTCACTGGCTACTCTTCCTTCTCCTCCACTTGACCTCGAAATGTGGTGACCTCTAAATGTGCCTGTTTCTCTTAGCATTCCTCTCCATTCCCGTGGCCTTGACTGTCACAACTCTCATCTCTGGACTAACAGCTCTTCCTAGGCCAGAACACTCCCCTGTATTTCCATCTGCCTGCTGGACATCTCCTCAAACTCAAAATGTCCTGAGCACAGCTCTCACCTTGCCTCCATATCCTCACCATATATCATACTCTGTCTCTGCCATCTCTTTATTATTATTATTATTATTTATTATTATTATTAAGATGGGGTCTTGCTCTGTCACCCAGGCTGGAGTGCGGTAGCACCATTATAGCTCACTGCAGCCTCGAACTCCTGGGCTTAGGTGATCCTCCTGCCTCAGCCTCTCCAGTAGCTGGGACCACAGGAATGCACCACGGTGCTCACCTTCTGCCATCTCTTTAAATAGTACCAGCCGATATCCACTTGCTCAGGCCAAAAGCCTCAGGGGCATCACTGACTCCTCTTTCACTTTCACTTACCTCCGTATACAACTCCCTCATCAAGCCCTGTCAGTCTTACCTTCTACATGTCTCATGAATCTGTCCACTTATCTTCATCTCCATCCACCACCCTGGTCAAACCAACACCCTCTCTTACCTGAGTGCCTGAACTTGTCTCCTAACTGATCTTACTGCCTCCAGCCTTCCTCCCCTACAGCCCACTCTCCCCTTAGCAAGAGCCATGGTCTTTTCTTTTTCTTTTTTTTTTCGTGTGTGTGTGTGTGTGAGACAGAGAGAGAGAGAGAGACGGAGTCTCGCTCTCTCACCCAGGCTGGAGTGCAGTGGCACAATCTCGGCTCACTGCAACCTCTGCCTCCCAGGTTCAAGTGATTCTCCTGCCTCAGCCTCCCAAGTAGCTGGGACTATAGGCATGTGCCACCAGGCCTGGCTAATTTTTGTATTTTATTTTTAGTAGAGACAGGGTTTCGCCATTTTGGCCAGGCTGGTCTCGAACTCCTGACCTCAGGTGATCCACCTGCCTTGGCCTCACAAAGTGCTGGGATTATAGGCATGAGCCACCGCGCCCGGCCGAGCCATGGTCTTTTCAAAACATAATTTGGATTATGTCTCTCCCCAGCTTAACACTGTTTAATGGCTTCTCCATTATTGTCAGAACCAGAATCCCAAATCCATAACATGCCCCTGTCTGCTCTCCGGTCTCATATCCCATAACCCCTCCCCTTTCCTGAACTTCTGTGAGCATTTCTTGGTTCCTCAGATATGTGCTGCACTGTGAGTAGTGGCCCTTCACACTTGTGGTCCCTTCTGCTTAGACAGGGGAGCATTTTTCCCTCCACACATCCTCTCCCAGTTGACCTGGCTAACTTCTACTCAGCTTAAATGCCTCTTCCTCCAGGAAGCCTTCTCCGATCCTTACACTCAGCCTTCAGAACCTTTACTCTATGTTTCCAGAGCTTTCTGTCTGCTTTTCCTGTCATAGCATTGATCTAACTGCATTGTAACTGCCTATCTATCCGTCTGTCTTCCTAACTAAATTATTAGCACTGGGGAGAAGGGACGTCTTCCCTCTTTTTGTAAAAATTTAATTTTATTATTATTAGTTTTAGAAAGGGGGTCTCACTCCATTGCCCAGGCTGGAGTGCAGTAGTATGATTATAGCTCACTGCAGCCTCCCAATTACTGGGCTCAAGTGATCCTCCCACCTTAGCCTCCTTGGTAGCTGGGGCTACAGCCATGAGCCATCACACCCAGCTAATTTTTAAATATTTTTTTGGAGATGGAGTGTCTCTATGCTGCCCAGGCTGATCTCAAACTCTTGGCCTCATGTGATCCTCCCACCTTACTCTCCCACGTAGCTGGAATTACCTCTTCTCTTTTGTTCCCCTCTGCATGTCGGGTCTAGCTCATAGCAGGCTCTTTCCATCAGCTCATCCTTATACCTAGAATACTCCTCACCCTCACCTTTGAAAGTCTGGCTACTTATCCTTCAGATTGCTGTTTGAAGTCTGCTCTGCTCATGGATGTTGTCCTGACCATGCTATCTGAGCTAGCCCCCCAGTCACTCTATCACATCACCCTACTTTCATTCTCTGTGTTGCATTTGCCACTCTTGGATCTTTTCCATGTTTGTGTGTTTCTTTTTTGTTTATTGGCTGTTTTCACCAGAAGGAATATACATGCCATAGAAACAGGGCCTTTGTCTGGTTTTGCCCCACATTGTAACACAGCATCTAGGCAAATGCTTGGAATGTGGTAGGATGAGTGTTGGATGAATACATGTTGGATAAGTTGAATGAATGAACTGATAGTGAATGATCAGTCAATCAAACAATCAAAGGTAACCCTCAGAGGAGAGCAGCAATCCTCAAGTGGAAATGGTAAACCAAGTGAGGAGCCTGTGCTGCCCCAGCTGGGATCTAAGATAAGTCATCAGATGTTCCCTAGGGGTGGCCTACATTCTCCCAGCATGCATCACCTCTGGCACTAATTAAAGGAGGACACTAGGGAAGGTTCTTTTTCTACGTTTCCAGATGGGGCAGACTCTTGATATAGGAAGAAAAAACAAATTGCCCCCTATGGCAGGCTGAAGGGAGAGGCTGGCAGACGGCAGCTTTTTAGAAATTTGGGTCGGTGCTGGAGACTTGTTAGTCAGTGACAGGTAAGACCTGGGACACAGATAACACATGGACACATGGACACTCATGAAAAACAGTAGACCATTGGCTAATGATAGAACCCAGGGCAAGGCTGAGCTATCTGGAGGTCTAATGGTCCTTTTGAACAATCTCAGCTTTTCTGGAAGGCAGTGAAGAGGAATGTGGGCTAAGAGTCCCTGCATTGCATCTCTGTCCGGCCTTGAGCTGTCTTCAAACAACCCCCCAACCTCCCCAACTGAGAACAAAGAGCCATCATTTCCACCTCCAGAAGCTTTGCCCACCAGAACGTGTCCAACTTACTAAACAGGGCTCCTTACCCCTGTGAATACTAAGAAGTAAACCGAAACAGAGCCCTTGCCAAGACAACTTCTCCCTCTCTCAGCATCAAAACTGAGGTCCTGTGCCTTCCAGTAAACAGTTCTGAAGTTACCCGCTTTCCTTTTTTAAAATTGCAAGCCGAAAAGCTCTCTAGCAAAGAGTCCCTCCCCCACCCCTCTCTTTCGTGGCGAGCCATGCCAGTTTGGCCATCTCCCAAGGACCAGTGATGCCAGGCATTTTATGAACAAAGCACAAGTTCCTTTGGATGCTGGCTGATTGATGGAAGTCCTGTGGGATTCGACCCTTGGAGGATTCACAGACAAATTACTTGATTATTAAGTACTACCAGAATAGAAATTAAGCTCAAAATAAAAAAACAAACGCCTCAAAGTCCCACTTGCTTGCTATTTACATATTGTTGTAGACAATTAAGCAGACTATGTGTCCTCTGGTCCAAGACACTAGTCTATGTGTGATGTTGCACAAACAATAGAAGACATCATTCCTGTCCTTGGAAAGGTCCAGTGGGACCAAGTCACCATGTGTGCAAAAGGCATATATGTTCATGAAGAAATGTGTAGTACACACATATATGGTGTGACCAGCTCCTCTCTCTGCACCATGAGTGGTCTAAGGGTCTCAGCTTTCTTTTGGGCACCAAGACACAAAGACTGGGCCCCATAATATCAGGACTGGGTCCCACTCCTCTCCCCAGGCGAGAAAGCAGCTCAAGCTTAAATTCTGGTCTCTGAAGGAAAAAAAAAAAACTCAGAACAAAAGAGCCTCTCAACCCAAGCTACCTCTGATTGATCCAGAACTGGGTAGTGAGGTGGGGTGGTGCAAATCCAGGAGAACTGGGGAGGGATTTGCTCTTGTGGCTCCAGCCCTACTCTTCCTTGCTTCTGAGTAATGCACTTGATTATTCTCACTCATGCAAGCACATCGAGTTTAGTGGGAAGTATATACACAAACAGATCTGAGCAAGTCCCCGCTGAGTCCTGCATCTCAGACTCTGGCAGCACAGAAATCAGTGAAGCAACTGTGAGCTCATAAAAATTTAAGACGCTTCGTGTGGGAGACAGTGGCTCTGGATGCAAAGGCGGGGAGGAAAAGAAGTAAGAAATGACCAAAAAAGCTAAAAAGCTGAAAAGCAACTTGTTATCTTTTTGCTTCAGGAGTGACCACACCAATACCCTCATTGTGGAATGGGCTTAAGGAAAATGAGAAAGCAAAAATGTGGAGCAATAAGTAGGCATTTCACGGTTTTCTAAAACCACCAAACTCCACACCGCCTCCACCCCGCAGTCCAGAGCACACTGTGGTCCATGATATGAGCAGGGCCAGTGAATGCTGACATGCCCATCCATAGTATACCACATTCCAGCTCCTAGGGGACTCTTTCCTATCCAAACTTGGCTGTGATAAACGGAACTGAGCAGAGGGCTTCCTCAACCCTCAGCTCATGCCATTATTAGCCAAATGGGTACAATGCACCATGCCATAGCAAAATCCACTAACAGCAGCTGGGAAGAGATGGGGAAATACAAGACAGATGGTAAAGTCCTTTGAAGTATGGATACAGTCCCTAAATAGAGAGGAGAGAGCCACACACTGAACATTTCATTTTGTAAGACATAGAATGGCCCAAATGCTGAAAACATGCACTACAATTCCAAAAGTTGTTTCCAAAGTCTAACTTTGACTCTCAAGTCCTTGGGTGAAGATACCTTGCCTCTGAAGACATCGTATGTTGAGCACTTTTTAAGGAACTAACCTCAGAACATGCAACCAATTCCTTGGAATATCCTTAGTGCTGAATTTGCTGTTGTTTGAAAAAATAAGCCAACATTGATCCATGGCAACTAGGCAGATGTTCCAACAAGGCTGCACTACTTTGGGTCCAAAAAGAAGGTGAAGTGGATTTTCTCAGGTGTCACATAGCTTGGCTCTGAAGAGTACTCCCTGCAATGTCTGGCACACTGGCAGCCACATTGGAATAAGTGTGCAATTTCATTTTTCTTTTCTTTTTTTTTCTTTTTATTTTTTTTAGACAAGAGTCTTGCTCTATCACCCAGGCTGGAGTGCAATAGCGTGATCTCGGCTCACTGCAACCTCCGCCTCCCAGATTCAAGTGATTCCCCTGCCTCAGCCTCCCAAGTAGCTGGGATTACAGGTGTGTGCCACTACTCCCAGCTAATTTTTGTATTTTTAGTAGAGACGGGGTTTCACCATGTTGGCCAGGATGGTCTCGAACTCCTGATCTCAGGTGATCCGCCTGCCTCAGCCTCCAGAAGTGCTGGGATTACAGGTATGAGCCACCGTGCCTAGCCTAAGTGTGTGCAATTTCTTTAGGGAACTTCTTAGAAAGGCAACACATTTAATAAATGTGCAAGTTCTGATGACATTTAATACATACGAAAGCCCCAATATGCTTGCTGAAAATCAACCTTTACCTTTTTTGTTGTATCAGGTGTTTGGGGAAGAGGGGAAAGGAATGGGCGGGTACTCAGTCATGGGATGAGAGCACGCTAAATCCATGTGCCCTCTTCCTAGGGTGTAGGAGGAGAGAGCTTCAGCGCAGGGTTCAGCAAACTTTTTCTGCAAGGGCCAGATAGTAAAAATTTTCAGCTTTGCCTGCCATATGGGGTCTGTTACATAACTTAACTCTGCTATTGCAGTGCAAAAGCAGCCTTAGACAATACTCAAACAAATGAGCATGGCTGAATGCCAATAAAACTTTATTTGCAAAATCAGCTGGGAATGGATTTGCTCTGTGGGCCAGATTTGGTCTGCAGTTCCTAGTCTGCCAACCCCTGCTCTTGTGCAAAGCAGACACTCATTTGCAGACTTCTTGTTTGACATCTCCAAACAACTTGCTGAAAGGTAAAGGGGCAAGCAGAGGTCCCTGAGCTCCCATAATCACTTCTCTTCAACCATTCTCGGTTGAATCCCATGATGTCATTCTGAAATGCAGTGGGTCATTGACAGGGTCACATTACTCAGAGAAAAACAGGATGTTTGACACCTAAAATATTCAGAACAAGCCCAGAGCTCATCTCTGCAAAAATGCTCTTATATAACAGGAAGCAAGAAGAAAGGGAAAGCGGCGACAGGAGGCTGGGAGGGGACAGCCGCTCTTGGAGAAGGCGCACCGGGTTGGGCTCTGACGGCAGGCCTGCTGCCTAGAGAGTACATCTCTGCTTGCAGCTGTCACTTCAGTGGACAGATGACTTCATTTCAGCTCCCCCCCTCCAATAAAGAGGCAATAATCTCTCACTTGGGAGAAATACCATATGGCAGATGCTTTGCAAAGTTGTAAGAAAACAGTATAAAGTACTTAGCGGGGAAATGCCACTTCCAAAAGCATAAAATTTGTCTAGAAAGGGATCAGGCAGTGTCTTTGAAATACCATAGGTTCCCAGAAGATGAAGTTGAAACCAGTGGGATTGGGTAACAAGAGGGGCATTATCAAGGCAAGTTAACACAGACATCTCCTTTCTTGTGTTTACATACCTTTAGTGTGGCTCAAATCCGAAACACTTATTCCCAAAGCTCACCCTGAACTGCCCTTGCTGAAATCTCAATGTCCACTACTCTCTACCTTGTACTTCAGGCTCGAAAATAACAGGTCTTCTTATTCCCCAAAGACCCAGTGGCATGAAGCCTCTGGCATGTGGCTTTGTGTCTCTGGGCATTTGGTCATGCAGGTTTCTTGTTCTGGAAGGGCCCTTCTGGCTCTTCAAAATTTAGCCTCCCTTGGCTGTTTACTGGGCCTCCCAAGTGTGTTCAGCACCCCCTCTTCTGTGCTACCTTGAGATCTTATACATATTTCTTTTGTTGTACCTAGTACATCGTCGAGTCATTTATTTGATTATATGACTTATTTCCTCCACTAGACCCTGAGCTCCTTGCTCTCTGATTTGTCTCTGGATTCCCAAAACCTAGGTAGTGCTGGGCTTATGAGAACAGCCCCATAAACATTTGCAGAATTTGGTGTCCAATAGTGGGGGGAGCCTCACTTGCTCAGCTGATCTCCTTTGGACCAGAGCTATATTTTCCAGGGCAAGCCTAGGTTAGGGTTCCATTTTGAGGTCTCTAGAACAAAATCCCCAGTAGCCTTGGGTTCCTCAGCATGGGGCTCTGGTCAACTGAGTTGCTGGCGCAGTTCTTTCATTAACTCTCTTAACTCAAATGTCTGCACCAAGATTTCCAATCCAATTACGAAGAGTCTCCCAGCCAGCACCTTCTTATCCTTCAGACCTCATCTTAAATGTCTTCTGAGAGACCGTTCCTGATTTCCCAGTCTGGAGTAGCTCTCCCCATTACTGTCTTGGCTTACCACATGACTTGGCATTTAGTAGGCATTCAATAAATACCTGTTGAAAGAGTGAGTGAAGGCATTTTGCAAGGTTTGAGTAAGCTAACGCCCATGGAATGCCTCAGACACATTCATTGCCTATAGACACACAGTAAATGTTTCCTTTATCAACATCTCTTCAGACACACTAATCCCAGGAAGCAACTAGGATAATGAAGCGACATCTCCCCGACTCCAGCACTTACAAAAATGCTTCCTTCCACCTACAGACAAATATAAAGGGAGAAGAATTCCAAAAGGAAGGCAGTTGTCATCTTTGACATACAAATGAAACGTGCTCAAAGTGGACAGCATTTATGTTCCCTTAAAGTGTGGCAAAAGCCAAGTTCCCCACAGCTTGAGCAAACAGGAAGACAAGAAATGTTCACACATAACCTTAAAAGTGGATCCAACCATGCCGCAGAGTGAGGCAAGCCTGGCTTAGGAGATTATGCCCATATAAGGCCCCACAAGCAGCTCCCAGTGGAGGCTGAGATAATTTGGCACCTCTCAGCAAAAACCAATAAGATTTGCCTTTAGGGCTTTGTTCACAAATAACCCCAAGTCGGCTGTCTACATTTTCATCTAAACATTTGATGAAAAACCTAATACCACCCTAAACATTTCAGCCTCAAAGACTCTGAAGGAAGTGCTGGAAATAACTCAAAGGCAGCCATCATCTGAAATGCTCACTCAAGTCTCCCCGGTGGTCTTTCTGAGTTGCTGAGGAAGAGCTGGGATAGGGAGGCAGGGCTCTGGGGACCACCTGAACTCAGAGATGGGCTGAGATCTGTTTCCTTTTCTGTCAGTGACAGTAAAGGGCTAGATAGTAAGCATTTTTCACTTTGCGGGCCATAGGTCTATCACCACTGCTCTACTCTACCACTGTAGTGAAAAAGCCTTAGGCAAGACGTGAATGAATGGGCATGGCTGTGTTCCAATAAAATTTTATTGATGGTCACTGAAATGTGAATTTCATATAATTTTCATGTGTCACAAAATATACTTTTGATTTGTTACAACCACTTAAAAATACAAAAACCAGTCTTAGCTCTCAGGCAGCACAAAAACAGTCAATGGGCTGGACTCGACCTGTGGGCTGCAGCTAGCTAATCCCTGCAGCAGGCAGTAATGTACAGTAATGTGTAGTAACCAGCAAAGAACACAACCTCAGGCCCTTGGGCTCACTTGGATTCTGCAAGTTAACTTCTGCCACTTTCTGGCTATGTGACTTTGAGTAAGTCAGTAAAATCTCTGAGCCTCAGTTTCCCCATCTGTCTGGACCTCCTTGCCACTGCTGGAATGAGCATTAAAAGAGAGAAGCCATCTCATGATGGTGCTTGGCACACATAAACACTCTGTAGATGTTAGCTACTGTTATCTGAAGTTCCCTTTGATTACAGCTGGCATTCTCCCTTCTGATATCCCTAGTGCCTAGCACACTATGTGGCACACAGTAGACACTCATGAATCTTGGTTGAATGAATGAATGAATGAATGAATGAATGAATGAATACATGCTTGAATAAAATCCCATCGAAATGCAGCAACTGACACTTTCACTCTCTAGCTGCCCAGGCTGTCAACTTGCAGCCTCCATCACTTCCAAACTTTTAGTTTTGGCCCAGTGTTGTTGTTGGGTCAGCACTGGGGCAAGTGGTTGGAGTTGCACTTGGTACAATTTCAGATGTGCACATAGTAAGTACTCAATAATTGCTTGAGGAATGAATTAATAGACATCTATTGCCCAAGTGAAGCGATAACTTCAAGTATTTTAATTTCAAAAAGAGAGATACCCCTCCTTTGCACCCAGTCCTAGGGCTCATGATGTTGGGGAAGTGGTGATTAAGATGAGGTGACCTCCCTGAAAGTCCGCCCCGGGGAGGGACAAGGTAATTGTCCAGCACTGCATGTTGGTCTTCTCCTGCTTTCTTCAGCTAGTCCCACAGAGGGACACTGGCCTGCCCACCACCTGCCTCTCTAGGAGACCAAGCTCTTGTACAAACAAACTGTTCAGGGCTTTTTAGAGCCAAATTTCTATCTGCGTACGCATTCTCATCCAGAGGGCCATTGCTCCAGCTGCTAAGGTAAAAAGGGGGTTAGCCAGTGATTTGGGCCCATGTGCTTCATGGGGGGAAGCCATTTATTTTTGTATAAACAGCATATGGTGCTCACCTACCCCTCACAAGGAGGCTGTGGGAATTCCTGGCACACGAGTAATTTTAAGTTTCAAAGTTTTTCTAGGGTCCTGAAAAAAAAAAGCTGCAGAAAACACGGAAAAGGAAATCATCTTGAGTTGGACACGACAGCCCTTGAACCATGAAGAGCATCACGTGCAGATCAGAGGCCCCAGCGAAACTCTCCCTGGAGAAAAGGCCCAGCAAGCCCAAGCCAGGCCGATAGGGGATTGATTTCCCACCCCCGGAAACAGCGCAGGAATCAATGAGTGTGCTGTGATCCAGAGCTGACTGCCGGGAAGCCTTGGCCTTGGCCAATGCTAGGCAGGAGGCTGTGGGCTACGTGAGCACTGACAAGACCCTTAAAGGCTTCCAACTTTCCTCTGGAGGAAGGCTTGACTTGGATCCCACTATAAGTTCTGTCAACCACATCAGAGCAGTTTCACAAAAGCCACTCAGAAAATGGAAAATGTTAAGGACATTTGTGGGAACCAAGAAGGAGCCAGACACAAGTATGGCATCATTTTCCCCACCACCCAAGGAGCCACCATCCCAAGTCTTGAAGAAGCACAAAGGGAAGTCGAGGTCCTCATGCCTGTTGAGCAGGCCCCCGGGAGTCTGCACCTCAGAGCCTGCTTTGGGCCTTGAGACTTCAGTCTGCTTTGAGCCGATGGTGGCACCAGCCATTTCTTATGATTAATCATAGTAATAATCGCCATGACAGCTACCATTGACAGGGTGTTCACTGTAGGCCAGGCACTGTGCTAAGTAGCTGTGTGATCTTGGACCTTCGCTGAACCACTCTGAGCCCCAGTTCCTTCCTTATCGGCAAGAAAGGGATAGCAATGGCACTCAGCTCAGAGAGTTGTTCTGTGGATTCGATGAGGCCATGCTTATAAAGGGCTTAACCCTGTGCCTGGCCCAGATTAGGTGCTTCAACAAGAGACAACCGCTATTATTATTACATGCGGGAAATAGCTGACGATTCAGATCAAAGGGGAAAATGACAATGGCCTTAATTCTGTTGTTGTAATTCTCCCTTTCTCCCTCTCCTTACCTTCTTCTTTCTCAACTTATCCTGTTTTTTATTTTATTTTATTTTATTTTATTTTTTGAGAATGAGTTTCACTCTTGTTGCCCAAGCTGGAGTGCAATGGTGGGATCTCGGCTCACTGCAACCTCCTCCTCCCGGGTTCAAGCAATTCTCCTGCCTCAGCTAGGATTACAGGTGCCCACCACCACACCTGGCTAATTTTTTTTTTTTTTTTTGTATTTTTAGTAGAGAGGAGGTTTCACCATGTTGGCCAGGCTGGTCTCGAACTCCTGACCTCAGGTGAGACACCCGCCTTGGCCTCCCAAAGTGCTAGGATTACAGACGTGAGCTTACCCTGATCTTAAACATAGACTTTCCATTCTCTCCCAGCCCTGTGAAGTGCAGGGAGGGCAAAAGCTTGCATGGCCATGGAGAAGCACGCACGAGCCACTCACAGGTTTGTGTGCCCACCAATGGCAACTCCAAGCAGATCGCCTCTTCTTTCTCCTTGCCAGGTCCGTTTTTGGCACTTTACATCTCCCAGCCAATACGGTTTTGGTCGGCTCCATGGAGCAGTGCATGAGGCATGCCACAGAAACATGAGAAGTAGCTAGTTGGCTATCTTGTCAGGTTGTGTAGCTGTGAGTCAAAAAAATGCCAAAACATTTGAAAGCAGAATTCACCCCTTCTGTGACAGCCACCAGAGTAATGCTCAAAAAGGTATTTTTTCCTCTTCTGTGGGTAAAGCAGAAGAGAAGAAAATGAGTGGCAGTCACTAGTCCAGTAAAGGGAATGTTTGATCTTGGTTTGTTCATTCATTCGCTCCTTTGTTCATCCCTCACATTCTTGGTAGGTTCCTGTATCTACTTTTTGCTGAGCAGTATACCTAACACTGGGGGAAATCAGACGATTGAGACAAGGGTGTCTGAGCCTATGGCTTACTGTCTAGTGGGGGAGATGGATAAAATAAATGAACAATTCTAATGTAGTGAGAGGAGTTCTCTGCAGCTGAGGAGCACAGGGCACTGTCAGTCCCCAGAGGAACCAGCATCGAACTCAACCTGGGAATGTGTTTGTTTCAGTTCACGAAAAAGCCAGCATCCAAATCAAAAAGATGGCCAGGAGTGGAGGCTCTCACCTGTAATCCCTGTAGTTTGGGAGACCAAGGCAGGAGGATTGCTTGAGCCCAAAAGTTTGAAACCAGCCTGGGCAATATAGCAAGACCCTTTGCCTACAAAACAATTTTAAAAAATAAAAGATGGTCTTTGCTTAAAACAAGTGAATGCAAGCAGCCTGGGAAACCAAATGCAGAGGCCACCAAGCCTCCAAAGGCAGCCTGGAAAGTTACTCCTCTGCATCTTGTTCTGTGCCTGTTTCTTTTCTATCCCTCAGCCCATTGATTAGGCTCATGCCTTTCACTCTCAAGAAAGAGTTAATCTTATATACAGTAGGATTTCAATTTTCCAAAGTTTCTGAATGTGTGGGTGCATATGCATATAGAGTAAAAAGACTGGAAGAAGCCTCACTAAAATGTTAACAATGGTTATCTTTGGGTAGCATTTTCATGTCTCATTTCTTAAATATTTTAATTTTTTCCACAATGAACATGTATTATTTTTATAATCTGAAAACAATGTCATTAATTTCAAAAGTGCAGGTCTGCAAAAAGCTATGTGCTGTATGCTTCTGTTTATATGACATGCTGGAAAAAGCAAAACTACAGGGACAGGAAATATGTCAGTGGTTGTCAGAAGCCCAGGGTGGGGAAAGGGATTAACTACAAATGGGCACAGGGGAAGTTTTTGGAGAGATGAACCCGATTCGTCTGTTGATTGTGGTGATAGTTACATGTCTGTGTTTTTCTTTTTTCTTTTTTTTTTTTTTTTTTTTTGAGATGGAGTTTCACTCTTGTTGCCCAGGCTGGAGTGCAATGTTGCAATCTCAGCTCACTTCAGCTCACTCCAGCCTCCGCCTCCTGGGTTCAAGCCATTCTCCTGCCTCAGCCTCCTGAATTGTTGGGATTACAGGCTCCTGCCACCACGCCAGGCTAATTTTTTGTATTTTTAGTAGAGACAGGATTTCACCATTTTGGCCAGGCTGGTCTCGAACTCCTGGCCTCAGGGGATCCACCCGCCTCGGCCTCCCAAAGTGCTGGGATTACAGGCGTGAGCCACCACACCCGGCCGTCTATGTTTTTCAAAGCTCACAGAGCTATATGCTAAAGGATAAATTTTATGGCATATAAATCATACTTCAATAAGCCAGAGGTTTTGTTTGTTTGTTTTGAGACAGAGTCTCACTCTGTCGCCCAGGCTGGAGTGTGGTGGTGTGATGTCAGCTCACTGCAACCTCCACCTCCCAGGTTCAAGCGATTCTCCTACCTCAGCCTCCCGAATAGCTGGGATTACAGGCATGCGCCACCAGGCCCGGCTAATTTTTGTATTTTTAGTAGAAACTGGGTCTCTCCATGTTTGCCAGGCTGGTTCCAAACTCCTGACATCAGGTGACCTGCCAGCCTTTGCCTCCCAAAGTACTGGGATTACAGATGTGAGCCACCGCGCTTGGCCAATGAGCCAGAGTTTTTCTAAAAAGTGAGTTTAGATTATTTTTCCACTTCCATCATTTCTGGAGAATCTGATGGACCCAGGAAGATAATGAAATGTTTGAAGTGTATGATCTTAAAAAGATTACAAAAACAGACAAAGGAAATTTTCTTATTCCTGTCAGTTCTCTTAAAGTTCAGCCTTAGATGGCTGGGGCTTGAGTTTTGTTTTTTTATTCTTTGCTCCTTTTTTTTAAAGTCACTCGAGGCCAGAATTTATGTGAAAGACATAGTTTTTCTTGGTATCTAATGAGGTGACTTTAGAATGATTTCAAGTATGATTTACAACTGGAGTGCTATCTTTATGAAACATTTATATCTGTGACAACACCTAATAAAACTTTTTATTGGAAACATTGTTTGTATGGTTAGAACAGACTGTCAAAATAATCCCCCTTGGACCAGATGCATCACAAACTGATCATTTACTCTGTTGTTCTTGCCGGTATCATATTTAAATTCAATCTGATGGGGACTAGAGAAAAGGGCAAGCCGATGACATCATTTTCTTTATAAAGATTGAAGTTTTCATTTACTACAAGGGACACGATATAAAGACTATCTTACAGTAAGAAACTACAATGCCCACAAGCTGGAAATTTCTGTCCTGAACTACCCAACTAGACACTGTTATTTGAATTCAGTCATGTCATTAAAATATTTAAGACCTGGTTTGTGCTTTATTTGATATAGAATTGGATCATTGTCTATAAGTACAGACTCTAGATGCTGTATAATTAGAGTGGTATCTGAAGCTATCTTTTTTTTTTTTTTTTTTTTGAGACAGAGTTTCGCTCTTGTTGCCCAGGCTGGAGTGCAATGGCACAATCTCGGCTCACTGCAACCAACCTCCACCTCCTAGGCTCAAGCGATTCTCCCCCCTCAGCCTCTGTAGTAAGCCTGGCTAATTTTTGTATTTTTAGTAGAGATGGGGTTTTGCCATGGTGGCCAGGCTGGTCTCGAACTCCTGACCTCAGGTGATCAACCTACCTCGGCCTCCCAAAGTGCTGGGATTACGGGCGTGAGCCACTGGCCTGAAGCTACCCTTTCGTTTCTTCCTTAGCCTAACAACAAGAAAAAGTTCTATAATATACCAGGGTTATGGAGAGGAAGTGGCAACTGGCTCAGCACAGATAGAAGCAGTGTGCCAGTTACTTTTGCTTTTAATTTACCTTGTAAGTTCTTCTGTTCATCCTTAGAAGTGACTCCAAATGCGTGGTACAGAAACTACATGCACAGATGCTGCTTGTTCACATAAAATCAGTGGAGAAATCAGAGAAATACCAAAAATATCTAATAATAAGCTATTGATCCTGCTAAAGGGCATAATGAAAAGATGGCATGAAGTTCTCTACAAGAAAAAAATGGCCATTTTGATCTATTACATTTACAAACTAGAAATGCTGAGCTCTAAAACCACATATCTAATAAATGCTGAGCTCTAAAACCATGTATCTAATGACAAGGCTATCTTCACCACTAGACTGTGAGCTCCTTGAGTGCAGGCAGCATGCCTGATGTACCTCTGACTTTCTAGATCAGACAGAAGGAATGAAGGAAGAATTTGTATAATCAAGTCATTGGTTTCCTATGAAACAGAGTTTGGAATCGCACTACTGACATCCCTACCAATGGGTCAGAAAGAACAGAGCTCAGTGTAATGAGAGCAGAGCTGTGGGCTCCATTGTTACATAGAATAGCCAGCTTTGTCCTGGACTGCCTTTGTAGGTAAAGGGGAGGTTCTGCGTTTAATGTATGTTTTTTAGGTCAGCACATCAGTCCTACAGTTTCTGGGTGAAGAAATAAATTCCTGCCGAGGAAGGAATGTAATTGGGGTTTAACACAAGCAATTTTAGGAAAGACCTCTACGTATCAGGACCAGCACTACATTTCTTAAAAAAAAAAAAAAAAAAGACATCTCTTTGTCCATCATCTTTCTCTCAAGTTAGTTCTGAAGTGACTTTTCCCAGCCACTCCGGAGGCAATGAGGACTTCATTTTGGAAACATTGGCTGAGTGTACTGGTGACTCACACCTCTGATGAATTAATAAAAGTTGAGAAAACAAAAACCAGATGTTTCCTTCATCTTAATATAGACCCCTAAGCTTTCTTTTTTCAGTTATACTGTCACTTGCTGATTTCCTTCTAGTGAGGCAAAGCCCAATATTTTGAAAGTTTGTATCCATGCCTATTGGATGACCTCCATCCCAACAGTTGCTATTTGGTTCAAATTTCCATAAAGACAGCAGGTCAGGCACGGACTGTTTCAGCAAGCTAGTGGCACACAGTGTTTGAGAACAGCATACCAGAGGGCTTGGACACTAGATTGGATTTGCTTGAGAACTCTTGCAACAGCTTCTGAGGAAAAGCAAAAAGCGAAGCCGTCTCTTAGCTTGCATGCAAACCCACACAGAACCAGAAAGAGACTGGCCAACTAGCCGTGGCTTCCTTTCCACATCCAGTATTCATTCCTTGGCCCTTGACCCTTCTGGAAAATGCTAAAAACTGTGTTTTAGAGAGCCCACAACATATATTTTCATTCTTCTGGCCAGACTGGAGGTGAATACACTGAAATCCAGAGTGACGTACATTTGAAAGTTTCCTAATAACACCACCCATCATTCCCTGAGAACTTCTGTAGCTTTCTGTTTTTCGTAAGGAGGGAAAATAATTTATTTTTTCCTCCATCCATTGTACTTTGGTTAAAGCAATTATTTTTCCCCAGACACCACCCATAGCAAAAAGCTCCAGATGTTTTTAGGTTATAATGAGAGAATGGATGGCAAACCCTGGTGTTTTTCAAACTCGTATCCTTTCCCAGCCTTTTTGTTTGGGGCCCTTAGCCCTCCTCTCCCTCCCCTCTTTTCTTAATTGGGCTCCACCTACCCTTACCTAAGTGATCCAGAAACAAATTTAGATTTGTGCTTTGACCGCTACATCTCTCAATCTCTTGGTCCTAATAGGTATCTTCTAAAATTGTGATTCCCACCACCCCATCCACTGATTTGCCCAATCCAGGTTGCTGGTAATCACTGTAACCTGTCCCCCTCACCCATTCACTACGGCTAGTCTCCAAATCAACACCAACCAGATGTCTCTTGCATCTGTCCCCTCCTTTCGACCCCTACTGTATTCCTGTGCTTAGGCCACCATTCTCTCTCACCTGACCAAGTCTTCTAACCATCATCTCTGTGTCCACTGTTACCCATCTCCAAATAATTCATCCTTTCCACCGTAGCTACAGTAAGTGATCTTTCTAAAACCCCTGTATGATCATGTCTTCCATACATTGCCACTCCTGGTAACATATTGAGCATGGTGGCCTGGGAAAAATTCTTACACCAGTGAGTAATGTGAAAGTGCTAGTTAAAGCTAGGTTAGGCTGGGTGCAGTGGCTCATGCTTATAATCCCAATCCTTGGGGAGGCTGAGGCAGGTGGATTGCTTGAGACCAGGAGTTTGAGGCCAGACTGGACAACATAGTGAGACCTTGTCTCTATAAAAAATAAAAAATAAAAATAGCCGGGCTTTGTGGCACGTGCCTGTAATAAACAGCTACTTGGGAGGCTGAGGTGGGAGGATCACTTGAGCACTGGAGGTTGAGGCTGCAGCGAGCCTTGATCATGGCACTGCACTCCAACCTGGGCTACAGAACAAGACCCTGTCTTATTTGTTTGTTTGTTTATTTATTTATTTATTTATTTTTGGAGATGGAGTCTCACTCTGTTGCCCAGGCTGGAGTGTGGTGCCATGATCAAGGCTCACTGCAACCTCCACTTCCCAGGTTCCAGCGATTCTCCTGCCTCAGCCTCCTAAGAAGCTGGGATTATAGGCGTCTGCTACCATGCCCAGCTAATTTTTGTATTTTTGGTAGAGATGGGGTTTCACCAGGTTGGTCAGGCTGGTCTCAAACTCCTGACCTCAAGTGATCTGCCCACCTCGCCCTCCCAAGGTGCTGGGATTACAGGCATGGGCCACTGCACCAAGCCGCTGTCTCAAAAAAAAAAAAAAAAAAAAAAAAGAGGCTGGGTGAGGTGGCTCATGTCTGTAATTCCAGCACTTTGGGAGGTCGAGGTGGGTGGATCACTTGAGGCCAGGAGTTCAAGACCAGCCTGGCCAACATGGCAAAACCCCCATCTCTACTAAAAATATAAAAATTAGCAGGGCGCAGTGGCACACTCCTGTAATCCCAGCTACTCGGGAGGCAGAGGCAGGAGAATTGCTTGATCCTGGGAGGCGGAGGTTGCAGTGAGCCAAGATTGTGCCACTGCACTCAAGTCTGGGTGACAGAGTGAGATTCCATCTCAAAAAAAAAAAAAAAAAGAGCTAGGTTAATGTTAATGTCAGAGAAATGGCAGGACCTTCTCCAGCCTGGCATTTGTCACCTGGACTCTTCTCCATCATGTCTCCTATTGCACCACACCAAGGTTATCTGTATACCTGCTAGTCTCTCCCACCAGACTCTGAAGTCTGGGTCTTGCTCAGTTCAGTATCTGCAGCACTACACACAGTGCCTGGCACAGAGCAGAACTTAGAATAAAATAGCATCAGAGACAATAGTTTCTCCCTCAAAGGCAGTGGGTTAGTTTCCTATTGCTGCCATAACAAAATACTGCAAACTTAGTAGCTTAACACAGGGGCCCCCATCCCCCAAGCCACAGACCAGTACCAGTACCATTGCTTGCATTGCTGCCTGAGCTCTGCCTCCTGTCAGATCAGCAGTGGCATTAGATTCTCCTAGGAGGGCGAACCTTATCGTGCACTGTGCATGCAAGGGATCTAGGTTGTGCACCCGTTATGAGAATCTAATACCTGATGATCTGTCACTGTCTCCCATCACCCCCAGATGGGACTGTCTAGTTGCAGGAAAACAAGCTCAGGGCTCTCACTGATTCTACATTATGGTGAGTTGCATAATTACTTCGTTATCTATCACAATGTAATAATAATAGAAATAAAGTGCACAATGAATAATGCACTTGAATCATCCCATAACCATCCCCCCTTCTCCCCCGCTACAAATCCGTGGAAAAATTGTCTTCCATGAAACCAGTCCCTGGTCCCAAAAAGGTTGGGGACCACTGGCTTAAGACAACACTCACTTGACACCTGATGGTTCTGTAGGTCAGAAGTCTGACAAGGATCCCACTGGACTAAAATCAAGGGGACGGTGGGGCTGTGTTTGTTCTGGAGGCTCTAGGGGAGAATCCTTTTTTTTTTTTTTTTTTTTTTTTGCCTTTCCCAGCTTCTAGAGGCTGCCTTCCTCTATCTTCAAAGCCAGCAATCTGACCCAGGCACAGTGGCTCACGTCTGTAATCCCAGCACTTTGGGAGGCCGAGGTGGGTGGATCACCTGAGGTCAGGAGTTCGAGACCAGCCTGGCCAACATGGTGAAACCCCGTCTCTACTAAAAATACGAAAATGAGCTGGGCATGGTGGCATGCACCTGTAGTCCCAGCTACTTAGGAGGCTGAGGCAGGAGGATCCTTGAACCCGAGAGGTGGAGGTTGCAGTGAGCCAAGATCTTGTCACTGCACTCCAGCCTGAGAGACAGAATGAGACTCCGTCTCAAAACAACAACAACAACAAAAAAAAAACAAAGCCAGTAACGTAGCATCTCGCTGACCCTGCTTCTGTTATCACATCTCTTTCTCTGACCATAGCCAGGAAAGGCTCTCCCACTTTAAGGGGATTGGGCCCCCCCCCCCGAATAATCCAGGATAAACTCCCACCTCAAGGTCATCTAATTAGCAACCTTAATTCCATTAACATCCTTAATTCTCTTTGCCATGTAACTGAACATATTCACAGGTTCCAGGGATTAGGGTGTGGATATTTTGGGTAGGCCATTCTTCTGCCCACCATAGGCAGCAGCAGGAGAGGAATCTGAATTTCATTCAGCGCCCCCCTTGTAATGCTTTTCATACAATGGCAATGCTCTTACTTAATTGGCTGCATTTGTTTTTCAATTGAAGCTATGATTTTGTCACCTCTGCGTTCCCAGTGCCTGGCCCAGGGCTCAGCCCAGGTGAGGTTCTCAGTGTCTATTGACTGGATGTTAGTAAGCAAAATATTGATTGACTGGAGTGTTTAAATATCAACCTTTTCGTTCCCCTCAGCAAATGAAACTTTGATTGTTGAGTTTCAAAAAAGTGTTAAAAAACCAATTTTGAGGCAAAATCGGGGGTCCAATTGCCATTATCTTGCTTTCTTACACGAAACCAACTCTAAGATTGAAAAAACAGGCAACTTCTATTATCTGACAGAAGTGTTCCAGATTTTTTCTGGTGAAAAAACAGCTCACATGCTTTTTGCCTAGTCCACATGGGAACACAGCTGTATAAGAAATTCAAATGAACAGAAAAAAAAAAAATCATGCAATAAAGACTCGTGACTCCTAAAGCAACCAAAAATTGAATACTTCTCATGCAGTTTTTGTAGGATTTGTATTTAAACATACAGTGAACCACTTCAAAATTCCAACAAATCTGGAGAAATTAAACCTTGTTTCCAAGAAGTGCTCAGAGAGCTTTCAATACATTTTTTCATCACTGAAAAAGAAGTGACATGCACAACTGAGCTGTGTCTCTTTAGCAGGACCCAGTGCCTACCAGACAGCAGCAAATGGAAAATGAGCCAACCTGGTGTCCTACAGTGATACGGAGGACAGGAGTCCTCTCCTCAAGCTGCAACTGCAGTACAGGTTCATGGTAAAGGAAAGGGTTCTTAACCGGGGGCGGTGGCTCACGCCTGTAATCCCAGCACTTTGGGAGGCCGAGGCAGGTGGATCACCTGAGGTCAGGAGTTCAAGACCGGCATGGCCAACATGGTGAAACTCTGTCACTACTAAAAATAAAAAATTAGCTGGGTGTGGTGGCGCATGCCTGTAATCCCAGCTACTCGAGAGGCTGAGGCAGGAGAATTGCTGGAACCCGGGAGGTGGAGGTTGCAGTGATCCTCCGTCTCAAAAAAAAAAAAAGGAAAGGGTTCTTTCACTGGGCAGAATTGGCCAGAAATTGCCAGGTCTCATGGAGTTCGGGCTCCAGCCATGACAGCCCCAACTAAGCCAGTTCTCAGAATTCAGTGTTTACCGTGGCAACCACTTGGGGCACCTCCAAATTGCTAAACTGGAGATTCCAAAGAAAAGCAGCCCAAAGTAGCTGCATGGTCTGCAAAGACTTTTCCGTATTTTATTCAAATAGCACCTCATCAGCAAACCTTAGCGAATATTCAAACTCGGTTTCGACAGTCTTCTGAATCCCAGTCAAAACATTTCAACGTACATCACTTCATCTGATCCCCCCGCAATAGGCCTGGCAGTGACTTGGGGCTGGAACCAGTATCCAGTACCTACCACAGTGCTTGGCACATGGTAATAGCTCAGCGAACTGCCATCATTTTATAAAGGAAGAGACAGGCTCAGGCAGGTTGAAGTGGCTTCCTAAAAGTGCCTAGTGGCAGGCAGGGCTAGGACTCAGGCCTCCTGACTGTTACCCTCTTGCTTCCTTATTCCACCACCCTGGACTTCAAAATCCAGCTCCATAAAGGTCAGGAGAGCATTTCACTCATTTTCAACAAACATGCGGTGAGCATCTACCCCAAACCAGACCTTTTCACCACTCTTCCACTGTTCTCTGCCTGGCTGGCTCTTTCAGGTCTTGGTTTTAATGTTACCCCTTAAGCAAGACCTCCTGAATGTCCCTCCTACAACCACCCTGCCTCCGCACACCCATCACCCTCTATCTCATTTCCTATTTGTCACTTACCCAACTTGAATGATTTTGTGTGTATGTTGATTTACGGTCTGCCTTCCCTGACTGGAATGTAAGCTCTATGAGGGCAGGGCACTATTGGCTCAGATTTTCTGTGGACAGTCCACCCACTGTAAGATGAGCACGTGAGGAAGCCACTGAAACAAAGCCAGTGTGCGCTTGGGTGCGTTCATAAAAGAATGATGGACTTCTGGAAGATGTCCTGAAGACAGAAAGGGAATGGGGTTGTTTTGCATGGGGACAGAAGGACTCAGGGAAGACATACCAGCTCCTTTCAAATGTCTGAAGGTGGCAACACAAAAGCAGGGAGTGAACTCGCCCTAAGAGATCCAGTGGGACAGAGGCGAGGGAGAGGATGCTGCGGGGGCAGATTTTGGTTCAAGATGCTCCTTGCTCTGCTTATGTAATTGTTGGATACTTACTGTCTTCCCCACTAACTTGTAAGTGCCGCAAGGGTGGCCTGTGTCTATGGTATTCCTCACTGTATGTAAACAGGATAGCACAGCATGTGGTGTGTTTGTCACTCAATAATGTTTTGACTGAATAAAGGTCGGGTGGAATATCAATGTTTGCTCTGCCTGGAATGATCCTTGTCCTCACCCTGCTTCACATGGCTGACCCTTGACTTACTTGAGGTCTAAATGTCACTTTATCAGGACAATCTTCCCCAGTCCCCTTATCACCAGATTACAGTACCCTCTCATACTGTCCTGCATTTTTTTTTTTTTTTTGAGACAGGCTCTCGCCCTGTTGCCTAGCCTGGAATGCAGTGGTGTGATCACAGCTCACTGTGGCTTTGACTTCCTGGGCCGAAGCAATCCTCCTTCCTCAACCTCCTGGGTTGAGTGTCTGGGACTACAGGTGCACACCATCACATCCAGCTAGCACTTATAATTTTTTTTTTTTTTGGATGGAGTCTTTTTCTGTCACCAGGCTGGAGTGCAGTGGCATAATCTCGGCTCACTGCAACCTCTGCCTCCCAGGTTCAAGCGATTCTCCTGCCTCAGCCTCCTGAGTAGCTGGGACTACAGGCGCACATCACCATGCCCAGCTAATTTTTGTATTTTTAGTAGAGACCAGGTTTCACCATGTTGGCCAGGATGGTCTCAATCTCTTGACCTCGTGATCCACCCACCTTGGCCTCCCAAAATGCTGGGATTACAGGCATGAGCCACCGCGCATAGCCACGATTCTTTTATTTGTTGATTACTTAAGATAGATATCGGCTGGGCGCGGTGGCTCATGCCTGTAATCCCAGCACTTTGGGAGGCCAAGGCGGGTGGATCGCCTGAGGTCAGGAGTTTGAGACCAGTCTGGCCAAAGTGGTGAAACCCCGTCTCTACTAAAAATACAAAAATTAGCCCGGCATGGTGGCCGGCATCTGTAATCCCAGCTACTCGGGAGGCTGAAGCAGGAGAATCACTTGAACCTGGGAGGCAGAGGTTGCAGTGAGCCGAGAACGTACCATTGCACTCCAGCCTGGGCGACAAGAGCGAAACGAGCGAAACTCCATCTCAAAACAAACAAACAAACAAAAAACCAAAAACAAAACAAAACATAAAAACAAGATATCCCCCCCTGCTAGAAGGCAAGAAGGCAATCAGTCTTTCCTGCATGAATGATTCCTAAGAACCCCATGAGATTGCTACATCTCCCGTAGAATACTCTCCATGAGAGCTGGAACTGTTTAGTTATTTGCTGCTATCTCTACTGTGTGTGGCACAAAGTAAGCACTCAGATATTTCTTGAATGAATTAACTTTACAGCTGAGAAAACTAAAAGGCTCAGTGAAGTAAGTGGTCAACATTACACAATAAGCAAGCAGCAGAGCCTGGGTTTGAACCCAGGTCTGTGTCACTCCAGAGCCTGGGCTTTTTCTACTATGCTTAACTGTGGGGATGCAAAGCCATTGTTCAGGACTGCAAACTCTGCTATAAAATCCGGGCCCCTTGGTGATAATGTTGGGAGGTAGAGCATGAAGAAATGCTGCTAGGCAGGCTGCTCGCCCATGGGCCCAACAAGACACTGGAGGGCCCTTTGCTATGAATGCGAGGACCCTCCCAACCAGGGAACGCCAACAAGACAGCCAAGAACACAGCAGCAAGTGGAGGCACAGAGCTGAGACTTCATGCCTTAGCCTGGCCTGATGACAAGCAGGTCGGGGGCAGCAGGCTAGAAAGCAATTCTGCAATTCCCTTCATCCTTCTGGTTACAATCAGGATGAATCAGCAGAGCCTGCCTTTGGGGCCAGCAAAATAGTAAGCATCTGGGCTTTGGAGTCAGACTTGACTTGGGTCCTGACTCTGCCACTTACTCGCTGTGTGACTTCTCTGCACCTCAGTTTCATCTGTATACTGAGGATGATAGAATGTGCCCTCAATGCATGATTATAGATTTTAAAATGCCTTGTATACACATGACCAGTACCCAAGAAGGGCTCAAAAATGAGAACTATTATTATCATTTCCAATTTATTTTCAAGCCTCACACTACATCATCTGTGTGGCGTACGTCCTGTCGGGGACTCTCATCTCATTATACTCCTGCATTGGGTCAGGTTAACAACTGTACCTGCTCAGATCTAATGTAGGGTTTTGTGTAGGGAATTAGAAAACATGGGTTCCTTCAAGAAAAGAGCCTGTTGTGTGTGGACCATCCCCCACCAATGTCTCTCACTGGGCCATAAACAAGGAAGCTGGAGTGGATGACAAGAAAACACAACAGACAGTGTGGTTGGTGCCATTGCTGGACTAGACAAACTTGCAGTCAGCAGACTCTAGCCTATAAAACTTCTCATGCACAGAGAGACGTGTCTTTAACTTGGAAGGAGGACTATTTGTATTTGTGTGATCATGCTTTTAGCCAAACTTGGAACTGCCTTCCTACCTAACTGGATATACTTGGAACTGCCTTCCCACCTAACTGGATATAGAATTCTCTTTCCCCATACCAGCATTTTTATAACATTATCCATTACTAAGCTAACAGGCTACAAATCAATGTAATAGAATTTGACAGCTTTGAGTCATATTTCCTAAAGAGTCCAATTGTGACCATAAGCAAATACATCCACCCTTACACATAAGCACCAAAAATTTGCCAACCCATAAGTTAAGTTCTGTTAGGTTTCTGTTTGTTTATTTGAAAACATTAGTCTTCCCCTTTTCCACTAGGTATATAGGTAGAAAAATAAATGAAGTCAGCACTCTTTACGTCTCACTAAAATAAACTGTGACTCAAATACTGTGAGTGGTTATTTGCAAGGCTATAACTTTTTTAATGACAGATTTTCCTAAAAGAAACCACTATAACATCTGTCCAAGTACTCCAGAGAAAACAAAAAATACATAAAGATTAAAAGTCTATTACTTTAACAGCACATTGCCAAACACGGACAACTAGGATAAATGCCAAGAAACCTTAAAAAATAACTTTAAAAGATGCAACGTTCAAGCCATTCAAACGCGTAGGTTCCACAAACAACAGGAAAACAAGTCCAAGAGCAGTTCTACTTGTGCATGATGGTAACTCAGACTGTACTTCATCAAAGTTCATTCAGGTGTTTCATAGGCGTCTGAGCAGAGTTTGTTTTTTCTTCCTTGCTTGGAGATGTGTACACAGATTAGAGGAGAGGAAAGTCTTCCAGATGCTGATGTAAGCACAGCAGGCTTGGTTCCCCTTGATAAAGTATGAAGGCAGATTTAGTTGACTCAAGCTTTATCAGTTTCCCTAGTGAAAAGTCTTATGCATGCTGAAATAGACGAGTTACTGAATTTGTCATGCGAAGTATTTACATAAAGTGAGGTCAGTAACCCGACAGAATAAAAAAGGTAGTTGTTAAATTATTGTATAACCTTTTACAACTTGAATAACTTTGTGGGTAAGTGACACTGACGTTCAAACTCCTCAAACATACATTAACAAGAAACTATTTACTGCGTGAAGAGGCACACATCATGTAAAACATACACGTCATGGGAGGGATTCCTGCATAGCAGGAAAGTCGCTACCACTACATAACAAATGGCTATGCCAACAGTCAAAGCTGCCACGAAAGGGTACAACATTAGAATTCCCCTAAAATCTCAAGGAGTGTTTGCAATAGCACAGATAGATGCCTTTCGGAGAGTAAGTACATGTTTTGTTCAGAAGGGTATTTTTCACTGGAAAATCTGAACATCATGTAAATAAATCAATGTTCTAACTGGATAAGATTTAAGGCAATGCTACTCAGACCTGAGGGAAAAAAAATCCAAAAAAGTTTGTTTTTCTTCTGAATCATGAACAGGTCAAAATCAACATCAAAAAGCATTCTTCCAAGCATTCAATGCATCTTTAGGTATTATCAGCATTACAAAATAGAATCTACTTTCATACTCCAAATATGAAATGAGAAATTGTTCTGTGCTCTTCCTTGAGAACTGTAAAAAAAAAAATGCATGGCAGCTTAGGTAATTAATATTAAAACGTACCATGAAAATGAAGACTACTACACCTGCTGCACACAAAGGAGCCACCCTGCTGCAATCAGTGCTCCAGAATATTCGATTTCTCTTATGACTGACTTTGGTGCAGTGTGGAACGATCGTGGGTTCATAAATTAACTGTTGACATTAACTACAGACTAACAAATGATGATTAGACACAGTAAGTTCAAAAATTTTACATTTTGCTCCTGTTTGGCTGCTAAAGAGCAGCAATTTAAATCGATATAAAAACTTCTGACGACAAAGCCTGCTATACAGATAAAGTACATAATCAAAAATTAAGCAGCAATTAAATTTCTTATTTAAACTTATCTGGTATAGAATATTTACACATTTGGGAAGAGAGATCTCTGAAACCACCATTCTCTTTACTCGCCTCTTGCTCTCTGCCCACCCCAGCCCCTCCAAATCTAAATCAAGTGCCCTGAACTATATACACCTGTACTTTGGCTAAGCCGGCTAGATGTGACTCCTTCTACGGTCTTGGTCTGGAAGAAAAGACATAAAGTCTCAGAAGTCATTTGCAGCCTTCTTTTCTGAACAACAGTGTACTGTAGTCAATGAATCTGTGCTTTCACAGCAAGCGGGGGAAAAGGGTCCTCACACTTCACTCCCCAACCTGAATGGGGCAAGATCAAATGCCATCAGCTCGTTGCACCACAACAGGCCACCAGAGAAAAGGGAAAGAAAACGATCAGGACAAAGGCAGCAGCTATCAACAAAAGTTTCCCAACAAAGGAACCTCTCCTCCCTAGGTTCCCAAGGAAATAACACTCCCTCCTCACTCTCCCTCCCCTAGCACACAAAAAAATTAATTCACATCACGAGAACTGGTACTCTGGTTAAGTGTCAGGTAAGTTTAAGAAAGAGAAAATCCGTCACTTTTTACACTTTAACTGAGACATAAAACTAACAGAACACACAACATCACTGTGAAAGTAACTTCCTAAAACAGATCCAGTCTACAGAGTGCAACCAGGAAAACTTAAAGGAATATAGTTTGTTCACAATCTGCCGTGTACAGGATATTTATATTCTTTCTATGCCATATAAATAGCATTTATATAGCTTACACATTCAGAGACATGCACTGGGACTTTTAGGTAGTACAAATTTCTTCACAATCACATGTGCAAATTTTACAAATCACTAAGTGAGTATTAGTAAGCTTAGGCTGGACCATGTCTCGTATTATCTAACAAATTTAGCGGGGGTTCAGAATCATCCATTGGAAGAACCAGGCGTGTTCCTCGAATGACCAGTTCATGGTCCCCAAATGCAAGCTCCCGATCCAAGGCATCTTCAGAACTGTTTCCCATAAATCTCCTTGGGGCGCTGGATGTGGCCGGTTCAGTGTTCACAGTAGAATCTCCATATGTCAAACTGATGTCACCATCATTGAGAATAAGATCAGAATCATCATCTTTCAACTGTTCCTGGTTCTAAATGCAAATAAAGTAAGATTTAAGAATTTTTGAGAAGTTCAAGAGACATTTCCAATAGGAGTATTTTCGAGGATCCCCCATTAAAACCCTTAAGTGGTAGCCCACTGCCCTCAGGATAAAGTCTAAAGTCCATACCTTGGCTTAAAATACAGCGTGACTTGGCATCCTTAGTTCCTCTCCTGCTACAATCTGCCCCTCCCACACCAAAGGCCCCATTGTCTGCCAACCAGACTGAAGTGTGACAGCTGCCCAGACTCCTCGTGCTTTCTCTTACCTTCAGGTCCTTCTACATGACCCCTCTTTCCCTTCAAATGACTAACATCCTTTTATCACTTTTGCTCTGAAGTCTTCCTTGAGCTTCTAGGACTAGGTTAGCTGTCCTTCCTGTGTGCTTTCGTGGCATCCTATACTTGGCCCTCTCCCTGTAGTGGCACTTACCCTTGAGCTATAACTGTGTGTGTATCAATCTGCCCTCAAGAGGCTTAGAGTCTAGTGTGTGGCAGGAGCAGACCGATTCACATGTGGTGAAGACACAGGGTGAATGCTACGTAGTCCAACCACCTAATACAGTTTGGGGTACAGAGAAACATATCAAGCCCTCACTGCAGCTCCATAAGCTTTGGTTCTCATGGAAATATTACGACCAAAATAGTATACTTAAATAAGGTTCTACAAAAGGGAAAAGAATCAGGAATACATAGTCCCATATTGGCAAATAAAAAATGTGTGTATAGAAAAGTCTTTTCTTCTTTATGTTTCTGTATTATCTGAAATTTTATTATAATGAGTATATATTACTTTTAAAAAACAGAACAAGTCATTTTTTCTAAATGACTTTAAAGAGAAAGGATCATTCTAAATATTCACATTGATCTAGCATAAAACAGTCTGTCATTGATGCTCCTTGAGGGAAGTATATTCTCCAGCTTTCTAAATCCCATGTCTGTTTGAAAATTTTGAATTTGTCTAAGACCATCAAATAGACTGAGAAGACTATTAGACAAAATCTAAAAAGGAATTTAATCTGCTGTTGCTAGAAATTCCCCTAAATACTCAAAGACCAAAAAAAGTGTGAACTGAAAAATAAACGGCTGGGTATGGGTGGCACATGTCTATTGTCCTAGCTACTGGGGAGGCTAAGGCAGGAGGACTGCTTGAGCCCAGAAGTTTGAGGCCAACCTGGGCAACACAGCCAGAACCCATCTCAAAAACAAACAAACAAACTCATATCCACCAACCAGCCCAAATCCCTTCCTGTCTAATCTAGTTAGGACAGTAAGTCTATCTAACCAGTATCTATCACTTAATTCAGCAATACTCACAAGCTCTGTGGCTCCTTCACAGGTCCACAGGGGCTCTTCAGCACCTTCTAGTGTCTTTATTAAGTTTGAGGTTTGGGGCAATATCTATCAAATTTTAAAATGCACATGCCTTTTGACCCAGTGATTTTACCTTTAAAATCTATTCTATATACTTTTACATAGTTAGGTAAGTTTATATGTAAAAGAATATTCACTATAAGTATTGTTTATAATAGCAAAAAAGGAAATGACTGAAACATCTATCCATAAGAGACTGAATACATGAATTTTGCTACAGCTATGAAATGGAATAGGACGTAGCCATGAAAAGAGAAGGTAAGACATCTAACATACTCACATATAAAGGTATCCATGATGTGTCAGTAATTGAAAAAAAAAGCAAGTAATGGGACAATATGCCTATTATAATCCCATTTGTGTAAAACAATAACAAAGCCATATATACACATATTTATTTGCAATAAAATATATCAGGAAGTATCCACAGTGAGCCTATAATAAAGACTGCCTCGAGGACTGCAGGTAGGAGGAAGGCAACTTTGATTTTTCATTTTGTACATTCCATACTGTATGGATATTTGGCCATGAGCTTGCTAGTGTTATAACTAAAAAAAGCAGTTAACAAAGATAATATAAAAAATTACGTTTGGGCCAGGTGCAGTGGCTCATGCCTGTAATCCCAACACTTTGGGAGGCCAAGGTGAGTGGATCACTTGAGGTCAGGAGTTCAAGACCAGCCTGGCTGACATGGCGAAACCTCGTCTCTACTAAAAAATACAGAAAAATGAGCTGGGTGTGGTGGTGCACACCTGTAATCCCAGCTACTTGGGAGGCTGAGGCATAAGAATCGCTTGAACCTGAGAGGTAGAGGTTGCAGTGAGCCAAGATCGCGCCACTGCACTCCAGCCTGGGTGACAGAGTGAGACTCTGTCTAAAAAAAAAAAAAAAATTAAGTGTGATGGTTGTTATGGGTTAAATTGTGTCCCTCCCCAACCCCCCACCAAAAGATGTTGAAGTCCTAACCCCCAGCACCTGTGAATGTAACCTTGTTTGGAAATAGGGTCTTGTTTGGAAATAAGGTAGGCCCTGATTCAATATGACTGGTGTCCTTATGAATAGGAGAAATTTGGACACGGAAGTAGGCATGCACACAGGTAGAACCCCATGTGAAGATGAAAGTAGAGATACATAGTGATGCATCTGTAAGTCAAGGAAGGTCCAAGATAGCCAGGAAGCCACCAGGAGTTAGAAGAGAGGCCTGGAGCAGATTCTCCCTCACAGCCTAGAAGGAACTGACCCGGCCAACAACTTGACTTTGGATTTTAGCCTCCAGAAATAAGAGATGATAAGTTTCTATTGTTTAAGCCATTCGGTTTTGGTACTTTGTTACAGCTGCTCTAGGGAGCCTGTTGTGTTTCGCTACATTCCAAGGACACAGGTTTGTTGTGGACCTCTTCTGGCTTTTGGTGACAGCGAGTGGGTCTCTGGAATCCAAGAGCCAAGCTTCACTGCCTGAACCAACAGAGCTGGCTGACTTCTCTGCACAGTTATGTGGGTTAACAGGGCATGGTGGAAATGGAGACAATGTTTGAGAGGCGAGCCTGGGCAATGTGGAAGGGAGAGGAGGGGCAACATGGGGTGTGTGCCCCATCTCACAGGCACAGTCTGTCAGAAACATGCACTGACACGACATAACACAAAGCCGTAGGATGCTCCTCCCTGGCCCAGATGCCACCCCTACTCTGCCTACTCTCTCCTGTCCATTTCTTATACAATCTGGTTTCACATGAGGTTCACTCACAGGGAATGGGGGCACGGGGAGGGAGGTGTGTGTGGTGCATGTCTACACAGCTTCACTACAGCTTCCCCTCTCAAGGTTCTGCGTGTTGCACCTAAGTAGTCAAAACTGGTGGGCTTTGTTAACAGGGGAGCCTATATGATGTCATAGATTATTTCTGAAAGGTTTGTTTAGAATGGAAGGCTTTTTCTTTTTCTTTTTTTTTTCTTTTGATACAGAGTCTCACTCTGTCACCCAGGCTGGAGTGCAGTGGCATGATCTCTGCTCACAACCTCCACCTCCCCAATTCAAGCAATTCTCCTGCCTCAGCCTCCCGAGTAGTTGGGATTACAGGTGCACGCCACTGTGCCCAGCTAATTTTTGTAATTTTGGTAGAGACTGGGTTTCGCCATGTTGACCAGTCTGGTCTTGAACTCCTGACCTCAGGTGATCTGCCGCCTCGGCCTCCCAAAGTGCTGGGATTACAGGCATGAGCCACCACGCCTGGCCAGAATGGAAGGTTTTTAAAAAAGAACTTGAAAAATAAAAACGTGCACATTTAAAAACAAAGGTCAGCTAGGATTTCTGTTATTTTTTTCTTAGTAGCAATATTTATCAAATTACCAATCACATTTTGGTAGCTAAGGAAAAAATATGGAATTCAGATTCTATCTAGATATGCTCATGTGTCCCAGAAATGTGGAACAGAGGCAGATAGCTTTCCCAAACATCCAAAGGTTGGGAGGTGTGAAATAATAGACCATCTGTTGCACTTTAGGGATGTCAAAATTGTTTTAAAATCCTCAAAATGTAACTGAGACAACCCTCATTTGTGGAGGAAAGCATACACATTTAGTGCTGAGCTCAGGACACATACTGCAAAGAAATGAAAGCCAGCAGGGAAATAGAACTATTTACTAAAATCACCCACAGTAAGATGAGGCACGATTCTATATCTGTTTTCAAATGCTGTTTCAAAGGCTGTGAATTATATTTATAGGTTTCAGTGTATTTTCTGGTTGAGCAAAATATGCTTAAATTCCCTTTCATGGAATTTATACCTCAAAGGCAAAAAAACAAACCAAAATAAAATAAAACCAGTGACTCATCCACAGAGCAGATAAATTTAACTTACTGAAGAATTTAGTTTTGGATAAAACCAACTTACTTCGTAAGCCTGGGGGCTGGTGAGGCACCTGGCGATGGGTCCACAGCAGGCAGGGAGTGTTGTTGTCAGCGGAGGCCCGCTGTGGGTCAGCAGAGGCTTCAGATAGCTGCGGTGGTTAAGGAAGAGCTGTGGTCCTTTCTTTACAAATTTAAAAGAGCAACTCGTTTGATAATAATCACCATCATAGTATAGTAACCACTTCGGAGGACAGCAAAGGGCTTTCACATCTATGGTCTCATTTCCTCCTCACATGATGGCAGTGAAACAGCAAAGGGGTATTTTATCATCTCCACTTCACAGATATGGAAACTGAGGCTCAGAGAGGTCAATGACCTGCTTAAAGCTACACAATGAGGTAAATGGGGACCAATCTGCTAGCCCAAATTGGTCTGAATTTCAAATCTTGTGCCCTTTCCACTACATCACATTGCTTTTCTGATTTTACTAAAACCAAAAGGAACATCACTGTAAATTGGGCACTACAGGAGATAAGGGAGAAAGTAAACAATGTTAATGGCCAGAGAGGAAATTAAATTTTCCAGTAGAACATAGTAATAAAATGGTTTTCATCATTTATTGTGAATTCAGCTGGCCTCTTGCATGGTATAAGTTGAAACTTCAGTATCAGACTGACTGTTTACTTAGGAAGCTATAAGAAGGAAAGGCAAGTCAAATCTCAAGACATTTTAAAAAACTATGTATCATGAGGCCCTTTATCATAGGCCCTCATTTCAGTATTCATTTATTTGCCAAAAAATAAAAATAGACATGAGAATATATGACACTCAGAAGAAAAAAGAGGGAATCACAAGAAAAAGGAGAAAAGGATACAGACACACAAATTCCCCACTTTATTTATTTATTCATTTATTTTTTTTTTTTTTGAGACAGTGTCGCTCTGTCACCCAGGCTAGAGTGCAGTGGGTGATCATAGCAGGTACGTGCCACAATGCCCAACTAATTTTTTTTTATTTGATTTTTGCAAAGACAGGGTCTCGCTATGTTGCTAGGGCTGGTCTTGAACTGAGCCTGCCTCAAGCAATCCTCCCACCTCAGCCTCCCAAAGTGTTGGGTTTACAGGCATGAGCCTCCATGCCCTCCCTCCTCATTTTCTAAAATGAGACCCTAAGGTGGTTCTCAGTTAAAAATGAGAAAGTCAGAGAAAATTTCATGAATCCTCATATTAATAAATTCTAAGTAAAGATTAAAACACTGCATATAAACACGCTTTATAAAACATCTGGCCAAACACAAAGCTACTAAAAAACTGGAATGATGAATTCTAGCATTTTGAGTAAAGAAATGACCAGGTCTTCATCTTCTGGTACTGAATGGGTAGTACTGAGGCTAACAAGTCTTGATGTTTGACTCTACAAGAAAAAATTCCTTAGAAAAAAAAACTCGCCAGATGATGACAAATGGTTTTAAAAAAAGAAAAAAAAAAAGAAAAAAAAACCTAGATAGTCCTGTATTTATTAATGAAATTAAAAACTTTCTCCTACAGAAAGCTCCAGGCTCAAATGGCTTCACTGGTAAAACTTTCCTAACATTAAAAAAAAATAATAATAACACTAATCTTATCACTCCTTCAGAGAACAGAAAATGAGGGAATACTTCCTGATTCATTTTATGAGGCCAGCTTAATCTTGTTATAGAAACCTGACAAGGACACTATAAGAAAAAATCACAAGCCAATATTGTTCATAAAAATAGACACAAAAATCAGATGCAAAATATTAGCAAATTAAATCCAGAGATATACACAAAGGATAACACATCATGACCAAGTGGAATTTGTTCCAGCAATGCAAGACTAGTTTAACATTCAAACAATCAATCAATGAAAATCAAAATAACAGATTAAAGAAGAAAAATATAAACACATGATCATCTCGATGCAGAAAAAGCATCTGATACTAAAAATTCTCAGCAGACAAAAACTCATGATAAAAACTCTCAGCAGACTAGAAATAAAAGAGAATGCTCTTAACCTGCTAAAGGATATATCCAAAAACGTATAGCTAACATCGTACTTAATGGTGAAATATTGAAAAATTTCCCTCTGAGGTCAGGAATAAGGTAAGAATGTCCTGTATCATCACTTATATTCACCATTGCACTGAAGAAGTCCCCTAAAAAAGCTGATGTAAAAAGACACAAAAAAGAAATACAGGGATTGGAAAAGAAAAAAAAATAATTAGTCATAGATCATTTAATTATGTATATAGAAGACCAAAAAGTATCTATTAGAAATCATAAGTGAACTTAGCAAGATTGCTGGACCCAAGGTCCATATATAAAATCAAATTTTAGGCTGGGCACAGTGGCTCACGCCTGTAATCCCAGCACTTTGGGAGGCTGAGGCGGGCAGATCACAAGGTCAGGAGATCGAGACCATCCTGGCAAACACGGTGAAACACCATCTCTACCAAAAATACAAAAAATTAGCTGGGCCTGGTGGCGGGCGCCTGTAGTCCCAGCTACTTGGGAGGCTGAGGCAGAAGAATCACTTGAATCCGGGAGGCAGAGGTTGCAGTGAGCCGAGATTGTGCCACTGCACTCCTGCCTGGGCAACAGAGTGAGACTCTGTCTCAATAAATAAATAAATAAATAAATAAATAAATATCCAATTTTCTATCTATATATTTACATCAAACAAGTATAAAACAGAGTAAATACCATTTGCAATAGGATCAAAAACATCAAATACTTAGGAATAAATCTAATGAAAATGTACAAGAGCTGTGTACTGAAAAGTACAAATCGTTAATGAGAGAAATTTTAAAAGACCTAAATGAGTGGAGCAATATGCTGTGTTTATGATATGGAAGTCTCAATATTGTTATGATATCATTTCTCTCCAAATTCATTTATGGATTCAATACAAACCCAATAAACTTGCCAGCAGTTGTGTGTGTGCGTGTGTGTGCACATGCACATGTGTGTAAATTGACAAGCTGTTTCTAAAATTTAAAGGAAAACGCAAAGCACCCAAAATAGCCAAGGCTATACTGGAGAAGAACAAAGCCAGATTTTAATTACTCTACTGGATAGCAAGACTTATTATAAAGTACAGTAATAAAAAGGGTGTGGTATTGATATAAAAATAGAGAAACAGGATTAAAAAAGAGAGTCCAGAAACTTATCCCCACTTATACAGCCAAGTGATTTACAACAAAGATTGTACTGCAATTCAGTGGGGTAAGGATGATATTTTTCAATAAATGGTGCTGCATCAACTGGATATGCATATGGAAAAAAGTAGATCTTCACCCACTATCTCTCACCATGCACAAAAATGAATTTGTGATGGATCAAAGACTTAAATGTGATAGTTAAAGCAATCATACTTCTAGAAAAAAACAGGAAAATATCTTCACGACCTTGGGATATGGAAGATTTCTTAAGACACAGAAAACACTAACCATAAAAGGTGAATAAAATGGACTTCTAGCCTGGGCAACAAAGTGAGAACCTGTCTGTATAAAAAACTTTTAAAAACTAGCTGGATGTGGTGCCATGCACCTGTAGTCCTAGCTATTCAGGAGGCTGAGGCAGGAGGATCACCTGAGCCCAGGAGGTTGGGGCTACAGTGAACTATGATTGCACCACTGCACTCCAGCCTGGGTGAGAGAGTGGGAACTTATCTTAAAAATAAACAAAATGTAATAGACTTCATTAAATTGAAGAACTTCTACTCCTTAAATACAGGATTAAGAAAATGAAAAGGCAAGCTACAGACTGAGAAAAAATACAATAATCAACAACAAAAAACCCAATTCAGGAATATAGAGAGAACTATAAATCAATGAGAGAAAAAAACAACTCAGTTAAACAATGGACGAAAGACTTAGACTTCACAAAAGAGGATATCTAAATGGTCAAAAAACAAGAAAAGGTGCTCAGCCTCTCTGGTCATCAGAGAAATGCAAATTAAACCATATGAGATATCACTACACACCCATCAAAATGGCTAAAATTTAAAAGACTGAAAAATAGAACTCCCTTAATTTGCTGATGGAAATAATCATAAATTCACCAAGTTGGTTAAAACCAATTAAACTGGTTGCAATCACTCTGGAAAACTGGTTGGTTGGCAATGTCTGTTTTAAAGCTAAACAGGCTGGGCAAGTGGCTCACTCCTATAATTCCAGCACTTTGGGAGGCTGAGGTGGGTGGATCACTTGAGTCCCAGAGTTCAAGGCCAGCCTGGGAAACATGGTGAAACCATGTCTCTACATTGAGAAAAAAAAAAAAAAAAATAGCTGGGTGTGATGACATGCACCAGGAGTCCCAGCTACCCAGGAGGCTGTGTTTAGAGGATCACTTGAGCCTGGGAGGCAGAGGTTGCAGTGAGCCAAGATTGTGCCACTGCATTCCAGCCTGGGTGACAGAGCCAGACACTACTGCAAACAAACAAACAAACAAACAAACAAACAAAAAACACGTTAAACATATACTTGTCCTAAATTCCACTCTTTGCACTCCTTGGTATATACCCAAGAGAAATGAGTGCTATGTCCACCAAAAGATATATATTCATGCAGGTTTTTGTAATAGCCAAAAGCTAGAACCAACCCAAATATTTATTAACAGTAGACTGGTTACAAACAAAAATCCTGTAGTATATTCCTACTACAGAGCTCTACCCTACTACAGCAATAAAAAAAGAATGAATTGCTGTTACATGAAACAATAGGGATAAATTACACAGATGTCGAGTGAAAGAAGCAAGACAGAAACGAATACCTAATATATGAATCCATATATATAAAGATCAAAATCAGGTAAAACTAACCCATGTTGATGAAAGTCAGAATCATGGTTACCCCTTTGTGGAGGGGGATAGAGAATGTTCATTTGTATCTTTGTATGGGTGGGAGGCACACAGTTGTTGACACAGGTTGAAATTCATTAAGCTGTACACTTAAGATTCGTGTACTTTATTGTATTCAAGTTATAGCTCAATTATAACAAATCATTTGCCTACACAAATGAACTGAAATCTAAAATAATGAATATTTAATTATATCAGGGCACTAGGTATTAAAATGATCAGGTCTTCATTGAGTAGGACTTAATAGGGCAGTACTGAGTCAAACAAGCCTTGGTGTTTACTTCCATAAAATATACAGAAGAATAAGCTATTATTCTACGCTTTCTCAACATTAGGATCATTGAACTGTTTTATATATTATGTAGAAAATGTACAAAACATTTTATGCAGAAAACTCACTAAAAAATTATTGCTAAATTAGAGGGATGAAAAAGCCCCAAGAGATATGAGAGTGGCTTATATCCAAAACCCTGACAATGGAGCCAAAAGTAATGACATAATCTTTAAAAAATTTTAAGAGCCAGGCTCTCTTTCTCTAATGGGAGTCTTAATACCCCAGATATGCTTGCATTCTTGTTTCCATACAATAATTTAATTTTGAAGTACTTGCAAGCAGTGAATGCAAAAATTACCAAACAGAACATGGTAAGTAGTAGCTTCTAATCATTAAGTGTCAAGTGATTTTTCTTAAATATACAAGGCTTTCATCAGAAAGTTGAAAGCAAGGACAAATTTCTTACACGGTTGTCTCCAATTTGCTTCAATAGAACATAAACCAAGTTTTGAATCATTTACTGATAAATCAGAGCCTGAAAGAACTCCATGGCTGTTTTTGCTAGGTGAATTTTCAAATAAGAAATTAATTTTAATAATGATAAAATGTTTAAAAGGCATGATTTAAAGCAGTGGTCCCCAACTCTTTTGGCACCAGGGACCGGTTTTGTGGAAGACAATTTTTCCATGGACTGGGCTGGGAACAAAACAGTTTTGGGATAAAACTGTTCCACCTCACATCATCAGACATTAGATTCTCATAAGGAGTATGTAACCTAGATCCCTCGCAAGTGCAGTTCACAACAGGGTTCGGGCTCCTGTGAGAATCTAATGCTGCTCATCTGACAGGAGGCGGAGCTCAGGTGGTAATGTTCACTGGCCCATTGCTCACCTCCTGCTGTGTGGCCCGGTTCCCAACAGGCCACGGACCAGTACTGGTCCGCGGCCCGGGAGTTGGGGATCCCTGATTTAAAGAGGTTATAGAATATCAACACTACTCAAAGTACAGCTATGAAACAGACTTACAACAGGGCAAGAAGGAAATCTGGCAAACAAAAACATTAGCTATCTGTGGCATGCTGAACAGAGAGAATCTCCTAGTCTTTGGAAAGGTCAGGGGAAAAAAAAGTGTATTGCTGAACAGCGCAGTATTGAACATTATCGCATTTTGATTTCATTCTCATGCTTTTTCCCAAGCCTTTCCTCTCTTACCCTGCCAAGTACGCAGACAAGAACCAAGAAATACCTTCTGTGGGATTCACTAAATTAGCTAAAGGACAACAAATATTAAAGTTTGCTCAATAAATAAACCTATATATCAAAGAAAGTATGTCATTTGGGCTTTGGTTCCCTTTACACAGCCAGCTTCTGAAATGACCAGTCCCTACGGTTTCATGGGTTTGAAGAGGAATCTGTCTGTGTGGGTTTCCTTTTCCACAGCACTGATGGGGAAAGGGAAGATGAAAGGTAGGTTTTATATTCTGCTCCAGGAAGAGAATAGTCAAAACACTTGTTCCATTAAACTGTAATTATCTATGTCCACATTATCCTTTTTTTTTTTCCCTCAATTAAGGATACTTATGATCAAAGTTGTACCACATCCGGAAAAGCCAAGCACTCTCTGCTTTGGTAGTTCTCCTTTCATTTTCAGGAACACCCTGCAGATAGATAATACAGAAATCAATATCTATACAAAGATATGAACATTTATTTAGAGCCATTCCTTTGGAGAATCAGAAATAGAGGCTACTATATTATAAGACACTCTCCAACAAGGGTAACATTAGAAATTTAATAGTTTGTATATTGCAGCTTTGGAATAGGAAATTGAAATGTTTTTCTGAACACCTCTATTACTCAGGCTGCTTGCTAACTTACGAATCTACTCTCACTTAAAAAATCAATGTGGGGGCCGGGTGTGGTGGCTCATGCCTGTAATCCCAGCACTTTGGGAGGCCGAGGCAGGCAGATCACGAGATCAGGAGTTCGAGACCAGCCTGACCAACATGGTGAAACCCCGTTTCTACTAAAAATACAAAAATTAGCCAGGCGTGGTGGGGCCTGCCTGTAATCCCAGCTACTCAGGAGGCTGAGGCAGGAAGTTCACTTGAACCCGGGAGGTAGAGGTTGCAGTGAGCCGAGATCGTGCCACTGCACTCCAGACTCGGCGACAGAGCGAGACTCCATCTCAAAAAAAAGAAAAAAAATCAATGTGGTATAATTCATGTACTGAACCTGAAAGACTTAACTCTCAATGTAATAATAGCACCTTAGAAAATATCACATCAACATCCCTATATTTGGGAGTCGTCATGGATCTCGAAAATAACTAGCAACTTCAAAGTTGCTACTATGTTCTTGAAACACTAGCAAAATAAAAACAAGTAGGGAAATTCCATGGTAAGCCTGACCAGCTAGGAGGAGAAACTAACATAGCAAGTAGGCGTCTTCTAAAAGTTTCCAAAAATATAAACTGTGTCTTTATTTGTAATATGGTGCAGTCAGCAGTTGGGCAGTTAGGCAATCTGCTTCCAGTCCCAGCTTATTGACATTAAGTAGTTTAAGCAAGTCCCTTTCTCTCTCTGGGCCCGAATTTCTTCATGTATAAAAACATGATGAGGGTTAGAGAATTCTGAAGGCCCTTTCCAGTGCTCATGTTCTATGTTTCCATAATCTTCTTTTCTAAAAGCACAGAATTTAGGCCAGACACAGTGGCTCATGCCTGTAATCCCAACACTTTGGGAAGCCAAGGCGGGTATATCACTTGAGGTCAGGAGTTCGAGTCCAGCCTGACCAATATGGGGAAACCCCGTCTCTACTAAAAACACACAAAAAAATGAGCTGGGCGTGGTGGCAGGCACCTATAGTCTCAGCTACCTGGAAGGGTGAGGCAAGAGAATTGCTTGAATCTGGGAGGTGGAGGTTGCAGTGACCTGAGATCGTGCCACTGCACTCTAGCATGACCGACAGAGTGAAACTTCATCTCAGTAAGTAAGTAAATAAATAAATAAATAAATAAGCAAGCAAGCACAGAGTTTAGATTCTGGGTTTTGGCTTCTTCCTGTCCTTCCTAATGCTCAAAATAAATTTCTCTCTGCTTCAACGTGTCACGTGTCATGTATCAACTTATATATAACACAAAAATGTTTGGAAACACTGTATGGGCTTACGAAAGCTGAAGAACACCTGCAATTCCTTTCACATCATAGAAGTATCTTTCTGTGCCTCCACCTCTTGAAGAACAACATTTCACCACCCCTCACCACATGAACACCTGTATACCCCACCCCCACACACTCCATACTTAGTATAAGGTTCCTCTGTGCTTTCTCGTGGACATTCAAAATATTAAAGGAACAATATAACCAAGACAGCCACAGGGTTGTTTTTTTTTTATTTTGTTTTTGTTTTTCCAGACAGAGTCTCGCTCTGTTGCCCAGGCTGGAGTGCAGTGGCACGATCTCCTGCCTCAGTTTCCTGAGTAGCTGGGACTACAGGCACCCACCACCACGCCCAGCTAATTTCTGTATTTTTAGCAGAGACAGGGTTTCACCATGTTGGCCAGGCTGGTCTCGAATTCCTGACCTCGTGTGATCCACCCGCTTTGGCCTCCCAATATGCTGGGATTACAGGCGTGAGCCACCATGCCCGGCCCAGCCATAGGGTTTTGAAGGTATGGGAAAAAAAACGGTCCTTTGTTCTGTATGTCACGACTGGCACTCACCTACCTGGCTCTCTCCCTGTCACTCCTTTTCCATTTCTCCTCTGTGGTTACACAGGTGACACAGCTGGTGGAGACTTACACAGTGATCGAGCATTTGTCTTTTGAACTGCATGATTAACTTTATTCTTGTTTTCACACAGGGAGGAGGCACTGAGGAATTATCACCCCTTGGACACTACACCAGGAGCCCGGCATCATGGGAATTTATCCAGCTTGGTTTTTACAAGTATGTCAAGCCCATGGAATTCTACTTTAAGGCTCTGACCACAAGAGTCAAGTACTTACTATATCTCATACATACATTCACACTCATCACTCAACAGCTAACAAAATTAGCATTTAGGAAATGAATCTGAGAAATGTTTTTTTTAACCTCACCCTGAAGACAAATATACTGACTGTGGTTTGTTTCTGACAAGAAAAAAATTGTGTTTTGAAAGAGATGCTTTCCATGTTCAAAAATCTAATTTCTGTGATTTCTCATCTAACGTCTGATATGGAGACACATATTCAATGGTGCTCAGAAGCAATTGAAAAACAGATGGAAAATACCAGACAAGGGTAGTCAGTCTAGAGAGGGCAGTGAGTTACAATGCATTCAGTCCAACGGGCTCAAGTTCATAGCAACAACTGAGAAACTGACACAACAGAAGGAAGGAAGCAAGGAAACGTGGCCAAGGCTGAGGGGCAAGGTAAGAAAGTGCGTTTCCCTGAGCAGGCAGGGAAGACTGGTTGAAGATTCAAAAGCTTCTAGGCAGTTCTCTAGGGCAGCTGCTGGTCATTCGATTTGAAAGTTACACAGGAAGAGCAGCTGGAGTGGGGCTTACATCAGAGACAAGCCTTCATGCGCAAACCAAAGTGGAAAAAGCCTCCCCGTGCCAGAGGAGTCACTCGAAAACCCAGGAGTGCTTAAAAGACTGCTCTCCTCTGGGACAAAAGCCCAGGCAGGATGGCCCAGAGACATGAAAGCTGTCACCCTTGATAACCACACACTATGGCACTGTGGCAAACTTGGTTTTGTCTCTATGGAGCAGTGAGAAAAGCCAGGAATGATATCATTCCTCCAAAGCTGAGGCAAAGAGGACAGGATCTAAATAGAAGGTTGAAGTTTATAGTAGATTGTTTTCTTTCCAAATGACTGCACATTTGACAGAAATGCCAGGAACAACAAAAACGCATATTTACCAAGTGTTCTTGGTCTGAATCAACACCAACCCTAAAGGAGAAAGACAAAGAGCAAATGAGATTTTGAAGCCAAAAAATGGTCTATTCACACATATACATTGTCAGGCAACTACTTTTCTCAACACAGAAGCTATGGAATGGTTAATGTTTTCTTGCTTCTCTATAGCTGTTGATGCAGATTTTTGGCTCCTGCCACTTTCCTTAGCAACAGCTTGGATTCTAAGGCAAGCAGGGTGTACCCATGATTCTCTTCCTGCAATCTTACTTACCAGTTTCAGAAAAAAACAGCATTTTTTTTCTCTGAATATAGGTCCACTCGAAGCGGAATCAGGGAGAGCAGCACTGCCCCAGTTGCTAAATAAGAATTACTGGCTAGCTCCAAAAACAAGGATGGCACAGTGCAATTCACTTCGCAGCTCTCATGGCAACATTCTGTTACGATGACTGAAGAGAGGGCCCAATTACAGGTTTTTCATAGGCTAATGGATAGACATTAGCCTTGCTTCTTCACAACTCTTGTTTTATCTGTTTAAAATTCCTGCTTTCTGTATCCCAGGGAAAAGCTTCACTACAAAGTTCTCTGGCTCCTCTCTATTCCCTAAACACGGGCACTCACAAACTCTGTTCATTCCTCCTCTAAACGGTCTCTCAAGTCTTCTCTCCTTTCCATCCCAACTGCTCAAGGGCAGCCCTCATCCTGAGGCTCACGGGCTCTGTCGTGGAAGCTTTTCCAGCTGCCAGGCTCTCCCCGAGAGTCAGCTGTCGCCAGCATAGAGCTCGCTGTGTTACTCCCTTGACAAAGGACTCTGAGAGTGGCTTACAACCCAGAGGGTCAAGTCTGAAGTCTTTTGTGGGGCATTCAAGACTCTCTACAAACTAGCATCCCCACCCCACTCCAACCTACTTTTCCATCCTCATTTCCCATCATTCTCTTCTACATGCCCCATTCTAGCTATACCTGCCTGCTCATCTCCCCAAATCCATCCTCTCCTGTGCCTCCCATGCCTTTGCTCATGCTGTTCTCTCCAGCTGCAATGTGCTTTCCCTCATTTTTTAAGCGATTTTCAAGTTCCAAAGTAACCATTCTACGACCCCTTCAAGCAGAATCATTTTCTCCTCTGTGCATCTGCAGCACTTTCTACAGTCCTTTATTATGATACTTAGCACAGTAGAGTATAGTTATTTACCTGTCAGTCTCCCCAAAAAGACTGTGAGTTCCTTGAGGGTAAAGGCCATGTCTCAATTCATCTCTGTATCCCCAGAGTCTAGCACAGTACCTGACACACAATAGGTGCTCAAATGTTTATTGATTAAATTAACTACTACAGACAACACAGAAAAAATAGCAGTACTAGAAGCTGTAGCAGTAGCATCCCAGAACACAAATAACACTGAAGGGAGAAAATGATGCAAGGCTGCATCTGGAAAGCAAGGGAACCATGGTCAAGGACCTGAAAACAGATTGCTATGACCAGATTCATAATTCAAAGAATGGCTCATTTTTCCTTTGTTAAAATGGCCAGGAGCTGTTTTAACATCTTCTCAGTCACATTAAACTCTAACCACATTTATGCATCTCCAGTGACATCTAGTGGTCTTGAAGATAGCACACTTGTAATAGATGGTACATTATTAGAAGCTAAGTCAATGTAATAAACATTTATAGAGCACTTATTATTTGCCAGGCACTGTACTAGGCACAGGGCATAGAAATGAATTAAACATGGCCCCTGCCCTCAAGGAACTCACAGACTAGTGGGGGAAACCAACACAACTAGGGCATAATCCCTAAGGGCTTCTATCAGGGAGCTCTGGGTTCAAATCTGGACTTGGCTGCTTTCTAGCTGTGTGAACTCAGTCAAGTGAGGCAGTCTTATAAATCATCACTTTATCACCTGGAAAATGGGGCTAATATCCACCACACAGAGTTGCTGCAAGGATTTAATGAGAAAATGTATGAAAAGCTTTTAAAAGAGTATCTGAAACATTAACACTAAGTGGCAGCTCTTATAACAATATTATCACAAGACTGAATAAAATAAGTGCTACAATGAAGAGGCCCAATGTTGCACCAACATAAGAGTGGTTCCGAGGGAAAAGAACAGAGGGAAAAGGAGGTGGCACTTAGCTGTGTCATTTACTGACAGTGAAAGAGCATTCCAGGCAGAGGGAACAGTATGAGCAAAGGCTCAGAGACGCAGAAGTGCAAAGCATGTGTAGTAAATGATAGAAATGTGACTGTCACAAACTATGTGAAAGGACATGGGAATAGCTGGCTGTTTCAAATTTACTGTGGATCCACCGTTCACATGACAACTAAAGTGAACCTTTTACACTGTAAATGACTTCATGTCACTCCCTTGCTTTAAAATCCTCCAGGATTTCCAATTGTATTTTAAAATCCAAATCCCTTACCATGTTCCACAAGACTATACATTAGGGGTCCACAAAGTACAGCCTACAGGCCACATCAGCACCTCTTCTGTTTTTGTAAATAAAGTTTTACTGGGATACAACCACACCAATTGATTTATATATTGTCTAGGGCTGCTTTCACACTAGAGTTGAGTAGCTGAGACAGACCATATGGCCTCCAAAGCCTGATATATTTACTCTCTGGCCCTTGACAGTTAAGTGTGCAGAACCCCTGCTTCCATAGGATCTTGCCAACCTCACTTCCTATCTACCCTTCAGTCACTATACTCCGGCCATGAGAGTTTTTTTCCTGTTCATTCAACAGGCCAAGTTTGTCCCTTCCTCAGGACATTTGTACAACTTGCTCTTCCCTCTGCCTAGACTGCTCTTCTTCCTGATGACTGTTTAACTGGCACCATCTAGTCACGTAGGTAAGACTGAACTCAAACATAACCTCTCAAAGAAACCGTCCCTGGCCTCCTTGTATCAAAAACACCCCCATCCCCAGTCACTATCACAGTACCTTGCCCGATTCCCATCACAGCATTTAATATCATCTGCAGTTATCAGGTTCATTTATGTGTTACTAGCTTATTGTCTGTCTTCTCTCACTAAAGTATGGATGTTATGAGTCGAGGAACCTTTTCTATCTTATTTTGATCACTGTGCTTCTCTAGAGGAGGATTTCTTAACCCTAGCATTACTGACATTCTGGCCTAGATAATTCTCTGTTGGCAGGTGGTGAGGAGCCTGTCCTATGCATTGTAGCATGTTTAGCAGCATCCTTGGCCTCTACTCACTAGATGCCAGCAGAGGCCCCCTCTTCCAGTTGTGACAACCAAAAATGTCTCCAGAAAGTGCCAAATGTCCCTTGGGCGGGGGGCAAAATTCTCCCCAGTTAAGAAGCACTGAGGCTGGGTGAGATGGCTCATGCCTGTAATCCCAATACTTTGGGAGGCTGAGGCGGGCGAATCACTTGAGGCCAGGAGTTTGAGACCAGCCTGGCCAACATGGTGAAACCCCATATCTACTAAAAATACAAAAATTAGCCAGGTGTGGTGGTGCATGCCTGTAATCCCAGCTACTTGGGAGGCTGAGGCAGGAGAATTGCTTGAACCTGGGAGGCGGAGGTTGCAACGAGCTGAGATTGCACCACTGCACTCCAGCCTAAGCGACAGAGCAAGACTCTGTCTCAAAAAAAAAAAAAGAACCACTGAGTTGTAACCTACAGTGCCCGGCACATGGCTGGTGTTCAGTAAATGTTTATTGAATGAATGAATAAAAGGTAATTTGAAATGCTGTGCTAAGAACTTTACAGATATTAGCTCACTGAATCCTTACAACAACCCAAGGAGGTAGGTACTATAACATACATGTTACAGATGAGGAAACCGAGGCTTTAAAAGGTTAAAGAACTTGCCAAAGATCACAGAATTCATCAGTGAAGGGGCAAGAACTCAAAGCCAAGTCTAAGTCTGCATGAATCTTAAACTTTCAGGACTTTGCAGTGCCCTTAAAATTGTACTAGACAAATTTGGGGGGAGGGAAGAAAAGCTTAAAATACAGCCCCTGTTCACGAAGAGGCCAAGAATAATGCCAATAAAACAAGAAGGCAATAAGAAGTAACCTAAGACTATAAGACAATATTATAATTAAGTGACCAACTATGTTACAGGACAGGCACTATGCGGCCAAAGAGCTTTGACAGCTAGTGATGTAGATTAAATTTTGTGTGAGTAGGTACGTTTTTGTCTTTTCTTTTTGCGGGGATGGTAAGCGTAGATATTTTGTTTGGTTTGTTCTTACATTTAATTTTGTTATCCTTAGGACAATGAGGGAAAGTCTTCATCTACAAGCTCTTGAGAAAAGAAAGGAACTGTGTCCTTTCAAAATGTACCATGACCATTATTTGATGAAATTAATTTCTAAAAAAATTAAGAAAGACTGGAGGCTCCTCTGCCTGCCATTTAATTATCCAGATGACCTTGAACAACTCAGAACCTTTCTAAGCCTCTATTTCATCCCTTGTAAAATGGAGTTATCATGTTTGGATAAATATGTAAAATGTACTTAGCACAATGCCCAGCACATAGTAAGTGTTCAATAAATGCCAGGTCCTCCCTAAAGTAATAATTAAGGTTATAAGAACATTATTTTTGTGTATTTTATACTATGCACAATAAAAGCACAGAAATTATAAGAGATTTGAATAGTAAAGAGAAATTAAGACAATAACAACAACATTCAAAGTGTGATTTAGGGCTGGCTGGTTTTTAGAAGTCTTAAAAAAGGTGTAATAGAATTTAAAAAAATGGAGGACAGGATCTATAAAGTGTGAAATACTGTTTTCTCTAATGAGTCCTATGTATTCTGGAAGCTTGGTAGCTCTTAATGTCTATGAAGTTTCAGCCAAACACAGAACTCAAATCTACAAAGGCTTTAGCAGCATAGGCTGCTGTATCCATGGAAACAAATGCAGAACTCTTGAGATACAAGGGAGCTTTCAAATTGAATACATTAACTGGTACACATTCAAGACTAAGACCTCACGATCTCGGCTTTGGATTGTTAGGTTAAAAACAGTGCTGATGAGAAAAATGATAATATCTAGTAGTGATTAGGGTTGGAGTAAACCGCATTGTCTCATACATTGCAGGTGGAAGGCAAATTTTTTATCTGACCTGGTGATATTGATCAAAAGCCTTAAATATATACATATCCTTTTGAGCAAGCAATTTCATTTCTAGACATGCATTCTAAAAAATAATCAAACAAGTACACAGTGGTGTATACATTTAAGAATGTTCACATCGTTAACGGTAATAGTAACAGCAAAATCCTCAAATGGTAATGGTAATAGCAAAATCCTAGAAACAATACAAAAGTCCAACAACAGGGTTTTGATTAAGTAAATCAGGACATATGCAGCCATTAAAGCAATGATGTAAATATATTTACAATGTAAATGTCCATGCTATATTACATTTAAAAATCAGGCTACAAGAGTACCTTCAGTGTTGCCCCTTTTTGTCAAAAATATATATCATGTATAGCAAAAGATCTGGAAAGATATCCCTCAAAGTCTTAACAATGAATTTTTCTTTTGCATATATATTTTCCTTTTTCTGTACTATATATTACATACTTTTTAAAAGGAAAAAATAAAACATTACAGATTCTCCAAAGATTAAAAATTGAAAACAGGCAGAAAAATAAACCAAATTAAAATTTAATCTTAAAATGAGGTCTCTAGTTAGTACTTACCTGATATGCAAGCATGACAGCATTGCAGTGGTGCCACCACCAAATACCCACACGGTAAAAAACACAATCAGAAGCGTGGTGCTGAACATCATTTGCCGTGCATAAGTGGCAGTATCTCGAATGGCCAAGGCAAATGCCATTGCACCACGAAGGCCTACAGGGGAACAGAAAAGGTATTTCTTCAATAACTCATTACCAATGCAAGCTTCATAAATTCAGAGCAAGAAAGCACGTTCTAAAAACTTAGAAGCATGTGAACAAATATGCAGTAAATATTAACATACTTAAATATGTCCAGGCTGTGCATGGTGGCTCACACCTGTAATCCCAGCACTTTGGGAGGCCGAGGTGGGCAGATCACCTGAGGTCAGGAGTTCGAGACCAGCCTGACCAACATGCCGAAACCCCATCTCTACTAAAAATACAAAAATCAGCCAGCCATGATGGCGCATGCCTGTAATCCCAGCTACTTGGGAGGCTGAGGCAGAATTGCTTGAACCAGGGAGGCAGAGGTTACAGTGAGCTGAGATTGTACCACTGCACTCCAACCTGAGTGACAGAGCAAGACTCCATCTCGGAAAAAAAAAAAAAGTACAAACAGAAATAGAATTTGTGTATGTTACTTACTGACATGCATTGATGTTTCAGTAATTTTTTTAAATTCACTTTTCATTTACAAACAGTAAAATTCACTCTTTTTGGTCTATAGCCACATGAATATTGGCAAATTCATAGAGGTGTGTGTGACTACTACTACAATCAAGACACAGAATGGTTTCATCATCCCTCCCCCTGTCAAATTTCTTTGTATTACCCTTTTTTAGTCTAACCTCTTGTCACTCCATCAAACCCCTGGCAACCACTGATGCATTCCCCATCGCTACGACTTTGTCTTTTTGTGAATGTCATATAAAGGGAATCACACAGCAGGTAACCTTTCAAGACTGGCTTCTTGCACTTAGCATAATGCCTCTGAGATTCATCCATGCTGTATGGGTAAATTGTTTGTTCTTTTTAGTGCACAGTAGTATTCCATAGCATGGATGTATCACAGTTTGATTAGCTATTTGACCACTGAGAGACAGACAAGTGGGTTGTTTCCAGGTTTTGGCAATTATGAAAAGAACTGCTATACATTCACCTACTGGTTTTTGTTTGAAAATGACTTCATCCTTATCTTTCTCACTTTGTATGACATAATTCTGAACCAAGGATTTGGAATCAGAATATGAAAAATTCCCACAGAAGGGAATGGGACACTATATATATATATATATATATATATATATATATATATATATATATATATATATATATATACATTTTCTTTTTCTATTCAAGGATGCAACTTCAATGTTTAAAGGAGTATTATAGGCCAGGCGTGGTGCCTCATGCCTATAATCCTAGCACTTTGAAAGGCCAAGGTGGGTGGATTACTTGAGGTCAGGAGTTCGTGACCAGCCTGGCCAACATGGCGAAACCCCATCTCTACTAAAAATACAAAAATTAGCCAGGCATATTGGTGCATGCCTTGTAATCCCAGCTACTTGGGAGGCTGAGGCACGAGAATTGCTTGAACCTGGGAGGCAGAGGTTGCAGTGAGCCAAGATCGTGCCACTGCACTACAGCCTGGGCGACAGAGTGAAACAGTGTCTCTAAATAAATAAATAATATAAAAATAAAGGAGTATTATATGACCAGCATAACATCTCAGTGTTACATCAAGCTGGCACACGCATTGTGAATGGTTGCTTGAAGTGGGCAAGAGAAGAAAGTTACAACTTACCAGCAAACATCATCATGTGTTGAAAATTTGATCCAATCTTACTTCTTCTACCCAAATTAAGTAAGAGGGACAAGGGGTAAATATTGGCAGCTCTTCCCAAGAAAATAGCAACCTAAAATTATTAATAGGTTAAGGATCATTTCATTTTACTATTAATATTATTTAGACTATACACTCAAGATGGTGAAAGACTATTTTAGGGAACTCAGTTTCTAACACACAGTCTCTTGGTTCCATTGTCTAACATAACACTGTCCAACAGAACTTTCTGCAATGATGGAAATTTTCTATATCTGAACTGTCCAATTTGGTGAGCACCTGAAATGTGGCTAGAGTGATCAAGGAACTGAAAATTTATTTCATTTTAATTACTTCAAATTAAAATAATCACATTTGGCTAGTTGCTACCAAATCAGACAGAGCAAGTGTAACATGCAGGAAATTTACTAGATTAAGAGAAACACGTTTAAAAGCAGTTTCTTTACTATACTTTTAAGATTATTAATAGAATAGGTTAATTCACTTTCATTGTCAGTGTTGGTAGGAAGAAGAGTAATACTGAGAAAACTTCCCCTTCCTTCCTCAGAACAAAGAAAAGGGCAGCTGAATCACCACCTCACAGCACTAAAATGGCTACCAGTCCCACTGTACTCCACTAAGTTTATACTTCCAACTTGCTTCAAAGGGAAAGTTTAATGTGAATTCAGATTGGTTTTAACTAGAAACCAATTTTAGTATCTTTTTCTCCAGTTTGCTGTCTATGGGACTCCTGCTTTATGATGGCAATTTTTATTTCAGGAGTCACGATACAGTCTCCATCCCATTTCCTGAGAAAAATATAAGGGAAAATCTAAGATTAAAAACAGAACAAGGCCAGACATGGTGGCTCACACTTGTAATCCCAGCATTTTGGGAGACCGGGGCGGGAGGATAGCTTGAGGCCAGGAGTTCAAGACCAGCCTGGCCATCATGGCAAAAACCTGTCTCTATTAAAAATACAAAAATGAGCCGGGTGTGGTGGTGTACACCTGTAATCCCAGCTACTCTGGTGGCTGAGGCACGAGAATTGCTTGAACCCAGGAGATGGAGGCTGCAGTGAGCTGAGATCGTGCCACTGCACTCCAGCCTGGGTGACAAGAGCGAGACCCTGTCTCAAAACAAACAAGGTAGGGGGAATGGTGTTGGTCTAAGTAACTTTGGAAAACAGAAGAATCTGTAAGACTAAAGACAGAAGACACTGCACAAAAGCATTCTATGCTCATGACAAAGCTGTTTCCCATGGGAACACTGGTTAACAATTCTGAAACTATTATACATGTATACTGAAACTGAACAATTAGGTAAATGGATGGCAAGTGGTGACAACAAGGTTTCTTACTGTTAGAATGGGAGTTTACAGTTCAGAAAGAGGAGGAGGCCAGAATCATCCATGTGGTAATGAATTAAAGTTGGAGACATCAGTATGAACCCATATTGAGCTTAACAGAGATACAGATGGTTATATGCAGAAATATGTATAGATATATGTGTATATATGAGTTAGTATATATATCTACATATATGGATATATAGATATATACATATCTAACTCCTTGCTCTGTCAGCTGAGAGAGCCTAGAAGCAATCTGTCAGCTGAGACGGCCTAGAAGCAAAGACACCAAGTAACACTGAGCACACCTAGTGCTCAGATTTTGGTTTCTAATACTATTCTCCAATAAAAGGAACCAGGACTTCTTGGAGAAATGGCCAATTCTTGGGCTGAGCCAGAACAGATACAAGATGAGCCTGAAGCATCTTATAGTTCCAGGGAGTAAGGAAGTACTCAAAAAAAAAAAATTAAAAACAATGATGAAGATAAAAATTAAAAACAATGATGAGGATATATCAAAGGCACACAGGAGAGCCTGCCAAAAGAGCTCTCAATGGCCAAGCTGGAACAGTTTCAGCAAGAAAATAAAAAAGTTGTATTATAACTCAAAGTATAAAATAAATATCAGTGAATCCATATTGATATAAATAAATGACTGGGCTGGGTGTGGTGGCTCACGCCTGTAATTCCAGCACTTTGGGAGGCTGAGAGGCGCAGATCACTTGAGGTCAGGAGTTCAAGACCAGAGTGGCCAACATGGCGAAACCCTGCCTCTACTGAAAATATAAAAATTAGCCGGGCGTGGTGGCGCATGCCTGTAATCTCAGATCATGCCTGTAATCTCAGCTACTCAGGAGGATGAGACAGGAAAATCGCCTGGACCCGGGAGGCGGAGGTTGCAGTAGGCTGAGATCATGCCATTGCACTCCAGTCTGGGCAACAAGAGTGAAATTCTGTCTCAAAAAAAAAAGTAATAATAATTAAAAAATGACTGAATAAAACAATAAATGAGGAAGAATAGATAAATCTCCTGTGTGAAAAATTCCAAATAATTTTGCTGATACTCTGTCCTCAAGGAGGTGGAACCTAACTCCCCATTCCTCAATCCTTGCTCATAGCAACTTCCTTCCACGCAGTACAACATGGCGGGGGAAGGGGGGGGAATGTGTAACTTTATAATGGATAAATCTGACAAACACTATCTCAACCAAGTGATTAAGACTATCGTCAACATTATTAAGTATATACCCTTCATATAATGTGATGAGAATGGCATTTTACCTCTGTGGTCTTCCTCCCAAAGAACATGTAACTCCAGTCTAATCATGGGGAAAATATCAGACAAGTTCCAACTGCAGGACATTCTACAAAACACATGGCTAGTACCCCTCAACACTGTCAAGGGTCACCAAAAACAATGAACACATATGAGAAACTGTCACAGTCAGGCAGAGCCTAAGGGGACATGACAACTAAATGTAATGTGGTATCCTGGATGGGACCCTGGAATAGAAAAAGGACATTAGGGAAAAACTATGGGAATCAGAATAAAGTTCAAACGTTAGTTAGTAATATCAATATTAGTTCATTCACTGTGACAAATGTACCATGCTAATATGTTAATAATAGGGGAAACTGAGTGCGGGGCATATGAGAACTTTCTGTATTATCTTCACAATTTTTCTGTAAACCTAAAACTATTCTAAAATCAAACATTTATTTTAAAAAGTGATTCCCTAAAAAGAAAAGAAAATGTAACCACGAAACATGTGGGCCAACGTGGCAGTGACTGCTAGTTCTCCCCAACATCTGTTCTTGCTTTCTTCCTTGGTAGTTGGCACTCCTCCCTTTCATCTTTATGCAGCCACCCAGATAAAGTATATAACTCCTAGCCTCCCTTGTGAGTAGGTGTAATCAATGATGTTAAGTGGAAGGGACGTGTGCACATTCTGGGTCAAGCCCTTCAAGGCAACGGGCAGACAGGGGTGAGCCACGTTGGATCACAAGAACAACAGCAAGTCCCTAAGGATGTTAGCAACAATATTGCTTCAGTCCCTGATGACCCTATGCAGCAGAACTGCCATACCAGTTCAGATTTTTAGATAAGAAAGAAATTTCTATGTTGTTTAAACCTGGATTAGTTTGAGTCTTTTCACATGAAACCAACCTATGTCCTAACTAACATAGCCAGAAATAGAGCAACTCTCTCCTGTTACGAGGCCATTTTCATGGTAGGATTTTGTATTGAGGAATTTTAATTCCTAACAGACTCAGAAACCTACAGAGAATATTTAGCTTTGTTTCCAGACTAAGTATAGTGGATCGAGCCACTTTACTGCTCCAAATTTTCTCCAAGACTAGCAGGACATTAAGTTACTGATCTCATGGTTATCTTTCAGCTAAGAACTTCTCTTATTAACAGTACTTTATCTTTTTTGCCTAAAGTTCATTCACAGACTAAGGCTCTGCAGAATAGTATTTCAGTAATACTTCGCTTTCTAACAGAGATCCTATCTAGAGTTTTAATTAAAAAAAAAAAAACTTCCACTAATCTCTTTGGCAGAATCTTCATTCTGATGTGAGGTTTTAAAATATTTCTTTTAAAAATTCCTTATTCAAACATTCCCACTGACCACAATTGCTCCTTCCATATTTTGTGTTCAACTATCCCACTCTGATCATTCCTCCATAGCACTGGGACCTTCAGTCCAAAGATCCCTATATTCTTTCCTTAAACAATGTCTTCTTTCCTCACTTCCCTTCTTATCATCATGTTAATAACACCTTTTAATGTTAAACATTAAATGAAGTGTTTAGAGTGCATCAGTCATGTAATAACACTATGATCTCTTGTCCTTCTGTTTTCATTGCACCCACTTGAAAAAACTCCAAACCTGGAAGGAGCCAACTATCTCTTTTTTCCATGCTTACAGTAAGTACTGCTGGACAAACTCATTCAATGGGGCAGATTGGTTCTACTGCTAATTCCTATTTCTCAAACACAATGGATCCCTAGTACTTCTTAGCAGTCCTGTTGAGTTTCTTTGGTCAACTTATTCTCCCACTCTCTACAACAACTATTTCACGAACCTCCATCTTCCTCAAAATCCCTATGATCTGTGTAAGCCATCCCCCAAGATAGTCCCTAACCATCCCTGCCTCTTAGTATTCACACCCTTGTGTAGTCCCCACCCACACTGTACCAGGTTGGTCTGTATAACCAACAGAATATTATGGAAGTGACGCTGGTATGCCTCTTCAAAGATTAGGTTACAAAAGGCACTTCGGCTTTCATTTTAGGGCTCTCTCAGCTCACTCAGTTTGGGGGAAGAAGCCATGTTGTAAGCTGCCCTATGGAGATATCCACGTGAAGAATAGAAGCCTCTTGCTGACAGTGATGTGAGTTGAGTGAGCTTGCAGTGGATTCCCTGGCCCTAGTCAAGTCTTGAGAAGGTGCAGTCCCAGCCAAGAGCACAACTGCGACCTCTTAAGAGATCCTGGAGCCAGAATCACCCAGATGAGCTGCTCCAGGATTCCTGACCCTCAGAAACTGTGTGAGATAATAACTGTCTGTTGTTTTAAGCTGCTAAATTTAAGGTAATTTGTTACACAATAGATAACTCCCTATCTTACTCTCAGCAGATGATCTCACCTCCTACTTAACAGATAAACATAGAAGCCATCAGAGAGGATGGCTCCATCTTACAAATGTGCCTTCATTTCTACATACCCTATCCTCTCCTGTAGTCATGGTGGAGTTGTCTCTCCTTCCAGTGAAGGCAAAATTTCTCTCTACATGCTTTGGATTTCATTCCTGCCTTCTCAAGAGGCTTTCACTATTGCCTCCTCTCTTTCATATACTCAGTTTCTTCCTTCCAACTGTTTTTTGGTTTTTTGGTTTTTTTTTTTTTGAGACAGGGTCTCCCTTTGTCACCCAGTCTGGACTGCAGTGACCCAATCACAGCTCACTGCAGCCTCAAACTCCTAGGCTCAAGGGATCCTTCCACCTTACCCTCCCAAGTAGCTTAGACTACAGGCATGAACCACCATACCTGGCTAGTTTTTAAAATTTTGTTTGTAAAGATGGGGTCTTGCTACATTGCCCAGGTTGGGGTTTTTATTTTATAAGACTCTTTGTATATATATGAGAGAAAGAGAGAGGGAGAGAGAGGGGTTGGGGGAGGGAGAGAAAGAGAAAGAAAGTGGCCTCATTCAACGTTTCCTTATCTTTCGCCTTCTGCCCTGTGGCATAGACTGCTAACTGCTCCCCAGTATCCAACCTCTCCTTCCCTGTAGTAATAAAGGGAAAACACTTATCTTTTGGGGTTGGCAGAACAGTGGGACACTTGTCTGTCATTTTAATCTGTCAACATTATTTGTGCAATAACCACAAATTGAAATAGAATATAATAAAATAAATAGACTAGAAAAAAGAGCTGGAATCCTTATTTGTTTTACTCAGAGGAAAACTGTATATATTTAAATGTATTCTTATGAACCACATACTCAAAACCCACATGAAAATCTCAATTAAAAATATTTTCAAAATAAAACACATAATAAAGGATACAAATGCTCCTACTACAAATGTTGGGTTAAAGACATGGTTCTGGAAGGTGAACAGTGTCAGCCCCATGTAGGAGAAGATGAAATTCTCTGCCAAGAAATTGAGAAGCTCAAACAACTGAAACGAAATTGTAAAAGATTAGTCCAGCAAATAAAGTTACATAATTTGAAAGCATGAGTATTACTAAGATATTAAAACAGACACTCATATATATAAACTTCATGCATACACACAAAATATGTGGTTCAGAAGGGAGCAAATGTGGAGACGACATTTCTAGTCCTGCAGAAAAAGCCAGGAATGTTGCCCCCTCATTTCCCCTAACAGCTTCCCTTCTTCAAAGCCCCATCTTCAATTATTCCTCTCCTCTTCCTCCAAACTGTCAGTTTTTTTTAATGTTCCTGTGTCCCTGCTACTGCCTTAGTCAAACTTTCATCACTTCCTACCCATAATGATGAGAAAGGACCTCTAACCATCCCTCATCCTCCAGCTCCCCCAAACCAATGAATCTCTAAAACTGATAGTTTCAAGATACTTTCCTCTTGCAAGCTATAAGATTCATTTCAACTTTCTGATCCTAGCATAGAGTGCTTCGTGAGAACTCTCGTACTCCCAGCTTGCCCTGTGACTTCACTTTTTGCGTGGGTCTTCCTCTCGTATAGGGAGTAAGCGTCCTACAGATAGGGGCTTCCACATTGTGGAAGAGATCGATCTGTAGGATAGCAGAACTATCTGTGGGGGGAACTAAACCCTGCTGCCCGCCTGCCCCATCCCATTCACATCATAGCCTTGGCAATGGTATATGATACTTGCTGAATGAAGTTAAGGCCCTTCATAATCTCGTGTCCCTCTGGCCACCAGAGTTATCTACAATGAGCCCTCTGACACATAACAGAATAGTGGTTAAGAACATGGGCTTAAGAATGAAAATGCTTAGGCTTGAGCCCTGTCTTCCCCTTTGCTGGCTGTGTGGCTTTGGGCAAATTAGTTAATCTCTTTAAACCAGGGTTGCCTTATTACCCAAAAATGAGAATAAAAATTAAAATAAGTAAGCGTATATTTATTTTTCTTTAAATGATTTAATATGCTATTATTACTACTTATTTATACTAATGATAACAGCTATACCTTTTTCAGTTTTTACCGTGTGTCTGATACTATACTAAGGACTTCATATGCATTATCTCGTTTTAATCCCACAAAAACTCAGTGAGGTAGGTATTATTATTATCTCCATTTTCAAAGATGGCAAAACTGAAGCACAGAGAAGTTATGGAACTTCCTCCTGGTCACACAGCCAGCAAGTAGTAGAACCAGGATTTAAAACAATACAGTGACTCCAGAGTCCCAGCTTTACTTTGCAACATAGGGATCGGCAAACTTTCCCATGAATGGCCAGAGAGTAAACATGAGAGGATTTGCAGGCCAAGAAGTCTCTGTCACAACTACTTCACTCTGCCAGTGAAGCACAAAAGCAGCCATAGACTATATATTTTAAAAAATGGGTGTGGCTGTGTGCCAAGAAAATTTTATTGGTGGACATGGAAATGTGAATTTCATATAACTGTCATGGGTCACAACATATTCTTCTTTTGATCTTTTGCCAACCAATTAAAAATGGATGGAAAGAAAACCATGCTTAGCTCACTGGCAAGGGCCGGATGTGGCCGGAGGGCTGGAGTCCGCCACCCTCTGCTCTACACTTTACTGCCTTCTTTTTATTCCTGCCTTTATCTGTACTGCCTCCCCTAGGCCTTCCTAAATCTTCCCCATCCTTCTAAGGGTACTGTTTCTTCTAGGATACTTTCCAGATCCTCAAGCCTCAAACCATTTCCCCTACTTCTCTGATGTCTTCTATGACATATAATCTGAAGTACATAATCTAGGATTCCTATTCCTCATATTTCTTAAATGTACATAAGCTTCATATCATATCACCAACAACACTGGAAGCTCTTACCCTGTTCTAGTTTTTTGTTGTTTGTTTGTTTGTTCTTGAGACAGAGTCTCGCTCTGTCATCCAGGCTGGAGTGCAGTGGCACGATCTCAGCTCACTGCAACCTCCGCCTTCCGGGTTCAAGCGATTCTTCTACCTCAGCCTCCTGAGTAGCTGGGACTACAGGCGCAAGCCACTACATCCGGCTAATTTTTGTATTTTTAGTAGAGACGGGGTTTCACCATGTTGGCCAGGCTGGTCTCGAACTTCTGACCTCGGGTGATCCGCCCGCTTTGGCCTCCCAAAATGCTGGGATTACAGGCGTGAGCCACAGCGCCCGGCCTGTTCTTGTTTTTTATTCCCTTCCCACGACCTGGAAAAATGCTGACTCCCCTCCCCCACCGCCCCCTGCCAGCTGATTTTCTTCTCTTTACTTATTGCACTGAATTAATTTGTAAAAAGGATTTGTAGCCCTAATGTATACACTTGGGGGAAAAAGCCTAATCTCTTTTGAGGGGCTGGGGAAAAGCATAGGTCATAAACTTGATTTGTGGCTCTAGCCGGAAGAAGAAATACTGTTGCTCCTGCTTTTAGCACCACTCCTTTTCAGGCGAATCCCACAACCTTCTTGTCATTTGGCAAAATTTAAACCTTCTGTTTCTCACTATAGCCATAATCAAGTATGCACCTATTTCTATTCCAGACATTACACTTTTTTCATGTATTTGTCCCACATACCTCCTAAGACTGGAAAAATTGTATTCCTATCTCCTTTATAATTCCCTTCAGATACCCTGCACAACTGATCATTCAGTACCAAATAAAACCAGACCACTGACTAGTCCCCTGACATTCCTGGAAACATAGTAGCTTTGCAGCACCTGAGCGGACTGAAGGAAGTTTATCTTCTCTTAGTAGGTCTAATCAGATCAGAAGCTAATCTTACCTATGTCATGTCTTAGAAGGTCTAGTAATATCAGAAGTTAATTTTCTTTATGTCATCTCTTAGTAGGTCTGGTCAGATCAGAAGTTAACCTTATCTACGTCACACAGCAGTAGTTCAAGTAAAACCAGAGTGAGCTTCCAAAACATTCCCCTTAAAAGCCATTAAATTGGGAAAACACTGAGAAAAAGGGAAGCTACTTCACTGGTTATTGAAGCCACAATAGTAACAGTCTCTGGCTATTCTGCTGATCTATTTCCACCCTAAATGCTGTCATTCTTCATTTTGCCAATCCCACCTACTTTTAGAGTCAAAGGAAGAGGAGCCAAAATGAGTAGATAGCATCTTGAACAGATCAAAGACTATTTTTTTTTTTTAGTAAAAAAGACTTCTATTTTGCTGAAAGAAGGAAAAGCCTATTCACAAACTATAAAGTTCCTCTTACCTGTTTAGTTCTATGCTGAGACTCCGTGGACAAATTATTATACGTATAATGTGCTTGTGTGATGCCACAAAACAATACTGCAACTACACCTATAAAGACAACAAATTCCAAGTTCACATAAAAGGATGGTTCCCACCTTTTATACTGAGGTTCTTTCTTCACAGTAGATTATAGGCTTTGTCTGGAAATTCTCATTTGTGACTTACTTTGTTAAGAGGAACCACTTCCACTGAAAATTTTTTTTTATGTTCTAAAGCAACAACCTAAATCCCAACCACAATAAGTATGTTCAAATACTAACGGAGCTGATCCACTTGGAGCAAAATTGACTGGCAAAGTCACTCCTTTTAAGGGTTGACAATCAAAGGGAGCAAGTCACCTACCTGTGAAGCCCCATGCTTCAGCCAAGAGGAAGGTACTCCAGGACATCAAGAAGAACAGGCCTGTCTCCAACAACTGGAACTCCCGTAATTTGGTGAACTTTGTCACGTAAGACTGTTAAGGCTAGTAATGAGATCTTGTAACACAAAAGTGTGACTAGAAAAAATAACAGTTTAAGCAAGGCAACCATGAAAGAAAGGTTCTCTAGCTTCTCTAACACAGAAATCTCAGAATAAGGTACCACCAGAATAGGGAGACTTTTAAAATGAGCATCTTACTGAGGAGTCAGCTGCCTTCCCTTCAGTGAGGAAGCCTTACGGCTTAGCCACTCCAATTGTTTCACGGGTATCACACACCTTGCCAGAAACCATGCAGTAAAGGATAGATAGAGACGGGAGTAACAGATCAGATCTATAACATGCCACCTCTATTAATCTGAGACCCAAAGCTAGACAGCTTCCATAATTGTAGCAATTTACATTTATAAAAATACATAATTTCCAAGAGATTTTACACGAATTTGATCCTCTACCACTTCTATGATATAGAGCATTCATTCCATGATGAAGAAATTGAGGCACTTCACTGCTTTATACTAGTTTAACAAGTATTTGTTAGCTGACAGTGGAAGGGCCTGTGCCAAGTTACGACCAATCTCAGGCTAGAATCTAGAGTCATTTCTACAACTAGGCACTACAACAAAATGATTAACAAGATATACTTTCTACCCTCAAGGAACTTGTAATGGGGAAGAGATACTATCACTCTTGGCATCACCTTCAGAACTCTTTTTACTGCTGCTTTATGCCTCAGTTCACTTATAAAAAGCCATAAAAGAAGCCTCTTCCAGCACAAGGCTGAAGTATACCAAACTAAGAAGTCCTTGACAAAGAATAACGTATCTGTTTTATACAAGTATCATAGAAGTTTTAGAGCTGGAAACTTTTTTGTTTTGTTTTGTTTTTTTGAGACGGAGTCTCGCACTGTCGCCCAGGCTGGAGTGCAGTGGCACCATCTCGGCTCACTGCAAGCTCCGCCTCCTGGGTTCATGCCATTCTCCCGCTTCAGCCTCCCGAGTAGCTGGGACTACAGGCGCCCACCACCATGCCCGGCTAATTTTTTGAATTTTTAGTAGAGACGGGGTTTCACCGTGTTGGCCAGGATGGTCTCGATCTCCCGACCTTGTGATCCGCCCGCCATGGCCTCCCAAAGTGCTAGGATTACAGGCACGAGCCACTGCACCAGGCCAGAGCTGGAAACTCTTTAGACATCATCTAGTCCCACTCCTCTTTCCTACCGTCCCCACCCTCCAATTTCCTACACTGAGATCCAAAGAGGTGAAGTGTCAAAGCTTCTAGCATGTTTGTGTCTGCCACTATATCGAAAGCACCAGGGAGGCAGAGGTCATGTTTGTCTTCTTTAGCTTTGATACACAGAGCACAGCACATGTAGCAGGTGATCCAGACATGCCTTCTGGCTTTTTGTTTTGGGTGGGGGGTTTAAAACATGTTTTTAGGCCGGGCACGGTGGCTCATGCCTGTAATCCCAGCACTTTGGGAGGCCGAGGTGGGTGGATCACTTGACGTCAGGAGTTCGAGATCAGCCTGGCCGACATGATGAAACCCCATCTCTACTAAAAATATAAAAAAACTTGCTGGGTGTGGTGTTGCGCACCTGTAATCCCAGCTACTTGGGAGGCTGAGGCGGGGGAATCGCTTGAACTCGGGAGGCGGAGGTTGCAGTGAGCCGAGATCGTGCCATTGCACTCCAGCCTGGGCGAAAGAGTGAGACTCCGTCTCAAAAAAACAAATAAATAAATAAAAATAAAATTTGTTTTTATAGATTCAGGATGCACAAGTGCAGTTTTATGACATGGATATATTGCATGGTGGTGAAGTCCGGGATAAAATGGCCTTTGCATGAACACAAGAATAACTTGACTAAGTGGTAGTACCAGGACTACAACTCAGGTCCTTTGGGCTTCCCGTCCAGGGCTCTAGAGCACAAAGTTTAAAATCGGGAGAGCTGAGATGAACTCTTACATATCCTAACCAAGGAAACACATTTTGTTCATTCGGCGTCGCTGTTGTACATTTCCTATTTGTCCTATTAAACAAAGAGCAAAAGACTGCCAGGCTGACCAGCAACACAGAACACCCAGAGGCTCTTTGGAATATGTCTACCTTTACAGCTATTTAATCTACAACTATAAAATTCACCCTCAGAGAGATATCATCTCTAATTATACACTTGCAGTGAAAGTTTTAGGGCACCAAACCCTATGCAGAACAATACAGTTCTTTTATTTATTTATTGGCAAAGACTGTTGCTTAATGTTTTCAAACCAAGTACTTAGTTATAAGATTAATAATTCTAACATAATTCTAATCATAGAACTAGGAAAAACAACGGAATACAGCATTCAACTACTATATTATGTTAACAAGAAAAGATAAATATAACAAAAGGATATTAAAGCTGTCACCACTCCAGTAGCAGCACCCATTGCAAAAGATCCACTGAAGATTCCAAGGAAGATCCCAATAGACTTGAACATCGCTGTGACATCAAAGGTGTGACTGTTGTCTCCAGCTGGCTGGTATGCCACTATTGAGCTACAGAAGAGAGACTGCTTTTACTTCTGAAAACAACCTTTACTTTTAAAAAAACATTATGTAGTATAGAGCTTGAAAGATGAAATTAGAGGGAGAAGAAAAACAAGCTTTCGATTGGAATTGCCAAAATAAGGACAAAATTACCCAAAAATCCTGCAATGTATCTGGCTAGCAAGAAAACTTGGCTTTCCCTTAAATGTTAATTTCGGGGGGGGGGTAGAACATTGTAAAATCCTCTATATGAAAATTGCACCAAGCTTTTTCCCCCATCCCCAAGATACTGTGCAGTATTATTCTTTTGTGATTCTGTTTCAGAATTACTAGTACTGAGTGTCCGAAAGCCTTAACATACTAATGTGAACAAACTAATGAAAAATCCCACTTGTTTCCAGTAGAGGCATAAGAACATAAAGAACATTATTCAATACTCAACCCAGTCACATTTTGTTTTTCCTATGAGAAAAAAAGGTAACTGAAGGACCCTTCCAACTTTTAGAATTCTAGAATGGGCCAAATGCCTAATATCTATTCATTCACTGAAATGGACTATTATAGGAAAAAGCACTCGAAAGACCTCCCAAGGAATTAGAATCCACTCAACAGTACTTTCAGCATAACCAGCTGGATCTTCCACCTCAAACTTCTGAAAGAAAGTCACTCTATACCAGGCCAAGACAGGCAATTATAGGAGATGCTCTCCATCTTGAACTCACAGTCCAAACCTGGTCTGAAAAAGCTTCTTTTGTAACAGTTACCACCCCAGGAAATAGAAATGCCTGAGAAAATTGCTGTTGCCAGCAGGTCTTTGGCAACGGTGCTTACCGTTACTAAATCAGTTCTCATCTCAGTTAATTGAGAGACCAGCATTATAAAAAGTCCAGACTCAACAACATCATACAAATCACGTCAAAGAAAAGAAGGAAAAACACATTCCTAAAAATATAATGAATTCTCCCTGTGGTTGCTGCAATGTTTTTTTCTGATTCAAGGCTGAAAAATGTTTGCTATACCATATACAAGTTCTTTTCATATCTCCCAGGTTAAAAAAAAAATCTAAGATCAAACTAAAATCTCCTAATTTGTACTTATTTTATTGAAATATAGCACTAATATTAATTTCTGATAATGGGATCCAGAAATTTCTGAGACTCACTCTAAATTGAAAATGTTAAACATTTACGTTTAAATGTGCAAAGCAACCAGATCATTTTGGAACAGTAGATTTGATATCATTTTGATAAATATGAAATGGCCTTTAACACCATGCTACCTTACCTACATATATATAAAGGGTCCCACTACCATAAATGAGATCTGATTTCATTATAACATGAAAATACAGTAACTGGCTGGAGAAAAGAAAAAAATTGCTATACAATCTTCTTTTTCTTTGGTGGTATTTTTCAAAATGCTCTCTGGAACAAAATACCTATGCCATGCCTCCTGAGGTTGCTTTCCCTGGATTAGTTCATGTAAATTCAAGATTCACACTAATCATTATTTCATTCTTTAATCATTAAAATGTATAAGGACACATGGGAAACATGATGGGCTGAGAACAGATGACAGGCTCGTTTTGTTCTCTCTTAGGCAGACACTAGCCTCTGGATTGAAATCTTAACTCATCTTTTCTGTATCAATTGATATTTTATCTTGAGGCAGTAGCATTTTTTATGAATACTTTTTTTTAAACCCTGAAAGTAATAAAATGTACAGTTTAGGTGGAAAAATCTTCCCATCATTCCACTACCCTGATAGATCGATTTTATTTTCCTTCTGTATTCCTTTCCCCTCTTTGTGTTACATGCATGCTAATTCTTATTTAGCTGTAATCACAGTGAATGTGTGGTTTTGAATTATGCTTTTTTAACTGACAATGACATAAAAATATTCATAGTCTTGGCCGGACGCAGTGGCTCATGCCTGTAATCCCAGCACTTTGGGAGGCCGAGGCAGGCGGATCACCTGAGATGGGGAGTTCGAGACCAGCCTGACCAACATGGAGAAACTCCGTCTCTACTAAAAATAAAAATACAAAATTAGCCGGGCATGGTGGTGCATGCCTGTAATCCCAGCTACTTGGGAGGCTAAGGCAGGTGAACCTCATGAACCCGGGAGGTGGAGGTTGCAGTGAGCTGACATCATGCCATTGCACTCCAGCCTGGGCAGTAAGAACAAAATTCCATCTCAAGAAAAAAAAAAATTCATAGTCTTTATAACTACAGTTTTTAAGACTTCACAATGGTCCAAATGGATACAGCACAATTTATTCAACCATTTCCTCATTGTTAGACATTTGAAAGTTGCTTCTACTATTTTTGCTACTATAAATAACTGAAAGAACATCTTCTTGCTTTTTATATATTTTAGACTATTCCTTGCACTATATTTCTAAAAATAGACTATTACTATACCTATGGCTCATTTTACATGTTGCTCCACTGCCTTCCAAAAGGTCTCCATTACACTTTTGGAGGGAAATATGATAATATCTCCCAATTTTTTTAATGATCATACCATTGACCTAGCAATTCTACTCCTAAAAAATACCCTACAGAAATATTTACAAGGATTCACAAAGATTTACACATAAATATGCTCACTGCCATGCTAGTCATAATACAATATTAGAAAATACCAAATATTAATCAATCAATAGGGGATTGGAGAGGTAAATTTGTAATGCATCCACCCAATGTGATAATAGAGGTATTAATATAGTATAATATCCAAGTAAAAAAGCTACAGAAAAGTATATATACTACTATGCCTTTATTGTTTATAAAGATTATTAACATATTTATATGTATACTACTATCTTAACGGAAAAAGTCTGGATTAAAATCCTAATAGTGGTTATTTCTGAGCTGAAATTTCAGGAATTTTCTACTTTTTGAGTCAAATGCTTTAAATTTTTGCCACAAACATATTTTAACATTATCATAAATAGTGATAAAAGGTAATACCAATTTCAATGTTAACAATGTATGAGTGGTCTAGTTTTACAACACCAGGGTTTCTCAACCACAGCATTATTGATATTTGTGGCCAGGTATTTATTTGTTGGCTGTGATGGGGGTGGGGTGAGGGGAATGCTGTCCTGTGCATTGAAAACTTCTACCCACTAGGCCATGTCAATAGGAACCCCCCCCCATTGATGACAGCCAAAATGCCCCCAGACACTGTCAAATATCTCCTGTGTGTGTGTGGTGAGGGGGTGGCAAATTGCCCCTGGCTAAGAATGACTGTACTATGTCATTATCATTAACAATTCTGGCCGAGCACAGTGGCTCCTGCCTATCATCCCAGCACTTTGGGAGGCCGAGGCGGACGGATCACCTGAGGTTGGGAGTTCGAGACCAGCCTGGCCAACACGGTGAAACCCCACCTCTACTAAAAATACAAAAATTAGCTGGGCATGGTGGTGTGCACCTGTAATCCCAGCTACTCGGGAGGCTAAGGCAGGAGAATCGCTTGAACCTGGGAGGCGGAGGTAGCAGTGAGCCAAGACCGCGCCATTGTACTCCAGCCTGGGTGACGAGAGCAAAACTCTGTCTCAAAAAAAAAAGTTATGTCTTGTTAATTGAATAGGTAGAAATGGCTACTGATCCTAGCATGTATCTCTGGTAATTAGTGAAGTTAAACAGTTTATCACGTTTGTTGTCTCTCTGTACATCTTCTTTCATAAAAATATAAATGACTGTAAACAACATATTTTAAACTAATATGGATTTAGGTCCCCAGGCTAATCACGGTAATCCATTCAGTGGAATACTATGCAACGTATACTTTATCTCTAACTACATATACCGTATCTAACATAATATATCAATATACATATAGATCTACCTCATGCAGCCATGTATGAGGGAGTCAATTTCACTTCACCCTCACTGGATTAAAAGCATTATTTTAAAAAATAAAATAAAATAAAATAAAATAACTGCTACTCCAATAGGTTAAAAAAAAAAAAAAAAAAACAGTGCTTCAGGAAGAATAGCTAATGGATGCTGTGCTTAATATCTAGGTGATGGGTTGACCTGTGCAGTAAACCACCATGGCACATATTTACCTATGTAACAAACCTGCACATCCTGCACATGTACCCTTGAACTTAAAATAAAAGTTGGGAAAAAAAAAAACCAGACAGAAACAAAAACAACCTCCAACATAAATTTCAAGATGAGTTGCCTTAACCTGTTAACTGCCAAACAGAACTCCTTCAAAAAGGGGTTCCCTCCCCTTTGATGCAAAGCTGCTTACACAGAATGCAGACAGTAGATAATCCTCAAACTAAGAAAATTCAACACAAAGTAGACTATCTGCATCTAACCCACTTCAAAACACATAAAAGGTAAATGAAGAATGATGAGCATGATACCACTGATCATTCCAGCTAGTAAACTCCCACAGCGAGCACACAACTGCTTTCCCTTCAGCTTTTGGGCAGTAACTCATTTTTTCAATTCTATTAAAACACAGAGCTAACAATTTCTCTGTTATGTTCCTCTCAAGATACAGTCCTTCTCCACCAGAATCCCACTGAGGTTGTAATGAGTTAACGTATTATCTCTTACAAATTTAAAATGGCACTAGCTCGCTATCATCCTTAGGTGAAATGAGAAAAGACTCACTCAAATTGTTTCCTATAAGGCTTCATTCTCTCACAGAAAACCCTGTTTGAGAAAGGCTGCAAGAGAAGAAGTATGGCCCTTTGTGAGAAATGCTATGGAAAGGGCTCTCTCTCTTTTTTTTTTTTTTTTGAGACAGTCTCGCTCCGTTGCTCAGGCTGGAGGGCAGTGCCGAGATCTCAGGTCACCGCAACTTCCGCCTCCTGGGTTCAAGAAATTCTCCTGCCTCAGCCTCCCAGGTAGCTGGGATTACAGGCGTGTGCCACCACGCCTGACTAATTTTTGTATTTTTAGTAGAGACAGGGTTTTGCCATGTTGGCCAGGCTGGTCTCGAACTCCTGACCTCAGGTGATCCGCCCGCCTCGGCCTCCCGAAGTGCTGGGATCACAGGCATGAGCCACTGCGCCCAGCCGGCTCTCTCTTTTTAGCATTTATTCTTCACCAACACTGGTATGTACACCCCCAAGCTTAAAATCTTTCAATGAGGTTTTGACCCCTTTCACACTAATCAACTATTCCTAATGTTGCAGGAAATAGATTATTTATAACTCCAAGCTCAAAATCTTTCAATGAGGGTTTTTATCTTTTCCTCTAACGCTAATCAACTGTTCCTAAAGATGCAGGAAACAGGCAATTTTATTAATAGGAAAAACTAAGGCACAGGGCACATCAGTTTAAGATAAGACCAGAACAGAGATTTTCTAACTCTTAATCCATTAGGCCATTAGGGCAATGATAAGACAACAGTTACTAGTAAGATGACTGAACAGTAGAATAGTTGTCTAGGATAGGGAATCGATGCTAAAAGTGACTGCCTGTACCTACTCTCTTTACTTTGTAGTGCTGGTAATCGCTCATGTACCTACGTACTGGAAGCTTCAACAATCTTTGTTGCTTCATTTTTTATAACATTTTTTATAACCATACTATCCATTTCTCCCTTACTTCAAATAATACAAAACTCTTATTCTGCACCTATCATCATTGAAGGTGCTAAAGTTCAGTATCAATATGAGTTACAGCCTTTAGGTTTTATTTCTCAAGTTAAATTTATATTAGTTGCAGACAGCTGCAAAAAAAATCTGGCAATAAATATGGTGGGGAGGGGGTAATATTTACATACATTGCATTCACAAAAAAGGATATGGCCTTTTGTATATCTTCACATACAACGTTTAAGGGATTAATGTTACATCTGAGAAATAATAATTTCCAACTTTGCAGAAGACAATCAGGCTATGCAAAACAGAGCCAGTGATGTTTTATTCTTTCATAACTAACAAAGTGAAAATTAAGGAGAGAAATAAAAATAAAGAGAAAATGTGAAGGGCTCTTACTTCTCTCTCATAGAAAGTTCTGGTATGAAGTAAGGGCAACTGCCTATAGAGTTAGATATTTGCCTAATAAGAGTAGGTAGGCAGGGGCCAGGCATGGTGGCTCACGCCTGTAATTCTAGCACTTGGGGAGGCCGAGGCAGGTGGATCACCTAAGGTCAGGAGTTCGAAACCAGCCTGGCCAACACAGTGAAACCCCGTCTTTACTAAATATACAAAAATGAGCCAGGCATGGTGGCACATGCCCGTAGTCCCAGCTACTCGGGAGGCTGAGGCAGGAGAATTGCTTGAACCTGGGAGGTGGAGGTTGCAGTGAGTCTATATTGCGCCACTGCACCCCAGCCTGGGTGACAGAGCAAAGCTCTGTCTCAAAAAAAAAAAAAAAAAAAAAAAAAAGATTAGGGAGGCAGGATTGAATTCCTCAGAGGTTCAGACTCATTCTTCAACCTGCAAACACCTTATAGTAACATGTATAGTACTTTCTATAATTAGATAAAAAATATTGCTCATTCAAAATTGTCTGCAATTAAATTGGTATAAGTAATACATAACTACATATCTATAATATATATTAACACTTCTAGAGATTAAAAATGTTTTGAAATGATTATGTCAAATAAGAGAAACACAAATTAAGCTACAATGAGATATTTCTCAATTATCAAGTTAGCAAAAATATAAAAGTTTGACAAATATTCTGCTGGCGAAACTGTGAGGAAACAGACCAATAATTTAATGGTGAAAGTGCGAAGTGCTACAATTTCTTTGATGAGCAATTTAACAATGTCGAACAAAATTACAAATGGATTTTACCCTTTAACCTACCTACCAATCTCACTTTGGGACATTCAGCCTACCATTATACCTAAACATGTATAAAACAAGGTAAGTTCAAGGTTAATCACTGCAGCACCTTTTGGGACAGCAAAGGATTAAAAACCCTTCAAATGTCCTGCTATAGGAGACTGAGCAAATAAACAATAATGCAGTTCACACAGAGAATACTATATAGCTGCAAAGAATGAGAATATTCACTCTTTTGACATGCAAAGTTCTCCAGAAGATAGACAGTATGTAACTTTAAAAATAAGAAATGAGAGGCAAATAAGACTATTTATTCACGGTTGTGCCTGCATTTGAATAAAGAAATACTAAGATAGGTAAGAGACTAATAAAAATGGTTATCTAGGCCGGGCGTGGTGGCTCACGCCTGTAATCTCAGCACTTTGGGAGGCCGAGGCGGGCAGATCACCTGAGGTCGGGAGTTTGAGACCAACCTGGCCAACATGGTGAAACCCCGTCTCTACTAAAAATACAAAAATTAGCCGGGCGTGGTGGTAGGAGCCTGTAATCCCAGCTACTCAGGAGGCTGAGGCAGAAGAATCACTTGAACCCAGGAAGCAGAGGTTGCAGTGAGCCAAGACCGTGCCATTGCACTCCAGCCTGGGGGACAGGAGCGAGACTTCGTCTCAAAAAAAAAAAAAAAAAGTTATCTACAAGGAACTAGGGGGACAGGTGGATGAGGACAGATGTAAGAGTGTGAATTTTCTGTGTGTAACTTTTTACATGACTTTAATTTATGAGCCACGTGAATATATTATGTATTCAGAAAAAATTAAGGCCGGGCACAGTGGCTCACGCCTGTAATCCCAGCACTTTGGGAAATCGAGGTAGGTGGATCACCTGAGGTCAGGAGAAGACCAGCCTGGGCAACATGGTGAAAACCCATCTCTACTAAAATACAAAAATTAGCCGGGCATGGTGGCGGGTGCCTATAATCCCAGCTACTCGGGAGGCTGAGGCAGGAGAATCACTTGAACCTGGGAGGCAGAGGTTGCACTGAGCCGAGATCACGCCACTGCACTCCAGCCTGTGTGATAGAGTGAGACTCTTATCTCCAAAAAAAAAAAAGAAAGAAAATATTAAATCTAATTTAAAAAATTAAATGCTCATGTTGTAATGTTAAAACCGAATACAAAATTATACAGACACTACAATCACAACTATGTAACAATATCATACATAGAAAAGGAAATGTTCTAGAATGTTTACAGTAATTGTCTTTAGGTGGTGGCAGTACATATTTTTCTCTTCCCTGTATTTTCCAATTTATCTATAAAATATGGATTTCTTCAAGAGGGAAAAAAATGCCTCATTCTTCCAAATGTTTCCATTCATAATGTACTTTATTCAATAAGTGACTTTCAGTTCCTAGTACCCTCACACTTAATATTCAGAATATAATAAGAAAACAAACACTTACGAGGACAGCACTATGGCAACAGCATCATTGAGGACACTTTCACCAAAAAGAAGTGCATAGAGTTCAACATCAACTTGAAGCTCGTGGAATATAGCAAGAACAGTCACTAGTAAGTAAAAAGAGTCAGAGGAATACTTAGACATTACAAATATAACATATTCTCCTCAGTAGATGACTCTGAGAGTTATTTAGAAATTCATTTCCTCCTAGAATTCAATCCTAATAAACATTCTCTTACCATATTAAAGACCCCGTAATTTTATATAAATATTTTTCTTTTCTAATTGTGTACCTGCACAAACTTCTCCTCTCTCTCTTAAAAATGGCTGAAAGTAACCCTGAAGAACTGAGTTGGCCTACATTCTTCACGCAGATGTTAATAATCGTGTCTTGTACATTTCTTTCCCACAAAGAATATATTCAGAATTTCTTATAGACCATGTAGTCATTAATCTTTAATGAAGAAGAATATTATGAAAAGAATCTAATGTTGCAAACTTTGTTTCTTTGGGCCTTACAACTCATTTGTACTTGACTTACAAATTGCAAGCACAAAGGTTTAGCAAAGACAGTAGGAAATGAAAACATAGGTTTAGTTTTTGGTTGGGGTAAAATTTATGACCAGAATTACAGCTGCTGGATTTGTCTTAATAAGAAGCCAACTATGAGAATATTCCAGCTTAAGAAGAAAAACAATAAATCCTCCTTTTAGGAAAGCAATTATATGAGAAATCTTAGAAAATCAGATGAAATTGAAGTTATATTATAACTTTAATTACTAAGTCACATAGCTCAGTTACTAAAGAAACCCAAGCGGACATGAAAAATTAATATAACGAGAGGTGAGCCTTTTGGTTTTTTTTTTTTTTTTTTTTTTGAGATGGAGTCTTGCTCTGTCGCCCAGACTGGAGTGCAGTGGCGCAATCTCGGCTCACTGCAAGCCCCGCCTCCCGGGTTCACGCCATTCTCCTGCTTCAGCCTCCCGAGTAGCTGGGACTACAGGCGCCCGCCAGAACACCTGGCTAATTTTTTTTGTATTTTTAGTAGAGACAGAGTTTTACCGTGTTAGTCAGGATGGTCTCAATCTCCTGACCTCATGATCCACCTGTCTCAGCCTCCCAAAGGGCTGGGATTACAAGCGTGAGCCACCAGACCCAGCTGAGAGAGCCTTTTCAAATGCCAATCATAAAAACAAGAAACTTGCATTTTATTTATTTAATTTTTTTTAAGAGACAGGGTCTTGCTTTGTCACTCAGGCTGGAGTACAGTGGCACAATCACAGTTCACTGCAGCCTCAAACCCCTAGGTTCAAGTGATCCTCCTGCCTCAGCCTCCTGAGTCACTGGGATTAAAGACATGAGCCACCATGTCCAGTATATTTTAAAAGATATAGTTTCTACTACAAAGCATTGCAGCTGGAATATACTGATACCAAAGCTCATCAAGAGAGGGGGAGAAGGAGAGTAGAGCAATAGTGCAGAATTTCTAAAAGAAACCCATACCTCACCCTTCTAAGAGCAAGCTAACAATGGTAAAATAATAGAAATGGGGCAAGTACTTACATAATTCAGAAAAAAATAACAGTCCAACTTTATATAAGCAAAAGATATTTGCTTGGGCTATTCAGGCAATAGTCCTATCAAACAAAACCAGAAAGTTGAAATAATGTAGCCAAGCCAATGGACTCATGGACTCAGATTTCTCATAGGATTTGAAAAGTTGAGAACCTTGCTTATAATGAAAGGACACAGAAACCAGAGACCACCGGCTCCTTGCCAAAACCATCCTACCTTCATGTTGATAATGGGAGTAGCTACAAACAATGAGAGGACAGCTTTGGTGGTCTTTAAGGAAGCAATTTAATTTCCAGTTTTAAAAATGCTAAACTACACAAATTCTCTAAAATGGCCCTCTAACTAATCCTTTAAAATCTTTTTTTTTTTTTTTTTTTTTTTTTTTGGAGACAGGGTCTCGCCCTTCTCGCCCAGGCAGAATGAGACTGCAGCCTCACTGCAGCTCACTGCAGCCTCAAACTCCTAGGCTCAAGTGGTCCTCCCACCTCAGCCTCCCAAGTAGCTAGGACTACAGGCACGCACTCCCATGCTCAGCTATTTTTTTTCTTTTTTTTTGTAGAGACAGGGTGTCACTGTGTTGCCTAGGCTGGTCTCGAACTCACAGTCTCAAGTGATCCTACCATCTCGGCCTCCCAAAGCACTGGCATTTATATGCATGAGCCACTGTGTCCAGCCAAAATATCTCTCATAGAGTATTGAACACATTTTTCTCCTTCCCATAAAGCCCTGTGTTATCAGAGTTAACACAGGAATGCAGAGATAACCTTAGGATTCTACCTTTAATTGTGCTGGATGACAATTAAAGATGATTAACTTACAAGGTTAAAAAGTAAAACAAAATGAGCTTCAACGAAAGTCTTAAAGCATGCTAAAAGAAAATTTCCATCCTTAGTTCAAAAACATCAGTCTATGTTCCTACCCCAACCTTTCCATTCTGTGTCTTCTCCAAATTCCTAATTTGAATGTAGCTGTTAAGTTTACCAATACTCTATCAGGAAAACTAAAACCTAACTCAGTACAATTAAATTCATTCTGGAACACAACTTTTAGAAGATCTGACACTTAAAGCACAGGGGAACAAGTTGTGTTAATATTAAACAAACAACTGTATAATCATAAAGCCAATTTTATAAAAACAATTCTTTAATGTATATTAAAGTCCTCCAATGACTCCAAATCAAACCTGTATTAGCACAACTGCCTTCTAACAATCATTTGTAAACATTTTTTCTTACTGTTAAATGCATACAGCTGAATAGAAACTGAAAGATTTTTAGGGAACTGGTTTTCTAAAAGCTTGAAAGGAAATATATAATTATTACCCATTTAAACTAATCTATAATCTAGTTCATCTTCTATACTCAATCACTAGGGATAAAGACCAACATGAATTTCTGAAGAAAGTACCTTATAGTCCTTGTTGAAACAGCGTCAACTTGTGGACCAGTAATAGGCAAATGTAATTAAAAAAAAAAAAAGGAAAAGGAAAACAAATTTGTGCTGAAGCCAAAAGGAATCATGAATTTTGTTTTTTCCTCCACAATTAGAAAGTATAGTACTAAGGAAGTATCTAATCATGAATTCTACACCTCAAAGAAAGAAAAACCCACATGTATTTGACTGCAAAACAATGCACCTCAAGTATGTAAACTCCACTCATATAAAACATACCTGGATCAGTTGCTGATACAATGGCACCAAACAGTAGGCAATCTGTAAAGTAAAAATCTCCTGCAAGTTGTCCCGTTACCTTCATCAGCGTTACACAGCCATACATTATTGACCTGTTCAATAAACACAGTCCTACTTTAGAAAAAAATATCAACTGTTAAAAAAATTAGGATAAAGTAAGAAGATGGGTTTACTGTAGTACTTTGTGACTAATCCCAAATTTAATTCATGTCATTGAAATATGGTAATACTTTGGCCTTAAGGAAAATTCAAACAACTTATTACCTACGTGAATATTGCAAAAGTCTTTAGACCCAGTCAGGAATATATAACACTGCATAAATCAAAAATATATTATTTTAAAATTATAATTTGAAGGCCACAAAGTATTTTAAGCTTAAAATACTTACCCAATAACGAAACAAGAAATTGCTGTTCCAAGAAAAGCGTATGCTAGGATAGACCCAAGATTTCGAAAAAAATGTCTCTGACAAAAAAAAAAAAGTTACACTGTTAGAATACTTACCAGTTACTTGAAAAAGAAAAGGTTTTCTATGCTATGCTAATATGAAATGCATTATTCACTAGGATTAAATGCATTATTCACTAGGATAAATAAGAGAAAGCATTCTTGTACAGGTATAAATTTCAGCATCTAAAAAGGATAAGGAGAGGAGAAAGGAGGGTAATCTGGAAAGAACAGCCCATTTCTGAAGTGTCAAATATTACAAAGCCCACTGAGTTTAAGATTATTCAAAGTATATGAAAGACAAAAGGACTTACCCTTTTCAGGCTATAACCTGCATAAAATATGATAGGAGGAAGTAATATGTTGAAAAATACTTCTGGATCAAAAGTAACCTGTTAAAATAAAGAGTTATTTTAGATCAATTCCCTAGAAGACCTCATATTCCATTATCAAATGATCAAAAAGAAAAAATACTATATGTTAAACTAGTCAAAGGCAAGAACATTACTGTGCTAACTTAAAAATATTTCATATAGGATAGTTTCTATTCTACTTCTCAACCAAACGACCAGGAGATAGCATTGGAACAATCAGTTAAGGCCTATCTGTGGAAAGTGTATTAAAATACTATGTCATTAAAAAATGTTTCAGGAGGCTGAGGCAGGAGAATTGCTTGAACCTGGGAGGCAGAGGCTGCAGTGAGCTGAGACTGCACCACTGCACTCCAGCCTGGGTGACAGAGCAAGACTCCATCTAAACAAACCAAGAAAAAAGTTAAAAATAGGGCCAGGCGCAGTGGCTCACACCTGTAATCCCAGCACTTTGGGAGGCGGAGGTGGGCGGATGGGCGGATCACCTGAAGCCAAGAGTTCAAGGCCAGCCTAGCCAACATGGTGAAGCCCCAACTCTACTAAAAATACAAAAATTAGCCGGGTGTGGTGGCGTGTGCCTGTAATCCCAGCTACTCAGGAGGCTGAGGCAGGAGAGTCGCTTGAACTCGGGAGGCAGAGATTGCAGTGAGCCAAGATCGCGCCAGTGCACTCCAGCCTGGGCGAAAGAGTGAGACTTTGTCTCAAAAAAAAAAAAAAAAAAAAAAAAAAAGAGAAAGCATGAACATTACTTTCGCTTTAAATAAAAGAAGCCTGGCTGGGTGCTGTGGCCCACGCCTGTAATCCCAGCACTTTGGGAGGCCGAGGCAGGTGGATCACTTGAGGTCAGGAGTTTGAGACCTGCCTGACCGACATGGCAAAACCCCATCTCTTTTAAAAATACAAAATTAGCCAGGTATGGTGGTGCATGCCTGTAATCCCCGCTACTTGGGAGGCTGAGACAGGAGAATTACTTGAACCTGGGAGGCGGAGGAGCCGAGATTGTGCCACTGCACTCCAGCTTGGGCAACAAGAGCAAAACTCCATCCCAAAAATAAATGAATGAGGCCAGGCGTGGTGGCTCAAGCCTGTAATCCCAGCACTTTGGGAGGCCAAGGCGGGCGGATCACAAAGTCAGGAGATCGAGACCATCCTGGCTAACACGGTGAAACCCCGTCTCTATTAAAAATACAAAAAATTAGCCGGGCGTGGTGGCGGGCGCCTGTAGTCCCAGCTACTCGGGAGGCTGAGGCAGGAGAACGGCGTGAACCCAGGAGGCAGAGCTTGCAATGAGCCGAGATCACGCCACTGCACTCCAGCCTGGGCGACAGAGCGAGACTCTGTCTCAAACAAACAAACAAACAAACAAAAAAAAACAAAAACAACAACAACAAAAAATAAATGAATGAATGAAACCCCAAACTGGTAATATAAAACTTAAGAGTACAGTATTATTGTTGGCAAAAAGAAACAGATTTCTTACATAGATAACATCTCTAAAGTTGTATAATATTGTAGTAAAAAGTTTCTGTACAGCTCAGATTTCTACTTCCGATAGCCCACTCATTTTAAGACCTAGTCACCATAAAAATGTAAATACCCCCTTCTGTTCATAAGGCTGCAGTAGAATGTGACATGAACACAAAGTAGCTACACACAAACCCATGCTAAAACTTCGTTAACTAGAACTTTTAAGGAATTGGAATTTTCCACAGGTGGAAAGAACTCCTGCTGCAAGGTAAACCTCAAGTTCATATGAAATTTTAAAAGCATTAAAGATGGTCAGAAACACAACCAAGTAGCTATAAAAATCAAGTCCTGCCTGTACTCCTAGCACTCTGGGAGGCTGAGGTGGGTGGTTCGCCTGAGTCCAGGAGTTTGAGACAAGCCTAGACAACATGGTGAAACCCCAACTCTACTAAAAATACAAAAATTAGCCGGGTATGGTGGCACGTGCCTGTAGTCTGAGCTACTAAGGAGGCTGAGGTTGGAGAGTCACCTGAGCCTGGGAGGCGGGGGTTGCAGAGAGCTGAGATCGTGCCACTACACTCCAGCCTGGGTGACAGAGTAAAACCCTGTGTCAAAAAAAAAAAAAAAAAAAAAAAAAAGTCAAGTCCTGCCAATGTAGCAGACAGAAGTGAAGGCAAACAGCAAAGGTAGGAGAAAACAAAGAGACATGAGCAAAGTGGCATTGAGCCGTTTATCATGAGAAACGTCATGATAAACCTATGAGGGAGACAGGAGAAAGCAGCTCCAGGGATTTCTGGGAGCCAGTACAATTGCAACTCAAACTCTAACATAAAGCTTTATGCACAATATGGTACAATAACTCAGACTCACACTTAGGGCCCCTGAAGTTGTGTCAGATTGTGAATCAAAGAAAGATTAAATTGTGATCGGTATAGAATACAAGCAAGGCAAGAAAGAATTGAAAGAAATATTAATAGAATATTTTAGGTATTATCAAATAAAGCCAATGTGCTGAAGTACTATAAAACTATAAGGACCGGCTGGGCGCAGTGGCTCATGCCTGTAATCCCAGCACTTTGGGAGGCCGAGGCGGGGGATTCACTTGAGGTCAGGAGTTGGAGACCAGCCTGGCCAACATGGTAGAACCCCGTCTCTACTAAAAAATACAAAAATCAGCCGGGTGTGGTGGTGGATGCCTGTAATCCCAGCTACACGGGAGGCTGAGGCAGGAGAATTGCTTGAACCCAGGAGACAGAGGCTGCAGTGAGCCAAGATCATGCCACTGCACTCTACCTGGGTGACAGAGTGAGACTCCATCTCAGAAAAAATAAAATAAAGAAAGAAAAAGAAAAAGAAAACTATAAGGACCATCTGCAAATGGAAAGAAACGCTTATAAATTCTGCTTAACTCAATCCCAGTCTCCATTTATCACAACAAGCTGTAAACAATCCAGAGAGAAACAAAAAGAGTTATACTACTTAACCTCAATCAGAAAATGAGTTGTACAGACATATCCATTTCCTTACATTATTACATTTGTTAATTGAGGTTTTACTCCATTGAAAAAGACTCATTATTTTAAATATCATTAAAAATCCATTACTTATTTTCTCCTGGATCATTTTGCTGCTAGTTAGACACAAAAAAGATTCAAAGATTTCCTTTAAGAACTTACCTTTCTAAGCATTTCATTATCTTGAACATTATTGAGTTCATGTGAACTAATCTCTCCTTTCAGCATATACTCATAAAATTTTCCACTAACATTTACCAGTAAGGTAGTTGGACTTGACTGCACTTCACAGCTCAGGGTCACATTATTTACATCACTCGGAACATGAATGCCATACCGAAGCACAAGGCCCACCAAAAGACCTGGAAAAAAGAACAACATAAGCTCTTCTTGCCGACAGAGACCACTTCTTTTGTACCCCACGCATAACTATGGATAAGAGAAAATCTCTTACGGTAGTTCCCTGTAGCTCAGAACTGATTTTTAGATGAAATGCAGTTATGTTTTAAAATATTACTAAATTCATACAACAAACAGCCCAATCTTCATATAATCCAGTGAAACAGGAGAGAAAAACATTCCCTAGGACAACAGCACAGATCACTGCATTTCTAGATCAATATTTAAATAAGTAATGAGGAAGGTAACAAAAGGAGAAAATATCTTCAAATCATCTGTAGACAGAATATGCTCCAATGTGTCCCAACTCGACAGTGCAATCGTGTTAGAAATGTGTTTTCTGGCCAGGCGCGGTGGCTCATGCCTGTAATCTTAGCACTTTGGGAGGCCGAGATGGGTGGATTGCCTGAGAGCTCAGAAGTTCGAGACCAGCCTGGGAAACTTGGTGAAACCCCAACTCTACTAAGATACAAAAAATCAGCCGGGCGTGGTGGCGGGCGCCTGTAATCCCAGCTACTCAGGAGGCTGAGGTGTGAGAATTGCTTTAACCCAGGAGGCAGAGGTTGCAGTGAGCCGAGATCATGCCACTTCACTCCAGCCTGGGCAACAAAGTGAAACCCTGTCTCAAAAAAAAAAAAAAAGAAATTTGTTTTTCACCTCCATTCATCAATTTATAAGACTTAAACAATGCACTTCGCAAGTTTATTCCCAAAGCACATGACTGGCCAAACAATGCACATTTAACAAATTGAAAAGTCAATAATATTTGTAGGTTGATTGAGTTCTTCTACTTCTAAAAGATCAGATTTTAATTTTAAAAATCTGCTTCAAAATCAAAACATGGAATAGAAGTCCTGAATCTGGCACTATGACATCAAACAGATTGCTGGATCATCCTACTGACATTCAAATATGCACAATGTTCTAGGTACTGTAAAACTAAATTTTTTTTTTTTCTGAGACGAAATTTTGCTCTGTTGCCCAGGCTGGAGTGCAGTGGCATGATCTCGGCTCACTGCAACCTCCGCCTCCCGGGTCCAATCAATTATCCTGCCTCAGCCTCCCAAGTAGCTGGGATTATAGGCTCACACCAACACACCTGGCTAATTTTTGTATTTTTAGTAGAGATGGGGTTTCACCATGTTGGCCAGGCTCCTGACCAAGGTCGAACTCCTGACCTTGTAATCCATCCACCTCGGCCTCCCAAACTGCTGGGATTACAGACCTGAGCCACCATGCCCAGCCCTATAAAACTATATTGATCGACTATAATTGTTTAGTAATGGCTTTACTGATATCTAATTCAAACACCAAAAGTTTATCCTTTTAAAAACTGTACAATTCAGTGGTCTTTAGTGTATTCACAAAGTTGAACATCAATCACCACTATCTAATTCTAGAACATTTTCCTTCCCTCCAAAAAGAACCCCACACCTACTAGCAGTCACTCTCCATTCCCCCATGCCCGAATCCACAGCCCCTGGCAACCACTCATCTACTTTCTTTCTTTATGGACCTGTCTTTTCTAGACATTTCATATAAATGAACTCCTACAATATATGGCCTTTTGTGTCTGACTTCTTTCACTTAGCATATTTTCAAGGTTTATCTATGTTGTAGCATGCATCAGAACCTCATTTACTTTTACGACCAAACGATATTTCATTGTATGGACATACCTCAACTACAAATAAAACCCAAACTTCTGGAACTTTCCTTAACTCCATGCATAGTATACCACTACTAGCTGCATTTTACCTTCCTATTGCCTTTCATTCTGACTAGCCAGCCATTCTTTTAATACGTGAATGAGTGTACTATGCTAGGTAGGCCTCCAGGGTTCAGAGATGAAAACAAGGTCCCTCCTTCAAGGAAAACTCGGTCCAGTTGGTGAAAACAGACTGAATAAACAATCATAATGTCAAGGAAAACTCGGTCCAGTTGGTGAAAACAGACTGAATAAACAATCATAATGCTATATATATATATGTATACAAGGTATTATAAAAACAGAAAAGAGACAACTATGCAACCCTGGGGGAGTAAGACATTAGGGAAGTCTTTCCAGAGATGTCACCTGGGCAGGTAACAAACTAGAAGAAATGGGTATATTCCACGTAGGGGAATAGTAGTACATATCAGTCAAGGATGGAGACAACACAGCCCATCCAGTGAATCAAGTAGTTTAGTATGGCTGGCTTATAAAGTGACAAGAGTTGAGGTTTGAAAGATTGGCAGGAGTTGAATCATAAAAGATCTTATCTGTTGGGGAAGGGAATTTGAAGTTTATCCCAAAAGTAAAATGAAGTCATAGAAGGCAGAGGCTTGATAGCAGATTTCTACTTTAGAAAGACTGGTCTAGACTAAAGAGGGTCTAAAAGGCTAGATACAGGGCTACTGTAGGCATTCAGGCAATAAGAGTTTAGGTCCTAACCTAAGAGAGTACTGACAGGAGGCGAGAAGGATTTTTTGAAGGTATTATATTTTAGGAAGATTTAGTGACTGAGGAAGGGAGATGAAAGACTAAGAGGAACCTTAATTGATTTGGTAACCAGGTGGGTAAGTTGGCCTGAGCACCGAGGGGGATAACAAGGACATTCAATGAGGTAAGGAACATACACAGATGAACAGATTTACAGGGGAAAAGGCTACATTCAGTTTTGGACACGTTGAGTTGGATGTACTTGTGACACACGCATAGTTGAGTATGTGGTATCTGGAGCTAAAGCGAGGGGTCTCAACTGGAGATATACACTGTGCAGTCATAAGATGGTTGAAGTCAGATGTAGATGAGATCGCCAGGGGAGCAAGTAAAATGGGAAGAAGACTATGATATAGATCTGGGGTTTGATCTATTAACAGCCAACATTAAGGGGCTGCTAGAGGAGAAGGAGCTGATGAAGGAGTCTGAGAAGGAAAACCCACAGGAGTAGAAAAAAAAAGGAACCAGTGGTGGCAAAGTCAGGAAGAAAGGGAAAAAATTCATTTTTGAGGAGAAGGAAGTGATAAAAACTATCAAATGCTATAGTAAAGTCGAGTAAGGCAGGCATTAGAAGTATCCATTGGGTTTGGCAACAAGGAGGCCATAGGTGACCTTGATAAGAGCAGTTTCAGTGGAGTAGCAGGAGTGGAAACCAGACCCAAGTGAGAAGTGATGAAGCAGAAATGAGGAGGTATAAGAGCAGTCGTTGCCAGCCGGGCGCAGTGGCTCACGTGTAATCCTAGCACTTTGGGAGGCCGAGGCGGGTGGATCACTTGAGGTCAAGAGTTCGAGACCAGCCTGGCCAACATAGTGAAACCTCATCTCTACTAAAAATACAAAAATTAGCCGGGCGTGGTGGCAGGCACCTGTAATCCCAGCTACTTGGGAGGCTGAGGCAGGAAAGTTGCTTGAACCCAGGAGGTGGAGGTTGCAGTGAGTTGAGATCATGCCACCGCACTCCAGCCAGGACAATGGAGCAAAAACTCTGTCCAAAAAAAAAAAAAGGCAGTAGTTGCCCAGGAAGCAGGGAGGGAGCAGAGAGGAGGGATCCTTCTGGTCAATTTATAGTCACATATATTTTTTAGAGTAGTAATGATTCATTCGTGAACAGTAGTATAATGACACCAACTTTAAAAACGTTTAAACAAAGGTTCGAATTTAAAATAAATGAAAGACACCTTTTAAAAATATCTCACCTCCAAAAACAAAATTAAAAACTGACTGTTAGATAGCAACTGCACTTGACAGACATAACCTAGAAGAGAAAAGCCTGTAGATCCAGTCGTTCTGCCTGTATGAGACAGAAACAGCTCTTTTCTCTACTATTCCACAAGAGCTAATTAAGAGGCTCAGTAAAAGCTGTCCTCTTATATTTACATGCAAAAATCACAGACAAGCTACTACAAATGCTAATAATGGCAGCATAAATTCCTTCCATGTCCCCAAGCCCAACCATGGTTCTTTTTTTTTATTTTATTTATTTATTTATTTTTGAGACGGAGTCCTACTCTGTTGCTGAGGTTGGAGTGCAGTGGCGTGATCTCGGCTCACTGCAACCTCCGCCTCCCGAGTGCCCACTGGTTCTACTGTTTGCCCAACCCTATGCTGAAGCATCACTGGGTACCCTGAGGAGAGCTCAGCACTTGGGCAAATTTGAAACACATACCTTGGTCGATAAAACAACAGCATGGAGAATAATTATTTAGGTTGAAAACAAAATCAAGATCCCTTTATTATGGCACCAGGCATCTGAAAAATTGGTATTTGAAAAAAATTCACAGATCAAGTTAACGAGGGTTCTGTAAAAGGCCAAATCCTAGTCATAGAGTCAAAGCAATTCTCAGTGAAAGGATACAAAAACAGAGCTTTGTTAAGAGACTAAAGCAGAAACTTCTAGCCTCCTACATAGAGGGAGGCACAGAAAATATTTATATTATGAAACTTTAAATGACCACTAACAGGCAACAAAGAACACAACCATGGCTGGGTGCTGTGGCTCATGCCTGTAATCCCAGCACTTTGGGAGGCCGAGGTGGGTGGATCACAAGGTCAGGAGATCGAGACCATCCTGGCTAACACAGTGAAACCCCATCTCTACTAAAATTACAAAAAATTTAGCCAGGCGTGGTGGCGGTCACCTGTAATCCCAGCTACTCGGGAGGCTGAGGCAGAAGAATGGCATGAACCCAGGAGGCGGAGCTTGCAGTGAGCCGAGATAGCGCCACTGCACTCCAGCCTGGGAGACAGAGCGAGACTCCGTCTCAAAACAAAAACAAAAACAAAAAAAACACAACCACAAAGAGATATCTTTCACAAAACAGAGAGGTCCTAACGCGTCTCAAAACAAAAACAAAAACAAAAAAAACACAACCACAAAGAGATATCTTTCACAAAACAGAGAGGTCCTAACCCTCCTACACATTCCTGACCCTCCTGTGCTGAAAAGTCTCCCAGTGATAAAAAAAATCAGCATCACCCAAGGCCCTACTAATGTGTGATTCTCCCAGTTGGCAGTGACTGGTTTCCTCATGGATTTCAGCCCATTATTCCAGCCAATCACACCTGAAGCCTCTGATAGTCAAAAATATAGGAAGAACATCACTAGGGCATTAAGTGTGACCAAAACTGATACAATTTCTACAGATTAGTTTTGTGAAAGATATGATGAGAAATAAGGTATGAGCCATAGTCATTAGATGATAAGTGCTTTGAGGGCAGATACTGTGGCTCAAACATGTATTTCTCATCATATCCCATACATCATAGACATCTAATCAATATTTATTGATGAATCACATTGGTTAAACCTCGGACTCCAGATGCCTTAAGCTTAAGGCAATACAAATATTTCTGCCATATTTTGCTTTTTATACCATCTGTAAGCACAGTGTAGTGCGTGATCACTTTTCAGACTTAATTTAACTACCTCGACAACTTTTACTAACAGTGACTCACTTTTAAGCTTCTTAAGAAAGCTAACCCAAGGAGCAAAACATGTGGGTACTTTGCAATTGTGTGTTTGTAACTGGAGCAATTGATCTATATTACAATCTAGAAACTGACCACTTTGGCAATTTAAACTGTTTTTACTCCTGCTTCTCAGATAAAGGAAAAGCTTATTTTTAATAGCATTTTCCAGGATTTACGTAGCTAACCCAATATCACAGGAATAAGATCACCAGTGGGCTGAATCTTAGAGGTCTAGGCATCCCATTTTGACCCCAGAGTCATGCTGAAAAATAAAGGTTTTAAAATAATATATTAATAATAATAAGATAGCTATGATGTTGTGAGAGCTATAAGAAAAATAACAGACAATAAATAGGACTAGAAAACTTCCATTTCTGACCAGGCGAGGTGGCTCACACTTATAATCCCAGCACTTTGGGAGGCCAAGGTGAAAGGATAGCTTGAGCCCAAGAGCTAAGAGCTTGAGACCAGCCTGGGCAACATGGGAAGACCCCCCCACACTCGCGTCACCACAAAAATAAAAATAAAAAATTAGCCAGGTGTGGTGATGCACACCTGTAGTCACAGTAACTCAGAAGGATGAGGTGGGAGGATCACTTAAGCCCAGGAGGTTGAGGCTGCAGTGAGCTATGACCCCACCACTGCACTCCAGCCTAGGCGACAGAGCAACACTCTATCAAAAATAAAAAAAGGAAAAAGAAAACTTCAATTTTCATGCTATTGAAAATACTTTGACCCTCCACAAAAAAAGAAAGAAAGAAAGAGAGAGAAAGAAAGAGAGAGAAAGAAAGAAAGAAAAGAAAGAAAGAAAGAAAGAAAGAAAAGAAAGAAAGAAAGAAAAGAGAGAGAAAGAAAGAAAGAAAGAAAAGAAAGAGAGAGAAAGAAAGAAACTTTGACCCAATCCCATCTATTCTCGAACTGGACTTGCGAGTTAAGTTAGGAGGCTGTTTGGTCCACAGCACCCATTGCCCACAATGAGAAAATAGGACAGGCTAAAGAACGCCAAGTCAACTCCAGATTTGACTCCCAGACTAACACTCTTGCACTTTACATTCCACAAGAGATACCCTTGTTTTTCCTTCAAAAAATACTAACACCAAGGTGCTCTATCACTTTTTATTAACTTAGAAACCTCACAAAATGCAATCGGTAATCCTTTTCTACTTCAGTCCTAGAGTTAGATGAGGTTAATGATACCAGCTACCAAAGAGAAAATATTTCCAGGGCAATTCAAAGCCCCTATTTGATTCTCTTAAAAAGACTGTATTTGTCCCTTGACTTATGAGACTGACCAATTAAAAGAGTTGTTCTGGGCCTAATCTGAGAAAATGCAGTTGTAACAGCAATAATAATAATAATAGCACAGCTATCATTTCTTGGGCATTTACTTAAGGGTCAGTTACTAGTCTAAAAACATTTCTTCCTCACAGTAATCCTACTATCATCATCCCTAACATATAGATGATGGTAAAAGAGAGTAAGGGACTTGTCTAAGATCACACATACCTATGGGCAGAGTGTGACGGGAATCTAGGTCTGATTCTAAAGCAGGGGTTGGCAAACTACAGCCCTTGGTCTGTTTTTGTATGGCCCGAGAGCTAAGAATAGTTTTTATGTTGTAAAACTTTATAAAAAGAAAAAAAAATCAAAGAAAAAAAATGCAACAGCGACAGAGATCTACGTATCCACAAGATCAACAATCATTACTACCTGGCCCTTTACAGAAAAAAAAAAAAATTGCTGACCTCTGGTCTAAAGCCTTGTACCTTTAATTACCACATCATACTATCTCTCTCTATAAAAGAAGTATCTCTGATCAGTTCATTACTTTATAATACTCATTTGGCATTTAACCAAATTTAAGATGCCATTATTTTCTTTATATGACCTGCCTATAAGTGACTTGAAGGCAAAGATCTTATACCTCTTTGTATTTTCTGAGCATAATACATAGAAGGTTTATCAACAAATGTTTGTTGAGGATAGTAAATAAATCACACACTGTTATGCAGAAAATTATATAGAAATATATAGCTTATCTGGCCAATTTGGCTTAAGGTGCACTGCAAATGAAATGCAAAACATATTAAATATAAAAACCATCTAATATGTCTAAAAACTAGGAATCTTAGTGAGCAGAGATATTTTACACGCAGGCTCAGAACTGTATTCTCTTAAAAATGAAAAATAAGCCTGAGTTCATGCATCTTCCTGAGGCACACAACTACCTTTCCTTGCTATCCTTGAGAGATGCACATTACAGAAGTCTGGATTTACTAGGGGGCGGGGGTTTGCATGGAGCAATGTCTTTTGTGCCAAAGCTTCATCTACCTATCTGCAAGTCTGAGAGACAAACCTCAACAAGCTCATCGGTTTAACTGCTCCAAATGAAGATAATCTTCACACATGTACTGCACAGAAAGAATTGTTTGTCCGCCCTCATCTCTTTAGCAATACCCGCACAGATTAATACAGTCGGCAATATGTATCTTTTCTCCTCTTGAGGCCCCAGCACAGCTCAAAATGCCTCTGAGCCCACACTTTGATTTACCCCTTCTCGCCTTGTCACCAAAATAATAATAATAATAATAATAATAAACCTCAGAAAGCAGACTGAGACACAAGAATCGAAGCCATTTATTCTACAATCGGTCAATAACCTCATGCCAACAGCAAGTCACCCATACTGCATATGCATGGTGTTTGTAATTACTGTTTGTCTGAACTGTCCTGATCATCGTATAGTACACTATACTTCTGGAAGGACCTTAACTCTTCCTCGTCCTCACTTTTGTATGCCTGAATTGGAAGGGTCAACCACAGGTATCCATATCAGATATTAGAGGCATAGTACAATAAATGGGATGTCATTAAAAATGCCCTAAGCCTTCTGTAGCCTATTTCACGTTCGGGTTTTTTTTTTCGGACTCCACAAGAATAAGATTTTCCTTTGCAACCTCGAAAGGACAGGGCGTAGCAGGAGCTAGGTGTTGAGTAAAGGTCGACTCTGGCTCCAAAAGAACGCCAGATTCTGGGCAGTAGAGATACTACTGCAGTTTCAATGAACCTTAAACAAACTGACACCCCAGAGAAATGGATCGCAATGGTGTCTCCCCTCCCCCAGCCCCCAGCCCAATTCCAGACACCGCGCCCACTCGTTTTCCATCCTCAGCCCCGGGTCCCGAGCTTGGTAGGCAGGGAAAGGGTGGGGGGCTGGGGGTGCGGAGGAAAAAGGGGGTGGGGTCGGAAGCGAAAAAGGTGTGGAGAGGCAGATAAAATGGGGCGCGAGGCTGAAGAGGAAAGGGGGTGAGGCAGAGAAACGCGGGGTAGGGGGAAGGCGAGGCAGAAAATGGAAGGAATTAGAAGGGGAGCCGAACGTAGGCCGAGCAGGGCCAGCAGAGGAGGCGAAGCAGCCGGCGGGCAGAGAAAGGGGCAGCGCCAAGGGGCTGACAAGGGTTGAGGAACTTGCCATAAATCATAGCCAGGCCGGTTTCGTGCAGGAAGCGGGCCCGGCGGTGCTTGAAGAGCCAGATTGTGAGAATGGTGAGGGTGAGCAGCAGGATGAAGATGAGCAGGTTGGCGCTGTCCTGCCGGTGGCTCTCCTCGGCTTGCTTCTCGGACACGATCTCCTCGTCCATGGCTCTAGCCTCTCCGCCGCCGCCGTCCGAAGCCCCTGCCCAGTCAAAGACGCCCACTGCGAGGAGCAACCAAAGGGGCCGCATGAGCCTGCGGGCTCGGGGACTGCTGCCGACGCCACGGCGGAGGGGTGCCCGCCGCCAGCCGCGCCGAGCCATGTCTCCCCCCGCCTCCCGCCCCTACCTCACCGGCGGCCGCCCGCGGTCGGACCACTCCCCGAGGGCTCACGGGAAAGGGGCGGGGCCCGGGGGTAGCCGTCGGAGCGCGCGCCGCCGCCGCCGCTCTTAAAGGGGCCGCGGCATCCCAAGCTCGCTCTGCCAGGTTCCTTTGCCCCTCTGTCCCAGGTCACACGCACCCACAGGCGCTGCCGGGAATGAAAGGCCGTCTAAACTAGCCCACTGCCTTTGGCTAAAGAAACATCGGCTCAGTGTAACCAAGCAGAGGCAGACTGCGCTTTCTACTTTGATCCTATTCTCAGAGCTCTCAGGGGAATTGATCTTTCATAGGAATTGATCTTTCATAACCCATCTCAATATCGTCCCCCAGTGTCTCTTAACAGGATAAGTTGTCCCCTTGGGAGGAGCCTCAATCTCCATCTCTGTAATTTAAATTTAAATCGGATTCTCCTTGTATTGTCCTCATCGGGAAAGAAAAAAAAAAAAACACAAAAAAACACCACACACACACAGAGCACTGTAGCAGTTCATAAAACAATCGACTCAAAGGTATGGATTATGTGTGTGTCTGTGTAGTCGGTTTTCTTTACATGTAAACATCTGATATAAGTCATCTCTCACGCTAGGAATCTGTACACAGAAACTCATCAACCTTACAGCAAAGATTGGATCGGTTTGTGCTTAGATTTCCCAATGCTCGTAAACACTTCCCTCCCGAAGAAAAAATCTTGGGTGGTGTGGTGGATTTCTCCTTCTCCTCTTGCTCCTTTTTACTGCTGTTTTAAAGCAAATGTCCCCAGCTCCGAAGTCACCCTTGACCCCTATCTCTCATCTCTCCTCTTTAGTATTCCTCAGGACAGTATTTTTTTTCTGTTCTCAGCCTGTCCAACCTCTCTCACCAGAATTTTCACAGTTCTCACCTCCATACTGGAGCTTTGTCTTTTGAGAACAGTGACTTCCTATTTTTTCTGTATTTCTCCGATCGCTCCTTAGTTTGTGTGGGCTCTTTGTTTTCTCAAGACTTTGATTTCAACATGAATGATCTACAAGTCTCAAGCCCTGGCCTGCTGCCCCAACTTCAGGCCTCTACCTGTTGGATTCTGAGCATACCCTGTTGAGGCTCCTACCACCCTCAAAACTAAAAATATTTTGAAATGAGCTCATTTGAAATGAGTTCCCCCTGCAAGTACAAATTCCTTCTCAAATTCTTCATACCATCAGTGGTACCACTGTCAGTTCAATTCCTATCATTCTGCCTGGAACTCATGATTCTCAAATGGTTCTTTCCATCTCATGGCCATATAACCTCCTTGCTAAAACAAGTAATACTCAGGCAACTCCAAGCTGCCCCTGTGTGTATTCACCCTCACTAACCAGCTCTCTAAGCTCTCAGGATGATGAGCTAAACAAAAAAAGCACTCAAACGATGTCCAATTCCACTTTCTGTCCCTGTCAGGTCAGGAACTGTCCCAAATCAGAGCCAGTGACTGTGTGCCCATTCTCTGCTATTAGTACTTGGGTCTGTGTCTTCCCAAGAAACCTCATGGCTGCCTGTTCCCCTATACCCTGACTCCACTTGAACCACACTGTCCTGTTCACACAGAGCTGGGCTTTGTGGAAGCAAGAAACCTAGGTGAGGATCCTTCCCATTCTCCCCATCATCCTCTCCCCAGAAGACCTAGTAAATGAGCTTACCTGCTAACTGCTCATTCCAAGGCTGTTTTGTCCCAGCATAAACCCACTTTTCACTGAGTGTTGGGAACTTGAAAAAAAAAAAAAAAAACCCGAAGCCACAGATTGCTTCCCTGACCAGAGTCAGGAAATGTCTTCAAGCACCAGACTCCACCTCTGTTTATGTGGCCCCAGCAACTTAGTATGCCCCTCAGCAATCTCTTTGTACTCGAGTTCTAGGAGGAATCTTGAAATGGTAGTAACTTCTACCAGGCAGCCAATCCCCCTGAGGCTTCTGCTCCCCCGAGAATGTACTTCTCTCTCCATCCAGCACTGCTCTATACTTCTGACGCCTACACCCGGGTTTCTCCTCTTGCTACTTCCCTCCCTTTCCATGTTAGTCGGTGTGCTCCTTGGAACGTTCTTCCTTGTAAACATACTACTCAACCCTCTCAGTCACTGCATGGATGGCCCCTCCATCTCCTCTCATTACCAGAACCCATGTCTCTCCCAGGATATCACACGCTCTGACGCTATTGCAAGTGGAGGTTGTTCATGTTCATTTGGTCACAGCCCCACTGTCCTGCACACATATACACACGTATACACAACTCACACCCTGCATCAGGTGGCCTGAAGGAGTTGGCACTGTGCTCACTCCCATTGTTTCACATTGTTTCAAACTCATTACCCCTCCACCCTCCATTGAAGCTCTAACACCTTCTCCTTCCCCATGGTCCTCACTTATTGACTTCCTGGTCACTCCTACACATTTGCTGAGTACTAGGGAATCTGTTTCACAGGCTTCCTCTCTCCTCTCACCCCACTCCCCAGGCCTGACATCATCCTGAGTGACTTCACTGCTCATATAGACAACTCACCAGGAATCCAGCCTTGCTTCTTTTGTCACTGAGAAAGTCAAGGCATTCTGGGAAAATCCTACCCTGCTATCTACTTAAATATCCCATCAGTGCCCATCCTTTCTTTCTCCCCCCAGCCACAGTGGAAGAAGTGTTTCCTTCTCCCTTAAGAAGCTAATTGGCCAGGCATGGTGGCTTACGCCTTTGATCTCAGCAATTTGGGAGGCCAAGGCGGGAGAATCACTTGAGCCCAGGAGTTCAAGACCAGCCTGGGCAACATAGTGAAACCCTGTCTCTACAAAATTAACAGAAATTAGCCGGGCATGGTGGCGCGTGCCTGTAGCACCAGCTACTGAGGAGGCTGAGGAAGGAAAAGGGCTTGAGTCCAGGAGATGGAGGTTGCAGTGAGCTGATATTGGGCCAGACTGGGTGACAGAGTGAGACTTTGTCTCAAAAAAAAAAAAAAAGCGAATTGACCAAACTGTACTCTGCATGTCATCACTTCCTTTCCTCTTCTTCCAGGATCTACTCCAACAATCACCGCCCCCCCCAACCCCCGCCCTCCACCTCCACCATCTTCAGTGGCTCCTTCTCTATCATCTCTTTCTGCTCTCCATGAACATTTTCAGGTCTCCTCTGAGAAACACCTTTTCATCCACACCCCTCCAGCTACTGTACTATCTCTCCTTTCCTCTTCATAGATAAGCTTCTCAAAGGAATTGTCTGCATTCTCTGCACTCCCATCCAGGGAGTGCAGGGATAGTCCAGGGATTATCAAAAATCAGACTACAGTCTGAGGGCCAAATCCAGCCTGCTATCTGTTTTTGTATGTCTTGAAACTAAGAATGTTTTTCACGTTTTAAGGGCTGAGAAAAAAAGAATTAAAGAATATTTTGTGACATGTGAAAGTGATATGAAATTCAAATTTCTGTGTCCATCAATAATGGTTTATTGGACATGGCCATGTCCATTCCTTTACTTATTGTCTATGGCTGCTTTAGCACTACAAGGGCAGAGTTGAGCAGTTGCAAAAGAGACTGTGGATTGCAAAGTTTACATATATACTATCTGGCCCTTTGCCAGAAAGATATGCTGACCTCTTCTTTAGTCTCTGCCAATCATTCCTCTACACTTTCATAAGGGGGTGTTTCTGGAACACAAATCCTCTAATGCCCCCTGCCTTGCTTTTGGCTCTGGCTCCTTAGCCTGGCACCCAATGCTCCACACACCCTGCCTCCAGACTGTCTCTTCACCCTTATATCCTGTGCTTATTTCCCAAATATATTTTGCTTCAGCCATTCTGAACTTCTAGTTCCTTGAATGCTTCATGTGGTTTCCTGCCGTCTATGTGCCTTTCCATGTGTTCCTTCTACTTGGATAGTCCTCAACTTTTTCCTCACCTAACTAACTTCTACTTGTCTGACGAAACTCAGATTAAAGATCACCAAATTTTCCAGGATGCCCTCAGGCTGAGTTAGGAGCCTGATATGGTTTGGCTCTGTCTCCCCATCCAAATCTCATGTCAAATTGTCATCCCCACCTGTTGGGGGAGGGACCTGGTGGGAGGTGATTGGATCATGGGGACAGTTTCCCCCATGCTGTTCTTGTGATAGTGAGTGCGTTCTCAGGATATCTGAGGGTTTAAAAGTGTGTGGCGTTTCCCCCTCGCTTTTTGTTTCCTGCTGCCATAAGAAGACACTCCTTGCTTCCTCTTTGCCTTCCACCATGATCGCAAGTTTCCTGAGATCCTCCTCCCCAAGTCATGCTTCCTGTACAGCCTGCAGAACTGTGAGTCAATTAAACCTCTTTTCTTCATAAATTACCCAGTCTTCAGGTAGTTCGTTATAGCAGTGTGAGAACAGACTAATACAGGGCCCCTCTTCAGAAAGGGCTCTATGGCCCCCTGGGAAGATCTCTATCCTAGTAGCTCCCATGATGTACTGTCATGTTTGATTGACAAGTTTGTCATTCAACAGGTCATGAGCATCTTGAAGGCAGGAACTAGGCATTTATTTCCTTACTGACAGCATCTAGCATAAGGCCTAACCAAAACAGGAACTTAATAAAACATATCTGTGCATCAATAAATGTCTCTTAGGCCAAGCATGGTGGCTCACACGTATAATCCTAGCACTTTAGAAGGCTGAGGCAGGAGCATTGCTTAAGGCCAGGAGTTTGTGACCAGCCTGGGCAACATAGTGAGAACTCATCTCTACAAAAATTTAAAAAATTAGCCAGGTATGGAGGTGTGCACCTGTGGTCCCACCTACTTGGGAGGCTGAGGTGGGAGGATTGCTTGAGCCCAGAAGTTCGAGGTTACAGTGACCTATGATCATGCCACTGCACTCCAGCCTAGACAACAGAGTGAGACCACGACTCTAAAAATAATAAATAAATATCTCTTAAATTTAATGAAGTGTCAAAGAAATCTTCATATCTGCAGATAACATTAAATTTCTCCAGGTAGAGAGATTCAATTCAAGGATAAGCTGAAAAGAGAGCTTCACTCAGTGTAATACTAGATGACTGAACAGCATAGATAAGTTTAGTCAACACAGTCATTGATTCGTTGGAGGTGCCTGATAAACACTGAATTAAATAATTCATGTATTGGTAGGAGGCTGAGGCAGGAGAATCACTTGAACCTGGGAGGCCGAAGTTGCAGTGAGCCGAGATTGCACCACTGCACTGCAGCCTGAGCAACAGAGTGAGACTCCGTCTTAAAAAAAAAAAAAAATCATGTATTGGGGGACAGGCTGAAAAACTAGGTTGAAGTCATATTGTGGAAGTCCTCTATGCCACAGAAAATTTTAACTCATTCATTTTCCTGGTCAAAAACCTCCCCAATATTAATTTGGCAACAGAAAAGGGGGTGAATGAAATGTGGAGGCCGAGTGCAGTGGCTCACGCCTGTAATCCCAGCATTTTGGGAGGCTGAGGTGGGCAGATCACTTGAGGTCAGGAGTTCAAGACCAGCCTGGGCAACATGGTGAAACCCTATATCTACTAAAAATACAAAAATTAGCTGGGCGTGGTGGTGTGCGCCTGTAATTCCAGCTACTCGGGAGGCTGAGGTGGGAGAATCGCTTGGACCTGGGAGGTGGAGGCTGCAGTGAGCTGAGATCGTGCCACTGCACTCCAGCCTGAGCAACAGAGCAAGACTCCATTTCAAGAAAAGAAAAGAAATGTGGAAAGGTAAGTACTAGGGAGGCCAGTTAGGAGGTTATAAAGGTCATCTTGCTGAAGAGTAGTGAGGCCTTAACTTAGCAGGTGCAGTAGGAATGCATATGGAAAGTTAGATGCAAAGAGCCAATGCAGAGGTAGGATTAACCTGTCTTGGAATTGATTGGGTGGGTGAGTGGGAGTGCCTGAGGAAGAAGAACTGAGAGATGACTCCAAAGGTTTGAACCTGGATAACTGAAAAACAGAGGGCTGTCAGTAGCATTAATGTGGGAGTCAGAAAGTAGAGCTCAACTATGGACAGGTTGGATTTAAGGGACTGGTAGGATATCCAAGAACGGATGTCAACATAGGCACTTAGGAACTTGGCTCTGCAGTTCAGGAGTAAAGACTGGACCAGTGATGGATTTTTGAGCTATATGCATAATATTGACGCTGTGGGAGCGCCAAAGAAGAGAAGGTATAAAGAGACTTGGACTTAAGGCAGCAGTATAGAAAATGCCTATATTCATGTGGAACAAAGAATAGGTCACAGCTAGTACCCAGGATAAGGATGCTGAGGTTTTCAGTTTTGTTACTGAAATACCAGGGGTCCCGTCTAGGCCCTGCTGCTCACTGCACAGAAAACCAATCACTGAGACAATAAGTACTGCCAAGGAAGAAAGCTTTAATTGGGTGCTGCAGCCGAGAAGATGGTAGCTCAGTCTCAAATCCATCTCCCTGACCGACTAAAACTAGGGGTTTACAAAGCAGGGAAGAAATGCAATAATGTATAAGAAAACAAGAAGTAGGGAGGGGCAAGGAAGCAATCATGACGAATGAGGGGTCTGGAATCTAGTGTGGTGGTATCTGGTGTGGTGGTCTGGTGAATTTCAGTTCTTTGATGCTTTTTTTTGAGAGGCCTGAAGGTCCTTTCCTGAGGAAGGAACTCAGATCAAACAAATGTAAGTTTCAAGCTTTAAGACTAGAAGGGTCAATTTCTACATTTATCAAAAAGAACAGTCTATGGGAATATTGGATCAGTTTCACTTTATTTTCTGAACAGACCAACCCAATGTGCTCAAAAAGCAAATAAGATTTGCAGTGTCATTAGGAAGGCTATTTGATTTTTTTTTTTTTTTTGAGATGGAGTCTCGCTCTGTTGCCCAGACTGGAGTACAGTGGTGCGATCTTGGCTCACTGCAACCTCTGCCTCCCAGGTTCAAGTGATTCTCTTGGCTCAGCCTCCCGAGTAGCTGGGATTACTGGCATGCGCCACCACACCTAGCTAATTTTTGTGTTTTTAGTAGAGATGGGGTTTCACCATGTTGGCTAGGCTGGTCTTGAACTCCTGACCTCAAGTGATCTGCCCGCCTCAGCCTCTCAAAGTGCTGGGATTACAAGCGTGAGCCACCGTGCCCAGCTAGGAAGGCTATTTGAAATGAATAATCATATTAACCTCACACAAGTAACCTAGGATACTTTGTGCACATGTGGTAATGAAACCCTAAGAGAGATATTAGTAGATCTGGAAATGGTCCAGAGAAGAGCAATTAAAATAGTCAAAAGAGAGAAGCAATTGATGTTTTAGGAAAGACTAAAAAGGTAAGGAACCTCTTTAGCTTACAAAAATAGCTAGAAGGGTCAATAGCAACAACAACAATGGCTGACATTTACTTAGTGTTTACTATGTGTAAGACTATTCTAATCACTTTATATGTATGATCTCACTCAATGCTGATAACAACCTAGGCAGGTAAACACTATTATTATCCTCATTTCACAGATGAGAAAACTGAGGCGCAGTGAAGTTAAGTAACTTCTCCAATCTCTCAGAGGTAGAAAAGGAAAAGCAAGGATTCAAACCCAAAACTATTCCAGAGCATATGCTTTTAACCACTGTAGTGTAGATCATCCAGCAAGTAAACAAATCTTAAAGATATGAATCATGTAACCACAGTACTGTTTACTCAGATTCAAAACTTAAAATACCAAGGTACCACTTAATGCTTCAAGACAAATACTTTTTTTTATTGTTTGAATTTCTTACAATGAGCTCATACCACTTTGGTAATGAAAAAAAAAAAGTAAACAGGATGCGATTTCAATATTGAAAGTACTAGTTTACTCGGCAGGTAGTAAACTTCTAGAATGTGTTACCCAGAGAGGTTGTACGAAATATAAATAGCTCAAAGAAAGGTTTTGTGCCTACAATAGGTATATATCTCATAAATATCTATAATAGTCAGGAGCATATTCCTAAGGAAAGTGGAATTTTGAACCAGGTGGGAAAGAACAGTGTGCCAGATCGAGGGAGAATCTGCATGGAAAATGGAGACGTGGATAAGCAGTGTGTGAAGATACTCGTGGAGCTGGGTGGCATGTAATAAGTCAATTAGCTTGAAGATGAGTCTGGGATAGCAGTGCTTTCTCTATTCAGTGAACTAGCCTGGGAAACGTGATAAGTCTTCACAAATAACATCTCAGTAGGAAACGCTTTAGAGACCATTATCCCCATCTTTAATAACATCCACATCATTTATCCAAGGTGCATATGGAAAATGGCTCTTTCTTTGGAAAAACAAACAGCACTTCTGGGGTCACTTAGGAATTTAAATGCACTTTCTCATGAGGTTTGACTTTTGTTCTAAGAGCTCATGAAAACAGTGCTACCACTAGCTGTACCTTGCACCTTTGGGATTAACTGCAACTTAAAGAACCATGTATGAGTGAACCCAAGGTACTTATTTGAATGATACAGTCCTTGGTAACTGTGACTATGAATACCTTGGCTTCCCTTCAGGTTGGAATCTACAGAAAAGACAATTAAAATCTCACTCCCTGAACATAATTTAACCATGTATTACTAGAAAATGTGAAACGAGGCTAGTTTCTCTTGCATTCAGTATATGGGTAAAGAGGTAAAAAAAGAGTGAGAAATGCATCTTAAGAGGGCAATAGAGAAAACAAAACTCAATATCTGGACATGGGTGATCTCCCTGAAGACTAGGATAATGCATTGGTGGTTTATACAAATACCAGATTCATTATTGAATTTCTTTTTTCCTATAACTTCATCTTTTTAAAGGAAAAGAACCAGATCTCAGGTCCTATAAGAAAACTCCTAATCATTTTCTGCTTCAGATAAATTGATATTAAAAGGGTTTTTTTCTTTTTTCTTTTTTTTTTTTGGAAATGGAGTTTCACTCTTGTTGCCCAGGCTGGAGTGCAATGGCGTGATCTCGGCTCACTGCAACCTCCGCCTCCTGGGTTCAAGCGATTCTCCTGCCTCAGCCTCCTGAGTAGCTGGAATTACAGGGGCCCACCACCACGCCCGGCAAATTTTTTGTATTTTTAGTAGAGATGGGGTTTCACCATGTTGGCCAGGCTGGTCTGGAAGAAGGGGTAATTTTACAGGGGATCTGAAAAGGCTAATTTCAATCTGACCATTATTTTAGACAAAACAAAGTTGTAAGATTTTTTTGGTCAACTATCTTTTCTACCTTATTACCTCCCAGGGGCGGAGAAGGAAGCACTTTCCTGTCAACTACAGAGAGATTATCTCCTGGTTCTTCCTGATTGTATAAATAGAACTACATTTGTAAGGAATGCATTATACTGCACTTGACATCCATCAAGTATTGTGTAAAATTCTGGCTTAGAGGTGAAGAAATTGGAAAGGGCCCAGAAAAGAATAATGAACATGACTAAAGGTTTGGAAAATGAGATCCAGGACAAAAATTATATAAGTAAAGTTGAGGAAATATGATTAATTTTAGATGTCTTCTTCTACTTTTTTTTTTTTTTTTTTTTGGTTAGAGAAAGGGTCTCGCTCTGTCACTCAGCCTGTAGTGCAGTGGCATAATCATGGCTCACTGTAGCCTTGAACTCCTGGGATCAAGCAATCCTCCTTCTTTAGCTTCCCAAGTAGCTAGGACTACAAGCATGTGCTACTATGCCCAGCTAATGAGATGTCTTATTTGTTTTTCCAGCTTTGAGGAAGCTCAAGCATATCAGAAAATGTTTACAATCAAAAGGTTGTCAAAATGTGAGAGTACATGCAAGTCCATGGGGATTTTTGAGCCCAATTCAAAAGATTGGAAGGACTCTCTGTAGAGATCCTTTCAAATAGGGATACTGTCCCAATTATTTTCCGGAATTCATTTGTCATTCAACAAGCACTTATTGAATGCTTATCACATGACAGTCAAAGTTTTAGGTACAGAGAAATCTCTGTTCTCTCAGAGCTTACATTCCAGTGGGGAAAGACAGACAGTAAACAGTAACACAACAAACATAAATAGTTAAATTATATAGTATGTTAGAAGGTGATATAAAAAGTAGAACAGAATAAGGGGATCAGGAATAGGAATTTTGCACATTTAAAAGGGGTGGTCAGGATAGGACGCATCTTTGAGCAAAAGCAAATTGATGCAACTAAAACGTAGAATTCTGATTGGGTTAAAGGAAAAGAATGGTGATCATACTTTGCATTTACCTTGTGATATGCAGTTTACAAAGCTTTGCCACTCAGTCAGGGGTCACTGGAGGAACTGGTGCAGAATTTGGAAAAAAAGGATGAATTCCATTTTAGCCATATTACGTTTTAAGTGCCACAGGAAATAAATGCCTATCTGGTAGTCAGAAATGCAGCCCTGGAGCTAAGGAGAGATATTTGTGATAGAGATGTCGATTTGGAATCACTGTAATACCTTTGCTGGCTGAAGCGGTGGGAATGAATGGGTGAGCTCCCCAGGGGACAGCAGAGTGATGAGGTCAAGGGGAGAAGCTCACTATTAAATGTCTACATTTCAGGAGATGAAGACAAAGAAAAATGGGCAGAGGAGTATACATTTTACCCGGATCAGAGATAGAGACAAGGCAAGAAGGCTGCGTTATTAGCATTTTAAAATTTCCTCTTTCATTTCTTCCTTAATGTAAGCTGGTTCTTTTCACGACAAAACACTCCCCCCGCGCTACACCTCTTTTTGCGCGAATCTTTCTCCAGGACCTTAAAATGGTTTACTGAGCACTTCCCGCGAGCCAAGTATTTGGGGTTCCAGATCCTGGGATTTTGTCCTGACACTGCCTCCTCGTTTTAACACCCTTGCCTCCTTCTGCAGTGCCAGTTTCCAGGGAGCTGAAGCACAGGAAAGGCCTACAGAAAACAAAAGGCACAGTTTCACAAAAAGCCAAAACCAACCAACCCACAAAACACAACTGTCAGGGGTCTATATCCAGCACCTACCGCCTTTCCCCAACGCCCCCAGCCCCGCCCCTCGGCCCCACCTCCTCCCGCCCCTCGGCCCCACCTCCTCCCCGCCCCCTCGGTCCCACTCCTCCGCGCCCCCTCGGTCCCACCTCCTCCCCGCCCCTCGGTCCCACCTCCTCCCCGCCCCCTCGGCCCTCACCCACTCTCCGTCCCCTCCGCCCCGCCCCCTACGCCCCACCCATCCTCCCGTAGGCCCCGCCCTCGGCCCCACCTCCTCCCCGCCCCTCGGCCCCACCTCCTCCCCGCCCCTCGGCCCCACCTCCTCCCCGCCCCTCGGCCCCACCCATCCTCCCCGCAGGCCCCGCCACTCGACCGCACCCACCAGGGCCCCCCCCCCCCGGCTACGCCCACCCACCCACCCACTGGCCCCGCCCCTCGGCTACACCCACCCTCGTGCGGGCCCCGCGCGTCTTCCCCACCCCGCCCGTCTGCCTACCCCGCCCCTCGCCCCCACACGTTCTCTACGCAGGCCCCCGTCCCTCTGCCCCACCCTGTTCTCGCCACTGGCCCTGCCCCCATTTGCCGGCGCCCTTCCTCTTCGCTTCCCCGTAGCTCCCGCTTTCGCCTCTTCGTTTATGACTCCGTTGGGCTCCGGCCCTCCTAGAGAGGCCTCCATAGCGCAGGTTCGTGGGTTCTCGCGGACCTTTTTCCGTGTAGCTTTCTGCTTCTTCCCGGCATTCCTGTTTCCGTTTTCTCACAGCCCTCTGGCTTTTCCACCACTGAGACACTTTGCGCTCAGGACTTCAGTGACGTCATCTTTCTGCGGCGCGCGGACACCCGCCGGTGGAAGAAGAAACAGCTCCGCCGTCCTTCGCTTCTTTTGCTGGGCTGCTGCTCCTTCGGCATCATGGCGCCGTCGCTGTGGAAGGGGCTGGTGGGCATCGGTCTCTTTGCCCTAGCCCACGCCGCCTTTTCCGCTGCGCAGCGTAAGTGCCTGGGGCACGGGGACCGCTTCGGTGTGGAACCCTAGGGGCGGTGTGTGGGCGCACTTCTAAGGGACCATCGGACCGAGTGTCAGATTAATGGTCCTTTGAGACCTTACAGTTTGGGGTGACTAAGAAAATCAGTGCAGGAGTTCCCAGTGGAAGGTTCGGAGTTTGAATTTGGAGAGAGTGTGGCACCTGAAATTGCAGGAAGGTTGGAAGGAGGTGTCTGGGAGAGGGTTCAGAATAGGAGTCTCCAGGAATCCAGGACAAGTGATGTCAGATCCAGCATGGGGCAGATCAGGCACAGTTGTGAGATTGAGGACTCTGGTTGCTCATGGTCCCACGACAACCAAGTGGACAACATCTTGGGCACTCTTGGGCTGTCCAGGCAGAGACTGAGTAGTTAAGTGACCGATTGCCTCAGGGAGGCACTGTGGTACAGGAGAAAGAGCACTGGACTGGGAGTCTAAAGGACTGGTTGTTAAAAACTTGCATTACCGCTACATCTGTGTGACGTTGGGCAAAAGATTTGTGCTACACTGCGTTATGAAATTCAGTTTTGGGTCGCTGTTTGAAATTGCGCTGTGTTTAGGTGCTAGAGATACAGTGATGCCCTGAGCCAGTTCAAAGTCTAAAGGAAAACAAGTGGATCAAGAAGTAGTTACAATAAAGTGATATGCTAAAAGTATATAAGGATGCATGGAAGCAGGGACAGTCATATTTTGGGGGAACTGGGAGGTTAAGGAAAGTATCCTAGATCCTTGCTGCTTACAGTGTGATCAACAGACCAGCATCATGAGCACCACCTGGCAGGTAATTAGAAGATACTCAGGCCAGACCTGTTCAATCAGAATCTGGGTTTTAATAAGATCCCAGGGTGATTTGTATGCGCATTAGTTTGAGAAACACTGTCCTGGAAGAGATTAGGATACACTGGAGTACTGTGTCATTTTCTACAGTAAGCTTTAACTGTAGAATTATATGATTGTGGGGCGAGAAGGGCCTTTGGAGTTCACTGAAGTCCAACCCCTTCATTTTACAGATGAGGAAATTCCTGGTTAAAGGTAGTGTTAGAAGCAGGCGAGGCTTCATGCAAACTAGCAAGCTAGCTAGGAATTGAACCAGATAGGAGATTAGTCAAAATCGATTTTTGGTGTTGGTTTGATGTTTCTTTTACACTTGTCTTTATGACAGAGCTGTAGGTTAAAACTTAAGAAATGTCTCTAAACACATTCTTCTTCAAGAGTCAATACACATGCACTCAAAAACAGTTTGAATTATTTAGTCCAAAGTACGTTATTAAATAGGGATTGTCCTAGGTTCATCTAGAATTAAGATTTTTGTATTTTATGTTTTGGGTGATGAGAATGCCTTGTGGATTTGCCACTGCAGTGAGACCTCTTTATATATAATGCTCATGTTAGGGAGAGAGTAATATGTAACTTTAAGACTAAGTGTGTCATGTCAGACTGTAGCAGCAGATAGCACAATGTGGTGCTGTGGCATGCTCATCTTTGCTGTAATGAACTTTGTTACAGTAGGGCACCAGTCATTTACTGTATCTTGTTTAATCCTCACCTCACATTATTCTCATTTTACTGTTGTGGAAATTCAGGTAATGAAAAAAATAGATACTGTATTTCTTTGATTCTAAGACACCCACCATTTTAACACTCTGAACTTGAGATATGTATTATGATCACTGCGGGCTTCTTTAATTAAATGAAATTATAGTAAATTGAAGAGCTGGCACTGATTTAGGCTTACCAGTTTCCAAATCCTGATCCTTTTCTTTTATCCCTTGCTGCCTCCTGAGGTTAAGGCAGCAGCAGCGGAATTATAATTAACTAGTAGAGGCAGAAATTGATTTCATGGAATTCCTATTCCACCACTGCCCCAGCGTATCCTCTCAGGAGAACCATTTCCATACCAGTATTATTTTGTCCATACTGTGTGGTTGGTGGTGGTGCTATTTCAGAGTTGAGATTTTCTGTAGACTTTACTTTTTAAATAATTGTGATTTCTTTGGCGAGTTAGTGAAAGTAACGGTTTTGAGAAGTTTCTAGTATTTCTATAATAATGAAAGAAAAATTATACTAAGGTATTTCTGCCTCATACTTGCTCACTTGTCACTCTTACCCATTTTATAAGGTGACAAAGCAGGTCATGATGAAAATAAAATAGTTGACTAAGATAGAGCTGACTACCTTAGAAGATAGAAGGTTTTGAGGAATCCAGGATTAGCATTACTTTATGTAGCATATAAGTCAGCCACTTCTTTTTTTATTTTTTATTTTATTTTATTATTATTATACTTTAAGTTTTAGGGTACATGTGCACAATGTGCAGGTTAGTTACATATGTATACATGTGCCATGCTGGTGTGCTGCACATAAGTCAGCCACTTCTTTGGTATATTGATTTGCTTCATTTTAAGAAAGAAAAATGAACTACAGTTTCCTTAATGGTATGCTTCTGGTTTATAGATCGTTCTTATATGCGATTAACAGAAAAAGAAGATGAATCACTGCCAATAGATGTAAGTTGGTCATTTATATTCCGTTACATGTATGTTTAAAATCAGCCACATAGCTTGTAATAATTTTTTTTTTACTGGTTTTTCGTAAAATTTTTCAGACATGAAATAAAATCTGATCTCCACTTTTCTTTTCTTTTCTTTTCTCTTTTGAGACGGAGTCTCACTCTGTCACCCAGGCTGGAGTGCAGTGGCCTGATCTCAGCTCACTGCAAGCTCCGCCTCCCAGGTTCACACCATTCTCCTGCCACAGCCTCCCGAGTAGCTGGGACTACAGGTGCCCACCACCATGCCCGGCTAATTTTTTGTATTTTTAGTAGAGACAGGGTTTCACCGTGTTAGCCACGATGGTCTCGATCTCCTGACCTCATGATCCGCCTGCCTTGGCCTCCCAAAGTGCTGGGATTACAGGAGTGAGCCACCGCGCCTGGCCTGTGATCTCCACTTTTCATCACTCATAAAGCTCAAAGATTTGGAAAGGTTTCTCTATTTGGTTTCTAGAGCTGTAGTCGAAATAGTCTTTCTCGAAGATGCTCTGTCCATAGTATGGGATGGACTTAAAAAGTTGATTATTTAGCTTTATTTCTTAGAAAAGTTCATTTTTATGTAAGGGAAATAAAGCCAACAGTACATTGTTTAGGGACATACATAGGTGGTAAAATGAAAGTGGTTTTAGTTTTTTTTCTTTTTTTTGAGACAATGTTTTGCTCTTGTTGCCCAGGCTGGAATGCAGTGACGCGATCTGGGCTCGTTGCAACCTCTGCCTCCCAGGTTCAAGCAATTATCCTTCCTCAGCCTCCCAAGTAGCTGGGATTATAGGCGCCCACCACCACGCCCAGCTAATTTTTTTGTGTTTTTAGTAGAGACAGGGTTTCCCTGTGTTGGCCAGGCTAGTCTCGAACTCCTGACCTCAGGTGATCCATCTGCCTCAGCCTCCCAAAGTGCTGGGATTACAGGTGTGAGCCACAGCGCCCGACCAGGAAAGTGTTTTTTAAAACTAAAATGATAAGTATTCCAGCATCACTCACAATTTTTATCTTTACTAGACTTGAAATTACACAAGTAGTAAGTTCTTTGTAACAGAGTCAAACAGTAAAAACTAAAACTGACCCTACACAATTATAAAAACACCAACAACAGAAGAACTGGCCCCGTTCCTTGGCAGTTCCACTTCTACTCCCAACAGTTTGGAGTATAGCAGTAGTTCAGTCTTCTTCCTATACACAAACAGCATTATGTATGTGTAGTTTTACCTAATCCAAACACGTATTATTTTTTCTTTAAAAAGTTATACATGTGTATATATGTATAGTTTTATAATTAACTTTTTTATTACTTAACAACTTCAGTCTTACTTTCATGACAGCTCATATAGATTCTTGTTAAAAGTGCCTGTGACTGTGTTATATAAAACAAGTCTTCTGGCCAGGCATGGTGGCTCACGCCTGTAATCCCAGCACTTTGGAAGGCCAAGGCAGGCAGATCATGAGGTCAGGAGATCAAGACCATCCTGGCTAACACGGTGAAACCCCGTCTCTACTAAAAACACAAAAAATTAGCCGGGCATGGTGGTGGGCGCCTTAATCCCAGATACTCGGGAGGCCAAGGCAGGAGAATCACTTGAACCCGAGAGGCAAAGGTTGCAGTGAGCCGAGATCATGCACTCGAGATCTGCACTCCAACCTGGGTGACAGAGCGAGACTCCATCTCAAAAACAAAAACCAAGTGTTCTTGGTAGACTGGTGGTGGGAATGTAAATTGGTATCGTATATGATGTTAGATTTTAATTTAAACAGGAAAATAGATTGTGGCTAATTTTGACTTTGTCTGTAATTAAATATATGATTGATGAGGCTGTTAACTCCTATCACCTTTTTTTTGTGGTAGATACACACACACACACACACACACACACATACACATATTTATGTCTATTTTAAAGAACTTTTTTCTATAATCTGAACATGCCCATAATCCCATGTTGGTTAAAATAAAACATTCTGCGTTTTTGCTCGCTCAACCTCTTTGGAAAGCAGTTGATATTACTCAATCAAATTGAACATGTGCATACTCTACACTCAGTGTTTCCATGTGTGAACTGGGCGACATGCATATGAATATTCATGTTGATTGTGAAGGTAACAGGAAACAACCCACATATCCAATAACAACAGCAGAATGGATAAATTGTGGTATTTTCATATCATGAAATACAAAGCACAGTGAAAACTGGCCGAGCACGGTGGCTCATGCCTGTAATCCCAGCACTTTGGGAGGCTGAGGCAGGCGGATCACCTGAGGTCAGAATTTGAAACCAGCCTGGCCAACATGGTGAAACCCCATCTCTACTAAAAATACAAAAATCGGTTGGGTGCAGTGGCGGGCACCTGTAATCCTAGCTACTTGGGGGCTGAGGCACGAGAATCACTTGAACCTGGGAGGCTGAGGTTGCAGTGAGCCGAGATTGCACCACTGCACTCCAGCCTGGGTGACAGAGCAAGACTCCATCTCAAAAAAAGAAAACACACACACACACACACACACACACACACACACACACAATGACATAATGTTGAGCGAGGAAAGCTAGACACAAAAGAATACATTTGAGTCCATTTAAATAAAGTTCAGTATGGGCAAAAGTAAGGCATATATGTTTTAGAGATTCATATATATTTAATAGCTGGTAAAATTATCAAGAAAAACAAGAAACTGAGTAATATATAATTCAGGACCATAGTTAACTTTGAGAGGGAAGGTAAAGGATATCATCTGAGATTGACATGTGGAACTTGAAAGGTACTAGGAATGATCTATTTCTTAAGCTGGGTGGTGGGTACATGGTCTTTTAATTGCTTTATGCTGTGTACATATGCTTTCTGCACTCTATGATATATAACAATAATACTGGCTGGGTGTGGTGGCTCACGCCTGTAATCCCAGCACTTTGGGAGGCCGTGGCGGGCGGATCACCTGAGGTCAGGAGTTCGAGACCAGCCTGACCAACATGGAGAAACCCCGTCTCTACTAAAAATACAAAATTAGCCTGGCGTGGTGGCGCATGCCTGTAATCTACTCAGGAGGCTGAAACAGGAGAATTGCTTGAACCCGGGAGGTGGAGGTTGCAGTGAGCCGAGATTGCACCATTGCACTCCAGCCTGGATAACAAGAGGGAAACTTCGTCTCAAAAACAAAAAGCAAACAACAACAACAACAACAAAAAAAAAACAAAAACAATAATACCTTAAAAATTCTTAGTTGCTCTTGGAAGCAGGTAATATTTGATCATTGAGTTCTGAGTGGCTCAGTACCATTCAGTACTCAGTGATTTTGCTTATTTGAACACTAGATTTATTTATTGAAGCATCAGAGGTATTTTTGCAGCCAATCCACAGAATTTATAGATTGTATTGTGTCTGAATCCCAGTCATTTCAAGTGAGCATTGTCTCCCTGATGGTGGCCCTGAGAGGACTACCTGTTAGAGGCAATGAAGAGGTAGAGAGAAAATTGTAAATATTTATAATAATGTTTGTGTTATTTAGTATTATCAATCTTTATACTCACAGATAGTTCTTCAGACACTTCTGGCCTTTGCAGTTACCTGTTACGGTATAGTTCATATTGCAGGAGAGTTTAAAGACATGGATGCCACTTCAGAACTGAAAAATAAGTAAGTCTTTCTCTTTTCATAGGCATTGCATTTCATAGAGGTTTGCTGTATTCACATAATTTTAAAAAGTATGTTTTCTGATACATAAAAGTTGGTTTTGTTTCTGCATTTTGATTACACAGTTTGTATGAATAATGAGGTAAAAACATTGAGGCGGTATTTGATACTGTAAGAAAATGGAAGATGAATGCCAGATTATTCACAGTAGAATCAAAAAAATACGTTGCTTAAAATTATTGGTTGGTTGTATGGATGAAAATAGATATATAGAAAAATAATGCCTCAGAATTTTTAACCTTTCTCCTTCCATTCCTTCCTTGCTCCCTTTCTTCCCCCCTCCCTTCCCCCTTTCACTCCTTCCATCCCTCTCTTCCTACCATCCTCTTTCTATCCTCTTGTCCCAGCTTAGTCTTTGGAAGAGTAAGTGGTTTTCGGTTTCCCCTCTCACTTGAACCTAGTATGTGAGATAAGCTCTGCTCCCAGGCCCTTTTCTACTACTGGATTAAAAGTATATTTGTTATTCTGCTTTCTTTTTTTTCTCCTGGACTACTTCTAAGCTATTTTCATGAGCTATGTTTGCTTTTATTTTTCATATTTTTACTTTCCTAAAATCATCCTTTAGCTTTGTTCAGTTCCATCTCTGGACTTTACCCACCTTCTTGATCCTGGACATGATGCCCCTTTACAATATTTTCTTAGAAGGAGTCACAGTGAACATTTATGTGTTAGAGGAAAGTCATATCCCCCTTTTAGTTCATTATGTACATTTTATTTATTTTTATTTCTTTCTTTCTTTATGGAGACAGAGTCTCTATCAACCAGGCTGGAGTGCAGTGGCATGATTTTGGCTCACTGCAACCTCTGCCTCCTAAGTTCAAGTGATTCTCCTGCCTCAGCCTCCTGAGTAGCTGGGATTAACAGGCACCTGCCGCCATGCCCGGCTAATTTTTGTATTTTTAGTAGAGACGGGGTTTCACCATGTTGGCCAGGATGGTCTCGAACTCCTGACCTGAAGTGATCCACCCGCCTTGGGTTCCCAAAGTTCTGGGATTACAGATGTGAGCCAACGTGCCCCACCCAATATGTACATTTTAAGGAGTTACATATCAGGCCTCTTTTTTGTATGGGAGTATGCTTGGATGTTTAGGTGGGCTGAGATTTGAGTTTTTGTCAAAGGAAGAGTTCTCCTATCCTTTCCAGGAAAATAATATTGAAAAACAAAAACCATAAAGGCCACACACCAAGGTGTTTGTGAACTCTTTTAGACTACATATCTCTCACTGGAAAAGTAGAAAGGATACTTTACTGTCATCACTGCTTGCTCTTACAAAGAGTCTACCAAGAATCACAGGCAAGGGGCCAGGAAAGAAAGAAGTAAAACAATGTCATTAAGTAGGTGGTAGAAAAATATGTGTTTGGACAATAGCAGGTACAGAGGGCCAAAAGGAATTTTTTGTTGTGCTTGAAAGATTCTTGGAAAACAGATCTGTGAAACGATCATATGGCTTGAATAATGAGGGCCAAATGAGAATAATCAAAGCTGTAATCTATGTGCTGCTTTTTTAAAAAGACTATTCGACATGCGTTACTGTTAGATTTACAGGGGAGATTAATAGTTGAGCTAGTATTTGTGTTGTTATTCATAGGCATTCTGGAAGGAATGGCTGGATAAAAAAAAATATTAGAAGCCGGGCATCATGGCTCATACCTGTAATCTCAGCTCTTTGGGAGGCTGAGGTAGGAGAATTGCTTGATCCTAGGAGTCTGAGACCACCTGGGCAACATTGGGAGACCCTGTCTCTACAAAAAATAATAATAAAAGAAAGCCATGTGTGGTGGTGCGCATCTGTAGTGCCAGCACTTGGGGGGCTGAGATGAGAGGGTCGCTTGAGTCCAGGAGTTTGAGGCTGCAGTGAGCTATGATTGTGCTACTGCACTCCAGCCTGGGCAACAGAATGAGACCCTATCTCTATTTTTTTTAAAAAGAAGAAATTTGAGAGCTATATGCTGCTTTTCCAGGTTTCTTATTTTCTTTATATAGGAAAAGAGATACAGTATAATTATTATTTACAGTCTGATTTCATGTATTAATACTTGTTAAAAAATATAACCCATAGTAAATTGATAATTCGTTAGAAGCCTACTTATTTTCAAGTAGGGTTTTATAAAGGTTTATCTAAAATTGATGCTTTTTTCTTCTTTCAAGGACATTTGATACGTTAAGGAATCACCCATCCTTTTATGTATTTAATCATCGTGGTCGAGTACTTTTCCGGCCTTCGGATACAGCAAATTCTTCAAACCAAGATGCATTGTCCTCTAACACATCATTGAAGTTACGAAAACTCGAATCACTGCGTCGTTAAGATTTTTACAAATTATAATAATAGGACAGGACACAGAGCTGGAATATTGGAGTTTGGGGTATAAAACACTCCTCCCTGCCCCCATTAGTATTTATATTGATCTTTCAGACCTACTTTAGTAAAAAAAACCATGGCCCTTGTTTATATACTGTTAATCCAATCATTAATGCAGTGTAAGTTATATGTGAAATGAGTCTTTGGTATTTCATATAGGAATTATTTTTTTTTTCATTTAAAACAAATCCACATCTTTTGTAAAAGCCACTGTTTTGAACACATTTCCTTGAAAAATGTTGGTGGTTTTTGTGATTATTTATTTTTTTAGATTTCTTTTCTTTTGCACTACAATTTTTGGAATCCTTTTGGAAATACTGTGTGACTGCTGTGTTTTGCAGCATGAATTATAGTAAAATGGTCTTCAATTCTTAACAAATGGACTTCCCTGATGAGACCAAAATGGTGATTTAACAGTTTTTCTTGTGTCCCCTAAAAAGTGGCTCTGCTTCAGAAGTACTTGCCAGTTTTTAATTTATTTGTGACTTTTCACCCTACCCTGCTCCCATATACCTTCTACCATCAGCTGTCTTGTTTCATCATTTCTCTGAGATTCTGTGTGCAGTGAGCAATTTTTGTGTCAGAAATTCTTTGTCAGAACAAATATATGTAACAGGCTCAACTTACTGTAAAGCTACTTGTGTTCTCTTCATTTGTCTGTAAAAATTTCCCTAATTGATTATATAGTGTAAGAATAGTTGAAGACTAGTTGAAGACCTTTTGTGATTTCATTATCATGCCTATGCAGAAGAAAAATCATTGAGGAAAATTGTCATTAGCCAGTTTAACTGATTCAAACTCTGTTTATTTCATACTAAACTAGTGAATAAGTGAAATAAAGGAAACTCGTCATTAATCTAAAGACAGAGTTCAAAGGAATTGGGCCAAATATATTCTCAGTATTTGGAACTAATGTTTTTAAGGTTTTTAGGAAAATCAGGTCATTTAAGAAATTGTTTTGTAGTTTCTGGTTTATAGCAGTCTTCAAGTTTTCCATCTTCACTGTATGTTGCTGAAAGTGAGGATGAGGATACAGAGTTGATATTTTTAGAAACAGTAATTTTACTTTTAAGGAAATTGGCTAGCTCTTTGAGCTAGAGAGCTGTAGGAAGCTCAACATTTCTTTGTAGAGAACGTTGCTTTTTTTGGATTGTACAGGTATAAAAACATTGCTTTTGTTGAATTGTATAGGTGTAAAAAGGGAATAACTGTATGCAGGTTTGAAAAGGAAATGTGCTTTAGGCATGAGTCATAAGATGCCATTGTACTTGTAGGCATTTTATTTTCCTTTAGAAATGGACATCAGCTCTTCTCTTCTGACTGGTAACACATAGCCCCAAAGCATGAGATTATTTTTCATTGGGTTTTTATTGTTGTTTAGTTTTGGTTTGTTACGCCAGCCCAGTCTGTCTGCGGAACACTGACTCTGCTCTCTAATGAGAACAAAGTTAGAAATCTGCCGATAACCTAAAATAATTTAGAAATGAATTAAAAATGTGAAATCGGGTTAAAGTGATGATGATAAAATAGCATGCAAGAAACAAGCTCCTTCCATCAGACTTGGCTACTGTTTTCTTCTGGTACGATTTGGTTTGGAAGAGCCTCTTGTTTCCTTCTCTTTGGGGTATGTCTTCGTTTCTTAATATGTTTGTAACATTATTGAGATATAATTCACATACCTTACAATTCACTTATTTTAAGGGTACAATTTAGTGGTTTTTAGTGTATTCACAAAGTTGTGTAACCGTGACCACAGTCAATTTTAGAACATTTCGTTACCCCAAAAAGAAACCCTGTACCCTTGAGCAGTCACCTCTCATTTTCTCCCAGTGCCCACCCCATCCCCGAGCCCCTGGCAACCACTAATCTATTTCTCTCTCTGTAGATTTGCTTATTCTGGTCATTTCATATAAATGGAATTCTACAATATTCGGTCTTTTGGGACTGGCTTCCCAAATATGATTTTCTATATGGAGTGAGAAAATTCTTCTCATCTTGAGAACTCTTATTGCTGTGAAAGGGAGTGGTTGGTAAAATCAATAGATTTCAGGCAAGAGGGCCAGATACCTAACAGGTTTTTCTCCGTGAATCTTATGCTGAGTAGTTTTTCCTCATAACCAAGCATTTATGATATATTACTACTTATAATACTGTGGCTAGTCTCTAGAATGGATGTTGAAATCTTTGCCTCCTCAGTCGGGAAGAGTCCTGCTAAAAATCAGGCTAAAAATCAGGCCAAAAATCAGGCCAAATGACTTGGCAAATAATTGACAAAGTGGTTTTCACGTGTGTCTATCTTTGCTAGCAGCTTGTATACCTCAGGCCAGGTGAGCTCCCCAAATTTCTTTTTTCATTTACTCCAGTGAGTTTCTGCTGTCTTTTTCAAGTATGTACCATAGGACTTAAAGGTGATTTGGATGCGTTGTAACACTGCTAAATATGCTAAGTACAGAATTTTATCTACAGTACTGTGAGACAGTCAATTATTGCCTAGGGTAGTTCAAAAATATGATGTGAGCTAGTTAAGCCTTTGCTTGACTGATTTCAGTGATATTCAGAAGTGTGTACCAATCAAGGCTCTTTAAAATACGGAACGACTCACTTAATAACCAGGGAACCAGCCAAATACTGTGCAGCCGCAGAATATGCATATCAATGAGTTGGAGGTGATTATTCTCTGTAACTCCCTAATGATTGTTTTCTAAGCATTGTGGCTTCTCAGTGGCTTGACAGCATCTTCCTGGTTGTATGTGGCCTGTTTACATGATGTATTGAATAATGTTGTTTGTTGTGAGCATCAATGCCTGTAACACCAAACTAAACACGTGTTTTTGGGATATGTTTCCAATCTTTAAATGACCTTGCCCTGTCCAATAAATAAATGATTGTCTCACCCTGTTTTTGGTAGTGTTTTTTGGGCTTTTTTTTTTTGGACTTTTAATCTCATTTCTTCTGCTTTTCTGTCCCCAGAAAAATGTAAGAGCTAATTTTATGACTGTATTTTTCTACTGTGATGCTGTTTTACTGAATTCAATGGATAATTTAATTGTACATGTAAAATCTTACTGCAGTTTTATGTTTTTAATAGTCAAAATAGAATGTATAATCTTGATGATGTTTATAAATCATCAAATGCCCTTTGGGGTGTAAAAATGGGTTCTTGAGCAGCAGTGTCTAATGATTCCATCACAAATTTGTTATAAAGCCAAACTCCCATTGAAAGTGTCACTTTATACTTAATAGGAAATCGTTATGATTAAAGCATCAAGGAAGCAAATATAAAGTTTAATGAAAATCCAAGGGGAAGTTCTAAATTGCAAAACTTGGCACTTATCTACAGTATTTTGAAAAATAACACCACCGGTATTCAAACCTACCTAGGAATATCTCAAAATAACCTGTTAATTAAGTGTTCTTAGAAAGGGGAGTGGGGGCAAGAAAGATGATGTATGCACATGGCGAAAAGATCAGATGGTACAGAAAGGTATAAAAACTTGGTCCCTTCCCTCCTACCCTAATACTCCTCTCCAAAAGTAACCAGTTTCAAGTGTCTTGTACTCACAGGAAAACAATTTTTTATTTTTTATCAGCAAATTTGTACTTTAAAAATTTCACATTAATAGAATCAGACTATATATACTCTTCTGTACCTTGCTTTTTTTGCTACCTGTGTTTTATGAGATCTTTCTGTATCAGTATATATAAAAATACCTCATTATTTTTAGCGGCTGTGTGGTATTCTAATGTTTGAATGTGTTACAAATGTTCAAACACTGATAGGCTCTTTAGGTTGTTTCCAATATTAAATCACATTGTGGTGAATATACTTGTACATATAATGAGTTTTTATTCTACAGTGTACCTAGCAATACAATTGCTGGATCAGAGGGTATTTTTTATTTTCAGTTCAGTAGTTACTGCCAAATTGTCCTCTAGAAATCTTTGCCCAGTATGCTTCCACATATAATGTATGAGAATGATTATTTACCAAACCCATGCCAATACTGGGTACTAAACTTTTGAAGTCTGATCATGTGAAAGTGAATAAATGGTATCTTGCGTTTTAATGAAGTTCTAATGCATTTTAATGAAGGTCTGGTACATTTTAATGAAGGAGATGGAACACATTTTCATGTTTATTGATTACTGATATTTCCTGTGAAATGTGTAGTCATGTTCTGTTTTCTATTAGGTGGTATGTGTTTTATTGATTTGTATGAGCTTTTTGTAAGCTAAGAAAATTGGTCCATTGTCATGTTTAATAATATTTTCCTAAGTTTTATTTATGTAGTTAAACTTAGTCTTTACAGCTTCTGAGATTTTGCCTTGCTTAGAAAGGCCACCTTTGCATTTAAGAATAAATTTAATGTATTTTTCCAGTATTTTAAAGGTTTTTTTTTCAACTTTTAAATCTTTGATTCATTTGGAATTTGTCTAGGTAGTAAGAGTGAGGAGAGGATTCAACATTTTTCTCTCCAATAGCAATCTATTCTAACCCCATTTATTAACTTTTTCAACACTGATTGGAAAAACCATCATCCTCATTCATACATCAAATTTCCATATGTCTGGTTAGATATGCTTCTGGGTTCTGTAGTCTGTTGCAAAAAATACGAGTCTTTTAATTATTTTAAATTGTTATATATTTTTGTCTTGGGTATTGCTAGTCCATACCTCATTTTTAGGAATTTTTTCTAGTTACTGCATGTTTATTTTTTTCAGATAAGCTTTCATATCATTTTGTCCAAATCTAAAATTATATTTTCCCTGAAATTTAATTTTGAAAAATTTCAAATCTACAGAAAATGTGAAAGAAAATAGGATGGACACCAGTATACTTTTCATTTAGGTTCACCATTTTTAACATTTTACCACTGTTGCTTTTGCTCTCTCCAGATGTGCTTTTCCTCCCCTCCTGATTCATTCGAGCTAAGTTGCAAACTTCATCATCACACTTCAGGACATCACTTAATATGTCAGCATGCCTTTCCTGCAAGAGGGAGGAGATTCTCCCATTTAACCACAATTCCATTATCACAGGTAAAAAAATGGATCAACCACCCAAAGTTTCATATTCATATTTCCCCATGTATCCCCTAAATAGCTTTTATAGCTGTCCCCACCAAGGTTCACAAATTACATTATTAGTGTGTCTCTGTAGTCTCTTTTCAAGTCTGTCTACCTCTTTTTTAAGCTGGTATTTTCTCTAGACAAACTTTATTTTCTTAGAACTGTTTTAGATTTATGGAGAAAATGGGAAGATAGTATAGAGAGTTCCCACATACTCCATACTCAATTTCCTCTATTAACATGTTAGCATGAGGCATTTGACACAATGAGCCAATGTCAATACATTATTATTAGTAGTAGTAGTATTGGTATTACTGGAATGCAATGGCGTGATCTCGGCCCACTGCAACCTCTGCCTCCCAGGTTCAAGCGATTCTCCTGCCTCAGCCACCCGAGTAGCTGGGAGTACAGGCATGCACCACCACGCCTGGTTAATTTTGTATTTTTAGTAGAGACGGGGTTTCTCTATGTTGGTCAGGTTGGTCTCAAACTCCTGACCTCAGGTGATCCACCTGTCTCGGCTTCCCAAAGTGCTGGGATTACAGGCGTGAGCCAACGTGCCTGGCCTAATACATTATTATTAACTAAAGTCCATACTTTATTCAGATTTCCTTTTTTTTTTTTGAGACAGAGTCTCTCTCTGTCACCCAGGCTGGAGTGCAGTGGCGCGATCTCGGCTCACTGCAAGCTCTGCCTCCCGGGTTCATGCCATCCTCCTGCCTCAGCCTCCCGAGTAGCTGGGACTACAGGTGCCCACCACCATGCCCGGCTAATTTTTTGTATTTTTAGTAGAGACGAGGTTTCACGGTGTTAGCCAGGATGTTCTCGATCTCCTGACCTCGTGATCCGCCCGCCTCGGCCTCTCAAAGGGCTGGGATTATAGGCGTGAGCCACCGCGTCCAGCCCCTTTGGTTTTACCTAGTATCCTTTTTGTGTTCTAGGATTCTATCAAGAGGACCACATTACGTTTAGTCATCATGTCTTGGCTCCTCTTGGCTGTGACAGTTTCTTAGACTTCCCTTGTTTTTGATGATCTTGACAGTTTTCAGGAGTGCTGGTCAGGTATTTTGTAGAATCTTCCTCTACTGGGATTTGTTAGATGATTTTTCGGTTATTAAACTGGAGTTGTGTGTGTTTTTGGAGGAAGACCACTAAGGTAAAGTGCTATTCTTATCACATCATATCAAGGACACATTTATACTGCTGATGTTAATCTTGATCACCTGGCTGAGGTAGTGTTTGTCAGGTTTCCCCACTGTAAAGTACTGTTTTTTCCCCTTTCCATACTGTACTTTTTGGAAGGAAGTCACTCTGCACAGCCCACACATAAGGAGTGACATGTTATGCTCCACCTCCTTGAGGACAGAGTATCTACATAACTTATTTGGAATTCTTCTGCATGGGAGATATGCTTCTTCTCCCCCATTTATTCATTTATTTTTATGAGTTTGGACTCATACCTTGCTTTATCCTTTAATACTATATCTTGTTGAAATTGTTCCAGTTTCAGACATTGGTAGCTTTTTCAGTAAACTCCTGTGTCCCTTTGACATATTCCCATCGTTGTCATTGTGAGTTTTCTATTTTTTTTTTTTTATTTGAGTACTTCCTTCCTGGCACTACAAAGATGTTCCGGGCTTGTGTTGTATATTTCCTTCCTCAGTCCTGGAATCAGCCATTTCTCCAAGGAGCATGGTTCCTTTCATTGAAGAATGGTATTACAAACCAAGATCTGGCCACTAGGTTCGCTCATTGCTGCTTGACGTTTCATTGCCTCTAGGCCTTTTCAGCAGACAGATCAAGGAAATATATATGTGCATACTAACCTGTGCATTTATGCCTAAGTGTAAATATGTAACATCTGTATTTCCATTAAATGAAACATGAGTTCATACTGATGTTCAATCCATTACCACATAGATCATTCTAACCTCTTCCCTTTGCTTATCTGTAAACCTCCACTGCAACTGAGAAACCCGACTCCCACCATCGGCTCTCTTCTTGCTTCAACTGTTTAATTCCAGTATACATATAAACTGGCTTCAGAATTGTTAACCCTTTCCCCCACAAGAAACAACTTTATCAGCTAGAGCACAGTGATTATGTAGCTTTGTTGGTTGTTCATTTGTTGCCATTAGTTTCACAGGCTACTCATTTTGAAAGTTACTTAGGTCAGGACCTTTTCCCTCACCTCCTTTGGTGAGATTGTTTCATAAATTTGTGATAAACTTAGATTGTTTTGTAACATTCTACCTTCGATTTTGGTATTCTCCTGACCTCCCAAATGGTTTTTAAAAATGTGTGTACATTAAGGTTCACTTTTTGTTTCTGGAAGTTCAGTGGGTTATGATGGATTCATAATGTTAGGTATCCACAATTGTATTATCACATAGAATAGTTTCACAGCCATAAGAATCCCTGTGCTTCACATATTTATCCTTCCCTCCCCTTCTGCTGAGCCTGTGTTAACCACCGATCTTTTCAGTGTCTCTATAGTTTTGCCTTTTCAAGAATGTCATGTGGTTGGAATCATGCAGTATGTAGTCTTTTTAGACTGGCTTCTTTCACTTAGCAATATGCATTCAGGATTCCTCCATTTCTCTCAGAAGTTTGATAATTCATTTCTTCTTATCTCTGAATAATAGTTTTATTGTATGGATGTTCCCACACTTTGTTTATCCATTCACCTATTGAAGGACATCTTGGTTGCTGCCAGTCTTTGCTGGTTATGAATAAATCTTCCATAAACACTCACATGCAGGTTTTTGTGTGGACATGATTTTTCAAAGTGGTTGGGTGTAAATACCGAGGAGCAGAATTGCTGGGTCATATGATGAGATTATGTTCAGCTTTATAAGAAATTGCCAAGCTGAATGCGGTGGCTCATGCCTATAATCCCAGTACCTTGAAAGGCCAAGACGGGCGATCACTTGAGCCCAGAAGTTCGAGACCACCTGGGCAATATGGTGAAACCCTGTCTCTACACAAAATACAAAAAAATTAGCCAATCATGGTGGTGCATGTCTGTAGTCCCAGCTACTCAGGAGACTGAAGTGGGAGGATTGCTTGAGCCTGGGAGTTCCAGGCTGCAGTGACCCGTGTTCGCACCACTGCACTCCAGCCTGGATGGTAGAGTGAGACCCTGTCTCAAAAAATAAAATAAATAAAAAATAAAAAAATTGCCAAACTGCCATCCAAAGTGGCTGTACCATTTTGCATTCCTATCAGCAATGGACCATTTTGCATTCCTATCAGCAATGGATAAGAGTTCCTGTTGCTCCATGTCTTTGCCAGCAATTGGTATTGTCAGTTTTTGAATTTTAGTTATTAATAGGTGTGTAGTGCTATTTCTTTGTTTTAATTTGCAGTTCTTTAACAACAAATGATGTTAAGCATTGTATGTGCTTATCTGCCATCTGCATTTCTCCTGTGATGAGGTATCTGTTCAGGTCTTTTGCCCATTTTAAAACTGGTTTGTTTGCTTAATTGTTGAGTTGTAAGACTTCTTTGTATATTTTGAATACAAGTCCTTTACACGTGTGGGTTTTGCAAATATTTTCTCCCAGTCAGTGGCTTCTCTTTTCATTCTCATAACAGTGTCTATCACAGATAAATTTTGATTGTAGTAAAGATCAACTTATCAGGTTTCTCTTTCATGGATCATGCTTTTGGTGTTGAATTTAAAAGTTCACTTTCAAACCTAAGCTCATCTAGATATTCTCCTATGTTTCCATTCAAAGGTTTTGTAGGTTTTCATTTTACATTTAGATCTATAATCCATTTGAAATTAATTTTTGCAAAAGGTATAAATAAGATCTGTGTCTAGGTTCCTTTTTTTTTTTCATATGGACATCCGCTTGTCCTAGCACCATTTGTTGAGAAGACTGTGCTTTCTTCATTGCTTTGCTTTTGTTCCTTTGTCAAAAACCAATTGACTGCATATGTGTGGATCTATTTCTGGGCTGTCTACTTTGTTCCATTGGTTGATGTGTCTATTGCCAGTCCCACAGTGTCTTGATCATTTACCTTTATACTATGTCTTGAAATTCGGTAGTATGAGTACTCCAAGTTTGTTGTTATTTTTCAGTATTGTGTTGGCTATTCAGGGTCTTTCCTGTTTCCTTAGAAGCTTTATAATCTGTTTGTCAATATCTCCAAGATAGTTTGCTGGGATTTTCATGTTGATTGCTTTGAATCTATAGATCACGCTGGGAAGGACTGACAATAATATTGCATCTTCCAATTTGTGAAGGTGGAATAGCTTTCCATTTATATAGACCTTGTAGTTTTCCACATGTAGATCCTATACATATTTTGTTTGGATTATACGTATTTCATTATTTTGGCCAGGCATGGTGGCTCACGCCTGTAATCCCAGCACTTGGGAGGCCAAGGTGGGTGGATCACCTGAGGTTAGGAGTTCAAGAACAGCCTGGCCAACATGGTGAAAACCTGTCTCTACTAAAAATACAAAAAAAATAGCCAGGTGTGGTGGGGGGCACCTGCAATCCCAGCTACTCGGGAGGCTGAGGCAGGAGAATCGCTTGAACCCGGGAGGTGGAGGTTGCAGTGAGCTGAGATCATGCCACTGCACTCCAGCCTGGGCAACAAGAGCGAAACTCCATCTCATATTTCATTATTTTGGTGCTCTTGTGAATGACATTGCCTTTAAATTTCAAATTCCAATTATTGGGATTTAGGAAAGTAATCCAATTTGTATATTAACCTTGTATCCTACTCCTTGTTATCATTATTTTTAAAATTCAGGAATGGATCTTGAATTTTTTCAAGTGCATTTTTGGAATATATTGAAATAACCATATATATTTTTTCTTTTACATATTAAAATGGCAAATTACAAGAATAGATTTTCAAATGTTGACCCATCTTTGCATTCATGAGATGAAGTAAGTATTCATTAAAAATAATAGCTTGCTAGGATTTTGGTTTTTAAATTTCCCTTAATGTTAGTTCTGCTTTTATGATAATTTCTTTAAACCACAGATTCATTAAAAGGAGGAGAATTCTGCTACAAGTCAGGCTTATTTTTTTCGTGATTGTTAAAGGGTACTGACCTTTTGCTCTGCCATAATTTATATGCCTTTCTTTTTGTAGTCAAATGCGTTAACTATACAGAGCATATATATGATGAAACTTAATAAAAGGGGCATACCATCAAATGTAAGATGAGAGTATTATCAATGCCATCGCAGTAAACTTTTCTGTTTAGCACTTTTTGTATCCTCTTGAAGAAATATTTTTCTATTTTGAAATCTTAAAGAAATTCTTCTATAATTTCTTCTAAAGTCTTATTAATTTTTTCTTTCACACTTAAGTACTTAATCCATTTGAAATTGCTTTTTAAAAAATATGGCATAAGAAAGAAATCCAACGGCATTATTTTTCACATAGATTGCCAGTTGTCCCAGTGCTGTCCACTACTACATGATCTATTCTTTCCTCCAATCATGTTCAATGATACCTCTGAAATGTGTCAAATTTCCACATATTCATAGGACTCTTTCTGGGCTCTGCTATTCTATTTTCATTGTTCAATTCATGTACCTCTGCATTCATATCACACTGTCATTATTATTAAAGGTTAATAATGTCTTGAAAACAGTAAGGCATTTCCCCCTAATTTGTTCTTCTTCACGTTTATCTTGACTGGTCTTGAGAATTTACTTTTCCATATACATTTTATTTATTTATTTATTTATTGAGACGGAATCTCTGTCACCCAGTCTGGAATGCAGTGGTGCGATCTTGGCTCACTGCAACCTCTGTCACCTGGGTTCAAGCGATTCTCCTGCCTCAGCCTGCCAAGTAGCTGGGATTACAGGCGCCTGCCACCGTGTCTGGCTAATTTTTGATGTTTTAGTAGAGATGGGGTTTCACTATATTGGCCAGGCTGGTCTTGAACTCCTGACTTCGTGATCCACCTGCATCAGCCTCCCAAAGTGCCGGTATTACAGGCGTGAGCCACCGCCCCTGGCCTTATTTATTTATTTATTTAGACAGAGTCTTGCTCTGTCACCCAGGCTGGAGAGCAGTGATGCAATCTCAGCTCACTGCAACCTCTGCCTCCCAGGTTCAAGTGATTCTTGTGTCTCAGCCTCCCGAGTAGCTGGGACTACAGGCACGCACCACCATGCCCTGCTAATTTTTGTGTTTTTAATAAAGACAGGGTTTCACCATGTTGGCCAGGCTGGTCTCAAACTCCTGACCTCGGGTGATCCATCCACCTCGGCCTCCCAAAGTGCTGGGATTATAGGTGTGAGCCACTGCACCCAGCCCATATACATTTTAGAATCAGCTTGTCAAGTTCCATGAAAAGAACGTGTTGGGATCTTTGTCATTTTAGTGAATTTATACATTAATCTGGAGAGGGGGATGGACATTGAGTTCTCCTATCCACAGTGTAGCCCCCCTTTTAAGTTTTCTCTGATGTCTTCCAGTAAATTTTTATAATTATCTGCCTATTGGTTGGTATACCTCCTTATATTCATTTTATATATATGCATTCACATACTTCATATATATAGTCCATATATATTCCATGTATATGATATATATTTCTACATATATATCTTTATATGCTTATTCCTTATATAGTTTTGCTAATGTTATCTTAAAAAGTTATATTTCCTAAGTTTCTTGGTACTCTTATATAGAAGCACAGTTAATTTTTATATTCTGATTTTATATCTAGCCACCTTGTTAAGTTCTTTGTCTACAGACTACTTTGAGCTTTTAGTTTAGACAAATAATTTATCTCAGGATGCAAGCTAGGAATTATCATAATGCAGTGTTGAATAGAAGTGGCACTAATGGGCATCTTTGTCTTGTTATTGATTTTACAAAGAATATTTTTAACTTTTAATCACTAGCAATAATGCACACTGTAGATTTTTGGTAGATTCACTTAATGCTTTTACTTTTGTCCTTTATGAAACTATTGTGTTTCATTGCATGTATTTTCTACATTGATTTATTTTTCTCCAGCTTTATTAAGGTATAATTGACAAATAAAACTTGTATATTTTTACTGTGTACAACATGAGGTTTTGATATATGTATATATCATTAAATGATTAAATCAAGCAAATTAATGTACCCATCACGTCATATACGTATTGTTTTGTGGAGAGAACATTTAAAGTATACTCTCTTACAACTTTCAAGTATACAATCCATTGTTATTAACTATAGTCACCATGCTATACAATAGGTTTCCAGAACTTATTTGCTTTTGTTGTCTGTGCTTTTGGGGTCTTATCCAAAAAAGTATTGCCCAGAACAATGCTAAGAAGCTTTTCCTCTATGTTTTCTTGTAAGAGTTTTACAATTTCAGGTCTTATGTTTAAGTCTTTAATCCACGTTGAGTTGATTTTTGTATATATTGAGAGATCAGGGTCCAAATTCATTCTTTCAGACTCAAATTCAAATGCAGAGATGGCATCTCCACTTACTTGTCCAAGAAACATTTAAAATTCAACCCATTCCATGTGTTTAAACTGAACTCCTGAACTGTCTCTCCCAAAACACCTTCTCTACATACAGCACTTGCCAACTCAGTTAATGACACCATACAGTGATGTACTGGTAAAACTGTAACAATTTGCTGTCCACAGGTGTGTGTAGGGTGGTAGGGTAGAGAAGCCCTTGTTTGTAGTGTTTGCAGATTACTATGTTGTGTAAATTAATTCTGACTTGGCTAATGTCGAGCTATCAACATGCGGTCATTGAACACTGAGTCAGGAAGAGTTGGGCACAATCTGCTTTTGCAAGTTGTGTGCTGGCTCCTAAACACTCCTGGCCCTACTATTTACCCAGTGGTTCAGGCAAAAAAAACCTTACAATCACTGTCATTTCTCTTATTCTTCTCTCACATTCAATCTCTTAGCAACTCTAGGCAACTTTATGTCTAATATAATCCCCAAACATCACCATTTCTCTCCACCCCTCTAGTCGACTCTGCCATGATCAATCACTGGGTGACTGTGCTATCTCCATGTTTCCCATTCTTGCCCCCATCAACACATACTCTCTAACCCTGCAGCCAGGTCAGCATTTTGGCACATAAATCACATCATGCCCTGTGCCTCCTGAAAACCTGTCCTCAACTCTCCTAAGTACTCAGAACAGATCCTGAACTCCTGGCTCTGGTCTGCACGGCCTGCCCTCCATCACCCTCTCCTAAAGTGGGTCCCATCCATCTCCTCCTGACTCTGCCTCTGTCCTTCACCTCGTAGTGCTCGGTCCATCCCCACTCCAGTCCCTACCCTTGGCCTCACCACAACCTGGAACTCTCCCTCTGCCTCTGGACAGGCAGCTCTGCTTCTTCCTTCAACCCTGCCCAAGGGCACCTCCTCAGAAGGCCCTGTCCAACCAGCCACAGCCTCTGGGGCTCCCTCTGCTGCTCTCTCCCACAGGCCTGTGGACTGCTTCCGCACCACCAGCCCAATGCTGCTTGTTTCATTTGCTCATTGTACATGTACTGTCTGACTGCCCCATGAGGATGTGAGCTCCACAAGGGCAGGGAACATTGCTCTCTGGGCTGTTTGCTGCTGATTCCCAGCTCCTAGCACGCTGCCTGCCACAAATGATGAATAAATGAAAGAAGTGTCAGACCTGGAGTGAAAAGAAAGTCACTTTTCTGGAAACGAAGGATGAGGAAGGTCATACACTAAAAGGGATTTTTGGTGATGGAGTGTCTATAGAACTTTCAGCACTAGTGGCCGCCTCTATTTTCTCAGAATATATTTGATGTAGAGAGGAGGCAGGTCAAAGTGTATCCAAGTTGTCTGGCTTCCAGTTTAGAAAAGGACACAAAATTATATGCAAGTTTCAGAAATCATGACATCATGTGAGACTTTCAGCTCATCAACTTGTAAAAGGCAAAAAGGCAACGTTAAATGAAGAGTATCTTGGCCGGACATGGTGATTCACGCCTGTAATCTCTGCACTTTGTGAGGCCGAGGTGGGAGGATCACTTGAGCCCAGGAGTTCAAGACCAGTCTGAGCAACATGGTGAAACCCCATCTCTACAAAAATACAAAAATTAGCTGGGGGTGATGGCACATGCCTGTAGTCTCAGCTACTAGGGAGGCTGAGGCAGGAGGACTGCTTGAGCACAGAAGGTTAAGGCTGCAGTGAGCCATGACCATGAGCATGCCACTGCACTCCAGCCAGGACGACAGAGCAAGACCCTGTCTCAAAATAAATAAATAAATAAATAAATAAATAAATAAAAAGAGTACCAGGAATTTATGAATGTTCATTAGTTGTATAGTTTTACTCGATTTCTGTATGTATTGATCGTGCCAGGAAGTTAAGAGGTAGTTTTGTTGTATTATCTTTTATGAGCTCAATTTTTCAGGTCTGAGATTTCTGTCTGGTTTATCATTTTACTTTATGAAATAATAATTTCCTAGAAACTACAGAGTACAGTGACATCCCTGTGGGGGTGAAGAAATGCACCTGCCTTGCAGCTCAACCATTTAATTTGCAAGTTTCAGAAATCACGACATCATGTGAGACTTTTATGTGAAACCACTTAATTTGGTTTCCAGATGCTACTGTCATTTGCGATGTCCATGAGGAGAAGATGGAAGTGGTCAAACTCCACCTGATGATTCCTTGTCAAAATCTGCTCCACCAGAGGTTATGAACATGGCAGGATATGGTATTCTACCCAACTAACTGTATTATCTGTTTAATGAATTAACTAGTCTCAGCAAATATGGGCTGATTCAAAAAGCTGGTAGTAGTGTGCACTTTTCGGTCTTATGTGCGCTTGTACCCTCAATTATCTCTGTATTTGCTGGAGGGTATCATTCCATGAGAGTTCATTTTTCATTAAATTTTTAAATTGTGGGAAAAAATACATGGCATACAATCTACCATCTTAACCATTTTTAAGTGTGCAGTTCAGTAGTGTTAAGTATATTAACATTGTTGTGAAACAGATCTCCAGAACGTTTTCATCTTGCAATCATCTGAAATAAATTCTCATGGAATGGAGTAAAGTCAGAGTCCAGGTATATTTGATGTGATTATTAGCCATTTAAGTTTGACTCCTATGAAGTGCATATTCAGCTTTTCCCCCCAAATTTTATTGGGATGTTTGTTTTTTAGAAATTCATTTGTAGTTGTGGATATATTCTGGATTCCACTCATTTGTTGCCAGATCTATATGCATATATGTGTGTAATTAATATATATTTTTATATATAACCTATACTATATACTGCATAATGTATAATCTACAAACACGCTTTGGTTTTTCAGTCTGTTAATAGTGTCTTTGAGGAACGGAAGTTTTCCATTTAATTATGTCTAATTAAACAGTTCATTCTTTATGGTTAGTGCTTGTTTATCCTCATTAAAAACATCTTTGCCTATTCTATAGTTGTGAAGACAATATCTTAAGTGTTTACTCGATTGTCTATCCGTCTTTAATAAAGTTTTGTGGAGTGGGAAGAGGTAAGAGTCAAGGTTTGTATTTTCCCTGCATTTATCAAGTGCATTTATTAAAAGCACTGTGCTTTCCGCAATGATTTACAGCTCTTCTGTATTTTGTATTTCCAGATTCTTTTTGTTCTCTGTGTCCTCTTCCCTTGGTGTATTTGCCTGTCATTGCTCCAATACCACACTGTTTTAATTACTCTACCTTTATAGTAAATTTCATATATAGTAGTGCATATCTACTAACTTAGTTCTTTTTCTTAAAAAAACTGACTTTCCCTTGGCTTAAAAAAACTTGGCTTTTCCAAATCTTTAATTTGCATATACTTAAAAACTGATCTGCGTGTCAATTTTCAGAAAAACTTTTGTTAACATGGTGGAATTTTAAATATGATTGCTAGGATCATTCTGAGAGACTTGACAATAATGTCTCTTAATAATGTTTTCCGGCCGGGCGTGGTGGCTCACGCCTGTAATCCCAGCACTTTGGGAGGCCGAGGCGGGCGGATCACTTGAGGTCAGGAGTTCGAGACCAGTATGGCTAACATAGTGAAACCCCATCTCTACTAAAAATAGAAAAATTAGCCAGGCGTCATGGCAGGCGCCTGTAATCCCAGCTACTCGGGAGGCTGAGGCAGGAGAATCTCTTGAACTTGGGAGGTGGAGGTCGCAGTGAGCAGAGACTGTGCCACTCCACTCTAGCCTAGTCTTCCAATGCATGGAAAGAATATTTTTCTCCATTTACTGCAGTCTTGAATTTCTCTGAGTGATGTTTTATAATTTTTGTGTAGTACTCTAGCATATCTTGATTAGATTTATTCCTAAATATTTGATGTTTTTGGTACTGTTTTTAATGACATTTGAAATCTCCTATTCTAATTATTTGTTGCTATTAATTACACAGAAATGCCATTGGTTTTTATTAGATCTAGTGTGTTGACTAAATTTGCTTATTAACCATAATGATTTTATTCTTCTGCATTTTCTATGTACAGAACAATGTCATCTGTGAATGGCATGTAAATCACATCATGGCATGTCACTCCTGAAAACCCATCCTTAACTCTCCTAAGCAGTCAGAACCGACTGTGAACCAGCTTTGGTCTGCGAGGTTATTTCTTTCCAAATTTTAAACTTATTATATTTTCCTGATGCTACAGCACTTTTCAGAACCTCCAGTAAATTGTTGAATGGATAGTGGACATCTTTGTCTTGTTTTTAAACTCAGGGAGAAAATACTGATACGTCACTATAAAGTATGGCATTTACTATTTTTTTGTACATATGTTAACCAGAATGGGAAAGTTGCCCCTTTTTCTAAGATGGTGATAGTTTTTATCACGAATGGACTTTAAACATTGACCATGTATGAAAATGATCATGTGGTGTTTCCGTGTTTTTGTTGTTGTTGTTGTTAATATGGTGAATTACATTTATTGATTTTCAAATGTTAAATCAATGTTGCCTTTCTACAATATACTCCACCATGGCTGATGTATGTCCTTTTTAAGTACTAGTACATTTTATTTGCTCACGTTTAGTTCGAATTTTTTGTGTCTAAGTTCAGGGGTGATCTTGGCTTGTATTTTGGCTTGATCTTGTAGCTTTTCTTTCTTCTAAAATCCTTGTCAGATGTCGTTATCAGTTTTGTATCAATCTTCTAAAATCCTTTTCTTTGTCCTCGTTTTTCCTAATAAGGGTTAATACAGATTGGTTTATACATCTATTTGAATATATAATAAATATATAATATACTTAAATACTAATACATAAGTATAAGTATACATACTTCTATATTTATATAATATATAAGTATACATACTTCTATATTTATATAATATATAAGTATACATACTTCTATATTAAATATTATTATGTATAATATAATGTATTATATATATAATTTAAAATATAATGTATAATAAGGGTTAATACAGATTGGTTTATGCATGTATTTTTCCTAATAAGGGTTAATACAGATTGGCTTATACATCTTCAAATAGGTAATAATATTTTTATCTATTTTTGGTTGATGACAGCTGCTTATTCCACAAGCATTCTGATTGATTTGGTTATACCATCTTTCTTCTGTTTTACTTTGTGTACATTAAAATTAGGTTTCTTTTCCTGAGAACAGAGTGTTTGTTGAGACTTGGTAAATCTTGGCTCATGATTAAAAGTGAAATTAATGATTCAAAGTCTTGGTTGTATACACATATGCAGACTGTTTGCCATTTTGTGATTGTTAGATTTTTGTCATGAATGGAATATGTTCATTGATGTTTTTCAGGAAACAATAACCGATAAAACAGAGAAGGTGGCTGTAGATCCTGAAACTGTGTTTAAACGTCCCAGGGAATGTGACAGTCCTTCGTATCAGAAAAGGTAGAAGATGGCCCTGTTGGCAAGGAAACAAGGAGCAGGAGACAGCCTTATTGCAGGCTGTGCCATGTCCAAAGAAAACAGTAAGTAAGCCTGTCCTCACCTCTTCTTCATGCTGTATCCAGTGCAGTCGGCCTCCTGCCTCATCCCCTCCAGAGAAACTGTCCTTGACAAGGTCAACAGTTTCAGCTGATATTGCCATTAATTTCTCAGCAGCATTTGACAGTTGTTCACTCGCTTCTTCATGAAAATCTTCTTGGATTTCCATTTTCCACAATTTTTTTTTAAATTTCTTGTCTGTATTGGTGAATCCCTATCATTTTTTTCTTGAGACGCAGTTTCGCTCTTCTCGGCCAGGCTGGAGTGCAGTGGCGCGATCTCGGCTCACTGAAATCTCTGTCTCCTGGGTTCAAGTGATTCTTCTGCCGCAGCCCCCTGAGAAGCGGGATTACAACCACCAGCCACCACACCCAGCTAATTTTTGTAAGTTTAATAGAGATGGGGTTTCGCCATGTCGGCCAGGCTGGTCTCGAACTGCTCACCTCAGGTGATCCACCCACTTCAGCCTCCCAAAGTGCTGGCTTTACATGCACGAGCCACCGCCCCCGACCCCATCATTGTTTTTTTCTACATTTCTTTTTCTTCTCTTCTCTAAATACTGTAAAAAATTCCTGAACCCCAGCATCTCTCTCTCTCCTATTCCACTCTGCCACGATCAATCACTGAGCTCCTGAGATACCTCCATGTTTCCCATTATTTCCCGCATCAAACACATACCCTCCAACCCTGCAGCCGGGTCATGATGTTGGCATGTAAATCACGTGATGCCATGTCGCTCCTGAACACCCATCCTCAACACTCCTAAGCACTCAGAACCGACTGCGAAGCAGCTTTGGTCTGCGAGGTTCTGCGTGGCCTGGCCTCCGTCACCCTCTCCTCACACGGGCCCCATCATCTCCTGACTCTCTCTGCTACTGTCCTTCACCCCGTAGTGCCCGGTCCATCCCCACTCCAGCCCATATCCTTGGCCTCACCGCAACCTGGAACTCCCCCTCTGCCTCTGCGCAGGCAGCTCTGCTTTCTCCTTCAAGCCCTGCCCAAGGGTACCTCCACAGAAGGCTCTGCCCAACCAGCAGCAGCTCCTGGGGCTCCCTCTGCTGCTGTTGCCCACAGGCCTGTGGACTGCTTCCTTACCACTAGCCCAACACTGTATGTTTCATTTGCTCATTGTGCACGTACTGTCTGACCGCCCCATGAGGATGTGAGCTCCACAAGGGCAGGGAACGTTGCTCTCTGGGCTGTTTACTGCTGATCCCCAGCTACCGGCACGCTGCCTGCCACAGACGATGAATAAATGAGAGGTGTCAGACCTGGAGTGAAAAGAAAGTCACTTTTGTGAGACAGAAAGGAAGGATGAGGAAAATCATACAGTAAAAGGGACTTTTTGGTGGTGGAGTGCGTATAGAACTTTCAGCAGTAATGGCCGCCTCTATTTTCTCAGAATGTGTTTGATATAACAGGAGACCGGTTGAGTTGTATCCCAGTTGCCTGGGTTTCAGCTCAGTAAAGCATGGCAGTTTGTAAGTGAATTTGAGAAATCATGATATCAAGTGAGACTTGCTGCTTTCAACTTGTAAAGCATAACAAGCTGAAACTGTCCCATGAGTACCAGGGATCTGTGAATGTTGCTTTAGAGTTGTACTGTCTTACTTGGTTTCCATATCTATTCATAGGGCCAGAAAATAAGAGGTGATTTTATTGTATTATGTGTCCTGGCCTCCGTTTGTCAGGCCTGGGATTTCTCCCTGGTGTATCCTCCCATTTATGAAATAAATAATTCCCTAGAAACTGAGGAGCACATAGATGTACCCAGAGGGGTGATGAAACACACATATCTCACAGCTCAACTTCTCAGTTTGATTTCCAGATCTGTCATTCATGAGGTCTATGTGGAGGGGAAAGAAAGTGGTCAAACACCAACTGATGGCTTTTACTCAAAATCTGTTTCACCAGAGCTTATGACAGGAGATGGTATTCCACCCAGCCAATTGGATTCTCAGATTGATGACTTCAGAAAGATAGGATGAGGCAGAAATCTGGTAGCAATGCACCTGTGGGAGGAATCATTACCAGCAATTTCTCTGGAGATGACCTAGAATGCAGAGAAATAGTCCTTTTTCCTAAAAGCCAAGAAGAAATTAATGCTGATATAAAATGTCAATTAGTGAAGGAAATCCGATGCATTGGACAAAGTAAGTAGTATAAGAATGTCTGTTTTTATAAAACTATAGGAAGTCTCTCTTTCTATGATTCAGAAGATATTCATGTTACCTCTTGAGGCTGATTCTTTGCCAGAGTTGAGTTTGCACATAATTTATGGTGGTTCCTCTTTTCTTTGACTACAGCATAGTACGCCTTTTGCTTTTCTTTTCTTACTTGGTTAGGGTTAAAAGAGTTTCATTGGTATGTATGTGCAGGTGTCTTTTTTATTATTTAGTTTTTGTATGTGCAGGTATCTTGATTTAAGCAATTGAAACCTTTTAGCCTATGAAGCATGATTGCTGAGGTATAGATTCTCTTGTATTCTTCTTTATATTTGATAATACTGAAGGTTTTTTTAAACACCTTCAGAATATTAAAAAATCTTCAAATTGCTTTAAGGAGTGCAAGGACCTGTAGAAGTCAAGAAACTATTTTTTTAATCCATCATCAAGGAAGCAGCAAGGTGGGTAGAAATAGGAACTGTCCAATTTCTTTAAGCACTTGGGCCCAATAGAGTACTGGGGGTGAGCGTGGGGGAACAGCCCCTGCCTTGAGTTTCTCAAACCCTGGTCCTCACTCATAGTTACAGCTGTCTCCACAGTTACTTAGGCTAATGTTATCTGAATCTAAGTCATTCTTCGAAGACTATGGAGACTTCCAATATCATCATAGTCTGAGGTGTGCATTGTCCCTCGATTGACACTCTTTGTATTTGCTAGACAACCTCCTTTTAAAAAATTTGTGTAGGGACATAGCAGATGCATATATTTCTGGGGTATATGAGATATTGTGATACAGACAACAATGTGTAATAATCATATCACGGTAAATGAGGTATCTATCTCTTCAAGCTTTTGTCCTTTGTGTTACGGGCAATCCAATTATACTCTTCATTATTTTTAAATGTACAATTAAATTATTACTGACAATAGTCACCCTATTGGGCTATGAAATACTACATCTTATTTGTTCTATTTTTCTACCTATTAATCATCCCCCTTCCCACACCCTCCACCCTCACTAACCTTCCCAGCCTCTGGTAACTGTCATTCTACTCTCTATCTCCATTAGTTCAGTTGTCTTACATTTTTGCTCCAACAAATAAGCGAGAACATGGGCAGTTTGTCTTTCTGTGCCTGGCTTATTTCACTTAACATAAGGACCTTTGATTCCATCCATGTTGTTGCAAATAACTGAATCTCATTCTTTTTTTATGGCTGAACAGTACTCTATGGTGTATATGTACCATATTTTCTTTATCCATTTGTCTGTTAGTGGACACTTAGGTTGCTTCCAAATCTTGGCTACTGTGAATGGTGCTGCAACAAACATGGGAGTGCAGATATCTCTTCGGTACACTGACTTCCTTTCTCTTGGGTATATACCCAACAATGGAATTGCTGAATCATATGATAGCTCCATTTTTAGTTTTTTGAGGAAACTCCATACTGTTCTTCATAGTTGTTGTAGTAATTTATATTCCCACCAACAGCGTGTGAAGGTTCCCTTTTCTCCACACCCTCGCCAGCATTTGTTATTGCCGGCTAGAGTACCTCTTACCATGCAGATGAATTTCTATTTCCATGCTGATTGTTTCTTCATCTTTCTGTCCTTCACGGTGCTTCCTACAGCATAGGTTCTTGGGCTATCTTTTGGTTAATGACATGTCTCTTTCTTTTCAGATATATGAGCCGAGACTTTGTTCAGCTCCTTGAGAAGAAACTGGAACATATGATTTGGGAGTACTTGTCCATGGAGGATTATCACACCCCAAATGCATAATCTCATTAATGATTCAAGAGAGAAAAGGATCAGATTGCTGTTTTCTGCAATGGAGCAGGATATTGCTGAAGTCTCCTGGCATATGTTACTGAATCAAATGGCCTTCCAGAAGCTAAGAAATTTCTGTTAGTAAAAGATGTTCTTTTTCCCTAAGCATTTCATTTGAAAGAATAACTTGTTTTTTGGTTGTTTTGTATTCCCACCTGTGCTGGTAGATATTATTAACCCATTAGGTAAATAGTATTGCAGTCGTGGTTTCTGCAGCAGCTTACATTGTTGTAGCTGGTATTTATAACTGCCTTTTTTCACTACCCATTTTGCATTCCCTTTGCCCTAAGATAGCATGTCAGTTGGTCATGATGCTTGGCCTGGCAGGATGACTCAAACCTTCATTATGGAAGAGTCTGAACCATTAGATGTCCTGCCTGGAAGGGGTTGCTGTGATTTTCCATTAACTCTAATTGCAAAACACCAGAGGACTAAGAAGCTCTCTAGACATATTAGACATACTCTTCCTTAGCCCCTGGTGTAGTAGGAACCTGATCTCCTTTTTTTTTCAGTTTCCATCACCCAAGTCAGTAGCGGACCCCCTACTTTGTCTCTTGGTTGAGAGGAATGAAGAGTTCAAAGTGGTCAGCTGGCAGACACAATTTTCATTTCAATGGAATCATTTTTGGTTCCCCTGTTGAAAAAATTTCTCAATTTGTAACTAAGACCTCTAGTCCAGCAAAGCCAAAAGTTGGCTTCTTGAGAGCAAAGTTTGCTTCTTGAGCATAAGAAGAAAAATTTTGCTGCTAGACACCCAGGAGTAATAGTGAGAGGAGGCCCGCATCTTGCCTCTTTCATTCTTGAAGACATAGATGTGGCTATGGGAGAAATAGTTCCATATACTTGAAGCTGGGATACAGCATTGCCACCTCTGAGATTGTCAGCCAAGTCCCTCAAGGCACTGCCAAAAAGCTAGAACTACAACTCAGGCTTTAAAGATCACTCCACTGTTCTATTGAGCCAGTCACTTCATGATGTTGAAGAACATCAGAAGACTAGTGAAATCCATTAGCATGAGCCCATTCTCATACTTCATTTCCTGTAAAGTGAGTTTCATGGTTAAAACTGGTGCAGTGTGGGCCATTTCTGGTTCCAAGATGGCTGAATAGGAAGAGCTCCAGTCTACAGCTCCCAGTGTGAGCGACACAGAAGACAGGTGATTTCTGCATTTCCAACTGAAGTACCAGGTTCATCTCACTGGGGCTTATTGGACGGTGGGTGCAGTTCATGGAGTGTGAGCCGAAGCAGGGCGGGGCATTGCCTCACCCAGGAAGTGCAAGGTACCGCCATGACAGATGGTACCTGGAAAATTGGGACACTCCCACCCTAATACTGTGCTTTTCCAACGGTCTTAGGAAACTGCACACCAGGAGATTATATCCTGCGCCTGGCTCAGAGGGTCCCACGCCCATGGAGCCTCGCTCACTGCTAGCACAGCAGTCTGAGATCAAACTGCAAGGCAGCAGCGAGGTTGGGGGAGGGGCGTTCGCCATTGCTGAGGCTTGAGTAGGTAAACAAAGCGGCCAGGAAGCTCGAACTGGGTGGAGCCCACTGCAGCTCAAGGAGGCCTGCCTGCCTCTGTAGACTCCACCTCTGGGTGCAGGGCATAGCTGAACAAAAGGCAGCAGAAACTTCAGCAGACTTAAACATCACTGTCTGACAACTTTGAAGAGATTAGTGGTTCTCCCAACATGGAGTTTGAGATCTGAGAACGGACAGACTGCCTCCTCAAGTGGGTCCCTCACCCCCAAGTAGCCTAACTGGGAGACACCTCCCAGTAGGGGCCGACTGACACCTCATACAACTGGGTGCCCCTCTGAGATGAAGCTTCCAGGGGAAGGATCAGGCAACGATATTTGCCGTTCTGCAATAGTTGCTGTTCTGCAGCCTCTGCTGGTGATACCCAGGCATACAGTGTCTGGAGTGGACCTCCAGCAAACTCCAACAGACCTGCAGCTGGGGGTGCTGACTGTTAGAGGTAAAACTAACAAACAGAAAGGACATCCACATCAAAACCCCATCTGTACGTCACCATCATCAAAGACCAAGGTAGATAAAACCACAAAGATGGGGAGAAACCAGGGCAGAAAGCTGAAAATTCTAAAAATAAGAGCACCACTTCTCCTCCAAAGTAATACAGCTCCTTGCCAGCAACAGAACAAAGCTGGATGGAGAATGACTTTGACTAGTTGAGAGAAGAAGGCTTCAGATGATTGGTAATAACAAACTTCTCCAAGCTAAAGGAGGATATTCAAACCCATCGTAAAGAAGCTAAAAACCTTGAAAAAAGATTAGATGAATGGCTAGCTAGAATAAACAGCATAGAGAAGACCTTAAATGACCTAATGGAGCTGAAAACCATGGCATGAGAACTACGTGACGCATGCACAAGCTTCAGTAGCCGATTCGATCAAGTGGAAGAAAGGGTATCAGTGATTGAAGATCAAATGAATGAAATGAAGCGAAAAGAGAAGTTTAGAGAAAAAAAGAGCAAAAAGAAATGAACAAAGCCTCCAAGAAATATGGGACTATGTGAAAAGACCAAATCTACATCTGATTGGTGTACCCAAAAGTGACGGGGAGAATGGAACCAAGTTGGAAAATACTCTTCAGGATATCATCCAGGAGAACTTCCCCAACTTAGGAAGGCAGGCCAACATTCAAATTCAGGAAATACAGAGAACGCCACAAAGATACTCCTCGAGAAGAGCAACTCCAAGACACATAATTGTCAGATTCACCAAAGTTGAAATGAAGGAAAAAATATTAAGGGCAGCCAGAGAGAAAGGTCAGGTTACCCACAAAGGAAGCCCATCAGACTAACAGCGGATCTCTCGGCAGAAACTCTACAAGCCAGAAGAGAGTGGGGGCCAATATTCAACATTCTTAAAGAAAAGAATTTTCGATCCAGAATTTCATATCCAGCCAAACTAAGCTTCATAAGTGAAGGAGAAATAAGATACTTTACAGACAAGCAAATGCTGAGAGATTTTGTCACCGCCAGGCCTGCCTTACAAGAGCTCCTGAAGGAAGCACTAAACATGGAAAGGAACAACTGGTACCAGCCACTGCAAAAACATGCCAAATTGTAAAGACCATCGATGCTAGGAAGAAACTGCATCAACTAACGAGCAAAATAATCAGCTAACATCATAATGACAGGATCAAATTGACACATAAAAATATTAACCTTAAATGTAAATGGGCTAAATGCTCCAATTAAAAGACATAGACTGGCAAATTGGATAAAGAGTCAAGACCCATCAGTGTGCTGTATTCAGGAGACCCATCTCGTGCAGAGACACACATAGGCTCAAAATAAAGGGATGGAGGAAGATCTACCAAGCAAATGGAAAACAAAAAAAAGCAGGGGTTGCAATCCTAGTCTCTGATAAAACAGACTTTAAACCAACAAAGATCAAAAGCGACAAAGAAGGCCATTACATAATGGTAAAGGGATGAATTCAACAAGAAGGGCTGACTATCCTAAATATATATGCACCCAATACAGGAGCACCCAGATTCATAAAGCAAGGCCTCAGAGACCTACAAAGAGACCTAGACTCCCACACAATAATAATGGGAGACTTTAGCACCCCACTGTCAACATTAGACAGATCAACGAGACAGAAAGTTAACAAGAATATCCAGGAATTGAACTCAGCTCTGCACCAAGTGGACCTAATAGACATCTACAGAACTCTCAACCCCAAATCAACAGAATATACATTCTTCTCAGCACCACATAGCACTAATTCCAAAACTGACCACATAGTTGGAAGTAAAGCACTCCTCAGCAAATGTCAAAGAATAGAAATTATAACAAACTGTCTCTCAGACCACAGTGCAATCAAACTAGAACTCAGGATCAAGAAACTCACTCAAAACCGCTCAACTACATGGAAACTGAACAACCTGCTCGTGAATGACTACTGGGTACATAACAAAATGAAGGCAGAAATAAAGATATTCTTTGAAACCAATGAGAACAAAGACGCAACATACCAGAATCTCTGGGACACATTTAAAGCAGTGTGTAGAGGGAAATTTACAGCACTAAATGCCATCAAGAGAAAGCAGGAAAGATCTAAAATCGACACCCTAACATCATAATTAAAAGAACTGGAGAAGCAAGAGCAAACACATTCAAAAGCTAGCAGAAGGCAAGAAATAACTAAGATCAGAGCAGAACTGAAGGAGATAGAGAAACAAAAAACCCTTCAAAAAATCAATGAATCCAGGAGCTGGTTTTTTGAAAAGATCAACAAAATTGGTAGACCACTAGCAAGACTAATAAAGAAGAAAAGACAAGAATCAAATAGACACAATAAAAAATGATAAAGGGGATATTACCACCGATCCCACAGAAATACAAACGGAGAATACTATAAACACCTCTACGCAAATAAACTAGAAAATCTAGAAGAAATGGAAAAATTCCTGGACACATACGCCCTCCCAAGACTAAACCAGGAAGAAGTTGAATCCCTGAATAGACCAATAACAGGCTTTGAAATTGAGGCAATATTTAATAGCCTAGCAACCAAAAAAAGTCCAGGTCCAGGCAGATTCACAGCCGAATTCTCCCAGAGGTACAAAGAGGAGCTGGTACCATTCCTTCTGAAACTATTCCAATCAATAGAAAAAGAGGGAATCCTCCCTAACTCATTTTATGAGGCCAGCATCATCCTCAATAAAATACTGGCAAACCGAATCCAGCAGCACATCAAAAAGCTTATCCACCACGATCAAGTTGGCTTCATCCCTGGGATGCAAGGCTGATTCAACATATGCAAATCAATAAACGTAATCCATCATATAAACAGAACCAAAGACAAAAACCACATGATTATCTCAATAGATGCAGAAAAGGCCTTTGACAAAATTCAACACCCCTTCATGCTAAAAGCTCTCAATAAACTAGGTATTGATGGGATATATCTCAAAATAATAGCTATTTATGACAAACCCACAGCCAATATCATACTGCATGGGCAAAAACTGAAAGCATTCCCTTTGAAAACTGGCACAAGACAGGGATGCCCTCTCTCACCACTCCTATTCAACATAGTGTTAGAAGTTCTGGTCAGGGCAATCAGGCAGGAGAAAGAAATAAAGGGTATTCAATTAGGAAAAGAGGAAGTCAAACTGTCCCTGTTTGCAGGTGACATGATTGTATATTTAGACAACCCCATCATCTCAGCCCAAAATCTCCTTAAGCTGATAACTTCAGCAAAGTCTCAGGATACAAAATCAATGTGCAAAAATCACAACCATTCCTATACACCAATAACAGCCAAACAGAGAGCCAAATCATGAGTGAACTCCCATTCACAATTGCTTCAAAGAGAATAAAATACCTAGGAATCCAACTTACAAGGGATGTGAAGGACCTTTTCAAGGAGAACTACAAACCACTGCTCAACGAAATAAAAGAGGACACAAACAAATGGAAGAACATTCCATGCTCATGGATAGGAAGAATCAATATCGTGAAAATGGCCATACTGCCCAAGGTAATTTATAGATTCAATGCCATCCCCATCAAGCTACCAATGACTTTCTTCCAGAATTGGAGAAAACGACTTTAAAGTTCATATGGAACCAAAAAAGATCCCACATTGCCAAGGCAATCCTAAGCCAAAAGAACAAAGCTGGAGGCATCACACTACCTGACTTCAAACTATACTACAAGGATACAGTAACCAAAACAGCATGGTACTGGTACCAAAACAGAGATATAGACCAATGGAACAGAAGAGAGCCCTCAGAAATAATACCACACATCTACAACCATCTGATCTTTGACAAACCTGACAAAAACAAGCAATGGGGAAAGGATTCCCTATTTAATAAATGGTGTTGGGAAAACTGGCTAGCCATATGTAGAAAGCTGAAACTGGATCCCTTCCTTAAACTTTATACAAATATTAATTCAAGATGGATTAAAGACTTAAATGTTAGACCTAAAACCATAAAAACCCTAGGAGAAAAACCTAGGCAATACCATTCAGGCCATAGGCATGGGCAAGGACTTCATGACTAAAACACCAAAAGCAATGGCAACAAAAGCCAAAATTGACAAATGGGATCTAATTAAACTAAGGGGTTCTGCACAGCAAAAGAAACTGCCAGCAGAGTGAACAGGCAACCTACAGAATGGGAGAAAATTTTTACCATCTACCCATCTAACAAAGGGCTAATATCCAGAATCCACAAAGAACTCAAACTAATTTACAAGAAAAAATCAAACAACCCCATCAAAAAGTGGGCAAAGGATATGAACAGACACTTCTCAAAGGAAGGCATTTATGCAGCCAACAGACACATGAAAAAATGCTCATCATCACCGGCCATCAGAGAAATGCAAATCAAAACCACAATGAGATACCATCTCACACCAGTTAGAACGGCGATCATTGAAAAGTCAGGAAACAACAGGTGCTGGAGAGGATGTGGAGAAATAGGAACACTTTTACACTGTTGGTGGGCCTGTAAACTAGTTCAACCATTGTGGAAGACAGTGTGGCAATTCCTCAGGGATCTAGAACTAGAAATACCATTTGACCCAGCCATCCCATTACTGGGCATATACCCAAAGGATTATAAAACATGCTGCTATAAAGACACATGCACACGTATGTTTATCGTGGCACTATTCACAATAGCAAAGACTTGGAACCAACCCAAATGTCCATCAATGATAGACTGGATTAAGAAAATGTGATACATATACAACATGGAATACTATGCAGCCATAAAAAAGGATGAGTTCATGTCCTTTGTAGGGACTTGGATGAAGCTGGAAACCATCATTCTGAGCAAACTATTGCCAGGACATAAAACCAAACACCGTATGTTCTCACTCATAGGTGGGAATTGAACAATGAGAACACATGGACACAGGAAGGGGAACATCACACACCGGGGCCTGTCGTGGGGTAGGTGGTGGGGGGAGGAATAGCATCAGGAGACATACCTAATGTAAATGATGAGTTAATGGGTGCAGCACACCAACATGGCACATGTATACATATGTAACAAACCTGCATGTTGTGCACATGTACCCTAGAACTTAAAGTATTAAAAAAAAAACTGGTGCAGTGTGGGATACCACGATGGTGGATACAGCCTTTCCTAATACCACAGTATTGGTTTTCTTGACGTACTGTGGGTGGGAATGAAAATCCATATGCAGAATAAGTGTCCATTTGAGCAAGGTCAAAGTGATACCCCTTCAATCATGGAAGCAGACCCAAGTAATCACAGTGCTACCTGGAAGCTGACTGACCACTCTGGGACATGGTGCTACACTGGGGACTCAGTGTTGGTCTCTGCTGCTGGCAGATTGAATAGTGAGCAGTGGCTGTAGTGAGATGGACCTGGTAAATGAAAGTTCATCTTGCCAAACCCATGAATAATCTTTATGTCAGCCACCATAATCATGATGCACCATTACTGCTTAGAAGATAGAGGGGTGCATCCAAGGAGGTATGGAGGTGGCTCAAGTAGCTTAGAGTGGCCTCAGCCAAGACTGCAAGTATATGGCTACCTCAGTTCCACAACTTTAAGAAGTTAGACCTTCCCGTAACCCAAATGAGCTTGAAAACAGGTTCTCTCTGAGTCCTCAGTTAGTCAGCAGCCTGGTTGATACCTTAACTTTGATTTTGTGAGATCCTAAGCAGAGAAACCAATCCAGGCTGCATAGATTTCTGATCTACAGAACTGCTTATATATTTGTGTTGTTTTAAGCTGCTAAATTGGGGATAATTTGTTTTGTAGCATTAACAAACTAATACATGTTGTGCCTGAATATTCTGAAGTAACAAATGAAAATCAGGCATGATATTTTTTATTTTCTAGTCAACTGGTCACAGGGAACTCCACACGAGACCACACGTGCAGGATCAGAGAAGTTTCTCCTTTTCTGGGCCCCAATCCATGCTAGCAGGGTTTCAGTCACTTGGCAATGGGTCATGGTACTGCACAACATTGAGGTATACGCGAAAACAAGCATCTATTACACAATTCGTTTTTGCGTTCCTTATTTAGTGGTAAGAAAGGCAAGATGTAGGAACTTGCTGTTCACCTTATAAGCACCATCTTGACATGCCAGACTACTAGATTGTTAAACGTTTCACTCAGTTAGAAGGCCCCTGATTTTGTGTGGGAATTATTTATCACAGAATGTCTTGCAAGTGTGTTGCTAATGCGACTGGATTAGTTGCTACCTCCCGCTCAGTCAGCATAGTGTTATCAGTGCAAGGATGCTGTCACATCTGGTATAAGGGAACGGTGGTCAAGGACCCTTAAGGACTCATTTAGGATGTAAGCTTAGAGAGTTGATATAAGCTTGAAATAGGAGGTCATAGTACATTGCTGACCTTTCCAGCCGAACCCAAACTTGTTTGTGATAATGACTGAAAGAGAAAAAAACATTCACCTAATTGATATTATGTATCAGGTTCCCAGGGATGTCACAGTTACGAAAGCAACAAAACCACCTGGAGCACAGCAGCTGCAGTACCTCCCAGGTCCAAGCGATTCTCCTGCCTCAACCTCCTGAGCAGCTGGGACTGTAGTTGTGCACCATCACACCTTGCTAATTGTTTGTATATTTTAGTAGAGACAGGGATTCACCATGTTGGCCAGGCTGGTCTTGAACTCCTGACCTCAAGTGACCCACCTGCCTTGGTTTCCCAAAGTGCTGGGATTATAGGCGTGAGCCACCGTGCCTGGCCACAAATCCATATATTTCTGCACAGGACAAATAGTTCAGTTGAAAGGGATGGCTGAAGAATCACTAGCCTATGTCCTTCAAATGCTTGGTGTTACCACCAGTTACTGCAGTCCCTCCAGGAAAGTAGTATTGCTTGTGGATTATGATTTTTATAATTAGGGCAGTTCTAGTGGCTTCAGCTTGGCCTCTCCATCCATAGCATCCCTCACTCCACAGGTCAGGGAACCAATGTGGGGATTCTGCCAGTTACCGTGTACGTCCCCAACTATGCATTCTGAAACTGGGAAACAACCAGAAGGTGGATTCATGGACCAACTTAGTCCACTGTACATTGGACCTGATGTAAAACCACATGAATTTCCTGATGAAAAACCACATGATTAACAGAAACAACTCTTATTAGAGTAGCATAGGGACATTTTAGGTATCCTGGAATTAGTACCAGTTCAAAGCCTTTATCAAGTAATCCCTGAGAATTCTGATTACTTTTCCACCATGCACTGCCACAGTAAGAATTGGGCGCAGATCTGTTGAGGAAGGTCGGGACAACGATTAACAGCATAGTTATTAGGCAGTGCAGCATGATCTTTCCTCAAGGGCAAGCCTGCAGTAATGTATGACTAAAGAAGACAGCCACCACAAACTCCTCACAGATTTCTGGGCTCCGCATACAAAGTAATTTCTTGCAGCCTTGGTGAAAGTCACGTCCTCTGGACCTACCAGCATGGCTGAGCAGTTCTTCCATGATAAATTCACTCCAACATTCCAGTGTCCTTAAGCCTTTGGACTATATCAAGGAAGTCCTTGAATTTCTCCTTAATTAAGGATAGTCAACATTTGCTTCCTTATTTTAGTCAACCAACCAAGCAAACTGCTAGAGCCATCCTTACCCTCTCAAAGAAAAACACTGAATCCAGAACCTTGGCTTAATGACTCTATATTGATAAATCTGGTGTGTATCAAATTTATTTTTTCTCTACCTTCATACCCCACCCTCAAGAAACATTTCCACACAAAGTCCCTAGGTTTCTGCCTATTAGCGTTGGAAAAAAATATCAGTAGTTGTTATAGTACATTCTACCCCTACTAATGGGTCACATTATGTACCCTCTAGTTTGGGGCTGGTGGAAACTTGAGTCTTACAGGGTTTTAAATGAAGTAAAGGTGGTGGGTGCAGTTTCTCAGGAGGATCAACAGTGTCCTGCAAGGCCACTACCTCAGACCAGACTATTGCAGGTTCTTCAGGCAGAGGAGAAATAAACTCCTTGGGCGGGAGTGAAGGTGCTTTTTTTTACTTTTTTACACCTTTTTTTAGGTGTCTGAAAGACATATCTCACAGAATTTAGGGGTTCAAGGTACCCAGCTTCATCAAAGTCTGCATATATATCACATTAAAATGTTCAGGATCCCATTCATTCCCAGTCAGTGCTCTACATGAACAGAAGAGACCTTGAGAGATTAGGAATTGCATTCGTGTTGTAATTCAGCCAACTGCAAGATTCACCTTTGGATATGGTTTTCCCAAATATCAGGTATGTGGCTACGGGAGATAATGGGTTCTTTCATGGATGCTTTCTAGCTCTTTATGTGGATCTTGGTATGGATAAGGCTTTAAGGACCTGAGGTCATAATTTTCTTTTCCTATGTTCTCCAGCACATTTAGAGGCAACCAGTCATCTCCATTATACTCCTCATTTTCACTACATTGTTTTTTTTTCTACTTTATTTACTTATCCATTTATTTAAATTTTGAGAAAAGGTGTCTCTCTGTTGCCCAGGCTGGAGTGCAGTGGCATGATCCCGGCCCACTGCAACCTCCGCCTCTTGAGCTGTGGGCGGCAAGCCACCCAGGTGCCGAGGCAAGAGACCAAAGGCACAAGCTGTTTCAGTACAATAAAGGAAATATATACAATAAGAATATTCTAGAAATAGATTATAGATATGATTATATATGAATATTACTAATAATTAGTTTGTAGCATTACTCTTTATTACAATATTATAATAATCTTTGTTCTACAATGATAACCTAGGAAAAACCAGGCCATACAGAGATAGGAGCTGAAGGGACACGGTGAGAAGTGACCAGAAGACAAGAGTGTGAGCCCTCTGTTATGCCTGGATAGGGCCACTAGAGGGCTCCCTGGTCTAGCGGTAACCCAGTGCCTGGGCCTTACCCTGCTCCCTAACCTTGTATCCAATAAATAACAGCGCAGCCAGGTATTCGGGGCCACTGCTGGTCTCCGCGTCTAGGTGGTAGTGGTCCCCCGGGCCTAGCTGTCTTTTCTTTGTCTTGTGTCTTTGTTTCTACGATCTCTCGTCTCCGCAAACGAGGAGAAAAACCCACAGGCCCAGTAGGGCTGGACCCTACACTAAGCCCAAGCGACCTTCCCACCTCAGCCCCCAGAGTAGCTGGGACTATAGGCCTGCGCCACCATACTAGGCTTTTTTTGTAGTTTTAAAATTTTTATTTTATTTTACGTTCTGGGATACTTGTTTACGGAAATCACCTACTTGATCACCTAGACCCTGGCATTCTTACAGGTGCTTGAGTGCAAATAACTAAAAGTGATAATTTAAGAAAATCCCTTGCCACTTCTTGCTGTAGACTACCAGTGCTCTTTTACCATTAGAAACAGGGTCACGAAGGCCTTTAAATCAAATTAGATAAAAGAGAGAACTCCAGAAACCCAGAACAATTTCAGAGAATTTCTTCTTAAAATTCTGTTCTTCTGAAATCACACTTAATACCAAAATCTATATCAATCAAACTTCAACCAGGAAAGCAGAACCAATAGGCGATAATATCTGTGTGTACAGATTTTTCATAATGAAAGGGCCTTCTGCAATGGTAGGAGCTCATTAAGCAGTCTCTGTAAGATTGCTGTCTCCTCCTCCGGTGCTGGAGCAGGGCAGACATGCAGAAGAAAAGATTACATGCAGACTGCACCCAAAGACATGAGCTGGAAAGCCTTAGGAAGACTTACTAAAATCCGTGTCCCTCCTTTTTCTCTGACCTTGGAGGAGAGGGGACTCTGCAGAAGCTGAGCCTTTCAGGGCTGAACTAAATGCATAAGGTCCTTTACTCCTGTCTCAGGTTAGATGTCTCTTTCTCAGAGAGGCCTTCCTTGACTACCAAGTTCAAAGTACCATCCACTCTTGTACCATCTCTTCACCTGATTTCTGCTTTTGGTGAATAACATGTTCTGTAGTTGCTCTGGTTGTTTAGTGCATTTGCCCTCCACTGGAATGTAAGATCCACGAGAACAGTTTAGTTCACTGTTTTTTTCATGCCGATATTAGTGCCTGGCACTTAGAGGGTTTTTAGTCAATGTTGAATAAATGAATTAATTCTTTTACTGTTCGCAGTAATCCTAGGGAATAGCTGCTGTTATCATCCTCTGTTTACAGAAGAGGATATGGAAACACAGAGAGGTTAAGTAACTAGTGCCAGGTCATAGGCACATAAGTGCATACCTGTAGCAGCACCTCATCTCCAGCTCTGTCTTGAACCCAAAGCACTTTCCACTCATCCAGTGCAGCCTCATCATACTCTCCAGCTTTAGACTCCTCCTGACCCACAGCCTCCCATTGTGTTCTACTCATCACATGACCCTGACTCCAGAACTTTCTCTACTCACTTGTCGTCTCTTACATGGGCCTCTCAGGAGAGTGAGGGCTTAGCTCCCATCTTCTGCTTCTGCCTCTGCCTCAGCCTGTCAGCTCTGAGTACTCCTAGGAAGCTGTCTCCTGTCAGGGCCCAATTACCCTCACTCAGCTTATTGCTGGCCTTCCGGGCTAGTCTTCACTCTGTGTACCCCAGAACAGGTCACTGAAAATCAGCAAATGACCCACCTTGAACTTTGCTCTGCCCCAGAGCTGCAACATCTACTAGGTACTTGGCCATGTCCGCTTCCTGTATGCCGTACCAACCCAGGAAGGACATCGCATGAGCAATGAAAACATGCTGGGCATTGCCTATGACTTCTTACGTTCATGCTCACCTTCAATCCCCACACAACCTTTTGAGATAGGAGCTATGGTTTCTAAATAACACCTGAGGAGACTGAGCCTTGAGAGATTAAGTCACTTGCCCAAGGACAGACAACTAGCTGGTAGCTAAGCCCAGATTTAAACCCAGGTGTTTCTAACTCCACTGCCAATGCTCTAAGAATTCTACTGCAATGTGACTGTACTACACAAAAGGGCGACTAAATTCCTTAGTAAACTGAGATCCCCAAACTAAAATGTGCGAAGATTTTGCCTTGCCAAGTGGAGAAGCCCATGGCAAAAACCCCTTTCATCTTAAAATATGATGCAACTCTGTATCAGTTTCAAGAGCCCGTAATACAAGGCTAAGTGTCCCTTGGCAGACGCTTGATATTCCCGCAACATGGAGCTTGTATAAAAAGGGACGTCCTTTCTTTTGAAAACCTGCACCTAGAACAACAGTCTCTTTTCTGGGGGAGATACTCAGAAAATCAATTCACACTAGACAGTGGAGATTCTGCTTAAAGCTCATGCAGAGCATCTTAAATCGGGCTGCCTTCCTGCCTCCAAAGTGCATGTTTCCCTGTCCACAGGCTGTGCTCCATGGCGGACATCTCTGTACCTTTCCAGTTTCTCCTGGGGGTTAGGGGTCACCAGAGTCCGTCTCCCTGTAGGTGTCACGCAGCACTGATGAGCCCAGCCAGTATCATTCATCTTTGCCCTCATCGTTAGCCCACAAATTTTCTGACTATGCCCTGGCATGGTACAGACACTTGGAATGTTACATCTCTTTCACTCCTGCTGAGGATTCCAGGGAGTAGAAATTGCTCACCCCATTTTACTG